>NC_000004.12:121421381-123921381 GCF_000001405.40 Homo sapiens | reverse complement strand
TCCTTCACCAGATTCAGCCCCTCGATCCTGAACTTTCCAGCCTGCAGAATCATGAACCAAATAAGCTTCTATTGTTTATAAATTTCCCAGTGTGCAGTATTCTATCATAGTAAGAAAATGTGGAATCAAACCAGGCCAAGTGCAGTGGCTCACACCTGTAATCTCAGCACTTTGGGAGGCCAAGAGAGGAGGATGACTTGAGCCTAGGAGATTGAGACCAGCCTGGGCAACATGGCAAAACCCCATCTGTAAGAAAACCCCATGAAAAAAAAAATTTTCAAGCCAAATGTGGTGGCATGCACCTGTAATCTCAGCTACACGGAGGCTGAAGGGGAAGGATCACCTGAGCACAGGAGGTCAAGGCTGCAGTGAGCTTAGATCGCACCACTTGCTTCAGTCTCAGTGACAGAGTGAGACCCTGTCTCAAAATAGAATAAAATTAAATTAAAATTAAAAAGTGTATTTTGTAGGAAGAGAGTAGAATGGCAGTTACCAGAGGTTGGGGGAGGGGGGAGATGGGCAGATGTTAGTCAAAGAATACAAAGTTTGTTAGATAGGAGGAATAAGTTTAAGAGATACATCATACAACATGATGACTGTAGTTAGTAACAATGTATTGTATTCTGAAGAATTGCTGAAAGATTTGATTATCACAAAAAATGACAATTATGTGAGGTAATGCATATGTTACTTAGCTCTAGTAATCATTTCACAATGCATACATATTTCAAAACATGTTGTACACAATAAATATATACAATCTTTACTTTTCAATTAAAACTAGATTAATTAATTATTTAAAATATACAAATATAGGCCTGGTACGGTGGCTCATGCTCATAATCCCAGCACTTTGGGAGGCTGAGGCAGGCAGATCTCAGGAGTTTGAGACCAGCCTGGGCAACACGATAAAACCCTGTTTCTATTAAAAATAATAATAATAAAATAAATATAAAAAAATAAAATATATGAATATATGTATCAAGTAACCTGAGTCTAGACACCAAGATTGTTTTAATCTTTGGAAAGGGCTGATGGAAGAGAGACTGGACTCAGCTTAGTGTGGGCTAACCTGGACACAATTATTTGCCACCTGTGGTTTTTATTAGACCAGGTAACTCAAAAACATCGTAGTCTTGGACTACTGCAAGGTTGCCTTATAAGAAGCAGAAAGGCAGAGCATGTTTCCTTGAGTGGGATGAGGTTCCTACAACTATCCCAGATACATACCCTCACCCCAAAGGAAGACCTATCAATATAAGAGAATGAAATTCCTGTTGTCAAAAATCCTGGAAAGATATCAATCTTATGACAGAAAATGAAGATCTAAGCAGCAAATCTTAAACTGAAAAAGAACTTAAACTAGTTTGGCCTATAGACAGTCGAAATAGTCTCAGATATGGGAGGTGAGCAGCGCTTCTCACCTACCATACAGGAGACAGTGTGGTAGCACTCCTGTATGGGAGACAGTGTTACAGGGAGACAGTGTGGTTAGCAAGACATGGATCTGAGCCTGGCCAATAGCTGTGAGTAATGCTCCTGATGTAGCTTCTGTCCATTATTCCTTAACCTTCCATAAACCCTGTTAAAAATTACAGCTGGTCTCATTGTGTGGGAAATTACAGAAAACGGGACTATCCCAATGGATAGCAATGTTTCTTTCTCCAAGATCAAGGTGGTGATCACTCTGGTGACTAATGATGGAAGACAGCTTTCCAAGAAAAATGCCAGATTCACAAGTGGGAATAGTCTTCTCCCTAAAAAACAGCAAGGCAAGACGCAGAAGCAGAGCAGGCTGGGAGTTTGTTTTTGAGCACAGATTAAGGCACAACCTGAGGAATTCTCATATCTACGTAGGGAATGTTTTGTGGGCATTAACATCTGACAATAAAGCTGGTATGTGTGTAAGTAATACTAACTCATATTAGACACAAAGAAGAAAGTTAAGAGGGAAGGAGAGGAGGTGGCGAGGAGGAAGAAGAGGAGGGGAGAGAGAAAGAAAGGTGTCTATCTATCTTTACCAACCTACTGTACCCTTTGTAATCTTTCTTCTCATTTGTGAATGTTTCTCTGTGTTTTCTTTCCTGTCCTCAAATGAATGCCAGCCTGGATATTTCCGAATGAAATATGACTTATTCTGCAGTCAGGTTTACCACCCTGCTCTTCCAATTTATAAGTGAGAAACACAGATCTATTTAGAATGGGATGACATGATCACTACACCCTAAGGTCATTATCCTTTTTTGAAGAGGCAGTTTTTGATATGAACAAGTTTGTAAAGCAAAACACAGATACTTTCATCTGCCAGATCCAATGTAGTAATTTAATAGCCATGAGATTATTTAAATAAGTCAAGTCTGTAGAAATATCATTATAAAGCCACTAGCTTCAGCATTTACTTAGAAAGTAACATTGACTTTGACAGAAACAATGATCTGGGATTTGTTTTAAAATTATTTTGTTCTCATTCCTGGGAAAAAGTTTTGCTCAGTCCCTATGATAAGCGATAAGAAAGGCATACAGAGCAATGATAATTTACTAGTTATTCCACAAGTATACCGTGCTTATTTCTGCGTAGAGATGTATGCTTATATTTTTCCTTCTCTACTAGACAGACCCTTTTCTTTAAAGGAAATCTCATGTCCCAGCACTTCCATGACTAAATTCTTTCTGAATACTTCAACCTTAGCTGAGCTTTTTCTGTTCTGAACACCACACAATACTTAGACCATACCATAGAGAATTTAATTATATATGCTTTCATGCTGTGTTTATTGTTCATACGAGTTTGTTATCACTTCCCTCACTGTTATTAAATGGCCTGTAATGGCAATGCTCAGTTCTTAACAAGTCTTCATTAACCTATGTGGAGCATAAGCTTATATGCTATTATGAAAATTAAGTGCTATTTTTAAATATACATATATGTATGTATGTATATTTAATCCAGAATTCCAAGGTATCTATTTCATTGTTAAAATTTTTGAAAAGCTGTCATAGGCGACAACATAATCGGTCACTGGATCAGCACCACTTCCCAAAACAACAGTAGTGATAATAACGACAGCCACCATTTATTGAGAGCTCACTATGTTGCATACTGCTCTAGTGCTTCATACAGATTAGCTCATTCTGTTCTCACAAGAACCCATGAGTTGGTTACTATTATTATTTTTGTTATTAGTCACATCTACTTGGAAATTCATATCATAACCAGGTAGGTTTTAATTAATTTATAATGATAAGTAACTGCAACATGAACTGGAATACCTCAATGTCTATACAGCATCCTCTTTCTCTAGGCAGAGAGCAACATAACCTGACCTGACCTTCCTAAATGGAAAGCCAGAAAATGACAAGTGACCATCATCAAATCAAAACAAAGACAGTTCTAAAATCCAACACTAAATAACAACAGGGGAAGATGCTGTGAGATATCTAACTCACAGTAGAGAAAGTTTTGCCAATGAGAGTAGAATATTCAAAGTCCTTTTCTGTATTCCCCTGTTTTATCTCCACATTAGGGGTGACTTTCCCATTCAATATTTATTATCAATCAATAATTTATGAGGAGTGGGTAATGAATAGAAAAAGAAGGATAAATGGCCCTATGTAATATTTAAAATAAAAAGTAACACAAAGCAACATTTTTAAAATTGAAATAGCATTATAGAAAAAGATAGTATCAAGATGCTGATGCTAAACAGAATATGTTCAAAAAAAACTATAAAGAAGTATTACTAACCCTTTCTCACATGGCAGAGCACAGCATAGCATAGAGAAAAGCAAGCAAACAAGCACACAAAACACAAGGTGTGGCGTGTTAATTAAAAGCATGGAGTCTTAAAGCTAGGCTGCTTAGACTCAAACTGCAGCTCCCTCACTGGCTAGCTACAAGACCTGGAACAAGTTACTTAACATCTCTGGGCCTCTGTTTCCTCATTTATAAAATGGGAATCATTATAGTGCCTCCTTTTAGCATTGCTATGGGAATTCAATGTATATGTTTTTAGAACAATACCTGGAACAGAGTAAGCTACCTATTGTTTAAATTGTCTCACCTTTTTAAAATTTAGCCAGATTTTTATTTTTTAAAAATTTTATCATACCTATCAACCTCCTATTATGAAAATCACAAGGATTCTAGGCTTTTTAAGAATAATGTGTATTATGAGTTAGAGCCAAATTATTTCCCACAGAAGTACATTTCTCAACTTATGATAGAAACAAATGAGAGAGTGTAGTCTAATATAGGCATAGTCAGTTTACACATATCTTTTTTTCAGTAACTCCTCTAATAAAAAACAAGGATTTAACCTAGAGCAAGAAGCAACTAAGTCACTGGGGTGTCATGTGATGGTTCCCAAATGTGAAATCGTTAGGCTGATGCCAATCCAGAAGTTTTCCCCTGTGCATATACAAATAAGAATTGTTTCTTATTTGGAATCTTAAGGACAATGTAATGAGTTTTCATAAGGCTAAACACATTCAATTATATTAGTATATAAACAAATTTAAAAATAAGTATATTCAGGGCCAGGCACAGTGGCTCCCGCCTGTAATCCCAGCACTTTGGAAGGCCGAGGCGGGTGGATCACCTGAGGTCAGAAGTTCGAGACCAGCCTAGCCAACTTGGTGAAACCCAGTCTCTACTAAAAATACAAAAATCAGCCCTGTGTGGTGGCAGACACCTGTAGTCCCAGCTACTCAGGAGGCTGAGGCACAAGAATCACTTGAATCTGGGAGGTGGAGGTTGCAGTGAGCTGAGATCACACCACCAGACTCCAGCCTGGGCAACAAAGTGAGACTCAGTCTCAAAACAAACAAACAAAACGAATTATATTCATTTTATTCTGAGGTTATATGTGTTGCTTTTTAGAAACATCCTGACTCAGGCCTATAAATGATTCCAACATTGGAAATTATAAAGATCTTTGGAATAGAAAATTGTGGGAACAAAACAAGGGGCAAGTACAATAGAAAGGGCATATGGTTTGGTCATCATACAAGGCTGGGTTCAAATCCCAACTCTATTTCTTACTTTTGGGATAATCTTGGATTAATAATTTAATAGCTTTGATCGTTAATTTTATAAATCTAGCTTGTTAGTGACTACCTCAGAGTTTTTGTGAGGATTATGTGAAATTGTATTTTAAATGCACTTAACATAAGTCTGTCATAGTATCCACTTAACCAACCAAGGCTATTATGTTCTAGTCTTGGTTGGGTAAAAGCGGTAGTAGCAAAGACAGTAGTGTAAACAGTCATGCTGTTTTTACTATTGTTGTGGGAAAAAGGCAAAACCTTTTTATTGCCAGTCACATGTAGAATTCCAGAAACAAAAACTGCATATAGCAAACTTTCTCAGTAATGCGCTTCTCTTTGTCTGTTGGTGCTATGGCCAATCACTGCTGCAAACAAGAATGCATCGTGAATTCTGATTAACTCTTTCCAAATCAATTGAACTCCTATCAGGAGATTAAGCTAACTCATATGTGATTAAGCTAAAACATATGTGAGGTTGGTTTCTGCTCTCAGCGCAGTTTTAAACTGTTAAACCCATACCAGCTGTTTCTATAAACCAGCAATTCTAATCATCCAGTATCACTCCTCAAGGAACGTTGATTATAGAAGAAATGTGATCAACCAACACAAATTTTACATTTTCAGCAGATTTATTTCAATTTCTAATCAAACTCAATCCCAGCTTCTTCCCTGACCAGGAAGAGAAGGAGATTTAAAGTAAAGAAAATTGAGCTCGGAGAGTTTACCAGACGACGAGTGTATGCTGACAACCCCAAACCATCTCCTTTGTTCTAGTTACGTCCAATAAAACTCCTCAAAATGATTGCCCCATCATCTCTATCATTTACACAATTTTTGAAACCATCCGCCCCTCAGTTCAAAACATGAACATGATGGAAAATCAAGAAAATACCTTACAACTTCTAAATTCCTTGAGATGTCTTACAAAGAAAAAATAATTTATTCGATTCTAGAGAAGAAAACAATAATGTATACTGTATTGTAAGACTTCCTCCAAACATAATAATCCTAAGACCTAGATAACACTTACTATATCAGAGCACTCGTTATCAAGACCTTCACATGTGTTAATGCATTTAAAGTACACGACAGAGGCCAGGTGCGGTGGCTTACACCTGTAATCCCAGCACTTTGGGAGGCTGAGGCAGGTGGATCACCTGAGAACAAGAGTTAGAGACCAGCCTGGCCAACATGGTGAAACCCCATCTCTACTAAAAATACAAAAAAAATTAGCCAGGCGTGGTGGCAGGCACCTGTAATCCCAGCTACTGGGGAGGCTGAGGCAGGAGAATCACTTGAACCCAGGAGGCAAAGGTTGCAGTGAGCCGAGATCTTGCCATTGTACTCCAGCCTGGGTGACAAGAGCGAAACTCTGTCTCAAAAAAAATTAAAAATAAAGTACACAGTAAATCTAAGAGACAGGTGATATTACTATACATACTTTTCAGGTGAGAAAACTGACTCACAGGAAGGTAAGTATCTTGAGATGCTAAGTGTCAAAGCCAAGATTTAAATCCCAGTTTGTCTCCTTGACTGCTCACTGTTTACTTTATAATGATTTGAAAATAATAAAATCAGGAATGCCATTCAGAGATGATCTTAATATAAAAGATACCCAAGTGTTTATAAATCTGATTTTTTTTCTATCAACAAGGTGGCTAAGACTATCAGAGGATGATCGTCACACCAACACATGTTGCAAATAAAACCACTCTTTAATAAAGTAATTTGAACCCATCTTAAAATTTCAACTTTTCGTCTCATTCTTTCTTTTCCTTTCACTCTATTCTTTCTAGACTTTTACAAGGGGGTCTTCAAGTGTCTGTTTCAAATCTCTTCTATGTTCCTACTCTTAATTATCTTCTTGGATTTGGTGATTTTCAATTTCTGTTGATGTAATTGTTGTGTTCTTTTCTTCTGAATATTTTATTAGTTGACTCATTTCAGTTTATTTCTTAGTCTTTTCTATGTTTTTTTTTTCAATTTTCTCCCTCTCACAAACTGCTTAGTTAACTCCCTTTTACTGATGAATATTAGAATATTTAAATGAATAATCTGGGTCATCATTCCTGAAAATGTAGACATTAAAAGAAGAAAAGATACTCTATTTGCCACTTTCCTTCTTCACTCCAACCCCAGTTGCAGCCCTCACCCCAATTAAGAAATGCTTGGATTAGAGATTCATCTAGCTTTTGAAGTGCAAATAATGGAAAAAAGAAATATTTTCTGTATTGCATCGTTAACTACCATGTTAGCCTGAATATTTGATGATATCTGGCTAATACACGCACTTGACTCAGTTTTAAAATACCCAAGTTAAATATATGCAATATTCAAGGAAAAATTAATCAAGAGAACTTTTCAATTCCAAAGTAGGGGCCACATCTCTAATATGTAGATCACATGAAGATGGACATGCCTCAGTGAGGAAATGCCAGATCTTTCCTTATAATATAAAGTGACATTGTGCAAATGCATTCACTGATTTTCATCTGTTGAATTCATTATCTTACATAATGGCCTTTCCAGGTAAATCAGCAGAGGGACCTAAAATTGCATAAATTTGCTTACCAAGTTGTAAATGTGCCAGAATAGCTGTTTTTTAGGTATCTGAGTGGACCCAAAAGCTGAATGCTCACTTTTGTTAGTAAGTAATAAAATATTCATAGCTGGACCTCATTCTGGTAAGGTGCCAAACTAATTATCTATCACCTGATATCATCCAGGAGCTCTCTTTACGTACTTCCAATGCAAGCAGGTAAAATATTTAATCATTTCTCCAAATATGCTAATCTGCAATCAGCCTAGCTAAAAATAAACCTTAGTGATAACCATATTTTAAAGCAAAAATAAGTTCACTGACATGTTTTAAGCCATTGTTAGCTACCAAGTGGAATGCTGATTCTGTGATTTTTTTTTTTTTTAATACTTAGAAGCAATCTGGGGAAAGGGAGGACAAAACAAAACAATATGGTTAATTGATCCATCAGTATGATTACTGGCAAAAGAAGAAAACAAGTCTTCCTAAGTCATGTTATTAGGGGAAAAAATGGTTCACAATTACATAACTGCGAGTGAGGGAACCAAGAAGAGATTTGAATCTTGTGACTTAGTACATTGCTTTTTTCAACCCTCATTCCACTGAATAACTGGTTCTTTTTATACCTTACTGAGTACTGCTATGTTTTAGGCATTATAAAATCACAAAGTTGAATGGTAAAAACTGTTATAACTAGAAATTATGAAATGGACAACTATTTGTTACAAATACTACTTACACAAAAGAAATTCTAAAGAGATCTAAATTAGCCTGTTATTTGTTTGCTTACTTATCACTGAATAAATAAGAGCACTATCTCTTTTCTTAAGCTTAACAAATTTTAAGGAAAATGTGAGAACTGGAAATATACTGTAAGTTTCATTGATAATCTTATCAAAGTGGACTTCAGGGCAGTTTTTTTGTGGGAAGTTTTGTGGTGCTTAGATTAGACTGAACAAACCATCAAAAAGGTTTTTCTATTGATGTGTCAATTAGCTGTAGCTCCTTATGAACTAATATGAAACGCTTGTAGCAAGTATTTGATCACAACTTCCTGAATTAAAAAAATTATTTTACTTTAAATACAACATATTTTATATTGTTTCTGTTGTACAATTGATTGTTCATTCTTTTTTAATTTCTTAAACATGTATTGATTTCATCCTAAACTTCAAGTTACATTACACAACACTACATAACTACATTTGCATGTAATCCCTCCTAATGACTCGGTTGAACTGCTTACTTTAATAAAAACAGGTTTAAAGGCATTAAGAGTGATAAAATGATAAATTCACAATAGGGCACCAATTTAGCTGATACTTAACTAGATTATATCTAAGGATGAAAAATAATATTTAAATACTTTTGTTTCATGGGTTTGTGCTATTTTTAACATAGTTTTATCTATGCAAAGTTTCTTTCAGAATGGCAGTAAGAGTGCATATTATCCAAGTAAATGAGTAAATCCTAGTTAACCACCTTCAAAATAAATTTAAAATATCATTTAAATTGAAAGTCAAATGTAATTTAATAAATACTTATCAAGACACCATTGAAGACACACACTGGGGAGTTGATTATAGAAGAATGACTTATGAAAAAAAGGAGTTATAATAAGCCACCCATGTACTTTGATGATTATGTTTCAGGACTGGAATTGCAGTTGGAAATTAATTCATTTCACCAATGTTTGTTGTGCACCACCTCTCCTTCAGACACTGCCAGGCCCTGGGTCTACAATGGTGAATGGAATCTGGAATGGTGCATTACACAGGTAAATTCAGGCCTGCACTCAGTAGAAAAATGGCATAAGAAACATTTAAAATTAAGTGCGGTAGAGCTAAAGTCAAGAAAGAGAAAATATTTGGTTAGCAAGAATCAACCTTTTGTGGAGGAGGGAGCACTAAAATTGGGATTTGAAAGATGGCTACGATTTCAACAGACGATCAAAGAGAGGAGGGCTTTCTCCAGAAAAAGTTACCTGCAGAGGCAAAAGGGAAGAACTCAAGAGGCATGCAAGACGTTGCATGGGAAAGTTTCTAGTTGCGATATTGTATGAGTATAGACCCTTACTATCCTTTGTACCCCTCAGGTGAGATTATGGGTTGAGCATACTAATTATGGGTTGAGTGTAGTAATGAGTAGTACTACATTACAAATTCTATGTAGTAATTATGAAATTTTGGAAGGTCTTTTATTTCTTCTTCTTAGAAAATTATTTCCCTAGTTATTTTCCATCTCCACAAACATTAGCAAGAACCAGCTCCATTCTTACCCTGCTCCAATTCATTTTCCATACAGCAACAGCAAATGATCTTTTTTAAATGCAAAGATGACCATCTCACTCTTCTACTTAATATTCATCAATCTTTTCTCATTTTATAGTTCCTGAAATAAAATAAAATAATACAAAGTTTTACCTGACTTTGGGCCTCTGAGAAAGTTCTTCCCTCTACCTAAATTTTCACAATAAATTCATCTAACTTGTTATGATTTATCACCATCAAGTATCAGCTAAATATCAGTTTCTCAAATATTTTTTCCCTGACTCACTTAATCCAAATGAGCTTTTCTTTTCTTTTTCTTTTTTTTTTATTTTTGTGAGATGGAGTCTCGCTCTGTCCCCCAGGCTGGAGTGCAGTGGCGCGATCTCGGCTCACTGCAAGCTCTGCCTCCCGGGTTCTCGCCATTCTCCTGCCTCAGCCTCCTGAGTAGCTGGGACTACAGGCGCCCACCACCATTCCCGGCTAATTTTTTTTGTATTTTTAGTACAGACGGGGTTTCACCGTGTTAGCCAGGATGGTCTCGATCTCCTGACCTCATGATCCACCAGCCTCGGCCTCCCAAAGTGCTGGGACAAATGAGCTTTTCTTTTTCTTCTCTCTGGTTGGACTCTATCCTTTCTTTTCACTTTACTGACCACAATTTGGAACAGTATATTAACTTACATGTTTACTCATGTAATGATTCTCATTACCCATCCCCACCCCTCCTGTCAGCTAGACTAGAAGCTCCGTTAGAGAATGCTGGGTTCCATTCACCATTGCAGACCCCTATCTAGCATAGTGTCTGAAGGGAAAGTGGTACACAACCAACATTAGCAGAATGAATTAATTTACAACTTAAATTCACATCCTGAAATAAAATCATAACAATACATGATTTATTTTTAAAGAGTGGCTTATTATGGCTCCTGTTTTCATTGAAATCTAATTCAGGATTATAAATTTACAATAAAAGGGAGAAAATATTTCTTGAGCATCAAATTCCTCATCAAAGTAAATCTTACTTGTAGATTTGATTAGTGATGCTTTTTCTATATTGAGTTTTACTTTCCCAAGCATCAGGATATTCAGCAGGATGTCTTTATAGTCATAACAGTACATTTCCTTCTCCAGACCTGGAAAGTCATAAAAAATAAACACATCCACAAAAAACAAAATGCTATACCATTATAAAAGTTGACCTTTTGCTTAGTGCTTAGCCTTACAACCACAGAATACTAAAGCAATAGAGGCCAGGGTGAAATGAAGATGAAAGTAGAAGGAGAAGGTTGAATGCTCAAATTCTATTTCAAGTAGTTTTTAGTCATACTGAATTATGGAAACTGAATAACTGAACAGGAAGATAGCTAGAAATCATATAGTATGGCAGACTAAATTTTCCAAAATGGCAGCAAAAATATGTCCTATCTCACATTCTCATTTATGACATGCTCTCTACCCTTATCAAAAAGTGTTGTTCTATGAATCCCCTCCTTGAATATGGGTGGCCTTATGACTCATTTGCAACCAACAGAAGCTGCATGACTTCCAAGGCTAGGTCAGAAAGAGCAGTGAAGCTTCTAACTTGTCAGTTGGAGCACTTGCACTAGGAGTGCTGAGCTACCATGTACTCTGAGGCTGCCACACTATCAGTAGGCCAAGCCACATGGCAAAACCAAATGTAGGCACTGCTTTTGACAATCTTGGTTTTTGAGTTCTCCTTGCCCAGGAACCAGATATTTGAATGAATGAGCCTTCAGATGATTCTAGCCTCTAGTCCTCAAGGTAGCACTACCCTTTGAATCTTCCTGGCTAAGAACTCAGACATTATAGAGGAAAGGCAAGCCTTCAATGCTGTCCCCTTCCAAATTCCTGAGCCACAGAATCCATAAAAATGACAAAATGGTTGTTTTCTTACATTGCTAAATTAAAGGTGTTTGTCAGACAGAAAAAGTAACCATAACATGTGATTATGATGTCAGCTTTCAGGGCCAGATATTCGTCATTTTGATGGTTTCCTAGGAGGGCCACTGGTGTGAGAGAATTCCCTTCCTAGCTCCTTCTAAATGCCTACCTCTTTTAATCACAGATAAAGAAATGAATTTAGTGATCTTAATTGATTCCACTGGTAGTAAAGGAATATAAGAACATTTTCTTCATATTCATAGGTGGATGGGTAAATATATCAAACAATCAAAATGTGCAAAACTGCAGACTCTAAGCCTGAAGAGAAGAAGACATGAATCAGTAATTCATTTCATAATAGGTACCTGCTTAACAAGTCAACTTGGGGCAGTTCTGAACAGAGCCAGACCACTGGGGAAGGAGTCTGACAAAGAAAAGGAGATGTAGCATTTATACGTTTTCTTCTATTCTTTAACACTCATATGATGAGTGTCTCCATGGAACTCTATGATGCTACACTAGCACTGAAAAAGGAACACAAAAATTACTTGCCAAATGGAAATGCAATAACAAGATCTAATTATTATTTTTCATTTAGAATTTTATTACATTCAGAAATCCAAGCTATGGCTCTAATGCCCATTATTTAAACTTAACTAAAAGTAATTCAATTATATTTTCTTCTTTTTAAAAAACCTTTTTATTGTGGTAAAATATATATAACATAAAATTTACTTTTTAATCATTTTATGTATACAGTTCAGTGGCATTAACTACATTTGCAATGTTGTACAACATCACCAACACCTATTTCTAAAGTGTTTTCATCACCCCAAACAGAAATTTTCTCCTTTAATATGTTCAAATTATTGCAAATTATGTTCTCTTTTTTTTTCAACAGTCTAGCTAGGTTTTTATAAATTTTCAAGAACAAACTTTTAGTTTCTTTGATTTCTCTAATTTTTGTTCTTTATTCCTGTTTAATTGATTTCTGCCTTCATATTTATTTCCTCTCTTCTACTTACTCCCTGTATTGAATTTGCTCTTTTTCTTCCAGATTCTTTTTTTTTTTTTCTTTTGGAAGTTTACGTCACTGAATAGAAAAAAAGTGCTTCTACTTTTATTAGAAGTGCTGGAATTACTCTTTATCCTTGATATTTTTTAAATGTTTTTGAAAAAGAAGAAAAAAATACTTAAATACAATAATAAAGAAAAACCAAATTCAATAGCCTTATATTATGAGCTCATTGATATCCTATTCAAGTAGAGTCTTGGTTCATCACTTGGGCTTTAAATGCATGATTCTATGTCCAAGTGAGATAAACATGTTTTCAAAGGTCTCACTTGGACATAGGATGGTTATTCCAAATCTTCATGATTTTCATTGTACTCTTATACATAGCCACCACCCAATCCTTATTTTAAAATACAGCCATGCATACATACATCCACACTCATTTACTGTTTATCATATGGTTCTTACCTCAGTTAATGGCACCAACTTCCACTCTGTCATCAGACTCATCTTGGTTTTCTCCTTGCCTTCATGATCTATCCAGTCAGTCACCAAATTCTGTATCATCTGATTGCTCTCTATTCCTGTTGCTACTTCCTTAGCTCAATTTATAATTTGTCTTACCATAGCAATAACTTTTTTATTCATTTTCATTGTATTTTATTTTCAGATATTTTCACCTTCATTTCAGTCTATCTTCTAGAGTAGGAGTCAGCAAACTTTTTTCATAAAGGTCTAGAGAGTATTTTAAGCTTTGCAGGCCAGCGGTCTCTATTTCAACTACTCAATTCTACTGATGTAGTATAAAAACTGAGATATACAATACATAAATTAAACTGGCATGGTTGTATTCCAATAAAACTTTATCTACAAAAACAGATGTCATGCCAGATAGGCCCATTAAGTCTACTTTTCAGACTTCTGCTGTAGGATTGTAGTTCTAAAAAGTGAATCTGATCATGACCTTTAATATCTTCTGTTGTATTACCAAATTTATGGTAATATTTCTCAATGATCAGTTTCCTAGAGGTAGATAGAATTATAAGCATGCCAAAGACAAAATTATCTGTACCATATTAAACTTGCATTTAGTATGATAGTCAATATGCTGGTGTATTACTTGCATGGATTCAATCTTCATGCATATTAACTTGCACTTCAGTAGCAAAAAATAAAGGCATAAACATGCAATGAGTAATCTGTCATTAGCTGTTACTTTAATCAATGGCTTAAAACTACTTTATTATGGAAAAGTATTTTGAAAAATTATCCATTGTATTTGTCATTCACAATCATTCTCACAGCTCTCCCCTGACTGAGGTGGAGGCATGCTTCATGGGGAGGGCCAGACTCATCCAAGAAAAGATCAATTGTTTGTTTGGTTTCAAACTTTCAAGATCATCTGTTGATGCCCACTTTAGGTACAACAATTATGCAACATATGGTTTTAATCTAACAGTCAGGTTCTGTCGAGAGAAAAAAATGATATACTGATTTGTATTATAGTGGTTTCGTTTTTTTAATTGTCTATAATTTATAATGCTCTGAAATTTGGATCTTACTGATCCTGGAGAGACTTCCCTTTCCAGGGCTAGCTACTTCCTAAACAGAGCTAATTACTGTCCTGAGGCCATGCCTTTCATATTTGAACCAACCAACCCACAGTCCATATACCCTACTACCTCCTCTGACAAGCTCTCTATCTCCCTGCCCTAATATCCCCTCAGGGCCAGTTTCCAGGAAAGTAGGGGCAGTCCTTATACCCTGAAGTTTGCTGAGATTATTCAAACCAGCCAGTCCCAAAGCTACTCAGCTGCTCTCCTACCCTGCCCAATCCTTTCCAAGAAAGCCACAATAAAGGCTCTTCCCATGCTTTCCCCTCACTCTCTTTGCTGCTTAAATGACCCTGGGGTTTCCCCACATGGACCTGTGTGGCATGCCCTGCCTCCTGTTTCTAGCAAACTGGGAATATAAACTTCTTCATTTTCATGTCTGTGTGTCTTACCATACCTGATTATAAAAAGTGGTGGATACATTTTAGAACAAAATTCTAGAGGTCAAATCTTAGAGAAATGATCAGAGTCTTTTACTCTGTCTCACAAGGTGAACAGATTTCTTTCTGAACTCTAACTTGAATCTTTACAGGCAGTTCTAATGCCTCCCAAAACTACTTCCCAAGCAAATGGGAAGGAACAAGTACAGCTAGTTGGGGCACCCAGTCTTCTTGGACACTATTTTGACTCATTTAGAGCACACAACTTTAAATACAAAGTAAAACTTCATTGTGGGTTTTAGGACTGTATTAGTCTCACACTGCTATAAGGAACTATCTGAGAATAATAGTTTATGAAGAAAAGAGGTTTAATTGACTTAAGTTCCTCATGACTGGAGAGACCTCAGAAAACTGACAATCATAGCAAAATGCAGAGGGGAAGCAAAGCACATCTTTCCATGGTGGAGCAGAAGAGAGAGAGAGGGTGAGAGAGTAAAAGCGGAAGTGCCACACACTTTTAAACCATCAGATCTCATGAGAACTCACTAACTATTAAGAGAACAGTGTGGAGGAAATCTGCCCCCATAATCCAATCACCTCCCACCAGGCTCCACCAATTCGACATGAGATTTGGGTGGAGACATAAATCCAAACCATATTATTCCATCCCTGGCCCCTCCCAAATCTCAGGTCCTTCACACATTGCAAAATACAATTATCCCTTCTTAACAGTCACCTAGTCTTAACTCATTTCAGCATTAACTCAAAAGTCCACAGTCCAAAGTCTCATCTAAGACAAAGTAAGTCCCTTCTGCTTATGAGCCTATAAAATCAAAAACAAGTTAGTTACTTCCAACATACAATGGGGGTACAGGCATTGGGAAAATACTGTCATTCCAAAAGGGAGAAATTGGCCAAAATAAAGGGCCAAAGGCCCCATGCAAGTCTGAAATCCAGCAGTACAGTCATTAAATCTTAAAGCTCCAAAATAATCTCCTTTGACTTCATGTCTCACATCCAGGGCATGCTGATGCAAGCAGAGAGCTCCCAAGGCCTTGGGCAGCTCCACCCCTTTGGCTGTGTATGGTAGAGCCCCCCCCCAGCTGCTTTCACAGGTTGGCATTTAGTGTCTGCAGCTTTTCCAGGCACACAGTGCAAGCTGTCGGTGGATCTACCATTCTGGGGTCTGGAGGATGGTGGCCTTCTTCTTATAGCTCCACTAGGCAGTGCCCCAGTGGGGACTCTGTGTGGGGACTCCAACCCCACATTTCCACTCTGCACTGCCCTAGCAGAAGTTCTCCGTGAGGTCTGCACCCCTGCAGCAGACATCTGCCTGAACATCCAGGCATTTCCATAGATCCTCTGGAATCTAGATGGAGGTTCCCAAATCTCAACTCTTGCCTTCTGCATATCTACAACCCCAACACCAAATGAAAGCCACCAATGCTTGGGACTTCCACACTCTGAAGCCATGGCCAGAGCTGTACCTTGGCCCCTTTTAGCTATGGCTGGAGCTGGAGCAGCTGGAATGCATAGCATCATGTTCCAAGGCTAACAGAGCAGCTGGGCCCTGGGCCTGGTCCAGGAAACCATTGTTTCTTCCTGGGCATCCAGGCCTGTGATGGGAGGGGCTTCCATGAAGGTCTCTGAAATGCCCGGGAGACATTTTCCCCATTGCCTTGGCTATTAACATTCAGCTCTTTTTTACTTATGCAAATTTCTGCAGCCAACTTGAATTTCTCACCAGAAAATGGGTTCTTCTTTTCTACCACATAGCCAGGCAACAAATTTTCCAAACTTTTATACTGTGCTTTTCTTTTAAATATAAATTCCAATTTTAGACCATTTCTTTGCTTACACATACAAGCATACACTTTTAAAAACAGCTAGGTCACATCTTGCATGCTTTGGGGCTTAGAAATTTCTTCTGCCAGATACCCTAGGTCATCTCTTTCAAGTTCAAAGTTTCACAGAAGTCTATGGCAGGGGCAAAATGCCACCACTCTCTTTGCTAAAGCATAGCAAGAGTGACCTTTACTCCAGTTCCCAATAACTTCCTCATCTCCATCTGAGACCACCTCAGCTGGGACTTCATTGTCCTTATCACTATCAGCATTTTGGTCAAAACCATTCAACAAGTCTCTAGGAAGTTCCAAACTTTCCCACATCTTCCTCTCTTCTTCTGAGTTCTCCAAACTGTTCCAACCTCTACCCGTTACCCAGTTTCAAAATCACTTCCACATTTTCAGGTATCTTTATAGCAGTGCCCCACTTCCAGTACCAATTTTCAGTATTAGTCTTTTCTCACACTGCTATAAAGAACTAAGACTGGGTAATTTATGAAGAAAAGAGATTTAGTTGACTCACAGTTCCATAGTTTTAACAGGATGCATGACTGAGAGGCCTCAGGAAACTTACAATCATGATGGAAGGTGAAGGGGAAGCAAGCATGTCTTACCATGGCAGAGCAGGAAAGAGAGAGAACAAAGAGGGAAGTGTCACACACTTTCAAACAACTAGATCTCATAAGAACTCACTCACTATCATGAGAACCACAATGGAGAAGTCCACTCCCACAATCCAATCACCTCCCACCAAGGCCCTCCTCCAAATCAACATGAGATTTTGGCAGGGACACAAATCCAAACTATATCAAGGACAAAACTGATTTTTCTCCTTTCCTCATGTACGTATGTGGCTTTCAGCCCCTTTATCCTCTAGCCTTAGGGGCTTTAGCTGTCATGAATCCCTCTCATAATTCTCTTTTGCTCAACTGATTGCTAAAAAAAAAAAATTATGAACACCAAGATGCGAACAAATCCAAACAAAATACTTCTGTGGGTCAGCTAAAGCACAGACTAAAGTAAGGACTCCTCTTGTCCAGAACCCAGTGAGCTACTGGCCTTACCAGAAATTGAGTCTTATTATAAACCTTATGATAAACAGCATTTAAGTCAATATGGTATTGCTGAAATGATGGAACTAAACCCACAACCCAGATCCAGATATTTATAAAACTTTATATTTGACAGAGAACTCACTAAAAATTGTCCTGGGATAATAGTCTATTCCCACAGGAGGAAAGAAAATGATACTGCATCTCTTCTTTGCATCATAAAAAGTAAAAATTCAGGTGAGCTAAAGACAAATGTGAAAGAAAAATTCTCTTTTTCTTATCATTCATTGATTTATTTTTGGAACTTAAAAACCTCTCATAAAAGTATACTGCACTACCCTGTTGATTTTATTACTTTCCTCTTACTTCTTTCTAGGTTCTACATTTTTATCTATTGTCATCTTGTTCATAAATTCTCTGCCTCATAAGAGAAAGGACTACATCTATTTAATTCACCTCTGTGTATTCACTACATAATATACTGCTTAATAAACTATATATTTGTTGAATGCTTGAATTGCAAGGAACCCTCCTTATAGGAGAACATGTTTTAAGGACCACTAGTGTTAACTATTTAATGGTAATACTTAAATATAGAAAAAAACTAAATCAGAGAATACAGCTTGTAAAACTATATAATCATAGCATACATATGAATTAAATTCAAAAATTGCAAAAATAATACAATTGAAACTAATAGAATGAATTACATGTGATGGATGATGTTATCTTGAAATTAAACCATCAATGTTGGATTTAATAGTAGAAATATTGGTTATTTTGATTTCGAGCATAAGGTATCATTTCTGAGTCATTATTGTTATATATCTTTTTCACAACTGTAGTGAGTTTACTTTATACAATATGACTGAAATAGACCTAAATGGCAATCTTTCATTTCATAAATTGAACTCAGTTTTTTTTAGAGTCCAGATTTGCACCAATGGCAATAGTAATATCTCTGAGTATTTAGTACAGATAAGGCACTATGGTAATTCCTTGCATTGATTCATTTAGCTCACTATATTAGCTGATTTAACTTTTTTTTTTTTTTTGAGACGGAATCTCGCTCTGTCACCCTCGCTCTGTCACCAGGCTGGAGTGCAGTGGCATGATCTCAGCTCACTGCAATCTTCGTGTCCCAGGTTTAAGCGATTCTCCTGCCTCAGCCTCCCGAGGAGCTGGGACTACAGGCGCGTGCCACCATACCTAGCTAATTTTTGTATTTTTTAGTAGAGACAGGGTTTCACCATGTTGGCCAGGATGGTCTCAATCTGTTGACCTCGTGATCTGCCCACCTCAGCCTCCAAAGTGCTGGGATTACAGGTGTGAGCCACCGTGCCCGGCCTTAACTTGTTTTATTAACACCATAAAGCAGAAAATAATTACTCTTGTCCCCTCAAAGCAACTCAGTCACTTCCAGTTTGACAACAGATATATGTTGAGTCTGTGCTCAGTTAATTTAGGATTTATATTCGGTCAGTTCAATGATCCATACTCAAATCCATTGCTGCTAAGATTGCCTGTCCCTCCCTCCTCATCCTCAGGATGATGTTTGGATTCATGGGGCATTTATATAACAGCCTGGGGAGGATGAAGCTGGGAGCTTGTCCTACTCAGTTTCCAGCCTGGTTTTGACCTGGTCCATTCACTGCCAGGATTCCTGGACTGGTCTCAGCTTCTGCCCTGCCTGACCCCAGAAGATCAACCTGATAGATCAGATTGAAGGGTTGGCTTGGGCAAGGATTCGGTCCTTTAGCCTCTGAGTTTCTAAGGCCATCCCTGGAGAATGGGCTGTGGGATCCTTGGTGGGATTCATGACCAGGCTGTGGGCTTGTTTCAGGTATTATTTTTAAGTATTTAGATACATGGTAAGTGAGTTTTCACTTGTACTTCATAAATGGTGAGAGCAGGCATGAGAAGAAAAAAATAAAATGTGTTCTTTTTTATCAGTATCTTGGCTATTTTCAGCCCTTGCTCTCATCTCATCTGTTCTAGCCTCAGTGCTCTACTGCCTCCTGGTTGTTTTTTGTTTTTTCACTTTATTCTTGCTTTCTTGATATTTTTCTTTTTGTGCCAATACAGACATGTTTCTTTTATAAAATGGTATTTTAAAATATTTTATCTAGGCTTATTTATACATTATGCATTGGAAGAGTCATTCAGTATCCAGCCATCACGCCAGAAACAGTAGGTCACCGTCCTAAGTATTATAATAAACATTATAATAACTTCATCATTTCAAAGGAGCTCAAAAATACTCATTCTAATCAGAATTATATCAGATATCTATTGCTGCCTAGCAAGCTACACCAAAATACAGTGGGTTAAAACTAAAGCTATGCACTCTTTCACAGGATTCTGTGGTTTGGCTGAGTGGCCCATCTGCAGGCTCATCCAGGCTCACCTGAGAAACTTCATTCATTTGGGGGGTCTACTAGTGCAACCTAACCCTGGGTACCCCAATTTGCAGTGTTTCTTGGGCCACATATTATTGGCCAAAGAAAGTCTAAGGCCAGCCCCTATTCAGCAGAGTAGAGAAATACTCTCTACCTTTTGAGAGAAGAGCCTTACAAAGTGCCATGGATAGAGTAAAACATAAATCACATTTAGCAAATAAAAATACAGGAAACATGGTTACATCTGAATTTTAGAAAAATAGAAACTTTTTGAGTGTAAATATATCCCAAATATTGCATAGGGCATATATATAATTTTTAAAAATTCACTCTTTATCTAACTCCAAATTTAACTGGCTGTCCTGTATTTTATCTTGAATATCTAGTGGCTTGTTTATTATTATTATCAAGCTGGTTTACCACACACTGGCTTTTAACCTGTCCATAAAACAGTCATAGCTTGATTTAGGAAACCTCAATCAATAAGTATGCACCAATTCATTTATATTTATTCTCATTCTCACATCTCTTCCTAGTACTCTGAGAGAATAAAGAACTATTCAGTCACAGAGTGTTGGTTTCATTGTTGCTGTGGAAAATGGATATTTTCAGGGATTCTTCCGGTTTATATCTGAGGACCTTGTCTCTTGGATCTCACCTTCCAGGCTACAGGACACAACTGTTCAGACGTCACTCATGAATGGAAAACCATAGTGCCATTGACAGACAGCAGAGCTCAGAAGTCCATCAGACAAAAAAACTTAAAATAGAGCAGAGCAGCCTGCTAGGAACACATAATAGATTTTATGATATTTCTTTTCCTTTTTTTTTTTTTTTTTAGATGTAGTCTCACTCTGTCACACAGGCTGGAGAGCAGTGGCATGATCTCGGCTCACTGCAATCTCCACCTCCCGGGTTAAAGCAATCCTCCTGCCTCAGCCTCCCAAGTAGCTGGGATTACAGGTGCCCACCATTATGCCTGGCTAATTTTTTGTATTTTTAGTAGAGACAGGGCTTCACCATATTGGTCAAGCTGGTCTTGAACTCCTGACCTCAGGTGATCCACCTGCCTCGGCCTCCCAAAGTGCTGGGATTACAGGCGTGAGCCACCACACCCGGACCAATTTTATGATATTTCTAAAGAAACCTTGTTCTGGCAAGAAGAGTACTAATATTTATTTGTATGTCTAATTTATGTACCTGTGACTTTTAGTCATGGTATTACTGAATTTCCTTCGGGTGCATATCCGCAACTAGGCTTGGAATACATAAGACTTTTTTCCTTAAGGAATACTATTTAATAGATGAGAAAAACATGATGAACACAAATACAAATATAGTATATAAAGACAAGAGCAGATAAATCATTTTTCCAAAAGCCGAAGAAAAAGAGTGGCTAATATCCAAAAAAGCTTTAGTTGAGTAGGAAGACCAGAAACTGAGATTTAATGGCAGGGATGATGTGACAGGCTGAGCAGGGAGAAGAAAACTGTGGCAGAGATAACTGTTTTTTCTCCAGGATCCAGTCTCCCCTCTTCCCTTTGTTATAAAACTCTCAGGCTTAGCTGGGTATGTGGCCACCTGGAGTCAAGACTACACTTCCCGGACTCCATTTCTTCCAGGTATGGGCCTGTGCTTAAGTTTTAGCTGATAGAATGTAAATGAAAACATTGTGTGCCATTTTCTAGAAATGTCCTTAGTGAGAGTGGCCTGCCTTTTCTCTACCCTTCCTGCCCCTTGCTGGCTGGAATGCTGACAAAGGGGCAACAGCAAGAAGAGTTTTCTTGAAATTTGGGATAGAAATTATGTGCTGAGGGTGGTGGAGCAGCCAGACCAAAGGAGCCTTAGTCTCTGACACCATGCAGTGGCATCCGCACCTGAAATAAGTACCCTCAGATTTCATTTCCATAACAGAGAAATGAATGCCTATCCTGTTGAAGCCCTGCTTTGGGGATTTTCTACCAAGTGAAATAGCATCTACTCATAATAGACACGTAACTTAATGGCAAAATCAACTGCTTAATAGAAAATCAAAACTATGGATACCAAAATATATTTCCAAAGAAGTGATCATATAATGCAGTTAGAAGCTTGTTATTCCCTAGGGCCATGCAGGCAGGTTTCCAACTGAAGACCTGAGAGATGGGGAAAATATTTGAGACCAACTCTGAATGAGCCTGTCAATGAAGAGATTTATTTTCAAGGAAGAGGTCATAGGGTTACAAAAGAAAAATAAGGATCATTTCCATGAAACAGCTCCAGCCAACTCCTACCAAATCAGACTGAAAATAACTACAAGTCAAAGTTGCAATGAAATTAATGTAACTTCTAGCCATTTTCTCTTTGCCCTTAAATACTGCTGTAATTGAGTTGTAGAGTAAGTCAGCAAAACATCTACCATGGCAAATCATTTTCTTGAATATCAGTCTGCACAATGATAAGATAATTAAATTACTGTGTTATCAAACATAATTTCCAGGAAATTTAACTTTTTTCTTTTCCAACTGACAAAGCCCAAAATAAAAAATTGAGCATTAAATTGAGCATTACTTAGTAATTTGAAAAAAAATCCATTTTCTCCAAAAACAATTAATTTTCAGAAATTTCTATTACCATTATTAAGCCATTAATAGGCACTTCCTAATAATTGGATAAATACAGAATAGATATTTCTCACTTAATCTTTTTATTCTTTTCATTAATTGCTTTTAAAGTTGCATCAATCTATTAGACTGGTATTTTAAACTTTTTAGATAGTGTCTTTTTTTTTTTCTTCTTTAAATTTTACCTATACCTTTCCACAAGACAGTTGGGAACTTTCAGTTCAATAACACACTTTATGTTATGGATTTTATATTCAAGAAAGGTATATAAATATGTAGCAAATATGGAAAACTACATATATAAATATGTAGCAAATCTTGGAAACCTTTTAGGTGTGATGGCTGCTCAGGCAAACCATGGGGCAAGATTGGAAATAATAATGGTCTTCATACATCCTCCCATAGGCAGTGAACAAGGTTGGCCACATTGACTCTATTATGACTGAGACAGTGGCAAATTTTACTTGGTTCCCCAGAATCAGTGAAAAGAGATTTTTAAAACATATCCATAAAAGAAATATACTGTGGGTATTTGATTCAAATATTCCTATCTTAATATGTAGTATGGTATTAAAATCTGTTTGGTGTAATTTTTTTCAAAAGGAGAAAAGGCAAAATATTAAATAAAATAGACAAATAAAGGACCTTAAGGAGCTCAATTCTTTTTACAGTCTTTATATATTCGTTGATGTAATATCTTCTAGCTCAGCCACTATCTGTAATACAGCATCTCTGCTCTTTATTTGACCATTTCAACTCACTCAAATCACTCTTGTGTAAGAGTGTCGATAATGACTTCATCAAGAAATCCACCAGAAATGTATCAGTCCTTGTTTAACATGACCTTTTTATCTTTTTATTCTTTTCATTAATTGCTTTTAAAGTTGTATCAATCTATTAGACTGGTATTTTAAACTTTTTAGATGGTGTCTCTTTTTTTCTTTAAATTTTACCTGTATCTTTCCACAAGGAATTTCACAGGCATGAAATGATGTCCTCTGACAGTGATGACTTCTCCCTACTTCCAGAAAAATCTCTTCATTCTTGGCCTCCATAGCCCTAATTTCTCTTGGTTTTCCTCTTACCTCTCTGAGCAATTCTTCTAAGTCTGCTTTGCTGACCTTCTCTTGTAATAGGCTCTGAAGTGCCAATGTTCCCCAGCGTCTTAATCATGGCATATTCTTGCATTGCACACTTCTATGGTTCAAGTACTACTCATATATTAGAGGTTCCCAATTCTATAATATTATCAGTCTTGGAACTCTCTTCGAAGATTCATGCCTTAGTGCTTGTATTATTCTGAACTTTTTTTCACCTGAACAACCCCGAAGAAACAAACCTGTACAAACTTCTTTTATTTCCTAAATCTCTTTTGTCCCTCATCCCACCTTTATCCAACCACAAATTCTATATACTCTACATGCTAAATATCCTTCGTGTCCATCTTTTATTTGTAATCTCCATTCCCACTGTCCCTTATTCAGCAGTCATCTGTATGATTGCAAAAATCCAAAGAGAAACAAACAAGCAAACAAGAACTTTCTAAATGATCTTCCTGCTTTTAATTTCATCACATTTCCATTGTACTACTGCTTATGTGATTTTTCTAATATATGTAACATAGCCACTTTCCTATTCTACATCTTAAAGTGGCTTTTCTTTCCTTAAGTCAATACCCACATCCTTAGCAGGTTATAGGAAGCCATTCATGTTCTAAGCACCTTCATTTGTGGGCTCTTCTGCCACCCTCCACACACTCACTCACTTCAGCAACCTTGAACACTGATGTTTACTATGTGTGCTGCCAACTTTCTTTCCTCTGTGCCTTTGGACATGCTGATCTCACTGACTCCAAAATTCTTCCCCTCTTTTTCTGCCAGGAAAATTTCTCTTTTAAGACTCACCCAAAAAATTTCTCCATAGCTAGGTCAGCCTCTTTTCCTAAGCCATATTAGATGCTCTCTTAGCTTCCTTTAGCATTTTGTACATGCTTCCATTACAGCAATTTATACCACAGCTTGTATGCATTTCTTTGTATATACTTTGTATAGCCTTTTTTTGTATATCCTTCCTGAGGAAAGGAATCATATCTTATTCATTTTTATGACAAACACCAGGCACAGTGCCTAGTGCTCAAAAGATGTTTTTTATATTAATATTAAGCAGAGAAAGGATATGCATATGAAAGATATATGGTCCCTGATTTCAAAGAAATAACATTACAATCTAAAGATTTATAGTGGAAAAAATATAAAATAGATTTGCTTATATTCCACCAGAGAGTACAATTAGAAAAATTTACAAAGAAAAAAATTACTCAATAAAATAATGTACTCTCTAATCTTTGGAGTTATCTAACTAGCAAGCAGGAGGCATCAAGAGTTAGTGAGCTTCTGATTACTAGATTCAGGCTGAAATAAGATGGCTTAGTGTCTTCAACCAGAATGTGGTCTCTATTCAACACTTGTACTGGATGAGGGTTTAGACCTCTACAAGTCCTACGTGCCTGACGTCATTCTCTGAAAAGGCTGACGATTAAGTGATTCTCAAATAATTTTTTTAGTAAATAAGATTGTTTGGTATCTCTGCCTCAACTGTGTAATTTAAAATATTAAATTTGAATTAATTACAGTGTATTCATAGTAAGAGTTCACTAAAATTTTGTAATTCCACAATATTCTGGGAATGTACAACTAGAGACATTATTTTGGATTTATTTGGTAGTAGTAGGGAACAATAATTAATGCCTCCTTTCCCCTACCTGAGATTGGATGCTTAGTAAAGATGAACATAGGAGTCAGATAAATTAAGGTCAAGTATTACCTTTGTTATCAATAAAAATGAACAGCTTTAGGTTACTGATTAAGCCACATTCTTCTGCAGGCCTAATAATATACCCTACATTGAAAATACCGATTGCCTTAGTTGTTTTTGTGCTGCTAGAGCAGAATACCATGCACTGGGTAATTTATAAAGAACAGAACTGTATTTTCTTTTCTTTTCTTTTCTTTTTTTTTTTTTTTTTTTTTTTTGAGACAGGGTCTTGCTCTGTCGCCCAGGCTGGAGTGCAATGGCCTCTTCTTGGCTCACTGCAACCTCTGCTTCTTGGGTTCAAGCAATTCTCCTGTTTTAGCCTCCCAAGTAGCTGGGATACAGGCACCCGCCACCACACCCGGCTAATCTTTTGTATTTTTAGTAGAGACAGGGTTTCACCATGTTGGCCAGGATGGTCTTGAACTCCTGACCTCATGATCTGCCCACCTCGGCCTCCCATAGTGCTGGTATTACAGGTGTCAGCCACCACACCAGGCCACTAAAACTGTATTTTCACAGTTCTAGGGGCTGCAAAGTCCAAGATCTAGATGCCAGTATCTGATTAGGGTTTCCTTGCTGCATCCTAACACAGCAGAAGAAGGAAGAGCAAGGGAGAGACAAACTCTATGTCTTCACATGGCAGAAAAGCTGAAGAGATATAACTCAGTCCCTCAAGACCTTTCTATAGCAGCATTAGTCCCTTCCACCTATAAACCTCCCATCAGACCCTACCCTATTGCATTGGCAATTAAGTTTCCAACACAATAATTTGAGAGGACACATTCAATCCATAGCACTCACTCATCTAAAGATGCTGGTTTCCTCTGTTGCGACTGCCAGAAGGTAAACAGCAGAGCCAAAGAAACTTGGGGAGGATCCAGAAAACCTTGAGCCAACCGTACCTTTTTTCTTCCCCCATTTTCAATGGTCAGTGGAAGGAGAGTGAGTGAGTGGGTGGAAAGAAGTTAGAAATGCTCCTCTGATTAATTCTTCCGGAGAGTTAAGAAGACTTTTCCTTTTCTCTATGGATGCATGAAGAATAAGGAAGTGTTCTAACATACTTTTAAGAGCAATGTCAAATTAGCCGGGCGCAGTGGCAGGCGCCTGTAGTCCCAGCTACTCCGGAGGCTGAGGCAGGGGAATGGCGTGCACCCAGGAGGCAGAGCTTGCAGTAAGCCGAGATTGCGCCACTGCACTCCAGCCTGGGCGACAGAGCAAGGCTCCGTCTCAAAAAAAAAAAAAAAAAAAAAGAGCAATATCATCTTTCAGTAGCTTCCGAGTCTACAATTGGCCTTACATATTAAAAACACAATCTTCTTTGATATTTTGAAAGATCAAAAATTTAGCAGCTATTCTAAAAACTAACCTGTTTCTTTAGAATAACCTGTTTCACTATTTACTTATGCACTCATGCATTCAAAAAAACATTTATTAAATGCCTATCATGTTCCTGGTTCTTTTATGCTAGTGATCAAAGGAAAAATAAGCCACCATCAATGTCCTTAAAGAGCTCTAGCTGGAGAAATGGCCAATTAACTAATAAAAATAATAATAGTAATAAAACGTGATACACAGTATAATGGAGGAAGGAATATTATACCATGAACCCAAAGGGGAAGGAGCAATTAATTACTAGAAGAAAGAAAAAGAAACATTGTAATAAAAATAACAAAAACATATTGTCCTGATGTAGGCTTTGAAAAATGAATAGGAGTTCACTAGGAGAAAATGAGTAGGAACGAAGCTATCCCTTAAAAAAGAAGGACCATGGGCAAAGGCACAAAGGTCTGAATATGCAGCATTTCAGAAATCATTAAACTAAAAGGAAAGCACATTTGATATATGTAAAATATTTTCACATTTAACTTAAAGTTTATTAAAGCAGGGAAACTTTTGCGTAGTTTAATAAAATTACAAAGATCTAGAGGTGAGGCATTTTGAACTAGTTAATAACCAAATGATTTAGGGAATTATTCATTAACCATTAACAAATACCTCCTGCATCCCTCATCTTTGGTTGAGTTCCAACAGTAATATCTCAGAGGTCTTGGCACTTGAAATCTGAACTTAAGCATTTATGTCTACAATATAAGGACCAAAAATATTTTGCTTCTGGGTCATTAAAATTTTTAGAATAATAAGCCCTTCCTTAGCAGCCTTTCTATTTGGTAGAACGCCATGCAGCAATGTGTTCCATATCTGAATTCATAGGGGAAATAAAGTGGTGCTCTTGTTAAGGAAATCCATTTCCTCCAAAAGGACAAGGTATGACAAAGACTGTTTTTCCAACTTAATGTAAATTTCATAACATCAGCAGCGTGCCGTGCAAACTGCCAAATGGAAAGGCTCCCACACGCCCCATCCACATAATACATGGACTCAGGAGGGGCAGAAATTACATTTACTTTAGGAACGATACATCCTCCACACAGCCTCTAAAATCTGCACTGGTGAACCCACTCCTATCTGTTGAAGTCTTTGTCTTTATTAAATGCTTTCTTTCAGGATGGCTAAAATGATGAGAGGTCTTTTGCTTGCTTTTCTTCCTCTTTTGCTGTCTCTTTCCCTTTACAGATACAGCCCCAGTGATTGAAAAACCCGACCTGCAAATCTGACCGTTCAACTTATCTAGGACAATCTCTAAGTACAAGGTCGACATTATCTCAGCCTGCATCCTGTGTAATTATAGTATTTGGCTGGCATTGCTGAATAGGGGCTGAAATCCATCAGGTTTTAGTTAATCTTCCTTGAGTAATCACAGCTGGTTGGCCGGAAGAAAATGATTATGAAATAAAGTTGTTGTGTCTCAATAATAAAGATTACTGATATGCAGGGCAAGCTCTATCTAAGGTTAACCTTTCTCTACATATGAAGGCTCCATATAACTGAGGAACAAGAAATTGTTTCTGAAAAGTCTGCTTTGCTTCAGATTTTAACTTCTCTTTTCTTTTAACTTTTACTAAATCCCCCACCAGTCCTGAATTTTCGTTACACTGCACTGAAACACATATACTAACCCTTTGGAAGTTTTTCAAACAGATCCAACTAGCAGTTTAATGGACATGAGATCAGCTTCCTTCAAGTCTTTGAGTAGAATCTCATGTTGTTTTATTAAGAATCTTTTTATTGTGCTAATCTTGAGGCTATGAGTTATTCACACGACAGACAGGATGACGATGAATCTGCATGGTGATATTAGAGAGTATGTCAAGTGATGTTGTAGTGGCGCAAGCTGTATATTCAGAACAAAAAACAGACTTACACAGTTGGAGAAAACTCTCCATCACTGTCTATGCAATATGAACAATGCAGCATACATCCAATCCAATAATTTTTACCCCTTCTTATGATAAGAGATGATCACAAAAGATTTATCTAGCAACTGTAAAAAGGCACAGATGGTGGTATGGTGGTTAACAGCACAGATTCTGCAGTCATAGCTAGCTTTGCCTCTCACCAGCTATGTGACTTTGGGTGAATTACTTAACCTCTCTATTGACTTAGTTTCCTCAACCTTAAAATAGAAATTATAATAATAGTAGCTGTCTCATGTGCACATCATGAAGATTAAATGAGTTAACATATCCAGGATGCTCAGAACAGTTATTGGCATTTAAAAAGCATAGTAAGTGTTCACTCTTGATAACATTAAAACATATAAAGAAACAGGATTGGCTGGATCCTAACGTTGTTGGATAGGCAGTAAGTACAACTTGCAAGATCTTTAGCTCTAAATTCTTGTTTGATACTTGACTTCAGGCTATTAACATTTAACCAGAGACTCATAAACAAAATGACCTATGGTTAAACTCATCACGTTAATGTGTCTACTCATGAGAAATAAGAACGCACATAAAAATAGTACACCATAGATTTTGTCTGGAAGGGTAAGATGAGAGCAAGAGGACAAGGGAAGATGATTTGCTTGAGGCTGATGGTTCTGGGCACAGTGGCTCCCAGACTCCTCCTTATTCCACTGCTTTCATTGCCCTTACAGCACATGACTGGGATGACCAAGGAAGTTCCTCCTACAAAGAAATACATTTCAGTGTCTGAGTTTCCAAGCACATATTGGCATCCATTCCTTGGCTATTGAACTGACTCTTCTTTCTTCCTAATTACATCCCTAATGTAAATACATCCAGCAATAATCCTTAATTACATCCTCTTAATTACACACCGACTGCAAATGCATGCCAACTCTCCTTTGTCATCATTTAAGTCAATTGGTTAATACTAAACCAAACAAATACATAGACACACAAGAAAGCCATAAGTGGGAGGTTTTGAATAGAAAGATAAGCTGAGAAATATGTATTTTTCATTTTTATTTTTTAAAGCCAAAGCAAGTTTATTAGGAAAGTAAAGGAATAAAAAAATGGCTACTCCATAGGCAGAGCAGCCCCAAGGGCTGCTGGTTGCCCATTTTTATGGCTATTTCTTGATTATATGCTAAACAGGGGTGGATTATTTGTGCCTCCCATTTTTGAACCATATAGGTAACTTCCTGACATTGCCATGGCATTTGCAAATTGTCATGGTACTGGTGGGAGTGTAGTAGTAAGGGCAACCAGAGGACACTCTCATTGCCATCTTGGTTTGGGTAGGTTTTAGCTGGCCTCTTTACTGCAACTTGTTTTATCAGCAAGGTCTTTATGACCTGTATCTTGTGCGGACCTCCTATTTCATCCTGTGACTTAGGATGCCTTAGCCTCCTGAAAATGCAGCCCAGCAGGTCTCAGCCTTATTTTCCTCAGCCTCTATTCAAAATGGAGTTGCTCTGGTTCTAATGCCTCTGACATTTCCCCCCTCCCTTTTATAAGAGAACCCTTAATCCTAGGGGTTGCAGAGGGACGACGATCAGTCTTCTGTAACTTCTTCAGGCTGAATAGGGGTGAAGTTATACCTGCCTAACTATTGGGTCTCTTGCATTTAGCATAGAGAGGAGTTCAGTCAGAAAGCATTGGTATGGTGAGGGCCATTCATAACTCTTGAATTCCAACAAATGGTGATATCTGGAAGATTAATAACTATTTAATTTAAGAAAACATTGAGTAAGCTTATTCTGCATTCCTACACAAAGATTACAACAGCAATAGGAATATGTATTTTTAATAATTCCTCTTAATTTTGGTTTTATTAAAATTTTAGAAATTCCTTCTTAATCATATTACATTTCTTTCATTTTTATGAATCTTATCTGGATTTTTAAAACACAACACAGAGAAAAGTTTCAAGATAGAGTCTAGAGGTCCACTGTGTGTTTGTTTATAAAGTTTCAGATCATCATCCATACATTTCATTGATCTTGCAGTATCTTCTTTTATTTGGCTGAAGATCATATATAAAAAGTCAAAACATGTCAAATACATAGATCTTCTTTAAGCACAAAAGAATTGACAATCCATTTGAGAGTCATTAGGGTGTATTTTATAATCTAACATGAAATTATACCTATCTATTTTCACCACAATAAATTGGCATGGCTCTTACTAATGTCAAGGAAATGTATTAATGTGTCTTAATGGAATGAAAATTTAAGAATAATAAGCATTTTGAAAAGTAACACCACTGTCAACTGAAAGACAAACATTTTTTAAGTTAAAGTTTGATTATTTGAGGGATAAAGTGACTGTATTTTGGTTCTTGAGAAGAGGCTATTCTCCAGACATCATCTTTTTAGGATGATGGTTGTATTTTGGTTTTTGAGAAGAGGCTATTCTCCAGGCATCATCTTTTTAGGAATTTATAATGGGCAGATTCTAAAATCTTGTTTTGCTCCCAAATTCTGTCTCTAGATGTAAGGAAGAGATTATATAAAATTAAACTTTTATATATATAAAGATTATATAAAATTAAACTTCAGAAAAATAGTAAAAAGTCAAACTGTGTTAAACAAATCATTATGAAAATAGAACCTTCATAAGATAATCACTTTCTAGATTTTTTTTAAGCAAAGGTTTGTTTTGCTTTGCTTTTAAATAATTTTCAGTGCTGCTTGTGTTTCCATTCCTATAGTGAGCTTCCTAACATCTGTTTTCCATTTTTTTTTAATTTCCACACATGACCTTTGGCCTATTCTCTGTGTTTGGGAAAAAACAGGAATTAAAGTTGACATTATCTCTATGCCTTCTCCAAACTGCATAAATTCACATTTGTAGCCTGTCTTATATCTAAGCACAGGCTTTCTGACCACAAAATCAATTTATCTATTGTTTAGGAGGAAGTTTCATAATGTTCAGAATAAAGACCTGTAACCCCACAGTCTGGGGTTCTGGGGTGCTGCCAGGGCTTCAGGGCATGAGAATATTTCTTCTAGATCTGTGACCACTGTGGAAAATGTATCTGGCCTAACCCAGTGTTCTAGAAAATCCCCGAATCATGACACAACATGAAGTTCTTTTCATAATTATAGTATTTAGTCTCTCACATGAGACTGAAGAATGTGATACTAATATAGTATGAAAATTATATTGTATGCATATTATAAGCATTAGAAAAATAAGCAGGTACTTAAAAATCCTGTATAAGAAGTAAAATTATTCACCAAAAGTAATGATGAGATAAAGAATTTAATATTATACTAATGCACACTACACATTAGAACACAAAAATCCTGAGCTGTACAGAACAAATATTCCAAATAAGTGAGTGAAATAGGTAAAAGACTGGCCAAAGGAGCCTCTCTTTTTTTAGTGATGCTGGATATAATCTATACTTTCATATGTTCTTTCTTTTAATTGTTATAATTTACATACCAAAAGTACACAGATCTTACGTATATAGCTTGATGAATGTTTCCATAGGTATATACCTGTGTTCCATGCCTTCTTAAACAGAATGTGCATTTAAACATTATAGTTTTCCTGATAGCCTCAGAAACTATTATGTTAAAAATATAATATTGACTTCAAGGTCTAATGATATGACTGGAACCCCTTACCCCTATATTTAAAGTCAATTGGGCTTTATTTTACTTTGGTTATTTTGTTTTCCTATAGATGTCTGCCTTCTTTATTGTTTTAGTTTTCTTTACATCCCTGGGCTTAACATGGGGTCAAATAAAATGTTCGACAAATGTTTACAGTAACAAATTGGATATCAGATGTCCATCCTTGTGGATATGGTCTGTAGAGTGAGAGTGAGTAATATGGAGTATTTTGTTATAAATAGATAAGTATTAGTAATGTTAATGAGCTTTATAATGTAAAATATCTTGTAAACCTAAACTGAGGTAAGGCTTGGTACATTAATGTTTTCTAAGGCCTGCTAATTTAGAAATTACTTACACTACTGATTAAGACTTTGGATACACAACAGTGCCTAGAAGGGTCCGGTCATTCAGAACCTAATGGAGACATCAAGATGATTGGTCAAGAATGACTAATGTCACATTACAAAATAAGACAAGTCTCATAAAAGACTGTTCAACAAACAGCCTGTTTCCACAGTGTGAAGGACACATATGAGCTCTGTTTTCTCTATTTGAAAGCTTCGGAGACATTAAGATTTCCTAAAGAATCTCCACTATGATCAGAAATGGCAAAGAATTATATTGCAAAACTGAAGAGTTTCTTTGATTTTTACAACAAATATGCTCAACTGAGATGGGTTGGAAGGAAGACACCCTAAGGATCCCCCTATTTCACCCCCACCTTCACCCCAGTATGTACTGGCTGCTCACGTGAATGTGATGGAGGCAGTCACTAAGGAAAGAGAATTATCCTGTTACCTAAGACAGGCAATTGCAGTTGAAGAACATGCTCCACGCTCACTCCAGCCCTGTCTCAACCTGCAAACAGAGTTAATACAAATCACAGCTTTTCTACTCCTTTTGGCATTAGCAACTCGTTTTACAAGTTTTCTTTAAAGAGTGAATTGCTTCCTATTTATCTATATAAAATGCTTTTATATATATTTTATTACATTTTTTAACCGCAATGTATTACCCTGGAAAGAACACTACCTGATAGGACAGAATACAAAATGTTCTGGGAAGACAAAGGTGGGACAAAAACAAAAGGATGGATCTTATAGTATCTTTTATTTCCATGATTCTAGGATAATTATTATTAGTTATCTATTTGTAAAGTTGCCTGGGTTTCTAAACCTTTTTCCCAAATGTTCTTATAGAGTTCTTTAAAGTAGCAACTTTTTAGACATCTAGTAATGCTTTTTAATTCCGTGAAGAACAATGATAACCAAAATATTTTCTATGATATATGGAAGTATATAATTAAATCAGAAACCTTATCAAAGGCTGGCTATTTCTGTTCACCATCAGACTTGAAAACTAGGAATTTATTTTTGGTTGACTTTGTATTTTTTTTCTTATGTGTCATAAGTGTGATTATCAAGGTAGTAAAAGAACATCTTTTCATCACACCAGAACTGTAAAATATGAGACGTATTTATCTGGCTAGCCATTTGGACAATTCTTTATATACATGTGATTAAATCCACTTTCATATTCTATACATATGACCCTTCCCTCTTCCTTTCTGAGTTTGTTTCTTTTTGAACATGGTTTATCCTCCACTGCAAAGTTTATGTATCTGGTGTTTCTTAAAAAAAAATAGTCCTGTCATAGTGCAGGCATACATAGTGCAGGCATATTTGTTTTCTCCTCTTTCTGAAAATAGAAATTCAAAGACAATTTCAAGAAAGCAGGTAAGCTGTCAATTCTCTGAATAGCTAAGGCACTATTCTTAATGACTTCCCAATAGTAAGCACTACTAACTATTGCTAAGCCCAGTTTATGCTCCTCCCAAATCTTCCCATTCTCATACACAAGATGATTTGAGGTGCTATTGAATCAGTCCATACAACTTGGACGAGAAGCATAGGACAAGTGCAAGAGACAGCAGGGTTTAGAAGTTCTATGACTTGATTTGTCTGTCTTTCCACTCTCCAGCTAAGACTCCAGAGCCTCCCGTGATTCCTACCTCCCCCAATCCTCTCAAAGTAAAGTGAGAGGAAAAAGCCATGGGGACTGCTGGCAGTCATCCTCACCATTCCCAAGGTAAGAGCCATATTTGCAGCCCCTTATTTTGAATTCTACAGAAATCAGCTTGACCTACAGTGACCCTAAATAAGGTTAAGCTTTCTGACTATTTTTCAAATGAAAGGGCTAGCTGTAAATTCTAGATTTTAGAATTATAAATGTGAGGCCTATTATTAAGGTACTCATACTCCAAAAAAAAAAAGCTGTATCTAATCTCTAACTTAATAATGATGTCTCTACATATGTGCACTGTATTTGGTGATGAGTGTCATTTATCAGAAGTGGGGATGTGTCTGTGTGCATGCCGCATCATTAATTTTCCATGGGTCAATGTATTCCTTCCTATTTCCCATATCATCTCTTAATGAAAAGTGCTTAAATGACATTTGAATATCAGACTTTATGTTATTACCATTATTAGATAAGCTTAAACTTTTCTTCATCTTTTGTAATTACCAGTTGCAATAAAGTCTCCATTAAAACATTCTTCCTTCCCTACTGCCTAAACCTTGATTTATTTAGTAGAAGCTGGCAACATCAAAGTGTAACTAATGAACTATAAGACAATTTTAACACCTTCATGGACTAATTGCTAAATGGCTTTTATTTAATTCTTCAAGGACTGATCTCTGAGGAAATTATAACCTGGTGACAACAGGAACAGAAAATTTAATGTTAAGCCTTTATTGTAACAGACTAGCAAATACTGGTTGCTTGGCTGATCCTAGCAAGTCTGAATCAAATTAATAGTTATCCAGTTCAATTATAACATTTGTCTAAAAACTGCTTTATTGGTATGAAATTGAATGGTTTAACAGTATTTTTCCAGCCAAAAGAAAAATGGTTTATTATATCAGCCATTAATCAATTCTTTAAGAAAACTACTAAGTGGAGATTGACTTTCAGAAAATTTTGGCTTATTTAATAGTTCTTTTGTAATTGAAGAGAGGCTAACATAATATTGACTTCTGCATTAGGATAGAAAACCTTGCTAAGATAAGTAAATATTAATAATGTTTTCACATTCCTTTTTTTAAAGGCAAGGTCTTACTCTGTTGCCCAGGCGTAAATGCAGTGGTGAGATCATGGTTTACTGCAGCCTTGAATTCCTGGGCTTAAGCAATCCTTCCTCCTCAGCCTCCAGAGTAGCTGAGACTGCAGGCATGCACCACCATGCCTGGCTAATACTTTTTTTTTTTTTTTTTTTTTGGTAGATACAGGGTCTCTCTGTGTTATCCAGGATGGTCTTCTCATTCCTAAAATACAAATTGAGAAGAAAAGGAACTTCTAAATGAAAGTATGGAATCAATGAACTAAGCTCAGCTAACAAAAGCTGACTCCTAACCTTTCAGAAATGGGCTGCACCTCACACTAACCAAAGATTATTTAAACGAGAAATCTGGCTTCACCTACATAGGTATGATTCAAGAGAATATTAGCTGATTTTCTATGTCAGGAAAAATCCATCTCTCAGACCATCTCCAACCACCCAATCATGTATTAGTGGTGTTTTTGAAAAATAATTGAAGTAGCCCAATCTCCAATTTTTAGTTCAAAATTTTATCAAAAGCTGCATTTTTCTGAACGAGTTAAGTAGACAACAGCCTCTGTATTAGTCCATTTTTACAGTGCTGACAAAGACATCTACGAGACTCGAAGAAAATTAGGTTTAATGGACATACAGTTTCACATGGCTGGGGAGGCCTCACAATCATGGTGGAAGGCAAGGAGGAGCAAGTCACATCTTACATGGATGGCAGCTGGCAAAGTGAGAGCTTGTGCAGGGAAACACTCATTTTTTAAAACCATCTGATCTCATGAGATTTATTCACTATCACGAGAACAGTGCAGGAAAGACCTGCCCCCATAATTCATCACCTCCCACTGGGTTTCTCCCATGAAAGGTGGGAACTGTGGAAATTACAATTCGACATGAAATTTGGGTGGGGACACAGCCACGCCATTATCAGCCTCCTTGATCTGATATTACACTGAAAATATAATGGTCTAGTGGTTGGTTTTTTAATATTTAAAACTTGAACAAAAGCCAAATATACTTTTTAAATTACCTTTACTTCTCTTACAATTATCATAATATGTGATTATTCAAGTGTGCAAGTTGATTTCACCTCTCTGTATGTTACATGTGTAACAAATGTTTACAGTTATAATTTGTCCTTGCGCATAGATTATTGTGTTCACCAAGGCATTGATATAACCAAATAATGTACTTCAATTTCAGACTATAAACAGAATGTACAGTTCACAGCACCTGGGAAAGTTTGCACATCTACTGAGAGTCTGTCAGACAGCCTGAAGTACTGGAAAATTCTCAAAATATCCTCCTCAGTTCCATGGGAGGTGTATGGCAAAAGTGAGGTTCATCAAGGAAGCAAGAATCCCTAAACATACTCAACAGAAGGGGCACACTGAACACACTCAACTTATTTACACCTGTGGAGGATTGCCTTTTGTGGGATTCTTTATTCTAACCACTTTATTGAGGTATTATTACCATACACAAAGCTGTACATATTTAATGTACACAATGAGTTTGGAGATAAGTATAGACCCATGAAACCATTACCACAATCTGCCATAAACCTATCCATCACCTCCAAAAATTTATTCTTGCCTTCATATTTATTATAATTTTGTGTGTATATGATAAGAATGCTTAATATAGGATCTATCTTCTTAGCATATTTTCAAGTATACAATACATTATTGTTACAGTAGATCTCTAGTATCTTGTATAACTAAAACTTTGTACCTCCTGTTTCTGCCTCATCCCAGCCCCTGGAAACCATTATTCCACTCTCTGCTTCTTTTAGTTTGACTCTTTTAGATTCATCACATAAGTAGTTTAGTATTTGTTTTTCTGTGCGTGGCCTCCCTCACTTAGTATAATGTCCTCCAGGTTCATCCACGTTGTCATAAATGGCAGGACTTTCTTCTTTTTTAAGGTTGAATTAATATTCCTGTGTGTGTTTGTATGGTCTTTTCTGTATCCATTCATCTCTGGATGGACATTTAATTGCTTCTATATCTTGGCTATTGTGAATAATGCTGCCATGAATATGCGGGTGTAGATATCTTTTTGACATATTGATTTTATTTCCTTTGAATATAGACTCAGAAGTGGGATTGCCAGATCATATGATAGTTTTGTTTTTAATGTTAAGGCACCTTCATACTGTTTTCTATAGTGGCTACACCAATCTATATTTCCACTAACAGTGTGCAAGGGGGGAAAAAGAAATGTACAAATATCATAAATGTCTTAACCCATTTGGGGTGCTATAACAAAATACCATAAACTGAGTGGCTTATAAACAGTAGAAAATATTAGGTCTCACAGATCTTGGAGCTAGGGAGTCCAAGATCAAGGTGTTGGTGGATTCAGTCTGGCGAGGGCCCACTTTCTGGTTCATAAAGGGTGCCTTCTTGCTGGGTTCTTACATGGTGGAAGGGGCAAAGGGTCTCTCTTGGGCCTCTTATACAAGAGCACTAATTCCATTCATAAGGATTCTTCCCCTATGATCTAATCACCTCCCAAAGGCCCTACCTCATAACACCATCATCTTGGGGATCAAGATTTCAACATATGAATTTTGGCGATAGGGGAACATAAAACATTCAGACCCTAACAATAATGTCAAAGAGTAAGTCAGTAAAGCATGTTAAAAACAGGTTGAGGCCGGGCACAGTGGCTCATGCCTGTAATCCCAGCACTTTGGGAGGCCAAGGTGGGAAGATAACCTGAGGTCAGGAGTTTGAGACCAGCCTGGCCAAAATGGTGAAACCCCATCTCTACTAAAAATACAAAAATTAGTCAGGCGTGGTAGTGGGCGCCTGTAGTCCCAGCTACTCGGGAGGCTGAAGCAGGAGAAGTGCTTGAACCCGGGACGCAGAGGTTGCAGTGAGCTGAGATCATGCCACTGCACTCCAACCTGGGTGACAGAGTAAGAAAAAAAAAACAACAAAAAAAACAGGTTGAATAGATGGAATTTATGGTATTTTTAATATAGTTTTTTTTTAATGAAACAAATGAGAGTTTTAATTTAGGTAGAAAATGATGGAAAGACCAAACAAATGTTAAATATTTATAAGACACAGCTATTGACAGCTAAGGTGTCTTGGATGCTGCCACCAACTCATTCCCCAGATGTGCTCTGCTTGCAAAATTCAGGCAAAGGCTATAGCTGCAGAGAGAACTACAACTGTGGCCAGGCCATGGCCGGCATCTTGCCCTTGCATCTCTCACAGAGCAAGTGTTGGCTTAAAGCCCCTCTCACCTGCCCAGCCCTGCTGCTTCACTTTCTGAATTACTTTCCTATTGCTGCCATAACAAATTGCCACAAACATAGTGGCTTAAAACACAGACTTATCTTCTATAGGTTAGAAGTCTGGCATAAATTTCACTGGACAAAGATCAAGATGTCAGCTGAGCTGCATTTTTTTCTGGAGGCTTGATGGGGACAATCCACTTCCTTGCTTTTTCCAGCCTCTAGAGGCCACCCACATTCCTTAGCTGGTGGACATCTTCCTTCATCTTCAACGGCAGCAGCATCACATTCTTATGACTCTCCATCCATCCTCACATTTCTCTCTGACTGGAGCCCAGGAAATGTTGTCCAATTTTTAAGAACTTGTGTGATCAGATTAGGTCCATCTGGATAATCTAGGAAAACCCCCCTCCTAAGGTCCTTAACATAATCACATCTGCAAAATCCCTTTAGCCATGTAAGATAGCTGAGATAGGGTGGCCAGAGAAGATCTCTTTAAAGTGACATTTGCATAGACACTGACTCAGGGAATCACCAATATTCTCAGATTCTGAGGATTAAAGTGTGAGCCATTTCAAGGACCATTATTCTGGCTACCACACCTTCACTCTGATTCTTGTAGCCACATTGTCAGCAGGAAAATCCTGAGCATGTACAAATGGCATAATTTAGGACTTGCCTTCCGTGCCACTTGCTCCATCTTCCAAGTATGTCAGTCTACTCAGTCTCTTTACCCTTGCTATTGCTGTATGTTTATGATTTATTTAATAAATTCACTATCCAAGCATCTTTATTTGGTCTGACAGTCTTTCTGTTTCATGAGCTCTGGATTACCTGCCTGGTAGCACACCTGGAAGCTACCACTGAATTAAGGTAATTCCCCAAAGATTTCAGTCTTGGTTGGTCCCTATACAGAACCTCTGTATTAGTCAGGGTTCACTAGAAGGACAGAGCTAATAGGATAGATATATATATAAAGGGGGGTTTACGAAGGAGTATTGATTCACACAATCACAAGGTGAAGTCCCACAATAGGCCATCTGCAAGCTGAGGAGCAAGGAAGCCAGTCTGAGTCCCAAACCTCAAAAGGGAAGCCAACAGTGCCGCCTTCATTCTTGGTCAAAGGTCCAAGAGTCCAAAAGCTGAAGAACTTGGAGTGTGATGTTTGAGGGCCAGAAGCATCCAGCATGGGAGAAAGATGTAGGCTGGAAGACTAAGCCAATCTAGTCCTTCCACGTTCCTCTGCTTGCTTTCATCCTAGCCACGCTGGCAGCTGATTAGATGGTGCCCATACAGATTGAGGGTGGGTCTCCCTCTTGCAGCCCACTGACTCAAATGTTAATCTCCTTTGGCAACAGGCTCACAGACACACCCAAGAACAATACTTTGCATCCCTCAATCCAATCAAGCTGACATTCAATATTAACCATCACAGCTTCCTACTCCTGACAAACTCATATATAAAAAACGTGGTTAATTGCAAATGAAGACATTAATAATTAGTCATTTATTTTTCCTGCAATAAAACAAGCCTATTTCTGAAAGAATAAAAGATTAAATTGATCAGAAAAAAAAAAACTTAAGACTTATTTTAAAAAGCTGGATCCTGTATTCATTTTAGGCACCCATTATTTGCCTATCTACATTAATTCAACAAACATTTACTTGGTGCCTGTTATAGGAAAAGCATCGCACTAGGTAGCTTAAGCCTTGCTTTTGGAAAATAAAAACTGAAACTGCTGATTGTAGCATACAATGTCTTACACGGAGGCTCCTGCCAAGCTCTACAGCTTGTCACATCAGGCTTCCCCTTCCTCAACTACAGAAGTCTTCTTTCTGTTGTGCAAACACCCCAAGTTATTTCCATTCTTAAGGTCTTTGCTGTTGCTAATCTTTCAGAATGCTCTTTTCAGATGCTTTTCCAGGTTGACTATTCCCTTTGTTGGTGTTCATTCAAACGTCATTTCAGAGGACTTCTCTGGCCCCCCCATCCAAGGGGCCACCCCACCCCACCCCTGCAGTGCTCCATGGCATCTCTCTTCCATAGCACCTATCATGACTTGCAATTACCTTGTTTTCCTGTTCACTTCAGGTTTCTCTCTCTCTTTTTTTGTTTCCATATACTAGAATGCAAACTCCACAAGATAGGGATTTTTGTCAGCATTTCTCACCACTGTATCACCAGCACACAGCACTCATGTTTTGCACATTTTAGAACTAAATATGAATAGCTAAATGAATGACTGAACAGATGAATGAGTATAAAAGTGAATGAGATATGTATTCTGATAACATCTTAGAATTCATCATTCCACTGAGAGACGGCATATGTAACAAAACTAAAAATTGTTGAGTTTTTAATAGTATATATCTGTGGTTCCCAAACTGTGTTCCAAGTTATGCTACATTTTTTATGATGCCACACCTTTGTGGAGCTGGATTTTCTATGGTTGCTGCAATAAAAGCAAGTAAAATGCAATAATAAGTGTGGAACAGGAAATTAAGCTGTCAGTGTCCAATCTGGTTCCAAGGTTTGAGAAATTGCTGCTCAACAAATAATTCTAGTTATGAAAATTTAAACTTTTGAGTAGTCACATTTTAAAAAGTAAAAAGAAGCAGGTAAAAAAATGAACAATTTCAACTTTTTAGATTCAGAGGATAAATATGCAGGTTTGTTACCCAGGTAAATTTCATGATGTGAGGTTTGGATACAATTGATCCCATCAGCCAAGTACTGATCATAGTACCCTACAGCTTTCCAACCCTTGTCCCTCTCCCTCCCTACCCCTTCCAGTAGTCCCCAGTGTCTACTATTGCCATTTTTATGTCCATGAGTATCCATTATTTAAGTTCCACTTATAAGTGAGAATATGCAGTGTTTGGTTTTCTGTTTCTGCATTAATTCACTTAGAATAAGGCTTCCAACTGCATTCATGTTGCTTCAAAGGACATGATTTCATTCTTTTTTATGGTTGTGTAGTATTCCATAGCATACATGTATATATATGTGTGTATATATATATACACACACACACATGTGTGTGTCACATTTCTTTTGTTTATCCAATATATATATCCATATATATATATATATATATATATATATATATGGATATATTCCTTTTCTTTATCCATATATATGTGTGTATATATATATATATATATACACACACGTGTGTGTGTGTGTCTCTGTGTCACATTTCTTTTCTTTATCCAATCCACCATTGATAGGCATTATTATTACTCAAATTAGTTTCCTGGAGAATTTGGGGTTAGGAGTTTTTAAGGATAATTTGATGGGTAGGGGGCTCGTGAGTCAGGAATGCTGATGGTTGGGTCGGAGATGAAATCATAGGGCGTCGAAGTTGTCCTGTGCTGAGTCAGTTCCTGGGCGAAGGCCACAAGATCAGATGAGCCAGTTTATTCATCTGCGTGGTGCCAGCTGATCCATCCAGTGCAGGGTCTGCAAACTATCTTAAGCAGGGATCTTAGGTTTTACCATAGTGATGTTATCCCCGGGAGCAATCTGAGGAGGTTTAGAATTTTGCAGCCTCCAGCTGCATGACGCCTAAACCATAATTTCTAATCTTGTGGCTAATTTTTTAGTCCTGCAAAGGCAGGCTAGTCCCCAGGCAGGAAAGGGGTTTGTTTTGGGAAAGGGCTGTTTTCATCTTTGTTTCAAAGCTAAACTATAAACTAACTTCCTCCCAAAGTTAGTTTGGCCTACGCCAAGGACAGCTTGGAGCTTAGAAGCAAGATGGGGTTGGTTAGGTAAGATCTCTTTCATTGTAATAATTTTTTGTTATGATTTTTGCAAAGGTGTTTTCAATCCCATGTCCTTGCTTTTGATAATAGGGCTGCAATGAACATTCGAGTGCATGTGCCCTTTTCGTAGAATGATGTATTTTCTTTTGCATATAAACTCCATAATAGGATTGCTGGGTTGAATGATCATTCTGGTTTATGTTCTTTCAGAAATCTACAAACTGCTTTCCACAGTGGCTGAACTAATTTACATTCCCATCAACAGTGTGTAAGCATTCCCCTTCTCTGCAGGCTCACAAGCATCTGTTGCTTTTTGACTTTTTAATAATCACCATTTTGACTGGTGTGACATGGTATCTCATTGTGGTTTTCATTAGCATTTCTCTGATGATTAGTGAGATTGAGCAATTTTTTAATATTCTTCTTTAGAGAAGTGTCTGTTCATGTCTTTTGCTCATTTTTAAACAGAGTTATTTGTTTTTTGCTTGTTCAATTGTAAAAATTCCTTATAGGGACCTTTGTCAGATGCATAATTTGCAAATATTTTCTCCCATTCTGTAGGTTGTCCGTTTACTCTGTTGATCATTTCTTTTGCTGAGCAGAAGTTCTTTAGTTTAATTAGGTCCCACTTGTCAATTTTTTTGTTGTTGTCGCAATTGTTTTTGAGGACTTACTCATAAATTCTTTCTTAAGGCCAATGTGCAGAATGGTATTTTCTAGGTTTTCTTCTAGGATTCTTATAGTTTGAGGTCTTACATCTAAATCTTTAATCCATCTTCAGTTAACTTTTGTATATGGTGAAATGTAGGGGTCCAGTTTCATTCTTCTACATATGGCTAGCCAGCTGTCCCTGTACCACGCATTGAATAGGGGCTACTTTCCCCCAATAAAAGCAGGTAAAATTAATATTGATAATCTATTTAATTGAATCCAGTATATCCAAATATTACCACTTCCACATCTAATCAATACAAAAATATTAAATGCTGTTTTAAACATTGTCTAAGTGAAAATATTTAAATCTTTAACTCAGACCAACTATGCTTCAGGCATTCAACGGCTGTACCTAGCCAGCAGCTACTGTATTCGACAGTGCTGGCCTAGAGCCATAAAATACACAAGCAGGAGGCCTGGCCAACCACAAAATTCTTATCTACTATTTATTTTTAATCTTAAGAAGAAAAAAGTTAGCCAAATCTTATTGCAAATAACCAATAATCGAGCACAATTTGAAAGAGTAGCTAAGATAAAATACTGTCTATGTTTATTACAAAATAGTCTGTAAATGATTTCATACCTGTTTTTCTTACATAATGATATTATTTTATTGAGATGATTTGTTTAAAGCACTTACACAGTACCTGGTATGAAGTACATTTTGGATAAGGATTATCATTATTAATACCAATGAGAACACATCAGTTTATCAATATCCATGAGTGTGACTAAGAAGAAAAAAGCATAAGAGTACTAAGTACCCATCCATTACTTTTTAGGTGCTTTCTGGGAAAAAAAAAAAAAAAGCCAAATAATTACAAGAGAATGAACTTGGAAAACCAATACAGAATGTGAGTGATAAATTAAGCATTTCTTAAGCATTTAAAAAACTTCCAAGTTTCCAAGCATTATTATTTTTATTTGGTTCTGAGTATTTCAAATATGAGCCAAAAAATATCTTTACTGTTTGGATCAAGACTACTCAGTGTTTCAACCAGGAATGTTTAGGAGTTTGCTGTTATTTATACCTCCCTCATTTTTTGTTCAGCTCAAGGCAAAAAAAAAAGAAAAGAAAAGAAAAGAAAATTCTGTGCCAATGTTTTATTTCTACAATTTCTATTAGAAAGTCCCTTCCATTACCCCATCCATCTTCTCTCCCACTTAGGCAAGAATGTGGCAAATGTGGCCATAGCTACCCTGGTTAAAGTAGAGTAAGCATTCCCTTCAAGCGTGAATAATGCTAACCTTTGTAAGGATGTATTTAACCTCTTAAAAATCCTGCGAGTCTCTGAAATATTCATTGTACTGAAATCAATAAATCACTGAAATCCCCACTGGGAGAGAAACTTCCTGAGGTCTCAAAGGCCAAGCCAGAGTGGAACTAGTAAACATCAGTTTCTCACAGACATGCAATTAGAACATCTGTTTGTGTCTTCTATGCCTATTAAGATGTTTACTCTGTTAATTGTAGGCATAACATAGGTATCCATCAGTATTTTTGTTTTCACTCCCACCATAGGAATTCAATAACAGAGTTCTAACCCTGGCCAGCTACCTTGCTGGTCAATTTGCCACTTGTCTATTTAAAGAGAAAATAAGAAATGGCACTTTGTCAGGAGCAAATGATGGGTGGTGAAAGACAATCGTGAGAAAAATTGTGAAGGTCGTGGTACAAACAAATCTATTTCACCACTGTGATATTTAAATGGTTCTGAAGTTTCATGATTGGGTTGATTATGTCAAAAACAGCTACCTCTGGGATTGAGGGGTAGATCTGGCGGCTCTACAAGCATTTTTAAATGCTAAGTTCATTAGCCTTTCCAGCTGTGCTAATTTTCCAGCTTGAGTTTTTCTACTTGAACGGGTAGCAATCTTCTGCAGTTTTCTTCTGTCTTAGACTGTTGAGAGGAACAGAAAGTAGAGACCAAATTGCTTGAAATAGAGTTTACTTTACATTATCAAATATGTTTTAGTAAATTATCTATATTTTAAAATCATACTAGATAAATATAACAACCGCGAATCCATAAATTAAACTGCCTAAAAATTTTGAAGTATTGTCAAAGTTTAGCTATATTGTTCAGGTCAAAGATTGTATTCTAATGGTATCGTGACCCTTAAAGACTATCTAAGCACACAATATTCGGATTTCAGCTATCAGTTTATAATATTGTTAAATGCATAAAAAATAAGTATTTAATATAATCATTACTTGGTATTTATACAACAACCTTACCTTGTTCCTATTCACAAAATTGATTATGTAATAGTAAGCATGTACATAAAATCATAAAAAGAATACTTGACATTTAAGTTATATAAATTTATCTCCATCAAATAATCATTTAAACATTTTAATAAAGAATAAAAATATAGTATTAATTTCATCTTCATCTGTATTTAATATTTTTGACAATTAGGAATAATGACAATGGCCATGAAAATCACACTCAAGTGGAAGTAAAATGTTGGGAAATTTTTTTTTTTGAGACAAGGTCTTGCTCTGTCACCCAGGCTGGAGTGCAGTGGCATGATCTCAGCTCACTGCAACCTGCAACTCCCAGGTTCAAGGGATTCTTATACCTCAGCCTCTGGAGTAGCTGGGATTACAGGTGCACACCACCATGCCTGGCTAATTTTTTTGTATTTTTAGTAGAGACGTGGTTTTACCATGTTGGCCAGGCTGGTCACAAACTCCTCTCAAGTGATCCACTCGCCTTGGCCTCCCAAAGTGCTGGGATTACAGGCATATCAACTAGCTTTCCCACTGTGTTCAACACAGTCTTTTAAATGAACATCTGGTTAAGAAGGGTATGTCTATGCCACCAATCCTTTAAAAGAAGAAGTTAAAAAAAATGCTTACTTGAAATTGAATTTCTTCCACTGCTTAGGTCTTTTAAAAGAAGAAATTAAAAAAAAAAAAAAGGCTCACCTGAAATTCAATTTCTTCCACTGCTTAAGTTGAAATTTCTGAATTTCCTCAAAGGTAAGGACAACCAAAGTAAAAATTCATTTCCTAAACATTCTGCCTAAAACGATTATTTTTCAAACATTCAGAAAAACTCTCTTGCCTCCCTCCTAAAACCTTCAAAACTACACATTGCTAAAGTTTGATGGAGACATTTTATGTCAATGACTGTAATGAGATATTCTCTACATTGAAACGATATCACTGCAGGACTTCAACAGTTTATAAAATGCCTGGAGCTGTTCACGGCTAAGAGGTGTCATTTTAATAAGGTCCATGGAATCCTACCTTTTCTAAGTGTAACCAGGACTATAACTTCATTAGGGATTGAATCCATGCTAGGCGGATTTCTACATTTCCCAGTTGTCCTTATCTCAATCACAGACGGGGATGAAAGAAAGCATACATTCGCATATATCGGTTAACAGCAATATAATTGTTAATGGCATTCAACAATTTTGAAAACAGGAAAGGAATACTTCCAGTCTATGATTTCAATACTCATACTGTTAGCCACTATGCCCAATAGCCTCTTCATAATAAAAAATTCAACACCTATTTTAAATTACTACCAAAAAACATTTTTATTGGAACTATAACCAGAAAAAAACAAGATTTTTCTAAATGAGGGACCCATTACTAGAATGAAGTGAAAAAACGTTCACAAAATTTTCTGCCTTTCTTTAAAACTTGGCATGTGAGTTTTAAGAAAAAATATATTCAGTGTTTATTAAAAAGTGTATAATTTGGATTTATGTTAAATCAGTATGCACATTTTTATATGTTTCTGGGGTATAAATCAAACTTCTTGGAGTAGATTTTCTTGATGTAAACCTACAAGTAAAACTACATCCCTCAGAGAACACACCAGACTACACAGCTGTGCGACTGAATTATGCATTACAAGGCTGAGTCAATTTATCATGAAAACTGGCCAGATTTCCTGAGGGCTTATCCAGTATGGTTTTGATAACTAAAATATAAGATAAAACATGTCATAATTCAAGCTGTTATAATCTAGACTTAACCAAAACTCAGCAATTTTGAAAGCATTAATTAATATAATGATCACTAAATCAAAGTTGAGCACCAAGGTAATAATTTATTAAAAGGTTCACAAAATTTCTGAAACTGTCTTTAACATATATGGGGCTAAGTTCTATGAAATTCACCAGTCATCAAAAAATAGAATAGGAACAGGAGTAAGGAGAGTGTTACTTATTCTTTAGGCATTGTGCTCCTTACACAGCAAGCAGCTAGATCCAGTGTCTTTTATCACAAAATAATAAAATATCAGAATTGGGAGAGAGAAACAAAGTCTAGTCACAGACATAATTAAGAAAAACCATGTAGTATTTTAAATTTCTTGGGTAAATTCGATGATCACCCACAAGGAGAAGTTCAAATCAAAATGCAAATTTCTAGGTGAAATTTTCTCTGTATTTTTAAATGTCCTAGAACAGTATGTACACCTGTAGTGCAAGGCAACTTGGACACACGATTGTCATAGCACTTCTGCTGTTTCCCTTTTGTCGAACAACAAAATGCTCTGTTTACTTTCCAGGCTCCTGAATTTTACCAAAGTACCCTAAGAATAAATACCTATGAAGTCTGCGCAAAAGTAATTGTGGCTTTTGCCATTAATGGGAGTAGAAAGGCAGGTACGCTCTGATTAAAAATAAAAATGGATATGGAATAAAATTATCTATAGTTTGAACAAAATGATGAGATGAAATGATGGTGGCCAGCTCTAGTATTTGTCCAACCCCTGTGTTGAAGTATGTGGAGTAGAACGATTTAAGATTACAAACCAGCTAAAAGAAATCACTGCTACTTATTCTAACTGGATTGTATTTTCTAGAATTCTGGAAAGTAACCTGTATTCTTCCAGTGTGTTGATGCGACGTCAGACACTGTTTGGCAAAACTGGTAATGGGTGTCTGTACTGAGTCTTCCAAACTCATTTGCCTCCTCTTGTAGTCTAAACATAACTCAATCACAAGTATTTAACTAAAAAGAATTAAGTATCCAGGTGATTGTGTGTCCTTTCTCCGTGGCTTCTTTATCCTGATCCCCGTTCTTTTGTTTATATGCTGTAATGCCGTATTACCACGATTAAGTATACTGCTGTACAACTAAAAGGGTTTCACCCTTAGGGGGTCAAAGTACACACCCTGATCTTACAATTAGCTCCCTGAATTCACTGAACCTAAAGGACGACAAGGGCCATTTTCCTTCAGTCAAAAGTAGTAGTTTTATATATATATATAAAATATCTAATATATTATATCTAATAGTGTCCTGCAGAATTACAGAAAAGGAGAAAAGGCAAAAGACTGGCCCTTTCCATGAATATGATATGGCAGAAAGAATATAAGAAAAGCTTTATTTACTATGACAATTTACACTTTGGAATAAGATTTAGTCTGCCTCTTTTATTACTTTTCATCTTCCCTGTGAAGCATAAATCCTTATTTAGTATAAACTATGGTCAGTTATTACCATCTCATATTCTTTATGGATTCAGGTCTTTTTAAGGAATACTTCATAACAAGGCCATAGCTGGAAAACAACAGTCACTATTTATTGTACACCAAAACTTGCATGTTTAAAAACAGTTATCAAATACTGAATTTTATTCAGATAAAAACTGTCACTGAGAGGTTTCGTTTACAGTTGAAGAGGTATGCTTATTTAAAAGATAAAGACAATACAGAAAATTTCTAAGTCTTCAATTACAGGTTGTTCATACCTTGCTAATCATTCTCAAGCTTCGTTTCTGCACCAGAAAGCCATACTGGGTTACTAACTTTCTGCCAGCATGAAGAAAGTGGCAGGTTAAGGCAACCAATTTTATCACGAGTGCTGTCTCTATCTAGATTCCTCTCTGACTCTTGAGAGAATTCCTTAGATAATTCAAATAGAAATGCTTTTACTGGTTAATTTTTATCATACTTTGCTAGGGAAAAGTTTTATAAAGGTAAAATATGACTGAAGGATGCCAAAATATTAATTATTTAAGCTATTACTGTGGCAATCGTTAGTTCCAATTTTCTGAAAAATTCTCAATTTTAAACAGACTGTTCTGTGGTTCCCATAAAGATGGTCATAATGTTTTACAACATATATACCAATTTTGGATTCAGAACAAACAGTCAGACAATCTCCCACTTGCCAATAGTGTCGAAAGCTTCTGTATTACAGTGCCAGAAACAAAGGTAACTTTCTAAACGACTAAGTACTTTATGGACACATGCTCCCATGCCCTTTAAAGAGATATTTTAAGTAACTGTTAAAGTTCATTGTAAGAGGAAAAGATTCCCTATAGTAGTTTTACAATCCATCAGCTCTTCAAACTGAACGAGGTTTGTGCTGTCAAATGGTGTTTTCATGGAATCCTATCAAAGAGAATTCAGTTGTTGCGGAAAGCAATACGGGTAATTCATTTGGCCACCCTCGACCTTGCAAGGCAGTCTGCATCAAAGCTCCCAGCACCAAACCAACAACAGTGCTTGAGCACAAGGGTGAAGAAAAGCCTGTGAATGTCTGTGAGGCTTTCTCAGTCATTCCACAGTCATCAAACAGAGACTGAATGGCTGAAGGAGCCACATGCTTCATTTCCCTAGGGGCATACGGGTGCCCTGCTTCAGAGGATCTCAGTGCATCGCTGAGGTGACCTCTGATTAGGGACAGTCAACCATGCAAACCCTGAGAACTGCCGGGAAAACAAGGACTGTCATCTAAATGATGATGATGTAAAGATCACCACAAACACCCTCTCAACACCCACTCAAGGACTCCTCCCAGAAACCTCCAGCAGCCCAAAGTGGACCCATGTCGAAAGTCACTGGGTGACTACAACCCTGAACCATAAGTTTAATTTATGCTAGAGTAATAAAGTTTTTTCCTTAAAGAAATTACATGTATAGGTTTATGTGTGTATATCCATATAAGCATGTCTGTCTCAATGTTCCTCAGATTCTATTTCACTATAAAATAATTTGCTCTCAAGGTACTATTTTAAAACCTTTTTCTATTACTAGGTAATCATCATGACTACTCAATAGAATCAGATCCTATGCATAACTGAGACCTGATCCACAGGAAATATCAGAAAATTCTCATATCTGGTTACATACTTCAAATTGCCTTATTTTATGTGTTTTATTTTTATTTGTGTAGCATAAATCAATAGAATTTTCATTTTCTACTTGTCCACACAAAAGCAGGAAAAGTAAAAGGAGAGTCTCTCTGTTTGCCTTTGCATAGATTCGTACATGAAAACCAGATAGAATAAAACAAGGGTATGGTAGTCAGTGAGTTCAGAGGTTCATAAATGATCAAACCTTTCACCTCACTGTTTCCTTTCCATCTCTGAGTATTTATTTTAACTCAGAGTTTTAGTCTTTGGCCTTCAGTGCCAGAAATATTCTTACATGTTCAGATAAGGCACTTTCATCCAGTTCCAAAAATGTGGAGGGTGGGGGTCAGATTTGAATCCCCACTTACCCTGAGGTAAATATCTCTCATTGGACAAATACTTGGAATGTCTTGACTGACGTCCCTGCAGCTGACAAGAGGCTATTTGGGGTCTTGCTTTTACCTCCACCATTTCCCTTTTCTGAATTTACATAACAGCAAAGACAATAAATTGTGTCTAGGTTCTTCCCATTCCCTCCAAAGCCAGGCTGAGGACAGGAGGGCTTGCCCATGTTTTCAGCTTGACCCTACCTGTGTTAGGCTCTGGCTGCCCGACCATGTCAGCATTCCAGGACCATGAGAGAAGGCCATGTTTGCAACCCAACAGGAAGAGGAGTAAGCCAGGCATTGACATCACCTGACAGATGCGTTTCTCAAGTGGGAAATGTTATTCAAGGTTTTATCATGGAAATCATTGACAGAGAAAAGGAATAAAGAAAAAAACGAGAGGGAGAGAGAAAGTCAGTGCCAAGATGGGCATGTTTTGCACCCTATAAAAAAGGAATTAAAATGACTCAACCTCACCTCCCTTTCTCTACATTCCCCCCCTCCTCATTCATCCTTTATGTCTGGAAGTAAATGTTTCTGAAATACTATAGCTACCGGCAGAGCAGCAACACATAATAACATGGTAGCAACACATAAAACTGTCAGTCTTCAAGGAAAATAGATGGTTAGGTTGAGGGGGTAAATGGACTAAATCAATTTGAACATGCATGTTAAGGACTGTGAAAGGGCAGAGTTTAGAGCTGCTAGGCTGGAAAACATTTGTCTCCGTCTTCTTGTATTTCCACAGCACTGGGCAGAATCCACCCACAGGCTTCTCCCTTGGCTCCAGTCTGACTCTGTGGCTGATTAATGGCAGCTGGAGGTGTCCAGTAATTTCCTCACCTAATAATAAACTACAACCCAAAATGGAGGTTCCCCTCAGGCCCACATTTAACATACCTATACTTACAAGCAGGAGGTAGCCAATTACACTGTCTCTGTGCCCACTGCTTAGAAAGTACATGCTCCAGCAAGGCTGAGGCAATTTTGTTTACCATGGGGATCCAATTCCTGTCTATACCAGACAGATTGCTTCTTTTACACAATGAACACACATTAAGTAAGCTCATTTCAGAGACCAAAAACACTTAGAAAAAATTTCTAGCAGTTCCACAAGATCCATTTCTAAGCAATTCATTCTTTTCCCAAAAATGTGGAGGGAAAAAAGTGTCAAATGACAGACTTGGTCTTAAGCCTTTTTGGAACTTAAATTTTAAATTGCTGTTACCAAAATGTCAGGTTGTAATTGCAAAGCCTGAAGCCTAAGCAATCACTCTAATTCCCTGCTTCCTGAGGCATCCAATAAAGCTGTTTGTATTTGGGCAGTTCTTCCTCACAGATTCGTTTGGCAATGAGAATTGGTACATGCCACATACTATAAGGCGATTACATGGATTAACTTTGTGATATTAATTAAGTGGTTATCCTCAACATTCATATTTATAGTAACTAACAAAATTAATTATAAGCTAGGGAATAAAACATATAAAGAAAAATACAGAAATGTATGTGCATGCCTGCACACATACGTGAGTTCCCCATGAGTAGTAGCAGAGCAGAGATGTGGGTTAATGGAGAGACTACACAGACCTGAATTCAGATCACATTTCTGCTGCTGAATTGCTTAACTTCATGAAAGCATCTTAGCCTCTATTTGTTTCTTTTCTTTTTTTTTTTTTTTTTTTTTGAGATGGAGTCTTGCTCTGTCACCCAGGCTGGAGTGCAGTGGCATGATCTCGGCTCACTGCAACCTCCGCCTCCCGGGTTCAAGTGATTCTCCTGTCTCAGCCTCCCAAGTAGCTGGGATTACAGGCATGCGGCACCACATCCAGCTAATTTTTGTATTTTTAGTAGAGATGGGGTTTCATCATGTTGGCCAGGCTGGTCTCAAGCTCCTAACCTCATGTGACACACCCACCTCGACCTCCCAAAGTGCTGGGATTAGACATGAGCCACCATGCCTGACTGCCTCTATGTACTTCTGTTTCCTCACTTATAAAATGAGAATCATATTTATCAGGAATAATGTATGTAAAGTACCCAGCGCACCATCTGGCACAAAGTAGGCAACTTACAATTAGTTTCACATGTTAGAGGTAAAATCCAAAATTATTATTGTTTTAGTGGTGATAAAATATGCATAACATAACATTTACTTTTTGAACCATTTTTAAGTGTACCATTCAGTGGCATTGAGTACATTCACATTGTTGTGCAATCATCACCACCACTGAACTATTTTCAGCTTGCACAACAGAAACTCTGTACCCACTAAACAGTAATTTCCTATTCACCCCTTCCTCCAGGCCTTGGCAACCACCATCTACTTTCTGTTGCTATGAATCTGATTTCTAGGTACCTCATATAAGTGGAATTATAGAGTATTTTTCTCCTTTCATGATGGGCTTATTTCACTTTGCATAATGTCAAGTTTCATACATGTTGTGGCATGTGTCAGAATTTTCTTCCTTTTCAAGGCTGAGTAATATTCCATTGTGTGTACAAACCACATTTGGTATATCCATTCAACCTTCAATGGACACTTGGGTTGCTTCCACCTTTTTGCTGTTGTGAAAAATGCTGTTATGAATATTGATGTAGAGTATCTCCTTAAATTCCTGCTTTTATTTCATTTAGGTATATGCCCAGAAATGAAATTGCTGGATCATATAAAATCATTTTATTTGGTTATATAATTCCATATTATAATTAATGAAGTAATCATCCCATTCCTTTGGTATCAAAGAGAAAAGGGGACAGTAGGAAATATTCCTAAAGAATCTTTCTTCTTCATTGCCAGAAACAGAGAAAAATGGTTTTTTCTGATTTTTCAGAGGACATCAGAATAATTCAATGGAAGCTACATAGAAAAATAGAGAAATGAAACCATTTGGCACTGGCATTGCAGATAAACCCAGAACCTACAATGATGAAAATCCTATTTAAATTATCATTTTTCTATATTTATAAGAAAATTATATAAGGATTCCAGCCTAGGACATCTTTGGTCCCTATTCAGAAACGAAGCTGTTACACAGAAGCTGTTTCTTATTATTCCCACATGTAAAGGCCTAGATTCTGTGGTCTTTAGGCATAGGAAAAATCTCTATGATAAACTCCTAAGCAAGTTGAGAAGACATCACAGAGGACAGACCTACCCATATAAAAAAGTAAGTGAAATGTCATAAGTATTTTTAAGTAAAGAAAAATATATGAATTTTGTTGAATTGCTGTAACATTTTACGTTACAATGAAGAACATGTTGTAAGGAGGTACCCTCACATCCTGGCTGAGGATGACCAGAAAACTGATGGCAAAGATGGGTAAATTATACGAAGAATGGTAGAGAAAAGGAGAACAGAATAAAGGGATAAAGGAACTGTGAAAAGATCAAAGAGGAAAAGTGATAGAGCAAATTGAAGATAGAAGATAAAAAATTAAAAGTGTTGGAATATATGTATTAGACTTCTGCCAGAAGATCCGAAAATAGGCATGGCCAAGCAAAGGGAAGACAGATCAGGGACATTGCCACTTGGTGACAGAATGAGTCATGGAATCAACTTTTGTTACTGTGTTGATTCAGAGACCAAACAGAAGAACTTACTTGAACTAATGGCAACTGATTGACAGCAAACATTAGCAAATCTTATTATTTTATATTACTAAGCCTGTGCCATCAACTATTTTGGCAGCTGTAGGATTGTTTCTAGACTATTCAGCTAACTAGATGTAACCTTTTGTAGATATCATGGAAGCAAAGAAGGTATGCGTATTAGGTCATTCTTGCATTGCTATAAAGAAATGCCTGTGGCTGGGTAATTTATAAAGAAAGAGATTTAACTGGCTCATGGTTCTGCAGGCTTTACAGGAAGTATGGTGCTGGCATCGGCTTGGCTTCTAGCAAGGTCTAAGGTAGCTTACAGTCATGGCAGAAGGCACAGCAGGGGGCCGGCATATCACATGGCAAAAGCAGGAACAAGTGAGAGAAAGAGTGAAGGGGGAGGTGCCACACACTTCTAACAACTAGATCTCCCGAGAACTCACACACTATCACGAAAATAGGACCAAGCCATGAGGGATTCTCTCCCATGACCCAAACACCTCCCACCCGGCCCCACTTTCAGCACTGGGGATTACAATTCAACATGGGATTTGGGAGGGACAGATATCCAAACTATATCAGTTTGTGTGTCATTTTTAATAGAAAAAGTTTAAGTCTTCTTAACCAGACCATAAACTCCCCAAAGACTGGGAACCGTTAGACAATTAAAGAAATTTTGGGGCTCTGGGCCATGCAGCAGGACCTACATCAGAGATGACTTGAGTGTACTCTAGACCGAAATGGAGGATCCAGGTTGGGAAATTTTTGTGTATATTGGGATTTGAGCACATCCTGATGCAGTCACCCCAGCATTGCGATGAGGTCTTATCTTTCCCTGTAACTCACATTGAGATATTTTCCAGGCTAGCCCATTGCTTGGGTGTTCCTGTTCATGGTCTGTGGCTCCCTGACCACATCATTACTGTCATGTGTTGCTTAGCCACAGGAATATATTCTAAGAAATATGTCATTCAGTGATTTTGTTCTTGTGTGAACATCGTAGAGTGTACTTACAAAAATCTGATGGTACAGCCTATTGCTCCTAGGCTACAAACCTGTATGGCATGTTGCCGTACTGAACACTGTAGGCAATTGTAACATAATGGTAAGCATTTGTGTGTCTAAATATATCTAAGCATAGAAAAGGTTATGTGCAATGCTATGATGTTATGATCCCTACACCATCAATAAGTGATAGGAATTTTTCAGCTCCATTATAATCTTAAGAAACCATCGTCATATATGTGGTCCATCATTAACTTAAACACTGGATTGCAGCACATACTATATTCATGCCACTCTCATCTTATCAAATTGGATCCTAGAAGGCAAACAATTGCTACTTTTTTCTATTCCCGTACCACTTCTCTCTTTTTGTCATCATAAACTAACCTACTATTCTTAAAAGCCTAAGTCCAATACACCACACATGCCTAAATTTGTCAGAAAACTTGCAAACAGTTTTTAGTTCGTTTTTTTTTTTTAGTAGAAATATAATATTGCTATCTGTGAAATAAGATTGAAAAGCAGCCCAGTGAAAGAGAGTGAAAATCCTTAACAGATCTCTACTAAAAATAAAAGGATAGAAAATGAAAAGACATTTGAAAATATAGACATGAACAACCTAGGTTGCCCTCATAACTAAACAATAATACCAGAAAGCAGTTAGTGCTCCATAACAGTGGTTGCCATTGTGCCATCCTTAGACTTACAGGATATACTTCATCCTCTTTTCTACTTGGCCTGAAAGATGCTATTTATTAAAACAAATGGGGAAAAAAGAATAAAATCTGCAGAGAAAAATAATCTTCCAGAAATCAAGGCCTACTAAAATGATAGGGCTGGTAAAACACATGCAAACGTCTTAGCTTTACTGCTGGTCAAGTCTGTAAACAAAACTTTTATGAAAACTGGAAAGAAAGTTCAAAAACTTAAGCCACTAATGGGATGTGAGTTCTTGGCATGTGCTTCTTCAAAGTGGTGAGCCTTGTGTAGACACAGCCACTGAGGGATGCTCTCTATTGCCTCTCTGATCATTACCTGGTGATGTTACAATGACCACAAATGACCTCTTGGCTTCTTCACACCAAATTTCCATCTCATCACTATTTCCAGTTCATGTAACAAGCAGATCCCTCTCCTTATCAAAACTCAAAACACTTCTACCCCATTTCTGACAGCTCAGCTACAGCACTGCAGCTGAATATTTAGTGTTCAGCATTATATCTGAGTATTCAGAGATTTAAGAAATGTTTGCGGAATACTTCCTATGTAGCAGGCAGTGTGCTAGGTACTAGGGTGAGCAAAATGAATAAACAAGCAATTATAAATAGAATAATAAAGGAAAAAGAGACATTACACAAAGTGAACCACATCAACCACCACTGAGGCAGAGGTAAATGCCCTTTAAGTATGGGGACTGACTTGATCAGAAAGTCCGGGGAGGTCTCCCAGCCATTGACTATTGAGTAGAGATCCAGAATAGATGGTGAGGAGAACAAGGATGGTACATGGTAAGAATTTAGGGTACAGAGGTGACATTTTGGCAGAAAAAAATTATTATACGCACAAAGTCCTGTGGCTGAAAAAGGCATGACTTCCCCATGGGCTTCCAAGAAACGTTAGTATAGCTGGAGGCCAGAGAGCAATCCAGGAGGCAACTAAGGAGGAATTTGAGGCTTGGGAGATGTGCAGAACTTAGACAAGTCAGAATTGTGTCAAACATGTTAAGGATTTTCATCTGTCCCTTGAGCCTACTAGAAGGCCTTGGAAATGCCAGTGAGGGAATTGTATAATGAAGTACCTAAAAAGACAGAGTCTTTATAGGTGAAGTGATGGACAATTGAGATAGCATGCTACACTTAAGATGCCTTGAGAAATCTGTAAAGTGTATTGGAGACTAGTAAACTAAGGTCCAGAAAAACAACAACTTGAAATAAGAAAATCAGAGTTCAAATCCTCTCCTTCTAGTTTCTAGCACTTTGACCTTGGGATAATTCATTAACTTCTCCTACTCATTACTTCAGCTTCCTCACCTGCCCTTGTAGCTGTGAGTTTCCAACAAGATCATCTATTTGATAGCCCCTTGCAAGCAATAATACTGTTGGAACGTAAAGTAGCAATGATTGCTGTAAACATTATAGCAATAGTTGTTGTAGTAGCAGTCATATTAAAAACTTCTATGAGACAGTATCTTCTGTGATAACAACCCCCAAATCTCAGAGCTAAGGATGACGAGCAGTTTTTTCCCCCTCCTGTTGAATGAGGACTACTGCTGGCTGTGGCTCTGCTGTAGACTGTGGGTTGGCAGAGCCTGCTCCCTGAGTCTTCTCATCCCAGGATCCACGCTAATGGAGCAGCATCCACCTTGTACACGCTGCTCTCATGGCAGGGGCCACAAGGAAAAGAACTGCTCGGATGTGGCATATCTCTTGGTTTAAGCAGGTCCCAAGGCCAAGCCTGAAATCAACAGCATAAGAATGCATTGTCTTCTCAGGGGTAAGAAGTGAGCAAATAATTTAGAACAATAATACAATCTACCATAAATATTTGTGTGTGAGTATGTCTGAAACTTCCTTAAACTAAGAAAAAAAGAGTAGACACTCCATATTGTAATCATTCTGATTAGGGGAGATAATTATGTGGCAAAGACTCGCCATCTGTATAATTTTTGCTTGACTTACAACAAAAAATTTTAAGAGTGAAATTTATTTTAACTATTAGATGCATTCTTAATCTTTCATAAATTAAATCATAGAAGAAATGATTTTTTAAATAAATCATCCTATACTCTTTTGTAAAGCAAATAAACTTCCAAAGTGAAAATAATCACCCCAATCTATCACTTTAGTATATTGCATACGAATCCAAAAGATACATGCAGTAGGCTTTCAAAAAATACTAACAAAGCCAGGTAGAATGTCATCAGGCCTGCTAACTGCCAGGAAACTCAGTACAATGAGGGCGACTGATAGGATTGCACTAGCAATTCACTGAACAAGGGGAAAGTATGAGGTGATCCTCTGCTCACCAAGCCGGAAGCCCTGGTGCAAGGCTATGTCTGCTCAGAGGAAGGGGCAACATGCTCCAACGTGCACAAATGTGTCTTTTAGTCCTAGATGAAGTTTCATCACATTTAAAAGGTTTCTCTCCTATATGAACTCTCCAATATCTGTGAATGCCTAATGTTTAGGAATTTTGTACATTGAATATTTGTAGCAGATTTCCTCATGAGCTATCTCTGACTGTTATCTTATGATTTTTAATTGTAAAGTCTCCTAAATTTGCAAAGACCAAAATATTTCTCTTTCTCAGTACCTGTCACATATGGATTTCAAAAACAAAAATAAAAACTGCTCTGGACTCAAAAGCTTCTATGTACTGTTTCTCCCCGCACTGGGAAAATCTGCCTACACAATCCTCTTCCCTTAAGACTGAGATTCATTTGAGATTTTTGGGGTTTGATATGTTTCTATTTTTAGTGGGATCTGACTCCTTGAGAATGAATGCCACGGTGGACTTTTCCCTCAGAGAACTATCTTGAGTACCTACAATTCCCAGGGCCTGTGTACTCATAAAATCTTGGTATTTTAAATTCTGGGCCTCCTCCTCAAAGTTATACAAAGTTTCACATCTAGAAGTCTGTGTGAAGTGTTCCTATCCTCAATAGTGTGACTACCCCGATGGTCTAGGTCTCAGGAACATCATAAATATTTCATGTAGCTCTCTATCAAATATCTGAAAGGCCAATCCTTTCCAGTATGAAAGTTCATCTCCTAAATGGGAGATCACCTTCCAATGGTGATCCAATGATCTCTCCCCAAACTACTGTGTAACGCTTCTTATTAGAAGTATTTGAGCAGTTCAGGGCTTCCAGGGAGGTGAACAAGAACACATCCACATACTGGGAGAGTGGCGCACTCCAACTCCACAGGGACAGACGCCCCCATGCTCAGGACTTTTCCAGACCTCACCCTATGTATCACTTTATCTGGCTGTTCATCCTTTACAATAAATTGTTTAATGCAAAAGTCAACAACTCTATATTGACTGGAGCAGGCTACCCTCAGATTCTGAGGCCTGGTATAAAGCTTACATTGTCTGCTCTGGTAGACAGGAAGAGCACTGATACTGGAGGCCACAAATTGGTGCTTGCCCTAGAGGCAGAGACTTAATCCAGCTGAAAGTAGCCTCCGAGAATGGATATCAGAAGATTTAGCCTTAATATATTTCCATTGTGACCAGCAGGCTTTTGCCCCCCTAAGAAGGTGTTCAAAACGAAAGATGACCCAAACGAGAGCTGTTTTTTAAATATTTAGACAGTTACTCATTAGCTGGTTTTTAGTGGAATTGGTTATCTATCTAGTTACCAGTGCTGCAATTGTGTAGTCACCTATACATTATTTAAACGTATTTAACTGTTAAATGTGCTATCCACCAGTTATAAAATAAACCCTTATGAAAACTGCACAATTGTGTACGTGTTTATGTTCCTTTAAGCATTGAATATTGCCATTGAATGAGATTAATCAGTCCATGTTTTAAGTTGAAGTTAAAAATTTTGTGTTAAATTCAGCCATCATTACAATTACCTTTTGTATTCCAGAACATGACAAATTATGAATAAAACAAATATACATCTTGTAAAAAGAAGTATTTGAGTTTCTCTAGAGCTCTCCACTCCCCCAGAAGTACAATATGCTAAACTCTGAGAATTCAACTACCATTAAGAAAGGGAGCACCCAAAAAGAAGAGAAAACCTAAGACATATAGTGATTAAAGCAAAAGAAATTGTGGCAGATTAATCTTCTGGTACTGTGGAATTGAATATCGTAGCCACTTTTAGAATCCTTTTATATCTTTTCTTCTGCCAAAGATATGATCCCTTAAGAGAACATGCTTTAACGTATAGATATGCTGCAATAATAAGAAATATCTTTATGTCTCTTCCTTGTGAAGATGCCACCTAAGATACCACTAATTCCTGATATATCTGTATAATGGTCCTCTTTGAAATAAATTTTTCATGATCGATAAGCCATTAGAGAAGATAATATGCTACTCCATTAAGTAAAATTATATATGATGTTTGTTGAGTTTTAAAATAAATATTAAATATGTTTACTTTTGGATGAGATATTACATATTAACTACACTATAACAAATACAGAGTTGATAGTTCTAGTGTATTTAGATAAGATAGTCTATAAAATTAGTCAAGGTAAATACATTAAAGATACATGGAGCATTTTTTTTAACTTTAAGTTCTGGGGTACATGTGCTGAACGTGCAGGCTTGTCACACAGGTATACATGTGCCATGGTGGTTTGCTGCACCTATCAACCTGTCATCTAGGTAAGCTCACCATCCTTTCTTCTTTTTTTTTTTTTTTTCGTTTTGAGACGAAGTTTTGCTTTTGTTGCCCAGGCTGGAGTGCAATGGTACACTCTCGACTGACTGCAACCTCTGCCTCCTGGGTTCAAGCGATTCTCCTGCCTCAGCCTCCCAAGTAGCTGGGATTATAGGCATGCGCCATCACGCCTGGCTAATTTTGTGTTTTTAGTAGAGATGGGGTTTCTCCATGTTGGTCAGGCTGGTCTTGAACTCCCAACCACAGGTGATCCGCCTGCCTTGGCCTCCCAAAGTGCTGGGATTATAGGTGTCACCCACCACATCCGACCCCTGCCCTTTCTTTTAAGAGCACAGGCAGGTCCCTCACTCTAGTGCAGTGAACTTAATGAGAGCCTAGAGTGAATGAAACGGTGATGCCCCTCTTGATGTGGAGTTACATGGTAGATATCATGCAGCCAGTTTTCTCACTCATGGATGAATTTTCATGACATTCTCTATTGAGTTGTATGGATCTAATAGAAACATCTATGGGTCTTAAGGCTAAATATTTTTTCATTGCCCCTCTCATGTTTTCTGCTAGTTTTACAAAAATACCCTGTCAATTTTCAGATAAAAGCTTTTTAACAAATTCAAAATGTCATTATCTCTGCTACTTGTACAATCAACTTAAACCCAGAATAGAGCCTGCAACTTACCATCTCAGCAAAAGAGAACAGGTGAAAAAAGAAAGCAAAACTGTAGAACAAAAAGATGTAAAAAAAAAAAAAAAAAAAAAAAAGGAAGACAGACAAATAAGGCACAGAACTGTATTAGAAAAACACTTTCTACTTTAATCACACAGTGGTGTCCAGCCTCGCCTTCTCGACCCCCTGCTTTTCCTATTTCTTCCTTGTTAGTACGAGTCACTCCATTGACCAACAAAATTACCACACAGTGACCACCTCTGGTGCATGTTGAATACTTGATTTAGGGCTATTACGCTTGTCCCAAAGAGCTCAAAGCAGATTTAAATTTCCATAAATCTATTTGCTAGACATGTAGGTAAAAAACTTATTTGAGCAACACAGGTAGTTTTTATTTAAGTTGGCCTTTAGTGTTCTTTTTTAATAATTTTCATTACAAGAGCCATAAAACCAGCAAATTTAGAACAATCCCACTCAGTAAAAAGAAAGTCAAATTTGATATTCCAATGTTAATGCCTAAATAACAACAATTTTAAAATTTCCCAAATCATGAGTGATTGGGTGCATTCACTTATGAGATCCAATTAACCTTCTGAGGCTTAGGGGCAAATGACCTTGCTAGAATATATCAGGAAAGGGAATTGCAAAAATTGCACTGCTTGCACCTGTGGTCCTTTAATAACTTATGAGCAAGTTGATTTTTCAGACATTAGTGCAAAATGTATATTCCATCTTTTCAATGAAATCCTGATCTTTTCCCTGATATACATTTCAACTCCATTATCACCTTGAGACAGAGATACAAGATGCCCATTTTATGATACTGTAGTGTGGCAAGGGTAACTATACTGCAGGTTAAGATACTCAAAGAAGTGACAAACAGGACACAAAGCTCAAAAAACCCTCTGAGCTAGCTTTCAGGATGAAGGAGCCCTTTTTAGAGAGGACTGTCTTCATTCTGGAGATATAGATTGGAACATTCATTTTACGTAAAACTATTTGTAATATAAAACATGGTCTGACTAAGCCACAGTATTGTGTCTGCTGGAATGTGAGCTATTATATACTTGGTAATATTTAAACACAAACACAAGAACAGCTTTCCAAGTTTCCTGTTCTATATGCTTAATAAGCTTTAGATGCTTTATTTTGAAAGTTAGGCAAATTAGAGTTTTTAAAAATATGAATTCAGTAAACTCAGCAGCACAAGTTAGTACACTATTGATTAAAAATATATATATAACAATTAATACAACTCAGTGTACACAGCACATGTTCTTCCATCATCTGATTCTGCCTCGCACTGTAAACTTCATCCCAGACTTCACTTCCAGCCAGCTTAGTTCAGTCCACTCTGCCTCCCCACCACACTTCCTATCCCAAGTTGTTCCAGCCCAGCATAACTGCATCAATTGCAGCTTCAGGAACTCTCTTTCTAAACTCTCTTTCATGCTGAAATCCATATAAACAGATTCCTTCATCTCTAATCCCTCACCTACCCTCCATTCTACAAATTTATTCCCACAATCTTTCCTTTGACTAATTCTTCTTTACCCCTCCAAAATATACACAGGACCCCAAACTGCCAAGAATGCATGTGGCAATACAGTAAACATGTTTTTAGCCTCGGATGGCACTCTTTTATTCTGCTTTACTTCATAGGTTTTGGCTTTGCGCAGATCTTTATTTGAGTAAATTAACAAATAAATGATATTGCCCACTGGTAGAAAAATTCATTAAACTCCCAAGATCCCTTCTAGTACACTTTATTTCACAGTAAATATTCTACGTTGAGTATCATGTTGATATTCTAGTATCCAATTTTACCATCTAGGTTATGTTTCATTTCCAATTAATTCTCTAATTTCCTGGCTTGTGGTATATTTGACTTGTTGCTTAAGCAAACAATAATGAAAGTCACCATCCTCCTATATCATAAGATTGATACAATCATGTTAATCAAAATTCTGAGAGAAACTATAATTTAAAAATCATGTATATCTTCATGCTTTTGTTTTCAATAAGTTGACAAATTTAAGAAAGCACTAGAAAATGATAAGCAATAAAAATTATAAAAAATATGAGTCTTTTATTCTGACTTTATCCTTACAATGCTTGTTATCTAATAGCAATATTAAATATATTATTGTTCTTTTATATTAGGTTTGCTAACAACAATAATATATTTTTCCTCACTAAAAAAAAAAAAATATATGCTTCTGGTTTAAATGCCATCCTTAGGAGTACAAGCTTGAAAGCTGTGCTACCAGTAGTGTATTTTAAATGTAAGGGAGCAAATATTGTTTCTGTCAACCTCAAAGAAAAGAATGTACTCATTATGTTCAAAACTTTAACTTACTACAATAATGACACTGGTTTCAAAAAACTGAACTTTTTAATAACCAATAACCTTTTTTCACACAAACTTTTTACACCTCTAAGCATGCTATAATTTCTAAGCACTATTCCTCTTTGCTTCAATTATGTGTTCCCATGCTAAAAAGCAAAATAACAAAGTTTAAAAAAAAGAAAAAAAAAAAAAGGAAAGGGCCTTTTCCTCACTGCCAGGACCCAAGCTTATCTCAGCAGCCTCCTATTTTTAACCAGATTGCAAATGGTATCCGTGATCAAAGGCCCGGAGCCCTGGAGGAACTTAGGCAAACAGCACGCAGCAGAATGCTTCCTGATGATCTGTAAGCAGGAAAGGACTTTTGACACGAAAGACAGCTTAAACAGCACAAGAATAGCAATAAACCAGCTGTAAAATGGTTGCCCTTGAACGAAAGCAAATTGTTCCAAATAATTTTTCCCGTTTTTGCAGCCTCTGGATGTCCCGCTGGGGCATTTAAACAGCCACATGCTCAGTGTACAAAAGCTTCTCTAAGTGGGAAAATACAGTGTACTAATGTGTTTAGAATAAGGAACCGAACACATCCAAAGTTCAGATTTGATGCTTCCTTTTCCTTTTGTTGGAGAATGAGTTCATTAATGCCAGGCTTGTTTTGGATACTAACTAAGCTTCCAGTCAGTAATGTTGAAGGGTAATTTATTGGCTTAGAAATACTCAATTAACCATTGAAGTGGTTGTTAATTTAAAAAGTAAACGGATTGTTGAGCCTTTACATAGGACTGTTCATGCAACTGGAATGTATATTTACCTAAAGATTAAGAAGTACAATGCCTACTTTTCTTTGTTATTTTCTATTAAACAACTTATACTATAGGAATGCCATGAATACTGTGAAGTTTATATACATCTTCCCCACTATAAGTCATGAGAATAATATAATACTTACTGTTAACATAATTACAAGACACTTCTGTATGTGCAGTTTTATTTAATTCACACAAAAGCTCTTAAATCTAGTGTTACCCAACACCATCCTTTGAATAAATATGTAAGATACAATGTTCTCTCTCATTGATATTTATTCTAATCAATTATATTAATTCTATATTTAAAATAATAGATTAAAAGGAAATCTTTTACTACTTCATTATTTACAAAATCATGGTAAATATATTGAGTAATTTAGAAACCAATATGCTTATATTAAGAGGTACATTTTATTCCACAAAAGAAAAATACCTTTAAATAATTTGGCAATTCACTAATAAATGTTAGGCAGAGAGATTTATTTAAAAATCAGACAATTGAAAAACCTTTAGAGTTACTTAGATACACATATGCATTGCTTAATAGAAATATGTTGCTTTAAAATTAAATTTAAATACAATATTTATTAATCAAAGCATACAAAATACATTTAGGGTTATTTAAACTACATAATCAATAGACTATGATACCAAGATCTTATTTTCCTACAATAAATTATCATTCTAATTGTATTGACTAAGTCTATATTTCCTAATTTGCCTAAAATGTATAAATTCACTCACAACTTTGTGGTCTCAATTAGCATAAACATCCCAACAAAACCATGTGTAACCATTGTATGACCAGGGAAGCAAACTCTGCCTAAATCCCAAAAATCACTTTGAAAAATTATTGTTTTAAATGCAAACAAGAAAAGAAAAGGGAAATTTTCTAAAGTAATCCTCAGCTTAACAACAGTTGTGTTTGGAAGCACCTAACTAGTGACTTCTGATGAGGTCAATGATTATATATTAAATTTCTAAGTGCTTTTCTGTGAAAGTAATCAAGTTATCAAAACGAATTCCTCTTTCAATCATAGAAAAGTGGTACTCTCCTGATCAATATTTATTTATATAATGTCATGTAAACTATAACATTTACTAGTAAGAATACAGTACATATTAAAATCAAATCCCTTTTTCCCCCAGAGATTTATTTCGTGTTATACTTTGTTTTACTTTTATCATAATGAATATGGGCACAATGAGTATACAAAGCCTTTCTGTGCTTGGTCAGGGAACCAGCTAAAGTACTGGCTCAATGGCTCTGATTTTAAACCATGTTTTACTTAAGACTAATTTTTCATCAGTGTTAGAGGTTAATAACACTGTTATTTCCTCTATTACCTGGATTTAATAAAAGCAGTGGGGCATAACATTCTGTAAAGCCAGGCAATAAGAGGAAATAACACAAATGTTAACCTCTAACATAAATGTAATGGTAATTGCTCCAGTCTAGTTTTAAAATTGATGCCTTTGGTAGTCTCCCACATGGCCAAAAAAAAGCTCTCTCCTCAGTGTCCCAGCAACCACCAAGATCCAAGGTCAAGGGCAAATTATGCCATCAATTTGTATGCTTAACAACATTTGTGCACCATATCATCCTTAAATATAGAAACACATTGTTTTAGGAATAAAACACGACAATAAAGCAGTGAAGCTGCAATTATAAATCAGCTAAAGTGAAAGTACATGTTGAAAATGTTAACGAAGATTGTTGCAATACAGAAAAGTTGATTCACCTTCTTACACGTAAAATATAAAATCAAGTTACACAATAAGGTAGATAAATCTCCTAATTAAATACTGAAGAAAGAGAAGCATGCAAAACAGCTTCATCTATATCTAAGCAGGATGTATGAAATTTTCACTTTTTCATTTATATCCAATACTTGTAAAAATTCATTGTGGTTATTTTATATACATATGTAGCGATTATTTATTTCTATTTAATAAGCATATTTTTAATGTTTTGGCAGATAGAATTAACGTCTCTTGCATTACATGTCAACTTTGTCTTGCATAGCACCAAGTCATGTCAGCAGCCTCTTTAGAAACTAAAGCCAGCAAGTTAAGATTAATTTCTGCTAATTATCTCAGACCCTCAGACCATACTGTTCACACACTGGGAACCAAATTTCCAGACTCAATTTTTGCAAATCTGCTAGGCCCCTCAACATTTGTCGGTGTACCAAACCAAAAATGTTCCAAGCTTTCCTCTTTTCAAATACCACCACTCTTATTACACATTACAACCATTTATTTCCTGTCATCTTTTCATATTCAGTTTACAAAAGCAAAACCATGCCTTCAAACTGTTAATGGTCCAGAGTTTGTTAGAATCTTTTCTTAATAATTAAGTTCCTCATGTGCATGGATCTTGTCACTCATTTCTTATATTCTTTAAAGGTCTTCTAAAATGGGTACTTGGTGGGCACCCAAAACATATTAACTTATTAGTATTCATGCCGCAGTAGAAACAGGAAGGAAAGATCTTTATTCAATCTGATTTAGCCCAGCCCTACCGTATTGCTTTCATCGGGTATCAGAAATCCAACTTTTGATCAGCCTCCTGTCACATAGATTGTGAATGTCAAAACCTAAGCACTTATCTTGTCTTCTGACAACTATCAAGTAGAAGAGGAACTTCAGTGGTAACTTACTCTTTAAAAAAATAAAAATTAATTTACACGGCAAATGTAATCATGATGACAATGTCATCTAAAAAATACATACCAGCTTTGTCTTTGAAAAGCTCAAAATCTTTATCACTTCATAAAACATGGGGACCAAAAATCTTCAGACAGGCCTAAGGGAAGTTTCGGAAAGAGAAGTTTAATATTTGACTGATGAGAAGGATCGCCAGTGGCCCACAGCCACAAACAAGGTCACTAAAATAGACAGAAAAACCTCCTCAGGTGTGGTCTCTTTGTTGTGTATTTACACTGGCTCCTGTGTTGAAATGAGGCCTCTATGGTCCTGAAAACTGCCAAAAAACCCTGGCTGAGTGAAGCTATAAACACAGTGTGCGATGATAACCTCTGCTGCACTCCATGTGTCCCAAAATCTGCTAAGACCTTCACTTCAGTCTGCAACAAGGTAGAAAAATATTTGAGGTCAATAAATTGGGGACAGGGTGCAGGGAGTGATGAGAGAAGCTCAGGGGTAGAAAAGGAGGCAAGGGAGCACAGTTCCTTGTTTAAGGAAAGTGGTAGGACCACTTACCACCTATATTATCTAAAGCTCATTACATAATCCCTCAAAGCTACCTCACTCATAGAACTAATAGTAAAACTATCTAATGCACAAAGTACATAAAATAATCTAAGCAAAGAAGTGATTGGTACCCAGTAATTATTCTCACGCATTAAATGCATTCTAAAAGCCAAGATTATGAGGCAAAATGTAAACCTGAGGTGGACTTCAGTTCCAGAGACTCAAGCTCTTCTGAATCTTTCTAAATCAAGTAATTTATTCTTGAACTCTTCATTTGGACAATTATGGATTCATGTGCTCACATTATAAGATATTAATATTATAGACAGCCTCAAAAGACAAAAGTCATACCTGTCACTGCTAAGAAAATGCTACTTTACTTAATAAGCTGTCAATAATTACATCTGGAGAAGGAATAAAAAATGACAGTTTCCTCTTAGAAATTATTACGAGAGAGAAATTCAAACTTTTTTGTTACAAATATTCAATTCTGTGTTTGTATTTGACAACAAAATAAAACTAGTTCAAAATTTTAAAAGACAAATAATAGATAGTCTCTATCCCTGAGGAGTTCAGAGTCTAATGGAAAAAATGTATGCATAAATCATAACCGATGAGTGCTATAACAAAGGTGTTTGAAAGCTTCTCAAGTACAGAAGCTGAGGGATGAGGAGGAATTCATAGTAAAAGTGAAGTATACCCTGGGCCTAGAAGAATGACTTGGGCCAGAGTTTAAAAATATTTGTCTTCGTTACTTGAATGGACATCTTTTTTGCATGCAGATTCTAAGAATATAACCATATATATAGCTGACTGCCCCCCAGAAACAAGCATCACTTGAATGATAGAGGAAAATTTCCCCATACATTACACCATTGTCATGGCTATCTGGGTATCCAAAAGAAATTTCCAAGGGTAAGATTAGTGCCTTGCAGCCTCCACAAAATTTAAAAACTATTGAGAGCAAGAATCATTTCTTATTCAGCTTTCTATTCTTTAGCACATAAAACAAAAATTGTTGTAAACCACATGAAGAATTGGTCTCTTGGTCAGAGACTAGAATTCCCTTAGTTCTGTGGCATGTCCTCTGGGGCCAGAAGTGAATCCTCTCCAATCAGAACTATGTCTGGCTTTTGGAGAACCAATTCTCATTTTAGGAAGACTTCTCCTATGGGATCAAGGTATCCCACCAACAAATTAGGAGCTTTTTAGAGTAGTCCTCACCCTTTGCTGGTCCTTCATTTCCGTAAAGTTTATTAATTTTAAGAAACTCAGGAACTTCCCCAAAATTAACATTCATTTTACTAATGCCCTAAGAAGAGAAGTTGATGGCTGATGTCATTATATTATTTAAATTCGGTTAAGTGCTAAATCCAATGTTACATGAACACATTAATCTCTACTACTCAAGCTATAGAAATCAAGAAGCATTGATATATCTCAAGGTGTTATTGAGAAGATCACAGCCAAGAGACAATACCACCTTAGGTGGTCCATAATCAGGGTGTAATTGGGAAATTTTCTAACTAAAACAGCATAGGAGGTAATCTTAGAGAAAGTACTTGTATTAGTCCATTCTCACACTGCTATAAAGAAATACCTGAGACTGAGTAATTTATAAAGAATAAAGGTTTAATTGACTCATGGTTCCATAGGCTGTACAGGAAGCATGGCTGGAAAGGCCTCAGGAAACTTACAATCATGGCGGAAGGCAAAGAGGAAGCCAACACGTCTCACATGGCGGCAGCAGGAGGAGAAGGGATGAAGGGGAAGGAGCTACACACTTTTAAGCAACCAGATTTCATGATAACTCACTCACTATCATGAGAATAGCACCAAAGGGGAAATCCACCCCCATGATCCAATCACCTCCCACCAGGCCCCATGTCCAACACTGGAATTACAGTTTGACATGAGATTTGGGTGGGGACACAGACTCAAACCATATCAGTAGTCATCAATGGACTTTGTGCTATGTTTTCAGCATAAGAGCTTGTCTAACCCTGGGAAACTTCCAGTTCAGAAAGATTAAAATCATTCCATATCTCACTCAGTTTTTTAAGCATTTGGCTACAGGCTTAGAAATCTGCTCGAGGACCTCAAGCCTAAAGCAGTTCATATCTTTAAACAAAGTGAGCAGGATTTTTGCAGCCTGGGACAGTCTGCATCAGAGCCCAGTCTTTCTAAACCTCTGTCTTCCAGGCTGGTTGGCAATCAACTAGAACTCAAAGGAAATAGAATAAAGGTACTTAGGGCTCCCTAATTAAGGCTCCTAATAACAGAAATAATTTATAATCATTGTTTTAAAAAGAAAGGGGCAATGGGAGACTAAAGATAAAGCAGGACATTTCCACAAGTCTTCCATAACCAAAACTTGGATCAGCTCTAGACAGAAGTCTTGGCATATACTAATATTCTGATTTACAAATAGAATTTTACTACAAGGGCCTAAGATCAATTACTTTTACTGTAATGCATGAAAATATTCATATAGAAATATTACAAGCAACATTTGGGAATCAATGATTTACTAGGACAAATTAGAAAGGATATTTTCCAATGAATTTAGAACTTAAAAGTAAAATTAAGGCCTGACATGGTGGCTCATGCCTGTAATCCCAGCACTCTGGGAGGCTGAGGCAGTCGATCACGAGGTCGAGAGTTCAAGACCAACCTGATCAACATGGGGAAACCCCGTCTCTACTAAAAATACAAAAATTAGCTGGGTGTGGTGGTGCACACCTGTAATCTCAGCTACTCGGGAGGCTGAGGCAGGAGAATCACTTGAACCCAGGAGGCAGAGGTTGCAGTGAGCTGAGATCACACCACTGCACCCAGCCCACATGACAGAGAGACTCCATCTCAAAAAATTTTTAAAAAAGCAAAATTAATTTTTCTAAGTCCAGGGAGGTTAAACTCTTTATATTTATTACGGGTAGGGAACAGAGATGGTCTTTTATTTTCTACGTTTGATTCATTTGAAAAGCTAAATGTTTAGCAGTAGTTCAGCTGTCATTATAAATACATCTACCCAATAAGACCACGGAAAATTGCAGCTGCTGCTGGGTAGGGTCTTCTAAAATGAAATGTAAAGAAGATGGAAATTTAATTCTGATAAATATTGCTAATAAAACAATAATAGCTCATCTTGATGCCACTGTGCTTGGATTTCATTGCTCCCCAGCCAAAGCAGGTATGCGATCCCAGAGCAAGGACCTCTGTGAGTCAATTCTAGGAACGGAAGAATGCATAGCCACAAAATATTATTGTGATATCTTAAATTTGTATGATTCTTTAAGAAACAAAAATAACCAAAATAAAAAAGTTTTCTTATCAATGATTTCTCATAATCCTCTCAATAACACCATGTAGCAGAGAGATCAATTATTTTACAGGTAAGAAATAAAAAGCAGACTTGAATAACTTGTCCAAAGTTCCAAGACCTAATAAATAAAAGTTTTAGAACTAAAACTCAATGCCTTCCAACATGAGGATGAAGAAATCTTTCTGTTACAGCAAACTGCATTCATTTTGTCCATATTCTTAACTACATTAGCAAGTGAACTGTTTTGTCTTCTCCTTGCAATGTTTCATGGAATTCCCCTATTGTTCAAAACAAATGTATTAAAAAGTTGGTTAAAACAAAATAGAAAAAACCTGAAAGATTCTTCACCTGCCTTTTTTACATGTGGAAACCAAGGAGACAAAAAGAGCCACAGGCCTTATTTCTGCTACCAGTAGTTGATTATTGGCGTTTTACATCCTTGATGGCCATATTTGATTTTTTTAAGAGACAGAAAATAAACAAAAACTCTATGTGCTGTTTCCTCTGTTTGCAAGGACTGTGACTTTTGACTCTTATAAATCTACTCAAAGCTAAAGTCTGCAGATTGGGTGTTTCAGGAATGTTCAAAATATAGCTTGAGATTTATAGAGCTGTAAACTTTTCTTGGCTTTTCTTGGTCCATCTTATTTGATAAAACTTAACTAGTAAACAAAGTGGCTGCACATCCTCTACAAAACATCCATTAGGTTATCTGGCTTTATACCCAACTAGAGTTTGTTTGCACAAAGAATTAATGAGAGGGGTTACTGAAGGACTTCAGTCTCTTCTTTCATTCCACTCAGACAAATTGTTTGCAATACCAGTTCCGATGAATGCAAATAAAAGTAATTGATATTCTAACGTATAACATGCTCTTAGAGAGTCTAGCTCCACTGTTAGAAAGGATATTTCTTTCAAAAAGTCTTTTGAGGGCTTGATGTTATAGCTGCTGAAATTTCTATTAGTGTTTATTGAAATTATGGTGCTTCAACTAGAACTGAGCTAGAACTAGAAATTTAAAAACGTAATCTCCTTAAGTAGTATTTCAGCCTTGCTATTTAAAATGTAGCCCTACGATGATAACAGCATATCTTTCATCATGAATGCCGTCATTGAAATTCAAATTGGTTAGAATTAATATAATACATTTCTGTGTCTAGAAACATTTCAAGTTAAAGAAAAGCCTCTGTAAATCTAACACTTCAGTATATATTTTAAGAATTATCCTTGGACCAGAATATTGACTGGTATTGTATTAAAATGGGGAATTGACATGAAAATCCTATGTCATAAAACGATTTGCTGGTTGTCTCATGGTAAAGTCCTTAAAAGAGTTGGGGAATTTGAAGAAGAGTTACATGTTTTTCTTCCACACACACACAAAAAAACAGCTGTTCCAAATTTCTGACCTTTTCTGTAATGAAAAATGCCTGCTTAGCAGTATTTAAACACACACCCATCCTTAATATGTCCCAACGTAAAAGAGGCATTTTTAATAAGAAGTGAGAAAATGATTGTTTTGGAAAATAATTCCTGCTATCAAGACAGGATTTTGAAAACAGATGTTTGGCAATGTTTTCATCATTATGCAACTTTGTTACTGAAAACAATTTTGCTATGTCAATTATAAAACACTCATCTACATACTTTGAAAATTAAATGTTATATATCTCATAGAAACATATAATATGTTGAATTTGTTAATATCTTAGAAGTTTTGCATCTGTGCTTATAATGAAATTGGCCCATAATTTTTTTTCTTGTACTCTCTCTCTGATTTTGGTGAGTTAGCAATCTTCTCTATTCCTCAATTTTTGAAAGAGTACCCAAAATAGATGTTATCTACTTTTTGAGGGTTCGGTAAAAGTGGTAAACAAACATATCTCATTTTGTGTCCATTTTGTGGGTAGCCTGTAGCCTACCAAGTAAGTGATTATGATGGTTTTAGATTAATTCATGGTTTGTTTTTAATTTCTTCTTCTATCAATTTTGGTAGTGTACACTTTTTTAGAAAGTTGGTCAGTTCACCCTGGTATTTGTATAAAGGTCCCTTATGGAACTTGACACTGAGTTTTAATATCTCTGTTCTACATACAGTCACGTTGGGGTTTTAAAATTTTATATTTTTTATTGCCTTCTTTTTTCCTGACGAGTTTTGTCAGATAAATGTCTTTATTAAAACAAAAATAGGTTTTAACTGGGCACAGTGGCTCATGCCTGTAATTCCAACACTTTGGGAGGCCAGGGTGGTAAGATTACTAGAGACTAGGAGTTGGAGACCAGCCTGGGCAACATAGCAAGACCCTGTCTCTACAAAAAAAAAAAAAAAATTAGCCAGGCATGTGGGGATGCCTGTAGTCCCAGCTCCTCAGAAGGTTGAGGCAGGAGGATTGCTTGAGCCCCAGAGTTCGAGGCTGTAGTGAGCTATGATGGTGCCCCTGCACTCTAGCCTGGGTGACAGAGGAAGGTCCTGTCTAAAAAAGAAAAACAAAGAAAGAAATAATGAAGTTGAAATAAAATAAAATGAAATGAAATAAATGAAGTGAAATGAAAAAGAGATATTACATCTACAAGATTTATGTTTCCTTGTTTTAGACTTAATTAATTTTTGTTCTATCTTTACGATTTTCCTCTGCCTACTATCTTGGAGTTTACTTTGCTTTTCTCCTTTTAAGTTTTGGTGTTGACCTTTAGAACATTAATTTTAGTGTATCTTCTACACTATTATAATGAACTTAAGATAAAACTCATGTTTTAAAACTATTTTAATTGCCTTGCACAAGTTTTGATATGTAGTATTTCATTGCTGTTTCATTCTTTCATTTTGGTTTCATCACAATGTAGTGATTTAAAGCACAGTATCTGGAATCAAATTATCTGGACTGTGAATCTTAGCTCCATCATTCATTAGATCTGTGATTTAGTTTCCTCATCAGCAAAATAATAACAATAGAAGTAGAACTTACCCCTAGGGTTTTATGAGGTATATGTAATGCACATATCACAGTACATGACCCATAGTAAGCAACTATTGAAATTGGCTGCCATTATCCTCAATGTCATTCTTATAAACATCATCATTATTAAATCCATGGAACATTTTGGAGAGTGTTGCTTTAAAATTCAAAACATATGAGTTTGGTGGTCTATTTAAAAATATTGTTGCGTTATCTTATTTCCTGTGATCAGACAACATCATATGGCTTCATTGATATCTGTTAAGATGTGTTTTGTGACTTGGTATGTGGTCAAATTTTCTAAAAGTTTCAAGAGTGTGTGAAAAACAATCTCTAACTTGTCTAATTGTTGGAAAAAGTATTATATATATGTGTATGTATGTGTACATATATATATATATATATATATACATTAGACCAGTATTAATTGTGTTATTCCATTTGTCTGTACATGAAACAAAAGTTGAATGCTTGATCTACCAATACATCACAGAGTTGTGTTGCAATCTTCTATGTAGATTTGTTTATTTTTTGTTGAACTTATTTCAATTTTGACTCATGTGTTTGAGGATATGCTTTTAGTTACATACAGATTCAAGACTGCTACATCTTCTTGGAAAATAGATTTATCATCATAAAATAACTTCAGTAAAATTTTTTGGTTTCAAATCAATTTGGCTTATATTAACATAGTATTTTTCTGATACATTTTCCATTTACTTACTTTTAACCTTTCTATGTCATTGTTTTGCTCTGTTTCCTACAAAAAGTACATACATTTTTTAAAAACAATAAAAATCTCTGTATGTTGATCTGTGTTTAATCAGTTTGCATTTATTGAGATAGTTTTATATATTTGTGTTCCTCTCTTTCATTTTGTGTTGCATTGTGCTTTTTATTTTCTTCTTATTTCCTAGCTTCTCATGAATTAATTGAATTATCTTTATTCTGTCTTTTCAATAATGAATGTTCTTTTAGTGAAGATCCTTATTTTTTTTTTTTTTAATTTTGGACATATGTATTTAATTATCTACTAAATCATCCAAATGGAAATCTGTTGTAAATGAATGGAAACAAGGGTCATAAATTTAGGAGAGAGGCAAGTTTTTTAGGCCAGCATTTTTTGTTTAAACCAGTTTAACTTTAGACATTTACCAAATTGGACCATTTATTATAATATTCAAAATATAACTTTTTGCCAAAATAAACAAAACAATTTATCAAAATTGGTTTCCAGAAATTTTCCAAATAATTTTTCAACCTGGTTAAAATTTTCTTACATTTTTTAAAATTTCAAAGTATTTTGGCAAACTTAGTCAAAATACTACATCTTTGTTTTAGAGATAATAGTTTATAAAAATTCATGGACCAGAGTAACCTAAATTGATGTTCATAAGAATTCCTTGCTCTCAGCCCTAATGATTTACACCTTCCCTTTAAAGTGCATAAGTATCATAAAATTAAGTTGTGATTATCAGATATTTTGTATAAAAATTTATGAATTAAACATGTGTGACTTTTTCCCCTTTGTTCTCTCTCATTTTTGCAGCACCTAGATGCAGAATTCATGAAGCCCTAGGGATGGTGAGGCCATGAGATAGAAAGACCTTGGTCCCTGACACTTGGTCCCTGACATATTAAAGATATCTGATCATCTTTAATATGAGCAAGAAATAAACTTGTATTGTGTTAAGCTATTGAAATTGTGAAGACTAGTTGTTACAGTAGCTAGCATTAACTTAATACAACTCTGTATTTACTTTTAATTCACTCTGATGATCTGTTCCTTTAATTAATCTATATAAACCACATAGTGACTAATGATATAGTTGAATTAATATCTACCATGTTTTAATTATTCTAATTATTGCATTTGTTCTTTGTTTCTTTTTATTCTCCTCCTTTTCTGCCTTCTCTGGTTCAGTTGACTATATTACATGGTTCTATTTATCTTCCTCTCTTAGCTTATCAATTATATTTCTTTAAAAATATTTCCAGTAGTTGGCTTAGATTTTCAAGTACACATTTTAAATTAATCTAATTTCACCTTCAAATAACTCTATACTGCTTCATGGGTAATACAAGTACCTTATAATAGACTATTCCCTATTCCCATCCCATATGCATTGCTGTTATTCACTTCACTTACCTATGTACTATAACTCCATATTTTGTTACAATTATTGCTCTCAAGAGTTATCTTTTAATGCAATTGAAAATGAGAAAAGTAAAAGATTTAATTTTACTTTGATCCATTACTTCTTCAACACACTTCTTTTCTTCATGTAAACCCTAGTGATACAGACAGGAGGCAGGGAAATACTGGGTAGAAGAGAGTGGTCCCCGGTGAGGGCAACACCCTCAAGCCTTGACCTGCAGCTTAAAATGAGAGCATGCATTCCTGTTTTCCAATCTAAAGGCTGCCTTTTCCAAATCCACCCTGGCCTGCCCCAGCCCCCATCCTGTACCCATAAAAACCCCAGGCCCTACCAGCAGAGCGGCGTGGCAGAGAAGGAGAGAAGAGAACCAGCATCTGGACATCAGAGAGAAGCAGCTTGGCTTCAAAGGGACAGCTTGATGGCATGACACCCAAATTCCAGGGGAGGACCACCTTCCCACTACATCCCCTTTCCAGTCCCCCTTCCCACTGAGAGCCACTTTCATTGGCAATAAAATCCTCCGCATTCACTACCCTCTAATTTGTTCATGTGACCTGTGACCTCATTCCTCCTGGATGCCAGACAGGACCTGGGTACAGTGCAAGAGGCTGTCACATTTACCCTCCACTGAGCTGTTTAACACTTAAGCATCCACGGTTCACAAAGCAAAAAGAGCACACTGTAATACACACCCTGTGGGGATCTGGGAATCACAGGCAACCCCTAGACGCCGCTGTGGGCCACATGGAGTTCTGCTCCTGCCAGTTCCCCACAAGTGCTCATCCTGGCCACTGCACCCACTCACCTGCATGTTCCCCCTCCCATGAGGGGTTGAGAGCTACGAGCTGAGTAAATGAGCCACCCCCTTCACAAGTCCCGCGAAGGGGTCAAGGGAACAATCTCATTTCACTAGTTTCTGAACTGTATCATTTTTCTTCTTCCTAAAGAACTTCTTTTAACATTTATTTCAGGGCAGATTCGTTGGTGATCGGGTCCCTCAGTTTTTGTCTGGGAAAGTCTTTATTTCTCTTTTACTTCTGAAGAATAATTTCTCTGGATATAGAATTCTAGATGGGGGTTGTTTTTCTTCCAAACCTTAAATATTTTCCTCCACTCTCTTCTTACGTGGTTTCTGATGAGAAAACCACTATAATTCTTATCCCTTCTTTATCTACAAATAAGATGTATTATTTTTCCTCTAGCTTCTTTCAAGATTTCTTTGTCTTTGCTTTTCTGTTGCTTGAATATAATATGCTTAGGTATACTTTCATGGTGTTTTTTGTTGTTGTTTTGTTCGTTTGTTGTTTGTTTTTTCTCTTTCTTGGTGTTTTCTGGGCTTTCTGGAACTGTGCTGCACGTCTGTGATTAATTTTGGAAAGTTCTCAGCCATTATTATGTCAAATATTTATTTTGCTGTGTTCCCTTTTCTCCTTCTGGTATTCCAATTATGCATAATTTATACTTATTACAGTTGCCCCACAGTCCTTGGGTATTCTGATTTTTTCTCCTCCTTCCTCCCTCCCTCCTTTCTTTCTTTCTTTCTCTTTCTTCTTTCTTTCTTTCTTTCTTTTCTTTCTTTCTTTTTCTTTCCCTTTCAGTTTGGAAAGTTCTTGTTGGCCTATTTTCAATCTCACTAGTTTTTTCCTCTGGCATGCCCGCTGTACTGATAAATAGAGTCTTCATTTCTGTCTTTGATTTCTAGCACTTCTTTTATTTTTTTTTCATTTTTTATTTTTGTTGTTTTTATCTCTCAGATTACATTACCCATCTGTTTTTGTATGTTGCCTATTCTTTCCATTAGGACCTTTAACATGTTAATCATAGTCATCTTAAGTTTCCTGTCTGATAATTCCAACATCTGTGTTATATCAAGGTCTGAGTCTGATTCTTACTTTCCCCCTTCAGATTGTGTTTTTCTTGACTTCTGGCATGCTTTATAATTTTTTAAACCCCAGACATGTTGTATGAATGTTTGCTGTAACTGTAGGTGCCACAGGACTCAAATTTCTCTAGTGTCCTTGTTTTTATCTTCATTGTTGACTTTGGGCTTCCTTAAGACTCTTCTTCAGAGACTCTGCATTTTACAGTTCTTTCCATTGTAATACACTGTCGTTATACTGAACCCCTGTTGGTGTGATGCTAAGATATGGGGAAAGTCAGGCATTCTATAATTTTACACATAACTGTGTGCTTAGTGGTCCTGTGCCTCTGGGCTGTGACCTTCATAAGTGCTTCTTCAGTGGTATAATATTTCCCCCTTGGGTGAGACCTGAAGGCTAGAGGTAACTGGATTGAGAATGCCCTTCCCCCAGCTCGGATATACTCTAGTCAACTTTTTTCTCCTCCAGCATAGGTCTTTGTTATGGAGAACTGTCTTGGAGTATCTAGCAAGAATTACTCTTTTGCCCCCACGACAGAGCCACAAGAGAATCTTGGATCTCCACTGTGAGAATCCAGTGAAGTTCCTGGAGTAAAAGCTCATAAAAGCAAGAGGGCCCCATAAAATTGCAACCCCCACAAGTTTTTCACTCTCCTCTAGTTCACACTTAGCCTCCAGCATTTCTTCAAAATTACCATTTAGGTGCTCTTACTGGATTATAATGCCAGCAGCTTCTGCTCCAGGTAAGCAAACCTCAGCTATGACTCCGGATTCACCTGTCTTTCTGAAATTTAGGGTGAAAATTTGCCTTGCAATGTCTATTCTCTGATGGATTCAAGAAAAATCATTGGTTCACAATTTGATTAGCTTTTCCTTGTGAAGACAGACATAACAACTTCCAAGCTCTTTAGACGCTAAAGCTAAAACTGGAAGTCTTATTTTTAGTTTTTTATTCAATTGATAATTCTTCCTATGGCAAGGACTAACTCCTCTTATTTATTACCTATGTGTCGGTCTCACATGTTTTTAATATGTCATGAAATAAGAATATATACGAGTCCTTCTCTCTTGATGTGGGATAAACTTGCCTACGGAAGTTAAACATTTGGGGATTTTCTTAAAAACAAAAAAATCTGGCACAGTGGCTCATACCTATAATCTGAGCACTTTGGAAGGCCAAGGCAGGGAGATCACTTGAGGATAGGAGTTCAAGACCAGCCTGGGCAACATGGCAAAACCTTGTTTCTAGAAAAAAATGGAAAAAAAAAACCCCAAAAAAACAAAAAAAACAATTAGCTGGGAATGGTGGCACGTGCCTGTAATCCCAGCTACTCAGAAGGCTAACGTGGGAGGATCACTGAGATCACATCACTGCACTCCAGCCTGGGCAACAGAGCAAGACACTCCCTGTTTCAAATCTAAAACACTAACAAAGGCTGTATCTAGAAAGTAAGAGTGACCAGAAACAAAGCACTTGGCCCTGCAAGCCACAAAAGAGGAACATTGTCCTTTTTAAAAATTATTTCTAAGCTTAAGATATTAACAAGTTGATTTATGAGAGCGCAAGTGGAAGCAAGGACGGGGATTGGGTTTCTTCAAGCATATTCCTTGTGCCCTTATATGCTCCCCGTGCTGCATTGCCTGAGAGCTAAGAGAGTGTCTTCCAAATGTTTACGGCATGTCTCTGTAATATTTCATTATGTGCCAAGGCAGCCATCCTCTCCTGCAAAGTAGCAGTGTCTGAGAGCAAGTAATCATTTTGAAATAATAAAGCCTATTTATTTTATTAACATTTAAAGTGCATGAGAACATTTATGACCAAACTCATATATAATTATAACCAACAGAATGTGGCATTAATTATCAATACTGCTCCAGGGAAGGATATGTTTATAACATCATAAAGCAGATCTTTCTTTTAAGCCAAAGATATTCATATTTGGAGGGGAATTATTGTGTCATTTAATTTGATCTGCTTTCTGGGGACATCTTTCTGCAATTATCAATTTCTTTCTCTACAGTTTGCATTTTATTAATATTTTATTAATAAAATTATATTCTATACTATGCTGGTAGAAAGTTGTGTTTAACACTGTAAAGTATTACAATTTAGGCGTTACTTGACAAGAATTGGCAGTCTGAATTACATTTCATTTGAAAACAAATATGACATAGTAACCAAAAAAGAATATAACTTAGAATAGTCACTATTCCCTCAAGTAAGGTATGATGACCAAGTAACTAACTATGTGAGCTGGCATGCCTACAAAACCAGTATAATACTACACTAATAATTATAATAAAATGATATTTTCCGCCCTACGCTGCAATGAAAAATCATTGTCTTCTTATTTTCACAACAGGTTTTAATTGGATATTTTTGTTAAGAACCAGAGAATCTCTATAATGGTTGTACAGAATGAAGTGATCCCTAGAGTCCTTTCCAGATTAAAAATTCAATTGTCCTATATTTATAGATAAGGTGAATAAGGAATCTACTGTGGAATGATCCACCCTAGAATTCACAGTCCATAAAGTAGAATCAATTACTGAACTATAAACCTTAAGCACCAAAGCTTTGCAAGTTTAAAATGTAAAAAGGGGTTTTAAAGCATTACTTCACTTCATTAAGATAAGCCCAGTAGAAAATGAATAGGAAGATGTTAGAATTGGCAAAGAGAAGGAGTTTTTCCTGTCACATATTTTTTGAGTTCTTGTCCCAATGCTTCCATTTACTAATGATGTTTCCTAGACCAAGTCTCTGAACTTCCTAAAACTTAGAAAAAAACCTCCCCATTTCCTCATCTGTAAGTGGATCTAACAGTATCTCCATGTGAGCAGTGGCAAGGATTATGTGAGGTAACATGTCACAAAGTTTCAGTACACTGTACAGCATGAAGCAAACCTTTGATAAATATTTCAGTGCTCAGACCCATCTCTTTTTCTTCCTCTCCTTTTAATCCAATGAATAAACATATTTTCCACATAATGTTTAAGAAATTGGTATAAAATTCCCCTTAGGGACTGCATGTATTTAGAAATGCTCAGATTTATAACTATTTTGTTTATTGTTCCAGGGAACACAGTCAAGATTAGCCATGATCCCAGATTCATGATTATAGTTTAATAAGGGAAGCAATGCAGACACACATCCCATTTACAAAAATGAGAGCTATAATGATTACAAAAGTGAGGAGTAAATGAAAGGATCCAGAATTGTTAATATGTCGATGGTTTGGAGGTCATTGGATGTTAATTAGAGAAACTGTCCTGAAAGAAGTGGGCCTTATACTATAATATGAGAAGAAAAGGGATCTGATGAAACAGAGGGAAGCTGTTCTCTAGAGCAAACATTTGGGTTGACAGGGAGTTATCAAGGGCAAGTGGAACACAACTCTTAACTTGGGCATACCCCACCCAGACAGGTGGCTAAGACCCTCATACTACCTAGTGATCACCCAGAATAGTCACGTAGTTACTGCCTGAGTCTTCCCTAAGCCAGAAGTTATCCATGCTATGTGGGCTTTTTTATTTTCCTCACATCTCTCCATTCCATGCAAATGTACCTTTCCTGTATTTAAGTACAGCAATATACTCTTCTTCATTTTTGAAGTAGACTAGGCTCATCTAAAATGATAATATTTACTAACATGAATGTCTTTACCAAGTACAAATCTACATTATCCAAAAACGAGCTGTAATAAAAATTTTAATAAGCTTTCCTGGAGCTATCCTAGAATCCAATAATCAGAAAAAAATCAATTTGTAAACAAAAATGAAAATTTAAAATTGACAGTTTTCCTTTATAAATATGAACTAGCTTATACTTGAGAGATAAAATAAAGATGGTAAAATAATTGCATATATATTTATTTTAAATATTAATTTAATCTGAAATTCTATTAGCATTTACTTAGATAATGAAATACTTAACTGAAAAAAAATCTTACCTTTAGAGATAGCATTTAATAATTTACTACATGAAAAATTCAAATCACAGATGGTATAAAACAATCAAATGCAAAACAATTTTCCTTGAATTTCCAGACTGCTTCAGAAACACAAATAGAGGTTAATTTCTGTGCTCAAACATCATGCTCGAAACTGTCTACAAGTATTATCATGAAGGAGCATAATCTCAAAGCATTACCTAAAAACAATATGCTTGAAAAACCATCTACAGCTATTTCTTATCCGAGAAAAACAAAGAGCACGTACTACATAAGGCAGCAAAATGCCAGAGGTTAAAATTGAAAAAAGAGTACATGTGCATTTTTCTCTTTGACAATTTTTAAATATTAGAATGTTTATTCTTACTTTTAAAAGATAGATGCAAACCTCACTGAATTTAGTATTTTCATTACAAACATCTAGCAGCTTTCAGTAAACAATTAAATTATAACTCTTATTTACTCTTATATTGATAAGCAATCACACACAGCAAGCAAACTCAAACAAGAGGTAGGAGACACAATGACCCCAGCTAGTAAATATATTTGCTCTCTAATTAACATCTGAAGACTTCTAAGTTGTTATAAATTCATATATGCATTTTACATTCCAGCTTTAGCAAATGTGAGTCAGAGATGTATGAGGATGTGACAAAAGCCTCCTCCTGAGGCCACTGCTAAATCTAAGATCATCATCCTCTTGCCTTTGAAGGCTGGAAATGGGGAGACTCCATCACAAACACTTTTCTTCTGTGAGCTTAATCGATGCCACCTGTCCATCTAATACATTTCAGGAAATGACAGCCCTGCTGGGTGGATGCTAAGCCATTGTGACTTCATATTTCTGGCTGAGAAGTTTTGTTTGGATTTTTTTATAGACCTGTTAACCCTTGATGGATTTTACAGTCCTGCAGCACTGAATATAAACTATGGATTTTTAAATTGGGAGTGGAAAGTGTTGTTGGTGGGCCCACTGTGGATCAAAAGTCTTGCATGTATGTGTTTCCTTTGACCCAGAAACTCTAGGTCTGGAAATATAAAGGAAAGAATGGAGAATAAATATATAATTATGTGGATCTTCATTGCAGAATGATTTACAAAGGGAAATATTGACCTCAAATAACGTGTTTAAAAGTTACATCAAAGTAAAATGTTGTAAAATACAAGATGAATAGACTATTTTGCAGTCCCAATAAAAGTAATATTCTTAACATATTCATTCACATTGAAAATATTCATGCAATAGTTAGATGAAAAAGTGAGGTACAAAATGGTAGGTTAAATGTGATCTCATTTTTATTGCAAAGAATATGTGTGTGTGTGTATATATATACATGTATATGTACAATGCCAATCTCCAGAGAGAACTACTGTTTTATATATACATATACATACATACACTAAACTAATAAAAGTAAAATTAAATTACATTTGACCCATTTAAATTAATATAAATATATATGTCATATCATGAAAAAAACATCAGATTTAGAGGAAAGAAAAATATGTTCATATATGACTTTCTTGCTAAATTTCCGGGTGATCTTTGACAAGTAACAATTATAGTTACCATATTCATAAAATAAAATTAGAGGAGTAGACGATATCTGAAAGACCTTTCAGTTCTAATATTCTATCAGCAACCAGAAAATCCTTAATTTGGCTTAGAGCTTTGACTTCCTTCAACCATGCAAGACCCCACACCAGTTTCAGCAATGGTGTACCAGTTCCCCTGGACAGGGACTATGTCTTGCAAAAATATTTACTCTTTAAATAAGTCTTCATCACATAATAGCAGCTCAATAAATAATTGGAAATAAATCATTCTCCTAGCTATAGTCATATTTTCCTGAGCTTAGAAAAACTGTCCCAAGGTATTTTTTAAGTTTTATTGACTCATTACAAATAGTAATGACTAATCCAGTGTAAGATCTAGTGCTAATGTAAAAGCAAACTATAGCAAGACAGTAAGCCATTCCATGTTCTCTCCACATGAAAGAATGTGGCCTCCAAAAGCCACTGAACACCACAGTTCTTATGTTCTGTTAAAGCTGTACATCTTCCATATTGGCTCTATTTGATTCATGTTTTTGGTTTTGCCCTTTCTTTGTTCTTCAGAGGAACACAGAATTGTTTTGGTAGCTTAATCAGCAGAAGAACATAGAATTGTTTTGGTAGCTTAATCAGCTTCAGAAGAAGCCACAATAAGTGTACTGGTTAAAATGTTCAGTCAGCACATCTGTCAGCATGTTTCAAGTGAAACACGAAAGACTACATGGCTGCAGTCATAGCTTTAGGAGCGAGCAAGCCAAATGGGTAGCTACAGCACCCCAAGGTAGAAAAGCAACAGGCAAACAGGAAACCCCACAGCAGATAACTTCCCAGCTGACCAGGAACAGGGCAAAGTCGAAATGGTAAGGGAAGATTAGAAAATGAAAAGCCATCCCGGCACTAAACTGATGTAAATCACATTCTTTATAATTCCTCTATGATTGTTTTTATTTAATTTGGGGTTGCTGAATGTAAAATATGGCTTACATTAATCAAATTAATAAAAACTTTCAATTTTCTAGTTACCATGTAGTGCTTAATACATTGAAAATGTGAAGCAAAACTTAAAATATTTATTTAACTAAAATTGTATTTACTTTTGAAAATAATTTCCAGGAAAGAGATCAACTACTAAAATAAATGCAGCTATTTTAAGTAGAAAGATACATCCATAAGGAGAAAAAAAGTGTGTGAAGGCATTGTAAACATTGTAAATGTTTTCCAAGACTTTTAGTATAAGAACATGAGTTCAGCTCATGGATGCCTTTGATACATCACACTATTATCATAATGGACTTTAGTTTGAAAACCTTTTGTGGCTTAAGCATAAACAGTTATGTAAGTCAAATCAGAAATGTCCAAAAATAATCTTAGCTATGTGTAGAGCCTCCAAATATTGTATGTGTGTAAGTACCAGATACAATTTCTTTTTCTTTTGGTACGCTATTATTTATAAACTCATGTAAATATTTATAATTGTGGCTATGCAAAAAATACATAACAATGTCTCGAATAAATGCCTCCTTGTGAGAAATAAGCTACGGCACTTACATTACATTATATACATTTGAGTCTGTTATATGGCATACAGAAGAATATAAAATGTCAGGAAGTAAACGAACTTCCTAAGAAATCACCTTTAAAATATATTTGATCTAAGCTGCATGCAATTTGAAGAATACTGCTGATCCATCATTCTAGTTATAATGCTGCCTCTTCCATGAACATCTCAATTCACCATCTGGAAGTAATCTCATCCTCCTCCAAGCTGCCTCAAAATTTTATTTTCATTTCCTCTCTCCATGTTCTCACTATCATGTTATATACCACTAAGATTAATTTGGAAAAATCCATCTTTTGCTAGACTATAAACTCCTTGAGGGAAAATGATGCAACTTGAAAATATTTGTAAATACCATCCACACACATCCATTTCTTACTATCTCTTAGTAAGTGTTGATTGAATGAATTCATACATTTTTCTTCCTGGACAGCTCTAAGCTAGAGGAGTAGTAAACTTTATAGCTTTTGTTTTGATTTTCTCTCAGGATGAAATGCTTTGGAGATCCCAAATCCAGTAAAAGACTCCAAATAGAGCTGACAAAAGGTATCCAATTTTCACTGAGTTATCTGCAGAGGGGCATCTCTACCTGGCCCCAAGCAGTGTCTTGCAGTTCTCAGCCATTTCCATGTATGACTTGTCACTAGTGCACATTTTATCATCAAAAAAGAAATTCCATTCCTGTGAAAAACCTGGAAGATACAGCCATGACTAGTCAACAAAAGGGGACAAGAAGTTTGGAGTAAAATGCAATGATAAAGTAGGGCCATGGTTTCGTTGAGGCCTGGTCTGCTGAAGAGTGGACAGCCATATTGGTATCCAAGTTAGATGTCAGTAGAGCACAGCAGAAAGAGCGCTTACTGGACTGGGGTTGGAGCCTGGATCCCAGCTCTTACTTGCCACTTGGTAATTTTTTTATTTTAATTTTTATTTTTTTTGTGTGACAGAGTCTCGCTCTTTCGCCCAGGCCGAGGTGCACTAGCGCTCTCAGCTCACTGCAAGCTCTGCCTCCCAGGTTCACGCCATTTTCCTGCCTCAGCCTCCCGAGTAGCTGGGACTACAGGCGCCCACCACCGCTCCTGGCTAATTTTTTGTATTTTTAGTAGAGACGGGGTTTCACCATGATAGCCAGGATGGTCTCGTTAGCCAGGATGGTCTCGATCTCCTGACCTCGTGATCCACCCGCCTCGGCCTCCCAAAGTACTGGGATTACAGGCGTGAGCCACCGCCCCTGCCGCCACTTGGTAATTCTTGACTCAAGTAAGACCAATTAACATCACTTGGCCTTGGAGTATTCTAAGTCTTTTATTTTATAAATTGAAGAGGTTAAACTCAATGTGCTCTGATGTTCCTATAAACTTCTATGATCAGAAATCAAATATTTCGTAAGCCTCTTGGTAACTATTCAAATCTAAACAGTATTTTTAGGATTTTCTTAAGCATGGTATCTGAGTCTGAAACACATGGTAATAAGAGCCATAGTAATAGTGATAATAATGATGATAATAAAATAGCTGTCATTTATTTATCTGCAAATATTCATAAGGGCCTAGCTTGTGTCAGATGCTGTTCTAGGCAATGAGGGCACGGGAGAGAAGGACACATACCTGAGTTTGGGGAGTTTATATTCTAGTTTAGGGAGATGACATTTAACAAGTGTAATACAGCATGTCTAATTGTGATAAGGACTCAAAGAGAAACAGTACAAGGATTGGCAATGAAGAGTGCTGAAAGGCATTTCAGAGCATTCTTTAAAATACTTATTAGGAGCCATGAATTTTACAGGGATTCTCTCATTTCATCCTAACAATAATCTTATAAAAATTATTATCTTATACCTACTGTACAGATGAAAGAAGTGGGCTCAGAGACATCAATGAAATGGCTCAGGGTCACACAGATCGTTAAGTAGTGAAACTCTAGAGCCCAAGTCCTAACCATTATGTGGTACTGCTTTCTACCAGATGATACAATACAAGTCTCTAACGATCTCATAAACCAATATAAACACACAGATTCTGTACACTCAGAGCTCCTTTTCTTTCCTGCTGTGTTTATCCATAAAACCTATTGAAAGTGTTAATATTATTAGGAGGTAGCATCCTGGCACATATGATTTTTTCCTAAATCAGTGCATCTTGGGCAATGTTTGAAAAGCAGCACATAATAACCACAATTAAAAGACCAAAACTTAACAAGAGAGAAAAATCATTACAAAGACTTCATGGCATGTTCCTCAACTGTACTAGGTTGGTGAAATATTCTATACAGATGGACCCTAGGATACCAAAATTATATTTGTGCATTAGTCCTGTTCAAGGAAATACAAATCACATTTCAATGCAATAAAATAATTAACACCAGAGACTGTAATAGAATCAAATTTCACATAGAGCAGGGACACACAAGGGTAACATAGTGAAATGGTTAAATGCATGGATTCAGTACTCAAATACATGTTCCAGCTTGCTCTGTCACTAACTCTACCTTCTTAAAAGCCTACTATCTTCTCTGAATGCTGGTTTTCTTATCATTATGATAGTAATAATAATAGTATCAATCTTATATGTTTTGTGAGAATTAAAAGAGTTAATGCATGTTAAAGGCTTAGCTCAGTACCATCAAACAGGAAATGTACAATAAATCTTATTTATTACTGTTATTATCATGAATGGATGTGCCACCTTGAGCAAAGGGGATTTGAATGCTCAGAGAAGTAAAAGGTCTGACACTTAACAGGATACCTGATGTTATTTTTCCAAGAACCTATCTACACATGAGTGTTGAAGGAACCACTACTCCCCCTTCCCAAATTGCTGCCTCGGGAATATATTTAGAAACTAATTGTTAACAGTAGCAGCATATCCAAACAAAAAGGGCAATGACATAACTTTGACTCATTTCTGTACATTTATATAAATAATTCAACTAATGAGTGTCTTACAAGAAGAAAGAATGAAGATGACGCCACTGGTATGTAAAAATATTCATATCAACTCAGCCCCTTTTGTTAACTCTCAATAGCTACTGATTATCTGATTATTCCTTCTCATCTGTGTTTGGATGACTTCAAGGCACTTCCCAGCAAGTAAACTCATAATATTAAAGCAATGTTCTTTCCCAATTTATACCAGATTTCATCCCATCATATCAACAGCCCATATAGCCAAAGAAAGGGCTTTCTTACACATGGTTTCCATGGTGTTTATGCCTTTCTATCCTAAACAGACAGATGCATTAAGCAATGCATGTCAATCCCATTATGAGGCTGTGAAATGGGCAGAAGTTTTGTTACACACTCATGCAATCACACACATTGTGAACATCCTGTTTATTTGGCTCATCCTCTGATGATTGGCTGTGGTATATCAGCACATTACTGACAGCTGGGAATTTCTCCAGTGGAACATGCCTTTCCTATGACAAACATCCAACGAGCAATGGGAACATGTGTCTGCCCACTGTGCCCATACAAAGCAGCCCAGTTTCTCCAAATGCAGAGCATATTGGGTGCTTGGATTTTCTCAGAATGCCACCGACAGGCCCCTGGTGACCTTTAGGGGCCATATGAGATAATACATTCTTAGACTCCTATTTCCGGACTGCTTTGGGCAAGGTCAGGATGGCAAATGTCCCACTTCCACAATATCAGATGTTACGGTAATTCCTTTTAGCTAATGTGTAAGAGCAAAGGAATGCCTTCAAACCTCATCTAGGCCCTGTGGAATCTGTTGAAAATGCATGACAGCTGTGGGCTTTGGCGAGGTTGTCTGTGAATGTATGAGATTTGGAAACCATTCAAAGCTAGAAATAACTGTACAACTCATAACCCTTCACCACTGCTCACTCTCTCTCTCTCTCTCTCTCCCCCCTCTCCCCCCCCTCCGCCCCCCGTCATGTCATTCTCTCTTCCCATCACTCATTTCTCATGCACTGTATCTGGGTCACAATCTCATCCTCCTGACTCAAATGCATCATCACTGCTGGGAACTGTGGATAACATCCTCCACACAAAAAGATGGGAAAAGAAGAAAGAGGCAGGGGTGGCAGTGGGGGCAACAGAAGGATTTTAATAACGCACAAGAACAGGAAATTGAGAAAGATCTTTTTTTTCAGTATCCAACTGGGAGTTGAGAAGCAGCAGCAAACTCACACTTATTTAAAGGCCCATCTGCAGGTAGAATCATCCTCGGGTGCTCGAATGATGTGTAAAGGCACTTGTTTTCCTAAACCTGAATAATACTTTGAAAGGCTATGGCTATTTATACTTCACTTTTGAAACTTGTATGTGTATTTTATGCACCTCACCATTAACTCTCACAGCAAAAGAGTTTGTGAGTGACATTTTTGAGAAAAGTAGGATAATTAGGAAAAGGAACTGAGAGAAAAGGGGTCAAGCTCAAAAGCCGGCTTTTTATTCAAATGACTTATACCCAACTACACTATTGATTCTGACCTCAGAATTCCTACTCTTGAAATTTTGACTTAAATTATCATCTCCAGATTCAAAGACTCAGCAACCTGGTTCATAAACAATGTGACACCCTGGTAATCACTGGCTTTTTTCCTGTAACTTCTGCTACTTCTACATAGATTTAACATACTACCTCTTGGCACAATCAGGTTGTTCCAGCAGTTTTTACTTTCTAGTTAAACCCAGGTTTTTCACATGGTGGCTGTGGGTCAGTCATTGACCATAATGACTTTTCAGCAGTCTAAGCTAAGAGGCACATTATCCACAGTTTAGCCAGGATGGAGCTTTACAACTAATGAATTATTTTGGCAGTTAATATTATCCCACTGATACCCTAAAATGAAACAAAAACACATAGATAACATTAAAACAACTAATTTAGAACATGGGAAACTATGTAAAGAAGGAAAAAAAAACCTTCCTATACAGAATTTTGCTGCATGCTCTCATGAATTTCATTAGCTACACGGATCTAATTGAGTGTTGAGAAGCAAAGGAAAAACAGGTCTGCCATCCATACACTAACGCTTACGGCATCTAACGCAAAGGAGAGATCCCCATAGAAACTCACAGAGAAGGCCACAGATGCTCCCTCAGGGGCATTCACTCTTACATTTAGATCATTTCTAATTAGCTATGTTATCTGGATTCCCAGGCCACGATGAATTAAAAACTGCACTAGAGGAAGACAGGGATCTAGGAGAGGGGAGCGTGCTGGCAACAGGCAGGGGCACAGCTGGTCAGCTCACAGCAAGAGAAAAGAGCAGCATGATTGTCAGGGTATTTAGGAAAGAGGCCCCAGAACATTATAATATCACACAGAACAATAATGGATGTGTATAATGTTGACCCTGGGTCAGCAGGGAGAAGATGCATTCTGTATAAGAATCCAGAGAACTATACAATATGTTTTAGGTATATTTATATCAAAACAATTTAAGTTATAAATTTTGGTACTTCAAAGGAGTTGATTTCCTTTATGTCTAAAATGAAAATACATGAAATACTTCTCCGTCTCCAAATAACAGATTTTATTAAATCACTGTATTTAAATACAGAAGACTTATACATAAAATTTAATATCAGTGTCTCTTATTTTTTTTTGCTCAGACTCCACAAGATACACATTGCATGCCATTGTCTTTAATTAAACACGTCCTAAATAACTTCAAGAGTATCCTACCACAGCCAGGCATGGTGGCTCACATCTGTAATCCTAGCACTTTGGGAAGCCGAGGTGGGCAGATCACTTGAGGTCAGGAGTTCGAGACCAGCCTGTCCATCATGGCGAAACCCTGTCTCTACTAAAAATACAAAAAATCAGCTGGGTGTGGTGGCGTGCGCCTGTAATCCCAGCTACTCAGAAGGCTGAGGCAGGAGAATTGTTTGAACCTGGGAGGTGGAGGTTGCAGTGAGCTGAGATCACGCCATTGCACTCCAGCCTGGGTGACAGAGCTAGACCCTGTCTCAAAAAAAAAAAAAAAAGAAAGAAAGAATATCCTATCACAAAAAGAAATCTAAAAAATTGTGAAAGTATCACTCTATACACATACACACACACATGTACACCACACCAACGACATGAACACTGAAGGAGTGTACCTTCAATGTCAGTTTCACAAAGGGAAGGGCAATGAATTAGTCAAGCAGAGTGAGGTGACGAGCATTTCACATGAAGGACATTCACAGGCAGATTCAGGAAGGAGGTAGAAATGCTTAGGAATTAGTTTGTCTAGATGAAAGGCTAGGTGCTTGTCCTCCTGTCTCATCATGACTTCCCTCTTTTCTCAACTTCTCAGTGCTCACTCTTCCTGGTGCTGACATTCTCATGCCTTGTCATAACATCAAGGCTATATACCAACCTGGCTCTCATTCTGTAGCTATGACTCCACCTACTGCTAAGCTCCTTTTGTAAATTCTGCAGTGGACACCTTTGGGATTGTCTACCAGCACCACATCCCCTTATTCTGATAACTGCCCTTCACCCTATTGCTTTAGCTTCCTAAGGTTGCCACAGTAAATGACCACAAACTGGGTGATTTATTACAGCAGAAATTAATTATCTCTCAGTTCTAGAGGCTGGAAGCCAGAAATCAAGGTGTCAGCAGGGCCATGCATCCTCTGAACCTATAGAGGAAAATCCTTCCCTGCTTCTTTCAGCTTCTAATGTCCCCCCAGCATTCCTTGGCTCCTGTCAGCATAACCCCAAGCTCTGCCTCCATCTTTGAATGGCCTGTTCTGTGTGTGTGTGTGTCCTCTCTTCTTATAAGGATGCCAGCCATTGGATTTAGCACCCACCGAAAGCCCAGTACGACTCATCTCAAAATTCTTAACTAATTGCATCAGCAAGACTCTATTTCCAATTAAAGTCACATTCTGAGATCCCAGGTAGACATAAATTTGCAGGGGACACTTCAACCTACCACACCTATCCACATAGTTACCACCAAATCAACCACATTTTACAGCACAATTCTATATCTCAGCTATGCATAAATATTTCAACCATAGACTTCAGTGGAAACAAATTGATCTGCACTCAACAGCCATTCTTCTCTTCTTCCCTAGTCTGGTAGATACCTACCTCCAAATTTAGCTGGTAAAAGATCCAGATACTTGCTTTTCCAAGCTCCTTGCAGTCAGAAGTGATCTGGCTTCATGGGACTCAGTCCAACCACTGAAACAAAGGAGAAAATTCAACAGAAACTTGATTTACCAGGAAGTTTAGAGGCCAACATTCGTAATGACTCCAGTCAAAGCCCTGTGCCCCATTTTTAATTTTAATATTTTTCTGGTTTTCTTAAAGAAGATCCCAAAATTGTATTAGGTTCAGATCCCATTAACCCTGAAATGCAGTTATTTCTCTCCAAATAAAAAGAGAATGTCACACAAGGAGAGTTATTTTTCCTGCCTCTTTTCTGCTTCATATGCTACCATAAGGATATGGTTATGACAACAACGGCATTAATGCTTCTACCCACACAGAATGCTAAAAGAATCCTAGATAATCTGCCCCTTGACATTTAGCCCTGACCAACTCTAGAACCCCTCCCTCTAAACTTCTTGTTATGTAAGAAAAATATACAATAAGAGGTTATTCATGTTTTTTGTTGTGCAGCAAAAAGCATCCTAATACTATTGGTATGTCTTGACCTAGGCAGGGACAATTAGTACCTCGTCCTGATTTTTGGACTCAAGAGCCAAAGAGTCATGCCAATGTGACTCTGTTGACTGAAATCATAAGCTATAAAATTTTGGAAATTTTGGTTACCTGAGTTCTTGCCACATGGAAAAAACTCTTTAGAAAGAGATAAGAATGAGCTTGACATATGGAGAAAAGAAGCACGGCTAAGAGACAGGGAAACAAGCTTGATGCTGGAGTTTGGTTCTCGATACTATAAAAGATATTGACCTTTCTCCAATCATGGTTGTCCCATTCTTTCATAGCTTAGCCTTCCATTAAAATCCCCTCTTTTGCTTAAATCAATTCAAGTGGGATTTTGTTCACTCATAAGTTAGCCAAATTAATAAAGCTTCTTTTTCTTCTCCAAGATGTTACCATTCTCTAACTGTCCTTTTCTTCTTTTATTTTTCTTTGCCTTATTCCAAGGAGCCTGAATCCTATCCAATGACTTCAAATATCCTTGTGATTAAAAGGAAGCTTTGCAGTCAGATACACCTGGGTTCACTTCCTGGCTCTGTTAGCAAGTAACCATCTCAAAGCCTTATTTATATGATCTCAAAGAGAAGGATTGTGGTAACAGCAACCTCATGTGGTTCTAAGGACTAAATGAGCTGGTACATGTAAAATATTCAATAGAATCATTGACACATAGGAAACACTTATGAAATGTATTGATTACCACCACAGAGGCAAATATCATTATTATAATTCTGAACCACAATGCAGAAATCATTCACTAACCCTAATCTCTGCCTTGACCTCTAATCCTGTAACTCTTATTTCCTTCTGAACCTTCCCATTAGTATTTCCTAATTTCCTCTTAAACTAAACTGATTCTTACTCTTCTTCCTTCCCTCACTCCTCTCCCGCCCACACTGCAATTCACATTTGCCATTTGGTGGTGGTTGTTAATTACCCTGTCACAGAGATGTATAAAACTTATTCTTAAGTTTAAGAAAGCAAGGATTATGAATTACAGTTATTTGCATTTTCGTACTTAGTTTAGCTGTTCAATTTTTTTTTAAACAATACTCTATAATCTTGAATCTATTGTGCACAGATGGTGGTTGAAAAAACAAATAAATTACTTTCATACTCATAAAATACTTTTTTTCTATGAGGAGATATGACATATGGGCAAAGTATTATAGCATTTCTCACATTTTTCCAGACATTACAAAAAAAATGCAGTGTTTAGAGATTTCAGAATTATAGATCACTCCTAGTCCAAGTAAAGTTTCCTTCAGAAAGTATTACCTTCAGGCCTGTGTAAGAATATCCTCCTTTGGGCCTCACACTTTAGAGAGTGCCACACATTATGAACATACAAACCCAAATTTATAACAGAATACGTGGATATATCGTCACCTGGGGTCCAGCAAGCAGAGCCCAATCTGTGGTTTTAAATGCAGGTTCTCATGTCAAACCTCCTTCAAGTCCCAAATAATCAACTCTTCAAACCTCTTGTCATTTGTCCCCAGAACAAAAGATGACTGCATGAAAATGGTATGAAATGGCATGAGGCCAGCTGCTGCTGACTTCAGAGATGATACTACTTTGTTATATGGGAAAGATGTGAGCAGCAGAAGAGTTAGGTAAGAGAAAACACAAATTAATTAACTTGTACAGTTCTTCTTTTCAGTATGGGTGCAAAGGATTCTTTATAATGAAGCATCTTTCCCAGCTGTTGCTGGGCTATTCTTCTCCACAGGTTCCAGGTGTGGCATGTGGACACATTCATACTTTAGTAAATTAGTATGTTTGCAATAGGAGCACATAGAAGCTGAGCAACAGTCTGCAATATTAAACATTTAAAATTTTTAAGAGCTAAACAACACAGAATAGCCAAATATGCTCAAAAATACACGTAGTAATCTTGGATACTTTGCCAACTTTTAGAAAAATAAACACCATAGCCTTACACATTTTTAAAATTTTGAAATTGTATAGCTATCAGAGTTTTCAGCTAAACTTGTATCTTTTAAATATTTATACAAATAGTATGTAGATTTCATTCATACTTCAATCCTAGGCCTCGCAACCTTGCAAGTGTTAAGAGTAAGTCTATTAACTTACTCTTAATAAGGCACTTTGTGGATTCAAGACAACTTTGAAACATAGGGAACAGTTGAAAGTTAGGACTGGCAATACTTAAGGAGGGACCACTAAAGAAGAGAAAGACACAAAGCTGGAATGCCCAGGCTATACTAGAATGTGGGGTCCATGAGACCATGAAATGTGTCTGGTTTTTGTTTTGCTTGTTTTAATGGATCTTTGGAGGCCAGAATAGTGTCTGGCACATAGCAGACACTCAAAAACACTCACTGATTGAAGGAATTAATGAATGATAGCAAGAGTCAAATTTTTGACTAGAGCATACACTATATAGAAGAACAGTGGGAAATAAGGCTTACAGGAGCAGATGATGGGCTTCAGAAGAGAGTACAGATGACTTTTTATTAATTCATCAGTAAGTTGAGCAACATTTTGTGATAGATGTTGACAGGCATTATCTCCCCTCTATCCTGTCTTCAAGATGAGGTCAACTTTGTTCTGAGGCATGGAAATCTTCATGGAAAGGAGTAAAGAGGTTACTGGGAAAAAAAGAAAGGAGAGAAAAGTTGTTTGAAGGATCTTCAGGAGACTTTTCAGACAAGTTTAGGTGTGCCTCTTGAAGTTTTACTTGCATAAGGGCTCAACACACTCCTGGTGAGAACAGCTAGAAACTCTTTAGAAATAATTGTGAGCTCCGGGACTGAGATGTTTAGACAAAGGGGAGGGATAGAAGTCACCTCTTCACCTCTTGGGGAGTGTTTCCACAAAACAGAAGAAACTCATCTTGAGTCATGGTATGTTACAGAGCTGTGTCCTTGTCCAGAGAAAGTGGTCAACACAAGGATCACAAGGGAGCATAACATGGAGTGCAATATTGCCTGGATTAATTCACTGTTCCCTCTGATTCAGTCCTTGAGGGAAATTTGCTAAGTTCCTCATAATAGAAAAGCATTAAAAAGAAATAAAAGAGTAATTCAAATTGAAGAGTCAAAACATTAAAGGCAAAGGGAAAAAATAAGAGAAGTTTCTCTACAGAACCTATCAAAAGATTGTAATGCAGCACAGAAGCCTGTTAGCGCAAAACTCTTTAAAATTATGAGAACAGAAAAAGAGAGCAAATTACATGAAAGACTCACTTCTCCCAAATAGTCTAAGTTAATTGTTCCAGTTTTAAAGTTTTCTCCTCAGCCAAGTTTCTGTAGAATTTCCACTTTTAGTTCATATATATTTTTCTTGCTAAAACTGAGGCTTCAGTATATGCCTCTTGACCTGGGTTCACATTTTATAGCCGAAAAAATATATGAAACCTCGAAGGAAATCATAGCCAAATTGTTGAATTTTAGTTGGTTTAGGTCAGAGGGCAAGAATCCATAGAGCTTTATGTACTTTCTACCTGAAATAAAGAAAGACCCAAGTTTGCCTAAAACTTGGCCAAAATCCACCAATTTATCTGGGGCCAAAGTTTTCAGTTAATCTGGCACAAATATGGAGTTTTTAATGATACCTGACACCAGATGAATTTTTTAAAATGATTTTAAGACTAACATTCATAAGGCTATAGAAAACAAAAATTTTCCATTGCCCAAATATTCATTTAGTAGTTAAGAACAGAAAATAAAGTTTCTTAGAGTAAGCTATCACACAATACAATTCTTTTATATTTTAAACTGGTGGTTTTCCCAAAGTAGGCAGATAATAATTTCATGCTTTCATGTGGCTGAAGTCTCAGTTAAGACTTTGTCTGAAACATAAAATCAAAGTTCAAATATTCCTCTCCTAGTTAGTGATTCTTTCCACCCAAATTGCATAAGCCAAGGTCAACAAGAATAAAATGTATGAGTGAATGGAGATTTTGAAACAACAAATTATTTGTACTGTGGTTATGATTAAGATATAAAATAGGGAAGGAAAATTAAATTCTACAAACTTGCTTTATGAAAGCTGACAGTTTGTTAAAATCCAGAAACTAGAAATTCCAATCGGAACAAAACTTTTCCTAGTTCTAAAGCATTAGTAAACTGTTAAGAAGTCTGACTTTCTCTAATGGGGAGAAAAGTAAAAGATAAATTTAAGCCAGGTTATCTTCCTCCCAAGGTATACTTTTGATATTTCCATTGGGGATTAAGTAAACAAATCTAGCGAGCTATTTCTATGTTCCCAATACATCTACCAGAGAAGATACAAATTTTATCCTCTAAAGTTAATAACTTAGGTGAACCAACCAAGCATAAGAAAGATAACTGAGGAATACCAGAACACAAAATAAATTATACTTCACATGCTAGATTTGTTTAAACGTAAAGAAAGTTGTAGGCTAAATTTTAAGAATAAGTAGGTTTTAAGTTAGAGACCGATCTAATAACCCTTAGTAAATGCCTGTTATTGACAGACACTGAGTGAGGTTGTGCATAGTTTGTGCTCTTTGAGAAAAAGATTGATGGAGGATACAGATATATACAGAAGGGGACAGCCAGTGAAATTCAGGAAGCAACAGAATAAGAGTATGTTCACTGTACAGTGAGAGCAGCCAAGAAAGCACCAGACTCAGCCTGGAATTGGGGAAACTGGGGCTGGGGGCAGGGGAAGCCTGCTTGAAGGAAGATTGGACACTAGATACATAAAAGGAGGGGGAAGCTGTACGAGACAGAGAAACTATACGGTCAACAAAAGCAACAAGCTGTAAAGAGTAAAGTCTGTGGGTTAGGGATAGGAGAGGGATCAAGAAATAAACAGAAATACTTATCAAGAAACACTGGGAGGTAAGCATAGAGAGCTGAACTGGGGCTGGATATGGCAGTATAGTGGGTTGAATGGTAGTCCCCCAAAAGATATGAATATATCCTAATTCCCAGAACTTCTGAATATTAGCTATTTGGGGAAAGAATCTTTGCAGATGTAACTAAGTTAAAGATCTTGAGATTTAAAGATCATCCTTGATTGTCTGGGTGGACCTACATGCCATGACAGATGTCATAAGAGTAAGGCAGGAGGATATTTGACAGACAGGGAGGAGAAAACACAGAAGAGGAGGAGACACTGTGCAGATGGATGCAGAAACTGGAATTTTGCCTCCACAAGTTAAGTAATACTAATAGCTCTCGGAAGCTGAAAAAGGCAAAAAAAAAAAAAAAAAAAAAAATTCTTCCTTAGAGCCCACGGAGGGAGTATGGTATTACCAAGAACTTGATTTCTTGATTTTGGACTTCTGTCCTCCAGAACTGTGAAAGAATAAGTTTCCATTTTTCCATCGTATTAAGAAACCAAGTTTGTGACAGTTTGTTACGGCAGTCCTGAAAATCTAGCACAGAGTGTCTGGAGTTTCACACTGAATCCTGGCTTGCCCTGGTGGGCAATGGTTTTATTTTGTTTTGGAGCTGGGTTAAAAGTGAAATATAAGGCCAGGCACAGTGGCTCATGCCTGTAATCCCAGCACTTTGGAAGGCCAAGGCGGGCAGATCACCAGAGGTCAGGAGTTCGAGACCAGCCTGGCCAACATGATGAAACCTCTTCTCTACTAAAAACACAAAAATTAGCTGGGTGTGGTGGCAGGTGCCTGTAATCCCAGCTACTCAGGAGGCTGAGGCAGGAGAATCACTTGAGCCTGGGAGGCGGAGGTTGCAGTGAGCAGAGATCGTGCCACTATACTCCATCAAGCCTGGGCGACAGAGTGAGACTCCATCTCAAAAAAAAAAAAATGTGAAATACAAGATTGATAGCAAGTTGGGTCAGAGATTATAGGAGAGTTAACCTGTTAACACATGCTGTGATCTGAACATTTGTCTCCTCAAAATTTATTTATTGAAATCCTAACCCCAAAGGCAGTGGAATTAGGATGTGGGACCTTTTGGTAGGTGATAAAGTCACAAGAGTGGAGCTCTCATGATTGGATTAGTGCTCTTATAAAAGAGACCTCCAAAAGCTAGCTAGCCCCGTCCACCATGTGAGGGCACAGCTAGGCACTGTCTATGAGGAATGGGTTTTTACCAGACACTAATCTGCCAGCACCTTGGTCTTGGACTTCCCAGCCTCCAGAACTGTAAAAATGAACGTTTGTTGTTTACAAGCCACCTAGTTTACTAGTATTTGTTAAAGCAGCCTAAATGGATTAATGCAGTAAGAATTCAAGAAAGTGGTCATTTGTTGTCACACATAATTTTCAAAATCTTAAGACAACATAATTCTCATGTAGATGCATTGTCAAAATTTTATTAAATTTGTTAAGGGAATCAGCAAGATGTAAAGGGCATTATTTTGCTGGTCATTATACTAAAACATACTGACACATGTTTACAGAGTCACTGAAAGAAAAGAAGAAATCTGGAATGGGATTGCTAAATTAGAATAACAACAATAAAAAAAGAGAGTATTGTCTGACAGGGCCAGAGACATGAACTTTGAGGTGATCTTTTTTACTGGGCTGAAACCATTTGCATTACTATCAGAAAAATAAACACATGCAACCTCTTGGCTTTCTGCAAGTTAAGATCTGTGCTAACAAAGCTATAAAATGTTGCCATGGATACCAGTAAATAGCAAGTCAAGGAAAGTTACATTCTTAAGACAGAAGACCTTTAGGTGAGCTTGTTAGACAATGCCATCACTTAACAATGTAAGTCACACAGTTATCTTTTCCCATACTTCCAAGTTTTGGATAATAACATTTTCTTATTATTTGGCACTAAAGTTGAGTCAAAAGTAGAGGAAAAAGCATATATTTTAGAGATCCTGCTAAGAAAGCATTTATAAGACTAATATCTACCTCATTGTTAAGAAAATTAAATAAGTTATTACATGCAAAGCCCTTGGAAGAGCACCTTCTCCAATATTCCCTGTCATTCTCTTACATTATCCTGACATAATTTGTTTGGAAAGTCTTCTAGGAGAACATATTTTTAGCAAAGTACATTCATATTCCTATATTCAATAATATCTGAGTAACTACTATGTCTATAATGTTACATGATAATTTTCTTCAAGGATTTTTATCTTATTTCTAAGACTTGAAACTGTTAAAGGTTTAACACATGAAATAATAAAAGAATACAATATTGTATAATCAATGTTAACCACATTTAGTTAAAGATCAAAATATATGATTCTCTTCTTATATAGCTCTGAAATGTACAGTTTCTCAGAGTATTTTGCACGTACTTGAGGAAGTTAATGAAACATGATTACGAAGCTAACAAGATACTAGATTCCATAGATAACCAGAAAGGAGAATTGTGATTTTTCTCGTCTTGAGAATATAGTAATGACAAAATTAGCCCTCAAAACAGACTTAGTAAGAAGATGAAATTCCGTGGAAATATGATACAAACAGAAGACTTTGTTGGCAGTTGATGAAAAAATATGTTCATTGATTTTTTTGTTAAATAAAACAGTTTGGTGCTTTTAAAAGGAGCTATCAAATATAATAGCAACTTCTATTTTAGTGGCTACACAGATGAAAACTTTATGCCAACTTACCTAATTAAACTTTAATTTTAACATTGGAATTTATCCAGTACTATACATACAATGTGACAGACATAAGAAACTTGTTTCCAGGATGATACTTCTTACCCACAAATTCAATGAAAGTACTTACATTTAGTTCCCCCAGTACCTGGTTCATGACTAGTATAGCATTTATGGTATTGTATTACAATTTTTCTCACTGCCTCCTGCAATAGAATGGTAGCTCTTCAAATACAGAAACTATGTCGTTCTCATCACAAAATTTAAAACATAGTGCCTGACCCACCCTAGATTCTCAATTAATACATTTTAAATTGTAAAGGAATTAAATAATTCCAATTAATAAATAAATGAAAGATTTGGAGGCATCTTCCCACAAAATGAGGTTAAGGTAGGTGTGCTAATACTGTATATATAATGATGCCTCTAATGGTGACTTACTTTGTCCCATGGCTGTATATAAGATCCTTCAAAAGAAAATATCATTCGGAGTTTATAATCCAAGCAACTGATCATTTTCACAGATATCTCTATCTCATATCATACATATTTATTTACTATAAATAGAATATGTTATAATATGTTTAGGTATATAATACATATTAATATATTATAAAAGTATGTTAGTTAAAAGAGCGACAGATTTTCTTCACTTAATTAACTACTGTGTAAGAATGAATTCTGGCCTTTGCCCTGGCTTTCAGGAGGTGATCTCTACACCCTTGGAACTTCTGCGCGGTAGGAGTGTATTTGTTATTCATAACGAACCCTCAAGCACACCTCAACAGTTCATGCTAATGAGGTGATTTATGGTGAACCCCTTGGTGTCAACCCAACCTCCAGGGAGGGAGGAGAGCTGGAAACATGGCAATGATTCAATCAATTATTCCCACATAATGAAGCTCCCATGAAAACTTCAGATACTGAAGATCAAGTGAGGCTCCTCCTGGGCAGTATTCATTGAGTATTGTCTCACATAGTAGCCTGGAGGAGGTAATGCCATCCAGGATTCCACCTGGAGATGACCAGAAACTTTGCCTCCCAGAATTTGCCCAGTGTGTCTCTTTCTTTGGCCAGTTCTAATTTGCCTCCTTTCAATAGAAAACTAATTGCAAATATAGCACTTTCCTGAGTTCTGTGAGTCATAATAGCAGGTTATCAAAACTGAGTGTGGTTTTGGGAAGTCTCTGAACTTGCAATTGCTGTCCAAAGGTGAGGGCAGTCTTGTGGGGACTGTTCCCTCTGATGTTGCAATTTGGCAAACTCCTTACAACTACTTAGAGGAGATAGTATTTATGTTTCATTTCTCTTTTGTAGAGAAGAAAACTATCATAATGGGAGATCTAATGAAGCTCAAAAGCAAATAAGAGAAACAGGTGGATGAAGAAGGGGAGCCCAGAAGATAACAGACCATCAAGAAGTTTTAGAGTTAAGAAAAAGAAAAAGTGATGCTCAATCTTTGCCATATTGTTTGAATATTTGTCAAGTTGTATGAGTAATAGAATATGGAGAGAAATGAGTCATGTCCATAATTTGGTAAGCCTGAGATCAGGAGGGCAAAGAGATGGATACTAGAGAATTAGGAGTTATCTAGATCTAGTTAGTATCCTCATATCATCTAGGAGTCCACAGAACTCAATGTGGAAGAATGAATGTGCCCACTTGAAATGAATAAAATATTCTTTTCACAACAAAATGAATGATTTTGGATAAGCCATTCTTCCTGCCTCACAAAGGGAAGTGATGAACATCCTTAATAATCAAAGGTATTGCCACTGAAAATGGAAATCCTTTTACTGTAAGTCCTTCTTTTGAAAGGAAGGACCATATTCTTTTTTTTTTTTTTTTTTTGAGACAAGAGTCTTGCTCTGTTGCCAGGGCTGGAGTGCAGTGGCGCGATCTCAGCTCACTGCAACCTCCGTCTCCCGGGTTCAAGCGATTCTCCTGCCTCAGCCCCCTGAGTAGCTGGGACTACAGGTGTGCCACCACACCCACCTAATTTTTGTAGTTTTAGTAGAGATGGGGTTTCACCATGTTGGCCAGGATGATCTCGATCTTTTGACCTCGTGATCCGCCCTCCTGAGCCTCCCAAAGTGCTGGGATTACAGGTGTGAGCCACCACACCCAGCCAAGAAGGACCATATTCCAAACATTGTTTTATATCATATTGTCTATCTTGTTTGAGTTTCCTGCATTTTTTTTTATGAATGATTTAAAAGACACCGATCAAACCCATAGTTCTAGGGCACATGAGAATGTAATGTTCAATATGTGCTTGAAGAACAACCATGCAGGGACTGTCAATCAGGGCTGCAAACTAAGATATTTAAAGAGTAGCCAACAGTCAGGACGGGTAAGTCAAATTTGAGGGACTACAGAATTCAAGGAAAAGTCAGGAATGTGGGGAATCTTAACTAATCAAGAATTTAGGGCGGGACTTAGGGAGTCAATTAATCAGGCAGCTCAAAGCAGAACTATACAGCTACTGGGATATGTAGGGGGGTCATATATGCTTATCGCCATTTTATAAGGAGGCTGTCCTATTCAATGAAATTATCTTAGAATGTGGGAAAATTTAGCACCTATTCTCCAAAAGCAGAAAAAAGGACAGAGTGCCTCTGTAACAATGTATGTCTACACAGACATGACTACAGGGATTTATGGAGGGTTCAGTAAGTGTCACACTAAACAAAGTCTAGGATGAAAAGTGAAAGCCATTAGCCGTTTTTTATTCAGAGTGGAGCCCTAAGGAATGGTATAGCACAATACAAAATTTTGTTATTTAATCAGGAAAAATTCAAATCCCTTAACACAGGATCAGCATACAATAGAAACTCAAATGAGGGACTCCTTATGACAAAATGAAGGGAAAACAGGTAATTCAAACTAAAATAATTAAAGGAGACAATACAAATTTAAGGAAATTTAAGTCTGCTAACTATATAAAAATACATAATACTTTTTGAATATGCTGTTCCCTCTACAAAGAACGCAGTTCTCCAACACATTTGCCTCTTCGTCCAATTAATTTCCCACCACATGTCAGCTCCAGTGCCTTTGTTTTCCCAAGAGAAGCCTTAACGTGTCTCCAGTGAGTTTCCTTTATTTTATATTCTCATACAACTTTGCTCTTTCTTTTATCTCTTATATTTCAATTTTCAATTACATAAGCATTTGTATAATACCTTTCTCCACCACAAGACTGTAGGTACTATATCTATCTTTATTCACTATTTTAACCCTATCACCTAGAATATAGCTTTTCTCTCGCTAGCAGTTCAAACATATGGCTTGAGTGCATAAATGGATGAATAAATGAATGTCATCACCAACAGAAGCCATTAGTATACTTTTAATTCCAATTAAAATAAGCAGAATACAATGTGTTTGTCCATAAAGATCAGATTAACACGTAGAAAAAAATCTGAGGGAAATGAAGGACAAATACAGAATACTACTGAAATTTCCCCTTTCAGAAATTAAAAAAAAAATAATAATTGAAACTGGTGACTTCCCTTTCTTTGGGCAATGTCTCCTCTAAACCCAGTTACTGAAATCAGATGACATAATGAAGTAACTGTACAGTAATTTATCTGTGCCAATGGAGGATGCTTTTGAAAACAGTCTTAGTCATGTTTCCATTACATTCAGCAGCGTTATTCGCTTCTGAAGCTCCCAGTTGTAATTGTGATGAGGAGAGTTGGAGAAGAACTTGGTGAAAATGATTATAAAGCAGAGAAACAGATACCATGATGAAAGCTTAAAGGAATCAGGATTATTTCATTCCCAGAAAAAAGCCGGCAGATTAAATAATGGAATCATATGGGTGGTAAGCAGCTGTTCTACATTCCCAACAAACATAGGTAAGGGAAGAAGGACTCAAGCTCAGCATCAAGAAATCCTCCTCCGGGCCAACAAACCCTCCATCATACCGACACGTGTAGCAGTTAACCTCCCACTTTGAATGCTCAGCCTCTTCTCTCTTTCCTCATGGATCTCCTTACAAGTTCTTCTTGTAAAAAAAATCTCTATGACTACAAAAGTTTGTGAAAACTCTCCCAAGCCACCACTCATCCTCTACAGCAATTATTTTAATCCAGTGTCTCTGAAATATTTTTAAAGCATTTGATTAAGAAGCCTCAAAAGGGTGTCAGATTTCCTTAATGTCTTAAGTCAAAAACAAAAACATATCAGTGTGGATGAAACACATATATAATTTTCCATAATGTTGGGATACACACTCAGGAAGACAAGATTTTTAAGGGAACACATGCCTGGTTGTGTTGTTGTGTATTGGCTCAAATCTAAATTCCTCTTCCTCCCTTTTTAAGCTCGTCATCAGTAGCAGTCCTGATTGGAAGCAGGTGAGTGAAGACGGTAAGGATTAGGTTGCAACATTCCTTTCAGATTTAGAATAACATGTCCTTGAAATAACACTAGGTCATCAGTTTTTATTGAGCTGCATAAGCTCACCAACTTATTGCATAAACTTTATTCCCAGCCCTGGGCTTCTTTTCCCTTTGCTGATACTGGCAAGTATCAATATGAGTACAGAAAAGTTGAAAGTGAAGGGGGATAGATGGTATTCAGATCATCCTATCTGACTTCAGTATTTGTAGCCACTGATAATCCCAATTAGGAAGCAAACTAAATGATTGTTTTCCTTTACTGACTCACCACCCCAAACTGCCCCTAAAGACTAGTGATTTTGGGCCTTATTCACAAAAGAGTGCTTAATATGTTGTGTTCAATTTGAGGTCCTGGGATCCATCGTAAGTTTTTCCTCTACATCTTTGTCAAGTGGTATAGACAGTGATAACACATCTTGATATCACTGCCCACTTCGAGCATAACAAATGGTGATGTCTTTTCCCAGGAAAGCATACCCATTTACTCAACAAATCCAGTGATACAATGATGAACAAGACCAAAGTTCAAGAAATTTTTTACAGGTTCCTGTTTTTTATTCTCACTGGCTCAATGAAAACAGTGACAAATATTATAAAAAGTCACATATATTTTCAACAAAATAATTGAAAAGATTCCCAGTTCTAACTTTAGTTACAAATTCTATTTAGGTACCCTGACCATTTCTTCCCCCATGTTACCTGACCAAATTAAGGTAGGAAACAAATCTAGCAGAAATGTGTCTGGTGGAAGTCAATTACTAAAAAGTGTTCCCTAAATGAAAAAAAAAAAAAAGTCATTAACAAGTTTCTTGTTTAGACAGAGAAAAGACTAATAAAAAGATGCTATTTTGCTAGTGAGGATCAATTATAACTACTACCACTAAATGCAGATTATCAAGAGCTCTCTGGCTCTTACAATTTACTTACACCTACATGAGTTTTTTTCTTATTAAATATTACTAATCTGATACTCAATCAGAAATAGAATTACTGTTAATTTAAAACTCATTATAAATCTTAAAGCCTAGTATAACAATTTATACAAAGTCCAATAGCTTATATTACAGTAACTCAGTAAATTTATTTTCACATCAATAAATAAACAACAAATAAAACAATAAAGCTAGCAGATGGTCAAAACCTTAACTACTTTTATCTAGAAAATTTAGAAATGAAACTTTTTTAGCAGGCTCACAATTCTTCATTAGGACAACTAGCTAGAGGCATGCTCTCAAAAGCCTAAGAATGATTTATGCTTTGAATTGCAGTTGTGTGTGTGCTTGTGTTTGATATGCGTGTGTGTTTTCTATGAAGAGCATAGGTTTTGTTCATTTCCACATGAGTACAATTAATTTTTGGAGATGTATAATAATATCTATCTTGGCACTGAAAAGTTAGAATCCAAAGGCAAAAATATGAAAAACCAATTAAGAAGGGATTATAATAAGACCTGATTTGCAACCTTAAGTGCACTATTCAAATATTCTAATAAGCCACATACTTCCTTTGTGTGATTTCATTCTCATCATGTAGAACTGAAGAAAAGTTATGAATAACAAAAGCACCTACCATCACTCACATGAAAATAGACAATGGAAAAAAATAATCTAAGCGACTTTGGGGCTCAGTACTAACGAAAAATGTTATTTCGTGTGACCACTTTTTCTTTTTAGCATTTTCCTCTAGAATCAATGAATGTCAGGCTACCATGGCGTTTCATCTTTGGGGCTGCATTTTTAGGCCAGATTTGGGGCGAAGGGGGAAATGACTAGGTCAGAGTCCAGTTAGAAAGAATTTGTGCTATGCTTCCAAGTTTCTAATTGTATGAATATTCATGTTTCCAAACTGGATGTAATAATTGAAGTAGTGTGTTCTACTTCAAGAAAACCCATATTTCATATTGGACATTACCCATGGTAATACGGAATAGAAGTGCATTTCTGTGCTTTGCTACACATGCTCTTCATTTAGTGTCTAAAAATGATAGCCAAGTGATAGGCAACCAACAAAAGAAAGTTGGTAGGAAAAGACCTTGGAAGTCTAATATCATTTTTAATAAGTATTTTTACCAAAATAGATTAAACTTAAACAGGTCAGGGAATCTCTCCTCAAAGCCACATAGGAAAGTTTCACTTGAGCTTGTGATCAGCGTAACCCCTTATCCATGAACCAGGGTATTAAATGTAGAAAAATGCAACTGCCTCTTGGGCTAAATTAAATCCACTTTCCTATTGTGACGGGTCTAAAAGGAATCCTACAAATAAATGGCTATGATTCCGTAATATCTCGTTGGTTCTCTATATTTCTCCTCATTCTTATTATTGTCTACCCAGTCTGTCCCCTCTACATCCACAGTAAAATTATACAAGTGGGAGACATCATGCCACCTCATACTTCTGAATAAAATAAAGCTAAAATTGCAGAATTAGGGAGCTGAAATGGAAGAAATGGGACTTTTTTCCAAGTAAGATAGCTTTCTCTTATTCTATTTTAATCTATCAAATGCCCAAAACAGGTGCTGGACATGTCCTACATTGTCACTAATCCTCCTTGTCACTAATAAGCTTGTGATATAAATAGCAGAGACAGCATCAAAAACCAGGTCTCTCAGACTTCAAAGCCCATGTTTTTTCCACCAGATTAAATTTCCCTTCTTCAGGGCCCATATTGGAACTCCAAAAGGGTACAGGGTTGCGATGTTCAGCTAAACTGAGTAAGCAAAACAGCTTTGCACAGTCCACAGAGCCAAAAGCGGAAGACAATTTCTTGCATATTTGAAGCATATATCTCTTAAAATTCTGTTGTCCTCAACACAAATACAATTCAATGATTTTATGGAATAGGATTGTCCCTCCACACAGATAATAGAAGATAATTGGCTTTAAAGATCATATTGAAAGATTGCCTGTGGTTGCAGTTATGTACAAAAAAGAAAAGCAGAAATTTTAATGTGGAGAGGACAGAGCAGGTACACAAGCAGCCCCAGGTGAGGCCTTTGCTTCAGGCATCCATCTCAAATGGCAACCTAAGATTGAAGAAGGATACAGTGTCACCTTTACCCATGCAAGGACCTAAAGAATGTCAGCTGAAAGTGAAAAATGCCAGTTTTATGCTACCCTATCTCAAAATCAGGTGTGTCCATGAGGTCAGATCCACCTTTATTTTAATATGAACCATAGGTAGCTCTGTTTATGTTTCTGTCCCCCCAGAGCACGAAGATCTCTCCCTGTGCTTGAGGTGGGCCACTTAACACTCAATTTACCTACCTTAATAGACCAAATGAATGATTCTTGCATTTTAACTAGTCCTCTTAATAGACAAAGAGTTTTTATATCTCTTATTGAGCAGAACTCAGTTACTATTATTTCCTTAACACAAGAACATTATTGCAATTTTTGCTAAAACAATTATTTGCAAAAGAAATTAATACTAAAGGCAACCCTTCAGTTTGGTTTATGGCAATCTAGGAAAATGAGTATATTTTAATACCACTCTAATAAAGTGGACTTGTAAATACAGCAAATTAGCCTGATGTGATTATTGAAACTTATTAATGAAATTCTCCAGGAACTAGGCCTTGATGATAATAATATACAAAATAATCCAAAAAATGAAGTCATTCTTGGGTTATTTTATAGTGCCTTTACAAATTAGACACAGTCTTCAATAACAACATTAATATGTTCTGAGGATTTGCCACACAAATACAGACATTATTATCAGATAAACACATAATGAGAGATATTTGGAGCTGTAGTACTCTCAACTGGGCAAGAATCTGTTGTCAATGTTTTATAACTGACAATACAGACCAGTAAAGGTTTGGCCATGAATTTGTTCCAGCTACTCACAGTATTGGCCTCATAGATAGAAAATATCCCTACAAGAATAAGCCAAACACCAAAAGATGGCATATATTTAAAACTCCATAATATAGTATGGCTTTGGGAATATTTTTGTTGGACATTATGACATAAATATTTTCAATATTTATGAATTCAAATTTCTCTCAAGAAATTTTTTTAAAGATTAAAAAGTTCTCCAATGACTACGAAAACTAACATAATTTCTGCTGCTTCCAATTTCAACAGCCAGGTTCACAAACTTCATCTGATTTTCAACCACTCATTTCCTAGGTTTAAAGAAAAAGTCCTTATAATAGCTAAGGTTTCCAATAAAGCCACTCTTTAGAGGACTGGTTAGATAATTACTCCAAGCTCCATTAAGAAATGCCCCATTCCCAACACATATCTAGCAGCACACCTGTGTTGTCTGCACAGCCTGGCCTCCTGTCATCTCCATGTGAGTGTTTCCAAACCCATGTGTCTTTTGGGTCTCCTCCATTCATAGAGGGACATAAGTGGAAACGTTTTGATGTATGTTAATTGATGTTTGTCCAAACATTATGAAGTAATAATCCACAAAAGCCACAGAAGCTTTTACAAAGCAAAGTGAAGGGAACAATCAAAGTTTTGGGTGGATTACAAGTCCACACCCGGGCAAAGCAGACTTACAGCATTTCGTCCTTCCACAATGATACTATAAATGAAGCAAAGAAATGTTTGTTCTCTTATAATCCCCTCTATTATGTGGTCTTGTATGTCGTCTCACGCAATTGGTGCTGTTTTACACTGCAAGCTTGCCATGGGGCAGGGCATGGTACAGGGCTGTCGGCTAGATCCACACCATAAACCGAGGGGACTTGAGGGTCTGGCACGTCCCTGTTAAGTGAATCTCTGAAGTAGAACGAAAAGACTCATAAATCAAAAGGAACAAAAAGGTTTAAAAAGCTGAAGTGAAAGTGAGCCGAATGCATTCTCAAGCAAAACCAGGAACAACTCTAAGTTGTTGCTCAGTGGAACACTCTAACGTTTGCTTCTGTTTGGCAAAAATAAAAATAAAGAGCCCACATATATATAAAATGGTATCCTAAACCTCTCCTTCAAACTATACAAAGAATAAGTTTTAGCTGTCTATAAATGAGAAATCAGCAGACTATAATCATGAGCAAAATTGGTAAAATTTGCTGTGTAATCATTTCAGCTGCAGTTTATTTGAACACTAAGAAAGGACATAAATTGACTCACTCCTATTGTGGTTCCTTGTTTACATAAAACAAGACCTTAAAAAGCATTAGCAACTTTCTATGTTCACTTAATTTCTTGGAATTATGTAAATATAAAAAAACCAGAGTGTCGTGTGTGTGTGTGTGTGTGTGTGTGTGTGTGTGTGTGTGTGTGTTGCATATACCCCTTCTGCCTGGCAGAAAGCCAACTTTACCATTCATTGTCATTATACAAAGCTAACAGTCATGTCTGATTTGAGACAGACAATAGGGAGTCAACATATTAATAACATGGTAAATATCATTGATATAGGAAGTATTTAATCTGCCCTTTTGCTACAACATTGAAAAAAATGTGTAGAGACATTTTTCAAAGGTTGTTTAGAAATCACCTATGCTACGTTATAGAGGATTAGGGTTTATGACAATAAATTGAGCACTATGTACACTGAAAACAGAAAACAACTATCTGTTAAATTATTGAATAGACATCAGGAAGACATAATAGTGTGTGGGGGGGGGTGTGGGGGGGGATGTTCTCTATTCAGTTAAGTCCAAAATAGCTAAAGTGGAGGAAATTTTAGGAAAATTTTTCCAGTGTAAGAATGAATGAGAAGCATCAACATGTATGTTATCTACACTCTTTATCTCTGTTAATTTAAAAAAAAAATCTCAAAAAGGAGATTTTAATTTGTCACTGATTGGCAAAGGGAGTAGCTGTTCTTGGGTCCAGTGTTCATCCAATGACTGGGGAAGAAGTCATGGGATCTTGTTGCTTTGCCAGAGACTATGGTGTGATAATTTTTCCTTTAAAAGGATGTGAGTAGGGCAGACAATGAAATGAATCTATAAAGACATTATCAGAACAAATTTGAAGAAAAAATGACAGAAATGTTTACTCATAAATTTGGGGCTGAAATGACCAACTTTCCAGGAAATGCACACTGTTTCTGGGAAGGGGCAGTTTTCTACCCAGATAGACACTTGATAATTTGGAGGAGGAGAAGGATGGTCCCAACAATTGAAACACACATGAAGTGAACTGCAATCAAATATCACCTAGAAAGACTCTCACATATAAAAGGGCAGTAGTCAATAAGCCCTCCTCTTCACCAAACCAACAGTCCATGTGTGGAAGGCAGCCTGATCCCGAAAGCCATGCAGTATAATTGATAGGGAAACTGGCTCAGCCTGGCAAATGTTACCATAACCACTACTGGTTTGTTTGGTAAAGGCTGAGCATTTTTTCTAATATTTGTTTGAAGTCAGAAACTTCCTTGGCTGTGGAGCCTACCCAGCTTTACCATCAATTTTATACCTGAACAAGAGTTAAGGGAGGACATAGGGGAGATTAAAGCATTATTACAAAGGAAAAGGGAGTTCTCATTGCCTTAAGCTCAAATTCTAGCACAGCATATAAAGCTAGTCTATCATCACTTCTCTCCATTCTTATACATGCATTCTGTGCTTTACACACATCAGAAGTCAATTTATTCCTCCAGTGTACCATGTGCATTCCATAAGTCCATGCATTTGCACATACGGTTCACTCTGCCTCATTTGCCCTTTGCTCCCTTTCCAGCTAGTGAATTCCTGTTCATCTCTCAAAGCACCAAACCAAATATTATTTCCTTTATCTATTGTTTCACCATTTTCCAGGTACTTTTTTTTTTTTTCTTGTGAGATGCAGTCTTGCTCTTGTTGCCCAGGCTGGAGTGCAATGGTGCAATCTCAGCTCACTGCAACCTGTGTCTCCGGGGTTCAAGTGATTCTCCTACCTCAGCCTCCCAAGTAGATGGAACTACAGGCACGTGCCAGCGTGCCAGCATTCCAGGCTAATTTTTGCATTTTTAGTAGAGATGGGGTTTCACCATGTTGGCCAGGCTGGTCTGGAACGCCTGACCTCAGGTGATCCGCTGCCTCGGCCTCCCAAAGTGCTGGGATTACAGGCGTGAGCCACCACGCCCTGTCTCCAGGTACCTTTAACATTCTTTTAGCATTGCACTTTTTACCTTACACCACACAGTTATTTATTTGGGTACATTCATCTCTGAGACACAGAGCACCTGAAGACCAGGACTTTTTCTTATTTACCTTTATGTTGCTAGCATAGTGCCTAGCATATAACAAGAGATCAGTAAGTGCTGGTTTTATAAGAGAAAAAGAAGGTGCAATTTAGAGAGTTCAGAAAAATATTTATAATAAAAATTATTAATAGAGAAAGGATTTCATACAAACTTGAACATCTACCAAATACTCCTATCTCTTAATAGAACATGTCTAAGTTTCTCAACAGAAGGAAGGAGAATATTTGTTTTAAAAAGTTGGAATGGCAAAGGCACAGTTTTTAAAAAGAGACAGACAGAAAAAAGGCAAGAGCATCAACACTATACAGGAGGATACTCCTTCATTCACGTAAGAGTGTTGACCAAAGGATTACTAAGGACAGACTTTGTCATCAAAAGAAGGACATAAAGGTTAAATGTGAGAGGAAAAAGTGGGGAAGTCTCATGATGAGGTTGGGAGTGACTGCAGAAACAGCCCCATAAGACTTCTAAGAGAAAACAGCAGGTGCATCAACAGAAAAGGGCAAGGATGAGACTGAATCAAAACAAATACCTGTATCATAGCATGATTTTCACAGCCACAATACAGAGTAGGAGTTAACAATATTGAGACTGAAGTCTGACCCTCTAGGTTTAAGAAGGTCACCTCCCTCATTCAGTGACTATGTGAACTTAGGAAAATTACTTATCCTCTATATTACTTACATTTAAAAACTGGGGACAATTATAGCATTTACCTCATTGATTGCTAAGAGGATAACGAGGAAGAGTTTGTAAGGATTTAGAAAACTGCCTGTCAAAAGGCATCTTGAGAATCTTCCTCCTGGTGGACTTGTCCTGGTGTATGCTGTGCATGTTACAACATCATAGTCAGGAGCTCGAGACAAAGATTCACAGCTACAGAGTAGCCCCTCCTTTAAACAAACCAACCAGGATGTGATACCCAGTGAATCCATCTGAACATATACTGATCTTCTTTTGCGTGGAAAACTTAGAAAAAGTAAGTGAAGCCAAAGGGACAGTTTGATTCCCTCACTATGGAACAAAGGAAATCAAACTCTTCAGTAGACCTGAAGAGGGAATATCACAGGTGATGGTACTCCCATGGCTCTACCATTCTTAAATTGATACCACAAAATCAGCAGTCAAGTATACAGGACAGACGTAGGCTTTGAAACAAAATAGACCTTGATTTAAATCCAGCATCTAACAGTTACTATAAGAATGAACCTCAGATAGGCCTGAGCCTTGTAAGAGGTACCATTCCTAGGAAACTGACCTTTGATTCACCCAGTCCCACAACAAGCACTCAAAAATATGCTGAGGTTATTTTGTACCAGTGACTTGCAGATGGTCACACAGATTAAAAAAAAAAAAAAAAGAGCTCATCTGGCAGAATCAGAATCATCACACTGTGTAGCATGCATTGAGTGCACCTGTACCTCCATCTGGGAGTCAGCTACACTGCCTCCTACTTTGTGTAATTGGTACCATACGCTTCCACATCCTTTGTGATTAAAGAAACTTCACATCCTTTCACTTATGTCTTTGGTGCCTCTCCATCAATCATTTCACTATTCTGTGATTGCACTATTGTGACAAGCCCACATTATCTATATGACCTAGACAAATTACTTAAACTTCTGAGTCCCAGTCCCTCATCTGCAGTATCTGGTATGTAATAGCAGTTTAACAAATGATAGCAACGATTAAAACATGATTTTTCAATAATCTCTCAACTGCAACATCTTTTATCTTTCTTTATACTCTTTCTTACTTCATATGCTTAATCATTCACCAAATCACATCAATTCAATATATTTATTCTATGAGCCTTCTTCTTCATTTCCATAAGTTTAGAAAACTCTGTATACTATACCCCTCACCTTCTTGGAAATTTACAAAACATGTTGCTATTTAAAGACTAATAATTCCTAAAGAAAATAAACGTGACTTTATTTAACTCAATGTTAAATGATTGCCTCTAGAACTGTTTTTTGGCTCCCTCATAGTACATGTCTTCATACCTTTCAAAATTGATGTTCCATGGGACACAATTTGAAAAAACCGGGCGCACATACTGAAGCCAAAACTGCCTAGTCTGAAACCCAATAGTCTTTGCCTCAACCCTCTAATCTGAGCAAAACCTCCATTATTGCATCATCTTATCTATTTTCCTTCATAAAATCTCTGCCAAGCTTATTTATTAATTGTTTTCCGAATAGATTCTGTAATTCCTACATTCAACTTTTCCTACCCAGCCCCTCACCCTTTGCCCGCCCCCCCATGACCAGTCTGGAATGCTAATACCCCTCTTCTCACCCACTCAAATCCTATCTGTCCCCTGAGACTCAGCTAAACCTAACCTCCCTTAATCATTGGAGTCTGAAGGGCCTTCTTTAACTGTACCTGTAGAACAATTAATTTGACTTTTAAATATTTCTTTTGTTATTTAAAACATGAGCATTTTGATACATTTTGTCTCTTTAACTAGATTAACTCCTCGGTCACATCTCCATATCTTCATTTACCTTATAGCATCTGACATAGTACCAAACACATATAACATTAACTCAAAAACTATCTGTGGATTTGCTTTAAGGAAATTGTCTTCTCTCTAATAATGTAAATAGGTATGAAGGAGCTTTTGCTACTGCATGGAACCACATACTTTTAGCATCTGTGCTGGCTGCAGTAAGTTAGACAACACAAATATTCAAAAGCTGGATTGAAAAGCTTTGAAAAGAAATTAAGTTATTCTGAAACTTTAAGTTCTTCCATTACAAACTAAGAGCGAAACATAAGCCATGAAAAATTTGACCTAAGAAAAGATTCAGGATAATTAAGGCAGTTTTTAACTTAGCTCTACAATAATAAATAATGAACCCAAATATTGATGTTTAGTGAGGACAGTAACAATATATTTCTAAATAATTTTATTTATTTAAATTTGATTCATTTTTATCTTGATTTAGTTATAAAACAAAGTAGTCCAAATTTACAGTCTTTATATTTGTACTGTAACTGTCATTTTAAAAATCTGCCTATATATTTTTTACAAAAGAAATCTGCAGTATTTCTTTCCCATAAGAAATACTGCCTACTACCAGTGTCACTCTTGCTTTTCTCACCAAATATGGCAAAATTCTAGGATTTTAGATCTATGTAGGAATTCTAACCAACGATCTTAGCCCAAGCTATCTAGTCACCCAGATGAAAACAGTTCTGTGGTTCTGTGTCTGTTTTCTCACTCCACTGCATGTGGGAAATTCATACAAACCTAGGGCAAGCCCAGTTAGCATACTGTTTTTATGTTGTTGTGTGTTTATAAAGGAGTAATTCTAAAAGTAGATATTACATGTGTGGGAAAGTATGATGAGCTCACAATGAAAATGAAATTTATTACTATTCAGAGATTTGGGAGAAAAGTCAAAGATAAAAGAGACAGGATAAAGTGGCAAGTCACTGGAGATTAAAGGTCAGCATTCTTATAGAAAACATTAAACAGTGCAGTTTTGTATGAAATTAAGAGGGTTTCTGTTCTGATTTTGATTAATTTTAGCTTAGAAATAGGAAGTTTCTGCTGTTATTTTAGCTAAATTTTTTCAAATGTGTTGCCTCATCATGTAACTATTTAAAATGTTTCACTGAAAATTAATACAATAAAAGAAGGTAAAATTCATTCAGAACTTCATTAACAAAGAAAGCTTGTAAATGGTCTTTCTTCCAGAAGAAAAAAGGTTGACACTGTCCCTAATGGAATAAAATATTGTACAGAAATCTACAAGTGGTGCTTGCATATAATGTACATGACATATTACACAAAATGATTTTCATATCATACATTTGGGATGATTTGTTCATAGAATAAACTTGTATTGGATATATTCTTTATGAAATACACTGTTGTAGAACACATGATCCTAAACATGGTAGAGGACCTTGGTTTAACAGCAGTTGTGGCCAACAGAGAAAGCAGGGAATTCTACAAAATAATGCAGACATATATTAAATATTTTGTTCTAACTCAAAACATATAAATGTACACTCAGTTGCATATCTTTTAATGTTGGGCCAAAGTATTTTTTTAGTTTAAAATAAGATAAAGGAATCCATCCTTTATCTTTCTAGCATGAACCATACTCAAAATGCAATGTTTAAGATTTCCATTTGCACTGTTTAAAGACAAGACTTAAATATGTTTGAGAAGCAATCCAAGTATATACCTTTCTTAGAAGCTTATAATTTCTTAAAATATTTTACAGTTTGTCTTGGTCTCAACTAATTCAGCAGCAATTTTGTTAGTGTCTGTCTTTAGTGAGTCTTCAAAGCAACACTTTTTTTGTTTGTTTTGTACTTATATCCCATTAATTTCTCTAATTAGATTATATAATTTCCAAAGAAAATACATCTGGACTAGGTCTTTCTCTAAAGATACTGTCAAAATTGACCTTAGTCTTACAGAATGGCATTATCAGGCAAAAATAAGATTTTTTTCCATGTCTACCCAGCCTTCATATAGATAGAAAATCTCTCTCACATCTCACATTTCTTCCTTCTATAACTATAACAATTCTGGGACACTGGTGAATGTTTAGTAAATAGCTGTTGACTGAAGGAGGGAATACAAGTGATTATCTAATCATTACTATACATGCATGAAACTGTGTATTGCTAATCCTTTTAGTAGGCAGCATGGTATAATAAAAAGATCATGGATATTGTGGTCAAACAGACCATAGTGAAGATGCCAGTGTTTGTGACTTCTGGCAAATTACGTAACCTGTTAAAGTCTTGATCTTTCACCTATATAATGGAATGGAGCCAATAATATCAATCTCAAGGAGTTACTATGAAGATTAAATAACATAATATATTGAAATAGTTCCCCAGATGGGTTCTCTAGGAAGCAAACTCTGAAATGGAGTTAGAATGCGGAGTGTTTATTAGAGAGTGCTCTTAGGATCAGCACCAGTGAAAGGTTAAGGAAGGAAACAGGATTAGTCAGAGGGAAAATTGAGCTTTGATGCAAGCCTGATGACAGCCATAACTGACCCCACAGGGAGCTTCAGAACTAAAATGGGCCATCAGAATTTTCTCCTTAGGCCAAAATAGCTAACCTTTCATATTTACTCCTTGATCAGTCACTGGATCTGGGCCACACTCCAAAGCGTTTGACCTTCAGGCAAGGTGGCTCACGTAGCTGAGAAAATTCCTATGAACAGCTCTTCCAGTGGCTGGGCAACAAACCTTAGTTGATGGGGGTCTGGGCATCCAATCTCCATATGCATCACACAGGGTGTGGCAAATGATATCAGAAAAGCAAAGTTCCCTTACCTCTTGCCTTCCCAGCATCAATCCCCTCTCACACTAGCCAGAGTACCCACTTGTTTTGGGTCTTTTCCCAAGACACTAACTATGTCCCCATACCCTCCTTTTCTGGGAGAAGTTTCTACCTCTTGGCCTTTTAGCATTGGAAGCACCACACCCAGGCAATTTACTATTTTCCCTATCTCAGCTAAACATGGACTTTCTCCCTTTGCATTCACCAGTTATTGAAAGCACTTATAACTTTTCTTGGATGCAAGGTTAGTTACTTTACAAGTGTATTTCTTTTACATATTTGTTCATCCAAGTGATCTTAATTTCTCTATTTGCATACTTTCAAGGGTCTTGGAGAGCAGTACTACATCTAACACTTCATAGCATTTTAAAATTTTGATATATGCACCAAGAGGCAGGCACCATCACTTCAACCCTCATCAAACATCCAATACATATTTTTTGGAGACCTAGGAAACTTCTACAACTCCTATAGCAGCAGCTTCTAACCAGAGTTCATATTGCAGCAGTTCAGAAGACTGGAGAATAACTTGAGCCCTTCTGAACTAAAAATTTTTCTGATAAGTAAATTGTGGAGTTCTGTGAGCTCAGAATATATCAGTGATTTTAAAAGCCAAGCAGAGATTCTGGCTAAGGGTGCCTAGGGCCTGTTGCCACCTCAGATATGTGTCAGCTGGTCACCTCATAAATGAAACCCCTTGCCCTGGACCTCCTCCCCTTCTATGCATGGTACTCTCTCTAATGTCCTCACCCTAACCTGTAATCACCTTTATTGACTTAATTTTGGAGGTTCCGAGGGGTACTTGTTTTGTAATCAAAAATTAACTAAAAGAATGAAATGTGGATCATGAAACCCTTCAGAATAATCAGAGGATAGAAATATTTCTAAAAATTTGCCTTATTCTCCTAAAATTTAGATTATGCTATCCTTAGCTTTGTGGCAAAATAAAAATAAAAACCCAATCAAAGTAATCAACGACTATGCTATTTCTGAAAATAGTCCAGCATGCAGCCATACAAGGGATAGTTTGAGTCTTTCCACTGATAGTAATAACATGACATCATCCTCCTGTAGAATGGCCACTTTGGTGGGGGAAGGAGAGCTCTGTTTTGTGTTACTTACAGCGAGTGTGCTGTTAGGACCAAGTTAGGTGTTTTCAACAATGTAATTAAGCACTGAATTTAATCCTAGTTGTCACTGTGTGTGTGTGCATTTCCCACAGGAGCTGCTGTTAAAACATCTGAAAATCCCTGGAGGAGGAATGGGAGAAAAAAAAGAGGAAGAGGGAAAGGAAGGTGTTGGGAAGAGAAAGGGAAAGGGGGAAGAAGAGGAAGGAAGACGGAGGAGAGAAGAATGGTGTGGAGAGGGGAGGAAGAGAAGGAAAACAGTCTCAGAGAAAACCAGAAATGGAATGGAAACTCTAAAGGTGGCCAAACCCTGGAGAAGTTGTCTGCACGTGCACATACCTGTTCGTGTGTGCATGCTGCTGCTCATGTTCCTCAGCTGTACCATAGAGAGCAAGGAGAAGTATGTAGGGAGAATGAACATGTAATGAATTCTCATGGGTTCTCTTTGTGTGCCATGCATTTTATGTACCACGAGCTCTTGGCGCTTACCCTCTGCACACACAACAACCCAGTGAAATAAACATTATTGTTATCTCCAATTTACAAGTGAGGAAACTGGGACTCAGATGGGTAAGTAACTCGCCCAAGGTCATAGAAACAGCAGATGGTGAGTTAGGATACAAATCCAGTTCTTTTTGGCTCAAAAATCTTTGCTCCCAATAGAAGAATGTTTAATTTTCATTACAGATTTCATAATCTGTCTTGTCAGTCATTGTGTTTTATATTCTTGGCCATGAAATGGAATATGTGGCAGCAAAAGTTAGTCATGTGGAGCTGTTATTGGATTAAGTTCTTGACACAATGACAGCTGCACCCAGGACAGTACTGTTGTAGAATACTGTTCCTCCTCTTAGATATTGAATATGTTGTGATTGGTTATGTCGGAGGATGTTAGGAGTGTAATAGAAAGGGAAAATCAAGCCTCTCATTAAAAAAAAATATTAAGAGCTCTTAACATGAGATCTATGCTCATAACAGAATTTTTTTTTTTTTTTTTTTTGAGATGGAGTCTTGCTCTGTCACCTGGGTTGGAGTGCAGTGGCACAATCTTGGCTCACTGCAAACTCCGCCTCCTGGGTTCAAGCAATTCTCCTGCCTCAGTCTCCCAAGTAGCTAGGATTACAGGCGCCTGCCAACACGACCAGCTAATTTTTGTATTTTTAGTAGAGATGGGGTTTCTCCATGTTGTCAGGCTAGTCTCAAACTCCTGATCTGAAATAATCCACCCGCCTCGGCCTCCCAAAGTGTTGGGATTACAGGAGTAAGCCACCATGCCCAGCCCATAACAGAAGTTTAAGTATACAAAATTTTATCTATAGGCACAATGATGTAAAGTAGATTGCTAGAACTTATTCACCTTGCATAAGTGAAATTGCATACCAACTAATTAGTATCACCCCATTTTTCCCTCCCCCCCCATTCTCTGGCAACCATGATTCTATTATTTGCTTCTATGAGTATGACTGTTTTAAATACCCCATATACATTGAATCATGCAATATTTGTCCTTCTGTGACTGGTTTATTTCACTGAAAATAATTTCCTCAAGTTTCATCTATGTTGTTGCATAGTGAAGGATTTCTTTCTTTTTAAGGCTGAATAATATTCCTTTGTATGTGTATACTACAACTTTTTAATTCATTTATCTGTTCATGGAACTTCAGATTGTTTCTACATCTTGACTATTGCAAAAAGTACTGCAATTAACATGAAAGTACTGATGTTTCTTCAAGATCCTGAATTCAATTCCTTTGGATAAATACCCAGAAGTGAGATGGTTGGATCACAGGGTCGTTCTATTAATAATTTTTAAGGAACCCCCATATTGTTTTCCACAGGGGCCCTACCATTTTGTAGTGCCACTAATAATGTGCGGTTTCTCCAAATTATAACCATTTGTTGTCTTTTGGGTTTTTTTCAATAAACAAACAAGAGAACCTAACAAATATAAGGTGATATCACACTGTGGTTTTGATTTGAATTTTCCTGTACATGAAACATTCTCCAGGATAGATCACATGTTAGCTTATAAAATAAGTCTTAACAAATTTAAGAAGACTGAAATCATACTGATTATCTTCTCTGACTACAATAGAACAAAACTAGAAATCAAGAAAAGAATGAAAACTAAAAAATTAAAAAATATGTGGAAATTAAACACACACCTCTGAGCAACCAATGGTTAAAAGAAATGAAGAGAGAAATTAGAAAACATCTAGAGACAAAAAAAATAACACAACATACCAAACTTACGGGATTCAGCAAAAGCAATACTAAGAGGAAAGCGTATAGCAATAAACACCTACATTAAAAAATAAGATCTCAAATAAAGAACCTAACATTATACCTCCAGGAACTAGGAAAAGAAGGTCAAACTCAATCCAAAGTTAGAAGAAGGAAGAAAAGAAAGATAATTGTAGCAAAAAATCTTTAAAATAGAGAATAAATAAACAAGTTTTAAAATCAACAAAAGTTGACTTGTTTGAGGAAAAAATGAAAAACCTTTAGCTTATAAAATAAGTCTTAACAAATTTAAGAAGACTCAAATCATACTGATTATCTTCTCTAACATAAACCTTTATATTAGACTTATAAAATTAATATTAGAAATAAAAACAGAATCATTGCAACTGATTTCATAGAAATAAGATTATAAAGGAGTACTGTGAGCAATTATATGCCAACAAACTGGTAACAAGAAATGGGTAAATTCCTAGAAACATACAACTTACCAAGACTAAATCATGCAGAAATAGAAAATCTGAAAAGATCTGTGACTAGTAAGCAGATTGAATTAGTCATTAAAATCCTCCCATCAAAAAAAAAAAAAAAAAGCCCAAGACCAGATGACATTCTTGGTAAATTCTATCAAATACATAAAGAATTAATTAGAATCCTTAAAACTCTTCCAAAAAAATTAAAGAGGAAGGAATACCTCCAAATTCATTTTACAAGGCCAGCATTACCTTGATACTAAAGCCAGAGAAAGACACCACAAAAAAAGAATATAGGCCAATCTCTCTAATGAAAATAGATGAAAAAAATCTTCAATAAAACACTAGCAAACCAAATTCAATCGCACATTAAAAGGATTGTGCACTCTAACCCATGAGAATTGCTCCTGAGATGCAAGGATTGTTTCATATGTGAACACCAATTAATATTATATACCACATTAAGAAAATGAAGGATAAAATCCACATTATCATCTCAATAAATGCAGAAGAAACATTAGATAAAATTGCACACCTTTTTGTTATAAAAACCTTCAACTGGGTAGGAATAAAGGGAAATTAATTCAACATAATAAAGACCACATACAAAAAAGCCACAGCTAATATTATACTCAATGGTAAAAACTGAAAGCATTTCCTCTAAGATTAGGAACAAGGCAAGGATACCCACTGTTGCCACTTCTCTTCAACATAGTACTAGAACTCCTAGCCAGAGCAATTATACAAGAGACTTAAATAGACATTTCTCCAAAGAAGAAACACAAATAGACAACAGATATATGAAAAAATGTTCAACATCACTAGTCATCAGAGAAATGTAAACCTAAACCACGCTGACATATTGCCTTCCGTTTTATAATTACATGATAATCAAAGGGCCCCACAATGTGAACCCAAGGCAGTATCAAGGGTAAGTCAACGACCAGAAGACCTAAGCCAACACAACTTGAGCAAATTTTGTTAAAAAACAAAATTAAGAAAGGAAAGTACAACATTGAGAGGGAAAAGCTTATGCCTGCAGGAAAAATAGAAACAGGAAATATGCAAAAGAAAACTGTTGACAAAAAGAATAAAATACCTAAAAATACAGCTAACTAGGGAGGTGACAATCTCTACTCCTTGTAGAGATCTTCAGACCACTACAAACCACTGCTTAAATAAATCAGAGATAACAAGAACAAATGGAAAAACATTCCATGCTTTTTAAAAAGAAGAATCAATATCATTAAAATGGCCATACTGCCCAAAGCAATGTATAGATTCAATGCTGTCCCCCATTAAACTACCATGTACATTTTTCTAAGAACTAGAGAAAACTATTTAAAATTCATATGGAACCAAAAAAGAGCCTGAATAGCCAAGGCATTCCTAAGCAAAAAGAACAAAGCTGGAGGCATCATGCTACTTGACTTCAAACCATACTGCAGAATTATAGTAATCAAAACAGCAAGGTACTGGTACAAAAATAGAAACATAGACCAATGGAACAGAATAGAGAACCCAAAAATAAGACTGCACACCTACAATTATCTGATCTTCGAAAAACCTGACAAAAACAAGCAATGGGGAAAGGATTACATATTCAATAAATGGTGTTGTGATAACTGGCTAGCTGTATCCAGAAGACTGAAACTGGACCCTTTCCTTACACCATATGTAAAAATTCACTCAAGATGTATTAAAGACTTAAATGTAAAAACAAAAACTATAAAAACCCTGGAAGACAACCTAGGCAATACCACTCAGGACATAGGCACAGGCAAAAATTTCATGACGAAGACATCAAAAGCAATTGCAACAAAAGCAAAAATGGACAAGTTGGATCTAATTAAACTAAAGGGCTTCTGCACAGCAAAAGAAACTATCAACAGGGTAAACAGACAACCTACAAAATGGGAGAAAAATTTTGCAAGCTATGCATCCAACAAAGATCTAATATCTAGCATCTATAAAGAACTCAAACAAATTTACCAGAAAAAACAATGAAACCCATAAAAAAGTCGGCAAAGGACACAAACATGTACTTTTCAAAAGAAGGCATACATGTGGCCAACAAATTATATGAAAAAATGCTCAATATCACTGATCATTAGAGAAATGCAAATCAAAATCACAATGAGATACCATCACAACCAGTTATAATGATTATCATTAAAAAGGCAAAAAATAACAGATACTGGCAAGGTTGTGGAGAAAAAGGAACACTTATACACTGTTGGTGTATTAGTTCAACCATTGGGGAAGACAGTGTGATGATTCCTTAAAGACCTAAAGACAGAAATATCATTCGACCCAGCAATCCCATTACTGGGGTCCACAGCTGGGAGACCTGAAGACAGACCACATCAGAGGACTCTTTGTAGACATTCTCCAGCACTGGCCCAGAACCAGGTAGCCCCACTGGGTGGCTAGACCCAAAAGATTAATAATAATCACTGCAGTCTGGCTTGCAGGAAGCTGCATCCCTAGGGGAAGGGGAAGTGCACCATATCAAGGGATCACCCCATGAGATAAAAAAATCTGAAAAGCAGCCCTTGAGTTCCAGACTTTTCCACTGAAATAGTCTACCCAAATGAGAAGGAATTAAAAAGTAATTCTGGTAATATGACAAAACAAGGTTCTATAACAACCCCAAAAGACCACACTAGCTTCCCAAAAGTGGCCTCAAAACAAGAAGAAATCTCTGAATTGCCAGATAAGGAATTCAGAGGTTGATTATTAAGTTACTCAAGGAGATGCCAGAGAAAGGTGAAAAACAACTTAAAGAAATTTAAAAAACAATATACGACATGGATGAAAAATGCTCCAGAGGAACAGATATCATAAAGAGAAAACAATCACAACCTCTGGAAATGAAAAACACACCAAGAGAAATACAAAATGCACTGCAAAGTTCCAACAATAGAATCAAACAAAGGAAGAAAGAACTTCAGAGCTCAAAGATAAGGCTTTCAAATTAACCTAATCAGACAAAGACCAAGAAAGAAAAATTTAAAAAATGAACAAAGCCTCCAAGAAATGTGGGATTGTGTTAATCCTCCAAACATAAGAATAACTGTGTTCCTGAGCAAGAAGAGATATCTAAAAGTTTGGAAGACATATTTGAGGGAATACTTGAGGAAAACTTCCCTGGCCTCACTAGAAATCTAGACATCCAAATACAAGAAACTCAAAGAACACCTGGGAAATTTACCATAAAAAGATCATCACCCAGGCACATAGTCATCAGGTTATCTAAAGTCAAGACAAAGGAAAGGCTCTTAAGAGCTGTGAGGCAAAAGCATCAGGTAACCTCTAAAGGAAAACCTATCACATTAACATCAGATTTCTCAGCAGAAACCCTAAAATCCAGAAGGGATTAGGGTCCTATCTTCAGCCTTCTCAAGTGAAATAATTGCCAGCCAAGAATTGTGCCTCCAGCAAAACTAAACTTCACAAATGAAGGAGAGATAAAGTCTATTTCAGACAAACAGATGCTGAGAGAATTCACCACTACCAAGCCAGCACTACAAGAAATGCTAAAAGGAGTTCTAAATCTTGAAACAAAACCTAAAACACACCAAAATAGAACCTTCTTAAAGCATAAATCTCACAGGGCCTATAAAACAATAACAGAATGAAAAAAAAAAGGTATTCCATTCAGGCAATGACTAGCACAATGAATAAAACAGTACCTCACATCTGAATACTAACATTGAATGTAAATGGCCTAAATACTCCACTTAAAAGATACAGAATGGCAGAATAAATAACAATCCACCAACCAAGTATCTGCTGTCTTCAAGAGACTCACCTAATGCATAAGGACTCACATAAACTTAAGGTAAAGGGGTAGAAAAAGATATTCCATGCAATGGAAATCAAAAGCAAGTAGGAGTAGCTATTCTTATATCAGGCAAAACAGACTTTAAAGCAACAACAGTTTAAAAAAACAAAGAGGGATATTGTATAATGATAAAAGGATCAGCCCAGCAGGAAAATATCACAATCTTAAATAAATATGCACCTAACACAAGAGCTCCAAAATTTATAAAACAATTATTACAAGACCTAAGAAATGAGATAGACAGCAACACAATAGTGGAGGACTTCAGTACTCCACTGACAGCACTAGACAGGTCATCAAGAGAGAAAGTCAACAAAGAAACTGTGGACCTAAACTATACCCTAGAACAAATGGACTTAACAGATATTTGGAGAACATTCTACCCAATAACTGCAGAATATACATTCTTTTCATCAGCACATGGAATATTCTCTAAGATATATGATAGGCCACAAAATAAGTTTCAATAAATTTAAGAAAACTGAAATTATATCAAGTACCCTCTTAGGCCACAGTGGAATAAAATTGGAAATTAACTCCAGAAGGAACCCTCAGAACTATTCAAGTAGATGGAAATTAAATAATATGCTCCTGAACGATCTTTGGGTCAACCGTGAAATCAAGATGGAAATTAAATAATTCATTGAGTTTAACGATAATAGTGACATGACTTATCAAAACCTCTGTGACACAGCAAAAGTGTTACTAAGAGGAAAGTTCATAGCATTAAATGCCTACATCAAAAAGTCTGAAAGAGTGCAAATAGACAATCTAAGGTCACACCTCAAGGAACTAGAGAAAGAAGAACAAACCAAAACTAAAATCAGCAGAAAAAAAGAAATAAAGATCAGAGCAGAATTAAATAAAATTAAAAAATATATAAAATATAAATAAAACAAAAGACTTGTTTTTTGAAAAGATAAATAAAATTGATAGTACACTGGCAAGATTAACCAAGAAAAGAAAAGATACAAATAAGCTGAATTAGAACTGGAACAGGAGATACTATAACTGATACCACAGAAATATAAAAGATCATTCAAGCCTACTATGAACACCTTTACACACACAAACTAGAAAATTTACAGGGGATGGATACATTCCTGGAAATATATACCCTTTTAGATTAAATCAGGAAGAAACAGAAACTCTGATAGACCAATAACAAGTAGTGACATTGAAACAGAAATTTTTAAAATGCCAACAAAAAAAAGTCCAGGACCAGATGGATTCACAGCTGAATTCTATCAGGCATTCAGAGAATAATTGGTACCAATCTAACTGAAACCATCCCAAAAGATAGGGAAAGAAAGGATCCTCCCTATATCATTATATGAAGCCAGTATCATCATAATACCAAAAGCAGGAAAGAACATCACCAAAAACGAAAACTACAGACCAATATCTCTGATGAATATAGATGCAAACACTCTCAACAAAATACTAGCCAACCAAATCCAACAGCATATCAAAAAGATATGCTGATCAAGTGGGCTTCATGCCAGGGATGCAGGGATGGTTTAACAAACACAAGCCAATAAATGTAATACATCACAAAAACAAAATTAAAAACAAAAATCATATGATCATCTCAATAGATGCAGAAAAAGCATTTGACAAAATCCAACACCCCTTTATGATTAAAACCCTCAGAAGAATTGGCATAGAAGGGACACACCTCAATGTACTAAAAACCATCTGGCCGGGTGTGGTGGCTCATGACTGTAATCCCTGCACTTTGGGAGGCCAAGGCAGGTGAATCACGAGGTCAGGAGATCAAGACCATCCTGGCTAACACGGTGAAACCCCATCTCTACTAAAAATATAAAAACAAAATTAGCCAGGCATGGCGGTGGGCGCCTGTAGTCCCAGCTACTAGGGAGACTGAGGTGGAAGAATGGCATGAATCCAGGAGGCAGAGCTTGCAGTGAGCCGAGATCGTGCCGCTGCACTCCAGCCTGGGCGACAGAGCAAGACTCCATCTCAAAAAAACAAACAAACAAAAAAAATCTATGACAAACACACAGCCAACATAATACTGAACTGGGAAAAGTTGAAAGCATTCCCCCTGAGAACTGGAACAAGACAAGGATGCCCGCTTTTGCCTCCTCTATTCAACATAGCACTGGAAGGTCTAGCCAGAGCAATCAGACAGAAAAGAACTAAAGAAAATCCAAATCAATAAAGAGGAAGTTAAACTGTCACTGTTTGCCGATGATATGATTGTATACCTAGAAAACCCTAAAGACTCATCCAAAAAGCTCCTCGGTGTGAGAAATGAATTCAGTAAAGTTTCAGGATACAAAATCAATGTACACAAATCAGTAGTACTGCTCTACACCAAAAACGACCAAGGGCTGAGAAGCAAATAAAGAACTCAAAACCTTTTACAACAACTGCAAAAATAAAATAAAACACTTAGAAATATACCTAACCAAGAAGGTGAAAGATCTCTACGAGGAAGACAAAAAAACACTGCTGAAAGAAATCATAGATGACACAAACAAAGGGAAACACATCCCATGCTCATGGGTGGGTAGAATCAATATTGTCATAAATGTCATTAAAAATGACCATACTGCCAAAAGCAAGCTACAAATTCAATACAATTCCCAACAAAATACCACCATCATTCTTCATAGAACTAGAAAAAGATATCCTAAAATTCATATGGAACCAAAAAAAGAGCCTGCATAGCCAAAGCAAGACTAAGCAAAAAGAACAAATCTGGAGGCATCACAGTATCCAACATCAAACTATACTACAAGGCTATAGTTACCAAAACAGCATGATACTGGTATAAAAATAGGCATGTAGACCAGTGGAACAGAATACAGAACCCAGAAATAATGCCAAATACTTACAGCCAACTGATCTTTGACAAAGCAAACAAAAACATAAAGCAGTGAAAGGACGCCCTGTTCAACAAATAGTGCTGAGATAATTGGCAAGCCACATGGAGAGGAATGAAGCTGGATCTTCATCTCTTAGCTTATGTAAAAATCAGCTCAAGATGGATCAAAACCTTAAATAAAAGACCTGAAATTATAAAAATTCTAGAAGATAACATCAGAAAAACTCTCCTACACATTGCCTTAGGCAGAGTTCATGACAAAGAACCCGAAAGCAATTGTAACAAAAACAAAGATAAATAGATGGGACCTAATTAAATGAAAAAGCTTCTGCACAGCAAAAGAAAGAATCAGCAGAGTAAAGAGACAAGCCATAGAGTGGTAGAAAATGTTTGTGAACTATGCATCTAAGTACTAATATCCAGAATCTACAAGGAATTCAAACAGATCAGCAAGAAAAAAAATAATAATAATCCTATCAAAAGTGGGCAACGGATATTAACAGACAATTCTTAAAAGAAGATATCCCAACAGCCAACAAACATATGAAAAAATGCTCATTATCACTAATTATCAGGGAAATGCAAATCAAAAACACAATGAGACACCACCTTACTCCTGCAAGAATGACCATAAGTTAAAAATCAAAAAATAACAGATATTGGTGTGAATGTGGTGAAAAGGGGACACTTTTACACTGGTGGTGGGAATGTAAACTAGTACAGCCATTATGGAAAACAGTGTAGAGATTCCTTAAACAAGTAAAAGTGGAATTACTATTTGATCCACGAATCCCATTACTGGGTATCTGCCCAGAGGAAAAGAAGTCATTATATGAAAAAGCCAATTGCATACGTATGTTTATAGCAGCACAATTCGCAATTGCAAAAATATGGAACCATCCTAAATGCCCATCAACCAACCAGTGGATAAAGAAAATGTGGTATATACATACCATGTAATACTACTCAGCCATAAAAAGGAATGAAATAATGGCATTTGCAGCAACCTGGATGTAGACCATTATTCTAAGTGAAGCAACTCGGGAATGGAAAACCAAACATCGTATGTTCTCAATTATAAGCAGGAGCTAAGCTATGAGAATGTAAAGACATAAGAATGATAGAGTGGACTTTGGGAACTCAGGGGGAAGGGTGTAAGGGGGGTGAGAGATAAAAGACTATACTTTGGGTACAGTGGGCACTGCTCAGGTGATGGGTGCACCAAAATCTCAGAAATCACCACTAAAGAACTTTTCCATGCATCCAAAAACCACCTGTTCCCCCAAAACCATTGAAATAAAAATAAAATTTAAAAAAATTCATTCTAGGGTTATGTAATTATAGATTTATAAAGAAGGCTAGACATTTAATGAACTTAAAATAATTAGGAAATGAAAATAGTTTTTTTAAAATCTATTTGAAGTGGAAAACAATGATTTATAATAATTCCATGCCCACTAACTGCACCAGATCTACTAAGGTCAAGAATTCCAGGTACACAATGGTCAAAATATTTTTTTAATGTTTTTTGTCTTCCAAAAGTTTCTAGGAACAATATTACTTTTCAATTATTCAAGTCACCCTGGGGCCATTGAAATCAAACCAGTGTAAACACATAAATTTGAAAATTAATCCCTCTGCCTTTTCAAAATAGGGTACTGCACTGGTCTAGAAAGTAAGAGATTTCTGGAATTCCCAACTTGCAAGCAGGTATAAACCCTGAGAAATATTTTCTTCCTTGCTAAACCAGAAGAGATCCACCTGAAAAGAAATAATGTTTCGTTAGTTTTTTGTTTGTTTGTTTTGTTTTGTTTTGTTTAATTATGCTGTTGCAGTTGGGTCACCACCAATGGAATGTGCATTCTGAGCTGGTCATCAGTGATATTATTGATCTGTACCAGGACTAACTACTCCAACCTGGCTGCCTATATACCCTAATCCCCACTGGGCCAGCCAAACCTCACTCTCATTCTCCACTGAATTGTCCTTTGTCCCTTGCAAGTTGTTTATTCTCTGAAATGTCATATACTCCAAAATACCTTTCCTCATTTTTTCCAGTTCTTAAACTCTTAGTCTCATCCCATGCTTCTCTCAACCCCTCTCTCCTACCAGCAATTTCCTGTTTTGAACAAACCAACTAACTAAACTAATTTAATCTAAGAGCTAACATTTTAAATTGACTATTAATACAAATGACTTCATGAACTGATACAGCTTAAGGAATTATGGGAGTATAGGGGCTATCCCAATACCATTCTACATACCCTGTAGACCAAGTCCAGTCATTCTCCTATCACCACCAGGTCCTCCCCCTGGCCAACAGCAAATATTTAGGAGGTTAACTAAGACACAGAATGTAGTCAACTCTATGGGTCAGAGAAAAATTGTTGGTATTGTTATTAGACCTGGCATCAGGGTCACTTCAGTATTATGCTTCAGTTCCTTGCTACACAAGTTTGGTGCACAGACCAGCAGCATCAGCATCTCCTGGGAGCTTGTTAGATGTGCAGAATATCTGGGTGCCACCTCAGATCCATTAAATCTCCACGGATTTGCAGATGCAGTAAAGTTTGAGAAGCTGCTGTAATTTACAAAGCTAAACATCCCTAGCAAGTTTTTAACACATACTATGTGGTTGCAATAAATGTGTAAGTTGATATCCTGCTCTTTTTATTAGTAGGAAACATGGGGATATCTTCAGAGCACCTTTGGTCCTATCTGGTCCATATGAAGTAATGGAAGAAGAATGTTCTGGCAGCAGAAACCATGGAGGCTGGAGGCAAGCTTTGCTCTGTTACCCTCATCTGTTGGCAGCTGCTTTCAGACTGCAAAAGTGAACTTTCTGGTTTCAACCTTCACATCATGTTATAGTCATTAACAGCAGAACGATATCTGGACTCCACATAGGCACAGTATCAACACTTGGCTATGCATTATGATATAAACACAAAATCAAACCTAAGGGATGTTCCATATAATTGCTCCAAATGAAAAAAATGCCCAGGCACAATTCTTTACTGGGCATTTCTATTACAAAGATATATAGAAAGATCTTTTTCTCCATAGCAACAGTCCAATAATTTTTTCATGTTTATTTTATACTTTGGGATGTAAAAAAGAGGATAAAGGTGTAGAATGAATGTACTGGTGATACCTATAAGCCAGCCATATCACCTAGAATGAAAGAATTGTGACAATTGATAAGTAATCAAATTAAGTATCCTGTTTGGTTCGTGTCCACAGGAATGCAATTCATTAAATACTAGTGGGTATGTAGCCCCATGAAAGCTGGTGCCATGCCATCAGCCAGGGTTCTAGCCTTCTGGCTCATATTTGGTAACAAAGAAAGAGAATTTCTGTAATTCCAACAGCAAAACCTAGTGGAAAAATTGCAAGTTTTCTGCCTAAAACTCTCCCAGCCAACCTAAATACAGAATAGCATGCAGTATGTATTTCTGCATAATTTTTAAAGACCATAAAAGGTGTCATAATGGAGTTATAAGGGAGATCAAGAGAGATTTAAAATTATAACAAAACTCAACCATTGTGGAAGAGAATGTGGCAATTCCTCAAGGATCTAGAACCAGAAATACTATTTGACCCAGCAATCCCATTACTGGGTATATATCCAAAGGTTTATAAATCATTCTACTATAAAGACACATGTACACATATATTTACTGCAGCACTATTTACAATAGCAAAGACTTGGAACCAACCCAAATGCCCATCAATAATAGACTGGATAAAGAAAATGTGGCACATATACACCATGGAATACTATGCAGCCATAAAAAAGAATGAGTTCATGTCCTTTGCAGGGACATGGATGAAGCTGGAAGCCATCATTCTCAGCAAACTAACACAGGAACAGAAAACCAAACATCGCATGTTCTCACTCATAAGTAGGAGTTGAACTGTGAGAATACATGGACACAGGGAGGGGAACATCACACACCGGGGCTTGTCAGTGGGTGGGGGGCAAGGGGAGGGGGAGCATTAGGACAAATATCTAATGCATGCGGGGCTTAAAACCTACATGGCAGGTTGATAGGTGCAGCAAACCACCATGGCACACGTATACCTATGTAACAAACCTGCATGTTCGGCACATGCATCCCAGAACTTAAAGTAAAATAAAATAAAATAAAATAAAATGAAAAATTATAACAAAACACATTCTAGTCCAGCAAAAATAGTAGCCTGGTCAAGGCCACGTCATAATAAAATATTTTTCCATCATCCCCCATGTATTGAGCACCTTTTTTTCCTCTGGGTTTTCTCATTCAAAATGTGAATACTATATGTGGGATTTTTTTCAAAAATTTCCACATTGGCTTTTCCCCACTGGTTTTGGTGGCCTCGTTAAATTAAGAGAAAACAATTGTGGGAAACAAATAAGAATGTGTATCAACTTTCAACCTGTATATGTATCTATCAACCCATGCCTAAGTATCTATAGCTAACAATATCAAGAAAGGTGCACAGAAAAAAAATCAGACACCAGAGCCCATGAAAACTTGGTATATATAATGTTTGGTTTTCATAAAAATTTGTCTTTCTAATTCCCCTAACTCTAGCCCATAGTTACTTTTTCTATAGCTCTTATACTGGAATACATACCTTAGGTTACTATATGTGTTAAGACATTCACTGGGCAAGAATTATGTCTTTTAAATTTTTCCTACTGCATAAGTTAAGAGTTTGGTAAAGTGTACACAAAAGCAGTCAATGAGCACTCATTTTTGAAAGATGCATGAAACTCTTATAATTTTTTGAGGCATGAATTTAAAAGGAAGTTCTTTATATGAAGACAGAGGGTTAAGTGTGTGTAAAGGAGTAGAACTGCTATTGCTCAATGAACAGTATGACCAGCCCATCTAATTTAACTGTATTTATTTGTATAAAGGATACTGAAAGCAAATTCTTGGCCTGAGTTGCTTGAAGTCCTGGACCTTCAGGGCACCCATCAAGAGGGAAGAACTTGTCCTGCCCCTTATCCTTGTTGGCTTTGACCTAATCAGGGAAGGTGCTGACCCTCTCACTGGGCTTGCAGGCAAATTTCCACCTGTACTCATCATACACACTTGTCCACTACTCTGAAAATATGGAGAGAGATAGAGACAGAGAGAAAAAGAGAGCAGTAGATAGAGGGAATAGCCACTACCTCCCACACTACTTAGCAGTATAGTTTAAGAGACTTAGCTCAAGCTGTACTACCTTTGTTAATGCCATCAAGAAATGTCTATCTCAAGCTGCCTTTATCTTCATAGCTTTTTCCTTAACTACAATATCAATTTTTTGTTTTATTACGCATGCCAGTTGGGCTTGGTTTATTTAGCCTTCTCAGGAAAATGTACACTACAATACCACAGAACACACTGAACTTCCTAGTAAGTACTGTTCAATTCTGATGCTTCATTTTTCCTAATACGCTGTCTTATTCAGTTGCAAGAAAAGCAGTGGGTAGGGTAAACAATCTTTAACCACTTCTCTGAATTTTGAAAATGATTTTAAATTATTCCCTGCTAATTTGGGGGGAAAATTTTAAGTAAAGTACTAAAGAACTTCTAAAACTCACCCGGCAGTGAATTTTCAAAATAAGAGAATCACAGAGCCACTACCAACTTCACAGTAGATGTGTATAAGTTCTTCTCAGAAGGTTGACTACCTCTGGCATTGCTAAATCAGGAGGGGACAGCCCACAATTCTCCCTTTGGCAGCAAGCACCTACACACAGTCATCAGTACAAAAAAGGAAAAAATGAAAACATCCTCTGTTTTGCCAAAAGATTGTCTCAGTGTCTCCTCCATCCAGGGACCCCTACATCTTCTTGAGTCCAGGCCCCGCCTGTTTAATTCCTTAGTACTGGAGAATTCTTGCTAGCGTATAGCTTTTTCTAGGGACTTGACCTTTTCCTTTCTAACTAATGACACCCAACACCACCTTACTCTATGAATTCAGTGTCCTTCCTTTAGTCTGTCTAAAGCCAAACATACCCTCCAAGCCCTTTCTGCCAATTCATCCTCTTTGTTCTTTTTGTCTTAATCATTCCTGCTCTCCTGCTGCCCCAGAGCATCCGCATGCCATGAATTTGCACTCTATAAGAACTAGCTCTTCCCACACAAAAGACATTGCATGCTTTTCAGAATCAATCAGACACAAATTATTTAAAGAGTCCATGTAAATATACACTCCAATATTAATGGAAAAGTGGTGTCACTGCTAAGACTTCTCCAAAGACAAATTTGTAGTGAAAAGCTTTAAAAGGCGAGAATGAATGAAAAAGTTTTTACTATATTAGGCTCATCTGGCCACAAAGAGGTTGAAACTCAGCTGTGAAACAGGCCATCGGGTAGTGAACACTCCACTTTCTTTTCAAGTCCACTTCTGTGGCCACCAATGACCACATAATGCCTACAGAAGGTTAACCCATGTCACTGACTGAGATTGGCACCGAGCCCATTGTCTGCTCCACTTGCAAATACCTTCTTAAACAACCTTATATGAGCAGTTCTCTTCTCAGGCTACTCTAGCACAGCTGTGGCCAGCTGCACTCAGCCTTCAGCCCAGCCATGGATTATATACCAGATGATTCCTGTTCATTGAAAATACTGGAAACAACAAGGAATACATCACACTGCCGAGAAATTGGATCCACCCAGAGAGACCAAAGGAAAGCTATGACATTTGAGGAACAGGCAAACATTTCTCCTGCAAGCATTTACTGAAGCAGGTATATTAGGAGGAAACTAATCCATCAGATTCCCAGACACACATTTATTTTCTGGTTCCTTTGTTTTTAATTTTGTTTCTTTCTGGTTGAGTTCGGGAGGTGGGGGGAGTTTAGCAGAAGGAAAAACTCCTCATACTTTATCCAGTATGTTTTCTTTTCTTCTCTGTCCAAGACTATAAAAACAAGTTTGGATACTCCACCGGAATGCTGTCACAGTTCTGAATTTGGAAACTGATATTACCATGTCCGTAAAGGACAAAGAATGGAGGCTCCAAATGTTGTAATGAGTAACGCTTTTTAAAACTCAGAAAACTGACCAACATCTGAGAACTAACTTGATCCAGCCAAATATTTCTGGGTATAAGAAGAGGCAATGATAATTAGAATTGCTGCTTGTAGATAGGTAGTTTAAACTACACACAGTAGCTGGATGTCTTCAAGGTAAAAGCAACTGAAGAGCATTAGTGTTCAAGTATCATTAACCTCTCCAAAACGTTTCTTGGCAAACGGTTCTGAAGGCCTTCACTGAGTTTCTGTCATTCTTCCCCTCCTTCTGTTCTATGTCTTCCCACACTCAGTGAGTGGAACATTTGGATCATTTTTAAATTGTGTGAGGGAAGAGACCAAGAAAAAAAATAATTGAAGAACAGGGCAACTCTCTAGTAGTAATAAATATTTAACTTGAAAAATGCCTAAGAATAAATATCATCTATATAGGCACATACAAGACTGTGGCACTCCTCTTTTGTTCACATGTAGGATCTTAGAAAAAATAACCCCAATATTTTACTATGAAAGATTATAGGTACCTATGTTTTGATTCACTTTTTTCCAACGTACCTGACTTTAAAGTTTTCCTTTTCAAAGAGCCAAGTGAACTCCTGCATCTTGTCTCCCTTCTTGCTAATTATTTAAAGAGATGACTCCAACGCCATGTTTGAAAATGTAAGAACCTTTTATTACTAAGGGTCAATATTCAGAGCATGGCAACACAGTTTATTTCATGATACTTCTTAAAATTCTTTTCCCACTGACAAATTTGGCCCTTTCACAGAGGCAGGATCATTGAGTTTCTGGAAGGAAAACGCCTTGGGTTTGCCAAGAGTTTCCCCTACTGGGCTGATGACACCTCCTAAAACTACGGAGAGGAAAATGCTCTGCAGGTCAGGCAGCAGGAGTTGAGGTCCCAACTGTGTCTCAATTTGAAAGACTGAGTCAGGCACGCAGCTGCCAGGTGCCTGAGGAATCTGAATTGTTTTGCAACATTAAAGTCATTGTGAATGAGGGGAACTGGTCATGCTGAAATGATGCTACTGTTTCTGTGGAATTTTAGTGATGCCCAGAGCAAGTTGAAAATCCATTTGCCATTCCTTTTTTTCCTAATTCCATTCTTCACCTGCAATGTGTCTCAGGGCATTAGAAAGTGTTTTTGCTACTCAGAAACAAATTGGAAAGAATAGGTTTCATTGAAAACATGCTCAGACTGGATTTAAAATTATAGACTTGTAAGACTTGGGACAGAGAGAAAAGTGAAAGTTATCCGTGGCAGAAACTGTAATAGTTGTCACTAATTATTTTTTCATTTTCTATAGTAATAGAATCCCTGAACTTTAGTTGGGTATTTGAAATACTCTTATTTCCTAGCCATTTTGCACCTAGTTGTGACTATTTGTCTAAATTCTGGATGCACATTGAAGTAATACATGCAACCTATGCCAAATAACCTTAAAGGGAGAGAGTAGGCTCATCATCTTTCTTCTTCCTGCCACCTGGAAAGTGATGTGATGGCTAGAGCTGAAGCAGCCTTCTTGGACCTTGACGTTATCTTAAAAATAGAGGCCTTATGTAGTAAAACTCCAAGCAATGAGGCACCTAGATCCTTGAGGCTTTGCTCCACAAAGCCTTGATCACTTACATTGTATTTCTTTCCTCCAGGCATAAAATAAGAGAGAAATAAGTGATCTCATTTTAAATTTTAGTGTTACTTGCAACCAGCTCTTCTCCTAATATATCATCCAACACATTTTTTACATTGCCTTTGCTTGAAATGTTTCCAGATGTGGTTTGTTTTTGTTTTTGTTTTTCCAACTATCTCCAAAACTTTTAACTTAAAAAAAATCTACAGCTGCTACTGATATTAAAGCTTCCTGCATGTTTATTTCCAGGCAGAAGAAAACTAGGATGTTTTTTCCTCTCCCTTGTTTTGCCATTTACTCTCCTACCACATCCTATTTCACTTCTCTCACCCAGTGCATAGCCCCCTGGAGGTTTCAGCCACCTACAGAATGAATTTTTCAGCAAACAGTTACAACATGTACAAAAATGAAGGTTTATAAAGCTTGAGAGATCTTCGGAAACACTTTTTTAAGAACGGTCATTTTAGTATAGCAAAACCTCTGATCAATTAAGAGACAGGCACTAATAATACCTTCTATAATCAAACTCCCAGCCTCCAAACTTACCAGGAACTTTGTAAGGAAAAAAAAATCAACCTAAATGCCTGTACCAAAACTACCCCAAAAATGTTCACTAGTGTGAGAAGATACTACTGTGAAAAGTTATTGATGATCAAATAGTTTATTTATGTGCATCACACACACATACACATACACACACACACACACACACAAGAACACAAGTTTTAAAAGATCAGGAATAGTGTCTGGCACATGTATTTATTTAACAACTATTTGTAGAATGAATCAATGCAAAGCTTCCTGGGCTGCTATTTTTATTCATCTGCTTATGTTTCTTATCCTCCTTTTAAATCAGGATTAAGACAAGAGAGGAGAATGAGAAAGACTCAGAGGACAGGCATCAGGATAATTAAAGTAGAGAGGGCCACCTAATAAAGTACAGGATCTTCCATATTCTCCATTCAAAGGAACTCTATCAGACATGAAAATAGGCTGTCTCCCTCAGAATCACACACCCAGTTAGCAGCATTTGATTATTCTAAAAGAACTCTGCTTTGGTATTGTCATGCACTTGCTCTAAACCCTCCATACTTGGCAATAAGCCCACCACAGTACCATTATTTAATGGCAGAATAGTTGAAAAGAGTTTGGGTTTTGAAGTCAGGAAAAACTGGGTTCAAAGTTCCTTTAAGACTAGTTGAATAAGTGACTTTACCCCTCTTTTTTTTTCCTGTTAAACAGGGATGTTAACGTTAAGCACCTCACTGAATTATTGAAGGAATTAAATAAAACACTAGTATACTGTCTGGCTAGTATGCAAGTGTACAAATGGTGATGGTTATGGTAATGGTTACAAGTTCTCATGGTAGGTGGTCACAGGGCCCATCTGGGACCTCATTGGCTGAGGTCCTTGCATAGATAAATAAGCATGCATCAGGCCAACTCTCCAGGCCTGTGTTTCTCATCTGACAGCTAAGAGCTTAGACCAGGTCATTTCCAGGAACTTTCTGTTCAACTTTAAAGTTCGATTGGTGTGTTATGGATTCTTAAAATAATTGAGAAAAAAAAACATTAAACACACATTTATTTTTTTATTAATCAGAATTTAGGTGAAATAACACATTTGTGTTGGGTATTTCTCACTTGTGACTCACTTGTTGGATAGCTTTTTCCAGTCTAAGTATGTTAAACTTCATACTCACATTTATCAAATCATTGGGAATCCTGTGATTCATATAACTAACAGGAGGATTGAGAAAATCATTAAACAAATGCCAAAAGAATTTACGCAAAAGAATTGAGTTTGTTGTCTCACTTTTATGATTCCATGATTCTTGGAAATAGTTTTATAAATTTAACATATAATGCAATTCTCTTTTGTGAAAATCATTTTTACCTAAAATTTCTCACTATCTTTGTCAAACATATGAATCTATGAGCTGCATTAAATAAGTATATTCACTGAGATGTTAAATACATTTTTCTTTTAGGCAAAGTATAGGATATGCTAAAGACTTGTACATTAAGTTGTGATATTAATGGAAGGACAGACAGTGAACTGGATACATTTTGATTAAACTATGGCATACAGGAGTCTAAGTGACTTTTCTATCATCTATGCCAGGAAACATATCTACTAGGTTATTTTATTTTCTCCTTTGAAATATTCAGCATCCAACTTGCCCCCCAATTAAAAATGACTGAAATAGCATGGCCCACTTCTTGAAGAAGTCATGAATAAAACCCAAATCTCTGGAGTCTGTTGTCCTTGAAATACATAAAGGCTGAATGCTCAGAAGAAGTAGAAAAAAAATAGTTCTGAAACTCTTGGACAAATAAGAAGAGCCACTCTAAGCAGGGACTAAATTGGATTGGAATGTATGTTTGGATTATTCAGCCAAAGTAGATAATCAAGTATAACAAAACAAAAGCTTGATACCAAACTTGCGGGAAAATTTGTTTTGTCATCCTGAAACCTTCTCCGCTTTAAGCAAATCTTCCCCACCCAAAAGCAAATATCTTATCATACACCATGTTATTGGTCTTGGTCCACTGCACTGACCATAAAGGTAAGGAATCAGCCCACTATTTAGAGAAAATCCTGATTACATAAATTTAGTTTTCCAGTGGAGAAATTAGTCAATTTAAATGTATTTTACCTAAGTACATATCTACTAAATACTATATAATGTACTTGTCAAATTATTAGAAATCAGTAAGTCATGTTTCTATATGTTCAACACTGAGCCAGACACATTGAAAGACATAAAAGACAGCTCCCGTCATCATGATTACTGCCCAATTAATTAAGCAGTTGCTAATATTTGGAAACCTCAAGTCAAAAAGCTTAATAAAAATGCAATGATTTAATATGTCTACCAATTCCAATTCTCAAGTTCAATTGATTCAAATAATATAATTCTGAAACTAATTCATATGTTTGGAAGGACTCCAAGCCTTATTGTCACCACTCAAAATTTCTACCCCCATATAGAACAAGTTTTTCTTTCCTAGAATCATTCTTCCTGGAAGTAGTTTCCACTTCCAAGTTAAAACTGGATCTTTATCTTCACCCCTACTTTTCAAATCCCCCTCTTGATCTAGCTCTTGCCTCTCCCAACCTTCTGGTACATTCCTTAAGTCCTTCCTCCTCCTAAAGATCAGACTCTAGTGTCAAGGCAAAATTCTAACATCTTTAATGGTACAGGCCAACATTACAAAGTACATTGGCAAATGTAATTTATAACTTAGAATTTCATACACATTTCTTTTACATACACATGCATAAGCCTGCTTTCAAAATGCCAGACTTCAACATAGTATTGGGACTTCTGGCCAGGGCAATCAGGCAAGAGAAAGAAATAAAGGGTATTCAAATAGGAAGAGAGGAAGTCAAATTGTCTCTGTTTGCAGACGACATGATTGTATATTTAGAAAACCCCATTGTCTCAGCCCAAAATCTTCTTAAGCTGATAAGCAACTTCAGCAAAGTCTCAGGATACAAAATCAATGTGCGAAAATCATAAGCACTCCTATACACCAGTAATAGACAAACAGAGAGCCAAATCATAAGTGAACTCCCATTCACAATTGCTACAAAGAGAATAAAATGCGTAGGAATACAACTTACAAGGGAAGTGAAGGACCTCTTCAAGGAGAACTACAAACCACTGCTCAAGGAAATAAAAGAGGACACAAACAAATGGAAAACATTCCATGCTCATGGATAGGAAGAATCAATATTGTAAAAATGCCCATACTGCCCAAAGTAATTTATAGATTCAATGCTATTCCCATCAAGCTACTATTGACTTTCTTCACAGAACTAGAAAAAACTACTTTAAATTTCATATGGAGGCAAAAAGAGCCCATATAGCCAAGACAATCCTAAGCAAAAAGAATAAAGCTGGAGGCATCACACTACCTGACTTCAAACTATACAAGGCTATACTCTCTCAGAAGAGAGTGACTATAATATGCTTGATCTCCCCAAAGGAGACAACATGGAAAAGGACTTCAGTTGTACCAGGAGGAATTTAATTTAGAAAGCAAGATTTCCTGACATTGTGATTGAAGGTTCAAACAGGTTACAAAAATTGTTATGAAATCTCTTCTTAGAGGTCTCAAAAATATAACATTAACAGTTTTGAAATAAGACCTTGAATAGCAAATGCTGATTATTTTGATTAATCCTTTTTGAGAGAATAGTTGATCAATGGCTCTGGTAGCTAAGGGACTGGCAATGCAAAAACCAAACCAGCATGATACTGGTACCAAAACAGATATATAGACCAATGGAACAGAACCGAGGCCTCAGAAATAATACCACACATCTACAACCATCTGATCTTCGACAAACCTGACAAAAACAAGCAATGGGGAAAGGATTCCCTATTTAATAAATGGTGCTGGGAAAACTTGCTAGCCATATGCAGAAAACTGAAACTGGGCCCCTTTTTTATACCTTATACAAAAATTAACTCAAGTTGAATTAAATACTTAAGTGTAAAACCTAAAACCATAAAAACCCTAAAAGAAAACCTAGGCAATACCATTCAGGACATAAGCATGGGCAAAGACTTCAAGACTAAAAAAACAAAAGCAATTGCAACAAAAGCCAAAATTAACAAATGAGATCTAATTAAACTAAAGAGCTTCTGCACAGCAAATAAAACTATCATCGGAGTGAACAGGCAACCTACAGAATGGGAGAAAATTTTTGCAATCTACTCATCTGACAAAGGGCTAATATCCAGAATCTACAAGGAACTCAAACAAATTTACAAGAAAAAAAAATAAGCCCATCAAAAAGTGAGTGAAGGATATGAACAGACACTTCTCAAAAGAAGACATTTATGTGGCCAACAACATATGAGAAAAAGCTCATCATCACTGGTCATTAGGGAAATGCAAATCAAAACCAAATTGGGATACCATCTCACACCAGTTAGAATGGCGATCATTAAAAAGTCAGGAAACAACAGATGCTAGTGATGCTGTGAAGAAATAGGAACGCTTTTACACTGTTGGTGGGAGTGTAAATTAGTTCAATCATTGTGGAAGACAGTGTGGCGATTCCTCAAGGATCTAGAACTAGAAATACCATTTGACCCAGCAATCCTGGGTATATACCCAAAGGATTATATACCATTTTACTATAAAGACACATGCACACGTATGTTTACTGCAGCACTATTCACAATAGCAAAGACTCGGAAGCAACCCAAATGCACATCAATAATAGACTGGATAAAGATAATGTGGCATATATACACCACGAAATACTATGCAGCCATAAAAAAGAATGAGTTCATGTTCTTTGCAAGGACATGGATGAAGCTGGAAACCATCATTCTCAGCAAACTGACACAGGAACAGAAAACCAAACACCACATGTTCTCACTCCTAAGTGGGAGTTGAACAACGAGAACACATGGGCACAGGGAGGGGAACATCACCCATCGGGGCCTGTCGCGGGGTGGGGGGCAAGAAGAGGGAGAGCATTAGGACAAATACCTACTGTATGCAGGGCTTAAAACCTAGATGACGGATTGATGGGTGCAGCAAACCACCACAGCACATGTATACCTATGCAACAAACCTTCACCTGTATCCTAGCCCTTAAAAAATAATTTTAAAGAAAAGAATTTTTTAAACCAAAGCTTCTAACATGAGTTGGTTCCTCTCCCTTGTGGAAAGCATAGGCTTGGTAGTCAATGCTTTGCAGTAGTGAGTTCACCACCACAGACAATAAATCCTATCTGTAGTGAGGGACAAAAAAAGGTCTCATTCTCGGAGAAATACAGAGGTAAAAGAAAGAAAGTTAGGCCTAAGGGAAATTACTGTTGCTGGGTGTCCATAAAGCTTGGCTGCATCCCTCTCTTTTAATGCTTGCTTTGTTCAGAACTTCACTGGATTCTATGAGCCAATAAATTCCCTATTTTTCTTAAACTAGTTGAAGTTGGGTCTCAGTCACATGCAATTCAAGGAGTTCTAACTCATATAATTGCCCTCATTTTTTTCATACACCTATTCCCCTTTCACCAATTGCAAGCTTCTGGGATGCAGGTATATTAGGCTGTTCTTGCATTGCTACAAAAAATTCCTGAGACTGAGTAATTTATAAAGAAAAGAGGTTTAGTTGGCTCACGGTTCTGCAGGCTTTAGAGGAAGCATGGTGCTAGCATCTGCTCAGCTTCTAGGGAGGTCGCAGGAAGCTTACAATTATGGCGGAAGACAAAGGGGAAGCAGGCACATAGCGAGAACAGGAACAAGCAAGAGAGAGATTGGGGTGGGGGTGCCACACACTTTTAAATGAGCAGATCTTATAAGAACTCCCTATTCCAAAGACAGCAGCAAGCCATGAGGGATCTGCCCCCATGATCCAAACACCTCCCACCAGGCCCCAACTCCAGCATTGGGGATTACAATTCAACATGAGATTTGGGTGGGGGCAAATATCCAAACTATATCAACAGGGGACATTTTTTACTTATCCACAGTCCTTAACATGATTTGTGGCACAGAGTGGCCATGTAAATAAATAAGTGATAGAATGAATGAGTTGAGTGAATATGCCATGAATTAATGAACCTAGAATAATAACTCATTATTAAATTCAGCAGCAACCAATATCTCTACCCTATGACTGGTGTATTGTCACTAACAAGTCCTAAGGTAACGAATTTAAACACGTAGTCAATCTAAAATGGGAGATGTAATAGAAAACATATACAAAGATAAACATATAAACAAAATTAGCCATGGAAATAGCTACTTATCCTGTTTATTACTGATTAAATAACAGTTTATATTAGGTAAAGGAAAAATCAACACCCTTCTAAACTTACCACAATTTTAAACTTAGGGACCATCATGAAACCAAAGCCTATATTAACTAAAATTCCCTCTCTCTGTTTCTGTTTTTACAGGTATTTAAGTTTAATAATATCTACATTTTCACCCAGATCTTTATAGATGCAAGAATTATAATACCAATGAAAGCTTTAAATATGATACAAATGACCTTGTAAAGACATTTCATAAACTCGTTCATTTAAAAAAGTAACAAAATGTTTCTAACACAAGGATACATTTTTAAGAGAATAAATGGGTGTTTGAATGAAAATAGCATGGTTGATTTATATTCTTTTTCCACCAAAAAAATACAATTGGAGGTAAGAGTAAGCAGAGGTTCTCAATGCTGCAAGATGGCTAACAGTATATAAACCATCCACAATGAGCTATTCATCCCTTCAGTTCAATTTAAGAGAAAAATAAATAGGATTTTAGGCCTCCAACCTTTACAAGGACATACAGTGCTCTGAGAGTTCCACTTGGCTTCTGTCTTTGTCCAAATTATCTTACATTCCAGAATTCTAGAATCAGCCCACACCAGATGGATTTTTCAAGTTTATTTAGGTCTAAACTTGAAGCCCACAGGAAGTATTTTGAGCAGCTCCAGGGTTTGAGATGTGGAAAGGCTCTCTAGGGCTTACAAACAACCACTTTGTGTCAAATTAGCTCAATGTAGTTGGCAAGAGACTGACTGTGCAGCTGTACGGAGTTGCATTGCCAGTCCCTTAGCTACCAGAGCCATTGACCAGCTATTCTGGCTCAAAAAGGATTAATCGAAATCATCAACATTTGTTCTTCAAGGTCTTATTTCAAAACTGTTAATGTTATATTTTTGAGACCTCTGAGATTTCATAACAATTTTTGTAACCTGTTTAAACATTCAATCACAATGTCAGGAAATCCTGCTTTCTAAATTAAATTCCTCCTGGTACAACTGAGGTCCTTTTCCATGTTGTCCCCTTTCGGGAGATCAAGCATATTATAGTCACTGTCTTCTGAGAAGCTGTATCCCTCATAGCTGAAGGTAGTCATCCTACTTAATATCTCCAAGGTCTTATTTTATGATCATATCACCATCTGTGTGATTCTCCTCAGAATCATTCCCAAACTCTTCTTTGTAAACCACGAAGTCTTACGCTGGAAGTAGTACTCAACATCACTTCATAATCTCCCTTTAGCAGGGGTAGTTGATGCGTAATTTAGCTGTAAAATCTTCAACAAGTACTCTGCCTTCAACATATATATCCTCATAGTACCACATTCACAGTCCCTGTAATTTCACAGAGGAGTGTCCAGAAAAATGCCATCTACACTCACCATTTCCTCTCCCTACCTTTCTCCTCAACTCAGGAAAATCTGGCTTTTGCTCAAATAATTAAAATTGGTTTTGCCAAGATGTGAGTTGACAAATCTAATGAACACTTTTTGTTCACATCTCAATAGACTTTTTGGCAGTTTTTGACTCCCTTGCTGTCTTCTGTCTTGGTAGTATCACTTTTCCTCTACCTCTCAGGAAGCACCTTCAAAGTTTTCTTCAAGGCTCCTCTTTGTCTGTCTTTTAAATGTTGATTATCCCCAAGGTTCCTGTCCAGGCACTCTCTGTCTCTCTCTCTCTCTCTCTCTCTCTCTCTCTCTCATCACATCTGCTGTTCCTTACTCTCAAAGCTTTAGCTACACCTACATACCAGTATGTGTTAGAGCAATGTCTTCAGTTTAGATCTTTCTCATAAGTTTCAGTTCCCTTTGTGCAATGCCTGCCAGAAATTGCACCCGCATAAGCACACACTCTTCAAACTTAAGATATTCAAATCTCCATCCCTCATAAGGCTACAATCATCCTATATTTTGTGTGTAGTGAATGGCACAGCATTTACCAGAGTCTCCAGCTAGAAACCTAAGAGTCATTCTTGCTTATTCATTCATTCATTCATTTACTAAACAGCTCTATCTTTGCATCTCCCCAATCCCTGCACTGTACAACGTACTTGGGATAGAATAGTAAAGAAAGCAACAAAGTCCCTACCCTTACAGAGTTTACAGATTAGTGACAGAACAGAGATTAAATAAACTACAAGCTCACACTCACCAGCCCCCTTCTAAAGTAGGCCACAACTCAGTTCCCTGGGATTCCCAACCAATGGACCCAAGGCTTGGCCCTCCTGAGAAATAGTCAAGAAGGATATATTTGCAGAGTGAGAATGGAGTTTGAAGCACAGGTTAGTAAGTTCACCGACATGGTGTGATGCCTATCATGGTGTGGAACAGAGTTGGGATTGGAAGAGAAGAAGGAGAACAAGAATAGGCTATGGGCCAGGGGCCAGATGTCCCTGTGCTTCCACTTTCCTGAATGGAACTTCAAGGATTCCAAGGATTTAAAATTCAAATATGCTTTCCCAGTCATTATAAAGGTATATTTGTCAAAGTAGAAGGAAACAATAGATTTTACTTAAGCTTTTATGAGTTTGGCTTATAATTTTTAAGTATTTAGAAATAATACACTACATGAACTTCCATTCATACTTTTGCCCCACAAATATTAGGGGCATCCCTGAAATGTATTTGGTAATACTGAAAAAGATAAAAGAGAGATAAAGAGAGAGGACCACAAATATACAACATTAAGAATGAGAAGTGGATGACATTACTACACATACAATAGAAATTAAAGAGGGAATACCAAGAAAAGCCTATCATTTGGAAAAAATGGACAATTTTATTTTTAAAAACTATACAAAAATTGCCTTATGTAAAAAGAAAATTTAAATAGTTCTATAACATTAAAGAAATTGAGCAAAACAATAAGTAAAAAATTATCATGAGGGAAAAATAACATCACTGAGATCAGATAATTTTACAGGTAAATTCTACCAAAACATTCAAGAAACAGATTATTCAAATTTTATACACACTCTTTGAGAAAATATAAAAGGACAAAAATTTTCATCTCATTTTGATACCAAAACTAAAAGACAGTGTAAGTAAGGAACATTGAAAGCTAATCTCAGACATGAACACTGATGCAAAATGCTGAATCAAATATTAAACAAGCTAAATCCAGAAATTAATAAAAATAATATGCCATACCAAATCTTGTGTACCCCAGAACTGCTAGAATGATTTTCACTAGAAATTCTATCAATAAAATGAATTACTTTAACAAATTTAAGGAGGAAAAAGAAGTGACCATCTCAATAGAAAGAGGAAAAGCATCAATAAATTTCAAATCTGATTCATAATAAAAACTAATAAAGGAAAGATATTTCCTTAAAGAGATGATGAGTACCTAAAAAAAAAGAAGAAGAAGAAAAGGAAACTTCAACAAAAGTTATTTAATGGTGAAACATAAAAGTATTCCGTTAAAATCAGGAACAAGTAAAGGAAGACATAAAAGGTTAATTTCTGGAAGTGGAATAACTGAGATACAGGAAATTAGTATTTTAATTTTAATAGATAATACAAAAGCACTCTTCCAAAAGGTGTTGATTTTACAATTCTAGTGCCCATTTCCCCATACCTTTACTGGCATTGAATGTTATTCATCTTTTTAATCACTGCCCATCTGTTAAGAAAACAAATTTTATTTTTGCTTTGTGAAGATTCTGTTTATGTCATTTGTAGAGTCTTACTTAATATTTTAGGTTGTTGTAGCTTACCATTGTTACTGAATATTGAGGGAGAGGAGGATGAGAAAGGTTGCCAATAGTCTTAACTGAGCTTAATGGCATCGGTAAAAAATGAAAATGATCTCTATGAAAACTTACCCAAAAGGGCATTATAAATATGTGTAGTATAACAATGTTATCTGCACCAGAAGTTGAGTCAGGAAATCTGTATCTGTGCCTCATGCCTTATTTCAGCCACCATATCCTTCCAGAGGCTTCATGGCAGGCAAGCAACACAATGAGAGAATTCTGGTGTTCTCAACCATGGCAACTCTCACAGCCATGGGTGAAGGCCTCTCCCCTGAGATCTCAGACCTGGAGATGCCTCTGTCAAGCAATGGCTCTTGGGTGAACATGTATGATACAACTTCTATTATCGCAAGTCTGGAACTGTATTCACCAACATATGCACATCCAATGCTACCAGAATCTATGAAAACTCAGTGATAAAAAAATCAGAGTCAAATTCCCCCAGGTTTTTGTTTTAACTGCTTTCTTGCAGAAAAAAAACTTCTTTTCTGGATGAATGCTGTTTCACAGAAACCCATTTCTCAGTCTACAAACATAGTTTCCGGATAATAATTTGCAATAAACCTTTTGCTCAAATCACCAAGAACAGGAGGTCTGAAATATACTTCAGAGTTGTGTGACTTTTGAAACCCACCTCAGCAGCCCTGAAGCTGTTATTTGTTGCTCTTTTTCAGATATAACCTCAGTCCTTCCTCACTGAGAATATTAGGGTTAAGATTTAAGAATACAGATAGTCTTTGAATTCAGATAGCTCTGGATTAAACACCAGTTCCTCCACTTAAAGGCTGTGTGACCTTGGGTGAGTTCCTCTAAGCCTCCATTTCCTCCTCAGTTTTTTGTTTTTGTTTAGTTGTTGTTGTTTTGAGAAGGAGTCTCACTCTATCACCCAGGCTGGAGTGCAGTGGTGCGATCTCGGCTCACTGCAACCTCCACCTCCCGGGTTCAAGCAATTGTCCTGCATCAGCCTCCCAAACAGCTGAGACTATCGGCGCCTGCCACCACACCCGGCTAATTTTTATTGTATTTTTAGTAAAGACTGGGTTTCACTATGTTGGCCAGGCTGGTCTTGAACTCCTGACCTCATGATCCGCCCCCTTCGGCCTCCCAAAGTGCTGGGATTACAGGTGTGAGCCATCGCCCCAGGCGTTCTCCTCTGTTTTATGAAGACAGTATAGCCCTGCACTGAATAATTGTGAAGATCAAATGAGACAATGTATTTAAATCATACCTTTAATAAGTGCTCAATAAATGGTAGCTATCATCACTATTATTTCTCTCAAAGAATGCTCCTTTCTAGATTCCCCAGTCCCTCTTGCTTTTCTTCAGTTCCCTCACCTCCTCAAAGAGCTATCGAGCCCAGCCTTGGATTGGCTAAGTCACTCACAAGTCCAGAGCGCAATTCACAGCTATGTCCATACTGCGCCCTCTAGTGTCACTTTAGGGACTATGTGACTCTGGAAGCGCCGTTACCTCCAGGATTACGCCAAGGGTGTAAATTTCTCTATGTCAGGTGCATGCCCTCCACTGCCAACGTCACTCCACAGCTTGATAATGGTGGTGCTCACAGAGCACTGACATTCATTTAGGTCTGGGTAAGGCTCACATTCCATAAGGTGGGATGGAAAGAATCATCAGTCCCTTCTAACAGGGAGCTTTCAAGCTCCAGAAACCAGGAGACTCATTCAACACATTCATCTCTATATGTCCACCTGGGACCATTAGGCACATAGATGTAAATTTTATCTGGAAATAGCCCTGAGTGCCCCCATGCGTGTGTACAGCCAGGGAAACACACCTACTGGGAGGTCATACTCACCACCCCACTTCTAAACCAGGCCACAGTTTAGAACCCCTTGGTTATATAATATGGATAACGGATGTCTAATAAATGCTTTTAATGGCTTGAGATTATATCTGCTCTTGAGCCTGTGTGTTCAAAGGTAGTAAAACCAAAACACTGGTGAAATGGTAGAAGAAGAATAATAAATTTGTTGACACAAAATTCCAGCACAGATTTTCAATTGCTCATCTCTGTTCAATATGACGAGAAATGAGAGCTAACACCTATTCAGCACTTGCTGTATGTTAGGTACTGTTCTAAAAGTTTTACCTGTATTAGCTCATTTAATACTCAGAACAACATTACAAGGCATTTATTTTTCCCATGTTTTAGATGACAAAACTGAGGCACAAAATGGTTAGTAAGTGGCCCAATATTGAACGTTTACCAAATGGCAGATCTAGGTGAGTAACAAATGGCGTTAAGAAAAACCACAAAATTACAACTTTAGAAAGTTTATCAGAGGGAAAGAAGGAAGGAACAAAGGAATGAAGAAAGGAATGAAGGAAGAAAAGAAGGAAGGAAGGAAAGAAGGAAGGAAGAAGAAAGAAAGAAATTAAGAAAAACTACATGTGATATATTTTAACACAAAGCAGACTCCCATCAATGTAACCAGATGATGTCAGCAGGATGGTGAAAGGACTCAACATAAAGAAAGGACTGTTGAAGCTGTTGAAACAATCCAATCAGCTACTTCTTGACATTCAGACAGTGGTCCAATCTGAGTGGAAGAACCACTATGAACTCTTGCTGTGGGTCACACTTGCTAAGACCAAGCCATACCTCCTGACATAAGACTCTAAACCATACTTTCTACTAGAAAATATAAGAAACATAGTAGCTCTCCCTAAGGGGCTATTTCACCATTCATAAAGATGATAACTTGGATAGATATCTATGTTAATCATGCTTTGAGAAGTCAATAAGATGTTACATTTGTTGAAAAGTAATTTAAACAGACTAAGACACCAACCTGAAATGTGCTCAAAAAGGTGATCATGTGCCCTTAAACAGACCTTCATCTACACTATAAGCCATGTAGGTATCCATTTTATGTGTCTCCTAATCTTCCATTATCAAATTATTTATTCTCAGCATATTATAAGCAATAGTAGCAGAGGATCATTGGCTTGGTACTAACTGTGATTTTCAACTCTTGTCCTGAACTGAATCTGCAGCAGCAGAATTTTCCTTGGCTCTTACAGGTTATAGGAAATGGTACATTCCTGGTCCTCTTTGAAGTATAGTTCCTACTAATCCTCTTCTCAGATGCAGAGATCCCCAAACAACCTCAAAACCTCCTCTAATAGGGCCCTGTGTAATCCAAGGCCACTAGCATTTGCCAGCGCACTCACACCACCTCACCATCTCTTCCCAGCAGGAGGTTTCATAGCACAGATAACCCTGACCTACTTAAAGAACTCTAAGCTCCTATAGCACAAATACATGCATAAATATATACCAGATGCACAGATCAAATTTAAGAAGAATAGATTATGGACATGGAACTGTCAACATGACCTTCACAATCACATTTTTTCATCCTTCCATGTGGTGTCCACCTGTGGTGCACTGTCAGTGGGTTTGGTTGAAGCTCAGTAGGTTCTCACTTTCAAAGTTGGCTTTGTGCCTATGGGATTTTTTTTTTTTAGCTTTGTTTTCAGCGATGCGGGTGCCCATAGAACTAAAAATTATCCAAGATAAATGGTTCACCTTTAAAATTTGTCTGTGGCTGGGCACGGTGGCTCACGCCTGTAATCCTAGCACTTTGGGAGGCCGAGGCGGGCGGATCACGAGGTCAGGAGATCGAGACCATCCTGGCTAACATGGTGAAACCCCCGTTTCTACTAAAAATACAAAAAATTAGCCGGGCGCGTTGGCGGGCGCCTGTAGTCCCAGCTACTCGGGAGGCTGAGGCGGGAGAACGGCGTGAACCCGGGAGGCGGAGCTTGCAGTGAGCCGAGATCGCACCACTGCACTCCAGTCTGGGCAACAGAGGGAGACTCCGTCTCAAAAAAAAAAAAAAAAAAAAATTGTCTGTAAAGGAAAACTGTTTTATTATCATCATTAGAAAGACTTCAGTTGTCCTTGTTCTTTTACCATTAACAACGTAATAAAAATTACATCAGGAAACTACAGAAGCCTGGTATTTTATTCTTAAAACTACTCTTCCAAATGAAAATGATTTCTATAAAACATGCACTAAACTTTTCTAAATAAAGACTCAAAAATTTAAAAGCATATAGATAGAACAAAGAAGTAGAGATATTACACTAAGCAATAAGAACCTCAGTCAAGGCTGGGCACAGTGGCTCACGCCTGTAATCCCAACAATTTGAGAGGCTGAGGCGGACAGATCACCTGAGGTCAGGAGTTCGAGAACAGCCTGGCCAACATGGTGAAACACTGTCTCTACTTAAAAATACAAAAATTAGCCAGGTGTGGTGGTGCACCCCTGTAATCCCAGCTACTCGGGTGGCTGAGGCAGGAGAATTGAACCCAGCAGGCAGAGGTTGCAGTGAGCCGAGATCGCATCACTGCACTCCAGCCTGGGTGACAGAGCAAGAGTCTGTCTAAAAAAAAAAAAAAAAAAAAAAAAAAAAAACAACCTGAGTCAATACCCAAGTTCATCTTGGAAAAAAAAATTAATTACCCTGGTAGCGATCAATCATCCTGTGTCTTTACTTACAAGTTCGGGAAGCAATTCTAAGAACCTACATACATGAAGAAGATTCCAAACAGCTTTGTAGGTTTGGTGTCTCTCAAAGACAAATTCTTAGCTTGCATTTACTCATTAAAAAAAAAACTTCAGGCCAGGTGTGGTGGCTCACGCCTGTAATCCCAGCACTTTGGGAGGCCGAGATGGGCAGATCACTTGAGCCCAATGCTGGGATTGGCAGCAGGTGCTTGGAGCCAGAAAGCAAGTAATAAAACACATCCAAGTGGAAAAAAAGTGTTCAGTATCACTCAGTGATGCCCAAAAGCACTTCAAAGCAAAGCATCTATGAGGTGATTATGAGTGTCTATGCATGGAACCAAGAAGAATAATGAAATGAGGTTAATGTTGGAAAGCAAAATGACAGTAAATCTGAGAGAGAGAGTGGAGTTTTGCCCGCCCATGGCCATGCTGTTTCCTTTTTCTAAAATGCTCTTCTTTCTCTTTCTCATCTCTCACCTGTTTAACATGAAGACTCATCCTGTATGTCAATACTTCTGAGAAATTTCCCAAACTCTCTTGGCTGAGTTGAATATGCACTGCCTTAATATTCTGCTTATTTTTATACCCATTTACCTGCTGTTGTAATTGTCAATATGACTTCTCTAAGTACCTGTAGAAAGCAGGATATCCCTAGTGCATGACACAGTACCTGGCATAAAAACAATGCCTGATGATGGCTGTGGAATGTGCACCAAGTGTGAAATTATCAAGAGGAAATCTGGATACAAGTCAAAAGACCTGGCTTTTCATCTATGATCTGCCATTATATGACTTTGGGCAAGTCATTTCTTTTCTCTGTGCCTGAGTTTTCTCATCTTTAGAATGAGGAATTAATATTTTTTTTTTGAGACACAGTCTGTCTCTGTCACCCAGGCTGGAGTGCAGTGGCATGATCTCGGCACACTGCAACCTCCGCCTCAGGGTTCAAGTGATTCTCCTGCCTCAGCCTCCCTAGTAGCTGGGATTATAGGCACCTGCCACCACGCCTGGCTAACTTTTGTATTTTTAGTAGAGACAGGGTTTCACCATGTTGGCCAGGCTGGTCTCAAACTCCTGACCTCAAGAGATCTGCCTGCCTCAGCCTCCCAAAGTGCTGGGATTACAGGTGTGAGCCACCTCACCCTGCCAAGATTATCTTTAAAGTTATTTAAAACTGTAACATTCTATGATTCTATAGTGAAGTTTTCTTCTCTACTTTTCATCTTGAATTCAAAACATGCTTTACTCTTAGTATTTCTTATCCCGAGTTGATCCATTGTAACACCCTTTCTTAACATCCATTACACCCGGATCCATGACCAGTAAAGGAGCCAATGTTTGCTGTTCTATTTTTAGAGACTTTTTGTCATAACTATACAAAACTGTGAAGGTAGTATTAATTGCATGATCTCCACAGACACCTGTAAGCAAGAAAATATAGGTGATTTTCACATTCTCATTTACCATTCTTGGATAAAAAAAATTATGTCATATCACAAACTTCTCATATGCAAATATGCAAGCACAAAGAGACCATTGTCACTGCATTCAGAAGAAAATCTACCATGGAGTTTAGTTATGAAAACCCACATGCTTAAAACAATTCTTATCTCTAGTGAGCAATGCTTTGCAATCCTCATTCTAACTCTTTTTCTTGTTCTTTGTCTTTCCTCAGGCCATCTTCCAAGACCCTCAGTGCAGAAGTACCCTTTCTTCAACTCACTGCTGATATGTCCTTTCCAAAATACAGATAGAAACACAAATATCGTATTCAAATACTTTTCCCTTTATAGCTTTCAAATTTATAACCTTAGAGCAAGAAAGGACATTACAGTTTATGAAGTCAGAATTGTTCTGGTGAGTCAGTGAAGTCACCATCACTTTTCAGTTGCATACATTTAAAAAAATATATGGCTAAGTAATTGTTTACATTTTTCTGTAACCCCTAAACCGTGTAATCCTGAGCAAGTAACTTCACCTCCCTGAGTCAAATGTGAAACTGGAGAATTTGAATCAATAATACTTGAGGAATCTTCCCTTTTTAAAAATTCTATACTTTTTTTTAACTTTTATTTTAGCTTCAGGGCTACATGTGCAGGTTTGTTATATAGGTAAATTGTGCCTCATGGGGGTTTGGTGTACAGATTATTTCATCACCCAGGTAATAAGCACAGTACCCAATAGGTCGTTTTCCAGTCCTCACCCTCCTCACACCCTCTACCCTCAAGTAGGCCCAGGTGTCTGTTGTTCCCTTCTTTATGTCCATGTGTACTCAATGTTTAGCTTCCACTTAAAAGTGAGAACATGTGGTGTCTGGTTTTCTGTTCCTGTGTTAGTTCACTTAGGATGATGACTTCCAGTTCCATCCATGTTGCTGCAAAGGATATGTCTTTTTATGGCTGTGTAGTATTCCATGGTGTATATGTACCACATAAAAGTCTATAAATATATTACCATCTCTTTGCATGCAAAGAGATAATTTGAAAAAAAAACTGATAATAAAAATGATCATTATAAAATTAGGACTGCTTGCCATAAAAAGGAACAAGATCATGTCCTTTGCAGGAAAATGGATGGAGCTGGAAGCCATTATCCTCAGCAAACTAAAACAGGAACAGAAAACCAAACACCGCATGTTCTCACTTATAAGTGGGAGCTGAACAATGAGAACATATGGACACAGGGAGGGGAACAACACACACTGGGGCCTGTCAGGTGGCAGGGGAGAGAGAGTGTCAGGATAAATAGCTAATATATGTGGGACTTAATACCTAGGTGATGGGGTTGACAGGTGAGCAGACCACCATGGCACACGTTTACCTGTGTAACAAACCAGCACCTCCTGCACATGTTTCCCAGAACTTAAAGTAAAACAAAATTAATTTAAAAAAATAAAAATAAAATAAAATAAAATTAGGACTGTTCAAATCAATTCATTCATGTAATATTTATCATGACAATCATGTCTGTTCTCCACATAAGGCCACATGAACACAGACCTTTAGAAAGATTCTCAGAGTATCCCAAAGTTTATAGAGAATAAGACACCATTATTTTCTTTAGAAGTTTTAAGTCCTGAAGTTACCAAGACAGTCTGTCAAATCAGTCTTTTTCCTGACAAATATAAAAATCTCACCTGGGCTAATTACTCAAATTCCTCCTTAAATAAAAGTAAAGAATCACTTATTATTATCCCAGTTTACAACCTTTTAAAATTAAGCCCATGATTTCATAAAAGTCTTGGTTTTATTTTATTCTCATCATCACATTGTACTTTTGAAATAAGTAGTGCTTTGGCACTGATTTTTGAGATGAGACTGTAACAGCTGAAAAAAATTTAGAACTTGTGAAAAATGATCCAGCAATATAGAGGCAGACCCAGACTACCCTAGAAAGTTAATAAAGCAAAAGGAGAAAAGGTTTTTTTTTTATCTCAATACCAGTTAGAAAAAAAAAATCCTTCTTATAATTGAATTTGATTGCTTTTATTCTTGCCTTCTCCTAAACGTTATATCCCACATCTTTTTACACTAAACTTGGACTCTACTCAATGAACTAGCATTCTACAATTAGCCTGGGAACCTGAGATGTTTATGATTAAAACTCTCAGCAAAATCAGCATACAAGGGACATACCTCTATGTAATAAAAGCCATCTATGACAAACCCACAGCCATCATAATACTGAATGGAGAAAAGTTGAAAGCATTCCCTCTGAGAACTGGAACAAGACAAGGATGCCCTTTCTCACCACTCCTCTTCAACATAGTACTGGAAGTCCTGCCAGAGCAATCAGACAAGAGAAAGAAATAAAGGGCATCCAAATTGATAAAGAGGAAGTAAAACTGTCGCTGTTTGCTGATGGTATGATTTTTTACCTAGAAAACCCTAAAGACTCTTCCAGAAAGCTCCTAAAACTGATAAAAGAATTCAGCAAAGTTTCCAGATACAAAATCAATGTACACAAAACGGTAGCTCTTCTATACACCAACAGCAACTAAGCTGAGAATAAAATCAAGAACTCAACCCCTTTTACAATAGTTGCAAAAAAAAAAATACTTAGGAATATACCTAACCAAGGAGGTGAAAGACCTCTACAAGGAAAACTACAAGACACTGCTGAAAGAAATCATAGACCACACAAAAGATGGAAACACATCCCATGCTCATGGATAGGTAGAATCATTATTGTGAAAATGACCATACTGACAAAAGCAATCTACAAATCTACAAATTAAATGCAATTCCCATCAAAATACCACCATCATTCTTCAAAGAACTAGAAAAAAGCAATTCTAAAATTCATATGGAACCAAAAAAGAGCCCACATAGCCAAAGCAAGACCAAGCAAAAACAATAAATCTGGAGGCATAACATTACCTTATTTCAAACTATAGTATAAGGCCATAGTCACCAAAACAGCATGGTACTGGTATAAAAAATAGGCATATAGACCAATGGAACAGAATAGAGAACACAGAAATAAAGCCAAATACTTAGAGCCAACTGATCTTTGACAAAGCAAACAAAAACATAAGGTGGGGAAAGCACACCCTTTTCAACAAATGGTGCTGGGATAATTGGCTAGCCACATGTAGGAGGATGAAATTGGATCCTCATCTCTCACCTTATACAAAAATCAACTCAAGATGGATTAAGGACTTAAATCTAAGATCTGAAAGTATAAAAATTCTAGAAGATAACATTGGAAAAACTCTTCAAGACATTGGCTTAGGCAAGGATTTTATGACCAAGAACCCAAAAGCAAATGCAATAAAAACAAAGATAAATAGCTGGAACTTAATTAAACTAAAGAATTTTTGCATGGCAAAAGGAACTATCAGCAGAGTAAACAGACAACCCACAGAGCAGGAGAAAATCTTCACAATCTGTACATCTGACAAAGAACTAATATCCAGAATCTATAAGTAACTCAAACAAATCAGCAAGAAAAAAACAAAACAAAACAAAAGAACAACAATCCTATAAAAAAAGGTGTAAAAAACAAACACACAAACAAACAAAAAAAACTTAGGAATATACCTAACCAAGGAGGTGAAAGACCTCTACAAGGAAAACTACAAAACACTGCTGAAAGAAATCATAGACATGAACAGACAATTCTCAAAAGAAGATATACAAATGGCCAACAAGCATATGAAAAAATGTTCAACATCAGTAGTAATCAGGGAAATGCAAACCAAAACCACAATGTGATATCACCTTGCTCCTGCAAGAATGGCCAAAATCAATAAATAGTAGATGTTGGCATTGATGCAGTGATCAGGAAACACTTCTACACTGCTGGTGGGAATGTAAACTAGTATAATAACCATTATGGAAAACAGTGTGGTGATTCCTTAAAAAACTAAAAGTAGAACTACCATTTGATCCAGCAATCCCACTACTGGGTATCTATCCAGAAGAAAAGAAGTCATTATACAAAAAAAAAAAAAAACTTTCACATGCATATTTACAGCAGCACAATTCACAATTGCAAAAACATGGAACCAACCCAAATGCCCATCAAAGAAACTGTGGTGTGTGTGTGTGTATATATACATATATATATATGTATATATACACACACACACAATGGAATACTACTCAGCCATAAAAAGGAATGAATTAATGGCACTTGCAGCAACCTGGATGAGACTGAACACTATTATTCTAAGTGAAGTAACTCAGGAATAGAAAAACAAACATTGTTCTCACTCATAAGTGGAAGCTAAGCTATGAAGATGCAAAGACATAAGAATAACACAGTGGACTTTGGGGACTCAGGAGGAAAGGGTGGGAAGGGGGTGAGGGATAAAAGACTACAGATAGAGTGCAGTGTATACCATTCGGGTGATGGGTGCACCTAAAATCTCACAAATCACCACTAAGGAACTTACTCATGTAACCAAACACCACCTGTTCACCAATAACCTGTGGAAATTTAAAAAAAAATGTTTTAAAGCATACTTTCTCAGTTTGACAGTTTGGCATAAAGATAAAATATTCATTTAGGACTTGATGTATTTTTGACTAAAGGTAATAACATAATTTAAATTTTTAAAGAAAACATTTTTTAAGTGCTCAATTTTTCCCATTTTTTTAAAATTGAGATAAAATTTACATACAGTGAAATGCACATATCTTGAATGTGCAATTCAATGAGTCTAGAGAAATATATATACCCAAATAAGACCACCCAAATCAGGATATTAATTATTCCCCTCTTTCCCAAAAGTGTTCTTGTGCCCCCATCCAGTCAATCTGTATCCCACATAGGTAAAACCTGTTCTGATTCTGATCACCATAGAATAGATTTACCAGGCTGGGTTGGGAATTCCATATAAATGGAATCTAAATATATACATAAATCTATGATGTTGTATGCACTAGTAGTTTTTTATATTGCTGAGTAACATACTATTGTATGACTATGCCATAACTTGTATATTATGAATAAAGCTGCTATAGCATCTTTATTGACAAATTTTGGGGACAAATATTCATTTCTCTTGCACAAATACTTATTAGTGGAATTGCTGTGTCTTAGGCAGATACATGTTCACCTTCACAAGAAGTTGCCAAATAATTGTACAAAGTGATTTTACCCTCTTATATATCCTCCAGGGTTAGAGTTCCAGTTACTCCACATCCTCGCAAACATTTGGTGTTGTTTTAAATTGTGTCTATTCTACAGGAAATAAAATGTCATATCATTTTGATATCTCACTGTGGTTTTATTTACATTTTCCTGTTGACTTGATCTTGAGCAATATTTGAACATTCATACATCTGTTAAAAAGTTACTGCTCAAGTCTTTTGGACATTTTTAACTGAATTTTCTCTTTATTATTATTTTATAAATACCAATTCCAAGTCCATTGTAAAATATATTTATTGACAGTCAGTCTGTCACTTGACCTCATTTTCTTATGATGTTTTTTGATGAACAGAAATTTTTAATGTTGTTATACTTATTATATTTTCTTTTTTGGTTACTGCTTTGTAGAACTCTAAAAATCTGGTGTGGGTACTAATACTGAAGATATTCTCCAGTGTGTTTTTCTATAAAGTTTATAATTTTAACTTTTATATTTCTGTCTATGATCCATATTGAATAAATGCTTATGCCTGATATAAGGTAAAGTTCTGTTTTATTTTTCCCCGTATGCTTTTAGCGTTACTTTAATTTTTAAAAACATATTCTCTAATTGTTTACAACTATAAACAATTGTTGTTGATATTTTTAATATCTGCCAATCCTGATAAGTTTACTTTTCAGTACTAGTAGTGATTTTGTAGGTGTCTTAGAATTTCTGTGTAAAAACTTGCTGCCTGTAAGCAGACAGTTTTATTTCTTCCTTTCTTATTTGTTTGTCATCTTCTTGCATTTTTGCAAGCTAGGACTTCTAAAACAATGTTAAATAGAAGTGCCCACAGCAAACTTCTTAGTCTTTTCTAAATCTTTGGGGAGAAGCTTTCAAAATGTAAGTATGATGTTAAGTAAGATATTTCCTAAAGGCTTGTCACAAATTGAGCAAGTTCCCTCCTATTCTAAGTTCGTGAGAAATTTTATCATAATAGGGTGTTGAATTTCAATTTTTTCAATATCTCAATTCCTAAAATAGGTATGGGCTACTTAGCTTTTCTATTTCTCTTTCTCAACTCAGTTTGGTACTTATTATTTTTCAAGGAATTTGTCCATTTCACCTTAGTTCTTGAATTGACAAGCATAAATTATTTCAAATATCCTTTTACTCTTCTTTCACTATCTACAAAATCTGCATTTATATACCCTCTTTTAATTCTGATACTGGTAATTTATGTATTTGTTCTTTCTTAATCAGTCTTGCTGGGGGTTTGTATTAGTTTCTCACTGCTATTATAACCAAATGCCACAATCATAGTGTTTAAAACAACAGAAATTTATTCTCTAAGTTCTAAGAGGCCATAAGTCCAAAAAGAGTCTTACAGGTCTAAAATCCAAAGTCAGTATGGCTGGCTTCTGGAGGCTTCAAGGAAGAATCTATTCCTTGCCTCTTCCAATTTCTGGTGGGTGCCGACATTCCTTGCTTCTGGCCACATATAGCTATCTCTGCTTCCCTTATCACACACCCTTCTCCTCTTCTGTCATCAAATATCCCTCCACCTCTCACTTTTAAGAACAACTGTGGTTACATTTGAGACCCACTCAGATTATCTAGGATAATCTCCGTATTGCAAGACCCTTAATTTAATCACACCTGTCAAGTCCCTTTTGCTATTCTGTTATATATACATATATATATATATATATATATATATATATTTTTTTTTTTTTTTTTTTTTCTTTTTTGAGACGGAGTCTCGCTCTGTCGCCCAGGCTGGAGTGCAGTGGTGTGATCTTAGCTCACTGCAAGCTCTGCCTCCCAGGTTCATGCCATTCTCCTGCCTCAGCCTCCCGAGTAGCTGGGACTACAGGCGCCCGCCACCACGCCCAGCTAATTTTTTGTATGTTTAGTAGAGACAGGGTTTCACCATGTTAGCCAGGATGGTCTCGATCTCCTGACCTCGTGATCCACCCACCTCGGCCTCCCAAAGTGCTGGGATTACAGGCATAAGCCACCGCACCTGGCCTCTGTTCTATATTTTATTGATTGCTAATGTTATCTTTTTATTTCCTTCCTTTTAATTACTTTGGCTTTGATTTGCTCTTCTTTTAGCTTAAAGGAAAACAGGGCTCATTGATTGTAAACATTTTTTTCTTTGCTAATATTAAAGCTATCAATTTGCCTCCATACAATATTTATCTCTATCCCCATTTTGATGTGCATTCATTAGTTAACCACATTCTCTAATTTAGCTTGTGACTTCTTCAACACATGAGTTATATAGAAGTGGTTTTTTTAATTTTCAACTATTCATGGATTTTTCTGATTATATTATTGTTATTGATTCCAGTTTAATTCCATTGTGATCAAAGAACTATCAAAGATTGAGAGGGGCTTGAGAATTTACTTCACTTGCAAGCTAATAAGTTAACCTGACACAAATTTACTGATGCTGGCAGAAGACACAAGACTCCTAGATCAGAAATGAAGGACAATTACTCACAACAATAATAGTAGCAAGAGTATTAGCATTTGTGCTTGTTCCCTAAAACCTAATTCCCCAATAGTGATGTAAAGAAGACCAGGTGATATGCTTTCACATGCAGTCAGTTGTGATACAGAAGAAAAACTTCAAATTTAGGGATTTTGAATCTTACATAATCAACTGGAAGTCTATCTGGCCTTTGCACCATAAGTCACTAGGACTCCATTCACTTATTTTTCAGTGATTTTTCCCTGTCTTCTTCAAAATGGATAAGTTTTATTAACCTGTATGCAAGTTCAGTGACTTTCTTCTGCTGTCTTCAATCTACTGTTAAGCCTAGCCATTGAATATTTCTTTTCAGTTATTGCATTTCTCTATTTTAGAATTTATATTTGCTTCTTTTTTGTAGGTTTCATTCCTCTCCTGAGAATCCCCATTTGTTTTCTCATTATGAACATCCTTTTCTTTAAGTCTTTGAACATATAAAGCTATTTTAAAGTCCTCGTCTTCTTATTTCAACATTTAAGTCAAGTCCATCTATTTCTGTAATCTGCCTTTTCCCATGACTACAGGTAGTATATTCCTGTTTGTTCACATGTATAAACATTTTTATTGCATATGATAGTGAGAATAATACATTTAAGAGACACTTGATTCTGTTATATACTCTGAAGGGTGTTGATTTTTGTTCTAGCATGCAGTTTAATTACTGGTTGATCAACTTGATTTTGAAGAGGCTTTTTAAAATAGAACTTCCATAGATGTGGGGAGTTTGTTAGTGCGTGTCTTTTTAAATTTAGCCCTCTTACTAGGGAAAATTCTCTAGTCTTAGAACTTTGTCTTTACTTCCAAAGTGTGGCCCTCTTGGGGTTTCAGTAGAAAGCCCAAGGCACCAAGGCACATATCAAGCCCTTCCAAATAAGCAGGACTCTAAACTACCTCCTCTTTGGTGGGAGTCTGTTCAAATGTCTCTTCAGCTCCTTTAGCCTTTCCACTGTTGCTTTCTACTGGAATCCTTGAAGCCTCCTCTGTGCATATGAAGATCAAGTATCAGCCAAAGATTTGAGAGACTTTATTCATAGAATTTAGTGCTCCCTCCTTCATAAGATTTCCCCTCTAAATTTCTAATCACTCTTGTAGTCCCAAACTCTATACCCTTATACATCAAGTCAATAAGATGGCAGCTTTCTCCTTGAGTACTAGTTGTCCCAGACAATACTCCATAGATTGGGTTATCCACTTAGGAACAAAAAACATTATAAAAATGTAAATCTCACCCAGCAAACTGCCTGTCTTTCAAGGATAAATTCCTTTCAGTTTCTGCTTGCTTTGGGTAACTCTCCAGTGTCTTCAAATAATAATGGTTTGTTTCCTTTCATATATTTTGCAGAATCTATGATTGTTATCTCTAGAAGAGTTAGTCTGACACGAACTACTCTGCCATCGCAGGGACAGGAACTTAACTCCACTGTTACTTAAAACACCAAAAAAGTAATTATAAATGAATTTGCATTATAAAAAGTGAAAATAAAGGATGATCCAAGGAAAAGGAAATTTCCTATCTGCCATCTACAAAATGGGTGAAACAACGCAATATAACCTACTTTGCAGGAGACAGGATTAACAGTCTAACTAAAACTATATTATTTATTTCATTATAAATAAATGTGGAAACAAAAACAGTGAGAAGGTAAAATTGTTAACACTGGGACTAGCTAAATCTCACTTGGAATTCTGCATCCTTATTTAAGTCAGGTTTTCTACCTTGACTCTGTGAATCTTTCCTTAATAGTTATAAACAAAACTGGAATTATACTGTGTGTGTGCACGCGCACGCGTGTGTGTGTGTGTGTGTGTGTGTGTATTCTCATGCAAAATTGTGAAAAGAACACAGCATCCATCTTTGTGGTGGAAGGGAATCTAACCACCTTCATTTTAGCTTACAATTACATGTAAAAATAAGCATGATTTTTAAGATATTTCCAAACATGTGGGGGCAGAAAACTAAAATATATTTTGAGAAATAACAATGCAACTATTGAAGCTAATAGTACAGTCAGAAAAAAAAAATACCTTAGGTAAATTGAGACATTTCCAAAGCTAAGAGTACTTAATGTTGAAAAGGAGCCTACAATCTAAAGTTTTTGTTTCCATGAAGAACATACCTGAGCCTATAGTAAAATGTGCAAATATTCTAAACTCTTTGGAACCTGCCCTCATCACAATGACTACCTCCCAAAAAAACCCGTGATGCCCTAATACCCAACACCTGAGGCAGCAATCTCTGTCACAGTGACAATTCCCTAGAGGAATGCTTTTCAAAATATAACATGTATAAGAATCATTACCAAAAGATCTTCTTAAAATGCAGTTTTATTTGTGAATGAGGCTATAGATTTTGTATTTCTAACAAGCTCCCAGGTAGTACTGCTGATCCACACTCCACACTTAGAGGAGCAAAAGTGTAGAATTCAGATGGATAATTACTTACGATAAGTTCAAACTAACATCATGCCTTATTTTCCAGGAATGTCATCTCTCTGAATAGAGTAGATATTGGCTAGGACTAGGTTGAGGAAAGTCAGATAACTTGTAAGCAAAATTTGAGGAGACACTCACTCTGAGGTATTGACCCTGCACTTGTGCGACCCTGGGAGTGAGTCTTTCCTTATTATTTTGCACCCTGGGCACCTCTCTGGCCTGACCTTAATCTTGACCCTGGTGACAGTTAAGACAAGAATAATAATGAATCTGGGAATTAATACTTCAAGAATAAAGAAACACACAGAATAGGAGAAAGAAATGTGACATAACTTTCATCCCCTCTAAATTATATTGGTTATAACTCTTCCTTGACCCCTGCAGTGCCTGAGACCATCTGAAAGGAAGGAGTCAACCTACTCACCCAGAATGATAAGAAGAACATCACAGTAGTGGAATATTGCAGAAGATACCCAAAATTTCTAATTTTTATTAGTGGCACAGAATTTACACTTCAGCCATTAAATATTTCATACAAATTGAAGGAATTTTTCACTGTGCTTTTGAATGACAATATGCTAGTTTTATAAGTGACTAAAATCAAACAAATTCAAGAAAGAGCAATAATTAAGAACCTTGTTTAATTTACTTGAGAGTTATGAATTTTGCTATTTAAAAAATGTATCTATAAGAGTATAATAATATGGAAAAGGGACATAATGCAAAATTAAGTTTTAAAATGTATGATGTAGGCTGTGGCTCACTCCTATAATCCCAGCATTTTGCGAGGCCAAGATGGTGGATCACCTCAGGTTAGGAGTTCAAGACCAGCCTAGCCAACATGGTGAAATTCCAGCTCCACTAAAAAAAAGTACACAAAATTAGCCAGGTGTGGTGGAGGATGCTTGTAATCCCAGCCACTCGGGAGCCTGAGGCAGGAGAATCACTTGAACCCAAGAGGCGAAGGTTGCAGTGAGCCGAGATCGTGCCACTCCACTCCAGCTTGAGTGACAGAATGAGACTCCATCCCAGAAAAAATAAATAAATAATAAAATGAAATATTATGAAATATTACAACTATTTGAAATATTACAACTACTTTTTGAAAAATTATACATAGAAAAAAATCTCCAAAATAACAATTAAATTTTGGCCAATGGTTTCCTTTAGGTTAAAAAAAAAAAAATTATGGTTGACTCTTTTTTTCCCCTCCATCCCCTTTTCTAATAAGCATGTGTGATTTTTTTTAGCTGAAATATTTATGTGTTATCAAGATGAATCACATCCAAGTTTTATTCATAAAGAAACTTAATCAGTAGAGAGTTTAACAATGCACTTGTCAATTATAAATTTTTTGAAAGCCAGTTCTTATGTTAAATTTATAGAGTTGAGCGTCAACTAAAACAATCATTACCCTTGACAAAATTCTAATCAATGATGAAAACTGTTATGCAAAGTTAAAGAGAAACCTTGTCACCTTTAGTGTTCATAAAATCCTGGGAAAGAAACATAAGGCATATTCAGGTTACTGTCCTAGACTTCAAAAAAGTGGATATTTTAATGTTTTTTTTTTAATTTTAAAACATACATGATTCTACAACCTGGTACCCTGAGAAACAAAGGTGGGTCAAGAGGGTTAGGAGTGGTCAAAATGGCCCTGGTGCCTGAAGGCAGTAAGTTCAAGCTATAATGGGGCCGAACAGTCTGTGGGAAACAAGACCTAACTCAATCTTAGAGGATGACAAAGTAAAATTTTCAAAAAGCTAAACCAAGATTCTCATATAATCATGTGAATTGGTGTCAAAGTCTTATTTAGCTCATTAATGAGGGAACCAGTAAGAGATAAAGCTGGCTCCAAGGTCATTTGAAGAATTGGGAATTCATGGACATCTCTAAAAGATGAATTCAGAATAGGATTATTAGTTAGATACGAAACTGATTAATGTCCCAGAAAGCAATAAAATTATAATATTTGGGTTATCATTTATACTACACAGTTACCATGTAACTTCATGATGTCTAAACTTTAATCAACTAGTAAATAACAAAATTAACACAAGTGCGATCTTCTAAAGAAGTAAATAATCCATGAATGATACAGACAAATAATGCCATTGATATCACCTCTGTTTTGCCTTATTTCTATGTGTTGAAAAGTTTTTCTTAGAAGGGGTAAGAAAGGTTTTCCAAAGAAGATGATGTTTAAGCTAAGATTAGAAGACAAGCAAGCAGTCTAAAAGGGCAGGCAAGAGCATTCCTGGGTGAGGGACGTGCATGTTCACCAAAGGAAAGGAAATGGATTTATAACTAGGAACAATTATAAGGACCCAGAAACTTGTAAAATAGCATTAAGGGCCAGATGCAGTGGCTCACACCTGTAATCCCAACACTGTGGGAAGCCAAGTTGGGAGAATCACTTGAAGCCAGGAGTTTGAGACCAGCCTGGGCAATAAAGCGATACCCCATCTCTATTTTAACAACAAAAAAAATTTTAACTAGCCAAGCACCATGCTGGGTGCCTGCAGTCCCAGCTACTACAGAGGCTGAGCTGACAGGGTCCTTGGAGCCCAAGAGTTCGAGAGTGCAGTGAGCTAGGATTGCACCACTACACTCCAGCCTGGGTGGCAGAGCAAGCCCCTGACTGTTTAAAAAAAAAAAAAAAAGTGTAAAGGCAGCTAATTAAAGTCTGATTTTCTTTCCAGCAGTCTTGTTCCTTCCAGTTCATTCTTCAGACTCCAGCCAGTGTGATCTTTCTAAAGAGCTCATTGAAAATCTGATCCTTTCAGCCATCAGCCTACAATACTCCACTGTCTTCCCTTTGCCTACTGAAGAGCCATACTCCTTAGATTGGCTCTCCATTCAGACCCTTCCTAACCTGCCTTGCTAACTTCCTGTGATGCAGCCTTTCTAAGTCATTTACAGTTTCCAGCCACTGTCCTGCACTCCTTTCTACTCCTTGACTGACTTTCTCACTGTCTGCCTAAATCAGTAATTCGCAGCCCTGGTTGCACATCAAAATGACTTGAAAACTATGAAAAATTACGGCTGCCCAGCTCCCAGCTGCAGATCAATTAAATCAGAATTTCTGAATGAAGATGGATTTCTAGCTTCAATGTATTAAAGCTGCACAGGTTATTTTAATGTGCAGCCAAAGTTAAAACGTAATGATATCAAAGGACAAAGTAGAAAAGGCACTGGCTTATTCCAATTCCTTCTTCTCAAAGCTCTCCTTAAACATCATACTCTCCATGAAGCTCTCCCCGAATTCCTACTCCCACTTCCGCACATTAGCCATTTCATTCTCGGTCCTCCTGAAGCACTTGGGACATATCTCCGCTGTATTATATCAGATTTTCACCGTGAGACTAATAGTTTAATGATAAGTGATAAAATTCCTCAAACACAATCCTTAAACAAACAGTTTAATCAAATGACTACATCAGAATTCTGAAACCAAAACAGAGCACTTTAAAACCACCAATACTGTCTTTTTAGCTTTTTGATAAAAAAAAAAAACACATTGAAAGAAAAGTTTCTATATCATATGTGTACAGCTTGCTGAATTTTTCGAAACTAAACACAACCTGTAAAGTAGCCCTCAAACCTCCCCAGTATCACAAAAATCTCTACCACTCCTGCACTCTCTTCCCCATGACTGTTCATCCTAAGGTACTATGAGCCTGACTTCTAACATGGTAGATTGATTTTACCTTTTTCCTACTTTATAAAAGGAACTATCCAGTATGTAGTCTTCTGTAGGTTTCTTCATTCAGCATTATGAGACTCACTTACATTGCTGCATGTATTGTAGACCATTCACTGTTATTGTTATATACTAACCCATTTTTTGAAGACGGTACAATTTACTTATCCATTCTACTGTTGATGAATACTGCTTATTTTCCAATTTTTTGGCTATTATCAATGGACTGCAGTGATATCCTAGCACATATCTTTTGCTCATATGAATGAATTTTTGCTGGGTATATACCTAAGAGGAGAATTACCTAGTTATAGGATATGCATATGCTCCCCTTTAGTAGATACTGCTAAACCAGTTTGTAACAAATTTTCCCTTTGATCTGTCCTGTATAAGAGGGCCAGTTCCCTCACCAATACTTGATAGTTTCCATCATTTTTATGTAGCCATGTTGGTGGTATCCCACTGTGGTTTTAGTTTACAGAATTGTTTAAGTTTAATACAATTGAGCACCTTTTCATATGTTTATTATACACTTGATTGTCTCTTTTGTGAAGTTTTTGCCCACTCTCCTATTGGGCTGTTGTTGATTTTTCTTAATAATTGTGAAATTTGCTAACATATTATGGAGATAAGTCCTTTGTTAGATATGTGTACTGCAAGTACTTTTTCCACTCTATAATTCAGTCTTTTGAGAAACAGAAGGTCCTGCTTTTATTTACTCTATTGTATCACTATTTTCTTGCATGTGAGGGTATTTGATTCCTATTTTAACAAGTTTGCCTACTCCGAAGTCAGAAAGATGTTCATCTATGTTTATTCTAAATGTTTTATAATTTTGTCTTTCACATTTAGATCTACAGTCCATCTGGAATTGACTTTTGTGTACATGATATGTTTTTTGCCATGTGGCTATCTGATAAATGCAGCACTATTTACTAAACAGATAATCCTTTCCCCTCTATACTTCTATCATAAGCCATTTGAACATATATGTGTAGGTGTGTCTCTGGACTTCCTATCTTGTTCCAATGGTCAGTTTGTCCACTCTTATGCCAATGTCATATTCTCTCAATTACTTACTATATCTTTAAAATAAATCTTGACATTAGGTAGCTTTATTCTGCTTCAAGTTTGTCCTGGTTATTCTTAGCCCTTTGTCTTTTCACGTAAATTTTAGAATCAGCTTATCAAATTTAACTTCCTTTAAAAATCTGCTGGAATTATTATTTTTATTCCATTGACTTTATCAATTAATTTAGAAAGAATTGAGATATTAGCAGTATTGAATCTTCCAATCCATGAACACAGTATTTACTTAGGTCTTCTTTAATTGTTCTCAATAATATTTTAAAGTTTTAGATGTAATGATATTGTATATCTTTTATCATACTTGTTTCCAGTTTTTTATGTTTCCTACTATCACAGTAAATGATATTTCTATCTAAGGTCCCCAAGAGCATCTTTCGGTTTGATGATTTGCTAGGTGGACCCAAAGGACCCAGCATATGGTTATATTCATGAATATGATTTAGAGCTACAAACAGATGCAAAGCAATATCAACAAAAGGAAAGGGAGCATTGGGTGAAGTCTAGATTACACCAAGTACACGCTTCAAAAAGTTCTCTCCCAGGAGAATCTCACAGGATAAGCTTAATTCCCCCAGCAATAAATTGTGAGGTACAGAATGTTGTCTACCAGGAAAACTCACTGGAGATTCTGTGCCCAACATACCAAAATTCCAGACTCCCAGAGGGAAACAGATGTTCAAAATATACCACATTGTTTGCACACAGTATAGATACAGTGAAAAACTCTTATCAGCTGGGGTCATGAGAACCCTGTAGAAATCCAAGTTCCCATATGCCAGCTAAGGGCCAACCTTGCAAGTAGGCCATTTTGGAGATAAGCATTCACAGGTGCTCTAAATTAACTATATTCTGAACAGTATATTTTACAATTTTTATTAACTATTCATTTTTTACTGGCATATATTAATACAATGGACTTTTATACATTGATACTATATCCAGTGAACTTGTTAAATTCACTTATAATAGTGTACATGCAGATTCTTTTAGATTTTCTAAGTATACATCATGTAGCCATTGACTTTCTTTCAATATAAATTTGTGAACTCTTTCCCCATATTGAAACAGAAGAATGTAATGATTTCATTAAGCTACAATTTTCTATCCATTATCATGTAAACATGGTGTGAAATATAGTTTAAAAAAAAAGAGTTGAATATTTCCTTCCTCTTCCAAACTTACAAAACCAAAAAGATAGAGAGCTTCAGACATTCACAAATTTTAAAAAAGCAAAAAGGTCTACTTATAGTCTTTGGAATACACACCATTTAGCTTTATGAATCAGAGACATTATGGAGAACAATTCTTTAGGTATCAATATATGATATTTTTAATTTGGTTTGCAATTGGAGATAAAGTTATCTTCTCCTAACACAGGTTATGGAGCTCTGCTCTAGGCAAGTATGGAATGGTAAGCCATTATTTTCCTATATCCTTTTATTAACCTTTACAATCATTTTATTCTTTCTTTGTAACTTTTTCTTTACAAGAAGGGTAGGCTTTATTAACATTTACTAATTCAGACTATCTTATGCAAGTGACATAAACCTCCATAGTTTCAGCAAAAAGAAAATTTTATCATAAAAAAAATGTTTTGTAGAACCTATGAATAAAATGGAGTCTGTGGCTTAAGAACAACCAAAACCCTCGTAACTCTCTAGCCAACCCCATTGCCTATGTATATAATTTTGCTTTCTTCTCTCTCACACTGCAAAGTGCTTTCTCTAGCTCTCTGGTCATATCACTAAAAATCTGACCTCAAAAAACTGTTGAGCTCTAGTATTTTAGAGCATCAGACATTATAAGGATACTCATTTCCTTGGTCTCCCAAATCAGAAAAGATTACAAACAGTATATACCATGTCTAACGGAGTTTATCCTTTGATAGGTAGCTATAATGATGATGATGATGGTGATGACGATGATGATGACAGTGGTTAGATTGGAAACTTGCAGCTTTATGTAATAATTTACAAATCCCAAGGGCCAAATTTAATTGCCGGCACTCTGATCACAAGTACCAGAACCAGGTCCCATCTCCTCACTACTCTAAGCACTGATGGGAGAAGACGGTCCTTTACATGATCAGACTGGACCCCACTGGTTTAAGAACCAAGCATGGCCAATCCTAGATGTGATAGACATCAGGATCCACACCTTGCTGGGCATGGACAAAGACCAAAAAACTTCCTTGCAGTTCTGTCTCAGCAGAACCTTCACTGTCTAACCTTTTTCTGACGTCTAGTCATTGCCATTTCCTAGCCTACATCTGTTGATTTCGTTAGTGATGCTATAAGAGGACCTTTCTATGATTTTTCCTACTTCAGCTAAGCCCACTTCAGGAGCCCACAGACATAGGAGCCACACTGAGAAACCTATTCTCTTTTTACATACTTTGTGGTAGTCATCAGCAGATTACTTTTTCTCCCAAGTCCTCCCATTTCTGATATTAAATTTCTGAGGCCTGTACCCTTTCTCCAGTTACTTTTTTTTTTTTTTTTTTTTTTTTTTTGAGGCAGAGTCTCACTCTGTCGCCAGGCTGGAGTCTAGTGGCAGAATCTCAGCTCACTGCAACCTCCACCTCTCAGGTTGAAGCGATTCTCCTGCCTCAGCTTCCCAAATACTTGGGACTACAGGCATGCACCACCACACCCAGCTAATTTTTGTATTTTTAGTAGAGACGGGGTTTCACCATGTTGGCCAGCATGGTCTCGATCTCTTGACCTCGTGATCCGCCCACCTCAGCCTCCCAAAGTGCTGGGATTACTGGTGTGAGCCATCATGCCCGGCCTCAAATTACCTAAGTCTCAAGCCTGCAGCCATCTATCCACGTCTGCTGGACTACAGGCTGCTGCCTACATAAGGCCAACCCAGTCTCTACAGTGCTTTTTACAATAACCCACCATGAATTGCAGATGGAGCCCCAGCTCCTTCCATTGAGAGCAATGAGATGAGGAGAGGAAGAGGGCAATCTCTCAACAAGTCAAACATTACAGAGCTTTGAGAACGTTAAGAAGTCCAGCCTGCACTAGCACATTGTAATTTATTTTTTGCCTCATTCTGCCTACCTCAGACCTTCAACTCCTCACTTTTCACATATCTGGAGGCTAATCCCATGTGAGAAACACTTAGGAAAACAAGTGTGACAACTCTGCCTGAGTCCCAGAAAGAAAGCTCTCTCTGAAGGGGCCCTTCGGTTGTTTTCCCAGGTGACATGTTTAAGACTTGATCCCTGTTGTCTGAATTCCTTTCTCACCACACCCAAGGTCATTTTAATGAAAATTCCAAAGTCCAAGCCAAGAGGATAGAGTTGCTCTTAATCCTTCAGCAGTGCCGTCATTTGATCCCTAGACCCGCTGGGGTGATTATTGTGTGTCTGCAGAGCAGGGCTAAGCAGGCAGGAGGAGGAAGTGGCTGCCCCTGCAGGAGGCCTGTTTCTGGCCCTTGTTTCTGTGCTGGTGCTGCTGCTACCTCCCAATCCCTCCCACCACCCTTTCTCCCTAACATCTCAAGATAATGCTGATGCTCATGGCTGTTCTTCACCTTTTGCGGAAGTTCACTAATTCATTAACATTTTGTTAATATGATTCATTGTATTGACAAAGTTGAATCAGCAAGTTATTTAATTCCTGGTTTTTTTGCATGCTCAGAGGAGCTAAGGTTGTGTGTGGAACGTGCAATTATAATTCTTGACACCTTTACATCTGTGACTTAGCATTTCATCACAAGGTTTAAAACTTGTGTTGTAAAAGGAAATGGAAAATGTTAAGAAAAACTTGAGTGCTTTAAAAAAAATTCTTTAATTTGTTTTTATCTTCTCTCTAACTTCCTGAGTGATGAGAGAATGAAAGCGCTGACGACCAAATGTCTGGGATGTTTTGGGACCTCTCTGTCCCCTGGGCCAGATATGGGAACATTCTCCAGTGCTGCAAGGACTAATCATCAGGCTCTCTTGCTCCTCACTAATGACCAGGCAGAGCAGCAGCCCCTGCTTCCTGTCACGCTGAACTCTGGAGGCCACTGATTGCGGCCCGGCCAACCTGCCGCCAGCCTTCAGCAAACCTGCCAAAGTCATCTGTTTCGATATTTTCTTGCCTCTTGAGATTAAAGGGGTACATCCTTCCCCACACTGTCTGAAGAGAACAGAGGGGTACACTCTGCTTCAGGGTGTAAAATGGACTCCTTTCTTTTCAGACCCTGGAGGCAAACATGTCTAGGGAATAGCACTCTGACAGGAGAGACTTTACTTCTATTAAAATACTCAGGCTTAAAAAGACTAGAAGCTTTAAGAGAGTTTTGGAAATGGAAACTGTAAGTAAAGACAAGATTTGAGGCATGACCATCATAAATAATGTCTCTAACATGCTCTTTTTTTTTCACCAAATATAAGCGTGCTTAGGAAATATAAAAATGAATCTGATTATTTTTTTCATAGGAATGATACCACATCAACTTTTAGTCCCTACACCTATACCTCTTTCTCCTTCCCTTAACATCCGGAATTTTCTCTCACAGGCTCTGTTCAGCTCTACCGGGGAGACAGGAAGAGATTAGGTAATGATCTGCTGCTGAAACAGCTCCCATAGCCTGGTGGCATGTAGTTCCCCTTCTGTTCTTCAAGACTGGCTGTAGGGAGCATCCCTGGATTTTGACTCTCAAAAGGCATGGTTAAACAGAATAGGAGTCTACTTCAAGTTGCTATGGATGATGTGTTTGAACTTCTTGATTTATTAAGATGTATTCCTAACTTCCTTAAGAAACAAGTGAGAAATTTTAGCTATTATTCTAATTCCTGTGAAAAGAAAAGAAAGAAGAAAAACAATGTATTATTTAGAAGGCCTACCAAGAGCCCAAAAGCTCGTTATCCCAAAAGACAATCTATAAACTTCACTGCCTAGCCCTGGCCTGGATCTGCACATGTGCACACACAGACATGCAGAACAGTGAAGTCACTTCAACTATAGCACTGCTGCTATTTCAGGAAAGCCAAAATAATCCTCTTCGTATAATTGTTGGCACCCAAATAACCTCATAAATAATAACAATAAAATGTTTTAACATTCCTACAGTTTTCAAATCCCACATTAACTCATAGGGTCCTCCAAAAACCCTGTGAGATGTGATTTTACTTACCTCTTTTTACAGAGAGGGACCTGAGGTTCAAGAAGGTACAGAAAATAAGAAAATGCAGCAGGGAGCAGAACCCAGGGCTTCTGACTCTGAATCCACAGTCAGATTCTAGTCTTGCATCTGTGATTACTCAACGGCCTGGTATACATTGGATATTGAATCTAAGTCTTTGATTCCTTTATTGCAAAAAGGATGAGAAGGAGAAGGAAGTAGACAAAGGTTGGACCAGTTGATATTTAAAGACTGTTAGTTTCCACAGTTCCATAAATCCAAAAGCCTTTTTAGGATATTTGAGTGGCCATGGCCTCTTCTCTGATTTCTTGAGAGCAATCAATAACGGCTTTTAGCCTCTTCTTTGTGTAAGGGAGAAGTCAACTGAAGTTACAGTGACCTTGAGATTTCCATCAAATCAGCAAATGCACATCTAATAAGAAGGCTGTTGCTCTTCTGAAAATCTCTGCAAATCTGTGTGGTATATGCCCTACAGTCTACATCAAGTTTTCTGTACCCACTGAAATCTAGACTTTAGCCTCAAGCAGCTGCTATTTTCACTCTTCCAATGAGGACTCTGATGTACCTGTGTCCCCTCTTTCCTCTACCCTACAAAGAACACTCAAGGAAGGCATTGGAGTATCTATTTAGCAGATTATACTGAAGTTTTTTCAGCAAGGGAGGTGGCATCAGAGCCCTTTACATTAATATTCATTTTGACACTTCTTAAAAGTACTCTACCACCCCAGCCCACATGGCTTTCTCATTGGCTGGCACGTCTCTAGAAACCCTTTGCCTGCTGTCCTGCTGCTCAGACCTTCCAGCACCACCATATGCAGGGGAGGAGGGAATGGAAGCCTAACCTTTTTTATTTAAAGGCAATAACAAGGAAACTTTCTAAATAAAAAGCCATCATCTCCAGCCATAGGAGCTTTCCTCCTCTAGGGGCAGAAATAGCTGTAATCAGTTGTGTTTTTAAATAGATTCTTTTTGTTTCTTATAGCGACACTGATGTCAGCTAATGTGATAGAGCAGAAAGAGCACTGAGTCTGTAGCCCAGGCCTCCTTCTGCGTCTAGATCTCAGTTTCTTTAACTGAAGTAGAAGGGTCTTGGAAAAGAAATGGATTTCTAACTTTTTTATGGAGGGGAGCTTCTTATTAATTCCTACTAAACGTGGGACTGTTCGAGAGGGAAGAAAAGAATGCACTGCTGCTCCTAGCTGCTGATGAGAGCACAGCGATTGAGCGCAAGGAAAGGAGGAAGCAGAGGAGCCCCACCAGCTCAGCCGAAAGAAGCCTGGCAGTGTGATGTGCTGATGAAAGTCTGAGAGCCTAGTCCTAATCCTAGCTCTAGGTTACACATACCAGTACTGATTGTAATCAGATCGCCTAACCTATTGTGTAAAAATATGTAATTTCTGCCCCATCTGTCTCACAGGGTTTATATGTGACTAAAAAGGAGTAATGTATATAAAACCATATAAAATGTTACTTAAAAATATATAACATTTAAGGCTGGGCATGGTAGCCCACACCTGTAATCCCAGCACTTTGGGAGGCCAAGGCAGGCGGATTGCTTAAGCTCGGGAGTTCAAAACCAGCCTGGGCAACATAGTGAGACCCTGTCTCTATTATTAAAAAAAGAAGAAGAAATATATATATGTATAATATTTACTCTTAGCTGGCAATCTCTCCCACTTAAACGGTCAGCAACATCAAGAAGCCATCCAGTGTAAACCATTCCTCCACTGTAGATTTCTATTAAATGGATCACCAATCCTACTTACCAGGATTGTCTTATGTCAGTTTTGTGTCAATTTTCTAAAACACAGTTATCTTAGGAAATGCAGGTAATCCTATGTAATGCCTGTGGGGGATATCTGATTGCAATTGTCATTTTGTATTGACATATTGGCACAGATTGGCTGTGTCTGGATCACATTTGAGATATGTGTTTTTATGAAAATTATATAAGGGGGAAGAGGAGGAAACATATACTTCCTCCCCTATATTTTCTTTTCAAAAAACACAAAATGTGGAGTACTTTCATATTATTGTTACTATTTTTATTATTATGTTTATCATTATTATTGTGATGTACAGATTATTTTCCACTCTGGCCATTTGCCTAGATATTATAAAGCCTCATCCTTTAAAATCAAGAGACAGTCTTCCTTTAGCTAGAACTGCCATCTTCCAGTGATCCATCAAAATGGGAAACACAAAGGGGAAGAGGGGAGGCACCCCATATACATTCTTTTGACCTTTTAGGAAACATGGAGTTGTTCCTTTGGCTACATGCATGAGAAACAGTTAAAAAAAAAAAAAAAGGTGATACTGTTGACATCCAGGGAATGGGTACTGTTCGAAAAGGAATGTCCCACAAATGTTGCCATAGCAAAACTGGAAGAGTCTAGAATGTTACCCAGAATGCTGTTGGCATTGTTGTGAACAAACAATGAAGGGCAAGATTCTTGCCAAGAGAATTAAAGTGCGTACTGAGCACATTAAGCACTCTAGGAGCCAAGATAGTTTCCTGAAACACGTGAAGGAAAATAATCAGAAAGAGAAGGAAGCCAAAGAGAAAACTACCTGGGTTCAACTGAAGCGCCAGTGTGCTCCACCCAGAGAAGCACACCGTGTGAGAACCAATGGGAAGGACCCTGGGGTGCTGGAACCTCTTCCTTATGTCATAATAGGTATTAAAAAAAAAAGACCTCTGGACTGAAAAAAATCAAGAGAAGATTTACAATGCATGGAAATAACTGTAATTTATCATATTAATTTGGGCTACCAGTAGCATCGTTTAGAGATTGTGCAAATTGAGTTCACAAATATCACAGCTTTGGAAGATCAAGAAGTGGTTTTGAACATAGAGATTCCAGGGAAAAAAAGTAATAATAAGATTAAGGTTCAAATCTGCAGTTAAATTAGGAAAATAAATAATTTTTACACAATAATTTATTTTGTCCAAGTTCAAGGAAAGATATTTTTAATTACATACACTACATTGCATTTTAGCATTATTTGTTTCTCTTTTTAAACATAGATTCTGTGGGCTTTTTGCCAGAATTACAACATTTCTACAAAGGATAAAAGAATAAAGTCACCCAGCAAGAGGTAACCACTGCGTGACTGCATAAACTGAAAGAAGGGCGCTTGAACCCATAGGGCTAATGTTACCGCAAACAACTTTTGATGGTTTCACCTGGTATCACCTTTTTCTTGTTCCTTTTCAGGAACCCTGGTTTCTAGAGCTTGCCTTATGGAGTGGGGGGTTAGAATCAGGAACTGCGCTGACCACAGAGGATCGGGCAACATCGACTGTGTGCTGTTTGCTAACTGAAAGTTCAGAGGGAGACAGTTTGGCCCCTCCTTGGACCTCTGGCTGAGAGAAGGGATGTACACGGAGTGGCACCAACACACCCAGGCAGACGCTCACATTATGAAACATAAATGCAGAGTGAACAAAGAGTGTTGCAAATCACTCAGCTTGGCTAGCTGCTGCCAAAGCAATTCAGTACTCCTCATGAAGCCTGCTCTGCATTCCAGAAAACAAAAAAAATAGAGGCCTGATAAGATAACCAGGTAATTAATGAAGCAATTTCCCCTTCCTGCTCACATGCCTGTATTTATTTTTTAATATAAATTATCATCATCTTAAGCAATAAGTACACTATCTTCCTGTAACCTTTAAGAACTTAGCCAAATGGAGCAGAACAAACAGTTCACGTCTTGGTGTCTATTTTGTTTTAGTTTTTAAGCTTACACCCACACACACAAAATCTTGTAAATATATTCAGCCTTTTTGGTTTTTTGGGTTGGTCTTTATTTTGCTTTGGCTTTTTCTTACTTTATTTTTACAGGACTTGTTTTGTTCTTTTAGTTTTATAGTCTGCTTTTTCCTAGGTTATATAAAATGGACACTTTTCAATGGTAGCAAATATTCATTTCCTCCAGTGAATTTTTAAATAATTTCAGCACCAAGATTACTTTTTCAACAACATTGTATGTGGATTCTAGTATATACAAATTAGACCTGTGCAGGCCCATCTCTTCCCTTGATACATAAACTTCTGAGGGAAGACAGCAGAACACAGGTCAAAAAATACTTCCCCTGCATCATTTCTCATGAACACATGGTATTACAGGTTCCCTGCTGTTCAATTAAAGATATTCTCGTACATTTTTTTAACCTTGCTAGGTAAATTATTCAAACAGCCAGAAGGGAAATAGTCTTAGAATTCTGTATTGGGCAAAATCATTAATGACTAGCTGGTAAGGGTCATGAATGATGCAAAAACACTTGCTCTGCCAATCTGTTTCATTCTGGACTCTGTGTTAAACTAATTTTTACAATTTGAGATTCTGGACTTTGTCAGAGAACTCACATATGCCAAATTGTTATGTAATCATTGAAATTACAAGGCTTTTGAAGCACTAAAGAGATAAATAGAACAGTTTGAGGGGTTTTTGGCCTGATCAAGGCAATCCATCTTTTGAATTACTTCTACAGCCATGCAAAGCATGATTTCCCAATGAAACTGTTACTCAGAATATTATCTCCAATGGCAGCCTGGCCTTCATCCTGACCATGGTTTCATTTGAAAATAATGTGCATTATAAAGGACAGTGGGCAGTGGGTCCCCTACAGAGCATTTTAGTTTAAGGGTCTAACTGATTATGACCAAGTTCCACTGGCACTCCAAATCATAAAGACAGTGCCATGTTCTATAGAGTTTCTTGATAGAATTTATGTATATCTCAATAGGCTGAAGGTTCAGAAGATTTCTGCCACACTAGATTGACAGAAGCTGATGGACAGGAACATGGAATCCTTGTGTTCTAATAGACAGTTAACTTGTGGTAGGTAGAATTTGCTGGACAGCTTTAAAATATGAACACACATGCTGCCCATCCTTTATGGGCAGAAACTCTACCATTTGTTCTCCAGAAAAAACAGGTGTGTGTGTGTGTGTGTGTGTGTGGGTGTGTGTGTGTGTGTGTGTGTGTGTGCAGACAAATGCTTTTAGCAATAAATGTCTTATTCCTTCATAGCCTCTTTGCCCCTTTTATGAAGAAGAATTATGTTAGGCTTTAGTGATATTTACTTCCATTTCTAATCAAAGTACATGTATTCAGCATATTCATATCTACATTAGACTGTAAAAGTAAAAAAAAAAAGCAATCATCCATGTATATAGTTTTGAATACAACAGCAACAGAAGTATTCAGTGAACCATCAGTCAAACAAGAAAATTTTGACAGACTAGCAACATATTATGAGAAACTATGAGAAGGGTTAAGAAATCAAGGGAGAAAATTAGATGATAGAGATGAGAAAAGGAAAAAATAAATGAAAGCAGGTGAAAATGTGAAAAGCAAGGAAGAAATAAGAATGTTCTTTAGAAGCAAAGCCTTGAGCAGAAGTTTAAAACATGGACACTAGTGTCAATTATTTAAAAATTATTTCACCTTTGTCCCAATTTCTTCTTCTAGAAAATGCATCCCACCTATATCATAAGGCTATTCCCAGGAGTACATGAGGAAATGCCAGTACAGCATTTAGCTCAGTAGTCAATGTGAAGTATATGCTTAGTATATGTTAGCTATATATATTAACATATATAACATTAAGTATAATTAACATTAAGGTTACATTAATTACCTCTGTGCAAACATGGTTTAGATGTCCCAGCATTCTAGGAAAAGCATCTAAGTCTTTTTCCAAAGTTTTCACTCTTCCCTGATTCCTTTGCCTCTCTTTCCTACTGTTTAATATCTAAAAAGTCATTCACAAAACAAAACGTCTCACTTTGCACAAGCACTCATGTTAGGGAAACAATCTAGTCCTTCCTTAAAAGTGGTTGCCATCTTTAAATTGAAATTTTTCTCTGTATTTCAATCTGATTTTTTTTTTTTAGTAAGAGAGACTTCTGAGGACAAAAGCCATATTTTCTTCTTTTCTAATCCATCACAGTAACCAATTCAAAACTGTTCATAAAGCAGATAATCAATACATTTGATTTAATGAATAATGTGCCTACTAAAGATAGAACAAGAAGCAGAGGTTAATTTTAAAAGTCTATCAAATTTCAGACTCCTAATGAGAATTCCTTGAGTCTTCTGGGTTTCACCTTTTTCACTATAATTGAAATGCCAAGCACAAACTGAGCAGTCTGCTAACAATCTGAAAAGAAAATATATTACAGTGATTGTACAGGGAAACTTGGAAGCGATTTTCTCCTGGGTTGGGGGTTTAAACAAACAGGAAGCCCTGTTTGGGATTTGTCTTCATCATCTTTCATCACAAGTCAGCCTGACTTCCTGATGAAGAAATGTGGAACTGCTTTCAGATTCTCAACCAGATTGGACAGAAATGCCAACTTTAAATGCAACTTTAAATTCAGAAGCTACTTCTGAATACCCACATTTCCATTAGACCACAGCTCTCTAAGTAAAATTTTGTCTCTTGATTTCTATAAGCAGTGGGCAGAAAATGGGCCTTTGTTCTAACCCCGTAGTTAAAGGATCACATTTTTTTCTATGACTGAGCATCCAGAGGGTATGAGGAGCAAACCATATAATCAAGAAGAATAAATTAATAATCATGGATTCCTTAAAGTGTTTTCTTCTCAGCATTAGCAGATAGTTTCTGTAGATACTTGAAAAAATATTACTTATGAAATGAAACTTTGAACACTCTATTAAAATCTTATAGTGATTTCAGAATAGAAAGTACAAAATATCTCACAATTTGTCTCTAGTCCATATATCTAAAATATACTTTTCAAAATTAGCAATTTCTTGTTAAACTTCAAATTTCATAAAGCTGTTTTGTTTAAACTACCATTACTAAAAGAACAAATATAGCAATTTTCAGGTTTAAGTAAAACTTGAGGATTTTTTTAATTCAAATAGATAATTTTCTACAAAAAGCCCTAGATAAATTGATGATGATTCTACATACCTAAAGAAGATGATGCCAAAATTTGAAGACACAGATTGAAATGACTAGTATTTTATCTAATATTAAGTAGAAAAATGCAAAATCAGGACTCTTCGTACTCTCAAAATTATGTTGAACTATACAATATTTTTAACAATATATGCCACACTGTGCAATAGAACTAAATACATATACACACACACACACACACACACACACACACACACACATATATATATTCCTCATGCCTCAGTGAGATTTTTAACACTTTGGTCATCATCTTCCCATCCTCTGTAATGTCACTTTGTACCCCATAAATTTATACAATTATAAATTGACAATTTATAATGAAAAATTAAAAAATAAAAATTATATTGACATCAATTCTCACCATAGACATTTATCTACTGGGGCTAGATATATTTTTCACCTTTTGAATTTTCAAAACCTTTTCTCACTGGTGTTTCCCAATATGATTTATTTCAAGTCTCCATTCTTATAATATTCTTGAAAATGTTGGATTAACATAAGAAAGGAAGAGCTTTTATAATACAGAGAAGGAAATTAAGAGCAGATTCATCAAATATGATTTTTATCAGACTAACAACAATACACGTCTGCAATTTAAATATATCTTGACTCAGTTAAATTCTAGAAGGCATTGTTTAATGTCAAAGCCCAGAGGAAGACACTCTAGGCAACTACCACATCACAAATATTCCAGATGTTTCTGGAACACACAGTTCCCTCCCCACTATCAGCCTGTGACGACCACCATTCAGCCTTTTGCACTATTATTCTAAATTGCATGTTGAATGTTTATGTTAAAAAAACAAAACAAAAGAAAGAGGAAAATAAACTTGAACGAAAACATACTTTGTTTTCTGTCCAAGAAAATAAAATGTGCATTTATTGACAAACATATGAATGAATTTCCTTAGAATGATGTAACCCCTCCAAAAAAAATCACAGAAGTCATCACCATGGGTGGTAGGATGCTGAGTTTCCCACAGGAAGCAGCATAGGTAATTGCTTGTTTGTTTTTGTACTGAGAGCATTCTATTATGTGCCTACGGGTTTCTTCTATGAGAAAATCTGCTGATGGGCCATTTTGTTTCACGCATTTTGTAGGTATTTGTCTCATGTGTTTAGAAAGTCCATTATCTTAATATGTGTTCTGTAGAAGAAATGAGTAAATGGGAAATACATGTGGTTGGCAAACAAGCTATACTATGACATAAGAAAAAAATCTACAAATAATGTAAACATATGAATTCCACCTTTTAAAATATAGTCCCTTCTGGAATAAGACTGCAAATTGGAGAAGAGCTAAATTATCTGTCCAGTTAAGTTGTCTGAAAGAAATTTAAAGTCAGGCCACTATCAGGCAAGCCCCATGAAAGGAAGTAAAATTCCTTCGTCAGTCACTGCCTTCATCCCCACGGATCCCAGTGAGGTCAATTTAAGAGTTCTACAAATAACCGTGGTTGGTGTACACTGAACCACATAGCATGCTAGAAGGTGGGGATACAGAAATGAATAATATGTGGTCCCTGCTGTCACAGAATTTATTCCATCAGAAAAACACAGACCCATAAACAGGCCATTCCAAAGTAACAGGGTCTATAATGACAGAGCTATTCCCAGCGAGCAGTTGAATCCAAAGGAAAGGAGGGTACTTGGCTCAGTAGGAAGAAGGCAAAAGCCTCATGGAAGCCTTCCCAGAGGAGACAAGCTCTGTGCTGAGCTTGGAAGAATGGATTGGAGACTTGGAGTCGGTAAGGTAAAGATGGGCAGACAAACATTACACAAGAAGCACCGACACATAAATTCAAAGCAGGATGTGATGTGCCGGGCACTGAAAGACAGTATCACCAGGGTACAAATTTTAAAGTGGGAAGACAAGGCTGCAAGAGCGCAGACCTTAGGGAATATGTGTACCACGTTCAGGAGCTTGGATGTTATCCAGTGGGTATTGGGAAGCACCTGAAAAACAGAACTCCTCCAATTCCTTCATGTCTCTCCCTTGTCACCAGCACATAGGACAACAGGGAAGTTACCCCCATTGGAAACAGGGGAGTGGAGGAGCCGGACCAGCCTGTTCTTTCTCCCCACCCCGCTGCCATCCTGAATTACTGTGTATTCTCCCTGTGCGGCCCCACTGGATTGAACATAGAGTATCTGGGACACAGAATAGAAGGGTAATAAGCTTCACAAAGAAGCGATATTAGAAAAAGACGTTAATTCTAATGCATGGCAAGGGAAAAAAACCATCAATAGCTAGAAATCAGAGAAGGAAGGCGAAGCATGAGCAAAGGAGATGGCACATGTAGAGGTGTGGGAAAATACATGCAAGGATGAGAGCCGAATATCCAGGAACACACTGGAAAGCATGTAAATCACTGCAAGAGAGTAGGCCTAGGTTTGTTTCACATGTGAAACAGTGTTTCGATGCTCAAATAAGTTATTCCTATACATATTGTAGTAGGTATATGATGGTATCTATTCTAAAATCTTCACATGGAAATCGGTCCCTACTTTATGTCATGGTCTATATTCACATAACAAATGAAATTAACCAGAAAAAAATATATATTGGAAATATTGAGTGAGAGAGTTGATCTGAGCGAGGGGAAAAAAACATAGGAAGAAGGAAGGCTGGACAAAGAAGAAGAGACATAAACAACTACAGCGATAACAGTAATTATAGAATGCTTACGATGTGCTACTATGGGCAGTTAAGGGCCTTCAGTGCATCTCATTTAATTCTCAACAGACTATTATTTTCCCCATGTTACAAGTGAGGAAACTGAAACTTAGAGGGTTTGAACAGTAGAGATGCTAAACTGAGGCCATGCAGGTAGTATATGGCAGGACTGGAACTGGAATCCAGGCAGTCAGAATCCAAACCCCCTAAGAGGGAAGAGATTGCCCTAGTAAAGAGAATAACTACAGGTTTTAACAATGCATTTAGTGAGGCAATACAAACAAAAAACAAACAAAATCCTAACAACAACAAAAACAGACTTCCTTGTGCAGAAATGTCATGAAAAAAGAAGAAACTAGGCTAGGGGTGGTGGCTCACGCCTGTAATCCCAGCACTTTGGGAGGCCGAGGCAGCTGGATCACTTGAGGTCAGGAGTTCAAGACCAGCCTGGCCAACATGGTGAAACCCCATCTCCACTAAAAATACAAAAAGTAGCTGGGCATGGTGGCGGGCGCCTGTAATACCAGCTACTCGGGACGCTGAGGCAGGAGAATTGCTTGAACCTGGGAGGCGGAGGTTGCTGTGAGCTGAGATTGCACCACTGCACTCCAGCCTGAGCGACAGAACGAGACTCTGTCTCCAAACAAACAAACAAACAAAACTAGTTTAATTGTCTCCAGAATGTCTGTGATAAAAAATTAACATCTGTACTCTTTTTCCAGCATGCTCCAAGTATAGACCATTATGAGGCACAGTAATTTGTTACTACTAACGAAGAATCTTAGATTATAAATGAAAATTCTGTAGGGAAAAAATAATGTCACACATCTAGAAAGAAACTATGAACAATATGCCTTACTTGATACGCGTACACATATTCTCCTAAAGGGAAAAAAAAAATTGCCATGCGTGTAAGTCCTGGCTACAAAAGAAAGGGATTTGCCTAAAGTTCTGACAGTGGAAGTGAAAAAAATCACTTTAGAAAAGGTCTCTTGTCAGCAAAATAAATTTCTAATTAGCCGTATCTTTCAATCAGCTAAATAAAGAGAGCAACTAATTACTCTGACCAGGAATTTCTTTATTCAATATTTTTTAGTCATCACTAATAGCCTTGAGAGCTTCATGATTCTGAATATTTCTTCATATTCAGGCAGAGTTAATCTGACTGTTGGGTCTGATTGCTCTGTAAAAGGACACTGCCCTGAAAATTGTTATATTCCATAAACTACAGGTTAGTTCAAACATGTAATAATGCCAGCTTCAAGAAGACAGTCCATAAAGTCATCATTTTATACCTCTAATTTTTATATTAATCTTTTTTAAAATAGTGCCTTTATCATCATTATTAATACTTACTGGTGGCTGATGACATCTTTAAATGATCAATGCAGACTTACATTCCAAACATCCTAAAATTCATTGATTCAGCAAATTTGTATCAAATGTCTAACAGGTCAATGAACTATAGAGGATGTTTTAGTGATAAGTAAGACAGGGAGTTGGAAACCAAGGGCCTTACAATTTAGTCAGCATCTCTTTTTATCAAATAACTCCCATAATCAAAGCGTAAATACTTAAATAAACTCACAGGCTAATCTTCCCCAGTACCTCTAAGCAAAGTTTATCTCCTAAGGGGCGATCTTTGTTCTATTTTCTGCATAACTTAACCATATTAAGAAACCCAGCCCATTTAGTAAGACTTCTATTTCTATGTCAATGGTGAATATGATGCCTGAAATTTTTACTTTTTCTTTCCAAATGCAGCAAAGTTCTAAATGTTCTTGTGGAGGAAGAAAACCAACTACAGAAATTATTTACTTTTTTAAAATTTTAAATGTGACATCTTCAAGTCATACTTTACACGATAAAACATTTCCACTTGCTGACGTGCTCCCCTCTAGCTGAAATGACACAATCATTTCAACCCACTGAATTTAAAATTGAAATACCTCTTTCTTCTTTCAGAAAGAAAGAGCCACCCTATGATTAAAATTTCCCACAGTTGCTTTTAAAGTGCTTAACATTTAAAAAAAAAAAAAAGTTTTTCTCTATTTTTATCGGAAATTACCCTCCCTACACAAACACTGTGGCTGGCTCTATGAGTGGCTTTGCAATAGTAGCCTTGCCCTCCCTCCATTCTCTGACTCTTTCTAGGAGTGCAAATGGACAGCTAGCTGCCTTTGAGGATTTTCTATCTTGTTCCACAGCCTCCCTCCAAACACTGGTTCCTTTCCCCTTTCCAGCGGCAGCTTCCCTCACATTGCTGAACAGCACAAAATGTCCTCTCAATCTGGTACTAGTTGCTATAGGAAATTGAGTTTTCAGATGATACAACGTTTAAACCAAATAACCTACTTAAACCTTTTCAAGTAAGAATATCTCTGAATTACTCCTGAGGTCATTATGTTTCCCTCTGCACTGCCTTTATTGGGCCATCGTCATTATTAAGTTATTTATTCACCCAACACTTTCTAAACATCTCTATTATGCAAATCACTTTACTAGGCCCTGCAGGAGAGAACTTTATGAAATTGGCACCTGCCTGCCCTCTGGTAACTCAGTCTAGAGGAGGCCCATGCCAGCCTACATAGCTCTATTACAGGGAAACGCTACCGAAGTGCTAGAATAGAGGAGGGGAAAGGCAGAGGGAATGGGAATGTCAGGAAGAGAGTAGGGCTCGCAAGATTCTCGGGGGAGTTGTTGACCTTGGCAAGAAAAGATTTTATTGATGTTTTGAGATTCAGCTAAATGAAAGCATAAAAAAGCACAAAAATTACTGAAATAAAGTAAAGAGGGACCACAATTCCAAACCATTAAAACACAAATTGGTATTCTTTTTTGGAATAAGGACCTGCCTAACAAAATCTCAATGTTTGTAGCTTGGGGGAAATCCCTGAGAAATAAAATAAAGATTCATAAGACTCAAGTTTTAAACCTTACTAATCTTAAGGCATCAACTATGTGTCTCCAGAGACCTGGGTGAGACCAGAACTCCTCTTTAGCTTATTTCCATTCCATTCTCAAGAATCTCCACTAATCCTTGCCACTCTCCCCAGACAAAATTCCTTTGGTCTGCATGGTTCAGGTTTAATGAAGCCACAATGATGCCTTCGCCACATTAGTATATGGCTTTTCCACATTCAATGTTCATTCAACAAACATTTGCTGAGCACCTATTACCTGCAAGACTCTTAGCTAAGGGAAGCAAAGATGAATAAAACACAGTTCTTATCTTTAAGGTGCTCACAGCAGGAGATCATGCATATAAACAGCTACCTGAAACAAAATATGAGAAACCCTGAAAGATTTGTAAGTAAGGAGCTGGGGACAAACAAGAGAGGGGCAAGTAAATTGACAAAGAGAAGGAAAGGAACCTTCGAAGACTTCACAGCAAGGAGACCTTGAGGAGCATGCAAAAGTATGCTCACTCTTTGCCTACAGGATGGTAACCAAATTTCTGGGAATGAAAGCAAGAGTCAGAGTTTAAAGGAGAAGATTTAAAAGGGTGAAGTATGCACTGTTAAGGGGTCTGCACCCATCCTCTAGGCATTAGGAAGAACTTTAAGCTACTTAGAACTTTTTTTTAATCCATCACCTCAAGCATTTATTTTTTCTTTTTGTTACAAACAATCCAATTATACTCTTTTAGTTACTTTTAATGTATAATAAGTTACGTTGACAGTAGTCACCCAGTTGTGTTATCAAATACTAGATCTGACTCATTCTAACTATATTTTTGTATGCATTAACCATCACCACTTCCCCCTTATCCATGACCCATCCCACCTGCTGATAACTATCATTCTACTCTCTATCTCCATGAATTCAATTGTTTTATGTTTTATCTCCCACAGATAAATGAAAACATGTGAAGTTTGTCTTTCTGTGTCTAGTGTATTTCACATGCCATAATGACCTCTAGTTCCATCCATGTTACTGCACGTGACAGGATATCATTCTTTTTTATGGCTGAATAGTGCTCCATTGTGTACATATACCACATTTTCTTTATCTATTCATCTGTTGATAGACAATGATGTTGCATCCAAATCTTGCTTATTGTGAATAGTGCTGCAATAAACATGGGAATGCAAATATCTTTTTGATATACTGATTTCCTTTCTTTGGGGTATATACCTAGCAGTGGGATTCCTGGATCATACGGTAGTTCTATTTTTAGTTTTTCGAGGAAACTCCAAACTGTTCTCCATAGTGGTTGTACTAATTTACATTCCCATCAAGAGAGAAAGAGGGTTCTCTTTTCTCCACATCCTTGCCAACATTTGTGTTTGTCTGTTTTGCATTACTAAAGACTGTTAAACAGAACGAATATATATATGTTATGTTTGATATATACAATATATATGTTATATATATGTTATATATGTAAAGAGGTACTGTTATACTAATGTTAAAATTATTTTTCTGATAATATAATCGACATTATATTATGGGCCAAGCATGGTGGCTCATGCCTGTAATCCCAGTACTTTAGGAGGTCACGGCAGGTAGATCGCTTGAGGCCAGGAGTTCAAGACCAACCTGGGCAACATGGCAAAACACCATCTCTACAAAAATACAAAAAAAAATTAGCCAGGTGTGGTGGCATGCACCTGTAGTACCAGCTACTTGGGAGGCTGAGGTGGGAGGATCACCTGAGCCCAGGAGAAGGAGGCTACAGTGAGCCATGATCATACCATTGCACTCCAGCCTGGGTGACAGAACTAGACCCTGTCTCAATAAATTAAATAAATAAATAAATACATATGTACATAATGAGAGAAATAAAGCTAAAAGCAGTAAAGTGAACTGAGAGACTACTCTAATAGTTAAGGTGAGAGATGAAGAAGATTTGAAGTTAGTGAAAATTGGGATTAAGAGAAAGACACAGAGAACTACTTCAAATGTATAATTGATAAGTTTTTGTTTTGGGTTTTGGTTTGGGTCAGGGTCTTGCTCTATTACTCAGGCTGGAGTTCAGTGGCATAATCATGGCTCACTGCAACCTCAACCTCCTGGACTCAAGGGGTCCTGCCACTCAGCCTCCTAAGTATCTGGGACAACAGACACATACTACCACACCCAACTAATTTTTAAAATTTTTTTAGTAGAGACAGGATCTCATATGTTGCCCAGGCTGGCTTTGGACACCTGGCTTCAAGCAATCCTCCTGACTCGGCCCCCCAAAGCTGGGATTACAGGCTTGAGCCAAATGCCCAGCCTTAATTGATAAGTTTGGTTACCAGTTACATAAGTGCAGCTCAGGCACTGAGAAAAATTTAGGAGGGCCTCTAGGTTTCTGACTTGGAGAAGGGGCTGCAGAATTTCCATTAAGGTATATTGAGACTTGATTTATGTCCAAGCACATCATTAATCTTAGAGAATGTTCTGCATGCAGATGAGAAGAGTGCATATTCTGTGGTTGTTGGTTGGAGTACTCTGTAGATGACTATTTGGCCCAATCAGCAAAGTATCAAATTTAAGTTCATAATTTCTTCATTGGTTTTCTGCCTTGATAATCTGTCTAATGCTGTCAGTAGGGTGTTGACATCTCCTCCATTATTCTGTGGATGTCAAAGTCTTTTCTTAGGTCTAGGAGTAATTGCTTTACCAATTTACTTCTGCTAGGTAAAACATTAGGTTGTTTTATGTCTTCTTTATAAAGGCATTTAGCTGTATAAACTTTCCTCTTAACGCTACTTTTGCTGCATCCCAGAGGTTTTGGTATATTATGTATCTATTTTCATTTGTTTCAATAATTGTTCTGCACACAGAACCTCCTCTAAGATTGACCACATGCCTGGACATAAATCAAATCTCAATATAGCTTAATAACAATTCTGCACCTCCTTCAACAATAATTTGCTTTACCAATTGCTTTACCAATATTGGACGTGTATATATTTAGAATAGTTAACTCTTCTTGTTTAATTGAACCCCTTATCATTATGTAATGCCCTTCTATGTCCTTTTTTTACTGTTGTAGGTTTAAAAAGTCATTTTAAAGTTTACCATTTGCATAATAGATCTTTCTACATCCCTTTATTTTGAGCCTTTGGTCATCATTAAATGTAAGATGAATCTCTTGAGGACAGCAGAAGGATGGGTCTTTTTTTGTTGCTCAATTTACCACTCTATGTCTTTTAAGTGGAGCATTTACACTGCTTAATAACTTCAAAAATATCAAATTTATACCAAGTAGCTTCTCAGACCACAGTGGAATAAAAATAGAAATCAATACTAAGAGGAACTCTTAAAACCACATAAATACATGGAAATTAAACAACTTGCCCCTAAATGACTTTTGGGTAAAAAACAAAATTAAGGCAGAAATCAAAAAACTTTTTGAAACAAATGAAAATAGACACAGCACACCAAAACATCTGGGATGTGGGAAAAGCAGTATTAAGAGGAAAGTTTATACTGCTAAATGCCTTCATAAAGAAGACATAAAACAACCTAATCTTGCACCTAACAGAAGTAGAACAAGAACAAACTAAACCTAAAGCTAGAAGAAGAAAAATATATAAAATCACAGCAGAATTAAAAGAAATTGAGATCCCCAAAAAACATACAAAGGATCAATGAAAAATTGGTTCTTTGAAAGGATTATCAAGGTTGATAGACTGATAGCTAGAATAACCAAGAAAAAAAGAGAGATTCAAATAACACAATCAGAAATAACAAGGGTGACGTTAGAACTGATCCCACAGAAATACAAAAGATCCTTATAAACTACTATGAACACCTCTATGCACACAAACTAGAAAATCTAGAGGAAATGGATAAATTCTTGGAAACACACAACCTCTCAAGATTGAACCAGGATGAAACAGAAATATTGAACACACCAATAGCAAGTAATGAAAATGAATCAGTAATAAAAAGAAAAAAAAAAACCAACCACAAAAAAGCTCTGGACCAGATAGATTCACAGCCAAATTCTCCCAGATGTACAAAGAGCTGGTACCAATCCTACTGAAACTATTCCAAAAAATTGAGGAGAAAGGACCCTTCCCTAACTCATTCTACAAATCAGCGTCATCCTGATACCAAAATCTGGCAAGGGCATACGAAAAAAAAAGAAAACTACAGGCCAATATCCCTGATGAACATAGATGCAAAAATGCTCAACAAAATACTAGCAAACTGAATCCAGCAGCGCATTAAAAAGTTAGTTCACCATGATCAAGTGGGCTTTATTCCTGGGATGCAAGGATGGTTTAACAGACACAGATTAAGAAATGTGATTCATCACACAAACAGAATTAAAAACAAAAACCAAATGATCATCTCAATAGATGAAGAAAAAGCTTTGCATAAAATCCAACAACATTTATGATAAAAACCCTAAACAAACTAGGGATTGATAAGAGCCGTCTATGACAAATTCACAACTAACATCACAATGAATGGGTAAATGCTGGAAGCATTCCCCTTGAGAAGTGAAACAAGAAAAGGATGCCCACTGTCACCACTGCTATTCAATATAGTACTAGAAGTCCTAGCCAGAGCAATCAGATGACAGAAAGAAATAAAAGGCAGCCAAATAAGAAAAGAGGAAGTCATCTGTAATCACTGACAACATGATTCTAGACCTAGAAAACCCTAAAGATTCTGCCAAAAGACTTGTAGACCTGATAAACAACTTCAACAAAGTTTCAGGATACAAAATCAACATACAAAAATCAGCAGCATTTCTTTTTTTTTTTTTTTTTTTTTTTTTTTTTTTCAGATGGAGTCTTGCTCTGTCTCCAAGGCTGGAGTGCAGTGGTGCAATCTCGGCTTACTGCAGCCTCCTCCTCCCAAGCTCAAGCAATTCTCCTGTCTCAGCCACCCAAGTAGCTGGGACTATAGGCACACGCCACCATGCCCGGCTGATTTTTGTATTTTTAGTAGAGACGGGCTTTCACCATGTTGGCCAGGATGGTCTTGATCTCCTGACCTCGTGATCCTCCTGCCTTGGCCTCCCAAAGTGCTGGAATTTCAGGCATGAGCCACCGCACCTGGCCAATCACCAGCATTTCTATACACCAAACCTGAGAACCAAATCAAGAATACAATTTCATTTACAATAGCCACAAAAAATAAAATACTTAAAAAAAATAAGATATGTAGATGACACAAACAAATGGAAAACTATTCTATGCTCATGGGTTGGAAGAATCAATACCATTAAAATGTCCATACTGCCCAAACCAATCTACAGATTAAATACTATTCCTATCAAATTACCAGTGTCACTTTTCACAGATTTAGAAAAAACTATTCTAAAATTCATATGTAACCAAAAAAGAGCTCAAATAGCCAAGGCAATCCTAAGTAAAAACAAAAAAGCCAGTAGCATCACATTACCCAATTTCAAACTGTGCTATAAGGCTACAGTAAACAAAAGAGCATGGTAATGGTACAAAAATAGACAGACCAATAAAACAGAATGCAAAACCCAAAAATAGAGCCACACACCTACAATCCACTCCTCTTTAGCAAAGTCAACAAAAATAACAATGGGAAAAGGATATTCTATTCAATAAATTGTGCTGTAAAAACTGGCTAACCATATGCAGAAGAATGAAACTGGACTCTGATCTCTTACCATATACAAAAATTAAGACAAGATGGATTAAAGACTTAAATCAAAGACCTCAAACTATAATAATCCTAGAAGAAAAGCTAGGAAATACTCTTAGACATTGTCCTAGGCAAAGAATTTATGATGAAGACTCCAAAACAAATGCAACAAAAGAAAAAAATAGACAAATGGGACTTAATTAAACTAAAGAGCTTCTGCACAGCAAAAGAAACCATCAACAGAGTAAAGAGACAACCTACAGAATGGGAGAAAATATTTTCAAATTATGCATCTGACAAAGGTTTAATATCCAGAATCTATAAGAAACTTAAATCAACATGAAAAAACAAGTAACACCATTAAAAAGTAGACACTTCTCAAAAGAAGACATACAAGAGGCTAACAAATATTTGAAAAAATGCTCATCATGATTAATCATCAGATAAATAAATGCAAATCAAAACCACCATGAACACCATCTCACACCAGTCAGAAAGGCTATTATAAAAAAGTCAAAAAATAACAGATGTTGGTGAAAGGGAATGCAGAGAGGGAATGCTTATACACTGTTGGTGGGAACGCAAATTAGTTCAGTCCTGGTGGCAAGCAGTTTGGAGTTTTCTCAAAGAACTAAAAATAGAATTACCATTTGACCCAGCAATCCCATTTCTGGGTATATATTCAAAGATAAATAAATTGTTCTATCAAAAAGACACATGCCCTTGTATGTTCCCTACAGGACTATTCAAAATAGCAAAGACAAGGAATCAACCTAGGTTCCCACCAATAGTGAATTGGATAAAGAAAACATGGTACCCACACACCATGGAATATTACACAACCATAAAGAAGAACAGAATCATGTGTTTTGCAGGAACTTGGATGCAGCTGGAGGCCATTATCATAAATGAATTAATGCAGAAACAGAAAATGAAATACCCCATGTTCTCACTTATAAGTGGGAGCTAAACTTTGGGTACATCCAGACACAAAGATGGGAAAAATAGATGCTGAGGACTCCATAATGGAAAAGTGGGGGATACAAGGTTTGAAAAACTACCTATCAGGTATTATGTTCACTATTTGGGTGACAGGATCATTAGAAGCCCAAACCTAAGCTTCACGCGAAATACCCATGTAATAAATCTGCACATGTACCCCCTGAACCTAAAATAAAAAAATAAAATATTTTAAAAAGGAAATAGCCCTCTTTAAAAAACAGTTATGCTGAGCACAATAAAGGTAGAGCTGTTTAAGGCAGAAGAAAATAAGGTGATTGAAGCTTACTAACTATGAGTTACACATTAGCAATTCAAATTGATTCATCCAGAAGTTAGCTGAGAAAATTTATGACAACATCTTGCTCCCCACACAAAGATATATGGGAAAAGTAGAGAAAAGAACTCAGGTTGATTGTATCTTAGACTAAAATAAACATTCAACAGAAAGATAGCTGGAAAATCTCAAAATACTTGGAGATTAAACAACACATTTCTAAATAATACACAGAGCAAAAATAAATCTCAGGAAAATTTTTAAAATATTTTGAACTCAATAAAGATGAAAACACAACAAAATTTGTGGGATACAGTAAAAACAGTGCTTAGAGAAAATTTATAGCACTGAATGCATATATTAGAAAAAACAAAGACTAAAATTGATCGTCTAAACTTCTACCTTAGGAAACAGGGGTGTTGGGAGCAGGGAAGAGCATATTAAATCACAAGTAAGCACAAAAAAAAAGGAAACAAAAAAATTAAAGCAGAAATCAATGAAACTTACAAAAGGAAATACAGAAATAAATGAAACCAAAAGCTAGATATTTGAAAAGAGCAATAAATTAATGACCTCTAGACAGGCTAAGAAAAACAGAGAAAAGACACATATTACTAACATGAGAAATAAGAGGGGACATCGCTACAGATGGCGTGAACATTAAAAAGAAAATAAAAGAACATTTTAAACAACTCTTTGCTCAGAAATTTGGTAACCTAGATGAAATGAACCAATTCCTTAAAAAACACAATCTACCACAGGTCACACAAGAAGAGATACATAATTTGAACAGCACTATATTAAAGAAATTGAATCAGTAATTAATAGCCTTCAAAACAGAAATCACTAGGGCCAGATAGATTTAACTGGTGAATTCTACCAAACATTTAAGGAAGAAATTAAACCAATTTTCTACAATCTCTTTCAGAAAATAGAAGTCGAGCAAGTACTTCCTAATTCATTCTATGGAGACACAATTACCCTAATACAATAATGTGTACAGTGTGTCAGTGTAAATTCATTAATTAACAAATGTACCACTCTGGTGCAGGATTTTGATAGTGGGGAAGGCTGTATGAATGTGAGAGGAGGGAGATATGGGAAATCTCTATACCTCTGTCCAATTTTGCTGTGAATCTAAAACTGCCCTAAAAAATGAAGTCTATTTTTAAAAACAAGATACTTAAAAAGTAAACATTGAAGCATCACCTTTTTAAATGTAATTTATTTCTTTTTTTTTTCCATAAGTTATTGGGGTACAGGTGATATTTGGTTACATGAGTAAGTTCTTTAGCAGAGATTTGTGAGCTGTATACACTGCACCATATTTGTAGTCTTTTATCCCTCGTCCCCATCCTACTCTTCCACCCAAGTACCCTAAGTCCATTGGATCATTTTTTTGTTATTATACCTTAAGTTTTAGGATACATGTGCACAATGTGCAGGTTAGTTACATATGTATACATGTGCCATGCTGGTGTGCTGCACCCATTAACTCGTCATTTAGCATTAGGTATATCTCCGAATGCTATCCCTCCCCCCTCCCCCCACCCCACAACAGTCCCCAGAGTGTGATGTTCCCCTTCCTGTGTCCATGTGTTCTCATTGTTCAATTCCCATCTATGAGTGAGAACATGCGGTGTTTGGTTTTTTGTCCTTGCCATACTTTACTGAGAATGATGATTTCCAATTTCATCCATGTCCCTACAAAGAACATGAACTCCTCCTTTTTTATGGCTGCATAGTATTCCATGGTGTATACATGCCACCATTTTCTTAATCCAGTCTATCATTGTTGGACATTTGGGTTGGTTCCAAGTCTTTGCTATTGTGAATAGTGCTGCAATAAACATATGTGTGCATGTGTCTCTATAGCAGCATGATTTATAGTCCTTTGGGTATATACCCAGAAATGGGATGGCTGGGTCAAATGGTATTTCTAGTTCTAGATCCCTGAGGAATCGCCACAGTGACTTCCACAATGGTTGAACTAGTTTACAGTCCCACCAACAGTGTAAAAGTGTTCCTATTTCTCCACATCCTCTCCAGCACCTGTTGTTTCCTGACTTTTTAATGATTGCCATTCTAACTGGTGTGAGATGGTATCTCATTGTGGTTTTGATTTGCATTTCTCTGATGGCCAGTGATGATGACCATTTTTTCATGTGTCTTTTGGCTGCATAAATGTCTTCTTTTGAGAAGTGTCTGTTCATATCCTTTGCCTATTTTTTGATGGGGTTGTTTGTTTTTTTCTTGTAAATTTGTTTGAGTTCATTGTAGATTCTGGATATTAGCCCTTTGTCAGATGAGTAGGTTGTGAAAATTTTCTCCCATTTTGTAGGTTGCCTGTTCACTCTGATGGTAGTTTCTTTTGCTGTGCAGAAGCTCTTTAGTTTCATTAGATGCCATTTGTCAATTTTGGCTTTTGTTGCCATGGCTTTTGGTGTTTTAGACATGAAGTCCTTGCCCATGCCTATGTCCTGAATGGTAATGCCTAGGTTTTCTTCTAGGGTTTTTATGGTTTTAGGTCTAATGTTTAAGTCTTTAATCCATCTTGAATTAATTTTTGTATAAGGCGTAAGGAAGGGATCCAGTTTCAGCTTTCTACATATGGCTAGCCAGTTTTCCCAGCACCATTTATTAAATAGGGAATCCTTTCCCCATTGCTTGTTTTTCTCAGGTTTGTCAAAGATCAGATAGTTGTAGATATGTGGCATTATTTCTGAGGGCTCTGTTCTGTTCCATTGATCTATATCTCTGTTTTGGTACCAGTACCATGCTGTTTTGGTTACTGTAGCCTTGTAGTATAGTTTGAAGTCAGGTAGCATGATGCCTCCGGCTTTGTTCTTTTGGCTTAGGATTGACTTGGTGATGTGGGCTGTTTTTTGGTTCCATATGAACTTTAAAGTAGTTTTTTCCAATTCTGTGAAGAAAGTCATTGGTAGCTTGATGGGGATGGCATTGAATCTATAAATTACCTTGGGCAGTATGGCCATTTACACGATATTGATTCTTCCTACCCATGAGCATGGAATGTTCTTCCATTTGTTTGTATCCTCTTTTATTTCCTTGAGCAGTGGTTTGTAGTTCTCCTTGAAGAGGTCCTTCACATCCTTAGTAAGTTGGATTCCTAAGTATTTTATTCTCTTTGAAGCAACTGTGAATAGGAGTTCACTCATGATTTGGCTCTCTGTCTGTCTGTTACTGGTGTATAAGAATGTTTGTGATTTTTGTACATTGATTTTGTATCCTGAGACTTTGCTGAAGTTGCTTATCAGCTTAAGGAGATTTTGGGCTGAGACAATGGGGTTCTCTAGATATACAATCATGTCATCTGCAAACAGGGACAATTTGACTTTCTCTTTTCCTAATTGAATACCCTTTATTTCCTTCTCCTGCCTAATTGCCCTGGCCAGAACTTCCAACACTATGTTGAATAGGAGTGGTGAGAGAGGGCATACATGCCTTGTGCCAGTTTTCAAAGGGAATGCTTCCAGCTTTTGCCCATTCAGTATGATATCGGCTGAGGGTTTGTCATAGATAGCTCTTATTATTTTGAGATACGTCCCATCAATACCTAATTTATTGAGAGTTTTTAGCATGAAAGGCTGTTGAATTTTGTCAAAGGCCTTTTCTGCATCTATTGAGATAATCATGTGGTTTTTGTCTTTGATTCTGTTTATATGCTGGATTACATTTATTGATTTGCATATATTGAACCAGCCTTGCATCCCAGGGATGAAGCCCACTTGATCATGGTGGATAAGCTTTTTGATGTGCTGCTGAATTCGGTTTGCCAGTATTTTATTGAGGATTTTTGCATCAATGTTCATCAAGGATATTGGTCTAAAATTCTCTTTTTTGGTTGTGTCTCTGCCCGGCTTTGGTATCAGGGATGATGCTGGCCTAATAAAATGAGTTAGGGAGGATTCCCTCTTTTTCTATTGATTGGAATAGTTTCAGAAGGAATGGTACCAGTTCCTCCTTGTACCTCTGGTAGAATTCGGCTGTGAATCCATCTGGTCCTGGACTCTTTTTGGTTGGTAAGCTATTGATTATTGCCACAATTTCAGATCCTGTTATTAGTCTATTCAGAGATTCAACTTCTTCCTAGTTTAGTCTTGGGAGAGTGTATGTGTCAAGGAATTTATCCGTTTCTTCTAGATTTTCTAGTTTATTTGCTTAGACGTGTTTGTAGTATTCTCTGATGGTAGTTTGTATTTCTGTGGGATCGGTGGTGATATCCCCTTTATCATTTTTTATTGCGTCTATTTGATTCTTCTCTTTTTCTTTATTAGTCTTGCCAGCGGTCCACCAATTTTGTTGATCCTTTCAAAAAACCAGCTCCTGGATTCATTAATTTTTGAAGGGTTTTTTTTTTTGTCTCTATGTCCTTCAGTTCTGCTCTGATTTTAGTTATTTCTTGCCTTCTGCTAGCTTTTGAATGTGTTTACTCTTGCTTTTCTAGTTCTTTTAATTGTGATGTTAGGGTGTCAGTTTTGGATCTTTCCTGCTTTCTCTTGTGGACATTTAGTGCTATAAATTTCCCTCTACACACTGCCATAAATGTGTCCCAGAGATTCTGGTATGTTGTGTCTTTGTTCTCATTGGTTTCAAAGAACATCTTTATTTCTGCCTTCATTTCGTTATGTACCCAGTAGTCATTCAGGAGCAGGTTGTTCAGTTTCCATGTAGTTGAGCGGTTTTGAGTGAGTTTCTTAATCCTGAGTTCTAGTTTGATTGCACTGTGGTCTGAGAGACAGTTTGTTATAATTTCTGTTCTTTTACATTTGCTGAGGAGAGCTTTACTTCCAACTATGTGGTCAATTTTGGAATAGGTGTGGTGTGGTGCTGAAAAAAATGTATATTCTGTTGATTTGGGGTGGAGAGTTCTGTAGATGTCTATTAGGTCCGCTTGGTGCAGAGCTGAGTTCAATTCCTGTGTATCCTTGTTGACTTTCTGTCTCGTTAATCTCTCTAATGTTGGCAGTGGGGTGTGAAAGTCTCCCATTATTATTGTGTGGGAGTCTAAGTCTCTTTGTAGGTCACTCAGGACTTGCTTTATGAATATGGGTGCTCCTGTATTGGTTGCATATATATTTAGGATAGTTAGCTCTTCTTGTTGAATTGATCCCTTTACCATTATGTAATGGCCTTCTTTGTCTCCTTTGATCTTTGTTGGTTTAAAGTCTGTTTATCAGAGACTAGGATTGCAACCCCTGCCTTTTTTTTGTTTTCCATTTGCTTGGTAGATCTTCCTCCATCCTTTTATTTTGAGCCTATGTGTGTCTCTGCACATGGGATGGGTTTCCTGAATACAGCACACTGATGGGTCTTGACTCTTTATCCAATTTGCCAGTCTGTGTCTTTTAATTGGAGCATTTAGTCCATTTACATTTAAAGTTAATATTGTTATGTGTGAATTTGATCCTGTCATTACGATGTTAGCTGGTTATTTTGCTCGTTAGTTGATGCAGTTTCTTCCTAGTCTCGATGGTCTTTACATTTTGGCATGATTTTGCAGCGGCTGGTACCAGTTGTGCCTTTCCATGTTTAGTGCTTCCTTCAGGAGCTCTTTTAGGGCAGGCCTGGTGGTGACAAAATCTCTCAGCATTTGCTTGTCTGTAAAGTATTTTATTTCTCCTTCACTTATGAAGCTTAGTTTGGCTGGATATGAAATTCTGGGTTGAAAATTCTTTTCTTTAAGAATGTTGAATATTGGCCCCCACTCTCTTCTGGCTTGTAGAGTTTCTGCCGAGAGATCCACTGTTAGTCTGATGGGCTTCCCTTTGTGGGTAACCCGACCTTTCTCTCTGGCTGCCCTTAACATTTTTTCCTTCATTTCAACTTTGGTGAATCTGACAATTATGTGTCTTGGAGTTGCTCTTCTCGAGGAGTATCTTTGTGGCATTCTCTGTATTTCCTGAATCTGAATGTTGGCCTGCCTTGCTAGATTGGGGAAGTTCTCCTGGATAATATCCTGCAGAGTGTTTTCGAACTTGGTTCCATTCTCCCTGTCACTTTCAGGTACACCAATCAGATGCAGATTTGGTCTTTTCACATAGTCCCATATTTCTTGGAGGCTTTGTTCGTTTCTTTTTATTCTTTTCTCTCTAAACTTCCCTTCTCACTTCATTTCATTCATTTCGTCTTCCATCACTGATACCCTTTCTTCCAGTTGATCGCATCGGCTCCTGAGGCTTCTGCATTCTTCATGTAGTTCTCAAGCCTTGGCTTTCAGCTCCATCAGCTCCTTTAAGCACTTCTCTGTATTGGTTATTCTAGTTATACATTCGTCTATATTTTTTTCAAAGTTTTCAACTTCTTTGCCTTTGGTTTGAATTTCCTCCTGTAGCTCGGAGTAGTTTGATCGTCTGAAGCCTTCTTCTCTCAACTCGTCAAAGTCATTCTCCGTCCAGCTTTGTTCTGTTGCTGGTGAGGAACTGCGTTCCTTTGGAGGAGGAGAGGCACTCTGTTTTTTAGAGTTTCCAGTTTTTCTGCTCTGTTTTTTCCCCATCTTTGTGGTTTTATCTACTTTTGGTCTTTGATGATGGTGATGTACAGATGGGTTTTTAGTATGGATGGCCTTTCTGTTTGTTAGTTTTCCTTCTAACAGACAGGACCCTCAGCTGCAGGTCTGTTGGAGTTTGCTAGAGGTCCACTCCAGACCCTGTTTGCCTGGGTATCAGCAGCGGTGTCTGCAGAACCACGGATTTTCGTGATCTGCGAATGCTGCTGTCTGATCGTTCCTCTGGAAGTTTTGTCTCAGAGGAGTACCTGGCCGTGTGAGATGTCAGTCTGCCCCTACTGGGGGGTGCCTCCCAGTTAGGCTGCTCGGGGGTCGGGGTCAGGGACCCACTTGAGGAGGCAGTCTGCCTGTTCTCAGATCTCCAGCTGTGTGCTGGGAGAACCACTGCTCTCCTCAAAGCTGTCAGACGGGACATTTAAGTCTACAGAGGTTACTGCTGTCTTTTTGTTTGTCTGTGCCCTGCCCCCAGAGGTGGAGCCTACAGAGGCAGGCAGGCCTCCTTGAGCTGTGGTGGGCTTCACCCAGTTCCAGCTTCCTGGCTGCTTTGTTTACCTAAGCGAGCCTGGGCAATGGCGGGCGCCCCTCCTCCAGCCTCACTGCCACCTTGCAGTTTGATCTCAGACTGCTGTGCTAGCAATCAGCGAGACTCCGTGGGCATAGGACCCTCCAAGCCAGTTGCGGGATATAATCTCCTGGTGCACCGTTTCCTAAGCCCATCGGAAAAGCACAGTATTCACGTGGGAGTGGCCTGATTTTCCAGGTGCCGTCTGTCACCCCTTTCCTTGACCAGGAAAGGGAACTCCCTGATCCCTTGCACTTCCTGAGTGAGGCAATGCCTCGCCCTGCTTTGGCTGGCACACGGTGCACTGCACCCACTGTCCTGCGCCCACTGTCTGGCACTCCCTAGTGAGATGAACCCGGTACCTCAGTTGGATATGCAGAAATCACCCATATTCTGCATCACTCATGCTGGGAGCTGTAGACCAGAGCTGTTCCTATTCGGCCATCTTGGCTCCTCACCCTGGATCATTCTTATGCTTTGCATTCTTATAACTTAGCTCCCACATGTCAGTGAGAACATACGATGTTTGGTTTTCCATTCCTGAGTTACTTCACTTAGAATGATAGTGTCCAATCTCATCCAGGTCATGGCAAATGCTGTTAATTCATTCCTTTTTATGGCTGAGTAGTATTCCATCGTATATATATACCACAGTTTCTTTATCCACTCATTGATTGATGGGCGTTCGGGTTGGTTCCACGTTTTTGCAATTGTGAATTGTGCTGCTCTGAACATGCATGTGCAAGTATCTTTTTCAAATAATGACTTCTTTTCTTCTGGGTAGATATCCAGTAGTGGGATTGCTGGATCAAATGCTGATTTAATGCAACTATCAAATGGTAGTCCTACTTTTAGTTCTTTAAGGAATCTGCACACTTGTTTCCATAGTGGCTGTACTAGTGTACAGTACACTGCTGGCTGTACCAGCAATGTAGAAGTGTTCCCTGATTACCACATCCACGCCAACATCTACCGTTTTTTGATTTTTTGATAATAGCCATTCTTGCAGGAGTAACATGGTATCTCATTGTGGTTTTCATTTGCATTTCCCTGACCATTAGTGATGTTGAGTATTTTTTCATATATTTGTTGCCCATTTGTATATCTTCTTTTGAGAACTGTCTATTTATGTCCTTAGTCCACTTTTTGATGAGGTTGTTTTTTCTTACCGATTTGTTTGAGTTCTTTGTAGATTCTGAATATATTCCCTTGTCAGATGTATAGATTGTGAAGATTTTCTCCCACTCTGCGGGTGGTCTGTTTACTCTGCTGACTGTTCCTTCAGCCATGCAAAAGCTCTTTAGTTTAACTAGGACCCAGCTATTTATCTTTGCTTTTATTGCATTTGCTTTTGGGTTCCTGGTCACGAAATCCTTGTCTAAGCCAATGTCTAGGACGGTTTTTCCAATGTTATTTTCTAGAATTTTTATAGTTTCAGGTCTTAGGTTTAAGTCTTTAATCCATCTTGAGTTGATTTTCGTATAAGGTAAGAGATGAAGATCCAGTTTCATTCTCCTACATGTGGTTTGCCAATTATCCCAGCACCATTTGTTGAAAAGGTTGTCATTTCCCCACTTTATGTTTTTGTTTGCTTTGTCGAAAATCAGTTGGCTGCAGGTATTTAGGATTATTTCTGGGTTCTCTGTTCTGTTCCATTGGTCTATGTGCTATTTTTATACCAGTACCATACGGTTTGGTGACTACGGCCTTATAGTACAGTTTGAAATGAGGTAGTGTGATACCGCCAGGTTTGTTCTTTTTGCTTAGTCTTGCTTTGGCTATGCGGGCTCTTTTTTGGTTCCATATGGATTTCAGAATTGTTTTTTCTAATTTTGTGAAGAATGATGGTGGTATTTTGATGGAGATTGCATTGAATTTGTAGATTGTTTTTGTCAGTATGGTCATTTTCACAATATTGATTCTACCCATTCTTGAGCGTGGAATGTGTTTCCATTTGTTTGTGTCACCTTTCTTTCAGCAGTGTTTTGTAGTTTTCCTTGTAGAAGTCTTTTGATTCCTTGGTTATGTATATTCCTAAGTTTTTTTGTTTGTTTGTTTGTTTTGGTTTGGTGTTTTTTTTTCAGCTATTGTAAAAGGGGTTGAGTTCTTGATTTCATTCTCAGCTTGGTTGCTGTTGGTGCATAGAAGACCTACTGATTTGCGTACATTAATCTTGTATCAGAAAACATTGCTGAATTCTTTCATCAGTTCTAGGAACTTTCTGGAGAAGTCTTTAAGGTTTTCAAGATAAACAATCATATCATCAGCAGTGAGAATTTGACTTTCTCTTTACTAATTTGTATGCCTTTTATTTCTTTCTCTTGTCTGATAGTTCTGGCTAGGACTTCCAGTGCTACGCTGAAGAGAAGTAGTGAGAGTGGGCATCTTTGTCTTGCTCCAGTTCTCAGAGGGAATGCTTTCAATTTTTCCGCATTCCATATTATGTTGGCTGTGAGTTTGTCATAGATGGCTTTTATTACATGAAGGAATGTCACCTGTATGCCAATTTTGCTGAGAGTTTTAATCATAAAGGGAAGCTGAATTTTGTCTAATGCTTTTTCTATTGAGATGATCATGTGATTTTTGTTGTTCTTATCTTTTTGTTTTGTTTTGTTTTGTTTCCTTTAGCTTGATTGTTTTTAATTATACTTTAAGTTCTGAGATACATGTGCTGAACATGCAGGTTTGTTACATAGGTATACATGTGCCATGGTTGTTTGCTGCACCCATCAACCCATCATCTACATTAGCTATTTCTCCTAATGCTATCCCTTCCCTTGCCCCCAACCCCCAATAGGCCCTGGTGTGTGATGTTCCCCTCCCTGTGTCCATGTGTACTCATTATTCAATTCCCACTTATGAGTGAGAACATGCAGTGTTTGGTTTTCTGTTCCTGTGTTAGTTTGCTGAGAATGATGATTTCCAGCTTCATCAATGTCCCTGCAAAGGACATGAACTCATCCATTTTTATGGCTGCATAGTATTCCACAGTGTATATGTGCCACATTTTCTTTATCCAGTCTAACATCGATGGGCTTTTGGGTTGGTTCCAAGTCTTGCTATTGTGAATAATGCTGCAACAAACACACATGTGCATGTGTCTTTATAGTAAAATTATTTATAATCCTTTGGGTATATACCCAGTAATGGGATTGCTGGGTCAAATGGTATTTCTGGTTCTAGATCCTTGAGGAATTGCCACACTGCCTTCCACAATTGCTGAACTAATTTATACTCCCACCAACAGTGTAAACGTGTTCCTATTTCTGCACATCATCTCCAGCATCTGTTGTTTCCTGACTTTTTAATGATTGCCATTCTAACTGGTGTGAGATGGTATCTCATTGTGGTTTTGATTTGCATTTCTCTAATGACCAGCAATGATGAGCTTCTTTTTCATGTTTGTTGGCTGCATAAATGTCTTCTTTTGAAAAGTGTCTGTTCATAGCCTTCACCCACTTTTTGATTGAGTTGTTTGTTTTTTCCTGTAAATTTGTTTTAAGTTCCTTGCAGATTCTGGATATTAGCCATTTGTCAGATGGATAGATTGCAAAAAATTTCTCTCATTCTGTACGTTGCCTGTTCACTCTGATGATAGTTTCTTTTGCTGTGCAGAAGCTCTTTAGTTTAATTAGAGCCCATTTGTCAATTTTGGATCTTGCTGTAATTGCTTTTGGTGTTTTAGTCATTAAGTCTTTTCTCATGCCTATGTCCTGAATGGTATTGCCTAGGTTTTCTGCTAGGGTGTTTATGGTTTTGGGTCTTAGGTTTAAGTCTTTAATCCATCTTGTGTTAACTTTTATATAAGGTGTAAGGAAGGAGTGTGGTTTCAGTTTTCTGCATGTGGCTAGCCAGTTTTCCCAACACCATTTATTAAATAGGGAATCCTTCCCCATGGCTTGTTTTTGTCAGGCTTGTTCAAAGATCAGATGATTGTAGATGTGTGGTGTTATTTCTGAGCCCTCTGCTCTGCTCCATTGGTCTATACATCTGTTTTGGTACCAGTACCATGCGGTTTTGGGTACTGCAGTCTGGTAGTACAGTTTGAAGTCAGGTAGTGTGATGCATCCAGCTTTGTTCTTTTTGCTTAGGATTGTCTTGGCTATATGGGCTCTTTTTTGGTTCCATATGAAATTTAAAGCAGTTTTTTCTAATTCTGCGAAGAAAGTCAGTGGTAACTTGATGGGAATAGCATTGAATCTCTAAATAACTTTGGGCAGTATGGCCATTTTCATGATATTGATTCTCCTATCCATGAGCATGGAATGTTTTTACATTTGTTTGTGTCCTCTTTGATTTCCTTGAGCAGTGTTTTGTAGTTCTCTTTGAAGACGTCCTTCACATCTCTTGTAAGTTGTATTCCTAGGTATTTTCTTCTCTTTGTAGCAATTGTGAATGGGAGTTCACTCATGATTTGGTTTTCCATTTGTCTATTATTGGTGTATAGGAATGCTTGTGATTTTTACACATTGATTTTGTATCCTGAAATTTGCTGAAGTTGCTTATCAGCTCAAGGAGTTTTTGGGCTGAGATGATGGGGTTTTCTAAATAAACAATCATATCTGCAAACAGAGATAATTTGACTTCCTCTCTTCCTACTCAAATACCCTTTATTTCTTTCACTTGCTTGATTGCCCTGGCCAGAATTTCCAATACTATGTTGAATCAGAGTGGTGATAGAGAGCATCTTTTTCTTGTGCTGGTTTTCAAAGGGAATGCTTCCAGATTTTGCTCATTCAGTAGGATATTGCCTGAGGGTTTGCCATAAATAGCTCTTATTATTTTGAGATATGTTCCATCAGCACCTAGTTTCTTGAGTGTTTTTGGCGTTAAGGGGTGTTGAATTTTATCAAAGGACTTTTCTGCATCTATTGAGATACTCCTGTGGCTTTTGTCATTGGTTCTGTTTATGTGATGGATTACATTTATTGATTTGTGCATGTGGTACCAGGCTTGCATCCAGGGATGAAGCTGACTTGATTGTGGTGGATAAGCTTTTTGATGTGCTGCTGGATTCAGTTTGCCAGTATTTTATTAAGGATTTTCGCATTGATGTTCATCAGGGATATTGGTCTGAAATTTTCTTTTTTTTTTTGTTGTGTCTCTGACAGGTCTTGGTATCAGGAGGATGCTGGCCTCATAAAATGAGTTAGGGAGGAGTCCCTCTTTTTCTATTGTTTGGAATAGTTTCAGAAGGAATGGTACCAGCTCCTCTTTGTACTTCTGGTAGAATTAGCCTGTGAATACTTCTGGTCTTGGGCTTTTTTTGGTTGGTAGGCTATTAATTACTGCCTCAATTTCAGAACCTGTTATTGGTCTATTCAGAGATTCAACTTCGTCCTGGTTTAGTCTTGGGAGGGTGTATGTGTCCAGGAATTTATCCATTTCTTCTAAATTGTCTAGTTTATTTGCATAGAGGTGTTTACAGTATTCTCTGATGGTAGTTTGTATTTCCATGGCATTAGCGGTGATCTCCCCTTTACCATTTTTTATTGTGTCTATTTGATTCTTCTCTCTTTTCTTTTTTATTAGTCTGGCTAGCGGTCTATCTATTTTGTTAATCTTTTCAAAAAACTATCTCCTGGATTCATTGATTTTTTTGAAGGGTTTTTCATGTCTCTATCTCCTTCAGTTCTGCTCTGATCTTAGTTATTTCTTGTCTTCTGCTAGCTTTTGAACTTGTTTGCTCTTGCTTCTCTAGTTCTTTTAATTTTGTTGTTAGGGTGTCGATTTTAGATCTTTCCTGCTTTCTCATGTGGGCATGTAGTGCTATAAATGTACCTCCAAACACTGCTTTAGCTGTGTACCAGAGATTCTGAGATGTTATGTCTTTGTTCTTGTTCTCACTGGTTTCAAAGAACTTATTTATTTCTGCCTTAATTTCATTATTTACCCAGTAGTCATTCAGGAGCAGGTTGTTCAGTTTCCATGTAGTTGTGCAGTTTTGAGTGAGTTTCTTAATCCTGAGTGCTAATTGATTGCACTGTGGTCTGAGAGAGTGTTTATCATGATTTCCATTCTTTTGCCTTTGCTGAGGGTGTTTTACTTCCAATTATGTGATGAATTTTAGAATAACTGCTATGTGATGCTGGGAAGAATGTATTTTCTGTTGATTTGTGGTGGAGAGTTCTGTAGATGTCTATTAGGTGTGTTTGGTCCAGAGCTGAATTCAAGTCCTAAATAACCTCGTTAATTTTCTGTCTCATTGATCTGTCTAACACCGACAGTGGAGTGTTAAAGTCTCCTGCTATTATTGTGTGGGAGTCTAAGTCTCTTTATAGGTCTCCAAGAACTTGCTTTATGAATCTGGATGCTCCTCTATTGAGTGCATATATATTTAGGATAGTTAGCTCTTCTTGTTGCATTGATCCCTTTACCATTACGTAATACCCTTCTTTATCTTTTTTGATCTTTGTTGGTTTAAAGTCTGTTTTATCAGAGTCTAGGATTGTAACACCTGCTTTTTTTTTTCTTTTTTTGCTATCCATTTGCATAGTAAATATTCCTCCATCCCTTTATTTTGAGCCTACGTGTGTCTTTGCATGTGAGATGGGTCTCCTGAATACAGCACACTGATGGGTTTTGACTCTTTATCCAATTTGCCAGTCTGTGTCTTTTAATTGGGTCATTTAGCCCCTTTACATTTAAGGTTAATATTGTTATCTGTGAATTTGATCCTGTCATTATGATGCTAGCTGGTTATTTTGCCTGTTAGTTGATGTAGTTTCTTCAAAGTGTCGATGGTCTTTAGATTTTGGTATGTTTTTGCAGTGGCTGGTACCAGTTTCCCCTTCCATATTCAGTGCTTCCTTCAGTAGCTCTTATAAGGCAGGCCTGGTGGTGACAGAATCTCTCAGCATTTGCTTATCTGTAAAGGGTTTTATTTCTCCTTCACTTATGAAGCTTATTTAGGCTAGATATGAAATTCTGGGTTGAAAATTCTTTTCTTTAAGAATGTTGAATATTGGCCCCAACTCTATTCTAGCTTATAGGGTGTCTGCAGAGAGATCTGCTGTTAGTCTGATGGGCTTCCCTTTGTGGGTAACCCGACCTTTCTCTCTGGCTGCCCTTAACATTTTTTCCTTCATTTCAACCTTGGTGAATCTGACAATTCTGTGTCTTGTTGTTGGCTCTTCTTGTGGAGTATCTTAGTGGTGTTCTCTGTATTTCTTGAATTTGAATATTGGCCTATCTTGCTAGGTTGGGGAAGTTCTCCTGGATAATATCCTGCAGAGTGTTTTCCAACTTGGTTCCATTCTCCCCATCACTTTCAGGTACACCTCAAATGTATGTTTGGTCTTTTCACATAGCATATTTCTTGGAGGCTTTGTTTGTTCCTTTTCATTTTTTTTTTCTCTCATCTAGTCTTCACACTTTATTTCATTAAGTTCATCTTCAATCTCTCATATCCCTTCTTCTGCTTGGTCGATTTGGCTACTGATACTTGTGTATGCTTCAAGAAGTTCTCCTGCTGTGTTTTTCAGCTCCATGATGTCATTTATGTTCTTCTCTAAACTGGTTATTCTAGTTAGCAGTTCATGTAATCTTTTATCAAGGTTCTTAGCTTCCTTGCACTGGGTTAGAACATGTTCCTCTAGCTCAAAGGAGTTTGTTATTACCCACCTTCTGAAGTCTACTTCTGTCAATTCATCAAACTCATTCTCCATCCAGTTTTGTTCCCTTGCTGGTGAGGAGTGTGATCCTTTGGAGGAGAAGAGGCATTCTGGTTTGGGGAATTTTCAGCCTTTTTGCACTGGGTTTTCCTCATCTTCATGGATTTATGTACCTTTATGATGCCTGCCCAGAGAGGACGAATCTAGAAAGGCAGACTGGCTACAGTGGCTTTGCCGCACCACAGTGGGTTCTGCCCAGTTCGAACTTCCCACATGGCTTTCTTTACATTGTGAGGGGAAAACGCCTACTCAAGCCTCAGTAATGGCAAATGCCCCTCCCCCCACCAAGCTGGAGCATCCCAGGTTGACTTCAGACTGCTGTGCTGGCAGCAAGAATTTCAACCCAGTGGATCTTAGCTTGCTGGGCTCCATGGAAGTAGGATCCACTGAGTTAGACAACTTAGATCCCTGGCTTCAGCCCCCTTTCCAGGGAAGTGAGCGGTTTTGTCTTGCTGTGGTTCCAGGCGCCACTGAGGTAAGAAAAATAACTCCTGCAGCTACCTCGGTGTCTGCCCAAATGGCCGCCCAGTTTTGTGCTTGAAACCCAGGGCCCTCATGGTGTAGGCACCCAAGGGAATCTTCTGGTCTGTGGGTTGTGAAAACTGTAGGAAAAGCATAGTATCTGGGCCAGATAACACAGTCCCTCACAGCACAGTCCCTCATGGCTTCCCTTGACTAGGGGAGGGAGTTCCCCACCCCCTTGTACTTCCTGGGTGAGGCAACGCCCTACCCTGCTTCTACTTGCTCTCCATAGGCTGCACCCACTGTCTAACCAGTCTCAGTGTGATGAGCCAGGTACCTCAGCTGGAAATGCAGAAATCATCCACCTTCTGCATTGGTCTTGCTGGGAGCTGCAGACCAGAGCCGTTCCTATTCAGCCATCTTGCCAACACTCCAATCATGTGACTTTTGTTTTTAATTCTGTTTATGTGCTGTATCACATTTATTGACTTGCATATTTTAAACCATCCCTGCATCCCTGGTATGAAACCCACTTGATCATGGTGGATTATCTTTTTGATATGTTGTTGGATTTGGTCAGCTAGTATTTTGTTAAGGATTTTAGCATCTATGTTTATCAAGTATATTGATCTGTAGTTTTCTTTTTTGGTTTTGTCCTTTCCTGGTTTAGGTATTAAGGTGATACTGGCTTCATAGAATTAATTAGGGAGGATTCCTTCTTTCTCTATCTTGTGGAATAGTGTTAAAAGTTTTGGTACCAATTCTTTGGATATTTGGTAGAATTCTGCTGTGAATCCATCTGATCCTGGACTTTTTTTGTTGGAAATTTTTTAATTACCATTTCAATCTCACTGCTTGTTACTGGTCTGTTCAGGATATCTAATTATTCCTAATTTAAGCTAGGAGGGTTGTATTTTTCCAGGAATTTATCCATCTCTTCTAGGTTTTCTAGTTTATGTGTGTAAAGGTATTCATAGTAGCCTGGAATCATCTTTTGTATTTCTGTGGTGTCAGTTGCAATATTTCCTGTTTTGTTTCTTACTGAGGTTATTCGGATTTTCTCTCTTCTTTCCTTGGTTAACCTTGCTAATGGTCTATTGATTTTATTTATCTTTTCAAAGAACCAGGCTTTTGTTTCATTTATCATTTTTATTGTTTTTATGTTTCAATTTCATTTAGTTGTGCTCTGATCTTGGTTATTTCCTTTCTTCTGATGGGTTTGAGTTTGTTCTTCTTTCTCTAGTTCCTTGAGGTGTGTCTTTAGAAGGTCAGTTTGTGCTCTTTCAGTCCTTTTGATGTGGGCATTTAGGGGCATGGACTTTCCCCTTAGCATTGCCTTTGCTGTATCCCAGAGGTTTTGGTAGGTTGTGTCATTATTGTCATTCAGTTGAAAAATGTTTTAATTTCCAACTTGATTTTGTTTTTTACCCAATGCTCATTCAAGAGCAGGTTATTTAGTTTCCATGTGTTTGCATGGTTTTGAAGGTTCCTTTTGGGGCTGATTTCCAGTTTTATTCTACTGTGGTCTGAGAGAGTGCTTGATATAATTTAAATTTTCTTAAATATATTAAGGCTTGTTTTATGGCCTATCATATGGTCTATCTTAAAGAAAGTTCCATGCATTTTTGTATAGAATGTGTATTCTGTGGTTGTTGGATAAAATGTTCTGTATACGGCTAGGCAAGGTGGCTCATGCTTGCAATCCCAGCACTTCGGGAGGCTGAGGCAGGTGGATCACGAGATCAGGAGTTTGAGACCAGCCTGGCCAACACAATGAAACCCCATCTCTACTAAAAATACAAAAATTAGCTAGGCATGGTGGCAGGTGCCTGTAATCCCATCTACTTGGGAGGCTGAGGCAGGAGAATCACTTGAACCCGGGAGGCAGAGGTGGCAGTGAGCCAAAATTGTGCCACTGCACTCCAGCCTGGGTGACACAGCTAGATTCCATTGCAAAAAAAAAATGTTCTGTATACATCTGTTAAATCTATTCATTCCAAGGTATGGTTTAAATTCATTGTTTCTTTGTTGACTTTCTGTCTTGATGACCTGTCTAGTGCTGTCAGTGGAGTATTCAAGTCCCCCACTATTATTGTGTTGCTGTTTATCTCATTTCTTGAGTCTATTAGTAATTGTTTAATAAATTTGGGAGCTCCAGTGTTAGGTGCATATATGTTTGGATTGTGATATTTTCCTGTTTAACAAGGCCTTTTACCATTTTATAATGTCTCTCTTTGTCTCTTTTAACTGCTGTTGCTTTAAAGTTTGTTTTGTCTGAATAAGAATAGCTACCCCTGCTCGTTTTTTGGTGCCCATTTACAGGAAATGCCTTTTTCCATCCCTTAACTTTTAGTTTATGTGAGTCTTTATGTGTTAGGTGAGTCTCCTGAAGGCAGCAGATAGTTGGTTGGTGAGTTCTTATCCATTCTGCAGTTGTGTCTTTTAAGTGGAGCATTTAGGCCATTTACATTCAATGTTAGTATTGAAATGTGAGGTACCATTGCATTCATCATACTCTGTTGCCTGTCTGCTTTGGGTTTTTTGTTTTTTTTGTTTTTTAACATGTATTTTTGTTTTATATGTCCTGTGTGACTTTTGCTTTAAAGAGATTCTGTTTTGATATGTTTCCAGGATTTGTTTCAAAATTTAGAGCTCCTTTTAGCAGTTCTTGTAGTGGTGGCTTGGTAACAATGAATTCTGTCAGCATTTGTTTGTCTGAAAAAGACTGTATCTTTCCTTCATATATGATGCGTATTTTCACTGGATACAAAATTCTTGGCTGATAATTGTTTTGTTTGAGGGGGCTGAAGATAGGGCCCCAATCCCTTCTGTCTTGTAAGGATTCTGCTGAGAAATCTGCTGTTAATCTGACAGGTTTTCCTTTATAGGTTACTTGGTACTTTTGTCTCACAGATCTTAAAATTCTTTCCTTTGTCTTAACTTTGGATAACCTGGTGACAATGTGCCTAGGTGATGATCTTTTTGTGATGAATTTCCCATGTGTTCTTTGTGCTCCTCGTATTTGCATGTCTAGGTCTCTAGCAAAGCCAGGGAAGTTTTCCCCTATTATTTCCCCAAATATGTTTTACAAGCTTATAGAATTCTCTTCTTCCTCAGGAACACCAATTATTCTTAGGTTTGGTTGTTTAACATAATCCTAGATTTCTTGGAAGCTTTGTTCATATTTTCTTATTCTTTTTTCTTTGTCTCTATTGCATTTGGTTAATTTGAAGACCTTGTCTTCGAGCTCTGAATTTCTTTCCTCTCCTTGTTCAATTCTATTGCTAAGACTTTCCAGAACATTTTGCATTTCTTAAAGTGTGTCCAAAGTTTCCTGAATTTTTATTTTTTTATTTCTTTTTTTATTTTTATTTTTTTGAGATGGAGTCTCACTCTGTCACCCAGGCTGGAGTGCAGTGGTGCAATCTCGGCTCACTGCAAGCTCTGCCTCCTGGGTTCATGCCATTCTCCTGCCTCAGCCTCCTGAATAGCTGGGACTACAGGCACCCACCACCACGCCTGGCTAATTTTTTGTATTTTTAGTAGACACAGGGTTTCACCATGTTAGCCAGGATGGTCTCGATCTCCTGACCTCATGATCCGCCTGCTTTGGCCTCCCAAAGTGCTGGGATTACAGGCGTGAGCCACTGCGCCCAGCCCCTGAATTTTTTGTTTTTTTCTTTAAGCTATCTATTTCCTTGAATATTTCTCCCTTCACTTCTTGTATCATTTTTTGGATTTCCTTGCATTGGGTTTTGCCTTTCTCTAGTGCCTCCCTGATTCGCTTAATAACTAACCTCCTGACTTCTTTTTCAGGTAAATAAATCAGGGATTTCTTCTTGGTTTGGATCCACTGCTGGTAAACTGGTGTGATTTTGGGGGGGTGTTAAAAAGCCTTGTTTTATCATATTACCAGCGTTGGTTTTCTGTTTCCTTCTCATTTGGGTAGGCTCTGTCAGAGGGAAGGTCTAGGGCTAAAGGCTGTGGTTCAGATTCTTTTGTCCCGTGTGGTATTCCCTTGATGTAGTACTCTCCCCCTTTTCCTAAGGAAGTAGCTTCCTGTGAGCCAAACTGCAGTGATTGTTGTCTGTCCTCTGGGTCTAGCCACCCAGTGAGTCTGCCTGGCTCTGGGCTGGTACTGGGAGTTGTCTGCACATTGTCCTGATGGCCTCCTGCCAGAAGGTGACACTTCCCAGAAAGCATCAGCTATAGTAGTGTAGAGAGGAACCGGCAGTGGGCGGGACCCTAGAGCTCCCAAGATTATATGCCCTTTGTCTTCAGTGACCAGGGTGGGTAGGGAAGGACCATCAGGTGGGGGCAGGGCAGGTGTGTCTGGGCTCAGACTCTCCTTGGGCAGGTCTTGCTACTACTGCTGTGGGGGATGGCGGTGAGATTCCCAGGTTACTGGAGTTGTGTACCTAGGAGGATTATGGCTGCCTCTGCTGAGTCATGCAGGTTGTCAGGGAAGTTGGGGAAAGCCAGCAGTCACAGGCTTCACCCAGCTCCCACGCAAAGTGAAGGGCTGGTCTCACTCCCACCATGTCCCCCACAACAGACCCAAGTCTGTTTCCAGGCAGAGGACAAGATGGGCTTGAAAACTTGCCCCAGGCTACCTGCCTCCCAGCTGCAAAAGAAAGGTCTTGTTACTTCCCCCACCTATAGAGTCTTCAAAGTGAATTTGAGCCCTCCCCTGAGTTCTGACCAGCAGGCTTCTTGCCCCGTTCAAATGGTTTCAGAGTTCAGCTAGAGAAGTCCTTCTCCCTGTGTAGTTTTACCCCCCTGCTCCTCTGGCCACCCTCCTGATGGATCCCTGTGGTGCCAGGCAGGAATGGCCTGCTAGGGGACCCAGTGAGCTCCCAGGGCCTTTCTGCAGCTTCTTCTACCCCTGTATTTCGCTTGGTTCTCTAAGTTGACTCAACTGTAGGTAAAATTGGAAACTTCTCCCACAAACAGAACTTCAGTTTCTCCAGTGAGGGTGTGTGTTCAGGAGGGGATGGTCTCCCTTTCCCACTTCCACAGGTGGGGCACTCACAGTATTCAGGGTATCTCCCAGGTCCTGCAGGAGTAGTCTGCTTCCTTCAGAGGGCCTGTGGGTCCTCTCAGGATTGCTGATTTGTTCTTGCAGTCAATCTGGACCTAAAATTCACAACGCAAGACTCCGTGTGCTGCTCTGTGTAGAGCTGCATTCTAGTCCTTCTTCCCATCACCGTGATGATCCCTAACTCCTCAAGTTTACCTTTAATTCTGCTAGCTGAGGTTTGATTTATGGGAACAGATTGTTTCCCTTAATAAAATATAGTAGTTCCCCCCTTATGTGTGATTTCGCTTTCCTCAGTTTCAATTATCCATAGTCAACTGCAATCTGAAAATATCACATGAAATAAGATATACTGAGCAAGACAGACGACATTCACTTAACTTTTATTATGGAATAATGTTATTATTGTTCTATTTTATTATTAGTTGTTGTTATTAATCTCCCACTGCACTTAATTTACACACATTATCTTAAGTCTGTATGTACAGGAAAAAAAATCATAGTATATAGAAGGTTCAGTACTATCCATGACTTCAGGCCTCCACTGCAGGTCATGGAAAATTTACCCCATGAATAAGGGGAAGAATACTATATTCAAGACATATTTGCTGATTGGATGGATGCAAATACATTTGTTGTACTAACAAATAAATTGTCACTTAACTGAATTAGAATGTAATCTGAGTCCATACCTAGAAACTGGAAAATCTTCTGTCCCCTTCCCATCTGACCCTGACCCTCTAAAATTTGGTCTGGGGAATCTCCACTGAATGTAATTTGAGGTAAATGAGTTGTAAATACTTTAAACACTAAAAAGCTTAGAAAATATTATATTGTCCTATATCTGGCTTTCTGCTAAGTTGAGAACTTTTGGGTTTTAAGAATCATGTGGTAGAGCATCAGAGTTTTAATCCACATCACATCTTACATGTGCACTACTTAAAAGATTCTGTACTCACTGTACAAACCACTGTACTGGGAACTTGGAATTAAGGGACCAATAAGAGACAGTTTTTGACCTTACTTAATTAGAGTGTTGGAGAAAACAGTGTCAAAGAGGAGAATATCCCTCCAAATCAACTTTTCTCAGAGAAGTCAAAGAAAAGTTTATTTAGAGAGACATTTGGGCTTGTATTCCCCTAGTTTGACCTATATTTCTATTCGTCTCTTAGGGGGCAGAATATAAGAAAATCACTAAGCAGGTTTCATATATGAGGCACCATTAGCCAAATCCAACATGAGAAGATCAAGCCCTGGAACCACCCCCCTAATGCAATTTCTTGACTAAGTACTACCTGAAAAAGAGCAAATGTGTCCTAGAATTGATAACATAGGGTTAGGACACAAAACTTCGGATCTCTAAGACAGGAAATGTGCTTATCTTCCCATTAGAAACACACTTCAAAGAATTAGGCACATACTTCAAAGGGTGTTTACCAGCCTGTCTCTCTGATGCCTTGGTCTAGTAGCCAGTAATAACACCCCATTAGCACCTCATTAGCCAGAACTCAAGAATGCTAGAAAGCATTCCTGGATGAAGGAAGCATCCCCAGACTGAAACTACAAAGATTCCTCCACTTTTCTTACCACTTTTGTAGATACCACAATGGTCAGTCACTCTCAAAAGTAATATATGTCTGAGTTCTGGAGTTGGTGTCAGCTAAACAAATATAGCAAGGTAGAACACATTTTAACACCCAGATATCATATATCCAAATCTTCCTTGTAAAATACACTAAAATAGGCATCCAGTTTTGGAGCATGTTGGTGACATATGTCTCCAAAATTCTTGACTGACAATGAAATTTTGCCCCCAACCTCAGACTTAACTTCTTGGTCTCTTTCACTTTCTACATTATTAGAATTCCTGTTGCTTGTATACCATTTAATCTGGTAACTCATAGTACAGCACCTGGCACACTGCAGCCACTGATATTCTCATACAAGAGTTCAAAACACTCCTTCCTTACAAAAAGCAAAATCAACTCCCTAAGGAGATTCCCTTATTTGTACGTGGTATCTACTCACATGGCATAGTGCGAGAGAGTTGGACCCATTCTATAAATTTTTAAAAATGTATCTCATATAGTACCCATCAGACTGAATAAATACGCCCACCTAGAAAGTTAACATAATCTGTTCAGTTGTCAGACAACTAAGATTTTCAGAAACTTTGTAAGTGTTGTTTGAATGTTAAAGGAAGGCCAAAAATTCTAACATATTGTGGGGGGAAAAGTGACATTTCTTGATCCTGTTTTGTTCTAGAGTAGAGTATGCTCTTTTTATGGAGCTAAAAAGAAAAGTGAAAATAAGACTACATTGGGTACAGTATGCACTGCTCTGGTGATGGGTGCACCAAAATCTCAAAAGTCACTACTGAAGAATTTATTCATGTAACCAAACACCACCTGCTCTCTAAAAACCTACTAAAATAAAAAATAAATTTAAAAAAAAAGAAAAGTGGAAATATACGATGAAAATTAAATGACTAATATTCTTTTAAAGTAAACGACAGGCTGGGCGCAGTGGCTCACACCTGTAATCCCAGCACTTTGGGAGGCCGAGGGGGGCGAATCATGAGGTCAGGAGTTTGAGACCAGCCTGGCCAACACGGTGAAACCCCGTCTTTACTAAAATACAAAACATTTGCTGGGTGTAGTGGCGGGCACCTGTAATCCCAGCTACTCAAGAGGCTGAGGAAGGAGAATCACTTGAACCCAGGAGGCAGAGGTTGCTGTAAACTGAGATCGCGCCACAGCACTCCAGCCGAGGCCACAGAGTGAGACTCCGTCTCAAAAAAAAAAAAAAAAAAAAAAAAAGTAAAGGACATTCTGATGAAACCGTATTAGTATTCTTTTATATTCTATGAGCTGGAAAAAAATTTCAAGTTTTCCACAGAATATCAAGCAGCGATTCCACTTGGAAATTCCATCAGATCAAAGAATGAAAGGGAAAACTGCCTTATTCGATATACCACCTCGTGAAAACACATTGATAAATGTCATGTTATGCACACAATTCTAGATCAGTTACATTGCTGCGGGGAAATTTACTGACTATGCAAATTCTATTTTATTGCTAAGGATCTGATGAATGATTTAACGAAAATAATACAGATACATGTCTACAAACCAAGTAAGAAAGAGAGATACAATAAAGCCTGATTCTTCCTCCCAGTCCTAACGTCAACTACCACCATCAACAGTTTCTTCATCAAATTCCCAATTCATAAATCTATACATATTTTGTTCAAATTGATACATATATATACATTGTTCTGAATCTTTATTTGTATTTAATAATATATTTTAAAGTTCTTTCCACATGAACATCAACATAGTTTTTTGTTTTTTTTTTATTTTAGTAGCTGCATGACATTCCATTGTACAAACTTATATAGCCAGTCACTTAACGTTGGGGTGTTTCCAGTTTAGTAAGCTAGGTGTAAAGCTTTATTTTTTCAGAATTTGGTTTCAATGTTGTGGTAGTGTTGTAAAAATCAATTGGAAGAGCTTTGATACCTCCACAGCCTGATCTTTTTTTTTTTAAGGGTAGTGCTTTCGCAATGTATTTTTCTTTTCTTGTCTTCCTTGTAATTATTCTGTTTGGAGATTTCCTTTACATCTGAGATCAATTTTGGTTATACGTACTTTCCTGGAAAATCATCTATGTATCCAGGTTTTCAAATATATTTATGAAAAAATTCCTAAACATTTCTTGTAATCCCCTCTGTATCTGATTGTTTTTTCTTTTGGTTTCCAGCTTCATGTATTTATGTTATCTCCTTTTTCTTGTTAAATTAGGTTAGCTAGTGATTATCTGTGTTACTAGGGGGTTCTTTCATTTATTTATTAGTTCTATTGTTTTCTTATATTCTACTGCATTGATTTGGCTGTTATCTTTATGAAGCCTTATTTCTGCTTTCGTTTTTTCTTTTTTTTTTTTAAAGAGACAAGGTCTTGCTATGTTGCCCAGGCTGCACCTGAACTCAAGGGCTCAAAGGATTGTCCTGCCTCATCCTGCTAAGTAGCTAGGACAACAGGTGTGCACCATCATGCCCAGCTTTCTAGTTTCTTAAAAATAATTTTTCTGGTTTTTTCCTAACTTCTTATGTTAAGAGATCATTTCATTTGGTGTCAAGGACATAAATTTTCTCCTGAGCATGGTTTCAGCTGTATAAGTTCTAATATGTAATATTTTTATAATAGTGTTATTTTCTATTGCTCCACAATTTCAGTTCTGACTTCTCTCTTTGAGCTAAACATTGAGTTGTTTTTTTGCTATTATTGTTGATAATTCTGGGTGGTTGGGATTTTGTTATTTTATTTTATACTAAATTTCTAGTTTCAGTGTGTTGTCATCAATTACCATATTACACAATCTTTCTGGTTTATAGAATTTATTGCAGTTTTCTTTGTATCCAAAAATATGTTGTTGGGTTTTAATATTCCAAACATGTTAAAAATGAGACTGTATTTTCTGATTTCAAGTCAAGGAATTTTTTCAATATTGTTTAGATTTCATTATGTATATTTTTCAAGAAAGATGCTTGGTTCTTCTATTCACTGAATTCTTTTGTGTCTGAGATTATCTGTCTGTGTCCTTTACAATTAAATAGCTTGACTTGGTCCAAAATTGTCAAATTCTCTGGTAAGTTTCCTTCCTTCACAACCTTTCTCTTCTTCATTTACTTTCTTCTATGAACTCTCATTTCAAAACTAACATTGTCTTTAATTTTTCTAGTAACATGGAAGATTTTATCTTTAAAATGTTTCTTCTACTTCCCGGCATTACCATTAGTCTGATACGACTTATTCATCTATCTTATATAATAATAATTATTATTGAGCACTTTCTATATGCCACTTTACATGGATGAGTTCCTATTTCTTTCTCTTGTCTTACTATCCATTTGTATATCCCATGCTCATTCTTTTCAAACTGTGACTGTATTAGTCTACTGGAGCTGCCATAGTAAATACCATCAAATAAATACCATAATAATTTAATATCATAATACTTTAATACTATAATAAATACCATAAAAATACTACAGACTGGGTGGCTTAAACAACTGAAATGTAGTTTAAGCCACAACAGAAATACAGTTTAAGCCATCCATTTCTCCAGTTATGGAGGCTGGAAGTCCAAGATCAAGGTGCCAGTAGGGTTGGTTTCTGGTGAGGTCTCTCCAGGCTTATATACAGTCACCTTCTCACAATGAACTCAAGTGGCTTTTCCACTGTGCACATACAAAGGTAGAGAAAGCTCTGGCATCTCTTCCTCTTCATACAAGAACACCAGTACTATTGGATTAGGGCCCTACATTTATGACCTCATTTAACCTTAATTACCTCTTGAACAGTCCTGCCTCCAAATACAGTCATATTGGGGGTTAGGGTTTCAACATATGGTTTGAGGTGGTGACACAATTTAGTGCGTAACAATGACAGAAAACTGGTACTGCAAAAATCTTGAATTCAAATAGACTGTTTCAAAATATTTTCTTACTAATTCTGAGGCTTGGGTGTATCTCCAGCTACATGATCCATGCATTTGAGTTACTAAACCTCCATTCTTTCCATCTACATCCCTCAACACGCAGTGCAAAGGATATCTCCCCAATGCACTGCAAGGCATCTATAGGGCGCTGGTAATTGCTTAACTAACTGTCCTAAAAATAATATATGCATTTTTATTTACACATGCACATACATTTTTGTATACTTGAGATTTTTTACATAGACATAATAAATTTTGCTAATATAAAGCATATATAGCACACAATTTACAACATATAAAATATTGATTATAAAGTCTATACAGCCAATTGATTATCACAGAATGCTTCTCTTGTATTTTCCAAACTCATACCCAAACTATGGTTGCAATGAACAAGTGTTCTGACATGAATGTTTGGTGATACTTTCATTTATGTTACTAAGTAAAATGAAAGTGATACAAAAAAGATGTGCATCTCAGAACTTCATTCTTTCACCAATGACTTGAGCAACTTTCAGACAATAGTTTCAAATACTAGAAGAATACTTCCACAGTTTTTTGTGCCATGGCACAACACTCTTAATCTGCATCATTAACATTTTCTTCATCGCTTTAATTCTAATTAATAAACAAAACAATAAGTCAAGTATTTATATGCAGCATTTGCAGATTTTCATGATATAAATACTCCCGCCATGGCTGTTTTCAAGCTACCAATGTGATATATTACCAAATACAGGGTTGGAAAGAGATGCACAGTAGTTCACTTTCAGATCATATTTTCACCAGACAGATACAATCGATGGGAATAACCTCAAGAGCATAGATAATAATAATGTATCGTTATTAAGGTGTGATGAGTTGTAGTACTTATTGCCTTTGTTTCTCAAGTAATTTATTGTAAGTTTGTAATGTAATTTTTAATAATGGCTGTGTTTAACAATTGATTTGCAAACTTTGGAAATGTATCCATCGGCTCTAGAGAGCAGGTATGAGCCATCTCCAGCATATGAGTCTTCAGCTCTCTGCAATTCCCTAACAAATCTTCACCTTCTATCTTCTCCCTTCCTAGTGGTCAGCCTGCTTGTGATAAAAATGGTATATTTGAGCACTTCTGAATTTCCACCCTGACCCTGCTCCTCCTCGGTGGAGTAAACCTGAATTCAGTGATCTTCCTCTGACCTATCCAAACCCCTAGACTCTGGCATTCCAGAGAGAGAGCCTTGATTGGACCTTTCAGGATTGACTCCCAAACTGTGAAGCACCATACTTATTGCAGAGATCATGGATGTATGTGCCAGTACACTAAGCCTTTTCTGAGTTTGGTCTTAATTTCATAGTTTTGAGCACCTATACTTTGTTGTTATGGTTTGTATGTGTAATTATTGCCCAGTATTATTGCAGATGGCCTTTGTTATCTGTTTTTCATCATTGTTATTGTTGTTTATTAGTTCAGGAAATAAACTAGGATATAAACACAATTCTTCTGCCATCTCTAGTCAAAAATCTGCATTTGGTCCTAAATTTAAACATTTTTCATTTGAAAGCCAAGTTCCTCATTACATATAATGCCCTTGAGAAATGCAATTTAAAAGAGGTGCAATGAGAAAATAAAGTATGGCAGTACCAAAATAAATGTTCTTCACAAACAAAAGTGCTGAGTATATAGGAAATTATTACAACAGTGAAAAAGTCTGTATGTCAGTACATGTGCTAATCTTATACAAATGTTTAGAGGACCAGATCTTTTTAATCTTCAGCTGAAATGTATTACAAATCTTGTTTAAAGATAAGAAAAGAGGAAATATCTACATGTGTTTCCCATATAAATGGAAGATATAATTTTTAAGGAGGGGAAACAAGGACAATTGACTCACAAACAAGTCATTCCAAAATGGTGGATTCTGTGGTATTTATCTTCTGTTTGTGGAACATTTACAATACAAAAAAAAAAAAAAAAAAAACCCATGTTCTACATCATTCCCACAAAGTCTTCTATTTGCCGAAAGAAAATATATCATTGTGTAGAAGAAAACTAGAGGAAAAACAGAGGTATGTGATTAACATGCTCGATTTTTTTTTATATACACAGATTTATTTCAGAACACTTTGAGACATATCCTAATATTTAACATTGAAAAACCTGAACAAATACCCATTTTAGCATATATTTCTTCTTCAAAATTTACTTCCGTATGAGAGGGGGGATAAAAGACAATACAACCGAAAGCAAGACACTAAGAAAGAAAATTGCATATCTGGGAAGGATGAAAAAGAATGCATGAGATGGCAACAACCCATCCAATGTGAAACTATTTATCAGGCCAAAAGTCAGCTATCTTCCCATAGGAAGTTGTAGGGGGGAAGCATTGGCAAATCTTATCTTCCGAGGGAGATAGACGGTCCCTAGAGTAACAACAACTCCATCAAGTTTTCACTGAACAGTTTCCAGATAAATAATGTCTTTCCACAAATAATCTGCTCTCGAAAGGCAGCCCCCAGACATGAGAAGCAGGAGGAATGGCTAAGGGCTGTGGAATTTTCTGAACATGAACAGTGAAGAATGTAAGTCTTTGTAACTGAGGAATGAGATCATTTTGAAAAATAAATGTCTAGAACCAGGGCTATTGCACAAGTAGGCACGTTTTCAGGGCCTCAGAAAAATGCATTCTCAAGATTAATCTTTACATCTGTTTCCAGAGTCCTCATTCAAAAGTTGACACTTTTGTACAAAGAACACCCTAGTGCTGACTGTGACAAGCAGGCAGCATTGCCAGCGATTTACCAGCAACTCATAAATCTGTGGGAAATACTCCACATATAGTCCTGCCACCCTCACTAAACCCTTGCAACCTCTCCTTGCCCCTGAAATTTGGAGGCTTAGAGCACAGAGAGAAAATAAAAGCAATATAAAGTGTGAGAAGAAAGTAGCCTAATATATAAAATAAAAGACAAAAGCAGACTGGATTATGCCAGCAAGCCATCTGCACAGCTGAAGGCTTCTTCAGGCAAAAAAAGGCTCCACTGTTCCTGAATCAATTGCTTCCTATTCACAGGCTCACTGTATAGGGCTAAATTCAAAATGGCTCTCGGGAAATTCTTGCCAATCCTGTGGTCTGATTTTAGGCTCTATTTTTCCCTTTCTTTTAAAGACCCGAGGATGTAAGTATGTATTAGTGCTGTAAACTTGCCAGCATTCACTGGAATGAGTCAAAGGACCTGGCATTAAATCACAGGGATTTGAGTTGCTAATAAATACAGCAGGCCCCATCCATTGTTGATTAATTCTGACTGAAACCTAAACACCAAACAACAAACACTCTTCTGAACTGCTCTGGTACCCATTAGTTTGATGTGTTTATTAGACAGGGCTGTGTTCTTTCAAGTTTATTAACAACAGATTAAAAAACTGCAAACAAATCTAGGTTTCTTTTTATGATTTAAAAGTGTGGGTACCATTTACTAATGTTTTTAGGGTTAACTGTAAATCCAAACAAGGCTGAAAAAATTATGTCAAACTAAGATCTTGGTACAAAGTATGAATAGTTACTGTCAATGTGCACCTTCCATTATTCAAACAGTTAAAATTTCTATTTTATTTTTTAGAATTGTCATGTTTTTTAAATGCATCCTTGAACAGAGCCTTAAGCAGTATCATAGGTTGAAAAATAAAGTTTTTTCAAGTAATATGATTGATTGCGTACTTTTAAAGATTACAGAAGTTAATAAGACATTTTCATGGTATTTAATTATATTTACCATGTAGCAGAGTTCCTGTACATTTATTCTGATTGGGTCAACTAGCACATATCCATAGAATGTGTGGTATATTATCTATTAGCAGTGCATCAAAGTAAAAAAAATTACAAGCAAATGCACACTGTGCAAAGATAATCAAAAGTGCCCCAGTATCAAGAATTCAAATCATCATATTACAAGCACAAATTTTCAAACCATTTGAATATATTAACCGTGACTATTAAAGTCTGGGTGAATCCTTAAAAATTTCCAAGGTGCATACTATTAACAAATTGGTAGAAGTCCTGAAAAGGCCCAAGAAGTCCTCAAAAAGGCCCAATTATTGCTATTTCAAAGTCTTCAGTGGAAACAAAGATACGGAGACACATAAGTCATATTTACAGTTCCAGGAAAATTACCATAAAAGATATTTACCTTAATCTAAGCTACCTAAGCCTGCAAATCAATTGTACTGATTTAAAAACCATATATTTATATTCTATTAATAGGTTTTACAACTAAGTAAATTTTAAATACCATGTAATTTTAAGCACTTTTCTTTAAATAACGTGTGAAGAAGAAGAATTTTCATGTTTTGGCTAAACAGAAAACTTATTGTCAAATCTGGAGCCTTGGGAAATCCATCATGTCCCAAGGTCATATGAAGCAACATTTGGATTTGTAAAGCCTTCTATAAGTGCATCTGCTATTGCAGTCACAAAATATTCCAACCCAAATCTGTTACTGCAATATCTAAATTTTCCCCCGAGCTTCCCAGACCACCAGAGCTCAACTCAGCAACTCCAAAATTAAATCATTACCTCTTTTAATACTAAATCGTGTTTTCTTAATTTTAACAGCGTGTAAACTACCAAGCTTTTATTCCCTGTTTTTTCCATGAGCACACAAAAGCCACGCTAGTGAAGATCAGAAGACAAGTATAGCAGATTATAAATTTGATTGGCCCATTCAACCCAAAGATTACTACTATTACGGTGGTATTGGTGGTGATTACTATCATGAGACACGAGTAGTGTTTGACTTTATGACATCCACAAACAAATCCTCTTCACCAAAAGAGAGCATTATAAGCATTTCAAAAAACATATGGTACGAAAAATATAGCATTGTGTCGAAAATGGTGAAGACCTAGATACTTCATTAAAAAAAAAAAAGTAATGTTGCCCCTAGTACATGCTCCCACGAATAATTAGTTGATTGAGAATAGAAAAGAGGAGATAAGTGAGGTAGAGAGGAGGGCAGGGGAAGAGGGCATGGGGAAGGAACAGAAGTATGTTAAAGCTTATTACAGTAACATGAATCAAATAATGTTTTCAATCAATGATAGTTGGTTAAAACTAAAAGAATAAGAGAATAAATAACATGTATTACCAATAATTAATGACTAATTATTCCACTTCTATTTATTAGAGAATAAGCACTTTATAAAACTAAACTTTGCATTGTTAATTTTTTGAAGACTAGATTGAGATAATTAGCATCTTGTTATCTTTCGAGATAGAAAAAGAAAATAGAGAATTTGATGGGAAATTCATCTAGTTTTCTTTGATACTATTTGAAACACAATTTCTTAGTCAGAAAACTAAATGATGTTTTGGATTAACATCTCAGGCCTTTAATAATGTAGCCCTGTACAAAATTCTTTTTTCCTATAATGCCCAGAGATGCTCTGATTTCCCATGCATGTGGTTTTGGCCTCATCCTTTGTCTTTCATAGAATCTATCCCCTCTCTATCCATCTGTCAACATTAGACCCACTCTCCAAAGTCTATCTCAAAGGCACCAAGGTTAAGAAATAGAATATAAGGTAAGAGGTGGCAACCTTGTTCTGGAAATAGATCTAACTGAAGAAAGAAAGCAATCATTACATACACCAGAATATTTCAAAGTTGTGGGTAGAATTTCCTCCTAAAATTACACTTAAAGTGAGAATATTATGAATCTCATTTCTCTCAGTTGAAAACAAATCTTCTTCTAGATCCCCTAAACACTGATTGAGCGCCTCCCATCTGAAGAGTATTTTGCTAATCTCTAGGTGCCATTAACTGCCACCCTTTCCTAACCACTCAGGTTTGTTCTCAGCCACCACCTTCAACCTCTGCTTTGACATTTAGCATATTCTGCCCCTTTTGGTATTTGGGGTTTTTTTGGCTTGGTGGGGGAGGGGAATGTTGGTCATCATTGCTTATTTTTCATGCTCCACTATATTAAGTCCTCAAAAACAAATTTGTCTCTAGAGCCCCTAATGTGTAGTAGCTGGAAATAGCCAATGCTTAATGATTCCTAGTTGAATTAAGCTAGGACATAAAACTGAGTTTCAGAGAACAAAACCCAAATTACAAATTCCATTTTCAGTATCACTAGGAGATAGTTAAAGTCCATCACAAAATATGTAAAAGGATCCCCAAAAGCACGGGAGTGCAACAAGGGAAGGTGAGGGATAAAGTGATGAAAGGACTTTGAGGCTACAGAAAGAGCTGCCAAAGTGACTTCTGCTTTTCAGAGGTAAGGAACACACCCTGTGCAAAACCTCAGTTAAATCCCTTTATCTGCAAGAGTTGGAAGAGTATGTTCTGTCTAGTCTCAGGAACGTCCCTGTGCATGGTTTGATTCCAAGAAAAAAAGGAGAAAAGCATCAGTGAGAAGCCACACAAGCCATATTTTCAGGGATCATGAAGAGAGGAAAAAAATAAAACTTTGCACTGTAAGGTAGCATAAACAAGAACCTCCCAAAATGGCTGTCAATATCCATAGGAAAAGTAAAGGCTAGCCAAGTTATACACAAAAGCCTGAGTTATATAAAAATTTTAATTTTTCTGAAACCAGCACTGACCCCTCCCCTCAAGTGAGCCTCCTACAAATTGCAGAAAAACTCACCTTATCCAAAAATAGTTTATCAAGAAAGAACATACACAATATCAAATCAAAGGTATTACACATAAAAGGAGTCAAGGAACAGGAAATACAAATGACAGACCCAGATTAGTCTCAAGAAAAGTGTTGCCACTGCGAAGACGAATAGAGTGACTACACGCTTTTGCCATTAAATTAAAAATCTCAATGAGGTAATTGTTTCTGTGACACTAAAACATAAAGCTGTACATACAAGATGCAAGAACTCAAGAAAAAATTAGGACTCTTGGAGGAGATAAAATATGAACTTATAGGTCAGGGAAGGGATAGAAGGAAAAATAAGATTATCATAGAAATGAAGCTGAAATAAAAAGGTGTATGAGAGAAAATGGCCACTGCCAAAGTACATAAAGGATAAAAAGAAAAAGAGCAAGCAAAAATGGAAATAAAAAGATGAAAAGGATTAGAAAAGGAAATGATGAGCTGGGCATGGTGGCTCATGCCTGTAATCCTAGCACTTTGGGAGGCCAAGCCAGGAGGATCACTTGAGCCCAGCAGTTCAAGACTAGCCTAGGCAACTTAAGGAGACACTGTTTCTACAAAAATTTTCTTAAAATTATGCGGGCATGGTGGCATATGCCCATGATCCCAGTTACTTGGGAGGCTGAAGTGGGAGGATCACTTGGGCCAGGGAGGTTGAGGCTGCAGTGAGTCATGATCATGCCACTGCACTCCAGCCTGGGAGACAGAGCAAGACCCTGTCTCAAAAAAAAAAAAAAAAAAAAAAAGGATGTGGTGACTCACGCTTGTAATCCTAGCACTTTGGGAGGTTGAGGTGGGCAGATTGCCTGAAACTCAGGAGTTTGTGACCAGCCTGGGCAACAGGGCGAAACCCTGTCTCTACTAAAAATACAAAAAAATCAGCTGAGCATGGTGGCAGACACCTGTAATCCCAGCTAATCAGGAGGCTGAGGAAGAAGAATTGCTTGAACCCAGGAGGTGGAGGTTGCAGTGAACTGAGATCATGCCACTGCACTCCAGCCTGGGTGACAGAGAAAGACTCTGTCTCCAAAAACAAAAAACAAACAAAGGAAATGATGGTTAGAGAACAAACAAAATTTTCATAACCCAGGAAACGAAACAAAAATAATAGAACAAAACATATACTTAAATATAATTCAAGAAACCTTTCTGAAATAAAAGATTTGGATCTATATACTAAAGTATATTATGCACCCCAAGAAAAATGGACCCATAACTGTCAACAAGTAAACAGCTCCTAGTAAAAAATTAAACTAGAAAGAAAGTAGGCATTGGAAAGCCAGGCAAAAATATTAAGGAACTTATAAGGAGAAAATGTCAATCTGGAGTATTTCTCAAAAGCAAGATAAGGCTAAAAGATAATGAAGCTTGTTTGCAGTGGAAGATAGTGTAGATGTAAGTATATTACATCGGGAAGATAGGGTAGCTACTTCCAGAAAATTTTCAAGGAAAGAAAATAACCCCATGATTTTTTTTACCCAAAAGTCATTCAAGGATAAAGACAATAAACAAACAATTTTGTATATGCAAAACAATCAGTCAAGGAATTTTCCTCAAGAATATCTCACCCACTTTTCATTCAAGGAGTGATATGGTTTGGCTGTGTCCCCACCCAAAATCTCATCTTGAATTGTAATCCCCATAATCCCTATAATACCCATGTGTCAAGGGCGGGACAAGATGGAGGTAATTGGATAATAGGGGTGGTTCCCCCATGCTGTTCTCAATGATAGTGAGTGAGTCTTCAGGAGACCTAATGGTTTTGTAAGCGTCTAGCATTCCCCCTGCTTGCACTCACTCCATCCTGCTGCCCTGTGCCTGCTTCTCCTTTGCCTTCTGCCATGATTGTTAAGTTCCCTGAGGCCTCCCAAGCCATGCAGAATATAAGTCAATTAAACCTTTTTTCTTTACAAATTACCCAGTCTCAAGTATTTCTTCATAGCAGTGTGAGAACAGACTAACACAAGGAGGTTCTGGATAAATTGGCTCAGTGCAGATTGTTTCAGGCAAGGAAATAAGTGAACAGCCATGACTTTCAATTATTGTATACTATGGTGAACATAGTCCTACAAATCAAGCTGGACTTTAATATGGGGTTTATCTATCCCAATACTGGATGTATCAGGATCAATTAACTAATGCCAAAGATGCCTGCCGATGAAACCATCCCATTAACTACTCCAAGCCTGCTGCTTATTGTGGTAACCACACTGTCTCACGGCCTTTACCACCCTGCTTTCATCATGCATTCCCACTGAACTCACATGGACTATTTCCATGACAGCATCTCACTTCCTGGCCTCTACAGGACAACAATCACTACAATGATGTACCCTCACCATAACTTTCCAATTTCTTGGTAAACTTATTATAGTCTGGGCCCTTTTAGGACATAAAATTGTCCCTCATCCCTCAGTATCCAAGGGAGATTGGTTCCAGGAGCTCCCCAGGATACTAGAATCTGAGGATGCTCAAGTCTCTTATATAAGACAGTGTAGTATTTGCATATATAATCCATGCACATTCTCTCATATACTTTAAATCATCTCCAGATTACTTATAATACCTAACGCAATGTAAATGCTTATAAAAATAGTTGTTACACTGTATTTTTATTTGTATTAATTTGTATTGTTGTATTGTCATTCTTTTCAAAATATTTTTGATCTGTGGTTGGTTGAATTCACAAATGTGGAATTCAAGGATATGGACAGACAACTGTATAGCTATGAAGTGGGCAAGTGGGTCAGACATTATAAATCTACTTCTAAATCTTTGGATTCCTTCATCAATATTTTACCAGGGAATTTCTGGCATCTTGATTTCATTTAGTTTAGGGGCTCATTCGGGTTTTTAAACCAACTAACTGGCACATGGTTAGAACAAGCTTCAACTTCCTAAACTTGTATTGAATTCAGAATTTCGAGTAAGTGTGCCCATAGCAATGAAATGAGCCTGAAAATTATGTTCCTTCCTTTCTGGTGTAGCATCATTATATTCTACATTCATGCATAGTCTTTAGATTTCTACTGATATAAACTAGCTAAATCTGGGAATGATTGTGTTATATAAATATCTCATTCCTGGTCATATCTGTACTAATCTCTCTAGGGCATGTTGGTATTTGTAGGTATAAAGAGGCCCCAAGGGTGACCACGGTAGTGTGTGGGAGAATGGCCAATGCTTTATGAGCCAACTCCCTTGGATGAGGCACCACTAACCTCATGAGACAGGTAAGGATTGACTGGCACTGATAGAGTGATTTGATGGGTCAGGGTATTCAGATTCATTCCAAATCCACCCGAATGGCCACATTTCAATTCTCAGGTCCTACTTTTCCCTAACAATATTGTATATTCTTATAAGAGACCTGGAGAGATTGTGAATTCATCTTATTTTGGAACCCACAGACTCCTTTTTTCAGCTACATTATACTTTTGACTACAAAAGAAGGGATTCATTTAGAGCAAGAAGCCCCCTGGACCCAGTATCTTGAATTTGTCATTGTTGTCCTTAAATTATCCAGCACACCCTGAAGCAGTTACCATACCTCACCTTGAATTTTTCATTTACTACCATAATGGTCTAACAGAATAATAGCCATTTGATCTGACAAAACACACATTTAATAGAGCACCTGGCTCAAGATATCACAAGTGATACTTTAAGTAACTGGCCACTACATGCTGTGAAGTATCAGTGTCTCCTTTTCTAATGGTAGCCAAATTGTAACTGCATTCAAATCCAACAAGGTCAGATAACTGATCCCAATTTCCTATTTTAAATTTATTGCCACTATCCTACTTCTATTATTAAGTATTGTATCTGTGAAGTTTCAACCCAAGAAACAAAAAATGTTCTAGCTATTTTAATCTGTAAAATATTTAATTTAGGGAATAAGATGCTTTCAAAATCATTGAGAAGTCTGGAACATCAGGAGTTAGAAGTTTGCTCTTGGAAATACTGAATTTAAAAGTTTACCGTGGTGCTGACTCGGGAAATCAGGATGCTTCAGCAATTGCCTATCAACACTAATGAAATGGTGATCAGATGCTACAACACCAAGCGCAACTCCACAACCACTACAATTGCAATCTTTAAGTTAAATAGGCCAATAAGAGTCTTAGGCCTCCCATCTATTTCAATCCTATCAAGCAAAATTCCAGTAGCAGAGCTGACTCCATAGAGACCAGATGCAGAAGCCTCTTAGGCTTCCCATCTATTCCAATCCTATCAAGCAAAATTCCAGTAGCAGAGCTGACTCCGTAGAGACCAGATGTCAAAAGTGTGGCCTTAAAGACAGACCTGGTTCATGGTAAGCCAGAGGCAGTCTGAGGGTTTCTCACTGTGTATGGTGGACAAGCCAAATAGGAACCCCACTGCTTTCTACAATCTGTGCAACCTCACCACCACTACCACCGCAATTCACCTACGTGCATGCCCACATTTAACCACTGCTCAGCCCTTACATTCTTATATCAACACAGAAAGAGGCCATTTCTGAGCAGTTCTGTCATACTGCCTATTTAACCACTCCTTCCATGAGTTTATCCCAGATTATGTAATTAAATTGCGTCTGATATATAATCAAAGCCAGCCAGAATTGACAAATTTTGACATAAACCTAACTAAAGCCCAGTTTAGGATCTTGGAAATATGAAGCCATTACTGAAACCTGGAAGAAGATATAATAGGAGCCCATGCCAATGAGCTAACAGCACATTCACCTCAGATATAAAAATAAAATGTCATTACTAATGCTAACACAGTATGGATTCCTATACTTGAATAGCAATGAGTAAGCAAGTTTGAGGCACCAAGATGTGTATCTAAAGATCATCACACTTCCATGGGACTTTAGAAGAAGAAACAATTTTAGCAATCATCTTGTCCAAGCTTACACATGTGTTACCCAAATAAACCTAGGGCATCATATGGTGTCTCAATACATATCATCTTGCTGGAAACACAGTCCAGCAACAAAAATTTTAAAATGCTTTATTTCTTTAATATTGTATTCTTTTTACACAGAAATCCTTCAAAAATCTCTGCCCCATTTTTGCTTTTCTTAATATTTTATACATACTTTGCAATTGTTCTCCTAATCTTTTACTATCAACAACCAACTGCCAAAAACAGATCTCAAGACCTTCTCCTCAACCTTTCCTGTTTATTACATAGATCAACTTAGGCTTTTTTAAAAAAATTTTTCTGGCCAGGCGCAGTGGCTCACGCCTGTAATCCCAGCACTTTGGGAGGCCGAGGCAGGCAGATCATGAGGTCAGGAGATTGAAACCATCCTGGCTAACACGGTCAAACCTCATCTCTACTAAAAAATACAAAGAATTAGCCGGGTGTGGTGGCAGGTGCCAGTAGTCCCAGCTACTCGGGAGGCTGAGGCAGGAGAATGGCGTGAATCCAGGAGGTGGAGCGTGCAGTGAGCCAAGATCATGCCACTGCACTTCAACCTGGGCAACAGAGAGAGACTCCATCTCAAAAAAAAAAAATTTTTTTTTCCTTCTACTTTCCCCAAAACTCAGAGATCCTAGGAGCTGATCCAGCCAACAAAACTTAGTCTGTTGGGAAATGTTTTGAATAAGTATATATAAAAAAGTTAGAGACCTTGCTGTATATGTATGTATTCATAAGATAGGTCTATGTAAGTCTAGTGATTGAACAGATAACTGAAATTTGATTTTTTTTGAGCCTCTTATAAACTAACAAATGATTGTAAGTTTCTGCTTCTTAAAAAAACTATTACCAAAAAGGAAAAACTAATTAGAAATAATATTTGCATTTGAACTAAACAAGTAAGCTGCTATATTGCTATGTGATATGGTTTGGATCTGTGTTCCCAACCAAATCTCATGTTCAACTATGATTCCTAGTGTTGGAGGTGGGGCCTGGTGGGAGGTGGTTGAATCATGTGGTGGTTTCTTATGAATGGTATAGCACCAGCTCCTTGATACTGTTCTTGTGATAGGGGGTGAGTTCTTATGAGATCTAGTTGTTTAAAAGTGTGTGGCACCTCCACGCTTACTCTCTCTTGCTCCTGCTCCCACCATGTGACACACCTTGCTCCCCCTCTGCCTTCTGCCATGATTGGAAACTTCCTGAGGACTTCCCAGAAGCAGAAGCCACTATGCTTCTAGTACAGCCTGCAGAACCATGAGCCAATTATACCTCTTTTCTCTATAAATTACCCAGTCTCGGGTAGTTCTTTATAGCGATGTGAGAATGGACTAATACAGAAAATTGGTACCAAGAGTGGGGTATTGCTATAAAGGTACCTGAAAATGTGGAAGCAACTTTGGAACTGGGTAATAGGCAAAAGCTGGAAGAGTGTGGAGAGCTCAGAAGGCAGGAAGATAAGGGAAAGTTTGGAACTTCCTAGAGACTGGTTGAATGGTTTTTACCAAAATGCTGATAGTGATATGAACTGTGCCAGCAGAGAATGTCTCATGGAGATGAGAAACTTATTGGGAACTAGAGCAAAGGTCACTTTTGTTATGCCTTAGCAAAGAACTTGGCTGCATTGTGCCCCTTCCCAGGGACCTGTGGAACTTTTAACTTGACAGTAATGATTTAGCTATCTGGCAGAAGAAATGTCTAAGAAACAAAGCATTCAAGATGTATTGTGGCTGCTTCTAACAACCTATGCTCATATATGTGAGCAAAGAAATGACCTAAAGTTGAAACTTGTATTTAAAAGGGAAGCACAGTGTAAAAGTTTGGGAAACTTGCAGCCTGGCCATGTAGTAGAAATAAAAGCCCACTTTCAGGGGAGAAATTCAAGCAGTCTGCAGAAATTTACATAAGTAAAAGGGAGCCAAGTGCTAATAGCCAAGACAATGGGAAAAAGGCCTTGAAGGCATTTTAAAGACTTTCACAGCAGCCCCTCCCATCATAGGGGCAGAGGCCTAGGATGACTGAATGGTTTCATGGGCCAGGCCTGGGGCCCCACTGCCCTGCACAGCCTCAGGACATTGGTGCTTACATTCCAGCCACTCAACTCTAGCCAGGCTCAAAGGGGCCCAGGTACAGCTCAGGCAGCTGCTTTAGAGGCTGCAAGCCATAAGCCTTGGCAGCTTCCAGATGGTGTTAAGTCTGCAGGTGCACAGAGTACAAGAGTTAAGGCTTGGGAGCCTCTGCCTAGATTTCAGAAGATGTATGGAAAAGCGTGGGTGTCCAGGCAGATGTCTGCTTCAGGGGTAAAGCCCTTAGGGAGAAACTCTACTAGGGCAGTGCAGATGGAAAATATGGGTTGGAGCTTCCACACAGATTCCCCACCGGGGCATTGCCTAGTGAAGCTGTTAGATAGAAGAGGGGCATCATCCTCCAGACTCCAGAATTATAGATCCACCAACAGTTTATACCCTGTGCCTGGAAAAGCCACAGGTACTCAATGCCGGTCCATGAGAGTAGCCATGGGGGCTAAACCCTGCAAAGCTGCAGAAGCAGTGCGGCACAAGGCCTTGGGAGCCCACCCCTTGCATCAGTGTGCCCGCATGTGAAACATGGAGTCAAAAGGAGATTATTTTGGAGCTTTAAGATTTAATGACTGCCCTGTTGGGTTGTGGATTTTCATGAGGCCTGTAGCCCCTTTCTTTTGGCTTATTTCTCTTTTGTAATGGGAGTATTTACCCAGTGCCAATACCCCCATCATATCTTAGAAGTAACTAAATTGTTTTTTATTTTACAGGCTCATAGGTGGAAGCAATTTCCTTGTCTCAGATAACTTTGGATTTGGGGCTTTTGAGTTAATGGTGGAATGAGTTAACATGCTGTGGATTATTGGGAAGGTATGATTGTATTTTGCAGTGTGAGAAGAACTTGAGATTTGGGAAGAACCAGAGACAGAATGATATGATTTATATCTGTGTCCCCACTCAAATCGCATGTTCAACTGTGATTCCCAGTGTTGGAGGGGGGGCCTGGTGGGATGTGATTGGATCATGGGGGAAATTTCTCATGAATGGTTTAGCACCAGCTCTTTGGTGCTGTTCTTGTGATAGTGGGTGAGTTCTCATGAGATCTCATTGTTTAAAAGTGTATGGCACTTCCCCCATTGCTTTCTCTTGCTCCTCCTCCCACAATGTGAGATGTCTCACTCCCCCTTTGCCATCTACCATGATTAGAAGCTTCCTGAGGCCTCCCTAGAAGCAGGAGCCACTATGCTTCCTGTACAGCCTGAAGAACCATGAGCCAATTAAACCTCTTATCTTTATAAATTACCCAGTCTCAGGTATTTCCTTATAGCAATGTAAGAACAGACTAATACACTACCTATAGCCAAATTACCACAATATAGAAAAAGTTATTTCTGCTTGATTTGGTCCAAGAAAAATGGAAAAATATCCAAGGACACAATTCCTAGTAAGGAGTTTCAGCCAAAAATGATGTGTAAATCTCCACATAGGTTTATGTCTTTGCTGGAAAGAACAATAATAATAATAATTTGTAAGTGATAGCCTTCAAAAAAAAATCTCTCTCTTAAAGGGTAAATTCAGGTTTTCTTCTATTTCAGAAGACCCTGTAGATTAGCATATCAATCTTAATGAACTCATTAAAAGTTAGTTATTTAGTCAAACAATAAATACCAAAATGTAATTCAATACATTCCAGAAATAGCAGAAAAGGCAGAAAAATGAATGGATTTTGATTAATATAGGAAATGCATTAAAGTAGAAGGAAGAAACCAGAATCTACTCCTCAAGAGAAAATTATATAAATGAAAATTTATATCTCCAATGCATGTTACTAGGAGGAGTGCAAGTTAAAAAGAGTTTAAAATATTTCTCAATATTTTTATTTGTGCATAAATAAAAGCTAATTTGTTAGCAGTAAGAACAATGGTATTGGAGATAATAGGAGCTGTGACTGGCTTCCAGGTTCACCAGTGAATAGTTGTATACTGAAGGTTACATCACTTAACAGCTAGTCAGTAATCCAATTATGCATTTATTTATTAGATGTCTAAAAATGTGACAGATGACAGATGCTGCTCAAAATAACAGAAATTATGTAGAGAAGAAAACAAAAGCCACCCATCTCTAATGGAGTCTACATGCCATTTGAGGGAGAGGAATGCACATTAAACAAATAATATCACTAATAAATATATAATTATTACAAGATAACCAAGAGAGGGAATCAGGGAAGCAGGAAAGAAAGTGACATGTAGAGACCTGATTTGAGGAGTTAGCCAAGCAAAGGGTAAATTAAAAGTAATTTTAGGCAGCAGGAATTGCATATACAAAGGTTTTGTGCCTAAAAAGAGATATGTTTTAAGAACCAAAAGAAGGCTTGTGGCCGGGCGCGGTGGCTCACGCCTGTAATCCTAGCACTTTGGGAGGCCGAGGCGGGAGGATCACGAGGTCAGGAGATCGAGACCATCCTGGCTAACACAGTGAAACCCCGTCTCTACTAAAAAAACACAAAAAAATTAGCCGGGCATGGTGGCGGGCGCCTGTAGTCCCAGCTACGCGGGAGGCTGAGGCAGGAGAATGGCGTGAACCCGGGAGGCGGAGCTTGCAGTGAGCCGAGATCGCGCCACTGCACTCCAGCCTGGGCAACAGAGCGAGACTCCGTCTCAAAAAAAAAAAAAAAAAAAAAAAAGAAGGCTTGTACTTTTGGAGTGTAATGAGCAAGAAAGGGTGTGATGCCAGATATAATTGGAGAGGATGGGTGTGGTCAAACCATGAAAGTTCCTGCTAAGTGGTGTGGAGAATATTCAAAAAACATGAATAACAATTGAAGATTTTTTTTTTTTTTTTGAGACAGAGTCTCACTCTATTGCCCAGGCTGGAGTGCAACCGCGCAATCCCAGCTGACTGCAACCTCTGCCTCCTGGGTTCAAGCAATTCTCCTGCCTCAGCCTCCTGAGTGGCTGGGATTACAGGAGTGCAGCACCATGCCTGGCTAATTTTTATATTTTTAGTAAAGACAGGGTTTCACCATGTTGGTCAGGCTGGTCTCGAACTCCTGACCTTGTGATCCACCCTCCTTGGCCTCCCAAAGTGCTGGGATTACAGGCGTGAGCCCCCAAGAAGATTTTTAATTATGGAAGGACATGATATGATTAATGGGCACTTTCTGTGGCTTTCCTCAAATATAAAATCCAAACTCCTTACTGTGACCTGTAAGACCCCTACCTACCTCTCCATCTTCATCTCCAACCCTCTTTCCTGTTGCTCATTTTCCTCATGACACAGAGACCTCCTTGCTTTGCATCAAACCCACCAAGACTATCCTCACTTCAGGGTCCTTGTACCTCTCTTCCCTCATCTGGAACATGTCTCCACAGATCTCTATATGGCCTTATGGCACACTTCCCTCAGGTTTCTACACACATTATCGCTTCTTATAGGGGCTTTTTCTGACCAGAGAACATTATTTACTGACACTACTGATTCAGCCATAGACCAATAATGTGTGACATTAATTTTTTAAATACCCATGTATCTTGGCGTGGACTGTAGGTTAAGTGCTTTAAATACATTATTTCATTTAATTTTCATTATGAGATATATATGAGATAGATATAGCATTTTTCTCTTTTATAGACAAAGACATTAAAATATGGAAAGATTAAGGGATGGCCATATATTGTACCTTAAGTAAATAGCTACGGTAGATAGAATAATTGGCCTTGAATTATTGGCGATTTTGTATTAAAACACATGTCTTATCACAGTTTCTGAAGGAGAAGAGAGAGAAAATGGAGCACAAGAAATATTTTTTTTTAATTTTTTTAGTATTTATTGATCATTCTTGGCTGTTTCTCAGAGAGGGGGATTTGGCAGGGTCATAGGACAATAGTGGAGAGAAGGTCAGCAGATAAACACGTGAACAAAGGTCTCTGGTTTTCCTAAGCAGAGGACCCTGTAAGCCTTCCACAGTGTTTGTGTCCCTCGGTACTTGAGATTAGGGAGTGGTGATGACTCTTAAAGAGCATGCTGCCTTCAAGCATCTGTTTAACAAAGCACATCTTGCACCACCCTTAATCCATTTAACCCTGACTTGACACAGCACATGTTTCAGAGAGCACAGGGTTGGGGGTAAGGTTATAGATTAACAGCATCCCAAGGCAGAAGAATTTTTCTTAGTACAGAACAAAATGGAGTCTCCTATGTCTACTTCTTTCTACACAGACACAGTAACAATCTGATCTCTCTTTCTTTTCCCCACATTTCCCCCTTTTCTATTTGACAAAACCGCCATCGTCATCATGGCCCGTTCTCAATGAGTTGTGGGGTACACCTCCCAGAGGGGGTGGCGGCCGGGCAGAGGGGCTCCTCACTTCCCAGACGTGGCAGCCGGGTGGGGGCACCCCCCGCCTCCCAGATGGGGCAGCTGCCAGGCAGGGGCGCTCCCCGCCTCCCAGATGGGGCAGCCGGGTGGAGACGCTCCTCACTACCCAGACGGGGCGGCCGGGCAGAGGCGCTCCTCACTTCCCAGACGGGGTCGTGGCTGGGCAGAGGCGCTCCTCACCTCCCAGACGGGGTGGCGGCCGGGTAGAGATGCTCCTCACCTCCCAGACGGGGCGGCCGGGCAGAGGCGCTTCCCACATCCCAGACGATGGGCGGCCAGGCAGAGACGCTCCTCACTTCCTAGACAGGATGAGGGCCGGGAAGAGGCGCTTCTCACTTCCCAGACTGGGCAGCCGGGCAGAGGGGCTCCTCACATCCCAGAGGATGGGCTGCCAGGCAGAGACGCTCCTCACTTCCTAGATGGGGTGGCAGCCAGGAAGAGGCACTCCTCACTTCCTAGACGGGGTGGCGGCCGGGCAGAGGCTGCGATCTCAGCACTTTGGGAGGCCAAGGCAGGCGGCTGGGAGGTGGGGGTTGTAGCAAGCCGAGATCACGCCACTGCACTCCAGCCTGGGCAACATTGAGCACTGAGTGAGCGAGACTCCGTCTGCAATCCCGGCACCTCGGGAGGCCGAGGCGGGCAGATCACTCGAGGTCAGGAGCTGGAGACCAGCCCGGCCAACACTGCGAAACCCCGTCTCCACCAAAAAATACGAAAACCAGTCAGGCGTGGCGGCGTGTGCCTGCAATCCCAGGCACTCGGCAGGCTGAGGCAGGAGAATCAGGCAGGGAGGTTGCAGTGAGCCGAGATCGCGGCAATACAGTCCAGCCTCAGCAACAGAGGGAGACCGTGGAAAGCCGGAGAGGGAGACAGAAGAGAGGGGAGAGGGGAGAGGAACCACAAGAAATATTTGAAGATATAATGCTCAAGAACTTCCCAAAATTCATGAAACACCACAAACCACAGATTCAAGAATCTCAGATACCCTCAAGCAGAAAAATACCAAGAAATACAGACCTAGGGAATTACTACTAAACTGCTAAAAATTGAGGACACAGAAAATCTTCCATCAGCCTGAAAAAAAGGAAATATTTATACAGGGGCCAAAAATAAGAATTAGACCTTCCTCTTGTCAGAAACAATAAAAGCCACAACGATAGAGTAATATCATTAAAGGTATATTAGTCTGTTCTCACACTGCTGTAAAGAACTACCTGAGACTGGGTGATTTATGAAGAAAACAGGTTTAATTGGCTTCTGGCTCCACATGGCTGACAAACCCTCAGGAAACTTACAATCATGGCGGAAGGTGAAGGGGAAGCAAGGTGTGTCATATATGGTGGCAAGAGGAAGGGGGAAGTGCCATACTTTTAAACCGTCGGATCTCATGAGAACTCACTCACTATCACGAGAACAGCGTGGGGAAAACTGCCCCCATGATCCAATCACCTTCCACCAAGTCTCTCCCTTGATATACGAGGGTCACAACTCAAGATGACATTTGGGTTGGGACACAGAGCCAAATGATATCAAAAGGTAATGAAGGAAGAAAAATTATCAAACCAGAATTTTATATTCAGTGAAAATATCCATCAAAAATGAGGTTGAAATAAAGACAAAGGTTTAAACAATGCATCTCCATTAGACTTCACTAGAATGCAAAAAAGTAGAAATATTTAGGGTCTTGATAAGTATTTGTTAAAACTGATTAAATGGTATACTGAAGGTATGAAGAGGTCACTGTAAGTAAATTACAACTCAATTAAATTTTCGAAAAGTGGAAACTTACAAAATAAGTATTCGCTGCATATATAGGCATTCTTTTTCAATTCGTAACAGCAAAACATATTGCAAATATCATTTCCTTAGATCCCATTTCAGCTAGGACACTACCCAAATGATAATGCGGCTAAAGAATATAATAGCCTATACTTAGCATTACAGTAAGTAGTACAGCATAACTAGAAAGTGTTGTAATGCAAAAAAAAAAAAAAATTCCTAGGACCAATGGCAGTGGAAGTAAAAATAATAACTAGTTTTCCCTAAAGCTGGTATCCTGCCATTAATGAAATATGTTTATCCATTAGAGTAGGGAAAATGTGCCAGTAAGAACTCATCTGGTAGCTATATTCCCCATTACAAAATCAGAACATAAAAAACACGAACATTATAATGGAAACAAAACAAAAAGAGCAAAGGACAAAAAGAGAATGCACATGAGGGAAAATTCAAATAATAAAGTTATGAAAAAAATTCAACCTCATTAATCATCAAAGAAAGTCAAATTATTATGAAAACAAGAGGCCTTTGGGACCCATTCAGATGTGCCAAACTTTTTCGAAGCCTGGTACATGTGCTGGAAGACTGAAACTCCCATGCTTTGCTGGGCCAGATTGCAAGTTGGCAAAAGCTTCCTAGAAAGCAAACTGGCAGGCCGGGTGTGTTGGCTTACACCTGTAATCCCAGCACTCTGGGAGGCCGAGGAGGGTGGATCACCTGAAGTCAGGAGTTCGAGACCAGACCGACCAACACGGTGAAACCCCGTCTCTATTAAAAATACAAAAATTAGCTAGGCATGGTGGCACATGCCTGTAATCCCAGCTACTCGAGAAGCTGAGGCAGGAAAATCGCTAGAACCCGGGAGGAGGAGGTTGCAGTGAGACAACATCACGCCATTGCACTCCATCCTGAGTGACAAGACCGAAACTCCATCTCCAAAAAAAAAAGCAAACTGACAATGTGAATTATGATTTTTAAAAATATTCACAGACCAGCCCGGGTAACAACAAATACAAAAATCTGCCTGGTGTGGTGGTGCATGCCTGTAGTCCCAACTCCTCAGGAGGCCAAGGCAGAAGGACTGCTTGAACCTGGAAGGTCAAGGCTGCCATGAGCTACGATTGCACGACTGCACTCCAGCCTGGGTGACAGAGTGAGACTATGTCTCAAAAATATTTTTTCCCACAGACTTTAACCCAGTAATTATACTTCTGAGTCTATTAGAAAAGATAATAGAGATACACAATATTTTTATTTAAAATTTTCAGTGTAATATAGTAATACTACAGTAGTACTTATTTTATTTATTTTATGAAAAATGAGGAACTTATCATTGCAAATGTCTGATTATCAGAGAATAGTTAAATCAAGTGTGTTCAACCTGCAGCCCATGCAGCCCAACACAAATTTGTAAACTTTCTGAAAACATTATGAGACTTTTTTTCCAATTTTTTTTTTCTTAGCTCGTCAGCTGTCATTAGTGTTAGTACATTTCATGTGGAGCCTAAGACAATTCTTCCAATGTGGCCCAGGGAAGCCAAAAGATTGCACACTCCTGAGTTAGATAATAAGATAGCTAAATAATGGAACTGCATGTAACCATTAAAGCAATTATGTTTCAAATAAGTTTAATGATATGTATAATGCTCATGAAACTTTGTTATGTAAAAAAGGCCCCCAAAACACTGAACATAGGTTTAACAAAATATATACACATATGTTATATATGTGTATACATTATACATTATAAATTATCCTGATTACATAATATATATACACATAGGTATATATGTTTAATGATATGTATAATGCTCATTAAACTGTATATTTGTATTATATATGATATTGTATACATATGTATACATATATGTATTATATATAATACATATTATAATAATATATAATATATACATATTATATGTGTATATATTATACATACATATATGAGTGTGTGTATGTGTAGAACTGGAGGAAAATACAGAAAAATATTAACAATGATAGGATAATTGGTGATTTTTATTTTCTTCTTAATCTTCTCTATTTTCTAAATTTCTGTATCTTGTACTAAATAATAAATTTAAAAGTTTTGAAAAAATATACCTTAAGTGTAAATCAAATGGATATCCCTATTCATAATAGCAACAAAACTACAAAATATCTTTTAAAAATGTAAACAGAAATGTGAAGATCTATATATATAATTAACATATGTGAAAAATAAAAACTTTATTCATTTGACAAATATTTACCTTCTATATGCTTGAAAATATGGAAAATAGGCATAAGTGGTACAGCAGTGAACAAGGTCATGTCCTTCATGACAATATTCTCGTGAAAGATTTAATATTGCAAAAGAAGTTGATTAGAGATTAATTCTGCCTATGATAATGTTTCAATTTAGTGGGATTCCAAACAAACTCTCAAGTTTATTGGGGAATGTAGAGAAACTTGAAAAAATGTTTTTGAGGTTAATATGAAAAAATATTACAGAAATAACCAAGATATGACCTTCATACATTGCTGAGAGGAGTATGAATTACTATATACTTTTTCTAAAGTAATGTTGCCTCCATAAATGTATACAACTATTATTTGTCAATTAAAAATAAAATAAAAAATTTTTTTTTGAGAGGGCGTCTTGCTCTGTTGCCCAGGCTGGAGGGCCACGGCGCGTTCTCAGCTCACTGCCACCTCTGCCTCCTGGGTTCAAGCGATTATCCTGCCTCAGCCTCCTGAGAAGAGTAGCTGGGATTACAGGCGTGTGCCACCATGCTTGGCTAATTTTTGTATTTTTAGTAGAGACGGGGTTTCACCGTGTTGGCTAGGCTGGTCTTGAACCTCTGACCTTAGATGATCCACCCCCTCGGCCTCCCAAAGTGCTGGGATTGCAGACGTGAGCCACCGCGCCTGGCCAAATAAAATAAATTTTAAGTAATGTGGCAATATTTATCAATCAAAACATAAAATATACTTTTTTACCCCCAAAATCCCACTTTAGGTTATGTATTATACAATAATTAATTAGTACTTTATCATTTTATTTACTATTAATTATTTTCTTATTTATTATGTAATCAGGATGTCTAAGAACTAGGAAAAGCGTTGAATATATTGTGAAAAATCTACGTAGCTACTAAAAATGACTATATTAATGACTACTGCAGAGGTACATTCACAACATATTTTTAAAAAGGAAAACAAGTTACAGATTAACGTACACAGTATAAACCAATTTTTATTGTAAAAAACAACAACAAAACCTCTCTTTTTCCAAAACATAGAAAAAAAAGCTCTAATAATTCAATAAGAAAAATAGAAATGGCAAAACTGACAAATTTGGAAAGAAAGAGCTCTAATTAGTTTTAAAATTTTAATGCCCAAATTTACAAAAGTAGTAACAGGAAACACAAAACAATGTGTCTAAGTGTCATAATTGGAAGAAAAAATGTTTTTAAGACAAATATGTGAGGTATACAACAATAAGTAGCAAAACCATACTCAGTTATATTTAAAATAAGTAATCAGAATACTGAGCCTGGGACTAGTTCTGACAGTGTGAAAGGCTAAGAAGACAGAGATCATAATTCTTAGTGATCAAAGGGGGAGGGATTCATTGGAATCCCTCTTCTTGACTGGGATGCTGAAGGGCTGCATTCTCAGAATTAGGATGGGTAAGTAGGAAACAACGCCTTGTGGAAACTAAAGTTAACGGTCAAATCATTTCAGTTTCCGAAATTGAATTGAGAAGATCCTAGAATAACAGTGGCCCCAGATGCCTAGGAGAAGAAAACTTTATAGAGAAAAATAACATTCTCCTTGGCCTAGAATTGTTTCTAGAAAAAATACTTTATAATTACAATGTCTAGTAAATAATTTTTTCAAAACATACAGGATACAAGACATATGAATGAAAACCAGCAGAAACAACGGAGTAGAGAAACATTCCCACAGGAACTTCTTATATCAGAAATATCAAACATAGACTTGAAAATAACTATACTTCTTTTTCCCAAGCAGATCAAGAACAGAATTGAACATTTCAGGAGAAAACTGAAATCTATGAAAAGAACCAAATGGAAACATAAACCTGAAAAACAGAATAACCCAAATTTAAAATTTAATGGAGAGGTTTTAATAGCAGATTAGACAAAGCTCAAAAGAGAATTTGGAAGATATATCAGAAAGAAATATCAAAACACACACACACACGGAGGGACAAATAATGGAAATTTCAGAAGAAGGCAGGAGACATAGGATATTATGAGAAAGCCTGAAATAGGAATAATCAAATTCCCAGAAGGAGATGAGAGAAAGAATGAGGCAGAAGAAATATTTGAAGAGGCGATAGCTGGAAACTTTCAAAATTCATTTTTAAAAATTAATATGCTGATTTAGAAGGCAGCATAAACCCCAAGTAGGATAAGTACAAAGAAATATATGCACTCTGGAGCACAATTTATTAAACTCCTGAAAGCCAAAAAGGGCAGGAACATTTTTAAAGCAAAGAAAAAAGACAGAACCTTCAAAAACCAGTAAGAATGAAAACTGAAATCTCAACAGAAACAATGGAATAAACTCAAAATTCTGAAAGACCACCAACACAGAATTCTCTACCAATAGGAAATCTCCTTTCAGAAAGATGAGAAAAAGAAAAATAAGAGAGAGACAGAGAATTCCCCGATATTTTCTTCTAAATCTTTTAAAGATTCAGGTCTTTAATCTACCTGGAAATGTTTTTTGTGCATGGCATGAAGTAATATTCATTTCATTTTTCATACCCATCATCTCAGCACAACTCCGAAAAATATATCCTTTCCCTACTAAGTGGCCATTAACCCTCTCTTATAAATCAAGTACCCATGTATGTATGGGTTTATTCCTGAGTTCTTTTTTTCATTCCACTGATCGATTTGTTTATTTCCATCACCACACTGACTTAACTACTGTGATCACACATTATTCATCAAAAAATCTTAGCTAATCTGCATCTTGGCACTTCCACATAAATATTAGAATCAGCTTGTGAAATTTCAACAACAACAACAACAACAAAACCTATTGAAAGTTTGATTCTTCCAATCCTTGAACATGACAAATGCCTCATTTTATTAAGATCTTTTATGTCTTTCAATGTAATTTCATATTTTTTTCATAAAGATCTTGGCTGAAGCTTGTAAGGCTTATTTCTAGGTGCTTGATATTTTTCCCATGATTGTAAATGGCATTTTAAATTTCACTTATTAACTGTTTGTTGTTGATTTCTAGAAAAACAATTTATGTTTAACTGATTTTATACCCAGCAATCTTTAAATGCTATCTTATAAACTCTGACAATTTAGCTTTGAATTAGGGGGAATTTTTCTAGATACACAATTAAATCATCTTCAAATAATAGCAGTTGTCTTTCTTCTTTCCTATCCTTATAAAATGTATTTATTTTTCTTGCCTCACTAACCTCAGATTACAGTACAATGTCAAAATACCCTTGTTTTATTCCCAATCATATTCAGAATGTTTTCAATATTTCACCATCTAGAATTATATTTAGAACAGTTTTTTTCCAGATACCCTTTATCAGGAATATGCCTTCAATTCCCAATTTGCTAAGAGTTTTTGCCACAATTGGATGTTGAATTTTGTCAAATGCCTTTTCTTTCTCATCGAAATGGTTGTCTGACTTTTTAATCTGTTAGTATGGGGAATTGCACTAATTGATTTCCTAATGCTAAACCCAACTTACATTTACAAAAAAAAAAAAAAATCTCAACTTGGTCATGAAGTTTTTTCAAATACAATGTTACGTTTGGTTTACTAATATTTTGTTTAAGAATCTGGCATCTATGTTTATGAATGAGACTAATCAGTCATTCTCATTCCTTATATTCTCTTTGTCAGGTTTTTGTATGAGGGTTATGCTAGAATCAACAAATGAGTAACTGATTTCCCCTTTTTTATATGCCTTGGAATAATTTGCAGAGTATTTTAATTACTACTGTTTTAGGAGTTTAGGAAAACTCTTCAGTTAAAAAACAAATGTGGTCCTTGAGGTTTCTTTGTAGGAAGAATTTTTTTTTTTTTTTTTTTTTTTTTTGCTACTGGCTCAGTATCTTTAATGGTTATATTACTATTCAAACATTTGTTTAAAAATAAATAATACTTAAGAAGATTCAGCCACTACTCTATTGGGTCCATAATTTGGGACATCTGAACACTATAAGATTGAAATGCTTTTATTTTTCTCCCGTTTTACAGGCTAAAACTAATCTAAGGCAATCCTTTTGCCAAGACACCTGTATCACAAGGGGCTCAGGTTACGCTTGCAAAAGAGAAGCAAGTAAGAAGTGTTGCCACGTTTCTCTTGGCTCGAGTAGCCACTCCTGATAAGCTGCCATGTAGCATATGATGATGCATTACCGGGTCCTTATGCCTGCCGCTGCAGTAGTTACAAGAAATATATATGGTTTTCTTTTCATAGTGATATACCCGAATCTTGCCAATGAAAAGGCATTTTTTGCCCACATTGGGCATCATCATCTCTTTCTCACAGTTTATACCTTTACAAGAAAATTCCCCTCTACCACATAAGATGCTTTTCAAATGCTATTTCTATTGTTCTGAAAATATTTTTCTCACCCTCTCCCTCATTCTGATATGACTACTCCACTACATTAACGCAGCTTTATGCATAGCTCAAGGTAGGGAGGGTGACAACGCTCTCTGGTTTTTACTTTACCCAAATCATTTCATATGTTTCACATTTATGGAGGTTGGACTCAATCACTCATTCAATGTTTCTAAAGCTCTGCTATGTTCTGGTGCCAGAGCCCATAATTACCATAAAACAGGTTGATTTCAGGCCGAATTGCACTGGAAAATGACATTTTGAATTTTTATTGGCACTTTGAAGAGAACATATTCTTCTCTAGTTATTGTACTTTTAACAGAAATGGTCTTTCCATATGGACTATAAGAAAAAATATCTAAAATTTAAGATTCGTTCCCTTCTCTTATAATTTTTATTAGCATTTTAAGCAAGTTCAGTGCCCATCAGACCTAGTTCTAGTTATTTTTATTGATGCCATATAGACAATTCATAATCAAAACCATCAGCAAAACTGCTATGTCTCCTCTGCTTCTGCCAGAAAATTGGCAGAAAATCCTAATTTAAAGCTCACAGGAAAAACCCAGAGGAAGCATGCAGAAATCCTTTACGCTATATTTCCCAGCAATAGAATATTTTCCTACCTTTGAAAACTCAATTAAATTTTACTTCACCAAAAGTGTGAAAACCAGGTGGAACCTAAGAATATCATCCTCAGTCTGGTTATCCTTATAAAAATAACACTGTGGATATTTTACAACAAATAGTATTAATCCCTTCTGACTGTCCTAGCAAAATGTTACATCAGAAACCATGAATATGAAATACTGATTTTCCCTTTAAGCATGAAAAAAGAAAGTTGACTAGTGCACAAATCTTTCTGCTCTGTGTACTTCATCAAGAAAATTGTTATTTTGTCTCCCAATATGGTATGGTTGCCCTTATGTTACAAACTCTCCTGGGTGGCTGTTCCTATAAGAGAGGCTTAAGTAAGTTCAGCCACACAATTTTCAAAAGAATACCCCTCAAGTGACCACTTAAGCCCCTAGCTTCCCCTAGGCTTCATCCAGCCTGTGAGCACATCTGAGGTTGACTTTACGTTTCTCCAGAGAAGCCCAGTTACTGTTTCTTTGTGGGCTTAGAAAGAAAAGCAGTTGGTTTCATTTTTCTTTTACTTGTGTTAGATTAATATTATTCTAACTAGGCCATTCTCTCAAGAGGCTTGAGTTGAAGAAAAGTAAAATATGAAGGCTCCCGGCAGCAGCACCGACTTTTGTAAACTTGAGACATATCTCAGTTTTGCTTGGTTCTGTCAGGGCCAAAGCTTCTTCTACACCTTGTTTTACTACCATGTCAGATTGGTACAAATAGAAACACAAAGCAATTCAAAACACTAAGCGGAGTTCAGAATTATTTCAGCAGGCTGGTTAGAAAACTGCGTTGCAGGGAGTCTTCAGGGTTTCTCCGAATGTCTGGTGAAGTCAATTCTCCAAATTCACTTAGAGGGTTAATGGCCCCACCAGGTCTAGAAGCCAGTTCTCCCATCTCCCTATACCATGTCCACATTATGCTACAATCCTTAGGTGTTAAGTTTCACAAACCAAAGCCAATATCCTGCTGCCATCAGATGTGGGGCTGGATTCACATGAAAGAATAGGCTTAGCGGTGTAAGTTTAGAGATACACAGGTGAAAATTGCAGCCACTGACTTTCCCAGGAGAAAAAAAAATCTGAAGAGAGTGCATTTAATATGAAAAGTATAAGATTAAAGATTGTAGTACCAATAATTTGTGAGTAAATTTGAAGGCCCAAGATGCATGGTGATTTGAAATTTTGCCAAGACCGAAAGATTAACTGTCCTGTAAGCCAAGCCTCAAGCCTTACATGCATAGCTCAGCACAGATTTTTTGCTGTCTGTTCCTTAGCTGCACATAGTAATGCTCATAGAGTGATATTTTTAAAAAAGTTTATAAAGAAAAATGGCCTAGAAGAGAAAGTGGGAATTAGATGCATGAATGAGGAAATAAAGCAAAAGCAAGAATATCTAAAAAGGATGCTCTGTAGATTAAATATTAGGTAAAGTGCATCTCTTGAACTTGAACAGGTCCATAGCATTTGATCAATTAACCAAAAAAAAAAAAAGTATTCTTTGAGTTCTTAACACATACCCGGGCTAAATCTTGGAGAGACAGTTGTCAATACCTAAGACACAGTTTATATCCTCAATGAGGTACAAACGAATATGAAATGAGATGACTATTATAAAAGAAGTAAAAGGTGCCTTACTAAAAGACATCTTAATGTCACTAAGTGGCCTGACATTGTCCTAAAGGTCAGAGAGCACCTACCCGAATGGATGACACTGAAACTAAGACTTGTAATCTACATGGAAATAATTCATTAATTATTTTGGCAAATGTTTCAGTCAGTCCAAAAACTGTATTCTATGGATAAAATAGTATGCTTTTGAGGTCTTAGCAAAGTTAAGTGATCTCAATCTCCTGGAACTATTTAACTCTCAAGAATGTTAATGATATAAGAATCATACTGACTGTTGATGACTGAGAATCACCCCTGTTAAGATGTGGGATGATTAAGAGAAATCTGGCTGGAGAGGTGAGAGGAGGTGAACAATTGCATAAAAAGCCACAAGATGTTAAGAAGGATAAGGAAAAAGAAAGGAGGGTTTTATGAGGGAGCTTCAGAAGAGTGGTGTGAGTGGAGGGGAGGAGGCAGACGTGCCTGCAGTGATTGAAGAGCATTTATGGGGACCAGAAATGGAGGGTGCAAATATCTTCACGCTTGCCAAGTTGTCACAGGTGTCTGCCCTTCCTCACTTCAGGAAATTCCTGCTTCCTACTTCTCTCAAGAAATTGTTTTTAATAGGAGGAAGAGAAGAGGAACACTCTTGTGTACCTTTCCTTGAACATCACCACCAACTGACTCTAAACATTGGCCTATCCTAAACATTTAACATTTTATTTATTCGACATTTACTTCTCACAATCAGATGCTTTTAGATAGACAGCAAGCCAGAGAAAATATTTGTGGCTCTGAATTATTGATAATTAAATGAATAAAATCACTACTAGTCAGGGCTATTCAAAGAAAACTTACTTCTATAGAGCCATGTAAGAACGCTGTCTTCAAAGTCAAGCCCACTCTCCTCTCCCCCTATCTCCACGTGGCCCCATGGCTCGCCAGGCTCCATCGTGTCTGCCATTTACATTCTCTCTGCTGAAAAACACTTCAGGTTCCCTTACCTACATAAAGATGAGCATGCCTGAGCTTGTGCTAAAGAGCCCTCCACAGTACAGTCCCAGGTAGCCAACTTTCCAAAATTACCTTTTAAAAACCTTCCACTTCTGCCCAGTCACCTACTCCCTATTTTTCATGTGTTTTCCTCCTGAATGAAAGCTAATGTTCTTCCTCATATGTTCAGATTTCTCTCGGATGCCTTGGCCTTATGCCCTCCATTTCACCGTAATTGAGAGAATATAAAGTATTTGTTACAGTGCCTGGTAATAGTTGGTACTCAAAACATTTTCTTTCCTTTCCTCCCTCCAGTAGATATTTATTAATGAACTGTGAAATGAGTGATTATCTAGTTTCTATTGCATCCGGTATGTGTCTTGCATGATTACTTTTTGATTGCTTAACCTTCTTCTGATGTCATCTTCCTTTTTTTTCTCTTTTTGATTTTAGATCTAAGTTCCTAGAAGTATAAAGTCTGTTTACTGATGTTGTAAAGCCAGCACCTTGAACTTTTAGTCACCCCATAAATACTTCTGGATCATGATAGCTCATTTTCCTTAAATGAGTCACTATATACAATATATCCAATTAATTGAACTATGAATTTATTATGTATCACAGGATTAGCAGACAAATAAGTCAAAGGATTAAATTTATGCCATCCATATAAAATTGATTCCACAAGAAAATATACTTTTTACCTCTTTTTTAAATCAACGCTATCTTTCAATAACTTTCCTGTTTCATCCTATTTTGTCACAATGAAAATTATATCTGGGCTTCAAAAGAGATCTCAAACTGTTGAAAGTTATCATTTTTTAAATGTAATATTAAATACAATTTGTGGAATGCAAAATAGCTATCTCTTCTCCAGTTTAAGCAAATGCTGTTTTCAACACAATGAAATTATGCCTCCATGTAATATATTCCTCATATATAAAAAATATATTTCTCACATATTGTATATATATTATAATCTCCACCTTTTAACTTTCCAATAAGTTCCATTTCCAACAAACATATGTAACACTGTGGTCTTATTTCTCTAAGTAGCTACATAATAATGACATAAACATTCCTAACCCATGTTTATCATAGAATAGCACCATTTTTCACACTAAAAATAACTGCTAGTAAAGTTGTGCAAAACTCACTGATTGCTTCCAAAACTTTTTGTCAATTTTAAACTGTTTTTAAAACAGTTTAAAACAGTTTTAAAATTTAAAAAAATTTTAAACTGTTTTTAAAACTCTGTTTCATGGCCATAAAGTTTTGAACCAAAGACGTCTCAAAAGAAACTGAAACCATGTGAATCAGAGAAGATGGGAACAAGAATAATGAAAGTTGACTGATGTGAAACCCACAAATCTCTCATAGTTTTAACCAAAAAACCATATAAGATGACTGTGCTTTCCTCTTTTCCAACTCCTCCCTCCCCACTGCTTTCCCGCCATCACACACGCCCCTGCCCATACCTTGTGCTATTTTATATAATTGTTATTAGACTGAAAATTCTTATATTTTTCCCACCTCTTGAGAAAATGAAGAAACACTAGCCACCTGGTCTAATAATTACCAGCTCAAACATTGTCTTTTGTGGACAGCATTCAATTATTATTTATTAATTCTACTAACTTCTACTAAGGAGATGAATCTGTCTTAAGTATTAGGGAACTCTGCTTGTATCCATACATCACTACAAACCAGTTGATTAAAAAAAATTTCAAATACTGAGTCAGCTATTTTGTCTATGTAAGTGAGATGAAAGTGGATTTTAGTTTCAGGGAAAGGTTTTGTTTTGCTTTCTACTCTTTTCTTTTCTATTTCATTGAATTTACCCAGAATTGGGATGCCATGTAGACAACAAGAACTACGCAGCTCCTTTAAGGTCACACAAATAACTGATGGTAGGCAGATAGCAGGACAATCACAAGTACAGGGGTTGGGGAGACTGCTTTACTCATGGCACTGTATAACAGAAAGAAATAAGAACCGAAAATATTATCCTCAAGGAATTTAATTGGGAAGATAGAGGACATAAAACCATGGTAAGTTTAACCCTATTATTTCTTGTCTGCTCAACCTGGGCTAGTCCTATCACCTCTGTGAGCTTTCACATAAACTTTACCTATAGAAGTAATACAGTGGGATTTAATCAACTCTAAGGGTAGCTGAGAGGTAGGACCAGGACTAGGATGCAAAATATTAAGGGGTGCCAGAAAATGCAGTAATCAATAAGAGCTTAATGTGATTTTGTTTCTAACCAATAAACTATGCCCCGGGGGCTAGATGCTTGTTTTTAAACTAAGTTTCATTGGAACCAGGGCCAGGATTAGGGTGAGGTGAATGAGACAGAATTGTTCAAGTGCAGAGTAGGTCTTGTCTTTATTTAAAATTTTGATAAGATGTTCATCGTGGATTTTTTGCATTAATTTTGATTTTTTAAATATTTCATTAAAATTTCATTATTGAGGTATTTGAAACCCCCTTAAATTGGGTCTCCAAGCTGAGTGCCTCACTCAGCTCACTCTAATCTAAGCTCTACGAGGCTCTAAGAAAAACAAAAAATAAGAAACTAGGACATTGTACAAGATATACATAATAAATTATTGAAACTACTAGCCAGCAAGTAGCTTTAATATTTAATAGATATTAAATTTTATTTTAAATATACGAATCTCACAAAAAGCCAAATACTATAAAAACCCAAAGCAGGAAAGCCATCACTGTAGGCAAGTAGAAATTTTCATACAAGAATGACAAATCCACCAGCTAGTTCTTGGGTTTTTGTGTTGGTTTTTGTTCTCTGTTTTTCATTTGTTTGTTTTTTGGTTTTTTGGTGTTTTTTTTGGGGGGGGGGTATTTTTTGTTTATTTATTTATTTATTTATTTTGCCTTCTCATTGGTATGACTGCAGTATGTTTAGTGTGACTGTTCCATTTCATAGACAAATCTTTGAAATACAGACTGGGCCGGGCATGGTGGCTCACGCCTATAATCCTAACACTTTGGGAGGCCAAGCCAGGTGGATTACCTGAGGTCAGGAGTTTGAGACCAGCCTGGCCAACATGATGAAAACCCATTTCTACTAAAAATACAAAAATTAGTCAGGCATAGTGGCGCACACCCGTAGTCCAAGCAAAGGTTGCAGTGAGCCGAGATTATGCCACTGCACTCCAGCCAGGGCAACAGAGTGAGACTCTATCTCAAAAAATAAAAATAAATAAATAAGTAAAATAAAATAAAAGGGGGAAAAAAAGAAAATGCAGATTGGAACCCCTCGGTTCCAAATGTTTATATACTGAGAAGTATAACCTGCTTAGAAAGGTAAATATAGATTCAATATATTCAAGTATATTTTCACCACAATTTCTTGCCCTTCTTAAAAGGTAAATACTTTCTTGACTCCTTGTAAACACCTGATTTCTCTGGTTTTGCCTCTATCTTGAGTTAGCTTTCCCTACTCTGCATAGGTGCTGTTTCACAGGCCATTCCCATAAAACTGGTCCAAAGAAAAGGCAATAAAGTTGTAAAATCTAGGGCCTAACATACAGATGTGTCCAGTTCAAACTGGAAGAGTGGGGAGTTTGTGAGATTTGAGATTCAGAGTTCTTGAGAACACTTTCTTCATTTCCCCTCTACATATGCAAGGCCCCAACTGAAATAACTTTTTACTTATTTAAATCACCTTGGTTATCTTATCAATGATGCCCATAGACGAATGGGCTTTAAAGAAGGATTTGTCTTCAACATCTTCTAAAAGACATGTTTTGTAGCAAAGGGATGCAAAATCCCCACAACTATCCAAAGGCATTTGAAAGTTTGCCTTCAAAACACAGCATTATTATATTATACGTAAGAAATGAGAAAAAGAAGAAAAGGAAGGGAAGATAACACTTTTTTTTTTTTTTTGAGATGGAGTCTTGCTCTGTTGCCAGGCTGGAGTGCAGTGGCACGATCTCGGCTCACTGCAACCTCCGCCTCCTGGGTTCAAGTGCTTCCCCTGCCTCAGCCTCCTGAGTAGCTGGGACTAGAGGCGCACGCCACCATGCCCAGCTAATTTTTTGCATTTTAGTAGAGACGGGGTTTCACCATGTTGGCCAGGATCGTCTCGATCTCTTAACCTCGTGATCCGCCCACATCAGCCTCCCAAAGTGCTGAGATTACAGGCATGAGTCACCATGCCTGGCCAAGATAACACTTTTTTTGCAGAGACTTGGCCTTATCCACACATATACTCACACACACATGCACACCTGGCTTAGATCCTGAGTTCACTTTATTGACAACAAATTAGCACACTGTTTTTCACCATATCCTATAATGCCATGAGTATCTATTTATAAAATCTTAAGGAAAAAAAGCTCCTTTGAGACCAGGGCCTTCACCTTTCATCTTTGTATCTCCAGGACTTGTCACACAGTAGGCTTCATATAATGGAATTAATGAATGAATAACTGAGCATCCTTGGTATCTTAGTAAACAAAGATAGTTGTCTTTCCCCCAAAATCCAAATTTAGCAGCACAAAACTGCTTGCTTGTATAGATCCTCCCAATGGCTGTTTGCTTCTCGTCCTCCCAATACCTAGGGCACATGAGAAAGCTAAAAGCAAGCATAAGGCCAAAGTGCTCTAAGGTAGGGAAATAAGATCCTTGGACCAAATTCAGCCCAATGTTTGTATTTTGTAAATCATGTTTTACTGGAACACATTCAGCCACGTTGTTTTTATATTGTCTATATCTGCTTTCATGTTGAGTAATTGCTACAAACACCACATGGCCTGCTGAGTCTAAAATATCTCCTACCTGGCCCTTTACAGAAAAAGTTTACCAATCCTTGGTCTAAGGTCATTCACCTTAATGACAATAAGACCAACTCATCTGGAGTTCATCACTTCCCCCTTACAAACTCCACTTAGTAATAGGTCAGCGCATTCATCTAGGACTATCATCCAATTCTGGACTCCATATATTATTCCTAGCAACTATGGCCAAATACTCCACAGCATTCACAAAATAAACTCAGTGTTATCATCAACCACACAGGCAAACTTTCTTCAACATCCTCCTGTGGTCTGAAATCTAGAGACCTGGTTTTTTGGAAGTGAGATCAGAGAAAGACAGTCCTTGAACCCTGATGGATGAGATCCCATCAGGTTCTGTTAAGAACTAACATAACAGCAAAACTCTGGGTTTCATAATAATGAACTCAAAAGGAATATATAATCTAGAAGACAGGTTTTACTGGAAAAATGTGAGTATTTTTAGGAACCATACAGGAACAAATGGTCATCAAAGGAGACACAAGACCCAAAAATTTCAGATCAAGATGACTGCATGAGATGTGGCCACTTCCATCCCATATTTATGAAATAATTCCACAGATTGTTATGTTGTAATCTGCATTCTTTTATTTTCTTTGTTTCCTAGCCACTTTCTTTCCTCTTTTGCTCATCTAAAGTTATCTTTTACTATGTCATTTCTTTTTTTTTTTGTTTTTGTGATGAAGTCCTGCTCTGTCACCCAGGCTGGAGTGCAGTGGCGCAATCTCAGCTCACTGCAAGCTCCGCCTCCCAGGTTCATGCCATTCTCTTGCCTCAGCCTCCCGAGTTGCTGGGACTACAGGCGCCCACCACCACACCCGGCTAATTTTTTGTATTTTTAGTAGAGACGGGGTTTCACCGTGTTAGTCAGGATGGTCTCCATCTCCTGACCTCGTGATCCACCTGCCTCAACCTCCCAAAGTGCTGGGATTACAGGCGTGAGTCACCGCGCCCAGCCTACTATGTTACTTCTATATTATCTTTGGGGCTGCTATTCTTAATGTTGCTTTTCACATGCTTAGTCATTTTATGGTATAAGTCCAATATGTGACTACAACTTACTCATTAGCTGGAAAATCAACGTGGAGTTTGCACATTTTCACTTGAGAGTCATCTAGCTTCCCTTGGTACCAGTTCCCTGTAGTGAATCAGTTAGTTTCTTGGGTAACTGGATTCAACCCTTAGGTTATTTTTTTTTAAGCTAGAAAATGCACAACAGGTCAACCAGATGGTAATCTTACCCACAGCATCACATCATACCTAGAAAAGAAGATTCCTGTCTCCACCAAAAGAATATTCTAGAACCTTTTGAGGGTAAAAACTTTTATATCCAAATGTTCACAGAAATAGAAATTAAAAGAGAACTAGAAAACAGATGGTATGTATTTGGAGGCTGTATCATTTTCACATATCATATAAATAAACATACTTCACTTTTGCTTTATATCTACCAAATAATTTCAACAATACAAATGTCATTGCCTGGTGAAACATCATTCTTGATGAGGAGCACCAAACTTTAAAACACTATTTGATAACCACATGGGAGTATTTGATAACCACATACGGACCAAAATCAAATCACTGGGTAGTCCCCAGTCACTGGTATTGGATTTATTGAACAAAAATCAATAGGCTCCTACTAAAAATTAAACAAGGATTGTTATCTTGGTAAATGGATTCCTACCTTTAGCATGATCTCTGACATCACCTAGAGTCCATTTTGCCCCATGAGTTTCCCCTCAAGAAAAAAGAGATCATTAGAAAACTTAATTTAAGAAGAAGAAAAACTGAACCTAACTATTCAGGGAGATTTCTGTATTAATTCCTTGTCTCCTCAAACCTCTTCTCTTGATGCTTTACAAAAGGACTAGAAAGCAGGCAGAATCCTACAGGCCATAGTTCAAGGGAGATAGTTAAACAATGACACCAAGTCTATAGAATTCCTTACATGAGAGATTCATGAAATCAGACAGGCAGTTGTTCAGAACAGAGACACTGTAGACCAGGATCCCCAGTCCCCAGGCCGTGGACCAGCACTGGTCCGTGGCCTGTTAGGAACCAGGCCACACAGCAGGAGGTGAACAGCAGGCAAGGGGGTATTACTGCCTGAGCTCTACCTCCTCCTCCAGCAGCATTAGATTATCATAGAAGCACAAACCCTATCGTGAAACTGTGCATGTGAGGGATCTAGGTTGCACACACCTTATGAGAATCTAATGCCTGATGATCCGAGGTGGAACAAATTCATCCCGAAATCATCCCTCACTACCGCTGTCCATGGAAAAACTGTCTTCCACGAAACCAGTGCCTGGTGCCAAAAAGGTTGGGGATCATTGCTCTAGACAGAATGTCAAGCTACAAAGGGTGAACATATGCTGTTTTAGGTTAAGAATGTTGTGCTCACATCCCAGTAGATTTCTCTGGAATCTTTAAAAAAAAATCTGAGAAGCAACCAACGAAATCATAAACTTGATTAATTTGGCTAATAATCACATATAGTATTTGTTTTATCATTACCTTACTATTCCAAGAAACTATAGCCCAGTAAGATAAAAGTTGCAAATTACTAATCTTCCCAGGAACTTTCCAAGAACCCCATTAAATTAATATCGCATTGTTCAACTCTTCCATACATAGTATGAAATTATAGTTTACCTCCCAAGACTCTGAATTTCCTCACCTCAATGCCCTAGCCTTGCTGTTTACACCCACCTTACTCAACCTTGATCAAGCAAGCCTCCACAATGAAAACTCACCTCATACTAGACCCCAAACCTCCTAAGAATCCCAACTTTGCCATCCTCATTCCAAGACTAGTAAGACTCTGTCAAGGCAGTTCTTTTCCTTACGATGGTAAGAATAAACTCAGCTTTTATAAACAACAGATTGTGTTGGTGATATTTTTGAAGAGCTAGAATTCAATACTATTAATATTCCAGTTCTTCTAATTTAGTAGACTGCCAAAGGAAGAATATCCACAAAACCACAGCCTTCTTGAAGTTCGGAGTAGAAGTTATGGGAAGCTTACTTCTAGTACCACCACCATTTGTAACTGTTTCTTCTACCTTCATTTCTGTCACTTTGTGCAAAGCACTTGGCTTGCTTCATTCTCTCTGCTAACTAATCAAAGGCTTTAAACACCGTTTCCCTCTGATCTTCTTTTCCATGGATAATCACACACTCACACAACTGCTCAACAGGTGTCAGAGGCCTCTTTGATTAGGTCCTTATGCATACCCATTCTTTCTTTCCTATAAATAAAATTTCATTAAATATGGAATACAGAATCTAAAATATGGAATACAGAATCTAAAAATACATTCACTGATAACACCGCTAGCATAAATGAACCAAAAGTATATAGCTATAAGAGAAGATATTAAAAATTCAAATAGTTGGGAAAACAGCAGGAGGCTATTCCCATCCATATTGGCTTAGTGCATTTTACTATTTGAGAGTCTTGATTCGAAGGCTACTATGTGCAATTAGATGTATCAGTTTATCCTGGACTCTCTTTTCAGTCATCCACCATAGGTATAACTTCCCTAATGTACAGTTCAAGGTTATAGAGTAGTTTTAATTAGTATTTATTTGTTGTATAAATAGAATCAGCTCGTGATAGAATAACTAGAACTAGAGTATTATTTTAAAAATTATAACAGCTTCTAACTGAGAATGTATGAAAACCTGCTGAAACCCTCTAAAGAGAGAGAAAATGAGGAAAAACAATGTTAGAACAGATCAGTTTAAAACCCCACTTATTATTCCAGCAAAAGAGAAAATATAAGAATGCACTCAATAAAACAAAGCATCTCTTTACTTGTTGATGTATTTGTGATTATTCAGTTGCCACTTACCTTTTACCATATAGATATCTTTAAAGTATATGGTAAAAGAGGTAGAATGAATAAAGTGGCTAGAACATACATAATTATTGCTAATTGCTATCTTCAAAATTCTAGTTTAAACATGTGTCCAAATAACAGAACAATAATTACATAGTACTTTACTAAATACTCTAATCACAGATTCTCTGCAAAACTTATAGGCCAAAAATGAAAGATAAAATAAAATCTTCTTTGAAAACAGCTACTATTCTCCATCCCAAAAGATAATTCTTCTTTCATTCACACCTTTCAAGTTCAATCATCCTTACTTTTCCAACCTTTCCAAGCTCTATCCTAGGAAGTCTGAAAATCAGAAAAATACTAATCAGTCCCCTAATGGGATAATTAATGAAAATTAAAATATTTTATTTGAGTTGGAGGATACCAAGACCTATAACTTTGCATTAATGTACCTTAGTTTTTTACCAACACTTGTCTTGGGTCATTAATATAACGTATTTATGTTTTAAATTTTTATGAATACCTACATAAACCTAGTGAATAAGCAAAGATTATGGAGAAAGGTAACATATTTGATGCTGCTGCTGCTGCTGCTACTGCTACTGCAGCTATCATTTGGAAAAAAAAAAAACTTTCCACAACGTAACTGCTCATTAATAAGGGGATTATTAGCCACGAGTGGTAGCTCACACCTATAATCCCAGCACTTTGGGAGGCCAAGGTGCGAGGATCACTCAAGGCCAAGAGTGCAAGACCAGCCTAGGCAACATAGCAGGACCCTGTCTCTACAAACAATGCAAAAATGCCAGGCACAGTGGTGAGCACCTGTAGTCAAGCAACTTGGAAACAGGTAGATCACCTGAGCCCACGAGTTCAAGGTTGCAGTGAGCTATGATCACACCACTGCACTCCAGCCTGGGTGACAGAGCAAGACTCTGTCTTTAAAAAAAAGGGTTGCTGGGGGGAGGCAATTATTGAATGAAATATAGAACACATGCAGCTGTAAAAAGAAATGAGACCAATCTCTACATATTATTGTTCAGTGATCTCCAGGATACATTTAGTTTTTACAAAGAGTAGGGGAGAAATTTTATATAGTATACTATGGTTAATATAAGAAGGATAAAAATATATACACATCTTTGCTAATAACAATAAATGAAGGATTAAATCGTAAATGTTTTTAAATAAATCCTTGGAGTGAGGAAATTGAGTTAAGGAGATAGAGAATCTAAACATCTTTGAATACTTTGTTTTATAGATTTTACTCTCAAACCACATTTATAAATATCTTACATAATCATAAAATTAAACTACATTTCTTAAAAAGATATCTCATTTATCTAAAAATAAAATGAAAGAAATATAAAAGTGTATCCAGTTTGTGGCAAAACCACACAAGGATGAACTACTTCATATAAACCTAAAATACAATAAAATGTCATCCATGAGAAGGACCCTAAGGACAAAAATTATGCAAAATCAAAAAAAAAATCTTATACTTTCTCAATAATAATTTTGTTGCTGGTATTGTTGGTATTGTTTATTCTGAAATTACTGTGTATATATTGTGGCATAAAGGAAATGGGTAACTAAATTAATGTTATTAAAACTCCAGGTTTTCACCATAAAAACAAAAAAAAAGTTAAAATCAAAGACAATTCCATTGCCTGACTTTAAGTTGAATGTATCAAGATAAATTTATGATCTAGTTTATCTTTTAAAAAAATCTATTTCTAGTTGTGCTTTTATCAAGCTAGAAGAATTACCAACCCAATAGCAATGATCACCCCAAGTGTCCAGATATGTTCTTGAAATAGACTACTAACTGGAATCAGGGCTTCTTGGACAAATGGCTAATTTTAGACATGAGACAGGCCATGTATAAGATGACCCTGGAACAATGTAGATGAAGTCAGGACACTGATATTCACAGGATCATATGAAGAGCACTCAAAAGAAATAGGTTCTCTCTGGCCAAGGTTAGATCAATTTGAGCATCAATAAGAATAATTACAATGAATTAAAATACAAAATATGACTTCATAACAAAAAAAATCTCCTTGGGTCACCTTTGGAGAATACTAGGGAATCAACTCATTATTTGATAACTGATAAATATGGGGGAAAATTAAACTACTTTTCTGCCTGTATTGTATGAACTGAATCTCATGGCAACAATTCAGTTGATAAGAGGAAGTTTCTCTTTATAAAAATATTTTAATTAATGAAGAAAAAATTATAAAATAAGATTATTATTTTTTAGCCATTAATGAATTAATGAGTCAAGAGCTATATTATCTGCTATGGTAATCATTAGCCACATGTGACTATTTAAATTAAAAGTAATTAAAAGTTTTTAAATAAAAAGCCAATTTCTCAGCCACACTAGCCACAATTCAAGTGCTTAGTAGCCATGTGTGGCTAGTGGCTACCATATTAGATAGAACAGATATAGAATACTTCCATCACCATAGAAACTTGTATTAGCGAATGCTGCTCTAGAGAGTCTGGAGTAGATGATGAACTTCAATTGCTGCCAAACTTTGAGTGATGAAAGTGCATAACAGCTTCTTGCAAAAAAAAAAAAATCAAACCTGAATAAACTTAAGCCTCTGGATCTAACTACCAATTTACAAGAAATACAAGGGACAGATGAATGTCTTATACGATGCCATGGGGATCCAGGCAGCAAATTCCAGATTGTGGCACATTATATAAGACACAACACAGAACACAAATGATGCAGTTTTAGCAAAAAAAAAAAAATGCAAGAAAAAAGTTATATTCCCTAAATCTATTTTAAAAATAAAAATAATTATATTTTTTAAAAGAAAAAATTGATAGAGGAAGAATTTACAATTCCATGAGATTTAAGAAACATATCAAACAATTATAATCTATAGCTCTTATTAAAAGCCTGTTTCTAACAAGCTATAAAATAAATAATGACAAAATTTAAAACAATTGTGGAAACGTAAACACTGACTAGATAATTGATAAAAAAAAAAACCTATTAGGCATAATAATGATATTATGAGGATATTTTAAGCATCCTTACCTTTTGGGTACTTATTGAAATATTTGCAGATGAAGTGATACAATGCTTGGACTTTGCTTCAAAACAACCTGGATGTGAGACCTTGGGGAAGTAATAAATGAAACAAGATTAGTTATGACTTGTTTGTTGGAGCTAGATAATGGGACATGGAAGTTCCCATTATATGTATGTATATGTAAAGAATTATATTATTCTTTATATTTTGTATATGTTTGAAATTTTCTGTAGTAAATAAAACTTTCATTGTATCAATCAGTTACAATCCATTGTCATATAAATCTGTTAATGGCAGATGAACTAGCCAGAATATTTAACCATTCTTTATGTGTGATGAAACAATGTATATCTCAAATATTGCTAAAGCTCATTACAACACAAATGTCCATTGTAGAATGCTTAAGTTTTATATAAGTTTTTTTTGTCCAAATAACAAATTAAAATGTTCATCTTAATTAGAACATTCCTCATTTCAAGGGAAAACAGTCAGACATCACTCTTAATATGACACCAGTAGGGGGAGATAGATGCTGGATTTCCTCTGGGAATATTTTTTTAAGAAATAATATATGTTTAATCTGACAGTCTGAATGATTTTAGGGGGAAGGACACTCCCCTGCTGTGTTTTCAATAAGAAGTATGTCTCCATGCTTCATTTTCCAGCCTTTCATTTCCAAGAAAGGAATTCTTTGCTCTGAATCATTACAATCCATTTTCCATTCCAAATATATGGTCAAATTAAAATAATAACACTGTCCGAATTGTTCCTCTGCTTCTCTCTTATCATAGCTCCTTAATGGACTTTCTAAAAAACATTCAAGTATTAACCCCTAAAAAATTAACCCCTCTTAATTTCCCAGGTATGATGCTAATTTAGCATTTGGCTTAAGCTTAAATGCCATTCATTTATACAACTATTTCTTGAATATCTACCATGTGCAGAGCACTATGGTCAGGGCTACAGTTATCATGAAGAATAAGAACTAGTTCCTAACCTCAAGTAGCTTATAGTTTATTAGAGAACATAGCATAAAGTAGGACAGGACAGGACAGGATAGGATAGGAGATACCCATGGTAGAATGGGAGCCCCTGGAAGGGCAGCTAACCCATCCCTGGAGAAAGACTTCCCAAGTGGAATATACAACTATGTCTTTAATTTATTCTTTAATTTCTTTACTCAACATATACTCATTTTATCCACTCAAACACATATTGAGCACCTTTTTTGAACAAGATATGGTGTTTTGTTGATTCAAATCACCATAAAGTCTTCTTGCTCAAGGTATACTATCTGATAGAGCATGCCTACCTGTAGTGATGAACAGTTCTAAACACTTCTTTATTTTGTAAAGTTGGCATTTTCAATATAAATTTCTTTTTCCACTGGAAAACACCAATGATATTCAAATAGTACTTCAATGTATTTTGTACTAGTTTTTGGAAAATATTTTATGTTATATCCTTATATGAAGCTAAATAGAAGCTAGTTATACTTTTTCCTTAATGCTTACACAATTTCTTATGCTCTTTAACCAATTTATTTAAAATACTTTTGTTGTCAAGACCAGAACACCACAGAAGAGACTTATCTTATGGTGCTCCCACTTCACTAAGCCTGGGGTCATTTACATGATCCTTTCACGACCAGTAAGGGGAAAATTCCTCTTCCTGAACTTATACCTTTTGAGTTATGGCCTTTCATCTCTTCCTGGTCTTCCCAGTGTCATCCCCTCCTTCACCCCAGCCACAGTCCAACACATCAAGTTTGCTAAATGTAAACATAAACTTTCTATCTTATGAGATCTGTCACAGAATTGTCCCAACTTGTCAACAGTCTTGGGTATTTAAAAAGTTCCACAAGGGGCTCCCTTGTACTACTTTTATTTTGTATCCCAAAGAGGCTTCACTTCTTAGAATTCTGACCTAGTCTCACCTCCCTCTTTCCCCAGGTCTAGGCTGATACTCTGAGATTCCAGGATGTGTAAGCGATCTTTACCTGCATAACCCCAGACCTTCTATTTCACTTCAGGTCAAAAGAGTGGCAGAGCAACTGGATGCCTCCTCAGCCACCACCTCAGCTGGCATCTTCCTGAGGTGTCCTTTCAAGAAGTTTCTGATGAGTCTTTAGTTCTCTTCCAGGCATTAAGTTTTATATTGAGTTTTCTTTTCTCCAGTGTGCTTTCTGGATTCTGTTTTCCCCAGGCTCCTCTTCCTGTTTTCTGTTTATAGTCCACACTTGCTCTGGAGGTACTGCAGCCCTTCCACTGTGGATTATCTCTATCAGGTTCTTTCATGCCTATCCTCTCCAAATGTCATGTACACACCCTGTTATCTTCCCACAATTCTGTCCTCTGAACTCTGGACCTGGAGGTTTCCATCTCTGATACACAACCTCTGACTTACATCCCAGATAATCCTTCCCCTGCAAAGTTCCAGTAGCTATCTGATGACAAAAGGGGGTGGTTTTCTCTCCCAAAGACCATGCCCCTGACCTTTCCCCTTTCTTCCTTCTGGCCATTCATCATACCCAGAGCATCTACTGGGAGCTGAATGCATAGTTTTTCCAAGTGGACCACTATTTTTACTACAATAAAAAAGGACTTTTAAGATAAAAACTGTATCCTGAAATGATGAGTGGAGTTAGAAGGATATAATGTCCTGTTACTTGGCTTTTTGAGGGTTGAGCATCAGCCTCCTCCAAGCCCTCTCTGGGTTAATATCATTTCTTATCACAAGCAACTCTCCTAACCCTGACCCTTGGGGGCATCTATCTTCACTGGTTTCTTCTATGTTCACTTACTGCTGCAGATTGAGTTCTCAATCCACTCCCTGGAACTGTTGGGTCCTCTGCCTTGGCCTTGCCGTCACTTGCTCAGCTTCTATCACAACTGCCTTTCGATCATATGCCCCCAGCATCTCAGGAGCATCCCACATTTATTGGTTCATTCTTAGTTACTCTAATGTTCTTGGCTCTTCTTTTCAATAGAGGTCTTCCTTTTATTTCCCCAGGATATTCTTCACTTTACATCAGTTCATGTTGGTGCCTCTTCTCCCTCCCTCTCTCTCTTCCCCTCCTCATCCTTCCCCCTCTGAAATTTTATTTTTCCTAAAGCTCCAAGCTTATTTGCAACTCTGCTGCCAGCATCCCTAACCTCTTAGGTGAAAAATCATGAGGGTCAAATCAGGCACATTAGTTTGGTGAACTTTCAAACATCCCACTCTCTGGAATTTTGATCAGGGATCTGACTTTACTAACGTTGTTGTTTTGACCTTAATTACATGTGCACTTTCAAGATTCTGTTTCCATTTTATCACATCTAGTTCAAAAATCACAATGTTTTGGAGGGAAGCATATTTTGATGAATTTTATATTATTTTATTTAGAATCCCTTTGCTGTATTCTCATTGTTGTGATCTGAGTACCTGATGTAAAAATCGTGCAGTAGTGTGTGTTCATTTGGAATGAATGAGGAAAAAATCTGGAGTGAATTACCTAAAGGGTCTAAGTCAGCTATATGACCTAGGTTGCACATCAGAACCACCTGTGGAACCTTCATAAAGTGAAAAAGATATGCCTCTCCCTCCCCTGAGCAATTCTGATTCAGGAACTTGATGGGAAACTCAGAACTACTCATCTACATGATTCTTGAGATAGTGACATCTATAGCCACAAGGAAGGTACGGTGCCTGGAACTTCATCTCTGTGAACTAATATAAGTAATAAACTTGGCCTTCTGTGATTTCACCTTGCCTTCTTTGCTTCTCTTCATAGAACCAAACTTTATATGATTTCCTCACTCTTAAGAGCCCCATCTGGATGTTCTAAAGTAACAACAAAAATAATTGTTTAGATGGACTGATATAGTTTAGCTGTGTCCCCACCCAAATCTCATCTTGAATTATAGTTTCCATAATCCCCATGTGTCATGGAAGGGATCCCGAGGGAGGTAACGTAATCATAGGGGTGGTTACCCTCATGCTTGTCATGCTGTTCTCCTGATAGTGAGTGAGTTCTCATGAGATCTGATGGTTTTAAAAGGGACTTCCCCCTTCACTCAGCACTCATTCTTTCTCCTGCTACCCTGTGAAGAGGTGCCTTCTGCCATAATTCTAAGTTTCCTGAGGCCTCCCCAGCCATGCAGAACTGTGAGTCAATTAAATCTCTTTCCTTTATTAGCTACCTACTCTTGAGCAGTTCTTTATAGCAGTGTGAGAACAGACTAATACAGTAAATTGGTACCACAGATAGTGAAGTGCTGTTATAAAGATACCCAAAAATGTGGAAGCAACTTTGGAACTGGGTAATAGGCAGAGGATGGAACAGTTTGGAGGGCTCAGAAGAAGACAGAAAAATGTGGGAAAATAGGGAACTTCCGAGAGACTTGGAGGGCTCAGAAGACAGGAAGATGTAGGAAAGTTTGGAACTTCCTAGAGACTTGTTGAATGGCTTTAACCAAAATGCTGACAGTAATATGGACAATAAAGTCCAGGCTGAGGTGGTCTCAAATGGAGATGAGGAACTTGTTGGAAACTGGAGCTAAGGTAACTCTTGTTATGCCTTAGCAAAGAGACTGGCAGCATTTTGCCTCTGCCCTAGAGATGTGTGGAACTTTGAGATTGAGAGAGATGATTTAGGGCATCTGGCAGAAGAAATTTCTAAGTGGCAAAGCATTCAAGAGGAAGCAGAGCATAAAAGTTTGGAAAATTTGCAGTCTGATGATGCAATCAAAAAAAAAAAACATTTTCTGGGGAGAAATTCAAGCCTGTTGCAGAAATGTGCATAAGTAACAAGCAGCTGAATGTTAAGACAATGGAGAAAATGTCTCCAGGGCATGTCAGGGACCTTCATGGCAGTCCCTCCCATCACAGGCCCAGAGGCCTAGGAGAAAAAAATGGTTTCATGGGCCAGGCCCAGGGCCCCCCTGCTGTGTGCAGCCTAGGGACTTGATGCCTTGCATCCTGGCTGCTTCAGTACCAGCTGTGGCTAAAAGGGGTCAAGGTATAGCTCAGGCTGTGGCTTCAGAAGGTGCAAGCCCCAAGCCTTGGCAGCTTCCACATGGTGTTGAGCCTGCAGGTGCACAGAAGTCAAGAATTGAGGTTTGGGAATCCCACCTAGATTCCAGAAGATGTATGGAAACACCTGGATGTCCAGACAGAAGTTTGCTGCAGGGATAGAGCCCTCATGGAGAACCTCTGCTAGAGCAGTGTGGAAAGAAAATGTGAGGTTGGAGCCCCCACATACAGTCCCCACTGGGCCACTGCCTAGTGGAGCTGTGACAAGAGAGACACTGTCCTCCAGACCCCAGACTGGTAGATCCACCAACAGCTTACAGCATGTACCTGGAAAAGCCATAGGCAATCATTGCCAGCCTGTGAAAGCAGCTGGAAGGAGGGCTATACCCTGTAAAGCCACAGAAGCAGAGCTGCCCAAGGCCATGGGAGCCCACCTCTTGCATCGGCATGCCCTAGATATGAGACATGGAGTCAAAGGAGGTCATTTTGGAATTTTAAGGCTTAATGACTGCCCTGTTGGATTTTGGAATTGCATGGGACCTGTAGCCCCTTTGTTTTGGACAATTTCTCCCATTTGGAATGGGTGTATTTACCCAGTGTCTGTACCCCATTGTATCTAGGAAGTAACTAACTTGCTCCTAATTTTACAGGCTCATAGGTGGAAGGGACTTGCCTTGTCTTAGATGAGACTTTGGACTTGGACTTTTGAGTTAATGCTGGAATACTTTGGGGGACTGTTGGAAAGGCATGATTGTGTTTTGAAATATGAGGACATGAGATTTGAGAGAAGCCAAAGGCAGAATTGTATGGTTTGGCTGTGTTCCCACCCAAATCTCATCTTGAATTGTAGTTCCCATAATCCCCACGTGTCATGGGAGGGACCCAGTGGGAGGTAATTTAACCATCATGCTGCTCATGCTGTTCTCATGATAGTGAGTGAGTTCTCGCAAGATCTGATGGTTTTATAAGAAGCTTCCCCCTTCGCTCAGCACTCATTCTCTTTCCTGCCACCCTGTCAAGAGGTACCTTCTGCCATAATTGTAAGTTTCCTGAGGCCTCCCCAGCCATGTGGAACTGTGAGTCAATTAAATCTCTTTCCTTTATAAATTATCCAGTCTTGGATATTTCTTCATAGCAACATGAGAACAGACTAATACACAGACATATGAGTAAAAAACCCAAAATCTTTTTCCAAAGGAAAAGAAAGAGTGGAGGCATTTTGTCATGCTAATTTATCTGCAATGAGATATGAGAATTTCTTTCTGCACTCAGGATGGCCCTTTGATTTATTTATCATCTAATACTCTTCATAACATGGGGACATCTGAACCAGGATTGAAAAAAGTATTTGGAGTAAAGAGTCTTTAGAAAGAATGGAAACAAAGTTACCAAAGATTTTACTTGCTCACACATTTATTGAATGACCATGTCTTGTCTAGTGAATGCCAGGTGCTGTTAGGTGACATTTTCTACAATCAAATTTAGTAGCCCTTAATTCTTTTTTTTTTTTTTTTTTTTTTGAGACGGAGTCTCCCTCTGTCACCCAGGCTGGAGTGCAGTGGTCTGATCTCTGCTCACTGCAACCTCCGCCTCCCAGGTTCAAGCAATTCTCCTGCCTCAGCTTCCTGAGTAGCTGGGATTACAGACATGTGCTGCCACGCCCAGCTAATTTTTTTTTTTTTTTTTTTTTTTTTGTATTTTTAGTAGAGACAGGGTTTCAGCATGTTGGTCAGGCTGGTCTCGAACTCTTGACCTCATGATCCACCCACCTTGGCCTCCCAAAGTGCTGGGATTACAGGCATGAGCCACCACGCCCAGCCCCCTTAATTCATTTTTAAGAGCCTGAGTTCATGAGAGAAAAGGAGAGGGGGAAGCTAGTTTCTTTATGCTTTTGTCAATCCCATTCTCTCTTTATTCTATACCTTATCATGGCCATTTTATTTTCAATTCTTTTCCATTTCCTTTCATGTCATGTATACAGTCAGCAAGAGGGGAAGAATACCTTTCCTTCTCTGCTAAGAAATAGCAAGGGATCTTGAATAATTTTCCCTCTGATATGTGTTAACTGATCTTGTTCTACCTCTGTTTTTGCTGTTGGATTGCTGTCTGTCAGACACTGCTGATGATTTCTAAGTAATTCATTTGTCCCACAAGTGGGACAAATTATTCCCTAAAATACTTGAGAAAGTGTACAGTAGAGGAGCCTAGAACAACAAATCTGGCTCAATTCTAGCCTCCTATAATTATCTACATGCCCTGAGGGAAGCCATTTATACCTGAGACTCCATTTACCCCCTCTGTATAACGGACGTGAAGACCTACATGTATTATTAGTCCGTTATCACACTGCTGATAAAGACATATCCGAGACTGGGCAATTTACAAAAGAAAGAGCTTTAATTGGACTTACAGTTCCACATGGATGGGGAAGCATCACCATCATGGTGGAAGGCAAGAAGGAGCAAGTCCCATCTTGCATGGATGGCAGCAGTCAAGGAGAAAATGAGGAAGAGGCAAAAGTGGAAACTGCTCAAACCAACAGATCTCGTGAGACTTACTCACTACCAGGAGAACAGTATGGGGAAAACTGCCCCCATGATTCAGTTATCTCCCACCGGGTCCCTCCTAAAACATGTGGGAATTATGGCAGTACAATTCAAGATGAGATATGGGTGGGGACACAGAGCCAAACCATATCACCACATAAAGGGTGATGAGTATTATAAGCAATGTCCTTTAAGTGCCTAGTATAGTTCCTATCTTACGGTAGATGGAGATATTATTATTCATTACTGCAATGGTTAATACTGAGTGTCAACTTGATTGGACTGAAAGATACAAAGTATTGATCCTGGGCATGTCTGTGAGGGTGTTGCCAAAGGAGATTAACATTTGAGTCAGTGGGCTGGGAAAGGCAGACCCACCCTTAATCTGGTGAGCACAATCTAATTAGCTGCCAGTGTAGCTAGAATATAAAGCAGGCAGAAAAATGTGAAAAGAGAGCCTGGCCTAGCCTCCCAGCCTACATGTTTCTCCCATGCTGGATACTTCCTGCCCTTGAACATCAGACTCCATGTTCTTCAGTTTTGGAACTTGGACTGGCTCTCCTTGCTCCTCAGCTGGCAGAGAGCCTATGGTGGGACTTTGTGGTCGTGTGAGTTAATACTAAATAAACTCCCATATATAGATATGGAGTTTATGGCAGACTCCTATATAACCACCACTAACTGCCATTAAGCTTTAAAAATAAAAGAGTTTTGTCAGTAAATATATGAATGGCTTATAGATGAACACTTCAAATAATCCATTACACAATCTCACCACTCAATATCATACTGTCAAAGAACTCTTATTAAGCAAGAGGACATGTCATGTGAAAGACCCAAGATACACTGAACCATATTACATCAGTACCCTGTTTTGTTTTTACCACTAGACAATTTGTTAGACTGATTTATTTTCTGTTATTACTTTCCATTGTTCCAGGAAAAGGAAAGAAGGAAGAAAGTCTCTTCCTTTGAATGTTAAAGATTTAATTGCGGCTGGGCGCAGTGGCTCACACTTGCAATCCCAGCACTTTGGGAGAATGAGGTGGGTGGATCACAAGGTCAGAAGTTCGAGACCAGCCTGGCCAACATGATGAAACTCCTTCTCTACTAAAAATACAAAAATTATCTGGGTGTGGTGGCAGGTGCCTATAATCCCAGCTACTCTGGAGGCTGAGGCAGGAGAATTTGAACCTGGGAGATGGAGGTTGCAGTGAGCCAAGATCGCACCATTGCACATTGCACTCCAGCCTGGGCAACAGGGTGAAACTCCATCTCAAAAAAAAAAAAAAAAAAAAAAAAAAAAAAAAAAAAAAAAAAAGCATTTAATTGCACTTAATTTTGAACAGAAAGCATGGAGAAAACATCACTTACCTTCTCAAACTCCATTTTGTACACCCCAATTGACTGAGTGGTGCTTTCCCACCCTCATCCACAGATCACAGAGACACAGCTAGGACAGAAGAATTCTCCTCTAACAGCAGATCTGGCTGGGTACAAAAAAAAAAAAAAAAAAAAACAGGAAATGTTCTAAGTGACTTTCATCCATTTATTTCCAAAGTAAATAATCCCACAGAAATGGATAGGAAAAAAATTTAGCCTACATTCTTTTACTTTACAACATAGTTCCAGATATAGTCTTTGGTTTTATTTTCATAACAAGTTACGTTCTTAATATGTCACAGTGAATTTCAAGGAAAGCATTATTTGTCATGGTTCCAAATATTAATGTCTCTGATGAAATTGATGTTTCTGTCATTTCTAGTTGTCAGAGTTTCTGTTTCCTCAAGGTCTTCTCTAGCAACAAAATCCCAAAATTCTTTAAGAACATGAAGATGGCTCTTGATACAATTTTGTATTATATTGCATGTTAGATCTACAAAGAGGCTCTTCTCCCTATACTGAGAGAAACTCTTTCTGATTGAGTCCTTGTGTCTTCTAAAGTGGATCACTTTATGGTATTGTTTGTTCTTAATAGTAATGATCAGAATGGTAACACTAAGCAAAGAGCACCTGTAGGGCTGGGCTAATTATTTTACATATTAGTTTATTTAATCCTCCAAACTTCCTGTAAAATAGGTTTTCATTTCTGCATGGCATAAGAGAGGCTTTCAAGGGATTAAGAGGCTGCAAGTCACAATTTGGTAAAATCTGGAACTAGTAAAATCTACATCTCTCCCCAACTCCAAAACTTGTGTTCTTTATGCAGTACTAACCAGAGTAAGAAGGAAAATGTGTAAATAAATTATGCTACTTGACAGTTATAGAACCTAAGCAAATGATAAATGCAAAGTCTACCAGTAGTGAGTCAAGAGCAAAGTCTAGGGGTTGAACCCAAGCAGCCCCAGACATCCAATCCAGAGCCATGTTTGGGTTAACATTCATAATGTTTTGATTTTTATTCAGAATAATTGCCCACATTTAAAACTATGCAGAATTCCCATAAAAAGCAGGACTGAGAACTTCTATTGACAAATCAGAATATCTAGCAACTTGGGCCTCCACATTCCCACATGGTAGCAATAAGTGAAGCAGAGTAGCAGATGCCCCTTCGGACAGGACACTCCACCCATGCACTGCAGCCTACTCTCTGCTGACTTAGTTTGTGTGCCTGAACCCTCAGGGCTTTTGAGTTTGTGACCCTCCTTTTCTCCATGGCATCCAATGTAGTCAAATTAGAAGGGTAAAATGTTCTCAACTTCATAAATATACAGTGTGTCAAAAACTATAAGAAAGAATGTAACTTGTACCTTTTCCTCAATGGTTTCTTCCTGGGGATGACCCAGAGATTGTGAGGGTTTGGAGAACAGCCTAGGGCCTTCAATTAAAATAGTTTTGTCTTTGGTTACTACCGGAATAAACCTGTAAGCAGACAGCTGTTTCATGCCAGCTGAAATTCTAGTCTTGGGTGGGATGGCAGAGGTTTATGACTTCAGATGAGAAACAGGCAGGAACAGATTATATTCTTATGCCAAGTTTCTCTCTTTATTGCCATGGAAGCAAGAAGAGCAATGCAGAACATGGAAAGCTTTGCTAGAGCAGTGTTTCACTCAGACTTTCTGCAAGACATCAGGAGCTGCTCGAGATTTTGCAAACACATTTATGGGAAAATCATGGCTATAGAAAAGCTCCTAAAATTAAAACAGAGCTGGAAAAGAATAAAGATCATTGCATTTGTCTTTAAACTCAGAAGCAGAACCCCTGGGATTTAGCATTGTATAACAACACTGGAAACATTATTAACATTAATAAATAAACATCTGGATTGACTTGCAGTCTAAATTTAAGTGTCCTAAATATTTTGGCTCAATTATAACTATACTGCTTTTTTCTAAATTCTCAAATGTTTCTTCTGTCCTTAGCTTATATTTCATTTTCTTCTAACTCTTTTAACTCGAATCTTTAAATGGACCTTGTTGTATAAATGTTTAAGCACCAAATGTCTATATAAGGATATGGAATTGATATTGATTTCAGATTTCATATTTGTACAATCTGGGTTCTTTACATACTTATAGGCTTTTAATTGGAATTACATAATCACACCATTTGTTTATCTTTATTTCATATAATGCTTTCTGTTATATATAATTTCAAGAGTGCCAAAATTTACCAACAAAGTTTTAGTTGAGCTAAAATTAAACCTGCATGCTATTATGAAGCTATCTGTTATTTCCATTTTTAAATATAAAATTAGCCAGAGTTAGCCCAGTTTGGGATAGTATTAGGGAGAACCCATAAAATATGGTGACATAAACCACATTATGCCATAATCATGGCCAAGTTTCACTTGAATTCTCAAATGTATTCAAAAAGCAAGAGTAAAGGTCAGCAAAACACATCTTCACCAAGAAAAGTGCAGTAAAACGAATGCCAAATTAAATGGGCCAGCTACAGAGAATTCTACCCATAAACACAATGCTTATACTTAATCTGTTTCTCACCACCTTCATTTGAGAACGCTGGTCTCAGGTCCCTGGGCTGCTGTTCCTGCCTTGAGCTTTTTTGTCGTTGCAAGCCACGGGGTTGCTATGCAAAGTCCCAACGCATGGAACCAGAGTTAATCATTCACAGGCCTTTTTGCCTGAAATAAGATGCTTTTCATTTCCCTTGGCTTATGTGAATAATGAAAAAAGAAAACAAACAAAGGAGATAACTGCACAATGTTAAAAGATAATCCCTTAGCATAACTATTGTCTAGAAGGCTGAGCACCGTAGTCAGGCAAAAATCCAGTCTGCATTCAGTGACTACACTGACATTTATTTATAAGAGATTATGCCGTGACAGAGCTTCAAGTCATTTAGAAATGCTCCCATTCCCCAAGGCCTTCGTTATATTTATATGCAGGAGCCCATATTATTTTTCCTGGTGTTATGGCAACAAGGATTTCAGTGTTTACAGAGCTATCAAGTTCTGACAAGCCAAGCCGGGGACTTTGCATCACTGGCTTGCATTAAAATGGAGCGCAGGACCTGGAGAGCTGAGCTGAAGCTCAGCTGTCTGAACAACTAATACCTGAGCAGAAGAGGGTTAGGAAGCAGGCAAACGGTGCTAATCAACTCACAGAGCCACTTTCCCCCAAGGGAATTTGCCCTCATGATCCTGCGGTTTAAGAAATATATTACAAAATACGCTGAACCTAGGAAGTCATATTAAACTCAAAAGAAAAACAAAACCCAAATTCCTACTACAATTTTGTACTCTGCGTGGATGTTTTAAAGCTGTGTTGAGTATCGTACATTAGAGTCCTTTATTAGGCCTCTGGAGTAGAGAAAGGGGAAATGAAAATGCAGTGGGTGAAGAAAGGGCAGAACAAATACTCTCTCTGTGCCCACCTTTGGTTTTTAACTACACAATGGAGATCAGCCCAGCTTACGTTCACACCTAATTTAACCACTGCCCAGGGCCCAGTAGTTTCTAGCATACTCCAGCTCTGAAGCTAATTACTGCAGGAAGCTGGTTATGAAAATGTCCCAGAAATATCTGTATCTCACAGACAAAATTATTTTGAGAACTTGCCACCTGCTCCACGAAAATAAATATATGGAAGCAGGACCTTGCGCTCCATGGTTTTCTACATTGAAGTTGTTTTCTGGAGTTGGCCCAAACTCCTCCATATTCTCTGACTAGAGACAGAGCTAGAAATCATTTAAAAAAAAAAAAAAGTCCTTCCAAACATACTCTTTGGACATCTTGGTTCTAGATGGAGCAGGAAATAAAAGCCACAAGCTTAACCTCTGATACAATAAGCTACCACCTTCCAGTTCTAGATTTGGGCCTGGGAAATAATCAAGTCAGAGTAAAATGAAACAAGGAGTTCTAACCACATTTCTTTTTCTTCTTTTTCTTTCTCTCTTTATTTTCTTTCCTTTATATATGTGTGTTCATAAGGGTATTGGTACTCATTTGGTTATAAAAGTGTCACACTGAATTGTAGAATGAACTTCACACACGTCTAAATCCTTTTCAGTTTTTTTGAGATAGGGTCTCCCATTGGCAGTGCAATCATGGCTCACTGCTGCCTCAACCTCCCAGGCTCAAGTGATCTTCCCATCTCAATCTCCCAGGTAACTAGGATTACAGGCAAATGCCACCATGCCTGGGTAATTTTTTGTATTTTTTTGTAGAGACAGGGTCTCACTATGTTGCCCAGGCTGGTCTAGAACTCCTGGGTTCAAGTGATATGCCTGCCTCAGCCTGGGATTACAGGCATGAGATACCACACCCAGCTAATTTTTTTTTTTAATTGAGGTTTTGTTCTGTTTTAAGGATAAATAGCAAGAAATATGCAGATTTCCTAATGCTTAAGGTGAACATTTCAACAAATAATGAACTGAGACTTGCCAGGTACCGTAGACATGTGGAAAAAAGTTTTATTTACACAGTATACACTTTTAAGTCATATAAAATAATTTTTAATGGCAGAAAAGGTAGTAACAATAATTACACTAAATGTCTCTGAATGTCTTTCTTAGTAAACTAGAGCTATATAAGAAAATAGCTAGAAATGGGTGAGTGTGATCTCCTGGATTTTCCCCTTGGAAAAGACCAGTATTGACAGGGCCGCTTCACAAGACTCACTGGGAAGCCTGGGAGAGGCACAGGTCTTTGTGGCCCAGATACACAGCAAGCCCATTCTCTCATTAGCAACAGTGACCACTGTTTACAATACCTGTTGCTATCAGAGACTTTACCTTTTTTTTTCTTAAGAGTTAATCTTGCTCATAGTTTGTCAGCTCTTTTGGGATCCTAGCACACAAACTAGATTATCTGCGGCTGCTCTTCCCAGCAGCCAGAGATTAAAGGATATCATTTAAAGTTGTGCTTTCGGTGTCTTTTTATTTCTTTTGGTCTGCTCACTTCAGTTTACCACACAGCAGCTGCCAAGGCAGCTGATGTTACCATCTTCATCACAATGGTCTTCATCATTATCATCAAGAGAAGAACTTATTACAAACGTAATTTCCCAGATATCTTTCCTATGTGCTCTCAAGAAAATTACATAAGCTTGGGTCTGACCACAAACTCTGTAAATTCATCATTCATTCATTCATCATGTATTTTTTAGCCTTTAACTGTGTATGGCACTGTACACTACACTAAGGATACAGTAATATACAAGGTAAACAAGGTCTTCATCCTGATTGAGGTAAAATTCTATGGGGAGACAGTCAAATACAAATAAATCAACAAGTAATACAAATGCTGGTGTCAAATTTGCTAAAAAGGAAATTAAGACATTATGATGAGAATGACATAGACTATCTTTAGATATTGAGTGCTTAAAAACTTCTTCCCTGAATGACATTTAAGAAGGGACTTGTTGGGTAAGAAAACAGTTCTGAATTAATAAACTAAAAGCATTCTGTTCATGGTAAACCTAATGCTGCACAGGGCTCTTAATGGCTACTTAAATTAGATAAAATATTTCTGCCATATTTTACATCTCTCAGTTTTCCAGAGGATTGAACTGGATGATTTGGGGGAAGACTTATGTCTTACTCCAAAGCTTGATACTACATCATTAACTAATTCTATCTTTTGACCTCATTCATATTTTGGGTCCCACAACAGACCAGGACCTTCCTTTACTGAAGGAAGGTATAGAAACGTGTTTTTTAACCTGGCAGATTCCTGAAAAATTTCTCTTAGTATCCATCCTGAATTTACATACAAAATAAACTATATGGTTTATATACAAATCACTAATGAGAACATCTAGCACTTTCATCAGGTTTTTAAAGGGCTCTGAAAAAAGGATACAGGCACTCAGACAGATGATTCTAAAGTAGTCCATTGCTCTGGAATCTTTCAAAAAGTTGACTTGGACTCTTTTTTTTTCCATAATAGGCCAAGCTTCAGTTTCTTCATTCCACATACTTTTTAAAAATTGGTTTATAATCCAACATTTGTGTTTAACTACCTATTTCAAGATCATAATAACATGTGCTCTTGAAATATCAATAAGTCAAATATGGGCAAATGACTTTTGTTCGGTTGCCAGCTCCAACCCAATAACCTCTCCATGACTACTCCAGAGACATATGTAACAGGCTAAAAGGAAGTCACTAGAGGTTGTTGGTCCTCAGGCTCATCTAGAAAGATAATCCCAAGATGCACTTAACGACTGCGGAGACGTGGGTCGATGCAAGGCCATTCTCTATCCCTGATCCAGCCCAAGAGGAAGTTGATTGGATGCAGGTTTCAAGACCTAGAGTAAAATCATCATCAGAATCACCTGAGGGTTTCTTAATCTCAGTTATGTGGATGAGTTATGTGGGTGTAGATATATGGGTGTCAGTGTACTACCTTTTTAAACTTCTTTTGTATGTTTAAATTTTTTCACAATAGAAAGATGGGAAAAAGTAACTTTGCACAAGCTAATATTACTTTTATCTACACCTCTCCACTGGCCCACATGGTTATGATTCAAAAGATTCGCAGTAGAGACGCACACATTTGTGTATTTTGAAAATAAAGAGAAATATTCTCCTATGATTAAGATAGGCACACCTTGAAAACCACTGCCCTAAGAGGAAGTGGGAGACAAGGGCAATCGCTTCCCACATATGAAGCCCTTTCAGCATCCCCCTCAGTATCAACTCCCTTTTCCCCTCCCAGGAGAGCAAAGAGTCATTTGGGGGGCAGAATACCTGGACTGAACCCTCCGTTGTTTCCAGTGAAAATTGCCAGCTTCTGATTTAAGCTTCTAATATTTAGGCATACATATATATTATATATTATAAACATATACACACATATAAAAGCCCAAATATATGTGTGTGTGTATACATATATATGTACACATCTATATAAGCCTGGTGACAGAGCGACACCCTGTCTCAAGAAAAAAAAAAAAAGCACTTTTGCATGGCTTATTCTCTTTCTTTCCCTGGCTTCGCTCATGAAATCATTGGGTTCTCCTAGAGACATGTCCTTAATTAGTTACCTGCATAAGAATTATCATCTAAAAGGATTCACTTTTGCGAAGGCAGCCTGACACCCAACTTTTCCATTTCTAGCTCAGGGATATCTTGATAAATGTATCTCACTCCTGAGTAAATCAGACATATTGCAAAGAGGAATGATAGTAATTTTTAAATGATGCAAAAGAAATCAGTATTAGTATGTCTCAGAAAGTTCTAAGTTCAAGTTCCTATGTTTCAGATAAGCTATATATATATATATATATATAGAGAGAGAGAGAGAGAGAGAGAGAGAAAGAAAGAGAGAGAGAGAGAGAGAGAGAGAGAGAGAGAGAGAGCCAGGAGTTTGAGAGTAGGATGAGCAACATAGTGAAACCCTATCCCTAAAAAAAAATTTTTTTTTAATTAGCCAGGTGTAGCTAGGACAGTCCTAGCTACTTAGGAGGATTGCTTAAGCCCGGAAGTCCAAGGCTGCAGTGAGCTATGATGGTGCCACTGCACTCCAGCCTGCGTGACAGAGTGAGACACTGTCTCTAATGTCTCTACAATCACCAGCAGGACCCTCAATAGTGTAACTTAGTAGAATTAAATATACTGAGGGCAAAAAGCACGGCTTCTAGGAGCTGAGTAACTTTGTGCAAGTTATTTAATTTCTCCAAGGCTTAGTTTCATATTTGTTAATGTGGGTAATAATACTCACTATACAAGGATTTTTGAAGATTAAGTTTTAAAATCTATCAAGAAATGCCTAGCACAACGTCAGGCATATAATAGGCACTAAATAAATAATAGTTTCTTGTTCCTTGAGACATGTTTCTGAACTGGATTGTACTTTTTTTTCCTGAAATTCTTGAGAATGACTGGATTCCAATTGTTACATGGTACTAGGGGCAGTCTATTAAAAAGTACAGATCCTCATTAACACAATCTGACATGATGCTGGCAGAGCTCTCAAAAACAAGGAACTCATAGTTTTCTTTAGTTTTAGCTTCTATATGAGAAAAAGTTTATTTTTATAGTGTATTTGAACAAATAGAACTGACCTATGTTTTAAAATATATAAAGCTGATTACATGTACAACTGTGTGTCCAAACTTCTGACATGTTAGACTATCATCACTGTTTTCCACTTGGACTCAAGGATGTTAGGTTTCAGCATATGGCTGCCAAGGAATGAAGTCTCATATAGAGTGGGGGCATAAGGCCTGGCCCAACAATCTTCTGTAGGAATCTATGTTCCCACCTAGATTGAGTGCCTAAGCACCAAGTAACACTGAAGCAATAAAATCACTTCTTTTTCATTTTGTTTTGTTTTTAGATGGAATATAGGATTTTATTTTATTTTTATAATTTCAACTTTTATTTTAGATTCAGGGCACACATGTGTAGATTCATTATGTGGGTATACTGCATGATGCTGAGGTTTAGGGTACAATTGATCGTGAGCATAATACCCAACAGTTAGTTTTTTAAACTTTGCCCTCCTCCCTCCCATCTAGTGGCCTCACTGTCTATAATCACTTCTGAGAGAAAAAGAAAGCATGTACCAGAAGAAGGTTAAAAGTAAAAATATATATAAGACATAGAGTTGTAAGAGGAATAGACGAAATTATGAGAAACGGTAAAAAATTAATGAACAATAATTATTGGCAAAGTAGTTAATATAAGAGACATACAGTTCTAGCTTACTATTTGTAATTTCTAAACTCAAAATAAGTCTGTCCAGATGGATGGATGAGTGAATGAATGGATGGGTGATGGATGGATAGCCACAGATATTAAAGATGTTATCATAGATTGATAGCTGTTGAAATGAATTGAATAAGGAAGAGCATATACCAAATTTCTGAACAGGCATACACTACAATTCCCAGATGAAGGCTTTATTTTTCCATGTGTCTTTGTCATTTTCCTTTTATGTATTACCACCTGGTGCCCTTTTGTTCCCCAGCCTAGCCCCATAAGAATGCAAGTTGCTTGGCAACTGATCCATTCACTCAAGTGTCTCAAGGAAATAACCCTAGTTCCTAGGATGGTGCATGATCCAAGTTATTATAGTAAGTTCTAGTGTTTACATCTAAATCTGAAGAGATAATCCTTGTCCACAGTATTTCCATTGCAGTCTATGAAAATCCACGTACAAGCCAAAAAAGGTAAATGAGAGCAATATGACCTGTTCTTTCTTTCAAGAACTATTAATTTCAAAACATATGAACAGATACTGGTGCAAGTTAGTCTGATGCTGAAATATTCTTTGGTCAAATAAAACCAAGAAAATGTGTGAATGCTTGTAGGCAAAAAAGATATTTAATAGATATTTCCAGTATTCTAAGTAATAGAGGTCATATAAGCCACACAATGTGATTGAAATGCTGTTTTTTTTTTAATTTGAAACTTCAGCCTTTCCAAACTAAAGCTTAGAAACACATAAATATGTATACACATACCCTTCTAGCTATTTTTCACATTTTAGAGAAAGCAGTAAAACACAAAGAGGAAAGTAATATATTACTGTTTGCTTCAAAGGTTTTAGGGCTCATAGAGCTAAAGACAGGGGTCGTCTCTTCAGAGCTACGAGGCGTAGAGAATGGAAAGAGTCCATTGGTTTATATGGACAGACTTATTAGCCAAGAGTACATAAATCTGCTAAGCAAGAGACACAGAAGGGTGGCTTGGAATGCTTCTGTTCCATTACAAAACACATTGTCTTTCAGTATGCCAAAAGGAAAGCTACCACACATAGCATAAGGCCAGGTTCACCTCCTTATATTCATTACAACTAAAAAAAAAACTGTAACCTTATTTTTTCCCTCAAGAGGCATGTTACTATGTGCAGGAACTCTTTATAAAATAATTATTCCCTTTCCTCCAAATTGAACCATTAGACTCTCATATGTAGAGCATCTTATAGAAAAATACATATATCTTTATTATTTATTGATATGAAACATAAGCATGAAGGATTGAGTGAGTAAAGCTCAGACACCTCTATAAAAACTTCTCCAAATCTAATGAAATCGATACACAGAAGTATGGGATCATTTGGGGGCAGTTTCCAGGTCTAAAGCGATGAAGTTTTAGTTTGAAAGGCAAAACTTTTATTATTTTATTTTGTAATTTAAGTAGTATGTAATAATTAAGTCTTCCGCTATTCTGTACTAAGTGATATTATCCCAGTCCACCCAGAATCTGGCAACAGAATCAGAACATTTTACTCTGAATTAAGAATACCAAAAATATGTATACCTAAATTAAGGCTATCAGATTGTGTGTTTCTTTCAACTAACAAGTTGGTAAAGATTTTGAAGGATCATGCCCAGTACTGCTGAGGAGCCAGAAAGAACAGCATTTCCACATACGATTAGTAGAAGTATAATTTGATGTAAATTTTTGGGAGGAAATTTGTCAATATACATCAATATTTTTTAATGTGCACATTATTTAATCTAGAAATTTAATTGCTAGGAATTAACTCTTAGCAAATTTGGATACTGAGAGATAATTCAAAAGATGTCCATAAAAGGTAGTTTATAATGGCCAGGTGCAGTGGCTCACGCCTACAATCCCAGCATTCTGGGAGGCCAAGGCAGGCAGATTGCTTGAACCAGGAGTTCAAGACCAGCCTGAGCAACATAGCAAAACTCTGTCTCTACTGAAAATACAAAAATTAGCCAGGTGTGGTGGCATGCACCAGTAGTCCCAGCTACTCAGAAAGCTGAGGTGGGAGAATCACTTGAACCTGGGAGTCAGAGGTTGCAGTGAGCAGAGCTCATGCCACTACACTCCAGCCTGGGCAACAGAGAGAGACTCCGTCTCAAAAAAAAAAAAAAAGTAGTTTATAAAAATAATTCTAAAAGAAAACAACTTATATTAATACTTTTAACAATAGGAAATTTGTTCAGGCATTTCATTAAACAAATTTTTTGCACATATACCACATCACAGTCTTCTGAAAATACAATAGTAAATTTTAAAAGTTCTTTACTTTTAAGAGTAAAAGTAAGGAAAACTCAAGCGAGGAAAACAGACAGAATTTAAAATACGTAATTTATAAAGAGAACAGGAGCAGTTGATTCTATTGATATGGGATTTAAGAGAGGATTCAAGTGTGAGTGTGAAGCTTTTGTCCTGAGCAACTGAGTGAACAGCACTGGTGAAATCTCTAAGAAAAAAAAATAATCACTTTATCTGACCCTGTGCTGTACCCCTGGGAGAAGGGACGTAATGAAGAGCCTAAAGACGTTTAAGGGACTCTAAAGAAAGAGGAAATGTGGGCCTAACTCCCCAAGGAAGCTGGAGGAAACACTAAGGAATCCAGCACACAGAAATAATAACCACGGAGCTAAGGTGGCTGGGCCAGGCTAAGCCCATCTGGAAGCGGGGAGCAGAGGTAGCCTTTGGGCCGCCAGAGATGAGTTTCTGAGAAAGAGTAGGGAGGCCCGACAGAGTCTTGTGATCCAGAAAAGGGGGCTATAGAGTAACTTAAGAAGGCCTGGTGACTGGGCGTCACAGCAGGAGGGCTGTGAACAAATCAAAAGAAACCCGTTAGAGGTCTGAGAACAGAGTGGGCTGGAAGTCTGTTGCCCGCTAGTGTCATGGCACAGCTTCCAGTGTTCAACACAAAAATAAAAGATAGGGAGGTGGGAGCCTCAACTATGCTTACTCCCTGGAATGCTGGATGTTACGGAATTGACAGTGTACCAGAAAAAGATCAAATTTACCATTCAAAATAAAGGCCCAGATAAGTCCAGGTTGAGTTATAGAAAAATTAATATTATTCCTTTTCCTTCCCTCCTTCCCTCCCTCCCTCCTTCCTTCCTTCCCTCCCTCTCTCCCTCCTTCCTTCCTTCCCTCCTTCCCTCCCTCCCTCCTTCCTTCCTGCCTTCCTTCCCTCCTTCACTCCCTCCCTCCTTCCTCCCCTCCCTCCATCCCTCCTTCCTTCCCTCCCTCCTTGCCTCCCTCCTTCCTTCCTTTCCCTACCTTCCTCCCTCCTTCCCTCCCTCCTTCCTTCCTTCGTTCCCTCCCTCCCTCCCTGCCTCCCTTCCTTCCCTCCCTCCCCCTTTCTTTCCTTCCTTCCTTCTTTTCTTCCTCACCCCTTTCAGTCTTTTTTACTTTTTGCACACTGGAGTTTGAGACTGATAAATCCATACCCAAGATATGAAACCCAAATATCATCTAGGCACTCTAGCTTGTGGGCCCTGGGAAAGTCCTGCTTGATAATTGTCCCCTAACACTTCTGGATTAATTGCTGTACTTTCAAGTGACAAAATTTGAGCCCACCTCTATCTGAGACTTGGGGACTTCCCAAGGAGGTGAACACAGGTGGCTCTGCAGCCAGGTGCCCTCACCACACCTACCCCACTGACCTGTCTAACCCACTTTCAATTGGCCAGTGTATGTGCTCAATTGTACATGTGCTACTGATGAGGCAATGTTTTAATAGAAGGAAATTTTCATGACTCAATATTTGAAAAAAAAAATAGACTGATTCATAGGAAGAAAGCATCAACATCCTTAACACTGACTAAAAGGTATTTCTTGCAAATCAAAACCACAATGAGATACCATCTCACACCAGTTAGAATGACAATCATTAAAAAGTCAGGAAACAACAGGTACTGGAGAGGATGTGGAGAAATAGGAACACTTTTACACTGTTGGTGGGACTGTAAACTAGTTCAACCATTGTGGAAGTCAGTGTGGCGATTCCTCAGAGATCTAGAACTAGAAATACCATTTGACCCAGCCATCCCACTACTGGGTATATACCCAAAGGACTATAAATCATGCTGCTATAAAGATACATGCACACGTATGTTTATTGCTGCATTATTCACAATAGCGAAGACTTGGAACCAACCCAAATGTCCAACAATAATAGACTGGTTTAAGAAAATGTGGCACATATACACCATGGAATACTATGCAGCCATAAAAAATGATGAGTTGATGTCCTTTGTAGGGACATGGATGAAATTGGAAATCATCATTCTCAGTAAACTATCGCAAGAACAAAAAACCAAACACGGTATATTCTCACTCATAGGTGGGAATTGAACAATGAGAACACATGGACACAGGAAGGGGAACATCACACTCTGGGGACTGTTGTGGGGTGGGGGGTGGGGGGGAGGGATAGCTTTGGGAGATATACCTAATGCTAGATGACGAGTTAATGGGTGCAGCACACCAGCATGGCACATGTATACATATGTAACTAACCTGCACATTGTGCACATGTACCCTAGAACTTAAAGTATAATAATAATAAAATAAAATAAAAAAAGAGAAAAAAAAAAGGTATTTCTGCGCCTAGAGCATTTTTCCTACCTCTGTACCGGGAATGTCCATGGTGAGAAGGATAATCATGACGCTATTATGGGTTAACAGAAATTTCCCCTGAAAAACCCAAATGCTTTGGTTCTAGCTCAGTCCTAACCTTGTCAGAGGCAAGATATGTCCCAGGGTCAGATGTGTCTCCAGTTATACATTAAAAAATGAGATTCTGATTTTTCCCTAAATCCCTAGTAAAGCCAGTGACTATGAACAAATCCCGCAGAGTGAGAAACATCTGTGAAGATGAATACCAAAATGACCCACATCTGTCTCAGCAGTCAGGCTTACTGGTACTTCACAACAGATCCTTTTTCCTAAGATGTTTTTGGAAAGGAAAGGTAAGTGGAGCCTGCTGGAACACCACCTTGAAAGTACAATTTTACCTATAAGCCCCTAACTGGGGCTGCTGCCTTTATTTCAGAGATGCCCTGCCCAGAGAGGAGGTAGTTTTCCCTCACAGTGTAAACAAAGCCCCCCCGGAAAGTTCAGACTGGGCAGAGCTCACTGGAGCACCACAAAGCCACTGTAGCCAGACTGCCTCTCTAGATTCCTCCTCTCTAGGCAGGGCATCTCTGAAACAAAGGCAGCAGCCCCAATCAGCAGCTTATAGATAAAACTCCCATCTCCCTGAAACAGAGCACCTGGGGGAAGGGGCAGCTGTGGGTGCAGCTTCAGCAGACTTAAATATTCCTACCTGCCATCTCTGAAGAGAGCAGTGGATCCCCCAGCACAGTGCTCAAAGTCTGCTAAGGGACAGACTGCCTCCTCAAGTGGGTCCCTGACCCCAGTGACTTCTGACAGGGAGACACCTCCCAGCATGGGTCAACAGACACCACCTCATACAGGAGAGCTCCCGCTAGCATCTGGCAGGTGCCCCTCTGGGATGAAGCTTCCAGAGGAAGGAACAGGCAGCAATCTTTGCTGTTCTGCAGCATCCGATGGTGATACCAGGCAATCAGGGTCTGGAGTAAACCTCCAGCAAACTCCAACAGACCTGCAGAAGAGGGACCTGACTGTTAGAAGGAAAACTAACAAACAGAAAGCAATAGCATCAACATCAACAAAGAGGACGACCATGCAAAAACTCCATCAGAAGGTCACCAACAGCAAAGACCAAATGTAGATAATTCCGCTGAGATGAGGAAAAACCAATGCAAAAATGTTGAAAATTCAAAAAGCCAGAAAGCCTCTTCTCCTCCAAAAGATCACAACTCCTCACCAGCAAGGGAACAAAAATGGACGGAAAATGAGTTTCACAAATCGACAGAAGTAGACTTCAGAAGGTGGGTAATAACAAACTCCTCCAAGCTAAAGGAGCATGTTCTAACCCAATGCAAGGAAGCTAAGAACCGTGATAAAAGGTTAGAGGAATTGCTAACTTGAATAACTAGTTTAGAGAAGAACATAAATGACCTCATGGAGCTGAAAAATACATCACGAGAACTTCGAGAAGCATACACAAGTTTCAATAGGTGAATCAATCAAGTGGAAGTGATTGAAGATCAATTTAATGAAATAAAACGTGAAGACAAGATTAGAGAAAAAAGAATGAAAAGGAATGAATAAAGCCTCCAAAAAATATGAGACTATGTTAAAAGACCAAACCTACATTTGATTAGTGTACTTGAAAGTGATGGAGAGAATTGAACCAAGTTGGAAAACACACTTCAGGATATTATCCAGGAGAAGTTCCCCAATTAAGCAAGACAGGCCAACATTCAAATTCAGGAAATACAGAGAACACCCAAAGATACTCCTTGAGAAGAGCAACCCCAAGACACATAAATGTCAGATTCACCAATGTTGAAACGAAGGAAAAAATGTTAAGGGCAGCCAGAGAGAAAGGTTGGGTTACCCACAAATGGAAGCCTATCAGACTAATAGCAGATCTCTCTGTAAAACCCTACAAGCCAGAAGAAAGTGGAGGCCAATATTCAACATTCTTAAAGAAAAGAATTTTCAACCCAGAATTTCATATCTAGCCTAACTAACCTTCATAAGTGAAGAAGAAATGAAATCCTTTACAGATAAACAAATGCTGAGAGATTTTGTCACCACCAGGCCTGCCTTATAAGAGCTCCTGAAGGAAGCACTAAATCTGGAAAGGAAAAACTGGTACCAGCCACTGCAAAAACAAACCAAAATGTAAAGACCACCAACACTATGAAGAAACTACATCAACTAATGGGCAAGATAACCAGCTAACATCATAATGACAGGATCAAATTCACACATAACAATATTAACCTTAAATGTAAAGGGGCTAAATGCCCCAATTAAAAGGCACAGATTGGCAAATTGGATAAAGAGTCAAGACTCATCAGTGTGCTGTATTCAGGAGACCAATCTCATGTGCAAAGACACACATAGGCACAAAATAAAGAGAAGGAGGCAGATTTACCAAGAAATGGAAAGCAAAAAAAAGCAGGGGTTGCAATCCTAGTCTCTGATAAAACAGGCTTCAAACCAACAAAGATAAAAAAAGACAAAGAAGGGCATTACATAATGGTAAAGGGATCAATGCAACAAGAAGAGCTAAGTATCCTAAATATATATGCACCCAATACAGGAGCACCTAGATTCATAAAGCAAGTTCTTAGAGACGTACAAAGAGACCTAGACTCCCACACAATAATAGCAGGAGACTTTCACACCCCACTGTCAATATTGGACAGATCAACGAGACAGAAAATTAACAAGGATATTCAAGAGTTGAACTCAGCTCTGAACCAAGCAGACCTAATAGACATCTACAGAACTCTCCACCACAAATCAACAGAATATACATTCTTCTTAGCACCACATAGCACTTGTTCTAAAATCGACTACATAATTGGAACTAAAACACTCCTCAGCAAATGCAAAAGAATGGAAATCCTAACTGTCTCTCAGACCATAGTGCAATCAAATTAGAACACATGATTAAGAAACTCACTCAAAACCACACAACTACATGGAAACTGAATAATCTGCTCCTGAATGACTACTGAGTAAATAACGAAATTAAGGCAGAAATAAATAAGTTATTTGAAACCAAAGAGAACAAGGACACAAAGTACCAGAACCTCTGGGACACAGCTAAAGCAGTGTTTAGAGGGAAATTTATAGTACTAAATGCCCACATGAGAAAGCGAGAAACATCTGAAATTGATACCCTAACATCACAACTAAAAGAACTAGAGAAACAAGAGCAAACAAATTCAAAAGCTAGCAGAAGACAAGAAATAACTAAGATCAGAGCAGAACTGAAGGAGATAGAGACATGAAAAACCCTTCAAAAAAAATCAATGAATCCAAGAGCTAGTTTTTTGAAAAGATTAACAAAATAGACCATTAGCCAGACTAATAAGAGAAGAGAGAAGAATCAAATAGACACAACAAAAAATGATAAAGGGGATATCACAATCAATCCTACAGAAATACAAACTACCATCAGAGAATACTATAAACATCTCTATACAAATATACTACAAAATCTTGGAGAAACGCATAAATTCCTGGACACATACACCCTCCCAAGACTAAACCAGGAAGAAGTTAAATCCCTGAATAGACCAATAACAAGTTCTGAAATTGAGGCAGTAATTAATAGCCTACCAATCAAAAAAAGCCCAGGACCAGATGGATTCACAGCCAAATTCTACCAGAGATACAAAGAGGGGCTGGTACCATTACTTCTGAAACTATTCCAAACAATAGAAAAAGAGGGAGTCATCCCTAACTCATTTTATGAGGCCAGCAGCATCCTGATACCAAATCTTTGCTGGCAGAGACACAATAAAACAAGAAAATTTCAGACCAATATCTCTGATGAACATCGATACAAAAATCCTCAATAAAATACTGGCAAACCAAATCCAGCAGCACATCAAAAAGCTTATCCACCATGATCAAGTCCACTTCATCCCTGGGATGCAAGGCTGGTTCAACATATGCAAATCAATAAACATAATCCATCACATAAACAGAACCAATGACAAAAACCACATGATTATCCCAATAGATGCAGAAAAGGCCTTTGATAAAATTCAACACCCCTTCATGCTAAAAACACTCAAGAAACTAGGTACTGGTGGAACATATCTCAAAATGATAAGAGCTATTTATGAAAAACCCACAGCCAATATCATACTGAATGGGCAAAATCTGGAGGCATTCCCTTTGAAAACAGGCACAAGACAAGGATACCCTCTCTCACCACTGTGATTCAACATAGTATTGGAAGTTCTGGCCAGGGCAATCAGGCAAGAGAAACAAATAAAGGTATTCAAATAGGAAGAGAGGAAGTCGAACTGTCTCTGTTTGCAGATGACATGATTGTATACTTAGAAAACCCCATTGTCTCAGCCCAAAAACTCCTTAACCTGATAAGCAACTTCAGCAAAGTCTCAGGATACAAAATCAATGTGCAAAAATCACAAGGATTCCTATACACCAATAATAGACAGAGAGCCAAATCATGAGTGAACTCCCATTCACAATTGCTACAAAGAAAATAAAATACCTAGGAATACAACTTACAAGGAACATGAAGGACCTCTTCAAGGAGAACTACAAACCACGGCTTAAGGAAAAAACAGAGGACACAAACAAATGGAAAAACATTCCATGCTCATGGATAGGAAGACTCAACATCGTAGAAATGCCCATACTGCCCAAAGTAATTTAAAGAGTCAACGCTATTTCCATCAAACTACCACTGACTTTCTTCACAGAATTAGAAAAAACTACTTTACATTTCATATGGAACCAAAAAAGAGCCCATATAGCCAAGACAATCCTAAGCAAAAAGAACAAAGCTCGAGGCATCACACTACCTGACTTCAAACTATACTACAAGGCTACAGTAACCAAAACAGCATGGTACTGGTACCAAAACAGATATATAGGCCAATGGAACAGAACAGAGGCCTCAGAAATAACACCACACATCTACAACCATCTGATCTTTGACAAACCTGACAAAAACAAGCAATGGGGAAATGATTCCCTATTTAATAAATGGTGTTGGGAAAACTGGCTAGCCATATGCAGAAAACTGAAACTGGACCCCTTTCTTACACCTTATACAAAAATTAACTCACGATGGATTAAAGACTTAAGTGTAAAACCTAAAACCATAAAAACCCTAGAAGAAAACCTAGGCAATACCATTCAGGACATAAGCATGGGCAAAGACTTCATGACTGAAAAACCAAAAGCAATGGCAACAAAAGCCAAAATTGGCAAATGGGGTCTAATCAAACTAAAGAGCTTCTGCACAGCAAAAGAAACTATCATCAGAATGAACAGGCAAACTACAAAATGGGAGAAAATTTTTACAGTCCATCCATCTGACAAAGGTCTAATATCCAGAATCTACAAGGAACTGAAACAAATTTACAAGAGAAAAACAAATAACCCCATCAAAAAGTGGGTGAAGGATATGAACAGACACTTCTCAAGACATTTACGCAGCCAACAAACATGAAAAAAAGCTCATCATCACTGGTCATTAGAGAAATGCAAATCAAAACCAAAATGAGATACCATCTCACACCAGTTAGAATGGTGATCATTAAAAAATCAGGAAACAACAGATGCTGGCGAGGCTGTGAAGAAATAAGAATGCTTTTACACTGTTGGTGGGAGTGTAAATTAGTTCAACCATTGTGGAAGACAGTGTGGCAATTCCTCAAGGATCTAGAACTAGAAATACCATTTGACCCAGCAATCCCATTACTGAGTATATACCTAAAGGATTGTAAATCATTTTACTGTAAAGATACATGCACACATATGTTTATTGCAGCACTATCCACAATAGCAAAGACTTGGAACTAACCCAAATGCCCATGAATGACAGACTGGATAAAGAAAATGTGGCACATATACACCATGGAATACCAAGCAGCCATAATTAAGAACGAGTTCATGTCCTTTGCAGGGACATGGATGGATGAAGCTGGAAACCATCATTCTCAGCAAACTAACACAGGAACAGAAAACCAAACACCACATGTGTTGAACTCATAAGTGGGAGTTGAACAATGAGAACATATGGGCACAGGGAGGGGAACATCACACACTGGGGCCTGTCGTGGGGTGGGGTGCAAGGGGAAGGATAGCATTAGGAGAAATATCTAATGTAGGTTATGGGTTGATAGGTTCAGCAAACCACCATGGCACATGTATACCTATGTAACAAACCTGCACATTCTGCACGTGTCCCAGAACTTAAAGTATAATAAAAAAAATGAAATATAGAAAAGAATGAATGCTAGAATACTATAGATAAGATGTCCATCTTCCAGTAATCCTCACTACATTCTCACTAATCACATACTTACAATTAATACCTTTGTGCCAGGTGATGCCTTTAGAAGGAAACAGTTCATTATAAATCACTAAACTCTTTTTCCAACCCAATATGAGATGTTCAACCACTTTATTTGGAGTGGGGTAGCGATATTTTCTTGGATTGAAAATTTAGTTAAGATAGTTCCTTGTATAGAGTACCAATTCAGCTGAACTTTTTTTTTTAAGTAGAACTTTCCACATGCCTGTTTTTGAGCTCCTGAAAAAATGGAAAATAGGATTTGAGGCTATGATATAACTATCAGGAATCCAAAAATCACTTTGTATCTATGCAGCGCAATCCTTGGAAGTATTCAGTCAGATAGTCTGGTCGAGGTTATAAGACGCTACAAACACTCAGCACAACCATCTGAGAGTTATGTGCTGTTGTGTGGTCTTAATTACATCACAACCATAATAAGTTGCATGTAGGTCTTTTGTGTTTGTTTGTTTGTTTTTTTCTACCTCTGCTCTAACTTTTCATTTAGAGCCAAATAAGAACATCAAATTAAAACATTAACTCAAGAGACAGAGCAGCAGGAAATTCCGAGGTTAAGTTTCTCATTGCAATTTTAACTTTCCCATGATAGACATTTTCTGTGCTGGTTAGCATCTTACATGTATAGCTTTGTATAAAGAGTCAGATTCTAACTTCAGTTACACCCATTTTATTTTTACTGAAAATGTAAGGGGGAGCAATGAAGAATCAAAGTAGTGCCAGAGGTGAGCAGGTTGGAAAGCAAATGCTGAAGCAGACAGTTATGGGAGGCCCACAAATAGGGGAGCCGGAAAAGGAAATACGAGGCACAGATGGAGTTGTGTTTGTGAATACGCGATTGCATTTCAAGATTTCTTCACATGCATGTTTTCGTGTACTTCTTTTCAAATAACTGTTAAACAACAATTTGAACCACATTAATTTTATTTATTTTTTATTTATATAGAACTTGAGTGTTTGGTTCACTTTGATTTCACCTCTTGCTTATAAATCTTCTGACCAGTCATTAACTGCTTGTAAAGTCCTGGCACCTCATATATTGTCACTTAATTATGTTATGCTACAGTGGGCTTCCTAGGAGGCAAAAATTCCACACAAAAACACTTATAAAGAAAGCCAGGGCAGACAGCCTGACTAAGCCAGTAAGAATAAAAATTGTTGCTGACAAGGGAATAGAATTGACAACTAAAGCTTTCTGAACCAAAGGGGAAAATGAATAGCCAAGACATTTGAATTGTTGAAGGAAAGGATGTTTCAGATCTAGGCGAGGGGGAGGAACACAGCATAAAACTGGAAATAGAAGATTAACCACTAAGCCTTCTCAGAATGAATCATAAAGAGAGAAAAAGGATTATTAGCCAAAAGGATCTAGGCAGGAAGGGCTCAGGGCAAAGCCTCCTGGTGCATCCTGTCTTCAAGCCTAAGATGTTGGAAACCGTTCCTTGTTGGAAGAAGCACCTCATTGGTAAAGTCTGCCCAAGACATTAGGGAATAAAAAAGAACTGAAGAAAAACTCATTTGAATTTCAGGACACTATTAAATTTTTTAAAACTCTTTATTTCCATGATAATACTTGATACCAGTGAAGATGTGGTAAAACTGGCACCCACATATTACTGGGAGTAGTATCAGTTGATATAATCCTTTTGAAAAATAATTAAACAATATAATACAAATCCAAAGCCATAAAACTGTTAATAGCTTTAATGTAGAATTTTCTTTTCTGGTCATCTATTCTATAGAAATACTCTAAATATTAAAAAGTCTCTATTCACAGAAATATTCGTGACAACACTCGATATGAAGTGAAAAAACAGTAACAAGCTAAATATCCAATAATAAAAGAAAACTTTAGTAAAAATATGCTTGTACATTCACTCAATGAAATAAAAATCGATCACAAAAATCCTGATTATTGAAATACACAGCACCACCTATGAAGTATTCCTGCCTCCCCACAACTCCCACAAAACAGTAAAACTTTAATCAAACTTTTCAATGAAACTTCTAATTTATAGGAAAAACCAGATTGAAAGGAATAAGCCAAACTGTCCATAAGTAAGCAACTCAAGAACTATGGAAAATTGATTTAGCTTCTTTAATAATTTGGTGATCTAGGGGAAGGGAAGAAGGAGTTCATCTCTCGAAGAGTTCCCTGTTTCATTGAACGTTCGGCGATGACGGAAATGTTCCGCATCTGTGCTGTCCAAATAAGGCGGTCACTACGGAGCACTTGAAATGTGGCTAGTGTGACTTATGGTCTGACTTTCTTAATTTCATTTCATTTTAATAATTTAAATTTAAAAATCCACTTTTGGCCAGTGGCTACCATACTGGATGACACGGTTCTAGATTTAAAAGATTTAAGAGACACACAACTATATGCGATGTGTAGATTTTGTTGGATTCTGAAGCAAATAGACTTGGAAAGACCTATCTGAGTCTTTCAGGGAAATTTGAATACAGCCTGAGTTAGATGTTAATTCTGTTTACTGTAATAAAGGTATTGTGGTGGTTATGCCATAAACTTAACTGATTTTTTAGAGACTCATGCTGAAATGTTTAGAGATAGAATGTCAAAATGTCACAATGCCTGGGATTTGCTTTAAGATGGTTCTACCGCCAGGCACGGTAGTTCACACCTGTAATCCCAGCACTCTGGGAGGCTGAGGCAGGTGGATCACTTGAGGTCAGGAGTTCAAGACGAGCCTTGCCAACATGGTGAATCCCCATGTTTACTAAAAATACCAAAATTAGCTGGGTGTGGTGGCGGGCACCTGTAATCCCAGCTACTTGGGAGGCTGAGGTGAGAGGATCGCTTGAACCTAGGAGGCAGAGGTTGCAGTGAGCCAAGATCACACCACTGCATTCCAGCCTAGGCGACAGAGGAACAGTCTGTCTCAAAAAAAAAAAAAAAAAAAATGCTTCTACCAAAGAGAGAGAAAAGAGAGGGATGAGTAAATGTTGTAAAATGTGGATAACTGTTTAATCTGGGTGAGGTGTATGTAGTGTCATTATAGTTTCCCTTTTTGTGTGTATATTTGAAATATTTTTATAATAATAATTTCTAAAACTCATAATTACATAAAAAATGCTTATGAAAAATATTAAGTGAAAAGGCAGAATATAAGCTTGTCCATTCAACATTACTATGACCATTAACTAGTGATGCATTAACGTGTTGATGCCGAGTTGCAAGTCATCTGTTAAGATGTTCAAATTTGCAATGATTTTACTTATATTTTAGTGAAGAGCTAAAATACAGTTTGATGCTAGAAAATGTTTATGGGACTATTTTAAGCATGTTTAAGTGTGACAGGAAAAAGAAAGTGTGAGAATCACTGTAACAAACACATACACCTATCCATACACACCCATATACCATTAAAAAAAAAAACCCATTACATACAAACACATAGTATCATTTATTCCATAATGGTGGTTTGGTTTTGTTCATGGGATTGAACTAGATAAAGAACAGACAAATTTTTGTAATGTGATTAGGTTACTTTTAGAATAAGATTAAAACCACATTTAAATTAAATTTAACTTTTTAAAAAGTGAGATCTGTGGTTTGATATATGGAATTATTCTTAATAGACCCCCAAACGTTTATTGCCAAGACCCAAATCTATTTCGCCAGAACCCTGCCCCTTTTTCAGAGGCATATGAATAGAATAGGATAAGGATATTCACATATTTGCAAATTTAACGTCATATAAAGATAAATATAATGCAATGTGAAAAGAAAGGGGATGTTTATATTACCTTAGAACTCAAAACAAATTCTTCCTTCTGACCTTAGTGGTAATATTTAATGATAAAAATAACATCATTTAAATAATGTTTAATATAGCCAGGCATTGTTTTAAGCACTTTATTTATGGTAACTCATCTAACTCTCACAGCCCTTTGTGGTATGAAATATTGCTGTCTCTATATTAAAGCTGGCAAAACTAAGACACAGAGAAGTTAAGTAACTTGTCTAAGATCACACAGCCAGCAAGTAGTGAAGCCAAGATTTAAACCCAGAATTTCTGCTCCAGAGTCCATGCTTTTAGGCACTATGCCACACTCAGGTAATAGTTCCAATGACTTCATTCACTCACAAGTTGAGAATCAAATATCTGTTTCTCACTGCCATGTGCACCCCTCCTCATGCAGGCCAGGGAGCCATGGACTTTCTATCACCTCATTAAAACAAAAGTAGCTGGGTGCAGTGTCCCATATCTGTAATCCCAGCACAATGGGAGGCTGAGGCAGGATAACAGCTTGAGCCCAGGAGTTCAAGACCAGCCTGGGCAACATGGTGAAACTCTGTCTTCACAAAAAATACAAAAAAATTAGCTGGGCATGGTGGTGTGTGCCTGTAGTTCCAGCTACTCAAGAGGCTGAGGTGGGAGGATCGCTTGAGCCCAGGAGGTCAAGACTGCAGTGAGCTGAAATCATGCCACTGCACTCCAGCCCATGCAACAGAATGAGACAAAAAAAAGTAGTTGAGCCAAAGAGAGGCATGTTAGCCGCCATTATTGCTATTACTATATTATTATATTATATTATCACTTACATCTGAGCCAAATTCCCACTCAGTCCTTGGTAACTAAACCTCCCCTCCATGAATAATGAATCATTCTCATAGTCTCACACTCAGTGGGCTTCAGTTACCTTTGAAGACAGATCAGTTCAGGTGATGCAATATTGGTTTGTAGGGAAGCAAACTAATGATTTCTAACCTAGTCATGCAACAGATGCTTTACATGTGGTGCTTTTAAAAGAACAAGTAAGGGTCTTCTTTCTGCTAAGTTAGTTTTTTGAATACTTGAAGTTCAGTCTTTTAAAGAGAACCATTTTGGGGATAGGGAAGGGGACATATTTCTAACTGATAATAAACAGAACACTGTCCTGTTAGAGTATGTGGAGAATAGTAGAATCTTATTTTACTGTTGAGGTCATTTTAAGACAGCAATCATAGCACCTTGCTACTTCTTGGATCAGAGAGACATGTAGAGTTTTTTGGCCCTGTATATATGGTCTTAGGTAGCTGTGCTTTTTGAGTTCCCACACTTATCTTTTTAATGATAGTCTTCTGGTGTCCTCAATGGAGTTCATCAGTTGTCACATCTGTTGACGTTCTTAATGCCCTTTGTCTAGCAATCATCCCTCTCCTAATTTGTGGCTTCTAATTTGCTACAGTTTGGAAAACCACTCATGCCATAAGTATGAATCTATAAATGTACTTATGCATAAATTTACAAATGCATATACACTTATCCCTTTCCACAAAGGATGTATGGCAGCTTTTTAAAATTATGCAATTACAAAAAATAATTTTTGAAGGAATTTGAACAAAAGGAAAATAAGAATATATTAAAGAATAAGAAAAATAATAAAGCCAAGGTAGGTAACACACGCAGACTGCATGCTCTGTACCTCTCTGTAATTGCTAGTGCTAGGTAGCAAACAGCTCTGGATTTCCTGGAAGCCAAAGCAAAGATAAAAAGGCAATCCATTAGTTACAGGTTCACAATGCTCAGAAAATAAAAACAAACCAGCTATTCAGAAAAAGTACTACCACTCTTAACATTAAGACCTAAGAGAATTTTTTCATCATATTCATAAAGAAGGGTAATATAGGATAGAATAATGTCTTCAATGGCATTCTGACAATAGCTAATGTGATACATTCCAAATAGTGCTTGTTATGAAATCGCTTTAATATAAGCCAAAAGCAAAAACCCAAGCAAATAACATCTTTAAAAAGCAAGCATAGTAAGGAACTAAGAGACTTTTAGTAAGTAAAATGCACAAACTTCACTATATGGGCTGTGTAGTCACTATTTTCCTTGATGGAAGGCTGTTGGCATATACTTCCTAATTGGTGGCCATATTCCAGATATGTAGGTTTATAAACATGTATACATATTTTATGGATAAGTCTATTTCTTTTAGTTACTATCCATTTAGAAAACATTAAATACTCCTAGCCACTAGATTTAGTTAGTCCTCAATTCCAGTCTCGTTGCTATCTTCATTTTATGAGAAGGGACAAAGAAGTTATCATTTGAACTCTTGTTATAATCGTCAGATTCCAAACCTTCAATAAAAAGATGACTGCCAGTTTACAAAGAGAATTTCTAAATTCGTAAATTAGTGAAGTGAATTGAAGAGAAGACATACTCTCATTCACACGGTAACTAGGAGATATTCTTTCATTGTGAGCCCTTCTCTGAAGTGAATTTAATCAAAGTTTATTCAATGAATTTCAAAGCAAATCCACCAGCCCACTTTACCTTCCATTTAGGTCCCTAACAACGGGATTTGAGGACTGCTCTTTACTTTAATTCTTTACTTGTGCGGTACCTACTGTATGTAGAGAATGTTTGCATGTTTGGAGTCTCTGAACAACACAATGAATTCCCTACATGATACCACAACACAATTTCTCGGCTATCAAGTAAAGCTTTTTTATCCTGCTGAGTTCAAAGTTCAAAATTTATTTCTTAGCTTAATGCAATGCTAGTGCAAGTGTGTTTAATATATTCATTCTAAATGCCATCAGAGGACGGTGGTGTCAACATTTTGGCTTTGTTTGGACAGCTTTTGTGCAAGTGCAAACACAGAGTGTATGAAATCTAATGAGATTAGGCGCTTACTGCAAAATTAAAGGCAGGCGACTAGACTTCAAAGACATTACCGCAGTTCAAATCCCTGACTATATTTCTTGGGCCACTTCAGCAAACTAAAGTTTGAGAATCACCTTTACCAAAAGTTTTTCTTCATAGCAACCCTTTATTAGAATACTTAATATTCAACACCTTCCAAAAAATACATGGTTTCTTATGTTTCTTTTTTAAAATCATCATTCAAGAACACTACAATTAAGGAGGATGAAATTAAATCAAGATGAGCAAGAATTAACCAAAAGTTTTTCATAAACCCAGAATTAAACATAAATCTTTTAAAAGCTGTGGGTTTTGAGGTGTTTTTATTTTTTGGCAAAAACATAGAAAACAATAAAAGAAATCTGACCTCATCACAAGATGATAATGAATTTTCTGATTTTTTCAACATTATTAACAATTAATAAGGGCTTACTACGTCCCAGACACTATTCTAAGTGATTTGTAGGTATTAAATTAATCTTAACCACAGTCTTATAAGATTGTTAATATTATTAGTACCAATTTACAGATTTAAAAACCAGAGCTTACCAAAATTAAACTGTGGCTTATTGAAGTAGAATAATAAACTGAGGGTACAATAGGAGATATAGGCCAAAAAATCAAGTAAGAAAATAATCTAATCACAAGCATTTTAACTTCAAACAAGAGATGACAAAAGACTCTTCAAGGAAAGGACAATGAACAAACCAGTACTACCTAAGAATCGCTGCTTCAGAGCATACATCAGAATATAAAAACGGGCATGCAAGCTTCATTATGGCAATCCAGGGATAGCATGGTTAGGAAGAAGAAAAAAAAATCAGAGATCAGTTAATAGCCTTCTCACTTACAGGAGAAATGGAGGTATGAACCAAGGAGGAAGATGTTACAGATGACTCCAATATCATAAGCCTGGTAAACAAGTGTCCAGAGTTGTCAATGATAATAATAGGCTAGTTGGGGAAAATGCAGGTTTGGAGAAAAACAACTGACTTCAGTTTGGGAACATAAATATTAGGTTGTATCATATACAATTGCCATTTAACCATTAAATTAATAATTTCATATGACACAACCTAAGGTTTTGGGTGGAGAGGCTTCTGATAAGTGGTATGTCAGACATGTGTCTGCTGCACTAAGAGGTGTATATGTGGATTTAAGAGTCATCTAGACAGGGCTGATAACATGGAACCATGTCAGAGGTTACATTTCCAAGGGTAGCAAAGAGGAGGACTGTCAGGGATACTCACTGCTAGAAAACAGAAAGAAGCCAGTGACATGAGGATAAAGAAGAAGCTCTGCCATCACTGACACTGAGGCCATAAATGACTAATGTTTCAGAAGGCAAAATCGAAAGCAAAAACATTGGGTACAGACCATGGTATAAGTGGTTACTGTCAAATGGCAATTGCAAGGCTGAGGCTGACAGGGATTGGGGGAGCAGGGGGTAAGGAAATATGGGTATAAAAATGTATATACATGTTCCATGAGTTTATCCTTGAAAAGAAGATAAAGATGCTTCCTTTTCTTTCTTAATGAGATGACATTATAAATAAATGGGAGTGGAGACCACTTGGTACTTTCTTAAAGAAAGAGACACAGGTATTTTTAATAGCAACAAAAAAAAAATCAGCAATAGAGCAGCAAATAGTACCAAAGAGAAAAGGGTAAGAACACAGTATCTGTTTACAGGAGACAGGATAACCCCCCACCTAATGAGAACTCACAGCCCTAGAATGAGTGGAAATACTGCTGGATGACTGAAGATTCCCCAGGAGTGGGGGTATTTCTGCTCTGTGACTTCATGGTGCCGGAACTTTAAGAAAAATGTTTGACAGAAACTTCCAGTGAAAACAATCTGTCCTTTTCCTTGGGTACTTACATTCTCAGAAATTATTATAATTGATAACGTCCATTAGGTAGTCTTGCTCCTGTGTGCAGGTAGAAAGCAGAAGACAGTTCAGATGAAGGAAGGAGGAGTAATTGATGGTCTTAACAGACTCCCTGAAAATAGGTGGGGGATGAACCTCTGTTAGAGGATGACCAAGAGTTGTAAGAGGTCACTGGAAATTTTCAAAATTCAGTGAAGTTGCTGGGAGAGAAACTCTTAAAGGACAAATGGTAAATTACATGCCACTAGCAGGAAGCGTAGAGACAGAGCAAGTTAATAATCATTAGTAAAAATCATCAAACTCTACTTCTACCACTTCTTTTATCCCCATCGCATGTTACTTACATACACACACACACACACACAGAGGGCCAGAATTACTTCTTATTCATATTTCTATTTTGCCAAGGACTCAGCACAGTGTCTTACACATAGTAGATGTTTAATAAAAATATTGGATGAATGGGGCGAAATCCTAGGAGGTTACTAGGTTGATAGTTAGAATTTATAACACAATGGTTTTAAAACAGATTAAATGATTAATGAAATTGAGCCCAATAATAACTAACATTTTGAGAGTACTTACTATGGGCTAAATTTTTTACATCAATTGCCTGATCTAATCTCCACAATGATCCTAAGAGGTAGAGATTATTATCATACTTTTACAACTGAGAAAATAATGAGGCTTAAAGAGGTTCAATATACTTGCAAAGTCACATTGCTATTAAGAGGTAGCAGAAGGATTCAAACTGGGACTCTGTCAACGTCATCTTATCTATAAAACATCTGGCCAAGTACCAGGCTTCTGTGAGGTGTGAGCTTCTTTACATAGATACTGTCACATAGTACAATGCAGGTCCCAATATGACAGCTAGCCTGCAACCTGGCATTCACACTATGTGGCTTTATCTGAGACCCTTCACCTTTCTCTTTTCTTATCTGCATAATAATAAATTAGACAACATCTTTAAAGTAGCTTTCAGGTCTGAACTTCTGAGACTTTAGATTTATTCCTAATAATGGAATTAAAGATGGTTAAAATTCTTGGCCCATCTTGGTTGGCTAACACCCAAAAGCACTGATAATCATATTCCACAAAACAGAGAGGTCTGAAAAAGCGTGAGCCTTAGAAAAGTTAGTTGCTGGTCTTAGAAATTTTTGTCAATCTCAGACAACTATTAATGTCACCAGTGGACAATAAAGCAAAGATTCTATAAAATTGTATGGTTTTCATTTGTCCAAACAAGCAGAGTACAAAGAAGTAGCCATAGAGAAAGTATATGTCACTCTCACCATATCCTCTGGAGGAACAGAATCACACATGAAGTAAAACTGGGGGGTCTAGGCCAGGAGCGGCGGCTCACGCCTGTAATCCCAGCACTTTGGGAGGCCGACGTAGGTGGATCACTTGAGGTCAGGAGTTCGAGACCAGCCTGGCCAACATGGTGAAACCCCATCTCTACCAAAAATATCAAAAATTAGCCAGGCGTGGTGGTTCGCGCCTGTAATCCCAGCTACTCAGAAGGCCGAGGCAGGAGAATCGCTTGAACCCAGGAGGTGGAGGTTGCAGTGAGTCAAAATCATGCCACTGCACTCCAGCCTGGGTGACAGAGTGAGACTCTGTCTCAAAACAAAAAAACAAAACAAAAAAAAACCTCAGGGGTCTAATATGTATGAGCACCTGTCCCCAAACAGTCATGAATTCAGTGATGCAATTTAGACAGTTTCTCTTATGAGAAGGCATACATTTTTAAAACCAAGGGACTCATATGACAACAGTATTTTAAAACATAATACCAGACACCTATTAAACTACCTCCTTCCAGCCACCAGGAGGTAGAGGCACAATATCCTGTCACCTAAATACAATATACTTGGACAGAAAAACACTTTCTTCACCCTTGGGCTAGTCAGAACATCAATTATCTAATTTTTCACAGCTCTCTACCACAGTCTTTCAAATGATGTTCAAATACTTCACAAGACTGGAACAATAAATAGGAGACGTAACTCTTCAGAGGAAGCAATGCACCTCCAGCCAAGAAAGTGGGAAAATCAAACTCAAGTATCCAGGCGCTGTAGGTTCACACTTAGTTACAGAATCCAGTCATTGAAAAGGGGTCATTGCACTTTAATATAAAATAAAATGGGTGAGTGGATTCTGTTTAGTTTGCCCTGAGGAAATTGGTCCCCCCCAATAAAGAGTGTCCCCCAAAGATAAAGTTACTTCTTATTTTGGGTATTTTTTTCTCTTTTTTTTTTTTGTAGACAGATTATCTCCCTGTCACCCAGGCTGGAGTGCAGTGGTGTGATCTTGGCTCATTGCAGCCTCCACCTCCTGGACTCAAGCAATCCTCCCATCTCAGCCTCCCAAGTAGCTGTGACAACCAACGCACACCACCACACCTGGCTAATTTTTGTATTTTTTGTAGAGACGGGGCTTTGCCATGTTAGCCAGGCTGCTCTTGAACTCTTGAGCTCAGGTGATCTACCTGTCTCGGCCTCCCAAAGTGCTGGGATTACAGGCGTGAGTCACCATGCCCAGCCAGGGAGGGTAGATGGCTGCAGGAATTCTTATAGCAACTGATTATATATTGATTGCATTTAATATGTATTGAAGCAGATTGTCATCAACTAGAAAACTATTATTATCCTTGTTGTTTCTCCCTCTTTTAGCCTCTCCAGATAAACTCAGTCTGACCCAAACCTACAAGTTGCAACAAATTTCTCTTTCAGGAATTCTAAAGCCTTTTTAAATGATAGATTACTTCTTCTGTTTATTAGTAGAAGGGGGAAAATCCTGCTCTTCGCCAAATCCACCAAAAAGTATTTGGTAAATCACTATAAAACACCAGAGAAAATGTAATGACTTCTCATCTTCAGAAACTAATTAGCACTTTGCTTTGCAGTTAAACCATAGGGCATTATTTGCAGAAGCGAATAAGGATGAATAGTCTATTTTCTCATTAACTGATAGAGGGAGAAATGTAACAGCTCCCATGACCATCTGAGTGTTAAATGAAAGGAAGTCTCACTTTCACAGGAAAACCGCCCTCAGTAATAAAGATGATGACTCTGACCCACTAGGTTGGCAGCTGGGTCCGGATTCTTGGGAAACCAGCCCCTGTGGTTCACCTCACTCCCTGATAATGACAGGCCCTTGCTTTCCCCACAAGCCTGAAAAGGAAATAAAGGAAAAAAAGAGAACACTCTAAAAATAAGAAAGAAAAGGAGAGTAGTGTCCTTGCCAATGCTAGTAACCAGGAGGCCTAGAAAGAGATCACTGGATACCCTGCCATTTATTGCCCATTTCCAACCATAGGAAGCTGGGAGGCAAGCTTGCCAAAGGGAGAAAAAAAAAAATGTTCTCCATCCTTCCTGTTGACAGGAATAGAACAGAGTCACGTACCTCATTCCAGCTCCATTATTTTTCCTCTGCTGCGTAGGGTAGCTTTTTTAGGTCAAAGTTTTTAAGAAAAAGAATTTTAATTATATCTTCAAGTTTTAAACCCCCACCTTTTATGTATCTTCTACTTTCTTCCATTACCTCAAATGAATTTATAGAAATAAAAGACTGTTTTAATCACCTAATCTAAGAAGTCATGTTGTCTTCCTTAAATGGATCAAAGTTAAATAATTAGAAGTTCCCTTCGTCCACTATTCCAGGGTGAGCCAGCTATTTCTTGAGATTGAGCTTGCACTTAAAAAAACTAAAACACACACAAAAGAACCCACTTCTTCCCATAGGGAAAATAAGGTCAAATTCCTAGAATAAGAAACCATAATAAATTTAACTTTACTAAAAAAGCCAGTGGTTTGAGGAATGCTCAAACCCAATCCCCAATCCACTAATTCATTACATCTCTAAAACAAAGAAAGTAAACACTGTTATTAATACATAATTATTTGTATATTCTTCTCTAAGTAGAAATTTTACAAAATAGAAGGCTTTCCCTAAAAACAAAAGCTTTGACTTATTATACACTGGAAATTCTGCAGAGAGATGAGGTGCTGTCAGGGTGCACTTTCTCAAAGCTTTTTATATACAATACTCAATAATTTCCCCCACTGTCTGCAGGCTCAGCATTCCACCCTCTTCTCAGTCGCTGCAAAACTTCTAGATCCTTTCTTCCTTTCACCACACTAATCCCTCTGCCTGAATCAACCCTTCTTCTTCCCTCATCCACTCTCTTTGCTTCTCCAACTTGATCTCATTCTTCATGTTTTGGTGGAAATGGAAATTCTTGCTTGAGAAATTCTTCCCTGAATTCCCAGTCTACATTTTAAAGCCCACTCTTACCCAACTCCTCACCATTATTTGCTCTCATGCACTCTAACTTGTGTTTCATAGCCCTTAAAACTCTCATTTTGTGGTAAATTCATTCTTTGTATAATCATATATTTAATGGCTATGTAATTTTTATGTAATGCCTCCCTTCTATGTTTATACATTCAAGATAGTAGGAGCCATATCCTTCTTGGTCACCACTTGAGCATAATGTAAATACTCAATGAAATGTTTTGAATGAGTGACTAAAGATTTGTTGAAAGGTTACTTATTGGGTACAATGTTCACTATTTGGGTGATGGGTACACTAAAAGCCCAGACTTCACCACTACACAATATACCCATGTACCAAAACTGCACTGGTACTGCTAAAATCTGTAAAAACAAAAATTAAAATTAAAAAAAAATTTAAAGATGTGCACCAAATGTTCATTACCATTCTATCAACTCCATATTATTTTTTATTTTCTGGAAGCTCTACAGAATGAAGATTGGAGATATTTCATCAGAAATCATACTGTCTGAAGCAATAAAATTAAAAAAGGAAAGCAGTCAATAAATCTCTGACCTGTAAAAAAGAAAACAGTAAATAAAATAAACTTTACCAAATAAAGAGCCACTGATTTTGCTGGACACTAAATCTAGAAAGGCAAGTTGAAAGGGTGAGAGGGAATCAGATTATGGAGAGTTAAATTTGGACTTTAATATAGTATAAACAATCAAAAGTATTTGCATAATAAAGTGACATGATAAAGTTGGAGATTATTCCAGAAGTAAAGTTCAATACTGATTCAAGGGGTAGAGCAACCGATTGGGAAACTAAATAGTCTAGGCTTTATGTAAGTAAGGCTCAGTTATTGAGATAAGAGTGGAAATGGGAAAGAAAGACTCAATTATCAGAGATCATGAAAGAGGATTGATAAGACTAGGTGCAGGAGAAGTGCTCACAATTCCTAGGGATATCAAGCCCAGGTGAAATAGGCAGAGAAGAATGGAGAGGGGCCCACCATAAAGCAGGGTCCTTCAGCTACCAACTCTTTGAGTGACCTTAAATAAATCCCTTAACCTCTTTAGCCTCACTTTCTTTATCTATAAAATGAAAAGGGTAGACCAGATGATCACCAAAATTGAGCATTCTCTGAATGTGGGTATTCATGGAAACCAGGGAGTCAGCAAGAGCCTTTGATTGGGGGAAAAAAAAAAATGTGTTTCATGCTGGATATTGTGAAATTGTGACATAATAAGAAATATATATATATATATGCCTTGTTTCTGGCTCCTGAAACAGCTCTGGAGCTCATTAAGGTGAAAGTAGCATCTTCTGTTTTTCAGAACAAGCCCCTTTTAATCACACCTGAGTTTATGTTAATAAAGTAACTTTTGGGAAGTCCATAAGGGGTGTGGGGGAAGCTGTTTGCCAGAGGAACTAACCAAGTGATTAGAGAGTTGCAACTTTCAGCCCTACCACCTGACCTCTGGGGAAGGGAGAGGAGCTGAAGGTTGTGCTGATCACCAATGGCCAATGATTTCATCAGTCATGCTTATGTAAGGAAGCCTCCATAAAACCCCTAACTGAAGGGATTCAGAGAATTTCCAGGTTGGTGAATAAGAACAAATCCCTTTGTCGAGAGGCTGATGCATCATGAGGACAGAAGCTCCTGTTCTTGGGACCCTGGCAAACCTCACCTTATGTATCTCTTCATCTCATTATTCATTTATATCCTTTAAAATATTCATTGTAATAAATCTGTAAGCATAAGTAAACTTGTCCCTGGGATCTGTGAGCTGCTGTAGTAAATTATTAAACCTAAGGAAAGGAGTATAGGAACCTCTGATTTGTAGCCAAGTCAGACAGAAGTCGTGGGTAATCTGGGGACCCACCACTTATGATTGGTGTCTGAAGTGGGAGACGGTTTTGTGGGACTGAGCTCTTAATCCGCGGCTTCCATGCTAACTTGGGGCAATTAGGATCAGAGTCAAGTTAAATTTTAGGATACCTAGTTGGTGTCCACTGAGAATTGGAGAATTGGTTAGTGTGGGGGGAAAAAAACCCACACATTTGGTGTTAGAAGTGTTGAAAGAGTATACAAGCAGAAACAGGAGTTTTTCATTTGAATCTGTTGAGTTTGAAGCAAAATGAGACATCCAGAAAGAGCTCTCCAGCAGGCAGTTGGAAATACAGGACAGCTGAGCCCAGAAGAAAAGCAGGCTGGAGACATAAATTTGAGAATCAGAGGCCTCAGGATTTAGCTGAGATGATGGGGGTGCATAGGATAGCAGAGTGAAAATGTGAAAACAGAAGCACATGTGGTCAGCTCACACCCCTTTAGTCTAGGAAATTCTTGTGGCCTTACATCTCCCTGGGGGTACAGGGGTTCATTTATGGTCCAGGACAGGGCTTCTGATCCAACGGCACACTTGCACCTTCTTTATTTCAGACTGGTGGCAAACTGTAACTGGTAAGGTGGGAATAAAGGGAGCTAAGAGCTTTTATTCCCCATTGGTTCCTTTGGCAAGTGGAGAATACCTGAAGTTGTGTTACAGAGGTCTTAGGTCTCCACTTAAAAGCCATTTACCTATTACACCCCCCGCCCCCGCCCCATCCCGTCCCAATGCCTCCCTGCCCTGGACCACTTGAGAGTTACCCAGAAGCAAAACTGACCACAACATTCATGCAATGCTGCAGTGGCCGACTTGAGAGAGACCCTGGTCCTCTGTCTTTCAATCCAATTCTCTTTGCCAGTAATCACCCCACCTATTAAAAGCATATGTGCGACACCTTTAAAATTCTCTTTGCCCTTAACTGTGAATAGTGTTTCATTGTCTGCTGCCATCCTACCAGAGAGGGAGCATTGTGTAGTCGGACAAAACTTACACCCCTGAGCAGCAGAGAGCTCAGTTTCCTCTAATGATCCCCAGGCAGGCGAACATTGCCAAGGGCATGATTGTATATGGGTTCTTCTGGAATTGCATATGGGAATACTGTTGCTATGTGACCTGAGCCAAACAATCCTAGAGTCACCTGACATCCTCCATCCAACATTTAGGAGTCATCAAACTTAATTTCCCCTTTGTGCAATAAAACACCAAGAGGAAGCTTTAATAGATTGTATTATGTAACGGTTCTATAAAAATAGCAGGCCAGCGCTGGAGCACTTCCTTCCTGGGGCCCAGTAACCTATGCTGAAAGGATACACACTGGTTGCCCAGGCAACCATGAGAGATGACACTAGGGAAAAAAAAACAGCAACAAAAGGACCATTTTTTGGCTCCGTCAAATGAGGTCTGGTTTCAAGCTTGTGATACAGTGAATACAGACGGCCTAGCACAGAGCGAGGGAACCAGTTAGTGATTCTACTCAGGCATCAGTAGCCTTGCAAAGCTCCCCCTGCTTTCATGGTTTTTTTTTTTCTCTCTCCCTTCTTAAAGAGAGGGAAAAAAAGCTTTCCCCTCGCAATTTCATTTTTTATTTAAGCAAGCAAAATCTTTTAGTGATTTTGAACTGTAGCAATCAGGAAACAATGTTTATTCTAGTCTTTCTTTCTCTTCCCAGGAGTTTGAAAAATAATTTCAGTTACTTGCAATTGTCTTTTATTTTCTCCTAGTTTGTTTGGGGTTTGGTTATGCAAGAAGAACTGGTTTAAAGGCAATAACCTTTATAAACAACAAAAATAAAAAAGTAAATCACAGATGCTCAAGCAATAATGCATTTTAAAAGTAAATAATAACCATTTATGAGATCCCTCTTCACAGCAGACATCAAAGGACTTTGTTTTAATAGATTGAAATCTTCTCTCTCCTGCTGTACTGAATTAGAACCCCTAAGTTTTATTACCAACATCATCATCATTATTATTGCCTTGCAAAATGGACTGCCATTTTAATTTCAGAAAATTGGTTTTCCCAATATACTGAGAATAGTGGCAGAAGGTTTTTAAATTCCTGACATGTGCCTAAACATTTTTCCTCTCACAGGGAGGAAAAAGACCCTCAGGGATTTACAAACATGATTTGGAACCTCAGAAAAATAAAATCAAGGATGAATCAAATGAGATTAAGTTCCAGATCTCTAATATAAAGCAACATCAATAGTTCTTTCAAAGCGATTCTTGAAATCAGTGCTCATAAATATGTAATGCACTTTTTATCTAAAAGACCTGTTTAAATCCTCATATAGTAAATTATTTATTTCAAGATTAGGTACTCAGCACAATGCAGACACCCTCTGATCAAGTGGGAATAAAATCTGTGAAAGCAAATGGTAAGGCATTATGCAAATGTAAACTGCTGTGATTATGATTATCCTGTGAATGGGTAGGTTTGAAGGAAGAAAGCCAAAAAAAAAGAATCAATTATGTATTCTTCAGAAAAAAAAAAAAAAATCTATCCTGTCGCTTCAGGCCCTGAGCCTGCCTCTTGTGCCTCTCACAAGTGAATTTAAACCCTCACAGCATCTTTTAATCATTTGCTTGCTGGCAATTAACTAATATTAAGACATAGACCAAAGGGAAATGGAGATTAAGAAATTATTCATTTATTTTTATCAATGTATGTTGCCAAATTGGAGGTTCTGGTCTATGAAAGATCCCATTTAAGGCAAAACTCCAGTCCTTCCCCATAAAATTGGTCTGATCATCTATTTACCAAATCTGGGGTCTCCTCAAGACAGATTTAGAGATAAATTAATCCATAAATATCAAATGCTGTGTGAAACACCAAACACCCTTTATTATCAAAGTTGCAAACACAGGCTTGGGACCCTGTGTCTTTGGAGAGAATATATGCAGAACATATGTGCCCTAAAGTTACGGGGCCTTATTTTCCTTTTGTGCAAAAGGTTTTGAAATACACAGGACTAAGTTACAGATAGTTGGGTTTTATCCAGATCTTTATTTTGACTCTAAAAAAGGACTGAAGAAGTCTTTGATAAAACCAACTAGAGATAGCATCAAATAGTAGCTCAACTCGAAGGGAGAAGCCTGACTTCGAAGAAATAGAATGTTATCTTGCGTGGTCGGCAATGTATCTTTCTGATCTGTGATTTTAACTTACTGATGCTTAAGTACATGGCACAAAATAAAGTATACAAGAGTTACGAAGCATGATATGTGCCATTTAATGGAAAAAATACTAAATAAAATTAAGCTTGGGTAAATATTTCCCAGGCTGAAAGTTCTGATTTAGCTTCCTGCATGAACTATATCAATATGAACAATGAGATAATCATGTGGTCATTCCTTTTAGAGGTTGAAGAGTATACAGTACTTTTTATATATTTATATATGAGGAAAGGTACATAATGAAGTATAAGTACCAGTGTTCCTTAAAGCTTGCTATACACAAGGCTGTTCTGCCTTGTAGGAACTTACACTCTAGATTGGGGTTTAACACATAAACTTTTACAAAAATAATTACCACTACTAAGCACTGGGTAAGCACTGCCGCTAACAAATACAAGAAGAGATATTCCTGTGACAGAGATCTCTGTGAGCTAGACAGACCAGGAAAGGCTCCACAGAGGAGTGGGAACTGAGGTCCTCCTGAGAAAACAAGTAGGATTTAAGCATATAGAAAAGAGTAAAACAGAAGGGCAAAGGTGTAGCCAAAGAGGCCCAGATAATAACATCCACAGCATGTTCAGAGGATCTTGAAGAGATAGCGGGATTGGAGGTGAAAATAGGGTCCGAAGGAGAGAAATGGTGGATGGCAAGGCAAGAAATATCATTATTTGGATATATAGGAAAGAAAATATAGATCACTAAACATGAAATGTTGAGTTACAAGGAAATTTAAACATCATTTTCACGTGATTTGGGGCAAGACACTTCTTGCCTCAATTTCCTTGTAAAATGGAGATAATAATAGTAATAATGACAGTAATGTACGATGCTTTACACAAATTATTAGTTGTCATCTTGCTCAGCTCCCTCGGTTTACATTTTAATTTCATTTCATATACCATTTCTATGTTGATTTATTTGGTCTCAAGTTGTGATGTCTATTTGGGGAGATTAGATACCGCCAATCCAGGTCACAGCCATGTCTTTTTTTTAAAGATCAACAGAGGAGTCGAAGACGTAAATTCTCTCCCACTGCCCAGAGGCAGGAGAAATGTTGAGTCATAAGCAGGGTTATCTCCAGATTGAGTCAGTCCCCAAAAGAGATCCCATCATTTACCCCTTTACCTTCTCATCCATGGGTGGCCAAGAGGAGGATAGCGTCGTGGAGTCAGATCAAAGGGAATGCCCACTGGCGCCCTCTCCCCATGGCTGCCAGCTCTCCAACCTACTTCTTGAGAAGTCTGATTAAATGCATGAAAGGTAAAGGGTACCTGCTACCAGACACCAGTTTCTCAGGCTCCTAGAATGGCTCTGACAGCAACAAAAATGACTCATTTTCCAAACTTGATACTCTGTCTAGCTCCTGAACAATAGGGGAGATTCTCCCCCTTTGCCTATTTCTTTCAAAGTATCTTGATTTTCCATAACACCTCTCTCATCCTTGTTGCACGTCAAGCCATAAACTCATGGAACCGCTTACTTGTGGCCACTTCATTTTGTTTACTTAAAGATTGTTTTCGTGACTTTTAAAAAGCCATGCCTGCATCTGGAATTTGTAATTCTAAGTCACAGAAAGACAGTTGTTATGTATTGTTTAAAATTTGTTTAATAAAAAGGAATTTCTTTGAAAACATCAGGCCAAGCTTATGATGTAAATTTACTGTCTGTAAATTTACAATGTAGTGACAGAAACTATAACACAGTATGTTAATTGATCAGTGCTGTAAGAAACATTCACTACAACAGTGAAAGAGTAGATGATATTTCGTTTAAAAGACATTAATCCAAGACAGGAATTAAGATGTTTTTCTTATAGGTAATTTCTCCTTTTACGGTGCTTTTTTTTTTCTTTTCATTCATCTGTATTTGCTGACTTTTCTATAAAAACAATATAAATGTCTTACATAATTAGAAAAGAAAAAGCAAGTAAGATGTTGATATATGACTTCAGACTATTCAGTAGGTGATTTTCAACTAAAAATCACTTAACACCAAAAACTTTCTTTTTTTCCAGCCCTTCCTGCAGATCCAGATACATTGATTTCAAGCATATTTCAGAGGCTGATCAAGCCCAAGTTCTGAAACAATGTGCTCACCTCTTCCTGAGCCATATTGTTGCTTAAAACAAATCAGAAATCGATCCTGGCCTTTGACTATGGTTCTTTAGAAGAGGAAAAATGAAGCATTTAAAGAGTAGGCTCTCTTAATACCTCCAGGTTCACAGTTGATATTTCCATATGGGCTCAAGCAAAAAGACAGCAGGAGATGATAAGGTCCTTTGCAAGACCTTACCTTGATTTTGAGTTACATTATATATATTCTACTAAAGACTTTCCTGGATACAAAAATTATATATATCCTGGGAGCAGAAACCTAAGTTCCTCTCCAACACTTGGGGAAAAGCCACTTGGGGTAGTACTCTGTTCACCTTATGTACCAAAACATTAACTGAGGACCTGTCCTGATCACTACGTGGCAGACAGGGTAGTGAACTCACTCTGACTCCAAGGAGGCTATGCTGTAGAAGGACAGATAAAACTGGAAATGTACCATAAGAAAGTTGCCAAAGAACACAAGTTGTGATATGGTCACCATTAGCACCATTCCCTGATGTTTCTGGGCCTTGTTCTTTGGAGTATGTGGTAGGATTGTTCTTCCCTGCCCCTTTGAAGTTAGCTGTAGCCATGTGATTTGCTTGGCTAATGAAATGTGAGAAGTGATGTGCATCACTTTTAAGCAGAAGCTTTAAGAACCAACACGATTCACTACAACCCCTTTCGCCTGCCACAGTGACCTGCGTTATTCCAGACAGTGAAAGCTCTGGCAGACGAGGACCCTGAATATGGACAATATGGAGCAGAGTTCCTGCCAGCCTGAGATGGATGTGCAAGAAATAAAGTTTTGTAGTTTTAAGGTACTAAGATTTGGGGTTAATTTTTACTGGATCATAACCCAACCCATCTTGATTAACACATAGTTAATTCTCACACCAATTCTATATTAGTTACTTTTATTATCTCCATTTTACAACTTAAGAAATTGAGCTGCCGGGCGTCGTGGCTTATGCCTGTAATCCCAGCACTTTGGGAGGCCGAGGCGGGCAGATCACGAGGTCAGGAGATCGAGACCATCCTGGCTAACATGGTGAAACCCCGTCTCTACTAAAAATACAAAAAAAAAAATCAGCCGGGTGTGGTGGCACGTGCCTGTAGTCCCAGCTACTCGGGAGGGTAAGATGGGAGAATCGCCTGAACCCGGGAGGCAGAGTTGGCAGTGAGCCAAGATCACGCCACTGCACTCCAGCTTGGGCGACAGAGCGAGAATCGGTCTCAAAAAAAAAGAAATTGAACCATAAGGAAGAAAAGAAGCTTGTCTGTGGTAAGTCAAAGGGAATAGTTATATATCTTACCCATTTTCTACTTCAGGAAACTGAGTCTTATATGTAAAGTGACCTGCTTAAAGTCACACAGATCATAGGTAAGGAGGTCAGACCTGTTCTCTTTTCATGATTCTTTGCAGTAAATGGTTATGGCAAGCAATTGGATTAGACAATAGGAAGTGGCCTAAATGGGAGAGATCTCTTCACCTCAGAGCTAATAGGAGTGGCTTTCAGAGAAGAGCTAACATCAGCATTGAGCTCATGATGGTCAGATTTGTTAAGTTCCAAACCGGCAGAAGAAATAGCATCATGCACAGGTGGAGATAGAGAACACTGGACCCAGGGTCAGATAGGGGAGTAGTGGCAGGTGATTCTAAAAAAGAAGGTTGGGTACAGATTGTATACATTCTTGAGTGCCATCCTTAGACATTTTGACATTTTGACTTATCTGTAGGCAACTGAAAGACTGGATGACAGTGAAAATGGTGATTAGATATATTCATTTAGCCACCTCTCTCCACACGGTCCAGACTCGACAAGGACCAGTTAACAGTTCAAGTGATAATTTTTTTTTTTTTTTTGAGAGAGAGTCTACAAAAAAAAAGAGTGCAGTGGCACAATCTCGGCTCACCGCAATCTCCAACTCCCGGTTCAAGAGATTCTCCTACCTCAGCCTCCCAAGTATCTGGGATTACAGGCACATGCCACCACGCCCAGCTAATTTTTGTGTTTTTAGTAGAGATGGGGTTTCACCATGTTGGCCAGGTTGGTCTTGATCTCCTGACCTTGTGATCCGCCCGCCTCGGCCTCCCAAAGTGCTGGGATTACAGGCATAAGCCACTGCGCCCGGCCTCAAGTGAAAAATTTTAAGGGCATGAATTGCAATTTAGCCCATACAGCAGACAGGAGAAGATGAATCTATCATATCTCATAAAGGAATAATTCCAGGACCAGCTTAGCTGATTGATAGGGGACAGGCCAATGGTGATGGACATGTAAATATATATGTTAAGAATAATAGAATGCTGCTTTACAACTGTATGTGAGGAGTTTGCTTAAATATCTGATACTATAAATTTGACAAATATCATACATTTCACTATCAGCAAAGACCTAGCGATGCTAGAAAAAATAGACAGTAGTGGTGTAGTCAGAAGAGCACGGACTTTCAAATAAGATTGGCTTACCACTTACTACCTGTGTGACCTTGGGAAAGTTGGCTAAGTCTTTCAAAATCTCAGTTCCTTCATCAACCTCAAAGGATTAAATGCTCCAGTGTATATTAAGAAATTTGCAAAGTGCCTAGTTCATAGTGGGCACCCAAGAAACATCAGTTTCTTCCATTAGCATTCCAAACTAGATGCAGATACGTATTATACAATGTTGTTTAATAATCCCTGAGAACACCCAGTGTGCATTTATAAATCCTAAATTAGCTAAAATACGCTGCAAACACATTTTCTTATTTTTCTCAATATATCTTTTCCAAAATAACTTACCATTAAATTATGTTACTATCTGTACTTTAAAAGTTTTTAAACCTGCTCCCTGGGTGACATTGAAAGAGCTGAATTAAGAACCATAAAGTGACTTTAAGCCTTTCCCCCAGTTTAGCAGACACTCCATACCGAACAAATATTAATCATCCAGAGCAGAATGAAGATTTAGGAGAAGATGATGGAATTTCCATAGCTTCCTTCAGCTACTCATTCAAGACTAACAGCATTCATTTGTCAAAGATAGCTATCTCTCTTATATTTACGATAACCTCTGTTACTGTTTGCTCCTTCCCCAACCCTGACAAACATAAAGTTGGACAGAGAAACATTTAAAAGAATGGTTGGCTACAGCATATCAATCCTGGCTCACCCTCTAATCCAACAGCAATATAATCACAAACAAAGCCTCTTTCCAAGGATGTGGTACCTGGGGAAGATAGTCTTTCAACAGTAGAAATATACCTATCCAGGAAGACACTAAAGCTCATTTACTAAAGACAGAATCCAAGTTTATATGTACTAAGTACTAAGTAAATATACATTATAAGTATTTTGTGTTCCTGTGCATTTTGTATTACACATAATAACATCAATAAATAGTTGTTATACATGTTTTAGAAACTACTTTTAGGCCAGGCGTGGTGGCTCATGCCTGTAATCCCAACACTTTGGGAGGCCGAGGCGGGCAGATCATATGAGGTCAGGAGTTCTAGACCAGCCTGGCTAACATGGTGAAACCCCATTTCTAACAAAAATGCAAAAAATTAGCGGGGTGTGGTGGCGCCCATCTGTAATCCCAGCTACTCGGGAGGCTGAGGTAGGAGAATCACTTGAACCCAGGAGGTGGAGGTTGCAGTGACCTGAGATCACGCCATTGCATTCCAGCTTGGGCAACAAGAGCAAAACTCCGTCTCAAAACAAAAAAAAAAGAAACTACTTTTAGCTCTTACAAAATAGATGTATTTTTAAATTCTCTGGCAATGTAGGAGGGAATTCTAGATACATTGCTTTGTTGTATCAAGTATAACTTTCTTAAAGCCATGAGAAGTTCTCAGCTTTTAGTTTAGGGCTATAGCGTAAAATAGCTCCCAAGAAATATTACAAACTTAATTCATATTTGAGCCATCAATTGGCATCAAGAAGTGAATAATTTGGTAAATACGTATTTTTTCTACACAATTATTTTTCCTCCAAAGGATCCTCATGCCAGAAGTGAAAATGGTCAATGAACAGGAATGGTACATGCATTCAGAAATGCATCATGTGCACCTTACATATTAGAACTGACCTGCAATCTGGTCTTTCCTAAACATAACAACCTTTGCTTCACTAGACCTTGACATGCTCAAGAATAAGAATCAGGATAGTGTATCTTTTGAATATGAAAATTTCACAGCCTAATCACTCTTGTTCACTGTGGTCCAAAGCATAGTTAAAAACACAGTAAATTCTATCAGTGTGGCCGGGCATGGTGGCTCACGCCTGTAATGCCAGCACTTTGGGAGGCCGACATAGGTGGATCACTTGAGGTCAGGAGTTCAAGACCAGCCAGGCCAATATAGAGAAACCCCATCTCTACTAAAAATACAAAAAAATAGCCAGGCACGGCGGCAGGCACCTATAGCCTCAGCTACCTGGGAGGCTGAGGCAAGAGAATCGCTTGAACCCGGGAGGCAGAGGTTGCAGTGAGCTGAGAGCATGCCACTGCAGTCCAGCCTGGGCGACAGTGAGACTCTGTCTCAAAAAAAAAAAAAAAACAAAAAAAAACTTCTGTCAGTGTTTCTCTCAGACATTAGTGTCTTCACTCCTTAAAAGAATTAAACTGTCTCAACCTAGAATTTAAATGACAGCAAAAACAATATAGTTCTGAATAGCCAAGCAAGTTATTCAATATCCTTATTTTAAAAAAAATAGAGAATCTAGTTAACTGGGGGAAGAGTATGTTTTTTAAAAAGTAAGATTCTTTTGAATAAACCAATTGTAATTTAATGAGGTTTCCTTGTAATTCACTTTCACTGAGTTTATTATAAAAGAACATCTGGCCGGCAACAGTGGCTCACCCCTGTAATCCCAGCACTTTGGGAGGCCAAGGCGGGCAGATCACTTAAGGTCAGGAGTTTGAGACCAGCCTGGCCAACATGGTGAAACCCCATCTCTACTAAAATACAAAAATTAGCTGGGTGTGGGGACACATGCTTGTAGTCCCAGCTACTTCAGGAGGCTGAGGTGGGAGAATCGTTTGAACCCAGGAAGCGGAGGTTTCAGTGAGCCGAGATCACACCACAGTGCTCCAGCCTGGGCAACAGAGTAAGACACTATCTCAAAAAAATAAAATAAAATAAAAGAACATCTGCAAAATTCTGACTTTTAAGAGTTTGACTATTCTTATCACTATCATATTGGTTGTTTGTTATCACAAGTTTGCCATATTTTTTATGAAAAATAACTACAATACAGTTGGTTACTAGGAAAGGGAATGGGGAAAAAGTCAACCATGGGACTAAAGATTTGTAGCTAACTAACAGCATTATTACTAATAAAGCATACAAGAAGGAAACCAGAAAATATCTTGTTAATTAGAATTGCTTCCAAGTAAGAATGTTCCAAAGGATATCATAGGCCTCAATCATGACTGGTTCTTAAATTATATATGTTTACACGCACTGTGGTATTTTTTAAAGTTTACCAATAAACCAAAAATCTCTGGGCACATATACAGAAAAATAAAATAACCACAATTAAATTAGATTTCACGGTAAAAAGAACATCTAAACCTTAAAATACCTCATAAAAGAAGAGGAAGAAAACAAACTCAGCTGGATTGTCACAGAATGCCAAACCAAAACTATATACTTTTGTCTCATGCCCTGAATGTCAAAGAACTTGAGATAAAAACAACCATAACTGAACATCATGCCTCCTTCCACCTTACAGAGCCACATGATTGGCATACACACCCTCCAAATGGTGTTGCAGAAATAATCTCATGTATAAGCCTGGTCAATCATTTTTTCAAACATAGGAATGACCTTTAAATTTTATCCCATTTTCTCTCATGAGAGAGACAAGCCCCAGATCTGAAACCACACTCTAGCCACTTTCTATCTTCAAACACCCTGGCCAGCAAAACCTCTGGGAAATGAGCTAAATGGTTACGAAAAACCTACAACTTCAACTTCCTTCTGTGGTCCAGTCATTTACCAGACCTAGAACCAAGTAGCAAAATTGCTAAAACTCAAACTGGTTTGAGTTGCAGCGTTTTTTGATTTCCCTCTTGCACCATCTGGTAGAAATGATATTGAGCAGTCAAATATCCAAGAGGCAGCCATGCTGATCTCCCTTCAATCCTGAAGAGATAACTGGGGCTCCTGGAGGAAGCAGAGAACATAAGACACACAGGTTCCCACAAGAAGAGCTAAGCCACAGCTATAGCAGGACTCGAAACACTTTGTGGAAGACATTATGTTGTAGTACTGGATATCTAAAGACAATAAAATATATGCATTCTAAATGCCTACAGTCCTTTTCAATATCAGATCATAAAGCAGCCATGGCAGGACACATTTCATCAAAGTACCTTGGAGCAGAGGATATGGAGAAACAGAGTGAAAAAATCTGACAATGAACATACTTTTTACATCTATTTTTCATTTTTTTCTTTTTTTCAACTTTTAAGTTCAGGGGTACATGTGCAGAATGTGCAGGTTTACACAGGTAAACGTGTGCCATAGTGGTTTGCTGCACAGATCATCCCATCACCCCAGTAGTAAGCCCAACATCCATTAGCCATTCTTCCTGAGGCTCTCCCTCCTCCTACTCCCCATGATCCAACAGGCCTCAGTGTGTGTTGTTTCTCCCAATGTGTCCATGTGATCTCATCATTCAGCTCCCACTTGTAAGTGAAAACATGTGGTATTTGGTTTTCTGTTCCTGTGTTAGTTTGCTGAAGATAATGGCTCTCAGCTTCATCATCCCTGCAAAGGACATAATCTCATTCCTTCTTACAGCTGCCTAGTATTCCATTGTATATGTACCATATTTTCTTTATCAAGTCTGTCGTTGATGGGCATTTAGGTTGGTTCCATGTCTTTGCTATTGTGAATAGTGTGGCAATGAACATACACATGCATGTGTCTTTATAATAGAATGATTTATATTCCTTTGGGTATACACCCAGTAATGTGATTGTTGGGTCAAAGGGTATTTCTACCTCTAAGTCTTTAAGGAATTGCCACACTGTCTTCCACAATGGTTGAACTAATTCACACTCCCACCAACAGTGTAAAAGCATTTCTTTTTCTCCATAACCTTGCCAGCATCTGTTGTTTTATGACGTTTTAATAATAGCCATTCTGACTGGTATGAGATGATATTTCACTGTGGTTTTGATTTGCATTTCTCTAATGATCAGTGACGTTCAGCTTTTTTTCATGTTTTTTGGCCACCTGTATGTCTCCTTTTGAGAAGTGTCTGTTCGTGTCCTTTGCCCACGTTTTAATGGGGTTTATTTTTTTATTTTTTTCTTATAAATTCAAGTTCCTTGAAGATGCTGAATGTTAGACCTCTGTCAGATGGATGAATTGCAAAAATTTTCTCCTGCTCTGTAGGTTGTCTGTTCACTCAGATGAGTTTCTTTGCTGTGCAGAAGCTCTTTGATTTAATTAGATCCCACTTGTCAATTTTTGCTTTTGTTGCAATTCCTTTCATACATCTATTTTTCTAAAGTATACAAAGAACATTTTTACTTGATGTATATCATAATAAATAAAATAATGTAAATAGGAGTATACCTAAGAAATAGTGGGGGTTTAGTTTCAGACCACTGCAATAGAGTAAATATTGCAATAAAGCGAGTAACAGGAATTTTCCCAGTGAATATAAAAGTTACATTTACACTACACTACAGTCTAAGTGTGCAATTGCATTATATCTAAAAAATGTACATATCTTAATTTTTAAAATATTTTATTGCTAAAAAATTCTAGCAATCATCTGAGCCTTCAGCGAGTCATGATCTTTTTACTGGTAGAAGGTCTTGACTTGACGTTGATAGCTGTTCCTTGTATAGGGTGGTGACTACTGAAGGTTGGGGTGGTTTTTTTTTTTTTTTTGAGACAGAGTCTCGCTCTGTCACCCAGGCTGGAATGCAATGGCGCGATCTCGGCTCACTGCAAGCTCCGCCTCCCTGGTTCATGCCATTCTCCTGCCTCAGCCTCCCGAGTAGTTGGGACTACAGGCACCCGACACCACACCCAGCTAAGTTTTTTGTATTTTTAGTAGACGGGGTTTCACCATGTTAGCCAGTCTGGTCTCGATCTCCTGACCTCATGATCTGCCCGCCTCGGCCTCCCAAAATGCTGGGAGTGAGGTGAGCCACCGTGCCTGGCCAGTTTTGGCAATTTCTTTAAGACAATAATAAATGTTGCCAAATCAATTAACTCATCCTTTCGTGAAAGATTCCTCATAACATGAAATGCTGCTTGATAGCATTTTACCGCAGTTGAACTTCTTTGAAAATTGAAGTCACTCTTCTCAAACCCTGCTACTGCTTTATCAACTAAGTTTATATAATATTCTAAATCTTTTGTTGTCATTTCAACAATGTTCACAGATTTTTCACCAGAAGTAGATTCCATCTCAAGAAACCACTTTCTTTGCTCATCAATCCACAAGAAGCAACTCCTCATCCATTAAAGTTTAATATGAGATTGTAGTAATTCAATCATATCATCAGGCACCATGTCTAATTCTAGTGCTCTTGCTATTTTCATCCCACCTACAGTTACTTGCTCCACCCAAGTCTTTAGCCCCTCAAAGTCATCCATGATGTTGGAATCAACTTCTTCCCAATTCCTGTTCATGACATTTTGACGTCCTCCTCTGAATCACGAGTGCTTTAAATGGCTTCTAAAGTCACGAATCTTTTCCAGAAGGTTTTCAACTGACTTTGCCCAGATCCATCCAGATTCCCTCAGAGGATTCACTGTCTATGGCAACTATTGCCTTACAAAATGTATTTCTTAAATCATAAAACATGAAAGTCTAAATTACTTCTTGATACCTGGGCAGCAGAATGGGTGTTCTATCAGCAGGCATGAAAACAAAATTAATGTCCTTGTACATCTCTATCAGTGCTTTTGGGTGGTCAGGTCCATTGTTAATGAACAGTAATATTTTGAAAAGAATCTTTTTTTCTGAGCAGTAGATCATCAGTATACATAAAATATTTAGTAAACCATGCTGTAAGTAGATGTGCTGTCATCCAGGCTTTGTTGCCCCACTTATAGAGCACAGGCAGAGTAGATTTAACATAATTCTTAGGGGCCCTAGGATTTTCAGATGGTAAATGAGCATTGGCTTCAACTTAAAGTCACCAGCTGCATTAGCCCCTAACGAGAGAGTCAGCCTGTCCTTTGAAGCTTTGAAGCCAGACATTGACTTTTCCTCTATAGCTGTGTTAGCAGCTGCAAATCCATTTGGGTCTGCAGCAACCTCAACTCTCACATCCTCAGAAGACTTCGACCAAAAGTCAAAACACAGAGTAAGAGACTAAGTCGAGTTTTAGAGCAGGAGTGAAAGTTTGTTTAAAAGTTTTAGGGACCAGACGCGGTGGCTCACACCTGTAATCCCAGCACTTTGGGAGGCCAAGGCAGGCAGATCACTTGAGCTCAGGAGTTCGAGACCAGCATGGCCAACATGGCGAAACACTGTCTCTAGTAAAAATACAAAAATTAGCTGGGCATGTGGTGTACACTTGTACTCCCAGCACTCAGGAGACTGAGGCAGGAGAATCGCTTGAACCCAGGAGCCTGAGGTTGCAGTGAGCCAAGATTGTGCCAATGCACTCCAGCCTGGGAGACAGAGTGCGACTCCATCTCAAAAATAAATAAATAAATAAAAATAAAAGGAAAGAAAATAAAAGTTTCAGGGCAGGAATGAAAGGAAGTACGCTTGGAAGAGGGCCAAGTGGGCAACTTAAGAAAATCAAGTACGTGGTTTGACCTTTGATTTGGGGAGTCATATGTTGGCATGCTTCCAAGGCTGCATTACATCTCCCATTTCTTCCCTTGGGCAGGCTGTCCGTATGCACAGTGGCTGCCAGCACTTGTGAGGGACTGCATGCACGGTGTGTTTACTGGAGTTGTATGTATGTGTGCTCACTTGAGGCGTTCTCTTACCAGTCGAATGTTCCTAGAAGGTCAAATACCAGTTAAACTCCAATATTTTGCCTCTTAGTGCATATGCTTGAGCCCACTCACCCAGCCCCTAGATTTTATCAGGAAGCTGCTGATCACCAGTTTCAGATATTTCTATCTATTGGGAGACTGCCTTTCCCTGGCGCTGGCTGCAATCAATTATTATTTTAGAGAGACTGTTAACAACCACCTGACCATCACCTGATGGTAGCCTGACATTCCTGTTGGGAAGGAGGCCCTCTCCTGACCTGCTCATGTCTGCCTGACTACCTACTGTAACACTGTGAAAGTCCTAGGTGGCATCTTCTTCCAACTGAAGGCTGTTTTGTCTATAGTGAAAGCCTATTGTTTAGTGTGGTCACTTTTATCAATTAGCTAGTCCTTCTGGATGACTTCTACATCAGCACTTACTGCTTCACTTTGCACTTTTATGTTAGGGAGAGGGCTTCTTCCCTAAAACCTCAGGAACCAACCTCTGCTAGCTTCCAATTTTTCTTCTACAGCTTCCTCACCTCTCTCAGACCTTCATAAAATGGAAGCGAGTTAGAATCTTGCTCTGGGGCTTTGGCTTGTGGGAATGCTGTGGCTGGTTTGATCTTTTATCCAGACCACTTAAACTTTCTCCATATCAACATAAGGCTGTTGCACTTTCTTTTCCTTTCTTTTCTTTTTAAATAGAGACAGGGTCTCACTATGTTGCCCAGGCTGGTCTCAAACTCCCAGGCTCAAGTGATCCTCCTGCCTTGGCCTCCCAAAGTGCTGGGATTAGAAGAGTGAGCCACCATGCCCGGCCTCTGTTGTGCTATCTTATCATTAATGTGTTCATTGGAATAGTACTTTTAATTTCTTCAAGAACTTTTCCTTTGCACTCACAACTTGGCTGTTTGGCACAAGAGGCCTACCTTTTGGCCTATCTTGACTTTAACATGCCTTCCTCACTAAGCTTATTCATTTCTAAATTTGATTCAAAGTGAGAGACTTGCAACTCTTCCTTTCACTTGAACACTTAGAAGCCATTGAAGGGTTATTCGTTGGCCCCATTTCAATATCGTGTGTCTGACGGAATAGGGAGGCCCCAGAGAGACGAGAAAACCATTGGTATGTGGAGCAGTCAGAACACACCATCTTGTATGGGGGCAGTTCATGGTGCCCCCACCAAAATTACAATAGTGACATCAAAGATCATGATTACAGATCACTATAACAGATATAATAATAATTGCAGCAAACCACCATGGCACATGTATACCTATGTAACAAATCTGCACGTTCAGCACATGTATCCCAGAATTTAAAGTAAAATTTAAAAATATATATAATAATAATGAAAAAGTTTGAAATATTGTGAAAATTACCACAGTGTGACACAGAGACACTAAGTGGGCACATGCTGTTGGGAAGAATAGGGCTGATAGACTTGCTCAATGCAAGGTTGCCACAAACCTTCAGTTTGCAGAAAACGCAGCACCTGTGAAGCACAATAAAACAAGGTGTGTCTCTAAAGCTCTAACACAGATCCTGGCTTGGGTAGATGGTTAGTGAATTATATCAGCTTGATTCATTCATTCTACAATTCTGACAGAGCACTACTATCTACCAGTCAGTATCAGCTTTTCTGAAAGATTAGGGAAAGATCATTAACTTTTAGTGAGTGTTTTTTTCTTTTTTCACATCATAATGGTCCTCAAGATTCAGAATCAGCCGCAGTTGAAATTTAACAAGGACAGTGAACCGACTTCTTCTCCAAAGAGGCAGTTGTATAAAGAGCAGCATTGATAAAAGTCCTGACCGTCTCATTCTCCACAAGGATTTCTACATAGGTCTAATTTTCATTTTCACAATAAGCCTCAGTATTCACCACATGCAAGTATTTAACTTCGAAACCTCAAAATAATCAATCTCTATCATATTATTGTTCTTAAGCAGCCAGAAATCTCTTCAGAGACTTTATTAGAAATGTTGGTAATCCTTCAAAATGCCAATTGGCGTCTTTTTCAAACTGTTCTGTAACATCATCTCTATCATCATCCTCCACAGATACCTCCAGAAGGATTCTAGTCAATAAGTTACTTAAAGTGTTCACCACACATGTGGGATTAGATACAGATGAGTGGTTGTAATATATTTCAGAGGTCACTGTAAATGCAGAAAGGAAATAGCTGCATATTCTATTTCCTCAAGACAAAATTTGTTTATAGGAATTATTGATTAAAAACATTAAAACAATTTCTGTGTTCACAGAGTACCTTCCTTTCAGTGATTGCAGTCACCAATAAAATTTGTGGTTAAAATATGTCTTAAAATATGTACCACATTTAGATTTGAAATAAGCAGAGAAGGAAATGTTGAATTGTTTTGAGAGGAGAGAAAAAGAAAAAAAAAACAGTAAAACGGAAGCATAGATGGATTTCTTACCTTAACTGCCAAAAATGAGACTGAGTCTCAAAATCTTTTTCTTTCTATAATTTACCAAAGTGAAGGGAGTCAGAGAAATTAGGACTCAATTATCCAGATTCCTAAACAATGGGTCCTGCAGTCACCAGTTAATTGTTTAAGCCTCCACTTCCTTTTGTCTGTGTTTTCTGGGGTGGGAGGGAGGAAAAGAGAAAGGAAACACATAGAAAACAGATGTGGAAAGAAATATTTATCAACAAAAAGTCTTGGTAAACCACGATTTTTATATCGCCCTTGCACTATATTTTCCAAGTTTCCTAGTTTTCTCAAACCCCAAAGAATTTGTAGCTAGAGAGGAAAACCAAAGCTTTTTATATGTTTTCCACAGGATTAGGAAGGCATATTTGGAGAATTCTGATGCTTTTCCCTTAACCTAATATTAATACATGTTTTTGACTCAAGGAATTTCTGTCAGAGAATGGGAGAAATAAAAGGTTCATTTAGCTGGTTTGTTCTGTCCTTGGACTTCCAGGCAGAATAAACAGCACCTTGTGACAAAGGCGGGCCACACGCTGGCTGAGCTCCAGGCAGACACTGGGGGATGCAGTCTGTTTATCAGACAGCACATTGTCTTAACCAGGATGTGGTTGGCTTTTGTAACAAGAAGTATGCAAATAAGTTTCCCAGAGACCCAACACCCTGTTCCCCACCACACTTGTTCCTTCAGTAGACACATGCTAATGGTGGCTGCCCTGAGAACAGAAGAGAGAGCCACAGAAAGAGGAGAGGAAGAGGAAGTGTCCTGAATTAGCCAGATTAGCCAATGGATCTTTTCAAGAAATACACCACAAAGAATACAACTCCAAGCCACCCTGATTCCCAAAAAAAAAGCATTCTAAAATAATATTGAATATTTTTTAATGTTCAAAAATGTTAAAACTTCTGAATCTGGGTTCATTTATTCTCAGTACAGAGGAAGGCAATGAGGCTTTGAAATGCTGCATGTTCTCTCCAGAAAAATTGCATCACCAGACTCTTCATCAAACCTCTGCCAAAAACGTCTTTCTCAACTTCAGTTGCCTCATATATAAAAAGGTGCTAATAATAGTACCTATGATGTATGGTTGCTGGAAGGATTAAATGAGGTAATTAATAGAAAACAATTTAGCACAATGCCCAGCACACATCTGGGCTCTGAAAATGTTAGCAGGTTGTATATTATGCTTTATTGAGCTGTGTATCATAAAAACACAAAGAATGAAAGAAAAGTACCAGAGGGAAAGAACTTGAAGTGGTAAACATAATTACTGAGAAGGAAGAACAGTATCCCACTTGCTACTAGAAAGAGTTTAATGAATTACTAGTTTCTATAGACTTTGGAGTCAGACAGGCCTGGTTTTACATAACCTTGGGAAAATTTCCTAATCCTATCTGTGTCTAGGTTTCTTTATCTGTAACATGAGTTTAACACCCACCAAGCAGGGTTTTAGGAGTAAATGAGACAATACATGAAAAGGTTCACCTTCTTTCAGTCTCCTCACATCACCTTTACATGAAAGTGACTAACACAGCACCAGGCAAACATAGTCACTGAATAGTGGTTATTATGTGTTTGCTTTATTTACACAATCGTACGGTTGGGTTTAAATTCCAGCTCTGCCACTTTATTGCTGTGTAATTTTAGGCCAGTTGCTTAACCTTTCTGGGCTTCAATTTCCTCCACAGTAAAATGGGGCTCCATAATAATACCTATCTCAACAGGTTTGCTGTGAGGATCAAGTGAGCTAATTCCTACAAGGCCCTCAGAACTAGCTCATGGCACTAAATAAAGACTGGCCACTATTGGTTGTAATCATAGTCTTACTACTTGATGCCAACAGTTAATTTCATTTTACTGCTACATTCTGTAAGGCATGGAATGGCTATTTGGCATAACTGTAATCAGACTGCCATTTCTGGCCATTAGAATTGCACTGGATATCTTTGCAAACGTTCATATAATCCAAAGCACTGACATTAATTATGTCTCATTATTTCAAAACGATTTATTCAAAGTAGGCAAAGAATGGTTTTCTCCTGATGGTTGGGTTCACCTTCTTTCAGTCTCCTCACATCACCTTTCATTCATGAAATAATCTCTCTCTTTGCCAGGGCAAATGAATGGGAAATCAATATCAAAATGATTTCAGAAAAAGAATTCAGTCTTACAGACTTCAGTTACTCAATATACTTTAAACTGGAAAATGTTTCATTTGCTACTTCCACATTTCTACAATTTCTACTCCTATATAAGCAAATGCAGATGACCCAGCAGTGGCCCTCCTCCGATGCCTGTAATATGTAACTTAGGTTTTGTTGTGATTTTCCTTTCACTTGCCTGTCTTCCCAACTGTTGAGTATTTGAAAGGAGTATTACTCCTCTCTTTCAGATCTGTAACTTCTGTAACTAACACATAGCACTGTGGTGTCTGAAGCCACTTCACCTGTGTTCAAATCCCAACTTTAACATTTAATAGCTTTGTGACTATGGCTAAGTCACTGAAATTCTCTATGCCTCAGTTCTTTATCTATAAAAATAAGGATGATAATAACAACCTCATGAGATTTCAGTGAAGATTAGAGATCCTAATACATGGAAAGGGCTTAGAACAGAGTCAGACTGAGGAATCATAGTTAATACTGTATTATTTTGCTGTTATTAATATTGGTGATAACTGGCTGGCATGTTCTTACTCTCATACAGCTTATGTATCACTGCTTGAGGCAAATTAATGAATATATCAATAAAATTAATCAGGTAATAATATGTGCTGTGATTGATATAGGAAAGGGTACTGTGATAAAGTGTGACTGAAAGACTACTTTAGATTGGATGGTCAGAGAAGGCCTCTCAAAGGATATGATGATTGAAGGTAAAACCAGGAAAAAGCCAGCCTTAAGAAGTCATGGAGAAAGAGCATTCCATAGACAGAGAAAACTACCCAAAAGCCTTAAGGCAGGAAGGAGCTTGTCTTGTTCCACAGCAGAAAGAATGTCAGTGTGGTTTGGCTGGAGTGTAGTCAGCAAGGCAGAGAAGGATAGGAAATGATGCCAGAGAGGTAGGCATTGGCTAGAAAATATAGACACCTAGAACCTGAGAGAGAATTTAAACGTATTTCAAGTATAAGGAGTTACCTTTGTTGAGTCTTGCAAATTTACATGATCTCATTTATATTTTCAAATAATCACTCTGGCTGCTATGTAGATCGGAATCAAGGAGATAAACTTGGAGGCTCTTGCAGTAATCCAACCAAAACAAAACAAACAAAAAGAGGAGGTAGCTTATATTAGGATGGGAGTGGTGGAGACAAAAAGTAGATGGAGTTGGGATAGGTTTTGAAGATAAAATCAACAGGATGTGCTGATGGATCAACAATATAGGTAATTGAGGTAAATATGCTTTCTAAAGGAAAAAGATGTTCAGATGATGCTGCACCTTTTTAATGCAGTCATGCGTCACGTAATGACAAGGATGCATTCTGAGAAATGCAGTGTTGGGCAGTTTTGTTGTTGTATAAACATCATGAAGTGTGCTTACCCAAACCTAGATGGTATAACCTACTACACACCTAAGCTGGTATCGCTTGTGTGTCCTGGGCTGCAAACCTGTAAGGAATGTCACTGTTCTGAAGACAGCAGGCAATTGTAACACAAGATGATTATTTGTATACCCAAACATATCCAAACATAGAAAAGATACAGTCAAAATATGGTATTATAATCCTATAGGACCACTGTCACATATGCAGTTCAATGTTGACTCATATGTCATTATGTGGCATATGACTGTACTGTGCTTTAGATTTAGCTCTAATTTAAGGCATAAAATGACTTATAAAAGTTCTAAAATGGACATAAAAAGGGATAGGACTATAAAAACTTTCCAATAAGTATGGAGGAAACCTGAAAACATCACGGCTAGTAGCCCTCTTCCTCCACACAGTCTGCAGAAGGCTGCAAGCCGCTAGGGAAAATCCTTCTCACTGCTTAGTGCCATATCAGTATGATAAGAAAAAAAAAAAAATAGGCAATATGAACTGACAGAGGGGAGGAGATGCGCTCATGAACCTGGGCTAGTAAGTGGGTCCCCATAGCCCATGTGCAGTTTGCAAGGGACCCAGAAGGTCATATGTGCCATAGCACTGGACCCCAATGAGCAAGACCACCTGGTGGAATAATACAGACCTGACATCAGAAAAAATAATGAACACACAATGTGAGTATTTCTCAACCCCATGCCAGAACACCTGAAAGCCCAGATAGGATCTGTTCTACCTCAACAGACACGGCACAACAGAGACCAATAAGGAACAGGAGAATGGTGTCAGATCCTGCCGTGTTACTTTAACCAACCTCATACACTACAATGTCATCTTGAGGAGATGCAGGGAGAGGAGAAGGAATTCAAAAAACCTCTCTCGAAAAGAGAATAAGTAATCCAAAGGATATGGATACCATTACTTGGCAAGCTTCAGTTTGTCTTTCTTTTTCTTTCTTCCTTCCTTTTTCTTTCTTCCTTTCTTTCTCTCTTTTTTTTTTTTTTTTTTTGACAGAGTCTCACTCTGTCACTCATGCTGGAGTGCAGTGGTGCAATCTCAGCTCACTGCAACCTCCACCTCCTGGATTCAAGTGATTCTCCTGCCTCAGCCTCCCAAGTAGCTGGGGCTACAGGCGCACACCACCACGCCCAGCTAATTTTTGTATTTTTAGTAAAGATGGGGTTTCACCATGTTGGCCAGGATGGTCTCGATCTCTTGACCTCATGATCTGCCTGCCTCAGCCTCCCAAAGTGCTGGGATTACAGGCGTGAGCCACTGCGCCTTGCTAGTTTTCTTTCTTTCTAACAAGGTAAAGGCTTAGGAAGAAAATTAGCTGTGATGTAAAAAATATAGAAGCTACATTTTCTTTACTCATCTAATTTATAATTATTACATTTGTAATAGTATCATAAATTCAGTTCACAGTATTAATATTGGACAAGGCTAAATTCAAGCAAAAGTGTTAAACAAAACAAATAATAAACTTTATGATATAGAATATAATCCACAATGAGATTATAACTTTCTTGGTGCACAAAAGTTATATTAATTTCATAATGCAGAGACTATAGGGAATGCAAGGGAAAATAGACTACAACATAAGATTAGAAAACTCTAAATCATAATTTTAGTCCATGGAAAAATCAATTAGAGAAAAAATAAGAATGTTTGATATCAATTCTATAATTGATTAATATTAACATAATAGATATGTAGAAATTGCTATCCTAATAAAAATAATTCACCTACTTTACAAGAATTCGTGGTACCTTTATAAAATTTTGACTATAAATCAAACCAAAACAAAACAACAACAAACTAGAAATGCATAGAACACTTTATTGACTATAACCCCATTGATAAACTATAGATGAAGAAGAGGAGGAGAAGGAAGAGAAGTCAAGAAGGAAGAGAAGGACATGAAGAAGAAAATCAACCACATAAATGTTAAGAAACTTGCTTTTAATCAATACTTGGATCAAAGAAAATATCAAAACTAAAGTTTCAAAATATCTACAAAATAATAATGAAATGCATTACATATTTTAAAATATGGGCCAGGCTGAAAAAACTACTTTGAATTAAACTCATAATCATGAGCACATTATTAAGATAAGAAAGAAAAAAATAAATTAATATTCAAGTCAATACATTAGGAAAAAAACAAAATTAGAGAAAGTGGAAGGAAGGAAAAGGAAGAACAAATACTATGAATTAGAAAAATAAAATCAGTTAATTATACTAAAATACAAAAAAGTATTAGTGATTAATACAAAAACTGATTTATTGAAATAATTAATAAAATAAACCAGTAGCAGGCTTAGTCCAGACAAAGAACATTAACACAATTATAAAAAAGAAATAGCCACAAACATGGAGGAATTTAAAACAATCATTAGAGACACTCAGATAAATATGTTTTTATCCATAATTTTTTGGAGTTGATCTAAAATACTCCATTTCTTTTTGCTGTTCATAATATCAATGTCAAAAAATGTTATAGCAAAGCAAGTGAATTTTAACGTTGTTAAATCATGAAAATCTTCAAGACTGTTTAACTAAAACATCTATAGATTTTGGGTTTCCACTGTCGTCGGTGGCAATTTTTTTTTTCTCAGGGCATCTCTCAGTGACTGGGCTCATTATTTCATGACCAAAACAGTCACTGGGGCTTCATTTCTTAAGTGATTTTATTCTGAATATAGAACCTTCCAATAGGGGCTAAATCTTAGCATTAGCAGGAAATTATAATGTTAAGTATACTTTCATGCCTCCAACCATCCCCAAAACTACCAGTCAAGTAAATTTCACAAATTTACTCTAATTAAATCTAAAAAGTGTCATATGTGCTTTAAATGTCAGTCAATTTTGACGTAATTATACCTGAAGGCAGGAATCCATCAGGGACTCTTTTTTAATAATTAATCTCAGATGGGAAGTGAGGGAGTCAAGGAATATTTGCAGATAATTAGTTCCATTCCTATCTTTCTTGGCTGACAGTGAAAGTATAGGTGCATTTTGGGAAGGATACATAAGGATGGTTTTGTTTCTGTCATCTCCATTGCATTTTTTTCAATGGGGTCAATTTCATCGTGAATTTATAAAAAACTGAGATTTAATTTGAGAAAATATGCAACCTACAATACAAGAATAAACCTTCACATGTGTAGAATGCTTTTGAAGGGGCTCAAGATATGCCATCCGAAAATATGCCACTTTAGCATAAGAATTATTTTTATCTGAAGGCAATTGGGAATCAATAGACATAAGAAGAGTTCTCTGCTCTCCTCTTATCTGCCTAAAATCAGGGCCAAGATTTCGCTTTATGAGGGTGCACCATTACCACCACCACCACCACCCTTACCAGGAAAGGAAGCACAGCTCTTATCATTGAGATGCAGAGTCAACATCAAAATGAGTCTGCATAAACAGATCTTACTAAAATATCCCTTATCTTCCATTCATTCTCCCATCTATTTCCTAGTCACTTCCCACAATTTATCACCCCTTGAATCCCAAATGCTTTCCTTTGTTAAAAAGGTATATAAACCGCTAAGTCTAACTACTTCTTTGAGTTTCACTTCTTTTTTATGAATTTCCAGGCATGTGAATATTAATAAAAATTGTGTGTCTTTTTCCTGTTAATCTGTCTTTTGTTAGTTTAATTCACAGGTCCCCATGTCTTGAACCTAAGATGATAGGGGAAAAGTTTTTTTTTTTTTTCCTCTCCAACACTTTATAGTTCTCAAAATGCTTTCACAGTTACTCTCTCATTCCATTCTCACAACAGGTCTCCAGGTAAGTAGGCCAGGTATCATTGTCTTCATTACAGATAAAGAAATTAAGGATTAGATATCAAAAAACTTGCTATAAGATTGTACCTCAACCAGAACTAAGCAAATTTACTGGGCATGCACAATGACTTCCCCCTCGCACACCTATAGCAGACATCACTAATTCATCAAAGTACTCTTTTCCCTGAGGACAAACATCTCCAGAATCCTTCCCAACACAGTTTCCATGAAACCACTTTGCTATCCCTGAACTGTGACTTCGTAGTGATATCCAAGAATATTGGTAGTTTTCTACCTTTGCTCCATGGATAGGCTTCTCCGGCATCAGAGTATCTCTGAATCCCTTTCTTCGAGAATCTTTACCCATATTACCTTTTTCTAAATAATTTTCTAAAATTAAAAACAAAATGTTCCATACATATAAACTTTCTGATACTTCATAGTCTTCTCTCTCAGAGTCTGCAATGGACCCTTTTCTCAGGATCAGCATGAGACAAATTCATGGACTTTGTCTCTTTGAATCACCCTATTGCCTGGCTGACCATTCTTAGTATTAGCCAGAGTACACTCTTAACTTCTGGGGAAAACTAAAGTGGTCTGGCAAACACTCTTTGCAGTGGGAATTCTCCCTTGAGTACATGTCAATTTGCACATATCCCAGGGTTCACCAGCAAAACAATCTTAATATCTACATCTCAGTTGCCACAGCAATTTCCTCAATACAGGAGAGCTTAGGGAATGAGAAAAAAAAAAAATGAATCAGACCTGAGAACTACTGACATGGTTTCTTACTGCAAAACTGTTTTATCTTTAAATATACTACATAAAAAGGTCAAATAAAGTTCATGTAACCTTTCCAATCATTCCTATTTTCTTGGTATGTTTTGACTGGCCATCAGAAAAGAACTTTTCTCCAGTAAGTGTAAGGTCTGCCATTCACATTGCTGAAGTTTCTCTGCATCAAGATTATACATGCTAAACACAAAATTTGATAAAATAAGGCAATTGATTATTTTTAACTTAATATTTTTATTTGAGCAGCATGTTCCCGAGAACACACATTGAGTTTGCTGCAGAAGCTTTGTATATTTGGTGTTATCGAGATAGAGGGAGAAAATGAGATCATAAGAGGGAAAACAAACTGCCCCTTTTTCCTTCTCTTTAAAAGTATCTTTCTGGGGCCTCATTCCCTTAAGACCCTGTCTCTACTGGCCATGATATCAACAAATGTGTGATGAGAAGTTAATGGCTGATAATACCCCTCTATCATATAAAATACCTTTATTTTAATAGGCCCAAAGGCAAAGAAGCAGGTTTTCCAAACACTAAAGAAAAAGGATAATATTGCACAATAGATGCTTTTAGCACCCCTACATATCTGCCTATGTGTGAGTCTATCTCTCACTCCTAAAATTAGAGCCTCGCTAGAAGCTAAAATGTCAATAATCAAACTCATGAACCACACTTTTACTTAGCTTTCTACTAGGAAGGACAATTGAGAAGTCAAAAACAAAGCTAAAAATGAGCAGTTATAGTAAGACGACAAGACCACCCATCTCCTAAATTTTCTAAAACAATGTGAGTTGGATTTTGTCAGTTTACCAGGGAAAACTAGATGTTAATCTTGAAAGTAGAAATAGGACAAATGGATCTGATAAAATTAGTCTTACCTCATCTTAGGTGGGGTCAATCCTATGATACTAAAGAAAGAAGTTATATCTATACCCTCATTTTCACCAATATTTGCTTACTCAAACACACATAAACCATAAGAAAAGCCATGGCTTAGCTTAGAATGTCACTTAGAATGTAGATGTCACTCAACATCTTGGGATTTCTAAAGCATTCTATAGGACCAACAAGATACTCCCAAAAGAGAGTTTAAATAGAGGAGTTTGATTTTAATTTCAGAAATTTGTCTGTCGTAGAGTGGAAAATAAGAAAAGGCATGTGATAATTAAAAAGAAACATATACCTGTGAACACTTAAAAATTTGGGTTACAACTGAAGAGTACACCTGAAGAATAAGAGAATCTGTCTTGAGCATCATACTATATAGTACTGGTTTTCTCTTTTAAAAACTGCTCTTTATTTGATAGGTAAAGTTGACGCTGATTTGTGGCCCACAGGTGTCAAGTTCACATCCTTGTCTTCTTAACATTAACACTGATCCCAACTCCACCAAAGATCACAGGGGTCCAATAAATATTTCTTATTGATGTTAATAATGATGTGGATGGGCCGGGCACAGTGGCTCACACCTGTAATCCCAACACTTTGGGAGGGTGAGGTGGGCAGATCATGAGGTCAGGAGTTCGAGACCAGCCTGGCCAATATGGTAAAACCCCGTCTCTACTAAAAGTACAAAACTTACCTGGGCATGGTGGCATGCACCTGTAGTCCCAGCTACTTGGGAGGCTGAGGCAAGAGAATTGCTTAAACCCAGGAGGCAGAGGTTGCAGTGAGCTGAGATCACACCACTGCACTCCAGCCTGGGTGACAGAGCAAGACTCCATCTCAAAAAATAATAATAATAATAATAATGATGAAGATGATGTGGATGATCAAAATAGACCAGGGTTCAACAAACTAAGGCCCAACAGGCCAAATCTGACCCACTGCCTGTTCTAGTAAATAAAGTTTCATTGAACACAGCATATCCATTCATTTGCATGTCGCTTATGAGTGCTTTCATGCTATAAAAGCAGAGTTGAGGCCAGGCGCAGTGGCTCACACCTGTAATCCCAACACTTTGGGAGGCTGAGGTGGGCGAATCATGAGGTCAGGAGTTTGAGACCTGCCTGGCCAACATAGTGAAACCCCATCTCTACTAAAAATACTAAGAATTAGCTGGGTGTGGTGGCAGGCGCCTGTAATCCCAGCTACTTGGGAGGCTGAGGCAGGAGAATCAATTGAGCGCAGGAGACAGAGGTTGCAGTGAGCCGAGATCACGCCACTGCACTTCAGCCTGGGCGACAGTGTGAGACTCCGTCTCAAAAAACAAAAAAAAAAAAACAAAAAAAAAAAACAAAAAAAAAAATGCAGAGTTGGGTAGTTGGGATAAAACCACATGACTCACAAAACATAACATATTTACTATCTGTTCCATTACAGGAAAAGTTTGACAGCTCCTCATTTAGAAGATCCCTAAGGAGTCATTAAGTGGTAATTGTCACAAAGTTTTCACGTGTAACAAATATTCTTCAGAATCTGCTGTCGTCTTATAAATCCACCAATCTCATTATCAACCCTCCCCTGTGACTGAGGCCCTGATTTCTTTCTTATTTGCCATTTCTCCGTGTCTGCAATTATTCACAAGATAACTGGGGCATCTACTACCATTGATTCTTCTTCTTTAGTAAACACAAAAAAATGAATAATCAGAGAAAGATGTGGTAAAGACTCTAACAATGCATTCAGAAGTCAACAGCAGGGATTGTAAGCAATCTCTCGTTGTCATTTTAGTTGGGGTATTTGACATAACCCATAAAGCATCCCTCAGTGACATACCTGAAGGCTGTTACTTGGAAAGTTGAGCCAGTAAACTCAAAGAAGAAATATGATATATAGCACAGCTTATTATCAAAAAGGTTTGCACCTCTGCCTTAACTAACATATCCCAGTCAAATGAATGATAGTGAAACTGAAATAACATGAAACAGCCAAAAATATATTGTTTATCATTTCAAAGTAAAATGCTAGACAAGGTCAAGGATAATGTATAGTATCTCACAAGAAATATTATCCCTAGAGCATGACGATTTTCCACATGATATTCTGGAATTTTAAAAAAAATTAAAATATTGATTATATGGGTCTTCTTTCCTCTGTAGTTGCTGTTTCATTTGACATATGATTAGAATTATGCAATTTATCTTTCTTCCTTCCGAGAAGTTGAGAAATATCAGAATTTTGAACTGGAAGGATCTTAGTTCAACCCTTTGAATTTTATTGGATGAAATTGAGGCCCAAACCACACACCCAACGGAAGAAAAACTGAACTAAAACTAAGATCTTCTGACTCTTAGTCAAAAATTCTTTTTTACACCATGATGAGTCCATTTATCTTCACCTGTTGGATATGTCAGTAGATAATTACTTGGTGAAGAAATACTAAGAGGAAGCTTTGTTGTATATACTTCCTTCGTGGTGATTTAAGTTAAATTCTGAGGCCCTAAGCAAAACTTTTAGAAAAGGTCCCATCACTGTTGATTAACTGCAGAAGAACTGAAGAGTAAACAGCTGTTCAAAGGAAAGTCCTCATCTTAGTGAGGTCAGTCCCACTTGGGCTGACCTCACTAAGACGCAGGCACCGCTCTGCTCAGGCAGTAGTTACGACCAACCGCCTTTGGAAAAACTTGTAGTTCTTTTTTTGGTTACTCCCACTGCCCCTCCTGTTCCCTAGAGTGCACAGTAAAGACTAGATGGCTTCTGTATAATGACTGTGGTCAGCTATAAATATAAGGAAAATGAACATGCAACGTCTTGATGTCAAGCTAATTTTAGCTTAACAGTTTCATTTTAAGTATGCCCAACCAAGACTGGACACACCATGGTTCAAGTTTTAAAAATAGAAATTACAAAACCACAGCGTGGAACCCAAATTGTTCAGATTGTAGTAACAGTGACTGAAATGCTCTTGGTGATGTTGCCAACAGGAGGCCCTTCAATGCACAGTGGTGAGCTCCCAAACCACATGGATAAATAGATTCGGTCACCCCTATGAGGTGAACAATAGACCCTATGTTGTGGCTTCGGTTCTGTTGTCATGAATGTAAATAATTTCTCATCATTCATATGTGGACAATGCTCTGTGTGTTACAGAACACATTCTGTGGGCAGGTGTGGAAAAGTTTTCTTACCAAGTTTTATATACTGCCATCTCAATCTTTTACCTTACCTTTTGGAGTTAGCAGCGTGTCTGACTACTGTTTCAATCCACAGAACAGCTACAGAATCTGTCTGAAGATTCCAGCCTGCTATTTTTCTTCAAATCTGGGTTTCAATCTTGGTTAATGTTTGCCCAGAAATATGTAATTGCGGACTTCCTCCTCATAAACCCTTCCAGAGTGTAGGCTGCCAGTCTAGCATGCTATTATTATCTCTTTGCCTCAGGGCTAACGCAGGGTGTGCCCTCGTAGTCACAGGATAGATGATAACCTGCTCCCTGCCAGGAAGCCAGGATGGTTAGCAGCTGCCGCTAAGAAAAAACACATCTTGCATGTGTCCAGTATTGTTTGTATTTCTTCTCCTTTGGATAAACAAATTTTAACTGGTTTATTAAAAACTCACAGGCTGGGCACGGTGACTCACGCCTGTAATCCTAGCACTTTGAGAGGCCCAGGCGGGTGGATTGCCTGAGCTCAGGAGTTTGAGATCAGCCTGAGCAACACTGTGAAACCCCCATCTCTATTAAAATACAAAAAAATTAGCTGGACGTGGCAACATGTGCTTGTAATCCCAGTTACTTGGGAGTCTGAGGCAAGAGAATTGCTTGAACCCCAGAGACGGAAGTTGCAGTGAGCTGAGATCACGCCATTGCACTCCAGCCTGGGCAACAGAGTGAGACTCGGTCTCAAAAAAAAATAATAAAAAGTAAATAAATAAATAAAAATAAAAACTCATGCTCGCCTTTTTCTTTCTTTTTTCTTTTTCTTTTTTTGAGAACTCATTTACTCTATTCACATTAGTGACTGTGATTTGGATGTGCCTGTTCTCTGTTCCTCACTCAACCTAACTTACAGAGGAATTATTTTCCATTCATTGAATGTCACTTCCTTGTGAGGCTCTGTTACACACCTGCCCCCCACCCACCTGCCCCCAGAACATGAGCACACACATACAGACAATATTAGAGTTTAAAGCAATATTTTTTGTTTTTGAGACAGGCTCTTGCTTTGTCACCCAGGCTGGAATGCAGTGGCACGATCATAGCTCACTGCAGCCTTGACCTCCTGGGCTCAAGTGATCCTTCCACCTTGGCCTCCTGGGTAGCTGGGATTACAGGTGTGTGCCACCATGCCCAGCTAATTTTTGTAGTTTTAGTAAAGATGGAGTTTTACCATGTTGTCCTGGCTGGTCTTGAACTCCTGGGCTCAAGCAATCTGCCTGCCTTGGCCTCCCAAAGTGCTGGGATTACAGGTGCAAGCCACTGTGCTCCACTTACTGCAACCTTCTTTAGGCTACCCTAGTACTGTATTACATCTCTATTATAAAATACCATGGGCTGACTTGTATTATATTTGCCTATGTCCCTTCACATTTACTTCTTCAGCTAGATTGACCTTCTTATTGATCTCTGTATTCTCAGGGCTTACCAGTTAGTTCAGGCCTAAAATAAACTTAATTAGTAATGTCTTTTGTACTAAAGTATGATTTACATATGTCAAATTCTCCCTTTTTCATGTACAGTTCCGTGAAATTTGATAAATACATGCAGTCATGTAACCACCACCACCACAATCAAGATATAGACAAGTTCCATTACCCCAAAACATATCCCATCCTATTGCAGCTAACCCCTTCCCCTCAGCCCCAGTCCCTGGCATCCCTGTTTTCTGTTCCTATGGTCCTGCATGTTATATATATATGAAAGCATTCAGTCTGCAGTCTTTAGAGTATGGCTCCTGTCACTTAATATAATGCATTTGAGATCCATCCAAATTATTACTGTTATTACTGTAGCAGTAGTTCATTCCTTTTTATTGCTAAGAAGTATTCCATTTATAAATCTGCCACAGTAATTATACCCATTCCCAGTTGAGAGACATTTGAGTTGTTTCCAGCTTGAGGAGATAGTGAATAAAGTAGCTATAAATAATCACATTCAGCTTTTTATGTGAATACACATTTTTATTTAATTTGGATAAATAACTAGAATAGGATTACTGGGTCATAGTAAGTACAGGTTTAACTTCATAAGAACCTGCTTAACTGTTTGCCAGAGGCTATATTTCCTTTCACATTCCCAGCAGCTATCTATGAATTCTAGTTTCTCTACATCCTCACCAACACGTAACATAATCAGTTTCTTTGTATTTTAGCCATTTTAATAGATGTAATTTTAATTTTCATCTCCCTAGAAATTAATGATGTTGAGCACATTTTAGTGTGTCTATTTGCCGTCCATACTTCTTTAGCAAAATGTCTACTCAAATATTTTATTCATTTTGGGGGGGTTGTTTGTTTTCTTGGAGTTTTAAAAGTTTTTTTGTATAGTCTGGACATGCATTCTCCACCAGATATGTGAATTACAAATATTTCTCCCAATCTGCTTAATAAATATTTTTAAATAAAAAAAAGTAGAAAAAAAACAGTTCTTTTGAAAAGGGTTTATGAGATTTGAATGCACAAATGATGCAGATTTATACCTTCACATCTACAAATGAGTATGCAAGATGCTTAGAATAAGGTAATAAAAAATGGTAATAGCAAATCTAAACCTACTACTGGGAAATTATTTAAGTGTAGCACACAGGGAGATTTGTTTTAGAGGGTATGCACATTTCTCAGATTGCTTTAAAAAATTATCATTTAAAAACTTTTTTTAAAGAAAACCATAATAGAAAATGTGTTACATACATTTTAATGGGAAAATCAGATATTAGTCTTTCAAATCATTGGGTTTTGTTGTTGTTGTTTTTTGTTTTTGAGACAGAGTTTTGCTCTTATTTCCCAAGCTGGAGTACAATGGTGCGATCTCAGCTCACTGCAACCTCCGCCTCCCATGTTCAAGCGATTCTCCTGCCTCAGCCTCCCGAGTAGCTGGGATTACAGGCTGGGATTACATGTGCGCGCCACCAAACCTGGCTAATTTTTTGCATTTTTAGTAGAAACAGGGTTTCACCATGTTAGCCAGGCTGGTCTCGAACTCCTGACCTCAGGTGATGTGCCTGCCTCAGCCTCCCAAAGTGCTGGGATTACAGGCATAAGCCACCACACCCGGCCCAAATCATTCTTATGATAGATAGCAGTTATTAGAATAGGTATGTATATTTACCAAGACAAATCTGACAGGTAAACTGTTCAGTACCGAAAGCCTCCTCCTGACTCCCATTGAATTAAGTCTGTGAAAAGCATATTAAAGGATTATGCAGTCAGCCTTTGTGTGTGGACATTCAAAGAAGGTTCTTTACTATGTAGACTGTGAACCTAACATTCCTAAGAGGATCTTCAGTTCCATAATAAAGTGTTTCATTGTCAATCCTATTGAAAGCAAGATTTTACAGGAAGGGAGAAAGTTTTGTTACTGTTTCTACAAATGAGGTATTCTGACTTCAAGTGAACACCAACTTGGATCAAAGGATCCAAATATACCAAATGTTGCATTTTTTAGGCATACTTATTCTCAACCAATCAATGAATATGTACTGTTTGCACCATTTTATAAACATCACAGAAGAAGTACTAGATATGGTTGCTACCTTCCTCAGGAATTCCTTCTGTTAAAGAGACTAGAAAATACAAAATAATAGCCACAACACAGTATTGACTATCACATAAAAACCAAAGACATAACAAGAAGGACAGGTTGGATGGAAAAAGAGGAAGCTATAAATACTCACTGATTTCTGTCTTGTAGGCTATTTCTCTATTAACTATCCAAAAATGCCACCAAATACAATGTTAGCTACAACAGTTTATGGGCACAATAAGGGTCAGGGCTAATGATATGAAGTCAACTTCTGAATATTATATTTTCACAACTCATTCTGGCTGTAAGTAATGCTCAGAGGAGGGATAAAATGAAAGACTAGCAAAGTCAGAGAAAATTCCACAGATGAAATGGGATATAAACTGAACCTTAAAGGGTGGGTAGATTTTGCTTAACAGAAGAGAGAGAGAAGAAAAATATGAAAGAACCAAAAGAACAGTTGTGGAATTTGTCACTCTTTGGCCTCCTGGGTAATCTAATGCCCTTGTCCATTGTGGGAACTAAGATACCAGATATTTGCATTCTAAGTCTCCCTGACAATTAGTCTAACACATGACCTAGGTTCTGCCAATTGGAATCACCTGCCCTAGACTTGAAATCAATGTCCAGTGCCATGTCGGGAAGAAGCAAGGAGCATGCAGCATGCATGTGAACCATGGATAACTGGATCTTCATCCCAGAGGCAGCCAGGGCAGGGGCTCAAGAAGCAGGACCCATGTCATAGGGGCCCGCGGTATAGTCAACAGCACAGAAATATCTTCACTGGGTCTGTTTTGCCCTGTAATATGGGGCATTATTCCTGGATACATGACCTCCAAGTCCCAAATCTTTCTGGAAATTCTATGAGCCATCTAGTATATTTTTAATGTTTCTTTTCTGCTTAAATCAGCTAAAATTCATTTTAGACTAGTGATAGGTATTGCTGTTTATAGTAAGAACCTCTTTATCGAGCCTCATATCCTGGTATAATACATCAATTAGCATCCTATCCTCACTTTTCTTAGCAGGTAATGTAGCATAGGAGTCAGGGCATGGTTCTGGAATCTGATGACCCTGGGCTCAAACCCCAGCTCCATGTGAAAGCAAATCTACAGGGAAATCTGAGGCCCTCAGCCAAGTATATGATCACACCATACACTTCCATACCTTCCTCACCCATGGCCAATAAATATGTGATTGTTGAGTGTGAATTCTAGGGTCCAAGGTCCTTTCCTAAGTCTCATTAGAATCAATATGGAAGCACTTCGAGAGGCCAAGGTGGGCAGATAGCTTGAGCCCAAGAGTTCAAGACCAGCCTAAGCAACATGGCAAAACTCCGTCTCTACAAAAAAATACAAAAGTTAGCCAGACGTCACTCATCCGTAGTCCCAGCTACCTAAGCGGCTGAGGTGGGAGGATAGCTGGAGCCCAGGAGGCAGAAGGTACAGTGAGCTGTGATCACACCACTGCTCTCCAGCCTGGGTAACAGAATAACACCCTGTCTTTAAAATATATATATATATATATATATGGATTTTCTGCCTCTGAGTTACAGAATTATAAGATAACAAGGTAAAAATCAATGACCTTTTATATAACCCACATTTCTAAGCTCATAAAAATATAGCCCAGGTTTAGCACCCATTAGCACATCACATTTCTTCTTACGGTACTTAACGTTTTGTTTGCTATTTAACTTTTCACCAATTGCCTCACAATAAACTTGTCTTCTGGAGGACAAAGACTGTCTTTATCTGTATCATACCACTATACCCAACACAGAGCTGGGCATGTAGCAGCTCCTCAACACATATTTCTTGAATGAAACAAAGCCTGTGGAAGTGCCTCAGTCACTGTGAAATAAACTAAGTTGCACTCACATGCTGAAAAAAAAGTATCTATTCCTGTATTTGTGCCACTTATGTTTCTCAGCCTAAATATGCAGCAATAAAGGACTTGTTCAATGCATTGTGACAGCCACATAATGGGATGTTTCTCAGCCATGCATAATTACCTGCTTAGGTAGCCACATAGAAAGTGGCAATGATACATTAAGTTTAAACAAAAGAATATAATAATGCATGCATATAGATGAGCACTGTTAGAGAACACAGTGAAATGAAAGCTTCTTACTTGTTAAGGTAAGATGATTTGATATTATCTTTTTCATTATTTAAATTTTATTTTAATGTCTAAAAAACATGCCAGTATCCCTAAGAAGAAGGACTTTGTGTATACAGATCCTTTAATTCCATAACAATATTTGGTCCAATAAATAAAAATAAAGAGAAAAATGTCCTTCTAAATAATATTTCTGTAAGGTAAGGCGAGCATAGTACAGTAGACACTGTTGATGTCCAGCCATATTCTCTCACCCTAATCCTGGCCAGATTTCTAATGGCCAGCACCTGCATTTCTTTGCCTACAGGCTTTCTCTGACTGCCTAAGCCCACTTTTTCCACATGTGCAGCTGCCCAGAAATACCAGGATATTAGTACCCCCAGAAGCAGCTCTTTACCTATGACAGTATCGATACCCAAGTTCCCTCATTGCTTAGGGGAATAACCCTGAAATGTATTTTAAATCATGTCCCAGAGTCTTCTGGGATTAGGCTGCAGATGCCCAGAATGGAAACTGGCTCAACAATGTACCCGTTATTGCTCCCGTTCTTCTCTATTTCATATCTGCACTCTCCTATCAGTATCTTCTGAGGTCACCCTCAAATAAACCACACTTGAATCCTTGAGGTTGATTGTGTACAGGCCTTGGAAACAGGCTTAGGTTCTACTCCTGTCATTGCTGCTTATTAGCTGTGCAGCCTTGGATACATTTCTTAAAGTCTAAGCCTCAGTTCCCTCATGTATATAATGGGGATGATATTATCTATATTGCAATGTTATCATGAAAATGGAGTTACATGTGGCAATGTATTTAAGTCGCTAGCACATGGTACAACAAGTGGGAGCTCTCCTCAGGTTTTGAGAGGTAGTGACGTAATAGAAGCAGTAATAATAGTGATCAGTAATGCTGAGATCAGCATTCCTCCAACATTAATGTTCATTGGTATCTCTTGGGATCTTGCTAAAATGCAGGTCCTGATTCAACATCTGGGGTGGGATCTAAGATATTATTTTGCTAACAAACTCCCAAGTAATACCAGTGCTGCTGGTACTCAGACCACACGTACTCTGAATAGCAGGGATTTAGAGTATTATCTTCTGGAGAGTAAAAAGTAAAGAAGACAAATCATCTGTATAATAATTCACTCTAGAGCTCGTCTTTAAGAACTATATAACTAGTACTACTACTACTACTGCTACTGCTATACACACACACACACATACATGCACTTCTTCAAGTTTTTTCAGATCAGTGGAGACATTTCTCTGTGCACCTAGACATCACTCAGGTACTACTTAACCATTAATGCATAAAGACTTCTGTCAGGGAGGCACGGCTGAGCAGGCAGCTAGGCCTCCTGTGAGGATGAGCCGGACCCCAAGTGGATGCTTCTCGATCAGGCCTCTGGGGTTGACCAGCTGCTGGCTGTGAGCTCCAGACTTAGCTGGCCACTTGCCATGTCCCAGGTAAACCAGCAGGCGGCCAGTGGCAGTCCCAATTTAGGGTGTGGCACAGGGATGCGAAGGCAGTTATCCCTGTTCTCACACGGGTGGCATTCCCCCACCTCAGCCTTCGGTGTGAAATTTTTTCTACTTCTAGTACCAAATTCTGTTCAACTTACCCATTTCCAGTTTGTACAACAAACTACCTCCAAACTTTGTGCCATTTTATTATCTCACAATTTTGTGGATCTATAATTTGGGCAGGGCTCAGCTGGGTGATTCTTCTGTTTCATGTGGCATCAATGCAGGTTATTTATTGATATTCAACTAGTAACTGGACATGTCTGAAGAGTCCACAACAGCTTCACTTCCATGCCTTGCACCTCGGCAGGGATGGCTGGAAGACTAAACTCAGCAGGAACTATTGACCAGAACACTTACTGGAGGCCTCTCCAGGATGATGGCCTCATGGTGGTCACCTCTTCTATGACAGTGCAAGGTTCCAGAGCAAGTATTGCAATGAACAAAGCACAAAACACTCAGTCTTCAATGACCTTATCTTGGAAGTCACACAGCATCATTTCTGTCATACTCTACTTTTTAAAGTAGTCATAAGCCTTCCCAGATTCAAGGACAGAGGACAAGACCCATCCACCTCTTAATGAATCTGTAGCCATGTTTTAAAATTGCCACAGTCCTACCTCTGGCCACAGATTACTAACATTCCTCCTACCTGAAACATAGACTCACTCTCTCCCAAGACCTGTCATTATGGCATCTAGCTGTGGCTTAGACTCTGGATAGAAGTCCAGGATCTCATCATCCAAATTAGATCCTTATCAGATGTTTCCTACAAGCAACTGACTGACAAACCTTAAATCCTGTTTCTGTGAGTTCAGTTGAAAGTCAGGAATTAAGCTGTAAGTTAAACTTGGAACTACATATTAAGAAAAAAGATGGGAGACATTAGAAAGAAGTAATTCAAGGAATGCTTTCAATTTACTTCAAATAACATATCAAATATTACAAACGATAAAACTCAAGGAGCTAAGGTCTCCCCCAGGCTTTGCCATAAATGAGGCACTTAGTAAAGCACAGTGATTCTCAAGTCACTAGGGGATCATTTAATGTTCCATTTTAGGCACATTCCTAAGCATCCTTCTTATTCCCAGGAACACTGTTCAACTAACATTTATTCAGCATTTAAAGGTTCTGACCTGTCATTGGAAATGCTACAGGGGTTCACTCAAATATGTTTAATCTAAACATGCCTACATTCTCTTCTTAACTCAATGCCAACAACAATGAGCAAGTAATTTATGATGCAATTCTCACTGTCATTAGAAGAAACAGAAAACAAAAAGGTTTGGTGGATGATTAACATAGCCTTGATGAAAATGGTGAACGGGCCACATTAGTAAACAAATTCATTTTGTTGCGCATTAATGGGTCATCAAGTACAGCTGAGGAAGCAGGCTGTGGACAGGGCCCCTGTAAGCAGAGATTCAGGGTCTGGTTTCTGTCACCAGTATGCTCTGGGAAAATTACTTAACCTCGTTTTGCCTCAGTTTCTATAAAATGAGGATTCTAAGAGCTACCTTATAGAACTACTGTAAAGACTAAATTCCATTTTTAAAAAGTGGGGGATCAATGTTAAAAACTGTGATGTGCTGAATAGAGTGTTATTAGGCTTTGTTGGCTTCAATAATCATCTTTCAATTAAATCTCTAACCCAGATCTGTGAATTTGTGGTAGCAACTTCTCTTCACACCCACCTAACAAACATGAATATTTCTTGAGCACATTTCTCTCTTAGCCTTGGACTTAATGTAAGGCCTCTGTTATTTCTATTAATAGGTTAATTTATTAATAGGATCTTTCAGTGACATATGTCACCTTGTATCACAAGCATATAAAGTATAATGTGGCAAAATTAAGATAATCTGTCATTATGTGCTTCCTGTTGTCACTGCTACCCTATTCAAACCTTATCACCTCTCCTCTAGGTCACTCCAGGGGCCTTCTTAGAAATTTCTTGAACATGTGTTTTATCAGATGAAAATGGATCCACATTGCCTAAAAATTAAAAACCAGGAACTCAAAGCCTTCCAAATAGGTCCCCAAAACACCTTTCCAATATTATTTCTCAGAGAACCCCTAGATACAACCTAGACTCCAACCAAACTCATCATCTTGCTTTTCCTAGGACACGCTCTGCCTCATTTTCTCCTTGCCTAAGCTGTCTGCTCCACTTGAAAACCTCTGCACCTATCTCCATTAAAATATGACCAATACTTTAAGGCAAATTTCAAACATTTTTGCATGTAAAAATGAAGTCACATCAGGAACAATAATGTATTACACAGAAAGTCACAGGAACTAATTTGATGTGCCAGGGAAAGACCACAACTTATAGATATCTATAAAGTAGGAAGAGAATGTCAGTCTCTGTTACAGCAAAAGTTTGTGTCGTTCCTGGCATAAGAATTTTGGAAAAGCTTCTGACCCCTGGGACTTTACTATACTGAACAACTAGACAGTACCCAAAAATCTGTCAACTACGACAATAACTGGCTGTCTTTTATGTACAGTTCTCATCACATAAGCTCAATCTAAATGGTGCCAAAACAATCCATCATTTTGTTTTAGTTGGTATTTTAATGCAAAACAGGTCTCCTGAAAAATCTATCCAAAAGTCGTATTTTCCAGACCTTTGACAGAGACTTCTTAATTGTTTCATTTTGTTTTTATTTCTTTTGAAACCTTGGTAAAGCAATTGCAAGCACATATTATCTTGTATCTTTTATCTTCACAAGGGCTTTAAAAAATTTAAAATTTCTTGGCTTTATAAAATGTGAGCAAAGAATCCATAAGCAAGAAAAAGTAAAGTTAGATTTTAAACCATCTATTACTCAAAGAGAAGTTGCCATATATTGCCCAAGACAGATTTATTTTCCAAAGCTTTCATTGGCTCCAATCATTTAAAAGTATGCTAGCACTGAGTGGTTGACTCAATACATGAAGTACTACAAGCTCACAAAAGAAACCCTCAAACAGAGGCTACATGCAAAGGGCTATCCTCTGAGGTTAACTAACCAAAATCCACAGAAGATGGTTGGAATTAACCATCAACTGCTGAGCCACTCAACTGCTGAGGAGGCAAAGAGAGTCCCAGCAAGAACTACTGTGATTTTTATGTCCATAAAACTTCCCAATAATGACAATATAACAACCACTGCCCTCCTCATAAATGAGTTTTTCTTTTTTTCTCTCTCTCTGTGTTTCTCTGTCTCTCTCACTCTCATTGTAGCTGCTACAGGCAAAAGATTTAAAGGTGCTAGTTTACAAGACAATTTTCCAATAGCAATCCGTTATGCAGTGTGATTTGGAAATAATTTGCCACCAACGTGAAGAGTTTTGTCTATATTATCAAGAAAAAGGCCACCTAAAACGAGACAATCTACCCAGTGCTTACTGTGTATAGTGCCTTACAAAGAAGATCAGACAAGACAAGGCAAAGAAGTCGACCTGTGTTGAGCACTTGGTACCAGGTATTCAGCCAAAAATGCTTTCACTAATTAGAAGAGTTTTGTCTATATTATCAAGAAACAGGCCACCTAAAATGAGACAATCTACCCAGTGCTTACTGTGTATAGTGCCTTACAAAGAAGATCAGACAAGACAAGGCAAAGAAGTCAACCTGTGTTGAGCACCTGGTACCAGGTATTCAGCCAAAAATGCTTTCACTTCTACCGTAATTACTCAATCCCCAGGAAACCTTGAGTTAGTTATTCATCTGTTTACAGATTAAGAAACAGGGTCAGAGTAATTAAGCAATTCTCCCAGATCACACACATGCACACAGATTATGGTCAAATTAAGCCACAATTTGAACCCAGGACTCTCTACCCCAAAGCCCATACCTCTTCCAGTACACTGTGACTGCCTGAGACACCGCTCTTGCCTTCAGGGAATTTACTGCTTGCTACATCTGCATTTTTAGAGAAGCGTAACATATAAAGCACGTTGAAATGAAATCATTTGGTGCTATAATGATGTAAGCAGATGAACCTTAAGTATAGAAGAGAGAGGATGAACCTTAAATATAAGAGAGAGAGAAAAAAGAGAAAAGAAATGTAGTCGTGTTTTGCTGACACTGTCAATGAAAGGAACCCTCTTATACCTCCCTTGGGGCTAATTAAAACAGATTGCCTGTTTGGAAAGTATTTCTTTTTAGTGGAGAAAAATGATTCCAGAGAATAGCACAAATAAAAGAAAATATACTTTTAAGACCATCTATTGAAACTTACTCAAATCATATTTACTATAGTTCTATTCTAAGTCAGTTCCTCAAATAGAAATGCCCTAGCCAGCTAACCCAAACATTGCATTCATAAAGAGGTAGATTTTGCATAGTAAATTCATACATTGGCTTTTCTTAAAGTAACATTTAGTCTCTTAAAAAATATTTAAGATTCATATGCCCCTGTCCCATTATCTCTGGAGGAAATAATAAAACCAAATATCCGTATCTGCCCAATGATGACCTTCACCAAAGCACAGCACAGACTCAAAACTGCAGCTTTGCTGCTGCAAAGCACAGAAGTCTAAGCACCACCACCAGACAGAAGGCCAGCCTCAACTTCCTTGCTTCCCTTGGCATTGTCAAGGTACCCTGTGGAATCTAATGCTCTTTCTGTTTGCAGGGCCACATTCATGCACAAAGGGACAAAAATCACCTTCTAACAAACATCCTAAGAAACCTGAGGAGTGTGTATGACTTAAAACACTCTCGGTGAGGGAGTAAATGCTAGGAGACTTTGGATTGTGATCTAAATCAGGATACTCTAATTTTCTTGTCCAATAGAGTGCATTTTCTCATCCCCTTATAACAATGTTACTTAACTGTATTCACTCTTAATTTCACACTCAAGGAAGCTTGGATCCATTAATGACAAGGACAGCTGCTAAATGTATTTTAAATTATAACATATCTTCAAATGGTTAACTATGGGCTATTTCATATGATTCAACCTCCACATTTCATATGGCTAATAGCCAATAGTTAACCATTTTTTAACATATGAAAATAGCAATTTCATATGTATCAAGCTAATAAACAAACAATTCCAAGGTTTTCTGGTATATTCAGATGTCTTTAAGCAGGACTCTTTCTCTCTTTAGGGGTTTCGATGTTTTCCTGAAAGATGTCTACAGGTTCCTTCCCAACCCTATGTCTATACGTCCCATGTCAATCCTGTAATTGCCTTGGGAAGTTTTGTGTCGGAGAAACTATAAAGCAGAAAAATGCAGCCTTCTTTCAGTGGATAACTCCAAATCCATAAGAAACAAACAGGGGGGGAAACAGGACCTTTTAACTTGTGAAGGCAATAAAAATGTGTTCCAAGTATAAACAATTTAAGACCGTATAATACCTGACTCTTCTACCTCAGCAAAGGAGTCAGTTCCATCTCTGCTGAAGAAAATCTCCATCAAGACATTACAGGTGATTTAGCTTCCAAACTAGTTTGGTCCTGTATGATCTCCACCAAATTGTATTTATGGACTTCCATAAAGTGAAAGCATCAAAGACGCTTCACCTAGGTCCCCAGGCTGGGCTGGCACGAGGGCCAATGAAAGCAAATGCCTGATCCCTTAATTCACAGGGCCTCCCTGTTCTCCAATCGGTGCATCCTCACCTAGCTGGGAAGTGTAAATGAAGGGATTTGGTTTGATCCCCCAGGAGGCACAGTACAAAGACACAGTATAAAAATAAAGTATGCAGGATAATATGCTTACTCTTGGGCATAAAAATGTTTACAATACACTGCTCACAGCAGGTCCTGCTCTTCCTCTTACATGGTCTCTCTGAGCTGGCGTCCAATGGTGCTGATTAAGAAGCTAACCCAGGCTGTCTCTTGCAATAGCACAAAAATAAAGTTCATCTTCACAAGAACATGTAGTGGAAATGCACATATGTGGATACATACATGCGCATAAGAACATGTGTGCACAAGCCTTTTTCTCTAGGCGACACCCATTCTGGCCAGCATTATGAAGTTTTACTTATTCTTCAAAGAAAAGGCAATGGCAAAGAGGGTAAGAGATCTGGCTTTCCCCAGATGAAGAAATGAGCATTAAGTAGCCATTAACGTCACAAACAGAAAGACCACAGACACTAAGCACCACTTTTGGATTTTTCTTGCTAAAATAAATAATCTATCCTGAAGGGGATCAAGTCTCTAAATCTAGCTACCAGTTCACAGAAAATAGAGGGGGACAGAGAAACAGAAAGTTGAGTGCACAGCCACAGATGTAGGTAAATGGATACATTTGATGGTAGCAGCATGTAGAAGTTCTTTTTTAACTTTGGGCAAAGTAAATTCCCAGTGCTTGAGTCCATTTACACCTGCCCTGCCATGTGGTCACTCCCTCATTATCTCTAGAGGTACCTCACACTTGGACAGATTCAAAACCATCTTTTTCTTTCTCTTTCATTGTGTAAAATTCTCCCTCTGTTTTGTGCTGGGTATGCTGTAGTCAAGTTGGTTAGTCTGGTAAGGACATCTCTCATAATTCCTTTCCCTCTAGGATTGTGTCAAGAGTAGCCAGGCCAGGCATAGTAGCTCATGCCTGTAATCCTGGCAATTTATGAGACCAAGGTGGGAGGATCTCTGAAGTACAGAAGTTCAAAACCATCCTGGACAACATAGTGAAACCTCATCTCTACAAAAAATGTTTTAAATTAGTCAGGCACAGCATCATTTGCCTGTAGTCCCAAGCTACTTGGGAGGCTGAGGTGGGAGGATTGCTTGAGCCCAGCAGCTCGATGCTGCAGTGAGCCATGCTTGCACCACTGTACTCCAGCCTGGGTGACAGAGTATGACTCTGTCTCAAAAAACAAGAGTTGCAGAAAAGGAACTCAGGCAAGATTTGAGACAGAAATGAAGACTTCATTCTCAGACATACTGACAGAAAGACGCAGAGGAGTGTGGCAGGATCCACGTGGTCCTCTCTCTCCTCAGACCCATATTTAGTGCTTTCCAATTATTAGCCCTGCTGACTAGCAGCTGTCCACTACCAGTCACTTGGGTACAGATTCTCAGTAGCTCCCCTGAGGTTACAAATTCTCAGTAGCTCCCCTGAGGCAACAGCTTCCCAAAGACACTGCACCGATTCTCTCTTCACAGTCCCATGTCAGCAGCTGGAAGGGTTCATCTTCTCAGATTTTCCTGCAAGCTCCAGCTTGCCCACCCAGGCCAATGCTTCAGTCATGTCTGAAATGAATGACTTCCACTCTGATCCTCCAACTCCCCTTTCTGGGCCTTCCTTTCCCCGATCCTCCCACAATTGAGTAAGGTTTAATTCCTATAATAAATATGTCAGCCCACACTCAAAGTGGCACTGCTTCCCTGCCGAACCTGGATGACACATCTCTATCACCTACTAGTGCTGGTTCTGCTTCCTACAAAACCTCCCAAGATTGACGGTTCTAGTACTTCTAATGACAGCCTTTTGAGGACTGGAGGTTGATTTCTCGTAGCAGAACTCATTCCTGCTGGCCGTCACACCTGGCCCTTCAGTGTTTCTGCTGGGTGTGGCTTCAAGCCCTCTCACATCTGGGCACTCTCTCTCATAAAAGCACATGGGATATTTAATCAGTTTCGTTTGTTTAAGTGGACCTCATTAATACCAGCTTTTGAAATCATTTTTCTTATTCCTTTATTCCACATATTCAGTATTTCTTCCAAATAGTCACATTTGACCCTATGCCTTTAATATCTTCATCTGACACAGTGATCCATGGGAAAACGGCAAAGACAAATTGCTGCTATTACAGACTTTTTTCCAAAAGGTGTCTTTGGGGTATGATTGTCATGACCAAGTTTTCATGTGGCCCAGGTAAATCAATATCTAACCTAGGAGACTTGGTCAAATTAGATAGCACAAAGGCTAAATAAATAAATAAGGATATAGCACCAGTGGCTTTAAACCTGGGAGAATGGTTCCATTATTGAAAATAGGAATAGACAATAGGGCAGATGTTTTCACATTGTATGCAAAATATACAAGATGATGCATTTCATTTTAGATGACTTGGGCTGGAGGTGCCTGGAGATATCCCTGAGCTGAAGATGATTATTTTGAAGTCATCTGCATATAAGTGATATTTGAATGCACAAAGGTAGATTCATTCTTTAAAAGATAATAAAGACATTTTTATTAAAAAGATAATAAACATTTAAAAAGATAAATATTTAAAAGATAATAGATAAATAAACAGAGGGGCCAAGAATAGTACAGTCCTCCCTACATATCTGTGGGGAATTGGTTCCAGGACCCCAACAGATACCAAAATCTGCCCAAGTCCCTTATGTAAAATGAGGCAGTATTTTCACATTACCTATGCACATCCTCACATGTACTTTTTTTTTTATAATTGCAACTTTTATTTTAGATTCGGGGATACCTGTGCAGGTTTGTTATATGGGTATATTGGTGAGGTTTGGGGTACAAATGATCCCAAATAGTAATGCTGAGGTTTGGGGTACAAATGATGCCATCACCCGGGTGGTGAACATAGTAGTCAATGGTTTTTCAACCCTTGCCCCTCTCCCTGCCTCCTCCCTCTAGGAGTCCCCAATATATATTATTGCCATCTTTATGTTCATGTTTACCCAATATTTAGCCTTCTACTTATAAATAAGAATATGTGGTATTTGGTTTTCTCTCCCTGCATTCAATTGCTCAAGGTCATGGGCTCCAGCTGCATGGTGCTGCAAAGAACATGATTTTGTTCTTTTTTATGGTTGCATAGTATTCCACAGTGTATATGTACGGTATTTTCTTTATCCAGTCCACTGCTGATGGGCACCTAGGTTGATTCCATGTTTTTGCTATTGTGAATGGTGCTGCAATGAACATATGAGTGCATGTGTCTTTTTGGTAAAACAATTTTTTTAAATATATATACCCAGTAATGGGATTGCTGGGTCAAATGGTAGTTCTATTGTAAGTTCCCTGAGAAATCTCCAAACTTCTTTTCACAGTGGCTGAACTAATTTACATTCCCACTCAACAGGGTATAAATGCTCCCTTTTCTCCACAGGCTCGCCAGCATCTGTTATTTTTTGACTTTTTAATAATTTCTGTTCTGACATATGAGATGGTATCTCATTGTGGTTTTGATTTGCATTTCTCTGATAATTCATGATGTGGAATATTTTTTCATGTTTGTTGGCCATTTGTGTGTCCTCTGTTCATGTCTTTTGCATACTTTTTCATGGGATTCTTTGGTTTTCGCTTGTCCCGTTATTTAAGTTCCTTACAGATTCTGGATAGCAGACTTTTGTCAGATGCATTGTTTGCAAATATTTTCTCCCATTCTGTAGGTTGTCTATTTATTCTATTGATAGTTTATTTTGCTGTGCAGAAGCTTTTTAGTCTAATTAGGTCCCACTTGTCAACTCTTGGTTTTGTTGCGATTGCATTTGAGGACTTAGTCATAAATTCTTTCCCAAGGCCAGTGTCCAGAATGGTGTTTCCTAGGTTTTCTTCTAGGATTCTTATAGTTTGAGGGCTTACATTTAAATATTTAATCCATCTTGAGTTAACTTTTGTATATGATGAAAATTGGGGTCCAGTTTCATTCTTCTGCATATGGCTAGCCAGCTATCCCAGCACCATTTATTGAACAGGGAGTACTTTCCCCACTGCTTATATTTGTCAACTTTGTGAAGAACAGATGGCTGTAGGGGTATGGCTTTTCTTCTAGGTTCTGTTCCATTGTTCCATATAATTTAAATCATCTCTAGGTTACTAATAATACTTAATACAATGTAAATGCTATGTAAATTGTTGTTAAGCATGTTTTTTAAAATTTGTATTATGTTTTGTATTTTTTATTGGCTCTTTTTTTGGAAATACATTAATCTGCATTTGGTTGAATTTGTGGATGCAGAACCAGAAGATATGAAAGGCCAGCTGTCCATTGGTAATATTTGTGTCATTTAAGCATATGAGCTTTTGAAAATTTAGCTACTCCTAGCACATTACCATCTACACATGAAAAGTTAAGGTCAGGGAAACACACCAATCTGAGTATTCAGGACTAAGAACCACCTGGCTAGTTAAAAATCCACATAGCCTTGATTCTCCTACTGTTGTTTCCCTAAGCCTGGTATTATTGAACAAAGAAGATTCTCTTATTTTATACATGCTATGATGAATAAGAGAATACAACCCAAACTGTAGAAGTCATTTTATCTAATTTTGCCCCTTTGCTGGAATTAGACTTTTATCCAATGTAAATGTCTTTAGGCTTTGGTCAGTAGATACAGAAATCTTTAAGTGAGACTTGAAACAGCTCAAATGTCCATCACTTGGGGACTGGTTGAATAAACTACGCAACTTAAAAGGGATGAGAGATAGCTGCACCTGCTGCTAAGCAGTGAATGCTGAGATAAATTGTATAGTTAAAAAAGATAAGGTGGAGGAAAATGTGTATAGTAAACTTACATTTATCTAAGAAAGTAGATGTGAACGAGATGCAAGTATCTATACATATTTGCTCCTGTAAAATAAAATTGAAAGATAAACCATGAAGTTTTTAAAAATTACCTATGGGAGAGGGGAGACAGAGATTGGAGGCCAACTTCTCTGAATATACTTTGTTTTATATAACTTTAAAACAAAAGTAAGGCTATTATCAAAATGATGAAAGATTAAGTGTTGGTGAGGATGTGGAGAAAAGGGAACCATTTTGTACTGTTGTTGGGAATATAAATAAATATAGCCATTATACATAAACAGTATGGAGGTCCCTCAAAAAATTAAAAATAGAGCTACCATATGATCCAACAAGCCACTACTGGGGTATATATCTAAACAACATAAAATCAGTATATTGAAGAGATGTCGTCAGCCCCTGTTCATTACAGTACTATTCACAATAGCCAAGACATGGAATCATGGTAAGCGTGCATCAAAGAGTGAATGGCTGAAGAAAATATGGTATGTGTGGCTAGACGCGGTGGCTCATGCCTGTAATCCCAGCACTTTGGGAGGCCGAGGCGGGTGGATCACGAGGTCAGGAGATCGAGACCAGCCTGGCCAACATGGTTAAACCCCGTCTCTACTAAAAATACAAAAAATTAGCCAGGCATGGTGGCAGGCGCCTGTAGTCCCAGCTACTTGGGAGGCTGAGGAAGGAGAATGGTGTGAACCCGGGAGGTGGAGCTTGCAGTGAGCTGAGGTGATGCCACTGCACTCCAGCCCGGGTGACAGAGCAAGACTCCATCTCAAAAAAAAAAAAAGAAAAAAGAAAATACGGTATGTGTACACAATGGAATACAATTCAGCCTTATAAAAAAAGAAAATTTTCTCATTTGCAACAACATAGATGAACCTGGAGGACATTGTGATAAATGAAATAAACCAGGCACAGAAAGACAAATACCACATGACCTCACTTACATGTAGAGTATAAAAAATCAGTCATATAAACAGGAGTGAGGCCGAGGGGTGGAGAAATTGGGGAGATGCTGGTCAAAGGAAACAAAATTTCACTTAGACAGAAGGAATAAGTTCAAGAGATGTATTGTATGTCATGGTGACTGCAGCTAATAACAACATATTGTATATCTGAAAATTACTAAAAGTAGATTTTAAGTGTTCTCACCACAAAAAATAAGTATGTGAAGTAATGCTTATTTAAAATCGCTTAGTCATTCCACACACGTATGTGTGTGTATATATATACATCATATTGTACACCATAAATATATATACATCATATTGTACACCATAAATATATACAATTTTTACTTGTCAATTCTAAAAAATAATTAAATTTTTAAAAACAAAATTAAATAAATCTAAAATAACTACACTACAATGCTAAAGCAAAATGAAGCAAATAAATTTAACTATTTTTTTCAAGTGACTTTAAAAGACAATGATTTCTACATCCCTATTGGTATATACTCTAAAGATGAAAAGAACTGCAAAATAAATTCAAACGGTTGTTTTACAATTGTATTTTAATAATATTTTATATTATTCTAAACCTATTATTAATTAGACACAAATTTATACAGAAAGATAAAACAAGTAAGTAATTCTCAGTAAGAACTAATCATTTATTTTCTCTTTAAAATGAAAGAAAAAGAAGGAAGAGAGGAAGGAACGGAGGAAGTGAGAAAAGAATGGAGGCAGGCTAAAACATAAACCAATTCAGTATCAATGAGCAGTCGTCATATCTAGGTTGTGGTTTCTAAAAAATACCATTTCCCATAAGGAAACTCAAGCTCCTTGGAAAAATAGCTAATTTCTGGTTTAGGGCCAGAAATGTACAAGATAAGCCTAGAACATCCTGTCATACCAGAAAATTAGAGAGCTATTGAAGATGACTGAAAGATTTATAAGCCTAACTTGAAAAGGCTCCCACTGGCTTCTTGGAGACAATTTGAGCATGGATTTTTTAAAAGATGCATCAAATAAATTCAAATAGGTTTAAACATTCATAACTTCATTACGACATTTAAAAACTAAGTGACTGACTTGGCCAATGTTAAGAAACCAACTCACTGAAACTAGTTTTAAAAAAGGGAGTTGGTGGCCGGGCGCGGTGGCTCACGCCTGTAATCCCAGCACTTTGGGAGGCCGAGGTGGGTGGATCATGAGGTCAGGAGATCAAGATCATCCTGGCTAACACGGTGAAACCCCATCTCTACTAAAAATACAAAAAATTAGCCTGGCATGGTAGCAGGCGCCTGTAGTCCCAGTTACTCGGGAGGCTGAGGCGGGAGAATGGCGTGAACCCAGGAGGTGGAGCTTGCAGTGAGCCGAGATCACGCCACTGCACTCCAGCCTGGGCAACAGAGCGAGACTCCGTCACAAAAAAAAAAAAAAGGGTGGGGGGAGTTGGGGGTCAATATAGATCTAGCATCCATCTGGCCTTCCCTATGCAAACTGTCCCTCAGAATAATCAAACAGCTAATATGATAGAAAGTATTCCAGCAAATAAATGGAGAAGAAATGATAAAATGGAATACCACCAATCTAGATAATAATCATCAAAGCTACTAATGTCACAAAATGGAGAAATACAGATATTATGTGCATTCTATGAAGAAGAGTGTGATTCTTTTTAAGTCTTTTTAGCAATATTTACAGAAATATTTATAAATAATATGACAGAATATCTGTGTGTTGTGAGGTAATGACATAACAAAAAAGGAAACTACAGACTAATATCCCTGATAAACATAAATATAAAAATCCTCAACAAAATACCTGCTAACTGAATCCAACAGCATATCAAAAAGATAACACACCATGATCAAGTGGGTTTCATACCACGAATGCAGGGATGGTTTAACACATGCAAGTCAATAAATGTGATACATCACATAAACAAAATTTAAAACAAAAATAATATGATAATGTCAATAGATGCAGAAAAAGTATTTGACAAAATCGAGCACCCCATTATGATTAAAACCCTCAGCAAAATTGGCATAGAAGGGAGATACCTCAAGGAAATAAAACTCATCTATGACAAACACACAGCCAACATTATACTGAATGGGGAAAAGTTGAAAGCATTCCCCCTGAGAACTGGAACAAGACAACAATGCCCACTTTCACCACTTCTATTCAATATAGTACTGGAAGTCCTACCCAGATCAATCAGACAATAGAAAGAAATAAAGGGCACCCAAACCACTAAAGAGGAAGTCAAACTGTCAGTGTTCGCCAATGATATGATTGCATACCTAGAATACCCTAAAGACTCACGCAAAAAGGTCCTAGATCTGATTAATGAATTTAGTAAAGTTTCAGGATACAAAATCAATGTACACAAATAAGCAGCACTGCTATACACCAACAACAAGCAAGCTGAGAAACAAATCAAGAACTCAATTCATTTTACAACAGCTGCAAAATAAAATAAAATAAAATACTTAGGAATATACCTAACCAAGGAGGTAAAAGATCTTGACAAGGAAGTCTTCAAAACGCTGGTGAAAGAAATTATCGACGACACAAATAAATGGAAACACATCCCATGCTCATGGATGAGTAGAAACAATATTGTGAAAATGGCCATACTGACAAAAGCAATTTACAGATTCAGTGCAATTCCTATCAAAATACCATCGTCTTCATTCACAGAACTAGAAAAAACAATCCTAAAATTCATATAGAACAACAACAAAAAAAAGCCCACATAGCCAAAGCAATACTAACAAAAAGAACAAATCTGGAGGCATCACTTTACCCAACTTCAAACTATACTACAAGGCTATAGTTACCAAAACAGCATGGTACTGGTATAAAAATAGACACATAGACCAATGGAACAGAATAGAGAACCCAGAAATAAAGCCAAATACTTACAGTCAACTGATCTTTGACAAAGCAAACAAAAACATAAAGTGGGGAAAGGACACCCTATTGAACAAATGGTGCTGACATAATTGGCAAGCCACAAGCAAAAGAAGGAAACTGAATCTTCACCTCTTGCCTTATACAAAAATCAACTCAAGATGGACCAAAGACTTGAATCTAAGACCTGAAACTGTAAAAATTCTAGAAGACAACATTGGAAAAGCTATTCTACACACTAGCTTAGGCAAAGAGTTCATGACCCAGAACCCAAAAGCCAAATGCAACAAAAACAAAAATAAATAATTGGGACCTAATTAAACTGAAAAGCTTCTACATAGCAAGATAAATAATGAGCAGAGTAAACACACAACCTACAGAATGGGAGAAAATATTTGTAAACTATGAAGCTGACAAAGGACTAATATCCAGAATCTGCAGCAAGAAAAAAAACAAATAATCCCATCAAAAAGTGGGCAAAGGTTAAGACTAGACAATTCTCAAAACAAGATATATAAATGGCCAACAAACATAGGAAAAAAATGTTTAACATCACCAATTATCAGGGAAATCCAAATTAAAACCACAATGAGATACCATCCTACTCCTGCAAGAATGGTCATAATTTAAAAATCAAAAAATAATAGATGTTGGTGCGAATGTGATGAAATAGGAACACTTTTACACTGCTGGTGGGAATGTAAACTAGTATAACCACTATGGAAAACAGGACGGAGATTCCTTAAAGACCTAAAAGTAGAACTACCATTTGATCCCTCAATCCCACTACTGGGTATCTGCCTAGAAGAAAAGAAGTCATTACATGAAAAAGACACTCGCACACTCATGTTTATAGCAGCACAATTTGCAAATGCAAAAATATGGAACTAGTCTAAATGCCCATCAACCACCCAGTGGATAAATAGAATGTGAGATAGATAGATAGATAGATAGATAGATAGATAGATAGATAGATAGATAGACAGATAATGGAATACTACTCAGCCATAAAAAATGAATGAAATAATGGCATTCACAGCAACCTGGATGGAGTTGGAGACTATTATTCTAAGTGAAGTAACTCAGGAATGGAAAACCAAATATCGTATGTTCTCACTTATAAATGGGAGCTAAGCTATGAAGATGCAAAGGCATAAGAATGATATAATGGATTCTGGAGACTTGAGGGCAAGAGTGGGGCAGAGGTGAGTGATAAAAGACTACAAATTGGGTACAGTGTTCACAGCCCGGGTGATGGGTGCACCAAAATCTCAGAAATTGCCACTAAAGAACTTACTCATGTAACCAAAAACTACCTGTAGCCCAAAAACTATTGAAATAATGACCAAAAAAAGGGGTGTGTGTGTGTGTGTGTGTGTAATAATCCAGGAAAGGGGCTGGGCAACCAGGGAAGTAGGTAGAAATATAGATAAAATAAGATTGGCCATGAGTTAATGATTGCTGTCAGTGTGGGAGATGGGTAAATGGGGAGGTCCATTGCACTATTCTCCTATCTTTATGTATGTTTGAAATTTTTATTACTAATAATAAATTTTTAATTGATTAGGCTTTGGAGCCAAATTGCCTGGGTTTGAATCCCAATTCAACTATTTAATAGCCATATAACCTTGAGCAAATTAAAGCAAGTTGTGAAACCTCTCTGTAACTCAGCTTCCCTATCTATAAAATAGGAGTGATACAAAGTCATTACTTCAATGGGTTGTTATGAAGATTAAGTGAAGTAATGTATGTAAGGTACTTAAAACAATTCCTGACATATAGTAGACACTTAAATGCTAGCTATTATAGTGTTCAGGGTCCACAAAATTGGTTGAAACCCTGACTTAGAATTTCTGGGCATTCAAACCCGTAAGACTGGCTCATGAGAAATCATTATTACTTCTCAATGAGGAGCACAATATAAATCCAACAACTTCCTTCTCTCACACACAACAGCTAAATAAGACTACGAAGACTGGTCAATCTTTCAATGCTCAACATTTTGACACTCTCTGCTGCTCCCAGTAGAGGCTTCAGGTCAATGTCACATTCTTATCTGTACTCCCCATGAAACGGCTGGGTTTCTTCTCTCACCACCACCTTTAGGGGGCAGCCCATAAGTATCTCGCTGAGACCTCTAGTGGTTGTGTTGGTTAGCAGAAAACACAGTGGACAGGAGTCAAAAGCCCTAGCTAGATTCTTATACTGTCTTTGTTCCTGAATCGCTGTATGACCTTGAAGAATCGCTTGCTCTTCCCAGAATTTAGATAACATAATGTTGACAACATTTTTGGAACTCTTGTCTGAAAATTCTCTTTAGAGACTATTAGAAAATTATTTGGAGCACCTTTTGCTAACGGCTAAGTCTTCAGCCTTTGAGGGTAAAATCATACTTACAGACAAGATCATTTGAATGAAATGCACAATAAAGCTGTCTCTGGTTTAAAACCAGGTGTAACTATTAATAAGGGAGACAATTTATTTTAAAAAGCATAGATTGACTTTTTAAAACATTCTAAAAGAAAGGCAGTAACAGAATTCTCAGATCAAATGTAAATAGTTTCTTTAGAAGATGTCTGCAGAGAACTTTTGGGGGGTGATGTTTATTAATTTTTCTTTAAACCAAGTTCATTAGTTTTAAATCTCACCTTAAGCAGAATCATAGTCTTTCATTTACAAAACACTTGGATGTATGGGTTTTGTCCTTTGTGCAGATGTAGTTATATAGGTTAAATTACAAATCAAAAATCATCAAATTATTTGTATTTCAATTAAACAGCTTAAAGAAACTCATAGGTACAAGTAGGAGCTAGGGCAGTTGTGTTGCACCCTGTGTGAAATGGAACTAATAATAGTGTCTCTACGGCCGGGCACAGTGGCTCACACCTGTAATCCCTATGCTTTGGGAAGCTGAGGTGGGAGGATAAGTTGAGCTCAGGATTTGGAGACCAGCCTTGGCAACATAGGGAAGCCAAGTCTCTACAAAAAAGAAAATGTAATAAGCCAGGTATGGTGGCATACACCTGTGGTACCAGCTACTTGGGAAGCTGAGGTAGGAAGATTGGTTGGGCCCAGGAGGTCAAGGCTGCAGTGAGTCATGACTGTGCCACTGCACACCAACCTGGGTGACAGAGTGAGATCCTATCTCAAAAACATTTTAAAAATAGATAGGTCGTTGAATGTGGGCTAATTTTTTTAATTTTTTAAAAATTAAAGGTTTTTTAAGGATTAAATGAGTTAATATATATAAAGTATTTAGATAGCTTATAATAAAAGTCAAGTAAGTATTAACTACTATGAACTTTATGAATATTTCACTGTTTCCAGTTCTCAAAAATGTAAATATCTCATTTAGTTTCATTTTTCATTCATCCTGCTTATGGCAAATGTGGATTCATATCACTGAGTGCACACACATTTTTGAGGATTTGAAATGCTCTTGAAGTTTTTTCCATACTTAGGCAGAGCATTCTTATCTAGATAGATAAGCTTGTATGCAAATAAATTGGTTTCTACTAAAGGGCTCCAACCCATCCATTAATCATGGGATAACTATATACTTCCAGTTTTCAAGAAAACAGCTATAAATATCTATCCATCAACAAATATTCACTGCATGCCAGCTATATCCAAGGAACATGTTGGGAGCTGTGGAAATACAAGGAAGGAAAAGTCATGAGCCCCATCCTCAAGAAGTCTGCCAGTTGAAGAAAGGAGGAAAATTTGCATACGGAGATGAATGGCTGTTTAAGAGAGCACATGGTAAGTGCTAAGTGACCAGGCACAGCGTCCATCCATAATGATATATTTAGTAGAAGACAGGCACGTAGGTAAAGAAATCCCTGAAGATTAGGGTGATTCAAACATCCTTTCAGAGGAGATGGACTTAAGCCAAGGATTAAGGGATGAGTAAGATTCCAAAAAAGGAGGGAGAAAGGCATGAACAAAGGTGAAGATAGATTTTTAGTTGACAAGGGGAGGTCTACACTGCCAAGGCAGAGCTGGTTTAAAGAAATTGTGGGAGAGTCAGCACAGGTATTGAGACTCTTGAAGACCAACCTAAAGAATTTCGACTTTATAAGTGATATGGAATAGCGGTTTTTGAACAATGCTTTGACATGAGTAAAGTGGTATTTTATTTTATATTTTTTAATTTTTTTTTGAGATGGAGTTTCACTCTTGTTGTCCAGGCTGGAGTGCAATGGCGCAATCTCGGCTCACTGCAACTTCCGCCTCCCAGGTTCAAGCGATTCTCCTGCCTCAGCCTCCTGAGTAGCTGGGATTACAGGTGGCTGCCACCACCCCCAGCTAATTTTTTTGTATTTTTAGTAGAGATGGGGTTTCACCATGTTGGCCAGGCTGGCCTCGAACTCGTGAACTCAGGTGATCCACCAGCCTCGGCCTGCCAAAGTGCTGGGATTACAGGTGTGAGCCACCTCTCCCAGCCATAAAGTGGTATTTTAAAACTTTTTCTAGATTTGGGGTCCATATAGTCTCCTATGGCTGAATCATCTGTGGATATAGGTATTTATATTCCCTTCTCTCCAATTTTCAAGAATTTTGTGGTCCATTTGCCTATGTTTACAGCACCTTTGGTTCATATAATCCCTCAGATTTGAGTTCATCTTTCCAAAACAGGAGAAGATTAAGGTAACAGACATGAGATTTGCTGCAAACTCTCTTCCCACACCCAGATTGATATACCTAATATATATCTTCCATAAATTTACGCTCTTATAAACACAGCAATCATATACATATATATGAGATTATTTTATTATCATTGTCAGATTTACAAAAGCAACATGCAATACATGTGCTTTACCATTGTGTGTTGGCCACTAACTTATGCACCATGAAAATGCCTCCAAGTGATTTTTAAGTCATTCTCTTTACTATTTCATGAAGTAATAATAACTACTATTTATTGAGTTACAATGTGCCAGGCACTGTTCCCACATGTTACCTATATCATTTCATTTGAGTCTCACAAAACCTTATGAGATTGGTGTCATTATTGTCCTCGTTTTATAGATGAGAAAACTAAGACACAGGGGCTAAACATCTTCCCCAGGACCATTCATTGTATGTTTAAGATGAACACAGAAATGGATTACAGCCCAGGCATCCGACACTAAAGCCATACCATTAACCACTGTGCCACACCGCTTAGCCCAGTAGTGGTGTAGGTCCTAATCAGCCCCTCACTAATGGACATTCTCTTTGATTCTGGATTTTTGCCACCATAATACTGCTGCAATAAATATCCTTGGTCATACATCCTGATCTATGGGTGTTTTTATTTCTTTCATTCAACTAATATTTACTGAATGCCTCATCAGTGCCAGGGACTATTCTGGATGCTGGAGTTCCAGTGATGAATAAGACAGATGAGGTCCTTGTTTTCACAGAGCTCACATTCTGGTGGGAAGACAATAAATGAATGAATCAATCAACAAATGAGGGAATAAATGAAGAATATGAAAAATAGGAGATAATGGTAAGTCATATACAGAGAGTTAAAATAGGGTAATGCAATATAGGCAGCCACTTGGTAATAACTATAGATATTTTTAATATGATATAGACCTCCAAATATGAGATTGCTAGGTTGAAAGGATATATTTTCAGTTTTTAATAATTACTGTTACTTTGCTTTCCAAAAGGCTTAATAATTCTCATTTCTACCAACAATAAAAATACAGATTTTATTATTATTTCTTTTTCTTTCTGGACACAGAGTCTTGCTCTGTTGCCCAGGCTGGAATGTAGTGGCACAATCTCAGCTCACTGCAACCTCCACCTCCTAGGCTCAAGTGATTCTCTTGCCTCAGCTTCCCAAGTAGCTGGGACTACAGGCACGTGCCACCACCCTCCATTAATTTTTTGTATTTTAGAAGAGATGGGGTTTCACCATGTTCGCCAGGCTGATCTCAAACTCCTGAGCGCAGGCAATCCACCCGCCTCAGCCTCCCAAAGTGCTAGGATTACAAGTATGAGCCATGGCGCCTGGCCAGAAATATAGAATTTTTAAATAAACTTTTTTTGTCTTCCTTCTATGATACTAAGAGAACTTGAAAAAATTCTTCCTTCTCAATAACTATACTGACCTATTTCAAATTCAACATAAATGTATATCAGCTACAAGGTAAATCTCATTTTCTATACATATATATATATATGAAATCAAGAATGTGCATCTCACTGAACACTCTCAAAGAAATGTATGTGCTTGCTGCTTGTCGATAAGTCGGGGGGGTAGAGAATGGTCTTGTCTCATGTTCTTAGTACAGACAGTGGAAGAGTTAACATTTCTTAAAGATAGTGGATCACATTTAATTTTTAGAAAACAGCAAGGAAGCAAGTCTAATAAGTTGAAAGGGACTCCTATAAAGAAAAATCTTGATAAACATTAAAAACAACCCTTGAGAGGCTGAAGTATTTTCAGGAGTAGCCATCAAAAGAATACCACAGAATCTATCTTTCAGGAGTAGCCATCAAAAGAATACCACAGAATCTATCACCCATAGCCTACGCAGTTAGACTTTCCCATCACATCCCCTTTCCTTGTTTATAGACCTGCCTGGTTATCACCAGTTCTAGGGGACTGTCATTATTTCAAGGACTCGTAAATATGCAACAGGTATTTCATGGGAGAAAATGCAACTGAATAACTTCTAACCACCCTAAGAAAGAGACAGGAGAAAAATGCAACTGAATAACTTCTAACCACCCTAAGAAAGAGACAGGAGAAGCGTCTGTCTGGCTCTCACCAGTCTCCCGACCCCTTCACCCATTCTAAGGAAAAGCAAGGAGGCAGCACTCAGACCTGGCTTCTCTGCAGAATACCCTGCCAATCCAGAGAGAGGGGATGACAGCATCCATATCTAAATCTAACCTCTCACTTTAAAGGTCTGCACGTTTTTTGTGTGCAGGAAGGCAGGGTTTTATTTTAACCATGTTTCACAAGCAAAAGCAATGGAAAGAATTCCATGCCTAATCTTTGTTTTTCCTCCCTTGAAATTTGATCATATTCCTAACTTTAGTCATACTGCCTGGTTTCCTTTCCTTAATGGAGTGAAATTTATGTCTGTGATTAGAGAATTGGCTTGGGAAAACCATTTGCGTTTTAAAAGTTATATGTTTTAAGAATAATAGATATGGAAATCCTAGAAGAAACCCAGTGTGCTTTGGATGTTAATACAGACATCATAATGACTTGCTATTTCTATCCCCAGTTAGTAAGTAATGGGCGTATTAAATTTATTGAGGATGGGGAGGAGGATGAAACTTTGAATTGAAAAATTTTCACAAAGAGCATAGTGATAAATTTAGTTATAGCCTACATGTACAGCTTTTTGACTAAAATATCTGAGGATTATTTTGAAAATAAAGAATAAGGTGACAGTCATTAAAAAGTTTTGCTGGAAGTGCATTTACTGTGTGATCCTTGAACTCTAGCATTCATAGTCACAGGGAAAAAGTAATCAGATGTTCCTTGCTTTATGCCATAGATATAGTCCTTAATTCAAACACATTTTCAATGTATCAGGGAAAGTCACTAAAAATGAAGCAATGTGGTCCGTCCTTAAGGGGACAAGGGACAAGGCAACAAAATGACCTTCACCAAATCACAAACAGGCTAAATTCCCCCTAGTTGGAAGCTGCAGGGAAGGAGCAAGAGCTCCGTCCTCATAGCTGCACAAACCAGGGTGTAAATCCCTCTACATTCTTGCTGTGTGGCTTAGAGCAAGTTACCTAATATTCCTGAGCTTCATCTGCAAAATGGGGTGTTATCAGTACCTCACTTCTGAGGGGTTTATGAAGGTGAAATGAGATCATGTATGTAAAACAGGGAAGGCATTTATTTCATTTTGGTTCCCTCCTTCTTCCCACCCAGTTTTTAGCCTGGCTTTGAGATCACTGAATCGGAAGAAAGGAGCCCAACAGAAAAAAAAGAGTTGGATATGGGGTAAAAATGAAGGGCTGCTTGGGAGTGGTCAGTACTGATTTGGCAGAACAAAGAACCAAAGAAATGCCACCCATACCTGAAACACAACCTGCAGCCAGCCCTCTGCTGCAGAGAGAAAATGCTTTAGTAATATGAATAATTGGCTCCTAATGCTTTTCATTTCTGAGTTTTTCTAATCAAGACACACCCATTCATTTACTACCTGCTGCATATAGCTTTGTGCTACTGTAAATATACTGTTTGTCACTCACTTCAATACTGATCATTTAAATGTTAAAGGTCTGTGATAGTCCTTACCCAAAAAAAGTCAAAATATTTATTAATTTTTTTACAACATGATAGTTTCAAAAATATGGTCCATGATATCCTAAGCATAACAAAAAAGAAAAACTGTATGACCCCAAGCAGTTCATGTAACATAAAAATTTTCAAATTTTCAAATATCACTATCACATAACATCCTCTTCCTTATAGGAAAGTATATTTGAAAAGTCTAGGTGTAAGTGACCCTGTAGGTTTTTGTTCTTTGTTTTTTTTTTTTTTTTAAGAGACAGAGTCTCACTCTGTTACCCAGGCTGGAGTGCAGCAGTCGTGCAATCATAGCTCACTGCAACCTTGAACTCTAGGCTCAAGCAATCCTCCCACCTCAGCCTCTCAAGTAGCTGAAACTACAGGCACTCGCCATCATGCCTAGCTACATCTTATTTTTTGTAGAGAGGGGGTCTCACTATGTTGCCCAAGCTGGTCTCAACCTCCTGGGCTCAAGCGATCCTCCCACTTTGGCCTCCCAAAGCACTGGGATTACAGGTGTGAGCCACTGTGCCCAGCCTTAGGCCTGTTAATAAGTTAATGAAATTTAAAATACAGAATTTAAAAGTGTGTAAAAATATTTTCTCACTAAGAACTTTCATATCTTCAGCCTTCATTTGTCATTTCCATCGAAGAAAGTCAAGTGACTTTGTTTAGAGGTCACTTTTCACAAAGGAACCAAATGTTGATCACTCCAGCAGAGTACTGGCTGCATCTATCAGGATGTGTGAAGAACAACAGTTGTGCTGAGGTGTGACCACTAAGGTGGCTGGGTAGTTTATTCACTGCACAAGGGCTTGCTGCCACACACAAGATGAAATTTCAGAGTTTTGGGTGCCATGGATATTGCAAATTATAATATGATGGACCTTTAAGGATGCCTTATGAACAGATGAAGCTGCCAATGTTATCTCCATAAATGTCAAATGCCTAACATTATAGATATAGGAGGCAGGATGCAGTTAATCTTATCCCCCAATCACGAGCACATACAGGAACTGGCAGGAAGTAATACATGCTTTAAACCAATTTTAAGGCCACGATCTTTTGCAGATAGATGTCTGTATTCTTCTGAACAGAGATGTGTAGTAGTCAGATATACGTTGGGAAATCCATGTCCCTCCTCAAGAGACCTGTCTGATGATGAGAAAATTGTCTTTACTCAAGAATCTAAATTACCCAATTTCATTACACCATGGTGTGGACCATCAGCGGCCAAGTATAATTTTTAAATTCATCTTTCTTTGCTCTCCTTTTCCCTGAAACCTACCTACAGAGTCAGCTAGGTGCTTGGTTTTATAGGCAATTTGTCACAGTTTTTTTTTCATAGCTAAAGATTACTGAAATATTTGAGACTTTTTTTTAGACAGGGTCTCGCTATGTTGCCCAAGCTGGCATGCAGTAGCTATTCATAGGAACGATCACAGCAGCCTCAAACTCCTAGCCTCCAGTAATCCTCCTGTTTCAGCCTCCCAAGTAGCTGGGACTACAGGCTCACTCTGCACCCAGCTGAGACTCGTTTTTTAACTTCACATTGTAAAAAGCAAATAGTCAATTCATTCACGTAGGTTTTTTAAAAGCCAATTAAGTACATAAACCATTATTTGTGTAATACAAGTTCAAATAATGAAAAAGTCTCCTTTTTTAAAACCTTTAACTAGTTCTTTTGGCATCACAGATACATATATAGATGGTTTCACATGGTTCCAATCCTCAAATAAAAATATTTAAATAAGATTTCATACTAACATGGCTTTATCCTGGCATTTCTTAAACAGATGCAGAAAAATTCCCTTCTAATAAATTATCTGCTCCCACTGCCGCCAACATCCACTCCATCACTACCACCAGCCCCAAATTGCTTTATTGCAGTAGAATTATGTTATAATGTTAAATTGCTATAATTCGGTTTCCAGGCTAGAGGAAAAGCAGCACATATAGTCAGTCTTTCAGAGGCACATTAGCGAATGAAAAGTATATTGCAGGAGAACTAAGGAAGTAAGTCAAGGAACTTTGTCGGGGAAGAAGGAAGTAACTCCTACAGGCTATTTACCCCTTTTACGCCACCCTCTTTGTGTATTCCTGGGGTTTGCTTTGGTTTGGGTATACAGATGTTTGAGGTAGTGAGTGATCATAATAAAAGGTGACTGCAACTTGATGACAGGGCTAAAGAATCTTGGAGAGTTCAGCTGTGCTCCACTACCTCTCTGTTCTCTCCCCAATTCCTAATGTCTTTCATGCTCAACTGAGTCCTTTCCATGTAAAGAGTGACTGATATGGGGACCACAGCAAACATTTTTGCAACACAATTTCTTGCTGTAGAAAAGCAGTTGTAATCAAAATCAATAAAGCACTATTCCTGTGAGCCTCTACGAGACATAGAAACGATATCATTCTACCCAACCCTTCTTTGAAGTGAGATTCCACCACTACCTACCCCTTCATTTAATAAAGATTCATTTTGAATTATTATGCATCGAGTCCTCTGATAGACACAGGGCAGGGAGAAGGGGAGAGACAAAGAGGAAATGACAAGAATGTGGGCCTTGCCATCAGTGTTCTGGGAAGGGGATGGTTGAGGGAATGAGGCATTGTAAGAGAGGAATGTAAAAATCTAACTTTTTGCAGTTCTTTTTCCCCTTTAATCAAGCCCACATGTTTAACACCAGGAACTAAATGTGGTGAGGAGAGAAGGATTATAAAAATGTTCACTTTCATCCTACAGATATGAGAAAACAAGAACATATTGCCATTACTCGACAACTTTATAGCTCCAAATAATGCTAGCATGCAGTAAATCAATGCAGGCTTTCGCTGGCTCATGGAATGCATACCTCACGTTTGCTCTGAGAGGGAGCCCGTGTGATTCCATCTAGTGCCAGGCTGCCAATGGCCCTAGACGGGATTGAGGAGAAGGGGCTGGGGTTGACAGGGGGAAGTGGGGGTCCGATCTGCTCTCAGAGCCAACAAATTCTCCAATCCCTAGTCCCTCAACAACCTTCCTTCTCTTCTTAAGGAATGACAGAAATCAGGAAATATTACTTCGGCTTGCAGGCTTCTGTCCTGGCCTATCAAACCCACAGAGAAGTCTCAGCAAATTACTGGAAACTGCACTTTGAACTTAGTCCCTGGCAAGCAGCCCAGTCAAACAGAAATGTAAAAGTTCCTTTCCTCCGCGGGGCCCCTGCACCAGGGTGTCCCTATAGACACTCTAGAGCTGATTGCAACAGGTTGGAATGAGGCCCCACGCCAGGAAAACAAGCCCTGACCAGTATGATTTCCTACTGCCTGTGTTGTTTCTTAAAAAGGTTTTTTTTGGCTTGTTCTCCCTCGTTTTGTTGGACTAGGTTACAGGCTCAGGTCCCATCGAGGAAAAGACTGGCACCATTTTCACAAAATGCTTAATCCTTGTTTAGTTCGAAAACTGCTCCATCAGCGCCACCAGTAAGTGTAGTCATGTTGGGGGGCAGCTGGGGGAGACTGGTCAGGCCAGTTGCTAAGCAAATTCTTAGAACTCCCAGGGAATCGAGAAGTAATTAGCTTGTAAACCCTGCAGATATTTCTACCTCCGACAAGGGAGACAATATTTCTCTGCCCACAAGGCTTCACTACGTGGTACTAAAATAAACCAACAACAGGGACTGGCATGGAATGAACAGCCTCAGCCGTGCCCGGTCCCATAGCTACTTCTCCTTCATAAGGGGAAACAAAACATTGGCCTCTTTCTAACTGTTATATTTCTAAGAAAACTCAATTTGTACAAGCAAATAAACTGACTCATTATAAAACTAAGAGGTCAACAAGAGGCAGATAAAACTAAAGGTTAGACAGCTGGAGAAACAAGCCTCTCTTCCAGCTGTAATGGGGAGCTCCTTTGGAGGAAGCAACAAGTGCCTTGGGGGATCCATCGTCAACCTGGGAAGAGGAGGGGGCAGGAGAAGAAAGAGGAGCTCTGGCACACTCAAAGCCCATTTTCTGTTGGATCAAACATTCCTTTCGGAAAAACTAAAACTGATGCAAATCATAGCCAGATCTGGCCAGCAGTGACCTAACTCTCTTAATGTGCAATTATTTTCACTGCTTTCTCATAATGGGTTATTTTTCTACATTTGTATTGTTGCATATGCAAAGTGTAAACAGGGCAGTGATCTACTCTTCTGATAATTTTATAAAGAAAATTTCCCAAATGTGTTTTTTAAAGCCCTACATTCTCCCTAAAGGTTTCACATGGATTGGTAGAACCGCTTGTTTCATCTCTCAGCCCACAGCTTACCCCTTCCCTGCCTCCCTGACCTCCAACTGACCCAGTTCTGTAATAATCAACAGTCAATGAACACCACACAATTCAAAAAAAAAAAAAGAAAATGCTATTGGGCAAAGTTGCAGTTAGGGCACTCCTGGTTAGCCCTGTCATTTTTGAGGGAGGTTCCCACAGGTTTTTTATTCTCATTGTTAATGCAGAACTTTTGCACAGCATTTTTCATCTCTTTCCCCCTCTCCTGCCTCCCAGTGGTTCTAGTAGAAGTAAGGTAAGAAAGAACAACAAACCCAAGTTTCATATCAAGTCTACAAAGATAGTATATTCAAGGTGAATCATTCTCTCATCCAAGTATTCAATGTACATTTATTATTATTCCCTCTAACAAAGCAAATATCACCATACATATATCCCTCTTAGTCTCTATGTCCTCATTTACAAAATAACCTGATACAAAAATACCTACCTCCTGGGGATGTTGTTCCAAGAGATGACAAGTGTGGGTGGTCACACCCAGCATGCAGGAGATTCCCTGGGAATAACTGCAAATAGAAGGCTGGATGCTAGATAAGAGGTGGGAGCTGGAGGGGGGCCTCTGGGTAGCAGAAGAACAAAGCCTGCTGGAGAGTATGAACTCCCTAAGAGAAAGGGCAAAGGGTGTAAAGCAGAATCAGGAACTTAGCTGGGTGGGTATCAGGAATTAGAGCAGTGTGAGCCGGGCACAGTTGTTCTGCCTGTAATCCCAACCACTCAGAGACTGAGGCCGGACAATAGCTTGAGGCCAGGAGTTCAAGACCAGCCTAAGCAACATAGTGAGACCCAGCCTCTAAAAGAAGAAAAAAAAAATTAGAGCAGTGCCTCTTGAACTCTGGTGAGAGAATCTCCAGGAGGGCTTGAAAAACAAACAGACCCCTCTGCAGCTCCCACCCCTTTCAGATCCAGTCGGCCTGGCCAGACCCCAGGTGGTTCTGATGCGGGACATCCACAAACCCCACTGAGAAACACCAAATGAGAGAGTGCGAGAAAGAGGAAGAGGGTTAGGGTGAAGTGGAGGGGGATGGAAGGCAGCAAGAGACACCCTAGGAAATGGGCGAGCCTGGTGTGTAATAGCAGCACAGGCTCAAAGGAGGAGAGCACTTGCTAAGGGGCTGGAGTTGGGTTAGAACCAGCAGCCACAGGGAGGGCAAGAACACAGGACTCAGACAAGGCCTTGACTCTCTACAGGTTCAGTGGAGAGGTGGAAGGAGAAGATTATTTTGGTTTATGTTGTTAAATGCTAAAATTCTATTTAAAAAATACAATACCCAAGCAAGCATTTTAAAATTTGAATTATGCTGACAGGATATTCAAATGAAAGTACTCTGAAATTCAGATGAATCCAAGCTCCTTTCAGGAAAGAAGCTTCATTCAAGTAATTTAGGTGGTTGGCTGCCGAAGCCACACAACCAAATCATCATGATCTACATAGATCTAAAACCACCCTATGTACACTACTAACAACAGGTTATTCATTTGTAATCATCTACTTCTTCAATTTCTTACTTACATTACTGACCCAAAACATGAACTTCTGTTCTAAGACACAGAGAAACAGAAAGCTAGAAGAGCTCAGGTTGCAAAGAAGGCCTCCATTTCATTTCAGCAATCCAAGGAGCCACTGAACTTCAGTTGTGTCAAATCACATGGAAAACTAGAACCATGTGGGTGATGACTAGCTACAAGTGAGGGGAAAATTCAGAATGCTTCCAAGTCAAACTTTCCAATTCCCATCTCCACTCGTGGGGGACCATAGCCATCCTTCTGATAACAATAGGGGGAAAAACTGCATTTATAAGGCAACTTAAAACCTTATAGAGAAGGCAATACTAAGATCCTCAGAATAAAAGGAAAAGGGATGAAAATTTGGAGAAAAAAAATGTCTAGGAGATGCAGCATGTGACTAACAGGATTCCCAGAAAGAGAGAAAAGACGATATCATGGAAGAAATTATCAAAGAAATAATGTGAGAAAATTCCCCATCAGGCCAGGCACACTGGCTCATGCCTGTAATCCCAGCACTCTGGGAGGCCGAGGCAGGCGGATCACCTGAGGTCAGAAGTTCGAGACCAGCCTGGCCAACATGGTAAAACCCTGTCTCTACGAAAAATACAAAAATTTGCTGGATATGGTGGCACACGCCTATAATCCCAGCTACTTGGGAGGCTGAGGCAGAATTGCTTGAACCCAGGAGGCAGAAGTTGCAGTGAGCCGAGATCACACCATTGCACTCCAGCCTGGGTGACAGAGCAAGACTCTGTCTCAAAAAAAAAAAAAAAAAAAAAGAAAGTTCCCCATACCTAAGAAATATGAGTGAGGGTCCATTAGGTGGAAAGTATAATGAATAATAAAAGATTTACAGCAAAGCACTTCCATGTCAAATTGAGATGGTCCTGAAGCTTCTGAAAGAGAAAAAAGGCCACAAATAAAGGACAAGTAGTCAGATTGCTATCCCACCCCTCAGCAGCAATACCTGGAGCCATCAGGCAAGTGAACAACATCAGGCAAGCAAAATTTGAATGCCTTCAAAAATCTGAAGGAAAAGGCTATTCCAACCTACATTGGATCTATAGTGTTAGTATCTAGGATCTATAGTGTTATTATCTAGGCATACTAGTAACTAACACTATACATTACACACAGACTGGGCAGAGACTACTCTCTCTTCTCTTGCTGAACATGTCTTTTTTGAGGCCTTTCCTTGGCATTATCTGACCCAGATTTTCTCACTTAAGGAGCTGCTTTTACCTAGGCAAGATACACTAGAAGATTTCTCCATAATGCCCCATGTTCATGGACTTAAAGTCTGCTGCCAGAGCTCAAGAGCCCTTGCCTTAATTCTTAGTCTCTTGACCACCATTACTATTAACCTTGCTATGTGTCCCCAAGCCCCATCCAATTTCACCCTCACTTCCATATTTCCATTATAAGCTTTTCTCCTGGACCTAGGGATGCTGACTATGACTCTCTACTTACATCCCTCTTTAATACATGGGGCAGCCCTCACTTAGTCTGTTGCACTCAAACAATGGGTCCGAGACAGGAAAGATCAAGTGGAGCCAGGTTGAGGCTCAGAGCAAAAAGGAAATAAGGGATGCTACTAAGAAATGCCTCTGGACTACAATTGAAGAGCTTTCTGCTTTGTTCACATTTGAGCTCATTGGGGTGGAAGAACACATAGGTATTCTGGGCAAAAGTCCTTTTAAGAAATAGGCATTTTCCTGGAACATCATCTTTGTCATGACTCTCAGGATCCTTAAGCCCAATGGTGGGAAAGAAGTTCTCTGGAGTTTGGGTCCAGCAGAGAAGAGAAAAGGTAAACCTATTGCCTTACTCCATTATGATTAACAGAGTCCCCTAAGTAACAACTTATGAAGCCCAATAAAGCATCTGAGACATTAAGATTAAAAAAAGGTCAACTTTATATTTACTTAGAAATGTACAATACAAATTTCCCCAAGCTCCAGTCCTGGTGCAAATAAACTGCAGTTTGTTGGACAAACTCAACATGTCCAAAACCTAATTCATTACCTTCTTCCCTAAAACTCCAACGTCCTTACTTTAGTCAATGGCATCACCAGCATCCTCTTCACATGGTTCCCAAGCTAGATGTGATTTTTGTATCCTCCCACTCCCTCACGCCAGCTGGCAAATCCCATCACACCTGGAGAATCCTGTCGGCCCTCCTCTGCATTGGCTTTCCCTTCTGTAACCTACCCATGTTCCCATGGTCACTCCATTTCAGGCCCTCATTCCCTCCAGGTAGACCATAGTTTTCCATCTACTGCCACTGAAGAAATGAATCCAAAGCTGAGTTCCAGTCATTTCTCACCTGTATGGGAGACCCCAGAACAGAACTCTTACTTTCAACTGAGTCACACTGCTGCTCATAATAAAGTCTATATTGGCCAGGCGTGGTGGCTCATAATCCCGGCACTTTGGGAGGCCGAGGCGGGTGGATCACCTGAGGTCAGGAGTTCTAGACCAGGCTGGCCAACATGGTGAAACCTCGTCTCTACTAAAAATACAAAAATTAGCTGGGCATGGTGGCACATGCCTGTAATCCCAGCTACTCGGGAGGCTGAGGCAGGAGAATCACTTGAACCTGGGAGGCAGAGGTTGCAGTGAGCCAAGATTGTGCCATTGCACTCCAGCCTGGGCGACAGAGCGAGACTCTGTCTCAAAAAATAAATAAATAAAATAAATAATAACATCTATATTGTGACTCACATTCTGGCCAATGAAATGTAAAAATAATAATAATGATAACTTTTTTATTTTGAGATGAAATTTCACTCTTGTTGCCCAGGTTGGAGTGCAATGGTGCAATCTCAGCTCATCGCAACCTCTGCCTCCCAGGTTCAAGCGATTCTCCTGCCTCAGCCTCCTGAGTAGCTGGGACTACAGGCATGCGCCACCACGCCCAGCCTTCTTCCTCCTTCTTCTATCCTGCAATGCAAGCATGGTGGGTCGGTCCAGCAGTCATTTCAGACCATGAGGTAACTGAAGTTTAAAGCCTGTTCCACTAGAACAGAAAAGCAGAAAAATAGGAGAAGCCTGGATCCCTGCATGACTGCATGGAGCTGACACACCTGCTCTGAACTGCCCAACTCCAGAGTCTTGTACATGAGAATAACTTATCTGTACTTCAGCCACTATTTCTCAGGTCCCTGTACTCACAGCTGCATGTAAAACATAACTGACAAAATTTTGCTCTCAAAAATCATTGGTGGCTCCCAAATTCCAATGAAACAATGCCCAGATTCCTGGTCTCACAGCACCATAGCAATCCCAAATCTGGACTTAAATTTCATTTCCAATCTTGTCTTCCACTCCTTTTCCTCTTGCAATTAATAATCTAGCCAAATGAAACAACTGTGATTCCCAAGGCACATGGCTATCACCAACTGTGTTAATAGAATTGCAGATCTTTCAAGCTGAAGAGGAACAGGACCTCAGCAAGCCTCTAGAGCAGGGGCTTTATGACAGTGTTTATCAGTGAACTGTAAACTAAAACCTTACACAAAACTCCAGATGTAAAAGATTTTTAAACAGCAGGGTACTCTGATTTTAAAACCACAGGTCTGGTCCAAATCTTATTTTATTTCCTTATAGGTGAGGAAACTGAGGCTCACATGGGTGGAAGTGGGTATAATTGGTCCAAGGCTGGTTAGTAGCAGGCCTAGAACTAGAAAACAGGCTTCCCAATACCTACTCTGTCTTTTCCATTATTTTTAGTAATAAATGATGCCAAGAGAGGTGCTCAAAGTAAAACTTAGTAGCAAGTCTTCCAATGCCCATCTTTCCAGTTAAGAGAAGAGGGACTTATAGTAAATAGGGATTTCCAGGCCTTTTCAATTTCTGCCAACTAGGGTAACTAGGGATACATCATAAAGCATCCTGGGGTTAAGTCCTATCAATCTGGAATTTTTCAAACACTAGAACATTTCCAATTTAGACCCATGCCCAGCGGAGCTGATGTAATTAGCCCAGCATCCAGAGAAGTGAGATTATATGCCAGGTCAGAGGATGCGTCTCCCCATGATACTCATAAAATCCTATTGGCAGGTGTTCACACTATTAAAAAACATCAAAATGTTGCCTTGCCTGGAAAAACCAGGCAAGTTTGGTTCTTTAGTCATCATGAGGGAGTTCAACAACCATATGTGGCAAGTTGAGCTGAAGATGCCTGTGCCGTCAGACCTGCCAAAGGGTACTGGGAAAACCTTGATTCTACCTGAGTGCATGTAAGGAAAGTCACTACTCTATGTAAATCAGAGGATGAATGTATCATTGAAGACACTTTCTTCAGTGAATCATTCAAGAAAGGATTTCAGAGAAGATCAAGACCCATTTCAACAAGGTGAAGTTCTGCTTTGATATTTATCTGTTTCAAATTAGGTCTCTTCTCTCCACTTGGATTATAAAACCACAAAGGAGAGGACAAAGTGTATGCCACAAGATAAACATTGTCTAAGGAGAAATTAAATGGGACGCGTTGTTGAGGACAGAACAGAGGAAGGGGAAGAAACAGAACTTCTGTAGGGTACCTGGGGGCAACGGTGGCTGATGAAAGTTCTCACATGTGACCCTCGACAGTATCCCTGCTTCTCAGAGAGAGGGCAAGGAGAACTGAGGCAGAATGAAACCGGCCGCTCACCTTCACTGAATAGTACCTGATTGGGGCATGCACAGGCTGCTAGTTCCTCTGGAGTCTGACAGATCTGCATCATAACCTGACTGCTGCACACTATGTGACCTGGGGAGAGTGACCTCTCTAAAACGTCTGTGAAATGGAGATGATAATATAGTACCTACCCGATTGGGTTGTTAGGAGGAATAGCGCCTGGCACACGGGAAGTACTCAATGCATCCCCAATACATGCTAACTACTGTCATGATTTACACTCATATATCCATCTCCCCAGATAACCCATAAATACCTTAAAAGCAGACACCATGCCCTTACTTCCCCACAGTTCACAGAATCCATACTAGATGCTTTAAAAGTGTTGGTTGATTAATGGACACTGGAAGAGGAGACTGAGCTCCTTAGATTACATGTGACAGCATGTTCCAGTTCTCAAAGAAACTCCCTACAAGCCCTTTATTTGGGCAGAAAGCAGCAAATTCTTGCACCCTTAAAGTATATCAAAGTGTCCCCCACTTTCCCCATTTCATAGATCAAAGAAGAAATCTGTCAGGAACAAACGAGGGACCGCGAGAGCCAGGGAAATGGACAGGAGGGACAGGCTTCCCAGCCGAGGCCTGCAGCTCGGGCTCCTGCCAGGGCGGCTTTGCCCTCCCCGTGTGCAGCCTCCGCGTTCAGACTTGTGCAGCAGCTCCCATAAAACCCGCTCCGCCTTTTCCTCCTGGAGATCGTCCTTCCTTTGTCTTGCAGCTCAGTTCACGCCATAAAACCCCATGGCCAATCGTGCCTTTTCATTTGGAATGATCAAAGTGGTAGCTGTCTGATGTAGAAGCAAGCACCTTTTAAATAAATACATGTTTTTAATTCTGATTCAAAACACTACCTTGGGCTCACCTGTCCCCTAGTTTTCTGAACAAGGTATGCATTTCCCCGGTGCAGGCAGGAAAGGTCACGTGGTCGCGCCTTCGCAGCAGCAGGCCGCCGCCTATCCCGTCTGGGGAATCAGGTTACCTAGAATGTCGGGCCACTTCTCAGAGTCTGGGTAGAGGCCAGAAGGACTGGGTGCGGGGAGTGGAGGACTGTGGGGAGACTGGGTGAAGAAACCAGAAACCTGGGAGGAGGAAAACAGGTTTCCCTTTCTAGGGCGCCTGTGCTGCAGGCACATGTAGTTGGGGGCTGGAGGGGGGAGGGCGGGGTGAAATACCAGTTACTTTTGTTTGTCTTGAAACAAAGAAAGAAGAGGAGGGAGGTGCATTTTTTGCCTGCAAATATATGTGAAATGCACACCTGAAGTTGTACTGGGTGAGGACCTAAGTCATTGGCACCCACACCGTAGTGGGACAAATCAGAAGGGTCATTGTATAAGCAGTGGCTACTGAGAATGGCTGTATAATAGGCGTATTATAAAATGCACACCTGGCTCCTGCAACACTGGGGAGTGAAAAACTACTCTCAGAGAGCCATCGAGTGAGCAATAGGATGAAGGTCTTCCGTTGTGTCAGAACAAGGTTGTGCACAATATACAATTCCAGGCATTGTGCAAGTTCTTCACAGAGCCCCACGTATGCACAAGTGCGCCTGCCAACCATTTACCAACCACCAAGTCATCTCAGTATCCCCACGATTTTTTCTTAAGACAAAGGGGGAACAATTTGCACTCTGCCCTACAGAATTTGTGAAAAATCACACGCTAACAGGGAAGTTCCTCCATGGTTTGCTTCTGAGTTTACCGTGGACAGTCTGGACTAAGGCAAGGGAAGAGTTTACCCTTTTGGGAAGGCAGATAACTCTGCAGGGGAAATAGGGGATCTTCAAGATTAATCCTTAACTGGAAATGGAAGAAAAATCAGATAATATCTTTTCTGCCGTCCCCTGATACCTTCAGGAGTTCAAACGTTTTCCAAGCCCGCGGCACTTGGCAATTATAATTACACAGTAAAATACCTAAGGTTAATGAATAACCTCTAAAGGAAGTTACTTCACATAATGACAGCAATTTCTCTGAACTAAATGTTAATTAATAAGGCCTGTAATACTATGAGAAGGAAATGGTGGCAATTGGCAAATGGAACTCTGTTGCTTGGTAACAAAACCTGAGGTATGAACATTTTCTTTACCTGACGGGAAAGGGGTGGGTGGAAAGATTACAGTTCCAGCCTGAACAGTTTGAAATGCAGGCAGCTTTATGAAGCCCATGGCTGTCCTGCAGCACATAAAGTGGAAGCATATGTGGCAGATCATTTTGTTAGCAGAGAGAAGTTGGAGGGGGAATAATTCCCTAAGAATTACTTAGCAGCACAGTAAAGGAAATGGGGTGTAATCTGTAAAGAGACTGAGGGCAACTTAGTTCACATTACCTGGTACAAATCACTGCTCAACAAATAGAACATTTCAGCAAAATCCACCTAAGAGCTAAATCTTCTCCCCTGCCTCTCTGCTTCAGTTTGTTCCAATGGAGACAGACACTTTGATCCTCCTGTTTGCTTTTTTCTGTTTTAGAGCAACTGTGGCATTTGAGAGATGAATTAGAAAAGGAATGCAATTAAGACAACCTAACAGTGCAGTGTTCCTTGTAGAGGAAAACTTTACGCATTTGAACTGCAGGCGCAGATTTAGTTGAGTAATTATTGGCAGGCTGAATTGAAAAAGCCTAGAGACAACTTCTTCCAGCTGGTCATTAATCAACAGGAAATAGCCTACAACAAGGTCATTATTACCTTAAACCATTACAAGAGCATATTCAGTGAGAGGCTAAGATAAAATTGAGGGCTTTAAATCCCTGTTTGTTTTATGGCAGTGGTTTTCAAATCTGCCAGAATATCTACATCACCTCAACAGCTCTTTTTAAAATGCAGATTCTGGGGCCCCACTCTTGGAAAGTGATACAGTAGATCCAGGATAGGTGCCTGGGAATGTGTACTTTAAATTCTCCATGGTGTTCTCATCATCAGCCAGGTGTGGAAACTGTTGCTCTAAATTATGTTAGCAGTAGAGTTTTTTGCTTTGACCAAAGATAGAAAGTGAGAGTGAATACTCTTTTGCACTTGAATATATTTTCATTTCTGCTCTAAGAGAAGTTTATCTATACAATTAAAGATAAATATTCTAAGTGCATTATTTTTTCATTTTTTAATATTAAAAAAGTGTTAAAACTGAATATAATACCAAAAACAGTTGACTTTCTGACTATACCATCATTTAATTAAAAGCTATTTTCTGTAACTTGAGCATCTTCCTAAGCAGCCAAATAAAATCATCTGCCATAGGAGTCTTAAAAGGCTCACCCTTTGCCCACAAAATGGGCCAAGTTTGTCCCCTAATCTTGGTTATTTTTTCATGGTGTTCCCTATGAAGCATTGGCCAATGCTTTTAGAAGCCCTTGGTAGACTTCTTTCTTCCAATTTTCGCTTCACCACATGCTACCTCTGAGTTCTCTCTCCAATTCTTTGATTTCTTTAAAAATAATAATCTGCTATTATTTAGCTGTGGGTCTTAATGGACTAGTATTATTTTGGCCAAATAACACAAGTAATAGACAAATAACTAGGTGGGTGGGCAACTTGATTCAAAGGAATGACTCTTGAATAGCAAGATGTTTGGGACAGATTAAAATTCTGGTCCTGAAAATGATAATATCTTATACACAGATGGCATTCTGAATCTTTAGGGTCTCTGCATTCTAAAGATCTTTAGGATCACTATGCACAATGTAGGGAATTACATATTAATAAGGCTTTCTAACTATATTCAAAGAAATTAAAAGCCATCATCACAAGGTCAAGAGATTGAGACCATCCTGGCCAACATGGTGAAACCCTGTCTCTACTAAAAAACTACAAAAATTAGCTGGGCGTGGTGGCATGCACCTGTAGTCCCAGCTACTTGGGAGGCTGAGGCAGGAGAATCGCTTGAACACAGGAGGTGGAGTTTGCAGTGAGCTGAGATTGCGCCACTGCACTCCAGCCTGGCAACAGAGCAAGAAAACGTCTCAAAAAAAAAAAAAAAAAAAAAAAAAAAGAAAAGAAAGAAGAAATTAAAAGCCATCGACTAAATAAATAAAAGAAACACCATCAAAATAATTAAAAATAAACACTACCAGAATGTGTAGATTGCCTGAGCCACAAGAAATGGGTGCCTCACAAAGGGTAGAACTGATGACAAAAGCTATTCCCATTTTCCCCAAATCCCATACAAGTCCTTAACATGGACATTTAGAAGCCAGAATTAGGTTCACCTTAACCCCAAATCCTAATTTATGAGAAAGTTCTTTAAAAGAGATAAAGTCTCTACCCTTACCGCCAAACTCTGGGACTAGCAGGAACTTCTGAGTACCTCCACTATGGTACTGATAATTCTCTGGACATTTAGAACAACTCTCTTCATCCCCAGTCCTGCCCCAAAAGACATACAACACCTTAAAGATTACTTAGAAATTCTGATTCACCAACCTGCTTGAACTGAGGCTGCCCAACATTGTTGAAAGCTGGGAGAGCTGTTTACCCTCACATCTTGCAGTTCGAATGTGAGCCTTACGGAATGTGATTGGCCAGGCAGAGAAAAGCTACTCTTCCCTGAACACTCCTGGCCACTCCCAACAACCTCCCTTTGCTCTCACAGGACTTTTGCGGGTAATCCCAGTGACACCTTTCATGAGGCATTGTGATAGTGTTGACTTATCTGTCTCCTACATTGGAATATAAACTCTCTGAGGGCAGAAAGTGGATTTTACTCAATTACTTTCCAGGGTTGAGCTCAATACCAAGTATATTAAAGGGTTAGATACTGATGACTAATAAATGCATAAAGATTGTCAAAGAAAACCAGAGCTAAAAAGTAAAATAATAAAAAGAGATTTTATTCAGGACTATTGCAATCTGGAAAAAGTACAGAACTCAGTATAGAACGATGCTCAATTCTTTTTTTTTTTGAGATGGAGTTTCGCTCTTGTTGCCCAGGCTGGAGTGCAATAGAGCGATCCCAGCTCACTACAACCTCCGCCTCCCAGGTTCAAGCAATTCTCCTGCCTCAGCTTCCTGAGTAGCTGGGATTACAGGCATAAGCCACCATGCCCAGCTAATTTTGTATTTTTAGTAGAGATGGGGTTTCTCCATGTTGGTCAGGCAGGTCTTGAACTCCCAGCCTCAGGTGATCCACCCACCTCGGCCTCCCAAAGTGCTGGGATTACAGGCGTGAGCCACTGCACCCGGCCGATGCTCAATTCTAAATACAGCATGAGGAAGTAGGAATTTATAGCCAAGAAGACTGGAGGTTGGAGGATAAAAAAATTACTAAGAGGAATATCAGGGCTAAGGGGAGATTCTGACCAAACTAACCTAACAGCATTTTGCTGAGGCAGGCCGGGGTGATCAGACATCACCTGAAAGATGGTGGAGGATGAAGAACCCATCTAGGCATAGAGGGTGGTCAGACATGGAGGATGGGAGATTCATGCTAAAGTTAGCAGGCTTCATGCTAAAACTGGATTTTATAAGGAAGTGCACAGATGGGCCTAGGAGAAGTTTCAGGAGCCTGACTAAAATTTGATCAAGCAAATAATCTTTGTCAAGATCTATGCTGCTAAGGATTGCTTTCTCTGTGTTAACCATTATCTTCTCATTTCTCTTTTTTTTTCTTTTTTTGAGTGACACGCTAGAGTGCAGTGACATGATCACATGTCACTGCAGCCTCAGCCTCCAAGGTTCAAAAGATCCTCCCACCTCAGCCTCCCGAGTAGCTGGGACTACAGGTGTGCACCATATCCAGCTAATTTTTTAATTTTTTGTAGAGACGAGGTCTCACTATGTTGCTCAGGGTGGTCTTGAACTTCTTAACTCAAGTGATCCTCCCACGTTGGCCTCCCAAAGTGCTAAGATTACAGGCATGAGCCACCGTGCCTGCCATCATTTTTTTTTTTTAAAGAAGACAAAATACTAGTGATGCACTTAGTCACTGATACATTAATAAGAATTGTTACAGCTGGTGATTCTTTTGCAGATCAGAAACTCTGGTGGACTTGAGAATATAGTCAGAAAGGCACACAAAAGTCAGAGTAAATAATAATGGGAAGAGACCTTTTTGCCAATATTTCACCCTGTCCACAGGTTGATCCCAAACAATTCATTTTTCCCACCCCAGGGGACAGGCGGCTGTATAATGCTTGGTGATTTGCTTGATATGGGTTTGTCCCATAACCCACCACTAGGATACTGAAGACAAAATATGTACCCTACTTGAGGCCTAAAATGGATAGTGATAATTTCTTGGTAAATTACTTACCTGGTACAAAAATGCACTACTCAAAATAAACTTATGGCAATTCTGACACTAACCTATAATAGATCAGCAAGGAATGTAAGATAGGTATGAAGAAGGTCTGGAGGTTTAATCATGGAATCTGGAGTCAGAGAGACCTTTGTTAAATTTCTGGTTCAGTCATTTTACAACCTGCATTTCCTTGAGCTGGTAACCTAACCATCAGATTTCTCATATGTAAAATAGTAATAGTAACACCCCTACTTTCTCACAGGATTGTTTTGGATCAGCAATAAAACAACTGGCCACTGGCATATAACAACAGTAGGTTTGATGCTTTTATCATGTGCTTAATAAATGTTAATGAAATAAAACGGAATGGAATGGAATGTACTAAGACAGCATAGCCCATGGTTTTTCCTCCTAGGATACACAGCCTACTTTAGACTCTTCATTATTTCTTTTATTTTTTATTTTTTTTGAGACAGAGTCTCGCTCTGTTGCCCAGGCTGGAGTGCAGTGGCATGATCTCGGCTCACTGCAACCTCTGCCTCCCGGGTTCAAGTAATTCTCCTGTCTCAGCCTCCTGAGTACCTGGGATTACAGGCACGCACCACCACGCCCAGCTAATTTTTGTATTTTTAGTAAAAATGGGTTTTCACCATGTTGGTCAGGCTGGTCTCAAACTCCTGACCTCATGATCCGCCCATCTTGGCCTCCCAAAGTGCTGGGATTACAGGCATGAGCCACCGTGCCCAGCCAACAATCTTTATTCTTAGTGCACAAGAGAGTATTAGGATTTGCTAGAAGTTGAGTCCCCATAACACAAAATGAATGAGAGATTAAATTGTTTTCCAGTTAATTTGATCACTAAACATTGTTAAACTCCATAATTTTTTTATTTTTATTTATTTAATTTAGATGGAGTCTCGCTCTGTCGCCCAGGCTGGAGTGCAGTGGCACGATCTCAGTTCACTGCAACCTCTGCCTCCCAGGTTCACACCATTCTCCTGCCTCAGCCTCCCGAGTAGCTGGAAATACAGGCGCCCGCCACCATGCCCGGCTAATTTTGTGTATATTTAGTAGAGACGGGGTTTCACCGTGTTAGCCAGGATGGTCTCGATCTCCTGAGCTCGTGATCCACCTGCCTCAGCCTCCCAAAGTGCTGGGATTACAGGCGTGAGCCACCGCACCCAGCCAAACCCCATAATTTAAATTATCATACTTCTTGGTTTGACTAAATGTGTATGCTCAAAACTGTAGAACTGCTTCTACTGGTGCGCATCAAGGACATAGTATTATGAAACCTTAATCTTTAAAATCATGGACCTTGAAAAACCTGCCCTTTTTAAATCTCATCAGGGATTACAAGTCAAAATGAAATAGCTTTAAGCTGAGTAGGTTAAAGCAGCATAGCTTTGGTCCAAGAGCCAATCAACATTATTCCCTACTTCTGTTAAGAGATAATAAAGGCCGGGCGCGGTGGCTCACGCCTGTAATCCCAGCACTTTGGGAGGCCGAGGCGGGTGGATCACGAGGTCAGGAGATCGAGACCATCCCGGCTAAAACGGTGAAACCCCGTCTCTACTAAAAATACAAAAAATTAGCCGGGCCTAGTGGCGGGCGCCTGTAGTCCCAGCTACTTGGGAGGCTGAGGCAGGAGAATGGCGTGAACCCGGGAGGCGGAGCTTGCAGTGAGCCGAGATCACGCCACTGCACTCCAGCCTGGGCGACAGAGCGAGACTCCGTCTCAAAAAAAAAAAAAAAAAAAAAAAAGAGATAATAAAAAGTTTTCTCTTTTCTTTTAGAAATAATCAAAACCCTCTGCACTCACTCAGAAGTGTCCATAAGTCCTGTTCAAGTAATCTTAAAAGAGACTGTTCCAATATTCGATCTGCCTCGTTCAACAAGGTAAATTTAGCCTTTTCCCCTAGAATTGACAGTCTGTTTATCTGAACAACAAAACCCATAGTATGTGTAGTCCTTAAAGCCTCTTTGAGGAAGAAGCCCTGATCTGAATGTCCACTTTTAGGTAACTTTATGCCATTACCATTGGAGAATTGAGGCTTCTCTTTTTTTTTTTTTCTTTGAGACACAGTCTCGCTCTCTCGCCCAGGCTGGAGTGCAATGGCGCGATCTCGGCTCACTGCAACTTCCGCCTCCCGGGTTCACGCCATTTTTCCGCCTCAGCCTCCATAGTAGCTGAGACTACAGGCGCCCGCCACCATGCCCGGCTAAATTTTTTTGTATTTTAGTAGAGATGGGGTTTCACCGTGTTAGCCAGAATGGTCTGGATCTCCTGACCTCGTGATCCGCCCGCCTCAGCCTCCCAAAGTGCTGGGATTACAGGCATGAGCCACAGCGCCCAGCCGAGGTTTCTCTTTTAAACCCATGTTCCTTAAACATTTTTATTCCTGTAGGGTACTTACCCCTGTCTTATGTCCTCTAAAACGTAGCATATGTGGTTTCTGCTCAGAGTAAATTCTCAACACTGGTGATATCAAAGGATACAAATTGGGTATCTCCAGGTGCCTGGGATTTTTGAGTTTGACTTGATGAACACCGATCAGAATGTTAATGATCTGTCCAATGCCTATTTCTGGTTCACCTTCAAATTGACTTCTCAGGGACTAATAGTTCTCTTACTGTGTCCGGAATTGGTGGGTTCTTGGTCTCACTGACTTCAAGACTGAAGCCGCGAACCCTCGCGGTGAGTGTTACAGCTCTTAAGGTGGCGGGTCTGGAGTTTGTTCCTTCTGATGTCCGGATGTGTTCGGAGTTTCTTCTTTCTGGTGGGTTAGTGGTCTCACTGGCTCAGGAGTGAAGCTGCAGACCTTTGCTGTGAGTGTTACAGCTCTTCAGGCAGCGCGTCTGGAGTTGTTCATTCCTCCCGGTGGGCTCGCAGATCTTGCTGGCTTCAGGAGTGAAGCTGCAGATCTTCGCGGTGAGTGTTACAGCTCATACAAGCAGCGTGAACCCAAAGAGTGAGCAGTAGCAAAATTTATTGCAAAGAGCGAAAGAACAAAGCCTCCACAGTGTGGAAGGGGACCTGAGCAGGTTGCCCCTGCCGAATAGGGCAGCCTGCTTTTATTCTCTTATCTGGCCCCACCCACATCCTGCTGATTGGTAGGGCCCAGTGGCCTGTTTTGACAGGGCGCTGATTGGTGAGTTTACAATCCCTGAGCTAGATACAAAGGTTCTCCATGTCCCCATCAGATTAGTTAGATACAGAGTATGGGCACAAAGGTTCTCGAAGGGCCCACCAGAGCAGCTAGATACAGAGTGTCGATTGGTGCACTCACAAACCCTGAGCTAGACACAGGGTGCTGATTGGTGTGTTTACAAACCTTGAGCTAGATACAGAGTGCCAATTGGTGTATTTACAATCCCTGAGCTAGACATAAAGGTTCTCCAAGGTCCCACCAGAGTAGCTAGATACAGAGTGTTGATTGGTGCACTCACAAACCCCGAGCTAGACACAGGGTGCTGACTGGTGTGTTTAAAAACCTTGAGCTAGATACAGAGTGCCGATTGGTGTATTTACAATTCCTGAGCTAGACATAAACGTTCTCCAAGGCCCCACCAGAGTAGCTAGATACAGAGTGTTGATTGGTGCATTCACAGACCCTGAGCTAGACACAGGGTGCTGATTGGTGTATTTACAATCCCTGAGCTAGATGTAAAGGTTCTCCACGTCTCCACCCGACTCAGGAGCCCAGCTGGCTTCACCCAGTGGATCCCGCACCTGGGCTGCAGGTGGAGCTGCCTGCCAGTCCCGTGCCGTGCGCCCGCACTCCTCAGCCCTTGGGTGGTCGATGGGACTGGGCACCGTGGAGCAGGGGGTGGCACTCATAGAGGAGGCTGGGGCCGCACAGGAGCCCACGGAGGAGGTGGGAGGCTCAGGCATGGCGGGCTGCAGGTCTGGAGCCCTGCCCCGGGGGAAGGCAGCTAAGGCCCGGTGAGAAATCGAGCGCGGCGCCGGTGGGCTGGCACTGCTGGGGGAACCAGTACACCCTCCGCAGCCGCTGGCCCGGGTGCTAAGCCCCTCATTGCCCGGGGCCGGCAGGGCCGGCTGGCTGCTCCGAGTGCGGGGCCCGCCGAGCCCACGCCCACCCGGAACTCCAGCTGGCCCGCAAGCGCCCGCGCAGCCCCGGTTCCCGCTCGCGCCTCTCCCTCCACACCTCCCTGCAAGCTGAGGGAGCCGGCTCCGGCCTTGGCCAGCCCAGAAAGGGGCTCCCACAGTGCAGCAGTGGGCAGAAGGGCTCCTCAAGTGCCCCCAAAGTGGGAGCCCAGGCAGAGGAGGCGCGGAGAATGAGCGAGGGCTGTGAGGACTGCCAGCATACTGTCACCTCTCATTACTTCTCATGGCCCCAAAGGGTGAGGGTAGGGGAGATGGGGAAGGAAAACTCTTTGTGCCTGAATTCCAGGCCTACCCCTTGATTCTGATTAAAACCAAATTCCTTCCAGCCACCCAAATCCAAACTCTGGGGCTTTCTGGATTCCACTCCCTTTTTCATCTTCCTGGGCACAGAGCCCCAGGTCTGTCACCATGAGCTGCCTCTGCTCCATAGCTTCCATGTGCAATCTCCGAACCCACCATCGTCTGTCAAGCTTCAAGTCCCCTACCAGCTCTGTTCCCCATACAACTTCCTACTGTAACCTACTCTAAAACCTTATCTAAAGTTTTAGTCTTACTTTTTTTCTGACTTTTGGCTATCACCTCTTGTAAACTCAACATCTCTCCCAAGTACCATTCTTAGCATAAATTTCCAAAACCAATCACATTTCATTACTCTCTGAGGATGGGGTAAGGCTCTATCTCATGATTTTGAAGCAAAGCCAATATCCTGCCTTGTCAAATTATCAATGGGATTTTCACTTCTTTTCTGGGAGCCCCCCACTTATCACCTCTGGGTGTATGTGAAATAAACTATTTCTCCTGTTAACTTGTCCTTTGTAAGTATAATTCACAGGCTCCAATCACTGACCCTAACTAAGAAGGTAGAGGAAAAGTTTTTTTTCCTTCTTCTATGCATAGCTTACAGTGTGCTGCATACAGTACATGCTAAATAATTTTTGAGGAGATAAAATTATTTCATTTAGTCAATCTTGATCTCAGTTATGTCCAGACTAAGTGGAAATCCAAAAACATTTAGTTAATTTTAGCAGGTGAATGGTCAAATTAGATAATACAGACACTGCAAATGAATTCAGTTTTGGTATTTTGCTGCTGTATCTGGGATATTACCTGAAACTACCAACCCCAAAGAAGTGGTTAGATGCAGGAGCTTATGTATTATCTTAACAAAGAGTGGTGAGGTGTGGAGAAGAGACTAGACAAATGAATGGTGTTGGGCCTCTGAGGTGGGGATAAGTTGTGGAAGGTAATTATAAACTATATGGTAAATAAGGTTTATTTTGCAGTTTGAAGTCCTCTTAGGTAATAAAAGGCATCTCCAGATGAGGGGAGATTTACAAATTGTCTATATAAATACAAATTTCATTTACAAATGTAAATTTCCTTTACAAAAGGAAAATTTCTGCCCTGATTTTAGGCAAAAAGGTGAGGAAGCAGAGAATTATTTTTGAATGGCTACTGCTTAAAGAGTTGCCTGCGTGAGGTTTGGTGGCAAGAAGCAGAAGTCAGAGCCTGTGGTTCCTGTTGCTCTTCGGCGGTATGAAAGAGAGAAGAAGGCGTGCTTCATTATATGAAGCTTTGCTCCTAAGGTACAACTCTTGTAGACCTCCCGGACTCACCCAATTTCCTCATAGGCTTTTGCATTATCTTAAAAGATGTTTCCCTTAGTAATATGGAGGAGACAAAATCAATAATGTGCAATACATTTAATCAACACGAAAACCTGATTCTATCAGGAGAACAGATTAAAGGAGTCTTGCTTAGACTCCAGGGTAATTGACAGTTTTTCTGCCTTATATGTGGAATGATTATAACAAGTTGTAATTCAGATAATGAACTTCTTAATGCAGGAAGTTCTTCATTCAGGAAATAGAAGTTGGTGAAATTGAAACAAATTTATTAAGTAAATAAAGGGAAAAGCACAAAATACTTAGTGGCTAGAGTATTATCAATTGTAAAGAAGATTTGGAATAGAACAGTTAGGGAGCTATAATTCTTCAGTTTTTATACTGTTCTACCACTCTAGTATGTTGCTATAATTCTCTGAATTAATTTTTTTAAAAATACAACAGCTGTCTGGAGAAACCAATTTGATCTCACTTTTATTTTATTTTTTAAATGCATTTGATTATGTATATTTGAGGTTTACAACATAGTGTTATGGGATACATATAGTAGTAAAATGGTTACTATAGTGAAGCAGACTAACATATCTATCATCTCACATAGTTACTTTTTTGTGACAAGAACAGCTAAAATCTACTTATTTAATAAAAATCTCCAATACAGTATAATTTTACTAACTTTATTACTCATGTTGTACATTGGCTCTCTAAACTGCTTTGTGCTGCTATTTTGATCGCTTGACCTACATTGCCCCCATTTCCTTTCCCTCCCACCCTGCTCCACATCCCCACCCCCATCCCACCCATGGTAACCACTGTTTTGTTCTCTGTATCTGTGTATTTGAGCTCTTTTTAAATATGTATATATTCTACATAAAGGTGAGATTATATAATATTTTTCTTTCTGTGTCTGGTTTCTTTCACTTAGCATAATGTCCTCCAGGTCATATTGTGGTAAATGGCAGAATCTCCTTTTTAAGGTTGAATAATATTCATATATATATATATACCATGTTTTCATTATCTGTTTATCCACTGATGAACATTTAGGTTGTTTCCATATCTTAGCTATTGTGAATAATGCTGCAATGAATGTGAGAGAGCAGATATCTTTACAAGGTAGTGACTTCATCTTCTTTGGGTGTATACCCAGAAGAGGGATTGCTGGGCCATATAATAATTCTATTTTTAATATCTTTAGGAACTTCCACACTGTTTTGCATAAGGGCTGTACCAGTCTACATTCCCACTAATAGTGTACTAGGGTTCCCATTTCTCTACCTCCTTGCCAACATTTGTTATGTCTTGTCTTTTTTATAATAACCATCCTTACAGGTGTGAGGTTGATATCACATAGCAGTTTTAATTTGCATTTCCCTGATGATTAGTAATATTGAACATGTTTTCATATTCCTCTTGGCCATTTTTATGTCTCTTTAGAGAAATGTCTGTTCAGGTCCTTTGCTTATGTTTTAATTGGGTTGTTTTTCTGCTATTGAGTTATAAGAGTGCTTTACAAATTTCTGATATTAACCCCTTATCAGATATGTGGTTTGCAATTGTTTTCCTAGTCCATAGATTGCCTTTTCATTTTATCAATTGTTTCCTTTGCTGTGCAAAAGATTTTTGGTTTGATGTAGTACCATTTATTTATTTTTGTTATTGTTGCCTGAGCTTTTGGTGTGATATCCAAAAATTCATTGCCAATACCAATGTTCAGGAGTTTTTCCCCTGTGTTTTCTTTCAGGAGTTTAATGGTTTCAGGTCTTAAATTTAGGTCTTTTATTCAGTTTGAATTTATTTTCATGTATGGTGTAAGATAAGGGTCCAATTTCACACTTTTGATGTAAAAAATCCAGTTTTACCAGCACTGTTTATTGAAGAAATTATTCTTTCCCCATTATGTCCTTTCTGTGCTCTTGTCAAAAGTCAGTTGATCACATGTGCTTAGGTTTATTTCTGTGCTCTCTATTCTGTTCCATTGGTCTATATTTCTGTTTTTATGCCAGTACCATACTGTTTTGATTACTATAGCTTTCTAATATAATTTTGATTCAGAAACTGTGATGCCTTCAACTTTATTTTTCTTTCTCAGCATTTCTTTTACTAGTCAGAGTTTTTTGTGATTCCATGTGAATTTTAGTATTTTTTTCTATTTCTGTGAAAAATGCCATTAGACTTTTGATGGGAATTGTGTTAAATCTGTATATTGCTATAGGTAATAAGGACATTTTAACAGATTAATTTTTCCCACCCATGAACACAGGATAATTTTCCATTTATTTGTGTCTTCTTCCATCTCTTTCATCATGGTTTTATAGTTTTCAGTATACAAGTCTTTCACTCCCTTGGTTAAATATATTCTTAGATGTTTAATTTTTTGCTATTATAAATATGATTGTTTTCTTAATTACTTTTTTGGTTAGGTCATTATTTGTGTATAAAAATGCTACTGATTTTTTTTTTCAGGTGGAGTCTTGCTGCATCACCAAGGCTGGAGTGCACTGGCACAATCTCGGCTCACTGCAACCTCCTCCTCCCAGGTTCAAACAATTCTGTCTCAGCCTCCCAAGTAGCTGGGACTACAGGTGCCTGCCACCACGCCTGGCTGATTTTTGTATTTTTAGTAGAGACAGGGTTTCACCTTGTTGGTCAGGCTGGTCTCAAACTCCTAACCTCAAGTGATCCACCCGCGTCGGCCTCCCAAAGTGCTGAGATTACAGGCGTGAGCCACCGTGCCCCACCAATGCTACTGATTTTTGTATCCTGCAACTTTACCAAATTCATTTTTTTGGTTCTAAATGTTTTTTGTGGATCTTTGAGGCCTTCTACATAAAGGATAATATCTCAAATAGGGATAATTTTGCTTCATCTTTCTGAATTTAGATGCCTTTTTTTCTTCTCTGATTGCCCTTGTTAGTACTTCTAATACTACATTGAATAGAAGTGGTGAGAGGGGGCATCCCTGTATTGTACTGATCTTATTAGAAAAGCTTTCATTTGTACCTGTTGATTATGATCTTAGCTGTGAGCTTTTCATAAATGGTCCCTATTATTTTGAGGACCTTTCCTTCTATATCTAAACTGTTAAGAGTTTGTATCAAGAAAGGATACTGAATTTTGTCAAATAGTTTTTCTGCATCAATTGAGAGGTTCATGTGGTTTTTCTCTTTTAGTCTTTTAATAGATGTGTTACATTGATTGACTTGCATGCCATGCATAAATCCCACTTGTACACCACAGGGAAATCCCACTTGGTTCCGATGTATAACCTTCCTGATGTGTTGTTGAATCTGGTTTGCTAATATTTTATTGAAGATTTTAGTATCAAAGTTCAAGACTTATTGGCCTGTAGGTTTTTTTTACTTGAAGTATCTTTGTCTGGCTTAGGTATCAAGGTGACACTGGCCTCATGAAATATATTTGGAAGTATTCCCTCTAGCTCTATTTTTTTTTTTGGAAGAGTTTAAGAAGTATTGGTAATAATTCTTTTTTAAATGTTTTGTGAACTTCTTCTCTGAAGTCATCTGGTTCAGTGCTTTTCATTGCTGGAAGGTGTTTAATTACTTTAATATCTTTGTTATTGGTTTGTTCGAGCTTTCTATTTCTTTTTGAGTCAATTTTAGTAGGTTATATTTTTCTAGGAATGTATTCATCTCTTCTAGGTTATCCACATTGTTGACATATAATTTTTCATAATAATCCTTTATGATCTTTTTTATTTCTGAGGCATCTGTTGTAATGTCTCCATTTTTATTTCTAATTTTATTTATTTGAGTCTTCTCTCTTTTTTTCTTAGTCTAATTAAGGGTTTGTCAATTTTGTTTTTTTCCTCAAAGAATCAACTCTTGGTTTTATTGATTTTTTTTCTATGGTTTTTCTGTTCTTTATTTGATTTATTTCTGATCTTTATTATTTTCTTCTGCTAACTTTGGGTTTGTTTTTAGCTTCTTCAAATATAATGTCAGGCTATTTATTTGGGATCTTTCTTCTTTTCTAATATAGGCGTTTTGAGTTTAGTTTGTTCTTTTTCTAGCTTCTCAAGGTATAATGTTAGGCTATTTATTTGGTATCTTTCTTCTTTTTAATTTTTAATTAATTTATTATTTTATAAAGACAGTGTCTCATGTGTAATCCACGTCAGTGATGACCATGAGTGCCTCAGAGGCCTAGGCTGCAGGAGTTTCTGGCAGCAGTGATGGCAAGGTAGATTTTGTGAATTCCTAGTGGTAAGGGATCCTCCTGTTCTTATTTTCCCCAATAGTGGAGAGACTTGGATGAGGGGATCCCTCTTGGCCTTGGGTCTGACATGAGCCACAGGCAGCCACAGCAGTGCTGTGTTCCAGGGCACAAGTGCTCAGAGTGGCTATGGAGCTGAAGTCCTGAGCTGATCCCAACCAGGGAGACGGTATGACAGAGGCAAGGTGTTCTGCTCCCTTCTCGATGTGGCCATCTTGAGTTTCTGCACCCTGCAGGGTTTCTGCCACACCCTTGCTATGCTCCAGCACTCTCTTTTAGTCATTCGGGTTGAAATGTAGTTGTTTGTTCATTGTTTTAATCCATCTTTTGAAGGAGAGTGATAGTCGACCATCTCACTGACATCAATTTGACCTCTGTTTTTAAACTTTTCTCCAAGATTTAGCTACAAGCTAAATTTAATTGCATAAACTGGTCACAGCCTACATAATGGACAAGGCTTATATTTACCTTCATAGCACCATATTTTCCAGTCTTCTGGGACTGGCCTCCCTCACTTCCTATAAGGAAAAATAAAACTGGGCTTCCCTGCATTTTGATGGGTCTATGTATTCTACTGGTCTGGCTCTCCCCTTGACCACAGGGAGGCCCATGACTAAGGCCCAGGTAATTGGAGTAACTCCCAATGGCTCTATCAGTTGGTCCGGGAGTGAGCACCTGCCTAAAGGTAAGCCTTTCTGAGCCTTTCTTTTCTGGAGATTTCCCAAATGAAGCTGGAAAAAGGAGGTTTCTTTCCTTTGGCATTGCTAAGCCTTCCCCCAGGAATTGCCTTGTAACTTTGGAGCTGCCTACAGCCATCTCCATTCACAAAGTCATTCGAAGTGATGGAGAATGAGTGATCGCAACAACAGAAGAAAGATTTAAGGCAGAGAAATGGAAAGACAGTCGTGATGCTTCCAGCTCTGCATCCAAATGACTCAGAAGCCCACCCCATCTCTTCCTCTCCGATTATAACAGCCACCAAATTCCCCTTTGAGGGTAAACTTATTTGAGGTCAGAATGCATTCTGACCAATACACCTATATATCCAACAGGATTGGCAAGCAAACTATGGTACAGTCATAGAGTCAAAATTGTATGGCCATTAAAACGATCTTACCAAAGTATAGTTTTCAATAAAAGTTACATGAACAGATAGTATGCAAAGATGATCTGATATATTAAGTGAGAAAAGCTAGTTACAAGGCAATATTCATTGTATTATCTAATTTTGTTAAAAATAGTTTAATAACTAGAGACAATAAAATTTTAATGGCTTTTTTCTGGATGGTGGAATTACACATAATTTTTTATATTTTATAATTTTTACTTTTATGATAAGAAAAGCAATGCTAAAAACCAAGCCTTTGGCCTAATCTTTTTATAGGCCTATGTACAAATTAAAACTTAATCGCCCACTCATTCATTTGAATTTTACCATGCCCCTTTCTTTCTAAATAAGTTTCCTTTAACATGGTGACACATCATCCCTTTCCTTTTTCAAGCATCGGCACTTTAAAAGATGACATTTATAAGGATAGTAAATTATCAACACCTTCCGTCAGCATAGTTTATGGCTTTTTAGCTAGTGTAGGAGTTCACAAAAGAAACATTTTCATCTAAATGAAGTCACTCATTTAGAAGTAACTTTCTAATTATTTTCTCCATGGTAACACATATAACACATATAAAATATGAAAAAAATATGTTTATTCAAGTTTTTTTCTCTTTCATAACTATTTCAAAAAGCCTTAAGTGTGTTTTATACCTCCTTAAAAATTTCACCCTGTAGATGGGGTTCATTTTAACACTAAAGTCTGGGGCTTTGCACCAATAACCTGACTCTATTACTGCATTGCATTCCTGATGAAACGCACTAAGAGTTTAAAGTTTCTTTATTAAAATTTTTTCTCAAGAAAATGACTCTGAGCTTTGGAAAGCACTTCTAAAATAATGTCATATGAAAAGTGAACCTTTTATTAGACCTCAGACCACAGAAGAATCCCATGGAATTTTTTCTAATATAATTAACCCCTTCATTCGAGAACATAAGAGCTGGAGTATGGTTTAATAGGTAGATTTAGAGGCTTCTGTGCTTCCAGTAATCCTCCTTTCATCAAAACAATGGCTATAATTAATATTTATGATTTTGCCTTTCTCCTCAAAGGACTTTACAAATTGTTACCACTTACTAATGACACTTACTAATGAAGTACTTACTGCTCAGTCCAAAAGAGAAATTTACAGTCTTCTCAAGTTTGTTCCACAATGATGTGGCTACAAAGGAGGGTTGGTTGTGAGTTGATGGATTCAACTCCCCATTACCAAAAGAATGAGTCAGGAATGGGAAACCAATCAGTCAGTTCCAAACTGATTCCCCAAAGTTTGTGTGGCAGGATCACTGAGGATCACTGTTTTGATTTGTATTGTTTTATTCAGGATCTCCCACTATGATGTCCTATAGGGGTAGGTAAATTACAGCTGAGGGCCTGTGGCCTCAACCTAATTTTATAGCTACCCTTCTCCCTCCACCTCTCCTATCCCACCCACAGTGAGTTACTTTTACATTTTCAAATGATTGTTTAGAGGACAGAAGAAGAATATGTGACAGAGACTGTATGTGACCTGCAAAGCCCCAAGTATTTATTATCTGGTTCTTTAGCGAATAAGTTTACTCCTCCCTGAAAATCTAAGGCACAATAAGAAAAGTCGAACTGTAAAGCTGTTGCAATTCCAGCTATAAACATTGTCTAACATTCATGAAAGTGTCATTTAGAAACTTGGACTTAGTGTACAGAGATAAATATACTTTGTGGAAGCACATTTCAGGTGTCAGCTTTTTTTGGAGTCAGCACATTACTCTGGACTGACAGGATATAGACCTAAAAAGACCAAGTTCATGTACCAACATGCATATAGGAAACACTATACACACACAGGATATTCATCTACAACTTGGAGCTAACATCAAATAGGCTTGTTGGACTTTAGCACCACTCAGCAATAGTACTGAAAGAAAAGAATAAAAAGGAAGAGAAACCCAGCTCTTGGTGCACAACAATTTGGGAAGACCTACAGGCAAGACTGAGCCCATTCAGGCCAAACAGAGTCAGCACAATAGCAGCATGACTGTCCCACTGTATACCATTTGCATAGACTTCTACTTAGTTTTAGTTTTATCAGCAATTTGTCTGTTATTTATAAGCCATACCTCTTCTTAGCAACAACAAAAAAGGTAACATTATTAGATTCCCAATATATTAGCAACAAAAGCTACTTTTTGTGTGAGACACTGTCCTAAACTTGCTACATATATCATGCCCTTTGAGCCTCCAGTAAGACAGACATTGCTCTCCTCATTTTACAAGGGCTCATAGTGGCACGCCCCACATAATGGAAGCCATCTGAAGTAAGGTTAGTGAGGCTCATGGGAACAGCCTCTGGTTCATGTCAGCCTTTCTGCCAAGTTCATTACTGAACGCAGATCCCGTGTGACAGACTTTTCCATCAAAAATCCAGAATCCTATTGGAAAATGAATCAGATACAATTCAAAAATTGGTCTTTGTTGTCCCTATCTTTGGAAGGGGTAGTTAAAAACTAACCACAAAAATGTACCCCAATGTGGTGACGACACTATTTACAATATGATGCAAAAGGCTACCTCCTCTAACCCCACAGTGGGTACCTGAGCAGATGGCTAATGGTGAGTGGAAGCCAGAAGAAACCAAATTAAACGCAGGGACCAGACTTACAGAATTCCAGAACCAAACGATTGGAGCTGCTCACATGCCTTGGAAAGGGACCTAACACCATGAGATTGTGGGTCTGAATGAATGCCACTGGCCCTCCCAGTTGCTGTTGTTTCTTCTACACAGAGATACAACAACATTCACGTACATGTTTGCCACTCATCTGGCTAGCACTTAGCATTTTGAAAGCGTGATCCATTTCTTTTTTTTTTTTTTTTTTTTTTTTTTTTTTTTAATGAGACGGAGTCTTGCTCTGTCACCCAGGCTGGAGTGCAGTGGTGCAATCTCGGCTCACTGCAACCTCCGCCTCCCGGGTTCAAGCCACTCCCCTGCCTCAGCCTCCCAAGTAGCTGGGACTACAGGCACATGCCACCACGCCCAGCTAATTTTTTGTATTTTTAGTAGAGAAGGGGTTTCACCATGTTAGCCAGGACGGTCTTGATCTCCTGACCTCGTGATCCGCCCACCTCAGCCTCCCAAAGTGCTGGGATTACAGGCGTGAGCCACCGCGCCCAGCCAGTGTGATCCATTTCTTACTTTGGCACTCTAAGCCAGTCTTTGTGCTTTCCCATGTGTGTGTGCTACCCAATGTGACATCTAATATGGTATTTGACCTGTTTTCAGCACCTATTGGGTAGCTTTTCGGTTTTATGAGGAATTCATGCAGAGATAACAGCCCCTTCAGTAGCATTTAGATTTTGGGGTTAGCACCCAAATTCCTATTTTATCCACAGTTTAGCTGTCCAAGGAAACTACAACTAGAAGCATGAATGTTTTATTCTTAGAATTAAAGTTGCATGGCTCAAAAAAGAACAAATTTGAAAAGGGGAAAGATTTTTCCCACTCTTTTCTAGACATTGAGGCCGCTTCCAAGGAAAATTCTAAAATGGGTGGAGTTTACTTTAACAGCCACACAGCATCCTTTCTACAACCCTGTTCCAATTTCTGAACACAGAGCGAGCCTCCTCAGCCCACTGCCTCTTTAAGGCTGCCATGCTCTTCGAGTGTTCCCTTCTCCTTCCCACTCACCAGAGCTCCTCAGGAACAGACAGGGAGTCTCACCCACCTTGCATCCCTGAGACCCACCACACCCACTGGCACGCCATAAAATGTATTTCCGTGTCTATGCTGTCCTTCAATGCTGGAAATGTCATTCACCTAGATGGAAGGGAAGGTGAGCAGATAACACTTATTAAGTCCATTTTGTACTAGAAATGGAGTTAACATTTTTAATTTACTGTCTTAGTTAACTCCCTTTTTACTTCTTATTGTGGAAATTTTTAAACATACACAAAATTAAAGATAATGACGTAATGTACCTGCCCTACCCAGTACCCAACCTCTCACAAACCATCAACCCATGTCCAAAATTGTTTAATCTGTACCCTTCACAGTGGTTATAATCTCAATCCATCTCTACTTTGGTTAGAGATGATATTTTAAAACATGATATTTCTTCTTTTCCTTCCCAGGCCAAGTCCTTTAACCTCATGACCATCCCATTTCTGAACCCATACATTTTCCAGGAACTCTCAGTTTTTCACTGAGAACAGCAAGTGTGGCAAGAATAAAGAGCACAACAGTTGCCGTGAAGGCCATCCCCACCACGTGGGTGTTTCCTGAGTGAGATGACTTGCACACACAGTGCCAGGTAGGAGGAGAGAAAAAACCCTCATTAAACAGCTATCACTGACAAGGATTCAAGATAATAGGATTCTCACAATGAAACTACCATTCAGTCATCAAAGCTGAAAGCACTGGAGGGGAAATATCTGTCACAAAGGAACTAATATCTTTAAAAGATTAGATTTATTTATGCATCTAATTTGAAGTTTATTACCTCAAAGCATCTGCTCCATGGTTACATCGTGAATCCTAGACTGGCTCAAAGGCCAAAAGTTGGTAATAATCCAAATCCATCAACAATAGAAGGATTAAAATTTGTGGTACATTCATCTTGTGAAATGTTATACAGCTACCTGCAACCAAATGGATGAATCTTACACAACATTGAGCAAAAACAGCAAATCAGAAGAATAATTCATTGTGATTTCATTGATATAAAATGTAAAAGCAGGCAAAACTAAACAATGGTAGAACAAGAGGGAAAAGGAAGGAAATGATCATCTTCGAGTTATAATGATGGTTACCGTTCTGTGGCAAGAACAAGATTGAAATTCCATAAGGATAGGTGGGAAAGGGTGGAGATTTTCAGGTGTTGGCAATGTTCTATTTCTTAAGTTGGATGGTGGTCCCATAGAAGTCCAATTTTTTTAAGCCTTTTTTTTTTCTTTTTTCTTTTTTTTTTTTTTTTTTGAGATGGTGTCTTGCACTGTCACCCAGGCTGGAGTGCAATGGCGCGATCTTAGCTCACTGCAACCTCTGCATCCTGGGTTCAAGCGATTATTCTCCCTCAGCCTCCCGAGTGGCAGGGATTATAGGCACCCACCACCATGCCCAGCTAATTTTTGTATTTTTAGTAGAGACAGGGTTTCACCATGTTGGCCAGGCTGGTCTCAAACTCCTGACCTCAAATGATCCACCCGCCTCAGCTTCCCAAAGTGCTGGGATTACAGGCGTGAGCCACCACGCCTGACCATTAATGTTTTCTTCTTTAATGTAAATATATACGTATTATGTTCTTTTATGAAAGTATTTTATATTCTACAATGTAAAATGTTTAATTTTTTAAATTGCATGATAATTTTCCCATAATTTGGTTTTATAAAGCTCTAGAGAGAAAAGGAAAAGAAGCAACTTACTAAAAATATTCCCAAGGCAAAGACAAGGAACTGTGCCTCCACTCCTTCCTTTAGCTTGTAAGTTGCTTTGGGGCCCTGGGTTGCGATTCTTAACCCACAGTGGATGTTAAATAAATATTTGATGGTGTTGAGGGCTTAAGTAATGGTTTATGTAAACATCAAGAGCTGCTGCTCAGAACATATTCTCATGGCACAATACTAAATTGACCAGAGAGATTTCACTGTGGTGTGCCTCAGACTGTAGAATATAAGGAAGTCTCATTAACTTGTCAAGTTGACAGAGTTTGGGAATTTGTTTTGTTGTTGCAAACCCACTGTTTGCAAAATGAGTATTCTCATATATGGTCAGTAGGTCTGTAAAATAGCACATGTAAGAAGGGCAATTTGGCAATACTCATTAAAAGCCTTCAAAATAATAGTCTTGACTCAGCAATTTCACTTCTAAGAATTAATCGTAAAGAAGCCATCATGGAGTTTGTATGTAAAGATTTAGCTATAAGGACATTGTTTGTAAGAGTAAAAAATGGGAAGCAACATAGTTATCTGACAACATGGGACTTGTTAAACAGATTGTGGTACACTCCAGTTGAATTCCAGGCTGGGCGCGGTGGCTCACGTCTGTAATCCCAGCACTTTGGGAGGCCTAGGCGGGCAGATCACCTGAGGTCTGGAGTTCAAGAAGAGCCTAGCCAATATGGCAAAACCTCGTCTCTGCTAAAAATACAAAAATAAGAAAAATTAGCCGGGTGTGGTGGTGCGTGCCCGTAGTCCCAGCTACTCAGGAGTCTGAGGCCTGTGATGGCTTGAACCAGGGAGCCGGAGGTTGCAATAAGCTGACGTCACACCACTGAACTCCAGCCTGGGCAACAGAACAAGACTCCGTCTCAAAAAAAAAAAAAAGAGAATTCCATGTAACCATTAAAATTGATGTTGTACAGAAATATTTTAAAACATGCAAACATGTTTGTAATATACAGTTATTTTTTAAATCAGATTACAAAGCTATGTGTATAATTTAATAGTGAGAGAGGAAGGAAAGGAGGGAGGAAGGGAGGAAAGGAAGAAAGAGGAAGGGAGAAAGGGAGGCAGGGAGGGAACCAAACCACCCCAAAACTTAGTAGCTGAAAACAACCATTTTATCTCATGTTTCTATGAGTTGCCTGGGGTTACTGGGTTCAGATGGTAGAAGACTACCATAGGGTGATCAACTCTTCCCACTTTTCCGAAAACTTTCCTGGTTTTAGCACCGAAAGTTCCGTGTCCAGGAAACCGCACTCTGTCCTGGGCAAATGGGACCATTAGTCTCAGACTAGCCGCCACTTATGTATATCCAAAATGACACTGACAGTAAGTCGTGGGATTGTGGATAAAATATATTTTCCTTTACTTCATTCATCTGCATTTTCTATATTATATCTATGTATGCTTCTGAAACAAAATACATTTTTTAACTAAAACCTCATTACTTGCCTGTAATCTCAGCACTTTGGGAGGCTGAGGTGGGTGGACCACCTGAGGTCAGGAGTTCGAGACCAGCCTGGCCAACCTGGTGAAACCCCGTCTCTACTAAAAGTACAAAAATTAGCTGGGCATGGTGGTGTACGCTTGTAATCCCAGCTACTTGGGAGACTGAGGCAGGAGAATCACTTCAACCTGAGAGACAGAGGTTGCAGTGAGCCAAGATGGCGCATCTGCACTCCAGCCTGGGTGATAGAGTGAGACTCCATCTCAAATAAATAAATAAATAAACCCTCATTACTTATAAATTCAATTATGTATAACCATTTTAGTTCAGCAGCTGACTGAAGCTTACTTTTATACCACATATAAGTAGTTGAATAATAAAAATAAAATTGTCTGGAAGATGTTTTAAAATCTCACAGTTTAGGCCAGTAGTTTCCAATCTTGTTTCCTGCCCCACCCAAATGCAGATTTGACACACTCCCATCACCAGCAGCTCACCTGGCAGTGATTTTAAACCAGGTGTGGAGGGTGGAGCACTGTAGACTCAAAAAAGACCCCAAAGTCAGTCTGATGTGTTCCCTCTCATGTCTGGTTAAGAATAATTAAAACTTTTTTTTTTTTTTTTTACAGTCAGGTTTAAAAAAAAAGTTGGGTTTTACTATTCCATGCCAAAGTTGTTCTTTCTTAATTTAAATCTATGAAATTTTGCTTGGTTTAATATGCTCACACATTCATTTCAAACCTTCATGTCCTACAATTCAAGTCCATTAAAGAATAGTGTAACGTTTCAGTCACATGGGCTGACTGCGGTAAGGGCTTCGAGTCTTTTCTATAGTCTAGCATACTTGTTACATACATTCTTCTTTCACCAGTTTGAAATTATCCTGTTTTCACTATTCATTAGTTGAGCAGCCACAGGCTAGACTTATTTCCTTTCCATAATGAATGTTCTTATAACTTTAATCAGTCCAAGTTGTTGATTATATAGTCAGCTGCAGTAATTAAGATGATAAACTTAGCTAGCATAATCCTCTTTTAGCAAACTTCAGTCATGTTTTTCTCCCTTTCGGAATTGCATGTACTCAAGTATATACACACAGGATTTTGTTTTCTGGGAACTTGCCTTTCTGCATAAAATGTTTCTGCCATAAAAGATTCCCTAATGCCTTAAGAGAAATGCAATAAGAGGTGAATCATAAACTGTGATGGAGACGGGGAGAAAGGCAGGCATAATATTCTGGTTCTACTAGTGAAATAATTGTTTTACAGTATGTGAGCAATTTGATGCTAAAGCCATAGCCTGTTCAGAATCAACTGTTTCTCTTCCTGTGCCAGCAAGTTCTCATAAGTTACTGTAAGCCAGTAATTAAAAAACTAGCAACAGAGCTCTTCCTTACTAATGAGGCCGTGTAATTCTTATTCGTGGGGCAAAGACATGAGTCTTTACATTCAATGTTATAAAATAGAATATTCTCTTCTTCACGGTTCACAAAAGAATGTCATTCCAGAGGCATTATTAGCTTCACTGGGGTTATATTCTTATTGCTGGGGAAGTAGAAAGTTAAATTAGAAAAAAAAAAGTATTTTCTTAAGTAGCATTTGATTCTCCCTTGTTGAGTTTTATTTTACATTGCCATGTCTTATGGATTTAATTTCCACTAATACAGAAAAGAGGTCCTAGCCTTCTGGCAAGGAGCAAATAGAGGAATTATATCTCTGTCCACATGGGCTTTGGCAGGACAGTCTGGAATTGCTCAGGCTTAGCCCCGCAACCTCCTAGGGTCTCTGAATCAAATCCTCTGCCATTGCTATTGGGTGTAACTAGAACTAAGCAAGAGAAAACCAATACTTTCTAAAGCAAGCAGCACTTTCTCTTTATTTCACAAAAACCTTCTGATTAGTTGTCAGTGGATCTGCCTCATCCCTTTTCAGGTGGTGATTTGACACAATGGAAAGGAGGCACGTTTGGCCGTAACACACTGAGCTGTTTTATAAAGCTTACCTCATATGCCTTTAGACTCTGTAGAACATGTGGGAATCACATGTAAGCAGGAGAAATACAGACTGTGAAGAGTGACACAAACTCACTGGAGGGACAACTAGGAACAAAGAAGAATGGCTAAAACATTGGTTTCCTTTATAAGAGACTTTCAAAAGAAGTTTTCTTTTAATTGATTAAGTTTGATATCATGAGGTCTTTGAAGACACATATATATCTGTTTTGTAGGCTCATATAATCTTAGAGTTTAAAAAGATTTTATAGGTCACCAAACTCAATATTTTACAAATATTGGTACACACCAGCCACCTAGGTGAGCTTGGTCAAAATACAGATACTCTTGAGCCAAGATATCTGTATTTTTAACAAGCTCCCCAGGTGATTCTGTGGTATCCCAACATTTGAGACTCACTCATCTAGTCTAAGTTTCTATCTTACATAGGCACCTCATAAGTTACTGATATACCATTCTCCGTTGTCTCAGGCAGACAGCTTCAAATGTGAAATAATATTGGGCTGCTGGTAAATAATAGAGGTTCACAAAGTAATGTGCACGGTAATGTATGTATATGCCTAATGGCTGCATATGCCTTTTTCCTATGACTAAACAAATAGAAAAGTATTAAATAAGTAGGAAATACATAAGTTGCTTTCAGTTTTATCTTGATTTTCTTTTTTTTTTTTTTTTGAGTCAGTCTCGCTCTGTCACCCAGGCTGAAGTGCAATGGCACAATCTTCAGCTCACTGCAACCCCCACCTCCTGGGTTCAAGCAATTCTTCTGTCTCAGCCTCCCAAGTAGCTGGGATTACAGGTGCCTGCCACCATACCTGGCTAATTTTTGTAGTTTTAGTAGAGACGGGGTTTCACCATATTGACCAGGCTGGTCTCGAACTCCTGACCTCAGGTGATCCACCCACCTCAGCCTCCCAAAGTGCTGGGATTACAGGCGTGAGCCACCATGCCTGGCCTTTATCTTGATTTTCAAAGCAAATCTGTTATTAGGATTTGCTAAGCATGCCATACTTGGATAAACAGCAAGATCCATGAAAATCATCCAACCTTTCATTTACCACACACTTCTAATCAATTTAGATATTCTAACTTATGTAAATTAGCCTAATAGAAACCTAAAAAATTGGGGACTTTTTCAGTTATTCATCTCACCTGTGAATAACTGTTAGTATTTGTTCTTTAATTCTAACACAGATTTACATTAAGTAACTGAATATAGTTCTTGCCCATGTTAATTAAACCTTGTATGAATTCTGAAAACTATTTTGATGATTACATTTTTGTTACATAAATGAACTATTGTTTGTTTTAATAAATGGGTTTTTTTCTTTTTTTTTGAGAAAGGTCTCACATTGTCACCTAGGCTGGAGTGCAGTGGCACAATCTCAGCTCACTGCATCTTTGACCTCCTTGGCTCAAGCGATCCTCCAACCTCAGCCCACCAAGTAGCTGGGACTATAGGCAGGCGCCTCCGCACCCAGCCCATTTTAATAAATGTGAATTTAAACACGTGAAACGAGAGCAGGTGTTTTGTGGTCACTACTTGCAGATCTGACAATAGTTGTTAATCATTTCAGCAGAAATCCCATCTGTGAGTCTACAAGCTGAAAGTTTTCCTTGCTCTTTATGCTATCTGGCTGCTATTCACTTGTTCCAAAACACCAGCAAACTCTTCAATGGCAATGCTGCTTTGCAGATGTTCAGAGGCTACATGTATATGTTGGGAAGAACGTGCTTATACAGGGCTGACATTTTGACTTTTTTTGATGATGCAGAAAAGATTCTTATGAATTTTTGTTGCTTTAACATGGAAGAAATACAGTAAAAATTCATGAGTCCCACACTTGGCTTTCTCATGGATTCAGTTATGTTGCAAATCAAATCATATCCCCAAGTACATAGTGGTGTAAAGTGAGCCCTCTCATTGTGACAGAGGAAGCCAATAATATGGGTGTTTTCTCATCTCTGGACAACAGGTTACAATGGGATTCCACTATCTCAGCACTAGTTGTTTTACACTAGAAGTCCTGGTTAAGCACAGGCTTAGAGCTGGGCCTGATTTTCCTGACCACTAGCTCTTTAGGTTTGCCTTCATAGCTACGCACCAGAAGACCCTATATGCCCGCAAAAGAGCAATGTATTTTTCCATGGCATTCAAATAGGACACAACATCTGTTAGCAGTAGCTCTGATTCTGTCACCACAAGCTCTTGCCTCTGTCAACCCATCTCCTGTCCTCCAGTATAACCTACTTCATGATAGCCAAGTAAAGTCAACTAGGCTTTACTAATAGCCACAGAAGAGCCTGAACAGAAAGTGCTTTCCCAGAGTGGGTGGCATGGCTTGGCTTTCGAAATGTGACCTTCTAGAAATGGCATCCAGCTTCTGGAGTATAATGTGGAATACTGACACTAAGCATGTACTTAGGGGCTATAGAGTGGGAGAGGGAAGCACTGTGAAAAATCATTAAATTAATGTGAGAGGTGTCGGTTAAGCAGAGGTTTGTACCATCCCCTAGATCATAATCCCACTCCTGGTGTTATACTTCATATTACACTGGTGAAAGATAGCTAACTTTGAAAGGAAATGTTAGGACTAAGTAATGAGGGTCTTGTCCTTTGGAACCATCTTCAGAGTTTGCCTTTGGTCTGAAATGGTAATACCCACCACCATTCATTTTAGTATTTTCCTTATTCACCTAAGATTCTTGGTTGTTTTAAAAAACAGAACCTACTGCCATAGTATAGAAATGTATTCTTATTTAGGACATTCATTTATTTGTTCATTTATACATTTCTTCATTCACCTAATCAGCAACTGCTTAATGAATACTTACCAGTTGCCACAGGCACACATACATGAGTAAGTCCTTCCAAAAGGAACACACAGTGCAGTAGAAGAGATAGACGTGCACACAGCTAATTAGAGTACAAGAAGACACAGGTCATAATCAAGATATAAAATAAATACTATTTATGGGAACACAAAGGAGGGAGCAATAATTTAGCTTGGGTGGTTAGAGAAGTTTTATTGAGATGGTAAATCTAAATATAAGCTTGATATAGTTAGATGAAGGTTATACTTAAATGTCAATAGGAAGAATGATAGAAAAGAAAATAATTCTAAGTCAAAGTAATAACATAAATAAGGACATTAAACTATAAAAATACATAGGGGTAGAGGGACAAGACAATTTAATGGGGGAAGAATAGTCTTTTCAGCAAATGGTGCTAAGACAACTGGAAATCCACATGACAAACATGAATTTGGACCCCTAACTTCACACCACACACAAAATTAACTCAAAGTGGATCATAGACCTAAATAAAAAATCTAAAACTATAAAACTCTTAGAAGAAAATTCAGGAGTAAATCCTTGTGACCTTGGGTTACACAATGATTTTTTATATATGACACCAAAAGTACAAGCTACCAAGAGACTGGTAAGTCAGGCTAAATCAAAATTAAAAATATCTGTGCTTCAAACGACACTATTGAGAAAATGAAAAGAACCCACAGAGGGCAATAAAACATTTGCAAATCATATATCCAGTAAGGACTTGTACTCACAATATGTAAAGAAGTTTTAAAACTCAATAATGAAAAGACAAATAGCCTAATTTAAAAATAGGCAAATGATTTAAATAAACATCTCTTTAAAAATATGTAAATGGATAATGAACATATGAAAAGATACTCAACATCACTAGTTATTAGGAAAATGCAAATCAAAACCACAGTAAGATGCTACTTCACACATTGAGATGGCTATAATCAAAAAGACCAACAACAAGTGTTAATAAGGATGTGGAGAAATTGGAACCCGCAAGCATTACTGGTGGGAATGTAAAATGATGCAGCTGCTCTGGAAAACAGTTTGGCAGTTTCTCAAAATGTTACACACAGTTACCATATGACCAAGCAATTCCACTCCTAGGTATATACCCAAGAGAAACAAAAACATACAGCCCCACAAAGACTTGCACACTAATGTTCATAGCAGTATGATTCATATGGAGGGGATAGGGAGAAGAAAAGCCTGGAAAATAGAACAAGACCAGATGGTAGAAAGCGCTGACCATCACGTTAAGGGATATGGTCACAGGAAAAAGATCCCTCTAGCAACAACAAGAAAAATTAATTGAAGGGGTGTAAACTGGGCATAAAACCAGTGAGCAGGCCAGGCACGCCTGTAATCCCAGCACTGTGGGAGGCCGAGGCAGGCAGATCACAAGGTCAAGAGATTGAGACCATCCTGACCAACATGGTGAAACCCCATCTCTACGAAAAATACAAAAATTAGCTGGGCGTGGTGGCACGCACCTGTAATCCCAGCTACTCAGGAGGCTGAGCCAGGAGAATCACTTGAACCCAGGAGGCAGAGGTTGCAGTGAGACGAAATTGCACCACTGTACTCCAGCCTGGTGACAGAGCGGGACTTCCTCTCAAAAAAAAAAAAAAAGTGAGAAAATGTTTCCATATTCAAGATTAAGAGATGCTAAGTATCTTAATTAGGGCATTGGCCATGGGGTGACCAAAAAAAACTGATAGACTTAGGAAATATTTTGAGATAGAAAGCCTGAAGGTGTTTCTTAAAGAGGAGTTCCAAAAAGAATCTTCAGTATTGGCAGCATCACTGAAATAAGTATAGAGCTTCCCAAAGTCACTCCTGTGGAAGAACACATTCCATTCCCTTATGTCTTCTACAGACTCTGCACCACATGTGCTGGGCTGAACGTCTGCAGCCCAGGGACGTACTCCCTGAATGTGCTCACTTCTTATGAAGTTATTTGTTTTTAAAGGCTGACCTGTATTGTTCACGTTTCTGCATAGGCTCTTGTCAGAGAAATGGAGGAAAAGCAGGTAAACAGTGGTCCAAGTGGATAAGTTTGATAGTGTTTTTTTGTTTTGTTTTGTTTTGTTTGATTGACAGTGTGGCCTAAAACTCAGCTGTCTGAAATCGTTTACCAAAATCTTCCCTAAAAGTAGGAGTGGGAGTGAACTTCCATTGCTATGGTTCTCAGCAATTAAGAAAACAACAACAACAAAAAGCTCTATTTGTGTAAAATTAATCAGATTTTAAAATTTCATAATAATGTAAACCAAGTTGTATCATCCTTATATACTATCAATAACTTTACCTGAAATAAATTGTAACTATGAGCTCATGTAAGTGGCTTGCACAAACTTAAGGCATACCTTAAATCAGATCACCTGAGCACTTATTGAGAGCCAGAGGATATGAGAAAAATGATTAACTACTCCCCTGGCAGATAGGGATCAGGGGCTAGAACTGGAAATAAATGGACTCAGAAGAGAAATCAATGAACCAAATCATCTCCCTCCTTCCATCTCCCTCCTCCTTTCATTCCTAGCCGGGCTATGGAATGAAATCTTTGCCCCAGTCGCTCATAAACTCCTTTGCTTAAATTAGAAAGTTTAGACTCTATTCCCAGCCAAAAGACACGAAGGGTTTAAAATAAACAAGGTAAAAAACAAAATATCTGTGTTTTTGATCCTATTATACAAACAAACGATGGGAAAGACTGATAATGCAGTGAACACGATGCAGACGCCCCCAAGGTTACAGGCCTCTCTTCATAATCTGAGCTTCAGGCAGTGTGCAACATCTTGTATTAGATAATCATAGGGGATTAATCATGTAAAATGCTTGAAAGGTTTGTGCAAAATTTATGGATGTTTAGAAGGCCCCACAAAATACATTTTTAGTCAAACTGAGCTGAAGATGTATTTCACTATTACCAGTTGAAAGTGTAAGAAAAATTTGTGGAAAAGGGATGGTGGCCAGCTGTTTTTCATCTCCACCAAGAGAATAGGTTGAATTCGTGTTTAAATACTAGGGTTGGACAAAAGAAAGAACTTTCCAGCCATAATATTCCATCTACTGCTAAAATGGCACATGAAAGATGTTGTCTATCTCCATTAGAGAGTTTTAAAAGACAAATATGTTAGCTTGTTAGATGGATTATCTTTGCATAGGAAGGGAAGAATTTATCAGGCATGAGAAACATGAGGCTATGAATTCTGTCCTGAGAAACTAGAGTGATTAGCTTAAAAATGTGACTGTCACTGGACATCAGCTATTGATGTGGTTTCTCCATTATCTGGTTACTCTTAAACTAGCAACTAACCAACTTCAAGATGCGAAAATTATAATTAAAAAACGTTCTGCTTTTTCAAAGATAATGTTCAGTATTGCATAATTACTCCAATTAAAACTCTTAAAGGGATTTTTCTATTAATATTAAAAATCAACATAACATTCAATACCAAAATATATTTAGGAAAATAATCATGGACAAAGCTCAGAGAACATTCTGGGCAGTGGGGGTTGAGGGGGAGTGTAACTGAGGGAGTTACTGGTACAGGAATGGATATGTAAATCAAGAGAACAAAATAGAAAACAGGAACTATATCCAACTATTTGTTAAAATTTAATATATGACAAAGTAAATTTTTCACATAAGGGTGTAGAAAGGACTTTTTTTTTTTTTTTTTTTGAGAGATACAGTCTCACTCTGTTGCCCCGGCTGGAGTGCACTGGCACAGTCAGGGCTTACTGCAGCCTCAACCTCCTGGACTCAAGCAATTCTCCCACCTCAGCCTCCCAAAATGCTGGGATTACAGATATGAGCCACCTTGTCCAGTCAGAAGGATTTTTTTAAATGATGTTGGAATAAATAGTAGGCAAGTAAAAAAAAAGTCATTTAAGATCTATATTCTATCCGATATAACAAAGTAATATTTAGATGAGTTTATACACATTCAACAAACAACATGGAGCGCCAACTGTATACTGGGTATGCAAAATGAAAGACCCAGTTTTTGTCCTCAGAGGTGCTCACAGTGGCATGGGGGAGAAAGGTAAACAGAAAATTACAAAACAGTTTGATAGGCAAGGAAGTTCAAATTGCTCCTTCCACTGAGGTTGAACACATAAGGAGAATTCGGCAGGCAATGGTAAGGTACAGCTGCATTTAAGAAGATAGATGTTTCCCACTTGATCATGGTGGATAAGCTTTTTGATGTGTTGCTGGATTCGGTTTGCCAGTATTTTATTGAGGATTTTTGCATCGATGTTCATCAGGGATCTTGGTCTAATATTCTCTTTTTTTGTTGTGTCTCTGCCAGGCTTTGGTATCAGGATGATGCTGGCCTCATAAAATGAGTTAGGGAGGATTCCCTCTTTTTCTATTGATTGGAATAGTTTCAGAAGGAATGGTAACAGCTCCTCCTTGTACCTCTGGTAGAATTCAGCTGTGAATCCATCTGGTCCTGGACTTTTTTTGGTTGGTAGGCTATTAATTATTGCCTCAATTTCAGAGCCTGTTATTGGTCTATTCAGGGATACAGCTTCTTCCTGGTTTAGTCTTGGGAGGGTGTATGTGTCCAGGAATGTACCCATTTCTTCTGGATTTTCTAGTTTATTTGCATAGAAGTGTTTATAGTATTCTCTGATGGTAGTTTGTATTTCTGTGGGATTGGTGGTGATATCCCCTTTATCATTTTTTTATTGTATCTATTTGCTTCTTCTCTCTTTTCTTCTTTATTAGTCTTGCTAGCGGTCTATCAATTTTGTTGATCTTTTCAAAAAACCAGCTCCTGGATTCATTGATTTTTTTGAAGGGTTTTTTGTGTCTCTATCTCCTTCAGTTCAGCTCTGACCTTAGTTATTTCTTGCCTTCTGCTAGCTTTTGAATGTGTTTACCCTTGCTTCTCTAGTTCTTTCAATTGTGATGTCAGGGTGTCAATTTTAGATCTTTCCTGCTTTCTCTTGTGGGCATTTAGTGCTATAAATTTCCCTCTACACACTGCCATAAATGTGTCCCAGAGATTCTGGTATGTTGTATCTTTGTTCTCATTGGTTTCAAAGAACATCTTTATTTCTGCCTTCATTTTGTTATGTACCCAGTAGTCATTCAGGAGCAGGTTGTTCAGTTTCCATGTAGTTGAGCGGTTTTGAGTGAGTTTCTTAATCCTGAGTTCTAGTTTGATTGCACTGTGGTCTGAGAGACAGTTTGTTATAATTTCTATTCTTTTACATTTGCTGAGGTGTGCTTTACTTCCAACTATGCGGTCAATTTTGGAATAAGTGCGATGTGGTACTGAGAAGAATGTATACTCTGTTGATTTGTGGTGGAGAGTTCTGTAGATGTCTATTAGGTCTGCTTGGTGCAGAGCTGAGTTCAATTCCTGGATATCCTTTTTAACATTGTCTAGTTGATCTGTCTAATGTTGACAGTGGGGTGTTAAAGTCTCCCATTATTATTGTGTGGGAGTCTAAGTCTCTTTGTAAGTCTCTAAGGACTTTATGAATCTGGGAGCTCCTGTATTGGGTGCATATATATTTAGGATAGTTAGCTCTTCTTGTTGAATTGATCCCTTTACCATTATGTAATGGCCTTCTTTGTCTCTTTTGATATTTATTGGTTTAAAGTCTGTTTTATCAGAGACTAGGATTACAACCCCTGCCTTTTTTTGTTTTCCATTTGCTTGGTAGCCTGGTTCAACATACGCAAATCAATAAATGTAATCCAGCATATAAACAGAACCAAAGACAAAAACCACAGGATTATCTCAATAGATGCAGAAAAGACCTTTGAAAAAATTCAACAGCGCCTCATGCTAAAAACTCTCAATAAATTCGGTATTGACGGGACGTATCTCAAAATAATAAGAACTATTTATGACAAACCCACAGCCAATATCATACTGAATGGGCAAAAACTGGAAGCATTCCCATTGAAAACTGGCACAAGACAGGGATGCCCTCTCTCACCACTCCTATTCAACATAGTGTTGGAAGTTCTGGCCAGGGCAATCAGGCAAGAGAAAGAAATAAAGAGTATTCAATTAGGAAAAGAGGAAGTCAAATTGTCCCTGTTTGCAGATGACATGATTGTATATTTAGAAAACCCCATCGTCTCAGCCCAAAATCTCCTTAAGCTGATAAGCAACTTCAGCAAAGTCTCAGGATACAAAATCAATGTGCAAAAATCACAAGCATTCTTATACACTAATAACAGACAAACAGAGAGCCAAATCATGAGTGAACTCCCATTCACAATTGCTTCAAAGAGAATAAAATACCTAGGAATCCAACTTACAAGGGATGTGAAGGACATCTTCAAGGAGACCTACAAACCACTGCTCAACGAAATAAAAAAGGATACAAACAAATGGTAGAACATTCCATGCTCATAGATAGGAAGAATCAAAATCATGAAAATGGCCATACTGCCCAAGGTAATTTATAGATTCAATGCCATCCCCATGAAGCTACCAATGTCTTTCTTCACAGAATTGGAAAAAACTACTTTAAAGTTCATATGGAACCAAAAAAGAGCCTGCATTGCCAAGACAATCCTAAGCCAAAAGAACAAAGCTGGAGGCATCACGCTACCTGACTTCAAACTATACTACAAGGCTACAGTAACCAAAACAGCATGGTACTGGTACCAAAACATAGATACAAACCAATGGAACAGAACAGAGCCCTCAGAAATAATACCACACATCTACAACCATCTGATCTTTGACAAACCTGACAAAAACAAGAAATGGGGAAAGGATTCCCTATTTAATAAATGGTGCTGGGAAAACTGGCTAGCCATATGTAGAAAGCTGAAACTGGATCCCTTCCTTACACCTTACACAAAAATTAATTCAAGATGGATTAAAGACTTAAATGTTAGACCTAAAACCATAAAAACCCTGGAAGAAAACCTAGGCAGTACCATTCAGGACATAGGCGTAGGCAAGGACTTCATGTCTACAACACCAAAAGCAATGGCAACAAAAGCCAAAATTGACAAATGGGATCTAATTAAACTAAAGAGCTTCTGCACAGCAAAAGAAACTACCATCAGAGTGAACAGGCAACCTACAGAATGGGAGAAAATTTTTGCAATCTACTCATCTGACAAAGGGCTAATATCCAGAATCTACAAAGAACTCAAACAAATTTACAAGAAAAAAAATGAAAAACCCATCAAAAAGTGGGCAAAGGATATGAACAGACACTTCTCAAAAGAAGACATTTATGCAGCCAACAGACAGATGAAAAAATGCTCATCATCACTGGCCATCAGAGAAATGCAAATCAAAACCACAATGAGATACCATTGCATACCAGTTAGAATGGCGATCATTAAAAAGTCAGGAAACAACAGGTGCTGGAAGGCTTGTGGAGAAATAGGAACACTTTTACACTGTTGGTGGGACTGTAAACTAGTTCAACCATTGTGGAAGACATTGTGGCGATTCCTCAAGGATCTAGAACTAGAAATACCATTTGACCCAGCCATCCCATTACTGGGTATATACCCAAAGGATTATAAAGCATGCTGCTATAAAGACACATGCACACATATGTTTATTGCGGCACTATTCACAATAGCAAAGACTTGGAACCAACCCAAATGTCCATCAATGATTGACTGGATTAAGAAAATGTGGCACATATAAACCACGGAATACTATGCAGCCATAAAAAAGGATGTGTTCATGTCCTTTGTAGGGACTTGGATGAATCTGGAAACCATCATTCTCAGCAGACTATCACAAGGACAAAAAACCAAACACCGCATGTTCTCACTCATAGGTGGGAATTGAGCAATGAGAACACTTGGATACAGGAAGGGGAACGTCACACACTGGGGCCTGTCGTGGGGTGGGGGGAAGGGGGAGGGATAGCATTAGGAGATACACCTCATGTAAATGATGAGTTAATGGGTGCAGCACTCCAACATGGCACATGTATATATACGTAACAAACCTGCACGTTGTGCACATGTACCCTAGAACTTAAAGTATAATTAAAAAAGAAAAAAAGAAGAAAAGATAGATGTTTCTAGCAATTCCAAGTATTCCGTAAGGGAGCACAAAGACTATGTGTTGGCTGGGGAGGCAGGGTAGAACACAGGGGCAGGAAAAGAAAGGAAGTAGGCACAGGAGGCTCAGCAGCAGATCACAAGGGCCTTCTCATCTACAAAATTTGGATTGGATCTTCAAACCTATGGGGCTATGTGGAAGGAGAATAAGGTAAAGAAGTGGCATGATCAGATGTGTGGTTTAGACAGCTCCCTTCACAGCAACATGGTGGAAGTTTCCAACAGAAAAGGCAAAGTATTTGCAAGATCAGTTGAAAGGTGAAGGCAGTTTTCCCTGGAGGCAGGGAGGAGGGCCTGAATGAGAGGGCAGGACCCTAGGGATGGAGATGACCAGGGCAGAAGTTATTTCCCGAGCAACTTGGCAAGCCTGAGTTACCACATCTCTAGCATTTTGATCTGAGCTGCATGTAGGTGCTATTCATCTGAAAAGAGAATTCAAATGGGAGGTAGGTTTTTGGCAGCAGACGGTATTAAACGCAATTTTGGATATGCTGAGTTTAAAAAGCTTGTGGGGCATCAAGGGGAGAGGTCCATTTACAAACCTTGTTTTTGCAAATTTGAGAGCCATCAATAATATGAATGGTAGCCATTTATACATTATATTTAATTAAATATAAACATATACTGAATACTGACTATGTCCTGAGCTGTTCTAGGCTCCAGGGATACAGCAAAAACTAAAACAGACAAGGGCCTGCTCCCACAGGGCTCACACTGTCATGGCGTGGGTGGGGCAAGGGTGGGGAAACAGACAGTGATCAATTATGTACATATGTTAGGGGGTGATAACATCTGTGAAGAAAAATAAGGAGACTGGAGAGTGACTGGGTACAGGGCCAGATGGCTTAGGCAAGCGAGGTACTCAGGACACTAAATGTAGAGAGGCACTCATTCTCAGGTGCTCACCCTGCCCTTGCATGAGAGTGGGTGCCTCCTTAAATTCTGTACCCTGGGTATCTTGCTTGCCTCCGCCTAGTCCCAGCCCTGACTAGATACCTGCTATTTTCTATGGATAACCAGGAAAGCCTTCGTCTAAAGGTGACACTGGAGAACTAAACAACGAAGCAAGCCACATATCGCCATATGTGAGGAAAGAACATTCTAAGCAGACAAAATCATATGTGCAAACGCCCTGAGGCAGGAGAGTAGAGGTGTGTTCAAGAAATATTTCCCAGAAAGCTCACCAAGGGAGAATGTAGGAAAGAGTTCTCTCCCAATGAGAGAACTTCTCAGAGAGCACAAGTAAGGGATGGGCAAAGGGGAAAGGCCAAAAAAGACTAAGAAGGACAGGCCATGGAGGTAGGAGAAAAACAGGAGTGTGTCCTGTCACCACAGACAAGGGAGTAACTTTCCAAAGAGGTAGCAGTTGATACTGGCAACCACCACAGATACCAGATAAGATGCGACAGAAATCTTTCAGAGGCAGCAACTGGGGCTCTGTGCTGACTTTGGGGAAAACAGATTCTGACTTGGAGAGCTTTCCTAAACTAATTCCACACCTGAATGCAAATTTTGGTGTGCACTTGTAAATAATCTTCTTTCTGGTATGGAGAATCACCATAATTATTTCCATTTCAAACCCAAGCAAGCAATGCAGAAACTAAAAATTACAGTTCAATTTGAACACTTTCAATCCAGACATAATAGTCTTATGGGAACTGATTCATAATTAAAGCCTTTGAATTCATGTCCCAGCTGGCCGAACCCTCTCATAAGTAGAGTCAGTTGCTAAAGTATCCCTTCCCTATGGGAATACATAGTCTCATTCTCTGACCTTTAATCGAGGTCCCACATAACACACTGGTCTTAGGCACTCTAGGAATTCTTCACCCCATAGAATGTGAGCATCCCCAATCTCGTCCCCTTGGGCTAGATGAATGGGCATTATTTATTAACTATGAATGAACACAAAGCTCCGGGTTCAACTAAAACCAAAACTCTTCGCTGGATGGAGTAGTTTCCTTTTAACTGAATTCCAGTGCTTTAGGGAATTTGTGGCTTCATAGTCTCATCACCAAAACTTACTTACTAACCAAAACAAAGTAAAAAATATCAGTGAGTGTGTGAGGTTTCACGGTTTAATCAGAAACAGAGGGGGAGGCCATCACTGTAATGAAGTCCAACAAAAGACACATTACATAAAATCAAAAGAAAGCCAAAGAACATAATATGCTCAAGCTCACACCTGTCCATGGAATAATAACATTGTGTTCCATTTTTCACTATGCAAAAGGAAAAACCTATAACATTTTAAAACTACAAGCAGTGGTGGGGGTATAGCTCAGTGGTAGAGCATTTGACTGCAGATCAAGAGGTCCCCGGTTCAAATCCGGGTGCCCCCTCTGTGCTCTGGAGTTTTGCCGGGCGCGGTGGCTCACGCCTGTAATCCCAGCACTTTGGGAGGCCGCGCCTGTAATCCCAGCACTTTGGGAGGCCGGGGCAGATCACGAGGTCAGGAGATCGAGACCATGGCGGTGGCGGGCACCTGTAGTCCCAGCTACTGGGGAGGCTGAGGCAAGAGAATGGCGTGAACCCGGGAGGCGGAGCTTGCAGTGAGCCGAGATCGCGCCACTCACTCCAGCCTGGGCGACAGAGCCAGACTCCGTCTCAAAAAAAAAAAAAAAAAAAAAACTGCAAGCAAAGCTGTCTCAGGTTAACATTTGTATTTCTAAGCAAATTGTTTACCAAGCAACACTTAAGCATGTTTTTTTTTTTTTTTTTTTTTTTTTTTTTAAGACAGAGTCTTGCTCTGTTGCCCAGGCTCGAGTGCAGTGGCGCGATCTCGGCTCACTGCAAGCTCTGCCTCCCGAGCTCACCCCATTCTCCTGCCTCAGCTTCCCGAGTAGCTGGGACTACAGGCGCCAGCCACCACGCCCGGCTAATTTTTTTTCTTTTTTGTATTTTTAGTAGAGACAGGGTTTCACCGTGTTAGCCAGGATGCTCTCGATCTCCTGACCTTGTGATCCGCCCGCCTCAGCCTCCCAAAGTGCTGGGATTACAGGCGTGAGCCACCGCGCCCGGCTGAGCATGTATTATAAGAAAAAACACTGACCCTCGCCACTCCCAAATTTTTTATTTTATTTTTATTTTTTTCTTTAGAGATGGGGACTTACTCTGTTGCCCAGGCTGGAGTGCGGTGGCCTGATCACAGCTCACTGTAGCCTCAACCTCCTGGGCTCTAGTGATCCTCCCACTTCAGCCTCCTGAGTAGTTGGGCCAACAGGTGTGCAACACCACACCCAGCTAATTTTTTTTTTTTCCTGTAGAGACAGGGGTCTCACTTTGTTGCCCAGGCTGGCCTATCTTTTTTAAAAAATTTATACTAATAAGTTAACTTTGAAACCAGCTTAGACAGATTTTTTCCCCTCCAAATGATGCTTCTGTGAAAAATATGAATTATGAGCCACACCTGCTGGCTGACACCTGCTTCTGGCTTTTTCCTGCTCTAAAATGGCTGAGTGAAATGGAAATGAAGCAGGAATTCATAGTTAAGGGTCAATTCTTGGACCAAGGCCGTGATGAAAGAATGTACTTGGATAAGAAACAGAAGATCCTTGCACTTGGCCACTTGGAAAGCTTCTTGGTGGTAGCCTAGGCAGTAATTAATTCACAGATCCAGGTGTTGTATGTATGTTGTGTGTGCTCTCAGAGCATGTCAGGACAACTTGAGAGCAAGAAGTCTGCAGCCACGTGGTTGGGAAGAGAAAGTGCCTTTTAAGAAAAATAAAAAATGGATGTGAGCATTTCACATAGTCAAGTGTTTGCATTAGAGACCAAACAGACATCTACCTCTTTACAGAAATGTATTAACATGCCCGACACTGAAACACCTAGATTAAAATACTTCAACATCTATTTTATAATGTGTCCTCTTTATTTTACCTTCAAAACCACAAGACAATTACCTGCTTCCTGTTTAATATGTACTGAAAATGGAAACGAATTTGATTTTTACCTGACAGCTGTCCCTTCAGATTTTTCCTTTGTTTTGTATTACTATGGCTAGAACAGCCCAGCAGGACCATGACTGTATTTTTTTTTATTGTTTTTTTTGAGACAGCTCACTCTGTCGCCCAAGCTAGAGTGCAGTGGCACGATTTGGGCTCACTGCAACCTCCGCCTTCTGGGTTCAAACGATTCTCCCATCTCAGCCTCCTGAGTAACTGGGATCCAAGCCCGGCTAATTTTTGTATTTTTTAGTAGAGACAGGGTTTCACCGTCTTGGCGAGGCTGGTCTCAAACTCCTGACCTCAAGTGATCCGCCCGCCTGGGCCTCCGAAAGTGCTGGGATTACAGGCGTGAGCCACTGCGCCTCGCCTGACTGCATGTTTTAAACAAAAACTGAGACTTATATGTGTGGACGGTTGGTTGAATTCATTTCAGACTGACTGGGGGTGGGATCTGATGGTCCTAGTGTATCCCCAGTCCCGCTGCAAGTGGAGTCCTCCATGTCGTTAGGAAGATCAGAAAAGCTATCTTGTGAAATGTCACCATGCTCCAGGGCTCTATGGGCAGTCTTCCACTTTTCTACAATACCCCAAACCTATGTGTACCTTTCCCCAGCCTGATGTTGAACACACTCTAAATTACAGCTGTGGACACAGAAGCACAGGTGCGGCCCAGCTGCAGTGGCCATCCTGCCCATCAACCTCTCTGCTTACAAGCCCAAGAGGTCAATGCGAAGCAGCAGGGCCCCCTGAGGACAAGACGTCTCCCTTTTCCCGTAGTTGCACGGGAAGCAACCCGAGACCTCCGAACTTGATGTTTAATGTGAAAAAAGGAAAGAGAGGGAGCCCATGAAAAACAATCTTGCAAGAATTCTGAACACACTTCTTTCGGCTACTCTCTGCCTAAGTGCAAAGGGCACCAAAAGGGTACGTGGGGTCTCCACTGTACTCATGGCTCACCAAAAGAGGCGACTCCCTTCCAGCAATTACTTTTTCTTAATACGGAGGCGCTTCGGCAGGGCTGACCAGACCCATGAGTCTCTCATGCCCTCTCCTTGACAATGCAGCAAGGGGGAATAGCAACAGTTAAAAGAGCGGACCACCTTAAGTAAAGGAAAAAGCGTATTTCCATATTCTTAAACAAAGGGGTTCTGCACCATCTGTCCCTGTCTGGGTGCCTCCGCTCCACACTGAGAGGATTTGCGAGGGATTCAAGTGCACCTTATAGATTAAATAGTCACTCGGCTGCTTAAGCCCGGTTGCCCAGACAATGGCCGCGCAGAGCGCCCCTTCCTCCTTCCTTCCTGTCGAGCGTTCTGCCTGACTACACAAACTCAATGCGCGCGGCTCCCCCGATGCAAGAAGTGGACTTGACCGGAGCTAAAACCAACAAAGGCAGATTCTGGTGGGAGCTGCGGAAGCGCCGGGCACTGAGTCAACAAGCGGGTCGCATTGAAATGCAAATGGCGCGGCCGCGGCCCCGGCGCACCACCTCCCGCTCCTTAACTTCTCAACCCCCGGGCCTCGCCGGGCCTTGAATGGCTCCTTTGACGCGCGGTGGCCGGCTCGGGCCGTGGTCGCGGCCTCGGCGGCGGCGGCGGCAGCGCTGCGTCCCTGCGAACTCTTTTTTTTTTTTTTTTTTTTTTGCCGTAGTTATAATTGCCCTAACTCATCATCACATCATCATCATCACCCTTCCAGACTTGCGGGTGTACACAGCCTGAAGCGCAGAATTCCCTGATCAGTGACCGAGGAACTGAAAATTTCAGCCTGCTGCTAAGGGGGGAAAAAAGTTCCAAAGTCCAATTGTGGCGGTTAGGTTTTGTTTTTTCTAAGAATTTACTCACTTAAGTATTTACTCACTTAAATCCTGTGCGCTTTCTTTTATCCAGAAAGAACCAGACTTAAATTTTTTCAGGTGCTAGATGACATATTTAGCTTAGAAGGAAGTTCTCGCGGATGCTCTGTAAACGTTTAAGTAAAAACAAATCCCGTTTGGCACTTAGTTACCGCCCGCCGTCTCTCCCCACGCCTCCATCCCTTGTTTTACTTTGGCGAGATAATATTATCAGTTTGCTGTTTATTTTGTGCTTTCCCTAAGGTCTAAAGTTAATGCATGTCCTGTTAAAATTCCTACAGGACAGTAAAGGGAGAGTAAAGGTGAGTTTTCTTTACAGAAATAAAAGGCTAATTTAATTTTTTTAAACGATGAGTTACTAGTAGTAGTTTAAAGCTACGTGGTAATTAAAAGTCACCTGAAAACCTAAGATGACCTTCTACAGGAGCTATATTTGGCTGCTATTTCAGACTGTTAGGAAATAAGGACTGATATATCTATAACAAATATAATGAAGTAAATAATTTTTCAACTCCTAATTTTGTAAGTTAACCAGAATATAATCGTATTTGAACATCTAATAGTTGTGTAATTCACTGAAATACACAGATTATTTTGCTAAAAAGCAACTAAAGAAACATGCTACCATCTTTAATTTTGCATAATTTTTAATTTATTTGGTATAACAGAGTCGAATTTAAGAAAAACTTTCATAGTTGGCGTGGCTTAAAATCAGAATACTTTATGCTTTTTGAAGGTAGGTCTTTTCTTTTGGTAACACCTCCCTACCCAGCACACAGGTGTGTGTGCAAACACACACACACACACACTTTGGCCTATAAAAAATAATTGTTGGATTGCGTTGAGCTGAGTTGAGTAGACTTAAAGAGTCGAGTTGCTCTACAAGGCAAGATTCAGAATTACAGTAATGGCATTACTTTCTGTAATGTATATCCAATAGTTCTGCTTGCGCATCCATTCTCCCTTATAGAAGGTGAACCTAATTTTCATTCAGAGGACTATCCCTCTCCCACTCACAGTCTCAGTGGTTCAGTGAGGCCGACCCCATCCACATACATGGCTCCAGGGCCACAGCTAGTCCATACAATGTCTTCACACAAGTTAGAAAAATGCACTGCTTCCTTCAGGCAAATGAAGTCCAGCACCAGAGCACCAGCCTTGCCCAGAAAATAGCCAGGGTTGCACTGCCTTGTCAGCTGGGGCTTTGTACACTTCACATCACATGCAGTCCTTCCTATTTCCAGCAGTAAACATGTGACTGCCATCAGCCTATTCAGTCTATAGTGGTAAGTTTCAGGAACAGGCATATGAACCAAGTTGATCTCATGATAGCCGGGAACTTTTGCTGAAATTATTAGAATAAAGCCATTCTTGCTTTCTAGTGGAACTGAATAACTCAGGGGTTCCCAACCCCCAGGCCACATACTGGTACTGGTCCGTGGCCTGCTAGGAACTGGGCCACACAGCAGGACACTGCTCCCCATTGCTCACATTACCACCTGAGCTCCGCCTCCTGTCAGATCAGCTGTGGCATTAGATTCTCATAGGAGAATAAACCCTATTGTGAACTGCACATGCAAGGGATCTAGGTTGCCAGCTCCTGAGAATCTAAAGCCTGATGATCTGTCACTGTCTCCCATCACTCCCAGATGGTCCCATCTGGTTGCAGGAAAACAAGCTCAGGGGTCCCACTGATTCTACATTATGGTGAATTGTATTGTTATTTCATTATATATTATAATGTAATAATAGAAATAAAGTCCACAATAAATGTAATGCACTTGAATCATCCAGAAACCATCCCCCACTCCCAGGTCCATGGAAAAATTGTCTTCCACAAAACCAGTCACTGGTGCCAAAAAGATTAGGGACTGCTGGAATAAGTGGTAGCATACAGACTTGGGGCTGCACTCTACCATCCTGTCATCAGTGAGGAACAGTCATCCATAGGAAAGAAAGAGAAGGAGAGTGAGAGATTAACCATATCATATGAGCACCCAGATACAGCCATATCTAAATCAATCACCTTTTCAGTGATGTAAGCCAATAAATTCCTTCTTTTAAATAAGCCATTTTAAGGCCGGGTGTGGTGGCTCACACCTGTAATCTCAGCACTTTGGGAGGCTGAGGCGGGTGGATCACCTGAGGTCAGGAGTTCGACCAGCCTGACCAATATGGTGAAACCCCCGTCTCTACTAAAAATACAAAAATTAGCCAGGCCTGGTGGCACACACCTGTAATCCCAGCTACTCAGGAGGCTGAAGCAGAAGAATCGCTTGAACCGGGGAGGCAGAGGTTGCAGTGAGCCGAGATTGCGCCACTGCACTCCAGCCTGAGTGACAGAGCGAGATTCCTTCTCAAAAAAAAAAAAAATAAAGTAAAATAAATAAGCCATTTTAATGATTTTTCTGTCATTTGCAATCCAAAAGAGTTTTGACCAATACAGTTGCCGCAGTAGGAAAATGTAAATCTCACAGTAAATGATAAGTATGTAACCGAATTAATGTTGGGGTTTGATATCACTGCACTTGATAATTATTTCAGTAACAGGTAAATCAGTGTAAGTCAACTTTTATAAACAACCATTCTATTTCCCCTGCCTTTTTGTCTTCAATATATAATATATTAAATTAAAATATATAAATGAATTTTATTTTCTTTGGTGGTTTGAACGGTTTTCTCTTGGCAGTGCCCATTGTTGAAAACAGTTTGAGTACTGAATGGGATGTTTAGACAGAAAGGTTGAAAACTACCCAAGGAACAAATCCCCTTGATATGTTTAATTCTGATTGTAAGTGGAATTTTTAAAAAAAATCTTTTCACATCTATTGAGCAGTCTAATAAATCTGAAATTATATTAGTAAATAAAAGAACAAACCACATAGGATATAAGAACTTAAAAAAAAAACAGTAATCCCTGGATATCAGCAAAATTTTACTAAGAAAGAGTTATACCAAACTACATTTATTTATCATTTGATGACCAAGATGGCAGCTTGCTCTTTGTTCCCAGAAATAGTCAAGTGGAAGATAGAAGATGAATCGTTTGTTAGGGATACAGAAGAAATTCTGCCTGCAGGGAGAAGTTCAACTGGTTTCTAGGTTTCTTTTAATTTTCACATCTTGAGTTTATAATTCTAACATTTTGTACATAGCAGATATGAACTTTCCCCCAAATTAATTACTATCTTCTCATCTCTTTACCATGTTGTCCTCCCCCCTCACTTATCATTCATGATTATCATTTCATTACTTTGAATTGCATTTATTTGAACCTGAAAAAATTAAATTTTGTTTTCAAAAAAGTATAACAACCTGAATTGTTTCCAGTTTTAGCCCAAAGCTAAGTTCCTGTTGCTGTTTTTATTTGAATATACAAGAACAGAGGATTTAGATATGAATGAAAATTAAGAGAAACTGCAATTCATTTTTTCTAGTTCCTGTTCTTTGTTATTCTTGGCTGCACCATTGTCATACCTTAGGAGATTGAAAAGAAATGCCATTAGTTCTTTGTTTTGTAAATACGGACTTCTTTTCCTTTTTTGCTGTAATGTCTGACACATCTGCTTTCTATTTTTATATCATAATTACAAGTACCTCTTCCATAGCTCCACTCTTCCTTTGAAATTCCTCATCTTTAAGAAGAAATCACTCACAGCTAAAATGGCCTCTCTGACTCCCACCTGTGACCTGCCTATACTATCTGCTAAGTTTCATTAAATGGAGAATAGGGCCAGAGGTTTGACAGCTCCTGTAAAAGTGAACAATGAGTTGTGTTCCTCAGCATTTCTCTTTTCTTTTCTGTGTTTTTTTTTTTTTTTTTTTTGAGACGGAGTCTCACTCTGTTACCCAGGCTGGAGCGCAGCCGCACGATCTCTGCTTGCTGCAACCTCTGCTTCCCGAGTTCAAGCAATTCTCCTGCCTCAGCCTCCCAAGTAGCTGGGACTACAGGCACATGCCACCATGCCCAGCTAATTTTTGTATTTTTAGTAGAGATGGAGTTTTACCATGTTGGCCAGGCTGGTCTTGAATGCCTGACCTCAGGTGATCCACCCACTTTAGCCTCCCAAAGTGCTGGGATTACAGGTGTGAGCCACCATGCCCAGCAAGTTCCTCAGCATTTCTAGACCCTCTTGTAGCTTGACTTCCTGTGCTTCACAGGCCAAAAGATGAACTCCACACTTTCCAGACTCCCTTGCAGTGAAGGTCCGTATGAAATCTAGCTTCTGCCAAGCCAACATGACCACACAGAACTCGAAGGTGGAAGTGAACAAGGTGAGGAGATCAAGTCTCCCGGAAAGCAGAAACCTCCAATTCTTCTTGGGCAGCTGTGGAAGAGTTTCTGAAGCTCAGTTCCTAGAGTTGTAGGTTCCAAGTGACCAGGAGGCAATGCCAGGAGTGTTTTGCTCAAAACAGTCCTTTGTTGGACTTAGCAAATTTCTCAGGGCTGCTCCATTCCTAGCTGTTGTAGCAACCACTTGGGCATAGTTCTTTGGCCTCCTTCTTTAACTACCAAGTATCTGGTATCTGCTTGAACCAATTAGAGTGAATTCTGCTGCATAAAGTAATTGGTAACAGAGGTACTTCAAGTGAGGGAAATAGAAATCTGAGATTGGTTGTCTGACTTGGTTGGATGTGAAAGCACTGAGGATCTGGTTACTATTGGGAGGGAGCACAGTGATGGAGGTTGCCTAAACCTTTACTGGCAGTCACCAGAATACAGTCACTGGGACCACCAGGATGCTTCTTAGTGAAGACAAGGTTTTACAGACCAAGTGGCCACCATTATAGAACAGAATGGAGGGACATAAGCCAGACTACTTCCATTGTACTGGAGCACTTAAATAAAGAAAAGGATGACATCAAGGTTCTTAGTTCTTGTTTAAGGCCTGATCAGAGACCAAGGAATTACTATAATTACCCTAAAGACATTTTATCTTTTGTCAGCCACATTTTTTGTCTGACATAGCCAAAACTGAGATATAGAGTCTGATTCCATGAGTCCCTGAATTATGACATAGATGAATTTACATTCATATTAGGTCTCTTATGTGAAACTTTGAATCGCTTGTTACACTGCCAACCCCACCCTTAACTGGAATGGAGATATCTGGGAGGATTTAGCTGCAATGAGTGTCTAAACTGCCAAGCTCTAATGCACTAGTTCAGCTTAATCGGCTCCTCCTCTTCTGTATGTTGAAGTTGTAACTATCTTTCTTTAAGAGTCTATAACAATCTCACTTCACATAAATAACTTGCAATGAGTACCAATTCTCCTTATCCTTCTCTTCTACCACCATTCATTGCCTCAAGACTTATAACTACAGTCATATTCCAGCATTCACTAGATTATAAAATTAAACCAAAGAGAGAAAGACTCAAACACAATTGTATCATTTTTCTAATTTAGAACATCAAGAACATAGATTATATGTGTTGGAACAGACTCTAAGGTTTCTAAACAAAAGAGAGGGTAAATAATTTTAGATCAGGTTGAATTAATCAACATGGCTGCAGTTATCAGTGATTTCATCTTAAACAATTGGCGCTTGTTCCATTTGTTCACTTGGTTTTCTGAAACCTAGACTCAGAGTTGTTTCAGATGCCAGAAATTTCTTGATACCATGTAGAGGAAAGAACCTAAAGACTTAAAGAAATAGCTAGGTTGAGACATATTTTCATGTGCAGTCTGCTTACCCAGTTCCTAACTACATATACCAAGAGGGCCTAGAGGACACTCATTGAACCTTGACATTACATAATACATTGGCAAGGGTAAGTACCAACATTTTTTTTAATGGAGTGGTGGCTTTCCTTTGTAGGTCAGTAATGAAGGTCAGTAGTGAAGATTCCTCTTCAAAGGAAGCTTTAAATAGTCAGGTTATTAAGATTGCCTGTTTTCTAGATATTGGTTTGTTCTCTTTACTTAGCTATGTTTAGTTGGCTTATGAAATAAGAGACTGTAGGTATGGGGTTATATATGGGCTCAACATGGATTTTTCTCAACCACAGCTAAACTATCTATCTTCTGCAGTTTCTAATCTGCAAGCAGCAGAAAATCAATATTGAGCCTTTAATAGAGCAACCTGACCATGAAGGAACTAGGCAGTCATCAGGTAAGGTAACTTACATCGGATCCTTTCATCCTTTCATCATAGAGGGAATAGTTATTGTCCTCACAGATAGTTTGTTTTGGATATGGATTTGACCACCCTACTGCAATTGCTTCTTTATGCAGTAATTTACTTGTGCCAAATGAATGCCTTATTCACCAACATGGTCCACTACATACATCATTTCTTCTAATCAAGAGGATAAATGCACTGAAAAATAAACGTAAGGCAATGGTCACATGCCCATAGACTTCACTGGTTTCATTATCTACTCCACCCCTAAATAGTTGACCTGACAAAAATAATTGTGGAATGGCTTGTTAAAGACTTCATTACAGTCTGGCTGAAAGATATTTTGGAGATATATCTATCTCTCTATATCTATCTTTTGGAGATATATCTATCTCTCTATATCTATCTTTTGGAGATATATCTATCTCTCTATATCTATCTTTTGGAGATATATCTATCTCTCTATATCTATCTTTTGGAGATATATCTATCTATCTCTATATCTATCTTTTGGAGATATATCTATCTCTCTATATCTATCTTTTGGAGATATATCTATCTCTCTATATCTATCTTTTGGAGATATATCTATCTCTCTATATCTATCTTTTGGAGATATATCTATCTCTCTATATCTATCTTTTGGATATCTATCTATCTCTCTATCTATCTTTTGGATATATCTATCTCTATATATATCTTTTGGATATATCTATCTATCTATATATATCTTTTGGATATATCTATCTATCTATATATCTTTTGGATATATCTATCTATATATCTTTTGGATATACATATATCTATATATATCTTTTGGATATATATATATATCTTTTGGATATATATATATATATATCTTTTGGATATATATATATCTCTCCAAAGTATCTATATCTAAAAGATATATAGATATATATATACAAAAGATGTATATATATTCAAAATATATATCCTATATATATAAAGATTTATATCCAAAGGTATGTGTGTATATATATCCAAAAGGTGTATATATCTCCAAAAGGTATATATGTGTGTGTATATATATGTATATATATCCAAAAAGGGGGTGTGTGTGTGTGTGTGTGTGTGTATATATCCAAAAGACCTGAAAGCAAGAAGTCAAAGGTCAAAGAGATACTTGTATGCCAGGTTCATAGCAGCATTCACAATAACCCAAAGATGGAAACAGCTTAAGCATCCATCAACAGATGAATGGATAAACAAAATGTGGTATATGCCTGGAATGGAATATTATTCAGTTTTAAAAAGGAATGAAATTCTGATACATGCTACAACATAAATGAACCTTGAAAACCTTATACTAAGTAAAATAAACCAGACACAAAAGGGCAAATATTGTACAATTTCACTTATATAAATAATCCAAAATATGCAAATTCATAGAGACAGAAAGTAGAACAGAGGTTACCAGGGACTAGGGTGGGGAGAGGTGGAATGGGGGAGATATTGCTTAATAAGTGCAGAATTTCTGTTTGATATGATGAAAAAGTTCTGGAAATAGATAGTGGTAATGGTTACACAACATTGTGAATATGCTTAAAGTTACTGAATCATACACTTACAAATGGCAAATATGGTATATTTTATGTTGTGTATGTTTTACCACAATTAAAAAATAAATCCGCCCGGAAACCATAGAAACCTCATACTAGTAGGGTCGCCAAGAGTTCAGACCCCTCAGGCACAAAAATGATGATTGTTTCACCAGGAAAAGAACTCAGGCCAGCTGAGATGTTGAATGAAGGCACAGTAAACATTGAATGGGTAGTAGAGGAAACTATAAACGTCCACAATAAACTTGTGATCAGTTCAAAAAGAAGAGGATGGTTGGTTACAGCGGCTTATCATTTCTTTCCTCGTTTTAAAAATCCATTTTCATTATCTTAAATAGGGTGAATTGCTGGTGTTACTTTTATCATTTTAATCCCTAGGATACAAGCTAAGAAGATGGGATTGTGACTAAATTGGAGTAGAAATGAACATCACTCAGAGATAGATTCAGTGACTGACTTTTTTACTCCCTTTTTAGGGAGAGGGTGAGAATGTATTTGTAGGAGGATTCATTGCATTATGTTTGTCAGGCGCATGTTGCTCTTTCTGTTATTATTTGTATGGAAAGAATAAATGATATAGGGTACGACTGTGGCAGATATTGTAAGTTGTCTTACCCAATTTGCACCCATCCAAACCCTCTTCTAGCACAACATCCTCTATTATAAAGGTTGGAAAACTAAAAGCTAAATTTCGAAGACTCCCTTTACCTACAGTTCTTCCAAACAGACACACCTACCTGAGGTTTACATGTAGAAGTGAGCAGTGTTAGGTGGTGGCCATACACAGGATATCAGATCTTCTGGCAAGGACAGTGGCCCATCTGGTTCTTCTGGGCAGCTGCTAGCATCAAGTCCTGTTTCAGGTTTCCCCAGGAAGCGGACTCGAAAACGGAGGTCAGCATGGAGAATGTTTTTTAACAAAGCACTCTCAGGATCAACACCTGTGGAGGAAGGGAAGGCAGTAAGATTGTGCAGAGGGCAAAGTAGGACTGCAGCTTAGTCTCATGAAAGGCCTCAGTTGACCCCATGGGAAGCCATGAAACTGGGATGGCCCTGGAGAGTTGTCCTGAGTTGAATCAAGAGGGCTGGGTACCTTCAGTTGGAGCAAAGGTAATTTCCAGACAGTGCTGACAGTTGAGCAACACACCCGGCAGCACTTCCAGCAGATAGTGGAATAAGTCCTTCCATACTCACCAGGGGATCTGGGTGGCATATCACAACATCCACTAGAGTATACCCTTTGCATTGCTTGGATCCACAGCCTTCACATACCTTCCGGAAGTAACTCCTCCAGGACTATGGTGGCCTCTTTTCCTGGGACAAAATTCTAAGAAAAAGGTTAGCGGTGCAAGCTAAAGTCCCCACCACTGCAGTTGGTCACGTCGTATCTCTCCTCTACTCCATATTCTAGATCTCTCTAACCTTTAGGTAGCTCTTCTGGTTTGAGTAAAGTGTCTGGTTGGATGGGGCTGTCATCAGTAGATTGCTGAAAAATATTCCACAACCAGTTCTCCAGGGGAGAAAAGAGTCCTGATTTACAACATTTGCTGCTTTCTGTAGTGACAATAGTCCTACTGTGGCCATTACAAGCTCCCAGTGGGATATCTGTGTTGCAGGATTGGGTAGAGATGCATACATTCAGCACTCAGAAGCCTGTGTGAGCTACCTTCAGCACACCTCTGGCTATAATGCAACCACTGTACATTTTCAGTTTGCATCACGTTCCAGGGTGACTCAGGTAAACCAAGCTTGAGTTCTATCCTCCTTCAGCTGGCCGTATAGATCCCCAATACGGCAATAGGTTCACAGTTGTGACCCAAGAAAAGGACACTAGTGTAACATGGTAGATACCTGGGGTTCTCTTCTAGCTGCTCATGCAGCTGCCTTGTGCCCATCAGCCCTCATGTGCCTGATCCTGAATGTACTATTTCTGTCTTAAATGGATTGCTTAAATGGATTGCTTGTCTTGCCTGACTCATAACTCTTGCAGAACTCAGTTGATGACAGGCAATTCTGGCTTCATGGTCACTTGATGACCCATGGTCAGGTGTTCTATCTCTACCAGGACTTAGTTGCCAGTCAGCAGCTGATTTTCTAATGCTATAAAATCTTTGCTTCAGAATCCTAGAGGTTTATATTGTGATTCCCCTATTGGGACTTACTTTCATCTCCTCACAACATATTTTCCCACCACAGATTCCTCCAATATTATAGGTTCTGCTGGACTGTATTGCCCAGATGAGAAGGCCACTTGCTTTGCAGCCTGGACACACTGCAAAGCCCTTTTCTGCTCTAGATCCCACTTACAGCTGGAAGCATTTGGAATCACCCCAAATAGGAACAATATTGCCAGATGTGGACTATGATGCTTCCAAACCCAATTAGTTCTACCTAGTTTTGTGCTTCCTTCTTTGTGATAGGAGGTGTGAGGTGCAGTCATTTGTCCTTTGCTTTGTAGTTGGTACAACCAAAAGTTGTTTCAGCATGTCCCAGACCACTGGATTCCTAAAAGTGTTACTGATAAAGGCCAGCCCCTGATTTATCAGAGTGTTTATCTTCTACCTCCTGGAGGAAATTTTTCTTATCAAGGTTTCCAACATATTTGCCACTTACTGACCACCAAGTCCAATTAGCTGATATCCCCCTAGAGTCTCCATGTGCCTCCAGTCTCACAGGGAAGCCATAACAACTCTTCAAATTTCTGAGTATCAATGTCAAGTTGAAACAGCTCTTGAAAGGTTGGGTGTTCCCCTTTCCTCGGTGTATGTTCTTCCAGGTAAGTGACTATAGACCCCTTGGATAATAACTGGGTGGGAATCATTATCATGTATGTTTACCACCTTGTTGCAAGGTCTTTCTTCCTTAGGATCTGTTCCCTCTCCCCTAAGACTCCCCTACACCTCGCGTAGCTAGCTACTACTCATCTTTGAAGACTCAACTTGGACATCATTTCTTCTGAGAAACCTTTATTGAAAGATCACACAAAATTTCCTCTATCTCAATGCAAATGAGTCCAAATAAGGTACTCCCTAGCTCCCAGTCTATTTATGTCTGAAATATATCACTTATCAAAAGAACCTACTGGTGGGAATCAAATTATCACCTTTCAGAAAATAGTGTGCTGCTATATATTATGAGCAGTGGATCACTTCCTATAGCTTTTTGACCAAACAATTATCTCTCTGTAATCTTATCTCAGGGAAAGAGTCAGACACGTGGGCAAAGATTTTGTACAACAGTGTTTAGTTAGGCTCTGTTTTATATTGATGGGCTAGAACTACAACGAATCCCTAGAAAACATATAAAATATATTTTAACATAAACATGCACAGTCAAGAGACAAAACGTAAAGAGGAACTCAGCGAATCAGAAACTGAAGGCCACAAAATTGAATAGAAGAAGGAAGACACAGGCCAGAACGTGGTCAGGGAGCTACTACTTTGGAATGAAACAGCAGCCTCCTGTTTGGAAGTATAGGAAGAAGGGTCAGCCTGCACAGTGATGGACAAATTGGGGCACTGCAGTGGGCCATCCAGACAACATAGACAAGGATGGGTGGGCAACAGAGACAAGGATTTCTGCCTCCAGGTAGAAGCAGTGAGTGTGGGGTTTGTGTTTTAGGATGAAAAGAAAAAAATGATAATAAAAGTAGCTGAAAAAGTCTGGGCAGGCTGGGCCACGCGCAGTGGCTCATGCCTGGATTCCTAGCACTTTGGGAGGCTGAGGCAGACGGATCACTTGAGGTCAGGAGTTCAAGACCAGTCTGGCCAACATGGCGAAACCCCATCTCTACTGAAAATACAAAAATTATCTGGGTATGGTGGTGCATGTTTGTAATCCCAGCTACTCAGGAGGCTGAGGCAGGAGAATCCATTGAACCCAGGAGGTGGAGGTTGCAGTGAGCCCAGATTGTGCTATTGCACTCCAACCTGGGCAACAGAGCAAGACTCTATCTCAAAAAAAAAAAAAAAAAAAAAAAAAAGTCTGGGTGGACTGAAAAATTCTCCAACTGGCAGATACTTGTCTAGTTAAGCCTGGGATCAAGGTCTATTCTACATATTAATACCATTGGTGTATACCACACATACCCAGAAACTGGGATTTATATGCTACTGACATAGTCTTAGTACTCAAACCATGAAATTAACATAGAAATTGGACCCCTGACTTTAAATCCCTTGAACTTCTGGCAGGATAAATATAAAATCTGTGGAGTAATACACCTTCAACTCAAGATGCACAAACTTCACATAGATACAGCCCTTCTGAAAATGGTCTCACACAATTCACAATTATATAAGGAATCCACCACATTTAAGAGTTAGCAAACACAACCAACAACAGAATTAAGCAAAGAATTAAAACAATTATAAACTCTAAGATAATATCAAATAAGTATATTTAAATTGATTAAATACATTTAAAAGCACCTTATGGGAAGACTACTCAGAATTCAACACAGAGAGAAAGACATTTTTAAAAAATCAAAAAGCTTCTAAGAGACATAGAATGTGGAAAGAGAAAGCCCATAAGAATTCCAGAAATAAACAGAATGTGGAGAAGTAACATTTGATGATCTAGCGGCTTAGGCTTTTCCAGAATGAATGAATGACATGAATTTTCAGGTTCAGGAATGTGGTGTCCTGAACAGTGTAAATAAATATAAATTTACATCTAGATGAAGTGGAACTCATAAAAGCAAGTAAAGACAAAAGCCAGCTACCTAAGAACAATGATAAACAGACTTATCTCAGCCTTATTAATGAAATGACTTGACAATTTAATATCATTTCAATACGCGGCAGAAAAATACCAGATAACTCAGAATTCTATTCCCAAATACATTTTTATTCAACAGTAAAGATAAGACATTTTCAGACACACAGAAAATCAGAGCCTTAATATTAACACACTCTCAATGGAAAACTTCTAAAATATGTATTTCAGAAAGAAGATATTTAACCCAGAAGGAAGAAATAAGATGCAAGAGATAATTTCACGCCAAGAAATGATAAATATGTGTGTAAATCTTAAAAACATTTGTTAGTATAAGAGTAAAACTTATAGAACTAAAATGCTAACGCAAATGTAATACGTGTGTGTGTGTGTGTGTGTGTGTGTGTGTCTGTGTGTGTGTGTGTGTGAATGTAGAAGGCAGAAGGCATTATTTCCAAACCAGAATTGGTGGAGAATTGGGGGGGAAATTCAATCAAGTACATAAGGCAGGAAAAGTGATGGGAGAAGGAAAGGAAAGGAAAGAAAAAAAAAGTATAGTAAATAAAAAACACCAAATAATAGGTAGAAATAAAGGCAGATATGTCAACAATCATATTGAATATAAATAGATTAAATTCATCTATTAAAAGACAGAGATTTTCAGATTAAACAAAAGATGAAATCCAATTATACACTGATTTCAACAGAAATACATATAATTTAAAGACATGGAAACTTAAAGTAATGTGGTAGAAAAATATATCAAGTAAATATTAACCTGAAGGAGGCTACTGTAACTGGATTAATGCCAAATGAAATAAAGTAATAAATGAAATTAATAGCAAATGGAATAAAGACCAAGGGCATTTTTAGATATAAAGATAGATTGCACATATTGAGAAAAATAATTTTTAGCCTTCTCATTTTAATGAGGCAATGAACAATTTGCCTCTAAAATATAATAATTTCAAACTTGTATGTACTTAATAAAATAGCCACAAAATATGTAAAGCAAAAAATTACAGTATTACAAAGAGAAATCAACAAAACCACAATCATAGTGGGTGCATATTTATATTTATGTCTCTCTGAAACTGATGAGTCAAGCATACAAAAATCAATTAAAAAGATGGAAACAAGGGTTACCAAAAACAGAAAGGTTTCCTTTCCTTCTCCCATAACTTTTCCTGCCTTTTGTACTTGCCTTTTTGAGGCAAAACATTCTAAAGCTGTACTGTAGTGATCATTGCACAACTTTGTAAATTTACTAAAAACCTTAAATTGTACAATTTAAAAGGGATGAGTTGTATAATATATAAATTACACTTCAATAAAGGTGTTAAAAGAATATAGAAAACCTTGTGAGCCTATATAGTATCCTGAATCCGCTAATTAGGAAAAAAAAATTCAACTCAAGCACAAATGAAATGTTTAGAAAATTTGACTTCACATGAAACCACAAAGTAAATCTCAACTAATAAGAAAGAATTAGCCTGGGCAACATGGCGAAACCCCATTTCTATAAAAAATTCAAAAATTAGCCAGGCATGATGGTATGTGCCTGTAGTCCCAGCTACTCAGGAGGCTGAGGTGAGAGGATCAATTCAGCCCAGGAGATACGACTGCAGTGAGCCGAGATCATGCCACAAGAAAGAATTGATATCTGGTAGATTATATTTCCTGAATATAATTTAATTAAAAGTTAAAAGTGATTTTTAAAACTCATGTCTGAAAATGTTAAATGTTTCTAAATCATGGGTTTAAGAAGAAATAACAATGTAAATTTGGAAATACTTAGAAGTGACAGAAAAATAAAAGTGCTGTCATTTATATCAAAATACATGGGATAAGCTGAGGTAGGTACTTAAAAGGACAAATTAGTTTTAAATGTTGATATTAGGAATACATGAAAAGGGGACATAACTACAGATACAATGGGAATTTTTTAATCCTAAGGAAAAAATATGAATAGCTCAATTTGAAAACTTAGGCAAAATAGGTAATTATCATAACAGACCCCACAAGAAAGAGAAAATCTTATAAGACCTATCAAAGAAACTGAATCAAGTTAAGTATCCATACACAAAATGAATACCACCACATTCAGATGTATTTATAGGGCAGTTTTACCAAAAGAATAAAAAAAATACATTATTCAAAAATTACACCAGCTTTTCCAACTTTGACCAACTTTATAGCAATTTTGACAGAAGTAAGAAAAATGAGAATCACTTCCCATAATATTTTATGAGGGTAATATAACCCCAATATAAAAATCAGACAAAGATATACAAGAAAAGAAAATTATAGGCCAGTCTCACTTGTGAACTTAGATTCCAAAATCCCAAATAAAATACTAGTCTATTGAATTTAGCAGGAAATTAAAAAGAAATGCTAGCAAGTACAGTTCATTGCAAGACTGTTTTAACATTTGAAAACTCCTGACCACATACCAGATTAAAGAAGAAAACTCGACCGGGCGCGGTGGCTCACACCTGTAATCCCAACACTTTGGGAGGCCAAGGCAGGCGGATCACGAGGTCAGGAGATCAAGACCATCCTGGCTAACACAGTGAAACCCCGTCTCTACGAAAATGCAAAAAAATTAGCCAGGCATGGTAGCGGGCACCTGTAGTCCCAGCTACTCTGGAGGCTGAGGCAGGAAAACAGCGTGAACCCGGGAGGCGGAGCTTGCAGTGAGCTGGGATTGCGCCACTGCACTCCAGCCTGGGCGACAGAGCGAGACTCCGTCACAAAAAAAAAAAAGGGCCGGGCGCGGTGGCTCACTCCTGTAATCCCAGAACTTTGGGAGGCCGAGGCGGGCGGATCACTTCAGATCAGGAGTTCAAACCATCCTGGCTAACACGGTGAAACCCCGTCTCTACTAAAAATACAAAAAATTAGCCAGGCATGGTGGTGGGCGCCTGTAGTTGCAGCTCCTCGGGAGGCTGAGGCAGGAGAATGGCGTGAACCCGGGAGGCGGAGCTTGCAGTGAGCAGAGATCACGCCACCGCACTCCAGCCTGGGCGACAGAGCGAGACTCCATCTCCTGGGCGACAGAGCGAGACTCCATCTCAAAAAAAAAAAAAAAGAAAAAGAAAAAAAAGAAAAATCATCACCTCAATAGATTCAGGAAAAACCTTTGGTACAATTCAACACTTGCCAGGCACAGTGGCTCATGATTGTAATCCCAACACTTTGGGAGGCTGAGACAGGAGTTCAAGACCAGCCTAAACAACATAGGGAGACCATGTCTCTACAAACAAAGAAACAAACAAAAAATTAGCCAGGCATGGTAACACACGCCTGTGGTTCCAGCTATTCAGGAGGCTGAGGTTGGGGGATCACTTAAGCCTGGGAAGTCAAGGCTGCAGTGAGCCATAATGAAGCCACTGTACTCCAGCCTGAGTGACAGAGTAAGATCCTGTCTCAAGAAAAAAAAAAAAAAAAGAAATCAACTCTCATTCATGACAGAAGCTCACACAAAACTAGGAGGACAAGGAAATGTCCCTCACATAATGATGACTATTCTAACAAAACCCATCAGCAAACATGGTTCTTAATGCCAAAGCAGTTGAAGCAGTCCCTTTAAAGTTAAGAACAAGATAAAAAATAATGCTCCCTATCACTGTTTTTACTCAGAATTATGAAGGATTTCTAGATTGTGCATAAAGTATGAAAAACTGGTTGTAGCAGTCAGGCTGGTGGTAACATACAAACCCCAACATCTCAGTGGCTTAAGACATTAAGTTTGCTTTTGCTCAAAGTTCATTGTAGATCTTGCTGGTGATGACTCAGTTCTAACAAGTGTCCTTTGTGGCTGTACTTCTCAAAATGGGAACTCCCGGTTATCGTACAGAGGCAAGGGAGAAATGAAGGATGACACATCAGCTCTTTATTCCTTCAGTCTCGCAGTGACATACTTCTCTTCCACTTCCACTCTATTGGCTCAAACAAGTCACACGGCTTTAACTGTAAAGGGACTGGAAATGTGGGGGAGCACAGGAATATTCAGGGAGCTGCGAATGTTCCTGCCACAACTGGAAAGGAAAAAAAATAAATTGTCATGGCTTGCAAATGATATGACTATATAAAAAATTTAGGAGAATTTATACTCTATTAAACTGATACAGAATGTACTCTTAGAATATGCTAGCAAAGTTACTTGTAACAATATCCCAGAATCAATTTCATTCCTACTCACCAGCAATAACTAGTAAAAAAAATGTAATTTCTTAAAACACAATTTAAGAGACTTTGGAATAAACGTCATAAAAGATGAGTAAGACTTTTGTGAGGAAAATTTAAAACTTCATTAAAAGGCATAAACTAAAACCTAATTGTGTGTGTGTGTGTGTGTGTGTGTGTGTGTCTAGTATAGACAGAACTATACAACATCAGAAAAATATTAACTTTCCCCAGAATAATCTGTAAATTTCATGCAATTAAAAAAAATAAATTTTTGAGCCAGGCGCGGCAGCTCATGCCTATAATCCTAGCACTTTGGGAGTCCTAGGCAGGCAGATCACGAGGTCAGGAGATCCAGATCATCCTGGCCAACATGGTGAAACCCCGACTCTATTAAAAATACAAAAATTAGCTGGGTGTGGTGGCGCACGCCTGTAGTCCCAGCTACTCAGGAGGCTGAGGCAGGGGAATCACTTGAACCCAGGAGGCGGAGGTTGCAGTGAGCTGAGATCGTGCCACTGCACTCCAGCCTGGTGACAAAGTGAGACTCCATCTCAAAAAAAAAATAGATTTCTTTCTTTTTTTCCTTGATGTACATGTGTATAACTTCTTAAGCTGTTACTAAAATTCATATGGAAGAGCAAAGATCCAAGAAAAAATTTTTAAGTCAAAAGATAACAGAGAAATACCAGGATTATGTTCAGCTACAGAGTAACAAAGAAAAGAAATCATCTACAATGGCTTAAACAATAGGGTATTATTTGCATCACATAACAAAAGAACATTCACCTATAATGAGAAAAGATAAAAATATGCTAGTTGGATATTTCCAGGTAGCATTTGTTGTTCTACCTGCCTTCTGAATTTGTTCTACCTGCCAATTATTGGATTTGTTCTACCTGCCTATTATTTCTTTTATTTTTATTGAATTTTATTTTTTAGAGACAGGGTCTCATTCTGTCACCCATGCTGGAGCACAGTGGTATGATCACAGCTCCCTGTAGCCTCAAACTATTGGGCCCAAGCAATCCTCCTGCCTCAGCCTCCTGAGTAGCTAGGACTACAGGCACACACCACCATGCCCAGCTAATTATTTCTTTTTTCTTACTTTTTTTTTTTTTCCTTTAGAAACAGGGTCTTGGCCGGGCACAGTGGCTCACACCTGTAATCCCACCACTTTGGGAGGCTGAGGCAGGCGGATCACAAGGTCAGGAGATTGAGACCATCCTGGCTAACATGGTGAAACCCCATCTCTACTAAAAATACAAAAAATTAGCCGGGTGTGGGGGCAGGTGCCTGTAGTCCCAGTTATTCGAGAGGCTGAGGCAGGAGAATGGGGTGAACCCAGGAGGCAGAGCTTGCAGTGAGCCGAGATCGTGCCACTATACTCAGCCTGGGTGACAGAGTGAGACTCTGTCTCAAAAAAAAAAAGGAAGAAAGAAACAGGGTCTCACTCTGTTACCTAGGCTGGAGTACAGTGGTGCAATCATGGCTCACTGCAGCCTCAGCCTCCCAGCTCAAGTGATCCTCCTGCCTCAGCCTCCCAAGTAGCTGGAACTACAGGTGTGTACTACCATGCCCAGCTAATTTTTTTTTAAATTTTTTGTAGAGATGGGGTTTTGCCACGTTGCCCAGTCTGGTCTCCAAACTCCTGGGCTCAAGCGATTCTCCTATCTCAAGCCTCCCAAAGTGCTGGGATTACAGGCATGAGCCACTGTGCCCAGCAGCAATTATTTCTTAATGTTAATTAATAAACTGATATTGTGGTTATACATCAATCTGTATGATCTTGACTAATGAGTCAACTCCTACAGAAGGAACCATTTTACCCAGTGATAAATTTTAAGTTTCTGATTCTATAAGATCAGATTACTATGAATTCATGAAAGTAAAGACCATCCTGTGAGGCCACCTGATAGACAACCATTTGATCTTCTTCAGGAAGCTACTCTTCTACTTTGCCACATTTGAGCCCTTCCATTTTAAAACTAACTCCCCTTATACCAATTCCATGATTATTCACTGTCCTTCTGATTTGAAACTCAGCTTCCCATATTAATCTACACAAAGGAAGATTATTTCTTCATCTTGTATGGTACTTTCCAATCAAAATTCCTAACTATGTGCTAGACACTGTTCCAAAGTTGGGAGGCCAGGGAGTGTGAGTTTTTACATGTCCTAAAGAAAAAAGAAAGAATATACTAGGTAACTAAATGATCACTGCCATTCCAGGGTTCTGGGGGTTGGTGCTGTTTTCACAGTAGCATGTGGCAGTATGCTTTGCCTAGAGTAGATGCCTGATAAATATTTTGATTAATTGGTTATCACAGCAAACAATAAAACCAGTACTCCATAATTTTTTGATATTAAAATTCCCCAGAATGTGTCCTTACCATATTACCCCCATCATATGCCTGGTAGAGACAAATTAAGTCAAGCCAAATGAATAGGTTAAATAGTTCAGCATGGCTCAATGAGACACGCAGCACAGGGATGCAACGGCCTACTCGAGTGACATGCTGCTTTTGTGTCTAAGGTGATCTTTTTCAGCATAATTATCAGCACATCTTAACATGACACTGAGAGGTAATTAAATGCACTTTGGACTGAAGTAGGGAGAAAGATGTGGGAGAGGGAATAAGCTTTTTTTCTTTCACAGTCAAAAAATCAAAGAAAACCATGGTTTAATGCTCCAAGACCCTCTCCTGGTGGCATGGAGGGAGCTCTTGCGGCTCTCCCAGACTGTCTCTTCAGTCTGAGACAGATTTTTCTTCTTTAAAGATACTACATAAATCACTGATGGGAAAATAATTTACAGCCACAGTGGAAGAAAGGAGCAAAAAACCAAGAACATGTCTTCTGGATTACAATGAGAAGACCTGAATTTTCAGCAGGCTTTATAAAGATGGAATCAGGAGCTGGGGAAGAATCTGAGCCCTTCTGTGCCCAAACAGATTTCCCATCTTCAGGCTGCCGCTGGGATCCATCTGTTCAACACTGGCTGCAACACAGGCTGGGGCAAAATGTGCCATTAACAGCTTTGGGGAGGTGGGAAGTAGGAAGGGGAAATGGTGAAACACAGAAAGGTCCCTTAGAATTAGCTGGCTTCTAACTACCAACATTTAACTATATGTTGACAGGCAGCAGTAAAATTTGCTACCTAGTCTCCCCTGTCAATCTGGGCATCAAGACTGTTTCTTACCAAAGGGACTCAAACACAGGGAGAAGACATAATTTGGGATAGGTTTCTTGTTTTGTTTTGTTTTGTTTTTTGAGATGGAGTCTCACTCTGCTGTCCAGGCTGGAGGGCAGCCGCACGATCTCGGTTCACTGCAACCTCTGCCTCCTGGGTTCAAGCAATTATCTTGCCTCAGCCTCCCGAGTAGCTGGGATTACAGGCGTGCGCCACCATGCCTGGCTAACTTTTGTATTTTTTAGTACAGATGGGGTTTCACCGTGTTGGCCAGGCTGGTCTCTAACTCCTGACCTCAAGTGATTCGCCCACCTCGGCTTTCCAAAGTGCTGGGATTACAGGCATGAGCCACTGTGCCTGGCCAATTTGGGATAGGTTTCTATGGAGAGATACCCAAAAGACTAGAAACTTAACACTTGGCATAGTTTCCCTTGCGATTATTTCAATTTTGATAGAATACAAAAGAAGAGTAAGAAACTGTAAATCTCATTTACATCTGTACAGATTCTTAAGCCAGTAAGAGGACATGATTAGCATGATTCATTATATGATCTGCTTTTTGGGAAGATATGGACTTTCAACATCATCCCCAAAAGGTAACCTTGAACAAACCTATGTTTGTCCTACTCATCACTTTTGTCCTATGGGTCATTTTCTGAAAGTTAAACAATTACTCCACTAATAGATTACTGCAGTCAATGTAGACCTTTAATTTGAATAACTTAAAAACTAAAATATTTATCTCTGGAATTTGTGATGAGGTTTAATTTTCCACATGTATCTTTTTTGAGGAGCATGCTGCTCAGGGAAAACCTCTCTGAGAAGATAACCTTTCTGTAGAGATTGGATGGATGCCAAGTGTAATGTAATCCTAGTTGCATATATTAATTGACATGTTTTCCCTTCTGATAATCCTGTTACCCCTGACCCTGCCCTTTTCAGGCAGTTAAACTGGAGAAATCCATCCCCTCAAAGGAGGGCGGCTTTATCAGAACTCTTAGAACCAGAGTGTCAAGGCCTAGATCCCAGCTATCAGACAAAAGAATCGGAGGGATCTGTGCCCAGTCCCTACAATGTAGCCTTGTCTACATAAGCAGTGAATCACATGCAAAACTAAAACAGTCTGCCATCTGACTCGTATGAAACCACCTGCCTATGTTTGGAATTCTGAACCGTGGGCCACATCTGTACAACTAATAGTTACTTGGTGCCTACTGTCCTACTCTGTACAAGACTTATAAAAAATATAGTTATAAGTGATCTATCTTTCCTGTTCTCCAAGAGCTTAAAACCTCACAGAGGAGACAAGAAATATATCCAGATGGGGCCAGGCACGGTGGCGGTGGCTCACGCCTGTAATCCCAGCACTTTGGGAGGCTGAGGCAGGCGGATAACAAGGTCAGGAGATCAAGCCCATCCTGGCTAACATGGTGAAACACCTGTCTCTACTAAAAATACAAAAAAAAAAAAAATTAGCCAGGCGTGGTGGCCGGCGCCTGTAGTCTCAGCTACTCGGGAGGCTGAGGCAGGAGAATGGCGTGGACCCGGGAGGTGGAGCTTGCAGTGAGCCGAGATTGCACCACTGCACTCCAGCCTGGGCGACAGAGTGAGACTCCATCTCAAAAAAAAAAAAAAAAAGAAAAGAAAACAAATATATCCAGATGGCCGGGGGCGGCGGCTCATGCCTGTAATCCCAGCACTTTGGGAGGCCGAGGCCGGCGGACCACGAGGTCAGGAGTTCGAGACCAGCCTGACCAACATGGTGAAACCCCGTCTCTACTAAAAATACAAAAATTAGCCAGGCGTGGTGGTGGGTGCCTGTAATCCCACCTACTCAGGAGGCTGAGGCAGGAGAATTACTTGAACCTGGGAGGCGGAGGTTGCAGTGAGCCGAGATCACGCCATTGCACTCCAGCCTGGGTGACAGAGCGAGACTCTGTCTCAAAAAAAAGAAAAAGGAATATATCCAGATAAGTTTAATACAAGGAACTATGAGAAATAGTTGCCAGAGAGCTGCCACTCCATCCAAAACGCCCCCCATAGCCCCTGTGTCCTTCATATCATCAAAAGCTATGATTATTTTTGAGGGTGTTACTTGTATATTCACTGTCTCCCCAGGTAGAATAAGCAGGGATGAATCTATCTCTACACAATAGTTTTCCCAGTACATACCACATAGCCCAGCTATTCAAAGGATACTTTGTTAAATGAATGAATGAGTGAAGGAATGAAGTCATGTTGGGGTCTATTTTTGTTCAGTGATTATATCACATTTCATTTTTCTGTGAGAGTTTAGAGAAGCAGGCCTCGTTGCTGGATAGTCTGCTGCTAACTTGGCACCACCAACACCCCCTCCTAAGTGTGGAAACTTCTACACAATCGTCTTGCAGAGTCACTTCACGGGAGAAGACTTGGGGTAGATGTGGAGTGTGAAGCCTATTCTCTGGAGGCATTTGTACACAAATGCACAGGCAAGGTTGCACAGCAGACTGAGACAGCGAGAACTTCTCAGAGGTTCTCAAGAGGTGCAGCAGCTTGCAGACAAGCTTTTGAAAATTACTCCAAGTGTTTGGAGCTGTAGGCTTCAGTGTCAACCACTCTGACCTTTGGGGCTGTTCCCCTGATCTTCAGGGGTAGTTTTATGACCTGTGCACCAGTGCAGCCCTCCCTCCCAGCTATTCAAAGGTTGCATGAATTCCTAATTCTCAATTAAACTCTTTATATCTGGAATACATAGAGTGGCTTCTGTATTCCTGAGCAAGCCCTGATTTGTCCACTCGTTTAGGAAGTGTGAGTTTACCCTGTCCCTGCATCTGACCACACTCACCTGAATAGTCTCTATCTCTGGGACAATTCATTTGAGTGATTTCAGATTACCTTTCCTTTGGTACAAAAAGAAACCAGTGGACATAGAGAAATCCTTTTTGGTTTTTTTTGAAATGGAGTCTCACTCCGTCGCCCAGGCTGAAGTGCAGTGGCTTAACCTTGGCTCACTGCAACCTCCACCTTCTAGGTTCAAGCAATTCTCCTGCCTCAGCCTCCCAAGTAGCTGAGACTACAGGCCACCATACCTGGCTAATTTTTGTATTTTTAGTAGAGAGGGGGTTTCATCAAGTTGGTCAGGCTAATCTCAAACTCCTGACCTCAAGTGATTTCCCGGCCTCAGCCTGCCAAAGTAGCTGGGATTACTGGCATGAGCCACCACGCCTGGCCGTGGCTTTTTATTTTCACATAAGCCAAGTGATTTTCAGTCAACTATTCTTCAAGATATAAGTTTGTAAACATTCTATACTTTTGAAAATCATGCATTTTAATTTTAAGATGATAGGTTTTGGAGCATCTCCAATAACTTAAAATGATACCTCTTACCAGGTATGTTTTTACTCCCATTTATAGGTGGAAAAGCTTAGACTTGTAAGAGCCAGTTGTAGCTCTGTCTGATATATCACATTCTTTACTTTGGAACATTTAAAAACCAACATCATTTGAAATAGAAAGTTTCAAAAATAATGGCAATTTTTTATAGCCAGTCTCATGAATGTTACAAGGGGCCACACCTTGAAACTCAACTTTAAACTTAAAAATATAGGCCACACATATTCAAGTGATTAATTTTAACTTTCAGGAACATTTTATTGTACTTTCCTGAAGATTTTTACTCAAATTTTCCACTTCTGGTTTTTCCCAATGCACGCTGGTCCTAATCTCTGCCAAATTCACTAAGATTGCTCACAGATAATGCCAAAGGTGCAGCAGTAGCAACAATTTTTTTTTAAGACGGAGTCTTGCTCTGTCTCCCAGGCTGGAGTGTAGTGGCATGATCTCGGCTCACTGCAACCTCCATCTCCCAAGTTCAAGCAATTCTCCTGCCTCAGTCTCCCAAGTAGCTGGGACTACAGGCATGCACAACCACGCCCGGCTAATTTTTGTATTTTTAGTAGAGACAGAGTTTCATCATGTTGGCCAAGCTGGTCTTGAACTCCTGACCCCAGGTAATCTGCCTGTCTCGGCCTCCCAAAGTGCTGGGATTACAGGCGTGAGCCACCGTGCCCGGCCACAACAATTTTTTAAAAAGAAAGATTACCCCAAGTTAAGAGCTGAGTGGCCTTCCCATCATGGATATCAGAAGTAGGCTTCTCCAAGCAGCATGTCAAGAACACCAGGGTGTTATAAACACACAACAGTGCAGCGATGAGAACCTGGCTTTTCTGGAGTCCACACTGGCCTCTTCTCCAAGGGAGCTGCTGTATGACAACAGACGGCTGCTGTGTTCCTCACCTTCTTGTCGTAGGCTCTGCTGTGGTTTATTCCCCATGTATATGATTCAGAGCTCCTTACCAAGCACCTCTGTGGCAGCCAAGGCTCCACCACTGATGAGTTATGCCCAAGTTATTCACTTTCTTCCATCTCCATTATGCTCAAGCAGAGCCCATTTCAGCCCCAACAGGCAACATGAGAACAAGGAAAGGAATCTAACATTTAGTGAGAGAGGCAGGTTGGTGTTCCTAAATGTGGTATAGTATATGAAGCATCAGAGTTACATTATATGACCCAACTCCAAATGAGAAGACTCTGTCTGGGGGACATAAGTCTCAGTTTCCTCTTCTGTTGTAATTAATGCCAACTCTTGCACTTGTGGTGGATATTGAGATAACGTACATAAAGCACCAAGCACAGTGGCTGGCACATGGAGATAACAACTATAATAGCTGGGTGCGGTGGCTTATGCCTGTAATCTCAGTACTTTGGGAGGCCAAAGTGTGAGGATCACTTGAGTCCAGGTGTTCAAGACCAGCCTGGGCAACAAAGTGAGACGCTGTCTCTGTAAAAAATAAAAAATGGGCTGGGCACAGTGGCTCACGCCTGTAATCCCAGCACTTTGGGAGGCTGAGGCGGGTGGATCACCTGAGGTCAGGAGTTTGAGACCAGCCTGGCCAACATGGCGAAACCCCGTCTCTACTAAAAATACAAAAAATTAGCCAGGCGTGGTGGCAGGCGCCTGTAATCCCAGCTACTTCAAAGACTGAGGCAAGAGAATCACTTAAACCTGGGAGGCAGAGGTTGCAGTGAGCAGAGATTGAGCCATTGTACTCCAGCCTGGGCAACAAGAGCAAGACACCATCTCAAAAATAAATAAATAAATAAATAAATAATAAAATAATTAAAAAATAAAAAATAAATTAGCTGGGCGTGGTGGCACACGCCTTTAGTCCCAACTACTTGGGAGGCTGAGGCAGGTGGATTGCTTAAGCTGGGGAGATCAAGACTGCAATGAGCCATATTTGTACCACTGCATTCCAGCCTGGGCAACAGAGCAAGACCCTGTCCCCGAAAGCAAAACAAACAAACACAAAAACCAACCACAATAATAGACACTAGCATGATTAAGCAATAAATGCTTTTTGCAGGAAAGTAGACTTGCTATGCCACTTACTAGCTGTGACTTAGACCAAACCCCTTCACCTCTCTGAGCCCTTGTGGTGGCCTCTTCTGTCAGCTGAATCTAATAACACTTGTGCTGTTTACTCATGGGCTATTGCGCAAGTCAAATGAGAAGACCTATGTGAAGGTGCACTGTAAGTTGCAAACCCCTAAATGAAAAAGATCCTGTGTAAGTCATTCCCTTACCAACCAAGCTTGCTTTGGTCGATTGGAAATTTTACAGGGCCACAGGATAAAATGTATTAGGAAGAACTGGTGTACAATCGTGATTATCGATTAACTTGTATTCAATCGTAATGCCTTAAACCAACTCATTTTGAAAACCTCTAAATACAAATAAATCAAGGCAAAACCAATCAGCATTTTTGTCAAAAAGAAAAAAAAAGATTGGCAGGAAACAAAAGCTATACCAAATATAAGAAGTTGCACATGCCTTCTTAATCTCCTACTGGGAGCAGGAAGTGAGTGAATGAAGGTTCATACTCCTGAGCACCCAGTTTCCCCAGCTATATGCACATCATAATATCCCTCAAAACTCCATTAGCTACTCCTCTGTTACAATTCCAGAATCACACAGCAGTTCCTATGCTCCTATATAGTAATTCAAAAATACAGACCTTTGGTCATTTCTCAGCCTTTTGGCTAAGATCAAGTGCAAAAATATACACATTTTACACACACACACACACAATTTAAGAACACATTGTAGAAATCGATCACAGCTATTACTCCTTTTTTTTTTTTTTTTGTTAACAATTCAATAGAATTACAAGAGGAAGAAGGAATGTCATTATGAACCTGGGTGTCTGAGAGGGCCAGAGAAGGACTGAGGGCAAACAGAAAGCTATGCTATCAGGAGGAATTTACACAGGTAGTCAGGTTTCTGAGTATGCAGAGGAAAGAAGTTTCAGTTGGATCACATTCAACAGGACATGAGCCCGGAAGGACTGCTTTAGTCTTATGATGTAAAAAGAAGTTATATAAGTTGAACAAATGCTCCTCTCTTTCAGGAATGTCTTACACAAGTTGCACAAACTGTCAGAAGCCTCAGGGAAATAGCCAGTGGTAAAAATGTTTGTCCAGCACTCAGCTGACAGGCACGCATTGCAAAAGTGTCCCTGGTATTTATTACCCTTGCCCTGCCCCCAACATATGCACACCACAGTACAGCAACGGGGCTGCAAGCGAACCACATCAAAGTGGAGCCTCACTCCCCTTTTGCCCTTCTGAGTTCCAGCCAGCCGATCAGGCCTGCTGTGCGGAGGTGAGCCTTTGAGAGGTCTTCCTCGTTCCTCCCTAGGCTAGACCTGTTCTAAACACAAACAGAGGGCTCCATCTCCACCACGGTTCATCTGATAAAAGTCACATTGTTCAAAGCCACACTCAGAAAAGCATTATAAATTGTACTACAGGAATAGCTCCTCATCAGCAGAAAGATAGCTTAAATAACCTAATAATTCCTATCTCTAATGCTGTGATTCTTTAGAACTGTTCAAGGGAAGAAATTCCCATTGGGCTGAAAAGATGGAAGGCATGGAGAAAAAAATAATAAAACATCTTTTCAAATCATTGGACCTTGTATATTTGCCCCCACCCTAAAAATTGGATCTTCGTTTACAGAAAATGACTATGGAGCATGCCACAAGTGAAATCCAAATTACCCTTTCCAGCTTGCTTTGGTGTGATAAAACGCATTCCAATTTTTTGTGTTGTAAAAGTCCAGAAAGATTACCACATTTCCCTCACAAGTGTCATCCAGGATATATTTGCACAAGTGTTATTTAAAGGTTGAGTTGATTGGATTAATGGAGCAGGCACCTCCACCATAAATGGAGGGCTTGTTAATCTAATCCTTACCTCCTCCTTCAAAAAGGCTACTGTTTCTGTCTTGTGTGTCTGAGAGAATGGTCCACATGAAGAGAATACCAACAGTAATAACAACCTGTACCGAGCGCTCCCTATGTGCAGACGCCACTTTATGCATCCTGCATTGATCAAATCCTTTACTCCTCACAGCAGCCTCAGAGGCCGGGCTGTTGTTGGCCCCATGCTTCCTTCCTGTGCACGTCTCACAGCTGGTGACACACGGTTTTTCCCTCATGCAGTGTTCTCTCTGTGGCCTGGCATCTGTGGCCATTGTTCACAAGGACGTCAGCCACCACTTCTTCACGTCACAGGATGTAATGTCTCTGCTTCTAAACCACAAGGTTTCCCCACTTTTCTATTTTTGTAAGTCAGTACAGATGCTGCCTTTCTGGGAGTTGTTTTTCTGGGAATTTGGACCTTCTTTTTTCCTAGGCTGTACTCACATACTGTTGTCATTCATCTTCCAGCCACATCTAGTATCTAGTGCAGCTGGATGAATGAGTTTTCCAACTAGTGGCTAATTGTGCCCTAGGGCAGCATTTTATAAAAATAGGGAGTGTGTGTATGTGTGTGTGCGTGCACACACGCATGCATGCATTCTCCAAATAAAGCTACTATAGAAGCTGCTATAGTGTATAAAAACATGAGCTTTGGAATCCAACAGTTCTAGGCTATAATCTCAGCTTCATCACTGGTTTCTCGGGGCCCTGGGAAAGATGACTTAACTTCCTTGAGCCTCAGTTTTCTTATTGGTAAAATAGAATAATGGCAACACCTACCTCAAAAAAAGTTATAGACTTTAAATATAATTTTATATAATATACAGTTATTGTATTAGGCTGTTCTTGCATTGCTATAAAGAAATACCTGAGACTGGGTAATATATGAGAAAACAGGTTTAATTGACTCATGGTTCTGCAGGCTGTACAGGAAGCAGAGTGGCATGTTTCTTTCAGGGGCATCAGGAAGCTTCCAATCATGGCAGATGGCAAAGGGGGAGCAGGCACATCACATGGCGAAAGCAGGAGCAAGAAAGAGTGGGAGCAGGTGCAACATACCTTTAAATGACCAGCTGTGAGAGCTAGAGCTCACTTATCACCAAGGAGATGTCCAGACCATTCATGAGGGATCTGCTCCCATGATCTAAACACCTCCCACCAGGCCCCACCTTCAACACTGAGGATTACATCTCAACATGAGATTTGGAAGAGATATCCAAACTCTATCAGTTATCATCACTTTAAAAGTGCTAGCTACTACTATTGCTATTTCTTCAAACTTTCACTGTGTAATTATCAACATCATCATTCACTTAATAGTATTGTGTTATATGACCTGACAATTCCATACTTAGCTGGATTCTCCAGGGAACTTTCCCTTATTTGCACAAGGAGACCTTTACAGGGATGTCACTGAAGCATTGTCTATAATAGTTGTGTGCTGAAATGGGTCCCCAAAAATGTGTATGTTGAAGTCCCAGCTCCCAGTACATCAGAATGTGGCCCTACTTGGAGATAGGGCCTTTGAAAGGTAATTAAGTTAAAATGAGGTGATTGGGGTGGGCCCTAATCCAATATCAGTGGTGTCCTTATAAGAAGAGGAGATTAGGACACAGGCATAGAGGAAAGACCATGGGAAGATGCATAGAAGAGACATAGCCATCTACAAGCCAACGAGAGGCCTCAGAAGAAACCAACCCTGCCAGTATTTTGATCTCAGACATCTAGCCTCCAGAATCATAAGAAAATAAATGTCTGTTGTTTAAGCCACCTAGTCTGTGGTACTTTGTTATAGCAGTCTTAGAAAACTAATACAATTACCATTTTTAGTATCAATCTGTTGTGCATTAATTTGATTAATCATGATCATTGGTTTATGGCACATATTATCATTGGGCTGTGAATGTTCAACTTATATTTAATTATTAACTTACTTTAAAAAATGTAATAAGCATCTGTGTACCTCTCTCCCAAAGCAAAAACAGGACCTGAAAATAACTCACATGTAATCACACATTCCACCACCAACCTCACCCATCTCCTAAGTGCACATCAATTTGAAAGTAGGTAAATAAATTACTGTATATTCATATAGTGGAATTCTACACAGAAGTGAAAATAAACGAATTGAAGCCATGATTGTTAACATGCATAAACCTCAAATACATATCACCCCTGGGGAAGAGGGAAGATGAGAATAGGATTGGGGTGGATATAGAAAGAGTTTCCATTGTATTTCTAATGTTTCATTTCTTAAGCAAAATTCTGGAATGCCAATATTTATTGCAAACTTGTCCAACCCATAGCCCGTGGATCACATGCAGCCCAGGATGGCTTTGAATGCAGCCAAACACAAATTCATAAACTTTCTTAAAACATTATGAGTTTTCTTTGTGAAGTTTTGATTTTTAGCTCATCAGCTATTATTAGTGTTAGTGTATTTTATGTGTGGCCCAGGATAATTCTTCTTCCAATGTACCCCAGGGGAGTCAAAAGACTGTATACCCCTGATTTATTATATTATCTATGCTTTTCTATATGCCTAATCATTTCACAATAAGTTTTAAAAACATAGTTTTTAAGGTACTTTTTCTGCAGCTTTAGTGTCATCCTCAATTATTAAAAAGAGAAAAGGAACAGGTGTTGTGGCCTGGAAGGGACCCCACTCTTCACTGCTATCCCCACCACCATGACCCCTTCTGAAAAATTAGGGGGATTCTATAGCTTTAGTATCTGTGACACCCCTACCTTGAAACTGGTCATGGCTTTCCTGGTGGATCAGCAGTCAGGCTGTTTAGAAGTCGTATTTCAGATCCTACTGGTTGATCAGTATTTTTCCATTTGCCATGAAAGGTGAACATAGGTAGGTTACTCTATGTGAACCTCAGAATTCTATGTAACCACCGTGACATACAAACAGAAGACTGTCATTGCTCTGAGAGTTAATGAAAAGTAAATACTGCTGAAGTGAAAGCATTAATGACATGCTAAAAATGCTAATTCTAATATGCCTGATCAAGCTAAGAAAGAATCAACTGAGCTTTTATTCTTTTAGAAGAGTTAAACAAAACTACATTGTGTAGCAGAAAGAGCTCAGGGAGATCTGGAGTTGAATCCAGCTAACGTATACACACTATTTGACTTTGACAAATTCTTTAACTTGTATAAGTCTCAATCTCCTTTTCTTAATATGAGAACAATGATCACCGCTTGGCAGGGTTTTTGTAGAATTCTATGAAGTAATACACGTCAAGCACCTTGGACAGTGCTACCACATGGCATGCTCCTGGCATATATAAATATGTCCCATCTCTCTCTGACAGTTAAATCATCCAAGATAAACAAAAAAACTGCAGCTATTACAGGGATCCCCTTAGAGTCTTTAATACTGCATCAAAGGTGAGAAATAAATGTGAGGGAATAAGAAGGGAAAGGGGTTCATGACAAACAGCGGAAATTTCTGCTGCAGGTTCCTCCTGATGCTTCTTAAGGTACAGTTAGCAGTACAGTTTCAAGGGAGAAAATAACATTTAAAAATTGGTAAAATGTTAAATCATAAGAAAAGAGTAAAATAAAGTTATTAGTCTTATAAAAGAGATGGCTAATGTGATTTTAATAGTTTCTCCATATTTTTCTCTAAGGAAAAGAGTGTTGAAAAATATTCTTATTCATAACTTTAAAGACCAGACAAGAAGACATGGATTTAAATTTGGAAGATTTCAACTAAACTTAAGAAAAAAAACATAGCTAGAGTGGCTATGTTAATTTCAGACCAAGGAGATTTCTACTAAAAGAGTATTATAAGAAATAAAGACATTATATGTAATAATAAAAGAAGAAATCTGTCAGAAAGACAACCATCCTAAATGTTTGTACCTAATAACAGAACATCAAAATTCATGAAGCAAAGACTCAAAGGGGGACAAATTCATACCCCTCTCTCAGTGTACTTATAGAACAAGTATAAAAAATCATGATACATAAAAACGATCTAAATATACAACTGATCAAATTAACTTAATTGATGTTTACTAAACGCCACACCCAACAACTGTTAAACATATTTGTTTTCCAGTCCACATAGAATGGTCACCCAGATAGGCCATATGCTGAGCCATAAATATGACTCAATAAATTTCAAAGGATTTAAGTCTTAAAGCACATATTCCATGACTACAATGGGGAAAAAATTGGGTAATTATGTGGGCAGATAATGAGAAAATCCAAGACAAGTGTTTCTAGGAAAAACACAACACCAAGATTAGGATAAACAATAAAAACAATCAATGAAGGTGAAAAAAAAGAACTAAAAAGACTGGGGAGTCTTCAAATGGAAAAAATTGTAGCAAATAATCAGAAAGTAAGGTATTACAAGGCACAACAGCCATTATTTTTATTTTTCTTAAAATTGATCCTAGTAGTGAGACAGCTGATGGCAATTTAGGTCACCGGATCCTCTAGAGTCCTCAGGAACACCTGTTTTAGAATAGCTTTGAAGTTTAATCCGTGTTCCTCAACTTTTATGGGCATACAGAAGACATGGGGCTCTTGGTAAACTGAGGCCTACCATTCATTACATCTGGGTTGTGACCTAAGATTCTGCACTTCGAAAAGGTCCCAGATGATGCTGACACTGCTAGTCTATAGATCATATTTTGTGTAGCAAGTTTTAGAAGAGACCATGTCATCATGATCTGCTCATCCAGTCAAGAAAAATAAAATAAAATTGCATAGTCAAGACCAACAACTTTTTCCCATTTCATAGCCCTTTAATCACTCACTTTAAGCTGATTTCATAAAAAGCATAAAATATTGTTTAATGCACTTGAATCTTTATAAGCAATTTTATCACAAATAAAAAAACAGGAAAGACATGCGGAGGAGATAGCTGAGCATGAAGCAATTGGTAAAACAAAGATAAAGAAGGAAGCTAGGTGAAGAGCTTCGCTTCTTGCATCTTGTAATAGGAACAACACTGTCTGTATATTTTTTAGGGGAAGAGAGTATAGTAAAAGACTTTGGGTTCCTCAATTGGCAATTCCAAAGTAATTTAAAATACTTAAAATGTGCTCTCATGAAATACGTTATAGGTGAAAACTTTAATAAAATTGTAAAGAAGTTGTGACCATAAGAAAAAAATTACCCATTTCCCCTGGAGAGAAATCTGTGAGCTACTAGGCTTTTTCAAGATTGATGACCAACTGAGTGAGCCTTCAAAAGAAAAATCCAGCCGGGCACAGTGGCTCACGCCTGTAATCCCAGCACTTTGGAAGGCCAAGGCGGGAAGATCACCCGAGGTCAGGAGTTCAAGACCAGCCTGGCCAACATGGTGAACCCTGTCTCTACTAAAAATACAAAATTTAGCTGGGCATGGTGGCGGGCATCTGTAATCCCAGCTACTCGGGAGGCTGAGGCAGGAGAATCACTTGAACCCAGAAGGCAGAGGTTGCAGTGAGCAGAGATCTGTGCCACTGCACTTCAGCCTGGGCGACAAGAGCCAAACAGTGTCTCAAAAAAAACAACCAACAACAACAACAACAAAAAATCACACAAAACAAAAGAAATCCTTTGAAACTCATAGCACAACAAAATGAGGTATACAGTACAATAAACTTGGTCACTAAAAGACTTAGTCAGTGACCCTGCTTATTTTTTCATATCCATTACCATGGAATTTGAAACCAAAATCTAAAGTAATTCAACACACCAGTTGTATTCTTTCATTCAGTCAGAGATCATTCAACCGATATTTAATAACACCCAGTGGTTTTAGCATATTTTTTCTATGACAGCATTTATCTAAGAAGAGTTTATGGTCCCCAGAAATCAATCTTTCTCAAGTAAGCTAATTTTTATATTTGAAAATAAATTTGGAAACAAATTCAGACTTAATGGAAAATAAATTCAGACTTATTATTGTTTAGAAATAAGTTCAGACTTAGAGAAAAGTTGCAATAGTACAAAGAACACCCATATGCCTTTTACCCACATTATCTTGTTAACATTTTGCCTCATTTTCTTTATTATTCTGTAAAATTTGAGACTAAGTTGCATTCATCATGGCCCTTTACCCCAGCTTCAGTGCATATTTCCTAAGAATAAGGATATTCCCTTACATAACCACAGTGCAGTTACCAACTTCAGTAAATTTAACATTGATGCAATACTTCTATCTAATCCATCACGTGTATTCCAGATTTGTCTCTTTACCCCAATAATATCTTTTATAACATTTTTTCCTTTAGAATTATATCTAGCCTAAGATCAGGTCTTGCATTTTGTTGTCATGTCTCTTTAATGTCCTTTGATTTTGAAAATTCCCTTAGCTTTTCTTTGTCTTTTATGACATTAGCTTATTTTTTTCTTTTTAAAATAGAGTCTCACTCTGTTGCGCAGGCTGGAGTACAGTGGTGCAATCATAGTTCACTGCAGTTCAAACTCCTGGGCTCAAGCAATCCTCCTGCCTCAGCCTCCTGAGTAGTTGGAACTACATGTGTGCACCGCAACACCTGGCTAATTTTTTGTATTTTTTATAGAAATGAGGTCTCCCTTTGTTGCCCAGGCTCATCTCAAACTCCTGAGTTCAAGCAATCCTCTGACCTTAGCCTCTCAAAGCTCTGGGATTATAGATGTGAGCCATCACGCCTGACCAACATTAACATTTTTGAAGAATTCATTCTCTCTTTCTTTCTTTTTTAAGTGGACTGTTCCTCATTTAGAGTTGTCTGATATTTTCTTATGAACTCAGATTATGCATTTCTGGCAAGAATTCTACATAAGTGATGTTACATCCTTCTTAAGGTATCACATTTAAAAATAATGATTTTATTTTAGGTTAGAGAAAGTTCATAGTGTCTTCATAAATTAAATGTTCAATTTTAAAATAAGTTCTTGTTAATTTAATATACCTTTACTAAATTAAGAGAAATGTTTTTATTAAATAAAATAAATGTTTGTTTACAACAGATAGATAAGCCATGCTACATTTTATGCGTATATTTTCTGAGGCACATATTTTCTGAGCTTTTCTGCTCATTGCCTTTTCTATGATCTTGTATAGTGGTCAGGCATTCACTCCAGGCTTCAGTAGCCATGGAGAGAAATGTCCAGAATCATCTCTATAATATTCATTAAAACACTTCAAATGAATTTTCAAAAAGTCTGTCCTTTGTAAAATATATTTGCAACTAAGACACTCCAAAATGTAATATTTGCATTTGGCCCCATGTCACTTGCTTGAATCATAATCTTCACTGAGTTAAATGAGATATTCAGGTCTTGTTGCAGCAAGCATCAATACTTATATCTCTGAATTAATGCTAAAACAACCACTAAATATGGCACGATTTCCGGAGACTTAAGTGCTGGTTTACTACACTTCTGTATTACAGATGAATTCTAGAGAAAAAGTACATCCTGACAGCTGTTTTCAGTTCATTGTATTTTTTTGAAAAAAACATTTGTTTTCAATTTGTCTATAAATAATGGAAGAAATCACAGCTGAGGGGCCCAGTGTGATTTTTATAGAAGGTTCATTTTTGGAAATCTGATAAGCTTATAACCACATATGTTTAAAATAATTCTAGTATAAAATTCAGAAACTTGAGGTGGGGAATTCCTACTTGTCAGGCAACTCAATGTTTATTTTATCCATCTATTACCTAGCTCAATTTGTGAAACATTTTGTGTTTTTAGAAATTTTAAAGCAAAAATTTTAAATACATGTTAAACTTCACAATGCTCATTACAAAACTTTAGCATGTAGATGTAGTATATTGATTCTACTTTGAGATTATAAGTACATGAGCAAATAAAAATGATAAATGTATGAATTAACAATGTAGAATGAGATAATTATGCACGTGTACATCTACCTACTGGAAGTATAGCAACATATGTGCACATGTGGGCTTACTGACTGGTATATTTGTATCATTACAAGGATCTGTCCTATACTATTCCTCTAGAAGGGTACAAACTTACCAATACAAAACAAGAGATGTTAAAGGGTCTTTAAAATATACTTTTTGTTGGGCAATAATCTGGCCAACAGGATTTAATTTTATGGGCGTTATAAATTCTCTCTCTTTTTTTTTTTCTTTTTTTCTTTTTGGAGACAGGGTCTTACTGCTGTCACCCAGGTTGGAGTGCAGTGGCATAATCATAGCTCACTGCAGCCTTGACCTCCCAGGCTCAAGCTATCCTCCCACCTCAGCCTCCTAAGTAGCTGGGACTGCAGGCACTCTCACACCACTATGCCCAACAATTTTTTTAAAAATTTTTTTGTAGAGATGGGGTCTTGCCATGTTGGCCAGGCTGGTCTAGAACTCCCGGCCTCAAGTGATCTGCCCGCCTTGGCCTCCTGAAGTGCTGGAATTATAGGCATGAGCCACCAGGCCCAGCATAAATTCTTAACTAGATAACAGCTGACCAAATCCTTATATATGCCAGACATAATGCTCTGGTTTGGAAACTCAACAAGCAACTTCCAACTGATATAAGTTTTCATATGTATCAGTCATTCTGTAAGTTAGTGTGAGCAATTAAAATCAGTGTCCTTAAATGAGAATGAACTGAATTTTGAACACTGGCTTAGGTATTTAAGAACATTTGATAAAATGTAAACTATAGCTTTTAAAAGTCTTAGAGAATTATTCTTTTACAAAAAATTTTATTAATATTATGCCTCCTACAGTCCAGTCTATAAAGGCAGACTTTCACAGATTATCATGACAAAATACAAACTTTACATTAATGTTCCATACTGAATCTAAGTCTCTCTTAGTCATCTCTGAATAATACACTGAAGACAGGAAGAAGCCATCAAGAGTTATTTGTTAGTCTGTACTTATTGATGTGAGAAACTAAACATGAGACAGTATCGCTCCTTCAGAACTACTCCAGCGTGTCTTCTGTTCTTTGAGTATACAAATGTGAAGATAATCCAACGGTAATATCTCTTCCAATTTAAGTCCTAGGTAAACATGACATGCTTCATTATTCTTTTGATAAGGAATTATTTTACAATGGTCAGCAGATTAAATTCCTTTTTAAAAGATTTCACCAATGCCATTTCTAAAGCCAAATGAGGGGAAACTGGTCAAAGCTGAAAGAGGGGAAATCTGACAATGCGCAGACTTAGCCTCGCTGTTGTTTATGGAAAGACATATGAAGGCAGCCTTTGTCATCGTAGTTTTCTTTAGGTTTTGAACATTTTTGCCAAAGAATCACTGAGGTACAAATGTCACATAAATGAGTAAGAAAGAGGATTTCCTTCTGAACACAATTGACAGGACAGGTGTAGAATAAAAGGAAATTTATCTGACCACCAAGAATGGATGCACTTCAGATTTGTTAAGGGTTGCTCATATTTCTCATCAAACACTAAGAAGCTACCTATACCATAACATCAAAAATGTCAGAATTTGGAGAATGGCAAAGTAGTTAGGAATGTGGACTTACAAGCCGACCATCAAGTGTACATTCTAAATTTGCCACTAATTTGCTGTTGCTCTTGGGCATGCTACAATACTTAACTTCTTTTGTCCTCAGTTCCTTATCTGTACAACAGGAATCATGATAATACAGCACTTACTTCTAGGGTCCTTATGAGGATTAAATGAACTAGAGCATGTGAAGTACTTAGAACACTGCCTGACGCAAATAAGTACTGTTCTCCAAAATACTCATAATTATTATCTTCCTTCCTAGAGCAACACAATATAAGGGAGCAAATCAGCCAAAAGTCTTGTTTCACCAAAGACTGGCTATTTGATTTCCTGCAGTTGGTTGGATCCAAGCATGTCTATTAAGCCAGATTTTCCTTCACAAAGAGCCTTATCATTATTATTATTATTATTATTATTATTAATTAAATCTTCCTTTGGCTTAGTAGCATCTTAATAGGTAAAGTGCATCAACACCAAAACAATGTTGGATTTAGTTAGCACAAATCTCCATTTTAATATCAGTTCCCACATTGTTTTGTGTTGACCATTTCACAAGCAGTCATTAAGTGTTGAATGAGTCCTTAATACTTTGTAAGGCACAAGGAGAGGCTTCCAATCTTGTTAAAGAGACTAGATTTAGCAACCCGAAATAATTAATGAATATCCCCATCAATGCAATTGTCCTTGGTTATACCCTCCTCACTTAATCTTCTTCTATCGTATCAGGCACAAAGCCTGGATTTCCACTGTTTTTGCTTGCTCTATTCTTCTCAGAGTTGTAGAACATACTACCTCGGGTTTAAGCAAGATGAAGCTCACTCACCTTCACTTGACCCTTGCTGCTGCTAAATATTTGTCTTCATCTCTCAAATCCTCTACACACTTCCTACAACTACTCTAATAATGGGGCATACGGAAGGAAGTAGGTTTTGTAGTCAAGAGACTTGAATTTTAACATGGGCTTATAAATAAGTGTATAGCTATTTCAGCCTCGGTTTTCTTATCAGCAAAATGGGAATAATCCTAACAACTTCCTAGTGCTTCATTGTGGGTTTCAAGGAAGTGTATGCAAAGTGCCTATTCAGTACCCTGCTCATAGAAGACATTCAACAGCTTTCTTCAGGCCCTGCTATCTCTCCTACTCAGAAAATCTGCTTGGATACTACTTTATTAAAGAAATAGAAATCATCTTGCCTGAATAGCCTCTTCCTTTGATTCGAGTTTTTAAAATTATATCTCTACAACCCTCTCTTCTCCTGCCTTGCAGGAAGGCGGGGCTCGCCTCCTCTCCAGAGCTAACCCCCAAACACACACTCCCTCCCTAATTTATTTAGCAGGCAATATTGATTGCTTATTATGTGCCAGGAACATATAAGGTATTCTGATTCAGAGATGAGTGACTTAGGTTTTGAGGAGCTCACAGTTATTTGGGGGAGATCAGATTGGCAAGGAAATGGACCATCACCACACAGTGAGGTACGCATAAGAAAGTAGGGGAGCATAAGAGAACCAAAAAAGCAAACTGAGATTCAACATGATGTTCTGTCCTTCCATCGTATCTCACCCAAAAGACAAAATCACTTACAAATGAAATTTTTGCCTTTGAGGGTCGTCCACTCACTCAGATTCTGTTTGCAGCCTAAGGACACATCAGACTTGCCATTGTCACAAGGCACTAAGAACTGGCATCTGTAGGTACAAATGATGTCTTAACTCTCTTCAAAGCTTAGGAAACCTGCTCCACCTATCATTAAACATTCCACAGTGATTTGTGCTACCATCTCAGTTGAATTTTAAAATAAGTTCCTGGGCCAGGCCCGGTGGCTCATGCCTATAATCCCAGCACTTTGGGAGGCTGAGGCAGGAGGATCACTTGAGGTCAGGAGTTTGAGACCAGCCCTGGCAACATAGGGAGACCCCTGTCTCTACAAAAAAAGAAGAAGAAGAAATTTAAATTAGCTGGGCATGGTAGCACATGCCTATAGTCCCAGCTACTTGGGGGGCTGAGGTGGGAGGATCATTTGAGTCTGGAAGGTCAATGCTGCAGTGAAGATGTGGTCATGCCACTGTACTGCAGCTTGGGCAACAGAGGGAGACCCTGTTCAAAAAACAAGCAAATAATTTGCTTGACTTTAATATGAATTTAATATGCTTTTACTAAAATATACACACATGCACCCCTGCAAGGACATGCCCTGCCAAATTTCAATAGTCACCTCAAACATCACATTCATTCAGTTACTCATATGCAGGAAACAGTCATTTATTCATTCCTGCTTTCTCAACCCCATGCCTCTTTCTCTAACGCTTTCAGTCCTTCACTTCTCCTGGCTTTCGATTCTCTGCCTTTTAACAGTAACATCCCTGCCCCATCTGATGTCCTTCACACAAACTGGGTATCCTGCCCACCCCCATTTTTCTCCCTCCATTTAGCACAAAAATTCACAAGTTTTTACTGTATCCCCCTCTGCTTTCACATGACACATTGTCTCCTCAACAACTTGCAATGTGGCATCAGGCCCCACGCTTTCAAAAGCCAACTATGGTCTTTCAGTTTACAAACCCAGCAGGCTGTCCTCAGGCTTCATTTGCTTTACTGTGAACTTCTCTGTAGATCTGTGTTCTTTGCTGGTGTCATCCTCCTTTCTTCCACTGTCTCCCCTTTGCTTTTATAAAACAATCTTCACCTGGGTTGTACCTTACTCATCTTTCCTTGCTTTCTCCTTTTTCTCCCTCATCTCATAAATAAGAGTACTAGCCAAAATCTAGTCATTGTTGAGTAATTTTATTCATTTCCAAGGCTTCAACTAGCACTCAATTAACGTGGCTCTCAAATGTACATTTCTAGCCAGGACTGTCGCTGGAACTCCAATCCTGCATCCCAAACTGCATACGTGACGTTTTCAAGGAAATGAACTGCAGCTATTTCAAACACCATATGTAAAAACCCATCACATACTCACAAAACCTCAGATTCTTCTCCTGGCTGCTCTTTTTCTCCTAGTCTTCAAACCTGAAATTCTAGAGTAAGTTTTTAATGCTTCCCTCATACCTGTTTAATTTCCTAATTCTCTAAGTAATTTCTTCCCGGTATCTCCACTTTTCTCGTTGCCTTCACCCTAATCAGGACCTTAATACACACACCTAGATTACAGCAACTGTCTTCTAACCAGTTTCTCTGCCTCGGGCATTCTATCCCTGTCTTCTAACCAGTTTATCTGCCTCCGGCCTTCTATCCGCAGCCAGTCTGTCCTGTACATTTCCAGTGAGTGAGTCTTCCTAGATGATAATATCACTACCCTGCCCAAACATCTTTCATGGCTTCCCAAAATCCAGAGGACAAAGATGTGTAAACGGATAATCATGGCCAGCCACAAGCAAATCCTAACCTACTTTTTAGATTCATCTCCTATGACATGCCATGCTAGCCAAACTGCTGTATTAGCCATACTCGAAAATGCTTTTATGTCTTTGGTCACTGTTCCCTAAAAGAGGACACATGCTCCATTGTCACTTCTCACCAAATACTCCCATTTCTTCAAGGCTTGTTTCAAGCCCCACCTCATCCCAATTCTAGGTCACTCTCACTTCCATTGCTTTCTGAAGCTTTCTGGGTCATGGCACTCCCTATCTCTACATATTTTCATTCAATCTAGTTTGATTATGCCTTATCATAATCAATTATACATTTATATTTAATTTCGGGTTTGGAGGTATTTGAGGAAGAGTGTCATATGATCTCTTAGAATGGTTACTCTTGTGGTGGCACACAAGAAACTATTGCAGGATCAGAATATAAGGTGATGAGGGAAAAGCAGAGATACGTGTATGGAAGCGCTGTGTACCAAACCAGATTGCGGAGCATGGTACAAAGTAAAAGAGAAAATACACTTGGATTTCAATATGAGAAAACATCACTAAGGCTTTATTTCATATGAAAAAGTGGGAATTAGCATGATTTTAGGAAAAACAGTGAGAACATTAATGCGGCCAGAAAAGATTGTTCCCTTAGGAATTTTGTGGTGAGATATTGTCAGATAAAACTGTTGATAACGAACTTCAGTGAGAAACTACACATTTAAATATGGCTATGTTCCAACACAAAATTATTTAATTCCCTAATAATTTCTGTGATGGGAAATTATAATTCAACCGAAGCACTGGCAAACAGAGCTGACTTTTATAGAACATTATCTTTAAATGATAATAAGCATGAGCATACAATCCCTTTGCTATTCAAATTGTCTACATTCATTTACTGCTTAATTCAGCTCTGCTAAGCATCATTATTCAAAATTCTACTTTAGGAAATGGAGAAACCAAACCCAGTTACTATAATAATCTGAATTTCCTCCATTATATTTCCCACAATTTTTTATGTTAATAATTTTTTCCAAAGGTGAAATGTCAATGACACTGATTTTAGCAGCCTGTATTTGCTAGAGCTGGTCTTTTTTCAGAGCCCCTATCTCATCAGCTTAAAAGTTCAAGGGGGTGTTAGTCTTGATATTTGCAGCAATGAAATGCAATGTTCCTGCACGTTTATTCTTTTCCTCTTTTCAGGTTTGCTTTTTTTGTGTTTATTTTCTCATGGTTTCAAAACTTACTCTGCCAAATTGTCAAGTCTGGAATTATTTTCTAGCACTGCAGTCATTGAAGCATAGTATTGTTTTGTTTGCCATCCGGAACATCCTCCAGTTCTACTCAGAGGGGAAGAAGAGGAGAAGAAAGGGGTAGCAGGTGCTGAAGTTCTATTCACAAGGGCACTGACCCTTGGCAGGGGCGTGACAGGGCTTTAAAATAGGATTAGACACCCAAACAAGAAAAAGGTCACACTTGACATTTCCACTGGAAATACCAATGCAAATAGAGCTGATCCTAGGGACATTTTTCACATACACACACACACACACACACACACACGAAATTTTGAGTTGGTTTAAGAGAAAAATGATAAATTTCAATGAATTTTTTTTAAACGCTTAAACAAGCAACTATAGGAAATAGAGCACAATAATAGCAACAAACATGCGTCAAAAATTCATGAGAAATGTCTTCTGTCTTCTGTTGTTTGTTATTTTTAAGGGTTCATTCTTTATTTTGTCATAAGAAGAAAACCAAGGATGGAGTTGATGGGGGAAGTGACATGAAGATCTGGACATGTTGATTTTGATAGATATATAAATTCTCATTATTTTTAAAAACTTAGTCCCTAATCATTGTCATCCCCATTTCTACTTGCAAATTGTCCCATCTGTCTCCTGAATAATAATAGAATAATGATAACATTTTATCTTCCAATTTTTCATTTCATATTAAAGTAGCTGGCCAGGTGCAGTGGCTCACACTTGTAATCCCAACATTTTGGGAGGCCAAGGCTGGAGAATTTCTTGAGCCCAGGAGTCCAAGACCAACCTAGCCAAAGAAGTGAGACCCTGTCTCTACAAAAAAAAAAATTAAAAATTAGCCAGGCATTGGGGTGTACACCTGTGGTCCCAGCTACTCAGGAGGCTGAGGAGGGAGGATCGCTTGATCTTGGCAGGTCAAGGCTGCAGCGAGCCATGATTGTGCCACTGAACTCCAGCCTGGGCAACAGACCAAAACCCTTTCTCAAAAAAATAAAAATTAAAAATTAAAGGAGCTGACCAAATCATCTGATACCAAACTAACATTTGGAGGCACCTGGAAGAGGAAATCTGTCACAAGCTGCTTCAATATCCACCAATCCCTCTTGAAGATTTCCACATCATCCACCAAAAAGGAGACTGTCCGTAAACCCACTGCATAATTCTGAAAAGTCATGAGCCTTCCAGCTCCAAAATTTTGTGCCTTCGTTCGCACAACTGAGACATGTATGTCCATTAACAACATTCCCAAAGTAAGCCAGACCAACACAGGTTTATTCCCAAAACAAAGAATTCTTAGAGGAGTAAATAAATTCTAGAAGCGTGCATGATACAGTTATTCAAAGAAGTCCAAGAAAAACATATCTGCTGTGTAGATTTCAATTTTAATATATTAGACATATATGAAGGGAAGTTCCATCTATACACAAATTGTTTGTTAAGATTCTTGAATGTGTGACTATGGAAAAAATAAAAATCAAATCTACCCTAGAGAAGCTAAAACTCCTGAAGTAAAGAACTGTCCTGAAATGGTATGGTGGGACATGAGGTTTGAGGTAGGGGCAGTAGATTCTACTTCACTCTCGTCCAGTGACTACAGGTTTTAAAACTGCCTACCATATTGAAATGATGTAATTTGCAGTATTTTATTAATCACAAGTCAACCAAGTTGTCAGAGTGTCTGGTATAAGATTACCTTGAGTTTTAACCAAAATCAAAAGTAGAGAAAAACAAAAAAGCAACCCTCCCCGGGGAAATATATGATTCCATTAAGTTATTTGAAATTATTGCAACACATTCAAAGACACTTATAAATACCTAGGTAAGCACCTAGGGACCCTATATCTCAAACTGTTAGAGCTTCTATAAACAGAAGCAACAACCACAAAGTTTGGCTGCACTGAGCCTAGAACATGCTTCACCACATTCCATTCTCACAAATTAAGTGTAATATAGTCATGCATTGCCTTATAACAGGGTTATGTCCGGAAAGATGTGTCATGAGACTGTTTTGTTGTTGCATAAACATCAAAGTGTCCTTACGCAAACCTAGAGGGTGTACACCCTACTACACACCTAGGCTACTGCTCCAAGGCTACACACCCGTACAGCATGTTACTGTACTGAAGACTGTAGGCAGCTGTAACTCAATGGTATGTGTGTTATCTAAATGTAACTAAATATATAAAAGGTACAGTAAAAATAAATATAAAAGTATACAGTGTTTTTAGAAAAACAAAACAGAAAAACAGGCTGGGTGTCGTGGTGGCTCACACCTGTAATCCCAGCACTTTGAGGGGCTGAGGTGGGCAGATCACAAGGTCAGGAAACTGAGACCATCCTAGCTAACATGGTGAAACCCCGTCTCTACTAAAAATACAAAAAAATTAGCTGGGTGTGGTGGCGTGCACCTGTAGTCCCAGCTACTCGAGAGGCTGAGGCAGGAGAATCGCTTGAACCAGGAGGCGGAGCTTGCAGTGAGCCGACATCGCGCCACTGCACTCCAGCCTGGCGATAGAGCGAGACTCCGTCTCAAAAAAAAAAAAAAAAAAAAAAAAAAGTATAAAATGGTACACTTGGCCAGGTGGCTCATGCTCATAATCCCACAGCTTTGGGAGGCCAAGGCAGGTGTATCTCTTGAGCTAAGATGAAACTTACCAAAGTTCAGGAGTTCCAGTGCAGCACGGGCAACATGGTGAAACCCCACCTCTACAAAAAATACAAAAATTAGCCAGTCATGATGGCATCTATAATCCCAGCTACCCGAGAGGCTGCTGAGGTGGGAAGGTTTGAGCCTGAGAGGCAGAGGTTGCAGTGAGCCGAGCTCATGTCATTGCACTCCAGCCTGCCTCAAAAAAAAAAAAAAAAAATAGGTACACTTGTATAGGGCAGTTACCATGAATGGAACTTGCAGGACTGGAAGTTGCTGTGAGTGAGCCAGTGAGTGGTTAGGTGAATGCGTAGGCCTAGGACATTACTGTACACTGCTGTAGACTTTATAAACACTGTACACTTAGGCCACACTAAATTTATTTAAATTTTTTTCTTTAATAATAAATTAACCTTAGCTTACCATAACTTTATAAACTTTTTAACTTATTAAAATTTGACTTTTTTGTAGTGACACTTAGCTTAAAACACAAACATACTGTACAGTTGCATAAAATATTTTCTTTCTTTCTATCCTTATTCTATAATTTTTTTTCTATTAAGATTTTTTCCTTTTTAAACTTTTTTGTTAAAAATGAAGACACAAACATACACATTAGCCTAGGCCTACACAGGAACAAGGTCATCAATATCACTATTTTCCACCTCCACATGCTGTTCCACTGGAAGGTCTTCAGGGGCAATAACACGCATGGAGCTGTCATCTCCTATGATAACAATGCCTTCTTCTGGAACACCACCTGAAGGACCTGCCTGAGGCTCTTCTTGAGGAGGTGTCACTCTTCTCAGAAATACATCCATGGTGGTTTGCTTGGTTTGTTTCTTTTTTCATGACAGATTTGCTTGTAAACAGATAATGATGCACCAAAAACATTCTTCTCTATGAATGAAAACCTTCCGGCATTGGGGGTCTATACTTTCAAATGCTTTAAGGAGTTTGTTGGAGTCTGCAAAAGCTTCTGCTAAAGGCTTCGCTGTGAATTTTCATGTGGGTTCTTCTTTTTCTTCTCCTGCAGTTTTCTTTTCTCTTGCCTCTTCTTCAGCTATGGGTTCCTGCTCCATCACAATCTTATGTATGGGACCACCATCATATATGTGATCCCACCTTGAAGTGTCATTATGCAGCAGGTGGCTGATATCTAAATTGTTCCTTTATCCTTAATGAAATCCAAGAGCTTGTAGAGGAAAATATCTTTTATTAAACATCAGTTTTAAGGTCATAGTTGCTATCTTTTTAACTACATGATATCCAGATTCTGTGGATATTAACTGTAATGGACACCAGGAAGAAAGTGAGAAATTGACTTTAGATTAAACTGAACTTTGGTAAGTTTCACCTTAGCTGCCATTATTGAGATTTACCAGTCTGGAAAAAGAATTTGTGTAAATTACCTTTAAAAATATTCTAATAGCAATAACTAATTTTGGATATTTGCCAAAATAATCTCACCTAAGTATTTATGTGACTATTATCTCTGGGATCACTTAAGTGTTTAGCTGAAGACACAATATTTAACTGAAATGTGAGTTGAGAACTCTTGATAATCATATTATACAATGCAGTTAAAGCAAAAATTCATAATTATATGATTATCATTTCTTTTTCTTAACTGAAGCGTTATAGGACTTTATGAGAAAATGTAAAACATGTCTTGGGAGATAAGGTGAAAAAAACAGAAAAAGAGAGATCATAGCACTTAATCACAGCCCTTAAATTACAAGGAAAGGGAAAAGAATATTCCTTTCACTTTTTTTTAAGACGGAGTTTTGCTCTGCTGCACAGGCTGGAGTGCAGTGGCGCAATCTCGGCTCACTGCAACCTCTGCTTCCTGGGTTCAAGCGATTCTCCTGCCTCAGCGTCCTGAGTAGCTGGGATTACAGGCACATGCCACCACACCCAGCTAATTTTGGCATTTTTAGTTGAGACGGGGTTTTACTATGTTGGCCAGGCTGGTCTGAAACTCCTGACCTCATGTGATCAGTCCGCCTCAGCTTTCCAAAGCGCTGGGATTACAGGCATGAGCCACCATGCCCAGCCATATTTTTAACTTTTAAATATAATGTTCAATTGTTTTTCCAATTATAAAAGCAATACATGCTGAATATGTAAAATTTGAAAAATACAAAACTTAAAATCCCAATTATCTATATAATAACCACTTTTTCAGTGCTTTTACCATGCATATGTGCACATATATAAATAAATAAATACACTCATTTTTCAAGGGGGTTATACTGTTTCTGTAATTGTGCATCCTAGTTGCTTCCCATACACTTTCCAGTCCATCTCTGATCATTCCCCTGGGAGGAGAAATTACTGAGTTAAAGTATATAAACATTTTTAGTGTCTTGCTACCAAAAGTGCAATTGCTTTCCAAAAGTATTATCTATGTATATTGCCTCATTTCTTACTAATAATGCCTATTAGATATTTTATATTTAGATACATATAATGTATAGCTATCATATATCTATATATTTTAAAGGCATAATTTTTGCTTTAATCTGAATCTTTTTGATTACTATTGAGACTGAAATATTGTATTGGTTTCATAGTCATGGTTTTCTTACTGATTTATAATGTCCCTTTATATTCTTTTTATAACTAACATTGTGACAGTATGTTTTTTGCAAATATTTTTCTTATTTCATCATTTTACTTATGCTTTTTAAACAAAATTTCCATTATAATTTATTCCATTGCATTTACTACATTGCTTTCATGCTTAAAAAGTTCATCCTTTGCTGGGCAAGATGGCTTATGTTTGTAATCCCAACGCTTTGGGAGGCCACGGCGGGAGGATGGTTTGAGCCCAGAAGTTCAAGATAGCCTGGGCAACATAGGGAGACCCTAGCTCTTCAAATAATTTTTAAAAATTAGGTGGAGGTGGTGGTGCACACCTGTGGTGCCAGCTACTCAGGAGGCTGAGACAAGAAGATTGCCTGAGCCTGGGAGACTGAGGCTGCAGTGAGTCATGACTGTGCCACTGCACTTCAGCCTGGGCAACAGAGCAAGACAAGACCCAATCTCAAAAAAGGAAAAGAAAAGAAAAGAAAGTTCATCCCCATCTCAAAATTAAACACATACATTTTTCCTCTGGAATTTTTATAATTTTAATCTAATATTTATTACACTGTATAGTAAAAGAATGAAACTATTTTTTTCTCCAATTACTTAACCAGGTCTCTCAACCAACTTGAACTGTAGCCAAGGCTTTTTTATTTTTTATTTTTTTCTGAGATGGAGTTTCGCTCTTGTCACCCAGGCTGGAGTGTAATGGCGTGATCCTGGCTCACTGCAACCTCCACCTCCTGAGTTGAAGCGATTCTCCTGCCTCAGCCTCCCAAGTAGCTGAGATTACCGGCGCCTGCCACCGTGCCTGGCTAATTTTTGTATTTTTAGTAGAGATGGAGTTTCACCGTCTTGGTCAGGCTGGTCTCGAACTCCTGACCCTCAGGTGATTCACCCACCTCGGCCTCCCAAAGTGCTGGAATTACAGGTGTGAGCCACCGCGCACGGACTCCAAGGCTTTTTTTATTTTTTTAATTATGAACTATCATTATAAATATGAAGAACTTTTTCAGAGCTCTCTACTTTACTATTGACTTGTTTATTCTTATTTCAGTACCTAACAGTTTAAGTTTTGTCCCTCCTCTTTGGAGAATTACAAAGTCATTAGTCACTCTTTTTAAAAAAATATAAGTCATGACATTTTCACATGTTTAGTCTTCTAGAAAAACTTTGGAATAATTTGGTCAAGTTCCTAAAGGAAACTATGTTGGCACTGTGATTAGGAATGTATTAGATCTATAAACTAATTTGGAAATGACTGTCAACTTCATCATATTCAGTCTTTCCGTCCAGAAGTAGAGTACATCTTTATGTTTCTCTAACATTCTAGAAAATATTTTTATTATTATTATTGATTAAATATTTTCCCCTAGTATATCTCCTTGGTGGTTATTGCTGCAAAATAGAAAGTCTATTGATTTTGGATTGATTCATTACCTGGCCACTTTATGAAAATTTCCTATATTAAATATTTCTAAGTTGATTCTCTGTATTTTTCTAAATATAAGAAATTATTATTATTATTATGTATTTATTTATTTATAGATGGAGTCTCGCTCTGTTGCCCAGGCTGGAGTGCAGCGGCGTGATCTCGGCTCACTGCAACCTCCGCCTCCCAGGTTCATGCCATTCTCCTGCTTCAGCCTCCCAAGCAGCTGGGACTACAGGCGCCCGCCACCAAGCCTGACTAATTTTTTGTATATTTTAGTAGAGACGGGGTTTCACCGTGTTAGCCAGGATGGTCTCGATCTCTTGACCTTGTGATCCGCTTGCCTCAGCCTCCCAAAGTGCTGGGATTACAGGCATAAACCACCGTGCTCGGCCTATAAGAAATTATTATTATTATTATTTTTGAGACAGTCTCACCCTGTCGCCCAGGCTGGAGTGCAGTGGCACAATCTTAACTCACTGCAACCTCCACCTCCCGGGTTCAAGCAATTCTCATGCTTCAGCCTCCCAAGTAGCTGGGATTACAGGCACGCACCACCACGCCTGGCTAATTTTTTGTATTTTTAGTAAAGACACGGTTTTGCCATGTTGCCCAGGCTGGTCTCAAGCTCCTGAGCTCAGGCAATCCGCCCACATCAGCCTCCCAAAGTGCTGGGATCACTGGCATGAGCCACTGCACCCAGCCAGAAATTATTCTTATTTCTTATAATAATAACTAATATAATTATTATAAGAATTATTATCATAAATAATAATTTGGCCTCTTCCTTTTCTATATACTTCCCACTTCTACTTCAGATGAAATAATGCTAAATAGTGAGTTATTGATGCAACCCTTATCTTATTCCTGATTTTCTTCCCAGTGGTTTATTGTTAAACTCAATCTTGATTTTAAGTTAGGATGGATTTTCTTCATCATTTAGGGTTTCTGACAGATTCAGGACCAAAACTCAGAAAAGTCATTATGTGGTGTTAAACAATATTCATTCTATGATGGTATCCAACTTCACTGTCTGATTTATATCAGGCCTAAAAATCTCATTTTAAAAACTAAACCTTGTATATAATTGAGGCTAACCATATACAAATATACTTGAAGGACTGGATTGGGAGGAGGAAAAGTTAAACAACAGAAACTCAATTTCAGGGAGAGACAGTAGGAGCCCTGAGATTAAAGAAACTCGGCCAGGCGCGGTGGCTCACGTCCATAATCCCTGCACTTTGGGAGGCTGAGGCGGGCAGATCACCTGAGGTCAGGAGATCGAGACCAGCCTAACCAACATGGTGAAACCCCACCTCTACTAAAAATACAACAATTAGCCGTACATGGTGGCGTGTGACTGTAATCCCAGCTACTTGGGAGGCTGAGGCAGGAGAATCATTTGAATCCAGGAGGCAGAGGTTGCAGTGAGCAGAGATGGTACCACTGCACTCTGGCCTGAGCGACAGACTGAGACTCTGTCTCAAAAAAAAAAGGAAACTTACAAAGAGGAAGCGTGAGGGCCGAATTTAATCACAGTCTATGAGGAAAAGGAATCGTGGTTCCACCACAAAATAAAACTATTCTTGAATAAAGTATTTATTATAGTTCATTTATTTTCTTTCTGTTTATAACAAAAGCAATTTAAGATTATGAATATGCCTCATTATATAGCTTTGTTCATATACCATCATCCTGATAGCAGTTTTGCTTCTTTTTCTAATAATTGGTAAATTTTTCATTTTCATTTTACCTAGAAGTTAAAGTATTTCATGAATTGTCAAACACACTTTTTTGCACATTTTACAACTCTGAAGTTGAGATGCATCTGAAAATCAAAGGTGTATCCATTTCACAGATAACTGGTATTTATTGCCATTACAATTAATCCTTTTTTTCTCTCTCTCTCTTTTTTTGAGGCAGGTCTCACTCGGTTGCCCAGACTGGAGTGCAGTGATGCAATCTCGGCTCCTCCTGGGCTCAAACAATCCTTCCACTTCAGCCTTCCCCATAGCTGGGACTACAGGCACACACCACCACATCCAGCTAACTTTGCATTTATTGTAGAGACAGTGTTTCACCATGTTGCCCAGGCTGTTCTCAGAACTGCTAGGCTCAAGTAATCCACCCACCTCAACCTCCCAAAGTGCTGAAATTACAGGTGTGAGCCACCACACCCAGGCAATCATTTGTTTCAGGTTTTGTGTTTCATTTTTATTTTATGGCATTGAGGTTAGACAATCTGGTCTATTCAGCTTCTACTTGGGAAGAACTTAATGAGATTATCTTTTCTCAATGTAATCAATTTTTGAAAATATTTCACAAGCATATAAAAAGTGTGTTCTCTGGATTACACAAAGTTCAACAATTAACTGTAAAGTCAACTTAATTACATGCAAAATTTCCATGTCTATATATCAGCTACTTGATTTGTCAAAAGCTCAAAAAAGGTGTATTATATTCCATAATAATTTATTTGTGTCCACTGCTCTATGCATTTCCAGTATTTTTTACTTGATATGGAGTTTGACTCCTATTATTATAATACCTATATGATTCAGCTTATGCAGGTTTATAGATTCTTTTTCCATAGCACAAGCAGTACTTTTTATCAATGTAAAATGACCCCAAATGACAATTTGATTCCTTATTTTGCTCTATAAGTTTTGTGGTGTTTGTAAATTCCTCCCAGATTCTGGCAATAGGATGGCTATTAGTCTTATTTTTCAGTATTGCTAAAGAGATTTCATTTTATTTTGGGCCTCTGGGTACATGTTTTTCATGGAAATTTAGAAGAGGCTAAGTCAAATTTAATTTGAAACAGAAGCCATCCCAGAACAAAAGTATGCAGAATGCCTACAATCTACCAATCTCTGTGCTAAGTACTTTACAAACACTAGCTTATTTAAACATCTCAGTAACTTCATTAGATGGACAGGTGTGCGTCTAACATCTGCAGGCGGGAGCCACTGCACAAATGGAGGTCCCGTTCCCACACCCGGCTCTGTCCAGTGCCACAGGCATCTCGCACACAGGAGTGAACACTGCAGCGCAGCTCTGCTCCATCTAATTTCCATCCTCCTTTGCTGACCCCTTCTCTCAGTGGCACCATTATGGCACCAGGGCCCACCCTGTGAAGACAAACCTGAGAAACAGTCCTATACTGGCCCTGAAAGTAGGCCCTGCTGTTTGGGTCCAAAATTCTGGGTTCCAGAATCCCCAGAACATGGGGAGGCACAGGCCTTGGGAGGATGGGCCATATCTCCTTGGACTTGCAGACTCCCAGCCCCATAGGAAAGATGAAGTCAGAGAAGGGGAGGCGCAGGGTCCTCTAAGGCAGGGAGGGGCAGTGCACCAGGATAAGGCCTGGTTGCCTAGGTCTAAGGACGATACTGGAAGTAGATGGTGTCCCCTGCCAGTGTTAGAGACCTGCATCATTAAACCTGTATTTGTCCAATCCTAAACCCATTCTTTCTAACTTTAGTACTTTAATTTATGTGGATTATAGAGGTACAATGATTTCAAACAATGGGCTATAGTATTCTGAAAAGGACCTTGAGATTTCTGAAGTTAAAAAAAGAAGATATAGAAAGCAGTTCTCCTCCTTATACTGGTTGCCTTATTTCGCTGAGGAAGGAAACTGAGCTACCAAATCTACTGTTATTAAATTTACACTTATTTACCTTCATTCAGATGTCGTCCTATGAACTTAGATTTTAGATGGACTCAGAGAAGTACCCCGATTGCCTTTCCTGTCAGAAAGCAACATTGGAAGTAAGTACACAAGGTGCTGCACTGCCAGGCAATGCCTTCTTGTCCATCGTCACGGTGCCTAGGAGGAACTGGGATTCCTTGTCCCAGGGGCCAATTTCTCAAACCAAAAAAAAAAAAAAAAAAAGATTCTAAATAGGTTTGCCTCCTGCCTCCCGCAAGGGAGACTGGCACACAGCTAATGGGCTCCAGCAGGACCCTCAGAGCCTGAAAGATGTACCATAATTTCCCTTTTGTGACTAACAGCAGTTCCCTGGTGCGTCACACAGCATTTTACATGTAGCGATGAATGGTTCATTAGCTCATTCCTCATCCTCTAAGCTGTGTGTAAGCTGGATTCCTTCTTCAGTGTGTTCATTTAACTTTTCTTCTTTTTTCCTCAATTTTTCTTTTCTTTCAGTTTCATTTGGATGCCTTTAAAAAAAAAGTCATTCTGTACTTTTGCCATTCTAAAGTCACCACAATCTCTCCATTCTCATTGTTTAATAAAGCCATTTTCCTTCTTGTGAGTCTCTCCCCTTCAATTATTCACAACACTCTCCTGTAGGATGATGTGTGTCACTATCAGCTGACCTGACCTCACTGTGGTCATCTTTTTTACTCCATCTGCCTTGTGACTGAAAAACACTGTAACACCTAAATTACATTATAAATTATAGATGGAGACAATTGAAGATTGTGATATAGGCTAGAAATAAGCCTTTGTTTGTTTTAGCTTAGATGGTCGTGGAGGGGTGGATGGGCTTATGATGTGTAGTTAAATCAAACATCCAAAAATGCATGATAACAACTGCAAAGACTGAAATAGAAGCTCCAACAGACCAGCCCACCTCTGAGGAGAGCCAGAGAAATGAAGGGATCAGAGAGAATGGAGGAGGATGAAAATACCAGTGAAAGAGCTGCTTCTGTTTATGTCTACTCACCAGATATACAAATTACTAATGATGAGCAACACTACAAGCAAATCTTTTAATCATGCCTTTTTCTAGCTACCAGTGATGACAGCAGCATTGGCAAGTCTCCCAGAATGGCACATGTGAGAGTTCCTCTATCTGATAGTAGGTAGTGTGGATATCAAGTACTATCTGATGTAGCAAAACTTCTTTTAATTTAGGAAATTATCATTTAATCAGACACAGTTTGTTCCATTCTGAATGGTTGTATTTTGTTCTTGGTTGAGTTCATGGATTAGAATAACCCAGGACATGAAAACCTAACCCATGATAAGATTTAGAATTGCTTGCTGTTAAGGATCTTCAAAAAAGTTTCACCTACTTTGAATGTACCTACTTTGAAAATTTAAAACACAGGAAAATTAAAATTAAGTATACAAAGTAAATATATATAAAAATTCTTTCCTGCAGTTACTTTCATCTGAGTTTTTTCCCACTGAACTATACATGGATTCTTTAATTTTTTTTAACTTAGGAGAGTTTAGTAATTATGAACTATGAATTTTTTCTTCCTTTTTAAAAAAAGTAATTATAATTCAAAAGAATCAGGAAAAAATCCACCAGCAAATAGAACTGAAATATGTTCTAAAAGATTAATGTTACTTCTCCAACATGTTTAACTATTAATGTGATATACAGTTTAAATTAATTTATTTCACCTCTAAATTTTGAATATTTTAAAATTACTCTTTGTTCACTATAACTAATAGTAGCTGCTGGCATTTCCTTCTCCAAACATCACTAGACTTTAAAGTTCTAGTGATTCAGACAAGGCTTTTTTCTCTATTTGAAAATACCAAAACTATTTGCTCCCTGAGAGAGGGGATATTGTCTTACTCATTATCTGTCTCTAGTACCACCTAATTCAAAGTGGATAGTCAATAAATATTTTTTGAAATCAAATGAAAATTTTTTTAAAGACAGGGTCTTGCTCTGTCACCCAGGCTGGAATGCAGTGGTGTGATCAGGGCTCACTGCAGTCTCAATCTCCTGGGCTCAACTGATCCTCCCACCTCAGCCCCACTAGTAGCTGGGACCACAGGTGTGAACCACCATGCCCAGCTAATTTTAAAATTTTTTTTGTAGTCAATGTATTGCCCAGGCTGGTCTCAAATTCCTGAGCTCAAGCCATCCTCTGGTTTTGGTCTCCCAAAGTATTGGGATTACAGGAGTGAGCCATGACCAGGCCAAATGAAATTTAAAATCAACTTTAAGCTCTCAAAATTTGCCACTTGTGAATAGCAGACTAAAAAAACAAAAATAAAACCTCATTCTCCCTATGACAATGGAAACCCAAATGCCTAGCATCACCAAAATATATTAACATCTTAAATACCTAATTTATTATTTAAGGCATAACTCAGATACCAAAGGAATATAGTGTTCTGGTAAAAATAAGATCTTAATAATTTAGGCCAATAAAGGAGCCTACCAGCTTGACTAAGTACAATGGCGCATTATTTTACTACAGTACTGTTGTTCTAATTTATTCAGCATCTACATATGCAGACCTTAAAGGTGTTTTAATGTATAGCAAGTGTAACTTCCTAACTTTTTAGAGTTTGGTTGATTTGGATATATCTTTAAAGGTCATTGGTTTAGTGAATAAAATAGTATCTCATTTATCTAGTAGTATCAGAAATAAGATATTTCAATTTTGTATATTTTGAGAGAACTCTTTCTAAATCTAAATCTAAAGTGACCTACACACTTCCCTACCTTGTTAAGGAAAGTGAACATAATTTAATTTTCCTGATGGCTCAGAGATTTCCTCATGAGCCTCCATCCCTACACAATTTCACTACAATGGCTGTAGGACCCAGAGCAGGTAGGCTGCTTTTCCCTTACATAACACCATGTATGTATGTGATATTACACAGTTCACAGAATTGTTATGAACACATCAGTGCATTTAATTTGTATTAAGTGGTTCCAGACTGCCATACTTTTTAGTTTCTTCAGCAGTTTTTCTACGTTCTAATTTGCTTTCAGATTGTTTGGCTGTCACTGCTTGCAGCTAATAGTGCCTCCTTTGGGTTCCTCCCTACAGATTTCTAATTATCAGTCTCCAGTTTCATATAACTTAAATAGGAGATAGGCAGATGTGTTAAAACTGTCTCTAAAATAGGCTGGGCATAGTGGCCCATGCCTATAATCCCAGAACTTTGGGAGGATAAGGAGGGAGGATCACATGAGGCCAAGAGTTTGAGAACAGCCTGGGCAACCCAGCAAGACCCCATCTCTGTAAAACAGTAAAATTACCCAGGTGTGGTGGCATGCCCTTGTAGACCCAGCTACTCAGAGGCTGAGGCAGGAAAATTCCTTGAGCCCAGGAATTTGAGGCTGTAGTGAGCTATGGTCTCATCACTGCACTCTAGCCTGGACCACAGAGTAAGACCTTGTCTCTAAAACAAACAAACAAACAAACAAACAAAATTATCTCTAAGTGAACTTAGAGTTGAAGTGAAGCTTTGGGAAATTCTATAAATATTAATGTTCATAAGCCATGGCACGTGGATTTTCTGATAGCCCTTTAGTCTTCACAAAGCCAGTATTCTTAAAGCTATTAATCATATTCCATCCATCCATCCAAATAATACTTACATGCAGAGTGCCTCCCAGAGTCAGAAACTAATATATAACAGGATTACAATGATTAATAAAACAAATATGGTCATTACCCTAATGGAATGTACAATTTAGGAGAGAGAAAGGCAATAAACAAGTGAACAAGCAAATAAACACTTAACTGCAACCCTGGTATGTATGTTCTCATTGTGATTATAGTAACCACAAATCCCCAACATGATCACTGTAGTATAATTACCTTCTATTTATACTGCTTAGTACTTCGTGGCATTTTCATGTTAACCACAAAAGTTAGGAAGTGAAAGCCTTGACAAACAGGAAACTAAGATTCAGAGAACTTTATAAGGTCAGTGGTCCAACCAGAGCTTGAACAAAGTAAATCTGATTCCCCCAACCCCCATCTTGTGTTCTTTCCATTTGATGAAAGGACATAGCTTGGAACAAGCTCCATAGAGGAGCTATCTTTCCTTCACTATCCCTAGGTTTTATCACCTACAAAGCCCACCGCAATCTTTCGAGGCTGGTTCATTAACAATTTGACAAGTTTGTATTCGTTCTTTAAAAATTCGACCTCTACCCAGCAAGTTATTGAATACCCTTAGCAAAGTCACTCAATAAACAATGATAGTGGTTAGAATAGGTTCTCATGGGAGATAAGGTTTCATTTCAGGGATGTTTTCTTTCAGTCACCAGTAAAATATCTGAGCAGCACCATCTTGCAGAACAAGATACAAGGCACTCAGAGGGGCAAGGCAGTAAAGACATTTTAGTGATTTTAATTAAGAAGGTAGTGAATTTTAGTCGTGAATACCACAAAGGAGGGGTAGCAGAGGAAAAGGACAAAGAACAAGGACCAGGACTTGGAAGTCATCAGCATTAATAGGTTATAGAAAGTACAGTGCTCAAGAAAGACCCCTGTGAATGTGTGAGCTGAGTTATATAAAGAGGCAGAGACCCTGGTGCTGGTAGGACCAAAGTCACATGCCTGAAGACCAAGAGATCTGAGATTGTGCCAGCAAAAGAATTTCAAGAACTTCAGAGAGCCACATTTCAGTCAAGGGAATTAAACTCAAATTTTAGGGTGGCATAGGTGAAATTAAATATTAGTAAATATTGGCAAATATAATAATTCAACAAATGTCTTGTTTATTTAATGACAAAACAAATATCCAGTTAACTGAAGACAGCCATTGCCATATGATAGTTTACCATGGCTTTATTTATTTATTATTATTATTTTGAGTTGGAGTTTCACTCCTCCACCTATTGTGTTCAAGCGATTCTCCTACCTCAGCCTCCCAAGCAGCTAGGATTACAGGAAAGTGCCACCACGCCCAGCTAATTTTGTTGTTTTAGTAAAGATGGGGTTTTGCCATGTTGGCCAGGCTGGTCTCGAACTCTTGACCTCAGGTGATCCACCCGTCTCAGCCTCCAAAAGCACTGGGATTACAGGTGTGAGCCACCACACCCAATCAACTTTCAATAAATTTTTAAGAAAATATTTTAATGGTCTTCCTAATTAAAAGAATCTGACCAGGCGCTGTGGCTGTAATGTAATCCCAATTCTTTGGCATGTCAAGGCGAGCAGATCACTTGAGGCCAAGAGTTCGAGACCAGCCTGGCCAACACAGTGAAACTCCTTCTCTACCAAAAATACAAAAATTAGCCAAGCGTGCTGGCACGTGCCTGTAATCCCAGCTACTCCAGGGGTTGAGGCAGGAGAATTTCTTGAACCCAGGAGGCAGGGGTGATGGTGAGCCGAGATCATGCAACGGTACTCCAGCCTGGGGGAAAAAGCAAGACTCTGTCTCCAAAAGAAAAAAAAATCTACTTTGGCTTACTCTAATTATTTTTTGTGATTATATACATAATAATCATCAAATTGGTTTTGTGGCCTTTTATTACCACACCTCTGTGCTCTCTTTAAGATTAACCTCATCGGTAATTTACTATTATATTATGTTTTTCAGTGAAAGAATAATTTTATGTTTTGTATTTACATATCATTCCCTATAAAAGTGAAAAGTAGACATTGCTATCTTAAGTATGCAAAAAATTAGCTTCCTAGGCATGACAAGAAAAGAATATATTTTCATTTTTAACATATATTTAAACTTTATATAGCATTGCTATACTAATATGCTAATAATAAGCTAATAAATGTTTGTTGACTTGAGCATCACAACTACATAGTTTTTTGTTTGCATGTTTGTTGTCTTTTTTGTTGTTGGTGGTGGTGGTTGCCAGAAATATGATACAATACATCCAACTAACTGCTTTAATAACCAAGTAAATTAGGGGAAGGTTTTTAGCCCCTTTTGGAAATGATCAACAGAAGAATCTTGGTCTCCAGAGTCCTATCTCTACTCTTTTTTAGTTAATATATAAGCTAAATTCTTCTAATAAAGAATTTACTATTCTATATTCCCATGAAATAAAAAGAGAAGCATTTTCAGAAAGGAGGAGTTTAAGGAAAATAAAGTTGGGCTCAGTAGCTCCCTGCACTTTGGGAGGCCAAGGTGGGAGGATTGCTTGAGCTCAGGAGTTCAAGACCAAGCCTGGGCGACATAGTGAGAACTCATCTCTATAAAAAATAAAATTCTCTACAAAAAATAAAACTCATCTCTACTAAAAATAAAATTAGTCAGGCGTGGTGGTGTATGCCTATAGTCCCAGCTACTTGGGAGGCTGACGCAGAAGGATTGCTTGAGCTGGTGAGACTGAGGCTGTAGTGGGCTGAAATCAGACCACTGCACCACTCCAGCCTGGGTGACAGGGAAAGACCCTGTCTCAAAAAAAAAAAAAAAAAAAAGGTAGGGGAAGGGAGGGGAGGGGAGGGGAGAGGAGAGGGAAGAGGAGGGAAAGGGAGGGGAGGGGCACTGCTATGACCCAGTCTCCTGTTGTCTGTAAGTCACAAAGATAAACAGATTCAGTATTTTCATTGCTACCCACCCAAAAGCCCCAAAGGAGATTTCCAGTGTCCTCCCTTGTCATCCATGCAGGCCGACCGATTCTCAAAACAGTCCCAAAGCTAAGGACACCCTTGTTTGAAAAAAAAAAAAAAAAAAAAAGTCGAAGAAGAATGCCACACCATTTTGGCATTTTTCCAAAACTCAATTGCTACCACTCACATTAACACCACAGCCCTACAGAGACATAAAGAAGTACGCCCCTGCTAACAGGAAGATGCATTGAAACCAAACGAAATCTACCAACGCTTGAATGGCATGTTTTCATTTCACTCAGTGATCTCTGAACATTGATCTTCCCTTGATCATTTCCCAATTTCCTAGGCTCAACCAGGGAAACCCACTGAATAGCAAGTAATCTAGCAAATTCTTTACCTTCTCTGTTAGTATAATTGATCAACAATATCCATTGCTCTTTTAAAACACATGGATGTAGATGTATATATATATACACATTTATGTATCACTGTATTCTTTTTTTTTTTTTTTTTTTGAGACGGAGTTTTGCTCTTGTCACCCAGGCTGGAGTGTAATGGCTCATTGCAACCTCCACCTCCCAGGTTCAAGTTATTCTCCTGCCTCAGCCTCCCGAGTAGCTGGGATTACAGGTGCCCACCACCACACCTGGCTAATTTTTGTATTTTTAGTACAGACGGGGTTTCACCATGTTGCTTGGCCAGGCTGGTCTCGAACTCCCGACCTCAGGTGATCCACTCGCCTTCGCCTCCCAAAGTGCTGGCATTGCAGGCATGAGCCACTGTGCCTGGCCTATCACTGTATTCTCAAAAGTATTTTTAGAAAATTTGGCATGTTTCATGCTGATTTTTTGAGAGAAATATAGTTAACTAGTAAAGCACAAATTAAAATTGAAAAGGTAGAGCACACCAATCATTTTTCTTTGTGATATACACACATGCATAATATTTATGAAAACAACCATTCTTAAGCATTGAAACAAGGCCATTGGGAACCTTGGACTTGGTTTGGGTACATCTAGAACATTTACATGATGGTGAGTTCCTGCTGCTTCATCTCTAAAATGGAGCTGGTAATACTCACTCTGCAATTTATATCTTTAACTTCCTTTGTGTATAGGCTAATGTACATATTTTCCACATTGTGTAGCAAATATAGCCCCCCTGTGTGACACTGAAAAACAATTGTGATTTTCCCCACCCTCCCCACCCACAAAAGAGTCAGTACCAAGTAGACTATGTCCTCAATTCTCCTACCTGTGATTTTTAAATTTTTTTTTTTTTTTTTACTACTGAGTAATCACCAACTCTCTGTTACATCCCAACACTGCAAACCTATGAAACAAAACACGGACCAGAACTTCTGAAATAAAGCAGAAAGGTAGAATTCATTTTAAGCCACCACAATTGGCAGGCCAAGAGTTAAGAAACAGTGTGGACATTAGCATTAAGTATTACCTACAACAAAAATTTAGGGTTGCGTGGTCTGTAGGCATTTTCCCCCTCACATGGAGAACTAAGAAACTTCAAATTTTTATTTTTATTTTTATTTTTTTGAGACAGAGTCTCACTCTCTGTCACCCAGGCTGGAGTGCAGTGGCGCGATCTCACTGCAACCTCTGCCTCCCATGTTCAAGCGATTCTCCTGCCTCAGCAAATTTTTATTTTATTTTATTTTGAGACTGGGTCTCATTTTGTTGTCTAGGCTGGAGTGCAGTGGTGCAAACACTGCTCACTGCAGCCTCAACCTCCCAGGCTCAAGCAATCCTTCTGCCTCAGCCTCCTGAGTAGCTGAGACTACAGGCATGTGCCACCATGCCCAGCTAATTTTTTATTTTTTGTAGAGACAGGGTTACCCAGGCCGGTCTCAAACTCCTGGGCTCAAGCCATCCTCCCACCTTGGCCTCCCAAAGTGTTGAAATGACAGGTGTGAGCCATCGTACCTGACCAAAATTTTAGATGTTAATGTTAATAAACTTTTAAAAGAATCCCAAAATGCTGCTATGCCTGTATAGCAGAATATTCATCTCCTGGGTGAAACTGAAGGTGTTAAAACAAAAATTTCAAACTCACCCACTCTACTAGTTCTGGCAGATATTCCTGAGAATTTTAAATCCAAAGAATTTAAGGACTATTATGAAAGATACAAAGTCACAAATACCGTTTTACCTAGGAAGCATGTAAAGTCATGAATATTTTTCCCTAATTTTTAAAATAAAAAATGAGTTAGCTTTCAATAATTAAACTCATTCTTTGTTATATGTTTTATTATTATATTTGTTACTTAAAATAATTGAGACCTGGAAAATTGCTGTGAGAAACTCAATAGTCCATTTGATTAATATTCTAATGTAAGGTTATATTCAAGTCAGTTTAATTGTAATAATATTTGTATGCTTAAATAATATATACTGAAACCCTGGAGTAATCTTCTATTCCTCTGAAATACATGGTTATTAAGGAATGAGTTAAATATGTACAAGTGAATTTTTTAAAATGCCATTTGTTTTTCAGTTTACTAAAGAAAATGTATTTTTGCAACCAGGATCCACTGGGCTGCTTTATTCAACCCCGCGTCTCCCCGCCCCCACCTGTTCCACATGAGGCCTGAGCTATACTAAAATTTTGCAAAGCCTTGCATTGTTCTCCCTGACACCGGATCAGCCCACACAAAAAAGCAACTGCCCGCTCAAAAGCAATCCGGTGATGGAGCCTGGTGCTATCTAATCAAGGGCAAAAGGTCACTTCCGAACAACTGGGCAATAAAAGATTATTTCTAGCGACAAAACAGGGAGGCCCAGTGGTGGGGGGTAGAATGTGGGGAGGAGCTGGGGAGGAAGGAGGGCAAAAGGGCTCCAGTCTGTGGGAGGAAGTGCATTGACTCAAGGCAGCAGACGGGAACCATCTGGCTCCTTCTGAGGTCTGTTTTTTAAGACAAGAGAGAAAGCCCCCTTTAAAGGGGACAGTGACTCTGGGCTGTGCGATTCACACTTTTGCATAATATAAAACCAGCTTTCCCAGACCTAGAAAAATCAGGGAGAGAGGGAAGGAGGGAAGAAATCTTTCCCAAATGGAAGGATTTGTCTTAGCAAATGTTAACCAGAGGAACTGCTGCTTTTGGTCTCAGCAGATCAGTAAATAAACTCTCTTGATAAGCACTAAGTAGACGATCCAGCAACTGGTGTTTAATTATTATTTGAAGTTAACCTTAACTTAAAACACATGCACACACAGTTTTTAAAGAATATAAAATTCCGTTTTGGTGATACTGCTGTGCTAACATCTTCCGTCCTCCCAGGAGCTACTTCTGCTGCACCACTCCCTTCCCCCATCACCAATCTTCTGGCTTCCAGAGTCTTTTCACTTGTTCTTATTGAAGCACCTTTGAATGGGTGCGAGGAAATTAAAGGGCCTATTATATTCAGCCTAGTTGCTTTGGTCTGGGGAAAACTAGAATTACAGATAGTGTACCCTATTTTCCCCACCCTCCCCACCCACAAAAGAGTCAGCACCAAGTAGACTATGTCCTCAATTCTCCTATCTGTGATTTTTAATTTTTTTTTTTTTTTTTTTTTTTTTTTTTTTACTACTGAGTAATTACCAACTGAAATAGAAAGTGCCCAGGCTGAGAGATCACCGCTGGCTGTGTGGCTGCAGACATGAGATCCTGATTACAGTAATTCAAAATCTACAGAACAGGAAGCCTGATCATCTTCAGACTTGTTTCTCTTTTTTGAGGGGGTGGAGGAAGAGAAGTGCAGCATGGCTAACAGACCAGCAGATCTGGGACTGTTCAGGGTGGGCCACTGTTTGATATTCATGTTTTTCAATATAAGCATCTTTTTTTTAAATGGCTGTGTCTGAAAATTGGAATTTGGAATAAATATCTGCTGACCAACCCAGCAGCACTGCTAGGAAGGAAATAGAGCATTTAAATGTCTATTTCTCTGAGGACAACCAAACCTTTGTCCCAATAGAACACATTCACAAACTGTTCTACAGAGGAAATTTCATGTAAGTAGGAAGCAGAAATGGAGATAAGGAAACTAGAACTTGCTTTTTGACATCCACATAAGCATGAGAAAATATTATGACAGAAAAATAATAAAATGACATTATAAATGTCAATAACTTTTATTACTGTCTACTACATATTGGTCACTGGACATTAGGTATAATGGGACTGCCACAGAAAGGTACCTAACCATTTTCTCAAGGTGTTTATAATCTAAAAGTGGGTAGGATAAACCCACTTGGAAAACATGCAAAAGAATATATACATCAGTCCAATACTAATTGTTCCTTCATGCTTAAGGGATACTGGAATAAAATGTTCTTAGATTAGGCTGGGTTACTTTGAGAAGACTTTAATGGTGAGATGAATTTCAAACAGAATTTAAGAGAAGGGTAGCCAAGCGTGGTGGCTCACGCCTGTAATCCCAGCACTTTGGGAGGCCAAGGCGGGCGGATCACAAGGTCGGGAGTTCAAGATCGGCCTGGCCAATATGGTGAAACCCCGTCTCTACTAAAAATACAAAAAATTAGCCAGGCGTGGTGGCACACGCCTGTAGTCCCAGCTACTCGGGAGGCTGAGGCAGGAGAATGGCATGAACCCGGGAGGCAGAGCTTGCAGTGAGCCGAGACTGTGCCACTGCACTCCAGCCTGGGTGACAGAGCGAGACTCTGCCTCAAAATAATAATAATAATTAATTAATTTTAAAAAATAAAAGAAGGGTAGATATGCTTTGGGAGAGTGAAAAGAACATAACAGTCTCTCCCAGCCAAGCAAGTTTAAAGGTGGAATGACAAATTCCGAGTCTGCTCAGTAGTATTTGATGTGCTGAACTGAAGAGATTAACAGATGAGGACATTTCAGGGAGCAAGGAACTGCCACACACAAAGGTTACGAGCTCCAAATGCAAATCAAAAACCACAAAGAGATACCACTTTACACCCATCAGGATGGCTATTACCAAAAAAAAACCTCACCAAAAACAAAAAACCTGATAAAATAACAAGTGTTTGTGAGGATGCAGAGAAACTAGAACCCTTGCACTGTCAGTAGGAATGTAAAATGTTACAACCACTATAGAAAACTGTATAGAGATTCCCCAAAAAAATTAAACACAGACTTACCATATGATCCAACAATTTCACACAAAAGAATTGACGACAGGGAACTTGAAAAGAATGTTCATTCAACCATGTTCACATCAGCATTATTCACAATAGCCAAAAGGTGGAAACAACGCAAATGTGTATCAATGAATGAATGCATAAACAAAATGTAACAGATACATACAACGGAATATTATTCAGCCTTAAAAAGGAAGGAAATCCTCACACATGGCATGACATGGATGCACTTTGAAAACGTTATGCTAAATGAAGTAAGCCAGACACCAAAGTACAAATATTATATGTTTCTACTTATATAAGATACCTAGAGTAGTCAAATTGTTAGAGACAGAAAGTAGGATCCTGATTACTAGGGTCTGGGAAGGAAAGGAATGGGAGTTATTGTTTAATGGGTACAGAGTTTTCATTTCAGATGATGAAAAAGTTCTGGAAATCAATAGTTGCACAACAATGTGAATGTACTTAATGCCAGTGGACTGTACGCTTAAAAATGGTTTACATGGTAAGTTTTACATTATGTATATTTTAACACAAAAAAATACACTAAGATTTTGTTAAAAAGAAGAAAAAAAAGAGGATAAGCTTAACATCAGTGAGGTTGGCTTTAACTACTATTTCTGCCACTTAATAGCCATGTGATGTTAGTCAAGGTACTTACTCCTTAAGGCTAACTTTTTCAACTATGGAATTAGGGTAATGACATTCACAATCCAGCCTATAAATACAAGAAATAATGTAAAATGGCCGACAGGAAAAGGATTAACTAGGATTCTTGAATGCAAGAAACAGAACCACAAACTGAAATAGGTCACAGAATTTATTGGCTTATTAAAGCAAACCAAGGACTTCCATTTCTTTCAATCTAGCTTATCATTTCTACATTGTAGTTTCTGTGACTGCTAGAGACGTAACCAATGGGATTCCAGGCACACATCCCTACATTTTCACAACTAAACAGGGAAAAGCTCTTCCTTTGATCCTGTTTGAAAAAAATCCTAGGGAAAGATTCTGATTAGACTATCCATGGTCACATGCCCCCTCCCTTGGACCAATCACTGTGGCTAGGCTAGGAAAGTGAGAAGACCCCTCATAAAAAAGTATGTGTTAAAGAGAGAGGAAAGTAATACAGCCACTGGGAGAATAGATGTGAACCAAGTAGACATGTTATTGGGCGACTATTACAGCAAACTCTGGAAACGGCAAGCTAGATTTTTATGCACAAGATTAACAGAAGCCATGTTAGATATCTGAGCAGAGAAATGATCATTTACCCAAGAAATATACATTTTATATTATTTAGAACTAATTGGTTAATTCAGTAGTTCATTTATTAATAATGTCTTAAGTTTCTACACATAGTACAATTTTCCAAATAACTGGAATTTACTCTCCCAAGTAGTAAACTTTTTATTCTTTGAATTTTATCTAAAATATATTGTATTCTTCTTATGATAAAAAACAAAAACAAATTTTTGTAAATTCAAGATCATTATTATTAAAATTAAATATCATACTATGTCATACTACACCAGTAATTTCAGGAACACTTTTGGTGCTTAAAACTGCTGAAATCCTGGCCAGGCGCAGTGGCTCATGCCTGTAATCCCAGCACTTTGGGAGGCCAAGGCAGGTGGATCACCTGAGGTCAGGAGTTTGAGACTAGCCTGACCAACATGGAGAAACCCCATCTCTACTACAAATACAAAATTAGCCAGGCGTGGTGGCACATGTCTGTAATCCCAGCTACTAGGGAGGCTGAGGCAGGAGAATCGCTTGAACCTGGGAGACAGAGGTTGCGGTGAGCTGAGATTGCACCATTGCACTCCAGCCTGGGCAACAAGAGCGAGTCTCAAAAAAAAATAAATAAATAAAACGCTGCTGAAATCTTTTAATCCAAGGCCCAGAGTGTCTGCTTCCAAAATATCCTCTCTTTTCTATCGTCCTTCATCCTGCCCCTAATTGCTGAGTAACAGACATCTAGATAATTAATTACTCTAAATAAAATAAGACTCTCATGGTGTATTTTATAGGAAAAAAGTGGATTGACTCTTGTCCAAATAATGGTTAGTATAGATGTTCAAGGATTTGTTCTCTTTGGGTTCACAACAGTGTTTAGGAAAGTTGCAAGTCAATCTCTGCCTGAAACCCAGATGCTTCAGAACATTAAGTCACGAAGTTTTCAACTTTGTGATAGAATCAAAGATGGCTAAGGCATTAAAAGTTTTTTTTTTTTTTTTTTTTTTTTTTTTTTTTGAGACTGAGTCTCGCTTTGTCGCCCAGGCTGGAGTGAAGCGGCGCCATCTCAGCTCACTGCAACCTCCGCCTCCTGGGTTCATGCCATTCTCCTGCCTCAGCCTCCCTAGTAGCTGGGACTACAGGCGCCTGCCATCACGCCCAACTAATTTTTTGTATTTTCAGTAGAGACGGGGTTTCACCGTCTTAGACAGGATGGTCTCGATCTCCTGACCTCGTGATCCGCCCGCCTCGGCCTCCCAAAGTGCTGGGATTACAGGCGTGAGCCACCGTGCCCGGCTGGCATTAAAAGTTTTTAATATGGTTATTGAAACATATTTTATGAAAATGAACTATATGGAGATTATCACCAGGTTTTTTTTGTGTTGTTGTTGTTGTTTGATTTTTGTCTTGAGACAGTCTTGCTCTGTCACCCAGGCTGGAGTGCAGTGGCACAATCTTGGCTCACTGCAACCTCTGCCTCCCAGGTTCAAGCAATTCTCCTGCCTCAGCCTCCTAACTAGCTGGGACAACAGGCACAGGCCACTATGCCTGGCTAATTTTTGTATTTTTAGTAGAGACAGGGTTTCACCATGTTGGCCAGGCTGGTCCGGAACTCCTGACCTCAAGTGATTCAGCCTCCTCGGCCTCCCAAAGTGCTGGGATTACAGGCGTGAGCCACTGCACCCGGCCGTCACCAGGTTTTAAACTGTGAGTTTTGGATTATAGATATAATAGGAAATCAGAAGAAATTTGTTTGAATATTGACAAAGTGAATTCATTTGGCTTAGGGTTTATTGGCTATTGAATTTCTCAACTGCATATTCTGAAGAAGTATCAGTCAGATTAAGAATTTCTTGACTCTAAAAGAGGTCACGAAATTAGCTGGGCATGGCAGCGTGCACCTGTAGTCCCAGCTGCTGGGGAGGCCGAGACAGGAGAATGGCGTGAACCCGGGAGGCGGAGCTTGCAGTGAGCCGAGATCACGCCACTGCATCCCAGCCTGGGCGACAGAGCGCAACTCTGTCTCAAAAATAAATAAATAAATAAAAATTTAAAAAAGAGGTCATGAATTGGCTTACAAAGTAGCAACTAAAACAAAGAAATCTGTCATAGTAGTACAGTAATCCTTATTAATACTTAATGATTTCCTCAATTTCTCCACAAGATGACTCTAATTCTGCTACTCACCAAAGTACTGATGGTACAATAGCAATGTGTCCAAAACAAAACGACCCAGAAGAAGCCTGGAGAACATGCATGCTTTCTTTTCTTGTTTTGCAGTCATCAGGAAGATGTGTGACATTATCACCCCCACCCAGTATTTTCAGTAGCAAATGCCCAAATACTTAAAAATGTAATCAAATCAGTGATTGCACATTCTCGACAGGAGAACAGTGTGTTAAAGGGAAGATCAAGAAGGGCAGGAGAAATCCAGGGGAGCTTTTTTTTTGTTTCTCTTTCAGAAAGGCCAATAGTCATCTAAATTATTATTTTCTCATGTCATTAAAAGAAACAAGTGATAACATAGAGTAACAACAGGCAAAAAGAACACAGTTGATACATATACTAACTCCTGCCACTCTAAGAGGGCAAACCCACAGATAAAACCTGGTGCTGCTGCCAAGGCATTGAGTCTCTCCAGCTATGTAAACTGTAAAGAGTTTGCAAAGGAACAAATCCACGACATAACCCCCTTGAGAACAACAAAAGGGATACTTGTCCGGACATTCACATTGCATCATGCCACTTCACAACTTATAATGAGTCTAGAGAAAGAAGCATGATTTTGGCATGGCCCAGTCCTGTTGTTCTCATTCCATAAGACAAGGCAACCATATCCTTATTTTCTGGTTTACGTTTTATCTGTTTGAATCCACCTAGTGAGGCATTGACAAACCTGTTAAATCAAACTAAGCCAAGTCAATGCAGTGCAGCCAAATAGCTTACAAAACTTTTTTAAAAAACAAAACAAATGTTGCTATAAACTGAAAAGCATATTAGCAATCAATCCAGGCCTGATACTTTACTTTAGGGGTTTATCTAAGCACCTTTTCCTTTCCTTCTCCCGTCCATCTCACTGATAACTGACTTCTAATATAAAGAGCCTAAAGGCTTTTGTGATGCTTTCTATGTATTCAGTTGACACTACCCTAGATGCTTACCATGTAAAATATTTTACTACTTCACAAATACTTAAACCCAAACCTCTCATGGTGAAAACAAGAATTTTTCAAATAAAAATTTTGATTAGATACACAATCAACATGCCTTTGGCCACCATGAGATATAGGGCATAATCTTCTACTTCTAAGTCTTCCATTTTTTAGCTATCAGACCAAATATTTATAACCTGCACATTTAAAATAGCTACTGTACAAAGGGCCATACCTGACATTCATAAAGTTAATAATGCAGTATCTAAAGTGTCAAAACACACCAATTACATGAATTTCTCCCCCGGAATTCTTGAGTTTGTCTAAAAACATTGCCAGATTTAACACAATTTTAGTTCCAATTCTGTATATATTTTGATTCAAATTCTTTTTCGTTTTCTTTTTTTTTTTTGAAGACAGGGTCTCACTCTGTAGCTCAGGCTGGAGTACAGTGGCACAATCTCAGTTCACTACAGCCTCAACCTCCCCGCTGAAGCAATCCTTCTGCCTCAGCCCTCTGAGTAGCTGGAAACACACGCACGTGCCACCACACTCAGCTAATTTTTTGATTTTTTATCAGTAATGCGAGATAAGGGTCTCACTTTGTTGCCCAGGCTGGTCTCACACTCCTGAGTTCAAGCCAAATTGTTCTATTTGAGGTACATTTGGGGAAATTTTCCCCAATATCAATATTTGTAATATAAAGTAGTAAAGGCAACAAGTTATAAGATTTTTAAAAACATAGTATAAAGGATCTCTTGTACATTGTTTATTCTTATTTCCTTTAACCTATTAGTTAAAAGATGAGAGAATAATTAAGATGACCAAAAGAAATCTAAAGTCATAACCTCTTGACTATGAACTGCTTTTACCTGCTTTCATCTCTTTTGTCTAACTACTTACATTGATAAAAATATGGGAGGAAAAATAAACTATTCACCATCTTAGTACTTGAACAATACGGAAGACATGCAGTTCAATAATCTGATGTTTTTATCTCCTGCTAAATAGTGAAATGTGATATTTAGCAAGGTGAAGAGTAGTTATGCATGGCTCAGAGCCATTGATGGGAAGGAGTTTATAAGCTCGTTGGAGAGGTAAGACTAACCTACAGCACACATTACAATGCTGACTGAAGGCACCGCCATTTGCTTTGGAAGTCAAGAGTGTTGGGAGGGCTGGCAAGCTCTTAGTGATAGAGGCAGGAGACAGACAGATTCCTAGGCAGACAGGGACAGTACCCTGGTAAACCTGACTTTCACGACCAAAACAGCCTGAAGCCTGAAAACTGAGCTGCCAGTTCCAGGTGGAGTCCACAACCCTGTGAGAACTTCCTCAATGCCTTTTAGCCAATTGAATGGTGCCTTTTCCAGGCCTGCCCATGGACCAGTCAGCACACACTCCCCGATTCTGAGCCCATAGAAACCCTGGACTTGGCCTCACAGACCTGCTTTTGGGCCCTGCTCACACAGAGAGCTACCCACTTCCGGTTCCCACTCATTGTTCAGAGCTTTTCTATCGCCAATAAAATTCTTCTCTGCCTTGCTCACTCTCCAGTGTTCATGTACCTCATTCCTCTTGGTTGCAGGACAAGAACCCAGAACCTGCTGAACAGCGGGTGTAAAAGAGCTGTAATACACGTTCCTTCTCGCCACGCTACCGGAGTGAAAAATACTGCTGGGCACCACACTCCCGTTTACCGAGCAGGCAGTGGGACCAAATGAGTGTGACACTTCCTGGGGGCTCAGATCTTCAGACTGGACTCCTTGAGTGGGACTCCCTGAGCAAAAGCTGTAACACCCCTTGTGGCTCCACCATTGCTGGTGAGAGGTGACAGCGTGCTGGCAGCCCTCCCTCGCTCTGGGCGCCTCCTCGGCCTCACCGCCCACTCTGGCCATGCTTGAGGAGCCCTTCAGACCGCCGATGCACTGTGGGAGCCCCTCTCTGGGCTGGCTGAGGCTAGAGCCGGCTCCCTCTGCTTGCAGGGAGGTGTGGAGGGAGAGGCGTGGGTGGCAACCGGGGCTGCACGCAGCACTCGCGGGCCAGCGCGAGTTCCAGGTGGGCGTGGGCTCGGCAGGCTGGCACTCGTAGTGGCTGGCAGGCGCTGCCCACCCCAGGCAGTGAGGGGCTTAGCACCTGGGCCAGCAGCTGCAGAGGGGGCACCAGGTCCCCCAGCACTGCCGGCTGGCCTGCGCCACACTCGAATTCTCGCCGGGCCTCAGCTGCCTGCCTGCGATGCAGGGCTCGGGACCTGCAGCCTGCCATGCCCAAGCCCCCCTCCCTTCCCTGCCTGGTGGGCTCCCACACAACCCAAGCCTCCCCGACGGGCGCTGACCCCTGCTCCACCATGCCCGGTCCCATCGACCACCCAAGGGCTGAGGAGTGCAGGTGTGCAGCCCAGGACTGGCAGGCGGCTCCGCCCACGGCCCTGGTCGGGGATCCTCTAGGCGAAGCCAGCTGGGCTCCTGAGTCGGGTTGGGACTTGGAGAACTTTTATGCCTAGCTGGAGGATGGTAAATGCACCAATCAGCACCCTGTGTCTCATTCAAGGTTTGTGAATGCACCAATCAGCACTCTGTATCTAGCTAATCTGGTAGGGACTTGGAGAACCTTTATGTCTAGCTAAAGGATTGTAAATACACCAATCAACACTCTGTGTCTAGCTTAAGGTTTGTAAACATACCAATCAGCACCCTGTGTCTACCTTAAGGTTTGTAAATGCACCAATCAGTGCTCTGTGTCTAGCTAATCTAGGGGGGACTTGGATAACTTTTGTGTCTAGCTCAGGGATTGTAAACGCACCAATCAGCACCGTCAAAACGGACCAATCAGCTCTCTGTAAAACAGACCAATCAGCTCTCTGTAAAATGGACCAATCAGCAGGATGTGCGTGGGGCCAGATAAGGGAATAAAAGCAGGCTGCCTGAGCCAGCAGTGGCAACCCACTTGGGTCCCTTTTCACACTGGCGAGGCTTTGTTCTTTCACTCTTTACAACAAATTTTGCTGTTGCTCACTTTTTGGGTTTGCACTGCTTTTATGAGCTGTAACACTCACCGTGAAGGTTTGCAGCTTCACTCCTGAGGCCAGCAAGACCACAAACTCACCTGGAGGAATGAACAACTCCAGAAGGGAGGAACGAACAACTCCAGACACGCTGCTGTAAGAGCTGTAACACTCACCGCGAAGGTCTGCAGCTTCACTCCTGAAGCCAGTGAGACCATGAGCCCACCAGAAGGAAGAAACTCTGAACACATCTGAACATCAGAAGGAACAAACTCCGGACACACCACCTTTAAGAACTGTAACACTCACCGTGAGGGTCCACGGCTTCATTCTTCAAGTCAGTGAGACCAAGAACCTGCCAATTTCGGACACACTGGCATCTCTGAGTTTTTGGGCGCTGCCACATCCCCCTCATCCAGACACCAGCGCCCAATGTGGAAGCTGGTTGTGCCATACCTGGAGTAGCTGTGGGCCAAGCACACAGCCATGGCGGGCAGGGGCTCTGGGCTGGTAGCACGGGCCGAGCGCAGCCTCCCAGATTGTGGGTGGTGCCAGCCCAGCAGGCTCAGGTGAAGCCGGGACAGAGGCACTGCTGGCTATGAGATTTCCAGCTGGCGAAGTGGCACCAAAAGAATCCTGTGTCATTAGGAAAGCAGAGGAGCTGCCAGGTGGATATGTGATGTGAAGCCAGGTCTGCATTCAGTTAAGCCGCTGAAGGTACTTACAGACCAAGAAATCCTTATGATAAAGCTTGAAGGATTATCATTTATGTAACTAATTCTGAAGGCCATATTGTACTATTCTGCTAGAATCGTCATAACAAAACACACCAAACTAGGAAGCTTAAACAACAGAAATTTATTTTCTCACTGTTCTGGAGGCTAAACGTTCAAGATCAAGATGCCATTGGGGTTGGGTTCTGGTGAGGCCTCTCTTCTTGGCTTGTAAATGGCCACCTTCTCACTGTGTCACTGTGTCCTCACATGGCCTTTCCTCTGTGCTTGTGCTGAGTGTGTGTGTGTGCATGCATGTGTGAAACAGAGAAAGTTCTTGTGTTTTTTCCTTCTCTTATAAGGACACCAGTCTATCGGGCAATCTGCCCCGATATTCACGTAGGTTCTTTTCTATTTTCCTTAAGCGTCGGCCAGCTTGAGAAATAAAGGGACAGAGTACAAAAGAGAGACATGTTAAAGCTGGGCGTCCGGGGGAGACATCACATGTCAGTAGGTTCTGTGATGCCCCACAAGCCGCAAAAATCAGCAAGTTTTTATTAGGGAGTTTCAAAAGGGGAGGGAGTGTGCGAATAGGTGTGGGTCACAGACATCAAGTACTTTACGAGGTAATAGAATATCACAAGGCAAGTGGAGGCAGGGCGAGATCACAGGACCACAGGACCGGGAAGAAATTAAAAGTGCTAATGAAGTTTCGGGCACTATTGTCATTGATAATATCTTATCAGGAGACAGCGTTTTGAGATCAACTGGTCTGACCAAAATTTATTAGGCGGGAATTTCCTATTCCTAATAAGCCTGGGAGCACTATGGGAAACTGGGGTCTATTTTACCCCTGCAGTCTCGACCATAAGAGACAGGTGCACCTGGGGGGGCTGTTCATAAGCCTATACCTCCAGGTGCGTATTCTCTTTCCCAGGGATGTTCCATGCTGAGAAAAAGAATTCAGCCATATTTCTCCCATTTGCTTTTGAAAGAAGAGAAATATGGCTCTGTTCCACCTGGCTCACCAGCGGTCAGAGTTTAAGGTTATCTCTCTTATTCCCTGAACAATTGCTGTTATCCTGTTCTTTTTTCAAGGTGCCCACATTTCATATTGCTCAAACACACATGCTGTATAATTTGTGCAGTTAATGCAATTATCACATGGTCCTGAGGCGATATACATCCTCCTCAGCTGACAGGATTAAGAGATTAAAGTAAAGACAGGCATAGGAAATCACAAGGGTATTGATTGGGGAAGTGATAAGTGTCCATGAAATCTTTACAATTTATGTTTAGAGACTGCAGTAAAGACAGGCATAAGAAATTACAAAAGTATTATTTTGGGGAACTAATACATGTCCATGAAATCTTCACAGTCCACATTCTTCTGTCATGGCTTCAACCGGTCCCTCTGTTTGGGGTCCCTGACTTCCCACAACACCAGTCCTATCAGATTATAGCCCTACTGTTATAACTTCGCATAACATTGATTACCTCCTTATAGGTCCCAGTTTCCAAATACAGTCACATCGAGATGATCACTTCAACATATGAACATTGAACTGACAAAATTCAGTCCGTAACACATACCATAAGTTGAGCTGTAGAAGACTACAACTACGAGAAGACAATGATACTTGGGCCACTACGTTTAAGCCCTTGTAAGTTCCCTTGAAAAAAACTCAGTTCTTTTCGCAAAAATATGCTTTGCTTTTATATCTTTGGCTTTTTATTGGTTTACTACAAGGACATAACCATATGAATTATCCACCTTTTTCGAGGACACTGTCCATCCCCAATATTCAATACCCTTTACATAAGCTCTGAGTGAGAATCATCCTTAAGATTTTAGTGCTGGGGCAAAAATTATCTTCCATGAGCGCAACCCATGATTTCTAAAAATGCTAAGAACCTCATCCTACAATATTTTCACTTTTTCTTCTAGTCTGGTGAAAATTTTGGATCATATTGGAAACTCAAACCCAACAAATTTATTAATTTCAGAGATATTTACAACCGTACTATTACATTTTTCTTTTCATCCTGATCCCTATTTATGTTTTAGTAATACTTCTCTCATTGTTTTTTAACTGTGCGAAAACACTTTTTTATAAAAGAGATAGTGTCTAAATAAATACCTGGCACAAGTTCTTCATTAGACTAAAGCAAATATTTAAAAATCAAGTAGCAGCCATTGATTTCTGTGAAAAAAATACCTAGATAACAAAAAAGAGTCACCACCAAAAAAGAGAATCCTAAATGCCCCTTACATTTTCATTCGCCATACCCAGGAGAAGGAACACCTGGCAATGAATATGAAAATAAAACTTCAGAAGTTTTAGCTGGGCGAGGTGGCTCACACCTATAATCCCAGCACTTTGGGAGGCCAAGGTGGGCAGATCACCTGAGGTCGGGGGTTCGAGACCAGCCTGACCCACACAGAGAAACCCCATCTCTACTAAAAATACAAAATTAGCCGGGCATGGTGACGCATGCCTATAATTCCAGCTACTTGGGAAGGCTGAGGCAGGAGATTCACTTGAGCCTGAGAAGTGGAGGTTGCAGTGAGCTGAGATCGCACCATTTCACTCCAGCCTGGGCAACAAGAGCAAAACTCCGTCTCAAAAAAAAAAAAAAAAAAAAAGGATAATTTTGAGCTATTATATGCAAATTAACTTTCAGACTGGCTGGTAGATTTTGAAGTAAAACAGCATTTTAGCTAGCAACAATTGCTAGGGAATAGATAAGCTTTACCCTGCTGTTGATGAGATCCAACTGTTTTCTGCACGGGCTCTCTTAAGAGGTGGGGTGCTACTGGGTAGTGCAGTTTGAGGATGAAATGAAAGAAGCAGCAGCAGCAGCAGGGCATTTTGTAGGAAGAGGACAGAAGGCCCTTCTGATTCTACACATTTGCTAGGATGTGACTTCAAGGCCTCTCCCTGAGAAGGTTAATGCCTAGGGAAAGGAAAGGTCAAAGAAATCAGGAGCAAAAATATTTAGTTATTTTATTATGGCACAAAAATAGTGCACTGAAATAACATGTTGCATGAGGTAAAAGCCCAGAGGATACATGTACAAAATATCAGCAACAAGTGTTAGGATAATACTTAAAATCCATCAATCATGTATGGATGTTGGAAAAAAAATATGTTATTAGATTTGCTAACTCAAAAAATTGAGTAAGGTCTTCCTGAAATTCTTCACAAATATAACAGACCTCCATAAAAACTCAATCTTGTATTGTAGAGTCAATTAACTGGGGAGAAATAAGTAAAGCAACATTCTGATAGGGGAGTGATAAGAGGTCTCTGGAGAAAGAACTTTGCACCGAGTAGGTGGAGCAGGAGTAGGCTAAACCTTATATGGAAGGTGAGATCAAGATGGGGACTGAGCACAGGTATCTACCTTCCCTTCTACCTAAAACCTTTTGAAAGAATAGAAAAGATAGTATGGGGAAGGATAACTCCTGAAGCGTTATTAGAGTACAAGAAAGGATAAAACTGACAGAACTGTAAGTAATTTCTTAAAGAAAAATCAAGAGGGTTTGGATGGACAGAGAAGACACAGCTTAAATGCTGTAGGCCCAGATGAAGAAATCGTAAAGACTGTGATCCCCCAGACTTCCCCTCCCTGGAAGAGACCTAGACATATGCCTTACAGGGTTTGAATACTTGTCCCCTCCAAATCTCAGGTTGAAATGTGACTCCCAGTGTTGGAGGTGGGGCCTCGTGGGAGGTGATTGAGTCATGGGGTGGAACCCTCATGTATGGCCTAGCACCATCCCCTTGGTGATGAGTGAGTTCTCACTCAGTTCATGCTGAGTTCTGGCTGTTTAAGAGGTCTAGGACCTCCCCCTTCTCACTCTTGCTCCTGCTCTAATCATGTGACACACTGGCTCCCCTTCACCTTCCGCCATGAGTGTAAGCTTTCTAAGGCCCTCGCCAGAAGCAGATGCTGGCATCACACTCCCTGTAGAGCCTGCAGAACTGTGAGCCAAAATGAATCTTTTTCTTTATAAATTGCCCAGCCTCTGGTATTTCTTTATAGCAACACAAGAATAGACTTACATAATGCCCTATGGAAAAGGAAGGGTAGGGACTTCCCAGATAGCTTCCACATGGAATATATATACAATTATTGATATGGTTTGGCTGTGTCCCCATCCAAATTGAATTGTAGCCCCCACAATTCCCACATGTTGTGGGAGGGACCTGGTGGGAGGTAATTGAATCATGGGGGCAGATTTTTTCCGTGTTATTCTCATGATAGTGAATAAGTCTCATGAGATCTGATGGTTTTATAAAGGGGAATTTCCTACACAAGTTCTCTTCTCGTCTGCCACCATGTGAAAGTGCCTTTCACCTTCAGCCATGATTGTGAGGCCTCCCCAGCCAAGTGGAACTGTGAGTCCATTAAACCTCTTTCTTTTGTAAATTGCCCAGTCTCAGGTGTGTCTTTATTAGAGGCGTGAAAACAGACTAATGCAATTATTTTTCCATATGTCACGATAGGAAAGACAAGCATCCCAGAAAAAAAACTGTTATTCATCTGTTTTAGCATGTTCATATCACACATTACTTCCATAGCACCATGGCATTAACTATAGCATATTATCATTGCTTGTTTATAATTGTCTGTGTCTCTACTTAGAGCATCAGCTCTGTGAGGGAGAGGACTGTAGCTACCTATTCACTGTTGTATCACCAGAACTCTAGCAGAAACTTTATAAATGTGTTGAACTAAATGATCAAATCCAACTGAAGTGAGGAGGAAGTGCCATATCTGAAAGAGTGGTGATAATATCCTGTAGCCATCTTCCCTCCACTTACCCTAGTAACCCAAGTCAATTTTTTTTTTTTGAGATGGAGTTTCACTCTTGTTGCCCAGGCAGGAGTGGCAGGAGTGCAATGGTGTGATCTCAGCTCACCGCAACCTCCACCTCCCGGGTTCAAGCAATTCTCCTGCTTCAGCCTCCCAAGTAGCTGGGATTACAGGCATGCACCACCACGCCTGGCTAATTTTGTATTTTTAGTAGAGACAGGGTTTCTCCATGTTGGTCAGGCTGGTCTCGAACTCCTGACCTCAGGTGATCCACCTGCCTTGGCCTCCTGAAGTACTGGGATAATAGGTGTGAGCCACCACGCCTTACCCCAAGTCAATATTTTATAAGTGAGTTTACCACCTAGCTTACTGCCCTTCAGAGAACATCAGTGATCCCTATTTGATACAGGACAATTTGGTACCAGGAGTAATAAGCATGCTAAATTAATCTACATATGTATATTAATTTTGCAATAGCTTTCAAAGAAGAAACAGAACACCAGAAATAAAGAACCAAGCTGTATATACTCTGTAGTTTCCCAGTATTCCTTTACCTGGCAGTACGGAAAGCCCAGGGATCAGTTAAGCAATGTTTGAGCATCACACTATGTGAAGCTTTAGAAAATATCTATTTTGGTTAGAATGTTTTTTTAAAAAAACCATTGGTAAACTTCTGGAAAAAGCACACATGTATGGGTATGAAAGGCGTCTTGCACTTGTTATTAAAAAGTCTTGAGATTGTGTTTCTTTTTCTATAGCAGAGGATTATTTGGAAACTGAAGATTCAGGTAGATCAGGAACAAAAAATTCTGGGCCAAATTCAACCACAGAAAAGATTGTGAAGGAAGTACCATCTGACTGCTGTGTGATAGTAATCCAGGTGAAATGGTTTAATGGTTCCAGTCTAGTTTCCAATTGATAAGGGGCAGCATCTAAAAATCATGCTTGTGTTTTTTTACAAAGTATCCAAACTTCAGTAATTGCCCACCAAAAAAAAAAAAAAAAAAAAAAGCTTATGCATAGTGCATAGAAAGAAAGTACCTTTCCTGTATACGGGAGGGGTGGGTCTTACCCTTTTTTTGGGTCAAAGATTCTTTGATAATGTGAATTGTCCTCAGGAAAGAAGCACACACACACTTTTTTGCATATCGTTCAAAGGTTCATAGGTCCCCTGCAAGCACTCCATGAATGACTGCACATTTGGTAATTAGATCCGTGGTTTTACCACTATTCCTAGGGGTTGTGGGGAAGGAAAAAAGGAAAGGCTGAAAAGGTCAGGGAAAAAGAAGGGTTCCCCAGTACCCCTCTTTCTTCAAGTGGAGTGACTACATATTAATCTCTTTCATATACTGACTTTCAGGTAATACCATTTGGTCATAAATTGTTCTATTAGAAAATAGGTTTGAGAACCTCTGCACTGGGCCAAGGGACATTAACCTGGTTGGTCATGGGAATTATCTGGGGAGCTTTGTTTTAAAATCCATACTTCCCTAGAAATGAAAGATCTCTGCAATGAAAACTATAAAACATTGATGCCAGCCGTGCGCGGTGGCTCACGCCTATAATCCCAGCACTTTGAGAGGCCGAGGCAGGTGGATCACGAGGTCAGGAGATCAAGACCATCCTGGCTAACACGGTGAAACCCTGTCTCTATTAAAAATACAAAAAATTAGCCGGGCGGGCGTGGTGGCGTGTGCCTGTAGTCCCAGGCTGAGGCAGAAGAATGGCGTGAACCTGGGAGGCGGAGCTTGCAGTGAGCCGAGACTGTGCCACTGCACTCCAGCCTGGGGGACAGAGTGAGGCTCCATCAAAAAAAAAAAAAATTGATGTCAGAAATGGAAAAGATACTCCATGTTCATGGATTGGAAAAATCAATATTGTTAAAATGTCCATGCTACCCAGAGCAATCTATAGATTTTATGCAATCCCTATCATAATGCCAATGACATTCTTCACAAAAATGGAAAAAATAATCCTAAAATTTATATGGAACCACCAGAGAACCAGAACAGCCAAAGCCAAAGCCATCCTGAGCAAAAAGAACAAAACTGGAGGAATCATATTTTAATCATAATTTACCTGACTTCAAATTTCCTACAGAACTATAGTAACCAAAACAGCATGGTATTACCATGCAAACAGGCAATAGACCAGTGAACAGAATAGAGAACCCGGAAACAAACATGTATCTATGGTGAACTCATTTTTGACAAAGATTCCAAGAACATACATTAAAGACAGACTCTTCAATAAATGATGCTAGGAAAACTGAATATCCATATGCAGAAGAATGAAACTAGACCCCTGTTTCTCACTATATACAAAAATCAAATCAAAATGGATTAAAGATTTAAAACTAAGACCTGAAAATATGAAACAACTAAAAGAAAACATTGGGGAAACTCTCCAGGACATTGGTCTAGGCAAAGATTTCTTGAGTAATATACCCAATGCACAGGGAACCAAAGCAAAAATAAACAAATGGGATCACATCAAGTTAAAAAGCTTCTGCACAGCGGCCGGGTGCGGTGGCTCACGCATGTAATCCCAGCACTTTGGGGCGGGCGGATCACGAGGTCAGGAGATCGAGACCATCCTGGCTAACACGGTGAAACCCTGCCTCTACTAAAAATACAAAAAAAATTAGCTGCGCATGGTGGCGGGTGCCCGTAGTCCCAGCTACTCGGGTGGCTGAGGCAGGAGAATGGGGTGAACCCTGGAGGTGGAGCCTGCAGTGAGCCGAGATCGCGCCACTGCACTCCAGCCTGGGCGACAGAGTGAGACTCCGTCTCAAAAAAAAAAAAAAAAAAGCTTCTGCACAGCAAAGGAAACACTCAACAAAGTGGAGGGGCAACACACAGACTGAGAGAAAATATTTGCAAACTATTCATCTCACAAGAGATTAATAACCAGAATACATAAGGAGCTCAAACAACCGTATAGGAAAAGATCTAATAATCGTATTTTAAAATGGGCAACATTTCTAAACAAACATTTCCCAAAAGAAGACATACAGATGGCAACAGGTATATGAAAAAGTGCTCAACATATTGATCATCAGAGAAATGTAAATCAAAACTACAATGAAATATCATCTCACCCCAGTTAAAATGGCTTATATCCCGAAGATAGGAAACAACAAATGCTGGTGAGGATGTGGAGAAAAAGGAACTCTCATACACTGTTGGTGGGAATGTAAATTAGTATACCTACTATGGAGACCAGTATGGAGGTGTCTAAAAAAACTAAAAGTAGAAATACCATATGATCCAACAAACCCACTGCTAGATATATACTCAAAAGAAAATAAGTCAGTATATTGAAGAGATAGCTGCACTCCTATGTTTACTGCAGTACTATTCATGATAGCCAAGATTTGGAATCAACCTAAGTGTCCATCAACAGATGAATGGATAAAAGACAATGTGGTATATATATATATATATGCAATGGAGTACTCTTTAGCCATAAAAAAGAACGAGACCCTGTCATTTGCAGCAACATGGATGGAAGTGGAGGACATTATGTTATGTGAAATACACCAGGCACAGAAAGACAAACTTCACATGTTCTCACCCATTTGTAGGAGCTAAAAATTAAAACGGTTGAACTCATGGAGATAGAGAGTAGAATATGGTTACCAGAGGTTGGGAAGGGTACTAGGCAGGGGGTGAAAAAGTGGGGATGCTTAATGGGTACAAAAGTATAGTTAGAGTGAATAAGATCTAGTATTTGATAGCACAACAGCATGACTACAGTCAACAATAATTTGTTGTACATTTTAAAATAACTAAAAGAGTATAATTGGAATATTTGTAACACAAAGAAATGATAAATGCTTGAGGTGGTGGATACCTCATTTACCTGATGTGATTATTATGCATTGTATGCCTGTATCAAAATATCTCATATACCCCATAAATATATAGGCCTACTGTGTACCCATAAAAATTAAAAATTAAAAGATAAAAATACATACTTCACTAGATGTCATACCATAACATTTATTGGTTGTTGTCTGTATATTGGTCTCCTCTCACTCAATTAGATTGAAGACTCCTTTAGAGCAGTGTCTATTTATTCAGCTAATATTTTGAGTGGCAACAATGCTATAGTCCAAGCACAGTTTTAGGTGTTGGAGTTTCAAAAGTTAATGAAGAAAATCCCTACTCCCACAAAGCTTACTATCTAATTGTTGATTCTTCATGGTTCCTTATATAGTTTTCAGGAAATGAACTTCAATGTTATTTACTGACTAGCCAACTATTTGCATGATCTTAGATACTTCCCCAGAGTTGGGGTTAGCCATTAGTAAAAGCAAAGGCGGCCAGATGCAATGGCTCACACCTGTAATCCTAGCACTTTGGGAAGCTGAGGCAAGAGGACCACATGAGATGAGAGGTTTAAGACTAGCCTGGAAAATAAAAGCAAGACCTTGTCTCTACAAAAAATAACAAATTAGCCAGGTGTGGTAGCACACACCCATAGACCCAGCTACTTGGGATGCTGAGGCAGGAGGATCCCCTGAGCCTAGTAGTTCAAAATTGCAGTGAGGTATGGTTGATGATTGCACTAATGTACTCCAGCGGGGGCAACAGAGTGAGACGCTGTCTCAAAAATAAAATAAAATAAAAATAAAACAAAGAAAAGAAAAAAGAAAAGAGAAGGCAAGTGGCCTACATAAAGCTCATATAATATAGCACAGTACAAATTTAAATCAGAATCAAAATAAGCCCTTTCATGGTCATTGCTAGGCTGGAAAGATCAGCCATCGTCCAACCTATTCCCCCATCTCCCATCACGGTTGGATGGCTCAACTCAATTTTAGAATCTTATTAAACCTGGTATCATTCTGTATCAACAAAGTTAAGACATTATCCATTTGTATTAATAAAAGATACTTTAAAATTTACCCCTTTCCACCCACCCATCATCTCCATCCCCAACCCAAGGAAGTACAGGCCAAAGTACAAAAACACATTTGCATTGTTTTTAAGTTAGGAAAAAGGAAAAATGTTAAGTCCTTTTAAAATAAAAGATACAATCATTCTCGTTTTCATTCAGAGTTGGTCTTTGTTTCTTGATTTCTGTTTTCGTAGAAAAGTAGCACTGGCCACTCTCCTAGAAATTTGTGGCTACAGCAATCGGAGGTAGTTTGTAAGCTCAAATTATGCACAGGCTTTGCAGTCAATTAACCACAGTTAACATCCTGGTTGGCTGTGGGAACCTGGGCTAGTTATTTCACTTCACAGTGCCTGGGTTTCCTCATCTGGAAAAGAAAATAATAATGCTAGCGACCTCATATGATTTTTGAGAAGATCAAATAAAATAATTCATGTAAAGTTCTTAGAACGGTGTCCAGCTACTCCTGGGTATAATAAGCTCAGTGTATAGTGAGCTAGAATTTTGGTGAAAGGATAGAAAAAGAGAGACCTCAAGCCTTTGGGGGAACTTATAATACAGTGAGAAAAACAAACCATAAGTAAAGTAAGTTATCTGGGACTGAGTATTAAGTTCAGGGAATGGAGATTACAGAAACAATCCTAGCAGCCTTTGGTTGAAGAGGACTCAATCACAAAATAAGCAGGAGTTCAAATCCCATGTTTTGGCACTAAGAATTGACATGACAGGAACCCCAGCTGACGACTGCACTACTTGGTGACCTGGGCTCCTATGTGGAAAATGGGAAATGACCAGACTTTTTGAGTTTCGTAGAATAAACAAATCTCACAAGAGAAAAATCTCTTTCCTCTCTTAAGGGAGCAATATCTGGAATACAGAGCTAGGAGGGTACTAGTACTGAAAATACGAACGTTCCAAAACGGTTTTCTGCCTATGTAATTAGGAGAAAAGAGGAGAAAGGACTGTAAACTCCATGTCTGTCTTGTTCACTACCATACACCGGGAGCCTGGCCCACAGTCTCCACCCACCCTCCCCTTCCCACCCTCCATCCTGCCCCCAACCACGTTTGCTCCCTCCACTCACCTCAGGAAATGACCATTTGTTCCTCCAAAGGCTCAGGTATTTTAGATTGCTTCTCTGAGAGAATTTAGTGCATCCTAACTCCTTATTATGGGTGTATATAGATCGGGCTTACAAAACATTTCTGTTAAATTGCTCATTTAAAATTCTTATTTTCCGTCTTTAAAAATTACTGTAATTTATCATTTCAATTTAACAGTCATATATGTATCACTTCCTCTCTAGGAACTGAGTGTAACTCTTAAGAATTATCAGTGGTTTGCATGGATCTCAGAAGTATCTTCTTTTCTGTAGAACCGTTTGTTGTTGCTTTTTTAAAAAGTAATTAAATAATATGTACACATACACAAGAGTTATGTGTAGTGTCAAATATCTTTTCTTAAATTCCCTAATAATTGAAAAAAAGTTTCAGTATTTTTTCTTTATTTACCACATTATTAAACATCCCAGTCCCACCTTCACTATCACCACTAAGTTCTAAATACAAGTAATTTATTGAGCCTTAAAATTTAACTGTACCTTAAATTTCCCTTTCTCAATTGAGAACATGAAACACAATTTTGCCAAGACACAAACTGCTACATTGGTTGTGATTAGGGAGGAAAATTTTTTTTTTAAATGCTGAGAGCCCTTATGAGTGAGTGACAGGCTTAATTAATGATCTCCATCATTCAATTTCTCCCATTTTCACTTTTCTCTTTCTTTTAGGGGATAAGTGGGAGGGAAAGCGTATGTTTGTTTGGCTCATCAGTATTGTGGTTTTAATTCCCTTATATAATTTTAAAAAGCCACTATGCTTCTGAGACTTCTTTTCAGGGGCTTTTTGTCCCCAGAGTTTCAAAACTCACGGCAAATAGTTTTCTCCAACCCTGCTTATTTCAAATATGAAACAGGAAACTGTGATGTCGTGTCTAGTAAACCATCAAAAGCACTCTGTTTAAAATAGAGAAATTAAATGAGCTCATTGCTGCTTTAAAATACCTTAATTTTTGGCAGAACACCTACCTATCTAGGAGTAAAAGGTTAATTAAATAAAAAGATCGTCACTTCTTCCTAAGTACATCAGTTGTTTTAGCAAATGAGTTCTTTCATCGGAAAAGATGAAAGATGTCATCGTTCTAGTACGAGAATGATGTGCACTGAAGACACTACTTACAACTAAAAAGTTCGTTTAATGCATGGAACAAGAGAATAATAGAACTTGAGCATTCTACTGATATCATTTTCATATTTTTTAATATCAATAACTATGTGGATATACGCATAGCCAATCACAACTGTATGTAACTGAGCAGCCATTTAGAGCACTTAAGGAGAACAGAATACTTCTCTGAGGCTTTGACATGATAAACATATAAGTTCACTATCTAAACATTAAGTCATATTTTAAATGGATACTTTAAGCAATCGCTTCCTGTACAACCAGAATGAGATATATGCTGATTTTAATGACAGTGATAATAAAGTTGGTTACGTAATTCCAACCCAGTCACTGGGTAAAATGATGAGCATTAGTGTTCAGAGGCAAAGTTTCTTAAGGGAAATTATTATCATGATTAATGTGGTTAACATAAAAAGTGGTAGGCTAGTGGGGCGCTGGGAGGGATGGAACAGCTGCTTGACTCTCACAGCAAAACAAGGTTCACTTTTTTTAAAGTTTTTCTTTACGAGGTTATTTTGTCGTAATTGTTGGCAATATTAGATAGTAATAGTTTCTTTTAAATAGAAAACATATATTCTTGCCACTGAATTTCTACATTTTCACTGGCAATCCAAACTTCCTTAGTGCTCTTTTGCTTATCATCAGTGTTAGTTTTCCTGCAATAAATGTGCTTAGCTAGATAAGTACTAGAAAGCTTAAATGGACGAGTTGAGTTTTTCTCTTTTTCAACTCTCTGAAAACAACTTCACTTTATTAAGAAGATAGAAAGGTGGGAAGTAAATGAAACAAAACACAAATTTTGGTCTTCAGAGTGACTGTTTCCTGAAAGATTACTAAAATCCTCAATTCTAAAGATTCAATGAGTTTTAGAAGATCATAAAAAATAAAAGTAGAGGAGTGTTCCCCTAAATTTTTATTTTAGAAAATACAAGACATGGCTGGGCGCGGTGGCTCACACCTGTAATCCCAGCACTTTGGGAGGCCAAGGCAGAAGGATCACGAGGTCAGGAGTCTGAGACCAGCCTGGCCAACATGGTGAAACCCCGTCTCTACCAAAAATATAAAAATTAGCCGGGCGTGGTGGCGCACGCCTGTAATTCTAGCTACTCAGGAGGTTGAGGCAGAAGAATTGCTTGAACCTGGGAGGCAGAGGCTACAGTGAGCTGAGATCGCACCACTGCAGTCCCGCCTGAGCAACAGAGTGAGGCTCCATCTCAGACAGAAAAAAAAAAAAATGGAAAAGAAAGTTCAAGACACTAGGAGACAGGTAAATAATGTATCCAAATGATTGTTAAAGCCCATTTGTAACTAAGAAATGGGTAGCAGGATTATGTGTCATTTTTAATTCATTATACTCATCTGCATTTTCAAAAACAATGTTACAATAAACATGTTACTTTTATCAGCAGATAAGAGGATTTAAATGCTTTCCCATTTCCGGCTGCCAGGTCAGCCTCCTGATCCAGCTCTTAGTGGAGATCAAGAGCTTATACTTTTTTCCTAAATCCACACCACTGGCACAGCACTGAACGCGTCCCAGGTGCTCAGCAAGTCTGGACTGACTAATTAATTGATGTAGGGGTCCTTCACCTTTGTACACCTCTGTACTTAAAACACTGTTCTCAAGGGTGTCTAAACACACTTAGAAAAAGCTGCTCTGGTTTTAAACGACATATAAATTCCCTACTAAAGCAACTTCTCTCTGTTCATCATTACTCAAAAGCAGATGAGTAAGGTGACATTTCACGTTGCTAGTTAGAAGTGGCTTGGAACAAAAAGCCACTAACTTCTGGTTTAGACTTTGTTCACTCTAAAAATAAGTTACTTGGGGTATCAGATATGACCTAGTCTTTCCTTTTTTTTTTTTTTGACGGAGTCTCGCTCTGTCGCCAGGCTGGAGAGCAGTGGCACGATCAAGGTTCACTGCAACCTCCACCTCCAGGGTTCAAGGGATTCTCCCGCCTCAGCCTCCCAAGTAGCTGGGACTACAGGCACGCGCCACCACACCCATCTTTAGTAGAGATGGGATTTCACCATGTTGGCCAGGATGGTCTCAATCTCTTGGCCTTGTGATCCGCCTGCCTCGGCTTCCCAAAGTGCAGTGGCGTGAGCCACTGCGCCCAGCCTAGTCCTTAACGTTTTTATCAAGAGTGCTGCCTACACATTTCAATTGTAGATGTATTAAAATTGAGATTACTCATTTTTTCCAAAGAATGTGGGAAAGCGATTGCCATAATCTCCTTAAGGACAAGGTCTCCATCATCCTTCCACCTCTAGTGCTGGGGCCAGGATGTGGGGCAGAGTAGGTGCTTGGTAACTGTTGAGGATTTAATGAATCAATCAATCAGTACTCCTACACACCTACCTTGTCACAGGTGGACACAATATGTTTCACAGAGAAGAGTGGTCTAAAAATATTTATTCCAAGTATTAAGGTAAACACCCTATCACTACCCAAGACACAATAAAAGGGCAATAAAACATTGTTTTCTACACGTTAAGCACCTGAAATCTTTTTTTTTTTAATTTGAGTTGGAGTTTCACTCTTGTTGCCCAGGCACTTTTGTTGCCAGGCTGGAGTGCAATGGCGTGATCTCGGCTCACTGCAACCTCTGCCCCGCTGGCTCAAGAGATTCTCCTGTCTCAACCTCCCAAGTAGCTGGGATTACAGGTGCCCGCCACCACGCCCAGCTAATTTTTGTATTTTTAGTAGAGATGGGGTTTCACCATGTTGGCCAGGCTGGTCTCGAACTCCAGACCTCAGGTGATCCACCCGCCTTGGCCTCCCAAAGTGCTGGGATTACAGGCATGAACCACAGTGCCCAGTCCCTAAAACCATTTCATAAGAATATTTGTGGCTAATGATTAAATGTAATGGGAAATAAAGCCTTTTTAAGCTGAAGCTATTTTAACAAACAGGAGAATTCTAGAGTTGAATTATGTGTAAAACACAAAAAGACCTTGAATAAATGTCAACAAGTTATGAAAATTGTTCACCTCATAAAACATATAGATTTACAGCCTGAGTCAAAATGCATGGCTTAAAATGACGCTGTTTCTCTAGCATCTTCCAGGGAGTGCTTTCTTGGTTACTCTTCAGTGTTTTAATAATACTCTTTTTTCTTCTGCTTTTTAAAACTTTTGTGCTGTCAGATATATATGATACTCCATGCCACCTTGCTAATGCTAAGACAGCTATTGTATCCATAAAACCACTGCACAGTGTCTAAATCAGGAGCTGAATATGTTCTTCTACCTTTTATCGGCTCTAAAAAATGCAGAGCAAACATTATCTATTGTTAATTACCTGTAAAGTAGGGCTTTAGCCACTTCCCCTGTTTCTAAGAGCCCTGAAGTGAAACCTAAAAGAAGTCACCCATTGTTTTCAATTGTGCAAGGGCCAGGAGCAAACAGGGCTCAAATTGCAGCTCTGAAAGGCCACAGGAAATTGGCATACCACTAATCTGCACTCAACTATTCAAAGAAACAAAGCCTGCATTCCTGCTGAAAAACTCACCAGCAGAAACCCAAGGCAGATCTGTTCAGTAAGGACCACAGAATAAATCTGCAGAAATAAAAGTTTTTAATTAGAGTGCCATGAGACCTGGCTCTAGTTTCCTAGCTCTGAGAGTAACACACATCGTTTAGATTTCTACGTAGTCTTCCCAATTTTCTCCAAAATGAGACTACATAATTAGAATCCTTCCTGTTTAATGATGTCAGCAGGGATGGGGTTGGAGGAGATAATAAGAGGTCAACTGTTCACTATAGATAGCTGAGTTATAATAAACTAGAGTACTGAAATAATAAAAATGTAAGGGGATTTAAATTTACTTTTGTGTATTTGGGCTTTAAACATTCCCTGTAAACACAACAACGTTGTTTCTAAAGCATAGGAGTTGAATACAGTTAAGAAATTGGCCAGATTATCTTTCATATGGAACAGAGCAATTTAAAATGAGCTTCCTATAACATTCAAGTATGAAAATAAGGATTGTTTTTTTCAACTGGATATTCCATCACAGCAAAAGTCATGAGCCAAACCCTGATGCTTCAGCTGGTTTGGCCCATCTGCTTGATCTTACATAGTGAGAGCAGAATGAACTAACAGAATCAGGGAGTTTAGGTTCTAGTCCTAACTTTATCAATAAATGTGAAAATCATAATCCTCCCTGTGTTAGATTTTATCTGCAAAACTAGGCTAATAACTTGGCCCCTCTTTCACTCGTAAGTATGTCAAAAGCCCAATATGTTATAACCTAGGTACTTACAGAAAATGTGTGCAATATACAATCTGAGATATTACTGTATTTACTAATAATAGTGCTTTGAGTGATAGATTCCATAATATTATAGATCTATCCCCAAGACCATTCAAAAGTATTTACAGCCATAGTACATATGAAAAAAAAGAATGTTTTGAGGGGTTTCATGCCTATGCCAAGTTCAGCAAGAAGAGTAAACAATAGTTTAGTATCCAGGAGAAAGAGCATTAGCATCTAAGAAGCTGGGAAGGGCCCTGGCATTTTTTTTTTTTTTACTTTTTTAATTACTCTTAAGGATACTTTGGACGCTTAACAGAGAAGACCAAGTGGTTTGCATTATCAATAACTAAAAATACATTAGTAAAATGAAGGAGGAGTTGATTCCAGGCATTTCCATGTCAGGCCTATCTATTTGGGATGTTATAGAAAGGATGCATTATTATATCCCGTGAGAGGTGAGCCAATTCCACAGCCTTGAACATCTGTCTCCTCTAGTGCCAGAGGTTTTACTGCCACAATTCTTAAAATTAGTCTCCCCTGGAAACCTTAACATGATCAATGATATTACTGAAATTCTCTGCAGCAGATAATTACATATCTTTTTTAGAATTCTATTTACTAGTATTTGCTAGACAAAAATGACTTTAGGCAGGAGACACATCATGTCAGAATATATATTTTATTAATGCAGTGAATGGCCCTCTGGCCAGAAAAACAGAAGCCAAATATGGGCTTTTATGACTCGATTGTAAAATGCAGGGAAAAATATCAATGAATATTTATTGAGTGCCTACTATGGGCAAAGCACCTTAGGAGTACAGGTAAATCTACAACATAAACCCAGTCTGAAAGAATTATAATATGGAAGGGAGACAAGACATAAACACTAAAAACTCAACATTAAAAGTAATGATCAGTTTACAGAATGTTGTTACTAAAGAATTTCTGAGAGAGATTATTTTGCCATGATCCAGTCAGAAAAGTAGGATTTAAACCTTGTTGCAAAGAATAGGATTGAAAAGGCAAAGACAGTGTCTCAGGTCTGGAGTTGAAGGTGTGTTGCAGGGACAGAGAGCGAACCAATTCCACTGGATAGAAGATTTATGTTTCAGAAAAGTAGGAAAGAAGGGTGAAAGGGCAGGGTAGGAGTCTGAAAGCGCAGCCACAAATACGCAGTGCATGAGTTTTAACTTAATCCTAGACTTAATGTAAAGAGTGACTGCAGGAAAAGACGGCAGGGCAAGAGGCAAAGACAAGACTTGGGGTGTCAAAAAGACATACAGTCTGATGAACTGGAAAAGATTAATTTTTAATATGGTTATTTGTTATGCAGTCATGCTGTAGACCAGTAACATCATATGATAAATGACACAAATGTTTCCAAGTGTAAATCATCATATTCCAAGTAGGCAGCCACCAGTAGACACACATTTTCCATTGGGTCAAAAGGACCCAAAATTTTATTTGCACACAAAAGTATAGTTGTGTGTTTTTTCCCCTTGAGAACGGATCCCATAGGTAACATCTGAACAGCCCCCATCACGAAATCGCCGCTCTATGCTCCCCGCTGCCTGCGGTTGACTTAGTCATTTGTTGTGCCATAGGAAGGAGGTGACAGTTACTGCTTGGATATGTTTGTAGGGCATAACCTCAAAGGAACTTCCTCACACTCTATAGTAGAAAGAAATAAATGTTTGTTTTGAAAGATAAGTATGGGTAAGTAGAAAAAAATGCTCAAGGGCAAATACTTTTAAAAAAATGCTTTATGAAAGAATGTTGGGTTTTGTTTTTTTTCAAAAAAGGCAAGTTCAAGCAGACTATTTTTTTCCAAGAGTACTGCCTGCTTTTCTTCTTTCCAAAATTTGCCAGATTTTACAATCCACACAAAGCATATTTTCCCTAAGGATTAAGAGATCCTTTCTCCCTCATTAAAATTTTTATTTAAGAAATTAAGGGACCACAGGGTACCATATCCCATTATTTACATAGAGTGTGAAGTAATTTTGGACTCTCACACTTGACTTTTTTTTTTTACCAAACTTTGGAAATCAAGCAATGCCAGGTTCCTCAAATTCAAGTTTTGCTATTTTATAAAGATCACCTTAAAAAATTTTTTTTCCCAAGTCTCTACATGTGCCTCGTATATACCACCTATAAAATAGAAAAAAATTTAAATTCCAATACTATTATTTACAAGTATTTCAAATTAAAAGAAAAAAAAAAATAGCCGGGCGCGGTGCTCACACCTGTAATCCCAGCACTTTGGGAGGCCGAAGTGGGCGGATCACGTGAGGTCAGGAGTTTGAGACCAGCCTGACCCACACGGAGAAACCCCATCTCTACTAAAAATACAAAATTAGCCAGGCTTGGTGGCGCATTCCTATAATCCCAGCTACTTGGGAAGGCTGAGGAAGGAGAATCGCTTCAACCCGGGAGGTGGAGGTTGCGGTGAGCCGAGATCGCGCCATTGCACTCCAGCCTGGGCAACAAGAGCAAAACTCTGTCTCAAAATAAAGAAAAAAAATGACCAATTCCAAACCCAAACTATTTTGCCCTTCTTCTGTGTTGCTTCTGTAAGAATTCAGGTTTTATTGGATCTGCCTATCTTTATGCTATATTCTCTTCAGGAATTGTAAATTAAACTCCCAAACTTCAAGTACAAACAAGGTCCACATAATGAAAACAGTACAGGCCTTTAAAAGTATTGTTCATGTCTTTTTCTCATTCAGTTGGTTCTATTTCCTACTAGATGCTTATCCTTGAGCATGTCATTTCACCTTTCTCGGGTTCAATTTACTTTATTTTATTATTATTATTTTGAGACGGAGTTTTGTTCTTGCTGCGCAAGCTGGAGTGCAATGGCGTGATCTCGACTCACTGCAACCTCCACCTCACAGGTTCAAGCGATTCTCCTGCCTCAGCCTCCCAAGTAGCTGGGATTACAGGTGTGAGCCACCACGCCTGGCTTTGTTGTTGTTGTTGTTGTTTTGAGACGGAGTCTCGCTCTGTGGCCCAGGCTGGAGTGCAGTGGCATGATCTCGGCTCACTGCAAGCTCCGCCTCCCGGCTTAACGTCATTCTCCTGCTTCAGCCTCCCGAGTAGCTGGGACTACAGGCGCCCGCCACTACACCCAGCTAATTTTTTATATTTTTAGTAGAGACGGGGTTTCACCGTGTTAGCCAGGCTGGTCTCGAACTCCTGACCTCAGGTGATCCGCCCGCCTCGGCCTCCCAAAGCGCTGGGATTACAGGGATTACATATTGCCCAATCACCTTCCTTCCTTTCTCTATCATCATCACCACCACCAGCAGGCAGAGAAAAATACAGGGAATAAGGAAAACCAAGACTCTTTATGTTGCAAACATTTTTTTTCTTTTCTTTTTTTTTTTTTTGAGGCAGAATCTCGCTCTGTCGCCCAGGCTGGAGTGCAGTGGCGAGATCTCGGCTCACTCCAAGCTCCGCCTCCTGGGTTCATGCCATTCGCCTGCCTCAGCTGGGACTACAGGCGCCCGCCACCACGCCTGGCTAATTTTTTAATTTTTAGTTGGGAGGGGGTTTCACTGTGTTAGCCAGGATGGTCTCGATTTCCTGACCTCGTGATCCGCCCACCTCGGCCTCCCAAAGTGCTGGGATTACAGGCGTGAGCTGCCGCGCCCGGCCTGCAAACATTGTTTTTCAGGATACTTCAATGATTCAAAATGTAATGACTGGATTAGGAGGGTGGAGTAGGGGAGTAGTGGAAGAAATGTTTTAGCAGTTAAAGAGAAAAAGGCTGAATTGGTGAATTTTATTTTTTTGAGATAGAGTCTCACTCTGTCTCACAGACTGGAGTGCAGTGGTGCCATCTCAGCTTACTGCAACCTCCACCTCCTGGGTTCAAGCGATCCTCCCACCTCAACCTCCTGAGTAGCTGGGATCCATGCCCAGCTAATTTTTGTATTTTTGGTAGAGACAGGGTTTCACCATGTTGGCCAGGCTGGTCCTGAACTCCTGACCTCAAATGATCTGCCCACCTCGGCCTCCCAAAGTGCTGGGATTACAGGTGTGAGCCACTGTGCCCCACCAAGCTTGGTGAATTTTAAAGTTCTGGAACTTGGGTGTTTCTGACAACAAAGTTCAGATACATAAGTCACTGAAAAGTGTATACAGTGAAGCTGTATACAGTGAACTCTGGGAGGCTGAGGTGAAAGAATGAAAAATTTAGTTTCTGTTTGATTTACAAAGCCTTTGCTTCTTTCCTGTCTTCTTGCTTCCTGCCTTCTGTCCACTTCATTACTCATTAACCATTCCAGGAGAGATGGGGGTTGGGGGGTTGGGGGCGGGGAGAGACTCTTAAATCTGCACAATTAGTAGAATGTTGAGTGGGGAAAATTTTGATCTCCTTCTATATTTCATTTACACAAATGTCTCTGCCTTCCATTACCAGAGATGAGTTAACCCGGTACCAAATGGCCAAGACTTCTCCTCCCCCACCTTCTACAACCAATCAGATCAAGCTCACAACCTCCTTTCAGCCTCTACTGTCCCTGTCACATTAATCACCTTGGCTCCTATATTATTTATCCAGCTGGTCTCCCTCTTGCCCCCCAGTCCATCAGCAGCATGCAGTGTTGCCTAAGTATCCTTCTGAAACTCTAATCTGTTCATGCCATTCTCCTTATTATCATCTGTCAATGACTATCACCCACAGGATAGAGCCTAAACTTTTAAACATGACATTTCCACTTTCCATGACTGGCTCCTCTTTTCCCCACAGGCATCTTACACTCCAAACATACTAAATTACTTGCAATGTTCTCATCATGCCATGATCATTCCCACTTAACATGCCTTTGGACTTTTCCAAAATGCTTTTCTCTCCCTTGTCTACTTGACTCATTACTACTCATCTTTCAAGGCTTTTTTTATGAAGGCTTCTCTGATTTACAAAGACAGATTTGGCTGCCTCCTCCCAGAGTGTTTCCATGGCCCCATTTACCGCCAGTGATAGCATCATTCACATTGCTAAAAAGTTACGAATTACTATTCAAAGATACAGTTGTTAAATTGATGAATGCATAGTTGACAAAGCCAAGTTCTTATTTTCTCTCAAAAATTGCCAATATTGTAGACATTAGAAATGGTATCAAAAGACCCTGCAAACATTAATCTCAGCATTTTTCCTTATTCTGAAGCTTTTAATAAATCTACAAAGTTGATCAACAACAAATATTTACTGAGCTCTTCCTCTGTTGTATAATCACGATTCCAGGTACTAGATAGCAAAATGTTAAAACCGATAAATGTTGGTTTCATCCTTTTTTGTCTTCCCTAATTGAATTGTTTCTGGTACTAAAGGGTAAAACCTAAAAAGGCAGACACAAAGGGGAAATTATAGGCAATTCAAAGAACAGGTTTACAAACCACAAAGTGACAAGTTAAAGTTTCACATGCTCTGTAAATAACTCTGACACCAACAGTTTTCTTTATAAAGATAGGCCTCTCTACATTTAGAGTAATAGACAGATTCTGGGTGGCCCAGAAGAATAAAATGTACTTCTGTGAGGGAATCAAATTTACTCACAGCTTCCACTGCAAATCTGCAACGTGCAAACTCTGTGAAGCAGGCAAGACTAAGATCTTGGACTGAATCTCTTTGCTTCCTCAAGTGCCTCTGAAGTGCACAAAAGCTGAAAGAAGGGAATGTGGAAAGCAGAAGGTCTTTTGGCTGTGTGTATTATTTTGACTGAATTGACAGGTCAATCTATTTCATGTAGATATTTTCTTTATTCAGTAACAGATTTTGTTAACAGATCGTTTGTGCTATAAATGGAGCACATCCGTTACAATAAATTCTACTCCACTAGTTCATTTCTTATTAAAATTATCCTTATTAAGAAATCCTACATTTTTATCAGCTCTTGTAATCCATTAGTTTAGAAATAAGTTAGAGCACCTAAAAATATTCCTCCCAAACATAAACAGCTTCTAGATATTTTTTTCTCCACCTATCATTCTAGCATTTTTTTTTTCTTTCTGAGACAGGGTCTTGCTCTGTCACTTGGGCTGGAGTGCAGTTGTGGGAACATGGCTCACCACAGCCTCAACCTCCTGGGCTCAAAGGGATCCTCCCACCTCAGCCTCCTGAGTAGCAGGGACTATAGGCACAAGCCCCCAGGCCTGGCTAATTTTTTGTAGATGTTTTGGCCAATGAACGTTTTTCACTATTTTTTTTTTTTTTTTTGGAAGACAGAGTCTCACTCTGTCGCCCACGGTGGAGTGCAGTAGCACGATCTCGGCTCACTGCAACCTCTGCCTCCCAGGTTCAAGCAATTCTCTGCCTCAGCCTCCCAAGTAGCTGGGATTACAGGCACCCACCATCATGCTCAGCTAATTTTTGTATTTTTAGTAGAGACGGGGGTTTCACCATGTTGGCCAGGCTGGTCTTGAACTCCTGACCTCGTGATCCACCCACCTCAGCCTCCCAAAGTGCTGGGATTACAGGCGTGAGCCACTGCACCTGGCTGTTTTTCACATTTTATGTAGACATTTATTTTCACATGTATCTTGACATTCCCTGCAGCTCATTGTGGGGGGCAATTAAGGCAGAGAATAAGTGTTACCTGCGGCCAATAAGAAATAATGAATTTCTGGCCAGGCGCGGTGGCTCACGCCTGTAATCCCAACACTTTGGGAGGCTGAAGCAGGTGGATCATCTGAGGTCAGGAGTTCAAGACCAGCCTGGCCAACATGGTGAAACTCTGTCTCTACCAGAAATACAAAAGTTACCCAGGCATGGTGGTGGGCACCTGTAATCCCAGCTACTCAGGAGGCTAAGGCAGGAGAATCTCTTGAACCCTGGAGGCTGCAGTGGGCTGAGATCGCACCACTGCACTCCAGCATGGGCAACGGAGCAAGGCTCCATTTCAAAAAAAAAAAAAAAGAAAGAAATGATGAATTTCTTTTAGGGGCCTTCCAATTTGCCCAGGCTGGTCTCAAACTCCTGAGCTCAAGAGATGTTCCCAAAGTGTTGGGATTACAGACCACCGCCCAGCCAACTTCCAATATTTTAATACCTAAATTAACAACTCTTCTAACACATTGGCCTCCATTTTCTCCTTATCTTCATCCTTAGTTCCATATATCTCTAACTCTTATCACCTGAGCTACCTGTTAGCACAGAGAAACTCCAGGTTTCCTCAGCATTTAAAAATGGCCTGCCTGGCCAGGTGTAGCGGTTTATGCCTGTAATCCCAGCACTTTGGGAAGCTGAGGCAGGAGGATTGGGACCAGCCTGGGCAACATCATGACGCCCTGTCTCTAAAAAAAAAAAAAAAAAAAGTTTTGTTTTTTTGTTTTTTTTAATTAGCTGGGTGTCGTGCTGCATGCCTGTTGTCCCAGCTACTCAGGAGGTTGAGGTGAGAGGGTCATTTGAGCCCAGGAGTTTGAGGTTGCAGTGAGCTATGACTGCACCACAGCACTCCAGCCCTGGCAAAACAGCGAGACCCTGTCCCAAAACAAAAAGGCCCACCTTCTAGGGTCTTGACTTGGAACTGCTCCTATGTCCTCAGCTGTCCTCAGTTTTCCTATTGCCTTGCTCTCAGTAAACCTGTATCTCACCCTCGTTGAGATACAGTTTTTTCTGGCTAGCCATTTTAGCAAACACTCAGGCTACTGCCCTAAAATCCCTGAGCTCTGTGAAATTCACCATTTCTTACTGGCCCCAGGTAATAGTTATTCTCTGCCTTAATTGCTCCCCACAACCAGCTGCAGACAATATCTAGATAAAATCTGAAAATTGGCTCCTAAAACATTCCCTGTCTCATGTGAGCTTGAGCTCTCACTATTCTTCACTTCACCTGCTTTGGTCTGTTGACTGAGCCATGAGCAGTCCCCATCTCTAGCCATTCTAGACCTCTGCCCTCAAGAACCAATTTGGGTCTGTCATGTGTCTTAACTATCAGTAGAAGACCATCCTTCTATTTACCAAAAACAGGCTGTGTTTTGACAATTTCCTCCTCTCTCTTAAAATTCTATTACATCTGTTTCTTCCCTCTTATTTTTTCCTTTACTCTGGGAGAAGAACTGTCTTGCCAAGGTTAAAGTTCCCCTTTGTGTTTTCTCTTCCATCTCCTCCTCCCTCTTCCAGGATTGTGACCCTCCCGCTCTTCCCTCTTCTCCCTTTCAACTGCCCATGCTGTCTTTCTGCAAAAAGGCTCAAGTTTCTGTTATTCTAAAAATACTCTCAGCTGTTTACCTGCCTCTAGTTACTTTCCCATCATCTCAAAATGTCTAGAGTGAACAGCCTGAAACTGTTACCCTGCATATCCTTACTTCCCACTCATTTCCTAATCCCATGCAATCTGGTTTTCATTACAACTTCACCTAAATACCACTCACTAAATTTAGTTGGGAGTTTCTGCAGCTTTTGACATTCGATTACTAATTTCCACCTTAGAAGTCTTCTCCTTTAGATTCTAAAACATACCAATCTCTTGGTGCCTATGCTTCTTCGACCATCTCTCTTACTGATTGGCTCTATATCCTCTCTCTGCTCCCTAAATGTAGGTATGTTCCTCAAGGTTTGTCTCTAGCCTGCTTTTAATTCCATTGTTTTCCTTTGGGATCTACACTGTGGACCTCCTATCACTTGTATGTGAATGATGGGCCGTCACTAACCTCTCTTAAACTCTAGACTTTTTTTCATAATTATCTGTTTATCCCAATAGAACTAATAACATTTCCTACCCCACATACCCCAAACAAATCCCACTCATTTAATGGAACTGTCATTTTCCCATTTGCCTAAATCCAAAAGCTCAGTATCAATTCTTTCCTCCAACTGAAATCCACATACAAATAACCGCAAAGTCCCATAGATTCCCCATGGACCATAGTTCTCTCATTCACACCCCGCCCCCTTTCCCTTCCTACTAACCTACAAGCTGTGTCAGGACCATAATACCTATGGCTTTCTTTTTCTAAATTGGCCTTCCTATCTTAATCTCTGCTATTTTAATCTCCCACAATTCCCCTATACATACCTATGATCTAACTCAGAGGGTTTCGACTAGCTGTAGAATCATCTGGGGTGCTTTTAAAACAAAGGAAAGCCAAGGCCCACTCTCAGAGATTCTGATTTAACTAGCTTAAGGCGGGGTCTAGGCACAGACTTTTGTTCATTGCTGAGGGTGGTGTCTTTTGCTCTCAGCTGCTTTTAATGTGCGGCTAAGGCTGAGAACCACTGCTAGCCAAACTGGAACTGAGTTTTCTCAGACTTGCATCTTGTTTGCTTTGTCTGGCTCCCTCCTCATGGCACTTATTTCTCTGCAATGGACTATCATTAATCCATTGTGCTTTAACAAATGTGTTCAATTTTATAACACAAATAATCTGAAATTTTGTTCAACCTCCACTCCCCTTAATCAACGTCTCTTTCCTTCCTTCCAGCCATTTACCACGTGTACAAATGCAGCAAGTAGTTTTTATTTTTATTTTATTTATTTATTTTTTTGAGATGGACTCTCGTTCTGTTGCCCCGGCTGGAGTGCAGTGGCATGATCTCGGCTCACTGCAACCTCTGCCTCCAGACTTCAAGAGATTCTCCTTCCTCAGCCTCTTGAGTAGCTGGGATTAAAGGCGCACACCACCACGCCCAGCTAATTTTTGTATTTTTAGTAGAGACGGGGTTTCACCATGTTGGTCAGACTGGTCTCGAACTCCTGACCTCCTGATCCACCTGCCTCGGCCTCCCAAAGTGCTGGGATTACAGGCATGAGCCACCGCGCCCAGCCCAGCAAGTAGTTAATACAATTTACTTCATTTTCACAAATAGATCATGACTTTAGGCAAGTAACCTCTCTTAACCTGGACTTCTCATCTCTAAAATAAAAAGACTGGATTAGATGACCTTTAAGTTTCCTTCTACTAGGAAGGAAATAATGATTCTATGATTATTTTATCATAAAAATTACTATTCTGATTTTATCAAATTATAATTTTGATTATTTTATATCGACTAAGTAGATTCTTGGACTAAAATATTATTGGACTAAACAAAGCATCATTGGTGAATGATGCTTCTAGTATACTGTACCTAAATATCCAGTTCAAACAGTTCTAGCTTCTCTGATAGTTTCTGCAATAGAATTATTGCCATATCTATTGTGATTCTGTCTGCAAGACGACATCCATCTCTTTAATAATGCAAAATATACAATTTAAAGCAGCTTCTAATCACTGTAATCTTACTGCAGCCAGAAAAATGATAAGAAATACCATCACATGAGTTCTTAAATCTAGATGCCAAGTTACTGTTCCTTTCACAAACTGATTAAATCCATTTGTTCTATTATTACCATATAAACCCAGCCAGAGGAAACACAAGCTCCACTTTCAAACTGTTAATTTTAATATTAACATATGAAAAATAATCACGGCAATGAAGTCATTTACTACTTATTCCTGATAGCTAAGCATGAATAATATATGCAGAAAAACATTTCATTTCCTAAATTATGGTCAAATATATTATGAAGGAAAAATTTTCTGGTAAAGAGGATGGAATAGTAAGGGCTAATTGCAGCAGAAAGACACTGATTGAGTTGGCTGCTGAGAAATGAGGACAGGTGCAATGGCTTGCGCCTGTAATCCTAGCACTTTGGGAGGCTGAAGCAGGACAGCTTAAGCCCAGTCTGGGCAACATAAGGAGACACCTGTCTCCACTAAAAAAAAAAAAAAAACCAATAGCTGGCCATGGTGGCGTTTGCTTGTGGTCCCCGCTGCTTCACAGGCTGAGGCAGAGGAGGACTGCTTGAGCCTAGGAGGTTGAGGCTGCAGTGAGTGGTGATCAAGCCACTGCTGCACTCTAACCTGGGTGACAGATCGAGACCTCATCCCAAAAAGCAAACAAACAAGAAATGAAGAAAATCCTGTGTCAGATGAAAGAGTTCAGGCTTTACCCTTGCTAAAACATGGACAGTTTTTCTTCTCAAGCCATGACTTTGTTTGTACATCTTCAAAATGAAGACAGTGAGCTACATAAATCAGTTCCAAAGTTGCCTGATACAATCACCCAAAAAGCTTTTTGAAAATAACGAATACCAGGCCCCCACCCCCGGAGATTATTCTAATACAGGTCTGAGCTATGACACACACTTCTGAATTTTTAATTTTTAAACTAGATATCTATTTCTTTTCATACATGATTGAGAAACATTAAGATAAACTCTAAGATATATTTCTAGTTCTAGAATTCTACTGTATACAGAATAATGCCCCTATGAGGTGTTCAATAATAGCAAAATGGCTTAGTAATAATCTGAGAGACTACTATAAGAATCAATAGCTATCAGGTAAGTATATACATGGCTATTTTGATTATAGCTAATCAGTGAAGTAATGGAAAAAACAACCATCCAACCATCAATTAGCCAAAAGGACTTAAAAATTTTGTTTTCAACATATTTAAAAACACCAACACTCTTGCCAATTAAAAAGAAAATGTATAGTGAGAGTTTAGGATGAGAACTGCTTTTAGACACTTTTCCAGTTTGTTTCAATATTTCAATATATTTCAAAAGGGATTGTTTTTTAATGAGATATCTATCTATAGATATCGATAGATAGTCTGCTACGAAATACACCACTCCATTAAAAAAAGATTTAGGAAAAATGGATAATTTCAAAAATTAAATCCTCTGGAAATTAATCACCTGAGTCTGGTTTCATTATCGATTTTAGGATAAAAACATAGTTTTAAACTTATTTTTCACTTTAAAGACCATTATTTTTAAAGCTTTAATTTTTATTTTTTAGTAATAATGGAAATATTTTGTGGTTTGAATTTTGGAAACCATGTAATTATAATCCTATATTTGCAGATTCACTTTAGGTCTTCACACACAAAAAAGTCTACTTTTTCACATTCCATTTTTTCTGCTAGGTTACATTTTATAAACTCTGTAAACAGGAAACTACTCAATTACAAAAGTCCTATGTTGGTTTATTCACTATTAAACTATCTAAATAAGGCTTGTTTGAAATGAAAAAATTGGCAGTCAGAAAATATACTGGAAAGGAACCAGGTAACAAAAACATCCATTCTGTCAAGCTGTACTAGTAGGGGAAGAGGGACAAATGTGTGGAATAAAAAGGTTATCCCATCTGTTTGGCATGTTGTTTTTCATTCAACAGTATTAAATAAGTGGCAGCGGCATTGTAAAAAATTTCAGCTGATGCTTTCAAAGTCTAAGCACTTTAAAATGATGATCAGCATTAGGTTCAAGAGCCTAGGGCCCATAAGCTCTTATGAGGACACACTCTTATATTTCTTCTTCCTAGGTTTAAACCATCACAAAGGAGGACATTTCGAATCAGTGTTTATGCTTTGCCACCTGACAAGCCTCTTAGAAATCTGAACCTCTAACCGATCGTTCCTTCCAAGTACAGACTTGCCATTATGCCAGAGTTCATATACAGTCCTCGAAGCAGCAGACCAGCATCTTAATATTTTTCATGTATTCTGCATATATATAGCCAGAAGTTAAAACTCCACAGCATACTTCATTCTCATAAAAGTTATAAATTTCTTTCAGTAAAAGCTACTGCTTCTTAGTCTGGTTATTACAGCTAAAGACAGCTCTGACTCCAACTAATTATACTAAGGGTCTGAATAATACCGGAAAAAAGCCCCAAAGAGTATTTTGAAGAAGTCTGTGTTCATATACTTCATTAAGAAGCCACATCTCAATGAAAATACTCTATAAATATGAAAGGACCAGTGATAACATCACATAACTTGAATATCAGAGGAAAACACTCAAGTTCACATTTTTAAGTGCTACAGATCATGAAGTAGCCTCCAAAACAACTATTTACTTTTAAAAATCCTCCTGCTTTCAAAGCATAAAGGAAATATTTGATGGATTAAATATCACATTGCCAACTAATAGGTTTAGCGGCTTGATGGAAAAGGACTAAAACAAGTTTCTACCAATTATACCTTGTCTATATAAAACAAAGTCAAAGCCTATTTACAAAGAACAAATACGTAGTCTTAAACTAACAGCCGAGCCATCCATGAATAATGACCAAAACAAAAAGCTGGATAAGAGCTTTGATAACCTGGGTTCAAATTATGTCAGTATCTTATTCTCAAATGCAAAGAATTATTTTCAAATGCAGATAATGACTGATGTATCACTTAGGGAGTTAGTGAGACTGAGGACTCACATGAATAAAATTTTATCAAACTTAAAAACGGTGTATTCTGAGGACTCAAATGACCAAATATTTTATCAGACCCAAAGATTCCAGCTATGTAGTGGTTTCACCAGCCTAAAAAATAAGATTTAAAACACTTTTTCTACGTAAAATTTTAGGCCTTCAGGTTTCTTATTGCACAGGACTTGATGAGGTGTAATTTGGTCAGGCCACATTAGACTTACGAAACAAGTGAAAAGACAGGGACAGGAATGTTTTTGAAATGTCTCTGATACTGTGAATTATTCCCTTGGTAACTTCTAGAATGCTTTATTAAAGTGACAGTACCAGCGACTCCTAGCATATCTACAGAACTAAGTTCATTAAGTCTAGCTGATAAATCTAACTTTTTATTAACTTAAAAGTTAGGATAAACATTTAAAAAAGCTTCTACTGTAGATATGCCCCATTTCAAGAAACTATAATATACACAAAACCTCATGCTTACAAAATAGTCAAAGTAGGGAGAGAGTATTACAAAAAATTTTTACTGTACAAAATAACTCACTTGAGCATTTGTTAAAAGATAATTTGGATTACAAAATTTTGATTAATGCACTTTCCAGGAAATACTAGGTTGGTGCAAAAGTAACTGTGTTTTTGCCATTAAAAATGACCCAAAACTGCAATTACTTTTGCACCAACCTAATTATCCAGTTCATAATTTGGGCTCACCTATGTCTAGATTCAACATCTATAGGGAAAGAAGTAAAATGGGTGTGTAAGAAGAAAAAGTCAAAGCAAATAAGCAAAAATCATCATAATAGTACAGGCTAATAAATGAAGAAATCGAGAGACAGTTTCATTAATTAATATATTTTCTGCATTATAGTTAACATATGTACTTTCTTCGTGTCACCTTATTTTCCGTTAAGTATTGATATTTTGTTATATTCAAACATGAGTACATTTCAACAGTCTTTTGCAATAAATACCATAAAATAATAGAGATTCGCATAATAAATATTCTTTACAATAAAAAAGTTTAACAGACTTTTGTCTTAAAAATAGTCAGAATTCAACTTTGTGATTTATACATAAAATATACAAAAAGCACCACAATTTGTGGTTAAGGCAAGGAAAACACAGAAGAGATTAGAATTACTCAGCTGTTAACTATCCAAGGGGCCAAAAGGACCATTAAGGAGCCAAGATCACTTTAGGCAGCATAGTTCTGTGACACATATAGATTGATCAGCTATAAATATCAACTTGAGTTATCCAAGTGCCCTCAATGACAACAAAAATTTGGTGAGAAGCATGGGGTGAAGAAGGAAGGTGGCTGAGTCCTTCACAAATACGAAGGCTAGAGTGAAGATGGGCAAGGTCCAACCAATATTATCTCCAATGTGAAGATTTACATTGTAAGGCGAATCTAAAATTACATAGAAAGAAAAAATACACTTGGCATCTCCAGAGTAAGACAACAACAAAACTGAGGGGGAAAGAACCTTGAAGGAGAAAGAAGGAGAGGGCAGTGGTTAAAGGAAAATTTTTACGTTATAGCAAAAAATATATCCCCCATGCTACTTAAGGGGCCTATGCTAGGAAGATAGCCCTAACTGGAGACAGATTTAATACATAGCTTATTTAAGCAATTAAACAGTTGCTTTTTAAAAAACCAATTTCCCTGCTCCCACGGTACCCAATCAAAACAACTCTAAATCACTGTAGTCTGGATGTGGGTGTATGTTCATGTACACAACTTTAGAAAGTTGCTTGCAGAACAAAAAGGCTACACAAAAGCCCACTGGCTCTCAATACCCTCAAGTGGATGGCAGAGGCTCTTGTTGAAAGTGGGAGCCAGGTGCAGCTTCCCAGTCCACTCTTGCTGAAGATCATCCATGAGGAAAGAGAAAAATCCATGAGTTAGACCTTGGCAACAGGGGAAGAGAAGGTGGGAAACAGGGAAAAATTCTAAAGAAAACAAAAACAAAAACAAAAACAAAAAACAGCCACAACTTGAAAGCTAAAAGTTCAGGAGGTACAACCCACCTCCAAAAATCATGATGGTTTACCCTGACCCCGGGAGGGGCAGCTCTCCAGCTTACAATAGACAGTGTTGGAGTTCTTACATCTGCACCCTGGGCGATGGATCCAGTCATAACACCTCCTGCACAGCTTCAGGCATCCTTTAGCAGGAGGATAACAGAGTAAGCAAGGTAAAAATAAAGACATGGCTCCCATACACAGGTATCTAGAGCAGCAGTGTGATTGTGAACAGGAGCAAGGATTATCTGAATAGGAATCCCCTTCGTCGTCATTGGAGCAGTGGTAGAAGATGCCCTTGACTAAGCACATGCAGGTTCCATATTCCACCATGCTCTCAGCAGAGCAAAGGCACTGCCGGTTACAGGCCAAACAGGATGGTAGGGTCCTGGGAGCAGTGCATTCTCCACACTTGCACTTCCCACACTGTTCACAAATGAACTTGTGCTGTGTCAGGTCCTCTTTCAAGGAACCCTTCAAGTCATCCACAATCAGTTGCTTGGGCTGGGTCCGGATTGCCCTTTCAGACCTATGACCAGGGACTGGTCTGGTTGGTGGTGACCTTCCTAACAGTCCCTGTTCAGAAGAGGCACTGCTGTTGCTCCCAGAGCTGGCTGCACTTCCAGTGCTGGTTGATCTGCTCAAAATGGGGCCCCTGGCATTACTTGGGAGTACTGCATGTCCCAGGTGGCTTGTGTGTCTGTGCTCGTAGTTATTATTCACATTAATTGGTATGATTTCATGAGTCCTTTCATGCTTTTCTTGTCTTGGTGCTGTCCGAGGAGCAGGTCTTTTCACCACCGAAGGCCCTTCTGTGTATTCATTGCTGCCTCTTATGGCCTTGATCTGGTCTAAGGACAAAATAGCAGTAGGCTGAATCTCTCTCTCATAGTCTAATCTCTGACGGCTATCCAAAGAAGGCTGCTGGATCACAACTAACGAACTGCCACTGCCATGTTGATTTTGGGGATCCATGTGTAGTGATCTCGAGTTCTGGCAATCAGTGGAAACCTGGCATGCATCTGAAATCCTAAAACGAAATCAAAGATGAAAAAAACAGAAAATAAATGACAGGAAGCATTTTTTTTGGGGGGGGGGAATCCTGTCAAATCACAAATTGCCTAAACCGCCTAGTAATGACCTCCTTCATCAGTGGATTACAATGATGCTGGGGTCCTGGCCAGAGTCCAATTCTAGGAGAGGCTGGGGACCACATCATAGAGGAAGACTATAAACAAGAGACCCCATGCCATGAACATTATAAGTTTTTCCAACTTTTAAGAAGCAGAATCAGGAGAAAGTAATGCCTTCCTGTTTGTGAATCTAATAATTAAAATGGAGCATGCCTTCGCAGGGAATACTGAGTATAAGCAGGAGAATAACTCTCATCTAAAGAAAGCTCAGTTATCAGTTCATAGGTGGCTTCCATAAAGGAAAATGTCTACCTTTTAAGAAATTGAGAATGGCTTTGGTGCTACAGCCTTTTTGTTGTGTGCTGTTATATGCATTAGATTAATGATGAAAAAAATTAAGGCATTAAAAAATTGAGACTCTTAAAATGAAATCGCAAAATAATAGGTAATTTTCTATATAAATCAGAATTTTAAAACTACCTTATTATTCATCTATGAGATGCAAAAATAAATGTATCAGGTACACAACGATTCTTGGTGTTTTGGAGCTACAAACACACACACACACAAGACTCAATGTATAGTCCAGTGAATGATATATAACAGTACTCATATTTGAAATCCTGAGAGGATTTTTTTTAAGCTGAAGGGCTCACTCACAAAACAAAGTAAGTTTTATGCACAAATAAGTGTGAGGCCTTTAACGCAGTGTAGGGAAATCCTGGCAGTTTTAATTATCTGTATTTCCTCTGATTTAAAAATCTGTATTTACATGACAGACCTTGATTTTCAAACGCACTGCCAATTCTGATTCAACGTTCTTCTTGTAACAAAATCAGCACACTAATATCCAGATAAAAATAAGCAGTTGTGTTTCCATACTAATAGTAAGTTATTTCTAATTTATGTGTTCTTCACAAACTGCCAAAGATGAAAGTTTCTGCTTTCAGTGGTGAACTAGAGTATTTTTCACACAAATTCCTTCTAAAGTCTACAGAGTCGACCCAATTCAAGAATGAAAAGAAAAAGAAATGTCCATTCTCCACTACCAACCTGAGGCAAAAAACATGGTTTAAGGAACAACGCAGAAAGAAGTCCATTTCCTATATTTCCTAAACTAATGTCTCTAAACTATGTCTTACATGTTAACTTCTTGGAGCTCCCCCTCGTTTTCACAACTCAGCTCTCTCGAGTTTCTACTTTATTCTACCTTCTTTGCGCATGAGGAGTAACACATTCATAACCTGCGGGGATTTAGTCTCGGAGTCCTCAACATCTAATCCTGACTCCTGCACAATTATTCCTCTTCTTCAAGAACTTCTTAACTCAGTGCTTTCAAAGCAAAAGGTAGCTAAAAGTACTAAGCCAGATTCACAAAACCGCAGAGGATTTGAATAGTGTAACCCATAACACCAGGCACAACTTCAATTTGCATTTCCAATGATAGTTGTAACAAACTTCATACTGGCTGGGAAATAAAGTTGCCAGACAAAAAAATTAAAAGCAAAGAAAATTCGCCACCTCCGATCCGAAGAAAAGCCCATTTTCAAGCAGTGACAGTCTTGGACAAGCCCCAAACACGCTCACACGCGCTCGGCACACTGCCTTCCCCAAGAAAACGCGAATGGAAGTAGAATACCTTTTCGGACAATCCCATCACCATATTAAGGATCACCGTGGATTTCCAACACACTTTTTGGGTGGCCCACCAAGGTTTCTGAGAAATCATGAAGAGCCTTCAGCGTCCACGCGGGAGCCCAAAGCAAGCCCACGGTCTGGCTGACCCTAAGCAAGGATTTGTCTATGCTTTAAAGGAAAAGCTGGGTTCACCGAGGGCCGAGGAGAAAGAAGCCAGCGCAGGGGCGGCCACATTGCAAGTTACCACGGTGGAGCTGCGCCCTCTGCAATCCGCACTGAATAAATAGTTGACGGAAGAAGGAAAAGGAAAAAGTTATGAATGAAAACAAGTTCTTTCTCCCTCTCTCTGTGGTAGGAGGAGGGGAGGAGGCTGAGGTTACCATGAGCTCAGGAGGGCGGACTTCCCCACTTTTTTTTTTTGAGCCGGAGTCTCACTTTGTCTCCCAGGCTGGAGTGCAGTGGCGCGACCTTGGCTCACTGCAACCTCCGCCTCCCGGGTTCAAGCGGGTCTCCCGCCTCAGTCTCTCGAGTAGCTGTGACTACAGTCGCGCGTCACCACGGCCGGCTAATTTTTGCATTTTTAGTAAAGACGGGGTTTCATCAGTTGGTCGGGCTGGTCTCGAACTCCTGACCTCAGGTGATCAGCGCGCCTCGGCCCCCCCAAGTGCTGGGATTACAGGCGTGAGCCACCGCGCCCAGCCGACTTCCCCACTTTTAAAGTGGCAGTGCCCTCTCCCTTCCCCTGTCTTTGCACTGTGCTCCAAACCAGAAGAAAGTTGCGGCTGGCTTTGGGGCTGCCTAATTCTATCGAGGGGGTAATCGGCGAATTCCGGGGATGTGCCTACACACACACACGCACACACACAGCCTTTGTCGTCCCCCTGCTTGAGGCACACTCCTCCAAAGAGGGCCTCCGGGGACATCCCCAGAGCCGCCTGAAATCCCCCTTGGGCGTGAAGGGCTCTCCGAGAGGACAACCTGGGCCACCGCGCCGCCGCTCCGGGTAATCGGGGATGGAGGAGACCCTGTCCTGTTACGTTCCGCAGCCGCAGACCGTCGCCCACCCCGCCACCCAACCTTGAGCCCCCAGAAGCCGCGGCCCCCAGGGGGCAGGGAGCGGCGGGAGGGGCCGCGCCGAGCGAGGTCGTCCCTCCCCTCCCCTCCTCTCCCGGAGTCCTGGCTCGGGCAGCAGCGCCGCCGAGTCCGCACCTGCCGCGCCGAGCGAGCCCCGCCCGCGCGCCTACAGCCCAGCGGGCCGAGGGCGGCCGCCGCACACACTCACCTAGGCCGAAGCGGTGGCCGGGGGCCAAGCCGTGCGACCCGGCCCAGGTCCTGGTGCGGGCGGCGGCGTGCACGTGCCGCATCAACCGCGGCGGGGAGGGCGAGGCGGCATCGCCGGAGTTGGAGCGCCTCGGCTCGCGGCCTCCCCCGCCCCCGCCGCCACCGGCCAGGAGCGCTCCCCGCGGCCCCCTTCCGGCTGCGGAGGGCAGTTCTCCCGCGGCTCCGCGCGGCCGGGCCCGGACCTGTCACGGCTGGTGCTCGCCGGGCGGCTCAGTAACATCCACCTCGGGAGGTCTTCTGCAGCCCCTTTCCAAGAACCAGTTTTTACAAATCCTTTCAGGAAGGCTTCCCAAGTCTCAGAAAAACAAGTAGGGGAGTGGCGGAGTCGAGTGCGTGACGGGCCAGCTGACGGCACGGTGTGCTCAGAGAACTCGGGTTCTAGTCGCTCCTCGCAAGGAACGAAGGAAGGGATGGCGGCTTCCTGACGAGCGAAAAATCCACGTCACGGGCGTTCGAGACTCCGCAGCGCCCGGGTCGGGGCCCGAACCGCCGTCGGCGGGTGGGTCACGGAGCCGCGCAGTACCCCGGCGAAACCTCGGAGCACGCGCCTGCCAGGCAGAGGCTGCCGCGGCCGGGAGGGGGAGGGGGATTTTTTTACCCTTTTCTTTTTTTTTTTTTTTTTAGCGGGGAGGAGTGAAGAGAGTGAGGTTTGGGGATCCTTCTCGGAGAGAGAAAGGCGGGCGTCGTCCCTTGTGCCCCGCGCAGGCCGACGCGCTTAGCCGATTCCGCACGTTGGGCAAGTGGGGGCACAGCGTCCCCGGGCACTCCGGTCCCGGCAGGTCAGCCTCTCCCGGGCAGCGCTCACACCCAGTCCTCCGAGCCTGGGGTTCCACGGCCGAAATGCCTGCGACAGAGAATTAGAGATAGAAGCTCGTGAATGTCCCTTTCTTCGAAGGGCTGGGACCCCGGGCGGGCCGCTGGCCAGCTCGCCCGCAGCCCGTTGCCATGTGCTCCCTGTTGCTGCTCCCGGTGATTGACAGGCCGGCGCACAGTCGGCGTGTCAGCCGCGAACCAAAGTAACATGCAGTCCTGCACGTTTTTGCCGAGGTGCTTTTGCCCCCTGGAATGCCTAGGAGTTCAAACAACGTTCAAGCAACGCCTCTGCGCGTTAGGAATCAATACACAGAGACGGGAAATTCAGGTTTTAAACCAATGCTTCACTCGGGATTCGGTCGCCAACAATGCCTAAACAAACACGCATTTGGTCCACACACCGAGTGCTAGCCCCTCTTCGCATAAAGGCATTAACGGCTCTGTGTTTCACAAATTCGATCGTTTCAGACTTTAAACGTCTACTGTTCGGTTAAGGAAAGGTGAAAGGGACCCTGCTTTTTCTTTTAGCGGTAGCATTTACTTTAAGAGCATTAGTTTTAGCAGTGGGAATGCTACCGGTGTTTTGAAATGCAACCAGTAACCTTAGCTGGAAAGCAAGTTCAAATAAATAAATGTTCAGTTCCTTGCAAAAGTCAACATTTCTCACCTTATCTTTCCTAAAATGTCTACGGAAGGAAACGGTACTTACCTAATGCAAAGATTGCAAATTGCTTTTCAGGCACATTTAACAGCGACTGTAGCTGTTCCTTATCCAGGGCAGGGAACTGTGCTGATAATCACTCTGCAAAGCACGCAGTGGTTTGCAGAGCGGTCTCACTCCGGCTACGCAGAATTTCAGCTCCTTGCCTCCACCTCCACCTCCACTCCAGGACACGCCTCCGGTGATATCATGTGTCAATCACTCGGGCTGCCCGAAAACCTGGAACAGGATTTCCTTAACTATCGTTTCCTCTTTCGTTTATGTGTACCAACTTGGAAATGTTGCCCTACAGACTCGTGTAATAAACATCCTCTTAAAACTTCGGGAGTGCCTCTAAAAATTCTGCAAATGCAGTTTGTCATAGAGGAATACATTCGGATTTAGTTAGCAATCTTCAGTTGTCGATCTCAATTAAAAGGATTGGTGGACTCTACTCTTAAGTTGAATTAGAAAAGAATTGTGAAGAATAAAAGAAAATGAAAAAAGTTGTATGCCAAGCCATCACTTCTGACCAACTAGAGGGAAAACGTATATTGACACAAAAAGATGATTATATAACATTACAGTTCCTATTTACAACAAAGTTCAGAATATGTGAAACCTAAAGTTCAAAAGGTGGCACTCCTTACTGCAAATGTAATATAAGCATATGTAATAAAGGTGAAATTTTCTGCTGTGGGTTTTTTAAATAATTGCTTTACCTTGGCTTGTTATATGATTTCCCAAAAATCAAGCACATGGAGAAAAAACCAAATTCTTTCAATTTTGTAATATAGTTGTATAATTTTGCAAAAAATACAAACCCGTATATTTTTTAATTAGCTAAAAGTCAATTAATTAGAATAGAAAAAATTTATCAAGAAGTTTTATAATTCTTAGTAATAGCTGATATGACTGGAAAAAAAACACTTTAAGTAGGAAACTTGATTTCTACTTTCTTACAAACTATGGGATTTTAGGCATTTATTATCAAAGTTGTGCCTTTTCATGCTGCAGTGAGGATAACTTTTTGTGGAATTGAAGGTTCCGTAGAAACTTTTAAAAGCCACCTAAAGACCAAAAACTTAGTGGAAAGGAAATATTTTTCCAGGTACTATATATCAGGAGTAGCTTAAAGTCTGGCAAAACAAAGCAAACAATAACAAAACTCTAGAATCTAAATCATATAAACATATAAGTATGGAAATTTTTAGTTCAAAGTACATTTTTAGTCTCATTTACAATAGCAAGTGGTTCTGTTGAAACTATAAATATATACATACATAACACACACGCACACACACAGGACTTTCAAATGTCTGAGCACTTTCAAAAATTAAAGTTGTGTTTGGAATTGCCTCTGAAGAACACAGAGCATTGTTAAGAACATGAATAACAATAAAAAAGCATCATTAGAAAATAGCATAGAATAAGAATCAAGCCAAAAAGCTACATATTCACTCTTAATATTATGAATTGTATTAAAATAGGCTATTTAAAAGAATAAAATTGATTTCATTGTATTTTTTTCATAGATCTCATTAGATTTGGGGATGTAATGAAATTTTACTAGTGATGGATAGGTTTCTTGTGAATGTATTTGGAATAGACAAATCAAAAATAGACTATCCTATCAGAGTATCTTATTTGGTTCTTCAAAACTATTACCACAGTTGTGAGCTGAGAGGTCAGTTCACCAATATGATAAAACCTGGAGAGGGAGCACTGAACATTCTACCTTCATAAATCCTACAAAATATATTTGAAAGATTTCTATTGCAAATACACTCTATTTCAACCAGAAATGTATTAAAATAATTTTCATTAGATCAAGTATTTTTAAATTATAATAATCAAATCCATGAGATTTTTATCTAAAACACCATCACCATGGGTCATGTTGTATTAAGAAATTAAATATGCTGTACAGAGTTGATCAATAACCCTCCATGTCATTTAGCACTAAAATGCATTAATATGTTTTTCTCTAAATATTACATTACAAATAAATGTACGTATAGCTCTGTCACCTTGGTTCTAAAAGACATTGAATGAAACTTGCCTCTCCTGATTCCCCGCAACTATAAGACTTTGTAGAAATTCTAAATTTTTAGCTTAAAGTATACATTGTTTTTCACTTGGTAAGTTTAATTACATTGTAACTTGACTAAAAATGGATAACGGAAGTATGAAATTTTTCCAAAAATGAAAAACAATGCAAATATCAATGGGAAAAATCTTATAATAATTTTTAGTTTATTAAGATATGTCTAAATAAAGTGGAATGGAAAGTGAGCCCTGACTTGTCCTTAATTTTCATGTGAAAACAAGATTAGCCATCGCTTGTGTTAATTTGAGTTTTGAAAAAGAATAAAGTGAAATGAAAAAAATTCAGTAACTCCTCACAACTTCTAGTGATTAAAAAAAAAAATGGCCAGGCATGGTGGCTCACGCCTGTAATCCCAGCACTTTGGGAAGCTGAGGTGGGCTGATCACCAGAGGTCAGGAGACCAGCCTGGCCAACATGGCGAAACCTGGTCTCTACTAAAAATACAAAAAATTAGCTGGACATGGTGGTCTGTGCCTCTAATCCCAGCTACTCAGAAGGCTAAGGCAGGAGAATCGCTTGAACCCGGGAGGCAGAGGTTGCAGTGAGCCGAGATCGCGCCACTGCACTCCAGCCTGGGCGACATAGCTGGACTCCGCCTCAAAAAGAAAAAAAAAATTAATACAGTTATAGGAAGCTTAACTTATTCATGTATCTACTTTATTTGCCAAAATAAAAATAACAATCATGTGTTCCAAGCTTTTGAAAAATAATACGTTATTAATTCTCCTAATGTTTCTGTGAAGTCATGATAAATAAATGTATCACAGTCTTTTTATCTTGTTGAGAAACAAACACACAAACTAAATAATCACAGACATTGATGAGTTAGCTTATAAGCATGTCATAAATCAATGAAGACCGGTAATGGAAACTAAGTTCTCTTTACTTTCCTTTTAGGGCAATAGTCACTATATTACTATACTTCCCAAGAAAAGCTGGCAAGGATAGGCCATTTTATTTTCAGTTTCCTTTTGTAAACAATCTTTGTAGTTGACAGAAATAGACCAACCTATTCTGTAAATTTTCCATAAACATTCTCTTCATTTTCATAAGCGTAATTCTCATCCTTCTGCCTTATTTGAAATACGAATGTTCCGTATTGGTTTCAAATTCTGGAAGTGGGCAAATCAAGCAATACGTTGAGTAAATTACACTGAATGATTTGTAGTTTGTGTCAGCTCTATAATTCAACTAATCATTTGTGTACTTTGTCACAGGCGATTCTATTTTTCTGCAAGTTGTCAGAAAAGAAAGAAATATACCTGGACGTGTCCTAAATTGGTGCGCTTTATTTCTTAAGTGCCATATTCCTTTGGAGAGAATAAAAGTGACAAGAGTTCAGATAAACTGCATCCCTACTATATATTAAAGATTTTACTAATTAAACCCACATGGTAAGATTGTCTAAGGAAACATTTTTGCCCTACGTACAAAACAGTCCTCATTCTTACCTAGCTAATTGCAAAATAAATCCTGTCTTCTTTCCTCTTCCAGTGATGTCAGATGTTCCCCCCAAGCCTTGACTTGTTCTTTATTTTCATGAGAAAACAAGATTAGCCATCTCTTCCGCTGATTTGTATTTTGAAACAAGAAGTGGAATGGCCCTTATAATGATCACCTGGTATCATCTTTGATTCTGGTCAACAAAATTTATCAATCTCTCATTCCCACAACTACCTACTGCTATCTTAATCTTCAGAGACAAGCACGTAAGAATCTACGTTAAGTTAAACTTGTAACTGTCCCCCAAAGATAGCACAGTAAGAAAATAAAAGTGTGTTCTCATTAAAACAAAAACAAAACAAAAAAAGCATCTCTTAGGGCTTCCTCACTATAATATTTCCTATTGAAATAACCTACGTCAAAGGCTACAGTTTATCCTTTATTTGAACGGAAAAAAAAGTAGAATATTGATTTGATGAAACAACTATAGCCATACCCTTTAAGAACAGAGAATGACTAATATTGAAAAAAGAAGGCTGGACACGGTAGCTCACGCCTGTAATCCCAGCAGTTGGGAGGCCGAGGCGGGTGGATCACCTGAGGTCAGGAGCTCGAGACCAGCCTGGCCAACGTGGCGAAACCCTGCCTCTACTAAAAATACAAAAATGAGCCGGGCATGGTGGTAAGTGCCTGTAATCCCAGCTACTCTGGAGCCTGAGGCAGGAGAATTGTTTGAACCCGTGAGGCAGAGGTTGCAGTGAGGAGAGATCGCACCACTGCACTCCAGTCTAGGCGACAGAGCAAGACTCCATCTCAAAAAAAAAAAAAAAAAAAAAAAAAAAAGAAAAAGAAAAAAAAAAGAAAAAGAAAAGAAAACATAAAAAACTTCCCAAAAGAGTTTTTTTAAAAATATGTTTGCCAGGTGCGGTGGCTCACGTCTGTAATCCCAGCACTTTGGGAGGCTGAGGCGGGCGGATCACGAGGTCAGGAAATCGAGACCATCCTGGCTAACACGGTGAAACCCCGGTCTCTACTAAAAAAATACAAAAAAATTAGCCGGGCGTGGTGGCGGGCGCTTGTAGTCCCAGCTACTCGGGAGGCTGAGGCAGGAGAATGGCGTGAACCCAGGAGCCGGAGCTTGCGGTGAGCCGAGATCGCCCCACTGCACTCCAGCCTGGGCGCAGAGCGAGACTCTGCCTCAAAAAAATAAAAAATTTAAAAAAGTTTATACTTAGAGTTTCCCTTGATTTGTAATTTTCTTGTCACATTTCTAATAACTCCATTTATATAAACATTTCAAGTGGTCTATAATAATTGATAGGATACATGTATTGAAGACCTGAGTTCTGACGATATTATCCTTGTATATCATGGTCTATAACTTTAGCTTATGTGTCATATTTAATCATAATGCCCCTATGTCCAGTATTATAACTAGGAAAATAGCATGGTATTATGAAAAGAGTACCAGATATAGGATCAGATGATATGAAGTCCCAACTTTGCCACTTTCTAGCTAGGTAACCTTCACTTAATTTCTCTGAACCTGCTTTCTCATCAATAACCTGAAGTTAATAAAAATACTTGCTCTTCCCAAATCCTAGTGCTACTGAATGACTCATTATATATGCAAGGACTTTATAAGCTTTAAAGTTCTGTACAAATTATTAGTTATCATTGCCTCAATCACATTGTATGATGAGGAAATGTTTAAGGCCCCCTTTTTCTAGGTTCTTCACCCCAAATAATGATTTTATTTGCCTTATAACTGTTTTGAGGCAATTCTATTTTACTTTTGTTTTTCTGAGCCTGAGAACTCTGATTTTAATAATAGTATTGCTGTATGTGTGCATGAGGGGGATTTTGGACCAGCTATCTGCTAATAATTTGAGATTACACACCTGCTGAGCCCTGCTCACCTTATCATTTATCTGGAATTTTCAATCATTAATATTGTACTTCTAGTTAAGATAGAGATCATTATAAATAGTAAAAATCCCTTCTATAAAATTTGTAAACTCTTTGTGATCATTGAGTAAAAAAAGCAAATGCATATTTTAAAAAGTGATTGAATAACATTTATAAAAGTTGAAAATAAATAGAAAAGTAAAAAAACAGAATCCTACATATTTTCAAAAGGTATATTTACTGCTGCCTTTTTTATAATCTCTTAGAATGTTAGTTTTGATGCTCCATAAATACGGTAAGTTTAATAGCAATAGTTTCCATTACTTACCAATGTATTATATGAATCAGTGTTCTTGTATTAACTTAAAAAATTGATAGCACAGATATATTTCATATAGCCAGTGCATTTAACCTCACACACAAAAAAACCTGTGAAGCGCCACCTATTGTTAAAAATAAGTCATTTCAAATTTCAAACAAAAAATGTACTTGAGTCTAGGAACTGGGTTTTCACAGTGATCACCGCTTTACATTAGTTTCTTTTTTCTTTTGCAATACTGCCATATGGTTTAGAATAAGCTTTTAATAAAACTGCAAAAAAATTCATAATATATATTGGCTACTTTTTGAGGAATCTAAAGACATGAAAAGGCTTTATCTGTCTATAGGAAGTTACAGTATTGATGGAGAAGATAAAGTAGTGGGGACATTGAGTTTTAGCTAATATATAAGAATTAATATATCGATAAAGGTGTTTGCCCTCTTGAAGTAGTTACTTAGAAAAGGTACTTATTCCAATAATACTACAACTGTACAAATCTCTCTTTATATTCATATTGTATAATTGTATGTATATTGTGTAATTGTAAATATATATTTACAATACGAGTCCTTGTAAATATTCCTTGTATTGTTAATATCATCTGGGCTTACATCACATTCTCTCGAAATATCTCAATATTGTATATCAATATTGTATATGGGATATTGTATATATGGTAAATAATCTCAATATTGGAAAATGTCTCCCTTTTCAAAATGGATTTGGATTTTTCTAACACATAAATCAATAGAAGCCATGTGTATGGAGTAAGATGAGTGCTCAGGCTGAGTTAAAGTCTGGGAAGAAAAACAAAGCATCAATTTACATTTTTACATATATTAAATAAGACAACCAGCCTCCTAGAGGAAGACACAAAAGAAAGAGGACAGTGAGTAACAGGGGAAATTGTAAGCAGCTGAGAATAACAGGAATGTCTTCTACTTTGGCTTGTTTCCTTCACTGGCTATGTTACTTTCACAAATCTCTTTCCCTCCCGAATCCCAAATGGTCACCTGTGAAGTGGCTACACTACACAGAATTAGGTTTGGAGATCAAACCTAATTCAGTTTTTTAATTCATACTCTCAATAATTTATGCATTTGTTTAATAAATATTTACTAAGCACCTACATCATGCCAAGGAAGATGAATGCATTATGAACAAGACAGAAAAAGCCCCTGTCCTCATTCCTTATGAGAGTTCACATGTAGGAGGAAGAGACAGGCAATAAACAAACTAATATTTTGTGACAGTAATGGTAAGTACTGCCATGAGAAAATGAAGCTTGGCTGGAGTGATAGGGGTTGAGAGGTGATGACTGCTTTAGCGAGGGTGGCCAAGAAGGGTCTCTCTGAGGAAGTGAGATTTGGGCAGAGCCATGATGAGGTGAGGGAGTGAGCCACTAGTGGGGAAGCAGGAATCCAGCAGGAGAAATGGCCAGTGAAAAGGCCCTAGGAAATATCACGTGGAACTAGGGAGAGGAAACATGGTAAAGAGGAGGTCAGAAAGGAAGGCTACAGCTATATCATTTAGAGCCTTGTAGCCCATAATAAAGACTCTGGATTTTTTTCTAAAGTCATAAGAGGTTTTGCAGCTGATGGTTATCTGTTCAAAATGTTTAAAGATCTGCTATGGGCCGGGCACGGTGGCTCACACCTGTAATCCCAGCACTTTGGGAGGCTGAGGTGGGTGGATCACCTGAGGTCAGGAGTTCAAGACCAGCCTGACCAACATGGCAAAACCCCATCTCTACTAAAATACAAAAATTAGCCGGGCGTGGTAGTGGGCACCTGTAATCCCAACTGCTCAACTACTCAGGAGGCTGAGGAAGGAGAATCACTTGAACCCGGGAGGTGGAGGTTGCAGTGAGCTGAGATCCTGCCACTGCACTCCAGCCTGGGTGATAGAGCGAGACTCCATCTCAAAAAAAAGATCTGCTATGAAAGATCTGCTATGTTAAATGTTAAAAGGGTGCTGTAGGGAGAATTAAGACCAAAGAGAAATATTTATGTTAACACATAGCATAAATTATATATTGCTATAAAATATAAAGTATTAATCATTATAGGAAGAAGAACTTGAAACTTATCCTAAAATAAATAGGATTCGTAGAAGAGGAAAAGAAAAAGACAGCTTACCCTTAGTGCATGGCACAAGGAAATACTGGAATGTGCAAATAGGTGTAGGCACATCGTGATTGTGGTCAATTTACAAGACTTACATGAGTGGAAGGGAAGATTTCTTGTCAAAATTGGATAAGTAAGCTAAGGACGAATTACAGAGGGACCTTAATGCCAACATGATGATCTGGGCTTGATCCCAAAGACAATAAAATTGATGAATCTATATTCATCAGAAAAGTTAGAGGCATTGCAATCTCTTCCATTCACTTCTGTTCAATTTTGAAAGAAGTAAGAGGAGAAAAAAAGCATTTTTAGGGAGAAAAGTGTGCATAAGAGATCACTAATATTTTATAGCTATGTCTGGCCAACTCAAGGAATGGAATATTGATTATAATTTGCTGCTGTGGCCCAGAGATATCAAGCAGTATTTATGTTCCATTAAAGAGTTAATCAATTAGACCATCAAAATGATTGCTGAAAAATTCCCCAGTGAAGATAATGTATAGATACTAAGAAACCTTAATCCATGAAAAAATTGCAAATACTACACTTATAGAAAATTGAGATCAAATATTTGTAATAGCAAGTAAGGTAGGGATGCTATTGTGATTTGAAAAAAATTAAAACTTTTCAATTCATTGTCCAGCTCTATATGGTAAGTGAGTCATGGACTTCACTTGCTTCCAAGATCATTTTGGTTCATACACCCATCAATCTAACAACTGCGTATTGGTACTAGGTGTGGTACTGTGCTAAGTATTAGGGATACAAAGATGAAAACAAATTCATGGGCTAGCTGTAGGCAGTGCCTCAGTTGATGGGAATAGGGATGAGCTCAGGCTCAAGATCTAACGACAGCCAATCCATAGCCTAGGCCATAGCCTAAAGATGTCTTGGTTTCTCTCTCTCTCTTTTTTCTTAATTAAAAAAAAAAGACTGTTAGAAAAAAAGAATGAGCTGGTCCAGCCTGGAAATTATGGAAAGAATAAGGCAGTTACTTTATGAAATAGAATCTTCAAAGTCATGAAGAGAAGGGCGATGCGGGACCATGAGTTAGTAAAAGTGATGACTAAACACAAATCCTTAGGTAATAATAACAAAAATATCATCTTTCTTGTTTCTTTTTTCTTTTTTTTTTTTTTTTTGAGACAGAGTCTCGCTCTGTCATCCAAGCTGGAGTGTGGTGGCACAACCTTGGCTCACTGCAACCTTCGCCTCCCAGGTTCAAGGATTCTCCTGCATCAGCCTCCTGAGTAGCTGGGATTACAGGTGTGCGCACTACGTCCGGCTAATTTTTGCATTTTTAGTAGAGACGGGGTTTCACCATGTTGGTCAGGCTGCTTTTGAACTCCTGACCTCGTGATCCGCCTGCCTTGGCCTCTAAAGTGCTGGTATTACAGGCAGGAGCCACCGTGCCTGGCCAAATATCACATTTCATCAAATCTAAGATGTCAATTGTATGATGCATTTTTCTTTTATGGACTACTACGAAATTTTTTTAAATGCTGCTAATTCACTCTTGACACAATGCTTCCTTATCACTTATAGTTTTACATTAAATACTTATTAATATGGCTTTTTAATGCTGATTTATGCACAGATTTTGTCACATATCATTCTTGTGCACACCTGAAAAGAAAAATGTAAGCAAAATAAATATATTAGGGTCCCTAAAACTACTTCAGAGTCTGATTCTTCTGAATTACTTTTTGACTCAGTCATTAATGCTTGTGTTTTTCTTTTTTTTTTTCCTTTTGGCACGGAGTCTCGCTCTGTCGCCCGAGCTGGAGTGCTGTGGCACAATCTCCGCTCACTGCAAACTCCATCTCCTGGGTTCAAGCAATTGTCCTACCTCAGCCTCGTGAGTAGCTGGGATTACAGGCGCCTGCCATGACGCCTAGCTAATTTTTGTATTTTTAGTGGAGATGGGGTTTCACCATGTTGGCCAGGCTGATCTCGAACTCCTAACCTTAGGTGATCCGCCTGCCTCGGCCTCCCAAAGTGCTGGGATTACAGGCGTGAGCCACTGCGCCTGGCGATGCTTGTGTTTTTCTGTAGAAGATAATCTTATGGCCATCAAGAGCATTGGGCAGCATTTCTTAAAAGATGTAGCAGTTCTTAAAAGACTGCTGCATCATTGTTCTCTGGATTTTTTCCAAAACCTATTCTGTGTTTTGATACTGGAATGTTCTTGATCTTATCAAAAAGTGTCAATAAAAGGTTTTCAGACAGCAGCCAGGACTCATAGTCCTGCCTCAAATAGTCCTTAAATAGTTTCCTGAGTCAAACATGGAGAGGCTGCAGTTGTTCAGTCATGCAGCCAGGAATAACAAGCACGTTTGCACATGGACAGGCAATAACAACTACCTCACAACTTGACTCCTGTCTGCCAGACAGCAATTGTAAAATCCAACCCGACTTCAGAGGTATTAAAATGTGGATGAAAATGTGCATTTGGGAGTTGATGGAATACAATAGCTAACATATTCTCCTTCGATAATCTTATGCTTTTCCTATCTCACCTTTGTACAGATGACACACAAAGTGATTTAGTAGTTTGCCCAAGATTATATAGCCGGCATGTGGGAGAACAAGGATTTGAAATCAGGTATACAGAGTAGACGGTGAGGAAGTTATTTGGTAGAAAGAAGAGAAGTAGACAGAAAAGGATAGCTGAACTGCTCTGACAATAACAGGATATTCCATTGAAGATCCACCCCCAGCCTGTTGCTTGAGGTCTCTAAAGCTCTTTGACACTTCAGGTGGCACAGTCTTATGATGGTTTATTTTTGTTGATTCTCATGCAATTCCTATCTCTCTTTTATCATATTTGATGGCTTGACTCAGTTTCTGCTCCTTAATAAGCAATAAGCCTGATAAATATAAGCATCAAAGTCTGTCTGGGAGAATTGGGAATATTGCACAGAGAAGGGCACACTGAGCTTAGCTTTGGTGGATGGCAGACAACATTGGTGGTGGGTGGAGCTAGAAGGAGGACATTCTAAAAGCTAATTGAGTGTGCAAAGGTATAGAGGGCAGAATGGTCATGGCACATGATATGGTTTGACTGTGTCTCCACCCAAATCTCATCTTGAATTGTAGTCCTATAATCCCCACGTGTTGTGGGAGGGACCTGATGGGAGGTAATTGAATCATGGGAACAGTTAGCCCCCTGCTGTTTTTGTGATAGTCAGTGACTTCTCACGAGATCTGATTTTCTTTTCTTTTCTTTTTTTTTTTTTAGATGGAGTCTTAATCTGTCTCCCAGACTGGAGCACAGTGGCACCATCTCAGCTCACTGCAACCTCTGCCTCCCGGGTTCAAGCAATTCTCCTGCCTCAGCCTCCTGACTAGCTGGGATTACAGGCGCCTGCCGTCATGCCTAGTTAATTTTTGTATTTTTAGTAGAGATGGGGTTTCACCATGTTGGCCAGGCTGGTCTGGAACTCCTGACCTTGTGATCCGCTCACCTTGGCCTCCCAAAGTGCTGGGATTACAGGCGTGAGCCACTGTGCCCGGCCGGATCTGATGGTTTTTCCCCGTTTGCTCGGCACTTCTCTTTCCAGTCACCATGTGAAGAAAGACATGTTTGCTTCCCCTTCCGCCATGATTTTAAGTTTCCTGAGGCCTATTCCCTAGCCGCACTGAACTGTGAGTCATTAAACCTCTTTCCTTTATAAATTACCCAGTCTCGGGTATGTCTTTCTTAGTAGCATGAGAACGGACTAATACAATATATATGGAGTTCAGAGAGTAAGAAGGTAGAAGTGAAAAAGGGAAGGCTAGATAGGAAAGCAGAGATCAGATCACATTCCATGTAAAGAAGTTCTATAGTATCCTGTAGAAGAGTGGTTTTCAAGCTTGTTTAGCAGTGACCTATTTCCCCCTGCCCTCAAAAAGTGCTGTTTGAAAACCTAGACTATAAAAGAGATAAGATGGAACTGCACTGAAGGAAGCAAGGATGGGTCAGTGGGGCAACTGCACACAACACAACTTTAAATACATTTCTAGAGCTAAAATGCATGCCTAGCTGGGCACGGTGGCTCACGCCTGTAACCCCAGCACTTTGGGAGGCCGAGGCGGGCGGATCACTTAAGGTCAGGAGTTTGAGACCAGCCTGGCCAACCTGGTGAAATCCCGTCTCTACTAATAATACAAAAATTAGCTGGGCATGGCGGTGCACGCCTGTAATCACAGCTGCTTGAGAGGCTGAGGCAGGAGAATTGCTTGAATCCAGGAGGCAGAGGTTGCAGTGAGCTGAGATCGCACCATTGCACTCCAGCCTGGGAGACAAGAGCGAGACTCTGTCTCAAAATAAATAGGTAAATAAAAGTAAAAATAAAAAATGCATGCCCTAGGAGTAATAGGAGAAAGATCACCTTGGCAGTAGGAAAGAGGATGAAGGGGCAGAGGCGGTCATTTCTCTCAGCTGCTAGGAAGCCACGGCAGTCATCTGGGCGAGAAAACTGAGAAATAAGAAATGCCATGTGTTAATCATGGTTAGATTGCAAGGTAAGTTTAGGTGATTCTTTTTTTTTTTTTTTTTTTTTTTTTTTTTGAGACGGAGTCTTGCTCTGTCGCCCAGGCTGGAGTGCAATGGCACGATCACGGCTCACTGCAAGCTCCACCTCCCGGGTTCAAGCTATTCTGCTGCCTCCGCCTCCCAAGTAGCTGGGGCTACAGACATGTACCACCATGCCCAGCTAATTTTTGAAATTTTAGTAGAGACGGAGTTTCGCCATGTTGGCCAGGCTGGTCTCAAACTCCTGGCCTCAGGTGATCCGCCCACCTCAGCCTCCCAAAATGCCGAGATTACAGGCATGAGTCACGGCACTCGTCCCGGGATTCTTATAAATGTACAGTAGACAACCACACAAATATCTAAGGCTAGAAAACGAAGTACAACTAGTTATACACAAAGTGGAACTGGGAAGACACAAAATGGCTATAGATGTCTTTTTTTCTGTGCATGTTTTCTGATGTGTTTATATAATGAGATGACAATGGATATTTAAAACATTATTGAAAAAATGCTCAATATTCCACTGTAAGAATATATCACATTTGCTTAAATATTCTAGTCCCAAATTTTAAGAAGAAAAAGCACTAATTTCTATAGTACTGGGTCTCACCTCTGATACCAAGCTTCCATGGGACTGATTTTCACTGTCTTACCAGGGCCCTCCCCACGTCCTGCTTGCTAAGCCACATGTAGCAGAAACAATAATGTCTTTGGGAATGGCAAATCTCTCACATCAAAGACCACGCACCTGGGGCTTTGGTTCTTCTGATTTTTCGTGTACACCTGCTTCTTCTGCCTTGTGCATCACAGGGAACCTTCAGAGAATTTCACATGCAATCTTCTTGTGAGGCAGATCCCAAGTACAACCCACATTTCTGAAGATATCTTATTCCTATTCAGTGCTCATAACACACATGTGTGTTAGTGGTTGAAATATTGTACTTAAGGCCCCAAATTTATCTTTGAATTGGACACTATTTTTGTGGGACCTAATACAGAAAACAATCAGAAAGTTTCAATCAGGACACATGAAGGTAAAAATAAAGGAGTTATTCCCCTTATTAATTAAATCTCTTCACTAGGCTGGGCGCTGTGGCTCACACCTGTAATCCCAGCACTTTGGGAGGCCGATGCAGGTGGATCACTTGAGCCTAAGAGTTCGAGACCAGCCTGGGCAGCACGGCAAGACTCTGTCTCTGCAAAAATTAGCTGCGGATGTGCGCCTATAGTCTGAGCTACTCAGGAGACTGAGGTGGCAGGATCACCTGAGCCTGGGAAGGTCAAGGCTGCAGTGAGTGGTGATTACACCACTGCACTCTAGCCTGGGCAAGAGTGAGACCCTGTTTCCCATTCCATACACACAAAGCTCAAGTGTAAATATAGATCAGTGTTGATAATCAGATGCAGAAAATTATGAGCTGCCTTAAAGTTTTTTTCTGCATGGCAATTAAATGCATAAGAAACCTGTTTTTTTTTTCTGACTAAAAGGTACACCGTATAAAGCTCCTTTTCTTGTGCCATACTACTTACTAGTGGTGTCTTGATGAAGATGTGTCCAAAGAAATGAAATATTCAGCATCCCCTGTAATATAGAACTTTCCTCCCCCCATCTTCAATTTCCCACATTGTCACCAGGAGCAAAATCTTCAAGCATTTAGAGCCATTGCATTGGCCTTGAAATGTCTTGTATGATTTGTCAAGCAAGAAACATTTTCAGCCTCCAAGGGATTTATGTGATTAATAAAATTTTTCAAAGAAAAATGTTTATTAAAAATAAAGAAAAATCAAATGCCAGGGAATTTTTTTTTTTTTTTTGAGACGGAGTCTCGCTCTGTCGCCCAGGCTGCAGTGCAGTGGCACGATCTCGGCTCACTGCAAGCTCCGCCTCTGGGGTTCACGCCATTCTCCTGCCTCAGCCTCCCGAGTAGCTGGGACTACAGGTTCCTGCAACCATGCCTGGCTAATTTTTTGTATTTTTAATAGAGATGGGGTTTCACCACGTTAGCCAGGATGGTCTCCATCTCCTGACCTTGTGATCCGCCCGCCTCGGCCTCCCAAAGTGCTGGGATTACAGATGTGAGCCACCACGCCTGGCCCAGGGAATGTTTTTACATGGACATGTGGCTTCACTTTTTAACATGCATTTGTACCTTATTCAAGCTTTACCTCTAATTTTATATAGAAAACCTCATTAATACAGTGTAGATTTGCCTCCTTGCTACCTTAACTTTCTTTGCCTGTGGATATAGGTGAGTGTGTGTCTGTGCCTGTGTGCACTTGGGGATTTGAGGTTTGTGGGTGAAGGTATTTTGGTCACAGTCATTTAACCAGTCTCTAAGAGATTCCAAACATTCCATCAGCTTCCCGTCTTCTTCTGAGCCCACGAAACTCTTCCAGCGTCTGCCTGTTACCCAGTTCCAAAGCTGCTTCCATATTTTCAGGTATCTTTATAGCAATGCCCCACTGCTCGGTACTAATTTTCTGTTAGGCCGTTCTTGCACTGCTATGAAGATATACCTGAAACTGGGTAATTTATGAATATAAAGAAAATAAGTTCAATTTGCTTATAGTTCTGCAGGCTTTACAGGCAGCAAAGTGCTGGCATCTGTTCAGCTTCTACGGAGGCCTCAGGAAGCTTACAGTCATGACAGAAGGTGAAGGGAGAGCAGGCACATCATATGGCAAAAGCAGGAGCGAGTGAGAGAGCGGGAGTAGGGAAGTACAAGTGCCACACGTTTTTAAACAACCAGATCTCATGTGAACTCAGAGCAAGAGCTCACGTACCACCAAGCATGCATGAGGGGTCTACCCCCATGATCTAAACACCTCCCACCAGACCCCAACTCCAGCACTAGGGATTATACTTCAACATGAGATTTGGGTGGGGACACATATTCAAACTCTATCAAGGGGCACAATTAATGATTGTGCTGGGGCAATGGGTGTTGACTAGGACTATCCCAGGCACACTGGGATCTATGGTCATACTGCTCTGTCATCTTCTGTCACACCACACTGTCTTTCTAAGTGATCTCAGCACTCCCATGGCTTCTTTTTCATAATCATAACCAAATATCTCCAGCCTGGATTTAACTTTTCAGCATCAGACCCTCATAAATAAGTGCTTATTCTGTTTAGATGTTTTACAGTCACCTGTAACTTAGTAACTCCAAAAGAATACACATGATATCCTCTCTTCACATACACACTAAAATCTCCTCTTCTAGTGTTTCCTGTCTCTGTATAAGACACTACTGTTTACCCACTTGCTCAAATCAAAAACCTTCTCCTTACTCTTCATACCCCATCAGTTACCAAGATGACAGTTCTACTTTCTGTATCTCTCACAAGCTCTCCAGTAACACCACTGCCACAAGTCATATCAATGCTTACCCGAACTAGTTTACATGCTGTCGATAGTGTGATATTCCTGAAACACGAATCTGATCACTATTTTTTTTTTAACATAAAAACTCTTCAGTTGCTTCCCACTGTCTGCAGAATCCAATCCCAACTTGGTAACATGGCCTCAGATCACTGTGATCTGGCCCCTGCCTCTCTCTCCAGCCACACCTCAGTTCTTTATGCTGCAGCTGCATTGGAACTTTTTCAGTTCCTGGAGTGTGTCAAGGTTTTTCTAACCTCAGAAACTTTGCATGATATGTCTCCCTCAATGATATGATTATTAGATACTTTGTACTTCTTTGTAAAATTTTTCACAGTTGCAATTAATTATTTATTTAGAATAATTTGTTTAAAATCTGTCTTTCCTTCTAGACTATAAGGCTCCAGGATGCATCTGTTGTGTTCACCATTATACCACAGTCCCCAGCACAGTGCCCGAGGCTCAATCCATGTATGTTGTGTAATTAAACAAAGGATCTCTCTAATTCCTGGACTGAGTGGGGAAATTCAAATTACTTCTGTTTTCTATAATGATCAAGTCAACAAAGTAGCAACAAGAATTGTTAGTATATTTCTCTATTCAAATACATTTTTATGTCTTTTTTGGATGGGCTCATTGTCCCATCAGCAAAATAAGAGGAAGAATATCTAATACCTTCCCATTACACGTTATTTCCTCATTTGAATAAAGTTAAAAACATAAAGGTAGAAAGTGAGACAAGTCACAATCTAATTTCCAGATACTGAATTTTCACAAGCTGGAAGAATAAGATGTAACACGGTGATTTAGTAAGTCAGCTGTTTCCTTCCAGATTAGAGACAAATCACAAGAGTAAATGCTAAGAAAATTTTCCAATCAAATATTGCTAATCCTGTTGATTTCTAACATTCAAGAAGCCCAGAAAAAAAATCTAACAGTGGAGTTCTTTGTGTTTCTTCTTTAATGAGTATTTGGCAAAAAACAATGAAGTTGGGGAAAACATTTTTGAAGGCACAGAATCCAGTGTCCCTTGCTTACAAAGCAACCGTTGGGACCTGAAGTGATTGAGCATCTGTTTTCAATCTTGGGTCAAAATTTCTTTTAATCCAGGATGCAATTAAATCTCTAGTATGTGCAGAGATATCTATTTCACATATATAATTCCCTAGATGTTTAATTATAAAGTAGTTGCAATCATTTGCACAAATCAGTTCATATTATCTTATTTGACATCAGTTTACATGTTTGGGAAGGAGATAGATGTATGGAGCTCTGAGGTGGTGCTGGGCTGGGGGAGGACTTGTTTAATATCTAGGAGTTTGTCCCATTTCCTTCTTTTTCATCTCCCAACAAGGCTGGCTCTCTATCTTGCTTTTTCTTCTGGTACTAAGATAGGAAGTGGTAATTTTGTCAAATGTATGCATACTGTATTTGTAGTCACCCTAGCTAGGTCTGAGTTCTAAGGGAATTTCTTAAATTCTTTGTTAAAATATGAGAATTATTTTCCTTAAGCTATTAGTTATGCAGAAACAAACATTTACTTTAAAAATGAAAATTCCTTAACCCTGAGTAAGACAGGAGGAAACAGATTATATTCTCCATGTTACAACATTTATTTCATGTAATTTCCTCCTGTGAACTATTGTCAAGTATCTCGGGTTATTTTCAGAAGAAGAAAAACCTGAGACTGTTCTTCCTAATTTCATTTTCTCTAAACCCAAAGTGACATAAAGATATATATCCTCTATTACCACCTACATATTCCATAGTTATATCTTGGTATTCTACACTGTGGAGGCCAAGGCCCTTGGCCCCCTAACAATTCACTAAAAATCACTGCCACGAGTTAGACTGACTAAAAAGAGAAAAGGTGTACAAATTTATTTAACATGCATGAGAGCCTTCAGAATGAAGACCAAACTCCTCAATGAAGTACAGAAGCTTATATACCCTCCTGAGCTTACAGAAAGAATGCTGGCTCAGAGCATGGCCAAAAACAGTTGTTAGTGGCAAGACAGGTTATGGGAGGAAGAAAAGAAGAGGCTTGGTTAGTGAAGATGGCCTTGTTATGTAGATGAAGCCTCATAGGTAGCAGCCTTCAGAGAGTGTAGATGGTAAATGTTTCTTTTCAGACCTTTAAAGGTGTCAGACTCTTAGTTAATCTCTCCTACCTCCAGGAAAGGCCTAGAAAGGGAAAGTCTGGCTGCATTAATGGAGATTCTCTACTGATGCAAATTTCTCCCACAAAAGATAGCTTTGCAGCACTCTTCAGTCTGCTGGCCACGTGGCAGCCATTTCAAAAGATGTCAAAGAAATGTATTTTAGGGTAAAATATTTTGATTTCACTCAACACAAAGGTACAGAATCAAACAATATAACTGTGATTGTAGTAAAACTAACAAATAATAAAACTAAGAACCAGATATATTTCTGCTTGTGTTTGAAGCAGCAGCAAGAAAAAATGGAAATAGCAGCAAAAAATTCTTTTGCAAAGACAGTATCATCTGAAAGTCTCATTATACATTCTGTACACAATTATTTTATCTTGGTAAGGGATCTAAAATATCAAGTGAGCAGAGTTTTTATGAATACACTTTTCTAATTCCTGGTGAAGTCCTGAAACTCCGGAAGAAATAAAACAGAATAAAACAAAAAAAATTTGTGAGAGGGCAATTCATGAGCCTTGGCAAGAGATTGGACATGTGATTCGAAAAAGAGAAAGGCAACATGAAAGTTTTGAGCTAATAGAAGGTAGAGACAGTGTTAACCTGAATTTTAAACAGGGCTTATTTGGCAGGAAAATTTTAAAAATTATATTTGGTACACAGTGAGTCTGAAATTATATGGTGAATCCCATGAGAATGAGGTCTCTCCAGCAAACGCCAAAAATTTGGGAAAGTGGTAACACGTGATATTTGAGTCCTATGCATAGAGCAAAGTTGGATAAATCAGCAGAACCCATGAAGCAGAAAACAAAAGAAGTTGAATGCAAATCTTTAGGATTAAGGGGCTGTTCGTATATTCAGCAAAATACTGAGTGCCAAGTTTGCTCCAGAAATTGTGCTAGGCATTGAGGATATAAAGTAAATAAAAACTCAATCCCTACTTTCATGTACCTTACTGGTCTAATGGAGATGTTGTACAATAAACCAGAGTTTATAGCACAGTGTGGAAACATTGTTAGCAGGGTGCAAAGGGTCCTAACGGAGACACCAGCATCTGCAATAAGAATCATAGGGCTAGGGGTTTGGAGGGAGGAAAAGGAGAGGGAGGGGGCAGGCTTTCCTGATTAAGCAGAAGGGGCCAGAGAGTGACAATCTAGGAAACACAAACATGTTCCAAGTCATGCAAATTTGAGAAACCTTGATGGATTTCAAGAACTCTAAGTAGCCCAGTACTGCTTGTGAAAGGGAGTGTGTGAGATTTAGTGCCAAGAATAAAAAAACTCTTGAAGTGAAGACAAATGCTTATTTGCAGCAGAGAAAACTAAGCTGAGGTTAGCATCTTGCACAGTGCCTGGCACATTGTTAATGCTCAATACATATTAAAAGAGTGCATTAAAATTTGCAAAACACTCTTACACACATCATGTGGTATACAGAATCATGCTGCACCCCCAAAGAGGTCCATGTCCTAATCGCCAGAACCTGCGAATATGTTATGCTATATGGCAAGGGAGAATTACAGTTGCAGATGGAATTAATGTTGCTAATCAGTTGACCATAAAATAGGGAGACCATAATATGGTCAATAGGAGTTTACCATAAAGCTAGGTTTTGTAGTTGGGAGGGAGGGTGTAGTGTATTCAGAAATATCCTGGCCGGGCACGGTGGCTCACACCTGTAATCTCAGCACTTTGGGAGGCCAAGGCAGGCAGATCATGAGGTCAAGAGTTAGAGACCAGCCTGACCAACACGGTAAAACCCCATCTCTACTAAAAATACATAAGTTAGCCAGGTGTGGTGGTGCACGCCTGTAATCCCAGCTACTCAGGAGACTGAGGCAGTAGAATCACTTGAATCCAGGAGGCGGAGGTTACAGTGAGCTGAGATTGCATCACTGCACTCCAGCCTGGGTGACAGAGCGAGACTCCGTCTAAAAAAAAAAAGAAACTTCTTTAAAAATGGAATAGGGGCACAGCAGAAGAGGTCAGGATGATGCAACGTGAGAAAGATTCAACCAGCCTCTGCTGGCTTTGAAGGTAGAAGTGGCCATGAGTAAAGGAATGAGGGAAGCCTCTAGAAGCTAGAGAAAGCAAACTGATTGCCCTCTAGAACTCTCAGGAAGCAATACAGGACCCTGACACCTTGATTTTAGCCCAGTACGATCCATTTTACACTTCTAACCTCCATAACTGTAAAATATTAAAAGTATTAAGCCACCAAATTTGTGTTAATTTGTTACAGCAGTAATTGGAAAGTAATACAATCATCTTGTTCCACAGATAAGAAAATTAACATGAAAAGAAGCATCCAAATATGAAGATCAAAAGAAAACACACAAACCGTCAATATTGTAAATAAAACAAGAGACAAATGGGATTTATTCCAGGTTTGCAAGACTGATTTAGCATTTAAAAATCAATCAATATAATCTAGGCTAAAGAAGAAAAATTACATGATCTATCAATCAATGCAGAAAAAGCATTTGACAAAATCCAATACCCATTTATGATAAAAAGAAAAAACAAACAAAAACAGAAGACAAAAACACTCTCAGCAAGTTAGGGATGAGAAAGTTAGTAAAGAGCATCTATAACAAACCTACAGTTTACATTGTAATTAATGGTGAAAACTGAATGCTTTCTCTCTAAGACTGGAAACAAAGCAAGAAGGTCCACTCTCACTACTTTTGTTCACACAGTTCTGAAAGTTCTAACCACTACAATAAGGTAAGAAAACATAAATGAAAGACATGTAGATTAGAAAGGAAGAACTAAACCTGTCCTTATTTGAGGTGACATGATTCCCATCTGGGATTTTTAAGGAATCTACAAATAAACTCGTAGAACTAATAAATAAGTTCATCAGAGCTGCAGGATAGGACACAAGATTAACACACAAAAATCAATTGCATTAATATATACTAACAGTGATGTGCAAAGAACAATTTAAAACACAATACCACTTAAGAGTACTCCAAAGAAAAATTAAAGGCTTGGGTATAAACTTAACAAATCATGTGTAGGATCTGTATGTTGAAAATTACAAAATGCTGATGAAAGACATCAAATAAGACCTAAATAATGGAGAGACATGCCATGTTTTTGGACTTAAAAACACGACATAGCAAAGATGAAAATTCTCCCCAAATTGACCTATGGGTTTAATGTTATTCCTATGAAATTTCCAGCAAGGTGTTTTGTAGATATAAGCAAACTTATTCCAAAATATATGTGAAAAGGTACAGGTCCTAGAATAGATCAGATATTTAAAAAGAATTATAAACTAGGAGGAATCACTCTAGTTGATATAAACATCTACTATATAGCAATTATAATTAAGACAGTAAGGCATTGGCAGAGGGTTAGACACATAGACCAATGCGAAAGAATAGAGATCCCAGAAATAAACCCACATAAATATACCAAACTTGATAAAGGTGCAAAAGCAATTCAGTGGAGGAAGAGTAACCTTTTAAACAAATGATGTTGAAATGATTGGACATTCATAGGCAAAAAATTAAAAGTGAAAAACAAAAAACCTAAACCTCACACCTTATCCAAAAATTAGCCGAACATGGTCATGGACTTAAATGTAAAACATAAGACTTTTAGAAAAAAAATAGGAGAAAATCTTAAGAATCTACAGCTAGGTAAAGAGTTGTTAGACTTAACACCAAAAGTATGATTCAAAAGAGGATTTATTGATAAATTGGACCTTATCAAAATTAAAAACTTGTACTTTGTAAAAGTCCATGATAAGAGCATAAATAGGCAAGTTATAGAATGGAGAAAGTATTTGCATACCACATATCTAACCAAAAACAACGAGTATCTAGAATATATAAAGAACTCTCAAATCTCAACAGTAAAATACCAAACAATCCAATTAGAAAGTGGACAAAAGACATGAACAGACATTTTACTAAGGAGGGAACACAGATGGCAAATTAGCACATGAGAAAATGTTCAGCACATTAGCCACTAGGGAAAGGCAAATTAAAATCACAATGAGATCACTACTACACACTTGAAGGAATGGCTAAAGTAACAAATAGCGACAACACTAAATGCCAGCAAAGATACAAAGAAACTGGATTATTCATATATTGCTGGTGAGAATGCCAAGTGATACAGCCACCAGAAAACAGTTCAGCAGTTTTTCATAAAACGTAACCATGCAACTACTACATGACCCAACAATTGTATTCTTGGCCATCTATCCCAGAGAAATGAAGACTTCTGTTCACACAAAAGTCTGTACAAGAGTGTTCAGAGAATCTTTATTTATAGTAATCCAAAACTGGAGACAATCCAGAGGTCCTTCAACAGGCAAATGATTAAACAAACTGTGGCACATACTTAGCATGGAATACTACATGGCAATGAAAAGCAATGAACTATTGGTAACACAACTACTTCAGAAAGAAATTATGCCAAGAGAAAAAAGGAAGGTCTTTATCAGGATTAAGAGACATTATAGTTCATCAGTCTCATGGTTTTTACAGATAAGGACACATAATCCCTGAAAGTCTACATGAGATAGCTTTAGGGGCATACAGACTAGAGCCAGATTTGAAACCCATTTCTGGCATCCACTATCTGAGTGATCTTGGCAAGTGACTCATCTCTCTGAGTCTTTGTTTATAAAATGGTGGCTTTGTTTATAAAATGAAAAGATTAATTATGCCATTCTTCTCAGAATTAAATTAGGTATATGTGTAAATTGCCTGAAATACATATTATAAGTGTTCAATAAATTCTTATTTCCCTCCTCAGCAAAAATAAAACTTTCTTACAGTTATTCAACCAGTAAGTATCAAAACTGGGATGAGACCCAGTTTCTGAATCTCAGTACAATGGTCTTTCTAGTCTTTTAAACCAGAATTTCTAAATTTTAGGTATAAAAACAAAAAGTTAGAACAGAAATTATAACACATAGAAAATGTTCAAGTATACTGCCTTGCTGATCCATGAGAGACAATCACATAGTAACTATCCCATATTCACTAACTATGTTTATAATTTTAGGCATTATTTATCAAAATTAGAAGACTAAATTGACATAGGTATTAGTGTATTGTCACACTGCTATAAAGACATACCTGAGACTGGGTAATTTATAAAGACAAGATGTTTAATTGGCTCATGGTTCTGAAGGCTGTACAGCTTCTGCTTCTGGGGAGGCCTCAGGAAACTTCCAGTCGTGGCGGAAGGGAAAGGGAAAGCAGGCCCAGCTTCACATGGCTGGCAGGAGAGAGAGCGAAGGGGAAGGTGCTACACACTTTCAAACAACCAGATCTCCTAAGAACTCACTCACTATCACAAGAACATCAAGGGGAAGTCTGCTCCCATGATCCATTCACCTCCCACCAGGCCCTTCCTCCACCATTGAGAATTACAATTCAACTTGAGATTTGGGTGGGGACACAGACCCAAAACATATCAACATGCATGCTTTTCCTTTCTTTTCCCTTCCCTTCCCTTCTTTTTTCTTTCATCTTACTCTGTCGCCCAGGCTGGAGTGCAGTGGCGCAATCTCGGGTCACTGCAACCTCCGCCTCCTGGGTTCAAGCAATTCTCCTGCCTCAGCCTCTCAAGTAACTGGGACTACAGGCATGTGTCACTATGCCCGGCTAATTTTTTGTATTTTTAGTAGATAAGGGGTTTCACTGTGTTAGCCAGGATGGTCTCGATCTCCTGACCTCATCATTACAGGCATGAGCAACCATGCCCAGCCTTTTTCTTTAAACTTAAACAGAAAGCCAGCCAGCCTTCCTTCCTTCCTTCCTTCCTTCCTTCCTTCCTTCCTTCCTTCCTTTCTTCCCTCCCTCCTTTCTCTTTTTCTTTCTTTCTTTCTTTCTTTCTTTCTTTCTTTCTTTCTTTCTTTCTTTCTTTACTTCTCTTCTTCTTTTTCTTTTTCTTTCTTTTTCTTTTTCTTTCTTGAGACAGCCTGTTGCCCAGGCTGGAGGGCAGGGGCATGAACATGGCTCACTGCAGCCTTGACCTCCTGGGCTCAAGCAGTCCTCCTGCCTCAGCTTCCTGAGTAGCTGGGATTACAGGCATGAGCCACTACGCCTGGTCTTTCAACTTCTTAAATGTAGAGTGGGAGTCTTGTGTGACCAATAAAGTCACAGATGAAATAAACCTTTGCCCGTTGGAATGAAATAGTGTATTTTATCCATGGATAGCAAAAAGGAGATTTGTTAATAGTTTCTAATTCCTTTAGCTCATTTGATTAAAAACCAATGGGTGATTTCATATTCTCATTTCCTAACCTTAATAAACTATCTTTCACAGATCTTCATTTTGCAGTCATTTTAATACATTATTTAGTAGTGTCACATTTACAAACACCTGTTATTTCCCTTTTGCTAGAAGTTAAACATTTATTTCACTTTTGCCAAAATTTAGAACAATTAAAATACATACTTAACTAAACTTAAACTAAATTACCTAAGGCTTCATGCACGGTCTTGTTTCCATCGCTCAATAATGTGAAAGCACCTCAATTTGTTTGGCAATTACTTACTGTAATTTTTAATTTAGTTTAATTTAACTAATTTATTTACTTTGAGATGGAGTCTTGCTCTGTCACCCAGGCTGGAGTGCAGTGGCACGATCTTGGCTCACTGCAACTTCCGCCTCCCAGGTTCAAGCGATTCTCCTGCCTCAGCCTCCCAAGTAGCTGAGACTACAGGTGCACACCACCATGCCTGGCTTTTTATTTTTTTATTTTTTAATTTTTTTATATTTTTGGTAGAAACAGGGTTTCACCATGTTGGCCAGTCTGGTCTCAAACTCCTGAGCTCAGGTGATCCACCCACCTTGGCCTCCCAAATTGCTAGGATTACAGGCATAAGCCACCACGCCCAACCTGTTACCTCCTTTTAAATGTAGGTTTTAGTACTAGAGAAATGTGCTCATTTAATCTAAATCTCCTCTAGGAAAAGTACATGAGATCCACGCTTATGACAATACAAAGCATAAACTGTGTTCTCAGCAAATTTTAGCTGAGAGTCACTATTATTATTCCTAAGAAGGTTTGTTAGTATTAAATTCATTTTCTCCAACATCCATAGGGCAGAGATAAGAATGTTTAAGATTCACAGACCCCACTCCCAGAGATTATGATGATGGTGGAGGCACAAGAATCTGCATTTCTATAATAAGCACATCCAGAATTTGGATGCAGGTAGTGCACAGTCAACTTCCTGAGACAGAGCGGCAACCCTCTTCCAGAGCTGGCATCCACCTTCCTATGCCGTGGGGCCTGGTGTGCTCAACTGGGCATTGTCTTAATCCATTTGTGTTGCTATAAAGGAATACCTAAGACTGGGTAATTTATAAAGAAAAGAAATTTGGCTCACAGTTCTATAGGCTGTTCAGGAAGAATGGTGCCAGCATTTGCTGCTGGTGAGGCCTCAGGAAGCTTATGATCATGGTGGAAGGCAAAAGTGGAAGTCAGTGCATCACATGTCAAGAGAGAGAGTGAGAGAGGAGGAGGAGGTACCAGGCTCTTAAAACTAGCTCTCGTTTGAACTAATAGAGTGAGAATTCACCCATCACCAAGGGGATAGCACTACCACATTCAAGGGCATCCGTCCCTATGATCCAACACTGCCCACTAGGCCGCACCTCCAACCCTTGGGATCACATTTCAACATAAGATTTGGAGGGGACAAACACCCGAACTATATCAGGCATCTTTATTACAGGACTGTCTTATTCTTAAGTTTCTAGCTGCAAAGACTCAAAATACAGCTCATTTGACAGTGTCCAGACTCCACCCCTATTTAATTTGAGTCTCATCCTACTGATTGACTACTACAGACACTGGTGCTGATCATCTGTTTTGTATACATATGTATTTGTATTAGTCTGCTAGGGCCGCCATAACAAAATTCCACAGAATGGGTGACTTAAACAACATAAATTTTTTTTCTCACAGTTTTGGAGGCTGCAATGTCCAAGATCCAGGTTCTGGCAGGGTTCAGTTTGTGGCAAGGACTCTATTCCCAAGCACCTACTTGGTGCTTCCTCACATGACCTTTCCTCTCTGTGTGTACATGGCGGGGAAAGAGAGACAGAGAGAGAGCTCTTTTCTTCCTGTTATAAAGTCATTGATCCTATCAGATAATGGACCCTTCCCCATATGACTTTATTTAGCTTTAATGATCTCCTAAAGGCCCTGTCTCCAAATACAGTCATATTGGGGGTTAGGGCTTCAACATATGATTGATTCTGGGGGGATACAGTTCAGTCCATGGCAGTATTTATAAACAAACCATGGGGGTGTATATCAACTTATTAAAAAGTAGATGAATATGGATATGTAAAATAGAGTTCACATAATGTTTACTGATATTCACAATTATTTTAAGATAATGTTTAATCTTCATATTCCATCAAGAGATCCATACCTTACAGTTAAACTTCCAGTTATAATTATTACTAAGAAATACTATATCTGGGCCATAGACTCTTATCATAGAAGAAATAAATTGCAAAATGATATGCTATGAAGAAGATTGCCTTTTCTGGAAAAAATATTGTTAATCTGTGCTTCAATCTAGCATCACATAGCAAATTTCAAAACTTTATAGTTTTTTTAGAAATTATTTTTTACATTTTTTGACTGGGTAATATTTTTACGTGTCAAAATTAAAAAGTATTAAAACATACAAAAATTCTTCATCTACCTAGTTCCTAATCCTCTCAAGAGGTAAAAAGCAACCACAGCTATTAGGTTCTTGAGTGGCCTTTCAAAATTTTTAATGTTCAGACCAGAAGTTATTAATATATGCATTTTTCAATTTATTCCACCATTTTAATATAAATGGTAACATATTCTGCTTTTTTACCTTGTCTTTTTGACATAATATTATATCTTGGACATATTTTCACATCAGCAGATAAATATCTTCACTCCTGTTTACAGCTGCACAGTATACTGTATGTAGTTCATAATTTATTTAACAGTCTCCTACTTATGGGCATTTAGGTTTTTTCTAATCTTTTTCTATAACAAGCAATGCTTCAATGAGTAAACTTCCTCACTGTTATATGAATGTATCTTCAGGATAAAATCCTTGAAGTGGATTGGCCAGGCTTATGTTGTCATTTTGCTATCTCTATTTCCAAATGCCCATCTTTAGGCATCGTACAATTTTTCACAGCCATTAGAACAGTTAAAGACAGTTTATTTCCCCAAAGCCTGACCTACACAGTGCAACATCAAGTGTTTGAATGTGTGTCAATCAGATAAGTAAAAAAATGGTACTTCTGTGTGGTTTTAATTTACATTTGTCTTGTAGTAGTACAAGAACATATTTTGAGATTATATTAATGATCATGCATATGTCCTTATCTGTGAACAAATTGTTCAGCTATCAATTTGTCTATTTTATTCCATTTATCGAAAACTCATTTTGAATGTATTTATATTTGTTGTTGTTTTCTGCTTTCCAATTTATTATTTTCTACTTTTATTTTTCTACTTATTTTATTTTATTTTCTACTTTTGCATTTCTCAGTATATCGTCTTGTTCTTAAGACAATTTATAGTCACTCTTTTTTTGCTTAATGATATAAGCATTTAAGGATAGGATGTTTCACTCTAAAAATTGTTTTAGCAGCCGGGCGTGGTGGCTCATGCCTGTAATCCCAGCACTTTGGGAGGCTGAGGCGGGCGGATCACAAGGTGAGGAGATTGAGACCATCCTGGCAAACATGGTGAAACCCCGTCTCTACTAAAAATACAAAGAAATTAGCTGGGTGTGGTGGTGGGCGCCTGTAGTCCCAGCTACTTGGGAGGATGAGGCAGGAGAATGGTGTGAACCTGGGAGGCGGAGCTTGCAGTGAGCTGAGATCGCGCCACTGCACTCCAGCCTGGGTGACAGAACAAGACACCATCTCAAAAAAAAAATCGTTTTAGCTGTATCACCTATGTTCTGATATGTAGTCTTTCTAATCTTTGTATTTTCTATATATTTTCTAATTTTCAGTTTGTATTGTCTAATTTTCAGTTTGTATTTTCTCTTTGAGCCAAGAAGTGCACATTTTATTGCTTTCTGCTTTTAATTTCCATGTGGTAGAGGTTTTTATTGTTGTTAATAAATGAATTGTTTTCATCAAAATTGGACAATTTTATCCATATTCTTTTTTTTAAATTATTATTTTGAGATGGAGTCTCGCTCTGTTGCCCAGGCTGGAGTGCAATGGCATGATCTCGGCTCACTGCAACCTCCGCCTCCCAGGTTCAAGCAATTCTCCTGCCTCAGCCTCCCAAGTAGCTGGGACTACAGGCACATGCCACCACCCCTGGCTAATTTTTGTATTTTTAGTTCAGATGGGGTTTCACCATATTGGCCAGGTTGGTCTCAAACTCCTGACCTCATAATCCACCCACCTCAGCCTCCCAAAGTGCTGGGATTACAGGTGTGAGCCACCGCACCCAGCCATATATTCTTTAAACTTTTAGGAATTTATTGAGGTTTCCTTTGTGGGTTAGTATAAGGTTTCAGTTCAGAGCACTTTAAAAAAAGATATGTTCTCTATTCTTTTTTTTGAGATGGAGTCTTGCTCTGTCACCCAGGCTGGAGTGCAGTGGTGCAATCTCAGTGCACTGGAAGCTCCGCCTCCCGGGTTCACGCCATTCTCCTGCCTCAGCCTCCCAAGTAGCTGGGACTACAGGTGCCTGCCACCATGCCGGGCTAATTTTTTTGTATTTTTAGTAGAGACGGGGTTTTACCGTGTTAGCCAGGATGGTCTCGATCTCCTGACCTTGTGATCCGCCCACCTCAGCCTCCCAAAGTGCTGGGATTACAGGTGTAAGCCACTGTGCCCAGCCCGATATGTTCTCTATTCCTAGGAGGGAAAGCTTTATATATTACAGATCTATCTACTTATTCATTATATTATTTAGGTCTTCTGTACCTTTTCTCTTTGGAATTCTTGATCTCTTATGAACTGAAAGCCAACAAATCTACTAGTAGCATACTTCCATCAACTTTTTTGAATTTTTTATCATTTCTGCTTTATGAAAGTTGAGGCAATGTTATTTGGTATAGTGAAGCCATGACTCTGAGGGCTTTATTCTGAATTGTACTCTGTAGTATTCCTCTTTGCCTCAAATAATGGTTTTGTCTTGAATTCCTTCCCCTCTGATGATTGCACCTGTGCTTACCTTGCATTTTCCTAACATGTCTTTCCTCATCCTTTATTTTCAACATTTTAAAATCATTTTCTTTCAGATATATCTCTTGCATATAGCATGAAATGGAATTTTGCTTTGTGGTTGTATTTTTTGTTGTTGCACAACAACGTAGAACTTAGAAGCATATATATTTATTATCTGATGGCTTATGTAGGCCAGGAGTCAGCTGTGCCTAGCTGGGTACTGCGCTTAGCATCTCATGGGGCTGCCCTCAAGGTTGTTGGAGCTGGAGGCTTGATTGAGGAAGCACGGTCTCCAAGCTCACTTAGATTATTGGCAGAATTTGTATACTTGTGCTTATAGTACTGAGGGTTCCAGCTTTTTGTTGGCTGGAGCTGGAACCCGCTCCCACTCCTAGAAGACAACAGTTCCTAGGGGCTGCCGAGTGCAGAGATCACAGGGGCTTTCCCGACATGGCTGCTTAATTCATCAAACCAGTAAGAAATGTCTCTAGAGAGAGCTGGCTAGCAGGATGGAGTCTTATGTAACTTACGATTAAGAGAGTTACATCCCATTATCTTTGCCATATTCTACTGGTTAGAAGTAAATCATATTCCCCTTTCTCCCAAAGTGGCAGGCACTATACAAAGGCATGTATTCAGGAGGCAGAGGTCACAGAGGGCCATCTTAGAGTCCATCAACATAGTGACCAAATCAGAATCTCTTTTTCTTTCATTTGTAAGTTTAGCCTATTTTTGTTTGGGCATTATTCTGAAATATTCCTTTGTGTTTTTTGTTTTCATTGCGTTTTTAGGTGCGTGTCTCTCTCTCCCTCTCTCTGTGTGTGTACGTGGGTGTGTGTGGCTTTTTTTTTAGAGACAGGGTCTCACTATGTTGCCCAGGCTGGCCTTGAAACCTGGCTCAAGTGATCCTGCCAATTCAGTTTATAGTGTTGTTGGAAGTCTTCCATTATGTGAATTCTTTGTTTTGTGTTTTTTTGCATGTTATTCTTCTAGCATTTAGAAAGGTTCTTATTTTTGTTGTAGTCTTTTGATTTTTGTTATTGTTACCTCATTTACTAACCTTAGTCTTTTATTCTTTAGACAACATCTACTGGTGCCCTACTATAGGCAATGGTGAAACGAGTATATTTCCCCTTAGTTTTCCAGGCTAGTTGCTGCCTCTCTGCTGCTGCTGCTCTAGAGATAGATAGACTTCTTCCTGCACACGTGGCTTTTTGCCTGTAACTATCTTTTCTGCTCTTCTGAACCAACCCGGATCCAAGGAGTCTCCTGCTACAAACCCAGCTCATCATAATCACTGTACCTCCTATTGAAAACATTTGTATCAGTTTGCATAGGCTAGGTTATGTTGTGCTAACAAATGTCCCCCAAATCTTAGTGACTTATAAAAAGGTTTATTTCTCACTCATTTCACTGCCATTGAAGGTGACCTGAGGGTTGACTGTGCTGTATGACGCAGCATCTTTATTCAAATACCCCTCTCTGGGACACTGCCGGTCTTTGGCAGGAAGAGAGGGGGTAGAATCATATGCTGGTTCTTTAAAGCTTCTGCTCAAAAGTGGTACCTGTCACTTCACTCACTTTTCACTAGACAAAGCAAGTTTCATGGTCATGCCTGAGGCGATTGGGGTGGGAAAGATCAATCTTTAGCAAGGATATTTCTGTCCATGGAGGGGCAGAAGGGCCAGGATGACAGGAAAGAGACTAGTGGGGTGGATCAGTCAATATGTTGAGCAAATAATACAATCTATTACACAGGGGGAAAGCTTTCACCCCTCAGGATGTGCTTCTCACCTTCAGTAAGTGTATTTTTGCTGGCACTAACTTAGATCTTTCACCCTGGGCCCTCTTACCCAATAAAGTTTCTCTCTACTTTTCCCCTTCTTCCTCCTACTAACAGCTGCATTTGGTGGCCTTTTACATATTTTAGAGTGTGGAGAATATACCTGTCTCCTAGTTTCACCAAAAATGGAGCATGCTTTCTTTTTTCTTTTTTTTTTTTCATTCTCCTTGTTGCCTTTGGATGATTTCCAGGAGGCAAGGGGGGAATGCTGATGAGTGCAGCTACATTCACACAGAAATCTCCATCTCTTCTTGAGCTGCGTTTCTTTGACATGGCAGGGTATAGTGGAATATGAAAGCCCACAAACTGTAACTTGACCAGTGGATTACATACATGAAAACATTTAAAAATAACTAATGAGTACTAGGCTTAATACCTGGGTGATGAAATAATCAGTACAACAAACTCCCATGACACAAGTTTACCTACATAACAAACCTGCACATGTACCCCTGAACTTAAATTTTTAAAAAAAGAAGAAAGAAAGAAAATTGTATAGTTTTATATTTGTAGAGTAAAGTCAGGCCTTTCTTTTTAGGTGAGTAGGAACTGGTAACTTCACTCTCTTACATTTTCTTGTTTGTACAGTTGGGATATTTGCGATAGACCAATACCACGATGGTTCTGTGATTATAGCAAGACTACAAAATATCCAGGAAAAATGATTACCAGCATAAAGTCAATTACTTGTCCCTCTTTTTTTCCCATTTTTTGTCTGTCCTCCTAGTCCTCCCCTCCAGTTTTGGTGAGTAACTGATGCCACTGGGTTTGCATAGTTCACCTGGGCCATCCTAACACCTGTGTGCCTTTCATAACACCATCATCTCCACTCAGCCTTGACTGCCAATCGCTCTGGGCTATGAGTCAATCTTCTGGATGTTACCTCTCATGTTCACTCATTCATTCAATTAACAAATATTTACCCTATGCCTAATTTCTTCAGCAACTACCTTTCTCTCACTACAACCACATATAGACAGGCATTCAAATAAAAAAATTGTAACGTTGGACGGAAAGAAATATGGCATATTTTTATCTTCAGCTCATTCTCAAATAAAAGCTTTAGAGCCTGGTATAGACATAGATGGATTCAGATTTCTTTCTCAGTTGTAATCACTTTGCAACTATAAACTCAAGCAATAAAAACAATCCTTAGGACATGAAAACACCCAATATTTTAATGAGTAAATAATAAATATGAATATTGTGCCACAGATCATGGCAGACAAGATGATTCTGTGCATCCGTCCTTCTTCCTGCTCCCACACCCCACCCTGAGGATGCTTTACTTTTGCCAAATCACTTCTCATTGAGTGAAGCTGCAGGTGCCAGACTTTTTAACATATTTCAAATATCCATCCTACTTTAAAATCTCAAATTTACTAATTTGAAAAAATAATCTGTCTCAGTTAGGCAGGATTTTTGTTATGTAGGGACTGCAGAATTAATTGGTTGGTAAGCAAAATACTTTTTATAATAATTAGACAATTCTTATGGGGTAGAGGAGGCAGGTATGATGAACAAGAAACTAGAGATATCTGGCACTAACAATAAAACAAAGTGTTGCGGCCGGGCGCAGTGGCTCACACCTGTAATCCCAGCAATTTGGGAGGCTGAGGCAGTCAGATCACCTGAGGTCAGGAGTTCGAGACAAGCCCGACCAACATGGAGAAACCCCATCTCCACTAAAAATACAAAATTAGCTGGGCGTGGTGGCATATGCCTGTAATCATACTGAGGGAGGCTGAGGCAGGAGAATCACTTGAACCCAGGAGGCGGAGGTTGCAGTGAGCTGAGATCACGCCATTGCACTCCAGACTGGGCTTCAAGAGCAAAACTCTGTCTCAAAACAACAACAACAAACAAACAAACAAACGAAAACAAAGTGTTGCATGGGGAAAATGTCATGAGGACATCTTAGGCTGCAGGGATGAGGCAGGCAGGTGGCGAACACAGGTGAAGGGCCCCAGGTATAAGAAATACACAGCCCTCTCAGTCTACTTTCACTTCTCTTTTTTCAGAGATATGGGTACTGAGATGGTTTTCTATTCTAACAAAAACAACATGAGCATTCTGATAAGTGACAGTTCTGCAGCCTCAAGGTAAGTTACCTAATCTGGAGTGATGGGGCCTATGGTGAATTTGAATATGCCTTAGTCTGCTGTCTAAAGGAGGCAGCTGCCACCAGCTCCTGCTGAACACCATCTTGTGGGAATATGGGCCCAGTGTGGGCAGGAAAAAAATGTAAATTAAGGTTACTACTAAGAATATTGCACAAAAAAGCTTCTGTGGGCCCAGGCCCCTTTACAAGGATGGGGCAATTTATTGGCTCTGGCCTTTGGTGAGCAACCTGTGAAATTATCTTCCTAAAGATCACAGTAAGTACCTGGCTCTAATTCCCCACTTGCAAGCATAATGTTTACAATGGGGCAAAGGGTGGTTTTATTTGAAAGAGAAGAAAACTCGCCATCTTGCATTTTTGGGTATCAGACAATAGCAGTCAAAAGTTGCTCTGTGCTCCAAGTGCCCCTCATGGGCCAGGGGATACTCTCTGTTTAAACAGGAGCTTCCCTAAACTTTCAGTCCTGGGCTGGAGGAACTGCTCCATCAGAGTGGATTGGGTGGTCTCCCAGGGACGAGGGGTGTCCATCATGCTCTGCCCCAGTCTCCTGCCAGCTTTCTCTGCAGCCTCCGGGTTTACTTACTTCTTAGCAACTTTTGCTCCATTCTCTCTGCTTTCAGATGTCTTTCTTGGTTTTGGCATTTTACAGGAAGTCTTGGGGGCTCCTCCTGAACAATGCCACTGGGGGAATTATATGCAAAGGTTGATCCTATTTCTTTCCCTGAGGTTTACCAAAGACTGTTTTCTTTACATGATGCTGATAAAATAGGCCATCCTTTTGAATCTATCCTCTCTGCTATTTGCAGCCCTCTCCTTTCATGTCTTCTGGTTTCCACCACCCTGGGGAATTACATTGTTTAGCATTTCCGAGCAAAAAAAGAGCTGTCCTTTTGTTAGATTCTGCCTGTCACTAACCCCACACAGAATGCATACAAATCCATCCCAGCCCTGCTGTCCTTCTACTATGGCCTTCAATGGCCTATATGCAAAGCATGCCCTTTATTTTTCCAGAAACTGTCAGAGTACCCTAGTTCTCCTCCAAGTTAATTTCACATTATGTTACAAAGTGGGCAATGCCAAGTTATCAGAGACTTTGTTACCCACAGCTCTATGGAAGCTGTACCTTATATAAAGGAATTACCTGCCTGTTCCAAACTAGCTCTCTACAGCCTCAGGAAACATGGAATTTACATGTTATATTAGTCAGAGATCTCCAGAGAAACAGAACCATAGGATATTTATGTATTTATTTATTATGAGAGATTGGCTCCCATGATCATGGAGGCTAAGAAGTCCCATGATCTGCCATCTGTCTGCAAGATGGAGGCCCAGAAAAGCCAGTGATGTAGTTCCAGTTCAAGGGCAGAAGAAGACAGATGTCCCAGCTCAAAGAGAGAGTGAATTTGCTCTTCCCCAACCCTTTTGTTCCATTCAGGGCTTCTTTTCTAAGTCTACTGATTCAAATGCTAATGTCTTCTGGAAATACCCTTCCAAACATACCCAGAAGTAATGTTTTACCAGCTATCTGGGCATCCCCTAGTCCAATCAAGTTAACACATAAAATTGACCACTACATGCATAATACCCATTCATTTAACTAGATTAAAAACTCCACTGAGGAAAGAATGATAACATACACAGATTTTTTTATACTAGATCATTTAGCAGAATACATGCATGATTCACGGCACTCAGTAGATTTTAGCTATACTGCTTATTATAAAAGCAAGGGTTATGATTCTGATCATTCAAAACAGGATATGGTTGCAAAAAGTTAATGGAGTCTTTCCTAAATGAACACTTTGATTAACTAAACCTAACAGAGTGAAATTGATATAGGTTGAAGGATACCTAAATGTTCTTATTTCTGTGTTCTGACCGATTCTGACTGTGGCTGTTTGGAGCTATATAAATTAATAATTTGTAAAAAACAAAACCTTCAAATTTGTCTTCTGGATATCCTTCATTTGTCCTTTCTGGATAATTCTTTTTTGGATTCATACAATTTCCTTATTTTGTACAGGATGATTAAGATAACATGTGTTTGGCATTTGTTTACCATGAGTCATGTACCATGATCTTCCTGTCCAATTCAGTTTATTTTTTTTTAAGTAGAAAATGTTCAGACAGCTGGAACTTTTAAGTTCTATTTTTTTCTTTCAGTCCAAGGAAACTCACACATTGAGGCAGTTTTTTAAAGCTTCTACAAATGATCCCACAGTAAGGAAAAAGCTGATAACTCATGCTACTTGGCCAGTGGCCAGATTTGGGCAATCTTTGTAGGAAATTAAATATCTACATGAAGAATGGTCAACTTCATGGCAAAGATGTCTTGTGGGGTCACCTTGCTGTAAGAACTGTTGCTACCATGTCACTTTATCAAGCCCAGGAGGTAGTGTGTGAATTCTGGATGTCTTAATAGTCAAACTAGCAGCCTACTCCACACTCTCCTGGAGGCTAATCTTTTTTTTTTTTTAATGTTTTTTTTGAGACAGAGTTTCACTCTTGTTGCCCAGGCTAGAGTACAATGGCACAATCTCAGCTCACCACAACCTCCGCCTCCTGGGTTTAAATGATTCTTCTGCCTCCGCCTCCTGAGTAGCTAGGATTATAGGCATGTGCCACCACCCCTGGCTAATTTTTTGTATTTTTAGTAGAGATGGGGTTTCTCCATGTTGGTCAGGCTGGTCTCGAATTCCTGACCTCAGGTGATCCGCCCGCCTTGGCCTCCCAAAATGCTGGGATTACAGGCATGAGCCACTGTGCCTAGCCTCTGGAGGCTATTCTCAAAGAGTGGCCAGCCCTGACAGAGGTGGGTAAGGAAGTAGCTCTAAACTTTCAATAGAAAAATAAGAATTCAGGAAGCCCCAAACCATTATAGAAATTCGAAAGGCATCGATGCATTAGAGACTCACCCCCAAAAGCCAAGTGTCTAAGAAACTGAGCATAGACACAGTCAGATATAAATCATGGCCACCACTGGTGGTATTTAGAAAGGGGAAATGCTGGCAAGTGTGTGTCAACAATATTACCCAAATGGATGGCTCACCTGCCACTGACTAGGGAAAACAAGGAGAGTCATAACACTTATGTTTAGCCAGCCACGGTGGCTCTTGCCTGTATTCCTAGCTACTTGAGAGGATGAGGGGAGAGGACTATTTGAGCCCAGGAGTTCAAGTCCAGCCTGGGCAACATAGTGAGACTCCATTTCTTTAAAAAATTAGTAAAATAAAAGCACTCATATTTATATATTGAGGTTTCTTTTATCCTATGAGTTCAAGTATTCACCAATATGGTTTCAGTCATCTTCACAATATTAAAGCTAACATTCCCTTTAGTCAACTTAAGCCATCTCTCATTGCTTGTTCTTAATAGAATTTCATTTTCATAACGTCAGAGCTGCAGGCCTTCCATGTTTCAGCCACCTAAGGGAGGAAGGAAACTGACACTATGGGAGCATCTTCCAATTCAGGCCCCCATACTAGGCACGGTTACTGTTCTGGCAGCTTAGAAGGCCCCCTAGATTTATGCAACCATGGTTTTCTGCTCATGACCAAGATGGCCCACCAGCAGCTGCATTCTTGGAGATTGTAGATGAAACATTTTGTCTGTGGTAGGAAGGAAGCTTGTTGCTGCCGTCTGGCAGGATCATGCTGTTACAGTGTTCCACCTGCTTAGCAGGCTGGTCCGGCTGCAGCAGCTATTTGCAATTCCTCATGTCACTCATGACCTGCCACTACCTCAATTCACACTGCATGGACCTCCCCTTTCCTGCTCTGGGACTTCTGGTTGCCACTGAGCTGTGAGATTCAGTGATATCTCTTGGTGCCCATGCTCTTGCAAGAGCTCATCTGGCCAGCCCATCATGCTGCAGACTGCAGAGAGGCAGGTAGGGAATGCTGATGACTTTTTGTGGCTCACATTGCGGAGCCTCTTGGGTCAGCTTCTAGAAAGATTAGGTCATACACCCGGAAGTGCAGAAAGCAGACACCCTGTGGGCAAACTTTAACCAATGAGAGTGGTAAATAATGTGTCCTCCCTTCCACCACCCAGACAAACCATACTGAGAGTAGGAGAGCTGCAGATGGTTGGGAGGCAGAACTGTGAGAACAGGTAGGCTTGGTTGTACCTGATAGTGAGCTGTGGCTCTCCTGATGATGCACTCTGGTGTGTCTGTCCCCTTCCTTCCCGACCTCTCTGCCCTTTAACCCCCACACATGATTTCCTGGATTGCACTCCCCCATACAAATGTAAGTACATAAGCCTTTGCCTCAAGCTCTGTTTCCAGTTATACACATTATCTCAAAAAAAAAATCCTCAAACAGTTCTAGGAAATAAGTGGTTATTATCTTCACTTATCTGGATGATAAAAATGGAAGTAAGGTGGTAGATAACTTGGCCAAGCTATTAAAAAGCTGAATCAGAATTCACCCAGATCTGACATGACTGTATACAGAATTTAGAAAGCTGCAACAAGCCCCTACTAAACCCAGAGCTGATGCTTGCTTTCTTTGAGTCCAAATTCTTCCACCTGGAAAATGGAACCATAAGAAGTATACTCTGTACTCTACTTAAAAGTAGCCGTTTGCATCTATTTTTTCCCTCCATCACTACTGACATTGCTATTATCTTATGTTGCTCGTATAGATTATGCTGGGCCACATAATCAAGTATCAGATGCACTGTTTCCTGCAATCATTATGAAAATATGGGGAAAATATACTGTATTGAATTACCTACAGCTTAGAATATGAAATAAGTCTATATTCAACCAAATGCATGTATTGGCCTGAAAATTAAAAAATATAAAGTACAGGACAAAGACTTTCCATGTTACATGTGACAGAAACCTAACTCAAACCAACTTAAGCAAAAAGGAGAACTTTTTGGAAGGGTAGCTTATGGAATGAAAGGACAAGCTACAGGAACCTGAAAGGTTAAGTCTTGGGAAAGGCCTCGAACCTCCCTTGGATGGGTCGAATACTCATTCTTGGCCATTCTCTGTGGCCAGGGTATTGGGGTTCTGTAATTGACCCAAACTGGGCCTTGTGTTCACCTCTGTGGTCTGGGGGAAATGTTAGGTGGGATGAGGTGACAGGTATATTTCTAGAACAAGTGGGGAAGGAAGTTTGTTGGACATCCACACACAAACACAACAATCCTACAACACAGAGAAACCAAACGAAACACATGAAACAATTAAGGCCTGATTAAGCGCTAAACAGATCAAAATGTATAGGCATTTGCAGGGAAAAAAAAGGTAGTGTGAGGGAGAACTTTATAGACCAAATGAAATTTCACTTATTTATTCAAATATTTATTTAATGTTGTTCAATATCGAATATGTTAAATATTGAATATTGTTCAATAATATATATTGAATATTGTTCAATAATATTTATTGAATATTATTCTAGGTCCTGAAACTATAGCAGTGAACAAAATAGTAAAAACCAAAAAATAAAAAATAAAAAAAACAACAGAAAAAAGTCCCTGCTATCATGGAGCTTCCATTCTATGGGGAGAGACAGACAATAAACAGGATGAATAAATGAAGTACAGCACAGGGTGCAGTGGCTCATGCCTGTAATCACTATGCTTTTGGGGCCAAGGAGGGTTTCTTGAGGCCAGGAGTACGAGACAAGCCTGGGCAGCAAAGTAAGATCCCACCTCTACAGAAAAATTTTAAAAAGTAGCTAAGCATGATGGTAAACACCTGTAGTCCCAGCTACTTGGGAGGCTGAGGTAGGAGGACTGCTTGAGCCCAGGAGTTTGAGGCTGCAGTGAGCTGTGATTGCATTACTGCACTCCAGCCTGGGTGACAGAGTGAGAACTCATCTCTTAAAAAAATAAATAAATGGCCTGTAATCCTAGCACTTTGGGAGGCTGAGGCAGGCGGATCACCTGAGGTCGGGAGTTCGAGACCAGCCTGACCAACATGGAGAAACCCTGTCTCTACTAAAAGACAAAATTAGCCAGGCGTGATGGTGCATGCCTGTAATCCCATCTACTCGGCAGCCTGAGGCAGGAGAATCACTTGAACCCGGGAGTGGAGGTTGTGGTGAGCCAAGATAGCACCATTGCACTCCAGCCTGGGCAATAAGAGCAAAACTCCATCTCAAAAAAATAAATAAATAAAAATAAATAATTGAATAAGTGAAGTACAGTATATCATATTAGATAATGAGAAGTGATGAGAAGAAGAAAATGTAATTTAAGACAGTCTTTGGAGTTCTTTTTTAAGTAATGAGAAAGGAAGAAGGAAAAGCAGGAGGGGAGAGGAGAGCCTAACCTAATGTTTTTAAAAAGCAAGGACCGGCGGGAAGTGTATCATAGTAGGGAACAGGAGAGATGCAGGCCTCGGCGCTGGGAGGAGTGGGGAATAGGCTGGGGCTGGGTTTCAGGAGGATTTGAAAAGCAGACAGAGGAGTTTGGATTTGATTTGGAAAGGAACACGTAGGCTTTAGAGATGCCCAAACAAGGGAGGGGCCGGTTGAAAGTGAAGTTGTAGGAAGATCATCCTAACAGCAGCAGGCAGAATGGGTTGGAGGGGATGCTGAGGGCCACAAAGAGGAGGGAGGTTGGGGAGCCAGCTGGGGCGAGGGCGGCGGGACTAGAGAAAGTGGGACCAAGCCTGACTGCAGAAGGACCGGCAATGTTTGGTGGTTATGAGAGATAAAGGAGGGACATGCCAGAAAGAGCTGGAACCAGACACCGTGTGCTGCCTGTAACCCTAATAAGCTTTGTGTCATGCAACCTCTTGAGAACTCCAGTGCATTTCAACCATAAAATAAACAGATGTGTAGGTTCTAAGATACATTTAAAAATAATAATTTATCTGGCAGAGGCCGGGTGTGGTGTCCCACGCCAGTAATCCAACACTTTGGGAGGCTGAGGCAGTAAGGTCAGGAGTTCGAGACCAGTCTGGCTAACGTGGTAAAACCTGTCTCTACTAAAAATACAAAAATTAGCTGGGGGTGGTGGCAGGCACCTATAATCCCAGCTACTCGGGAGGCTGAGGCAGGAGAATCGCTTGAACCTGGGAGGTGGAAGTTACAGTGAGCCGAGATCGCACCTCTGGACTCCAGCCTGGGAGACAGAGTGAGACCCCATCTCAAAATAATAATAATAATGATAGTAATAATTATTATTATTTATCTGGCAGGAATAGCAGAGTTGAGAAAGGTAACCAGTTTAGAAGATAGACAATGAATTCAAAAAATCATTATTCCTGAGCCTTATTTTTTAAATGAGTTTATAATTTTGTAAGTGTATTTGTCACAGTATCCACTGGAATAGAATTAATCTACACTTTTAAAGATATTGAAGACATAATCTTCTCGAGTAGGGGATGGTCTTCAAAGTTTACATTTGTTAATTTTTAGAATTTTTTTCATCTTTATTATCTATTGCTGCATAAGATATTACCACGAAATTAACAGCTTGAAACAACACACAGTTTCTCACAGACTCACATAGCTGGGCCAGTCAGAGTGTTAGCAGGACTGGGGGCTCATCAGAAGATGAGGGAATCAGGGAAGGATCCATTTTCAGGATCATGTGATTGTTGGTAAGGCTCAGTTTCTTGTGAGCTGTTGGCTGCCCTCAATTACTTGCCATGTGGTCCCCCCTAACATAGCTGCTTGCTTCATCAAAGCCAAAAAGACAGTCTACCGGGAAGGCAAAAGGCACAGCCTTACGTAGTCTAATCACAGAAGTGATATCCTAGTTCTTTTTCTGTATTCTATTCACAGAAGTAAGCCAGTAGGGCAGCCCACCCTCAAGAGAAGGGGACTAGATGAAGGTGTGAACACCTGCAGGTGGGGATGGTTGGGGGCCACGTCAGGGGTTGCCTGGCAAGCCTTACTTGGAAACTGTCCCACTGTGCTCCTTGTTCTCACCTATCTGCCACAAGCTTGTCTTGGGGCTTATGATGGCTATGCCAAGGATGCCCTCAGTCTTGATTAACCTCTCTTTAGTTATCCAGGTTATGTAGGTAAATATGTCTTATCAAAACTGATGGATTACCCTGGCACAGTGGCTCACACCTGTTATTCCAGCACTTTGGGAGGCAGAGGAGGGAGGATTGCTTGAGCCCAGGAGGTCAACGCTGCAGTGAGCTATAATGGCATCACTGCATTCCAGCCTGGGTGACAGCAGAGTGAGACCCTGTCTCAAAAAGCAAAAAGAAACAACAACAAACAAAAACACCTGATAAGTTTGAGATTATATTATTGAAGGTAAATATAATGCATAGGTTAGTGCTTGGGGCAGGCCAGCATCAGGGACTCAAAGTCAAGCATGTGTCCAAGAAGAGTAAAAGGGAATAATAGAAGGGGCCATGGAACCCTTTACTGGACTCAGGGCATAGATTTCAAATCATATGTCAGTGTAAATTCTAAATTATGACTCAAAAAAAGAGAATGAATTGAGTTGAAAGAACTCAGCTGGACAGTTAGTACATGCAGATATTTTTAAAATACAAATGTTTCTTTAAGAAAAAACACAAGCATATCTGGATAGTCCTTACAAGTTTACAAAATATTTTTACGTATATTATCTCGTATTAATTCTGACAACATCTTGTGAGTTTTATTGAGTATTATTTCTATGCCCATTTCATAGATAAGGAAACTGGGTAATGTGGTGGCTAATAGCATGCCCAAAGACATGTAAGTAGCAAATAGTCAAGACTGACCTGAAGACATAGATGAGTTCTACAGTATCATACTTCTTTACTAATAAGACCCCACAAACATACCTTTCTTTTTTTTTTCTTGGGGTCATAGCAGATCATTTAGGAAATAAGGAGTGCAAGGGAAGACCCTGGGAGCAAGAAGGCTGATGCACGAAGCCCTACCTTGGTAATCTTAGTAACATCAATACCTCCCTTCCACCCCAGAGAGCCGGGCCCCACGCCACAGGCGGTCCTGCACTTTGGAGTGGCTTCCTGGAAAGTTTCTGTCTCCTCGTGGTTCCTAAGACCTGCCAGAGTCTGCAGGGCCATTCAGAAAGGGAAACCCAAACTCAGATCAGGAGGCATATATCCCTCTTTCTTCCCTTTGGGCATTCTCTGATCCTCTGCTTTGCTCTTGGGGTGGGCCAGATGGTATGAGGAGTTTTGGGACTCACATGTATGGTATCAAACTGGAGCCCTGTGGTGGGCAGGGTATTTTATTATGAAATCATCCCTGACTGATCAAGCAGAATGGTATTGACACACTGATTTGGAGCGACTCTCACTCATGCCAGACACAGGAAGAGTTCAGGACTCTGAGCTACTGAGGGTCCTTGGGCTTGGGCCATATGTGCGGACCTGAGCGTTGGCTCTTGCTCACCCATATTTTCACTGCGGAACTGCCTTTGATCCTAAAGGCATTGGAGATGGCAGCAGGCATCCTTAACCCTATGCACTGCTGTTACCTAGGGCAATCCCCCACACCCTCCCACATGTTAGGCAGTCTTCCAGGGGTGACAGCACCTATCTCATCCAAGAACTTTCATTGCCCTTGCAAAGTAAAGCCAACAGGTCTTGCTGATAGATGTTTTCTTTTGCCTCCAATTGATGTGGTAACATTATGCTCTTCTGGGTTGGTATTAAGCTGTGCCAGAGGAGGGACAGACATTACCTTGAGAATGAGACCCTTCTCTCTGCTCATGGCACTTGACTATCCTCCCTGCTGGTGGGCATGGGTAGAAGGCAGGGGTGTAGTCAGCATTGAAAGAGATCTCATTTTATAAATGCAGTGATTATGGTCTTAGAGTTCAAGAAAATCAGGGTTGGAAGATGCATCGTTCTATGTGACTGCTGTAAAATTCCTAACGGTAAATGTAACATGACCAGAAAACAAGTCATCATTCACAACTTCCCACATTTGCGGATACCATCAACAAGGCACAGGAACTTGGAGGGTGTCATTGTAAGCCGGTATGCACAGATGTCATGGTGGATGATGCAGCATCACAAGTAATAACCTCACTGGAATTAAATAAATGACATTCGAAACAAGCAAGAAGAGTTCTATTGTTTCATGATTCAGTCTGGCACAGTCCTAGGATATTGTGAAAAAAACAGCATTACTACCTTTTCTTGTGAGGGAAATGCGAAATTTGCCAGAAATGGGACTCTTGACCATAAAGAACAGGAAGAGATATTTCCTGGACCCGAAGAGGAAGAGACAGTGCCCGGACACTAGTAAGAATTGCCAGGTGTACTGGCTAGGAAACAAACCAGCCCTTCAGTACTTCTCTAACCATTCTTATAAAGCTTTATGATTAATCACTCTATCTCATATGGCACCATGAATTTTGCAGTACACTTAAAAAAGTAAAATTATTTATATAGACAGGGACCTGGCAAAAAACATATGCCCAACTCCTGCATGTCCTAGGGGTGGCCCTGACCCCCACCCAGGTTACAGCATCTGACTCAGTAATGTGACCAACACATGCTCCCCAACTTCCTGATCCTGTTTTAAAAACATGGTTAAAGTAGAGCCCTTCTAGATCACTATGGAAAAACAATCAGAACTTCGGTTTAGAATCAGAGAAGTCAATGAAAACTCTTCCATAGAGGTGTTAGTAGTCACCTTTGGGGAAGAGGGGTGGTTGTAGTACCTGGGCAAGGCTGTGAGAGCTTCAGGTCATGTGCACTTCCTGACCTGGAAGTGGTTAAGTGGGTATATTCTTTTTGTGGTAACTTTTTAAGTTGTATACTTATCATCTGTGCACTTCTCTAAGTGCATGTTAGACTTCAATAAAAAGTTTACTACATAAAAATTGAAAGAATCACCCATAGACATAATTAGATTCTGGAGCAAAGTTATTTACCAATACAGAGTCCAGTGGTCTGGAGGACCTGGGCTTACCTACAGACTAATGTGGTAGATTTCAGGATAAGATAACCTCTTCCCTTTAGCTCCCCCATAACAAGTCACCTTGCAATTGGACTCAGCTCTGTCTCTGGGCATTTCCCCACCCTGCTTTATAAAATAGAAATTCTTGTAGAGGTTGTGTCCAGACAAGCACAATGGAGACTGACACACAGGGCTTGGAGAACTTCCCAGAGGTGGTTTAAGAGTGATTATATAACATGTTAAGTCTGTGTTCCTTTTTGAGGCATAACTGAACCTTTGCCAAAATAACTAATTGCTAGCCCTTTCCCACTGACCCAAATAAAAACATGGTAAATAAATTACACTTCTGAAGCATACTCTAAAAAACAAACAAACAAAAATCTCCCACAAACCTGGTACTCTGAGGACATCCCAGCTTTCTGTGTGGGACACCACACGCTCACTGAAGGGCATGATACTGAATTATGTCTTTTTAAGTCATGCCACCTGTTGTGGGAGCTGCGGGAAGAAAAGAAATGAATGTAGTGAAATAAAAGAAACCAAAACAGCAACAAAAGAACGACTTCCTTTTTCCCCACTGATTTTGGCCAGAGGAAGAAAACAAGTAATTGTAATAAGCTGACGTGTTTCGGGGAAGCCATGAAAGTAGGCACGTGTCCATGTGCCCAAAGGCCTAATGAGAAGCAGGCAGTAGACCTACAAGAAATTTAGTCCCCTCTTCTTCCCTTCCCACTCCCCTTATTTCTGTGTGTGTTTTTTTTTTTTTTTTTTTTTTTTTTTTTTTTTTAAACTCTGGATTTATAGGGAAGCTCAGGGTGGGCATGGGGCAGACGCATGGGTTCTGCCAGGTGCTGTTTCTCAGGGAACACGGGAGGCTGTTGTCTATGGGGACGGGTGGGGCTGGAGCAGGCTCTGTGACAGTCAGAGGCTCTCCCCAACCCCGGCCAGCGACCTCCCTTGGGTACCTTGAAATCAGCCACGGCGGGAGTATTTACGCCGCGGAGATGGCAGCACGACACAGCCCTGCTTTGCGGGTGGGAGTGAAGAGAGCCGCTCACTAAACATTAACTAGCACCCCACGGAGCTGGAGTCCAGGCAAAATCCAAAGCGACTGGAAGGGCAGTTTGTTAACTCATTCAGCCGCCTCCTCGCCCCACAGCTAACGAATTCTTGGGCGCCAGCCTGGACAGAAAGGGGAGGAGACAAGCCTGCTGTGATGATACTTTAACGATGATACAGGAAAATGACAGGATAGGTACCATGTCATAGGAAGAATACTTGGAAGACCTGGGCTCATTTTATTGAGGCATCCGTCCACAAATGCCTATGGAGCATTCAGGCTTTCCAGAAATATTCATGGAATACTTTCTGTGTATAAAGTGGGCATTCGATGGTGAGTAAGGTGGCACACGGTCTACCACCTGAGTTTACATTCAGGGGAGGAGAATGTTAAAACAATAAGCAGATATATACTTTTTTGTGTTTTTGGTTTATTATTTGTTTATTTATTTATTTATTTATTTATTTTTGAGATGGAGTTTAGCTCTTGTCGCCAGGCTGGAGTGCAGTGGCGCAATCTCAGTTCACTGCAACCTCCACCTCCCAGGTTCAAGCGATTCTCCTGCCTCAGCCTCCTGAGTACCTGGGATTACAGGCAAGTACCACTACACCCGGCTTATTTTTTGTGTTTTTAGTAGAGAAGGGTTTCGCCATGTTGGGCAGGCTGGTCTCGAACTCCTGACCTCAGGTGATCTGCCCACCTCGACCTCCCAAAGTGCTGGGATTACAGGCGTGAGCCACCGCGCCCGGCCAGCATATATACTTTTAAAACAAGAGCTTAAAAATTTGGGGATGGAAATAAACAAGAGAATGAGATAGAAAAGGCCGGAAGAGATAGGAAATGCTGTAGGAACACTTAAGGATTGTGGCTAAAAAAGCTGTGATATGAAGTCAGGGCGTCAGTTCACTTGAGGGAGGAACTTTTTGTGTGTAACTCCCAGCCCTGCCACTTGCTGCCATGTGCCTACCATGATGGGTTGTGTGGGTGAACTTAGGTAGCACATGGCATTGGCGACACCCAGCCACACAGATCTAGGAGCTGCCATTCACGTCCTCATCGCTGCAAATGCAGTGTGCACCCTGTGCAGGACACCTTGCAGCCCAGGATGACACAAAGTGGATGCTAGATAAACATTAGCGGCAATCAGTGACACTGTATGAAACTCCCCATCATGGTGGAAACTTGTACTGAGAAAAGATGGCCACTTCTCAGGGTCATTGTAGCAAACAGCAAAGGTAGAGGCTTGAATGTGATGTCCTTGGAGTGGCCATCCCATGATAACTTATAAATCTTTTATTTTATCACTGTTATTACCCCTTCTACCATATTCCCTATTTCTAACTCATTGTCCCTTCTTTCTTTCCTGTTAAAACCTTTCTGCCCTTGAGCAAAGCAAAGGTAAGTTCTCACTTGTTTTCCCACTTAGTTCTATGTCAACCAAGACCTGTTTGTTTCTGCCAGTAAGTTACTTCCTAGGGCCTGTGAAATAACGTGGACTTTGAGTGTGGCTCTTTTGACAGAGCAATAGCACCACCTGCTACCACCTACTAGAAATGTCGTCTTGTAGAACAAAGAAATACGCACGCCCTGCTGTTCTGCAATCAGGCTCTGACAGAAGCTTTCAGGTGTGGTGCTTACAAGATCAGACTCATTGACTCACTCACTTCTCCCTGCTCCGTCACTACACTCCCAGTGAGTATTTCTTGAGCTACCACTGGGTCCTAAGTCTGCTCTAGGTATTAAGGACACAGTAGCACCATCGTGACCAAGGCATGGAGCTGAAATTTTCTAGATGGAGAAGACAGAGATTAAACAATAAAATGGCAAAATGATTTCAGATAAGGACCAATGTTTCAACAAACAAAATAAGATGAAGAGTTATGGGTCACTGCTTTAGATAGGGTGGGTATAGAAGTTCAAGTTTGAAGAAGCAGCTAGGTCTAGTGCTAGGAGAGAAACAGAATAAGACTGTGACAGTAAAGGTACCAGAGAAACGGGATGAAGCAGATGGGGGAAGCAGTTTCAATTCCATGGTGCGAATAAAATTGGTGCACACTCAGAGATGTTTTGAGAACTATTTGGTAAGCTCAGTAAATGGGCATGGTATAGAGCATCCTTGACATAAGTAACTCCATCTTAGAAAAAAAAAACTGTATCTTATACTTCATATGACACTTTTTGCCAACAGGGACAAGATATTTTGCTTAACAAATAATGACTACATCCAACCAGATAAGGATACAAACAAGCACATTCTTCCACTATCAGTCCTCACCAGAGGACTCTGTGGCCATAAAAAGAGTAAGGCTTCAGCAGCTCAACACAACTGACGCAGTCCTGCTATCAGTTGCGATAAGCACCTGGCATCTGCCTACAAAGGCTCTGCCCACATCAAAGACTCTTCCTTGCGAGACTGAGGGACTGCCCAGGCCAAGCCAGGAGATTCTTTTTGTCTTCGTTGTTCTCCCTGCAATGGTTCATTAACTCTTTTTTCTCTCCCTTTTCTCTTGATGTTAAATGTTACTTTGTGAGCTGTGGAATGTTTAACATGTATATAGTGACCACGTATTCTATTACATATGGTTTTCAGTATTAACTGACTTGTGGAGTGGCTTGAGCCTGTGTGCCCGCTATTCTCACTACCGAGTGAATGGGAAGTTCTGAGGAGAACCTCTTTCTTGGGAACTCCATTGAGCTCATGGTTTTTGTGATTGAAACAGTATCAATAAAAGTCTGACCTTGTGGCAAGATACAAATGTATGTGGACCTTGCACGGCTCATGAGAGGCATAACTCTGAAACATGGGTCAGAATTCCTGTCTTTCTGTTTCAAATTGCTCAACAGTGCTAAACATATTGTTTTAGACATAATAGGAGCTTAGCAAATGAGTATTTCTGTATTTGCTGGCTTCAATTGCCTTGAATTAACACAAGAAGCAGACCAGACTGGGGAAGAAAGTTATTTGTATAGAGAAATTCTTAAATGGCGAATCTGTAAGGGGCATTATCCTTACATTCTCCCTTCTCTCTGCATGCCTCTAACCAAAGACAGACCAGTCCGGACAGCCAAACGGGACCATAGAATAGTCAGGACGCATGGAGGGAAATAAGGTTGCCCAAATATATGGACATACTGTCTGAGAGCCATAGGGTATTTGCGATTAGCCGTCTGCAGAAAGCACCCTCTTGGAGATAGGAAGCATCAAGTCTAGATGATCCAGATAATAACCAAGTGTAACCCTGACAACTAGAGCATGAAATCAGGCCTGGAACCTGGTTTGGAACCCTTCTTTCTTCCTTCCCAATAGGAACAGTCTTCAAAATGTAGTGAAAGTGGGTCTCACTTAGGAAGACTATACAGTGCATCTTCAGGAGACAAGTATGTGTGGACCCGCCAGGGTAGTTATTATTCTATTTGGAAAGTCTATGGCTCTAGTGAACACCACTATCCAATGAAATTCCCTTGCTCAGATTTCTTGCTCATGAAACAGCCTTATGATGATAATTTCTGGCTTCCTATGCAGCTTTCCCATGAAGAGAGTGTACTGATTAGCCACTATGACCGTATGGCTGCCCATGACGTGTCTATTCTTACTAGAGAGCAATCATCACATTCTAGTTTATACATCAAACTTGTGTGATGTTTCCTAATGGAAATCAGTTGTTTTGAATCTGATAACCTCTGAAGGCACAATCAAATCAAGTTTTTTTTCCTATCTTTTTTTTTTTTTTTTTTTTGAGACAAGGTTTCACTCTGTCACCCAGACAGGAATGCAGTGGCATGGTCATTGCTCACTGCAGCCTGGAACTCCTGGGCTCAAGTTGATCCTCTCATCTTAGCTTCTTGAGTAGCTGGGACTATAGGCACACACCACCACACCGGGCTAAATTTTTATTTCATTTTTGTACAGACGAGGTCTCACTATGTTGCCCAGGCTGGTCTCAGACTCCTGGACTCAAGTGACCTGCCTCCCAAAGTGCTGGGATTACAGGTGTAAGCCACTGCACCCAGCCCTCAAGTTTCTTTACGTGAGTGCATTTGAGGGCCACATCTCAGTATTGTTTCTTTAAAAGACCATTCTGGGGTCAGCTGGCCTTATTCTACAACATTTCCAGTTTGGCTCTTTCTAATTTCACCACCTAGATTTGATTCATTGTAGTAACTGTCTTTTCTCAAGTACAACAGCCAGATGGTCTCTGCATAATGGGGCTTGAGGATAATAATCCAACCTGAGTTCTAGGTGTCATCTATTTCAGAATGACAGGGTAAAAGTTTAAACATAATAGAGATTACTTACATCTCCAAGGAACATGATTAAACAGTTCTGTTAAATTACTATGATTTCCTTGAGCCTTGAAGGTAGCTAGGATGCTTTAGGACAGCAATTCCCAAAGCCCGTTCCAGGGACTACCAGTGTTATGCAACAAATGAATACAAATTATCTGGAAGTTCTTGGTGAGATGAAGTTAAACCTAGTTTAGTGTTTGCTGTTGTTGTGGTTGGTTGGTTATTTTTTAAGCACAGGGCCCCTCCCAAGCTTATTTTAACCTTGATTACTGAGATCAGTTGACTACCCAAAAGTGAGATGTGTTATGAAGCTTGTCTTAGTCTGTGTGTGTTGCTACAAAGGAATACCTGAGGCTGGGTGATTAAAATGATAAAGAAAAGAGGTTTTTTTGGTTCTCAGTTCTGCAGGCTGTACGAGAAGCAGGATGCCACCATCTGCATCTGGGGAGGGGCCAAGGAAGCCTCCACTCATGGCAGAAGGGAAAGGGGGGGCCATGTGTGCAAAGACGACATGGTGAGACAACAGAAGCGAGAGAGAGAGCGGAGAGGTGTCCGGCTCTTGTGGGAACTAATAAAGCAAGAACCCACTCACTACCAGAGGAGGCCAAGCCATTCATGAGGGATCTGACCCCATGACCCAAACACCTCTCATTAGACCCCATCTCCAAATTGGGGATCAGATTTCAACATAAGCTTTGGAATGACAAATATCCAAACCATAGCAAAGCTTTTTCCCCAAATTATTTGACCAGAAATCCTTTTCATTGAGAAGCATTTCTCAGAACTTAGTTCCCAAGGTAGACACTTTGTCAAACATGACTGTTTCATGCTTTTCTCAAGTCTCATGACATTCGAGTCTCATCTAAGGAGAGATGCAGTCCAGCTGGGTTTCAGTGAAGACTGCCAGTCTGTCATGAAAGGGGAAACTTCACACGAGGGAAGGAAAGAATAGTTATGTGGGGCTTCGTAAGTCATAAGGGAGTAGGATCAGAAATAAATCTCATGGTAGGGAGAGAAAGGCAATTGCCCCTGTTCACCGTTAGGCTCCTTGCAGAGCTGCACAGCACAGAGACACCACGCATATGGAACCAACTGGGAGCTGTGCCCTGGAGCTGTGCAGCACAGTCACCCTGCAGAATGGGCAAGAAGAGAGCTGAGAGAAACATTTGAGAAGGAACGTTAATTTAAAGTTCTAGCGAAAAACACATAAAAGACCTCTTTATCTTTTATTAATTACCAAATCAAATAATCCCTAACAGAGAGAGGGGTACCCCCACATCCCCCAACCCCTCTCCACCCCCCCAGGAGTTACTCCCATTGTGCGATCTGCCTGAGCTGCTTCTGTGCCTAACATGAGCTGAATGAAATAAAAAGCAGAACATTCTGTTTAAAAAGTTATTGTCTAAAATGTCATATCTCCCTTTTATTAGGAGAGTAGAGCTCATCGTGAAGTGTGTTTCAATTTCTATAAATACACAAAGAAAAGCAGGACACATTTCCCACAATAAGCAACTCCAGCATTTGGCCACATCAATCAAAAGAGCAACTAAAGAGGAAAATGTAAAGAAAAACAAAGAAAACCCCTGTAACCCCAAAAGGAAGTTTCCATGTGTACAATATAAGCTGAACAACTTTTGACCTTTTTTGAAATCCGATTAGTGAAACTTTGTAGAATATTTAAAAACCAGCATATGTGCTGCTGAAGTCTGTCCCACGCAAATGTTTTTGTCACTTTTTTAATAAAAAAAGATAATCTTGGAGGAAAGTGCTGCTCAGCAATCTGCTCCTCCTAATTTTGAAACCATTAAAGTGCAAGCCAAGCTGTTCCCAGAGTCCGGACACCCCTTCGCTTGTTTATAGATCAATATTTAGAAACTTTCTCAGTTTCAGAGAAAAAGAATGATCTCAAGCTGAAGTTCTGCAGACCAACTTTCAGTCTAGTTAATTTTTATTTATTTGTTTGCTTGCTAGCTAGAGAGTTATAAAAGTCTTGAAAAGGCTCGGCATGAAAACTGATGCAGCCAAAAGACACCAGCTCTGAGCTCTTGTTTCAGGTAATTCCTGCCTGGAATCGGCCTGTACCTGGTCCAGACAGCTGTACTCCCTTCACCAGGCCTGATTCCTGAACGCATGAACTGTCTTATAAAGTCCGAGTGGACATTTGCATCAGGGTGTCTTAATCACTAGCAGGGTGTGAAAATGTGCACACATGCTCACTCACTCCAAAACCAAGGAGAAAAAATCCTACAAGAGTAAAACTTGGGAGAACATAATCCAGTTCTGTCCTCCTCCTCTTAGAGGGAAATCCTCAGAGCCAGAGGTCAGTACAGTTGCCCAGACAAATAAATTTTCCCTTTACCTCTGGCTACACCAATCTTGTTTGCTTTTAATGTCATGCATGTCCTGGTACAGCCAGGACGGGGAAAGCTCCGTGGAGACAGGTGCAGTTTCTTGTCACTCTTGCTCTAGGAAGTGCTCAGCCCACCCTGCAGGAGGGCGCAAAGACCCTCTAGGAAAATACCCTCGGCCCTGCCCCATCCCGGCCCCATACTGCACTTGGAGGGAAAAAGCATCTTTTACCCAACACAAACCAGGACAGCTGAATTTGCTTATGACAAACACGTATGTGCTCCACAGCTATTTATTGAGTACTTGGAGTGAGGCTCAGTACTAAATGTTGAGAGAACTCAGGAAAATTCAAACTATGGCTCTTGTCCTAGTAAACGAGCTAGACAAATAAAACAAATACATGTAGAAATACTATATTTCCTTGATTCAGAGATGGCATTTATAGAAAGACATGCTATCAAGTAATAACTTTTTGGGAAAAGCTAACCCTCATCAAATGTATGCATTGATTATGAGATGGAACCTCAGCAATTATGAGATAAAAAGTGATTTCTGAAATACTGGCATGTGAAGGGCAGGTGCAGTGGGGGAGTGGGGCCATGTGGCGATGGTGGTGATGCTCTTCTGGCAGTTGCCTGGTGCCCCTGCTCTTCACTAGGAATGGTGCTACCTGCTTCCTAAACGCGATAGCATTTCATTTGCATAACAATCCTGGTGGTGTTGATACTGTGATTCTCATTTTTACAAATGAGAAAACTGAGAGACAGGGAGCAACCTTCCCAAGGTCAGAAAGCCCCTAAGTTAGGGAGCTGGCATGCGAGCTCATGTGTGAGAAGCAAGAGCAGACAGCGGGTAGAAGACAGGCTCTAGGGTCAGAACCCTGGCCTTCCTACCTGCAAGCCATGTGGTTTTAGGCAAAGTACATAATCTCTTTGTGCTTCAGTTTTTATATCTGTAAAATGGGAACTAAGAATAGCCCTTACCTAGTAGGGCTGTTTTAAAGTTTAAAAATGACAATGTCCTCCAAAAGCTTAACTGGGTACCCTGTACATTGAAAATGCACAGTAAATATAAGCTAGGGCTGTTTTTCTATTCTGATGCAGGAAAATGCTTAATCAATTTTAAATACTTAATAGGCCATGTAGGTGGTAATGGTGATCAGGTTCAGAGGTTCAGATTTTACTAGGAGTCTTGTTCCGCTCAAAGTAAACCATGTAATAAATCCTTGCCCGTCTTCATGATACTCTCGTCACTAAGAAGGCAGAGGAAACAACAAGGGAACTTCTATTCTTGACTTCATTCTGATGAAAAAGAACCTGATGGCTATTGTGTAACTTCCAGGAACCTAGAGAAAAACATGACTGTGTCATTCTGCATTAAATTGAGGAAAGGAACCACCAGGCTGAGGTGACCTGAACCTGGACTTTGGAAAATAGGCTTCAGAAAGTTCAGAAATACGATAAATGTGCCCCGCTTGGCCAAGGATATGATTCACACGAAAGGGAAATTCTGAAAGAACAAAACAAAACAAAAGAATGTTAGATTGTACACTTAGAAATTATTCCTGTGAAAAAGAACAGATGACGGCAGCCACAGAAAAACCTCTCAGGTTGTTCAGATTTCAACAGGACACATGTAAAAGGCAGAGGATGTGCGCTCCGGGAGGCCGTGCCCTGTGTGCTTGGAAGGAGGTGGGAAGGGTAGGCCAATGAGCCCTCGTTAAAGACAAGCCCTGCGTCACACTTTATAGACATCAGTTCATTTTATCCTTCACATTTTATCCTGAAAAGGTAGATGTTATGAGCTTTGTGTTTCAGAGTAAGAAATTTGTACTGAGAGGCCGGGTGATTTGCCGGGAATCACACAAATCGTCGACGGTAGAGCTGGGATTGGAATCCAGAACGGTGCGGATGTGAAGTCCAAGCTCTTCTCCCTGGCTCTGTCATCTTCCTCCTCAGCAGAATGACCATCCTAAATGTCTGGAGTAGGGGGCCAGGAGTGCTTTGGTGCCACATAGAGATTTCTATTCCTGTTACTTGGGTAGGTGTCCTCTTCACAGCATATCAACTAGCTAGGATGGGTTGAGCAGACCGGGAAGGCCAAAAGTCAAGGTGTCTATGCTTGGGGGTAGAGGGCACCCCTGTCCCAGTGCTGCAGGCTCAAAGCCGAGGCCCGGCCTTGGCTCCCTCCTGGTGTGCTTGTTCTCACCACCGTGGTCCCTGCCCTGACTCTAGATATGTTCACCCAGTGAATTCAGGCTATCCTATGTCCTTTCATTAAAAGAATGTCCTATCTAATCCTGAGCCTATACGCGGTGGCATTTTGAAGATTGTCATGGAATGACTGTATGTGACACAGAGTAAACAAGTCAATGTATCCATCTTGATCAACATCAGCAGACAGTGTCACACTAACTCGGGGAGTGACTACTCATCTTTGTGTGAAGGCCAAGAGTGCCTCATACAGCAAAATAAATTCTACTTTACCAAGCCATGCCCATCTGATAACTGTCTCTGTATTTATTTATTTATTTTTAGAGACAGGGTTTCACTCTGTCACCAAAGCTGTAGTGCAGTGGTGCAATCATAGCTCACTGCAGCCTTGAACTTCTGGGCTCAAACAATCCTTGTGGCTCAACCTCTTCTTGAGTATCTAGGACTACAGACACATGCCACCATGCTGGGCACATTTTTAAACTTTTTTTTTATAGAGATGAGGTCTCACTATGTTGTTCAGGCTGGTCTCCAACTCCTGGCTCCAAGCGATCCTCTCACCTCGCCTCCCAAAGTGATAGGATTATAGGCGTGAGCCCCCATGCCTGGCCCGTCTCATCCTTTATTGAGAAGATATCTGTTATCTGTCTTCCTTTAAGCCTCCCTAGCAATCTCTTTTGTAATCTTTGAAAACTTCTGGTTGTTCTATTTCCTCCAGTCTAATTAAAGCAATGGTCTGGTTTCTGGCTACGATTGCTCAGAGAGGATCAGGAGTTATAAAGGCCAAACTATGTACTGTTGGGATGGTTTTCTGGGAATACTCACAGAGAAAGGCAAGGTTCAAATGCTGGGCATGCGACTAAAGACAGAAATGTGTTACTAGAGATTTCCATAATTCTCTGCCATGAATCTCAAAATAGGTATGAAACCAGGAGATAAATCTGTATAAGGAAGGGATAGATGGAGAATAATACCATTAACTCAGGTTTAAACTTAGTCCACTGGGAGGCCAAGGCAGGCAGATCACGAGGTCAGGAGTTCCAGACAAATCTGACCAACATGGTGAAACCCCATCTCTACTAAAAATACAAAAATTAGCTGGGTGTGGTGGTGGGCACCTGTAGTCCCAGCTACTCGGGAGGCTGAGGTAGGAGAATAGCTTGAACCTTGGAGGCAGAGGTTGTGGTGAGCCGAGATCATGCCACTGCACTCCAGCCTGGGTGACAGAGTGAGACTGTCTCAAAAAAAAAAAAAATTAAACTTAGCCCAAAAATTCAAAAGTGAACCTCTAAAAAGAAGTCAAGGGTAACTGCTGTAGAAGTCCAGCCAGGCAGATGGTGGCACAAAGAATCTGGAGCAGCTGGCGTGGGGCCTCAGCCATGGAGACAGTTCAGTTCAAGGACGGGAAAGCCAGTTGTTGGGGAACTGGGAAAGAAGCAGGAATGAACGTCCCTTGGAAAAGAGGAAGAGACTTGGTTGTAGGAGAGAGCTAGGATACCAACGTCGACGTGATGAAATTGATTTTAGCCACTAACCCATGTCCCATCTGTTCCTTCTACTCAAACACTGAGGCATGACTGAACTTAGAGGTGAGAGCCTCAGTTAGATGAGCCATAAAGCTTCATCAAAGCATAGGAGGTCATTACCTCACAAACCTACCCCAGGTCAGGCCAACATTTACTATATATCATGCTCTGGGGGCAATGTTTGTGCTTTTTATTTTACCTTTATGTAAGCTATCTATTATTTTGTTTATGGTCAGTTTGTATTTTAAACATATCAGCCTGGCTGATGGTACTTTGTCACAGCAGCCCTAGTAAACTAATACAATCGTCAGTTTTGTTTTCAATTTGGTGTGTATTAATTGGCTTAATTATGATCCTTAAATTGTCATCATTGGGTTGTAGATGTCCAACTTATATTCAGTTATTGATTTATTTTTAGTAATATAATAAACATCTGCGAGCCCATCTCCTAAACAAAAGTCAGTCTGGAAAATAAGTCAGAGCTAATGACATGTTCCCCCAGCAACCTCACCCCATCCTCCCCAGCAGCATCCTGGTTTTCCTAGCTTTTCTGTCGATGTAGATTATTGCAGTCCTAAACTGCATGTATTTTAAAACATTTTAGCTACTTTAAACTGTATAAAAGGTATCGTGTAGTATATGTTTTGCGACTTTCGTTTCCATTACATTGCTAAGATTCACCCATCTGCATGTGGCTGTAGTTCATTCGTTATGCTACTTTGCTGTTTCGAAATAAAATCTTCATGACTGCTTTTTAGAAATATACTCACATTCTCATTCTTATCCCATTGTTTCTACTATTTTAATATAAAGGCCTGGCGAAGACCCTGTTTCGGGAAGGAGGAGACTCTCTGGCCCATGTGCCGTAAGGACATTTTGGGCTCACAACTGCAGGGGTGTTCCGGCCTTATTGTGACTCTCAGAGCTTCACCGACAACAGCCACGAGGACTTACTTCTTAAAATGAAGCATTTCCCTTTGGTCACCAACCAAGAGGATAGAACAGTAAGGTGACTCATGTTGCTCTGATTTCAAAGGGTGTGTAAAGGGAAACGTTAATGTGAGTCAGAATTTACCCAATGGTTTTGAGTAAATAGCCCTGAAATAGTCTTTTTCTCCTGGGGTTGCTGAATGAGAGCAGCGTGGCCATACTTTCCTAAAGGAAGCAGTGTGGCTTGGGAGGTGCAGTACAGCCCTGGAGGGCTGACAACCTGGTAGATGCAAGCCATCCGCCTCCTACTTTGTGACCTTGGGCCAGTCACTGAATGCAATGGTGCACAGATACCCAGTTCTAATTCTAGGGTCAGAGACTGCACTGCCTCCCTTCTGTGTTCACACAGAGCCATTTCTAGCTCTTAAAGTGTCTAAGCAGGGCCTGTGTTTTTCCTCATTACAGTAAACATTTTGTGAAACAGGTATTGGTGGCTGTATAGTACTGGGTTTGGCCATGATGTTGGATCCTCAAACCCAGGGCTGTGTGGCCAGACCCAGGCCAAAGCTCCCAACATGGCCACCTCACAGGCTCTGGAGAGGGACTTGCTGGGCCCAGTGGAAGGCAGCTTAGGCTCCACATCCTCTCCGTCTTCCGGCTTCTCTGTGAAGCACAGGTTATTGTTTGTACCCTTTGATGCTTTTCTAAAGGCTATGTAAGGAGCATTTTCAAAGGTAGAAAATGGAGAGAGCTGGAGATGCCGTGGGAGGGAAGACTGGAGAAAGAAAGTCTAACCAGTGCAAACATTAAAATCAAATGACCCTTGTGCCATAAATTAGGGGGTTGGGGAAATGGCTTATTATGCAGCTGAGGTGTTTGAAATGTAGAATTTGCTGGGTTGGCAGATTAATCCCATTTATACTGGGGAAAGTATTCCATGACATTAAAGGATTTATCTATTTGCTAATCTGCTTCAGACTCCACAGACCTTGTTTTAATAAGGGGGTTGGGGAGAGGAAAGGGTTAGAAAGAAGGGGGTTAGGAAAAGGAAGACAGGGATTTCGTTCCCATTTCTGCTATAAGTTTTGTTAACTAAATGCCTAATAGGGACTTCAAAAACACGGTAGAATCCACTCCTTAAATGTAACATGCATTACTTATAATATGGACAAAGTAGAGTTTTTTATTTGTTTTGTTTTTGTTTTTGTTTTTTGTTTAACAATGTTAATGCGATCATTCTCTGTAAATACATAAGCAAGAATATATTTCTTCTGCTACTTTAAACCTAGGATATAAAGAACTTTTTAGAGAGAAAAGCAAATGAAAAATGGGTGTAGGATTCTAACAAGCTTTAATCTTCATTACTAGATTTATTGGGAGCAACCACCAACAATTATTTTAATTTGGAGCAGTTCCCATTTTTCCCATTTTTAAAACCCCTTCCCCCAAAATGCAAACAAACATTCGCCTTTGCTGTTGCCTTTTTCCTCCTGGATGGACTACGCAGCGCAATAGCCAAACATCCTCTTAATCTCTTTTTCAAAGACTCTAACCTTCTTTTGCGTAAAGCAGTCATTTTGTTTTGTTCCACAGCACCTTGACAATGCCGAGAAAACATAATCCTTTACTTACAATAGAATCTCAGATTTGCTGTTCCATTACCGGGTAGCCTAAGCATTTGTATTAAAAGACGGTTCAGCCTTTTTTCAAGGAGGCATTTCCTTCCTTACCTTCCTCACAGAAAGTTCTGCTTTATTTTTAGTAATATCCTGGCTTCTGGTATTGTATTTGTGCACATAATCCCTTCACAATAATGCTTAGCACTGTGGTGGCACCTTCCCTCCACGGAACTCAAAGGCCTTTACAAACATTAATTAATTCTCACAGCACCCCCACGAGATGGGTGAGTATTCCCTTCCAATTGGTATATTATTATCCCCATTTTGTGATTTTGCCAAAATTCCTTTGCCTTCTTCCCCAGTGTTCTTTTTAATAGAATTCATCTTCAGTCCACTGGGACTGGCCAGTTAAGACCATGGTAAAGAAACGAACTAGCAATAAAAAGGAAACAAAAAAGAAGAATGTGAACTGTGATATAGGCAACCTCAGAGATATTGAGGGGTCAGTTCTGGATCAGAGCAATAAAGCAAGCATCATGATAGAGTCACATGAATTTTTTTGGTTTGCCAGTGCACATATAAGTTACATTTATGTTATACTGTAGTTTATTAAGTGTGCAATAGCATATGCATATGCCTAAAAAAAGTATGTCCTTTTGTTTTTTTTTTTTTTTTTGAGACGCAGTCTTTGCTCTGTTGATTAGGCTGGAGTGCAATGGCGCCATCTTGGCTCACTGCAATCTCTGCCTCCCGGGTTCAATTCTCCCGCTTCAGCCTCTCGAGTAGCTGGGATTACAGGCATGCGCCACCACGTGCAACTAATTTTTGTATTTTCAGTAGAGATGGGTTTTTGCCATGTTGGCCAGGCTGGTTTGAACTCCTGACCTCAGGTGATCCACCCACCTCAGCCTCCCAAAGTGCTGTGATTACAGGTGTGAGCCACCACGCCCAGCCAAAAAGTATATGTCTTAATTCAAAAATATTTTATTGCTAAAAAATGCTAATGACCATCTGAGCCTTCAGCAAGTTGTGATCTTTTTGCTGGTGGAGGGTCTTGCCTCCATGTTGATGATGGCTGACTGATCAGAATAGTGGTTGCTGAAGGTTGGGGTGGCTGTGGCTATTTCTTAAAATAAGACAAAAATGATGTTTGCCATACAGATTGATTCTTCCTTTTGCGAAAGATTTCTCTGTAGGATGAGATACTATTGGATAACATTTTACCCACAGTAGAACTTCTTTCAAAATTGGAGACAATCCTCTCAAAACCTGCTCTTGCTTTATCAACTAAGTTTATGGAATATTCTAAATCTTCTGTTGTCATTTCGACAATGTTCGCAGCATCTCCACCAGGAGTAGCTTCCATCTCAAGGAACTTCTTTCTTTGCTCATCCATAAGAAGCAACTCCTCATCTGTTAGAGTTTTATCCTGAGATTGTAGCAATTCAGTTCCATCTTCAGGCTCTACTTCTTATTCTAGTTGTCTCCTACTTCCACCTCATTTGCAGTTACTTCTTCCATTGAAGTCCTGAACCCCTCAAAGTCATCTAGGAGGGCTTAAATTACTTCTTCCAAACTCCAGTTAATGTTGCTATTTTGATCTTCTCTCCTGAATCATGAATGTTCTTAGTGGCATCAAAAATCACGAATCTTTTCTAGAAGGTGTTTTCAATTTACTTTGCCCAGATCCATCAGGGGAATCACTGTCTGTGGCAGCCTTACAAAATACATTTTATAAATCATAAAACTTGAAAGTCTAAATTACTCTTTGATCCATGGGCTGCAGAATGGGTGTTCTATTAGCAGGCATAAAAACAACATTAGGGGATCTGGCAAGATGGCTGAATAGAAACAGCTCCAGTCGGCAGCTCCCAGTGAGACCAATGCAGAATGCAGGTGATTTCTGCTTTTCCAACTGAGGTACCCAGTTCATCTAATGGGACTGGTTAGACAGTGGGTGCAGCCCATGGAGGGCGAGCAGAAGCAGGGTGGGGTGTTGCCTCACCCAGGAAGTGCAAGGGGTCAGGGAACTCCCTCCCCTAGCCAAGGGAAGCCATGAGGGACTGTGCTTTGAGGGACGCTGCTATCTGGCCCAGATACTACACTTTTCCTATGGTTTTTGCAACCCTCAGACCAGGAGATTCCCTCAGGTACCTACACCACCAGGGCCCTGGGTTTCAAGCACAAAACTGGGTGACCACTTAGGCAGACACTGAGCTAGCTGCAGGAGTTTTGTTTTTTTTTTTTTTGTACTCCAGTGGCACCTGGAACCCCAGCGAGACAGAACCTTTCACTCTCCTGTAAAGGCGGCTGAAGCCAGGGAGCCAAGCAGTCTTGCTCAGTGGGTCCCACCCCCACGGAGCCCAGCAAGCCAAGATCCACTGGTTTGAAATTCTCGCTGCCAGCACAGCAGTCTGAAGTCAACCTGGGATGCTCGAGCTTGGTGGAGGGAGGGGCGTCCACCATTACTGAGGCTTGAGTAGGCGGTTTTCCCCTCATAGTGTAAACAAAGCTGCTGGGAAGTTTGGACTGGGCAGAACCCACCACAGCTTGGCAAAGCTGCTGTAGCCAGACTGCCTCTCTAGATTCCTCCTGTCTGGGCAGGGCATCTCTGAAATAAAGGCAGCAGCCCCAGTCAGGGGCTTATAGGTAAAACTCCCATCTCCCTGAGACAGAGCACCGGGGGGAAGGGGTGGCTGTGGGTACAGCTTCAGCAGACTTAAACATTCCTGCCTGCTGGCTCTGAAGAGAGCAGTGGATCTCCCAGCACAGCGCTTGAGCTCTACTAAGGGACAGACTGCCTCCTCAAGAGGGTCGCTGACCCCCGTGCCTCCTGACTGGGAGACATCTCCCAGCAGGGGTCGACAGACACCTCATACAGGAGAGCTCTGGCTGGCAACTAGTGGGTGCCCCTCTGGGACAAAGCTTCCAGAGGAAGGAATGGGCAGCAATCTTTGCTGTTCTGCAGCATCCGCTGGTGATACCCAGGCAAACAGAGTTGGGAGTGGACCTCCAGCAAATTCCAACAGACCCGCAGATGAGTTAAAAGACCAGCAGACTGTTAGAAGAAAAACTAACAAACAGAAAGTAATAACATCAACATTAACAAAAAGGACACCCATGCAAAAACCCCATCCAAAGGTCATCAGCACCAAAGATCAAAGGTAGATAAATCCACAAAGATGAGGAAAAACCAGCACAAAAATGCTGAAAATTCCAAAATGCTTCTTTTCTTCCAAAGGATCACAACTCTTTGCCAGCAAGGGAACAAACTGGAAGAAGAACGAGTTTGACAAATTCATAGAAGGAGGCTTCAAAAGGTGGGTAATAACAAACTCCTCTGAGCTAAAGGATCATGTTCTAACCCAATGCAAGGAAACTAAGAACCTTGATAAAAGATTAAAGGAATTTCTAACTAGCATAACCAGTTTAGAGAAGAACATAAATGATCTGATGGAGCTGGAAAACACAGCACAAGAACTTCGTGAAGCGTACACAAGTATCAATAGCCGAATCAATCAAGCAAAAGAAAGTATATCAGAGATAGAAGATGAACTTAATGAAATAAAGTGAGAAGACAAGATTAGAGAAAAAAGAATGAAAGGGAATGAACAAAGCTTCCAAGAAATATGGGACTACGTGAAAAGACCAAACCTATGATTGGTTGTTGTACCTGAAAGTGATGGGGAGAATGGAACCAAGTTGGAAAACACTTCAGGTTATTATCCAGGAGAACCTCCCCAACCTACCAAGACAGGCCAACATTCAAATTCAGGAAATACAGAGAACACCACAAAGATACTCCTGGAGAAGAGCAACCCCAAGTCACATAATTGTCAGATTCACAAAGGTTGAAACAAAGGAAAAATGTTAAGGGCAGCCAGAGAGAAAGACCAGGTTACCCACAAAGGGAAGCCCATCAGGTTAACAGCTAATCTCTCTGCAGAAGTCTTACAAGCCAGAAGAGAATGAGGGCCCATATTCAACATTTTTAAAGAAAAGAATTTTCAACTCAGAATTTCATATCCAGCCAAACTAAGCTTCGTAAGTGAAGGAGAAATAAAATCCTTTACAGACAAGCAAATGCTGAGGGATTTTGTCACCACCAGACCTGCCTTACAAGAGCTCCTGAAGGAAGCACTAAATATGGAAAGGAAAAACCAGTGCCAGCCACTGCAAAAACATACCAAAATATAAGGACCAATGACACTATGAAGAAAATGCATCAACTAATGTGCAAAATAACTAGCTAGCACCATGATGACAGGATCAAATTCAAACATAATAATACTAACCTTAAATGTAAATGGGCTAAATGACTCAATTAAAAGAACAGTCTGGCAAACTGGATAAAGAGTCAAGACCCATCGGTGTGTTGTATTCAGGAGACTTATCTCATGTGCAAAGACACACATAGGCTCAAAATAAAGGGAGGGAGGAATATTTACCAAGCAAATGGAAATAAAAAAAAAAGCAGGAGTTGCAATCCTAGTCTCTGATAAAACAGACTTTAAATCAACAAAGATCAAAAAAGACAAAGAAGGGCACTACATAATGGTAAAGGGATCAATGCAACAAGAAGAGCTAACTATCCTAAATATATATGCACTCAATACAGGAGCACCCAGATTCATAAAGCAAGTTCTTAGAGACCTACAAAGAGACTTCGACTCCCACACAATAATAGTGGGAGACTTTAACACCCCACTATCAATATTAGACAGATCAACGAGACAGAAAATTAACAAGGATATTCAGGACTTGAACTCAGCTCTGGACCAAGTGGACCTAATAGACATCTATAAAACTCTCCACCCCAAATCAACAGAATATACATTCTTCTCAGCAGCACATCGTACTTATTGTAAAATTGACCACATAATTGGAAGTAAAACACTCCTGAGCAAATGCAAAAGAGTGGAAATCATGACAAACAGTCTCTCAGACCACAGTGCAATCAAATTCGAACTCTGGATTAAGAAACTCACTCAAAAAAAAAAAAAAAAGGAAAAGAAACTCAAAACTGCACAACTACATGGAAACTGAACAACCTGCTCCTGAATGACTACTGGGTAAATAATGAAATTAAGGCAGAAATAAATAAGTTCTTTGAAACCAATGAGAACAAAGACACAACATACCAGAATCTCTGGGACACAGCTAAAGCACTGTTTAGAGGGAAATTTATAGCACTAAATGCCCACGTGAGAAAGCGGGAAACATCTAAAATCAACACCCTAACATCACAATTAAAAGAACTAGAGAAGCAAGAGCAAACACATTCAAAAGCTAGCAGAAGACAAGAAATAATTAATATTGGAGCAGAACTGAACAAGATAGAGACACGAAAAACCCTTCAAAAAATCAATAAAGCCAGGAGCTGGTGTTTTGAAAAGATTAACAAAATAGATAGACCGCTAGCCAGACTAATAAAGAAGAGAGAAGAATCAAATGGACACAATAAAAAATGACATAGGGGATATCACCACTGATCCCACAGAAATACAAACTACCATCAGAAAATACTATAAACCCCTCTACACAAATAAACTAGAAAATTTAGAATAAATGGATAAATTCCTGGACACATACACCCTCCAAAGACTAAACCAGGAAGAAGTCAAGTCCCTGAATAGACCAATAATGAGGTCTGAAATTGAGGCAGTAATTAATAGCCTACCAACCAAAAAAAGCCCAGGACCAGATGGATTCATAGCCGAATTATACTAGAGGTACAAAGAGGAGCTGCTACCATTCCTTCTGAAACTATTCCAAACAATAGAAAAAGAGGGACTCTGCCCTAACTCATTTTATGTGGCCAGCATTATCCTGATACCAAAACCAGGCAGAGACACAGCAACAACAAAAAATTCAGGCCAGTATTCGTGATGAACATTGATGCAAAGATCCTCAATAAAATACTGGCAAACCAAATCCAGCAGCACATCAAAAAGCTTATTCACCATGATCAAGTTGGCTTCATCCCTGGGATGCAAGGCTGGTTCAACATATACAAATCAATAAATGTAATTTATCACATAAACAGAACCAAAGACAAAAACCACATCATTATCTCAATTGATACAGAAAAGGCCCTTGATAAAACTCAACACCCCTTTATGCTAAAAACTCTCAATAAACTAGGTATTGATGGGACGTATCTCAAAATAATAAGAGCTATTTATGACAAACCCACAGCCAATATCATACTGAATGGGCAAAAGCCAGAAGCATTCCCTTTGAAAACCAGCAGAAGACAAGGATGCCCTCTCTCACCACTCCTATTTAACATAGTATTAGAAGTTCTGGACAGGGCAATCAGGCAAGAGAAAGAAATAAAGGGTATTCGAATAGGAAGAGAGGAAGTCAGATTGTCTCTGTTTGCAGATGACATGATTGTATATTTAGAAACCCCCATTGTCTCAGCCCAAAAACTCCTTAAGCTGATAAGCAACTTCAGCAAAGTCTCAGGGTACAAAATCAATGTGCAAAAATCACAAGCATTACTATACATCAATAATAGTCAAACAGAGAGCCAAATAATGAGTGAACTCCCATTCACAATTGCTACAAAGAGAATAAAATACCTAGGAATACAACTTACAAGGGCAACTTGAAGGATCTCTTCAAGGACAACTGCAGACCACTGCTCAAGGAAAAAAGAGAGGACACAAACAAATGGAAAAATATTTCATGCTCATGGATAGGAAGAATCAATATCGTGAAGTTGGTCATACTGCCCAAAATAATTTACAGATTCAATGCTATTGCCATCAAGCTACCATTGACTTTCTTCACAGAATTAGAAGAAAGTACTTCAAATTTCATATGGAGCCAAAAAAGAGCCTATATAGCTATGACAATCTTAAGCAAAAAGAACAAAGCTGGAGGCATCACGCTACCTGACTTCAGACTATACTACAGGGCTATAGCAATGAAAAAAGCTGGTAATGGTAGCAAAATAGATATAGAGACCAATGGAACAGAATAGAGGCCTCAGAAATAACACTACACAAGTACAACCATCTGATCTTTGACAAACCTGACAAAAACAAGCAACGGGGAAAGGATTCCCTATTTAATAAGTGGTGTTGGGAAAACTGGCTAGCCATGTGCAGAAAACTGAAACTGGACCCCTTTCTTACACCATATACAAAAATTAACTCAAGATGGATTAAAGACTTAAAACATAAGACCTAAAACCATAAAAACCCTAGAAGAAAACCTAGGCAATACCATTCAGGACATAGGCATGGCTGAAGACTTCATGACTAAAACACCAAAAGCAATTGCAACAAAAGCCAAAATTGACAAATGGGATCTAATTAAATTAAAGAGCTTCTGCACAGCAAAAGAAACTATCATCAGAGTGAATAGGCAGCCTACAGACTGGGAGAAAATTTTTGCAATCTACTCATCTGACAAAGGGCTAATATCTGAATCTACAAAGAACTTAAAAAAAATTACAAGAAAAAAACAAACAACCCCATCAAAAAGTGGGCAAAGGATATGAACAGACACTTCTCAAAAGAAGACATTTATGCAGCCAAAAAACATTATTAAAAAAAGCTCACCATCACTGGTCATTAGAGAAATGCAAATCAAAACCACAACTCATGCCATCTCATGCCAGTTAGAATGGTGATCATTAAAAACTGAGGAAACAACAGATGCTGGAGAGCATGTGGAGAAATAGGAATGCTTTTACACTGTTGGTGGGAGTGTAAATTAGTTCAACCATTGTGGAAGACAGTGTGGCAATTCCTCAAGGATCTAGAACCAGAAATACCATTTGACCCAGCAATCCCATTACTGGGTATATACCCAAAGGATTATAAATCATTCTACTATGAAAACACATGCACATGCATGTTTATTGCAGCACTATTCACAATAGCAAAGACTTGGAACCAACCCAAATGCCCATCAATGATAGACTGGATAAAGAAAATGTATCACATATACACCATGGAATAGTATGCAGCCATAAAAAAGAATGAGTTCATGTCCTTTGCAGGGACATGGATGAATCTGGAAGCCATCATTCTCAACAAACTAACACAGGAACAGAAAACCAAACACTGCCTGCTCTCACTCATAAGTGGGAGTTGAACAATGAGAACACATGGATACAGGGAGGGGAATATCACACACCAGGGCCTATTTGGGGGTAGGAGTAAGGAGAGGGATAACATTAGGAGAAATACCTAATGTAGATGATGGGTTGATGGGTACAGCAAACCACCATGGCACATGTATACCTATGTAACAAACCTGCACGTTCTGCACACGTATCCCAGAACTTAAAGTGTAATAATAAGGCCAGGCACAGTGGCTCTTTTATTACACCTGTAATCCCAGCACTTTGAGAGGCTGAGGTGGGCAGATCATGAAGTCAGGAGATCGAGACCATCCTGGCCAACATGGTGAAACCCCATCTCTACTAAAAATACAAAAATTAGTGGGTGTGGTGGTTAGTGCCTGTAATCCCAGCTACTCGGGAGGCTGAGGTAGGAGAATCACTTGTACCCAGGAGGCGGAGATTGTGGTGAGCTGAGATCACACCACTGCACTCCAGCCTGAGCGACAGAGTGAGACTCTGTCTCAAAAAAGAAAAAAAAAGAAAAATAATAATAATAATAATAAAACAACGTTAACAACATTAACACCCTTGTACATCTCCATCAGTGCTTTGGGTGATCAGGTACATTGTTAATGAACGGTAATATTTTAAAAGGAATCTTTTTTGCTGAGCAGTAGATCTCAACAGTATACTTGAAATATTCAATAAACCATGCTGTAAATAGATGGGCTGTCATCGAGGTTTTGCTGTCCCATTTACAGAGCACTAGCAGGATAGATTTAGCATAAATCTTAAGAGCCTTAGGAGTTCTGGAATGGTAAATGAGCATTGGCTTCAAACTAAAGTAACCAGCTGCCTTAGCCCTTAACAAGAAAGTCAGCCGTTCTTTGAAGCTTTGAAGCCAGGAATTGACTACTCCTTTCTGGCTGTGTAGTTTAGTGAGGCCACTTTCATTAATTATCTTAGTTAGATCTTCTGGATAACTTGCTGCAGCTTTGACCTCACCACTTGCTGCTTCACCTTACACTTTTATGTTATGGAGATGGCTTCTTTTCCTAAACCTCATGAACCAAGCTCTGCTAGCTTCCAACTTTTCTTCTGCAGCTTCCTCACATCGCTCCACCTTAAGAGAATTGAAGAGAGTTAGGGTCTTGCTCTGGATTAAGCTTTGGCTTAAGGGAATGTCGTGGCTGGTTTGATCTTCTATCCTGACTACTCAACTTTCTCCAAATCAGCAATACGGCTGTTTCGCTTTCTTAGCATTCATGTGTTCACTGGAGTAACACTTTTAATTTTCTTGAAGAACGTTTCCTTTGCATTCACAATTTGGTTAATTGTTTGGTGCTAGAGATATGAGATATAACTTTTGGCCTATGTTGGCTTTCAACGTGCCTTCCTCGTGAAGCTTAATCATTTCTAATTTTTTATTTAAAGTGAGAGATGTGTGACTCTTTCTTTCACTTGAACACTTGAATATTGTAGGGTTATTCATTGGCCTACTTTCAATGTTGTTGTATGTAAGGGAACAGGGAGGCCCAGTTAGAGGGAAAGAGGAGCTGGTTTGTGGAGCAGTCAGAGCACACACATTTACTGATTAAGTTCACCATATCTTACAGATGTGGTTCGTGGGACCCCAATAAAATTACAATAATAACATCAAACAGCACTGATCACAGAACAACATAACAGATATAATAAAAATGAAAGAGTTTGGAATATTACTAGAATTACCAAAATGTAATACAGACACAAAGTGAGCAGATGCTATTGAAAAACAGTGCCAATAGACTTGTTCAATGCAGGGTTGCCATAACCTTCAATTTGTAAAAATTTAGTGTCTATGAAACACAGTAAGGCTAAGTGCAATAAAATGAGGTGTGCCTGTATACAGAAAGCTTGACAGCTAAGCTGGTGGTGGAGATGGGAAAGGCCCTCGTTCTCCACCTCCACTGAATCACCAGTGAAGGGGAGAAAAGAATAGGGGCGTGTGGACCTTCCCATTCACTAAAACCAGAGGAGAAACTGACACAGGCAGACAGTGATGGACAACTTCTGCCCAGAGAATTGGACAAATGTCGTTGATCCTACTGGACTGTTTCCAGCTTCTGCCCAGAGAATTGGACAAATGTCCTTGATCCTACTGGACTGTTTCCAGGGCTAGTGGGTTCTGCAATGATGAACTCGAACCCACCCCAAGAGGGTGAAAAGTATGAAGTACACCCAAAGCCTCTGGAAAAATCCTTATGATTCTTTGGGTTAGTACAGCCCGGCTCTGTGCTAAAACATCACTGTAGTATGTTTTCAGGTACATCAACTTTTTGTAACAAAAACCTACCCAAATCTCAAAATTTTACAGAAGTTGGGACCTTGTGACTTACGAAATGTTTAAAAATGTGTGCTAACGTTTTAATATCTGTTTGAATGATTCCTCCAACTCCTAGCTTTTACTTGATATTTTATTGCTAAAACGAGAGTGATGTGGAGGGATAAAGTGGTGACTTGTTCAAGGTGAACCCGGGAAACACAGGACTTGATTTCTCTCTAGACTGAACCTCGGAAGTCTTAGTTGGAGCAGCTGGAATGGCAAACCATCCTTCTTTGACTCTCAGCCAATGGGTTCTTTTCCATTCACTCATTCAGTCTCATCAACTTTTCTGAAGAACTCCTACTGAGAAGTTAAATGGAGGAGGTGAAGCAGAGAAGGCCACAGAAATATTTTTCTGGAAATATGCAAAGAAAAAAGAATGTCATGTTTTAAGATTTGGCATAGAGGCCAAATAACTTTCCTTCACTTATAATGGAAATTGGGGATGAAATTTGGACTGGTTTCAGGAAAACTGTAAAAAATGACATGAATTTGAGATGAAATGTAAGAATTTGATCAATGACAGGAAATTCTTTGTGCCCTAATTTCCTGACCACTGACCTCAGCGGGCCCTTAGTGCTGCCTGGCCACCTTCCTACACATTTGTGGGCAATTAACTCTCTCTTCTCAAACCTCCAAAGTCTCCTCTTTCATCCCTATACTCAGCTGAGAGCTCTGCTTCCTATTTCGTTGAGAAAAACAGTCCTATGTTTCTGCCAAATGCTCTCCATCTGCCCCATTACCATCTACCTTGCCTTTCCCACTGTAACCACAGGAAATTTCTTTGTGCTCCTATCCAGGGTCAAGCCCATCTGAGGCCCTGGACCCTGTAATCTTTCCTGTCTCTGCCATTTACTAGGTCTGGATCTAGGGCTAGCATCCTTTGTCTTCATTATGCCAGGAAAGCTCTGAGGTCTCAGTCTCATTAAACATAGGCCATTGTTGAGCCCAAGTTTCAGACAATCAACCAAGTGAACTCATGATCTTTCATGCGAATACCAAACTGACAACTGGCATCCTGGAGAGAGGAAAGAAATGCTATCAGCTAAAAGAATGTCGTGAGATTAGAAATGGGAGAAGTGCCATAGATGGTAGAACTCAGTACCTTATGCTGGCTTTCTATTGTAAACTGGATGAAGTCTAAAGGTTCAACGTGTTTGGCAACGTAGGAGGCACTGTTTGAGGCTGGTGGATTAAAGAAAGATGTATACTTATGGTGGAATCAGCTTATATAACTTACTTCCAAGTCTGAATATTGTCGAGTATATTTTTGTTTCTAATTTGTTTATGTCATGGGAGCCTTCAGAACAACTTTTGACCATGTACGTTTTAAAGGCAATATTTGAACAACTGATGAATGCAGGAAACAAATTACTTTCTTTTTTATTCCGTTTACTTTAAGTTCTGGGATACATGTGCAGAACATGCAGGTTTGTTACATAAGTATACATGTGCCATGGTGGTTTGCTGCACCCATCAACCCGTCATCTGGGTTTTAAGCCTGACATACATCAAAGTACTTCCTAAAATAAAAGGGCACATATATATTAAGATCATCACCAGCAATAATTATTACAGCCATATAGTTAATGTGGCATGACATTATTTGGCAAGCCTTTTAGAAATCTAGAACAGACCAAGTAAATATTTCCCCTAATTTTACTTTCAGCATAGTGTTCATTTACTTATTCCTTTAACAAATATTTATTACGTACTGTATATCAGGTGTGATTCTGATGCCAAAATGTAGCAGCAAATAAAACAGATAAAAATCCCTGGCCACATGCAGCAGTGGGGAAAAATAAGCAACAAACAAGTAAATAAGTAAATTAAAAAGTAACCTAATAGAGCCACTTGCAGCTATCCAAACTAAAACATTTAATCCAGAATCTCTGATGAATGCACGTATATCAATAAATTCAGCTGATTCCAGCGTTGCATTAAATCCACCTTGGTCTAATACCTTTAGAATCCACACCCACAAACATTCTGTCTCCCATTGTTGGCATGCGTGGGGGAAGGGAAAGCACAGTAAGGCTGGATTTGCAAAAGTTGGATTCAGTCGTTGCTGTGGGAAGGGACTGCTACTGTCAGGGTAAAAAAGGGGAAAAAAATACCATGGTCAGGGGATGCTTAGGAAACAAGCAGGAAAGACCCGTGGGGTCTGCAGGAAACAAAGAGGAACAAGTTCCTCCTTCCTACTCCATCCTTGAATTCCGCCTCTCCTGTTGGCACAGCCTATTAAGGCATCAGCCAGCAATGCAGAAATGGCTTGTCTAGTGACTGCTTTAGCAACCCAAAGCAAAGTTTAGAAGCTTGGATTTGGAGATAGAAGAGAACTTAATAACTGACACACTTATTATATTAACAATTTTTGAAAAACAAATTATGTAACTCATAGTGCAACCCCTATTTACCCTTTATTCATTATCCCATTGATACTGCTTCCTTAAAGGTCGCTAATGAACCACTAAGAACTACATACAAGGGTCTTTACTGGATTGGTTCATCCTCATGATCTTCTGTTACTGCTTCTTGAAAATGCCTTGTTTCTCAACTGACGAGGCGTCCTTTTGATGTGTCTACATTCTCTTCCTTTCCGTGTCCACTTTATGGAGACACTAGCTAAGAATCCAGCTTACTGAACTCCAGGGCTTGCAAAGGGAATATGCTCCTTTAAGACTGAAATACAAAATACATTATTTCTGGAACCGTGATAATCTGAAAGCAGTTTTAAAACTTCCTGATGTTGTTTACTGTTGTTCTCAAGATAGAGAAAAAATTTATCTTGGAGGCAAAGATTCTTAGTTTAAAAAGTCAATGTAAATTTTAGTTATTAAAAAATAAAAACAAAGATCTCTTTCTACAATGAAAATGCTTGAGACAATTGAATGAAATGACTCAGCACCATAACATTATGATGTTCATGGTGGGCAGACCTTGAGGAGCTTGTTAGCAGGCAGCACCAGGGGCCCGGGGATGCGGAGTGGCTTACTGGATTGGGAAAGAATGTGGAATGGGGGTGAAGTTGGCAGTGGAGAGCAGGTGTTAAGCTCCTGCCAACATATACTTAACAAACTGAAAGCACTAATCAGGGACTGAGTCCCGGAAAGTACTTGAGGAAGTGAAATTGGTAGAAGGGGCTTGTGGTTGTTGGTGGGAGAAAGACTCAAAGACATAAATTGAGTATGAAAGGAAATGTGACCTTATTTTGTTATAACAGTTAGGTATGGGGACATATTTACATAATCCCTCAGTTACTTATTTTGGGGTTCTGACTCTATTCCCTGGTTTGACTTCATTGACTGGTGCTCAAAGAAAAACGATGAACAAAAGTGGTGGTAATGGATCTTTGTTCTAGCTTCTGATATTTATGTTATTAGCTATTGGTTTAGGACTATTATTTTTAACATGTTAATGTTATCCTTACTTTTTTTTAAAAATGAGAAATGGATGTTAAATTCCAAGACTGACTTATTGTTTTCTACTTTGATTTATTCATGTTAAATGATCATTCGATTTGAGTAATAACTTTTTAGGTCCTTCTTTTAGAGATTTTGATACATAGCTACTGAAGGGGGGCTTAGCACCATTTTAGTCATAACAAGAACTAAAAAACTTGCTTTTTCTTTATGCTCATCAACAGTTAAAATAGCATAACAATGACTGGGTTGAAAATCTGAATAAATTTTTGCATATGAAGTCATCTGTGCTGAAGGATGTTTTGAGAAGTAGCTATATAAAAATCAATTTCAGGCCGAGCGTGGTGGCCCAAGCTTGTAATCCCAGCACTCTGGGAGGCCGAGACAGGTGGATCACCTGAGGTCAGGAGTTTGAGATCAGCCTGGCCAACATGGAGAAACCCTGTCTCTACTAAAAATAAAAAAATTAGCCGGGCATGGTGGTGGGCCCCTGTAGTCCCAGCTACCCAAGAGGCTGAGGCAGCAGAATCACTTGAACCTGGGAGGTGGAGGTTGCAGTGAGCTGAGATCGTGCCACTGCACTCCAGCCTGGGTGACAGAGCAAGACTCTGTCTCAAAAAAAAAAACCAAAAAAACCCAAAAACAAAACAGGGTTTTTATTAGCATAGGTAACCAAACTTTTTATTTCCTTCATAAATGTGGTTCCTTCCTAATAATTTTATTTGTGGTTTTATTGTCTTTATTTTTGTATAAATTTAGGGACTGTAAGTGCAGTTTTGTTACATGGATTTGCCCCTGGTGTTGAAGTCTGGGCTTTTAGTATAAACATCACCTGAATAGTGTACATTGTACCAATTATGTAATTTCCCATCCCTCACCCCCTCCCACCCTCCTACACTTCCAAGTCTCCAATGTGTGTGCTTTATTTAGCTCCCACTTAGAAGTGAGAACATGCAGTATTTGACTTTCTGAGTTTTCACTTAAGATAACAGCTTCCGGTTCCATCCATGTTGCTGCAAAAGATATTTCAATCTTTTTTATAGCTGAATAGTATACCATGGTAAAATATATGCCACAATTTATTTATCCACTCATCTGTTGATGGACACTTACGTTGGTTCCATACCTTTGCTATTGTGAATAGTGCTGCTATGAACATAATGAGTGCTATGAACATAACGAGTGCTATGAACATAATGCGTGAATACTTTCCTTTGAGTATATACCCAGTAGTGGGACTGCAGGATCAAATGGTAGTTCTTTCAGAAATCTCCATACTGTTTTCCATAGACATACTAATTTATATTCTCAGCAACAGTGTATAAGCACTCCCTTTTCTCTGCAGCCTCACCAATGTCTTTTTTTTTGGTCTTTTTAATAACAGCCATTCTGACTGGGGTAAGATGATTTCTCATTGTGGTTTTAATTTGGCGTTCTCTGATGATTAGTGGTGTTGAGCATTTTTTCATATGGTTGTTGATCATTTCTGTGTCTTTTTTTCGAAAAATGTCTATTCATGTTCTTTGCTCACTTTTTTATTTATTTTTAAAATTTTTTATTTCCACAGGTTTTTGGGGAACAGGCAGTATTCGGTTACATGAGTAAGTTCTTTAGTGATTTGTGAGATTTTGGTGCATCCATTTCCTGAGCAGTATACACTGAACCCAATTTGTAGTCTTTGATTGCTCACCCGCTTCCCATCCTTTCCTCCTGAGTTCCCAAAGTCCACTGTGTGATTCTTGTATTTTTGCATCCTCATAGCTTAGCTCCCACTTATGAGTGAGAACATATGATGTTTGGTTTTCCATTCCTGAGTTACTTCACTTAGAATAATAGTCTCCAATCCCATCCAGGTTGCTGTGAATGCCATTAATTTAATCCTTTTTATGGCTGAGCAGTATTCCATTGTATATATATGTGTGTGTATATATATATGTATATATATATGTGTGTATATATATGTATATATATATGTGTGTATATATATGTATATATATATGTGTGTATATATATGTATATATATATGTGTGTATATATATGTGTATATATGTATACACACACACACACCACAGTTTCTTTATCCACTCGTTGACTGATGGGCATTTTGGTTGATTCCACATTTTTGCAATTGCGAATTGTGCTGCTACATGCATGAGCAAGTATCTTTTTCGTATAATGACTTCTTTTCTTCTGGGTAGATACCCAGTAGAGAGATTGCTGGATCAAATGGTAGTTCTACCTTTAGTTCCTTAAGGAATCTCCACACTGTTTTCCATACTAGTTTATATTCCCATGGGTTTGCCCACTTTTAAATGGGGTTATTTCATTGCTGTTGTTATTCTTGCAAATTCTGGATATCAGTTCCCTGTTGGATACACAGTTGGCAAATATTTTCTCCCTTTCGTCAGAATGTTTGTTCACTCTGTCCTTTTGTGCTGCAGAAGCCTTTTAGTTTACTTAAGTCCCATGTCTATTTTTGTTTTTGTTGCTTGTGCTTTTGAGGTCTTAGTCATGAATTATTTGACTAGACCAATGACCAGCAATTTTCCCTAGGTTTTCTTCTGATATTTTTAGTTTCAGGTCTTACATTTAAGTTCGTGATCCATCTTGAGTTGGTTTTCATATATGGTGAGAGGTAGGGGTCCAATTTCATTCTTCCACATATGGCAATCCAATTTTCCCAGCACCATTTATTGAAAAGGTGGTCCTTTCTCCAGTGTATGTTTTTGTCAGCTTTGTCAAAGATTGTTGGCTTTGTCAAAGATATGTGGCTTTATTTTTGAGTTCTCTATTCTGTTCCATTGATCTGTTTTTATACCAATACTATGCTGTTTTGGTTACTATATCTTTGTAGTATAGTTTGAGGTCAGATAATGTGATGCCTGCAGCTTTGTTCTTTTTGCTTAGGATTGCTTTGGCTATTTGGGCTCCTTTTTGGTTACATATGAATTTTAAGATGTTATAATTCTGTGAAAAATGATGTTGGTATTTTGATAGGGATTGCATTGCATATGTAGATTGCTTTGGGCAGTATGGTCATTTTCACAATATTAATTCTTCCAATCTATGAATATGGCATTTTTCCCATCTGTCTGTATCATCTATGATTTCTTTCATCAGTGTTTTGTAGTTTTCCTTGTGGAGAATTTTCATCTTCTTGGTTAAGTATCTTCCTAGATATTCACTTTTTTTTTTTTTGTAGCTATTGTGAATGGGATTGTGTTCTCGATTTTCTCAGCTTGATTGTCATCAGTATATCAAAATGCCATAAATGGTTTTGTTATCTTTTAAAAAGCAATCTAGAAAGTGTAGCAATTTTCAATTTCTGCTGTAACTTATCACAAATTAGTGGATTAAAACACAAATGTATTATCTCACAGTTCTGGAGGTCAGAAGTCTGAAATGAGTCTATAAAATGGGGCTGAAATCAAGATGTTGGTAGAGCTGTGTTTTAGAAGCATTAGGGAAGAATCCCTTTCCTTGCCTTTTCCAGCTTCCAGAGGCCACCTGCTTTCTTTGGCTTGTGGGCCCTTTCTCCATCCTCAAATCCAGCTGTGGAGCATCTTCAAATGTCTCTCTCTGACCTTTGCATCATTGACCAATTCTCTTGCCTCCATCTTTCCCTCATAACGATCCTTGTGACTACATTGGGTCTACTAGAAAAATTCAGGCTATTCTCCTATCAAGATCCTTAATGTAATCACATCTGCAAAGTTCTTTTTGACATCTGAAGGCTACATAACAAACACATGCATAGGTTCTGAGGATTAGGACATGGACATACTTGGATAATCATTCTGTCGAACACAAAAAAGATTAATTTGTTTTGTTTTAGAGTTTGTTCTTCAAACAATGAGCTGTTGGACTGACCACTTCTGTTTTTTAATTTATTGATTTCAGCTTTTACATTTTTTTGAGATTAATTTTGTAGTTTTTTTTTAAAATATAAGTTTTTAGTAGAATGCTTAATTCAGTTAATCTTATTCTATTAAGGAAAGTGTTCAGGTGTACAAATTATCCTCTGTGTAGAATGTTAATTGTGTCCCACCAATTGTATATAGTACTTTCATTATTATTTTCTAGATATTCTCCAATTTTGTTTTCGATTTCTTCTTTGTTCAAGGAATCACTTAACAATTATTTTTGAGCTTTTAATTGGTTGATTTTTGTTGTAACTGTTGTTTCTACATTAGTTTTATGTCATGGTAGTTATAGGGTACATTCTGCACCATATCTACTTTAGCAAATACATTGTTATATACGTGTGTGCATGTACCCTATAATTACATGTATCATGAGTATAAAATGATGTGCATTCTCTATTTGCAGAGTTTAAACATATGTGTTATTAGTTATTATTCAGATCCACTGTATCTTGGAGATAATGTCTACACTAGGTCATAATTTTTTTTTTATAGCAGCATAATGTTCCATTATATGGATGTACCATACTTTATTTAAATAGCCCTTATGGATAGATAACTGAATTGTCTTTTTAACAAAGCTGTAATGAAAAAATTTTATACATACCATTTTGTAACTGTGAATGTATATCTGAATGATAAATGGTTTAATGTGGAATTTCTGAATCTAAGGCTACATGAGAGTATTATTTTTCTTCTTAGTCCCTTTCCTTTGCTCTGTTAATTCTGTTTAAATCTGACTCAATTATTTTATCTACTGAATCACATCATCCATGTTTTCTTAACTTTTTTTGAGACTTCAAAGCCATTGTATTCTAAACTTTTTTCCTCTTTCCTCAGAAAATGTTCCTTCTTCCAAATGTACCCCAGCTTTCTTTTGGTGTTTTCTCTCCTCCTCCCAGCCTTCCCCTTCACCCCACATTTTTGGCATAGTTCCCCTGCTATTTTCATTTGGGATATTTCACTTTGTGATTATTCACGGCCCCAAAATAATCTGCATTCAGTATCTTTAATTCTCCTATTTGCTTGTCGCAATTTTCATTATTACCTATAATTATGTTGGGTGCAAGTAATATTTTAATGGCTGTGGGTGTATTATAAAATATTTGAATGTATTATTACATGTTAATTTCCTTTGCATTTAACTGTATTTCATTGATTTTTATTATATATGTTGTTCACATTTTAATGCTTCTGGAATCAGGATGTAATACCATTAACATGCAAATCAATATTATAGTACTTTATCTTTTTTCTAGAAAAATATGTTTTTAAATAGTGAGGCTTACAATTGATGGTGTATTGAAACCAAGTAAACAAGGTATTTCCTGTCACACTGAATGTGTTGTCAAGCACAGTACATGTAAAACTTCCTAGATCCTTTTTAAGTTGGTGTAAAATTGAAATCTGTAATACGTGTTATATTTGTTCCCTATTTTAAGCATAGATGAATTCTATGTTTCTATTTTTTTTTCTTTTCATATCCTTGGGTTTTGCTGTGTGTGGGTGTGACACTTAACCGTCTTTCCAGAAATGTTTATCACTAAATCCTGAAAGAAGAGTCTACAAATTTCCATATGATTTTGTAGGACTCTCAAAACCCTGTAACATCTCTTTCTGCAAAAATTTGTTGGAGTAAGGGGTATATTTGATAAAGACATTAGGCAAAAGGCCTATGTGTGCACACAACTGTTATAATGAAAATCCAAGGAAGAAAGGCAAATTTGTAACATTAGAATTTCTATGTGGACCACATTTGGAAAGCAGTGTTAATTTAATCCATACATAATATCAAAGGATGCTTTGGTGTGTGCTCATCTTCAAAGGAAGCATTCAGGAAAACATGACACAATAAGCCAAGACTCTAATAACCTCACATTCTGGAACTTCAGTAAAAACAGACCAGTACAATACCTTTATTCTATCTTTACAGCAACTTTTTCTGTAACCTTCTGATTAGGCTAAATTAAACATATGTTCAAGTTTGGTTCTATAAATTAAATCTTTTTTTATAAATGCAAAATCTATATATTATTTTTAAAACCTGTTTTACACATTAGAAATAAGACAGAACTAAATATTTATCGAGATAAGTTAGGGTAGTTTCTTGGCCATGAAGAAATAAGTTAGAAGCCGTTCTAAGTTTTGTTGTAAGAAGAAAAAATTGTACTATTCAAACTAAAATCTCCTGGAACACTAAAAAGACATGTCAATGTGAATATCCCTGACATCCGAAAGAATCTGGATCAAAGGCAAACTTTCAACCAAACAGATGCCAAAAAGTAAATTGTCTTCCTAAGACAGGAAGCTGGCCATTTTCTTTCCTTGCTGAGCTTAAATTTTCCATGAACTATATACCATGTATTCGATCACACACAAACCCAAATAATAGGATCATACACTGTTCCCCCCTTTTTTTTTTTTTTTTAAGAGATAGGATCTCGCTACATTGACCAGGCTGGATTCAAACTCCTGAGTTCAAGCGATCCTCTCACCTCAACCCCCGACCGAGTAGCTGGGACTACTGGTGTGTGCCACCATGCCCAGCTTTCATACACTCTTGTAATACATAAACATGAGACTCTGGGATTAGAAGTAAAACCTTCATGGAGATGAAGCTGAGGTAAACTGTTATTAGTGACACCTGACCTGCTCTTTTGTATGACTCAGATTTTTACTAGTACTTTTGTAAAAAGGGAACAAGCTTCAAATAGAAGAATTGCATGCCTTTTCAATGGTAATAATGGGCTATGTGGAGATATAAATAATTGGCTTATGAGAGACTAAAGATATAATGTTCTAAAATCTTTAAAAATTCATAACTTCCAACTCCTTTGCAGGACTACAGTGCTATGGAAATAGATGTCTTATTCCCAGACATAATGTCTCCCATTGTGTCAGGTAATGAGAGTGTCAGCTACACATTACTTTCAGCAACAAATTCCTCTTTATTTGTTTCCTAGGTCCTAAAAGCCTGATCTCTTATTTGCCTTCTTGCATTTTATTCCATTGTACCCAATACTCCTGATTTTCCAGAAACATGGGGTTGTGGGCACTGTGGATTGCATTGTAAATTCATGGAATTGAGTTAAATGATATGACTGTATTGGTTTAAGGCCCATCTTTTAAAAATTATCACGAAATATTTAGGTACACAAAAAGTACAGACTATATTAAATCAGCACCTATATTCCCATCACCCACCCTAAGATATGAAACATTACTGACACAATTGAAGCAGCTCAACTTTTCTCCCCTGAGGAAATTCCTCACCAGTATTTGGTGCTTTTCTTTTCTATTCATTTATTCTTCCACTATATATGCCCCCATAAACACATATTTTTCATGCTTCAAATTTTAAATATCATATTCCTCTAAAACATTCTTTGTTCATCCATGTTTCATCCCTATTTCATATGTAGCTCTAATTATTTTTTATTGCCACAGTATTCCATTGTATGACTATCACATATATCTATTACTGATGGATATTTAGATTGTTTCCGGGTTCTTACTACTTAAAAATAATGGTGCTATGAACTTTCCTATTCACTATCTCACTGCATCAATGTGAGACTTGCTCTGGGATATGCACCTAGGAGAACTGTTAGATTGTAGGGTCTTCAACTTTGCTAGATAGCCAGTTGCCTTCCAAAGTGGTTGTACCAATTTATGCTCCCATCAGCAGATCTGAGGCCCCACCCATCACATCCTGTGAGATTACAAGCCCTTGGTAAGCAAGGCATTAGCTTTTGGAATCCTCTGAGACGAAGCTACATTCCTGTAACTAGTCCAAGTGCTAGTTACCCCCAGGGCATTTTTAGCTTGGCTCCATGTTTTTAGGTTAATTTGTAGGTTTTGAGGTTTCATGAATTTGAAGGTAGTGTGAATTCAAATCATTCTAAAGCCATGGGCAGGTAAGCTCATAGTCAGAATTCTCAGAGGTTTTTTTTTTTTTTTTTTTGAGACGGAGTCTCACTCTGTCACCCAGGCTGGAGTGCAGTGGCGCAATCTCAGCTCACTGCAAGCTCCGTCTCCCGGGTTTACGCCATTCTCCTGCCTCAGCCTCCCGAGTAACTGGGACTACAGGCGCCCACCACCATTCCCGGCTAATTTTTTGAATTTTTAGTAGAGACGGGGTTTCACTGTGTTAGCCAGGATGGTCTTGATCTTCTGACCTCGTGATCCGCCTGCCTCGGCCTCCCAAAGTGCTGGGATTACAGGCATGAGCCACCGCGCCCAGCCCAGAGAGGCCTCTTTTAAAAAATGTTTTAAAAATCAAAAGCACAGGCCAAGTCAGAAAGCCTCCTTGTGGTCTTCCTGGCCAGCAGGAGATTTTTCTTTTCTTGTCTACCCTTGTGCTGAGAGTGTTGGTTATTATAGAGCTTGAGCATTATGTGCAGAGCTCAGTTGTCACTTCATGTTATATGGGCTGAAGGCTTTGAGTGGCTATTAATATCTAAACTTGTTGATTGAGACTGCTACCCTCCTCCCCACCACCCAGCCTCCTGCACCAGAGTCATTTCAAGCTTCTGGTTTTTATTCTATTGGGAATGAGATTTCTTTCATTTCCTTGTTTAGGCCCTGAAGGATAAGTTTTCCTCTTATTTTCTTGTGCCCTTAGCCATATATTTAATAGGGAAGAAGGTAAGTTCCTCTCTTGTTTCATAATTTTCTATGTAGATAACAACTAAAGGGAACACAGAGCATAAAAGTTTTGAGGTTGTATTTATTTCAATATGGAAGTCTTGTTTTCCAGATCTGCAGCGTCCAAGAGAACCTTCTGAATGATGGGAATGTTTTCTACTCTGTCCAGTGTGGCAGACCCTTGCCACATGTAGCTATTGAGCATTTGAAATGTGGCTGATATGTCTGATAAACTAATTCTTAAATATTATTTAATTGTAATTAATTTAATTAAAATGGTCAGATACAATTAGTGGTTATTGTATTTGACAACACAGTTCTAAGTGGTAATATTCTTTGTCCCCTAGGTGGGTTTATGTACTGGTAAACCAGTGTTGTCTTGAAAATCTGATATTTTTGAGGATGTAAATATATTTGAGGATTAAATATTTGAGATGTGACTTCAGAATATATGTCACCACAGGCTGGGCATGGTGGCTCACACCTGTAATCTCAGCCCTTTGGGAAGCTGAGGCAGGAGGGTCACCTGAGGCCAGGAGTTGGAGACCAGCCTGGGCAACACAGCAAGACTCTGTCTCTCTGTTTAAAAAAAAAAATTAGCCTGACATGGCAGTGTGCACCTGTTGTCCTAGCTACTCAGGAGGCTGAGTCAGGAGGATCACTTGAGCTCCAGGAGTTTGAAGGTGCAGTGAGCTACGACTGTGCCACTGCATTCCAGCCTGGGTGACACAACAAGATCCTATCTCTAAACAAACAAACAAGGAATGTATGCCACCACAAAACTGTATAGCCCATTATTTTGATAATCAGGTATTTCTTGTCTGATTTGTCTTTCTGGGAATTTTCAAAGATCTACAGTGATCAAGTTTAAGTGCACATTCTTCCCATTGCCAGTTTCTGATCTGAAGTCAGAGAATCACTTTCTGAAAGCTTTTTCAAGAGTATTTATGAAGTAATAAAGTGTGAAGAAATCCTGAGGATAAATAACAAGAAGCATAAATATACATATTTAGAATGCAACATAATATGTTTAAGATTACAATTTGGCGGCAGGGCGCAGTAGCTCATGCCTGTAATCCCAGCACTTTGGGAGGCCGAGGCGGGCGGATCACGAGGTCAGGAGATCGAGATCATCCTGGCTAACACGGTGAAACCCTGTCTCTAATAAAAAAAAAAAAAAAAAAAAATTAGCCAGGCATGGTGGTGGGCACCTGTAGTCCCAGCTACTCAGGAGGCTGAGGCGGGAGAATGGCGTAAGTAAACCCAGGAGGCAGAGCTTGCAGTGAGCCTAGATCACGCCACTGCACTCTAGCCTGGGCGACAGAGCAGCGAGACTCTGTCTCATAAAAAAAAAAAAGTACAATTTGGCCTATCTTTGAACTAAAAAGTTTACTGGTACCCTGAAAATATGTATAAGTAAAAACATGAATGCTTCATATGATTTATTAAAAGCATTTTATGAAAAAAAAACAAAAACACAAAACCTCTCCAGGTATGGTGGCTCACGCCTGTAATCCCAGCACTTTGGGAGGCTCAGGTGGGTGGGTCACCTGAGGCCAGCAGTTCGAGACCGGCCTGGCTAACATGGTGAAACCTTGTCTCTACTAAAAATATAAAAATTAGCTGCGTGTGGTGGTGCACACCTGTAGTCCCAGCTACTCAGGAGGTTGAGGCAGGAGAATTGCTTGAACTCAGGAGGCGGAGGTTGCAGTGAGCCAAGATCGTGCCACTGCACTCCAGCTTAGGTGACAGAGTGAGACTCTGTCTCAAAAAAAAAAAAAAAAGACAAAACAACAACAAAAAAAACCCAAGCCTACTGATCTAGGCTTAGAGTGGGCTTACACTTTCAAAGGGCATTGTATTATACAAAATATCTCTCAAAAAAAATTTTTTTGGCCATAGGTAGAGATTAAGAAGGCTAAAACAAAAATGCATATATGAATTTTAATGATAACACATATATGTATATTTGAAAACAAGGCCACATAAGCCTGGCTGGCACATTGGGCCATTTTACTGGCTGGCCTTCAAAAATAAAGATTACAAAAAATTTATCCACATACACTTTTTTATATCCCTAAAGATTACAAAAAATTTATCCACATATACTTTTTTATATCCCTGTATAAAATTGATGCCAACATGTTTGGCATTTTAGAAAGACACTCAAACAGATTCTGGAAAAAGAAATCGCTTCATGGGATGAACAGACTAGGTCGCAAATGAAAAAGCTAAACATTTGTTTTTTAAACCACACCACAAATTTCCAGGTAAAACTGATTGAAACTTATGCTCAGAGATATTTTCACTGTACTTACATGACTTGAAAATCTGTAAGAACCAAAGCCCCTAAATTCTACTGAACATACTTCAAACATTTTGCCTAGTAAAATTTTTTTTAACACTCTCAAAAAATTTTAAAAAGAAACAAATTTTCTCTGGAAAGGATTTTCAGCATCTTGAATATATATATTTTCTCAGAGTGTATGCAGCCCACTCTTCTCTTGATAATCTTCATAAAAACGTCTCAATGACTCAGGAATTCTAGGTGTCACAGTGCTCAAGGCCTGAGTGAAATGTCTTTTCATGATGAGATTGGCTTGAATGTCTTCTTCCAGAGCCAGAAGAGCTGCCTCTCTGCAGACAGCTACAATCTGAAATTTTAAAAAATAAGTAAATAAAAGGAGGTAGAAAACAATCAGTACTCTTTTAGAAACATAATATTCCAAATATTCATCTGTGGTACCTTCTACAACTAAATGCCCATTGCTAAAATTTATCTGCAAGAATTAGTCCACTCAAGTTTTCAAAAGGATAAAAGGTAATCATATACAGAGCATTCTGTTCTTTCCTTCATCCCAAAGCAACGTATTAAGTACTCAGAACCAGGAGTGCCAAAAGATATCTAAGAAGTGGCATTTGCTTTTAAGGGCATTTGCTCTTAACTGTAAGGGTAGGTAGCTGTGCACGCACATACTTTTAACAAGGGATGGCAAAGGATGCATGTCTCTATGTGGTGGAGGGAGGCGGGAGCCAACGGTCAAGGGAGGGCAGAGGGGGAGATATTCTGATACAGAGTGAGGCCTTGCTCATCAACACACCGTGTCATAGCACAGAGTTTCCACATTCCTTTCAACCTTTGATGTATTACCAACATGTAAAAGCATTTCTTTATGTGTATCTCTTTAATGAGTTCTTAAATCTCAGGAATATCAGATAGGGTTGTCAACATTTACTTTGGAGAGCTGCATTAGAACAGAGAAGTGAATGCTGTTTACTCAGCCAGGAAAGCTGGAAGAATTGAAAAGAATCTGGGGAGGGGGCGGAATGGATGCAGAGGGAGGAGGGAGGAGGCAGTAGGAAAACGGAAGGGGAGGAAGGTTCAAGAATCCCGAAATGTGTTTTTAAGCTCTCTGGACTTCAGACAGCGGAAGCAGGCTGATGCCAGTGTCATTCTAAAGACACATTACGGTAGTGAAAAGAGCTTGTGGGATGAAAAGAGATATTGTGATTTTCAGGGCAACAGGGAAAACAGTGATTGATATTGACTGCGCCCTTATATTGGTAAATGAAAGGGCCAGCTGAAACACATTTGTCCATCCATTCAGCGTATTTTCTCTGTTTGTTCACTCACTGAAAAGAGTTCCTCTGCTTATGCTGGGCTAATGGCTGCCAAAGCAGTTTAGTAGCTTTTTAGGGGATTTAGCAGCATGTTTAGGGAGCTTTCAAAAACATGCATAGATTTAGATGGCTTTGTCAAATTACGACAATGTAACTATTAGTTCTGGGCTTCATTAATGAGCGCCGAAGTTAACTGTAGTGGTTATGCATGTTAATGTTTTTCTGAAAAAAGAGGGTGGCTATCATCTTGTTGAAGGAAAAAACAAAACTTCAAGGGATTAGTAAAACCACTTTATCACATGTTCTGGTGCAAAAAGAGCTCTTTTGAAAACAAGAATGTGATAATTAATAAGCACAGTAAAAACCTGTGAAATGACCAGCATGGTAAACTGGCTATCCAATGGTTCCACTGTGTTCTAAGGGGACCTTGGAGATCTCTACAAAGGGAGGTGAAGGGACCAAGTGGGAAGAGTCCCCACCCACACCCTTCTGAGCAGCACTTCTTTCATCTGGACAAGAATTTGAAGCAATGGTTGCAAGGCTAAGAAGTCTGAAGAATCACTGGAAGAGGCAAAGAGCACTACATTTCCTGCCAGGTGACGGAGCTCTCTTTCTCTCTCCTGCATACCTCCCCCACCCCTCATAGCTGAGACTCCCTCAGAGAATAGAGAGCCTGGCACATAATGGTTGGGAACATTTATTGAGCACCTACTATGTGAGTGGACAAATATTAATTACTGTACTATTTCATTTGCTATATGACTGATATCTCCCTGTTTTTGCACAGTGCAGTGATCTTGCTAATAGGGGTATGTGTAAAGTCTGATGGAAACACATCCAACAGAGTGGCCAGATGAGCATGTGTACCATGGTGGCCAGGGCGGGGGTTGGAAAAAGAGCAGGGTTGAGAAAAAAAGAGGTAACCAAAAGGCTGCCTGGAACCTCTCAACGTTTCTGGGTTTTGATTCACATGGCGAGATGGGCGGTTTGCCCCGCTGGCACATCCGAGGAAGGGAACCAATTGTCAGACAGGCTTTCACTCTCAACACACAGTAATCAAACTGGCAGAAGAAGAAATGGTTGTACTCCTGTAATCACTGGAACCTCAGGGAGCCTAATACAGCACAGTAAATAAATGTAGGTAGTGGGAAATGTTATATCATTAGGGCCTAGAAGGCTGTCCTTAGGGTCAGTTCCCCTGGGCATTCCTCTTTGCAGAATCACTTACTTTCCTTCACATTTGCTTCTATAGATTTTCTCTCTCTTTTTTTTTTTTTTTTTTTTTTTTTTTTTTTGAGACAGAGTCTCGTTCTGTCACCAGGCTGGAGTGCAGTGGCGTAATCTCGGCTCCCTGCAACCTCCGCCTCCTGGGTTCAAGCGATTCTTCTGCCTAAGCCTCCTGAGTAGCTGGGACTACGGGCGCGTGCCACCACGCCTGGCTAGTTTTTTGTATTTTTAGTAGAGATGGGGTTTCACCATATTAGCCAGGATGGTCTCGATCTCCTGACCTTGTGATCCGCCCGCCTTGGCCTCTCAAAGTCCTGGGATTACAGGTGTGAGCCCCCGAGCCCAGCCTGCTGCTATAGATTTTTCTATGAGCTATAAGTTGTTGTTTTGTGGTGGCTTACATGGTAATGACAAAGCGGCTTTAGTGATCAGTTATGGTCAGAGAAGTAGTGACCACCTGAAATGTGAATGTTTGTAACTTGGGGCCTCTAGTATATGTCAACATTTGGGAAAAATTTCCCTACTATATTTAGTACTCCCCTGTCTCTTAAACAATTCCATCTAGCTTGGAGAACTACGAAACTTGAGATATAGAAAACTTGGACAGAGTTTTGACCAGATCACTAATGGTTGGATGAGATAGGGATGACCTAGAGAACTTCTGAGTGTTAATGAAAAGAGAAACATGGGTACTCAAGGACCTCAATATGAACGTGACTTCTTCTGTGTAGAGGAAGGAGTGCAGCTGTCTGTATGTCCTAGGGCGGGAGAAACACTGCCTGAATTCAACACTTGCTTCAATAAACATTACTCTGTTTCTTTTTATTTATAAAGGATGCTCTGAAGAACTAGTCAATAAGGTCATCTTCTTCTGCCACTCTTACTTTCCTATCACATTTACTTAGCAATATACTGCCAGTAACTGAGGGAAATGTAACCAGGACACTACAAATAATTAGCCAGTCATTCTTTCGTCAATCAACATCCACTGAATAGCTACTCTGTGCAATAACTATATTAAGCCAGGTGGAAGATCCAGGCATGTCTAAGATATAGCACCTGTCTTCCCCTGCTCACAAACCAGTAGTGGATGCATGTAAGGTAAATGCCGTGTGTACCATGGTATTAGAAGTACTTTCAGGGAGGCAAATGGAAAGGGCTTTAGTGTGGAGAGAAGGAATAAGTTACAGCTTTGGAAACCAAAGTGTGAAGAACAGAACTGAGACATGCATACAGGTAAGGGAAAGGAATAAAATGAGTAGAGAAGCAGCAAGGTGGGAAGAAAGAAAACACGGATTACATTGAACTAGCCTCAGTAGACAGAATGGAGAAATTTTTTTAAAAGAATAATTCTACCATCAAATATAACTAAAATTCACAATGATAGTGTTTTCAAAGTCATGTGGGCCACAATGACAGTGAAAGCTAGTCAATGCCAGTCCTCTCTAAAGCTCTAAACCAAATCCACAAGCAGCTGATGCACAAGCAGCTGACAGAGCGCCACTCCTAAAAGTTCCTTTTGTTTTTATTTTTTCCTCATGAAAAGGCTTCTTAGTAGAAATTCCAAAAGCAAAAGCATTGACTGGATTATTGGTTCTTTTCTCCTACCGCGAATAAAAAGGTAGATTTGGAAACAGATGTATTCTTAGGATGTCCATGATGGCTGGTTTCTATTTGCTCTGGGAGCCACTTACTGTGGTATGAGTTCCAAGATATGATATAATATCTCCCAAGAAAAGTGCAGCTCTCCTGCTCTTCTCATGGTCCACGCCAGCATTTCCGTTAAGAAATCAGTGTGTTCAGGAGAAGTATTCCATGGTCAAATAAGTTTTGGGCAACACTATACAGGTTGAGTATTCCTTATCTGAAATGCTTGGGACCAGACATGTTACAGATTTTGGAATATCTGCATTCTACTTACTGGTTGAACATTTGTAATCTGAAAATTTGAAATCCAAAATGCTCCAATGAGCATTTCCTTTGTGTGTTATGTTGGTACTCAAAAGTTTTGAATTTTGGAGCACTGTGGATTTCAGATTAGTGATACTCAACCTGTATATATTCTGTTCCCCATGGTGCACAATAGAATTTTAAAGGTTTTACAAAGGCTACTAATGATGGTCAGTTTGATTTTCTTTAACCCAGTGCAATGGTCTGAATGTTTTTCTCCAAAATGTATATGTTGAAACTTAATCTCCAATGCTACTAGTATTAAGAAGTGAGGTCTTTGGGAGGTGATTAGGTTGTGAGCGTTCTGTACTCACTGACAGAATTAGTACCCCTATAAAAGAAGCCTGATGGAGCTGGTTGGCCCCTTCCACCATGTGAGGACACAGCTAGAAGGTATGTCTATGAGGAATAGGCCCTCACCAGACACCAAATCTGTTGGCACCTTGATCCTGGACTTCCCAGTTTTCAGAAGTGTGAGCAATAAATTTGTATTATTTAAAAATTGCCCAGTCCAAGTTATTTGGTTATAGCAGCCAGAATGGACTACGACACTCGTTGTTTCCCATAGAACTCTTCCCCTCCTATTTCTGGCAGAATATCTATAAATGGTTTAATGGTGATCTTTGGCACATACTTTGGGAGATACCAAACAACTCAATCAGGGCACATTATGGCTCTTGCTTATTAGCATAGCTTTTTACTTTTGCTCTCCCCATTCCAAAATAGAAAAAGGAAGCGGGTGGAGGACAGAAACACAAGGAATAGACATATAGACATATTCCTTGTGTTTCTGAGAAGATGGGGAGAGGACATGAGAGACAGAAGGAAGGCCAGTGTGTTTAATGGGTCAAAGGGCAGCAACAGTGGTAGCAGCCAAAGCACTTACTTGTGCTCTGGCTATGTAAATAGTCAAGGTATGTTTGCTGAACTGAATAGTTACTTAACTACAACTACCTTTTCAAAAAGATGCATGCTATGTTCATCTTCCCCAGATTTGGCCAATCTATAGTATTTTTAGTTACTTATGTTTCATATGATCTAGATAAGCAGTCCCCAACCTTTTTAGCACCAGGGACTGGTTTCGTGGAAGACAATCTTTCCATGGACAGGGGGCGGAGGAGTGCGGGTGGTTTCAGGATGAATCCGTTCCATCTCAGATCATCAGGCATTAGACTCTCATAAGGAGTGCACAACCTGGATCCCTCACATGCACAGTTCACAATAGGGTTCCCACACCTATGAGAATCTAATGCCGCCGCTGATCTGACAGGAGGTGGAGCTCAGGTGGTAATGCTCACTTGCCCACTGCTCACCTCCTACCGTGTGGCCTGGTTCCTGACATGCTACGGACCAGTACCGGTGCATGGCCTGGGGGTGGTGGGAACCCCTGATCCAGATGTTGTCAGGTCTTCTTAAGTTCTTAGAATGAAGAGAAAGTAAATAACTAAAATTGTTTAATACTGTGATGTATGTTCATCTCAAGCTATGTTTTCAGTTTGGAGCACTACTCTGCATTTAGTTCTTTCTGTAGAACTAATTTCTAACATAAATTAGAAATTCTAGCAAGAATACAGCTATGCTTTTGTTATTTTTGAGAGATGCTTTCTTCGGTATCAAAATGTATCCCACAGGAACAGGAGCTTCTTTGTTGTATTGTCATAGAAAAAAACTGCACTGGAATGGAGCACAACTTCAGAAAATTTACAAACAGTGCAGTAACATATAGTCACGTGTTGCTCAACAACAGGGATATGTTCTGAGAAGTGCATTGTTAGGTGCTTTCACTGTTGTGTAGACAGACTGTCCTTACACAAATCTAGATGGTAATAGCCCATTCCACACTAGGCTATAGGGTCTATTCTATTGCTCCTACACTACACACCTGTACAGCATGTTACTGAATACTGTAGGCAGGCAACTGTAACACAATGTAAGTATTTGTGTATCTAAACATAGAAAAGGTACAGCAAAAATATAATATTGTAATCTTATGGGACCACCATTATGTATCTGGTCCATTGTTGACTGAAATGTTATTATGTGGTGCATGACTGTATATTATTTTGGAGAATTAGAATGGAATCTTTGCTAAAAAAAGAAAATTATGCAAATGGCGATTTATTGTCTCACTTGATGAAACTAACCTAAGATTACGGGATTTTCCTTTCTGTGTTAAGCTTTGGAAAAATGAGGTCTTTTCAGATAAATCTGTCAACATATCTCTCTATTTAGGAATGAATACTACAGAAACTGAGGGAAAAAACCCTTCAATTTAAACTAGGACCTTTCTCATTACTAGCTATAAAGTTTATAGGAAAACCTAATGAGATAAGTATGTGTGTGTTTGTGTGTTTGTGTGTGTGTGTGTATCTACACTGAACCCAGGGACCACCACAAAGCTCATCACTCTGCTGGCATCACATTCAAAATGCAGATGGAGCTGGGTGTAGTGGTGTGGGCCTGTAGTCATGCTACTTAGGAGGCTGAGATGGGAGGATCATCTGAACCCAGGAGTTCAAGGCCACGCTGGGCAACACTGCAAGACTCTGTCTCTAAAAAACAAAAAGCAAAAGTAGATAAAGTCTGGAACAGTTTCAGTGATGGGGGAATTCAGCTGAATTGTTCCTATGAGGCCATAAAGAACTCTGCTGAGTAGATGTATAGGTGAATAGACAAGTTTGAATCACAGACTGTCTGGAATGTTAAACTAACCCATTTAGAGAGAAAACCTGGGTCGCTCAAGCTCCTTAACTTCTTTGGCAAAAAGGATTTTGGAAGCTTTCCCCTAATCCCTTCACCATCTTGTCCTCTTCCCCCATAGGCTGCAGACTACATCATAGAAATGAATTACTAGCCAACTACCAGCAAGATTGCTTTTGCTATTAGGCTGTAAAAACAAAAACGTTTTGGCCAGCTCTATAAATCTGAGTATTTCATCTTATTCAGTTTTGACTAAAAAATGGATACCTGACCAGCCTGGCCAACAGGGTGAAACCCCGTTTCTACTAAAAATACAAAAAATTAGCCGGGTGTGGTGGTGCATGTCTGTAATCCCAGCTACTTGGGAGGCTGAGGCAGGAGAATCACTTGAACCCGGGAGGCAGAGGTTGCAGTGAGCCAAGATCGTGACATTGCACTCTGGCTTGGGCAACAAGAGTGAAGCCCCATCTCAGAAAAAAAAAAGAAAAAAAAATTGATATCCAAGCTTTAGAATATATATATATATACAGCTTTTTGCAAAGGTAAAACATTATCTGTTTGTGAAAATGAGAAAATAAGACAAAAAAATAGCAGAGTGGGCCCAAGATCTCACTGTCAGAGCTAGACGAAGACATGCCTTTGTTTCAGTGGCTATGACACTAATTTATTTGGTGCCAACATGTCACAAATTTTCTTTCCATTTGTTCAGCAGTAATAATAGATCTGACGATCGAATATCTGACAAAAACATAAAACAACAAAGGCAGGATCTCACAATGTGAAGGATTTAGGCATATTTGAAATGAATTCCTAGGACGTAGGAAAAGATTTTTAACAAAAATGTTTAGAAATCCTCACAGACACTGAATAAAATAGTAATTAGTTTCAAATGTGGGGAAAAAAGCAATGAAAGCAAAGGGACATGTGAGTATAAAGTTTCATGCTATGCTAGCTCTCTGAAAAAGCAGTTCCTTTATAACAACAATATAGCAATAACTGGATTACGCGAGACAGCTCCACTTGTGAGCAGTGTGGGGAAGCAACTCCGCGGGATGAGAAGGCTCTTGACCATTGAACCTTGGGAAATCTAATTACCTCACTTTTAAATGCAAAAGGGCAAAAGAGGCAATTGTGCAGAATTCTGAATGCCATGAAGAATAAGAACAATGTCTTACTTCACTGTGGAAAAAAATGAAACCTCTTATACATTGCCTACGGTTCTTTCCCCCAATTCATGAGACAAGAAGAGTTTAAACAGGTGGCTCAGCTTAGCAAAACAGAAACAGGCGTATTGTGAAAATTAAAACCAACATGGTTTCTAAGCAAGCAGTAATAATTTAAAAAAATGACGTGATAAAAAGTAACAGTCAAGGCAAAGACTGTTTACCAAAAACTAATCAACAGGAAGGAAAAGCTGAAAACGTTGGGCCCTATTCTGGGTATTCATTCCCGCTGTGCTTTAACTCTTCCCATGTTCTTTTCAGTTTCACAGTAGTACTAGGGGCTTTTCTGGTGCGTTGACAGATTAGAAACCCAATTGTAAATTTAAGCAGTTGCTTCCATTTCCAGATAAGACCTGGGTAGCGTCAGCATGTCCTCGCTATTGGCTGTAAACAGGTTACAATAATGACAACAGGCAAACATACCCATGAGAGTGGCACACAGGCGTGGGAAGAAGGGATGCTGCTGTAAGTGCGCCTGAGGAGTAGGGGAACCAAGAACCGCTCCCTTCCAATAGGGATGCCGAAATTCTAACTTGACCTTCCCCACTACATTCTTAACTGCCTCTCAGAGATTATCGATATCCTCAAAGAAAGGTGGAAGGGTAACAAAGGTCCGAAGGTGACTTAAACAACTACCTAATTTCTGCTTGGATCCTGTCATCCCCTCCCCACACTTCTGGCAGGCACAGGGAACACTTGGATCTGTGGAGAAAATGAAGCCAGCACTTTAAAATGTGTCAGAAGATGAAAAGTAGTTCCTGATAGCTGAATTCATTCACCTAGTTTAACCAGCATGTGGCAGGGCTGCTTAAAAGTTCATAGGAAAACTACAACTGCATCCTAGAGATTGTAATTTAAGAGTACACACAAGGTCATGGCTATGCAGCAATTTCTTGTGTGAGTGAGTGAACTGCACAGTTCAGGCTACAGTATCAGACGCGACCAAGCTGGAGGAGGGAGACACCCCTCACGTCCTTTTTCTGCAGCTGCACACTGAATCCACGTATTGGCAGAGATGCTGTCTCTGCGCTCGGTCACGGCAGCCTGGCTGCTGCCCCCGCTGTTCTGCATGAAGCAAGCACGCCTTCCACTGAGGCCGAAATGTGCTTCTCAGCTTCTTTGTATTTGAAGGGTACTAAATAGCTTTAAAGAATCTACCAAAAGAAATGGGCTGCAGTGCTTCAAAAAGTCTTAGGTATTTTCAAGAAAGTGGTTTTGTTAAAAGCATCTTCTGTCTGGAACACCTGTGACCTGTTGAGCTTAATTGGGCTGCAGCTGGCGATGATTGTGGTGCAGCCGCTGGAGGGCCCAGGCGCTGACATTGTGTTGCCTCTGCTCACCCGCCCCCTCGCTTTTCTTTTCACTTTCACAGCCTTGCGACCTCCTTCCTCTGTGTGTCTGAGGGATTAGGAACCCAGTAGAGAGTGATGTCCTGCTGTTTGCGAACACATGCACTGGAGGTGCTTCAAGGAGGAGGCTACCTGGGAGATTATGTGCTCATGTGGATGCAGGGGGAGGGCCCTTTACCCAGGCCCATTGAGACCTGATGAAAGGTGCTTGAATGGCCAGGCATGAAAGATGTGACTGAAGGGAGCACAGCAGGCTCCTGGCTGCAGAGCAGCAGATGGAAGTCAGACTATCACAGGCACAAACAGCAAGGGGTGCCCCAAACTGCCAAGAAAGCAGCTCAGGGAGTAAAATGGCATTGGAGAAGGGAATTCAGAGGTAAAGCAAGCAGCACTTATTTTTAAAATGCCACTTCACTGAAAACCATTTAAGCGGTGAGTAGAGTAGTATTTCAGAGGACAGATTTCAGATTTAAGGAATTACCTAACTTTTGCTCTTGGGCTAAATTCCCTTGAATCGTCTGCAAAATAGGCTTCATGATAATTAATCCATCTGGGATTATGTTAAAGTCATACAATCTAGGATGCCATACATAAGAAAATAAAAATTTCTGTAAAGACACACTCAAAGCTTAATGACATTAGAGAAGGGGAACACACTTGGTTGCTTAATTTTGCTGATTCAAAGTTGTTTTTGTTTGTTTGTTTTTGTTGAAGACAGGGTTGCTCTCTGTCACCTAGGCTGGAATGAAGTAGTTTGAACATGGGTCACTGCAGTCTTGACCTCCTGGGCTCAAGTGATCCTCCAGCCTCAGCCTCCCAAGTAGCTAAGACTACAGGTGTATGCCACCACGCCTGGCTTTTTTATGTTTTATAGAGATGAAGTCTTACCATGTTGTCCAGGCTGGTCTCTAACTCCTGGCCTCAAGTGGTCCTCCCCAGCTGGCCTCCCAAGTGTTGGGACTATAGGCGTGAGCCACCATGCCCGGCCTTAACGTTATCTTGAGGTCTTTGAAATATATAGCTAAAGTATATATTCAGTGTATAACCTTTCATTATAAACTTGCATGGTGAAGCCTAGTTTTTCCTTTTTAAAATTGTATTTACTTATTTGTTTTAGGAGACGGGGTCTTGCAATGTTGCCCAGGCTGGTCTTGAACTCCTGGGCTGGAGCAATCCTCTTGCTTCAGCCTTCCAAATAGTTTTTGTTTTTTAAAAATTTATAAAATTGATTATTCCACAGAGCTTTGGGGGCAGAAAAAATCTTGAGCTTTTATTTCATTGTTCTAGCATTTGCATCTATGGGGATTTTAAATGTTTCTAACTTTAATTGAATAATAATATGATAAAACAGAGTATTTTTAGTTTTAAAAATAACATACCAGTTGGTAAGGGAATGGAGAGAACAGGAACCACTGGGTAGGGAAGGAGAGGGATAAGAGAGCAAACAGATGTTGGGAGCCCCTTATTCTTTCATTTATTCAAGAAATCTTTATTGATCACCTACAAGGAAGCAGACACTGGGGAATACAACAGTAAAAAAACAGTCTTGCTTTCATGGAACAAGGTGTGCAAAAGCACTGGCTCATCTACCTAATCTTCAAGGTTCAGTGCAAATGTTTCCATTGAGGAGGCATTCCTAGAGGTGACCTCACTACCTCCTCATGCCTGCTTGTTTTAGGATCAGTTTTATAGTCCCATAGGTGCCTGTACTTTCCTGCCATATCGCAAATGTCAAGATATAGAGATATTTGTGTTAAATGTCTATCTCCCTTCCTAGCACAGAAATTCCATAAAGGCCCTGCAGCCTTGGTCCTGCTCTGCTTCCCAGACATACCCAGACAAGCCAGGTTAGCACATGGCTTGACCTACCGATCAACTCCAAAAAAAAAAAGGTCTCCTGCTAAGGTCATCTTTGAACAAAGATATAAACTAGTTTTTGCCTTAGAAAAAAAAAATACACACGCATATACACAGACACAGAGGCAGCTCCTGCTGGGACAATTATAGTCAAGATAATTGTCTACTATGGACTAAAAAGGCAAAAACGTATCAGGCACAGTAAGTCATCCTATGTTGAGGTTTGTATTTGTGGGTCCTTGTGGGGCTGATATCCAAGCTATAGCCAGAAAGCTGACAGCTCTGGAAGAGGCACCACACTTTGGGTAAAAGCACTCATGTAATGGGAGAGCTTGAGGTTGGTCCTGGGCAAAGAGGAGAGGAGGACAGGGGATGTCCTTGGGAGAAGAAAGCAAGCAAAGTTCCTGAAAAACTTCAAGACTCCTCCCCAAGTCTAGAGTGTCTCAACCTCCTTGCTGGTGCTCTGGGAGCTTGGGAGGAAGCGGCTCGGGGGATGGTGTGGGCAAGTGTGTTAAACTGGTTTTAATATTCCCCATGTTTCCTCATCTGTCAGACTTCTTTACTGCCAGCCCTCACATTTTGCCCCATTGACACACACATAAAGCTGCCTCCTGTGAAACTCTGTAGTTTCACCTGGGTAGTCTAGTTTGGGACTCTGGTCTCTCTGAGCACTTGTGTGGCATATTTGGTGGGGGTGGGTTGTTAGAGTCTTCTCTTTATACCCAGTCTTAATCTGTAATGCGTGTCTTTCACTACTTTCCCATTCTCCAATCTGGTGTAGGCTGGCCTGAGCTAATCAGCAGATTTGCTTGGCATCCCTAAATGATTTTACATTTAAAGAAGATGACATGGTGTTAATGGCTATCTGTGTTAAACAGGGGGAAAAAATGACTTGACAATCTGTAGCTAGCTAAGGGGCAGATGAAGATAGGTCCTTGTGAGTAACCAATAAGTATACCATTAGCACATAACATAGAGTGAGAAGAAAATAGGATTATTTATATTACACTTATTTTATGCATGTCATACTCATTGACAGTGGTATGCTTTTTGGAAGAAAGTTCTTTTTTTTCCCATCTAGCATATAAATAAATAAGGATGTAAATGAGGTGAAATCACATCATCCCAATTACATAAGATATTCTGAAAATACCCAGTATACACTCATGTATCTTTTTTATTTTTATATTTTTAAGGTGGTCTCTGCTTCCTCTGACTTGTAATACTTATGTTGTTTATAAGCCATTTATTTAGAAGCTCACATTATATTATTTTGTTTTAATTTCAAATAATAAAGCAATCTTTGTTACATGAACTAGATACTATTTCAATTGGTATTTCACTAATTTTGTGTGTTTGTTGGCCACATAGTAAAGATTCTTAACTGAGAGTCTATGGATATCTAGATGGATCTAAGAATACATTGAAACTTATGAAAACATACACCCATGTATACATATTATATATTTTTCTATAGCGAAGGTTCAAAACTTTCATTATAGTCTAAAAAGGATCCAAAACCAAAAAGGGGTTAGGAATCACTGCTCTATAGTAACTATATTTCAAATCTTCTTAAATCCTCTGAATGCTTCATAATAACACCTGCTTTCCCCCTTTCCAGATGACTTAGGCCAGAATACAGTTTGGCTGGAATTATCACAGTTGGGGAGTACAGAAAATACAAAATGGAGCTAATCATGCTAGAGGTGAGTGGGTTTTATTTTGTTAGATCCTTCTTTTGTACCCTAGAAAATTTCAACAGCTGCTCCTAAGTATAACTAAATGCTTGTTTAGATCTTTATCGACATGAAGAGAAACCTAAACACCTGTGTCTTATTTTCATCTACTAAAAAAAAAAAAAACAAAAAAAACATAGGATAATACAACTGAAAATTTAAGCACACTAGTTAAGGAATGCAAAATCCAAGTTCCCAAGATAAGATTAGACTTTACAAGTGGCATGTATTAACTATGTGTAATTTCATTTAAACTGTGAGTGAATTTAAATGCATACAGGTGTTGATGTTTGATAACAACACTATATACTGGGTATTTAGAAACTGAAGGAGTTGTTTCCTTATCTGCAAAATTATATGGGCTGTTGTCTTGTAAGGAGTGAGGTACACTCTGAACTCTATTTCCTGCAGGTCCACTAAAAAGGAAGCAAAGAAAGGGCAATCTCTGATTTTACTGATCTGAAAGCCAATAGCGAGATCCAGCTGTTGCATTTTAACAACAAAAAATTATATATGTGAGGTAACGGAAGGAAATAACACATACGTGTAAAAGCCACATAGGCCAAATTTTCATTATAGTTATTCTTTGTTCAGGCCAAGGTGGAGAATAAAGATGATTTAGGTTTTGAAAACCTTAACCAAAATACCCATGCATTTTTTTCCTCTTCTGATCATTGTCTATTATTTAATGTACTATCAAACTTAAACATTCTTTCTTAACTATTATTACCTAAACTCCCTTGCAAGAATGCTAATAAGAGAATAAGGTTTGTGTCGAATTCAGCAATGAGAAAAGCCAGAAAGTCTCCTAAAGAAAGATTTAAAACTATATGCTTGTTAAGCCTACACTAAAAATTATGAGAAAGGCTGTAATAAATAGCAGGCCACAGATATGCAAAGAGTTGTAGAAAAAGAAGGGTGGATGAAACTACTTGTTTTTCATGAATAAATCATGTTTTAAAATTTCATTTAAAAGGTGTAATTAAATTATCACTTGATAAGGTTGTTTTGGTATTAGAAATGCAGCAGTTGGTATACTTGAAGAATTAATGGTGAATTTTTAAAGGATAGATTATTCATCTAGTTTTTAAAATCTGAAGACCTAAAGTTGAGTAAATTTGAGTATGTACATTTAGTAAATTTTAGGACTGTACTCATATACTTTACATCACCATTTTAACTAAGTGAACTTTCTTCAGATTTCCAACCATCAAACAAACAAACAAAGTATCATTGGAAAGAGACCAGCAGACATTTGTAACTGAGCAGAAATTTTTCAGAGATGTGAGTCAACTGGACACAAGGGGATTATGATACAATGGAAACTATTTTGCAATCTTAGTCAATGTACTCTCTACTATGAATGATAATACATACACATGAAAGCACCCTATAATGTTGTAAAGAGGAGATAATTGAAACAAGTGCCAAGAATTTCCTCTTTAGGCTGTACTTTTTCATTTGGAGATCTAATCACTAAACTTTAGACAAGCTACACCTTGGTAGCAAGCATCTCCATTTTAGCATGCTGGCAACTAACTGGAAATGAAACCAGACCAGTTTTGACACAGTGTATTCAAGATATCTTTTGTACACATTTTAAGTTACACTGAAGAATGTGAGAGCCAGTAGAAATTCTTAATTACTTCACAAGTCTGTCCTACTTCCCACCAACTCTCTTCTCTTTGAAATAAATATATGTGTATCTACATGCATGCGTGCACAGACACACACACACACACACACACACACACACACACATTGGCAGATGCATATAAATTCACAAGATGTGGTGTAAGTTTAAGCATTATACTAAAATGTGATGTACATGTTGCCATCAGTAGTTCCAAGGCCTACCACTTGTGAGTCTTTTAAAATTAACTGGGCTGTTATGATCCTATCACTCTGGCAGCAACCTGGCATAGCTGTGCCTTTAACAAAATAATTCTGTAATAAAACGAGATTTTACATGCTGAAACAAAATATTTTAAAACATCTTGCTGCTGATTGCTCATTTTAATAATATTTGTGGAATTTAAACCCCCCACACACATCAACAAATGTTCCAATGGAAGATTACATTAAGTTTTGGGTTAACTTCAGAATTATTAATTTTTTATATCAATCTTTTAATGAACACTCTTGATTTGTTTTCTTTAAGAAAAATCCCAAGTCCTGAAAAGACTTTAAGGCTATGTACCTTTACATGCTGTAATAAACATGACCAGGGTAACTTTAAGCAAAGGGGACTCATGAGTGGTTTTCACACTATCTGTGAATGTCTCTGAGCAAGGTAGACTAAATTCTGTCTCAGCTACTCCTATTTCTCCAAATATGTGAAATCAGTTGTGACATCTGCTGTATATTAGGGCTGAACTGCTAGGGATGGAAAGCCAATTTGAATCCAAAAGGAGGAATTTATTGTAATGATATTATTGGGTCGAACTGAACTTAAAGAAAGCAGTGTGGCTGGGCCTCAGCGGACCAGCTGGAAGCAGGGCCTGGGATGCCATCGGGATTCCGTCTCGATGAAGAGAGTTTTTGTCTCTGCTTCTCTCCGTACTTTGGCTTCACATGACCAGGAACAGTTGCTGTGTTTTACATCTCACAGCTTCACCCACCAGAAAGCCCTCATTTTCTCAATTCCAGTAATCAAAACCCTACAGAAAGTCTCTGATTGGCTCAGTCTAGTTGTCACTATGATGAGGACAAACTGAATTAGGTCACTTCCTATGCACCAAATCAAGTGTGTGTGTGTGTGTGTGTATGTGTATGCACGCATGCATGTGTGTGTGTGTTTTCACACTGTGACAACAGAGCAACTCTGTAGTTTTCTAGGGGGAGGAAGTGAAGATCCTTAGGAGGGCTGGATAGGTAATCTGAGTCAGGCCGATTGTTGGTTGGTGGAGGAAATGAGAGAGAGGATGTAAAAACTGCCCTCTATCCTTTTCTATGTATATGTAAATTTGTGGTGCTTATACACTGCTTCCTCTCTTCTTTCTGTCTTGGCAACACAATGCCTCAAAATGTACTATTGCAAAGGTGCCATTTTGGAATTCCTGCTCAGTGGTGCATGCTTCCAAAAAACGGTGTTCAGCGTGCTGCAATGGGGCTGCTTGTTTCTAGTTGCCATTTTCTTTTTTCTTTTCTTTTTTTTTTTGAGATGGAGTCTCACTCTGTCCCCCAGGCTGGAGTGCAGTGGCACAATCTCGGCTCACTGCAAGCTCCGCCTCTGGGGTTCACACCATTCTCCTGCCTCAGCCTCTGGAGTAGCTGGGACTACAGGCGCCCGCCACCACATCTGGCTAATTTTTTGTATTTTTAGTAGAGATAGGCTTTCACCGTTAGCCAGGATGGTCTCGATCTCCTGACCTTGTGATCTGCCAGCCTCGGCCTCCCAAAGTGCTGGGATCACAGGCATGAGCCACCACACCCGGCCTCTAGTTGCCATTTCCTTAGACCTTGCTGTTCATTAGTAGTCTAGGTAACATTTTGGGCTATACAACTGATTTCTAGGCCACAGATATCATCCAAAATAGGATAAAGTTGAAAAGCCTCAAGGGCCACCAATGAACTTCTTTGAAAATGATTATGAAATTTGTAGGAACAATTAGGCCATTATTTTTGAATGATGATTCCAGTATGGATTATGGTCAAAGTTAGAAAATGCTATCTTTGTGTTAAATCTATTGGCAAAGAAAGAAGTCTAAATGAAAATCAGAAGAGAAAGCAAACAAAAACAACTTTTTTTGTGGGTAGGGGAGGGGTCATGAATGGCTAATAGATTACAAAACTCCAATCTGGGGCGGTTCAGTTTGGAAGTTTATGGAAATGTTATTTGAAGATAGTCCCTACAGTCAATTAAAATTGTGCGTATAACTGGAAATATGTGTTGGAGGGGAAGAATGAGGTACACAGCATTTCAAGCCTAGAGAACTTTGACTTCATGCTATAATTCTGAGTAGCTAAAAAATGATTTGAAGTATCTTTCACAACAGCTCCACCCCACTTTGTAAACTTGCTCAATTCTTTCTCCTTAGAAAATAGGAGAAAGGGGAGACAGAGGAGATTGTGAACACTTAGGGAAAAGATAATGCTATTTGTTTTCTTCTTAATATTTTTTAACGATAGAAAATTCAAACACATACAACAGTACAGAGAACAGTATACAGTGAAATCACTCGCCTGCTACCCAGCTTTAACAATGACCAACTCATGACCAATTTTGTTGCATCTACACTGTAATCCTATCTCCAACACTGCACTGAATTTTTTGAAGCAAATCTCAGAATCACAATATTTAACCCATAAATATTTTAGTGTATTTCTAAAGATATACTGTAACACTTTTATGCCACATTAAAATTAGCTACATTTCCTTAACATTATCAGTATTTAGTTAGTGTTCACATTTACCAGTCAGTATATTTCACAGATGGTTGGTTTGAATTGGGATCAGAATAGGTGTGACACATTACATTTAGTTACTATATCTCATATCTAAGGGATTTCTCTTTCTCTTTTCCCTTAAAATTTATGTTCAAGAAACAGAATTATATATCCTATCCAGTCTCCCATATTCCTTATTTTGCTTCCTGCATCCCTCTGGTGTTATTTAACATCTCCTGCCTCCTGTATTTCTTATTAACTTGTATTAAGATCTAGAGGCTTGGGGAGTTTCAGGTTTGATTTTTTTTTTTTTTGAACAAGTACTTCATAGGTATTGCTGAGATGCACATAATGTATGGCTGCTCTTCTTTTCATGTGTTAGTAGCCACTTATGATTGTCCAGGTCTTTTGATTCATGAAGGGCTGCAAAATGATGCTATCCTATTTCTGTTATTCCTTCTTCATTCATTAGCTGGGATATATTGATAAAGGGACGCTTTCCCACCTCTCCTGCCACCTTCCCGAAAAATGTTAGCATAGTATTCACGCTTTTCTCTGCTTTATCTTTTTTTTGTTTTGTTTTGCTTTTGAGACAAGATCGTGCTCAGCTGGTGAGGTGGTGTGATGCTGGCTCACTGCAGCCTTGATCTCTTGGGCTCAAGCCGTCCTCCCACTTCAGCCTCCCAAATAGCTGGGACTACAGGCACGCATCACCATGCCTGGCTAATTTTGTATTTTTGGTAGAGACAGGGTTTTGCCATGCTGGCAGGTTTTCACCATGTTTGGTAGAGTGCAGGCTCTGAGTCCTAGAACTTTCTGTTTCTCAACTTTCTCAGACTCCTGGGTTCAAATGATCTGCCCGCCTTGGCCTCCCAGAGTTGGGATTACAGGCGTGAGCCACGGCGTCTGGCTCTGCTTTGTCTTTTTCACTTAACAATTTATGCTAGAAACAACTTCACGGCTATATAGAGAGCTATTTCTCATTCCTTTTATAGGAGCATAGTTTATTTAACCCAGTTTCAAGTAAAAGATATTTGAGCTGTTTTCAGTCTTTTGTTCCCTTTTCGTCTTAAGATTTATTTATGTCAGTCAAAGTCTCAAGACAGGCAAGTAGGACAAAATTCAAATTCCAGTAAAGAGGAAAGAACCTGGTAAAATTTTGCCTTTTCTGGCTTCTTTACCTGCTTCTGTCCTTCCCATTTTTCACCTTGCCCCAACCAGCCTTCCAAGGCTTATGCCTCTGCCAGCTCTAGTCACAGCTCTACCTTTCCACATCTCCAAGTGGCTTCATGCTATCGAACTGACCTGCCTTTTCTCCTAAGCTTGGCTACTGGAGCTGACTCACACTCAGTCTTCTGGTGATCACCACTGCTGCTGATACTCTGTTGTAATGGTAAAGGAGGTAGCAGTGCTAATGGGGCTGGTCATGGTACTAAGATCAGCTCAGACACTGCTTCTAAAGTGTCAGAAGCAGCAATCATGGGCTTGAGGAAGTGATAATAGGAAAATTAGGATGGTTGTATTTATACAGGTGCTGCAAACCAGTATGGTTCTCTTACATCAACTTTTCATGTACATGATAATGTGCTAGGACTAGCTTCTAATTCTCCTAAGATCATATACTTATATGCCATAGACATATGATGTATTATCCTTGGCCCCTGGTTTTTAGTCTTTACCTATAATCTCTCAAAGAATGAATTTACTCTCATGTCTTTTAAGTATCACTCCTATGCAAATAACTGTGAAATATTCATCTTTAGCTCAGGTTGGGTACTTACAACCCACAGTGTTCAACATTAGATGTGTCATCTTGATTTGAAAACTGCCTGCCCTACTAACTCAGTGTTTCAGAGTATAGTGTTTCAGTGATACACTATACTCCCAGGCATGTTGGCTTCAACACACTGGAAATATGCCCCTTTTTCTTTGCCCCATACCATTTAATCTGACCAAGTCTCCTGGTTTTGATGTTGATTTACCTGGGATCATGTGAATACTTAGAAATTACAATCCTGTCTAGATGGGGTTAACTAATGGGTAAAGATAGGTTTGGAAGGGATTCTTTGATGGTTGTACTTTGTCCTTGGCCTCATCCTAAGGATAAACACATTAGATAAAAACTTAATGGTGAGACTGTTCATGTGCCCAGCACATTACTTCCATAGCTGGCATCTGAGAACTATATTCAGTGAGTTCTCACTCACTGAGCCACACTAGGGCTATTTAAAACCAAAGAAATCTTACAGAGTTTATGTCGCTCCCCTGCCACCCTCATCAGAGCTGGTGCTTGCACTTGCTTTTGGGAGACCAGAGGAAGTTCAGTTCAGCTCCACGCAACATCACTCCCCTCTGAAGCTAAGAGCAGAGCCCAAGCCACTGCACATCCTGCAGACCTGTCCACAGCCTGTGGCATCAGAAAACTTCTCCAGCTTGCTGATAAGAGACACGGGTGACCAATTCTCCTCAGAAGGAAGAACCAAAGTTATAGGTGAATAATCATAGCCCAAATGGAGTGTTAAGGGGAGAGTGCTAGAGCCTATCACAGAGTTCACTGGGAGAATCTATGATACAGCCACAAAATAAAGTGTGCTTTATTTTACAAGAAGCTGGCAGAGGTCAAACCCCCAGAGGCTCAGTAATCTTTGGAAAGGGTAGGTGGGAGTGCTCTCAGCATCTCTAGGTCTTGTGGCAGACTGCTGGCATCTGAACTCAGGCAGAGTGTCTCTGCCCTTGTAAGCACAAGTACAGGAGTGGATTGCGATTTGGGGACTTCTTGAGGGCACTGCCTTGTCTGCATAGTGTCCCTTCCCTCTTGCCCTAGGCCTGAGCTGTAGTAGCGGCTGCCATATTCGTGCACATAGGTTGTGGGACTTTGTTCTGCTCAGGATCCTTCAACCCTTGTATCTTCACATCACTGGATCCCTTGTAGACATTCCCCAGCACCAGCCTGGATTGTGGCAGCCCCCACAGGGTGGCTATACCTAGAGAAGCAGCAGTATTTACAGTAGTCTTGCCCTAAGGGACTGTCACTCCTAGGGGAAGGGAAAGGGTACCATATCAAGGGAGCACCCTGTGGGACAAAATTAATTAGAGTGCAGCCTTTGAGTCCTAGAACTTTCTGCTTGTGGGAAGTTTCTTTCAGCAGAGGCACAGATGCAGTGCTGGGCTAAGTGGTAGAAAGACTGTCATTCTACCCCAGCAGTTGGGCAGCCCCAGTGCTCGTGAAGGGACCTGGAGAAGGGGACTTCTACCCTTTGCCTATCACTGCAGACGTGGCTGGGACTCCTCCACAGGAGCTTGGCTTGGGTGCACCTATGGATGGCCTTTCTGGAGCACTTTGGGGTAGGTTCACAATCCCTCTCTACATGAATGTCAGCATTTCTGCAGATCCACAGAAGTGCCTCGTCTGATCTGAATATCCAGAACATTGCGACATGAGTGTGACAGGGAGGCAGATTGCTTTCGTGCTGGTCTGGAAGAGGAGCTGAGGTGGCTCCCTCCCTTTCTCCTGCAAAGACCTCAGTGCCTTTCAAGGAGAGCTCCCCCAGTTGCTTCTGTCAAGGCTGGGACTTCTGTCCACCACTGGGGTATTGCATATATCCATCTGCTTAAGCTGCAGCTGTTTTTACCTGTGGGTACCTCCTACTGGCCCAAAAGCTGAACTGTTCAACTCAGTGAAAAATATTATGGGAAAAAAACTGAAAAGTACACACCACCGGAGAATGATGTAAGCTTCATGGGACCTCTGCCATTCCAGCCCCACGAGACAGTGAACCTGTTCACACACCCAGCACACTGGTACTACAACCAGCATATGAGAAAGCCACTGTGCAAAGATGTTTTATAACCAAGGAACTTGGAAAGTCTTTGCCACTGAAAGCACTCAGAGCCTAAGCTAGGTGACTATACCGCAAACATTAAAGTCACATTCTCAAGGGGAATTTTTTTTAACCCAGTAGAATAAAAAATAAATTCAAAAATAGTAAGAAAAAGTAGTCTACCCAAATGATAAGGAACCAGAAAAATAATTCTGCAATATAAAAAGCACAGTTCTACAACACCCTCCAAAGATCTCACTAACCTCCCAGCAATAGATCCAAACCAAAACAAAATCTTTGAAATGCCAGATAAAAAAATTCAAAATGCTGACTATTAAGTTGCTCGATGAGATCCAAGAGAAAATTGAAAACCAACATAAAGAAATCACAATAACAATTTAGAATATGAATGGAAAGTTTTCTAAAGAGACATATTTTGAAGAAAAACCAGAACTTCTAAAAATGAAGACATATTTTGGGAATTACAAAATGCAATGCAAAGTTTTAAAAACAGACTAGATCAAGTAGAAGAAAGGATGTCAGAGCTTGAAGAGAATGCTTTTGAATCAACCAAATCAGAAAAAGATAATGAAACAAGAATTAAAAGAAATGAACAAAGTCTCCAAGAAATATGAGATTATATAAAACGTCCAAACCTAAGAATCATAAGTGTTCCTGAGAGAAAAGAAAAGCAAATCATTCAGAAAACCTATCTGAGAGAATAATTGAGGGAAACTTCCCTGGTCTTGCTAGAGACTTAGACATCCAAATACAAGAAGCTCAAAGAACTCCTAGGAGATTCATTGCAAAATGGACATCAGCAAGGCATATATTCATCAGGCTATCTAACGTCAATGTGAATGAAGGAATTCTAAGAGTAGTGAGACAAAAGCATCAGATAACTTGAAAGGAAAGATAAAGGAAAACCTGTCAGAGTAACAGGAGATTTCTCAGCAGAAACCTTATAAGCCAGAAAAGATTGGTGTCCTATCTTTAATCTTCTCAAAAGCAGAATAACTGTCAGCCCATCACTGTAGACACAGCTGGTGCTTCTCCCATGGGGAGCCAAGAATTTTCTATCCTGCAAAACTAATTTTCATAAATGAGAGAGAAACTTTCCCAGACAAGCAAATGCTGAGGGAATTTGTCACCACTTGACCAGCCCTACAAGAGATGCTAAAAGGAGTTCTAAATTTCAAAATGAAAGGTCAATATGCACCAGTATAAAAACATTTGAAAGCATAAAACTCAGAGCTTATAAAACAGTAACATAATGAAGAAAACAAAACAACTAGATAACAATCAAAATGATCATTAGAATTGTACCTCACATATCAATATTAATGTTGAATACGGGTCTAAATAGTGGATCTAAATGCTCCAATTAAAAGATACTGACTGGTGGAATGGATAAAGAAACACAAGCCAAATATCTCCTGTCTTCAAGGGACCCACCTAACTGGTAAAGATTCTTATAGACTCAAGGTAAGGGGATGAAAAAAATATTCCATGCAAATGAAACCAAAAGCAAGCAGTAATAGCCTTTCTTATATCAGATTAAACAGTTTAAATCAATAATAGTACAAACGAAACAAAAACAAACAAAAAACCCAAAGAGGGTCATTATATAATGATAAAGGGATCAGTTCCACAAGAAGATATAACAATCCTAAATAAATATGCACCTAACTCCAGGGCTCCCAGATTCATAAAACAAATGCTCTTAGACCTAAGAAAAGACAGAGAGCAATACAATAATAGTGGGAGACTTAAACGCTCCACCAACAGCAGTAGATGGATCATTGAGGCTGTGTCCCCACCCAAATCTCATCTTGATTTTTAACTCCCACAGTTCCCTTGTGTTGTGGGAGGAACCCGGTGGGAGGTGATTGAATTATGGGGGTGGGTCTTTCCTGCACTGTTCTTGTGATAGTGAATGAGTCTCATGAGATATGATGGTTTTAAAAACAGGAGTTTCCCTGCACAAGCTCTCTTTTTGCCTGCTGCCATCCATTTAAGATGTGAATTGCTCCTCCTTGCCTTCCACCATGATTGTGAGGCCTCCTCAGCCACATGGAACTGTGGGTCCAATTAAACCTCTTTCTTTTGTAAATTGCCCAGTCTTGGGTATGTCTTTATCAGCAGTGTGAAAATGGACTAATACATATCTATAGCCAACAATCTTTTATGACAAAAACGTACACTGGAGAAGGGACACCTTTTTCAATAAATGGTGCTGGGAAAATTGTATTGCCATACACAGGAGAATGAAATTGGACTCTTGTCTCTCACTGTATAAAAAAAGAACTCAAGATGGATCAAATACTTAAATGTAAGAACTGAAACTGTAAAAATACTAAAGAAAACCTAAGGAAGATTGCTGGACATGGGTCTGGGCAAAGAATTCATGACTAAAACCTCAAAAGCACAAGCAACAAAAGCAAAAATAGACAAATGGAACTTTAATTAAACTAAAACACTTCTGCACAGCAAAAGAAATTATCAAGAGAGTGAACAGACATCCTGAAGAATGAGAGAAAATATTGTCAAACTATGCCTCTAATAGGGGACTGATACCCAGAATTTACAAAGAATTCAAACAACTCAACAGCAGCAACAAAATAACCCCATTAAAAAGTAGGCCTATTGGAGGGCAGGGAGAGAGAGCATCAGGATAAACAGTGAATGCATACTGGGTTTAATACTTAGGTGATGGGTTGGTAGGTGCAGCAAACCACCATGGCATATGTTTACCTATGTAACCTGCACAACATGTACATGTACCCTGGAACTTAAAAAAAAAAGTGGGAAAGGACACAGATGGACATTTTTCACACAAAAAAAGACATACAAATGGCCAACAACCGTATAAAAAAATGCTTAGCAGCACTATTCATCAGAGAACTCCAAATTAAAACCACAATGAGATATCATCTTACCCCGGTCAGAATAGCTGTTACTAAAAAGACAAAAAACAAAAACAGAAAAACAACAGATGTTGATGAGGATGCAGAGAAAAGGGAATGCTTATACACTAGTGGTGAGAAGGTAAATTAGTACAACCTCTATGGAAAACAATATGGAGATATCTCAAAGAACTAAAGGTAGAATTACCATTTGATCCTTCAATCCCACTACTGGGTATCTACTTAAAGGAAAAGAAATCATTATATAAAAGAGACATCTGCATGTATATGTTTACTACAGTACAGTTCACCATCACAAGGGTATGGAATCAACCTAAGTGCCCATCGACCAATAAGAGGATGGAGAAAATGTGGTATATATACCATGGAATACTACCCAGCCAGAAAAAATAACAAAGTAACGTCTTTGACAGCAACTTGGATGGAACTGGAGGTCATTCTAAGCGATGTAACTCAGGAATGGAAAACCAAATACTGCATTTCTCACATGTTTAAGTGGGAGCTAAGCTATGGGTACACAAAGGTATATGGAATTGTATAATGGACACTGGAGATTCAGAACGGGGTAGGGTGGGAGTGGGGGTAAAGAATGAAAAATTACCTATTGGGTACAATGTATACTATTTGGGTGATGGGTATACTAAAAGCCCAGACTTCACCACTATACAATTTATCCATGTAACCAAAAACCACTTGTACCCCTAAAGCTACTGAAATAAATAAATAAATCTTAATGGCATGCTGGTTCAATGTTAGTATTTGTGAGAAACACTAAATATGTAGAAAAAAGCCTGGGAGAAAAACAGATACCAAAGGCCGGGACCAATGAGGCCTGATTAGCAAATGAAACTGATTAAATACCCTGGGCCCTGTTAGATGAGAGTGTCTGAATGTGACAGGGGTTGAAACCACACATGCCAGCAGAAACACTGAAGGGCTAGGTGTTAGAATCAGCAGGAATGAGGTCGGCCTTGAGAAACCACATCAGTCCTCCAGTCCTTCAAAGGCTCTTCTATAGAAAAATTAGAACTGTCCATCTTGGGAGGCTATGGGAAGCAGAACTAGGATCAATGTTCTAGAAGAAAGGTTTTTGCTCAATAAGAGGAAGAGATATATTAACAATTAATAAGCTGGCCAAACATAAGACAGCTGTAGAGATAATATGCAAATGACCATATGAGAAGGATACTGCAGGTGTTGTTTAAGCACTGGAAAGAAAGTTTGTTCATGTGGCAGAGAAGAACTTTCAACATGCTATCACCATTGAGTCTACCCCTTTCCCTCTACTTGTATGTACATACTCAACTTTCTTTCCTGTTTCAATAGATGAAGTATCTGTGCTGCCAAGATCAATCCTTCTATTTATGCATGGGGTTCCATTTCCTTTTACCTGAGTCAAGCTTTACCACCACCATAAAAACACGTTGTAATTTCTCACCTTATAGATGTAATCTAGTCCCTTCCTTGTCTCCATATCTGCTTTCATTCCCATTAGCAACTCTCCTTGGAAGAGCTCTCTTCATTTTCCATTTTCTATTTCCTCTCTTCCCATTCTCATTTAAACCCATTGAAATGACACTTCTGAACACTCCCCCACTGAATTGCTCTGTCAAGGTCACTAATCCTATGGTCAATCCTCAGTTCTCAATCTATTTAATCTATCAGCAGCATGCGACACCAATCACTTACTCCCACTTTTTTTCAACTGGGCTCTAGAACCCCCTCACACTCTTCACTCCAGTGACATTGGCTTCCTGGCTGTTCTTGAATGTGCAAAGAACACTCGTGTTCGGAGCATGTGGACTTCTTGTTCCCTCTCCCTGAAATGTGCTTCCTTTGGATAATTGCAGTTCACTCGCCTCAAGTCTTTACACAAATGCCACCTTCTCGGCAAGGTTTTCCATGGCCACCCTATTAAAACCTGCAGCTCTCCCTGTAATCCCATTCTCCTTCCCTGCTTTATTTTGCTCCTTCTCTCTTATTGCCACATACTATATTTTATTTTGTTGATGGTCTGTTGCCTCTCACAAAATAGACTTCTTTATTTTCGTTGCTAATATTAGATGCTAGTGCCTAGAACCTTATCTGGCACATAGTACATGGTCAACAAATATAGGAAAGAATGAAAAAGAACAATGAAGGAAAGAAGGAAAATATATGAAGAGCATAAAATAAGATATCTGACTTAATGTTAACTAATTTAGGACTTTAGTCTTAACAAGTTGGTTTTTAACCGAATGTGGAATTTATATGCCTTATAGCAGGTGTCACATTTAACTTTACATTGTATATACTGCTTAGGCAGATGAACATTTATCAAGAACTAAAAAATACCCCCACAAACTTCAGAACCACACAATTTGTGTGCTCATGTGTTCATGTAGGTTCAGTAGAGCTGGATTTGACTACTATTGAGTTGAAGTGTGCTCTTGGCCAGCCTTCCACAAAAATGGGGTTACACTAAATAGCTAGTAGCCAAATAAAAACAGTAGAGATTAGGTAAAGATTATAACTAAGTGGAATGTTAAATAAAGCTCTCAGCTGTGATACTAGTTTATATTCCTGAGTGGCTGCAAGTAGTTCCTGAAAGTATTCAAAGTGTGGACTCAATCTGCTCTTTGGTCACACCCTCCCTTTTCTGACCCCATCAGTACCCTGAGCCACTCTCTAGGGGCCTGCCGGTAGAGGTGTCCTTAACTCAGGTGAAGCATGTCTGGTTCAAAGCTGTGAGGACACCACCAAATACCGAGCCCTGCAAAACTGGTGATCCATAAAGGCTTTCTGAGTGATGAATGCTTGATTTGGGGAGTAATTTTAGTGACTTTGGGGTGCTGGTACTTATTCAGAGGGACTCCATGTGAACATATACTTTTTTTTTTTTTAAAGGCCTTTCAACTCCTCACTGCTTTGCTACTCTCCTATTACAGAAGTTCAGATCGGAATAGCACAACCACTCCTTCCCTACTTTAGCCTTCAGAAATCCACAGCAGAACCTAATCTACAACTCTGGCCCTCAGAGCAACAAACAAAGCAGTTATAGGTTTTTATAACCAGGTCGATGTGTGATTTGTGAAAAAGTGATGTTTCCCAGAAGCAGAAAATCTGTTTTCCAGAAATATGTTGAGAGATAGAGGATAAAGGTTTTGTAAGTAAAAACATGTAAAAAGAAAAACTGCTGGTTATTTAAGCTAAAAAACTTTGCAGTTGGCATTGATTTTACAAAATCAAAAATAAGATGGACACAGAATCAAACATATAAAATCAAAAGCAATTTAATGTTTGTATATTAATTTTTCTTCTCTGAATATTTTACTACTGATATAATTTATGCATCAAATACAAAAGTAGTTCTTTTAAAAATAATTACTTCAGACCACCTATATCTAAATATATAAGTCATTAACTCTTGGAGAAATTAAAATTTAAAATTTAAAGACTACTTAGTTTCAAGTTTTAGAGTGACAAAATGTAACAATGATTTTTTTTAGTGTGATAATGTTTGATTAAAATATGAAGAGACAGCTACAAACTTACCAGCTCTGACTTTTAAGAACACTGTGGAGTCAGTATTTTCCTTTAGGGGAGAAGAGCTATTCTATGCAACTCAACTCACTTAGGAAAACCTATGCTTAAGTCCTTGTTCTATGCTCTTGGGGAACAGGGGAATATAAATAAAACCTCGAGGAGTCTGAAATTCTGAAATGAGAACAAGACAATAAGTACAGTGACGTAACTGACATATGAGAAACAAAATGCTGCTGTGGAAATAATTATATTGACGATGGTGATAATAGCACTATTAGCACTACCACCTCCACCACCACTGATTTCCAAGTGTTCTCTGCCTTCACATAAGTTACCGAATCTATCCAACAATCTAATGTGGTAGGTAAAATCCTTCCCCCTACCCCCAATTTATAAATGAAGAAACTGATTTGAAAGCCTTTAGGTAAATTTGTTCAACATCACACACAGGTAAGTGGTGGATCCATATTTAAATCCATATCTGTCTGACTCTGGTACCTTTTCTTTACCCACCATAGCTCAGATGAGGGAGGGAAAGCATCTACTGGGAGCCTGGTAACATAAAAGAGTAGATGCTTTAGGAATAAGCTTTAGAAGAATGTGAAGAGATGTACTGGTGGTGTTGGTGGCAAGGCACTCCATGGGAGTGCACACTCCCACACTAAGGTACACTCTCATGTGAAGGCACAGAGGTGGCATAGGGTGGGCTGTATTAAGGACTCAAAAGTAGTCTGACAGGACCGGGGTGATTTTCAAACTGTGCTCTTTGCAGCCCTCTGAGTTCTCCTGAAGTGTCTCAGGTAATGAGAAAAAATGAGAAGGGAAAGCCTAAGAATGTAGGGAGAAAAATGGTCCAAGAAACAGAACCTGGGGGACACTTAAGCCCAGCTCCATACTAGGGAGATGGGTCTATAAAAGACAGGAAGAAGTAGAGGAAATTAGGACAGTCCCACATAAAAACTGAAAGAGGGCTTTAGGAAGAGGGTACGAATTCTGACAGATGGAGCAAAAAGGTCAGGAAAGCTGAGGACTTAGAGCTGGTTATTATAATTGGAGAGAAGGAAATAGTGAGGTCAGCTTAGCAGTGTGCAGAGGGAGGGAAAGCCCATACTGCCAGGGTTTGAGAAGCGAATTATGAGTGAGGAAGTAGAGGCAGTAGGTGTGCTAGACTTTTAAGAACTTTGGTGGTAAAAAGGAGACAGGTTGTAACCCAAGAGTAACAATGATCTAAGGAAGGTTTAAAAAGGAACACACTATCCAAAAGTGGTTGTAAAACATGAAATAGTATTTCCAGAGTTAATTTTTAATTTCCTGAGTTCACTGCTGTTAAAATCTCAAACTATTTTGGCATTCACATCCTGGCATTCGTATGAACTTAATTGTGAAGACAAATGCAGTAGCAGCTGACAGAGAATCCAAAAATCCTCTGTAAAATTACTGGAAGGGTTACATTACATTTTCCTCAAACTTCTAATCCCCCAACAATTGCAACTATAACATAATAGACATCTTTCCTTCAATGGGTAAAGTGAAGACAGGTGCCCCAAAATGTAGTACCCCCAAAACCTAATAACATATACAATAATGATTATTCAAAAACTTCGGAACTTCTCCATTGTCAAATAATTTTCCTTTGTATTCACATTTTATTTGCTTTACCTTAAGTCACCCCCTAATCATGCTGACATCTACCACTGATGATTATATTACACCTAGAAGTATTCTAAAACAAATGAAAAATACTGACTTCTATTCCTGAAAGTCCTGCTTCCAATTTTCAGGAGGAAATTAAATAATGTATAAATCAAATACTGGGCCTAAGCCCAGACAGCTGAACATCGTTTTGTCCTTTCAAGGCAAAGAGGAAGTGTCTGCTGTGGTAGGGACATGCCAAAAGAAATAAAGCTTAACCTCAGCCCCATGTGAAAGTGATTTTAGATAATCGGGGGTGTCTGCAAATAGGTTAAAAATGGGACCACATACTAACACAAAACTTTCCATGGAAGTCAAAAAATGTACCAAGATCTAACCCCCACCTTAAAACAAAATATTTTGGGAAAAGGGCACAGCCCTCAGACATTCTATATAAAGGCAGTAGAGGAAAGGGAAAGCAGACAGGGAGGAGAGAAATGACAAAGGAAAATTAAAATGTATTTCCGCTTACCTTTACTGTAAGTGATCATAATTGCCAAATTCAAAATGAGGTATGTGTGTGTGAAGAGGAAGAGAAGAAGGGAAGGAAGGAGAAAGAGATGATAGGAAGAATATGTGTGTCGGTGCAGAGGTGGGAAGATGGTGAAACAATTATTTACATCAGGGGTGCGCAAACTTATGCTGTAAAGGGCCAGACAGCAAGTGTTTTGGTCTTGCGGAGAACACAGTTCCTCCTGGAACTACTCAAATCTGCCCTTGCAGTGTGGAAGCAGCCATGGGCAATACGTAAATGAATGAGTGTGGCTGTGTTCCAATACAACTTTATGGACATTGGAATTAGAATTTCATACATTTTTCATGTGTCATGAGGTATTATTCTTCTTTTGATTTTTCTTCAATCCCTTAAAAAGGTAAAACATTCTTAGCTTGTGGGCTTCACAAAAACAGTTTGTGGGCCATATTTAATCCTCAAACTGTAGTTTAATGATCCCTGATTTAGACAGTTAACTCCCCATTACATAGGAGGACATTCCTATGAAATTGGCCTTGACTCAAATTTGGGATTCTGGGTAAGAAAACTGCTGTTCTTTTTTTGCATTAGCTTAACAAGATGGTAATGGTAGAAAACATTTACTTGGAACATACAGCAGATTCTCCCTAACCCTATAAGAAAGACAAACATCTCTCTCTCTCTCTCTCTCTCTTTTTTTTTTCCTACCGGGTCACTTATACTAGTATGAAATCAAAGTTTATGTTGTGAAAGACTTTGAAGTCAAATGATATCTAACCATTAACATGCAGCATTATTCAGGAATTAAGAATGACTTAAAAATATTATTCCCTTTATCAGAATTTAATATTTTATAAACATCATTCGCAGCACAATGCTAGTCTGAAATTATACATAAGTTTCCATCATCACCTCCATGGAAACCAGAGAGATGGTGAATATAGAAAGACTTCTTGGTGGAACATATGCTTTAGAGATCACATCCAAAACCTTTATGGAGCATCTGACCTAGACTTCCAGGGACAAAACATAAAAGTGCAAGACACTTATATTCACAGTTTTTGTGAAGCAAAATCATTTTCATATATTAAGTGTTCCGATACAGAAGAAACACTGACTTTCCCCTTCTGTGTCAAAGAAAATCTTATAAAACATCCTGGTAGGTGTCTTGATAGGCTTGATACAAGAAACATGGTATTTTCCCCTCATCTTTCCTTTCTTTTCCCTTCCTTCTTCTTTTCTCCCCCCTGCTTCTTTCCCTTGTACTTTTTTTTTTTTTTAATTTTAAATAACAAGACTTCTTAGTTCTTTGAACAAGTGAACTATTTCTTTGGGGAACTGCCCCTCAGCTATGCCAACTCTTTGATAAGCCAGTCATAGAGCCCTGTCTCACAGCGGTGGCTGTGTGACCTTGCTGATCCAGACAGGGTGTATTCTTAAGGGTAACAATGATCTAAGGAAGGTTTAGAAAGAAATACAGTATCCAAAAATAGTTGTAAAACACGAATTGATACTTCCAGAGTTGGATTTTTATGGACCAATCACTCATGTTATACTGGATCCCAGTTAATGTATTGAGTATATTATTTGGATCATACAGCAGATTCTCCCTAACCCAGTAAGAAAGACAAACATGCTTGTTTTAGTGAACTTAGAGCATACTGTATCCACTAGAGTGAAAAAGCTGTCCTAACTATCCACGTGAAAGTGACTAAGGTTGGAGGAGAGGAAAAACTACAGACAGTGAAAAGGCCAAGTGTGTGAAACAGGCAGTGGAGATGAGGAAAGGCTCAGTGAGTAGCCTTTTTATTTTCTCCCCTTCCATTTCCTCCCACCCTGTTTAATTTTTAAAATAGACTTAATTTTTAGGGTAGTTTGAGGTTCACAGTAAAACTGGGCATAAAGTACAGAGTTCCCAGATACTCCTTGCCCTCACATACACACAGCCTGCCCACTATACTCAATAACTCACATCAGAGTGGTACATTTGTTATAAGTGATGAACCTACATTGTTACATTGTCAAGTATATAGTGAGATGTACCCAGCACTGTAGTGAATACAGTAGTTACACTGCCCTAAAAATCCTCTGTGCTCTGCCTATTCATCCCTCCCTTCCCCTAATCCCTGACAACCACTGATCTTTTTTAGTCTCCATAGTTTTGTTTTTTCCAGAATATCATATATTTGGAATTACAGAGTATGTAGCCTTTTTGGATTGGCTACTTCCATTTAGTCATATATATTTAAGGTTCTTCCATGCACTGTCATGGCCTTATAGCTCATTTTCTTTTTAGCACTGGATAATCTTCCATTGTCTGGACTTCCCAAAGTTTATTCATCCATTCACCTGTTGAAGGACATCTTGGTGGTTTCTGTTCTGTTTTTAGTGTCATTCATTTGTTTAAATTTCTTTCTTCTACTTTAAAGAACATCAAAGGTAGATGGGTGTCTTAATTAGCAACCCACATAATCCACAAAATAGGTATGAGAAAACTGAGGCCCAGAAGTGAAGTGACTAGCCAGTGGCACTGTTCTCTTCCCAGTGCATTTGTCTATGCCTAAACTCCAACATCTGACAACACCTCACTGGCAGCCTGTAGGTCTAAAGATCAGCTACTCTCTGGATTAGGATGTTCATCTCAGGTTTAATACCCCAAATGTCACTTTTTTCCCCCTTTATCCAGTGTTATAAAAGAATATGATTCACACTATCTTTGAGAATTTTTGCGAGCCATTTGCTTTCTAATATTAGGGACAAATATTCAGGTTCCTTTTATCTTAGAAGGGAGACATATTTTCCTGTTAGCTTTGTAATTACTCCTAAAAACTGATGAAAAACATCCGATTCCTACCCTTTTTCCCTTTATCCACAAAATAGTTCAAAAATTTGCCCACATATATTCTTGCAGTTGTATCTTTAGAGTTTCAACTATATCAATTTAAATAAAAAACACAATACAGCTATAGTGGCCAAAAATGTGAATTTCCAAAATGATAGTACTTTTAACCAAGATACTAAAATAACATTAAAAAAAAGAACAAAAATGAAAACAAAAAAATGGTAATATCTGAAAATTTATGGTACCAGCTGATCTTTATTTGCCAGTTTCTCATGATTATTAAGGCAAATACAATACTATGCAACAAATGCTTTTTTTGATTATTGTGGTAGACAGAATAATGCCCCACCCCCAAGATATCCACCTTCTAATCCCTGGAACCGTGAATATGTTATGTTACATGTCAAGGGAGAATTAGGGTTACACATGGAATTAAAATTGCTAATCACCTGACCCTAAAATAGGGAGATTATCCTGGATTATCTGGATAGGTCAAACGTAATCAGAAGCGTCCTTTAAATGTGGAACAGGGAGGCATAGGTCAGAAACAGAAGGATACTTGAAGATGCTAGGCTGCTAGCTTTGAAGATGGAGGAAAAGGCCATGAACCAAGGAATGCAGGGGGCCTCAGAAAGCTGAAAAAGGCAAAGAAATGGATTGTTCCCAAGAGGCTCCATAAAGGATTACAGCCCTGCTGACATCTTAATCTTAGTTCAATAAGACCTTTGTCAGATTTCTGGCTTCCAGAACTATAAGATAATAAATTTGTTGTTTTAAGCTACTATGTGTATGGCAATTTGTTACAGCAGGGATAGAAAACTAATGTTTATTTGTAAAGGAACCGAACTTTATTAATTAAAATGGTGGTAGTACACAGTTTATTAATTTAAAAAAAGTAGTGGTAGAATAACACCAATAGCTATTATTTACTAAGTACCCTATATATTATTTCCAATCTTCATAATGCCTATGAAAGTATTACTTCATAGTAATGAAGTATTACTATTGCCATTTTACAGAGTCTCAGATAGGTTCACTAAATTACTCAATGTAATACAGTTGATAAATGGTAGAGCTAGGATTGGAACCCAGGTCTACTAAATGCAGCTGCTTGTGCTTCTTCTACCTGAAGAACCTGACACTAAACCTCATAAGAAAATATTACTTAGCATTGCACATGGTATTGTCCTCTGCAATATGTATGGCTCTATCATAAATGCGAACTAACTTAATTAAAAGAAATTGGAGTTAAACACTTGTTCTTAGGTAAATGTATACGCATTTATTCCCAATCCCTTAGTTGTATCACTTTTATATTGTAATAAACCTTTAAAAAATATTGCTTTCTAGTAACTCATGTATTGATTGCTCAATTTGAGCTAACTGATCAGTTCTACTTATTGATGATCTACTGATAACAGCAGTGATAATTACAACTCTCATTTCTTGAACCCTTCAGTATGTGCTGACATCTACATTGGACAGTCACTTCCATTTTTCTTCAGTGAACTGAAAAATTGGATTAGTTATAATCTTTGGTTCATGATATGTACAAGTGCTTTCTATAGGTGATATAATTTAATCTTCACAATGACCCTAGGAAGAAAGTACTATTATTATAACTACTATACCTATTAGAAAACTTTCCAGAGTCATAGAGTTAGTAAATGGCAGAGATGGGATTCAAATTTACCTTTTCCTAATTTCAGAAACTGAGTTATTTATCTCTTTGCTATACTTCCAACTTGTATGTATATTTTATATACATTAGTTCTATAAAAGCTTTTTTTTTTTGTTTTTTGAGATGGAGTCTTGCTCTGTCACCCAGGCTGGAGTGCCGTGGCATGATCCTGGCTCACTGCAACCTCTGCCTCCTGAGTTCAAGTGATTTCCTTGCCCCAGCCTCAGCTGGGATTACAGGTGCCTGCCACCACGCCCGGCTCATTTTTGTATTTTTAGTAGAGATGGGGTTTCACCATGTTGGCCAGGCTGGTCTCGAATTCCTGACCTAAGGTGATCCACCCGCCTTGGCCTCCCAAAGTGCTGGGATTACAGGCATGAGCCACCGCGCCTGGCCTAAAAGAAACTCTTCATTTTTCAAGTAGAGATGAAGCAAACTCACAGTAGGAGAAAAATTAAAACATTTCAGATTTCTTTGACATGGTCCTAAATTCTGGGGTCTATTACTGTGTCCTAGAGATATATGGTGCCATTTACGTTAGAAATATACAGATTAAGGTTTAAAATTTCCCCTTAAAGGCTCAGCACATGACTCACCCTAATGTGTAAACATAACTAATTTCTGGAATGTACATACCAAAGAAAAAGCATCAGTATTGTACTTCATGCATTTATCACATGCATTATATTTATATTTTTTATATTTTCATAAATGAAAATTAAGGCAAAAGACAATAAAATAGAAACCAATATCAAGAAAATTGCTAAAACCATACAATTAGATGGAAATTAAACAACCTGCTCCCAAGTGACTTTTGGGTAAATGATGAAATTAGGGCAGACATCAAGAAATTCTTTGAAACTAATGAGAACAAAGATACAACATACCTGAATCTCTGGGACACCGCTAAGGCAGTGTTGAGAGGGAAGTTCATAGCATTAAAAGCTCACATCAAAGAGTTAGCAAGATCTCAAATTAACAACCTCCTATCACAACCAGAAGAAATAGAGTATCAAGAGCAAACAAATCCCAAAGGTTGCAGAAGACAAGAAATCACCAAAATGAGAGCTGAACTGAAGGAAACTGAGATATGAAAAACCATACAAAAGGTCAATGAATCCAGGAGTAGCTTCTTTGAAAAAATTAAGACAGATAGACTGCTAGCTAGACTAATAAAAAGAAAGAAGATCCAAATAAACACAATTAGAAATGACAAAGGGGACATTACCACTGATCCCACAGACATAAAAAAAGCTCTCAGAGAGTACTATGAAGACCTCTATGCATACAAACTAGAAGATCTAGAATAAACTGATAAATTCCTGGACAAATACAACCTCCCAAGACTGAACCTAAGAAATTGAATCCCTGAACAGACCAATAACAAGTTCTAAAACTGAAGCAGTAATAAAAAAGCCTACCAACCAAGAAAAGCCCAGGACCAGACAGAATTCTACCAGATGTATAAAGAAGAGCTGGTACCATTCCTACCGAAACTATTCCAAAAAATTAGGGAGGAGGGATCCCTCTCCAACTCGTTCTATGAGGCCAGCATCATTGTGATACCCAAACCTGGCAGAAACACAACAAAAAAAGAAAACTTAAGGCCAATATACTTGATAGACATCGATACAAAAATCCTCAACAAAATACTAGCAAACCGAATCCAGTAGCACAAGAAAAAGCAAATCCACCATGATCAAGTAGGCTTTATCCCTGGAATGCAAGTTTGGTTCAGCATATACAAATCAATAAATGTGATTAATCCTATAAACAGAGCTAAAAACAAAAACATGATTATGTCAATAGATTCAGAAAACGTTTTTGATAAAATTCAACAATGCTTCATTTAAAAAACCCTCAATAAACCAGGCATGGAAGGAACAAACTTCAAAATAATAAGAGCCATCTATGACAAACCCACAACCAACATCATACTGAATGGGCAAAAGATGGAAGCATTCTCCTTGAAAAACAGCACAAGACCAGAATGCCCTCTCTCACTACTCCCACTCAGCATAGTACTGGAAGTCCTAGCCAGAGAAATCAGGCAGGAGGAAGAAATAAGATATCCAAATAGGAAGAGACAAAGTCAAACTATCCCTGTTTGCAGACAACATGATTCTATATCTAGAAAACCCCCATAGTCTCAGCCCAAAAGCTCCTGGATCTGATAACTTCAGTAAAAGTTTCAGGATACAAAATCAATGTACAAAAATCAGTAGCATTGATATACACCAAAAACATCCAAGCTGACAGCCAAATCTGGAATGCAATCCCACTCACAATAGCCACAAAAATAATAAAATATGCCTAAGAATATGGCTAACCAAGGAGGTGAAAGATGTCTACAAGGAGAATTATGACACTGCTGAAAGAAATCAAAGATGACACAAAAATAGAAAACATTCCATGCTCACAGATAGGAAGAAATCAATATTGTTAAAATGGCCATACTGCCCAAAGTAATTTACAGATTCAGTGCTATTCCTATCAAATTACGAATGACATTCTTCACAGAATTAGAAAAAACTATTTTAAAATTCATGCAAAACCAAAAAAGAGCCCAAATAGCCAACATAATCCTAAGCAAACTGAACAAAGTTGGAGGCATCATGTTACTCAAATTCAAACTACACTACAAGGCCACAGTAACCAAAACAACACGATACTGGTACAAAAACAGAAACATAGACCAATGAACAGAATAGAGAACCCAGAAATAAGACCATATGCCTACAACTATCTGAGTTTTGACAAAGTCAACAAAAACAAGCAATAGAGCAAGGACTCCCCATTCAGTAAGTGGTGCTGGGATAATTGGCTAGTCATGTACAGAAGATTGAAACTAGACCCCTTCGTTACATCATATACAAAAATCAACTCAAGATGGATTAAAGATGTAAATGTAAAACCTAAACCTATAAAATCCCTGGAAGATAACATAGGAGATACCATTCTGGACATGGGGCCTGGCAAAGATCTCATGATGAAGATGCCAAAGGCAACTGCAATGAAAACAAAAATTGACAAATGGGACTTAATTAAACTAAAGAGCTTTTGCATATCAAAGGAAACTATCGACAGAGTAAACAGATTATCTACAGAATGGGAGAAAATATTTGCAGCTATGCATCCCACAAAAGATATAATATCCAGAATCTATAAGGAACTTACATTTACAAGCAAAAAAACCTCAACACCATTAAAAAGTGGGCAAAGAATATGAACAGACACTTTCAAAAGAAGACATACATGTGGCAACAAGCATATGGAAAAATGCTCAACATCACTAATCACTAGAGAAATGCAAGTCAAAACCACAACGAGATACCATTTCACACCAGTCAGAGTGGCTATTATTAAAAAGCAAAAAAATAACAGATTCTGGTGAGGTGTCAGGGAAAAGGGAATGATTATACACTACTGGTGGGAGTTTAAATGAGCTTAGCCATTGTAGAAAGCAGTATGGAAATTCCTCAAAGAATTCAAAACAGAATTATCATTTAAGCCAGCAGTCCCATTACTGGGTAGATACTCAAAGGAATATAAATCATTCTACTATAAAGACACATGTATGTTCACTGTAGCACTATTCATAATAGCAAAGACATGGAGTCAATCTAGATGCTCATTAATAGTAGATTGGGTAAAGAAATTATGGTACATATATACCATGGAATACTACGCAGCCATAAAAAACAAGATCATGTCTTTTGCAGCAGCATGGATGAAGCTGGAGGCCATTATCCTAAGCAAACTAATGCAGCAGCAGAAAACCAAATACCACATGTTCTCACTTATAAGAAGGTAAACAACAAGAACACATGGACACAAAGAGGGGAACAACAGACACTGGGGCCTACTTGAGGCTAGGGGGTTGGAGGAAGGAGAGGATCAGAAAAAATACCTATCAGATACCGTGATTATTACCTGCATGATGAAATGATCTGTACATGAAACCCCCATGACATGCAGTTTACCTATGTAACAAACCTGCACATGTACTCCTTGAACCTAAAATAAAAGTTAAATTAAAAAAAGGAAAACCAAGGCATATGTCAGTTAAGTCAATTACATAAGAATATAAGCTGGACTGCCATAGGACTGTCCCTCCAGGTCATTTTCCTTGCTCCAAAGAGACCAAAGTCATAAAAAAATTTTTTGTAGTTAAGACAGTGTTTAAAAGAACAAACCAAACACGAGCAGAAGAGGCCAGGAGAACTTTATGCAAACATTGCTTGCAAACTCCTCTTCACCACCTACAGGGGTCTCATCATTTGGTTTCTGCAGGCCCCCAAAATCATTTACCAGAAAAGTGAATGCATTGACTCAAGGAAAGAAATGGTATGTTTTACAGAGTGTAGCTGTTTGCTGTTGTTCACATTTAACTTGAACACATAAAATGAGAATGGTGGAAATTGGAGGAGGTAAAAAAGACAATCACTCAAGGGTCTGCCTGAGGGAAAAGCACTGCAGAGGAAATTAAGGTGAACATAATTCAATCAGAACACAAACTTTTTCCAGCACACTTGGATGTGAAGGTGAATATATGGGTACAACTCAAAAAACAACACCAAAGCAGCTGAATCATGTAGTGTATAAGTCATATTTTTATTCCAACCATCAAATAACTTCCTCTGGGATTCTTTTTATTGAAAATTATGGCCCTCAATAAATCTGACTTTGGCCAAAACATTTTCAGATCACAGTGTTGTCAGAACTCTGGTAAGACAGACTAATGGTTCTTCATTCTGGATTCTTGCCTCATGTTCCTTCATATAGGAATGACATCCTCTCATTCCCAGACAGCCTCTCAAAACATATGGGCTAATCTAGTGGGAAGTCCAATTATCATTTCAAGATTAAATCAGTGCCTAAAGCTCTTGTACCAGAGAATTGGGTAACAGGATATGATAGGTTTTTTTTTTTTTAATTATGTGCTCTTTTATATAATTAATCCGAACCTTGCCCAAACCAGCAACGATCCAAATCTGTTATCATCAAATATCAAAACTCATACCCAAGGTAAAATGAAGTAACTAGGTCTCTTTATCTCTAGCTTGGGACTCATAAAAATTATTTGTTATTATGGTTAAGAGTCAATGTTTTCAGACAGTCCAAAAAGAACATGTACTATTTCTTTAAAAAAAAAAAATCAGAGTTTTTAGGATGGTAAACTTTCACAAAAATGAAATTGTATGCATTCGGTCTTTCATTCATCAAACATTATTAAGTGCAAACTGGGGGCCAGGCACTATTAGTTTTCTTTTATCAATCAATTCACTCTGAAGATTCCAAAGCTTTAACACTGAACTACAAAGCCATTATGTATAGAAAATGAAAATCGTTCTCAGATTATTGCAGGTCAAATATTAAAATAATTGAGGAAACCCTTTAAGAATACACTGAGTTATAACTAATACACTATATAGACTAATTCACTGTGAGAATGAATATAAGAATAGATTATCAAGCAGGTCAGAAAATAAGAAAAAGCTACAGTAGAAGCTTAACTTGGGAAAAAATGTGGCATGGACAAGGCCTCTAACATAGACAGGTCCTTAGCTAACCAGTAATCATATAAAGCCAGAAGACTAAGAGATTACCTGTCACCTCAGTACAGGTTAAGTAACCCTATTCCAAAATGCTTGAAACCAGAAGTATTTGAATTTTGGATTGTGGAATATCTGCATATACATAATAAGTTATCTTGGGGATGGGATCCAAGTCTAAACATGAACTTCATTTGTGTTTCATCTACATCTTATACAGATAGCCTGAAAGAAATTTTATACAATAAATAATCGTGTGCATGAAACAATGTTTTACTGCAGCCCATCACATGAAGTCAGGTGTGGAATTTTCCACTTGAGGCATCATGCCCGTGCTCAAAAAGTTTTGGATTTTGGAGCATTTTGGATTTTGGATTTTCAGATTAGGGATGTTCAACTTGTATACTCAATCCTACTGACTTGTCTAGGAAACAATATTAATTTACAATTTAAAAAATCTTCCATTAGTATGTGATCATCCATATGTATAGAGCTTCTCCTTTGTCTTTATGTAATATATCTATATTAATTACAATTTTATATAGTGAATCATATTTTCAATGAAATAGGGAGAAATTTAAAAATGAAAACTAATCTGTATGACATCTCCATTAAGCTGATCTATAGACACCTCAAACTCAGTATGTTTACACTGATAAAGTTTGGATTTCTATATATTATTTAAAAAGAGGGATCAGACTTTCTATATATTATACTACGCATAATGTACAGTAAAACCCAATGTTAACGTAGCTCATTATATATGCATTCAGTAATACAAAATAAAGATTAGTGGAACAGACTTTTAAGTTGAGGATCAGCGATGACTGAGTTTAACCACCCTTTTCACCTTTCTAGCCCTCTACCTAAGAAATTGTCTATATTTACAATCATTCTTACTTCTTTCTGAATAATATAAGAGAATAAAGTCTCCTTCAGCTGAAGGCAAAACCTTTCTTTGTGTCCATGACCACAGTCCTCTGTGATCTTCCTTCATTAGTTATCCCCTTTCTCATTTTTCTCTTGGATATTTTCACTCTATTCTCTCTGCTGACTCTCCCTCTTCAACCTATAAACATGTTCAAGTCTCTTCCATTCTATGAATATACCCTGCCCCCACCACTATCTCTCTAGTTACCAATCTAATCTCTCTCCTCTCTTTTTCATTCAAAATTCTTGAAAGGAGATATCCACAATAAATCTCAACTATTATTTTGACTTCAGTTCTCTACGATCTAGTTTTTGCCCTTACTGCTCCTTCAATGAAACTGCTCTCAGTGCTCAATGAAGTCACTGATGACCAGAATCTGCAAGTAGATGTCAATCTGAGTAGGCTACGATGCCTGTATCTCATGTGCTTTTATAAGCTTCTGCAGGTGAATGTCCCTCCTTTGGTTGTAACTTGTCTCTAATTCCTAAAGGTCTACTTCTGCTGAAGCACTTTCCCTGAGAATCATAGAAACTGCTAAGTGGGGTTCTGAGGTGAGATGACTGTAAGCAAAGCAATCCCAAACCAATTTGTACAGCCATATAGCACCTAATGCTGGAGTCTCAAGGGGAATCATATTGGTAAACAGCAAATGAGCATGAAGGGGGAACTTTATATGTTCATGATATTGTACATAACCAAGTTTCACAAATAACAAACACCTGAAAATGGACTTTTGTGTACATTTAGTAAGGAGGGGTTTACTGAGCTCACGGTGGCTATTTTCATTACATACATACATACACAAAGAGAATGGATTATCTGTCAACAACTGTCTTTGAAAAATGGAAAGCAAAACATTTTCTACCAGTCAGAAGCACAACAGTGTCACCCTGACTACTCTGGTATTATCTGAGCATCAGGACTGAGTGATGAAATTTTGAACTACCTTTGCTGATCAGTGGAAGCATTTATAAGTTAATAGGAAAGATCATTGGTGTCTTTTCCTCAAAGAATTTCACTGTGTATTACAGTGTATTATTGTTAATGTTTCAAGTCTTAGCAAGTGAAATACTGATTATTCTAAACCTTTCAAAACCAGCGTAAGTAAATCTTACTCATGTGCCAGTGAGAAAATGTGAATTATAAACATCATTTTGGGGCATGAAAAAAAAAAAAACATATTAGGAATAATACTCAGGGGAAAATTTTAACTGTAGGACCAGGGTAGCTTTCCAGTGTAAGTTACAAACGGCAAATAAAAAACTTAAATGTATTCAAATGTATGTGCATCACAGTTCCATCACGTGAACAATGGGTCTCAAGCACCCAGGTAATTTTCTGCTCTCACAAGTAAGTCAGCTAGAAACCAAAGAAGAACAAGAGGAAAACTTAACCCAGAGGAATAAACATCCTACAAGCCATGAACCATGCATGATAAGCTACATAAAATGGGGCTGGCAGGCAGAATCACCGAACAAGCCACAGCAATGGGGCTTTCCCTTAGTCTAGGGACAATATCCACATGGAATCCCTACTACCTCACACCAAAGCTGTGCACTGCTGGCAGCTATCACCCTGCTGGCAGAAATTCACAGAAGCCTTCAATTCTTGATAATAAAATGATCCTCATCTAATTAAAACAAAACGAAAAAACCCCAACAGATTGATACTGTTTTCACAAGTGAAAAGAACCAGAAGATGGCAAAAAAGCATAGAAGAACATCCTCAAGCCATTCCAACTATTATTTTCTTACAAAGTTGGGAAATCACAATTTATCTTTGGTAAACGGCAAATGAGCATGAAGGGGGAAGTTTATATGTTCATGATATTGTACATAACCAAGTTTTCCCTGAGAATATCTAAGTAATTCTTTGGCCTTGAACTTGGCACCTAAGTGAGAGGCTTTTCTGGAGTGCTATATTCACTCTCTAGCATTGTTCTTGCTATATTCAGTCTCCAGCATTGTTCTGCAGTTGTCTACAATGGCATCATCAGTAGTGAAAATTTGGCATATATGATATACCTTCATGGCTTTGCTTCTTCATAGGTGTCACAAAAAATACCCTTAGAGAATGACTGAGGGATAAAAATGATGGATTGCTGTTGATTTCTAAACGTAGCTGGCCTTTCATCGTCTTTAAGATGAAAACAAATCCTTTGAGTTTGAAATGCTAACCTGTATGTACACTGGCTTTTTAGGTTGAACCTAAGAAGATAATAACATTTCCAGCTATGATTCTGAGTTTTCTTCTAATTGTACTTTGATCAAACTTTATGTCAAATAATTTGCCTGCCAAGATAGGCACTTGCTCAAGGTTTCAATTCTTAAAATTATAAGTAAGGATATAAAAGGTGAGGTTTTTAAGATGTTATATTCCTCTTTCTTTTTAAAATCTTTATTTTTTTTCCTGCTTAAGTATTCCTCTTTAATTCCATGAGCTATGTTTTTTGCATTATTTCGCTGAAGAACCTAAAAAGAATAAGTAAATGGGAAAGCAACATGCACCTAAATTCCTTGATGCACAAAGCACACAAGGTTTATAGCTATTTCTTCATTACATTTCTAAGCCTTGCAAATCAATATTAAACATTAATCAATTCACAAAATGTTCAGTTAGGGAGTACCCTTCCCCACAGAAGGTATACATGTAGTAAAGGCCACAGAGTTGGCATTTTTTAAATATCCACCAATGATAAATCATTTTTCAGACTAAATAGTTATTGTCATGCTCTACTATTTTATCTTTTACATTTTCATGGTGCACAGGAAGATTCAATTCTGATGTGACAGACATCCCATAATGACCAACTACATAAAAAGTCAAATTCCTGTAGTATTGTTAGTCTGTTTTTGTCCTTTAGCCCTATCTCTTAGTTTTATTTACCAGAAAAGATTATATCTGGAAAGTTATTTAAAACTATAAATCTGGCTGGGTGTGGTGGCTCACGCCTGTAATCTCAGAACTTTGGGAGGCCGAGGCGGGCAGATCACGAGATCAGCAGATCGAGACCACCCTGGCCAACATGGTGAAACCACATCTCTACTAAAATACAAATAATTAGCCGGGCGTGGTGGCGGGCATATGTAGTCCCAGCCACTCCGGAGGCTGAGGCAGAAGAATCGCTTGAACCCGGGAGGCAGAGGTTGCCGTGAGCCGAGATGGTGCCACTGCACTCCAGCTTGGCGACAGAGCGAGACTCCATCTCAACAAAACAAAACAAACTATACATCTTTGAACAGCTTCTTTTACAAAGGTGACATCGGAAAAAGAAAAGATGCATTAAGGGGGACGAAGGATGTATTACAAGGAGCAGTTGAAATGCAGGTTCCCCCACCCAAAGTACAGTGCTATTTTGGTGCTTCATGTTTGTCTCAGCTCATACTTACAAGGGAAAAGAAACATGAGTTACTAATTTCAAACTTTAAAATGTCAGGAATGTAAAAACTAGAGGTTCCAATTTTTATTTGAAACCAAGGCAATGACTTTTCATTTAAAAGGAAACTAATATATTCAGATAGGTGCAAACTTGTCAAGATGGACTTTTAGTGTTCATTTCACAGATACACAGGTATACAACCCACTATGCAAGCCATGTCACAAGAATGTTTTGTTTCTGTGAGTTCATGAAACTAATGGGTACTCATGTTATGTTTCTGAGAAATAAGAATGAAGCCATGTGTTCAGCAGTGTTTTTGCTACAGTAACAGTTTTTAAACTGCTCTGTGGAATCTCCAAGGTGCCTCACAGGATGCAGCATGCCCGGGCAGGAGGAAGAGGCATGCAGGACAGGGACCCCACCAAAGTAGATCCAATATAATAGGCTTCCCACATACGGCTTTATTTGATGGAGGGGAAAGATTCTGCTATTAAAGTATTTCAGGAACTACACATTTGAAGTTTTAAAAATTATAGAAAACAGTAACACTGAATTCTAAAATAAAGCTTTCATGGAGAAACAGTTCTGGATTGGAATAAAGAGGTGAAAAGAATATATGATGGTTTCTTCAGACAATACTTTGCTTTTATAATTCCCAGTGTGGCTGATTCAATTTTCACCTACTAGTCTTTCTTATTATTTATTCTCAATTGAAAAATAGAGTCAAATAGTGACAACTTGATAAGAATGAATTTCCTTGCCAGATTTATAGAAAAGCTTAAAAATATCTTTTCCAGGATTTCTCTTTATTGCTCTGGGAATTCTCTTCACTATTCTCATGTGCTGAACGACCTGCTTCCTGGATCCCATGTTTTTTCCTTGTTTTTTTGGTGGAACACATTTACTAGTAACTTCCTAAAAAGACATGCATGAAGATAAACATGTTTTAGGTCTTGCATGTCTAAAATGAATTTATTCCATCTTCACATATGATTTCATGGTTTGGCTAGATATAGAACTCTAGGTTGGAAATAATTTCCCCTCAGAAATTTCAAGAATAGCTCTCCTGTCGTACAGCTTCTGCTGTTGATAAATTTGTGGCACTCCAAATTTTTAGTCCTTTGAATGTGATGGTTTGAGGCCAGACACTTGGTAGAGGCTTTCAATCTAGAAATTTAATGTTCAAATCTTGGAAAGAAGTCTTGATAGTTTTCTCTCTTCTGATTTCTTTGTTCCTTCTGAGACCTCTATTAGTCAGATGTTACCATGTCTACAATTCTCATCTCTTTGTCTTTTTGTTTGACTTTCTGGGAGACTTTCAACTTGATCATCCAATTCTTCCATTTATTTTTTATTTCTACCTGAATGTTTTACATTTTCAATTAAGGAACAATTGAGCCTTCTATTTTAGAGCTTCTGGTGCTTGTTTTGTGGCCATATTATTCTTGTCTCTCTTTTCATCTGCTCCCTAATTATGTCTATCCTCCCTGTGCTTGTTTTAGACTGTCTATTTTTAGCTTTTTTCAAATATTAGTGGTCCTTAGTTTTCAATTCATATTTAGGAAAGAGGCATCGAAATACCAATTGGAAACTGTGTGTGTCTATTAATATAAACATAAATTATATATTGATTGTCTAACATACTGGCATTAAGAAAGACAACATACACTCTTCATGGGTGATTAGCTTATAAGCCATGATCAGTTTAAATATAGGGATATATTTAAACATAGCTTTACAGACATACTCAGTTCAGATAGTGAGTCAACTGATTCTTCAAATACCTGTGTAAACTTATGTTTAGGCCCCTTGGAGTTCCTCAAGATGTATCACTACTTAGTAGCAGAAATAAAAGTTCAAAATAATACAGAACTTAGTTATATACTATTTTATGTCATAAAATATAGACAAGTTATTATAATGAAATCTTTTGATACTAATTTGTTTTTATCTAACAGTGTTTGACTTACGTTCTTTTACATATTCAGGCAAGAAATTTACCCTAGGCAAAGTAAATACAATTCTTGCTTTCAATCATAAAACCGCTCCTTAAGGATTCTTTCAAAGTGAATAAAAATATGCCAAAAGGCTAATTTTGCTGTCACTGAAAGATTGTCCTGTCCAAGTGCCAAAAGTAGTGTGACTTCATTTTGAAGGAAAAGGGAAAATATCTAATTTATGATGTGGAACTTCCACAATGGTAAAGTAGCATGTTTACTATACCTAAAGTTCTTTTGCTCCTAAACAGGGAAACTTTGCTATAAATATAAAAGCAAAACCCATTTTCCAGAATTTAATAGTAAATAGGGAGTGAGCTATTATTAAAGAACATCAGAAATAATCTTTGGAAATTTGAAACACAAATAAAATAAAAAGAGAAAACCCTATGAATCTAAATTCTTTCTACTTTTCTTTCTAGTCAGTCTAAGGCATGGTTAAATTCTGTTCTTCAGTTTCCAAAAACTAGTGGAGGGTTTCCTTAAGAACAAGGTAACCACTGCATTGCAGCTCTGAACAACCATTTTATAAAGTTTAATAACATTCTAATAGAATGACTTCTTTCAGAACTCTTCTCAGAATTATGGTCATTTGGGGATGAAGAACGAGAACATGTCAATTGTGTCTTTCATACACTGAATAACAGATATGTGGTGCTACTGTCCTCAGCATTAGACTTCTCAGCCTTATTACCTAAACACTGGGGTCCAATCCTAACTTCAAAGAAAGAGCAAAATAATGAGGTATGCTTATTTCCTAAACAATTATTCTAGTGGACACAGAAACCCTCAACTTTCTAAAGTTGGGTTACTATTTTTTTCTTTTTAATTAACAAGACATGTAAAAAAAGTTAGGAATAAGCTATAGGTGAGAAAGTAGCAATTAACTAAAGAATATGCCGAAATAGGGATATTACACAGGGAGTTTATAAAAAAACATTAGCTTTACACATTTGAAAGTGTAAAACATTAGCTTTACACATTTGAAAAGTAAAAAATAGTATACATCTTTAACAAGGAAAAAATAAAAATAGGATTACAGATGTTTATAAATATAAATCAGATGAAATAAATGCTGCATGTAAACTATGAAATATAGTTTAAAGAACACACCATTAAAACTAAAAACAAGACATATACATGAAACATTTATTATGAGTATTCATAAAATCTATGGCAACACAATGTGAAAAAATTAGGCAAATTGTAGATTTTTTAAACTAGATATCAAATTAAATTTGCTGATTATAACAAAATTTATTTACTGAGCACTTGTTATATGCTTACTAGGATAAGCACCTTATATAAATTATGTCATCTAATCTGGACAACTGTGAAGTTAAGGACCTCTCTTATCCTTATTTACATATGAATAAAAAGGTCACATAGCTAGGAAATGGAAGACTTGGCATTTGGGTTCACAGCTTTCTCATTCCATAACCCAGGGTACTTAACCATAATTCAATTTCATATAGTAAAAAGAGTTCCTAAAAGGAGAAACAGCTTTTACATGTGTATCTTTTCATATACAGATTAGGTTGTTATTAGAAATCAGCCTTCCATCACTTCAAATAACCAAACAAAAATAACTGTCACTATCAGAATCTATGCTACAGAGTTAACAGCATGCTTTGCACATCTCTTTTTTAACATCATAAGCTCCTCTCAGGTTAACAGAACCTAACCCCCACCTCCATTTTATCACTCTTCTGAAGATGAGGAAGCACAGATTAAATGGTTTATATAAAATATTGGAGAAAAAGAATGAGGAAATAGAGAGACTGAGAATTTGGAAGAAGAGAAATAAGGTGGAATGTTAAAATGCTCAAATCGGCATTATCATTGGCTTGAGTAATTCTCCACAGATACAGATTTACTCTGGATATCAGCCTTGGGGACTAGATTATCTGGTAGGTCCTGACTAACTTGTTCACTGGATATACTTCTTCCCTATAAAAAGGCTTCCATGTTTGGGTGTAAAAAGTTCTATTAAGTTTGTTGCTAACCAGCCTCTCATTCATATCCATTTCCTTTCTGACTAATACTTCTTGTAAACTCACAGCACTTTTAAATACCTGGCATAGAGTTAGCAATACAGGTATGGCAGCACAAGGTGTTCTGGAGTATGATTAGCTTTGGTGTAAACATCCTATCTAAAATAGCCTTCAGGTAAGCTGAATGTACTTTTGTTGCCAATTTAAGCAGAAGGTGAAGTTTGGAAATACAGAGAATCTCCATACACTGTAAGTACATTGTATCTCCATACATTGAAGTTTTAAAAATTGTTAAGTTAAAATGAACAATATTATAATTTTGCAACCTTCATTTATTTTCCCAACAAAGAGTTTAAGGAAAAAGTCGGCTGCTGTATATTTCCATTCTATAACGCTTTTTATCCAAGTATCCCCAAAATCATAGATAGTGAACTTGATTAGCTGTTCTTAAGGAAGTTGAAAAGCATAACAACCAAAGATCTCAGGGTAAAAAAATCACTAGGCCTTCAACTCTCTGAGCATGTAAAATTTTCTTTTCTACTTAGTGGAAAACTGTTAAAGTTTGCTAAGGAGAATTTTATTAAAATCCAAGTTCTGTGCACTGTCAGAGTCATTTAAGGTCCCCATTCTTCTGGTGCCATAATTAATATCTTTTGGCCACAGAAGAAAATATTTAGAGGCATTGACTAAGATCCCAAGATCCCAGCTTTCTGGACAGACTGTAAGAGAAGCATAACCATACTACATATCCCTGGAGGTCCAATCCCTAAGGGATTCCTTATACAATTAATTTAATTTATGACAGGTATATAACCACACAGATTTTTAACACTTGAAAGGATTATAAAAAGACCATCTTCCTATCCCCTTATTACAAGATGAAAGTGAGTTCTACAAATGATAAATGATTTGGCTAAACTCATATTGTTCTAGGTGGCCATGATGGGTCTTGGCTTTTACCAAATTTCTTCACTTAGCATGTAGATCATAAAATGCTGAAGAAGGGAAAAGGGGAGTGGTACAGGACTAGCTCAAAAGTTACAGTCCTAAATATCTACTTTTAGCACATGCTGATTTTTGCTCTGAAAGATCCCTTCATAATTCATTTACAACAGAGAGCCATATTTTAGCCACTAAACAGGTGCAGAGATTGTGCTTTTGTCCTTAGAGTTTATATTCAAAGTTACATAATATGGCTCAGAGGATATAATCCACCTTACTTTTAATATTCTAGCAATTTACAACAAGTGCTGTACCTCATGGCAGGTTAAAGTTTGCACAAAAGACCTTTTATTATTATTTTCATTTTTTATTTCAATAGGTTTTTGGGGAACACATGGTGTTTGGTTACATAGATAAGTTCTTTAGTGGTGATTTCTGAGATTTTGGTGCACTCATCACCCAAGCAGTGTACACTGTACCCAATGTGTAGTCTTTTATCCCTCACTCCCCTCACACCCTTTCCCCCAAGTCCCCAGAGTCCACTGTATCATTCTTATGCCTTTGCATACTCATAGCTTTGCTCCCACTTATGAGTAAGAACATAAGATGTTTGGGTTTCTGTTTCTGAGTTACTTCACTTAGAATAATGGTTGCCAATTCCATCCAGGTTGCTGCGAATGCCATTATTTCGTTCCTTTTTATGGCTAAGTAGTATTCCATGGTGTATATATATGCCACAATTTCTGTATCCACTTGTTGATTGATGGGCATTTGGGCTGGTTCCATATTTTTGTAATTGTGAATTGTGCTGCTATAAACATGCATGTGTAAGTATCTTTTTCATATAATGACTTATTTCCTCTGGGTAGATACTAGCAGTGGGATTGCTGGATCAAATGGTAGTTCTACTTTTAGTTCTTTAAGGAATCTCTACACTGTTTTCCATAGTGATTGTACTAGTTTACATTCCCACCAGCAGTGTAACGATGTCCCCTTTTTAGCACATCCACGCCAACATCTATTATTTTTTGATTTTTTGATTATGGCTATTCTTATAGGAATAAAGTGGTATTGCACTGTGGTTTTGATTTGCATTTTCCTGATCATTAGTGATGCTATTTTTTCATATGTTTGTTGGCCATTTCTGTATCTTCTACAAAAGACATCTTTAATAGTCCCAATTTATTTTTATCCAAGGGCTCATGAGGTAAATGTTAAAGTTACAGAAAGTAGTTTATATATTTGAGATGTAAAATCTCCATTTGTTTATTTAGTGACAATAACTCTATATAAGGTGCTATGCTAGGCATTGTGAGGGAGATAAAGGTGGAGAAGACAAAAATAAGACACCTTGTACAGATGTAAAGCTTGTATCTACAAAAGGGTGCCCAGCCAAGGGGGGCAAATAGGGGCTGAAATGTTGCTCATGCTCTGACAAGCTTTTTGCTGTAACAAAAAGCTGTCACCAAGTGGGGTGAAGGAACACCTTTTTCTAATTCGTGTAATGGTGCTTGGAAGGCTAGCTAGTGGTGGCTTTGGACACAAATGCCACAAATCTTTCAATAATACAAATCTGACCACAACAGTGATCACATTTTTCAATGGTTTTCCATTGCTGAAAGGAGAAAAGCAAGTTCGGATGATATTCAAGTTCCTTCATATTTAAGTCTGACCTACTTTTTCTGCTTCATCCCCTACTACTTCTACATGAAGACTCTTTCTGCCAATCATATTCAAACTTTAACTGATTTTAGACCACACCATGTTCTTTCATTCATCTCTGCCTTTCCATCTGCCCATCAAAACTCAGAAAAAAATTCTTCTGGGTATCATCTATCTCATTTAATCCCAGGTAGTGTGAGTTACTCCTCCTCCTTTCTCCTATAGCATTCTGCACATCAGTAGATCATGCCACATAAATACATTATATAAAACTTCGTTGTTTATACTTTTCATTCTAAATTGCAAACATTATTCACAATACCTAGGAAATAAAAGAAATTAATTGATAAAAACAAGGTTCCTAACTTTAGGTAGCTTATACTTTTTTGGAGAAGATGAAAACAAGGTAGGTAAAGACAATTACTGTAAGAGAAAAAGGTATAAAAATGGTACAGATGTTTCATAACTGCTGTTTAGTTTGCTAAGTCACTATTCACAGGAATTGACAAACTTTTATCAAATATTCAGAGACGTCAAAGGGAACTATGAAAGTTTCAAAGAACGTTGTGTTGACACAGAGGCATTAGGAGATCGTGGAGTCCTTCAAGTGGAACTGAGAGACCTGGTTTCTGGTCCCAGGTTTGTCACTTATTTGCTGTGGGATCTCAGACAAGCCAATTTCTTTTGCTTGACTTTAGTTCTTTCGCTACAGCACTGCTCTCATAGAGTTAGGGTACTCAAATAGATAATGTATATGAAAATATGATTAAAACTAGAAAGTGCCACTTCAGCAAATGTTAAAACTGACATTTTTGGTTGGTAAAATGACTTAGAATCAATACATAAATGTACCACCCATCTAATATTAATGCCCACCGAGTGTGTGTGAGACAGCTGTTTTGCCAGACTTTAAGAAGTACAAGAACTGATCTCTGCCCTAGAGAATCTGTGTTTGGGGAGATGAGGCAGCTGCTCATATTAAAATATCTACAGAGGCCAGACACAGTGGCTCAGGCCTGTAATCCCAACACTTTAGGAGGCTGAGATAGGAGGATTGCTTGAGGCCAGGAGTTTAAGACCAGGCTGGGCAACATGACAATGTCTACAAATTTTTTTAAAAAAATTAGCTGGGCACAGTGGCATGCACCTCTATTCTGAGCTACTCAGGAGGCTTGGGCAGGAGGACCACTTGAGCCCAGGAGTTCAAAGTTGCAGTAAGGTATGATCATGACACTGCACTCCAGCCTGGGCAATAGAATGAGACCCTGTCTCTAAAAAAATAAAATAACTACAAAATATGGTAACAGCTAAACAAGGAAAACAAAAATAAGTGTAAAAGAGTACAAAAGAATAGGCTATTTATTGGTGGGGTGGTCATTATGGTTTAATGACAAAGTAGTTATTTCAGTAGGTCGTGTAAGGAAAGAATATAGTTGTCCCTTGGTATCCAAGGGCAATTGGTTCCAGGAGCCCCTTAGATACCAAAATCCAAGGATGCTGAAGTCCCTTATATAAAATGGCATAGTATTTGCATATAACCTGTGCACATCCTCTTGTATACATCATCTCTAGATTACTTATGACAACTGACATAATGTAAATGCTATATAGTTGTCATGCTATATTTTCAAATTTGTACTTTTTGTTGTTGTATTGTTATTTTTTGTTGCTTTTTTCTGATATTTTCTATTCCCAGTTGGTTGAATTTGCAGATGGAACTTGCAGATACAGAGCACTGAGTATTTTGAAATTCTGGGGCACAGATACAGAATTTTAGTGTAAAGACACAAGGAAGAATAGAGAGATAGCAAAGAAGATCTCAAATATAGTAGACTACTTGGTGATAGCAGCATGTTTTCATAGGGCAGTTTCTGATTAGGCAGGAAAAGTAGGTTGCAGACAGTCCATAGCAGCAGTCCCCAACATTTTTGGGACCAGGGACTGGTTTTGTGGAAGACAATTTTTCCACAAATGGGGTGGGGGGATGGTTTCGGAATGAAACTGTTCTCAGGCGTTAGATTCTCATAGGGAGCACACAACCTAGATCCCTCGCACGCATAGTTCACAATAGGGTTCGTGCTCCTATGAGAGTCTAATGCCACTGCTGATCTAACAGGAGGCAGAACTCAGGCAGTAATGCTCACTTGTCTGCCACTCACTCATGCTATGCAGTACTGGTGCTGGTCCGTGGCCAGGAGGTTGGGGACCCCTGGTCTGTAGGAGAGTGCTAAGTACTGTGCTGCTCTGCTTCACTTTGGAGACAAGTACACTGCTGCTAGCTGCTTTCTAACAATAATAAGTAGAGCGCTTAAGACCAGGTCAAATGGTCCTTCCTTAGAATCCTTATTCCTATCTCACATGTGTTGTTTGACTGGTCAGATGAACAATCTATGCCAGATTCTAATACAATGACTGATATTTTAGTTTGGGGAATACTATCACAAGAGATTTCACATAAGAAGAGTACAGACATTTTAAGTGGCTATAATTGCTCCTTCTGTTTTCACTGTGTGGGAGAAAAAGAGATGTCAGAAAAAACGTTAATCAGTGAGACAGAAAAGTAATTTAAGGCTCTCCTTTTATTAGCTATAATAGCTCAAGCATAGTGAATAGGACCCTTCTTGAATTAATGAGGCAAACTAGAAGGTGATTTTTTAAATGTCAAGCTGGCATGAAGATCTTGTGCTATTATTAGACCCAGGAAGGCATAGACTACAAAACAGAATTCAGGGCATGACAGATCATTTAAAAATAAAACAAACAGACTAAGTTTACATGAAGTTAAAGCTTTTTGAAAACTCAGTGTGAAATGTATTTAACTCTAATGAATTGCTTTAAAAAGATCTTCTAGAGCTACATTCATAAGATTGCAATAAAAAAACCACTATAGTAAGCAAATTTTTACATTTTAAAGAAAAGAAGGTGTTTTTTTTGCTCCTGACTGCCACATCATGAGTTGCATGCCTGCTCCCAGGAAGGGCCTGTCCCAATCGGCTCCTCCCTGTCACTGCAGTGTCCCCACTTGGCTGAAGCTGGCCTCTGAAGATGTAAGGGAGGAGATTTACAAACTGGCCAAGAAGGGCCTGACTCCCTCACAAATTGGTGATCCCAAGGGATTCACTGAAAGGAGGATAATATCCAAATTCAAATAAAAATTCAACCCCAATTTTACAGATATCAGTCTTTGGCCTATGTCAGCAAATTCTGATACACAGAAGAAATTATGCATCTTACTCATCACCTGTGTTCCCAAGCATAGGGCATATGGGGTAATGAGCCCAGTTATTGCTTTTTTTTGTAAATATATTTGTGACAGTTGATTTTCTGTTACAGATAAAACTCTTCCAAAAGTAACCAGGATAATTTGATAAAAGATAAATGAATAAATGAGGTGGAATTGCTACAAATAACTTAAAAAACAAAAATCAGAGCAAAAGAAAACAATAGTGATAACCAAAAAGACTTACTTCCTCCTGAGAGAAATTCCCTTCTGCTTTTAAATGGCACATGTTTTTTCATTAACTGACAGCTACAGTCAAGAAGCCAGGACAATGAGGGCCATAGCCACAGGGACAATGAGTGGCAGGTGGCAGAGATGGCTAAAAGACGCAACCTGCTTCAGTCTCCCCTCAGAGGCTGCTCCCTAACGGCTGTATTCCCCTTCCAGCTGGTGACAGACTTCCTCTTGAGAGCCTCCTGAGGCTTACAAAAGTGTTTCAATTCTCTGTATACCCTCTCCACGAAGGAAAAATGGAGTAACTTTGACCAGAAGGAGCTATTTCAAACACTGAGCTGGTCTAAGCTTTCATAGAACAATGCTGATTGGGCAAAATAAATAACCAAGTGAAAAGAAAATAATTTTTTAAAGTAACCTCTTCTCATCCCTGCCATTAAAAGTACCAGTGGTGGGCACAGAGGCTCATGCCTGTAATCCCAGCACTTTGGGAGGCCAAGGTGGGCGGATCACCTGAGGTCAGGAGTTCAAGACCAGCCTGGCCAATGTGGTGAAACCCTGTCTCTAATAAAAATACAAAAATTAGCTGGGCGTGGTGGTGGGTGCCTGTAATCCCAGCGACTTGGGAGGCTGAGGCAGGAGAATTGCTTGAACCCGGGAGGCGGAGGTTGCAGTGAGCCAAGATCGTGCCACTGCACTCCAGCCTGGGATACAAGGGCGAAACTCTGTCTCAAAAAAAAAAAAAAAAAAAAAAAAAGTACCAGTATCATTTCCATCTTAATCATCCTCTACAACTTTTTCACTAAAAATAAAAAATGCTCACTACACTTCAACATTTTGTTTCTAAAAAACAATTAGAGTGCCAGGAAATTCCTCGTCTCTGGCTTTCCTGCCCAAATTCTTGTTCATATAGCTAATAGTATACACTTAAATAAAATTAATTTTATATAATCTTGAATATAATATACTATTCTCTTGTGAGGACAATAAATTGATAGTAGTTTCATTTTTATACCCAAAGTGGCCAAAGAGACACTCCAACTCTGAGAAAATGGCTGTGTCTACAGCAGGGAGTTAGAGGGCTCCTCTTGTAACAAATGAGAACTGAAGTCTATTTTTCCTAAATCTAATTTAAAAATCTTTTTTCCCCACAGTTTATCAAGTGCTTGTTAAACACACACCATGTAGAAGGTTCTGTGTGAAGACAGAGAAACAGAGAGAGAGAAATGAAACCTTTTATCTTAAGCATTACTTAACGTCTCCTAAATCTCCTGTTTATTAACTTTAAGACTTTTAAAGAAATAATAATTTTCCTAAAACAACTGTGTGAACTGCCTACCTATTCAGACCAAAACAAAACAAAACAAAAACCCTCAACAGGGAACAAACCTGCCTCATCTAAATTAGAAACCACAGAACTACTAAGATGTAGCTGTTAGCAAAATTTCTATGAAGTTGTAATAATATACTAATTATAAATAGGACCACAATGGGATGCCCTCCCCAATCCAAGCATTATGGAACACAACAATATAATTTGAGGAAAGATAGAATTTTCTGCTACTTTTCCTGTGACGATTTTCAGAAGATCTCATATAAAAATTAATCATAAATGTGCTTACATGTTAGATTAAATAAGAAGTGCACTACATAAGAATTAGCAAGCCAGTACAATAATTGCTGGCACCAAATGAGGTTTTTTTCCTTTTAGCCAGATAGAATCTCACTGGGTTTTATTTTTGTTTTGCACTTCGATGTTACTACCATGAATTACTTCAAAGTGAGAAAGGCATATTTATATCTTGCTAACTGCTCTTCTAGTTTACTCGGCTCAAGTGAGAGATTTATGGTTTCTTCGTCTTCCTCTTGCTGTTTCCTGCAAATTGCCATATCATCATACAAGATGCCAGCCCTCGTCTCAAATCAAAAACTGAATTCTAGAAATGTTGGAGCAGTCAGTTAACCATAACTGTATGTTCATTTTAACTTTATGGATGGTCATAAAGATCACTGTTTCAGAGGAGTTAAAGGTGAGCGCACTTCAACTGCTTCTCAAGCTACTTTCCACATGGCTTTTTATTCCAGTGGACTTGAAAAATATAAAGGAGGAAAATCAAATACAAATACTCCTCAACTTATGATGGGGCTATGTCCTGGTAAACCCATCATCAGTTGAATATGTCTAAGTCAAAAATGCATATATGTTTTTGACTTACGATATTTTCAACTTGTTATTTTCAACTTAAGATGGATTTATCCAGATGTAGCTGTATTGTAAGTTGAGGAGTGTACTGAGTGTGTACCACTTTTGCACCATTGTAAAGCCCCAAAATCTTAAGTCAAACTGTCATAAGTTGGGGACTGTCTATATCTATATCTATGGTTCTTGGGGCAAAACAATGAATAGATCTGGGATTTATTTTGGTTGTTGTTATTAGCTATGACTGCATGATACACTAAGTTCAGTTCCAAATAGACTCTCGGAGTACCACTAATGATCTGTCATATGGTAATCTCTTCGGTGTTTACATAAGACGAATGAAAACAATAGCAAGCAAAACAGAATGTGGAGTCCTAGCCTACTGAGTAATTCAGAATAAAAATAATCTGTAACCTTGTACTTAAAAAAATATTAATCTCCCATTAAAAGTCTACATCATTGGTGTGACAGATGCTATTTCTGTGTCGAGGTACATAGTTGGTCCTTTCCTTAAGAAATGCAGCTAGAAAAGTTGCAGAATTATTTCATGGAATTTTATTTGGTAAATAAAAATAGCATAAGTAAAGAGTTGGTAAGGAGAGAAAAAATGTTAATCTGCCATACATAAAAGTCATTTTCATATTTTCACAGAGGTCTTGCTGTTCTTGTCAAGAGTTTATCTTCAGAGGTAAGGGCAGATGGTCCCTTTTACTGTGAGAGAATGTTTAATACAAAATTAGACTGAGATAACTTGCCAAAATGACAAAAAGATGATAATGATACAATCTGTTTGCTTTGCCCTTTATACTCATGATATCCTAATTTTATTTCTATGCTCTCCATGAGGAAACAGGAGGGAAGGTAGTAGTATCATTTCCATTTGATGGGTAAAGAACGCAAAGTTAGAGAAGTGTGTGATTGGTTAGAAACTGCTGTATTAAGAAGCCCAGTGGAAGAATCTACTTCTAGTCTAGTGTTCTTCTCACTATATTATGCTATTCCTCTGAAGACTACATTTTGAGAAATAATAGGAGCAAGTAAAAAACAATTGTGATATAATAGAAGCCACGTAAAGTGCAATTTAACTTAGTGACTATGTCATGTACTGCACTTCCTGTTTCAAGATTTCTTAGTATGGTCATTTAAAACACCTCAGGGCAAGCAATTTATTTTGCTTAATGACCCTGAGCCACCGCTTTCCTCCCACTAAGGTATTTTGAAGGGAACTATCTTACCTCTGCTCCTGAGTATGCGTCGGTTTGAAGGATGAGTTCATCCAGGTCAACTTCATTACTGACAGGCATGGAGTGAAACTGCAGCTTAAATATTTCCCTTCTTGTTGCTGCATCCGGTAAAGGCACATAGATGATTCTATCAATTCTTCCAGGCCGCATCAAAGCCTATAAAGAAAATGAGGCAACATGAATTAACTGGGCTCAGAACTGACATTCCATCTCAAAGATACCTAGGGAAAGATGTCTGGAATTTCACGAACAATCCACTATTATTCGTAATTGGTAAATAAAACAAGTACCAGAGATTCCATAATCTATGTCACCGATACAAACAATGTCAAGAGTACTTTTGAAAATAGAAGGCTGGGCGCGGTGGCTCACGCCTGTAATCCCAGCACTTTGGGATGCTGAGGTGGGTGGAGCAGGAGGTCTCTGTCTCAAAAAAAAAAAAAAAAAAAAAAAATAGAAAAGCAGTACTTATGGGAGGTTTGCCCTTCTCAGCAATTATCAGGTGAATAAAAGATGACTATTCTCTTTTCAAAAATGTGCAAATAATTTGCACTCATTATATCAAAAGGAATTTTTTTTGTAACTTCCTTAAATAACTACTAAAATATGGTTTAAGGACAGGTATGGTGGCTCACGCCTATAATCCCAGCACTTGGTGTTTTTTTTTTTTTCTTTTTGAGACAGAGTCTCACTCTGCCACCCAGGCTGGAGTGCAGTGGCGCAGTCTCAGCTCACTGCAAGATTCTCCTGCCTCAGCCTCCCTAGTGGCTGGGACTACAGGCACATGCCACCACACCTGGCTAATTTTTAGTAGAGACGGGGTTTCACCATGTTGGCCAGGCTTGTCTCGAACTCCTGACCTCAGGCGTTCGATCTGCCTGCCTTGGTCTCCCAGAGTGCTGGGATTACAGGCGTGAGCCACGGTGCCCGGCCAATCCCAGCACTTTGGAAGGGCAAGGAGGGCAGACTGCTTGAGTCCAGGAGTTCGAGACCAGCCTGGGCAACATGACAAAACGACATCTCTACAAAAAAATACAAAAATTAGCTGGGCACGGTGGTGCATGCCTGTAGTCCCAGCCACTCAGGAGGCTAAGGTGAGAGGATCACTTGAGCCCAGGAGGCGGAGGTTGCAGTAAACCAAGATAGCACTACTGCACTCCAGTCTGGGTGACAGAATAAGACTCCATTTAAAAAAAAAAATCTGTAGCCATATATATATATCTGTATCTATATCTGAGTTAAGCTGTTAGCTGTTTCAGAGATCCCTCAAAATAGCAGAGTTCTAATAAAAGAATAGTTCTAGAGCTGAATGCAGTCAAATGAGCCTTCTTAATATTTTACTAGAGGCTAATGCCTACATTATTTTACAACTAATGGATTCACTTATTCAGAAAAATTTGGTGAGCATGTATTACATCCCAGACATTGCTCTTGGTAATAGGAGAAAGCATGAATAAGATGTGTACAATTGACTATGGTGATGGTTATACATATGTGTGAATATACTAAAAATCAATGAATTAAATATTTCAAATAGTGAATTTTATGGTATGTGAATTATCTCAAAGTGGTTAAAAAGAGGTATGTGTCTAAATCTCTCTCTGTGTGTATCTACAGAGGCAATGTGGCAACTTTTAGCAACTTCTAAAAAGAACAAATTGGAAAAATTTACACTACTTGACTTCAAAACTTATAATGCTAAAGAAACAAGATAGTGTGAGAGTATCTAGAGGATAAAGATACGGATAAATAAAATAGAAAAAGGAAGTCCATACTGATTTTAAGGCACTCAAAAAGGAAATTATCTTAAGAAATGGTACTGTGAATACTAGAAATCCATATGAAAAAAATGAACATTGACCCTTACCTCACACCATACTGAAAAATAAACTTGAAATGTATGAGCTAAAACTACAAAACTTCTAGAAGTATAAAAGAAAAACATGGACAAACTGGTCTTTACAAAAATCAAAACAAAATTTCTCTTCAAAAGGTACCTTTAAGAAAACGAAAAGACAGGTCACAGACTGGGATAAAATATTCACAATATGCATATTTGCAAAGGGCTTGTATCCAAAATATATAAAGAATCCTCATAATTCAATAATAAGAAAATAACCCAAAGTAACTGGACTAAAAATTTGAACATACTTGCTAACCACACAGCTTCCTTTGTGAGGTAAGTATGTGAAAAGATACTTAACATCATTAGTTATCAGATCAATGCAAATTTAAGCCACAATGAGATACCATTACATTATAAGAATGATGAAAATTAAAGACACTAACAATACCAAAGACCGATCAAGGACATGGAGCAACTAGAAATTACATACACTGTTAATGGGAATATAAAATAGAACAACCACTTTGGAAAGCTATTTGTCAGCTTCTTAAGAAGTTAAACCCACCACATCATAACAACCCAATTATTGTGAAATAATCTAGGTAGTTACCTAAGAAGAAAAAACCCATATCTACACAAAGACTTGTATATGGAAGTTCACAAATTTTATTTTTTTGAGACAGAGTCTCACTCTGTCACCCAGGCTAGAGTGCAGTGATGTGATCTTGGCTCACTGCAATCTCCACCTCCTGCACTCAAGTGATACTCTCTTCTCAGCCTCCCAGGTAGCTGGGACCACAGGTATGCACCACCATGCCCAGCTATTTTTTTTTTTTTTTTGAGGTGGAGTTTCGCTCTTGTTGCCCAGGCTGGAAGTGCAGTGGTGCAGTCTTTGCTCACTGCAACCTCTGCCTCCTGGGTTCGAGCAATTCTCCTGCCTCAGCCTCCCAAGTAGCTGGGATTACAGGCGCCCACCACCACGCCTGGCTAATTTTTTGTATTTTTAGTAGAGATGGGGTTTTGCCATACTGGCCAGGCTGGTCTTGAACTCCAGACCTCAGGTGATCTGCCTGCCACGGCCTCCCAAAGTGCTGGGATTACAGGCTTGAGCCACCGTGCCCAGCCCCAGCTATTTCTTTTGTATTTTCAGTAAAGATGGGGTCTTGCCATGCTGCCCAGGCTGGTCTCAAACACCCATGTCCAAGTGATCCACCCACCTTGGCCTCCCAAAGTGCTGAGATTACAGGTGTGAGTCACTGTGCCCAGCCCACAGTAGCTTTATTCACAATAGTAAAATTGTAAACAACCCAAATGTCTACCAACTTATGAGTGAATAGTCAAAATATATAATGGAATACTACTCAACAATAGAAAGGAAATACTGAACACTCAACAATGTGCATGAGTCTCATCATGCTGAGTCAAATAGAACAGACATAAGAGAGTACATACTGCATTTATATAAAATATTTACAAAGTCCAATCTAATCTATAGTAGCAAAAAGCAGACTAGTGGTTGACTGCAACCTGAGGAAGAGGGAAAAATGGACTGCAAAAGGGCAAAAGCAATCTTTTGAGGGTGATGGGGATGTTCTGCACCTTAATTGCAGAGGTGGTTTCACAGGTTTACACAAGTCTAAATTAATTGACTTGTACATATAAGTTGATACAATTATTGTGTGTAAACTGAAACTAAATAAAAGGGATTAATAAAGAGTAGTAACTTGCATTTGTTAGACTCCCAGTATTTATAAATCAGTAAATTTAAAGAGGAATAAAGATATTTTAAAATTTTCTCTATCTGGAAAGATTATCTTCTTTGACTAAGCAGTTTGGAAAAAATCACGTAAGAAGTCATGTAAGAGAAAGAATACTTATTTAACAAGCTGTGACAGATCAATTTCTATGATTTAGCCATGAATTTGGTGACATATATTACAACCATTTCACAATCTCATAGTTAATTTGTTTTATTTTTGTTTGTTTTGTTTTGTTTTAATGTACTTCACCATGTTCATACTTAGAGTTCCAAACAGACTGTTCAAATCCATGGGGTCATATCATCATATCTCATACCAGTGCTTTATAAAATACTCGAGTGAATGTTAACAAATGTAATGGAAAAAAGGGTTTTCTTGTTAAATAAATTTGGATAACACTGTGTAGAAACAAAATAAAAGGTTTGTATAGGTTTCTATATGAAGGAATTTTTGGAAATTATATTAATGGGTAATAAAAATATCTAGGAGAAACCTATGGTAGTATGTAAAAATTCTATTTTAAATTCCCAAACTCTAATCATGGAACATCTCAAAAACTAATATTTCTTTTCCACTTTGGAAAATGCTGTTGTATACTTTTTGTATATGTTATAATACCTAGAAGAGGGTGATTGTCTATCAAATATATATCAATCAATCCTTAACTTACGTACAAATTAGCTGGCAAAAATTCAATTAGGAAAATCATAAAATAAATATATTTCCCTTGCTTAAAAATGAGTGTTTTAATTCTTTGCAGACAATTCTGTACACCTTAAAATGTATTTTATCAAAGAATTCAAAACTCCATTTCAATCATGGAAATCACTTCTTTCTACCTAAAACAAATACAGGACTTAGGAAATAAAGATGATTTCAGTAAATACATATTTAAAAAATTGAAAATGTTATCTAAGACAAATAACATTAATATTTATATAGCACTTAAGGATCTATGAAGCATCTTTCACATACTGTAGCTCATTTAATATTCCCCCAAATTTTGGGAATTAGATATTATTATATCCTTATTAAGACAAAGAAAATGAGGCCCAAGGTCGTACAATAACTTACAGAAACTGCGCTGAAATCTGGGGTTTCTAAATGTTGAAGCAGTCCTTTTTAATTTTACTATTTTGACACTACATGATACTCATTATTGATGAACAAACAAAATTCTCTTTCTGAAATATAACTAACAAACTTCAACAATTCTCTCATCAAAAAAATTATTAAGCATCTACTATATGCCAGATTGATTTACTTGCTGGGGATACAGCCTTGGAGAGCTTGGTTATTTTTTTAAAGTTGAAGTTGTCCTTTTCACCCTATTGGAATAATAAATTCTAGGCTATTTTAAAATTTCCTTTCTAATAGTTGAAAGAACACAGCAAAGGATATACAGCATACATGTCAGCTAAGTCACTGGAACACTCAGCATACATCTGTGTGTGCTTATTTATTTATTTTTTTTAGCTGTAGCTATCCTCAGGCAGTGCAGGTTGAGTATACTTCAATGATTATTATAACATTGTCTGGGCCAACAGCCAGCTAGGCTTTTTCTGGCCTGGTCTTGTCAGTGAAAGTTATGCTTAAAAAATAGTAGGAAAGAGCCTTCCTTCCTGTAGAACTCTGAATGAGTAAACACCCTTCCTAGAATTTCTTTAAAAATACTGTTTTGGGATATTAGGGTGGAAGAATGTATTCTGAATAATAGCATGTTCTATTATTATTAAAATCACTATATGACAACTCAATGAAAAAAGAAGCCAAGGCTTTCTAATATTCTGAACCCTATGGCTCCAAGGCCATGTTGGATATCGTGGTCTGTCCATTAAAACTTTATTAAAAAACACAAATCATAGAACAAACTCCCTTTCTGAGAAGTTATTCAAGACCTTGGGCAAGTCTCTACATCTGTAACAGCCTCAGTTTCCTCATGTGTGAAAATGAAGGCGGCTCTTTAATTACAGGTGCCTATGTGCATTTGACAGAAATTCCCCTCAAACTATACATACAAAAAATACTCCCAATTTTGCAAATAATTCCAGGGAGTTCACCTGAACTCTGCTTGTGTGCTCCAGACTAAAAATTATCGTATTGGATGACCTTTTAAATGGGCCTTCCAGCCCCCAGTTCTAGGACCCCCTGCCATTCTTATATAACAAAATATCCACAGCTTACACTGCATAGTCATTACTGTAAACATGTTAGTTTATTATGAAACCAATATCCTTCTTTTCTTCTGACCTTTATATCAAGGACTCAAAACATCTGGTATTTCACATGAAGGAGTCTTAACTATCAAACCTTATACCACAATTATAAGGCTGCCTTTTCTTTTTTATAAATTCTGAAATTCAACACTTATAGTTTCATGTTCTATCAAATGCTCAAATCTAATTTCATTAACATAGAAATACTTGTTCAGACAAAAGTATTAAAATAGACACCTTGAAAAATCAGGTCCCATTGGCTCCCATTCATTTAAAATAATCAACAAGGGTGTGTATGTGTATATAGGGAGTGCCTTCCTCTAGGAAAGGAAAGCAGCACTGAGCCTTTATACTTTAATAAAAACATATCAATGAATCATGATTCATGGAGAGAATAGTTCCAGAAACCAGGGAGAAAGGTGGATCTTTGGTAACGGCTCTGAATTATCTCAAAGAAACCTTGGATTTATTCTAGGTATCTATTTCTTCCTCTAAATCCAACTAATGCATAGACCTGGCTAACACTACTTAAATCTCTCTTAAACCTGTCACTTCTACCCATTCTTCTTTATTGTGTATTTGTGTGTTTGTTTACTGTCTGTCTTTCCCAACAGATTGTAGACTGTATGTAATGGCAGGAATCATATTCATTTTATTCAACACTGTAAGCTCAGCTATGGCACATATAAGGCACCCAATAAATGTTTACTCAGTGATATCAAGCCAACACAATCATTTGTCTAGAATATCATAACTGCTGTGCTAGTTGTTTTTCTGCCTGCAGTCTTATTCTTTCCTTCTTTTTCCTTGCTTTATCTACATCATGGCTAATGTGATCATTTTAACTGCAAATACCTTAACTTCCTATTTTCTAATCATTTAATTGCACATCAAAGAAAAAAGTCCAAGTTCAAGTATAGCATTTCTCACCCTGTGAGAAAAGAAAAGGAGCTGTAGATAAGATAGGAGTTACACTAAAATCATAGAAACTTGAAATGCTATACTTGAACTTGGACTTGCTTAGGAGCACCTAAACACCCAGTTAGTAAAACTCACCACGCTGCTTTCTGCCTCCCTGTTTTCGCACATATTTCTCCCTCTGCTCAGAATGACATTTTATCTCTTTGTCTATCAGGGAAGCTCCACTTCTTGTTCAAGTCTCAGCTTAAAAGTCTTCTCTTTTATTGAAACTTCTATGACTCTTCCAAGTACATAAATGAATTTTAAACTTGTAATTTGGCATACAAGGTTAAAAGTGAGGGCAAAAGAATCAGCTTAGCTGGAGGAAAATTCTAGCTCAAAAACTTATTAGCTGTGTGTTTGGACAAATCAGCAGGTGTTTTTATATCTATATTGATATAATGTGCTTAGCTCAGTGTTTGGCATATGGCATGTATGCTTCAGTAAGTATTAAATGCTATTATAGTGATTACTCTTCTTGTATAATTATCCTCAGTACTTGATTATGAGATCCTTGAACATAGGCAATGTTAGCAATCTCTGAATTCCTAATATATGGCAGATGTTAATGTTCTTTGAATAAATGGAACAATGAGCTACGAGGTTAGAATAATAGATTGAAAAGTCAAGTCAAAATACAGATTCTTGATTTTTATTTCTAAATCTCAATATTTAAAAAGAATTGATATTCAGCAATTCTCTACTTGCCCCCTTCTCTCCCTGCTTCTTACCATAGCCTCTGAAATGCTCAATTCATAACCCTTTCCTAATAGATAGAAGAAACATGCTTGTCTGCACAGAAACCTGATAGAGGGATCAGCTCTTACAGAGGCCCAGAACATTCCTGTATATATTAAATCTTTCCATGTGTGGGTTCACATTACTCAGCCAAGAGATGTACAAAGCTAACTTTTGAAAATGTTGCTGTATCTTTGACTTTAGCTGCTGTCTTTTAAAGCTTGAAATTCTCAATGTTCCAGGAATACGATTTCATAATATCTCTTATGCAATTTAGTAATTTTTAAAAGTGTAATTACACTGGGAGAAGAATGACTTTAGAGACTAATAAAATAAGCAGTAGTATGTAAAATCCATGAGAGCCTATGCAAGGAGCAGTCTGCATTATATTATTTGCTAATTAAGCTTTTGGGACATTGAAAAAGAATGTAAACTACTTCAGTCTGGGTAAGCATCTGCTGAACAGGCATCAGAAAACAAAAACAGATTTTATATAAAATTTGAATAAAAAAGTCTTAACTACCCACAAGATACTTTAAAAGTAACTAAAAAGACACCTACTAGACAATTTTTTTTTTGTGTGCAAAGCACTGTGAGGAAAATACAGAAGCATATGACTTGGTCCTTACCTTTAAGAACACTAAAAAGTAGAGAAAGATCAACACGCAAACAACTAACTGCAGCAAGCTTTGATCAACAGGCTAAGACACTAGTAGAAAATGATAAAATACACAATAATTACCAAATTAAGTAAGAATTTAAGGATGAGGTAAGTCAAATTATACTTGATTCATGCTGATACTAAAAGCCAATCATTTAATGAGATAAAACCAGAAACATTTACCTAACCCATACATAAAACTTTTTTGGAAAAGCAGAAATAGTTATGAGAGGAATGTGTTAGAGATCAAAATCAATCAGGCTAGGCACAGTGGCACACACACAACTGTAATCCCAGCACTTTGGGAGGCTAAGGCAGGCAGATCGCTTGAGCTCAGGCATTTGAGACCAGCCTAGGCAACATGGCGCAACCCCATCTCTACAAAACAAACAAACAAACAAACAAACATAAAAATTAGCCGGGTGTGGTGGTACACACACCTGTAGTCCCAGCTGAGGTGGGAGGATCACTTGAGCCCAGGAGGTTGAGGCCTAGGGAGGCATCCACCACTGCACTCCAGCCTAAGTGACAGGGTGAGACCCTGTCTCAAAACAAAAGATCAATTACCCTTAAAATAAGCAATAGGCTCTGTTAAACAAAGGAAACCAATTTTCATAATTTTTCTCTTAGAACTTTGGGCTTAGTAAACCTTTTCACAAGAAGTATTTTGAGATCTTTTAACTTTAGAATATAGCTAAGTGGGTAGTAATGATATATATATTTATGTTAGTATTAGTAGTAGTGATACACACACACACACACACACGCACGCAAGTAAGCACACACACCCTTTACATAAGTAACCCATTTGAGATGTGTATTTATGAAACCATGGGCAATATAATTTACGGGGGAAAGAAACTGTTTCCAAAAAGCCAAGGAAGGGAGATTTTTATTTGTATTTTTAAAAACAAAATCATTATTGGTACAGTAGGTGTAACCTTAAAATTAAGTTATTACAAATGGGTCAGAAAATGGAAAGAGAATTTCTAAGAGTCAAAATTAATTGATTTAAGATAAGGCTTTAATTGGAAACAAAGAGCTTCACATATTCTTAAAAAAATTCCAGAAACATTTCCCAAATCCAAATGAGCCGGGCTTTAAATGACAAGGAGGGGAAATTTACCAGATTGAGAAACTGTGAAAAGGCAGAATGAATATTATAAGCAAAGAAGAAAAGCAGTGCACAAACCATTCCTGGGAGGCGAAAAGGTTTACTGTGGTCACATGTAGGGCAGACTTTCCCAGTGGTTGTACTGGGAATGGATTAGAGGGTATGCTTAAGATATTGTTTCCTTCAGATCTCAGAAGGGCCAGAAAGCTCAGAGAAGCCAGAGACTTCAGGCAGTCAGACAGTGGTATCATCTGGTTATTATTCCATGTGTGACATGTCATGAAAAATTTTGGGAAGCACTGGTAGAGGATGCTTAGAAACATGGGGACATGAAGGTAGATTGAGAAAAAAAATCCACAGGTATAATTACATTACATATGGTATGTAATGCCAAGGAGTTTGGTCCTTATCTCACAGTCCGTAGCAAATTGCAGGTTTTTAATGAGGAAAGAGACAGGCTTGATTTTCTGTTGAAGAAAGTAAATGATTCTGGCAGCAGTGTGGAAGAAGCACAGGAACGAAGTGCAACTTCCAGTTAGGCAACTAATACAATTTCGAGGCCCTAAATTAGAACATGAATAATAGCAGAGGCAGTGAACCTGAACAGGACAATTTAAGAGATGTCTTTGAAGTATAACTGCACAATGTTTTCAACTTATTATTAGACACTTTCCCCTTTTGACAATGCCACTCCATTGTGCAAAGGGAGATAAAGATAAAAAAGCATTTATTTTAAATAGATTCGTAATTATTCTGCAAAGAGAACAATATCTGCTAAATTAAAACCTGGATCTTAACAATGTTCCATGACTTGACTTTTCAACTGGTGGACATGCTTTTTAAACAATAATTCAATTTGCATTAAAACTATTTAAGATAATCACTTCCCCATAAAGCTGAAAAAGTTGTGGGAGTCTTTAGTGCTTAGCTAGGCTTCACAGAGCAGTTCAGTCCCACAGATATTTGCTGAGTATCTACTATGTGTCAGGCATAGGATTAGGTACTAGGGTTATAAAGTTCTTTGTTCTTTAAAAAATAATTCATTTGAAACAGATTTCTGTATGTCAACATGTTAGCGTATATTTGTATTAAAACAAATAAATCAATCAGTCTTTAGGCTATCTGTCTAATGTTGGGCTTGCTCAGTTCTGCAAAAACCTGTAGCACTGTGCAAGAAAAGACTTGATGCATTTGACAGCAGGTGTTCAGGAAAAATGCACCACAGTAAATAGCAGCAATTGATGATGAGCACAAAATGAAGAGAACAGAAGAAAAAAAAATTTAGCATGCACACACATACACATACTTAAGTTATTTTATTAGCATATTTTCTTTGTCCATTTCTATTAAAGAGTCATTTTACAAGTCAAAACAGTATGTATCCAGCACTAATCCAAATTCTTCCTCTTGTAAAAAGTGAATCTGCTTTTTAAAAAACTATAGGGGCAAAGTGAAAACAATGCAAACTAACATTTCCTATGTCTCTATAAAATTCACTCTTTAAAAAGGGTCTCCATAAGATAGAATAGGAGTGAAGAACTTCCTTAGATATTTACATATTTTAAGATATTTAAAAATATATAAACCCATGGGTTCTTAATGGGGGTAAGGGAGTAGTGGCAGTGGGGACAAATGGCCTGTCCTCTGCTTCTTTTCCCAGCATCGTCTCCTGTTATTTGACCCCTCCAGGCCCTTTACTTTCTACCAATACTGAACTCCTTGTACTTCCCCTAAAATTGCTATGAGCATATTCTTCACACCTCTCTAATTTATAAATAGTGATCTCTTTATCTGAACAGTCCTGTCTACTCCCAGGCCATGTACTCCAGGAAAATCCTAGTTATTCTTTCAAATCATTTCTATACAAAGAAACTGTCATTTTCTTCTCTATATTACTCCTAAACATTGTTCACATTTCTTTTGCACATATCACACAACAGTTGTTTATATTTTCTAATGCCCCTGCTGAACCATAAGATATTCAAAGGACATATATTTTTTCCCAATTTAAAAGAAATCACAATGTAAGGTGATCTGCCTACAGACACCTACTAGGTATACAGAAGCATGCAGACAAGAAATATATAAGACAGCAGGTGGTACCAAAAACATGTTGCTCAGAATATGTTTCTGGATAACTAAGGTTTTTAACTCATTACATATAAACGATTTTTAAAAACCTAAAATGAAAGTCTTCTGATATATACTACAAAGAATGGATGATATGGTAAATGTAAACAAACAAAGGTTTTGTTGACTCAAAGTCTTCTTTTCCCTCTCCATCATTCTTAAACAATATTCTGTGCTAAAGTTATTAGATGGTGAGGATACAGATGCCGTAGGACAGATTTATACAATGTAACTTGAACGGGCACCACAGGACTGATGGGTTGCACAGTGGTGACGCCGAGTGGTGATGCAGAGCTGTGGATACTGCCTGCCTGCACTTGCAGAGGTCATCAATGTTTCCACATCCTCTGAGAGGAACAGCGTGTTTCTGTCTCTCACCCCAAAGAGACATTGTTTCTGTTTTCTATTCCTGCCACTCCTCAATTTTTTTTAAGGTACAAAATACCAAGATACAGAAGCTATTTCTTATCAGTCCCACCAGAGTGCAGCAGGGCTGTTTTATCCTTTTCTTTGCCTTGCGTTTTCTTTCTCCCAGGCTGGTCCCAGCCCATTTCTGAGTTCCGTCAGTCCTGCTTTGGCTGTTCAGTGCACCTTTCTTTTTCCTTGTCTCTGGTACCTTGTCTGATAATACAAGACATTACAAAATAATGTCTTTTTTTTTAATCTTACCTATTCATAGTTCAAAATTCTGGCTCTATTACTTACTGAGTTTTATTTATTTATTTGAGATGGGGTCTTGCTCTGTTGCCCATGCTGGACTGCAGTAGCGCGATCATGGCTCACTACAGACTTGACCTCCAGGGTCCAAGCGGTCCTCCCACCTCAGCCTCCCGAATAGGTGGGACCACAGGTGTGTGCTACCACATCTGGCTAACATTTAAATTTTATTTTTTTGGACAGACGGGTCTCCCTACGGTGCCCAGGCTGGTCTAAACTCCGGACTCAAGTGATCCTCCTGCTCAGATTACAGGTGTGAACCACCACACCTGGTTGTAACTGAATTTTTTTTTTAATTACAGGGTACATGTGCACAACGTGCAGGTTTATTACATAGGTATACATGAGCCATGTTGGTTTGCTTCCCCCATTAACTCATCATTTACATTAGGTATGTCTCCTAATGCTATCCCTCCCCCAGCCCCCCACCACCTGACAGGCCCCAGTGTGTGATGTTCCCTGCCCTGCGTCCAAGTGTTCTCATTGTTCAATTCCCACCTATGAGTGAGAACATGTGGTGTTTGGTTTTCTGTCCTTCTGATAGTTTGCTGAGAATGATGGTTCCCAGCTTCATCCATGTCCCAACAAAGGACATGAACTCATCCTTTTTTATGGCTGCATAGTATTCCATGGTGTATCTGTGCCACATTTTCTTAATCTAGTCTATCACTGATGGAAATTTGGGTTGGTTCCAAGTCTTTACTATCGTGAATAGTGCTGCAATAAACATACGTGTGCATGTGTCTTTATAGCAGCATGATTTATAATCCTTTGGGTATATACCCAGTAATGGGATGGCTGGGTCAAATGGTATTTCTAGTTCTAGATCCTTGAGGAATCACCACACTGTCTTCCACAATGATTGAACTAATTTACACTCCCACCAACAGTGTAAAGGCGTTCCTACTTCTCCACATCCTCTCCAGCATCTGTTGTTTCCCAACTTTTTAATGATCACCATTCTAACTGGTGTGAGATGGTATCTCATTGTGGTTTTGATTTGCATTTCTCTGATGGCCAGTGATGATGAGCATTTTTTCATGTGTCTGTTGGCTGCATAAATGTCTTCTTTTGAGGGATGTCTATTCATACCTTTTGCCCACTTTTTGATGGGGTTGTTTTTTTTCTTGTAAATTTGTTTGAGTTCATTGTAGATTCTGGATATTAGCCCTTTGTCAGATGGGTAGATTGCAAAAATTTTCTCCCCTTCTGTAGGTTGCCTATTCACTCTGATGGTAGTTTCTTTCGCTGTGCAGAAGCTCTTTAGATTAATTAGATCCCATTTGTCAATTTTGGCTTTTGTTGCCATTTCTTTCGGTGTTTCAGTCATGAAGTCCTTGACTAGGCCTATGTCCTGAATGGTACTGCCTACGTTTTCTTCTAGGGTTTTTATGGTTTTAGGTCTTACATTTAAGTCTTTAATACATCTTGAATTAATTTTTGTATAAGGTGTAAGGAAGGGATCCAGTTTCAGCTTTCTGCATATGGCTAGCCAGTTTTCCCAGCACCATGTATTAAATAGGGAATCCTTTCCCCACTTCTTGTTTTTGTCAGGTTTGTCAAAGATCAGATGGTTGTAGATGCATGGTGTTATTTCTGAGGCCTCTGTTCTCTACATATCTGTTTTGGTACCAGTACCATACTGTTTTGGTTACTATAGCCTTGTAGTATACTTTGAAGTCAGGTAGTGTGATGCCTCCAGCTTTGTTGTTTTTGCTTAGTACTGTCTTGGCTATGCGGGCTCCTTTTTGGTTTCATATGAATTTTAAAGTAGTTTTTTCCAATTCTGTGAAGAAAATCATTGGTAGCTTGATGGAGATAGCATTGAATCTGTACATTACCTTGGGCAGTATGGATATTTTCACAATATTGATTCTTCCCATCTTCCATTTGTTTGTGTCCTCTTTTATTTTGTTGAGCAGTGGCTTGTAGTTCTCCTTGAAGAGGTCCTTCCCATCCCTTGTAAGTTGGATTCCTAGGTATCTTATTTTCTTTGTAGCAATTGTGAATGGGAGTTCACTCACAATTTGGCTGTTTGTCTGTTATTGGTGTATAGGAATGCTTGTGATTTTTGCACATTGATTTTGTATCCTGAGACTTTGCTGAAGTTGCTTATCAGCATAAGGAGATTTTGGGCTGAGACGATGGGGTTTTTAAATATACAATCATGTCATCTGCAGACAGGGACAATTTGACTTCCGCTTTTCTAAATTGAATAACCTTTGTTTCTTTCTCTTGCCTGACTGCCCAGGCTAGAACTTCTAACACTATGTTGAGTAGGAGTGGTGAGAGAGGGCATCCTTGTCTTCTGCCGGTTTTCAAAGGGAACGCTTCCAGTTTTTGCCCATTCAGTATGATATTGGCTGTGGGTTTGTCATAAATAGCTCTTATTATTTTGAGATATTTCCATCAATACCTAGTTTATTGAGAGTTTTTAGCATGAACGGCTGTTGAATTTTTTCGAAGGCCTTTTCTGCATCTATTGAGATAATCATGTGGTTTTTGTCATTGGTTCTGTTTATGTGATGGATTACATTTATTGATTTGCGTATGTTGAAACAGCCTTGCATCCCAGGGATGAAGCTGACTTGATCATAGTGGATAAGCTTTTGGATGTGCTGCTGGATTCGGTTTGCCAGTATTTTATTGAGGATTCTCGCATCGATGTTCATCAGGGATATTGGTCTAAAATTCTCTTTTTTTGTTTTGTCTCTGCCAGGCTTTGGTATTAGGATGATGCTGGCCTCATAAAATGAGTTAGGGAGGATTCCTTCTTGTTCTATTGATTGGAATAGTTTCAGAAGGAATGGTAACAGCTCCTCTTTGTACCTATGGTAGAATTTGGCTGTGAATCTGTCTGGTCCTGGACTTTTTTGGTTGGTAGGCTATTAATTATTGCCTCAATTTCAGAACCTGTTATTGGTCTATTCAGAGATTCAACTTCTTCCTGGTTTAGTCTTGGGAGGGTGTATATGTCCAGGAATTTATCCATTTCTTCTAGATTTTCTAGTTTATTTGAGTAAAGGTGTTTATAGTATTCTCTGATGGTAGTTTGTATTTCTGTGGGATCGGTGGTGATATCCCCTTTATCATTTTTTATTGCGTCTATTTCATTCTTCTCCCTTTTCTTCTTTATTAGTCTTGCTAGCAGTCTATCAATTTTGTTGATCTTTTCAAAAAACCAGCTCCTGGATTCATTGATTTTTTGAAGGGTTTTTTGTGTGTGTCTATCTCCTTCAGTTCTGCTCTGATCTTAGTTATTTCTTGCCTTCTGCTAGCTTTTGTATGTTTCCTCTTTCTTCTCTAGTTCTTTTAATTGTGATGTCAGGGTGTCAATTTTAGATCTTTCCTGCTTTCTCTTGTGGGCATTTAGTGCTATAAATTTCCCTCTACACACTGCTTTAAATGTGTCCCAGAGATTCTGGTACGTTGTGTCTTTGTTCTCACTGGTTTCAAACAACATCCTTATTTCTGCCTTATTTTGTTATTTACTCAGTAGTCATTCAGGGGCAGGCTGTTCTGTTCAGTTTCCATGTAGTTGTGCGGTTTTGAGTGAGTTTCTTAATCCTGAGTTCTAATTTCATTGCACTGTGGTCAGAGAGACAGTTTGTTGTGATTCCTGTTTTTACATTTGCTGAGGAGTGCTTTACTTCCAATTATGTGGTCGATTTTAGAGTAATTGCGACGTGGTGCTGAGAAGAATGTATATTCTGTTGATTTGGGGTGGAGAGTTCTGTAGATATCTATTAAGTCTGCTTGGTGCAGAGCTGAGTTCAAGTCCTGGATATCCTTGTTAAACTTCTGTCACGTTGATCTAATATTGACAGTGGTGTGTTAAAGTCTCCCAGATTGCTTTATGAATCTGGGTGCTCCTGTATTGGGTGCATATATATTTAGGATAGTTAGCTCTTCTTGTTGAATTGATCCCTTTACCATTATGTAATGACCTTCTTTGTTTCTTTTGATCTTTGTTGGTTTAAAGCCTGCTTTATCAGAGACTAGGATTGCAACCTATGATTTTTCTTGCTTTCCTTTTGCTTGTGAGATCTTCCTCCATTCCTTTATTTTGAGCCTGTATGTGTCTCTGTACATGAGATGGGTCTCCTGAATACAGCACACTGATGGGTCTTGACTCTATCCAATTTGCCAGTCTGTGTCTTTTAATTGGAGCATTTAGCCCATTTACATTTAAGGTTAGTATTGTTATGTGTGAATTTAATCCTGTCATTATGATGTTAGATGGGTATTTTGCCTGTTAATTGATGCAGTTTCTTCAAAGCATCGATGGTCTTTACAATTTGGCATGTTTTTGCAGTGGCTGGTACTGGTTGTTCCTTTCCTTGTTTAGTGCTTCCTTCAGGAGCTCTTGTAAGGCAGGCCTGGTGGTGACAAAATCTCTCAGCATTTGCTTGTCTGTAATGGATTTTATTTATCCTTCACTTATGAAGCTTAGTTTGGCTGGATATCAAATTCTGGGTTGAAAATTCTTTTAAGAATGTTGAATCTTGACCCCCACTCTCTTCTGGCTTGTATGATTTCTGCCCGAGAGAGCCGCTGTTAGTCTGATGGGCTTCCGTTAGTGGGTAATCTGACCTTTCTCTCAGGCTACCCTTAACATTTTTTCCTTCATTTCAACCTTGGTGAATCTGAGAATTATGTGTCTTGGGGTTGCTCTTCTTGAGGAGTATCTTTGTGGTGTTCTCTGTATTTCCTGAATTTGAATGTTGGCCTGCCTTGCTATGTTGGGGAAGTTCTCCTGGATAATATCCTGAAGAGTGTTTTCTAACTTGGTTCCATTCTCCCCGTGACTTTCAGGTACACCAATCAAATGTAGATTTGGTCTTTTCACATAGTCCCATATTTCTTGGAGGCTTTGTTCTTTTTACTCTTTTTTCTCTAAACTTCTCTTCTCGCTTCATTTCTTTCATTTGATCTTCAATCACTGATATCCTTTCTTCCACTTGATTGAATTGGCTACTGAAGTTTGTGCATGTGTCACGAAGTTCTCATACCATGGTTTTCAGCTCCATCAGGTCATTTAAGGTCTTCTCTACACTGTTTATTCTAGTTAGCCATTTGTCTCACCTTTTTTCAAGGTTTTTAGCTTCCTCGCAATGGGTTAGAACACGCTTCTTTAGCTTGGAGAAGTTTGTTATTATTGACCTTCTGAATCCCACTTCTGTCAGCTCGTCAAAGTCATTCTCCATCCAGCTTTGTTCTGTTGCTGGCAAGGAGCTGTGATCCTTTGGAGGAGAAGAGGCGCTCTGGTTTTTAGAATTTTCAGCTTTTCTGTTCTGGTTTCTCCCCATCTTTGTGGTTTTATCTACCTTTGGTCTTTGATGTTGGTGACCTACAGATGGGGTTTTTGTGTGGAAGTCCTTTCTGTTGATGTTGATGCTATTCCTTTTGGTTTGTTAGTTTTTCTTCTAACAGTCAGGTCCCTAAGCAACAGGTCTGTTGGAGTTTGCTGGAGGTCCACTCCAGACCCTGTTTGCCTGGGTATCACCAGCGGAGGCTGCCGAGCAGCAAATATTACTGCCTGATCCTTCCTCTGGAAACTTCATCGCAGAGGGAAACCCGCCTGTATGAGGTGTCTGTCAGCCCCTACTGGGAGATGTCTCCCAGTTAGGCTACATGGGGGTCAGGGACCCACTTGAGGAGGCAGTCTGTCCGTTCTCAGAGCTCAAATGCCGTGCTGGGAGAACCACTGCTGTCTTCAGAGCTGTCACACAGGGACGTTTAAGTCTGCAGAAGTTACTGCTGCCTTTTGTTCAGCTATGCCCTGTCTACAGAGGTACAGTTCATGGAGGCAGTAGGCCTTCCTGAGCTGCAGTGGGCTCCACCCAGTTTGAGCTTCCTGGCCACTTTGTTTACCTACTTAAGCTTCAGCAATGGCGGATGCCCCTCCCCCTGCCAGGCTGCAGCCTCGCAGGTCGATCTCAAACTGCTGCACTAGCAGCAAGCAAGGCTCCGTGGGTGTTGGATCTGCCAAGCCAGGCACGGGAGAGAATCTCCTTGTCTGCCAGTTGTTAAGACCATGGGAAAAGCGCAGTATTTGGGCAGGAGTGTAGCGATATTCCAGGTACTGTCTGTCATGGCTTCCCTTGGCTAGGAGAGGGAAATCCCACAACCCCTTCCAGTTCCTGGGTGAGGCAATGCCCCACCCTATTTCAGTTCACTCTCCGTGGGCTGCACCCACTGTCCAACCAGTCCCAATGAGATGAACTAGTCACCCCAGTTGGAAACGCAGAAATCACCCAACTTCTGTGTCGATCATGCTGGGAGCTGCAGACCAGAGCTGTTCCTATTTGGCCCTCTTGGAATGGAACTCCTTTTTTTTTTTTTTTTTTTTTTTTTGAGACAAGGTTTCACTCTGTCGCCCAGGCTGGAGTGCAGTGGCATGATCTCAGCTCACTGCAACCTCCACCTCCTAGGTTCAAGCGATTCTCATGCCTCAACCTCCCAAGTAGTTGTGATTACAGGCAGGCACCACCACACCTGGCTAATTTTTGTACTTTTAGTAGAGACACAGTTTCACCATGTTGGCCAGGCTGGTCTTGAACTCCTGGCCTCAAGTGGCGTCACTATGATCTCCTCCCAAAGTGCTGGGATTATAGCCATCATGCCCAGCCCGTAATTGAATTTTAATATGGTAGTTTTCCACCTTTACTTCAAACAACTAGAAACATCTCAGGTTTAGAACACAGTCTAACAGCACCTTTGAGGCACATGGCAGGGACTGTACCCCCCTCTGTAGGGTTTGGCAAACTACAATCTGTCCCACCAGCTGTTTTTATAAATGAAGTGTTAGAACATGGCCCTGTTCAGCCATTTGCATATTATCTATGGCTATTTCCATTCTAAGTCAGCAAAGTTGAGTAGCTACAAGGAATAACAGATGTAGCCTATAAAGTCTAAAATATTTACCATCTGGCCTTTTACAGGAAAACTTTCTAAATACTTTAGAGTAGTGGTTTTTAACCTTCACTGTGCATCACAATCACTTGGTGAACTTTAAGAACCTAGGTTACCTCCACCTCCTTGCTCCAGTGACAATCAATCAGTCTAGGTCCAGGCAAATTATTTTCTTCGATTCTAATGTGCAGTTAAAGTTAAACCAATTTTCAGGGTTTCTCAAACCTCAATGTGCACAGGAATCATCTGGCTTATCTGCTCATCTAGAAGAATCTTGTTCCCCATTTACATCCCATTTGGTCTGGAGGGAGAGGTCAGACCCTGCATGTTTAATAAGCTTGCCAGCTGACTCTGACAGAGAAAGTTCCTAGACTAGACTTTGAGAGATATGGCTTGTACAAGTTAGTTTAAAAAAGCCTCATAGGTGAACGTGGACAGTCCCTTACCTCATAAATGAATCAAATCACTCTAAGTGCTCTTAAGCCTTAGCTTTCTCATCTGTAAAGTGGAACTCTATGTCTTTGCTATGAGATGCACTATTTTTGTCATTTTAATTCTGTGGCAGAATGTAAGACAATATATCTTTGGGAAGATTCAGATTATAACTTACATGGTGGCCTCATAAAAATTTAAATAATTAAAACATAATAAGCAAATATCACACAGCAAAGAGATAATGCAGATGCCATCATTTTAACACTATTTCAAGCGTTAAAAAACAAGACGTAACTATGTAATTAAGAATTGCACCAATGACTTTTGAAGCCAAACCTAGAAAATGAAGGGTTTACAGAAAGCTTATCATAAACTGCAATGATGACACAGTGGCTTATGGGTTGGAATGTATATGTAGCTACATCCCTTTCACATCCAGAAGATCTCAGTTACCTAAAGGTTCTTGAATGCGTTTAGGGAAAACAGTATCTATGAAGCCTTGAAACTGTAGGCTAAATTTTACGTGTAAAAATTTTGTATTTGTATTTTCAGGAGAGTGTATCTATCAGATTCCCCCCAAAAATACATTACCCAAAGGAGGTGGGGGCATTTACTCCTAGGTATCTATGTACTAACACATGGGTCATATCAACCCATTATGAGAACTTCTTAGAGAGAAAGAAGTTCATTTTGAGTTATTTTCAAATACTGGTAACTCTGCTTTAAAATGTATCCACTTAAGAAAGAAATTTATTGATTTTCCTTTATTTGTGGTATTTTCTAAGCAGAATAGTTAAAAAATATAATTTCCTCACTTCCGTGGAGGTAACAATATTTATAACAAAAAGTTTAAAATCTATTAGAAAAGCCCAGTTGCACTGCTGTTAAACATAAGCAGAAAAGGAATTTGGTTATTCTGTGGGAATGTGGTTTTGTAGTCCCTGGGCACTGAGAACAGCAGTATTTTCTTCCATGGTGAAGTCCAAATATGAGTACTGAAAAGGAATGATTTATTTGACATCTCTCAGGTATTTGATTATTCAGTCACACCAAGTAGTTGACATAGTCAGAATAACTTGGATTCCATACTACACTTATTCTATCTTTAGCAAAGGACTACTCGTTGTGGTCTTTCCAGACTCTCTGGAGTCATGAAAGTTTGATTTGCTTCTTCAATACATGTTCATCTCCATCTAGTACAGGGCAGACAACTGAGACTGATGGCGAGGTCAAGTTAACACCACCTTTGGAAGACACTGTCTCCTAGGACAGCTGTCTCCAAAGTTTTTTGATCATTCATTCATATTAGTAAAAACTATGTGAGCACTTTTCCCCCATTTTTTAATGTTTAGTCAGAAAGCATACACATGCCTTCTTGTATTAGTATATTGTATACAACACAAAAGTGTACATTAAAAAGAATGGTACATAAAATAGTCATGAGTATGTTTCTAAATTTTCTTCCCTCACTCTATTGGTATGTGCATGCATATTTAGAGATCTGTCATTAGTAAGATACTTATCAAAGCCTATGGTGCTAGAACTGCATTTCAGATAGTCAAACTCTTATTCATCTATTACAGTATTCCCATGCTATGGTTAGAGGCAATTGATGTTATTCCAGACAATGACAATGATGACAACAATAATATGTGCATGTGAAATGTACAATATGCTTGATATTGTTCAAACTCTTTTACATAAAATTCATGAATGAGTTTACATAAAACTCCTTTAATCTGCACAACAGCCCGGAAGGCGAGGTACTATTATTAGTCTCACTTTATAGATAATAAAACTGAGTTAGAGAGAGGTTAAATAATTTGCCTAAAGTTACATAGCTGGTAAGTGGTGGGGAGCCAGAATTGAAATATTGGCAGTCTCGCTCTAGAGACCATAATCAACACCAAAAGAAGTCTTATGAATACTCAGTCAAAAGTAAAGCAGAAATTACATTGTAGAAGCCATATTCCTTGCTTTGTCAGTTATGGGGATAAGAATAATTTGTATCTAAAATGAAAATACTTTTTCTTCATTTGATATGAAGATAATTAGAGAATCACAGGACATTAGTCTCACAAAAAATTCTTCCATTTCTAAACTCCTGTATTTACTGAGAAGACTGAGGCCCATGGAGGTAATATTGATATTGAGTCATACATGATTAAGTGGCAGAGCTTAGAATAAGCAAACTAATAATGTTTAAAATGGTAATGTTATTGGGTTCCTACTATATTTTCAGAACTGTAATAAGTGCTTTACTATGGTAATTAGTGCAATCCTCACAGTAACACTCAAAAGGAGATATGTATTCTTATAGTCAATTTACAAAAAGGGAAATAAAAGCTTGAAGACGTTAAGTAATTGTAAAAGGTCAGAGTGGTAGTAAGCATTAAGGATAGAATGTGAACTAAGGTTTAATTTTATACCGTCAGATTGTATAACCAAAGTATATTCCATTATTCCATACTGCTATCCCAAGACTAATTTCTAAGCAAGTTAAAATATTATTAAAGTTTTGGTAAAAATGAGGAGAAAACTGTCTGAAGCCAAGACAAATATGCTTTTATCAGTGGATTATGTTAAAGTTTTCCTCTTTCTTTTGTAAGAAGTGCTAAACATCAGGCATGTAAGACGTGTGCTTATTTTCCCCTCTTTTATGGTGGGAGCTTAATAAAAGAACACCTTTAGAAAAGAAAATAATTATATGTAACAAAATATAGAACCAGATTCTCCTGGCAATTAATCACCTAATGCAGACCTATAAGCTGTTTCTGACAGATCCAAAGGTTTTGCTTGAATTGTTGAGTAAGATGTGCCTGGGCTGGCTTATGAGAAGAGATTCTATGCTTAAAGTCTTGGAAAGTATTTTCACATATATTTACATATACTGAGGTATATATGTATACATAAACACTGCAAATGGATTTCTGCATTATACACACACACACACACACACATACACCCATGTATGAAAATGCAGAACTCATTTATTATTGCTCAAAAATGTAGAAAGAAATAAAAGAGGCCTTCCTTTCCAGCAACAGGGAGCTATTTATCACTTAGCAGAGATACTTCCTGTTTTTAAGCAGTTGGAAAGGCATGATTTCCAACCTAAATACTTAACTTGGCAAGTCAGTGCTATGATGATAGATGCTTTTATAACCACTTTTCTTCCACCTTAAATTTCAATATAAAAAGAGGTGATTTGTTTTTACTCTCAACTTTTTTTCTTTTAAAGGCTGGGGAGAATGGAAGAAAAAGAGAGGAAAGGGAAGGAAAATATAACCAGAACAGATGGATGACATAGGTTAGCACAGCTCTGACAGATGTGGCTGTATAATCTCAAACTTTCTCTGAGGGTGCGGGATAGGAGTGACTGTGTGTGTGTGTGTGTGTGCGTGTGTGTGTGTACATAATTTTTTTAAAGAAAATAAATGGAACTCTAGCCAAATATTACAAATCTTTAAAAAAGAGTTTGAAAACTTTAACGACAAGTCTATTACATTTTCTAACAAAGCAATTTTTAAAATCTTTTCACGTGGGTCATGCGATTAACACTGCTTTAGGCATTAAAATTAATAGGACTGTGCAAATAAAAGTTCTTAAATAGGCAGTTCTACTTTAATGATTTGAAGTCAAGGAATAGATTTTATTTTTGAATATTCAATATTACTCCTTGCTGTTGGTCGGTTTGGTGTCTTCTTTTGCTTTGTTGTTGTTGTAACAAGGAAGATTCCCTGTAGGAACTGCGAAGCACCTGCGGGGTTTTCATGATTTCATTGTGATGCTAAGAATTGACAGTTAGCTTTAATAGTATGTTTTAAAATATTTTGCCTAACTTTACATCAGACCAGCAATTCTTCTTATCTAAGAGCAATCTCTCCCAATCCCACCTCATTCTGCCACGACATAACATTGCACTGCAATCATCCCCCAATGCAGTATCTTCAAGTTCTCTATTTGCTCTTTTCCATCAGATATCTCCTGCCTACTAAAAACCCTCGTTCAACACATTATCCTGTCTTAGCTATTGCCCAATCTCTTTCTTCCACACTCATAGCTAAAGAATTGTTTAAGCTCTGTCTCTGGTTCCTCATTTGTCACACTTTTCTCAGCTGACTCAAATCTGTCCCTCTCACTCCACCAAAATGATTCTTGTTAAAATCACGAATGAATTCCAGGTTGTTAAAATTTTAAGAAATGCCTTTTCTGTCTGTATCTTGCCCTAATTTTCAGCAGGATTGGAAAAGATGAACTACACCTTTGTTCTTAACACACTTCGCTTTTGGCTTCTGACACTCCACATTATACCTCTTATTTCTCTAGATATTCCTATTCATGCATTGTTACTTGCTGGCTCCTCCCCCTCTGGCTAAATTTAAAAGTTGAAGTGCCTCAGAGCTTATACTTAACTTTCTTCTTTTTCTTCGTCTTCACTGTTCCACCCATTCTTTGACTTTAGATATCATCTATAAATACAAGCACACCTCATTTTATTGCACTATGCTTTACTGGGCTCTGCAGATATTGTATTTTTTATAATACAATGTATTATATTGTAAATTGTGGCAACCCTGCATTGAGCAAGTCTACTGCAGCCATTTTTCCAACAGCATGTGCTCACTTCTTGTCTTTGTGTCACATTTTGGTAATTTTGCAACATTTTAAACTTTTCATTATTATAATATTTATTATGGTGACCTGTGATCACTGTTCTTTGATGTTTTTACTGTAATTATTTTGGGTCACCACAAACCATGCCCATATAAGATGGTAAACTTAACTGACAAATGTTGTGTGTATTCTGATTGTTCCACCAACTGGTTGTTCCCTGCTTTTCTCCCTCTCCTTGGGCCTTCCTATGCCCTGAGACACAATAATAATGAAATTAGGCCAATGAATAACCCTACAATGGCCTTTAAGTATTTAAGTGAAAGGAAGAGTCCCACATCTCTCACTTTACATAAAAAGCTAGAAGTGATGAAGCTTTGTGAAGCAGGTGCATTGAAAACTGAGAAAGGCCAAAAGCTAGGCCTCCTCTGCCAATCAGTAAGCAAATTGTGAATGCTAAGGAAAAACTCTTGAAGGGAATTGTGCTACTCTAGTGAACACATGAATACTAAGAGAGCAAAACAGTCTTACTGATGATATGGAGAAACTTCGAGTGATCTGGATAAAAGATCAAACCAACCACAACATTCCTTGAAGCCAAAGCCTAATCCAAAGCAAGGCCCTAACCCTCTTCAATTCTGTGAAGGCTGAGAGAGGTGAAGAAGCTGCAGAAGAAAGTTTGAAGCTAGCAGAGGTTGGTTGATGAAGTTTAAGAAAAGAAGCAGTCTTTATAACATAAAAGTGCATGGTCAGGCAGCAAGTGATGATACAGAAATTGCAGCAAGTTATTTAAAACATGTTGCTAAGGTAATTGAGGAAGGTGGCCACACTAAACAACAGATATTCAATGTAGATGAAACAGCCTTATATTGGAAGAAGATGTCATCTAGGACTTTCATAGCTAGAGAGAAATCAATGCCTGGCTTCAAAACTTCAAAGGATAGGCTGACTCTCTTGTTGGGGGCTAATGCAGTTGGTAAATATAAGTTGAAGCCAGTGCTCATTTACCCTTCTGAAAATCCTAGGGCTCTTAAGAATATGCTAAATCTACTCTTCCTGTCTCTATAAATGGAACAACCAAGCCTGCAAGACAACACTTTGTTTATAGCATGATTACTGGATATTTTAAGCCCACTGTTGAAACTTACTACTCAGATAAAATGATTCCTTTCAAAATATTACTGATCATTTTCAGTGTACCTAGTCAGCCAACAACTCTGATGGAGATGTAGATTAGTGTTGTTTTCAAGCCTTGTTAACACAACATCCATTCTGCAACTCATGAATTAAAGAATAATTTAGACTTCCAAGTCTTATTAAGAAATACATCTTGTAGGGCTACAGCAGTCATAGATAGTGATTCCTCTAATGAATATGGGCAAAGTAAACGGAAAACTTTCTGGAAAGGATTCACTATTCTAGATGTCATTAAGAACATTCATGACTCAGGGGAGAAGGTCAATTCATGATTCAGGGGAGGTCAAAATATCAACATTAACAGGGGTGTGGAAGAAGTTGATTCCAACCCTCAGGAATAACTTTGAGGGGTTTAAGACTTCAGTGGAGGGAAGTAACTGCAAATGGGGTGAAAATAGGAATAGAACTAGGATTAGAAGTGGAGCCTGAAATTATGACTGAATTGCAGGAATCTCATGAAAAAACTTGAATGAAGAATTGTTTCTTATGGATGAGCCAAGAAAGTGGTTTCTTGCGATGAAATCTACTCCTGGTGAAGACGCTGTGAACCTTACTGAAATGTCAACAAATAATTCAGGATATTACATAAACTTAGTTGATAAAGCAGTGGCAGAGAGAATTGACTCCAGTTTTAAAAGTTATATTGTGGGTAAAATGTTGCCAAGCAGCATCACATGCTATGGAGAAATCTTTCCTGAAAACAAGAGTCAATGGATGTGGCAAACTTCACTGTTAATCTTAAGAAACTGCCATAGCCACTTCAACCTTCAGCAACCACCACCCTGATCAGTCAGCAGTCATCTTTATGGAGGCAAGACCCACCAGCAAAGACTATGATTTGCTGAAGGCTCAGATGATTGCTAGCATTTTTTTAGCAATAAAGTATTCTGAAACAATAAAAAAAATTGTTTTTTTAGACATAATTCTTTTGCACATTTAATAGATTGAGAAACTCACTTTATTTTGCTGATCTGGAACCGAACATACGATATCTCTAAAGTATGCATATAAATGATTCCCAAAATCTAGATATTGGGTCCAAATTTCTCCTCAGAGCACCAGTGTGTCAAACTGCCTACTTGATATCTCTCTAACTGACACAGCATACAGGTATATCCAAATAAAGATATCTAATAATTTTCTCTCAAAACTTGCGATATTTCCATTCTCAGGAAACGGCATTTCCATCATCCCAGAAACCTAAGAACTGTGCATCTTCTTTCTCCTTTCCTACATCCAAAATTGCCAAATTTTGTATATTCCATGTAAGTAGCTTTGTCCACTTTGTTCTGTTCCCACTGTTTGAACCACTTCCTCACATTTATCCTCGTGTCTACTCTTGCCACATTCCTCAAAGACTGTTCTTAGAGGTTGCTGGAATGATGAAATGATTTTTTAAGGCTAACATGATTATTGCCAGCAACCCTCCACCCACATCCTTAAAAAGCTTCATTTGTTTCCCACTGTCTTTAGAATAAGAACATACTATGCTCTCTTCAACCTCTGCAATGTCTTATCAAATGTGCAGCCCTTTGAATATAATGATCTTTTGTGTCCAATCTCTTTGCTCTGGCTAACAGATTATTCACTCATCAGATTCTGCTTAAAAATCAATAACTCAGGGAAGCCTTTCCTAATCTCCCAGACTATGTTAGCTTTTTCCCTCCAATGTCCTTCCACAGCACTTGGCACTTATTCAGAACACTTAGACTACTTATAACTATTTTTTTAAATACTTAAAATTATTGAACATAAATGTTATATGCCAGAAATTGTGCTGGTTTTTTTTAATATATCATTTAATCCTTAGAACCATCCTCAGAAGTACCTAGAATTACCACATTTCTTTTCCTTAGACATTTATAAGCTCCATAAGGATAAAGAACCATACTTGTATTGTTCATGATTCCATTCCAGTTCCAGCCTGGAATATCTAATGTGCTTGATAAATACTTGCTGACTGACAGCAATTTTCAAACATTCGTACCACAACAAATAGCCTCCAATCAGCTTACCTATCAAATTTAAGTTATGTATATGTTCTACCAGTTATGGTTAATAGTAAGAGGAGACATGGCTTATGTTAATCATATCTGGTTTGAAATCCTGAATTTTCCATTTGCTAAGTGTGTAACATTTATTAGCCAAGTCCCTTGGCTTCTCTTAGCCTCATTTTCTTCACCTCTAAAATGTGTTAATTCTAGTTGCCTCTCCGGGTTGCTGTAAGGATTAAATGAGATAATGCATATTAAAATAATCAGCATAATTTCTGGTTTACAATATGTACTAAATAAATGAACGCTATTAGTATTCCGAATAATCTGACTGAGATTCATCCACTTAGCACTTGAAATATGTCATTTCCTTGTGTTCTGCTTTGCATGGCTTCTATAGGGAATAAGAATTATTACCTTATTAATCTGTATCTTATCTTTTTTTTTTCTCCAGTTGCTTTTAAGATTTTCCTCTTTAATAAATGGTGCTGGGACTAAACATGGAAAGGAACAACCGGTACCAGCCACTGCAAAAACATGCCAAATTGTAAAGACCATCAAGGCTAGGAAGAAACTGCATCAACTAACGAGCAAAATAACCAGCTAACATCATAATGACAGGATCAAATTCACACATAACAATATTAACCTTAAATGTAAATGGGCTAAATGCTCCAATTAAAATACACGGACTGGCAAACTGGATAAAGAGTCAAGACCCATCAGTGTGCTGTATTCAGGAAACTCATCTCAAAATCTCATGTACAGAGACACACATAGGCTCAAAACAAAGTGATGGAGGAAGATCTACCAAGCAAATGGAAAACAAAAAAAGGCAGGGGTTGCAATCCTAGTCTCTGATAAAACAGACTTTAAACCAACAAAGATCAAAAGAGACAAAGAAGGCCATTACATAATGGTAAAGGGATCAATTCAACAAGAAGAGCTAACTATCCTAAATATATATGCACACAATACAAGAGCACCCAGATTCACAAAGCAAGTCCTTAGGGACCTACAAAGAGACTTAGACTCCCACACAATAATAATGGGAGACTTTAACACCCCACTGTCAACATTAGACAGATCAACGAGACAGAAAGTTAACAAGGATACCCAGGAATTGAACTCAGCTCTTAACCAAGTGGACCTAATAGACAACTACAGAACTCTCCACCTCAAATCAACCGAATATACATTCTTTTCAGCACCACACCATACCTATTCCAAAATTGACCACATAGTTGGAAGTAAAGCTCTCCTCAGCAAATGTAAAAGAACAGAAATTATAACAGACTGTCTCTCAGACCACAGTGCAATCAAACTAGAACTCAGGATTAAGAAACTCACTCAAAACCGCTCAACTACATGGAAACTGAACAACCTGCTCCTGAATGACTACTGGGTACATAATGAAATGAAGGCAGAAATACAGATGTTCTTTGAAACCAACGAGAACAAAGACACAACGTACCAGAATCTCTGGGACACATTCAAAGCAGTGTGTAGAGGGAAATTTATAGCACTAAATGCCCACAAGAGAAAGCAGGAAAGATCTAAAATTGATACCCTGACATCACAATTAAAAGAACTAGAGAAGAAAGAGCAAACACATTCAAAAGCTAGCAGAAGGCAAGAAATAACTAAGATCAGAGCAGAACTGAAGGAAATAGACACACAAAAAACCTTTCAAAAAATCAATGAATCCAGGAGCTGGTTTTCTGAAAAGATCAACAAAATTGATAGACCGCTAGCAAGACTAATAAAGAAGAAAAGAGAGAAGAATCAAATAGATGCAATAAAAAATGATAAAGGGGATATCACCACCGATCCCACAGAAATACAAACTACCATCAGAGAATATTATAAACACCTCTATGCAAATAAACTGGAAAATCTAGAAGAAATGGGTACATTCCTCGACACATACACCCTCCCAAGACTAAAACAGGAAGAAGTTGAATCTCTGAATAGACCAATAACAGGCTCTGAAATTGAGGCAATAATTAATAGCTTACCAACGAAAAAAAGTCCAGGACCAGATGGATTCACAGCCAAATTCTACCAGAGGTACAAGGAGGAGCTGGTACCATTCCTTCTGAAACTATTCCAATCAACAGGAAGAGAGGGAATCCTTCCTAACTCATTTTATGAGGCCAGCATCATCCTAATACCAAAGACTGGCAGAGACACAACAAAAAAAGAGAATTTTAGACTAATATCCCTGATGAACATCGATGCAAAAATCTTCAATAAAATACTGGCAAACCGAATCCAGCAGCCCATCAAAAAGCTTATCCACCATGATCAAGTGGGCTTCATTCCTGGGATGCAAGGCTGGTTCAACATACACAAATCAGTAAATGTAATCCAGCATATAAACAGAACCAAAGACAAAAACCACGATTATCTCAATAGATGCAGAAAAGGCCTTTGACAAAATTCAACAACCCTTCATGCTAAAAACTCTCAATAAATTAGGTATTGATGGGACGTATCTCAAAATAGTAAGAGCTATCTATGACAAACCCACAGCCAATATCATACTGAATGGGCAAAAACTGGAAGCATTCCCTTTGAAAACTGGCACAAGACAGGGATGCCCTCTGTCACCACTCCTATTCAACATAGTGTTGGAAGTTCTGGCCAGGGCAATCAGGAAGGAGAAGGAAATAAAGGGTATTCAATTAGGAAAAGAGGAAGTCAAATTGTCCCTGTTTGCAGATGACATGACTGTATATCTAGAAAACCCCTTCGTCTCAGCCCAAAGTCTCCTTAAGCTGATAAGCAACTTCAGCAAACTCTCAGGATACAAAATCAATGTGCAAAAATCACAAGCGTTCTTATACACCAATAACAGACAAACAGAGAACCAAATCATGAGTGAACTCCCATTCACAATTTCTTCAAAGAGAATAAAATACCTAGGAATCCAACTTACAAAGGATGTGAAGGACCTCTTCAAGGAGAACTACAAACCACTGCTCAATGAAATAAAAGAGGATACGAACAAATGGAAGAACATTCCATGCTCATGGGTAGGAAGAATCAATATCGTGAAAATGGCCACACTGCCCAAGGTAATTTACAGATTCAATGCCATCCCCATCAAACTACCAATGACTTTCTTCACAGAATTGGAAAAAACTACTTGAAAGTTCATATGGAACCAAAAAAGAGCCTACATTGCCAAGTCAATCCTAAGCCAAAAGAACAAAGCTGGAGGCATCATGCTACCTGACTTCAAACTATACTACAAGGCTACAGTAACCAAAACAGCATGGTACTGGTATCAAAACAGAGATATAGACCAATGGAACAGAACAGAGCCCTCAGAAATAATGCCACATATCTATAACTATCTGATCTTTGACAAACCTGACAAAAACAAGAAATGGGGAAAGGATTCCTTAGTTAATAAATGGTGCTGGGAAAACTGGCTAGCCATATGTAGAAAGCTGAAACTGGATCCCTTCCTTACACCTTATACAAAAATTAATTCAAGATGGATTAAAGACTTAAATGTTAGACCTAAAACCATAAAAACCCTAGAGGAAAACCTAGGCAACACCATTCAGGACATAGGCATGTGCAAGAACTTCATGTCTAAAACACCAAAAGCAATGGCAACAAAAGCCAAAATTGACAAATAGGATCTAATAAACTAAAGAACTTCTGCACAGCAAAAGAAACTACCATCAGCGTGAACAGGCAACCTACAGAATGGGAGAAAATTTTTGCAATCTACTCATCTGACAAAGGGCTAATATCCAGAATTTACAATGAACTCAAACAAATTTACAAGAAAAAAACAAACAACTCCATCAACAAGTGGGTGAAGGATATGAACAGACACTTCTCAAAAGAAGACATTTATGCAGCCAAAAGACACATGAAAAAATGGTCATCATCACTGGCCATCAGAGAAATGCAAATCAAAACCACAATGAGATACCATCTCACAACAGTTAGAATGGCGATCATTATAAAGTCAGGAAACAACAGGTGCTGGAGAGGATGTGGAGAAATAGGAGCACTTTTACACTGTTGGTGGGACTGTAAACTAGTTCAACCATTGTGGAAGTCAGTGTGGTGATTCCTCAGGGATCTAGAACTAGAAATACCATTTGACCCAGCCATCCCATTACTGGGTATATACCCAAATGATTATAAATCATGCTGCTATAAAGACACATGCACACGTATGTTTATTGCGGCACTATTCACAATAGCAAAGACCTGGAACCAACCCAAAGGTCCAACAATGATAGACTGGATTAAGAAAATGTGGCACATATTCACCATGGAATACTATGTAGCCATAAAAAATGATGAGTTCATGTCCTTTGTAGGGACATGGATGAAGCTGGAAACCATCATTCTCAGCAAACTATCGCAAGGACAAAAAACCAAACACCGCATGTTCTCACTCACAGGTGGGAAATGAACAATAAGAACACATGGACACAGGAAGGGGAACATCACACACCGGGGCCTGTTGTGGGATGGGGGGAGGGTGGAGGGATAGCATTAGGAGATATACCTAAATTAAATGACGAGTTAATGGGTGCAGCACACCAACATGGCACATGTATACATATGTAACAAACCTGCACGTTGTGCACATGTGCCCTAAAACTTAAAGTATAATTTAAAAAAAGAAAAGAAAAAAAGAAAAAGGAGAGATGACTCAACAAAACAAATAAATAAATAAATGGTGCTGGGAAAACTAGATACCCAAAAACAAAACAATGAAATTGGACCCTTATCTTACATCATATACAAAAATCAACTCAAAAAGGATTAAAGATTTAAACATATGACTTAAAGCTGTAAAACTCCTACAGAAATCATAAGGGAAAAGCTTAATGACATTGGTCCTGGTGATAATTTCATGAATATGACAGTAAAAGCACAGAATGCAAAAATAGAAATAAACTAGTGGGGCTGTATCAAACTAAAAAGTTTCTGCAAGGCAAAGGAAACAATCGACAGAGTGAAAAAGCAACCTACTGAATTGGAGAAAACATTTGCAAACCATGTATCCAATATTAGGGGTTAGTCTCCAAAATATATAAGGAACCCCTACAACTCAATTTAAAAAATACCCCAATAACCCATGATATGGTTTGGGTCCCCGCCCAAATCTCATGTTAAATCATAATCCCTAGTGTTGGAGGTGGGGCCTGGTGGGAGGTGATTGGACCATGGGGGAGAATGTTCCCCTTGGTGCTGCTCTTGTGGTAGCTGTGAGATTTGGTTGCTCAAATGTATGTGGCACCTTCTGCCTCTCTCTTCCTCTTGCTCTGGCCATATGAAGATGTGCCTGCTTCCCCTTTGCCTTCTGCCATGATTGGAAGTTTCCTGAGGCCTCCCCAGCCATGTTTCCTGGATAGCTTGTGGAACCATTAATGAATTAAACCTTTTTTTCTTTATAAATTACCCCATCTCAGGTATTTTTTTATAGCAGTGTGAGAGTGGACCAATACAACCCAAATTAAAAATGGGCTAAGGAGTTGAGCAGACATTTTTCCAAAGAAAATATACAAATGGGCAACAGGTATATGAAAAATTACTCAATGTCAGTACTCACTGAGGGAATGTAAATCAAACTTACAATGAGCCTTCACCTCAGACCTGTCAGCATGGCTATAATCAAAGAAATAAAAGGCAATAAAAGTTGGTGAGGATGTGGAAAAACTGGAATCCTTGCACACTGTTGATGAGACTGCAAAATGATGCACCTGCTATGGAAAAGAGTAAGAACGTTCCTCAAAAAATTAAAATAGAATTACCATATTAATCCAGCAATCCCACTTCTGGGTATTTGTCAAGAAGAATTAAAACCAGGATCTCAAAGACATATTAGCACCCTCACGTTCATGCAGCACTATTCACAAGAGCCAAGATGTGGAAACAACTTAAATGTCCATCTACAGATGAATGGATTAAAGAAAATGTGGCATATACATATGATGGTATATTATTCAGTCTTTAAAAAGAAGGAAATTCTGCCATATGGGATAACATGGATGAAACTTGAAGGCATTATGCTAAGTAATATAAACCAGTCACACAAAGACAAATAGCATGATTCTACTTAACTGAGGTATCTAAAATAGATAAATTCATAGAATCAAAGAGTAGAAAGATGGTTACCAGGTGCTGGGGAGAGGGGGAAATGAGGAGTTACTAATCAACAGGCATAATGCTTCAGTGAAGCAATGCTTCAGTTAAGTTCTACACATCTACTGTATGACATTACACCTACAGTTGGTAATACTGTATTATACACTGAAAAAAAATTTTTAAAGGTAGACCTCATGTTAAATGTTCTTACCATAACATAACTAAAAAAATTTTCCTCTTTATCATTGGTTTTATACAATTTTATCATGCTATGCCTTGTGTGATTTTATGTGTATCCAGCTTAGGATTTGCTAAGAAGTACATTTTTCATCAGCAGCTACATACCAGAATATTAGTGTTTAAGAACTTTTGGTGCCTGAAAATGACACCTTTTAGGTCAAGAAGAAACATGTGAAACATCTATCCCAGAGTTTTAAAGGAGAATTTTGATACTTAAAATAACAGACACACAAGAAAGTGTTATGAGTGAGAAAGAATCATTCTTGACATAGTGTTCTAAATTATTTTACTAGCTCTCCAGAATTGAAGGTAAATCATGTTCCTCTATTAGCTCAGGACAAACTGTATTTCCAACAAAAATTTATTTTCGGGTACAACTGAGGCCAGAAATACAAATAAGTAAAAGCCAGAAGCCACATCTGACCCCAGAACATTTTAGTTCTAAAACCCATGAGATCTCTAGTCTAATTACATCATAATCCATTTAAACGGACAATGAAAAACATAGCACTTTAGATCAGTGTTGTTCAAAAGAAATATAGTATGAGCTACAAATATAATTTTACTTTTTTTTTTTGAGATGGAGTTTTTGTTCTTGTTGCTCAGGCTGGAATGCAGTGGCGCAATTTTGGCTCACTGCAACCTCCGCCTCCCGGGTTCAAATGATTCTCCTGCCTCAGCCTCCTGAGTAGCTGGGATTACAAGCACGTGCCACTATGCCTGTCTAATTTTTTTGTATTTTTAGTAGAGACGGGGTTTCACCATGTTGGCCAGGCTGGTCTCGAACTCCTGACTTCAGGTGATCTGCTCACCTCGGTCTCCCAAAGTGCTAGGATTACAAGTGTGAGCCACTGTGCCTGGCCATTTTTACATTTTTTAAGAAACTATATTTTAAAGGTTTTTAAAAAAGTAAAACAAATGTAATATATTCAATCCAATATTCCAGAATATCATCATTTAAAAATCAATGTTAACAATTGTTTAAAAATATTTTACATTGTTTTTGAATAGTCTTCAAAATCTGGTGTATAAAAGACATCTCAGGCCAGGTGCAGTGGCTCACGCCTGTAGTTCTAGCACTTTGGGAGGCTGAGGGAGGAAGATTGCTTGAGCCTACGAGTTTGAGACCAGCTTGGGCAACACAATGAGACCACATCTCTACAAAAAAATAAAAATTAAAAAATTTCCCGAGTATGGTGATGCATGCCTGTAGTTCCAGCTACTCAAGAGGCTTAGGTGGGAGGATTGCTTGAGCCCAGGAGGTCTAGGCTGCAGTGAGCTATGATTGTGCCACCGCACCCCAGCCTGGGTGACAGAGTGAGACCCTGTCTCAAAATAAACAAAACAACAACAAAAAACTCACATCTCCATTTGGAAAAGCCCCACTTCAGGTGCTGGAAAAGCCACATTTCAGGTGCTCAATAGCCACATGTGGCCAGTGGCTACCAACTAGACAGGCAGCTGCAGTGCTACGGAGACAATCACTAAAGAAATTTCCCAGAGATACACACTACATAGGATACTACATAGTTGATGTAAGACACTATGTAGGTTTTTTAAAATGTCCTATGTCGTTCATGTATCAAATTTATGAAGTTAGGACACCACATAAATTAACCTCATAAAAACATGTGCCAATCTTACACAATATTATGACTACCTGAGCCTCCAAAATGATTGATTTTGTTTAATTACAAAATTGGTAAATTCATTTAAAAACTGATTAACCATTATAAGCTGAAGAAGTTTTTAGCTCATTAATAACACAAGAATCACTGCTAAAAATCACTAGCAACTAGAATATGTGACAACAGAGGTAATTTTAAGTTGTTGTTAAGTTATATGCTAAATTTAATTTTAACTCCAGGTTTTTTTTTTTTTTTTTTTTTTTTGAGTTGGAGTCTTGCTCTGTTGCCTAGGCTGGAGTGCAGTGCTGCCATCTCAGCTCACTGCAACCCCTGCCTCCCGGGTTCTAGCACTTCCTTTGTCTCAGCCTCCCAAGCAGCTGGGATTACAGGCGTGCACCACCACACCCAGCTAATTTTTTTTTCTATTTTTAGTAGAGGCAGGGTTTCACCACATCGGCCAGGCTGGTCTGGAACTCCTGATCTTGTGATGCGTCCACCTCAGCCTCCCAAAATGCTGGGATAACAGGCATGAGCCACCCCACCAGGCCCAGATTTTTATTAGAAGCATTACTTGTTAGAGAAAGCAAATAAATCTATAAATTACATGGACTTTTAAAATGTTACTTGTTAAGATAAATATGTAATAGAATTATATTGCTTTTGGGTCCCAAATTCTTGTCAGACTCTATAGTATAGATTTAAGATTTTCTGCCGGGTGCAGTGGCTCACGCCTGTAATCCCAGCACCTTGGGAGGCCGAGGCAGGTGGACCACAAGGTCAAGAGATCGAGACCATCCCGGCCAACATGGTGAAACCCCGTCTCTACTAAAAATACAAAAAATTAGCTGGGCATGGTGGCATGTGCCTGTAGTCTCAGCTACTCGGGAGGCTGAGGCAGGAGAATCGCTTGAAACAGAAAGGCGGAGGTTGCAGTGAGCCAAGATCTCACCACTGCACTCCAGCCTGGGCAACAAGAGCGAAACTCTGTCTCAAAAAAAAAAAAATTTTTTTTCAACTCATTACAGTTAAATAGTTCAGAGATTGAACAAATGTCTATTTATTAGAGCTTATATTCATTTGAAGAAACAGGGTCAAGGTTTTCTTGTTACAGAGTACTACTTTGAGAAATATTTTATACACATGCACAAGTAAAATTATATTTTAACTGCCTGAAATAGATTAAATATATTTCCTTAAACTCAAGAATATAAAAATCACAAGTGTTTGTTTTTCTATGTTTATGTTTATAAATACTTAAGAGCACACATATTATTCACAGGAATTAAAATATAAAAAGAAATTATGTAAATTAAGTGTCCCACATTTTGCACTGACTTAGCACACTAAGTACTAATATGGGGAATGGCGGTTGTGACGGTTAGTTAATATTAGGTGTGACTGAACCGAGGGATGCCTAGATGGCTGGTAAAGAATTGTTACTGGGTGTGTCTGTGAGGGTGTTGTCAGAGGAGACTGACATTTGAGTTGATGGACTGAAAGCAATACCCTTCAATGCAGGTGCCATCCAATGGCCGCCAGCAGCTACAACAAAACAGGCAGGAGAAGGGGTATAAGCAGTTTGCTGAGACTTCTGGCTTTCTCTTTCTACCTGTGTCAGACGCTTGCCTCCTCTCTTACTACTCCTGAACATCATACTCCAGGTTATCCAGCCTTTGGACTGTGGAATTGTACCAGCGGCCTCCTGGAGGCTCTCAGGCTTTCAGCCACAGACTGATAACTGCACTGTCGGATTCCCTGGTTTTAAGGCTTTATGACTTGGACTGGGCCCCCTATCAGCTTTTGTCTTCCCCCAGCTTGTAGATAGCCTATCATGGGACTTCACAGTGTTATCACATGAGCCAGTGCTCCCTAATAAACTCATATATAGATCTAGATAATAAATGGCTCCTATTGGATCTGTCTCTCTAGAAAACTTTAATACAGTGGTTAATTCACTTTTGTAATAGATTTAGATATGCTAGGGTATAGGTCTGGCCATAGTTAACCATTTCCTATTCTCCAGCATACAGACATTTTAAAAATAGCCCCAATATTATTGCTCCTTCCAATTCCCACTCAACTTAGAGTGATTTAATCCTTTAATGCAAAAACTTTGTAAATAGCTATAGCAAAAATATTCCCAAGCTTAAGTTGAAAGCAGCAGAAAATAGAAGGTAGGCCCACTGTATGTATGTATGTATGTATGTATGTATGTATGTATGTATGTATGTATGTATATGTGTTTATGTAAAACTATTTTTAAGCAAAATTATCTGCATTAACAGGCAAAATTAATTAATTTGCTAATTATCCAACCAAATAAACATTTATGAGTCTGGGATTGGACTTATCAAACATAAGCAACACCATCTCCACCACGAAGGAGTTCATAGTCAACAGAGAAGACAGACAAGTAAACAAAATAATTGCCACTCAATACTAAACCTCTTAGAGAGATTTAAAATTTTGTTCTTAAAGGCAAAATCTGTATAACTTTTCCAAACAAAACACTCTAACAAAAACCTCTCAATACTTCAAACGATAAAAGGAGGTGAAATTCACTTCACCTTAATAAAGCAAAAGTCTCTGTTTTCTTCCATCCATTGCCTACTTTTATTTTGCCTGCACATAAGCCAGTACAAATAGCAAATAATTTCATTTCTCCAGTTGCATAATTTTTGTAAGATTCACTAGCATACTTGACAACCACACTGTTAAAGAGAGCTAAAATTTCTTAGGAGAAGAAATTGTAAAGGAATCTTAAGCTAAAATTCCTAATACACCATCCTGCTCCTGTATTCTTGCTTCTCTAATTCCTGCTTTTTGGAAAGGAAATACTTTGAACAAACTTTCTCGAATACTTACACTGCAGGCCCCTGACACACAGACTTCAAATTTTACTATCCTGGGAAGAGGGAGTCTGATATCAGCTCAGATGTAATCCTGAGTCCCAGGGAATTGATGACCTATGCAGCCACAGCAGTGAATATTATGTCATTTCCTTCTCAGTGAATAAATTAAAACGGGTTTATGGCCTAGTGTCTACTAAATGGAAAAGTAAAGAGAGGAAAAAAACAAACAAACCTGTAAATGCTGAGCAGACATATGCTGCACTCCAGGATACCATGTCTCACTCATTTTTAAACCCCTCAGAGTTCATTATATAAAAATGTGATTGCTTCTAAGACTAGCCAGGGAAAAGCACCCATGTCTCAAAGGAAAGGATCTGGTATGGGTGGAAGGGGTATGACACAAGTCACTAACTACAGTCTCCCCACAGATACTTCAGAGTACCATTCACTTCAGCTGTGTAAGTTTTCCTTTTTTATTTTTAACCAAGAGAATTCTCCTCTGTATATACCTAAAAATAAAACTGTTGAATCAAAATGAATCAAAAGAGACATTCCCTCTTTCCTGAAACTCATTAAGTTAATGACAATAAAACTAAAGACAGTCTTAAAATAGCCACATAATTCTGGACTTTGCAAATACTCCTTTAGATCATCATGCTAACTTCTCTTCTAGGCTCTGTCAACATCTTGGTTTCCCTCCACCTTTTCTATTTAACAACACTGCTTCTGCTAAGGAAGTTGCTGATGAGAAATCTGACCCTCACATCTGTCAAAAGGCATTTACTCCAGCTGTTAATGGAGCCAACAGGGGCTCAGGATTCATAAATGGGGAGGAAGATGGGATGGGAATATGACTGACATTTACACCCTTTTACAAATGAGGAAGTGTGTAACAAGTTAAAAGTCATACTGCTAGTAAATACCAAGGCTATGTACATTTGGTTTGTTTTTAAAATAAAAATAATTTCATTGCTTTCTCTGACTATAAAAGTGGTTCATATTTATTATATACAATATTGCTATAATGTTGATTAACATTAATTAAAAAGTAAAAATTGTCTGGACATGGTGGCTCATACCTGTATCCCAGCATTTTGGGAAGCCAAGGTGGAAGGACCACTTGAAGCCAGGAGACATGAGACCAGTCTGGGCAACAAAGTGAGCCCCTCCACTTCCCCACCTCTACAAAAAAAATTTGAAAAAACTGGCAAGGCAAAGTGGTGTGCACCTGCAGTCCCAGCTACTCAGAAGGCTGAGGCAAAAGACTAGGAGTCTGAAGCTACACTGAACTATGACTGCACCACTGTGCTCTGGCCTGGGTGACAGAGTGAGGCTTTGTTTCTTTAAAAAAAAAAAAAAAAGTAAAAATAATAAACGTGATGGCTCTGTTAGCAGTTTGGGGAACAATTTTCCAGACCATTGTAACATACATAGTTTTACATAAATGTTGTGTTATTTATAGTTTTGTAATCTACTTTTCCAGTTAATAAATGCATGAACTTCTTTTAATGTTAATGCATACAGATATATGTATCACCATTTTAATAGTTTCTCATTCTGTTATGTAGATATAGTGTATATGCAATAATCCTTAAAGCAACTCTCTAAGGCAGATTCAATCTTGGATTATTTGTCTTATTATCTAGGACAAAGTTTTAAAAATAGAATTTATAGGACAAAAGGTGAGTACTTGAAGTTTTTATATTATATATTAACCACCTTCCAGGAAGACTGTGCAAATTTATGTTCCACATTCACTTTTATCTACATACGTTTAAAAAAGCATAATATGGTGATGTCTGATATTGAAAAAAAGCCAGTGGAATACCTCCTAGAAACATTCAAGAAAAACCTGTCATAGGTCAAATCTCATGACATTGTGCTGCCTATATTCTTTTTTTGTCTTGAGATATAAAATTCTGGGACCTCAATGTCTATAATACTTAATTACCAATTTTAGATTCAGTAGGTAAGGCAGGCATAAAAGGACAAGACTTTAAACATATGTATACCTTGTCCTTTTATACTTGCCCTACTAGGAGATCATATAGTTAAAACCAAAAATAACCTAAGTTTTTAGAGAACCCATGTAGTTCAAGAGTGAAGTAAAAAACAAGAGAGAAGAAGAAAGACTGTAACTAGGGCAGATTCATAGACAGAATACCTTTCGTATTAGTAAAGCCCTAAAGAGTTCCTCTGACATTAGAATGTCCTTTTCATCTTGTCACACTTTTGAAAATGCTACTGAAGAGATTCATTCAGGCAATAAATATCCCTAGAGGCTGAGAGGAAATAGGCACTAGGAATTTTTCTTTAGTTGGTGTGGAGGGAAGGTAGGAAAAATAGTAATTAACAGAAGGAGCACTTTGGGAAGAAGAGTGAACTGGTAGGAAATTAAAAGTTAAGAGGCATTGTGGCATAAGGGGGAAAAAAGGATGGGCTATTGAAATAAATGAGTTCACTTTTGCAGGTCTGTTCTCATATACTGATGATAATGGCAAAGATATTAATTTCTAGAGCTTCACGTTTTCTTATCTGTAAAAGGAGAGGGACTGGACCATGACATCTAGGATTTCCTTTAGCTCAAACATTCTGATTAAACTTTATTCTACAAATGAGGTCTAGAAATAATTAAAATTTCCACAATTTATCCAATAATTTCTAGCCTTTAAAAAATACAATAATTGATCCATATTACCCCAAGTCATACAATTAGCATTAGCAGGTAACTTGAGGGCCTGATTAGGGATAAAAATATTTAATGGAAAAGTGGGCAAATCTGTTATGTCAATTTTGTCTTAACTGGTTCAGCTCTAGACTGGGTTTAAAAAATCATTACATGTATTTGTGATAGTCAAGGTAAATGGAAGAATTAAAATTTTTTCAATTTTAATTACAAATGGAAATGGAATGTTTCTATATCAACATGATATTATTTTGAGTCTTCAAAATATATCTTAAAAAATAAGCAGTTATCATGCAGGCAAAATGAATTACAGTTGATGCACAAAAAGCATGGGGGCTAGAGGTGCCAAACCCTACACACATCAAAAATTCTCCTTTAACCTGAGACTCTCCAAAAAATTTAACTACTAATAGCCTATTATTGACTGGAAGCCTTACCAATAACATAGCCTGACACATATTTTGTATTTTATATGTATTATATACTGTATTCTTATAATAAAGTGAGCTAGAGAAAAAAGGTTAATAAAATCATAAAGAAGATAAAATATATTTACTATTCATTAAGTGGAAGCAGATCATAAAGGTCTTCATGTCTTCATCCTTATCGTCTTAAGGCTGAGTAGTGTTTGTGTGTGTAGGTTTTGATAATTTTAACTTTTTATAATAGATTTGTGTATATTTCATGTTAGTAAATGGTAAAATAGACTAGTATATACATATTTAATACATTCATGACATTTTTTCTTAATTTTTTTTATATTTCTAGGCCACATGGTTTTTCCTCATTATCAAAAATGTCCAAAAATTTTTCCAATATATTTATTGAAAAAAATCCACATATAAGTGAACCTGTGCAATTCAAACCTGTGGTGTTCAAAGGGTCAACTGTATTTTAATAAGATCAATGTTAATGCCCTATTGCTAGGTTTACTCTGATATGAGATCTGTCATCTGTTTTATTTACTAAACTTTCTACTAACAGTAAAGCAACTGAGGGCATTAAAAGTAGTATTTGTGTTACTATTGTCCCACACGTTTCCTTGACTGCTTAATCTTACTTCTTTGAACCCCAGTGACCTTTGTTGGTATTAAAAATAAATGTATTTGATATTATAAATCATTGGTCTAGCATCAAAATGCCCAAGAATACTTATATCTATGTAATCTAAGACAAGAGTAAGCCCAGTGGAATTACTCATAATTTCTACTATTTAAAGAATTTATTTCATGTAAGCTATTGTATGCTAATTACCAAATTATATAAAATCTAAATAGATACAGCTTATTCCACATAGCTTCTATAAATAATTTGCCAAAATAACTGATACATTACTTTCTTATCCCAAACTAAATAGGACTAAACTGAGTTAGACTGGGATACTAAAGATTTCTATTTGTTATTAAGATTATTTTTAAGAGAAAGAGATAGACTTACTTAAGTTTAATGTCAATTAAGCAATAAGTACTTCTGCAAAAATAGTCTAGTCATAAAAATTGTAGTATTATATGGACTTGCTGGCAAGGAAGTCTCATTTCCTAGCTGGAAGGTTGGTTGTCAAGTGTTCCATGCTAGGCATCACTGAAATGGTTTAACTTTAGACAGTACCAACCCTCAACAATGGAGCAAATGCCTCTACAAGAGAAAGCTACCCCAGCTACAGCTGTCTCCTAAATAGTTCTTTTTAAAATTAGAGTACAAAATGTTTTTTCCCATTATTTGTCATTCCTAGCCTTGTAAGTCCCACATTTAATATTCACTGACTTCACTAATGGTTCATTTTTAGTAGCAGCTAATTGTACCCACCTGAACTCAGAAAGGATGTGTGCTATGCTCAGAGGTGCAGTGAATACTAGTTTTGTTGGAGTGTCCTCTTTTACTTAAATTAAAAATATATTTGTAGTTTTGGGACTAACCATATGATTTTAATCAAAAGAAGTCTAAACTTATAAGATTTTTGTTGTTGTTAGGGCACAGAGAGGTGTGCTTGTGTGTGTTTCCATGAGCATGTATGTATAAAATTCTGGAAAAGGAAAATGAAATTCAGGAAATATTTTATTCTATACAGGATATATACCCATTAAATATTGTTAGCATGGTTTAGCTTTAGCTTGTACACGAAGATCAATCTGCATATAAGAAATGGTATCAAAACTTCAAATATTGGTAACATATTTGATAAACACCACTACTATAGCATTCAGCTTTTTGAAAATAAAACTACTTATTTGGAAGGTATATGAAGTCAAAAAGACTGCCACTGGTGACATAGCTTCAAATGCTGGAAGGTCCAAGTAAAAACTCTTTTGAGGAGGTATGGAAAGAATCTCTTGCAACTTTATAATGTGATATTTTATGATTATGCTGTTAATGGCTAAAAGTAACCATATAACAGGCTCTGTGTTATTTTATATGCATTGTCTCATTTAATCATGTAACAAACTAGTGAGGTATTTTAAATATCCTGATTTTTATGCAAGATAACATTAAAGCCAAAAGAAGCAAGTAACTTGACTGAGGTTAAGCACAGTGAAAGTGCAGTTTGATTTGAAGCAAGCAGTCGGATCCAGAGGGCTACCTCTAACCATGCTGTATTTCCATGCAAACGGCTCTCCAGGTGAAAGCAATTTTGCCTGATCCCTGTAATACAGATGATCTCTTGGAACTATCTATCTATACCTACTTTAGTTTGGGACTACAACTGCAAGCTGTGGCTCTTTTTGAATATGACTCACAATTCATATTTTAAAAAATCAACCAGTATCGAATTTTGATCATTTTCTAGCTAAGATTGGAAGCCAACATTCCCTAGTTAGCTTTCAGTGGAATTTTGGTATGTTCTTACGGTGTTTCTTTTGCCTATTATTATCTTTTGAGGGTAGCTTAAACAAATAAACTAAAAATACTTTAGTTCTTTGTAAACAATAAATCCTCAAAGGCATAGAACAAAAATCACGGAACAACTGAAACAGTTAAGACAAGAAAATGATGCGTGATCTGTGTAGAGGGGTGAATAGGTAGAAGGTTTCACGTTCAATAGGAGGGTCTGAGTTGTATGCAGGCGATGAGAAAATAAATTGGGAGGCTATTAATCAGGACAAGAAAAAGGAAAAACTATGGACAGACCCCACAGATTGTTAAAAACGAGTAACTGGAAAATACTGTAAGGAAATGGAAACTAAGGAACCAAGGATGAGGCAAAAATAATCTACATAGCAAGAAAAGGTGTCCTTCCTGATCTCACCATTTTTGTTATTTTATTGAGTAATACAAACTCATGGTAAAACAATAGCAACAACAAACAGTACAGAAATGTGTATGTAAAAACCAAAATCTTGTTCCCACCTTCAATACATTAATTTCCCTCTGCAGAAACCATTTTCTTCCAGACGTCTTCTATGATTAGAAAGATATATCCAATCCTGTCCATTAAAAATATAGCAGAATGGGATTACACTTTCTTGCTTGTTTGTAATCTGCTGGTCACAAATATATGTCTTCGCCTGCAGTATCTTAAAGCTACCACCTAGAACTGGACAACCACAGGTTTACTCTTCTAGGTCCAGGAAGCAGGTGGACAAAGTGCTTCTAGTGATGTAAGGTAATGGGATTTTCAAGATTAATCTCCATTTCACTACTCGTTAGGACTCTAGAAGCAAAATTATGAGTTTAGGTGAAAAAATTTACATGACTTATCTAGACATTTACCCCAAATTGTAAACAATGTAACTAAAAGTTTTAAAAGATTTCAATCATTTACTCTTAGCTGTGGCCAATTCACATATAATAGGGTGCTTTCCAGCTTGTATGTTGTGACAGCACTATAAAATATAGGTCTTTCTGATCTGCTTCACTGGGTGGTATATATCCAAGGATTGAGGATCTCTGTGCTCTCCGATACTGATTTCTTCCTACAGTTCTTTTTCTGTCTTACTAGCACCTTCTAAGGCCTTTTCTACCTCACCAATAAAACTGGCACTTGTCACAGAACATTCTTCTCCCCTGACCAAACATGTCATGGAAATTTTTAAAAACAGTTAACACAGGTATTCTCACCCTAGGTTTCTGGATGAGTATCAAGGGATACAGGTTGAAAATGCAAACAAACTTTTACATATATAAGCACTTTTATGAGAAGATGGTCTTCGGAGACTAGGAAATGAAGATACTAATAAACTATAAAAATTAAGCTCAGTTGTTGGTAAAATACTTTATCTTCTGAGTACAATTCTAAATAACGTATACAACATTTCAAACTCTTTGGAGACATTGAGAAAAATGCAATAACACTAATATGAAAGATCCTTTTAATCTACCTCTATTTATCTGACTCCCCAGATTTAATTTCTGTTCTACATTTCCTCTATAAAACATTCTGGCTTCTACTACAGTGGTACTATTCACAGAATGTCTACCATGATTTGACAGGCCAAAGTTGTATTAGCCAACAGGAAAAAAAAATTAAGTTGGAAGATAAAAAAATTAGGGTTGGCAAGGATGTAGAAAAAAGGGGTCCCTTTTTCTACATGGGAATGTCAACTAGTCAATTTCTATAAGCAATTACAGAAAACAGCACAGAGGGTCCTCAAAAAATAAAAAATATAACTATTATGTAGTCTAGCAAACCCACTGCTGGGTATATATCTAAAAGAAAAGAAAAGAAATCAGTATATCAAAGAGCTATCTGTACTCCCATGTTTATTGTAGCACTATTCACAATAGCCAAGATATGAAATCAACCTAAGCGTCCATCAACAAATGAACGGATAAAGAAAATGTGCAACAAAATGGAATACTATTCAGCCTAAAAAAAGAAGGAAAGTCTGTTATGTTTTGACAACATGGATGACCCTGGAGGACATCACATAAAGTGAAATAAACCAGGCACAGAAATTCAAATATCCCATGATCTCACTTATATGTGGAGTGTAAAAAAGTTGAACTCAGAGAGAGTAAATGGTGGTTAGCAGAGAGATTAGGTAGTGCTGGCCAAAGGGCACAAAATTTCAGTTAGACAGGAGCAATAAGTTCAAGAAACCTATTGTATGTCATGATGACTACAGTTAACAATATATCATGTATTTGAAAATTGCTAAGGCAGTAGATTTTAAATGTTCTCATCTTCCAAAATAAGTATGTGAGGTAAAACATATATTAGGTAGCTTGATTTAGCCATTCTAAATGTGTATATATATCAAAACATCATACACACCATAAATATATACAATTTTTACTTGTAAAAATAAAATAGAAAATTAGTCAGGGTCCTGTTAGAGACTCTGAAGATAAATCAACTTAGGGAATATTTCCCAAAGTGCTGGAAAGGTTAAGGCATGCTGACGGAACCAAAGTCTAGGGACTGCAGGAAGCTATTACTGCTTAGGACCTGGAAGGAGTAAGTGGGAGGAGACAGTATTATCAAAACCCAAAGCTGAAGCTGTTGAAGAAGTGGGGTGAAGGCTCAAAGGACAAGAGATACAGTTATAAAGGGATACAGCCAATACTAGAATTGAGGTTCTAGGGCAGGGAGGGAGAGGGAATACATATCCTGACCTCTTTCTCCTTCCACCTTCTAAGTTCCTGTTGATAGCCAGGTGCAGGGGCACATGCTGGTAGTCCCAGCTACTCAGGAAGCTGAGGTGGAAGATCGCTTAAGCCCAGGAATTTAAGGCTGCAGCGAGCTATGATTGCACCACTGCACTCCAGCCTGGGTGACAGTGAAACCTATCTCAAAAAAAAAAAAAAAAAAAAAATTCTTGATGCATCCCGTTGGCTGAACTCAATGGAATGGAATCCAGGGCTACGCAGTTCATAGGGCCACCTCAATCTCCTTTTCTATCCTTATACAGACTTTCACACACAACACTGATAAAGGCAAGAGCAGCTATGGGGAGTGGGAGGATATGAGTTGAAAAAAAAATTTTTTTCCCTCTGCTCTCATACCACAGCAATCAATACAGAAGACTTTATAACCCTAAATATATGGGGGATTTCTCCCTACTACCAAGTAATCATTCATTTCTGCAACATACACCTGATAGGTGTCCTCCAATTCAGTTCTGAAACTGTCTACCTAGAGACAGTGTCAGGACCCCAGGAGACTGACACCCGACAGCAACAACCACAAGCCCCAGGTTGTTTTACCTATGTTTCTGACTGATGAGCTATAAATCAGGGTTCCCATGACCCCTGCTTGGGTTCAATTAATTTCTAGAGTGGCTCACATAACTCAGCAAAAACACTTAATTTACCAGGTTATTATTAAAGATATCACAAAGGATACAGATGACTAAATCATTGGTCATCAGTGATCAACTCAATCTTTAGCCCCTCTCCCCTCCCTGGAGTTTGTGGGATGGACTTCAAGTCCCAGTCCTATAATCATGCCTTGTTCTCTCCTGTGACCCCACCCTGAAGCCACTAGTCAACTCATCAGCATAGAAAAAGATACTACTTTGGAAATTCTAAGGATTTTAGGAGTTGCATGCCAGGAAAACAGAGCTGGAAGACAAAATATATATTTTACTATATTATAGAGGAGAATAACATGCACAATGAACTACAGAAGAATGGCTATTTCTTAATGTTGTTGGATAAGAACCAATTTAGTATCCATCTGGAGACTATTCCTAACACCTCTATTGTCTAAATATGTTACACTAAAGACTTTGGTACCTTCTATCCATAACGACATTGATGGTTAGCTTTGGAAAGTTTGACAAAACTTCTTAGATGCAGACTCTACAGGTTAGTTACTGTATATAGGTTAATTGTCAACAAATAAAAATTTGGTCTCATATTACTATCCAAATCAGTGGCTATATAGTCTGCTTACATGGGTCTAATTTGATTTTTATAATAGTTTTGACATAGTGGTCTGGGTTTATGGTTTATAAGCCAAGAGGTTCCATTAAATGTGTTCCTTCCTTGTGCTTTTGGTGTCATATCTAAGAACCCATGGCCAAATCCAAAGTCTTTAAGATCCCTACCCCATGATTTCCTCTAAGAATTTTATGGCAACTGTTATATTTAGGCCACTGATCCATTTGGAGTTAACTTTTATATATGGTATAAGGTAGGGGTCCAACTTCAATTTTTGTATGTGAAAATCCAGTTGTCCCAGCAGCATTAATTGAAGAATCTATTATTTCCCCATTGAATGGTCTTAGTATCCTTGTGGATATTCGATTAATTCATAAATCCATGTATTCATGGATTTAGTTCCAGACTCTTAATTCTAATTCCATTGGTCTACATATAGTCTATTCTTATGCTAGTAGCACACTATTTTGAATATGGTAACTTTGTAGTAAGTTTTGAAATTGCAAAGTGAAAGTCCTTCAGCTGTGTTCTTTTTCAATATTGTTTTGGCTATTTGGGGCCCCTTGCATTCCATATGGGTTTGAGAATTGGCCTTCTCACTTCCGCAAAAAATGTCACTGAAATTTGGATAGGAACTGCACTGAACCCATAGATCACTTTGGTTAGTGCCTACATCTTAACAATATTAAGTCTTTCAATCCATGAACACAGGATATCTTTCCATTTATTTAGATTTTCTTAATTTCTTTCTGAAATGTTTTGTAGTTTTCAGTATACAAGTATCTCACCTTGGGTAAATTTACTGCTATGTATTCTATTCTTCTGGATGACAGTGTAAATGCAACTGTTTTCTTAATTTCATTTTCAGATTATTCACTTCTGGTGTACAGAAACACAACTGGGCTAGGCGTGGTGGCTCACACCTGTAATTTCAGCACTTTGGGAGGCCAGGATCACTTGAGTCCAGGAGTTCGAGACCACCCTGGGTAACATGGCGAAACTCATTTCTACCAAAACAAAACAAACTAAACCAAAAATTAGCTGGGTGTGGTGGCGTGTGCCTGTAGTCCTAGCTACCCAGGAGGCTGAAGTGGGAGGATGGCTTGCGTCCAGGTGGCAGAGGTGGCAATGTGCCGTGTGATTGCGCCACTACACTCCAGCCTTGTGCCACTACACTCCACCCCAGACGACAGAGCTAGACCGTGTCTCACAAAAAAAAAAAAAAAAAAAAAGGAAACACAACTAACCTGAAAGTAATTTGAGTGCAACCTATGAAAAAGGATGGCCAGAATGTGACTTAACATTTGAGGGGATACCCTATCACTTTTACGTAGAACAACTGATGCAGAAGTGACCTAGTAGCTAATTTTAAATATAATTCTCTAGAATGCCTAACCATCTACTTATGATTTTCTTCCTCATTAATTCGTTTTCCTCTCTAATATAAATTAAAAGATTCATTGCTTCCATGAGGCTGTCAGGATATGCTTGGTTCAACTACCTTACTGAAGTAGACATTCTTGTGAGTACAGTTACTCAGTGAATGAAATAAAATAAGAAAGCCCAATTTTCCACTTGATTCCATGAGAGAAGCAAGAGTAGAAAGAAAGCTCTAGCAAACTTCTTGATACTTTTCGTTAATTCTTTTGCAGCAAATCCTGATATCAGAAATATTTTAAAAAGGATGGGTGAAAAACACAGTGAAAGGTAACTGATTGTATAGAAAAAAGCTACTGTCAGATGAGAAAAAAAAGAATTTATAAATTGTATCTCATATAATAGCATCTGAAGAAAGAGAAGAAAACTTCCTATAGGGGAAGGGGGGATAGACAGGACATTTACTAGAAAAGAAGACACTGGATCGAAAGGAAAACACACTTCAGTAGGCTTTCCTTGATGCTTTTCCAGTTTTCTAATAGCTGTTCCTGGACAGCTATTAGCTACTGCAGTAGAACTGAATTTCAACTCAGAAATGAAGGAGTTGTACAGCTTTGCAAAATTAATTTAAGGTCTTTTAACTTCCAAAGTTGTATGAGAATTAAATAAGAACACAGAGTCTGCAGCACTAATCAGGTGTTTTCCTGTTAGTTACATCCACTTCATCTAGTAAATAAACCAGGAAATAAAAATCGGGCACACTTACAGAGTCTCCGTGGTTAACATTTTCTGATAGAATTCCTCTTGGTTTTAACACCCATAACTCAGGCAATATATGTCTCTAAATTCAACATTTTCCTGCTGATGTTTATATGGGAAAAATTTATACTTACATTCCTCAAATTTAACATAACATTTTAAACAAAAGAATGTATGGAGGGAAGTCTCCTGTTACATTCCAAACACAACTGGTAGAAAGGTCTGATCATGTGTAGACATTTCGAAAAGTCCTCTGAGTGTATCAACCTAGCAATGGTTCCTTAAGGCTAGATTTGTTAGGTCATCAGGAAACCACTGTTTAAGCATTTTACATCCCCAAATTATAATTTATTACTTTAAAGATATTTCACTGCATTTAGTTAGCTTTTAGGAAATTGGTTGGGGATTTGGGGGAATGGGTTCCTGGTTAGAATTTTCAAGTAGGACATCTGATTTCCTAGGATATTAAGTGTTAAGCAGGGGATGCCTGAATACTAAAAAGGTATTTTAATCAGCTGTGATTATGAAAGGCTTTCCCTGTTGAGATTATAATGGTGATAGTTGTAATGATATAACAATTAAAACACTTATTGAGACATTATCTGTTAAATGCTTTATGAGTATCATCTTATACAAGCTTTACAAAGTATATACAGTTGTCTTGGTATCTGCAGAGGATTGGTTCCAATCCCCTCCCTAACCCCCACCAGGATACCAAATTCCACAGATGCTCAAGTCCTTTTTATATAAAATGGTGTAGTTATTTGCGTATAACCTCTGCATATCCTCCCTATACTTAAAATCATCTCTAGATTGCTTGTAATAGCTAACACAATGTAAATGCCATGTAAATAGTTACTATACTGTATTGTCAACATTTGTGTTAACATTTAAATTTTTGATTGTTGCATTATTTTTTACTGTTTTTTTTTCTTAAAAATTTTTTTGACCCTTGATTCGTTGAATCCACGGATTTGAAACCTGTAAATTTGGGGGGCTGACTGTATTATGTATAATAACTGTCATAATTTTACATATAAGACAATATTGCCAGGTTCATACAGCTACTAAATTGAGGTGGGATGTAAGCTAAGTCTATCTGATTCTGAAATGTATGGTCTAATCTACACCATTAAACTATACTACTTATATACCACTGTACTCCCTGACATTCTGAAAAATTGTAATTAGAACAGGACAAAATTGATGAAACACAAATAAAAATAAAATAGCAAAAAATACAAAGCAAATATTATAAGCTGGTGAAGAGAATACCCTGACATATTTATTTATGATATATCTCAATGGGCACTGACTTAAAGGAAAAAAATACTCAATTTCTTGACAAATTCTTTGCCAGTCTCACTGGTAGAGAGTTGGTAAATATTTAACTACCCACTCTCCAGTGAGGAGGGGAGCACTGATTTATAGTGATTGCCAATTTCCATTGTATACATACTCCCAACATAGCTACTGACTGTTTAAAAACTAACTTGCAACATTCTTGGACTTCAAAACGTGCCTCTTGCAAACTGGGAAGAGCCAGTTCAAGCACATCACTGGGTCCAACTCTAACTACATCCAAATCAGCACAAAGTCTTACTTCAAACACAGCTTTAAGTAATGACTACTGTCTCATATGAATGTTTTCTTTAAAACCCTATGAGATATTCATGACTGTAGCATGTGGCATCACTCATGTAAGGCAAGAACTGAAATTTTATAAGGTTTCTCACAAGCAAAAGTCCCTGTTAAGAGAATTAAAAACAAGCTACAGAATGAGAGAAAATATTTGCAAACCACATATTCAGAGGACTTGTATAAACCACATATCCAAAGGAAAATGTGCAAAAGTCATGAGCGGACATTTCACCAAAGAAGAAATATGTATGGCAAAGAAGCACATAAAAAAAGTTCAACATCATTAACCATTAGAGAAATGCAAATTAAAATCACAATGAGGTATCACTACATACCTACTAGAATATGAAATGCTGGCAGGGATGTAGAGAAACTAGATTTCTCATTCATTACTGGTGGGAATATAAAGTCACATGCCACTCTGGAAGATAGTTTGGTAGTTTCTAAAATAGAACTAAACATGAATTTATCATATGCAGTAGGCAGAACAACATTACCAACCCCTAGATGTTCATATTCTAACCCCTGGAACCTGAAAATATGTTACTTTACATAGCAAAGAGAAATAAAGGTCGTAGATGAAATCCAGGTCGTTGATCAGTTGACCTTAAAACAGAACTACCTTATGTAACATTACACAAGAATTAAAAGTGGAAAAGGGAGGCAGAAGAAAGTTAGCAGATGAAGATGTGACTTCGAAGGAAAGGCACAGAGAGATGCAACATTGCTCCTTTGAAGATGAAGGAAGAGACTACAAGCCAAGAATAACAGGAGAAACTAGGAAAGGAATAGATTCTTCTCTAAAGCCTTCAGAAAGGAATGCAACCTTGCCAACACTTTGATTTTAGCCCGATGAGACATATGTTGGATTGTTAAGCTATACAACTGTGATACATTTGTGTTGTTTAAGCTTCCAGCCTGTGGTAATTTGTTATAGCAGCAACAGGAAACTAATATATCATATGATTCAACAATTGTACTCTTTATTCTAAAGAAATGAAAACTTATGTTCACATAAAAGTTTGTATGTGGATGGTCACAGCAGCTTTATTCATAATAGTCCAAAACTGGAAACAACCTAAATGTCCTTAGACAGATAAATGGTTAAACTCTGGTACATCCATAAAGCAGTGTAACTACTCAGGAATAAAAAAGGTACAACTGGCTGGGCGCAGTGGCTCACGCCTATAATCCCAGCACTTTAGGAGGCCGAGGCAGGTGCATCACCTGAGGTCAGGAGTTCAAGACCAGCCTGGCCAACACGGTGGTGGGTGCCTGTAATCCCAGCTACTCAGGAGGCTGAGGCAGGAGAATCACTTGAACCCAGGAGGCGGAGGTTGCAGTGAGCCAAGACTGCGCCATTGGACTCTAGCCTGGGTGACAGAGCAAGATTCCGTCTCAAATAAATAAATAAATACAAAAATTAGCTGGGCGTGGTGGAGAGCACCTGTAATCCCAGCTACTCAGGAGGCTGGGGCAGGAGAATCACTTGAACCTGGGAGCGGAGGTTGCAGTGAGCTGAGATCATGCCACTGCACTCCAGCCTGGGCGATAAGAGCAAGATTCCTTCTAAAAAAAAAAAAAAGTACAACTATTGATACATACAGCTTGGCTAGATCTAAAGAACAACGTGCTTAGTGATAAAAGCCAATCTTGGAAGGTTAATACTCATTGCATGATTGTATTTATGTGACATTTTGATTTATGTATTTACTTAAGAGATGGAGTCTCGCTCTGTCATCCAGGTTGGAGTGCAGCAGTACGATCACGGCTCACTGCAGCCTCGAACCCCTAGGCTCAAGGGTTCCTCCCACCCCAGCCTCCCGAGTAGCTAGGACTACAGATGCAAGCCATCGTGCCCAGCTGTGACATTTTTAGAATGACAAAACTGTGGAGATGGACACAGACTAGTGGTTGCCAGAGGACAGAGAAAAGAAGATGGGAGAATCCAACTATAAAGGAGTACGCAAGAGAGTTTCCTTGTGGTGATCAAATATATAATGCTCTACCTTGATTGTAGTAGTGATTATATGAATCTGTAATAGGGGTCAAATTGCATTGCACACACAGAAAAACATGAGAGTGCAGGTAAAAACTGATAAGAACTGAATAAGCTATGTAGTCTAATTAATAATATTGTACTAATGACAATTTCCTGGTTTTGATATTGTTCTACAGATATAAGATATCACCATTGGGGGTGCTGGGCTATGGCTTATGGGGTACTATGTACTATTTTTTTCAACTTTATGTGTACGTATCATATGTCAAAATTAAAAGTTACAAAATAAGAGGAAAGAAAAAAGTCATCTGCTGGCCATAAAATTATTAGAATAGATTTTTAAGACATAAAATCACATCCTTTTAAATTCCTGTTTTATATGTTTATATACATTGCATAAAACCTGCATATAATAAAATAAATAAATATGCACATATTAGTAGTATATGCTAAAAAGTACTCAGGTATATGCAATGAAAAAGTTCAGAGATCACTGTTCTGAAGTATTATTTACTTACCTTTCTTAAACAGTGAAAAACAAAATGTGTGATATAGAATTCTGATGTAATATTATCTCCAGAATATTAACCCCAGCATAAACCACTAAGACAAGATATACTAAAAATAAATTTTAAAAGATGCTATGTAGAAATGGAGTAAAGCATTAAATTACTAGTTTATATTGCTTCTTTCCATAAAAGGCATTAGCAGTCCTATTACATTTTTCAATCAGCCACAAAAGACTTTGAACTTTCATCTAATGCACTGTTTCTGTTATTATTATTGTTTTGTATATTCTTATTCACTTTTTTTTTTGAGACAGGGTCTCACTCTGGTTGCCCAGGCTGGAGTGCAGCGGCATCATCTCAGCCCACTGCAGCCTCGACCTCACCAGCTCAGATGGTCTTCCCACCTCAGTCTCTCGAGTAGCTGGGATTACAGGCATATGCCACCATGCCCAGCTAAATTTTTTTGTATTTTTAGTAAAGACAAAGTTTCACTATGTTGCCCAGGCTGGTATTGAACTCCTGGATTCAAGCAATCTGCCCGCCTTGGCCTCCCAGAGTGCTGTGATTATAGGCATGAGCCACCGTGCCTGGCCTCTTCTTCATTTTTTTAAGATAACTTGTTACCCAAGATTAACTCGGCCACTATTTTTGAAGGTTAAAAGAACACCTGAAACTAAAACTCAAACACCCCATTTTTGCTCAGCAAAGTATGTCACTCTACAAAACACATTTGAGCACTGGGAATTACTTGATAAAGATTAGCAAATTCAAGCTTAATATATTTGTAGAACAGTTTGTTTTCAATCAAATATCTCTATTCATCTAGTGATTGGTGTTTTTGTCGATGTTCTGAAACAGTACAACTTACGGGTTTGGAGTGAAACTTGGGAAACGTAGATTGTTGTTAAACATCAGCCAGTTAACACAGTTAAGCCATAAAGACTCTTACGTCCATATTTTCCAACTTGTCAGGTAGTGTTCTATAGAATGAATTTAGAATAATTCCTGGAAATTTGTAAGTCTAAGGTGAACTTACATATAGCAAATGTTTAATTGTCTTACAAAGTATTTGAAACATTTAAATTCACTCTCTTAAATACAAGGATGTTCACACTACAGCTACACTAGTATTTCCTGATTTGGTAAAGAACATAGGCAAGGAAGGTTAAATTTCAAACAAAACTTTAATGTTTTTGTTTCTTAGCTTATTTTATTAAAGATAATTCACTGTTCTTTCCTTGTGAGTTAATAATCTTCCTCTCAGGGAACCTGGCTCTCTAAACTGTATTTTTAAAACGCTTTACTTTGAAGGTAGAGCATTTGCCACAAAAAAATATGATTCAAAATTGTGGAATGAGAAACTCATGTGAGGACATTGGATCTTTATTATTATGCTGAAACTCAAAGGCTGTGATTTATTTACTTTTTGAAGGTAACTGACATCTTGTCACAGCTACGTTGCCTTGGAGAGGTTAAAAAGTTGTCCACGTTCCAGCCAGCAAAAGAGCAGCCTCTCAACTGCCAACATGCAACAAGCTTGGACAAGCACTTTATTTTTTACAGTAAAGTAACAAGCTTGCCTTCTCAGTGCAACCAAACTCAAACAATGAAAAGAGCTATTCCAAACTGAAGGCCAAGCTTGTGGTATGCATAGGAGCACTCTCCACCGAGCAACCATGGTCAAGCACAAGCTTTCTCTTCAAAGAAATGTTTTAACAGATTGCGTATGCCATCAGTCCCTCAGCTACTCTCAGCTATGTCAACTTATTATCCCTAAAGATTGTTAAAAAACATGTATTAATAAGTAGCATAAATTGCTCTTTTGAATATAAAATTCGCTTGGGCTCCCAAGATGACATACAGGAAGAGTAGAGAAAAGAAATGCAACTTCCCGCATGATTCTGAGTACCATATGAAATAATTGCAGTAGAAAATGTATTAACATAGAAAATGTGGACTTTCCTTTTGGAATAGAGTAATCAGTGCTAGTGTTTTACATATTCAGTTTATTCAGGGCTGATGTTTATTAAAGCCCTGTGAATTTAAGTTCATCTCTAAAACAATCATAATATGTGAATTGCCATACCTCTTACCTCAAAATTTGGAACAGAGAAAAAAAGAAGGCCTTGTTCCACATTATGAATTAAGAAAAACAAAAAATATGTAAGGGCACAGAATTAAACAAAAGTAGTTCTACGTTCTGCAAAGGCATCCAAAGATATCTTTTACTTCCTTAGAACATGTTTTATAATTAAGTAAATACATACATACATATGTATATCTGAAAAATTTAGTAAAGATGAAAACTAAATCCTGGTTTAGGTAAATATTCCACATAAAATAAAAACTACATGAAAGCAGATATTTTTATACATTCTGCCATGGGATTAACTAATCTGTATATAGCTCTGGATTTATATGAAAAGATAACAGATAAAACATTAGAACTCTGAGTATATCGGCCGGGTGTGGTGGCTCATGCCTGTAATCCCAGCACTTTGGGAGCCTGAGGCGGGCAGACCACGAGGTCAGGAGCTGGAGACCAGCCTGGCCAACATGGCGAAACCCCGTCTCTACTAAAAATACAAAAATTAGCCAGGTGTGGTGGCACGTGCCTGTAGTCCCAGCTACTCAGGAGGCTGAGGTGGGAGAATCGCTTGAACCCGGGAGACAGAGGTTGCAGTTAGCCGAGATCGTGCCATTACACTCCAGCCTGGGCGACAGAGCAAGGCTCCATCTCAAAAAAAAAAAAAAAAAAAAAAAAAAACCTCTGAGTATATCATTGAAAAGATTCCATAATTTAGTTTCTTTCATTACTGCTATGTTCCTTTCATAAATCCAAAACAATGATGTTATCAATGATTCTGAAAATCAATTTCTGTGGGTCATTAAATTTTCCAAATGTATACTGCATAAAAATCATTTTGCATAATGTAATTAACATTATTTTATATTTAAAAATCAGGATTTGGATCTACTTCATACTCCTAACCAGGCTCTATGTCTATGCCTATGACTATGTCTATATCTGTATCTATATCATCTATTTACTGACCCAGAATATCAGGAACTCACAGAGGTCAAGGAGTAGCTCTGATGTGGAGGAGTCTGCCCTTTTCCAAAGAGGTTAAGTATGAATTCTGTACACTTGGACTTAGATTCACTTCCCCAGACCGCCAGCCTTCATCAATGGGCTCAAGAGACCACTCCTTCTCTACCACTCACTCACAGCATCACCAGTACTATTGTGCCTCAAGTCTGCCAGTATTAATTTTATGTTGGCCTTTAACTATGTTAAATCAGGCTACCACAAGAAGCTCCAGAATTCAAGTTCATGCCTCATCTAGATTCTAAACCTTGCAAATGTCAACACATTCCTGAGTCTGTTTCTTCCCACCACAATCTTACTCCATTATATAACGAGTAACAGAAAATATATTAAGAAATACATTGCAGGTCAATTTTAGCAAAGGTAATTTCAGGTCAAGGAAAGGCTAGGGCAGGAAGATATTTTGGATTTTAATGGTCCTAATCATTGGGAACTTTTAGGATTAAGTCCTAGCTTCAATTAAAGGACCCAATCCTAAGGCAGGAAGATGTTTTGGCTTTTAATGGTCCTAATTAATGGTAATTTTTAGGACTGTGTTAAGTCCTAGCTTCAATTAAGAATGTGTATCTGAGAAGAAACAGAATCAGAGATGCAATTCTAGGGAGAGGCTGGCAAGATCCCTTCAAACAGAGTAGTGGTCTCAGAAGGGGTTCAACCAGGCAGTTAAAGACCGTAGGGGAGACAAAAACACTTTAGTAAGACAAATGCATACGAATTTGTGTGCCAGTGTGTGCACATATACATATACACACCCTTCACAATATGGAACAAGCTACACACATGATGTAGGGAGGAGGCTCTGGGCAGCTACATGCTCGGTGACTCCAGCTGGTTGCTCTTTTTTTTTTTTTTGAGACGGAGTGTAGCTCTGTCGTTTAGGCTGGAGTGCAGTGGCACAATCTTGGCTCACTGCAACCTGCACCTCCCGGGCTCAAGCGATTCTCCTGCCTCAGCCTTCTGAGTAGCTGGGATTACAGGCACCCACCACCATGCCCAGCTAATTTTTGTAATTTTAGCAGATACGGGATTTCACTGTGTTCGCCAGGCTGGTCTTGAACTCCTGACCTCATGATCTGCCCACCTCAGCCTCCCAAAGTGCTGGGATTGCAAGCGTAAGCCATCACGCCCGGCTCGTTTCTCTTATGCTCTTAATGCACCATGATGTTAGAGGCTTCAAAATCTGTTTCTATTAACGTTATTTAAATGGAATGTGTTGTTCAGCATTCAAAAACTCTTAATTTCTAAAGTTAACACTTTGTATTTTTTATAAGTTCTTAACACCTGCCTTCCCCTTAAAACATCCATGAAGGTAAAGTATGTATGCTTATTTATTTATTTATTTATTTATTTTTTGAGATGGAGTCTTACTCCGTCACCCAGGCTGGAGTGCAATGGCGTGATCTAAGCTCACTGCAACCTCCGCCTCCCGGGTTTAAGCCATTTTCCTGCCTCAGCCTCCCAAGTAGCTGGGATTACAGGCGCCGCCACTGTGCCCGGCTAATTTTTTGTATTTTTAGTAGAGACGGGGTTTCACTACGTTGGCCAGGCTGGTCTCGAACTCCTGACCTCATGATTTGCCCATCTCGGCCTCCCAAAGTGCTCGGATTACAGGCGTGAGCCACTGTGCGCAGCCTAAGTACGTATGCTTATAAAGAGGAACTAGAGTGACACTAGAGAGCATGGTCAGTGAGCCTAACAGGAAATTTGATGTTTCTCTTTTTGTAAAAAATCTTATTTGTTTTTGTAATACTTGCTACTTACAAATGCCTATGTTCTCTTAACCCGGGGATGATTTAAGAAGTAACGGAAATTGTTATTAGAGATGAATAAGGAAAAAATATAAAATTATAATAAACATTGGTAGTTATTCACATTATTTAAACAAACGTTTTCTATAATAAGAAGACTAATGTCCCCCATAAATTGCTGTATGTCTGGATTCATGGGTTGTAATATTTATGCTAAATGAATTTGGCTCCTTACCGTAAACTTAGGTAGGGCAAATGTAAAGTATGTAAATCCAGTGGTTTCAGAAAACCCTTTCAAAAAGATTTATTATTGCAATGAAAACTTTGTTTGTAGTCTTGCTTAGAGTTCTAATGAAAAACAAGAGTAGGATATTTATTCTTTTAAAACAAGTGCCACTGTTAATACTGGTAACATCTTTGAACTGAAGGACATCATTCTGTGTAAGATTATTAATAATCTTTTCAACTCATTTTATACAGTGTTTTAAGTTTAACAGAGAGCTTTGGATTGCCATAAAAATGGCTCCTACTAATCTATAAATAGTAAAGAGACTCATGGCAAGAATCTTATTAACACTATACATAGGCCTGAAAATGGAAATTACAGTGACATTGTTTCTAATACTATCAAACGGTAACAAACTTGGGAAGCCTTAAAAGTTTTCTGTAATTTTACTTTACTCTTCCCTCATCCAATCTCTATACCTAGTTGCATCTGATCAACAAATGCAAATAAGCCAAGATCCTATTACAGCAGGCACCATACGAAATTCCTCAAACATGCACCATATGAAATTCCTTAATATTCAGAAGTAATGGTCTCATGTGGAAAAAAAAAATGTTTTGTGTGTGAAATGCTCAGAAAAACTATGTTAAATCACTTAGTATTTAAATAATCCAATGAGTTTAACATGTGAAAGAGGTACTCTGAATTTATTTTTGTTTTTTGACTAACTGGCATGATGTCTTAGTGATAAGAGAAATATGTCAAGTATTAATGCTTTTGTTTTATTAACTTGTTTAACTCCTCAAGTCACCATTTGATGTTTAAGAAACAAGGATGTGGCCGGGCGCGGTGGCTCACACCTGTAATCCCAGCACTTTGGGAGGCCAAGGTGGGCGGATCACGAGGTCAGGATATCAAGACCATCCTGGCTCACATGGTGAAACTCCATCCCTACTAAAAAAAAAAAAAAAAAAAAAAATTAGCTGGGCATGGTGGTGGGCGCCTGTAGTCCCAGCTACTAGGGAGGCTGAGGCAGGAGAATGGCGTGAACCTGGGAGGCGGAGCTTGCAGTGAGCTGAGAATGCACCACTGCACTCCAGCCTGGGTGACAGAGACTCCGTCTCAATAAAAAAAAAAAAACAAGGATGGTAACAAATGAAAGAATGAGGAAATGAATGGAAGGATGAGGAAGATTTGACTTGTATTTGGCTTAATTGTATTTGGCTGCATTTTATATAAACAAAGTTTGCTGGTAGGATGGGGAAAAATATAGGGAAGCTGGGGATGGTGAAATAAATTACCAGCATTTCCAGGTTGGGAAGGGGTATTGGTTTCTTTTCAGGTCAGACTGGCTGTCACCACCAATACTGACTGGAAGAGTTATTGAAGTGATGCTCTACCTGTAATCACTGAGGGACAGAGAGACAGCAGAACAAGAGGGAAATCATATCCCTAATACCTTGTAGATCACTACCAAAAGAAACCTGTTATCTGGGCTTTGTTTTGTTTTTCTTTTCATAGTGCATTAAGATTCTTATCTTAATAAGATATGTTGTTAAACTCGAATTTTATATCAGTTTTATAATCTAGATTTTAAAAACATAACTGTATATCTGCACATAAATAAACTCATAATCCCTTTTTCTACAACCATTGTATTCTGAAATATCTACTGCTGAAATTTTCCCATCTACTACCTTTTACCTGAATGTGGCATTTTTAAATAAAAGTTTTGAATAATTTAATGTTAGAAAAAAACCCAAAATTTGAAATTAATAATACTGACCTCATGAAGTTTTATGTTTGTAATACATTTTGGTATATATTTTATCAATAAATTAGCTTCAACATAATTCTGATTGCATTCTATTTATCCAGGTAAACTTGGATAGCGTGGATAGTATGGACAACAGCAAATAACTTCGAGAAAAGGGAACATTTGGGATCAAGTCTTCTCCACATAATACCACGTGGTTTGATACATTTATTTTTGTTTTTTAATTGACTAACTGGCATGTTGTCTTAGTGATGAGAGAAATATGTCAAGTATTCATGCTTTTGTTTTATTTTATCAACTTGTTTAATGCCTCAAGGCACCATTTGATGTTTAAGAAACAAGGAGGGTAATGAATGAACGAATGAGGAAATGAATGGAAGGATGAGGAAGATATAAAGTGACTTGACTTGCATTTGGCTTATTTTCTTTATTTGCTATTTAGGAATAATAATATTATGGGGATATCCTGAAAGAAAATTGGTGAATAGGTGTAAGAAGTGTTGTTCTGATAATAAATCATTATTTTTATTACTACTTCTACACCTGCTAGTATGTGTCTCACCCAAGTACCTAGAAACTGTTTTTGCCATTGCCATGAAACCAGGAAATTTTATTAAGGTCATGGGCAGATCATCAATTCTGAATTAAGTATTCAAAAACACTTTATTCAAAAATCTAGATAAATAAATCTGTTAACTGAAATGCAACCAAAATTCTGATGTATTTCCTTTAAATCTTTTTGAAATTTTCAAATCCCTTAGATTTCATATAACTTCATATCATTTCATGTAACTCATTAAGACAGATTTGCTTTTCCTCACAGAGAAAATACGTTTTTTAAAAATGGCTCAACCTTAATTTAATAAGTATCCCACAGAAAAGATACTATAAAAAATATGGAGGCTTCAGTGAGTTTTTTTCTCTAGTCCAAGGTCATCCAACATGTGGCTCAGGATGGCTTTGAATTGGGCCCAACATGGCTTTGAACCTGGGCCCAAAACAAATTAGCAAGCTTTCTTAAAACACTGAGATTTTTGCAATTTTTTAAAAAGCTCATCAGCTATCGTCAGAGTTATTTTGTTTTTTATGTGTGGCCCAAGACCATTCTTCTTCCAGCATGGCCCAGGGAAACCAAAAGATTGGACAGCCCTGAAGTCTAGTCCTTATGTCCAAACTTGCTTTCTCCCTGCCAATACTACTGCTTCCTATGGCCGGTAAGTAGGGATTGAAGTCATTTCAAGTTGTTGCTTCATAAACACTTATAATTCAATAAGTACAGAGAATTAATTACTTTCTCACCCTAGGACGCAGTGGAAAGTAAACTGAGACTGATGGAAGAATTGGAAGAACATGTTCCTTATTACACAATACCTTTCCTTTCAATCAATACTCAGGGGATGTTAGTTCTAATATGTCATTAAGTCTCATTTTCTCCCCTTTTACATTTTAAAGCCCTCTTGTCTTAAAAATGTAAGGCTGTGTGTGGTCTGTTTTCAAGAATGATTTAGATGGGCTATACATGTGTTATTTTTGTCTTATATAAGTGATGACATTCTTAAACTTCTAATTTTTGAAGCATATTTTATAGATGTTAAACTCTGGTTTAAGTTGTAATGAAAATAAAATTCTGTATTTTATGTTCTTTTTCACATTCTGATTAAGAAACAAAAAATACATTGCATATTAGATGTTAAAATACATCTTCTTCGCTTTTACTCTGACCTAGTGAACTTCTCCAGTAATTGTACACCAGAGAACAGCTTTGCTGTGGGTTTCAGTCTTATTAAATACTTTAAAATGTTAAATCATTTATTTATTGGTGCTAAATAAAAATTACACTTTTGTCTATAGTGCTTTAAAAGTAAAGATTGTTATTGTTAACATTCAGCAACTAAAAGTTTATTAGGAATAACCTGTAATAATAGTTTATCTGCAATCTTATATTCAATATTACATTGAAGGTCAACGTTTCATTTGGATAAATATATAAAATCTTGTACACTAGGGAATGTTCAGAAAACAGAGGAACTTTAAGAATACTGTTTTCAATATCTTAGAAACTTTCTGAGTGTACTCAAATCTGGAGCATTTTTTAAAGTTGGTAGCACTATGGATGCTAATGTGTACGTGCATAAACAACAGCCTTACTGAAATCACTATCAGGCAATTTAGCTTTAATTCTTAAAGTTGGGTTGTTCTCACTGGGTTAATGTGCAATGTTTATAATTCTCCTGACAAATCATGTTTCAGCAAAGTTGTACTAGAAGCTTCAGGTTTCTAAGAACTCTCAGATACACAAGGAGTTTACTAATATTCTCAGAAGAATTAAAGCCACTTGATGATCGAGCAAGCAAAACATATACAAATAAATAAACAAGAGATAACAAGTTAATGCCTACTTATTTCTCATTTATTCACATGAGTACCTTAGATACATAAAACAAACTTTCTTTTATAATTTGTTTAAAGTTAACGCTGAATATGACATATTTTTAAATAAGCCAGTTTATTTACTTGATAGACCAAATCAAAGGTAGAATAAAAGCTAGATTTGGATCTGGGAAGAAAAATATACTGCCTGTGGGCAAAAATTCCTTGAAGAAGCTATTGAGGAATAGGAAGGCAGCTGACTTTTCAATACACTTCTGGGCCACAGGGGGAGAGAAGCTAGACTCAAAGCCCGCTAAGAGGAGAGTCCTGGTAAAGGTCCTAGGGGACCACAAAAGACTGCTTACTTCAGTGAAGGAGATGTTCTTTACCTGCATTATTCGATAGAGTAGTCATTCACTACCGTGGCTATGGAGCACTTAAAATATGGCTACTGTGAAACTAAGGAACTGAATTTTAAATTCTATTTAATTATAATCAGTTGAAAATTAAACAGTTAAATGTAGCTAGTAGCCTCCATCTTTAGATGGTGCATATCTGCATGAGGAGATGTATGAGTGTGTTCACTGTACACTGAATGTCAGGTCGAAAACTTCAGATAAGGACCTAAATATAAAAGGTAAGACTTTAAAGTACTTAAAATAAAATACGATTTTAGCAGCGGTGGTGGCTCACACCTGTAATCCCAGCACTTTGGGAGGCCAAGGCAGGTAGATTGCTTAAGCTCAGGAGTTAGACACCAGCCTGGCCAACATGGTGAAACCCTGTCTCTACCAAAAATACAAAAATTAGCTGGGTGTGGTGGTGGGTACCTGTAGTCCCAGCTACTCAGGAAGCTGAGGCACGAGAATCGCTTGAGTCCAGGAGGCGGAGGTTGCAGTGAGCTAAGATCACACCACTGCACTCCAGCTTGGGCAACAGACTGAGACTCTGACTCAAGAAAAAAAAAAAAGAAGAAAAGACTATATGATTTTGTGTGTACTGAAGGATTTCTTTAGGAAGACATAAAACCCACAAATCATAAGGAAACAGACTGATAAATCTGATGATGTTAAACGCTCCTACAATAAAAGGCCACATGGAACATAAACAAAGTATAAAGATAAGAAATAGGACTGGGAGAGGATATGTGTGAACATATAACTGACAAAGGATTAGTAGTCAGATTATATAAAGAACTACAAATTAGTAGGAAAATGACAACCACTCATGGAAAACAAAAAATGGAGAAGGGTGTTGTTAAAGTTATAGGGAGGCCACAAAATAACCCTGTTTTCCTTATCTAAATACAATAGGTGATGGGTAGGATAGAAGAGAGAGAGAAAGATGAAGACAGGGAGAGAGAATATGGATAGATGAGAGAATGAGAATACAGAAGAGAAAGAAATACGAAGATAAAAATATCAAAATACAAATTTTATTACTGGAGAATGTACCTTGTATGTATAGTCACAAGAATTTCCTAATACTTAACCTTTTATTAGATGTGGCTATCTACTCACTCACATGAGCTAATTACAGGTTCCTTTTCTGGAGCAAAGCCCTCCCTAAGCTTATAGCATGGTAGAGCAGGCACTATGGAACCACTGTGCGTCTAGGTAGTTGCCAAAAAAAAAAAAAGAGTCCAGAGTGGGTTTAGCTGCATATGCTCAATTTCTTTACCTAAACCAGCTATGACATTCCTTCTCATAGGAATATGAGAAGGAATAGGAATATCCTTATATTTCAGAATTGGTAATATTTGACAGTAATATCTAAACACAGATTTATATTTCTTCTACATGGTATCACTTATATGAATCAAAGTATAATTTCACTTTTTAATTAACCAAATGAATTAATTAACCAAACAATGTTCCTCCCCAGCTTTACATATCAGAATTACCCTGCCAAACTGCTTGTAATTGATACAGCTCTAACAGAAGTTAGCAGTCCATGAAAAGTGCTTCCTAGACAGCAAGATGAGGGCATTTCTTAGAGCAATGGGTAATGAGTGACATCACTGCAAGTTTTGCTTGGAAGTAGTTTTTAAAATCTCTACACTGTTCCAGGCAATTTTCAGGTAACAAATAGATGGAGCCCCTCTGTAATACTGCAGTGAAAGAGTTGAATCCTAACTTTAAGTGCCAAGTTTGATGAAACCTGAGGCAGTGTTTACCTACAAACTGGCTTAATAACATTCTTCACAATACTCACAAAACCAAATAGAGTGTTTTGTTAAAAAATATGAATAATGAAATGCCTCAATATACAGTACACTATGGAAGTCATAATTCTGATAAACCTACCCCATAGTAGCACCTAATCTCCTTCTGTCTTAGTCAATTCTTCTTTCATTCCTGTGAATACCTTTATTATTAACCTCTGTCCATTAATCTATTAGAGGAAGTCCTTTCACTGAAGTAGGAAGAGAAGATAGAGGTACCCTTCAGGCCTTTCTCATTCTTCTGGCTCGATTAAATATGCACAGGAAAGATGAAAATCTAACTAGAAAAGTGATACTTCAAAGTCCTCTATTCATCTCTGTGCAATCTCACCACAACCATGAAATCAGATGAGGTTAGATACAAAAAGCACACTGCTTTATTTTTTGCCTTGATCATTAATGCTGAGATGGAAAGCTGATGAAACAAAATGTGACACATATGTTTCCGGAACTAATTCAAACGCTAGTATGAGGCCAAAAGTGTTATTACCTAAACAGAGATACAGTCACCACATCACCTGCTACCGTGGTGCATACAATGTCATCAGGAACTTCTCTTTCCCATCTCTTAAATATTTAAGCCGATACACATTTTTGAAAAGAGAATAGTCACAGTACTGTTGTAAAGTTCCCAGGACCATTACTTAGGAACAGTGTATTTCCAATATTCAAATGAAGCTGGGCGTGGTGTCTCACACCTGTAATCCCAGCACTTTGGGAGGCTGCAGTGGGAGGATCAATTGATTCCAGAAGTTCAAGACCAGCCTGGGCAACACAGGGAGACCCTGTCTCTTAAAAAAAATAAATTAGCCAGGTGTGGTGCACGCCTGTGGTTCCAGCTACTTGGGAAGCTGAGGTGGGATGATCACCTGAACCCGGGCTGCAGTGAGCCATGATCTTGCCACTGCACTCCAGCCTGGGTGACAGCAAGACCCTGTCTCCAAAAAAAAAAAAAAAAAAAAAAAAGCAAATGACCTTAGCAAATGGATTAAATTAAAATTAACTCAGACTAAACTAGTACAATTAATCTATGCAAAAGTGGCTGTAGGCAAATGGAAGGCATCTTTTCACAGATTAGAAATGAAAGCTAAGGCAATACTCAAAGAGAGCAGTCAAAGTCAGGGAACTGGAGTGAAACAAACAACAGTAAACCTGTTGTTCTGGGTACAGCCACTCTGGATGGCCCATTCTTAAGATTCATGAGCAAAGTGAAACATTTTACCTTGTGGTTAAAAACTTGATCTGATTAAGACCAGTGTACATTGAGGGTTAACGGAGATTCTGTGTTTCAACTAAGTTGGAAGAGTCAAATTAAAAAAAAGAAAAGAAAAAAGGCATCCAAAGGGCTCTAGCTGAAAAAGGAGGCTTCTCTAGGAAACAATTTATGAGAAAATGAGTTATGGGGTGACTCTGGTCCCTGGGTGTACATCCCAGGTCTCCACTTGTGGTAAACTTACAACTCTGAGCAGATGATAAAGAATGAACAAAACATAAATGGAAAATCTTAGGTGAAAAAGAGTTCCTATAAAAGGCAGGGAAATATCAAAGAGAGAATTCCGCAGAGCAGGGTTTCTTAATCCCAGCAACACTAACATTTTGGGCCAGTTCTTTCCTGTTGCACACATATTACCTCATATACTTATAATGAACCTGCGAGATAGACAGACAGCACTGGCACTAAGAAATTAAGGCTTTTAGGATACCAGTTTTAGATAAGAGCCAGTTAAGTAGTAGCATCAAATGTCAAGGCCAGACCCTCTAATGTCCAAATACTATATTTCTGTCCCAACACCCAGTTGCTTTTCAATTGTGAGAAATTTGGGTACTAAGAAGAAAATGCATTTAGAAATAATCAAAAGAAATTCACTTGATAAACTTGTAAGTTTAATGACTTTGACAACTGCTTCAACATTACCCTACAATGACTAGCATATTTATAGAATTCTCGGGCCCAATAAACCAATACTATTAAGACGTCTACCTACCAAATGATGCCTTCATGATTCTATCCTTTTATGATTAATCCTATTTATAATAGATAAAACAAACATTAAAACAATAATCATCTTTTATGATCAGCATTTTAAAACAGAAGTGATGTCAATCAAGACTTTTGGAAAAGATCAGTACATCTCAAGGAAAGAAAAAAGCTACGGGGGAAATATTGCTAACTTGGAAATAAATTTGAAGCAATAATGTAGTTCCACACTAGCAAAAAACAAGTGTAGTCTAATCACTAAGCTTATGTGATTGCTCTATGATCGACGAACAGTTTGTGAAGAAAAATGAGAATGAGCCTCCTTCTAGTCAAAGATTCTGGTTGTTCTTTAGGGTACACTGCAGAAATGTTATTAATATTTCAAGTTACTGTTAATATTTTATGGAAGATATACTACTTTTAAGAATATAGATATTTACAAGCAAATAAGGTTTTATGACATTTAGATGTCAAAAGTAGAAAAATGGCTTATAGTTTTAATATTATAATGAAAATCACTGGGAAAAAATCACTACAATAAATAGGAAGTTCTTACAGAACAAACTTTGTAGGAATGCATCTATTAAGGAGGCAATACTAAAATATATAAATCTTTAACAAAATATAGAATTATAAAAATATATATGGTCTACCTAAGATGTGTTCCATATGTTTAATGATAAGAATAAAAATGAAAGATTAAGAATGAAAGAGCACACTTCATTATCTTTCTTCTGTTTTTATTTAAATCCAGAAATATAACATTAAAAGACTAAAGTTCAGTCTTTTTTTTTTTTTTTGAGATAGGGCCTCACTCTGTCACCTAGGCTAAAGTACAGTGGTATGATCATGGCTCACTGCAGCCTCAACCTCCCCAGTGCTCAAGTGATCCTCCTGCCTCAGCCTGCAGAGTAGCTGGGACTACAAGCATGTGCCACTATACCCAGCTAATTTTTGTATTTTTTGGACAGATGGGGTTTTGCCATGTTGCCCAGGCTGGTCTTCAACTCCTTGGTTCAAGAGATCCTCCCACCTCAGCCTCCCAAAGTGCAGGGATTACAGGTGTGAGCCACAGTGCCTGTTTTCTTTTTTTCAAAATTTTTGGCATTATATCCTTACAAAAAAAACCTAGAGTATAAAGGATTAGAGAGGATCACTTTAGCTTAGATATAAAAATAACCAAATGATACAATTATGTCTAATCAGTAATAAATATAATTTTGATGTCAGAATTTCCAAGTTTCAAACAGAATACCAATATTCTTAATAACTAAATTAAAGACTATATTGTCTCCATATATATTTTAATTACAAAAAAATGATGTGCTTTTGAACGAAGACCAAAGTATATTCCTGGTTAAAAGTAGAATTCAGCGATAACAACTAATACGTTGGGTAACTCAATGCCCTTAATACTTTCTTCTTTATAAGTGGTTTCAGCCATTCCAGAATGAACTTAGGGAACAACTAAAGATTCAAGTTGATGCAAACAACTTCAAAAAAGTTCCATTAGATGTGACAAAGAGCTTATACATAAAGTAGCTGTGAAGAGCTATTTCGGAGAGTACCGTAAACACAAATGCACACCATAAAGAACAACAGCAGAAACCAAGCTAAAGTGAGCATTGACTTCTCCCTTTAGTGGTTATTTATAATTTTGAATGACTGGATTTGCTACCTATCTTATTTACAAAACAATAGTAACAAAAGAGGCACTATAAAAATCATGGATGTAGTTTCTTTTTCCCAAGCCTTTCCCTTTGTATCTAGGCTCATCCTCTTTCCTCTTTTCTTTCCTCATAAAGCAATGTCTAGGAGCCACTGCAATGACAAACTAGTCTTTTGGGTAGCTCAGTGAGTTCTCAAGCTCCACCATGTAGTGGCATTCATTAGAGCTTTGCAGGTACAAAGCTGTCCCCCTCTCCACCCCACATATCTATATTCCCACTTTGAATGGCCAATGAATAGGGTATTCTCTTTTTAATTAAGGTAACTTCTTAGAAACAACCCTCCCCACCCGCCAGCTTTACACTGCACACCACCAACCTCATATATATTCAGTTCTTTTATCACAAAACTGTATATACAGTTTTTATTTTTTCCTTTTATGACCCTAAAAGTCATATTTTTCAAAAATGAAACCTTAGAAAACCAGAAGTCATCACTGAAGACATTCAATAAGACATTCCAACTACATTTCAAATTTAAAACGATGTACCTTTTATAAGATTATTAGACTGTAGAAAACTAAAACTTACAAATGAGAAGAGCATTTCCTACCTTTTAAGAAAAGAAGGCATTCAGCTTCAACATGTCACCAACTTCTATTTGAACAACTTCTAGACTAAACTCTAAAAGCTGTCTTAGGCAAAAACAATGATGTCAAATTGCCTCATTCTGAAAAGGCACTATCTTAAGAAGTAAAACTTTTACACTTAATAATTTTTATTCAAACTTTCCATTGCTGGGATTCTAATTATTCTGTAGTCATAATATTCATATTAGATGAATCAATATTACTACACTATTTTCAGTTGTAAACGAAAACAGAAACACATAAATGATCTATTTCCAAAATAATTCTTATGCCAGAATTCCTAGACTAAGATATTATTATTAAAACCTATAGAATTTTTGTCATTATATCCTTATCATGAATGCATGACTAAGCTGTTTAATCAGATTAACTACTTATGATCCAAAGCTTAGCACTTTGAATGATATACTGTTGTAATTTCGTTTAGCTTCAAAGAAAACAAATAATTACCTATGTGACACCATGATATAGTCCGTAAATATCCATGTTCCAACTTGACCTAACAAAAGTCCCCTTGAAACATAGTGGGAGATTTCTAATAATTAGAAACATCAATACAATGCATATTTTCTTTCTTTCTTTTTTTTTTTTAGACGGAGTCTCGCTCTGTTGCTCAGGCTGGAGTGCAGTGGCGCGATCTCGGCTCACTGTACAATGCATATTTTCTAAGTAACTTTTTAAAGCCCCCATATATTGTGGTACTTAACTGATTTTTACATTTTGATAACAATGGAACAGGAACATATTTTTAGTTTAGAAAATCAGAGCGTGAGAATCATAAGAACTCCTTCATGTATAAGAAAAAAACATATCTATCATGCCTACCCCACTTCCTAGGTAACACTAGTCTTATTTTGGTAAGAGGTAAAATTATATATGTGAAGTAAGATAAAGTAGCAGGAAAGAAATGAAATTTGAAATCAGACCTGAGTTAAAACTTCACTTATTTCAGCTATTAGCTGTGTGAGTTTGGGCAAAATTACTTCAACCTATTTAGTGTAAGGTGGTACATATTTAAAATGTAGACATTCATACTTAGACTCTCACAGAGTTGCATGACAAATAAAATGATATGTAAAACAGAGTAAAGGGTAGTGTCAAAAATAAGGATCTACAGTAGCTATTGTAACAGTTATTATGACTTTTTTGATGTTATGAACCTTTGAATACTAGATAGATAATAAAACACAGTAAAATGGGCATAACAACATCTACCTCATATGAGATAGAATAAAAATTAAACGAGATAAACAGGTACAGCACCAACTCAGTAGCTAAATAAAGGTTAACTATTACTAATATTCCTCCAATTTTTCAGATACCTGAACTTAATACTTTCAAAAGAGCCATCAACCAACTTCATTTCTGGGAAGGGGTGAGTGAGCACCAAATTGGCTTTGCCTAGGTTTCACCTACAAAATAAAGGGATAGTCTTGGCAGGCAGTTACGAGACCTGAGTTTTAAGATTGACTCTGCTACAAATGAAGCATAATTTGGCCAAATTCATCTTAGCAACATAATGCTATAATTTATGTGACTGCCTCTGGGAAATTTGATTTATCACGCTAACCAAAGAATCAACATTATTGGCAACTTACTAATGGCTTTTCACTGTTTATTTTCACTTTAGAAATGATCATGCTGGGGCCGGGCGCGGTGGCTCACGCCTGTAATCCCAGCACTTTGGGAGGCCTAGGCGGGCGGATCACGAGGTCAGGAGATCGAGACCATCCCGGCTAAAACGGTGAAACCCCGTCTCTACTAAAAATACAAAAAATTAGCCGGGCGTAGTGGCGGGCGCCTGTAGTCCCAGCTACTTGGGAGGCTGAGGCAGGAGAATGGCGTGAACCCGGGAGGCGGAGCTTGCAGTGAGCCGAGATCCCGCCACTGCACTCCAGCCTGGGCGACAGAGCGAGACTCCGTCTCAAAAAAAAAAAAAAAAAAAAAAGAAATGATCATGCTGGACCTTACTAAAAGGAATGCACTTTATATATATAACTGGCAGAAATATCATAGAACAATTCCAAAACATTGGGCAAAAGATTTTTCTTCTTAAGTCGGACAGCACTTTAGAAAAGTATGAGGAGTGGAACATGAACCACAATCAGACTTATTTTCTCAAAATATGTACAAACATAAAAGTCTAAAAAATATTTTTAAAAGATCTCAGAATACTTAGAATGCCAAAATCATAGTAGTGTGTATAGATACTTATTTTAACACAAAACAGACCAGTATCATTTGTTTCAGGTAGAGTTATTTGATATCAGATTTTCAGAGAAACCTAAATGTTCGCTAAAATCAACATGTATATCTCATATTTTTACATACACCAGCTTCCCTTTACTTAGTTATGGCTTTAGTTTAAAAAAAAAATCAGGTCGGGGCCAGGTATGGTGGCTCACGCCTATAATCCCCACACTTTGGGAAGCCAAGTTGGGAGGATCACTTGAGCCCAGGAGTTCAAGACCAGTCTGGGCAACATGGCAAGACCCCATCTCTACCATAAATGAATGAATGAATGAATGAATGAATGAATGAATGAATAAATAAGCAAGCTGGGCATGGTGGTGAATGTCTGTAGTCCCAGCTATTCAGGAGGCTGGGGTGGGAGGATGGCTTGAGTCTGGGAGGTGGAGGCTGCAGTGAGCTGAGATCATGCCACCACATCCCAGCCTGTGTGACAGAGCCAGACCCTATCTCAAAAAAACAAAACTAACAAACAAGAAAAACCAGGTTGGGCCTCATGTAAATCAAGCAGCCAACATAAAAAAATTTTATACTCTTTCTTTTCCATTTTTCTTTTATTGTGTTAGATTAGAAATCTAAATAGTTTTTGCCAAATGAATGTGACTATCATCTTGGCCTATGTGCAACATGTACATAATACTCTAAAAAGTGTCAAGTCTTGTAAGAAAACTACAGAGTGAATACTCTATACCTGCATATTTCTATTAATAAAATGCTGATAATGCACATGTAGCATAACTAATTTGAGACTGTCATGAAATAAACTTTTATTCACGTTCTATTTTAAAGAATTCTATTTAAAATTTAAATTTAGTCTAACTTTTTTCCTAAGGAAATACCATCTGTCAGAAAATGATAATACAATCATGTAAAACAATAAACAATGATTTACTGAGTGATTGTTATGTAGCAAGCATTTACATGTTATATTATTTCATTTAATCTCAAAATACCTCAATGAAATGAAGCTTTACTACCTGTATTACCTTTACTTTTTTGAAGGGTGGTTAAATAAATTGCTGAAATTCATACAGGTAGTAAGTAACAGAACCAGATTTCAAACTCACATCTGTCTTACTCTAAAAACCATGGTACTGACTGGTTCTCAAACCTGGCTGAATCTTCTGAAATTATAGATTGATAGCTCTGACCCCCTCCAAGATTCTGATTTAATAAGTCTGGTTCATGGCCAGGAAATCCTTGGTTTTTCAAAGCTTATCTGGTGATTCTGATGTACAGCTAGATTTGGAAAGTACTGTACTAAGTTATTTCTGTTTTCTTCCCCCCTTAAACTGTGTATAACGCAAAACCAAATAAAACTGAAAAATCCATCTTAGATTTCTAGGGAGCTTCCTTCTTTGCTTCCTTCTCCCCAACAGATGAGCTACCACTAGCCAAAGCACAGCTTTTATTATATGAAATTTGGTTTCAAGTGGCTTTTGTTGGAAATAACTAACTGAGGGAAGAAGGGTCAAGAAAAAAGTAAACTGGGAATTAACTATCTTTCAATTGGACAGAACCTATCCAGTCCCCAGGGAATATTTTTCTTTTTATTCTTCTGTCACTGACAAAGGAGATAAAGAGAACTACTGAGGGAATGGAGCAAATGCAAACTAAGAAGGAAAGACAACAGTTTTATACTTTAAGCACAAAAAATGCAGTATTTACAGCTGAGAGGTAAATGGAAACATCTAATACCTAGGCAGATGGAAGTCCTAGAATTAGTCAGCAAATTTCTGAGTGCCTACTATGTGGGAGGCACTATGTTAAGAGCTTCATTATCTATATTCCAGAGAGCATTTGATACCATTGGGTTAGTTAGAAAGGAACAATATAATTAAAACCTAGGTATAAGTTCTAGTTGGAAAAGCTACTGACTTACCTTAGATAACTAGCCACTGAGTGTCTATTTGCCAGATGCTATACTATGAAGAATTATTGGCCTTACTAGTTAGTGGTTTTTAAATTAAAATTTTTTCTCCATAATAAAATTTATAAGGGGAAATTCAGTTATGAAAACATGTAGTTTAAAAGAATGACTCCTAATGATGATTTAATGTTTTGTGCTTTATAACGGTATCTTAGTTTCACATTTCAATTAAAAAATAATTAAAGAATTTTAAGAGGTAGGCAGAGTTAGTGTCATTTCATCAATTTGATGAACAGGAAGTAGAAACTCAGAGTTTCAGAGCTTACCTGCAACCAGAGAGTCTAGTAAGTAGCAAATCAAGGACCCAAATTCAGACTTTCTGACACTGAATTCACATGCCATATAGCTTGACCTCAGATGATACTAATCTTAGCATTAATCAAACTTAACATGACTAAATTATTTTCTGTAGTAAAGTGTGTATCTAAAATTAGAAAACAAAAGCAAATATATAGGTATTTCATAAATTCTTCACATATGAAGTGACTACTAGATTATCTTCATAAAATAGCCAGAGAAGATAAAACCAATTATACAAACTACCCCAAAGCACACAATTAGTTTGGGGCAGAACTTGATCTAGAACTAGGCCCCAAAACAGCCAGTGGGCCAAACCTATTTTCATAGAGCACTTTAGCTTGGAATCATTTCTACATTTTTATTAATTTATTATTATTTATTATTACTATTTTCTTTGAGACAGGGTCTGACTCTCTGCCACCCAGGATGAAGTGCAGTGGCACAATCTCAGCCTTGATCCCATGGGCTCAAGCAATCCACCCACCTCAGCCTCCTGAGTAGCTGGGACTACAGGTGCATGTGACCATGTCCAACTAATTTTTGTATTTTTTTGTAGAAACAGGGTTTTGCCATGTTGCCGAGGCTGGTCTTGAGCTCCTGGGATCAAGCAATCTGTCCACCTTGCCTCCCAAAGTGCCGGAACTACCATGTGTGAATCACCGTGGTTGGCCAGCTTCTACATTTTTAAAGGGCTGTAAAAAAAAAATAGAGGAGGAGGGCCGGGCGCAGTGGCTCACACCTGTAATCCCAGCACTTTGGGAGGCCAAGGTGGGCGGATCATGAGGTCAGGAGATCGAGACCATCCTGGCTAACACAGTGAAACCCCGTCTCTACTAAAAATACAAAAAATTAGCCAGGCGCGGTGGCGGGTGCCTGTAGTCCCACCTACTTGGGAGGCTGAGGCAGAAGAATGGCGTGAACCTGGGAGGCGGAGTTTGCAGTGAGCCGAGATCGCGCCACTGCACTCCAGCCTGGGTGACAGAGTGAGACTCCGTCTCAAATAAAAAAAAAAAAAAAAAAAAGAGGGGGAGGAGGAAGAGAGTATAGAGGGTGGTGAGAGAGGAGATTCCACAGAGATTATATGTGGCCTGCATAGCCTAAAATATTTACTACCCAGACCTTTACAGAGAAAGTTTGCTGACCCTTGTTTTATCAAAAAAACAGAGATACTGAATGAGACCTAAAAATAAAAAGAATATTACCCACACAATCCTGGTACACCAGATAATAAAAAATAATTTTAAAGTTTAGTTAAAACTTCTTTATAAAGGAGGAATTAAATACAATATCCTTTTCTCTTTCAAAATACTGAAATGTTTTAAGGTAGCTTTAGTTCATCTTTTAAACATCTCTATTCTCAGGAATTTCTGATTTAGAATCATGTCAAGTGGGATTTTTAATATTTGTCTACAATGTGCAAAAACACAAGAATCAGGATAGAGAATTACAGTATGAATGCCAAAAATAAGAATTTAGCTTACCTAACAGAGATATAATTCCCTCCTCACAAAAACAAATCACACTCTAGTTTATACCTACTAGAAACATCAGGGATTTAGATATCAGTAGTGACCCTACTGTTACTTCCCACTACAGTGTCAACCACAAGTTTTAAGTAACATATGTACCACATATGGACCTCTATGAATATGAAATCTGTCTCCTACCACCAAAGAGGGTAAAGAGGTTTGAAAAAAAATCACTTTTGTTCTAAAATGTGCCTGAAAAATAGCTAAATAAATAGTTACATACTAAGTTTTGTTGTTGTTGTTGTTTTTTCTGAGACAGAGTCTCACTCTGTCGCCCAGGCTGGAGTGCAGTGGCATGATCGTGGCTTACTGTGACCTCTGCCTCCTGGGTTCGAGCGATTCTCGTGCCTCACTCTGCCGAGTAGCTGGGATTACAGGCACTTGCCACCATGCCCAGCTAATTTTTGTATTTTCAGTAAAGATGAGATTTCACCAGGTTGGCCAGGCTGGTCTCGAATGCCTTACCTCAAGTGATCTTCCCGCCTCAGCCTCCTAAAGTGCGGGGATTACAGGCAGGAGTCACTGTGCCTGGCCATGGTTATACTACTAAGTTCTTTATTAGCTTTCCCTTTCCTTTGTAATCACATGTTCAAACACCTTATAAATTTTTTGATAAAATTCCTCTAGAAAGAACACATTTTCTGTTAATGATTTTAAGAGAATATCCAATGATAAAGGCACTAATTCTTATAGTATTGTCAAAGGGATGATATTTATTATGTGTGTGTACATGTATGGAAAACCACATCAAGTTCTATCGCTGATATGAAGATATTAAATAAAGTCCCACTTAAAGTATGTGTGAGTTGGTTGGGGGCAGTGGCTCACGCCTGTAATCCCAGCAGTTTGGGAGGCTGAGGTGGGCGGACTGCCTGAGCTCAAGAGTTCCAGACCAGCCTGGGCAACATGGTGAAACTCTATCTCTACTAAAATACAAATAAAATAAAATGAAATAAATTAGCCAGGTGTGACTGTGCACACGTGTATTGCCAGCTACCTGGGAGACTGAGGCATGAGAATCAAGAATCACTTGGACCCAGGAGGCAGAGGTTACAGTAAGCCAAGATCATAATACTGCACTCCAGCCTGGGTGCCACAGTGAGACTCTGTCACGTACTTACAGACATATATAAGTAAGTAAGTAAGTAAGTAAGTAAGTAAGTAGTATGTGTGAGCTGACAATTTTAAGAACTGCAGAAAACCACACTCAGTTATCCAGGTGGGGAGGCAACCTGTCTGCTCCCATCCTACTCCTCCTTCTAGATTGCTGGCATCTGAAGGAAAAACTGCCTATGGTCCTCATCTAATTAGGTACACTAGCTTGAAAATAGTTCTTCAAAAGGTATTCATTCTTTTCGGCTTCTTACTATGCTCTATAACCCTGGACCCAAGAGTGTAGGTGATGTAGAAAACGTAAATGATATATCTAGGAATGGAAAATGGGCTGCATGTGCATGTACAATTGTGACACTGTCCATTAGCTCTATTTCTTAAGCTCAAAAACAGATCAAGTACCTTTCAATAACCTTTTTAGTGTAAATGAGCTTTAGAATCAGGAGTAGAGAAGCCTATGTGCAGGGACTGATGGAAGCACAGGAGCATGTGGAATTAAATACCATTTGTACACTTGCAGCAGTATTGTTTTTCCAATATTCTTTATTGCAAAGATAATATGTCAGCATATTATGGATTTAAAAGAGGTTGCAAGCTAACATTCTTAATATATTTTTTAGGAAAATGTAAATTTGGACAATTTATAAAAAACAGCCCAATTTTTAGAACACAGTTCCATCTTAATCCTATCTACATAGAACAAACATGGAATTTCTACATATTCAGAGAGAAAACACATAGAAATTTTCAAGAGTTCAAACCTGCAAGTCTGAAAGAATAAGTTCCTGAAGAAACAATGGGAGTGATTTCTCTCAGGGAAGCAAAGGTCTTATACAATATACAGATTTCATAACATGTTTTCATCAGCAAAATTTCTGAGTAATTCATTAATTAGAGGTGTTGTTCAAGAATATGAATGGAGATACATTTGTTTCTTAAACAAAATTTTTTAAACAGTTCCTAATAGACAAGGAAAAAACCTGGGGATCTGTTATGGATTTACAGAAGTAGTATATAAAGAGTAACTATCCTTAAAAATTAATGTCGGCTACAGAGTGGAATAACAGACATCAGAGACTTGGAAAGATGGCAGAGAAGGAGACGGGTAAGGGATGAGAAATTACCTAATGGGTTCAAGGTACAGTATTCCAGTGATGGTTACACTAAAAGCCCAGACTTTACCACTAGAGTATAGCCATGTAACAAGTGCATTTGTACCCTCTAAATCTATTTCAAAAAAACTCAGCATTTTCAAAGCTTTATAGAAAGAGTCTTGTATTTCCTCCTGTATTATTAATGAAGATTCATGTAAATTATAGAGATGATTAAACAATTTGATGACATAAAACTAATGTAGTGTACTTTCTCCTGGCTGACTATAAAATGACATAAATTACGCAAAATAATGTTTTAAAACATAACACCAAGACACCATTCCAGAACACAGCCCATTAAGAAAGAGAACAGTAAGACACAAGGAGGCAGTGCTTCACAAATGCATGAGCTGATCTTCATAGTCCCCTATGCGGCCATGCGGCTCAATGTGGTTGAAACACTGGAAAGGGCACTGGAAAGGGCAAAGTAAAGCATAATGAGGACCCCGGGAGACAGAGACCTACATATTCACGTTGGAAGAGCTGAGCAGAAAGTTAGAAAAATCAAAGTTAAGTTTTCTTCTTTCCTAAATTAAAGAATCTATGCTGTTAATATCGAAAATACTGCCTCTAAATACTTATTAAGGAAGATGAAGTGAAGACACAAGGACATTTACTTTTTTAAAAAGAAATCACTGATAAGAGGACTAGAGTGGAGGTAGGAAGTCTCTTTACTCCTAAAAAAATCAAGGTCTGGCCAGCACGGTGGCTCACGCCTGTAATCCCAGCACTTTGGGAGGCCAAGGTCTCCCAAATCAGAGCACTTTGGGTGGATCACAAGGTCAAGAGATTGAGACCATCCCAGCCAACACGGTGAAACCCCGTCTCTACTAAAAATACAAAAATTAGCTGTGCATGGTGGTGCATGCCTGTAGTCCCAGCTACTCGGGAGGCTGAGGCAGGAGAATTGCTTGAACCTGGGAGGCGGAGGCTGCAGTGAGCCGAGACCGTGCCACTGCACTCCAGCCTGGTGACAGAGTAAGACTCCGTCTCAAAAAAAAAAAAAAAAAAATCAAATCAAGCTCTTTTCTACAGTTAAAAAGTAAATGACAAAATAACATGATTACACAGACACTAAATTTAAGGTTCATGAAGAAATCTTTTCCTTAAGATATAATAAACTTGGTTTCTCTGGAGCTAATATGAGGGCTTTTGTACTTCGAAAGCTTTTGGGTACATTTAAAGCTAAATCAAGTTCCCACAAGAAATATTAATGCTATCATTTTACACTGGTGGGCATGTTTTATTTTAACCAGCATCAACATGCTATCATTACAACAGCTCATTCCTTTTGGGGGAAATGTAAGACATTTAGGAAAAGCTTAAAGAAGGTATTCCTCCTCCTCCCCCTTCCCCCACCTCCCACAAGGCAAGAGTAGTAAATATAGATAAGATGCTGGGCTACAGGTCCTCTCCCACTCTTTCCCTTACCACTTTTCTGCAGAAGTGTAGACTTGTTTTAAGACTTTAGCTGCTGAAAATGAATTATCATAGTTTTCAATCTACATAGCACACTATCACATTGGTCCATACAAGGCTCTTCTCTTATTTAATATTTCCTTTCACCCCCAATATTGGCTACTGGCCCCTTCCGTCCGACCACACTAGAGATGAAAACCCTTGTATTTGGTATAGGGTCTTGTATACATATATTCATCCTTGAATAATACATACTACTGTTTTATTTATTATGTCTGTAATTTATATAAATAATATTATGTTATAGGACTTGCTGTAAGCCCTTTTTAATAATCACTACTACATTTTTAAGATCTTGTGTATTGTTGTAGTACTGAAAAACAGAAGGGATATTTGAGAGCTGCTCTGGTATTGTATTACTAGCATGGCCTTTATGTTATCATGAGCTGGTCTGAGACTCACTTGGTATTCTGTTGAACATGAACAATTTCACAGAACAGCAACATTAGACGAGGCCACTCTGTGACAGTAACAGATCAAGACAAAAACAAGACCGCTGCATATTCAGGTATGGACAAAATATGAACACTCTCCAAGCCACAAAATAAACATATATTCCCAGTTCCAGCTAGTAAGAGTGACTGCTTCTTTACCAATTACACCATTAGCTTCACTCAATTCTTCCCTCCTTACAGATGATTTAATTAAGATAATCAATCATGGTGTTGTCTCTGCCTCCTGAAAGTAAGCAATCCAGTACAATGCCCACTTTCTTAAGCTCTCCCCCATATCATCTCATACAAGCTCAGCTCTTATAATTCCCTCCTAACATCCTCTTGCTAAGACACCCCCAGTTCTGCAAGGTGTGCATTACCCCTCCATACAAGGAGGAATAAACCCAACTTGTTCCACTCCAGGTGTATGTTCCCAGGAGTCTCTGGCTGGAGGGCATTGCCTGAACATTTATTTTATTGCTCTGTTACAGAACGTTCCACAGGATGCATCCGTTGCATTTTACTTGACCATTCTCATAGTGATGGACACTTAAGTTGTCCTCAACCCCACACTACCAGAAACACTTCCACAGTAAACATCCTGGGATACACAACATTATCAAGCTGAAATGTGTTTCAATAGAATATGTACACGAAATGGCACTTCTGGGTGACAAGTTATAAACATATTTACTTTTACAAAGGACTGTGACATTGCTCTTCAGACCAGCTGTGTCAGCCTGCATTTCAACCAGCAGTGCATGAATGTCCTCATTACCCCAAATCCTCACCTATATTTTGATTTACCAACTGATTTTTCAAAAACTTCTTCCCAAATAGATGGGAAGTGGTATGTTGTTTCAATTAGCATTTCTCTAATTCCTCATAAGGTTGAACATCTCTCTTTATACACTTAGACAGTAAGGAGTCCCTTCCATGAATTGTCTAGTAACAACTTTTGCTTTTGTATATATTGGTTTCTTCTTGATTTGAAAGCATTTTTCTTATGGTCTACATATTTATCTCGTCTGCTTATGACACTGCAGATATCTTCTTCCAATCTGTCACTATTCTGTTAATTTTTTTACTCTTTAATCATTGAACAAAAATCTTTAGTTTTGACAATGTAAAGCAAAAAAAAATGTATCCCTGATAGTTTGTGCTTTTGCAGTAGGGTTTAAGAAGTTCTTCCTCATATCAAGATTAGAAAATAGGCTGGGCATGATGGCTTGCCTGACCCCAGGAGTTCAAGACCAGCCTGGGCAAAATGGTGAAACCCCATCTCTACAAAAATCAGCCAAGCATGGTGGCATGCAGCTGTTGTCCCAGCTACCTGAGGGGGATGAGGTGGGAGGATTGCTTGGGCCCAGGAGGTTGAGGGTGCAGTGAGCCGTGATCGTGCCACTGCACTCCAACCTGGATGACAAAGCAAGACTGTGTCTCAAAATAATATATATATATATATTTTTTTTAAAAAAGATCAGAAAAATATTCTCTTACATTTTCTTCTATTAGCTCTGTGGTTATACCTGTCACTTTTAAGTCCTTGTTCTCTGTGGAGTTCACATGGTATGTGATGTGAAGTAGGGGCCCAACTTTATTTTTAAAATTTTGTAAACCAGTCTTCAAGAACCTACTAAGCAACATTCCTTTTCCCCACCATGGTTCTGTTTTTGACCTGTCTCTTCTGTTTCGTTAGTGTAATCATCTGTTTCTATGCCAGTTCCATATTACTTTTACAAATATGGATTAAAATGTGGTTGAAAAAAATCATCCCTCTTCCTGATACATTTCAAAATAGACTTAGCTATCTAAGAAACTTTTTCTACATCAGAGTCAGTTAACTGAGGCTCCCCAAAAGTCTTATTATAATTTTAATTGGAATTGGATTTGGGGAGAATTGGTATCTTTATGTTGTTATGTGCCCCACCAATAGACATGTTATAGCTCTTCATTTAACCAAGTTTTCATTTACGTCCTTTAGTAAAGTTCTGTAATTTGTTCCATAAAGCTATTATAATTTTTTGTTAGGTTAATGTTTAAATGCATTATACTTTTTGTAATTGCTGTGAATTTTGAAGTGTAGTCACTGCTAAATCTGGAAAAACAAAACTACTGAAAGTATACTCAAAGTATATAGCTTGCTTGAAAGTATATAGCTTGAAACTATTGACAGTATATAGCTTGCTTCTTCTAGTTCTAATAATTTGCCCACATAGACAATGTATAACTTCCAAGTAAGGACTATTTTATCTATTTTAGTTTCTCTTTTCTGCTCCACCATTTCTCTGTCCACCTTTATTTCACTTTTTTTTTCTTATTGGACTAGTCAGATCTATATCAAGAATATATATTTGTCTTGCTTTGTATAAAGTTTGATTAAAGCTTTGGTATTGATATTTGTTGTAGGCTTTTGTATATAACTAGTTTGTAAAGTTTCCTTCTATTCCTAATTTTCTAAACTTTTAATTATATAGTTAAAGTTTATCAAATGCTTTTCAAAGCATACTTTTAGACAATTATATAATTTTTTTGCCTATTACATATTTTCACCATTAATATAGTGAATTTCTTTGATTTTTTAAATGTTAAACCATCCTTAACTTCCTTAGATAAAATACTATATTAAAAAATTACCAGCTGGGTGCAGTGGCTCAGGCCTATAATCCCAGCACTTTGGGAGGCTGAGACAGGCGGATCATGAGGTCAGGAGTTTGAGACCAGCCTGGCCAACATGGTGAAACCCTGTCTCTACTAAAACTACAAAAATTAGCTGGGCGTGGTGGTGGGCGCCTGTAAGCCCAGCTACTCGGGAGGCTGAGGCAGAAGAATCATTTGAACCTGGGAGGCAGAGGTTGCAGTGAGCAGAGATTGCACCATTGCACTCCAGCCTGGGTGACAGGGTGAGAATCCGACTCAAAAAAAAAAAAAAAAAAAAAAAAAAAAAAAAACCATTGGACTTATTCACTAAATTTGATTTAGAATTCCCACACTTGTAATGATAAGTGTGGTGGACCTATACTTTTCTGTTCTTGTGCTATCTTTTGGAATTAGGGTTGTACAAGCCTTGCAAAATTAGCCAGATAGTATCCTGGCTTTTTTTTATTTTTAAAGCATCCATATGAGACAGGAGTTACATCCCCTGAAAATCTGGTAACAATGTCCTATAAAATCTATTTGGCTTAGGAAAGTGTGTCTGTTTATTCAAGTGTTTGTGTTTAGTTTTTGGGGAGGGCTTTGACTACCATTTCAATATCTTTGACAATTATTAACCTATTTAAGTTTTCTACATTTTTACATATTTACTTTCCATTTTCGGCCTTGTGATTTAATGTAAGAAAATTAATTACAAAGAGGTTTTGAACAACCAGTTCTTAATACAGATGAGATTCTTCAGAAACTGTACCTAGACTTCATAATGAGTCCCAAATTTTAAGCTTAGAGTGTCTCTAAGAAATGAGCTGTCTAGCAGAAAGTTCTGTTCCTTGTCTCTAGAAAAAATGATCTGTTCCTATATAGTAGTCCCAGTATTGTAAACCAACAAAGCAACATCTTAATGGGAAAATCTTTAAAGTATTTATACTTCAAAAATAGGAAGTAGTGGTCTTCTGAAATAACAGACTTAAGTAACAGTGAACTAAATGAAAGAAAATTTCCTAAAGGCCCCATAAAATGGGTGAGAAATGTTTTGCCTCTGAACCCAGTTCCTGAATCATTTCATTTTGATGGTCTAAGCTAATGCTCTTTTTCGCCTATAGATTATAGGAAGATAGTGAAATTGGTTTAGGTACAGATTAAAGAGGCAACATTTCACTAAAGATGTAAAACGTTATTAGGGATACACTTTGATGGCTAAGTTTATGCTTTCTGGATAATTAAGACTAATGAAGCCTTCAAAGCTAGGAAGCTAATTTATCATGCAAAGACTATTAAATAGACAGACAAAACTCCTTCTCATGGTCTCAACTACTACATTATTTAACTTATCTTGTGTATGCTGCCCCATAGGGCTATAACAATTTTTATAAAGTGTTAGGATGAATGCTGACACACATCTTACTTTGTTTATCATTGAAGCCAGGCCAAAAGGCACTAATTAGGGTAGTTCTGCTACACAGTGTTTATGTACTAATTACCCCACTTCCTAAACCAAATATTCCAAGAAGTATTAAGAATGCATGGCAAAAAGTCACTGGTTGCAGCATCAAGTATGCTGCTTTACAAACAAAAAGAACGATACACTCTGAAAGGAAAAAAATATAGAAAAGTTCACACATGGTATATAAAGCATGGTGAACAACTATGTTTTCCTAAAGGTGTAACAAGTATTATTATATTAAATAGCATAAGCACTTAATTTTAATAAGAATGGAGACTTCCAAATTAAAAAGAAAATAAAAATTTTAGAAAAAGGAAAATTTTAAACTACGTCACACACAGTCAAGGAATTCTATATATATATAAAATATCAAGGCATATTTGTGGAAAATTTATGGAAAATATTAGAAAAGCATTTATGGAAAAATACAAGTTAGTATTGCAAAACCCTATTTTTAAATTCAATTTAAATATTGAGAGCTTTCTACATGCTAGACAGTAGGGTTCCAAAGATGAACAAGACATAATGTTTCTTACCCTCAAGAGCTTGCAGGGGAAGATGGATAATTAACTGAGCAAACAAAATACAATGTGAAAATGCTATGATATAGGAAATAGCCCAAAGATCACTTACTATAGTCTAGAATTTCATTTCATGTGTGTGTGTGTATAAACAAATTTTAGAAATAGGAAGAACTTTCTGATCTGTCCTCTCTCCCTGGAAGTGTATGTATGTTTTTTAGTACTTATCCTTCTGCCTATTCCTGTTTGCCTTCTTTCTGTTTCCTCATTTCTTGTGCTTTTACCTTATCTGCTTTTGTTTCCTTAGTTGGCCATTACATAGAACAAATGTATATTTATAGTACTTTTATGCATTGCTTTAAAAAAACCCATCCTGACAAAAACAGTCATAATGTTGAAAATATTTATAACAACAGACTTACTATGTGCCAGGGTGTTCTGAGAACTTTTATAAGCATTAACTGCTTTAATTGTTACAAAAATCTACAAGGGAGGCATCAGTATTACTTCCGTGTTCCAGACATGGAAACTGAAATACAAAGAGGCTAAGTAACATTTTTAGGGTCACACAGCTAGCAAAGGGCAGAGCTGGGCACACCTGCCAGTGTGGTTGAAATCCTACTGGTTTTATTTAAAACAATAGCTAATACTTACTCACTAAGTAACTATGAGGTACCGTTCTAACTGTTTGAATCATTCCACAGATATGATCTCATTTAATCCTACCAACCACCCTGTTAAATAGGTGGGTTAATAACCCCATTTTAGGGATAAGAAAATTGAGGCCGAGTAGGTTGCCCAAGTCACAAAACTAACGGTTTTTTTAAAAAGTGAGAAAAAGTCCAACAAAAAGTTAAGAAAGAAACTGAATTTTGAAAAAAGAAGAAAAATCATAAACTAAATTATCTTTATTTTTATATAAGTCCACATTCTCTAAGTCAACACTCTGGGGAAAAAAGCTGTTTGCCTCATGCTAATAAATCAGACTAAATATTAATACGATGTCACCAATCAAAAAAGAATTTCCTGGTTTTTTAATGAAAAAGGAACAAATAGCCTTTACCCTAAGTTAACTTTTTTTCTTTCTACCTTTAGTGTTACCAAAAGAAACTCAGGTAATAGCACATTTAAAAGATATAGGATCATACTGTCAGTTACAGACAGAATCTGACAACCAGGAGACAAAATGAATGCTTTTCATAGTCTCCATGTTTTCTATCAAAAAGTACACATATCCCATGAGTAAACTGTTATACTTATCTCCTTCTTATATGCAGGCAATGACGATAGGGGTATAGAAAAATAAAGACACTGATTAATTTATTTGTGCTACTGCGTGAAAAACTCCTCTAAAAAACTTTAATTCAAAAATCTAGTTTTCTGAATGCTGAAGTAAATGTCTCCCCAGTGATGGGGTAAGTCTTCTTAGAATGCCAGAAGACTTACTAGTTCAAAAGCACATCAAAATTCAGATTAGGAAAAGGAGGTAATTAGCGCCTCCAGCTTTGTTTAGGGTTATTAGTGCCAAGAACTGTAGTCAAAGAGTACATGCAATCAGTCTTTGCACATTATAATTAGATGATGGGAATGACAGAGCTCTACTTGTAACTACTAAAAATATTACAATTGTTAGAACCTCCAAAACGAACCCTAACTCTGTTTCTACCCAGAGTTCACAGTCCACCTCAAGTTGTATCCTTATATAGCTTTTCTTGATCATTCCAGTCCAGAGTAATCTCTCCTTTCTTTGTTCCAATCATTTAGCACTAACCAGAAACTATACCAACCATACTCTCTGTTACGTTTATCTATTTTACAATTAGGTTACATATATTACAGATGTCTGCTTGTTTAAGAGGAAAGGGTTTAGGTTTTAAAATAATATAGAACAGGCCGGGCGCGGTGGCTCACAACTGTAATCCCAGCACTTTGGGAGGCAGAGGCGGACGGATCATTTGAGGTCAGAAGTTCAAGACCAGCCTGACCAATATGGTGAAACCCCGTCTCTATTAAAAATACAAAAAAATTAGCTGGGCATGGTGGCACACGCCTGTAATCCCAGCTACTTGGGAGGCTGAGGCAAGAGAACTGCTTGAAGCCCGGGAAGCAGAGGTTGCAGTGAGCTGAGATCATGCCACTGCACTCTGCCTAGGCTAGAAACAAAAAAACAAAACAAAAGAGAAAATGAAAAATAATCAGACAGAACAATGCGCATAGCCAGGCTCTATCTCTTTGAGACTGTAATACGTCGGACTAATCCTTCCTAGGCTTATGGGTTACTGGATGATTAATAGTTTAAAATATAGGCATGCCGTAGGTTGGTATTAAATATAAATTCCCTTCCCCATTTGAAACTCATTGATTAAAATCTTATAGCATGTGAACATAATTTACTAAGAATTTACTAAGCCCATATTTCTAAGTTCACGTTATTTTCATTACATATGCAAGAACTGAAAGCAAAAAAATGGAAAACTATTACCTTTTAAAGGATCATTCAAGGAACTAAGAGATCTTCACTTGAGCCCTCACTTACTGTAATCCCAACAAGAAGCTATTACTTTGTCCTTCCCCCCATCTGCATTGAAAGTGCAACCCTCTGAGAATGTTATAAGCTGACACGACAGTTTCTATTCGCATCACTGGCATCTAAGTAGACATTTACCAACTCAGGACAGACACTAGTTAACCAGGCTGACATCTAAGGAATGTACTTAACTGCAAGCAGGTTATTTCTCTAAAACAAATCATGTCATAAGATTCTAAACATGATAACCAGAGACTAAATTAAATCTCAATAACCTACAATTAGCTTCTAACTACTCATATAAAGAATGGATCCTGTTCATGGTAATACTGAGTTTCCCTTTTCCATAGGGAAGTATAGGACATAAATTAATAATATTTACAGCTTTTAGTATACAACAAAATAATCTTTGGCTTTCCTCTTAACAAACTTTAGACAAAAGAACTTACAAAAGGATAAAATGCTTGTATCTTAAATGACTTCTATACTAATATATCTGAAATATTCTATGCATAACTAATCCCCATTTGAAGTGGTATCCAATTAACAATTTTTTATCATCATTTCCTTTTTATAAAGAAAAAAGGGGGAAATGAGGACTACTCTGTCCAGGAGAAAAGGCAAAGTAGTCCTCACTTCCCCCATTTTTACTAGGAGAAATGGCATGTTTCTTGGTTTGCAAACATAAAAAATTATATAAAAATATATGTACTTTTATTTCTTCTTATTGAACTCAGAGTGTTAGAAATTTCACTTTAAGAGATTCTAACAAGTCTTGAGGTATTTCAGGGACTTAGATTTGCTTTATTAAAACACAAATATGCTGGGAAAAGTAACATGTCAAGCATCTCAGTGAGGAGCTTTTGGGGTTAGGGGTAAGGGCACTGACAAAGGGCACAGTCAGGAGGAAGGATGACAGAATGTAGTAGGGTAACAGAAGGAAGACAGAAGTCTCAACAACTTTTAGCATTCTACCTAGAGCTGGCCCCAAACTGGCATTATCCTGGCTCACTCTTGATCTGATAAAAATCAGCTTCAGTTGCTACCACCACTGGCAGCAGGCCTGTTATTACTCTTAAGTAATTTCAACTGATCAAAACAAATAGTGATACTGGAGTTTTGAATATAAAACAATCAGTTTGGTGTGCATAGGTGTGTTATTTTTACTTTTGAAGCAACAGTTCTCAACTAGGGTCTGCTGAAATAGTCTCAAGATATTTCATATGCTTAAAATTTCTGTTTTTGTTTTGATGATGACCTAACAAAATTAAAATGCTCAATCAGCTGAAGATCTTACAATAAAGTACTGGTTACCTGATTTCAACATCAAAAATTGCATTAGAGTTTCTGATTGTGTTGGAACCAAGCTACCATGGAAGGTGGCAGCATTTAATTAATGTAGTTCTTCAACTGGAATTTGTAGGTATATTCATAGAAGTTTGAGGTATTTTCTTTACAATACATTTATTCATTACTTAAGTTTAAGAAACACAGCTGTGGCCGGGCACAGTGGCTCACGCCTGTAATCCCAGCACTTTGGGAGGCCGAGGTGGGTGGATCACGAGGTCAGGAGAGCGAGACCATCCTGGCTAACATGGTGAAACCCCGTCTCTACTAAAAATACAAAAAATTAGCTGGGCATGGTGGCGGGCGCCTGTACTCCCAGCTACTTGGGAGACTGAGGAAGGAGAATGGCGTGAAACCAGGAGGCGGAGGTTGCAGAGAGCCGAAATCGTGCCACTGCACTCCAGCCTGGGCAACAGAGCGAGACTCCGTCTCAAAAACAAACAAACAAACAAAAAAAAGAAACACAGCTCTACAATTAAACCTATGGAGAAAGAAAGGCTAAGTAGGACCCCCCAAAAAGCTATATATATAGATACCTACATATAAGTATATTATATATAGATATCTATATGTAAGTATATATATCAAATATATATAATATATAAATATATAATGATATACTTATATATACTATAAGGCCCTGAAACCAGTTGGTTTGAGTTATATTAATTATTCATCTTATTATGAGTTCCTATTATATTCAGTGGACTATTTCAAGCATGTATTAATTCATTTAATCCTCACCAGTTTATGAAGCATTTTATTCTCCCCATATTGAGGGGATAATAACCTGTCCAAGGACACAGTGTAAATGAGTGGCAGAACCAATACCCAAACCCAGGGAGTTTAAATCCAGAGTGTGTGCTTTTACTAATATAGTATATACTCCTTTCTATAAAAAGTTCAGGGAGCCAGGCAGATAGGATCCATACGTTATAATCCAAGATTAATGATAGCTGGACTATGAGAAAGTGAAGGTAGACATAGTTAATTAAGAAGAGTAACATCCATAGCATTATATTTGACATAGTTACAGTTGATAGATTTATAGACTTCTAGAGTTCAAGGAACCGAAAATTAATCTAATTCTTTTCTCCCCAACTAGGTGAGGAAAGTCTGCTGGTTCATCATGACTATTCCTTGGCAATTAAGAGCTGAGTATATAACCAACGAAATCCATAGATCCAAACAAGTTCCCTAACCATTTAGCATCCCCTATCAAAAGTATAATTTAATAAGTTGCACTGGATGATTTCTAAATTCTCTTGTAGCTTCAAATTTTGATTGATACTTCAAATTTTGATTGATACTAGAGGGGCAGAACTAACAGGATAGATATATACATAAAGGGGAGTTTATTAAGTAATATTAACTCACATAATCTGAGGAGCAAAAGGAAGCCAGTTCGAGTTCCAAAGCTGAAGAACTTGGAGTCCAGTGTTTGAGGGCAGGAAGCATAAAGCACGAGAGAAAGATGTAGGCTGGGAGGCTAAGCCAGTCAAACCTTTTCACGTTTTTCTTCCTGCTTTATATCCTGGCTGTGTCTGAAGCTGATTAGATTGTGCCCACACAGATTAAGGGTGGGTCTGCCTTTTCCAGCCCAGTGACTCAAATGTTAATCTCCTTTGTCAACACCTTAACAGACACACTCAGGGTCAATACTTTGCATCATTCAATGCCATCAAGTTGACACTCAGTATTAACCATCACAGATACTATGTATTTATGAAGTAAAAAAATCAGCATCAATGCTCCATTGGACATAAGAAAACAAATCCAGAAATAGAAATTAAAAATATGAAGCCAAAAATATCAGGCATAGGGGAAATTCTTATGCTATGTGAATGGAATAGTGAGCAGATATTAACAAATATTTAAGGCAGTAGTTCAATCTTGCATTGCCAAAGTTCACAGCTTACTAAATTTGATTTTCCCCCCAATGTGAACATCTCTCAAATTTAATCTTAAGAGATATATGAAAAATTTAAGACTTCCTTTGAAAAAATTCACTTTATAGTCAACTAGGGTAGAATACTTGACTTAAAAAGGCAAGTAATTGATTATATTATTTTCAGAGCAGGATATCATAAATATCAATGAGAAATCATCCGAATTTATATGGATATAAAAAGGTCAGAAAAATAAGAAGACCATTCCAGTAACTTTTACATATGAGTAGCCATATTTTTAAAAATTCTACTTAGTTCAATATAAATTTATTAATAAATAAATCACATACAAGACCTACAGATAGCCATACAACTAAAGAGTAGCAATAGTTTTTCTAATGAAATAATTTCAAGCAACATATTTACTTTCATAAATGGATACTAAGGACAATTTATTATGTTTATTATAAAATAAAATTTAACCCTGTAATTTCATAAATTATTTTTAATAACTTTATTAAGACATAATTTACATACCACAAAATTCATGAATTATTTAAGCATACGATTCAATAATTTTTAGGAAATATACAAAATTGTGCAACCTCCACCATAATGTAGTATTAGAACATTTTCACTAACCCAAAAGTTGCCTCATGTCCATTTATACTTAATCCCCAAGGCATCTCCTAACTCTAGCCCAAGGCAACTAATAATCTACCTTTTTTCTCTATAATTTTCCTTAGCTGGACATTTCATATAAAGGGAATAATAATATTTTCAGTCATTTTTACACTAAAAGGAATTTTTGTAAAGCCAAAGTATTTTTTTTTTACAGTTCACTCCAAATAAAATTAACCTTAAGGTGAAAATGAAAAGTCTCAGCTGTCTGAGATTATAACCATCTATAACTTGAATGAAAACACTAATTTTAAGTCTTTTTAGAGACTGTAAAAAGGCCTTCAAACTTCAACAAACTCTTATTGCCATGAAATATATATTCAGAATAGCGGAATCACTAATTAAGTAGAGGTGTCATTTGTTGTTTGCTTTAGTACCATCATATCTAAATGAAAGAAAACTGGCTAGGAACCAGAATACTTGGTCTGTTTTTTACATGAAATGATTTCCTGTCATAATCGCTCAATTATTAAAGTAAATTAAAAATGCTAAGAAAATTCTCAAAGGCAAATGAACCAAAAAAAGTAATAAAGTATTGGCATAGAGACTTCAATTAGAATCTAAAAACTTAAAGCATTTCAATAAATCTTAATTAGATAATTATACAATTACATTTTTTGCTAGACATAGTGGGGGATATAAAAGCCTGGCCAACATGGTGAAACCCCATCTCTACTAAAAATACAAAAATAAAAAATTAGCTGGGCGTGGTGGCAGGTGCCTGGAATCCCAGCTACTCAGGAGGCTGAGGCAGGAGAATCACTTGAACCCAAGAGGCGGAGGTTGTAGTGAGCCGAGATCGTGTCACTGCACTCCAGCCTGGGTGACAGGGCGAGACTCTGTCTCAAAAACAAAAAATAAAACAAAAAATATCCAATAATACAGTTTCCTCTCTTCAAAGACTTAAATTTCTATTGGGAAAGTAAGTTACACACATGAAATAATTAGAAAATAACTCAAAATACAAAGTAAGTGACAAAATATGGAAGAACTGGGGCTGTGAAAGCTCAAGGTAGGGAAAAATCACTATGGGTTAGAAGGATCACTAGAGGTCACAAAGAAGGCAGATCTTGGGGTGACTTGAAGTATAGCTCTGAATTTATATAAGAGCCCAAAAGGGGTGGTTTTCTCAATAAAAAGAACACCATGGTTAAATGTGCAGAGAAAGAGCAAAGTAAGTTACCTCAATAATAAGAAAACAAGCCTGATCAGAACACTCAATGCAGACTGTGGTATTTTGATGAGAAGTTAAAAACCAGGTCTAAGTGGTAGACTTTAAACCTTACCTCTGATCACTACACCCTCTTGAAAGATGTAGGGCTTTAGAAGTATTACATAAGGTTTAGAGAGGAGTAATTACAGTAAGTGTGCCTGGACATTAGTCACTTAAACTCTTTACTTCTGCATAAAACAAGAGATGGGTCTCTGTCCTCTCTTCATTTACTAAAACTCAGAAGTTTCCTTTCAAGGGTTGCCTAATAGAGAGCAGTTAGGTGAATCAGTCCCTGGGGTTTGGATGTTCAAAAAAGGGAAGCTCTCCCTTCCCTCAGGGACTGTGGAGCCCAGCCAGGACTTCCAATCCACGTAAGTCTGTAAAATACATGTTAAGAGGTCATAAGTGGGGTACAGCCTGTTCATATATTTGGGGAAATAAAATGAAATTAACACTGAGGTTTTACTACATACCAGACTATCCTAAAAACAAAAATAATAAGCATGACCTAATTTACTACTCTGAACTTGTGGAGTAGACAGGCAGTGTTGGGTTTTTTTTGTTTGTTTTTTTGAGATGGAGTCTCACTCTGTAGCCCAGGCTGGAATGCAGCCGTGCAATCTCAGCTCACTGCAACCTCTGCCTCCTGGGTCCCGGTTCAAGCAATTCTCCTGCCTCAGCCTCCCGAGTAGTTGGGATTACAGGCACGCGCCACCATGCCCAGCTAATTTTTTTGTATTTTTAGTAGAGACGGGGTTTCACCATGTTGGCCAGGCTAGTCTTGAACTCCTGACCTTGTGATCCACCCGCCTCGGCCTCCCAAAGTGCTGGAATTAAAGGCGTGAGCCACTGCACCTGGCCCAGGCAGTGTTTTTATTTTACAGATAATCTGAGTTCAGCTTGGTTAATCACGTTACTATGGATGTACAGCTAGTGAGTGACAATGCTAGCCTTCAAAGCTAGGTCAGTCTGATTCCAAAGTCCACATTGTTTCCACTTTACCATTTGCATCTATGTAGCATGCTTGTTAAAACCTTTTCAGATAATAACATTAATAATTGCCATTTTAAATATCAAATATGTATGAGGTTCTTTTTATATACTACATAAACATTATTATTAATCTGTATAATAACCCTAGAGAGAGGAATTATATCCTTGTTTTATAGATGATTAAACCATGACCCAGAGGGGCCAAATAACATGCTAAAGTTAAAATAGCGAGTAAGTAGCAGAGCTGGTTTCAAATTTGGGTATGCCTGATGTCAACCCACAGCTCTTCATACTATGCCATGATGACTCCTTATAAAATAAAATTTGGTATTGGTATTCATTTTAATAAAGAGATTTAATTATTTATACATAGGTAACCTAAACTTCCTGATATGTCTCTCTATATTTTGTATTTATTTGAGACTATGAATTCTGAAATATTAATGCAATAATATGAGTAAATTTTATAGACATAAGTTCTAAGCCATCAGTGGGCCCATTGATTCTCCTTTCTTTTCCATCTGATATTAGAGATACTAATAAAATAAATGTAGTGTACACTATTAATTTTCCCTTTTAAAAACATTTGTCACTGTCAACATTTCCTTCCAACATACTCATGTACTCTATAATATTTGACAGATGGCCCACTATAATTGGTAAAGAGAAAAGTTGCTTATCTATAAATTAGATGGTTCTGTTATATGGAGTTAACTGAATGTTCAAAAGTCCCATTTTTCCTTGCATGTATTTGAAGGTGGTGTTCAAGTTCCTTAAAATTCTCCTTTATCATAAAAAATACTTTTATTCTTCTTGTGTGACACAGTTTCCAAATCATTCCATATCTTGGTCACACTCTTCCGGACACAATCCACTTTTATAGTGTCTCTTCTTGCCTCTCTGAAGTAACAGAATAAGGATGTTGTCTCTTCTAGAGGACAGTCCTTTGAATAACTGAAGCTGCCTATCACATTCCTCCTTCCTGGTCTTTTTTTTCCCCAGCTGATTAACCAGGAACTCACCACTTGCAGACCCTCATCCCTCCCTCCCCGTCAAATCCTGATTACTCTCCTTTGGACTTGCCTTGGCTTGTTCATGTTTCTCTAAAAATATGATCAAATGTAAATGGACCAGCTTGCAAGTCTAATGAGACACTTTTCTTTATACATTACAATATCACTCATATATATCCTTGTCTTATTTTTATTTAGTTTAACTTCTTGTCTTATATTTCTTTCCTGAAGAACCCTGCACCCCTGGCCTACAGTTTCTGTTTCTTCTAATCCAGTCAGAGCAGGGATTAACCTTTGTAAAATCTCATGACAGTATTTTTTTCTATTCAGAAATTACGTCTCTCTACTGCCTACTAAATTCTAAACTTTTCCATAATGTGATTTCAACTTCCTTGCCTAGCTCTATTAGCCACTGACCTCCTATTTAGAATTTTGAACTATGCAATTAGAAGATACCATCCTTCAAATACATTCCTTGCTTTCATGTCTGTATCCCTTGCCTAGAGTATTATTTCCATATGGAATAACTACCTATTCCTCTCCTCCACCTCCTGAAATAGCATCCTTTCTTCCCCAAGACTTAGTGTAATTATTATCACTTAGTCACCCCTGCTGGATGCGGTATATCCTTCCTAAATGTTCTTGAGTTTCTTTTTAGAGCACTTATTTCATGCTTCCTTGTCATCAAATTAGTTTTATGTCTTAAGCTTCCTATTAGGTTCTAATTTTGAGGCCAAAGAATATCTTATTAAGCCAATATTGTATATGATAAACATAAACTTTATAGCTAGACATACATAAATCTCCATCATCTAATCAATCAAAAAAAATTCAGTGACCACTGATTATGTACCAGGCACTCTGCTAAGTTTTTGGGATAAGATTCTGAAGAAACATGGCTTTTATCCTTAAGGAGTGTACAATACAATGCAAGAATTGAGACAGAAAGTCATCCTAGACTCAGTTTCTCTTTCCGCAGTTTCAGCTGCCCAAGGTCAACCTCAGTCTGAAAATCGGTGAGTATAGTACAATAAGAAATTTTGAGAGAGACAGAGAACACATTTACATAACTTTTATTATAGCATATTGTTATAATTGTTCTACTTTATTATTAATTATTGCTGTTAATCTCTAACCATGCCTAATTTATAAATTAAATGTCATCATAGGTATGTATGTATAAGAAAAAAACCTATATATAGCAGTTAATATAACCCATGGTTTCAGACATCCACTGGGGGTCTTGGAATGTATCCGCTGCAGATAAGGGGATACTACTTGTATTTAAAAAAAACAAAAGAAAAAGAAAGAGGTAACTGCTCTATGCATAGAGCCCAAACTCCTGCTGGAGGTGGTCGGAAGGTCTGATTCTTAAAAGATGAGTAGGAATTTAGCAAGGGACAAATAGGAAGGCATTTTCTTGTTCACAGTGATAGGACAGAGGTGATAAAACACAGGCAGAGATGAGAGAATCTTGTAAGAGGGAGACATGTCAAGGATACTACAGAATGACAGGTTATCACAGAATACCACCAAAGGAAGCCTGGTCTTTGGAAGGGGCAGTGTTTACATTGTAGTATTAGGTGATTAGCAGTTAGGGATGAGCTGATGTAAAAATTATAATATAAGAAGCTGGCCACAGTAATTTGTGTTGTCTGTGTTTTCAGGAAGAGGTGTGTCTTTATTTTGCCTGCAGTAAAACTGATGGCTACGGGCAGGTCTGTACTCCACCCCAAGTGAATTATTATTATTATTTTTTAAGGATGTAACCTAATTTAGCATGCTGTGTTGTGGCACTGAGTCTAAGGTTAGGGTGGGTAAAAATCTCATATAAATAACCACTGGCTTCTTTACTATTAAGTGTAAAACTTGGATTTTTCTCAGAGAAGTAGCACAACTTGGTAAAATAGAAAGAAAAAAGGCTAGTCATCACACCAATATTGTTACTCTAGAAGGAGTCTCTGAACAACAACAACAACAACAACAACAAAAAGACAAGATTTTTGGCAGACCATAATTATTCACACCCATGTTAGATTCATATTCTAAAAACTTGTTTATTTCATTGCTTTTCAGAGGCCCACTGTTGCCTAAAAAATAAAGCTGAAATGCTTTTGGCTGGCATTTAATCACTTCATTTCTCTTCTAAATTCTAGGAGAGTCTCAAGATTTTGAATGCTGCTCTCCCACTTAAATTGTTAAGATTGATTCTGATACATTATCCTGTTCACTAACTAAATGGAACCAGGAGACTCAGGACAATTGGCTTAGGTCTGGGCACTGTCCTCACTTCCTGCACCTCCCGGTCCTAGGTCCTGCAGCCTTCCAGTTAATATCCCACTGCTTCCCAGAGGAGCCTGTAACCCAGGCTCTACATGCTATGCACTCTCACCTCTACTCTGCTTCTTCCCCTTTAGAAAGGTCCTTACCTTTCCTAACCAACGACTTACTGTATTTCAATGACTATAGGAAACATATTTCTTCATTTTTTAAATGCAGAAATCAGAGACAATGCATATCATAGTTTAATTGGCTGCATTTTCTTTCTTAGTAGTCTACAAAGTAATGATGCACCTTATAATCAAACGCCTCTTGACTGCAACACTTCTATGACTTCTATCTGACTTGGCTCCTATGTGTCCTAAATACTCCCCCAACTAACATTACCCAGGCTGCTTTATTAAAACTGTAATTAAGTGAGAAATATGACTTTCAGAGCAACATCTGTTAGCTTCCAAAAGCATCATAATATCAGATTAAAAACTTGCCAAAACTTTTACAAAAGAAAACGAAATAATAAATTATCTATAAATCCTTCAGAATTAGTTTTTCAGAACCATTTAACAGCTATAAAAGACATACTTTTAATCAGGCCTGATTTACCTGGCATTTGGAAGTAATTTGTTAGAATTATAATTCTTCCTAACAAAATGTAATGGACAGAACACTGGACTAGGAGTCAAATAAACACTCTCTAATCCATGTTAACCTCATCTGAAAATAAGAAGGTTAGACATAATTTCTGCAGTCTCTTTTACCACATATCCTCTGTGGTTTTCGCTATTAATATTTTAGATTAAGATCACCTTTACTGGTAGAAAAATTGATTCTAAAATCTAGGAGACCATTGTAATTTTAGCAGCTGAATTTGAACTTTGAGTTTTAGGAATCTGCTCTTAGTCTTGAATTGCAAATGATGGGACCGTTTGGTATTTGCAACCTGGCATTCTTTCCCTTTCTTGCTGACTTCCTTCCTCTGACTGCTGCAGACAGGTTGCAGCAAGTAATAACTCTCTTTAGGGGAGATTTATTGTGCTCAAATGTTCTTTCTGTATTTTTTTTCCATAGACTAGATGCAATAATAAGTATGTTTATATACTGCCTATGTACTCTGTATTTCTTGACCCGAAGTTCTTTGGGGAGCCCCTACATAATAGATATTACCACACCTGAACTTCACTTGTCAAGATGAAGAGAGATGAAATACTGAAGTGATGTTTTATTCATCTCTACTATTGTTATACCTATTTAAATTAATACATAGCTTAGTAAACTTAGACTTTCTAATGAGTTTATATCAAATTGCATTGATACTAAAACTGTAAGTGTCCTTTCACCCATACATACAAAAAAAACCTTTGCTCTGAAATTCCTGAGATTGACCTTTCAATGCAAATACATTTCACAGGCTAATTCCAAGAGGATCCCCACACTTTTAAATGTACAAAAGAAATAGAGCACAACTTGACCTGAGATTCAGGTTATTTTCTCTGCCAAAAGTAATTTGGAACAAGTCATTTTATCTTCTCAAAGCTGTAATGGTCATATGTGTCAAATGAGGATTGGTATTGTCAGTGATTTCAATCTATTTTTTGGCTCAACACACCAAAGACACTACTCACTTTCATCATTCACAGAGGCTCACTACCCTAGTAATGCCACAGTGAGAGGTTAAGGTGTAAAGGTGGGTGTGTGTGTGTGTATTTGAAAAAGCTGCCTGGTGTATCTGGCAAAATAGAGTGGTATATGTGCGTATGGGGAACAAGGAAGATGTCATTCCTAGCCACTCTTTACACCCACTCCCAATGCTATCGACTTAGTTCAAACTTCCTTTTCAGTATCCAGTTTCTGTGACTCTAGGATTCTTTTAACAATAACATATTTCATTATTTAAGTTGAATAGGTTTTGTTCTTTTATAGAGGGGGGAGGTATTTACTTTCACTTGATGATGACATAGAAAGCTATGTTTTTAGGAAATACCACACATTTTGTGATATTGAAAGTTGGAGTGAATGTGGCTAGAGATTTGTTTTACGTGAACTAATTAAGATGCTGTTACTTGTCTACTGCCATACCACCCCGAACACGCTCAATCTCGTCTGATCTTGGAAGATGCTGTTAATTAATACTTTGCTATGTAAATCAAGAGTTACAATTTTTTTTTGAGACTACTTTTTTGAAAGGGATCTTTTATATAAAACAATAACCTCATCCTAAGGGAGCTAGCAGTATTTGGGAGATAAAACATGAATGCAATAATCAAATGATTCACATAGAAACCAATGTAAACCATACAAAGTAGGGGGTAGAGGTGGCCTAGTCCAGAAAAGGCTTTTAAAGCTTTATGCTTCTTATGGTATGCAACAATAAATGTGTATGGTTATGATGAATAAAAGCTTGTAGAGGCTGGGTGCGGTGGCTCACACCAGTAATCCCAGCACTTCGGGAGGCCAAGGTGGGTGGATCACTTGAGGTTGAGAGTTCAAGACCAGCTTGGCCAACATGGTGAAACCCTGTCTCTACTTAAAAAAAAAAAATACAAAAATTAGCTGGGCGTGGTGGCAGGCACCTGTAATCCCAGCTACTCGGGAGGCTGAGACAGGAGAATTGCTTGAACCTGGGAGGTGGAGGTTGCAGTGAGCCAAGATTGCACCACTGCACTCCAGCCTGAGCAACAGAGCAAGACTCTGTCTCAAAAAAGAAAAAAAAAAGCTTGTAGAGAGATCATTCAGTGTTGTTGCCAAATTTGCGTCTCACCCCATGGGTTAATTTTTATTTTGAGGAAGAAAGAAACCCTACCTGCAGGTTAGGATTTCTGGTAATAAGTTCACCTTCCATATGAGTCCCTCCTTTCATATGTACTTGGCATCTCTATGAACAGCAGCCTACACTTTATCCAAAAAAAAACTATCAGCATGGGATCATTAAGAACAGGAGTTTCTTTTTTTTTCTTTTTTTTTTTTTTTTTAATCTTCTTAACTATCTTAGAGAACATAAAGCCTTTGGAGGGCAGAAGTTTTACAAAGAGGTTGGTTTGTGTCCTTTTAAAAACTGGAGATACTGGCAATTAGAAACTTAAAAATAATACTCAGACATATGTTGTAAACAATACCAGCTGTCTTGGTGATAAAAAACATGACCAAGTTGAGGGTTTCCAATCTGAGTAGGTACTGAGGCAGTTCCCAATTGCTAAAGGGATTATTTTCTAAGTTTTTATTTGTAATTTCATGTTTTGGAACTTTTTGGCACATTTTCCTGACAAGCTAATGTTTAAAAATGGTGACTAGGTATCTAGGAATTTTGTACTAAGAATTCTATTATTGACATTAATTGAAAAGCTACAGCATAGAGAATAGGCCCTTGAAGGGTTACGTACGTAATGTGAAGCCTAGACCCCATCTTTTAACATGTTTGTTTCAGTATTCTACCCCTGGTTCAAACTTCTATATTACAACTTCAAGATTTTGCTCCATTTTTTTTTTCTGTTCAAAACAGAAATGACAAGCATACTTGAAGGAACTATGATGAAGAGATAAACTTGCAAACTAAACACAGCCATGTAGCTGAGAGTCCTAACTTAAGGTCTAGCCATATCCTGGGTGTTAGTCCCTTTAAATTACATACACGAGTTTAACATTTATAATATCTGTTCCCACTCTGCCTTCTACCGTAAGTAAAAGCTCCCTGAGGCCTCCTCAGAGGTAGAAGCTGCCATGCTTCCTGTACAGCCTGCAGAACCATGAGCCAATTCAATCTCTTTTCTTATAAATTACCCAATTTTAGGCATTTCTTTAGAGCAGTGCAAGAACGGACTAATACAGGTACCAAGATGAACTTTTGTTTAAAACAAAATCAAACTATGCTTTAAAACTAACAGAAAAACAACATTTTAGTTGCTCAAAAAATAAAATACTATTCTCTGGTATTCATGAGGGATTGGTTCCAGGACCTCCTGCAGATACCAAAATCTGAGGATGTTCAAGTCTCTTATATAAAATGGTATCTACTTGATTATGACCTACGCACATCCTCTTGTATACTTTAAATCATTTCTAGATTACTTATAATACCTAATACAATGTAAATGCTACAGATAGTTATTTTTTTAACAATTTAAATTTTGAAAATGCTGTATTGTTAATTTTTGTTCCCCGACCCCAAATATTTTCAATTCATAGTTGGTTGAAACTGTAGATGCAAAAGCAAAAGATACACAAGGCCAATTGCATATACTAAAAAATGTAACTCTGTTCACTATTTTGACTAGCAAGAAGGAATGTGGAGGAAAAGAAGACAGGGAAAAAAAGACAATGAGAAGAAAGGAGAAAAAAAATTACATAATAGGGATAAGACTGGGTGCAGTGGCTTATGCTTGTAACCCTAGCACTGGTCAAGGTGGGAGGAAGGCTTGAGCTCAGGCATTCAAGACCAGCCTGGACAACATGGCAAAACTTTGTCTCTATAAAAATATAAAACTTAGCCAGGTCTGGTGGTGTGCACCTGTAGTCCACGCTACTCGGGAGGCTGAAGTGAGAGAACTGCTTGAACCCAGGAGTTCGAGGCTGCAGTGAGCCATGATCATGCCACTGTACTCCAGCCTGGGCGAGAGTGAGACTCTGTGTCTAAATAAATAAACAAACAAATAAACAGAAATAGGGATAGATACTCAACAGGAAAGAAACATTCAAGAGAATGTTCACAGATCAAGAGAACAATAAGGAGGAGGGGCAGAGAGGGAGGGAAGAAAAGAGGGAAAGAGGGAAGCAGGCAGGGGCAGAAGTGGACAGAAAAAAATGTTGGCAAGAGATTCAGATTTTCTAATGTTTGTCAAAATCATCTGTTGTATTGCTTCCTCACCTTTACTGAGGTCTCCAAAGTAACTAACTTTGACCTTTTAAATTTCTTTAACAATACGTGTTACATTTGTTAAATTTCTTATATATATGTCAAGCACTAGGCACTATGCTTTTCTCTTAATATATTTTTTTCTCTAATCCATCCCATAACCTTCCTTATAGAGTTGATATCAATGATCTCCTTTTGGAAATTAAGGTCCAAAGAAATTTAAGTGCTGTGGTTACACAGCTACTAACTGACAAAGCTAGGATTGGTTGAATATTCACTGTTTCAAAAATTCAACTGTTTCTATTTTTTTAGTTTTTAATCCTTAAATTCAGACAGTTTTTACTCTTAAAATCTCACTATGGACACTTATCATACACTTTTGGTAGCCTGTATAGGGCAGTATCACCTTAGATGTGCAGTCAATTGTCTTGGGAGCTAGATGCTGTACTCTGCTACTTTAAACTGTTGACCTGTCTACAAATATTATTTTATCACTTTAAGAGCTTATAAGGATATGTTTCCATTTTCCTTTCTCTTGTCATCTGTGGCAATATTGTCATGTATATACTTTGATGAATATTACAGAACTCTATAATATCGGTTTTAACATTAAACAGTAAAGTATCTTTAAATAAACTGGAAAATGAGAAAAAAAAAAGCTCCCTTATTTTTATTCAAATCTTCACATTGTCTAACCCTCTCCTCCATTTCTTTCAAGCTTCCATCTAGTGAATGGATTCAGGTTCCCATCTGCTTCATTTTCCTCCAGCCTCAAGAACTTGGTATCATTTCTCATGGTGTTGTTCAAGTTGGCTAACAAGAAATTCTCACAAGTTTAATTTGTCCGATAATTTTGTCTTTCAAAAGTCTTTGAAAGACAAATGTCTTTACTACACTTTCATATGTTAAGGGATATTTTTGCTTGAAAGGGAATTCTAGATTAACAGTTTTTTCTTTAAGAACTTTAAAGACAGCATTCCACTGCCTCCTGGTTTGCACTGTTTCTGCCAAGAAGTTAATGACAATTATTACTTTTTTTCCTTTGTATTTAATGTGTGGGTTTGTTTTTTCTTTTTCCATTTGACTGCTTTTAAAGTTTTCTTTTTATCACTGGTTTTCAACAGTTTCATTAGGATATGCCCTACTGTGGTTTTATTGTGCTTATTTTGCTTGATTTTCTTTGTGCTTACTAATTTTTGGAGCTACCTTTACATGTTGCATTGGTATTTTTTATGTTCATGTTATTACAAGTAAAAAAGGCAGTTAACCCTTATAAATATAATTTTACAGTAATAATAACAACACAGGAAACTATCATAATATCTGTAGTGGGTTAAAGACGGGTGCAAACACGTTTACCTATGTAACAAATCTGCACATCCTGCACATGTCCCCTGGAACTTAAAATAAATGTCGAAGAAAAAAAATGGGTACAAAAAGTTTTCTTCTCTACCCATCAAGAGGTTGAATCTACATGAAATTTGGGCTAGCCCTGTGAGATGCTCTATCAAAACAAAGGACAAGAGAATTGGCAAAGTGACATAGTATAAATTCAGAGTGAGCCTTCAGAGATCTGCAGCTTTTCCTTTCCAAGGCTTGAAATGTTCTGCCTTGGAACTCGGCTGCCATGCTGTGAGAAGCCCATGCTGTAGAAAGGCCATGTGGAAGAGTTCGAAGGTGCTACAGGAGAAAGTCCCAGATAAGCCAGACACATAGGTGAGCCACTGTGGACATTCTAGGCCTGTCAAGTTTCCACCTAAAAGAGGAAGCTAGGACATGACTCAATTGCCCACTGAGATAATGGAAGAATTAATAAATATCTGAATGACAAAAGTAATCAAGAGGAAAATTCTTTGATAATCAGATACATGTGGTTGTTATTGGGAAGATATATAATTTAACATAAGCATTCAAGACACTGCATGCCACTTAAGTATTCAATAAATGTTAGCTATTATAACCGCTGTTAAAGAAATCTCAGTCTCCCAAGTTTCTCTTCTATTTATTATTTTATCCATCAGATGTCAGCTATCCCTTGCTTCCAACTTTTGGCAATTATGAATAAAGCTCCTATAAACATTGTATGCAGGTTTTTGTGTGGACATGTTTTCAACTCCTTTTGGTAAGTACCAAGGAGCGCAACTGTTGGATCATGTGGTAAGAGTGTTTAGTTTTTTAAACTATCCAACTGTCTTCCAAAGTGGCTGTACCATTTTATAGTCCCACCAGCAGTGAATGAAAGTTCTTGATGCTCCACATCCTTGCCAGAATTTGGTGTTGTCAGTGTTCTGGAATTTGACCATTCTAACAAGTGTGTAGTGATGTCTCGTTTTAATTTGCATTTCTCTTTTGATGTATAATGTAGATTATCTTTTCATATGCTTATTTGATATGTGGATATCTTCTTTGGTGAGGTGTCTGTTAAGGTCTTTCACCCATTTTTAAATCCAGTTGTTAGATTTCTTATTGTTGAATTTCAAAAGCTCTTTGTGTATTTTGGATAACAGTCCTTTATCAGATGTGTCTTTTGCAAATATTCTCCCCCAGCCTGTAGCTTGTCTTCTAATTATCTTTTCTTATTATTATACTTTAAGTTCTGGGATACGTGTGCAGAATGTGCAGGTTTGTTACATAGGTGTGCAGGTTTGTTACATAGGTATACATGTGCCATGGTGGGTTTGCTGCACCCATCAGCCCATCATTTACATGAGGTATTTCTCCTAATGTTATCCCTCCCCTTTCCCACCCCCATCCCCCAACAGGCCCCAGTGTGTTATGTTCCCCTCCCTGTGTCCATGTGTTCTCATTGTTCAACTCCCACTTATGAATGAGAATGTGAGGTGTTTGGTTTTCTGTTCCTGTGTTAGTTTGCTGGGAATGATGGTTTCCAGTTTCAACCATGTCCCTACAAAGGACATGAACTCATTCTTTTTTATGGCTGCATAGTATTTCATGGTGTATATGTGCCACATTTTCTTTATTTCAGTCTATCATTGATGGGCATATGGGTTGGTTCCAAGTTTTTACTATTGTGAATAGTGCTGCAATAAACATACGTGTGCATGTGTCTTTATAGAATGATTCATAATCATTTGGGTATATACCCAGTAATGGAATTGCTAGGTCAAATGGTCTTTCTGTTTCTAGATCCTTGAGGAATCGCCACACTGTCTTCCACAATGGTTGAACTAATTTATACTCCCACCAACAGTGTAAAAGCATTCCTATTTCTCCACATCCTCTCCAGCATCTGTTGTTTCTGGACTTTTTAATGATCACCATTCTAACTGGTGAGAGATGGTATCTCATTGTGGTTTTGATTTGCATTTCTCTAATGACCAGTGATGACCTTTTTTTCTTATGTTTGTTGGTTGCATAAACGTCTTTCTTTGAGGAGTGTCTGTTGATATCCTTCGCCCACTTTTTCACCCACTTTTTGATGGGAATGTTTGTTTTTTTCTTGTAAATTTGTTTAAGTTCTTTGTAGATTCTGGATATTAGGCCTTTGTAAGATGCATAGACTGTAAAAATTTTCTCCCACTCTGTAGGTTGCCTGTTCACTCTGATGATAGTTCTTTTGCTGTGCAGAAGCTCTTTAGTTTAATTAGATCCCATTTGTCAATTTTGGCTTTTGGTGCCTTTGCTTTTGGTGTTTTAGTCATGAAGTCTTTGCCCATGCCTACTTCCTGAACGGTAATGCCTAGGTTTTCTTCTAGGGTCTTTATGGTTTTAGGTCTTATGTTTAAGTCTTTAATCCATCTTGAGTTAATTTTTGTATAAGGTGTAAGGAAGGAGTCCAGTTTCATTTTTTCTGCATATAGCTAGCCAGTTTTTCCAACACCATTTACTAAACAGGGAATCCTTTCCCCATTGCTTGTTTTTGTCAGGTTTGTCAAAGATCAGGTGATTGTAGATGTGTGGTGTTATTTCTGAGGCCTCTGTTCTGTTTCATTGGTCTATATATCTGTTTTGGTACCAGTACCATGCTGCTTTGGTTACTGTAGCCTTGCAGTATAGTTTGAAGTCAGGTAGTGTGACGTCTCCAGCTTTGTTCTTTTTGCTTAGGATTGTCTTGGCTATATGGGCTATTTTTTGGTTCCATATGAAACTTAAAGTAGTTTCTTCTAATTCTGTGAAGGAAGTCAATGGTAGCTTGATGGGAATAGCATTGAATCTACAAATTACTTTGGGCAGTATGGCCACTTTCATGATATTGATTCTTCATATCCATGAGCACATGGGATATTTTTTCATTTGTTTGTGTCCTATCTTATTTCCTTGAGCAGTGGTTTGTAGTTCTCCTTAAAGAGGTCCTTCACATCCCTTGTAAGTTGGATTCCTAGGTATTCTCTTTTTAGCAATTGTGAATGGGAGTTCACTGATGATTTGGCTCTCTGTTTATTATTGGTGTATAGGAATGCTTGTGATCTTTGCACATTGATTTTGTATCCTGGGACTTTGCTGAAGTTGCTTATCAGCTTAAGGAGTTTTTGGGCTGAGATGATGGGGTTTTCTAAATATACAATCATGTCATCTGCAAACAGAGACAATTTGACTTCCTCTCTTCCTATTTAAATACGCTTTATTTCTTTCTCTTGCCTGATTGCCCTGGCCAGAACTTCCAATACTATGTTGAACAGGAGTGGTGAGAGAGGGCATCCTTGTCTTGTGCCAGTTTTCAAAGGGAATGCTTCCAGCTTTTGCCTATTCAGTATGATACTGGCTGTGGGTTTGTCATGAATAGCTCTTATTATTTTGAGATATGTTCCATCAATACCTAGTTTATTGAGTATTTTTAGCATAAAGGGGTGTTGAGCTTTATCGGAGGCCTTTTCTGTATCTACTGAGATAATCATGTGGTTTTTGTCATTGGTTCTGTTTATGTGATGTATTATGTTTATTGATTTGCATATGTTGAACTACAGGCGTGTGCCTGTAGTCCCAGCTAACTTGGGAGGCTGAGGCAGAAGAATTGCTTGATCCTAGGAGACGGAGGTTGCAGTGAGCAGAGATCATGTCATTGCACTCCAAACTGGGCGACAGAGTGAGACTCTGACCAAAAAAAAAAAAAAAAAAAAAAAAAAGCTATTTCCTAAAATAATGCTTAGGAAATTCAAAAGTTTTAAATGTTTGCTACATGATGAAAATCACATTAGTTAGGCTTCAACACCATTGAAATGAACAGCACAGTTCCATCTAAATATCCAGTGGTTTTTGTGTGTGCCTATGTGAGGTGGGATTGGGTAAGCATTTTTTAAGATCATTAAGTTGTACCAGAATCTTATGAAGAAAAGAGAACATTTGCATATTCTGATGTACATGCATAATTCTCAGATGCACACCTTAGAGCCCTTTTGATAATCACTGATTTAGACAAACATATTATGAAATTGAAAAGTACAAATCGAAGCAGAGAAAAAGCTTCGGTCTTCATTTTCTATTTGTTTTATTATAGACAGCTAAACCCCATTTCTCATTTTATTCCCATCCCCAGACATTAACTTTTTCCTCACCTTTTTCTGTAATTTCTCTTCCACAGTATCTTTCCTGTATTTCTTTTTCTTTCCAGTCCATTGGCCTATTATAAATTTTATGAATTAGATGGTTTTATCCTTTCTCCCAGGATTTTGTCAAGTGTTGCAGCAAAGACTCATCTTATCTAGTTTTATCTCCATCTCACTTTAGTCACCTGATTCTTGATTTCTCCATTTGTAAGCCTGTAACTTATCAAATTTATTTACTAAGTATAAGTGCCATCTCTGTCATAACTTGGGCAAACTGTAAAGTAACAGTGGTATAAAAACAGTGTGTGTGTGCCAGGCGCCGTGGCTCACGCCTATAATCCCAGCACTTTGGGAGGCCGAGGCAGGCGGATTACCTGAGGTCAGGAATTCGAGACCAGCCTGGCCAACATGGTGAAACCTTGTCTCTACTAAAAATACAAAAATTAGCCGGGCATGGTGGCACCTGCCTGTAATCCCAGCTACTCGGGAGGCTGAGGCAAGAGAATTGCTTGAGCCCGGGAGACAGAGGTTGCAGTGAGCCAAGATCGTGCCACTGCACTCCAGCCTGGTCGACAGAGCGAGACTCTGTCTCAAAAAAAAAAAAAAAAATAGAGTGTGTGTGTGTTCTGTACTGACTTCAATTCTATCATGTTGCAAATTTTTGGCAAGGTATGTACCTCCTATTTGTAATCAAAGAAACATTGTTGGCCTCCTATCCCACGTTAGAAATCTATAATAGATTAGAAAAGGCTCTGGTGGTGGTATCAGTGGGCCAGCTAACTAACTCTAGTTACAACAGTAAGCCATACTGGCAGAAAGCAGAAGCAATCAAGAGACACACTTAATGGCACATATTAAAATATAGTAAAGGCAGTTGCTATAGGCTAGCTACAGATCAACTCCATTATCCACTGCTATATTTGCTTTCTGATTCTTTCACCTTTCCAGCTGATCTGCTTCCAAGTCATTTTATAACCACCCACTCTTCACTACTCCCCGGAAAAGTTTCATTGTTTAATTTTAAAAGCATTTCTCTCTCTCCCCCTCACTCCCCACTTTTCAACAAAATGTGGAGTTCTGGTCTCAATCATTATGCACACGTAGCTCTTAGTGCTAAAAAGGAACTGTATGTATACTTAAAAAAGAAAATTGAGATTTTTGCCTTCTCACATGTACCCATGTTTAAATAGTGGTAAAGGATGTAATTTCCAGAGTTTTGTAAATATTGAGATTTTAAAATAAGACCTTTACATCAACTCTTTCAACATATTCAACAGATTTAAATATACAGTGATTTAACACTACCATCTATTTAAAAGATATCTTTGAGAAATTTTACACTGCTCTTTTTTTCTCCTTGAATTTGTACTTCTACTCTACTATCCCAATAGAATTTCCTTCTTTCTCTGATCATCTTGTAATAATTCTTAGAAAAATATGCACATATTTTGAAATTTTAAAAAGTGTTCACTCATATGAACATAAGGTTCTAAGTATTACGTTTCTTCTGGATTGAATGAGCATTACAATGATTCATGTACAATTACATAAATGTATTAATGATTTTTGGAAAATATAATTAAACATTAAGGTTATAGAAAGTTCGTTTCTTAATGAGACAGCTGGAATCCTCTTATTAGTCTCCCTCCCCAGTGAATTTTTATAGACATTGTAAACTATTACTTATTGCTACAATTCAATTTTTTAGATTCTATTTCAATTTCTAAAAAAAATTTGTGGAATAAAGTACAGAGAAACCTTGTTCATACAAATAAGCGAGAAGTAATTCTGTTCTAATCATATTCCTCAAGTATTTGAAATCTGTCTATATTATATATCAGGAATGATGACAGATAACAACTGAAAATCTTTTTTAATTGTAACTACTGAGAAAATAAGAATGAAAAAGGCAAATGGTAATTATTATGATCTTCAGACCACACTCAGTAAACTGGTACTGAGTACCAGTTTAATAATAGATGGCTTTAGTGCCATCTATTCTCTCAAACGTAATACCTGTATTTCCCACTGCCCACTTGTTTGATGCTTCAGAGGTAAAGAGGAGTTTGGAGAAGAGAAACTTCCACCCCCATCACAAGTGAATTCTCAAGCAGATCAGTTTTAGGCACTAAAGATCTAGAAATGGGTTTCCTTAAACTATCATTCCTATGTATACCATGCACAACCAAGACATGACATCTCCTGGTTTAAAGAGATTCATTAAATTTAAGAAATTAGTTAACTTTGATCATACAGCATTTAAGTGTTAGAGTAAGATAACAGAAGAGTGAAATGGGAACACAAATATATAATATAAAATAAGATCAAGTTTATCATAAAATGTTATAGATCTTGGAGTTTCCAGTATAAAGGAAGGAAAAATTGTTTAGGATAGAAAATAACTTGGAAGTGAAAGGAGTATGGGGCATTTGTTGGGACAGATCTTTGCTCACGGAAGACTTATGAACAATGTGACATGACAGCATAGGTTGCCCTAGTAGTCAGTCCCTAGGTGTATGTCCCTAGCAACTGCAACGAACTCAAACCCTGTGCGCTTTGCCTTGTAGTGTAATCATGAGGGAAAAAAATGAGAGGTTTGGCATCCACCCCTTGTGATCTGAAAGAATAAAAATATTGGAGGCTTGGTTAAAGTGACACAATGGTTCCAATGGTGCTGCAACATGTTCAGATAAAAAAGCACCTGGAAATCTGTGTTCTTTGTTTCGTTTGGTACTGAAGCTCTTTTCTCAATTTATCAGTATCTGTTCATGTTATCTCTGATGTCTATTATTAAACAGAGAGCTTAATTTTGAGTTTCATAACTATGCATATTTTTCACTGTTAGTGTCTAAAGTTCATAAATACTTTCCCTGATGAATACAAGAACCTCAAAATTTTCACCTACTCTGATCTCTAACTGACTTCCTTACCCATCTTGTCCCCATAACTGCTGAAAGACTAATATTACCTGGAGTTTTAATTCTAAGCCAACAAATTACTTGGCTCTTATTTCTTTTCTTCCCCTTCTTTTCCGTTTTTCTCCCCATTGTGTGGCTATAAAACTATACCCTTTCTTGGGTTCTTTATTTCCTTTTACTAACTATATCTCACTAGTTCCTTCTGGACATACTTTTCTTGCCTGGTGCTTTTCAGAAATAGTGTTGGTACAGTAAGTTTTCTGAGATCTTGTATATGAGCAAATATCCTTACTTCTCCCTCATATTTAAATAAGTTAGTTGGATAAAATCTTAGGTTCAAAGTTAGTTTCCTATTTAGTGGCCTCTTGCATCTAGTGTTGTTGAGAAATCTGTCAGTCTAATTCATGACAGCAAATCAATCTCTTTCTGTTGGCATTTATCACATGTGTTAACAGGATTCTAGACATTAAATTTGCATTAGAAGTACAAATATGTTCTAAATTGTTCTGAAGTACTGCTATAAGTATTCAGAGTATACACAACCTCCAAAAAGAAAAAATAATCCAAAGATTAAGAAATAACATAAAAATACATTAAATTACTGTTAATTAAACTTTAAAAGTTCGTAGTCCAGTTTTCAGTAATTAGGATGCCACTCTCAAGTAGACATATTATTCTTTAACCAATATACCAAAAGGATATACCTCATTGGGGATCAGTTTCCTAATCTATAAAATGAGTAAATATTTGGAAGAGAATTTTATGTAGTGAATTCTCAAGGAATGATACTAACATTTTTCACTTTTGTTATTATCGTTTGGAAACTGTTAATGTCACCGGCTTTGGATTTAAACAGATTTAATACTAGTATATAAACTACTGACTACTAACTTTGTGGAAGTTTTAAATTCCCTAAACTTCAGATTCCCCTCATGTAAAAGGAAGAGATAATGAAAAGTGCTTAACATATTAGCAGATTGAAAGTGCATTATTTGCTACTATTATTAGGTGTGCAGTAATCTAATTGCTTAATTTGTCATATAACCAGTGAGTTTTATCTGAAGGACTCCTGTGTAATTTACAAGATGAAATGAAGAAACTGAAGCCAACTTTAAGGCTTTTATGTCTTTTACTCTGTATGTTCCTCTTCCCTGATGTATCTGTCCACAGTTTTCAGTTTCATTCAAAAATTGGGCAACTGAGTAAAAGAGCTGGCCCATGTATGCAAGTTCCATCAGTGTGGCCAGGTAAAATTATTCTCCAAATTGAAAAATGAGTAATAGAAATGGTAAGAAAAATAATTATTAATTATTTTTTAAAAATTAACTCTATGCAAGGCACAGCCTCTAGAACCACCACAGGAAGAGAGTGAATCTCTGCCTTTTAGAAGCTTCCAATTTCGGGATAAACAAAAAGATAAACAGCAATGTAAAGTCATATGCATTAAATGCTGAGTGGATCTTCTAGCCTGTATGTTCTAAAGAAAATGGAAAAGAGAAAAAAAATTATTGTCTTAGGAAAATAATTGCTTCCAGTACATTTTCAAAGCCAGTTCCACTTTTCCACAGGTCCATCTACTGAAAGATGAAACCAAAACCAACAGAAGACTACAAGGCCATTCAGAACTATTCATAAACTAGTATGACCAATTTCATCAAGTAATCAAGAAACAAAGTTCAAGTTCCTATGACTCTGAAAATTTTACAACACAGGTTCTTTGAGGTCACTTTTCCTATGTTTCAAAAACTGACTATAAAAACAAGTACTTTTCCCCCAACTTTATTGAGAGAAATGCTTTTGCTTTTAATCATATCTAACATTTAAGACAGGTTAAAGAAAGGAAATATCCCTTTTAATTATGGAGCTTTTTAATTACTGTGTGGTTTACAACAGTCTCACTTACAAGTCATCGTCCTTTCAAAACTAAAGCTAGCATCTCTCTTTATAGTATTATTTACTGGCTTCCCTTGCATCTGGCACCCAGGTCAGTGCATAGCAGATCAAACTATAATCTGAGCTCAGATCACAATGAAACAAAAGCCAAGGAAAGCCCAGTTAGCATTACTATATTACTTACAGCATGTAAATAAGCTGAATTAGATAATTTACATTTTATCCTTACATTAATTGAACTTTGCTGTGCAAGCCAGAAAGGTATCTATTAGAAAAAAATATTAAAAGCAAATGAAGCCAACAGATATATAGAGCTAAACAATGAGAACACGCTCTTTTCAAAATTTCCATCAGATCTATAAGGCAGTATAACAGAAAGAAAATGATTACAGTAATTCCTAGAGCAACTGGAAAAGTTGTCAACCCCATAGGTGTAGATTATTCTTGAGTTTTTCTACCCATTTACTGCCTTTTCCCCAGGTATACCACACAAGTTAATTCATTTATCCACTCACTCAACATCTGTGGAAATACTTCCTAGTACTAAACAAAAAGTCTGGGCTAACGAATACAAAGATGAAAACATTATATAGCATTACGATGAAAACATTATATAGCCCTTACAAAACACCAGTAGTCTGTTGCTGGTGAGGCCTGACTTTCTGACTGAAAAGAAGGAAAAATAGATTTAGCTTTCTAAATGTCCTTTCAGGTTAAAGGAAAAAAAAAAAAAAAAGAGAGAGAAGTTTATGCATATCCCTGAATGAAGTCAAGCTTTGGGTTCAGGAGTATTTTTATTTTCTCCCCCATGTATGAAATTTTAAAATCATTCATCCACCGAGAAATGCAAAGCATTACATTCTATTCTTCATGTTTCCACAGATTGGAGACTAACTTTATTAGTATATAATGCCAATTTATTAACATAATTTCTCCTTATTTCCTCTTAGTAACACTTAAGTCATGCCTTCTTTAAACTCTTGTACCTATATCAGCACAAATACTGTACTTAGTTATTTGCCCGAAAATTGGAAAAGCTCATAAGAAGGTGGGTTACTGACAATGGATAAGAGCCATATATACATCAACCATTGCAAATTCCATCAGATCTTGGAAATCCCTAGAAAGAAAGGCACAGATGTGATATACGTTAATTATCAAATTGTGAAAGAGAAAGTAGATGTTGATAGGTCTCCCAAAAGATTATTTATAGTTAATGTAATAGCGACGACTGCTGAAAACTTGCTGAAATATTTTGTAAAACAGGATTACATTTTTTAACATTAGAATTGAAAGGGAAAAATAAAGCAATTGAAGGTACAACAACTTAAAAATTTTAGTGCTAAAGTCGGGTGTGTATCTTTGATAATCTTTCTTTTTTTTTTCTGGAAAAACTAATAATACAGGGTGAATACCCCTTATCTGAATTGCTTGGGACCAGAGTGTTTCAGATTTCAGATTTTTTTTGGATTTTGTAATATTTGCATTATACATACTTACTGGTTTAGGGTTGAGCATCCCAAACCTTAAAATCCAAAATCCTAAATGCTCCAATGAGCATTTCCTTCAAGCATTATGTTAGAACTCAAAAGTTTCAAATTTTGGAGCATTTCAGGTCTTGAATTTTCCAACTTAGAATGCTCACCCTGTAATAGCTATTGCGTCTCAAGGCCTCACTTTACAACAAATTGTAAGCCAAATGATTCGTATAAATTATCTCTTCTGATCCCCTAATATTTCTACAAAAGAGTTATCATTCCTATTTTAAGATCCATGTATACTGCAGATTATTTTTAAGGGAAAAGCAAGTAGTTATGCAATCCTGTATTAGGTAAAGAAGTACTTTTCACAGCCATTCTTGGTTTTCCAGCTGTTGGGAGATTAACCCTGAGAGAGCATCTAAAGAACTACCATTCTCTTAAATTAAAGGCCACAGAATGAAGTGAAGTCTATGACAGATTACCAAAGTTAACGTATCTCAAGTTGTTTAAGAGGGACATGAAATCAACAATGAATAGATTCCTTGGAAATATGACAATTTAAAGATGAAAGAAAATTACTCACATATATAATACAAAATTATATCTGCTTTATCCAAATGTTAGTTTTTCTGATGCTTTCTAAATTAAATATATTTATTTATATGACGAACATTCACCAAAACTTAAGAGTACCAGGAACCATGCTAGACTAGGCCATGAATAAAACATGACTGCTGTCTACCCAGGCCTGTGAAAGACTTTACATCTATGATAGCACTGTAGTAACTACCAAGGCTATATGCATGTGTACTTACATGCATGCATACATACATTCATTCCTACATTTGACAAATGAGTAACTCTATGTAATAAGGTATTGTTCTAGGTCATGTTCAGTGATAATTAGTATCCAAAAACAATTAAAAACTTCACAGTGATACAGATATTTAATGCCAAACAGCCAACCTCTCTTGCTAAATTCTTCGCAAAAATATAACCTATATTCACTGTCAGCTGTCCCAGTTGTGTCTATATAACATTAAAGAAAGGAGGAAAACATCAAGGAGTTTTAGATGATGAGATGAGTCAAAGACCATACGAATTCAAATAGTCAACCTAAAGCTCTAAGGACAATACTGCCAAGGAATGGTCTTAAAATACATATATCCCCCCTTTTAGGAGGGGTCACGTTTGCTACAAAAAAGTGGCAAGTGAGTAAAAAGGCAACCCACAGAATGAAAGAAAATGTTTGCAAATCATCTATCTGATAAGGGATTAATATCCAGAATATATAGGGAATACCTAAAACCCAACAACAACAAACAAAAAACAAACAACCCAGCTCAAAAGTGGGCAAAAAACTTGCATAGACGTTTCTCCAAAGATGCAGATCGAGCCTCTACTTACAACGGAGTTCCATTCTGATAAACCCATCAAGCTCAAAATATTAAATCAAAAAAATATTTAACATACCTACCCTACTGAACATCATAGCTTAGCCCAGCCTAACTTAAACATGCTCAGAATACTTACATTAGCCTACAGGTGGGCAAAACAAATCTGGCAACACAGTACACTATAGAGTAACACTGTTTTTTTGTTTGTTTGTTTTGTTTTGTTTTTGAGACCGAGTCTCGCTCTGTCACCCAGACTGGAGAGTGCAGTGGGGCAATTTTGGCTCACTGCAACCTCCGCCTCTGGGTTCAAGCGATTCTTCTGCCTCAGTCTCCTGAGTAGCTGGGACTACAGGCCCACGCCACCATGCCTGGCTAATTTTAACTTCCTAGTCAATGCAGCAGAAATGTAATATAATTTTTAAAAGCACCCAGAACAACTGGGAGATCAATGCCTACCAGAACAAGCAAGTCCCCTAGTGAAAAATTCCAATTCACCACAAAGTTATTCTTTTTGTTTTGCTAGAAACTTTCTTTTAAAATCATGTCTTTTCTAGAGAACAGACTTTTAAACACATGAAAACAGTAACTATTTTACATTCTATTATCCATGGTAAAAATATGCTGTGGACCTTGCCTGTTATGTCCAAAATTAGTTGCAAATCATGAAATCTCAAAATTGTGTGTTATATTCTAGATGTCATCTCACCAGGACAGAATACTATGAAGTTATTAGTTATGCAATCTAGATGCTATAATTAATGTAGGCTAAAATGACACGAGCATTTTTTTTAGTAGTTTCATGACAATGTTAACTTTTGTTCCATGTGGGGTCAAATTTCCATGTACCACCAAACAAGTAAAATCTTTCTCATCCTACAAGTGTTACTTTAGTGAACTTAAATGTAAAATTTTAGATTTGTTTTCAGTAAACTCCATATTGTGAAAATGTTATATAATGTTAAGATTATTATTACCATGAATATAAAAATTAGTATCTTGTCAAAGTTTAAAAAATGGGAATACACATAGAGCAATGTGATAATAAGCAATCAACTTTAAAAAACAAGTATACAAAGGGTTACCCTTAAGTAGTTTTAAATAAGAAGCAAATTTAATTCAGTATTTTTCAATTGAGAGATTTATAATGCCTGTGGCATTACAAGAAAGAATCGCTTTTTTAAAAAAAAAAAAACCTTATCCTCTAAGGGAGGTGTTGTGACACAGAACAGGTGTGAAGCATTGACTCAATAAATAAGCCTAACATATCATCATATATCAATCATTTAGAAGGCTATTTGCATTATTTTCTATTGTGATGTTGGAATGTAAGTAAAAGAAGAAAACCAGAATTTTAAGCACCAAATCCATTAAGCTATGTACATCTAGCACTCCCAACTACTGAAACTGAAAGCAGATTCAATTTAAAAAATAAGAGTGGTTGACAAAGGATGGATTTTTTCACTTACTCATTCTCCCGTATCAACAGCTTTATTTCCTACCTGTCATTTACTCAACTAAAGGTTAGATATTCTGAAAACAGGTTTGTTTACTTTACATATCAGGATTGAAGGAAAGAAACGAAATATAGTACAGTATTTATTTTCCTGAAACAGTTACCAAAATTTTAGCCTTCAAGAACTATGGTATACCAAAGAAAAGAGTAAATCCCTTGATCTCTCAGTGACCTATCTGTTGATATTTGCCTACTCCTGAGGGCTGCTTGAATACCTGAACAATTTGTTTTATCCTGGAAACCTATTTCTCTGCTATGACTGAAAAATAATGGGTATCAGTCTGAAAACAGAAAAAGCTCATATTAAATAATAGGCTTATAAAATTTAATAGAATGTAGAACTTGAATGATTCAGAAAATCAGTAACCATTCACAAAATAAATGGTTCCCAAAATTGCTCCTATTTATGGCCAAACCATAATGTAATAATGTGGCAATTTTTGTAAAGCATGTAATGCAACATAAGTTTTGACTTAAATGAAAGATAAAAGTACACCTCATAATGACTAGTCATTAATCCAGGTATTGCTTTATCAATCTAATACCCTGAAACTTACTGAGTATCTTAATTCACTAATATGAAGTTTAAATTGCCACTGAAGTATATTCTTTATTACTACATTTGTAAAACTAGAATTTACACTGTTACCTGTGGCTTTTCCAAATCAAAATTCTAACTGACAGATGGATCAAGTTTTAATCTTCAAATATTGGTGCTGATTTTCTCAAATCTTTAAAAGTTATTTGATTCCAGAAAGAAAGAAAAAATAAATAAAAGATGGTTGTGTCTGAGACCTGAGGCTATTAAGAAAGAAAACAAAACTACAGGTTGGTTAAAGGAAGTCTGTAGAATTATTTCCCTACTGGTTTTAATGAATGTTTCTGAATGACCTTTGAGTACCAGTTCATTAAGAACAAGACAGTGATTGCTACAGAATCAGGAAAGGGAATGCAAAGAGAAAGTTGCCAAATTCAAAGGCTTTTAAAGTATTTTCACTCTATGTACTTGGAAATAATTTGTTTCATAGGCATCAAGCTTTTGTCTTAATATTTACATCTGTTTTATCTCCTCATTCAAGAAAAGCTATAATATAATCAAAGTTACAGAAGAAACAGATAGCTATTAAAAATTCCAAAATTTAAATACCTCTTAAAACCACATGGTTAATAGGAACATTTTAGGTGGATAATGTAAAGAGTATTCCCATTTCACTGGTAAGGTTTGAGTCTGATTAAAAATTCTAGTTCTTTGATATACATATATTTTATACATATACATGTATATGTGTTTCTAAATTTGAATTTATTCAACTCTGGTATCCTAAGAAAAAATGTAAATCTTATTTTTGTTATTATTATTCACTAATAGTATAAAGTATGGTTCCCAGTCTGTCGGTTGTAGGCTCCTGGGCTTGAAGACCTATAAATACCAAATATTACCTTAAAAAAATGAAAAAGTATATTTTGAATATATTTATTTTTTTTCCAAATGTTAAGTGTACGCTGTTATGATTACAAAAAATAGATAATTAAAGTGTTACACAACTTGCAGTAGTATTTTCCCATAAGGTATTTTTAAAATTACACTGAAAAAATTTAACTGCAATTATGTGGGAATCACAAATTGTTTTGATTCCAAAACTAGTTCAACAATATCAAAAATGTTTAAAGTTTCTGGAATACATTTAAGAGCTATCTTAAGAAGTATGAAATATGTCTTAAAAATGAGAAAATAGTAAGCTTTTATGACAATGAAATTAGAACACTCAAAGAATGTGTAAATTTAGAAGTCATACATACTTAGAGGTTTGTCATAAACATAACTATTATCTTAAGTAAAATACAGGCAGTAGCATTGTGGTCAAATGTGCAGACCCCAAAACCAGACTCAGAGTACAAATTGCAGCTCTGCCACTTAGCTGTGTTACCTGGGGCAATGAAATCTCTTTGCAAGTCAGTTTTCTTATCTATATCAACAATCTCATACTGAATTTAGGAAATATCCCAAGAAAGGAGGCATGGACATAACGTTATTTTCCATATAATTGCACACTATAGGCTGAAATTAATATAGAATAAAACAAATAATTAAAGGATGCATAACAAGCAGTACAGAAAAGATTAAGAGAAGTGTGGGCTAAAAGGCAACTTAATGTTGTCCTTTGTGGCAGACACCCAGCTGTCATCAAATATCCATTTTCCCTATCTTCTTGACCTAGATCATTGTAAGGGTTCTATACTAATGTATAGAAACTTCAAGTGATAAAATATTAACTCTAAGTAGACTGTGAAAACTTAGATGTGAATATTGTAATTGCTAGAGCAACACACAAAACAAAGAAATTTTAAAATGCCAGTAAATGAATTAAAGTAATAAAAAATATTCCAATAATTCAAAAGAAGGCAGAAAAAGGAAAACCGAAGAATGAAAAACGGAAGCAAACAGCAAACAATAAAGTCACAGACATAAACCCAAACATATGGAAATTTATACTAAATGGTATAAACACAACTTTAAGAAACCTGATTAAGACTGTACAGCAAACAAGATACAAATTGAATGCTATCTATATGAAAGTCAACTGTAATAAAATAATACATACATGTTAAAAGAATGTAAAATGAGACCACGTGATCACCAGCAAAAGAAAAGTGGATTGATTGTGTTAAAATCTGAGGAAGTTAGATGTCAGAATACAAAAATTACCAAGAGATGTAGAGGGTGCAACAATTGATAAATGTGAATGCATCTAAGAATAGAGCTTCAACACAGATGAAGCAAAGCTGAAGAAAATGAAAGGAGAAATAGAGAAATCCACAATTACACTTGGAGACTTCATCATTTCTCTCTCAGGAACCAAAAGAATAGACCAAATAGAAATTCTTCAAGAATATCAAATACATGAATAGCAGCATAATCAACCAAAGTGACCTAAATCAGGGGTCATCAACCCCCGGGTTGTGGATCAGTACCAGATTGCAGCCTATTAAGAACTGGTCTGCACAGCAGAAGGTGAGCAGCAGACAAGCAAGCAAGCATTACTGCCTGATCAGCCGCACCGTTAGATGCGCACTCATAGAAGTGTGAACCCTACTGTGAATTGTGCGTGCAAGGTATCTACGTTGTGTGCTCCTTATGAGAATCTAATGCCTGATCTGAAGTGAAATAGTTTCATCCCGAAACCAACCCCCGCCCCACACCTGTGGAAAAATTGTCTTTCACAAAACTGGTCCCTGGTGCCAAAAAGGTTGGGGACCACTGACTAAATGACCTCTATAAAACACTGCACCCAACAACAGACTACATTCTCTTTTTTTCTTTTTTTTTTTTTTTGAGATGGAGTTTCACTTTTGTTGCCCAGGCTGGAGTGTAATGGCATGATCTCGGCTCACTGCAACCTCTGCCTCCTGGGTTCAAGCGATTCTTCTGCCTCAGTCTCCCAAGTAGCGAGGATTACAGGAATGTGCCACCACGCCCAGCTAATATATATTTTTTTTTTTTGAGACGGAATTTTGCTTTTGTTGCCCAGGCTGGAGTGCAGTGGTGCGATCTCGGCTCACTGCAAGCTCCACCTCTCGTGTTCACGCCATTCTCCTGCCTCAGCCTCCCAGGTAGCTGGGACTACAGGCGCCTGCCACCACCCCAGCTAATTTTTTTGTATTTTTTTTTTTAGTAGAGACGGGGTTTTACCATGTTAGCCAGGATGGTCTCGATCTCCTGACCTCGTGATCCGCCCGTCTAGGCCTCCCAAAGTGCTGGGATTATAGGGGTGAGCCACCGCACCTGGCCTAATTTTGTATTTTTAGTAGAGACCGGGTTTCTCCATGTTGGTTCGGCTGGTCTAAAACTCCCGACCTCAGGTGATCTGCCTGCCTCAGCCTCCCAAAGTGCTGGGATTATAGGCGTAAGCCACCGCACCCGGCCAACAGACTACCTTCTTTAAAAGAGCACACAGAACAGTCGACAAGTTAGGACAATGTCGTGGGTGATCATAAAACCCACATATTAATTTACATAAATTAATAAATGTAAAGACTAAAATCATACAAAGCATGTTTTCTTACTAGAATGATTAAATTATTAGTTAAAGACACTGAGTTACTGAAAAATTTCCAAATATTTGGAAATTACAAATCTTTTACTTCCTTGTTTACTAATTGTTTTACTTATTTTTTCATACTATTGTAAATGAGATTGTTTTCTTAATTTTTTTCAGACAGTTTGTTGTTAGTGTAAAACAAAATGCTACTGGTTTGTGTAGGTTGATTTTGTACCCTGCAACTTTATTGGGTTTATGAATTCTAGCAGTTTTGGGTGGAGTCCTTAGGATTTTCTATATATAGCTGTCCCTCAGTATCTATGAGGGATTAGTTCCAGGCAACCTGGAGGATACTAAACTCCATGGATGCTCAAGTCCTTTATATAAAATGGCATAGTATTTGCATATAACCTATGCCTATCCCATATACTTTAAATGATCGCTAGATTACTTAAAATACCTAATACATGTAAATGCTATGTAAACGTTGTTATACTATATTGTTTGATGAAGAGTGACAAGAAAAAAGTCTGTAGATATTCAGCAGGCATAACTATCCATTTTTTTCTGAGTATTTTCAATCTGTGGTTGGTTGAATCCAAAGATGCAGAACCCACAGATACAGAGGTGTAACTGTATAAGATCATGTAGTCAGCAAACAAAGATAATTTCACTTCATCCTTTCCTATTAGGATGCCTTTTATTTCTTTCTCTTGTCTAATTGCTCTGGCTAGGACTTCCAGAACTATGTTCAAAAGAAATGGTGAGAATAGGTAAGCATCTTGTATTGTTCATGATATTAGAAAAAAAGCCTTTAGCTCTTCAGTATTGAGTATGCTGTTAGCTGCAGACTTGCCATATATGGCCTCTACTGTGTGGAGGAACATTCCTTCTGTACCTAATTTGTTAGATTTTTAATCATGACAGGATGCTGAATGTTGTTAAAGGCTTTTTCTGCATCTATTGAAATGATCATGTAGTTTTTGTCCTTCATTCTGTTAATATGGTAAGTCACATTTATTGATTTGCTTATGTTGAAGCAATCTACATTCCAGGAATAAATCCCACTTGATCTACTGGTAAATGATCCTTATAATGTACTATTGACTATGGTTTGCTAGTATTTTGTTGAGAATTTTTACATCAATGATCATCAGGAATACTGGCCTATAGTTTTGTTTTGTAATGTCTTTGTCTGGCTTTGGTAAGAGGGTGATTCTGGCCTCATAAAATGAGTCTGGAGGTATTCCCTCCTCTTCAATTTTTCAGAAGAGTTTGAGGAGGATTAGTATTAGCCCTTCTTTAAACGTGTGGTAGAATTCAGCCATAAAGTCATGTGGTTCTGGGCTTTCCACTGATGACAGACTTCTACTTACTGAGTCAATCTCCTTACTAATTATTGGTCTGTTCAGATTTCCAATCTCTTGATTCAGTTTTGTTATGTTAAATGTTTCTATCCATTTTTCTAGGTTACATGATTTGTTGACATATAATTGTTCATAGTAGTTTCTTATGATCCTTTGCAAAAAAAAAAAAAAAAATCCTAAAATTCATATGGAATCACAAAGGCCCAGAATAGTCAAAATAATCTTGACCAAAAAGAACAAAGCTGGAAGCATCACACAAACAGATTATAAAATATACTGCAAAGCCATACCTAGCATCAAAACAGACACATCAACGAATGGAATAGGACAGAGAGAGCAGAAATAAATCCACATGTCTATAGTCAATTGATTTTTGATGATGATGCCAAGAACATACAATGGGGAAAGGACAGTCTCTACAATAAGTGATGACGAGCAAACTGAATATCCACATATAGAATAAAAATGGACCCTTTTCTCACCCCTTATACATGAATCAAGTCAAAATAAATTGAAGACTTAAGCAGAAGACCTGAAAATAAAACTACTAGAAGAAAACCTAAGAGAAAAAGCTCCACAGACAGAGATTTCTTGGATATAACCTCAAAAGCACAGGCAATGAAAGCAAAAATAAACCAATGGAACTGCATTAAACTAAAAAGCTTCTGCACACCAAAGAAACAATAGAGTGAAGAGAAAAACCCCAGATTGGGAGAAACATATGCAAATCATACATCTAATAAAGAGCTAATATCTAAAATATACAAGGAACTCAAACTACTCAATATCAAGAGAACACATAACCCTATTAAAAACTGGAAAGAACTTCAATACACATTTCTCAAAAGATACACAAAAGTCCAACAAATACAAGTGCTCAATATCTCTAATAATGAGAAATGCAAATTAAAACCACAATGAGATGTCACCTCACATCTGTCAGACTGGCCATCAGAAAGATGAAAGACAGTAAGTTTTGGCAAGGATGTGAAAACTAGGGAATCCTTATCCACCGTTAGTGACACTGTAAATTAGTAAAGCCATTTAAGAAAACAATATAAAGTGATATTGTAAATTAGTATAGCCATTTAAGAAAACAATGTCTAGGTTACCCAAAGAAGTAAAAACAGAATGACCATATGATTCAGCAATCCCACTACTGGGTATTGTAAAAGGTATCAGAATCAAAATGAAGTCACCTGTGTCAAACTCAAACAAAAAATATATATAAATAAAGCTAGGAGTTTACAAAGGGAGGCCACACACACACACACACACACGCACACGCCTATGATAGGAACTATAACAGACACTGTATGAAGGACTCTTAGGCACATATGCCTGTAACCACAACGTTCTAAACTGCAGATTGTTACAGGAGTCACAAGGACAGCTAGCCAGATGCACAAGAACACTTGCCTGACACAGTTTCCACTAAAGAACTGGTGTCAGCTCCTGTGATAAGCCCCGTAACCAATGTTGTCATTGTTTCAAAATAAACTACTACTTTTCTCCTTTACCTTTAAAAGCATCCCCTTGCCTGAACCTCTTTGGATATGCCTGTGGTCCCCATAGGCTGCATATCCCAGAACTGCAAATCCTCTATGCAGTCTCGAACAAACCCATTATCTTCGGAGAACCTCTCTGCCTGCTATTTAGGTTGGCAATGTATACACAAAGGATTGAAATCGGCTGGGCGCAGTGGCTCACGCCTGTAATCCCAGCACTTTGGGAGGCCTAGGCGGGCGGATCATGAGGTCAGGAGATCGAGACCATCCTGGCTAACACGGTGAAACCCCGTCTCTACTAAAACTACAAAAAATTAGCCGGGCGTGGTGGTGGGCGCCTGTAGTCCCAGCTACCGGGGAGGCTGAGGCAGGAGAATGGCGTGAACCCAGGAGGCGGGGCTTGCAGTGAGCCAAGATCGCACCACTGCACTTCAGCCTGGGCGACAGAGCGAGACTCCGTCTCAAAAAAAAAAAAAAAAAAGGATTGAAATCATTATGCGGAAGAGATGCGGAAGAGATGCCTTCACTTCCATGTTCATTGAAGCATTATTCACAATAGCCAAGCTATGGAAACAACCTGTGTCCATTGACAGAGAATGAATAAAGAAAATGTGATGTGTGTGTACACATGCAAATATATATGCACATATATATATATATATATGTACACACATCATGTTTTCTTCGTCCATTCTTCTATCAATGAACACTGGTTGTTTCCATAGCTTGGCTATTGTGAATGTACATATATGTATACACACACACACACACACAAATATAATTCAGCCATAAAAAAGAAGGAAATCTTGCCATTTGCGACAACATGGATGAACTCTGAAAACATCACGCTAAGTGAAATAAGCCAAACACAGAAGGACAAGTACTACATGATCTCACTTATATGTGGAATCTAAAAAACAGCTGAACTCCTATTAACAGAGAATAGAATGGTTGGGACCTAAGGGTTGGGAAAAGTGCGATATTAGTCAAAGGATACAAACCCTCAGCCACAAGATGAATAAGTATTAAAGACCTAATGTAGAGCATGGTGGTGACTACAGTTAATAACAATGTATATGTGTCTGTGTATATAAACATCATGTTGTACACTCTAAAGATATGCAATTTTTGTTTGTCAATCATACTTCAATAAATCTGGGGGGGAAAAGGCCAAGAAGCACATGAAAATATAGTGAAAATCACTAATCATTAGGGAAGTACAGATCACAATCACAATGCATGTCGCCTCATACCCATTAGGATACATACTATCAAAAAAGAAAAAAGAAAAGAATCAGAAATTTAAAACCTTGTTCCCACTATTGGAATGAATATAAAATGGTGCAGCTGCTGTGGAAAATAGTATGGCAGTTATTCAAAACATTAAAAATAGAAATACTATATGATCTAGCAATTTCACTTCTGAGTACATATCAAAAAATTGAAAGCAGATCTCAAATAGATATTCACACACCATGTTTGTAATACCACTATTCATAATAGCCAAGAGGTGGATACAACCTAACTGTCCATCTACAGATGAATGGATAACAAGATGTGGTATATACATATAATAAAATATTCAGCCTCAAAAAAGAAATTCTGATACATTATATAACATAAAATAATCTTGAGGACGTTATGCTAAATTAAAATAAGCCAGTTACAAAAGACACATACTGCACAATTCCACTTATATGAGGTATCCAGAGCAGTCAAATTCATAGAAACAAAGTAGAAAGGGACTGGGGGGAGGAGGTAATGCAGAGTTGTTTAATGGGTACAGATTTTCTGTTTTCCATGATGAAAAAGTTTTGGAGGCTGTGCAACAATGTGAATATACTTAATACTACTAAACTGTAAACTTAGAAACTGCTAAGATAGAAAAGAAAAATAAACAGTTAAGATGGTATCTTTTATGTTATGTGCTTTTTTACCGCAATAAAAAAATAATTTTAAAAATCCCCATAGGAGACATTATACATAAGTAAAGAGTTGATTTTAAAAAAGGAAATTGTACTTCTTCAAAACTAAAATTTTTTGCTCTGTGAACTACAGTGTTAATAAAAAGAAAAGACAAGCTACAGATTAAGAGAAGGTTTGTAATATGCTCGATAAAGGATTTTGATCCAGAATACGTAAAGAAAACAACCCATTGAAAGGGTAAAAATTGATCCAAAGAAAACATTTCACCAAAACAAAATGTTCAAATTACAAATAAGCAAATGAAGAGATGCCTGATATTGCTGGTAATAAGAGCAATGCAGATTAAAACCACAATAAGATAATACTATATAACTAACAGAATGATTAAAACTAAAGAAAAAAAAAACACTGACAATAACAAGCACTAGCAAGTATGCAGGGCACCTGGAATGCTCATATATTGTTGGTGGGAATATAGTTCAGGCAATCTGGAAAGTAATAGGGCAGTTTATATAAAATTAAGCATACAGTTAATTACCCTATGATTCAGTAAATCCACTCCTAGAATCATATTAGATATAAGAAGTTTTGTTCACATAAAAACCAGTCTGTGAATGTGTACTGCAACATTCTTCATAGCAAAAGCTGCAAACAATCTAAAATGTCCTTTATTGTTTATTATGTATAAACAAACTGTAGTGCATCTATATAGCGGAATAATACCCAATAATAAAAAAGGAACAAACTACTGATACAGTAACACAGACGAATCTCGAAAACATGTGAAATAAAAGAGGTTATACTCAAAGATGACATGTGCATGATTACATTTATATGACATTTGGGAAATGGGCAAAACTACAGGACAGATCAGTAGTTGCCAGGGGTCAGTGGTGGAAAGAAGACATCCCACCAGTGGTGGCTGCAAGAATAAATTTTTGGAGTAAATAAATTGTTTTGCATTGTGATTGTGTTGGTGGTTACCCAATTCTATGCATTTATCAAAACTGACAGAACTGAACCTGGCATCGTGTCTCACGCCTGTCATCTCAGTACTTTGGGAAGCTGAGGTGAAAGGACTGCTTGAGGCCAGGAGTTTGAAACCAGCCTCAGCAACATAGAGAGACCTCATATCTACATAAATTAAAAAATATATATATATTAGCTGGGAACTGTGGCCTGCACCTATAGTCCCTGCTACTTGGGAGACTGAGGTGGGGGATGGTTTGAGCCCAGGAGTTTGAGGTTGCAATGAGCTATGATTGCACCACTGCTCTTCAGTCTGGGCAACAGAGTAAGACCCTACCTCAAAAACAAAACAACAACAAAAAACCTCACATAACAGTTACCAGCTATGTTGGTCAAGTTTCTTAACCATCTGTGTTTCAGTTTCTCACGTGTATGATCAAGGATGGTAATAGAATTTACTTCATAAAATTAAGATTATATAATTATATATATAATTTAGAACAAAATTTAAAAACATGTTGAACTGCAAGTGCCTTTGAGACATGTAAGTAGATGGTTGAATCGGTCAGAGCAAAGATCTGAGCTGAATTAGGCACTGAATCACAGCTGACAACTGAAGCCATGGATGTGGATGAGAGAAGATGGGTCCCGTGCCCAGCCTTGACAAACTGCAACATTCTGTGGCTAGGCAGACCAGAATAAATATGTAAAGGAGTCAAGGAGGACAAAGAAATAGAAGAAAAATTAGGTATTACTGTGTCACGTAAAACAAAGAGGAATGTTTCAAAGAGGAAGGAGTGGACAATGACAGCTGATGGTGCTAACAGGTAATCGCAGAGACTGTTAGTTTTTCTCTTTAGTAATGAAACCCCTGAGTTAAAGCCAAATTTAAATCCCAGCCCCTCAAAATAGAGAATATATTTATTTTACAGCCTCTCTTGCAGCTGAATATTACCTTGTAGCTAAGATTAGCCAATGGGATGTAAATGATAGCTGCAATTTATGGGTTATGCTCTTAAACGGCAGGGATGAGCTATTACCTTATCTCCTAATTCTTGTTGACCTGAATGAGAACCCAACTAATGTGACAGTGAGATACTTTTTACCATGTGGCCTAAGGGATGGCACAGAAGTAATCTGAATTTCTGATACCATGAAACTACCATATTAGTTAATACTTGTTTGAATTACTTAGCTCTTTTGTCTTAAAGTATTGCCTTTAAGATTTTTAATTGAAAATGCAGTAGCCTCCATATTTCAGAATTCATCAGAGCAGATTTATGAAAACAGGTCTATATGAAGGATAATGTCCCACATATTTTTAAGCAAATACTTTAACAAAGGATACAACATATGACATGCATTAACAATGCAAGAACTTCAAGATGAAAAAAAGCATATAATACTTTTCTAAAGTTTGAAAATTATTAACAAGCATTTTAAACCTTGTATTTGGAGACTCTTACAGATAATTCTCCATTTTGCTGGGTTTTAGAGTGAGAGCTGAAGTACAAAATCACTGTAAGTAATAATGATGGGAGTACTAAAGAAGAAGAAGAAAAAGAACCACTGACCCAGAAATCACACACAGGTCTAGTCTGTGATGTCTGTTTTGTCAATTATTTAAGGGTTTAACCATAATCATTTTTTTTTCAGTCACTGAACAGAAACATCAGTATAATTTTAAGTGAACTCTCAGCTATAATAATTAAGTATATAAAAATCCATTCACTAGAATATTCAATGTTAACACTACACAACAGCTTTTCATATGTCTTAATGACTCACATTAAATAATAAAATTTAAAAACTCCAACTCTAACTTTAAAAAAAATTTGTGTTCTAACAACAATCTCCCCAAATTACTTCTTGGGTAGATGTTTCGGATGGTTGTTGGAGATGCTGCATTTTTTTAAGCCTGTAGAGAATTACCAAAAGCCTGACTCAAGTATCAGAAAAAGTTTAAACTAAGAAAACAAAAAGCAACAATTATTAAATCTGTTTTTATGTTTACCCTGAGATACTTCTACCAATAATTTCCCACAAACTACCAGGGAGATACTTCTTTCTCAGACACAATGGTTTTTTTCCCAACTAAATGCATTTCTGAACTTAAACGCATGAAAAGTTAATAAACGGAAGGAAAAGCAAATTCAGAGCTGTCATTTTAAAATTATATTCTTAAAGGGTTTAAGGGTATCATTTGTGGAACACAAAGAGATTTCCTTCTCAACAACATTCCAGGACATCACTCTTTCCTGCCTACCAGCAGACAAGATTATACTTGTCTGGTATGTCAGTAAAGTATTTACACAAAGACAGTTTTTCAGAATCTTCTCATTGTGAACACAAAACAGGAAATACAGTAATACCATCAGTATATGTTAAACACTGTTTAGTATAAACTGTATTTTTTCCTTAATGAGTACTAGCTTAACCTCCAGGAGGAAGAGGTGAAAATAAGCACATCTAAAAACACATTATCACTAGTTGTTTGCAGCCAGCCAAAGAAAAGGTTAAGGAAGAAAAACTCAATAAAACTTTCCAAACTACATTTTAGTTAGTGTTATACTATAGCCTCTAATAAAAACTCATTTTTCTCAAGTTCATAGGGGAAAATAAAGGTATTCCATAAAAGTTAATATTTTTGAATAAAAAATAGCCTAATTAATAACAGGCAATTTAACAGAAATACTGCTTCTGAGGCAGAAAAAACAAATTTCTATGTAAAGTGGCCATCCATCAAAAACACCAAATAATAAAGCATTTCATGATCTAAAAAAATTAATTCCTTTTATTTAAATTTATTAAAAAAAACTGTTTACCTTCCGTGGCTAAACAGTAATACAATTCTATCAGCTTACCAACTGAAGAGCTTTGAAATGTATTTACAAACTGATTATATAAAGTACAGCTTGTGTCCTAAGCAGAAAAACACAGAGAAAATTTTAATTTCCCATAAGATAGTTGAATGAACTATGGTTTGACTGCCCTCTGCTGATGTGAAATTTTTACAACTATAAAAACTGATATGATAAAACTGTGATATTATGATTTTAAAATAACTGTTTCTACTCAGATCCTGGTTTCATTATTGACTTCCTGTGAAAACTAAAGAGATTTAAATATTTAGCTTCTGTGTCTTATGTTTATTTATTTTTAGAGACAAGAGTCTCACCCTGTCACCCAGGCTACAGAGCAGTGGCAAGATCACGGATCACCATAGGCCTCAACCTCTAGGATCTAGCTAGCAATCCTCCTGCCTCAACCTCCTGAGTAGCCAGGGCTACAGCTGATTTTTCAATTTTTGTAGAGACAAGGTCTCCCAAAGTTTCCCAGGCTGGTTTCAAACTCCTAGCCTTAAGTGATCCTCCTGCCCCAGGCTCCCAAAATGTTGGGATTACAGGTGTGGGCCACTGCACTTGGCCATGTAGTCTTATTTTTAATTAACGGGCAAAATTCATGAAACAACTATTATCTGACGGCTATCAAAAATATGATTTGATCTCTGTATTAGTTCCTTCTCATGCTGCTAATAAAGACATACCCAAGGCTACTGGGTAGTTTATAAAGGAAAAAAGTTTAATTGACTCATAGTTTGGCATGGCTGGGGAGGCCTCAGGAAACTTACAATCATTGTGGAAAAGTAAGCAAACACATCCTTCTTCACATGGTGGCAGGAAGGAGAAGAATGAGAGCAAAAGGGGAAAAGCCCCTTATAAAACCTTCATATCTCATGAGAACTCACTGACTATCATGAGAACAGCACGGAGGTAAGCACCCCCATGATTCAATTACCTCCCACCAGGTCTCTCCCATGACATGTGGGGATTATGGGAACTATAATTTGAGATGAGATTTTGGTGGGGACACAGCCAAACTGTATCAATCTCTCTGACCTCAAGATACTTACATGTTATTAGAAAGACAGGAAAAACCTGGAACACATGAACTATTAGAGAACATCAAGAACTAAGCTAGGTGGTACAGAAGACAAGTAAGCTAGAGAAAAAAGATTTGTAGAGCCAATTTAGTAAAAACTAAACAAAACCTCAAAAATAAAAAATTCATGGAAAAGGCTGTTAAGACAGGCAGTCAAGGAAAAGTAATGAGCATGGTTTTAGATGAAAGAGGAGGAGACAAAATAAGCAAAAGCCTGGAGAAAATAATGAATGTATAATAGTACGTGCATATCACATGACTACCAGAAGACATAATTGCCAAGATAAAAGGTAAATGTTCAGTGAAAACAGAAAATACTATAATGGTAAGATGCTGCATGGGGTATGGGCAACTTTTGCAAAGTGAAAAAGCCAGAATGAAGAGCTGGACTTGATGAGGCAAACAAGGAGTCCCTGTATGTTCCTTAACAGTATATCACTCCTTTAGGAAGAATACTATAAAACAGAATGAATATGAAATGGTGGAGAAAGAGACTGAAGGCAGAGAAACGAGTCAAGAGGCAATGGCAGTAATAAAGGAAATAACTCAACCAGAAGAGTAATGGTAATAGAGCAGAAAAAAGAAATTGAGATAAAATAATTGAGATTTCAAATTTTGAATTATAAAACAAAACCGGAGGCTGGACTGGATTCAGATTTTTGTTTAAATATTTGCCATATTAAGGTGATTATTAAATTCCACTGAAATAAAAGAGTACTAGACTCAGAGTCAGCAGAAGGGAAAAGTGTCATGTCATCAAAGCTAATAGGGTACAGGGTTTCAAGATACAGGTACTCAGCAGGATAAAATTTATGGAATTGAACACAGTAAGAAAGGAAACCATTAAATTTTGTTCAGTAGTCACTGGTGACTTTCACAAGTTCACTTTTAATATATTTGGTCTGTGAGGAGAAACTAGGGAGCTAAAATTTTTAAAATTGAGATGAGCTACAGAAACTAGATGGAACAATTAACTTTAGGCAAAAAATGTCCTTCTCTGACAGTGTAGGAAAGGAGCAGCAGATAATAATAGAGCCAAGTTATGTCTTGTTAATGATGGGGATACATAAGGAAGTTCATGGCAAATGGTCTTAATTATCTCTGTAAATCAGTTTCCAAGCTCATCTGGAAGCCCTGAAAGAAGAATGATAAATTAATATTTGAGAACAATTTGATACTGTCTTTCTAGCTAGAAGTCAAATTTCTACTGGAGATGTCCAGTCTCAAGAGATGGCTCCATCTAGACACGACTTCTCATTTTTCTGTACGTGTCTAGAAAAATCTATGTACATTTCATAAAAAATTTCAAAGCTGACCCATTGTTTCCTATACATACAAGTATAGACTTTCCATACTTTGTTTATGTGAACACATCTGGAATAAAGCATCCAACTCAAGAGCAGGCCATTTTCATATACCCAAGGTAAAGGTGTTCGTAAGAACTCATGGAAAAGTAATATGTTTCCTGGTGATTGTTTTAGAATCGCCAAACAAAACCAGAGAAATAATAATTTCTTAATTTTATGTTACATTTTCTTTGTAAAATAATTTCTGTCAAAAGAAGTATAATACTCGAAGTTAGATTTCAATTCATTCATTCACTTACAGAGCAAATCATTTGGAATGCCTCTGACCCAAGTTAACTATTTTGTGACACTGTAATTTCAGTTTTAAAAAACTTCATAATAAAGAAATTTCCTCTTAAAGTTCATATTCACCAAATAATGAAATACATGTCAGGTATGCAGTGGTCCAATAAGAACATGGTTTTTTTTGTTGTTGTTTTTTTAATACTTTAAGTTCCAGGGTACATGTGCACAACGTGCAGGTTTGTTACACATGTATACATGTGCCATGTTGGTGTGCTATACCCATTAACTCGTCATTTACATTACGTATATCTCCTAATGCTATCCCTCCCCTCTCCCCACACCCCACAACAGGCCCTGGTATGTGATGTTCCCCTTCCTGTGTTCAAGTGTTCTCATTGTTCAATTCCCACCTATGAGTTAGAACATGAGGTGTTTGGTTTTTTGTCCTTGCAATAGCTTGCTGAGAATGTTGGTTTCCAGTTTTATCCATGTCCCTACAAAGGACATGAACTCATCATTTTTTATGGCTGCATAGTATTCCATGGTGTATATGTGCCACATTTTCTTAATCCAGTCTATCACTGATGGACATTTGGGTTGGTTCCAAGTCTTTGCTATTGTGAACAGTGCTGCAATAAACATACGTGTGCATGTGTCTTTATAGCAGCATGATTTATAATCGTTTGGGTATATACCCAGTAATGGAATGGCTGGGTCAAATGGCATTTCTAGTTCTAGATCCTTGAGGAATTGCCACACTGTCTTCCACAATGGTTGAACTAGTTTACAGTCCCAACAACAGTGTAAAAGTGTTCCTATTTCTCCACATCCTCTCCAGCACCTGTTGTTTCCTGACTTTTTTTTTTTTTTTTTTTTTTTTTGAGACGGAGTTTCACTCTGTCGCCCAGGCTGGAGTGCAGTGGCGCGATCTCGACTCACTGCAAGCTCCGCCTCCCGGGTTCACGCCATTCTCCTGCCTCAGCCTCCCGTGTAGCTGGGACTACAGGCGCGCGCCACCATGCCCGGCTAATTTTTGTATTTTTTTTTTTAGTAGAGACGGGGTTTCACCGTGTTAGCCAGGATGGTCTCGATCTCCTGACCTCGTGATCCACCCGTCTCGGCCTCCCAAAGTGCTGGGATTACAGGCGTGAGCCACCGCGCCCGGCCGTTTCCTGACTTTTTAATGATCGCCATTCTAACTGGTGTGAGATGATATCTCATTGTGGTTTTGATTTGCATTTCTCTGATGGCCAGTGATGATACTTTTATTGCAGAGTATACCAGATATTTTGAGGTAAGCCCTGTTCTTCTTCATGACTACACATTCTGAATGTTACAAAAAAATTGATATGAGATGTTATCACTAATATTTCCTAGAAAAACATAAAAGATCATCAAGAACTTGTATTTGTAAAATAATTAAAGTGGTAAAGTTAAAAGATTAAAGTGCTACACTGACTACATGTCTAACTTAATAAACCAAACTAAGTTCTCTCTAAAGTTAAATAGGCAGGAACTTGATAACATCTTTTTCCTTTTCAAATGAAAAACATTATATGATATTATTAAATAAAATTTCAGAAAAAAAAGCAGCAAGACTTATCAAGAATTTAATCACTATTTGACTACCAGTGTTGGTTGCCTGTGGATCTCCAACCATTGTTTTATGCTCTGAATATTATCCTCTAGTCTCTTATATGAACACATTTTTATAGCAGTAGTTATATTTTATGATTTTTAAACAGCTTGTGCAATTAAATGTCAGTTTTCCACTTTCATACTAAAGTAAAATAGATTTTCTTGAGGCAACTGCCTTTTGAAAAACAATAATAAAAGTTCCTCTGACAAAAGCTTTCCCTGCAAAAATACAAAGTTAAAAGGTCAATTTTCAGAAAGGAAAATTGATAAAATAATGGAAAACACAATTTTTAATCTAAAATACAAAGCACATTTTTATCTACACTGCAAGTAGGATAAACACATGTGGATAAAGAGCAGATGTGGATTTCCAAATACTATCCACAACCTAATATGCTGTCAAAAAAAAAAAACAAAAAAACAGATGACATGGCCAAAAAAAAAAGTAGTTTTCTATTCCATTTATTAAAGGAGATTAGTATAAAGGCAAAAAGATAGCCCTATGAATAGAAAGAACAGTTTATCAATACACTGTCAATTTCTGGTATTTTCCTTCATTAATTACCACTGCATTAGAAAACAAAAGTAATGAACAGTCCCTGACTTACAATGATTTGACTTTGGAGTTTTCAGCTTTATGATAGTGTGAAAGTGATACATGTTCAGAAGAAACCTTACTTTGAGTACCCATACAACCATTCTGTTTTTCACTTTCAGTACAGTATTCAATTAATTACATAATATATTCAATAGTTTATTATAAAACAGGTTTTATGTTAGGCTATTTTGCCCAACTGAAGGCTAATGTAAGTGTTGAGCACATATAAGGTAAGCTACGCTAAATTGTGATGTTTGGTAGGTTAGGTGTTTTAAATCCATTTTTGACTTATGATATTTTCAACTTAAGATACCTTTAACAGGAAGGAACTCCATTGTAAGTTGAGGAGTATCTGTATATCTGGGGAGAGAACAGTTAAAATAAATTTAAGTATCTCAGAACAAATCTATCTCTTTCTCATCAACATAACTGATTATCTAAATATTATCCTAGATAGCAAAACAGGTAAGTTTTGAATTTACATATTGAAACTACAGGGTGATATGTGTAAATCGGTGAGGCAGCAAAACAACAAATAATCAAACAAAATCCAGCAGGGAAATTGGGAGAGTGCAATGAGGGCTGGGTCAGGGTTTCAAGACATAAGGTGATAATATCCTTGTGACAAAGCTAATTTAAAATAAAAAGTCAAATCTGCCCAGACAAAGTTTCTGAACAATCAATCTTGAATACACTCATCTTTTTATAAGTTAAAAGGAAAAGGTTCATTATACTTCAAGAGGAAACAAAAAGGTCTATGGAATTTGACTCAAAATAGTACATTTGGCCAAGAAAGTTACAGAACAAAATACAGTCATGTGTCACTTAACAATGGGGATATGTTCTGAGAAGTGCATCCTTAAGTGATTTTGTCATTGTGCAAACATCACAGAGTGTACTTACACAAACCTAGATGGTATAGTCTACCCAGGCCATATGATATAGCCTGTTGCTTTTAGGCTACAAACCTGTACAGCATGTTACTGTATTCAACACTGTAGGCAACTGTAACACAATGGTATTTGTGTCTAAACATATCTAAACAAAGAGCAGGCACAGTAAAAATAATGTATAAGAGATTAAAAAACGGTATGCCTGTATAGGGCACTTACCAGCAATGGTACTTGCAGGACTGGAAGTTGCTCTGGGTGAGTCAGTGAGTAAACTCTTTGCTCTGGGTGAGCAAAGAGTGAATGTGAAGGCCCAGGACATTACTGTACACTACTATAGATTTTATAATAAACACGGTACAATAAGACTATGCTAAACTTATTTTAAAACTTTTCTTTCTTCAGGAATTAATCTGTAACTTACTTTATAAATTTTTTATTTATTATTTTTTTTTTTTACTTTTTGACTCTTATAATAACACTTAGGTTAAAACAACATGTTATACAGCTGCACAAAAATATTTTCTTCTTTATATCCTTATCCTATAGGCTTTTTCCTATTTTTAAATTTTATTTATTATTTTACTTTTTAAACTTTTTTGCTAAAAACGAAGACACAAACACATATATTAGCCTAGGCCCGTAGGTCAGGATCATCAATATCACTGTCTTCCACCTCTACATCTTATTTCCCTGAAAGGTATTCAAGGGCAATAATATGCATGAAGCTGTCATCTCGTACGTTTACAAGGCCTTCTTTATGGAATATCCCCTGTAGGACCTGCCTGAGGCTGTTTTACAGTTAATTTTTTTTTATAAGCAGAGTACACACTACAATGATAAAAATGTATAGTATAGGTAATACATAAGCCTGTAACACAGTTGTTTATTATCAAGTATGATGTACTATACAAATGGAATGTGCTATACTTTTATATGACTAATAGCACAGCAGGTTTGTTTACACCAGCATTGCCACAAGAGTAATGCACTATGCTACCACATCATAATGGTTATGACATTATGATGGCTACAGTGTTACTAAGCCATAGGAATTTTTCAGCTCCATTATAATCTTATGGGACACATTTGTACATGCAGTCTGATGTTGACCAAAACATGGTTACGCAGCACATGACTGTGTCTAGAATGTGACTGCAGTAACAACCCTCACTCACCAAAACTCAGTCTTGCCAGAAGGGCACATAGATGATGCAGCACACATAATGATATTATATTAACTAACTTTAGTTAGGTAACTAATATTAACTAATTTTTAATGGTTAATTATAACGGATAAAATGATGTCACAAGTGCACTGAAGCTCTTTTTTTTAGCCCTTAATTATTACTGCTTTTTCTAAGAGTTTCTCTGAGAAGTTATTTGGAAAGAAGACAGACAATGTGAAAAAATATAATGGCAGAAATTTAAATATGGAAACTATGTTAATGATTCACCGGAGAAACTCAAATGTTATAAATTATTTCCTCAACATAGATGATTAATTTCCAATTTCCAAACACGTTCTCTTGACCAGTCCTTGCAATAATTAAGATAAAACTGAAATGGCTCGTCAGTGTTGATGATAAATTCTGTTTGGAAGATGATATGGTTTGGTTGTGTCCACACCCAAATCTCATCTTGAATTGTAATCTCCGTAATTCCCACATCATGGAAGTAATTGCATCATGGGGGCAGCTTCCCCCATGCTGTTCTCATGATAGTCAGTGAGTTCTCATGAGATCTGATGGTTTTATAAGTTTATGGTATTACCCCTGCTTGCACTCATTCTCTCTCTTCAGCCCTGTGAAGAGGTGCCTTCCGCCATGATTGTTAAGTTTCCTTAGGCCTGCTCAGCCATGCTAAACTGTAAGTCAATTAAACCTCTTTCCTTTATAAATTACCCAGCCTCAGGTATGTCTTTATTAGCAATGTGAGAATGGACTAATACAGAAGACATAAAAATTACTGGTCACTACAAGGAAATATCCCATAATTATTGCCTCAAAGCACATTACTATCTAAACTGAACCTTCATCATTATAACTGGTCTAAAGCTCTGTAAGTTGCAGCACATCTAGCCAATCAATTTTGGCAAGACATGTTATAATTTTCCAGAATAAACAAGTTTGAAAATGACAGCAAAATGAGGGAAAAAGATGGACCCACACTGTCTCTATTTGATATAAATTTTGTATGTCTAAGAAGAGAAAGTTAGGAGACTGGAAAGCAAAATATGTCACTTCCTAGACTCTTCAGCCATGGGAGGTTAAATATCCTGGCTGATAAGAAGGCCCTCTGCTATGCGCACCCTCCTCCTGCTCTCGTAACCTTTGCTTTCTTGTTTTGGGTGCATAATTAGAATCAGTTGAGTCTATTTCCATACTACCTCTTTTCCTTCTATTCCATTCAATGAAAATTTACTAAACACTTAATACGTTGAGACACTGTAATAAGCAAGGTGACTTACCGGTAAACAAAACATGAGTAAAAAATACTGATTCCAAAATTCTAGTTTAACAATTACTTGACATTGAAATTATGTGATTCAAATAAATATATTATTTTTTAGAAAAAAAAACCTAAATAGGAAAGATTCAATAAAGATGAGTAACTCTCAACTGTTAATTTGGTTTGGCAGAACAGCTGTAGATGAATGGGGATACTCAAGGTACCTCAGAGTATCTTAAGTTATCACTCTACTTGATAGATGCCAAACACTAAAATTAATAAAATATGGTTTAGAAAAGAGGTATTACAGAGCTCCAATGAGCAGACTATTCTTAAAAAATTATTTGCCCTAAGACAAATGAAATCAATGTATATTTATGTTTTATGTTAAAATCATTAAACATAAATATAAAACATTAAATGATTATTTACTTACCCTTTTAAATTAACTACTAACTACTGATACCAACCTGGAAACCCCGACACATTCAAAATTACTGGTGAAAGTAAAAAATGGTAGAATCACCATAAAAGGAAATACGATAATATCTAACAAAATTACAAATGTATTTACCCATAACACAACAATCCCACTTTTACAACAAACCAGCACAAGTACAAAATGACACCTGGACAAGATTACTCTTTGTAGTACTGTTAATAGTGGCAAAAGACTGACAATAGCCTAAGAATCCATAAAATAAGGCACTGGTTGAATAACTATGGTAGTTCTTCATCCATGCATCCTACAAAAGGATGAGGAAAATGCCCATTTACTGAGAGAAAAAGATCTGCAAGAAACAGAGCTAAATCAAAAAAGCAAAGTACTGAAGGGTATACATAGTTTCCTGCATTGTATATAACTGGGAGAAATGGGTATTGAAAACATATATATATATATAATATATATAATATAATATATATATTATATATAATATATATTATATATACACACACATAAACATATATTTATATTTGCATATATATTTGCATATTTTTTTGTTTGTGTTAAAAAATTGGAAGAAGAAACAAGAGACTAATAAAAGTAAGGTGGAAAGGTTGGGGTACAGTGGTAGAAGGAACAAGGAATGAGCATGTATATCTTTCCATACAGTTTTGATCTCTGAATTATATACATATGTTACCAATTCAAAATACCATCTTAACAAAATATCTTTTAAAAAATGAAACAGTAATTAAAGTTGTATATAGAATAACATGAAGTTTATTGCTTTGCTTCCATTTATAAGTGAAACAATTTATTTTATACACTGCAATCTCTAAAAGATGATCAAACTTTGCAGTTTCCACCTCCATCTGAGATCTAATTTCTTGTCTGAATTTTTCTCTATATTAGTTGCGTAGCCCTGGCTGGTCCCTTAGTTAAAAAAAAAAAATTAAAAAAATAACCCCAAGGACTTTTGGTGGTGACAGAATACAGATCTCATCTGTCTCCACCAAAGAGACACCTTCTTAAACATGGAAGCAAAGGTAAAGTGACTTGCTATGATTTGTGACTCCAACCTGCATTTTTTTTTTCTCCCTCTCCTCCTTTACAGAAAGTAGAACTTTTTCGACAACATGCATTCAGTTAGTTAATGGACTGTGGGTAGTATGGCAGACAACATAATCATTTAAAAAATAAAATCAACTGCAAATTTTTAAGAGTGGGAATAAGATCATTTACATTTACTCTCCAATGTCTGTTTCTGTTGTAGCACAATAGATGAGTATCATTAAATATGTTTATAGGTTATATGCTCTATCTCGTATGCTAACTCCACATGATTATGGTTCCATAATGGGTACTATCAGTATGCCAGGTTCCAAAAACCTCAACCTCAATCTCTGGAAAGCAATGTAAACACATTTTGTAAATCCTTAACTTCTCTACCATCAAGTCACTAGGTGTGTATGTGTTTACACATGTGTGGTTACATATACATCCTTCCACTGCAAATTATTGTGACTGAGCAGACAATGCTTGAAAACGGAGGTTCAAGAGCTCCTTTATGAAATGAACAAAGAAATACCTACTCCTTACACTGAAGTTCAGCAATCAAAGACTGAACAGTTCTTTTAACATCTGATAACAGTTTAGTGTCAATACAAATTATCAAATACAAATTAACTAATGCCCATCTGACAAGTTTATAAAAACTACCTTACTTTTCAGATGTGTTAACTGAGGCTTGGACATTAAATAAATTAACTTTAGTCACAAATGGGAAGTGAATCCAGAGCTTCAGGCTCTTGAATATTCTACCAAGATAATTGATTTTTGGATATTGCAATTACTTTATTATATGATTTAATTCACAAATATAGAAATAATTCTGTACAACACCAACACCTACAAAGTAGAAGTTTCATTTCATGTCCATGAAAGAGTAAAAAATAATACAAATTTCTCATGTTCTTCTATAATAAAATGTTTTCCATTTCCCTGTATCACAAGATCACCATATTGTCTCCATGAACATTTTTCGAAGACTGTGTTTATGTGTTTATTGCATCTATAAATCCCAAAATCTGTCTCTAAAGCCTCTTTTATCTCTTATTAGTAATTCAAACAAACAGAACAAAACTTCCCTTTATTTATAAAGCATTGTAAACATCAATGTAGCTATTTGGAAAAACTCCCATCAAGATAAAAATCCACACTTTACAGCAGGGTTTCTCAATCTCAGCATTACTTGGGCTAACAATGTTTCATTGTGGGTCAGGGAGGGTTTTCCTGTGCATTATAGGATGTCTGGTAACATCCCTGACCTCTACCCACTGGATGCCAGTATCATTCCTCCAGCTGTAACAACCAAAACTGACCTGGAGGGAGGTTGAGAAGAATAAAGTGTAAAATTCTCATTACTAGCAATCATTAATAAAAGAAAAATCAACTTTCTGTGTAGCTCATTCACTGCTTGAGGTAAAAGCTGGTTCCAATAATTTTTGTTTGGTTTAAAAAAATCTTTTGAGGCTTTCTGTTGTTTTTGTTTATATGATTCCATCATTCCAAACTTTCATGCAGGGTCAAAATACTTATAACTTTTCTGAAAAGAGAAACGTCCTCAAAATAGCCTGGGTGTGGTGGCACTTTGGGAGGTCAAGCCAGGAGGACTGTGAGAGCCTGGGAGTTGGAGACCAGCTTGCACAACAAAGCAAGACCCTGTCTCTATAAAAATTTAAATATTAGCTGGGAGTGGTGGCACCCGCCTGTAGTCCCAGCTACTTGGGTGGCTAAGGCAGGAGGATCACCTGAGCCCATGAGGTCAAGGCTGCAGTGAGCCACGATTGCCCCACTGAACTCCAGCCTGGGAGATGGAACAAGACTCTGTCTCAAAAAATTTTTTAAAAAATGTCCCCAAAATGATTCTTAAGCTGCTAGTCCATCCATCACTGTATATCTATACATCCATGTTTTTCTTCTCAACAAGGACGGCAAAATATAAACCATTCAAATTGATGGCAGCAGCGGGCCATCCAAAGTAGTCACTGCCACTTTGGCAGCCGGGACCGGCTGTGGTGGGGCACGGGTGTGGGTGCAGGTGGGGTTGCAGGCTGTGGATCCTCAGGTGGACTCCAAGGCGAACGGTACCTGGGGCCTGCTGCCCTGGAAGCCCAACCCTGGGATCCACTCAGGTGGGGCCGGGCTGACCTACCTGCAGGCGGGGGAAGAGCACGGTCTGGCATGGAGGGGTCTCAAGGCAGAGTTGGACCCAGGGGTGCTGCAGTTGCGCACAGAGTGAAGGGAGGTGGGCCTGAACGCACAGTGGGGCCGTACTTCAGGGGTGTGGGGTGGAAAGCGGGAGTGGCGCCCGCTTCCCAGACCTGGCAAGCGACTCTGTCGCCGCACCCACCCTGCTGGCGGCTCCAAGTTCCTGCACCTCAGCTGGAGGCTCAGCCCGGGCCACCGACGCTGCAACCCCAGGATCCACCCCACGTCGGAGTGACTGTTCAGCCTGGCGCTCCCGACAACTGGGTTTGGGGCCCGCGATCTGCCCCAGAGGTGCCCCCCGGCAGGGTCTCAAGCTGTGCGAGGAGGAGCCCCAGGCTGCCACCGAGAGCCGGGTCCACAGGGGGAACTTGCGGCAATGTCATCCTTGCCTTGGACGGCAGCCCAGCCCAGCGATGGCCTGGAGCCCTGCTCCAGGCTGCAAGGAGGCAGACAGGATAGCAGAAGCAACTGTGAGAGCAGCAGTGGCAACAGTCTCCTGTGTCCCATGTCCTCAAGGTGGACTGTGCCACCTCCACCCTCGCACAGGTAGCAGGACCTGCTACTAAGTTCGGAGCCGCCATTGCAGCCTCAACCTCGCGCCCCACCATGTCTTGAAAGCCCACAAGCACCTGGCCAAAGGTGCTGCCACTGGGACTCACAGGACTAGCCCTGGGAGCATCGGGTTTGTTTGTGCTGGGTTGGCCAGGGCCACTATGCCACCTGCACCTCACCTGCCACCACTGTGGGAGATGCAGAGAAGGCAGCACAGTCAATGCTGCACACTCTGCAGAGCCAGGGACTGGCGGGAGCTCTGCCCCTTATGAGTTGGTAGGGTGAGAGCTCCCCAGGCACAGCTGCAGCTGCCTGGGTTGTGGCTGTGGGCCTGGGTCTCCTGGTGCTCTCGAGTACCCAGGTGGGTCCCCCATCATCAGCAGACTCAGGGGTATCTGCTCCCATTGCCTGGCCTCTTCCTGGTCCCAGCGTTGTTGTGGCCCAGCCAGGTGTGTGCTGCTCCAGGCAGCACTGACACACCAGCCTCCTGCCACCTTGGCCCTTCTGGACTATGGATGCCAAGTAGGAGAGGGAGGCCAAGATGGAGCTGAATGAGGCTCTGGGCTGGCCTGTGGGTGCTCCTTGGCACGGGTGTGAGCAGCCTGGGTGTGATGGGCAGCAGCAGGATGCAGACAGGTTCCTGGGTGGGAAGGGGCAGGGCAGGTCCCTGGTGAGGCCTCATCTTCAGAACAGGGCAGGCCTGAAGGCTGGGGGCCAGGCTGCCAGCCCTGCGGACCAGAGTGGGGACTTGTGGTGCCTTTACCGCAGGCCCATGGACCAATCGGCATGCACTTCCTCCCCTCTGAGGCTCATAAAAGCCCTGGACTCAGCCAGAGCAGAGCAGAGCCAGTGGAGGGACCGACTGCAGAGAGGAGCTACCCTCTCTGCTGAGAGCTGCTGAGGTCAGGATGATCAACATCAGAGAGGAGTCTACCCTCTTCAGGGCCTCCTCTCTGCTAAGAGCTGCAGACAACAGGATGACCAGCAGCAGAGAGGAGCTACCCTCTCTGCTAAGAGCTGAACATTCGTCGGGACAACCTGCCTGCAGAGAGGAGCCACCCACTCCAGGCCTCCTCTCTGCTGAGAGCTCAACACTCAACGAGATGACCTGCCTACAGAAAGGAGCTACTCACTGCAGGCCTCTTCTGAGCTTTTCTAACTCAATAAAGCTCCTCTTTGTCTTGCTCACCCTCCACTTGTCTATGTACCTCATTCTTCCTAGATGCAGGACAAGAACTCAGGCAAAGGCGCCACTGGCCACAGAGGTTGCTGGTCAGAAAAGCAACAGCCCAAAGATCCCATAACAAAATCAGGCCCAACCTTGGGGAAGGGCTGCAAGAATTTACATATGAAAACTGAAAATAAAATCCAAGTCATCTGTATTCCTTTAATTACTGACAATCTTGTTTGATTAATCAGCACAATCACTCTTGCTAAAGGTTGATTTGGTGAGGATTTTGTAACTATTTACAGCCAGATTTTTTTTTTTAATATTAACTGGATATGACGCTGCAGCATACTGAAAGTTATCGCAAATGCAGGAGGAAGCTTTAATCCCTGTAGAGATCGTCTGGGTAAGTGAGCAAAGGCTCTGACAGTACAGATAATACAATTCAGTTCCAGGCCAAAAAGCTGTATTTGTTTTTGTTGTTTTTCTCCTATCCTATTAGCAGCCTGTCTCCATGGATTTGTCTGGGAAAATAAACAGTAAAGCAAGCAGCCCTCTCCATCCATTAACTCATCCTCCTAGCAAAGATCCCAAGCAAAGCTTTTGGAAAGATCATCTTTTTAAATGCACATGTGTATATTAAGTCAAACTCAAAACCAATGAAAATAAACACAAGAAAATGCACACACAGAAAAATAAGTATTTATACAGACCCTTAATTCCTTGAATCCAAACACATTGGAGAAAAAAAGCCAATGATACTCATCAAATATTTATAAACATATGAAACAGGAAATATAAATATATGAATGACTCCACACTAACCTCTATTAATTAAATTACACTAGATTAGTTATAAACCAGATTTAACTACTAATGGTCATCTTAAGTATAAGCCTTTAAAATCTAATGTTCAAATTGCCCTCCAAATCCAAGAAATAAAAATCTTCAGATTTTATATAGATATTTACTTCATCAAAAGTAAACAGCAAACTCATTTTGGAAAAAAATCAAAATATCAAGAAAAGAAAGCACATAGGAAAAATCTAAACAGAGCTTCTGTGCCTGTGGATACTTTTGGAAGAAGCTTTTATGGTCTGGAAACAGAAAAAAAAAATGTCAATGCTAATGGGAATCAGATATAAAAAAAATTCATTATCCTGTATTTAAGTTTCTACCTTCTACAGTATGTACTTTTAGCCAACCATTCAGACAAAATGATTCCATATCACTATTCTCTCTGATGGAAGAGAAACTGATATGTGAAAGAAGGAAGCAGTTAAGTTTTAAAAGACTCAAATGTGATATGTTAAAAATACTGACTATAAAAGAAATCACATCCTTAAATCAAGAACCATTTTGGTAGCATTTCTGCTTGAGATAGAGAATGCTAATGTCACAGACTCTAACATGTAACTCAAAAGAAGACTGCATCCCTGCTTGAATTTTAATCCCAAGAATCTGAGGATCACATAAAACAAACAAAAATTAACAATTTAACTCAATTATTTTTGTTTTTCTTTATCTCCTTATTTGTCTTTATGAGGACACTATAACTTCTTTTTGACAATTATAGAAAGGAGCAACACCAATATTAAGCTATCTTTTAATTTAACATTTCCAAAATCAAGGAAGAGTAGTTTCCACTCAAAGGGAGACTCTAAAAGATTTTGGAGTCCAGAGTTCTGAATGTATGCATTCATTCAGTCAGCCAGCCATTCATTCACTCAATAGATAATAATTTAAAGCAATTTTATTATTAATAGTGTTCATAAAGTTCTTCTAAAATAGTAAGTATAGCTGGGTGCGGTGGCTCACACCTGTAATCCCAGCACTTTGGGAGGCTGAGGCAGGCGGATCACCTGAGGTCAGGAGTTCAAGACCAGCCTGGCCAACATGGTGAAACCCTGTCTTCACAAAAATACAAAAATTGGCACATGCCTGTAATCCCAGCTACTCAGAAGGCTGAGGCAGAAGAATGACTTGAACCCAGAAGGCAGAAGTTGCAATGAGCAGAGATCATGCCATTGCACCCCATCCTGGGCGACAGGGTGAGTCTCTGTCTCAAAATAATAATAATAATAATAAGAAGAAGAAGAAGAAGAAGAAGAAGTATAATACAAAACTAATACTTGTATAATATTAAAGTATGAATGAAACATCTTCACTATATTACCATAACTGACCTTTTACTCTTTCCTGGCTATCTATATTTGATCTACTATTAAAGGGAAAAAAATAAATTCATGATAAGACATAGAAAGGGAGGCATTTGATGAAGTGACAAAACTTAAGTATAATACAAAACTTGAATCTCTCAATTTTTCCAAACAAGCTCTTTTTCATAGGCTACCATAAGACTTTAATATACAAACTTTATCAGAAATGCCAATATCTTCATTGCTCTGTGGTTTCTGTCTTTCATCAAAGAAAGGCTTAATGAATCATGTTCATCATTCTATTAAATGTAAAATACGAGGGGTGTCCAAAAATATATGGGTCTATGCTACTCAGAAAATATAAAACTCTATGCTAAGTCAGAATACAAGTGTTCATAGGTCTCATATGCTCAAACCAATTTGTACAATCAATTTTCACAGCTATATAAGGCCAAATACATGTTATGAAGATGTGAAAGGTAAAATGAAAAAAAAATACAGGTTGGCTTAAAATTAGAAGCAATGGCTTCAACTTCAAAATGAAAACAGGTAGGCATTTATTACTCCACGGAATCAGCAAGCCATCTCCTTTTGTGTAACATTCTTCTCAGGTTATTCAGAAGCATACTATGTTATGAAAATTTAAATTTTAAATGTCTAGAGTATAAGTTTTCTAACACATAAAATTTTTAAATAAAGTATGGATAAAAAGTATAGTCATCTGATGACACATCATGACAATACTGGAGAAAAATGACATGCTACGGGATAAAGAATAAGGTATCTGGGGAGACAGAAAGTCCTGCCTTACAATACTGCCTTCATTACTTACTAGTTCCTGAATCATGGCAAGCTATTTAATCTCTTTGAGCAGTAATTTTCTCATCTTCAAAATGTAAACAGAGGTACTACTTTGCAGGGTTGTCAGGAGAGTTACAGATTATGTACATAAAGCACGGTGTGCTGTGCCTGGTATAGTGCATGTGCTCAAATAAAAGTGGTAATAATTGTTATTATCTTAGAGTAATATTTCTGGGTTTTTCTGATTTCCCTTTATGTATTCAATTTTGTATTTTATTTTTTACTTCAAATATAATACCTAACAAAATAAACTTGTAATAAAATGCATAAAAGCAAATATTAATTTTCTGTAGATATACCTATAAAATTCAGTATATACATGATAGTTTTGCTTGGATTACATTTTTACTTCTTTGTTTTCCATGAAGAAAATCCTTGCTGCTTACGAGAACATTTGGCTTTTCTCACTGTCTGCCAGAATACAGGTTTAGGTCACAAATGTGAATGTGAAATATCAACTCATGGAAACTTGGCTGCAGAATACTGTTCTCCTTACCAATTTTGCAACTATGTAAGCAGGGCAATCAACTATCACCAAAACACAGTCATGAATATAACTGGAAGGAAGAGAACTTTTATGAGAAATTATTCTTAATTACTTAATGGTGATTAAACTCTCAGCATTACTTCCTCAAGGCCATCAGAGTAGTTAACATGAGCTTTAATCTTAGTGTTCGTTTTGCTATTCAGTAAATATATTACTGAACTACCTTCTACTAAACACATATCACCCCCAAGAAAAAACTACATGTAGCTAAAGTGAGAAGTTAAAAACAGAAAATACTAACTTTCTCAATGAAGAACAGAGAAAACAAATTAAAAGATATACAATTTAGCTCAGCAAATTATTTGCATTTTGAATTAGCAAAATATAGCCAGCAAGTGAAAAGCTGATGCTTTCTAAATTGATTAATATAGTTAATAAGAAGGCAGGTTTATTTCATACTAACTGCTACTATGTGTTCCAGGTACCTGAATATACCAGTAAATACGACAAAAATCCTTGCTCAAAATAGACAAAAATGCTTCCCTTGCATTAGAGCAATGGGAGACAGACAATAATAAATACTGTGTATAAGTAAACTATGTGGTAATAATATTCACTACACTACACTAATAAGCACTCAGAAAAAAACAGCTGAGTAGCATAAAAGGAGGTATGGAGAATCAGAGTGAGAAAATGGGTTGGAGCACCTACAGTGTCAGATGATTGATATAATCTTTTCCTATGAGGCTCAATATTATTATTGCTTCAGATAAGAGAGATCTATCATATGAGTATTTCTTAGTTCTAACAATTACTAATACCTTTCTATAAGCCATATTATAATTAGTAATAAAGGGCCAGATGGTACACATTTTCAGCTTGTCAGCCATACCGTCTATATAGCACTATTCAACTCTCCCATTGCAGTGTGAAAGCACTCACAAGAGAAAAAAAATGAATGTGGCTGTGTTCCAATAAAACTTTATTTCTAAACACAGGCATAGAGCACAGTAGTTTTCCAATCTTGGCTTAGTTTAGCTAAATGCCTTAATTCTAATGTTAAATTTTCCTGGGAGTATAGAGATAAACTTATCATCTATTTCCTAGTGTTTAACTTCAATTCTAATTGTCTAACAAGCAAAGATAAAACATAAATACAACAACCGACACACATATACCACTTCAACCTCCCTCTACCCTCCTCCATCTTCCCTCTTTCTCTTTTTCCCCTCTGTCTTTACCCAAATCACTTAGTAATATAATGCAATCATCAAAGACTGAATTCTGGTTTATAAATGCAGTAGCAAAAGGACATCAAATTATTAAATACACAATTCAAAGACATTAAGTCTGATACAGAATTTAAGAATAAACCTTATAAAGTTGTTAAACTCAAAATGTCAGGCCTCTACTAGCCTCTAAAAAAACACACATATTTAAAAAAAAATGCGTTAAGCCCCAAACTATAGAATTAAAGAGGCTGAACTCTTAGAAATTCCCAAAATATCCTAAACATTCATAAAAATATAATTTTGCTCACCTTCTCCAACATTAGCATTCTATTTTCTTCAACTTTCTACTTAGATAGAATATACTATACTTTTATAAAATCCTATGACAAATATTCTTTTTTGTACTCTAATACAAAAAAAAAAGTTCCGGAATCAAGATTTCCAAAAGGCACTCGTTTTACAACTGGCTTATCATTGTCTTTTTCATAACAAAACATACCTCTGACTAAGTCTGTCATCAAATATCTTGATGTAAACAGAAACAACATGTAACTTTTAGGCCATAAATTGTACTGGCATAACAAAAAGGTAAACATTATTACTTGGTATGAAACATAATTATTGATACAAGGCACTGGTCTGGTTTACCTGCACTGTCCCTTCTAGGAGACAGGAGTATAATCTAGCTTTTTTTTTTAAGTACATTTTCATAATTTTAGTTATATTTATGAAAATTAGATTAGAAACTGTCAATACACACATAACTGATTTTTGTTGCTGAATAAATTCTCTAAAAGATTTACATGTAAAATATCTAGTTAGCCAAATTTTTATTAAGAAATCAAATTCTCTAAGAATCTCTCCAGCACTAAAATTCTACTTATTTCTGACCCGAAACTTGGGAGTAATGATGGCAGCAGCGGCCCGTCTGGAGCGCGGCTGTGAGGACGCCCGCTGCACTGGGTAGGTGCGGCTAGAGTTGCAAGCTCTGCCAAGCCGTCAAGGCTGCGAACGGGCAGGAGCCCTGGCCCCTACTGAGTTGGGAGGGCGGGGCTCACTGCAGTTGTCCAGCCGTGACTCTGCACCCAGGCATCCTTGTGTTCTTGGGGGCCTGGGAAGCCCTCCTGCCCCTGCAGGCTCAGAAGTGACTGCTCCTGCTCCCTGGCCACTCCGATTGTGGCGCAGGCTCTGGGCAGAGCAAAGTTGTGGCCAAGCCTGGGTGCTGTCACAACTCAACTGGGTGTGCCTGTGCTCAGGGAGACACTGAGATGCCAGCCCCCAGCCACCTTGAACCCCTCTGGACTTTGGGCACTGGTGAGCATGGGAGGGAGGCTGAGGAGGGCTGAGGGTGGTTTGCCATAGGGCTTCAGGCACTCCTTGGCACAAACAGCCTGGGGGCCATGGATGGCACATTCCTGGTGACAGAAGGCAGACAGGCTCCTGGGTGCAAAGGGGTGGGTCCCTGGTGAAACCCCACCTTCAAGACATGGACAGCCTGAAGCCTGGGGGCTGGGCTGCCAGTTCCATGTGGAGACCTCGGCCCAGAGTGAGAACTTAGGGTGCTTTCACTGGGCCTGCCCATGGCCACCCATGGACCAATCAGCATGCACTCTGTCCCTTCTGAGCCCATAAAATCCCCTGGACTCAGCCAGACTTGGAGAGACTTCAGGACTACTAGCTGCAGAAAGGAGCTACCTATGTTGGGTCTCCTGAGAGCTGTTCTGTTGTTCAATTAAAGTCCTTTCCACCTTGCTCACCCTCCAGTTGTCCACATACCTCACTGGTCCTGGACACGGGACAAGAACTCAGGACCCACCAAATGGAGGGACTGAAAGAGCAGTAACACAAACAAAGCTGAAAAACACCCCCAACCCTGACTTGCCACATTGAGGGTGATGAGAAGGAGAAGAGTTGCAGCCCTCTGGGGAGCCCAGACCTAGGGGCTCCCTGAGGCAGGGCTGTGACACCCTCTTTGGGGCTCTGGTTCCTGGCTTCTCCAAGCTTCTGGGCACCACTGTGTTCCCCTCGTCCAGTCACGGGTGCACAGAGTGGAAGATGTGTGCAGTACATCTGGTCCAGCCACAGCCTTGCATGGAGCCAGCACCTGTTATCAGTGTGTGGAGCTGCCCACCCCATGCAGCAGCTTGTGTGCCTGACTGTGCATAGTGGCAGGAACCTGGGCTCACTTGCCCACACAACCCTCACCGCTCCACGCCTCGCTCGCCCTTGGCAGGTGTGGGATTAAGGCCAGTAGCACGAGCAGAGTGCAGCCTGCTGGGCTGAGTGGGCAGAACAAGCTCAGTGGGTGCGAGCAGTACTCAGGCAGAAGGAGCCACTGGCCATGGAGGTTTCCAGCTGGTGAAGCAACACTCCAAGTCCCCTTCTTTGCTGAGGTAGTTCTGAGCCCACTGAGGCAATAACAATGCAGGTCTGTGTAAATGGGTTGTAAAAGATAGTCAAAGGTTGGTAAAAGAGCGGAGAAGCAGGAGGCCTTACCTCCAAGTGAAAAGAAACTGTTGCTGAAGTATAAAGCTGACATTTTCCTTTGTGTTCCGAATTAAACAATTTTTTTTAGGGTGGTTTGGGTATACCCCACATATTGTAAAATTCAATCTCTTTACTTTTACAGCTAGAAGGGTTCTGACAAATACAGGCATACCTCCAAGATACTGCAGGTTCAGTTCCAGACCACTACAATAAAGCTAATATTGCAATAAAGCTAATATCACAATAAAGCAAGTGACAAGAATTTCTAATTTACCAATATATATAAAAGCTATGTTTACAGTATATGATAGTCTACTAAGTATGCAATACCAATATGTATGGGGGAAAAATATATATACCTTAATTTAAAAATCCTTTATTGCTAAAAATGCAAATGATTATCTAAGCCTTCAGCAAGTTATAATCTTTTTGCTGGTGGAAAGTCTTGCCTTGATGTTGATGACAGCTAACTGATCAGGGTGGTAGTTGCTGCAGGCTGGGGTGGCTGTGGCAATTTCTAAAAAAAAAGACAACAATAAAGTATGCCACATCGACTGACTCTTCCTTTCATGAAAGATATCTTTGTAGCATGTAATGCTATTTGATAGGGTAAACCACAGTAGAACTTCTTTTAAAGATGGAGTCAATCCTCTCAAACCCTGCTGTTTTAACAACTAAACTTACACGATATACTAAATCCTCAGTTACCATTTCAACAATATTCACAGCATCTTCACCAGTAGATTCCATCTCAAGAAATCACTTTATTTGCTCAGCCATAAGAAATAACTCCTCATCCATTCTAATTTGTTCATGAGATTGCAGCAATTCAGTCCCAACTTCACACTCCACTTCTAATTCTAGCTCTTTTGCTGTATCTACCTTATCTGTAGTTACTTCCTCCACTGATGTCTTGAAGCCCTCAAAATTATCCCTGAGGGCTGGAATCAACTTCTTCTAGACTCCTGTTAAAGTTGACGTATTTTCACCTCCTCCCATAAATCATGAATGATCTTCATGGCATCTAGAATGGTGACTCCTTTCAAGGAGGTTTACTTTGCCCATATCTACTATTACAGCAGCAATAGCCTTAAGAAACGTATTTCTTATATCATAAGACTTGAAAGTCAATATTACTCCTTCATCCATAGGCTGCAGAATAGATACTGTTTTAGCAGACACAAAAACATTAATTCTCCTTGTGCATTTCCATCAGAGCCTTGAGTAACCATGTGCATTGTCAATGAACAGTAACATCTCAAAAGGAATCTTTTTTTTTCCTCAGCAATAGGTATCGACAGTGAGCTTCAAATATTGAGAAAACTGTGCCGTAAACAGATGTGCTGTCAACCAGGCTTTGTTTTTCCATTGATCGAGCACAGGCAGAGTAGACTTAACATAACTGTTCAGAACCCTAGGATTTTCAGAATGGTAAATGAGCACTGGCTTCCACGTAGTCACCAGCTGCATTAGCCCCTAACAACAGAGTCACCCTATCCTTTGAAGCGTGAAGCCAGGCATTAATTTCTCTTCTCTAGCTATGAAAGTCCTAGATTACCATCTTCTTCTAATATAAGGCTGTTTTTGCTACATTAAAAATCTGTTGTTTAGTTAACCACCTTCATTAATTATCTTAGCTAGATTTTCTGTATAACTGGCTACGGCTTCTACATCAGCACTTGCTGCTTCACTTTACATTTTTATGTTATGCAGATAGCTTCTTTCCTTAAACTTAATGACCCAAGTTCTGCTAGCTGCCAACTTTTCTTCTGCAGCTTCCTGACCTTTCTCCGCCTTCACAGAATTGAAGAGCATTAGGGCTTTGCTCTGGATTAGGCTTTGGCTTAAGAGAATGCTGTAGTTGGTTTGATCTTCTATCCAGATCACTAAAACTTTCTCCATATCAGTAATAAGGCTGTTTTGCTTTCTTATCATTCATGTGTTCACTGAAGTAGCACTTTTAATTTCCTTCAAGAACTTTTCCTTAGCATTTACAACTTGGCTAAACATTTGGTGAAAGAGGCCTAGCTTTTGGCCTCTCTCAGCTTTTGACATGCCATTCTCATGAAACTTAATCATTTCTAGCATTTGATTAATGTGACAGATGTGAGACTCTACCTTTAATCTGAACATCTGGAAATCATTGTAGGGTTATTCTTTGGCATAATTTCAGTACTGTTGTGTCTCAGGGAGTAGGGAGGCCCAAAGAGAGGAAAAGAGACAGAAAAATGGCTGGCTGTTGGAGCAACCAGAACACAAAACGTTTATTTATTAGGTTTGCTGTCTTACATGGGTGTGGTTTATGGTGTCCTAAAACAATTACAATAATAATGTTAAATATCACTGATCTCAGATCAAGATAACATAATAATAATAATGAGGAAGATTGAAATATTACAAAAATCACCAAAATGTGAAGTGAGAATATGCTGTTGGAAAAATGGCACCAATGGACTTGCAGGGTTACCACAAATACTCAATTTATAAAAAATACACTACTTGCAAAGTGCAATAAACCACAATATAACGAGGTATCCCTGTATATGCAGTCCTGTAATCACCACTACAGCCAAGATATAGAATATCTACATCATTCCAAAAAGTTTCCCATTGCTGCTCTGTGGTGAAATTTCCTCCCTCAGATCCCCGAACTGATTTCTGTCCCTGCAATCCTCACAATGTCAGTATAGTGTATAGTCTTTTATATCTGACTATTTTTACTTAGCATAATGCTTTTGAAATTTATCCATCTTTGCATATATCAATAATTTGTTCCTTTTCATGACTGAGTAGTATTTCACTGTATGGACATGTTGCAACTTATTTATTCATTCACGTAGGTAGACATTTGGGTTGTTTAGGTGTTATAAATAAAGTTGCTATAAACATTACAAACAGGTCTTTGCTGGACAATTTATTCATTTTTCTTGGGTAAATACCTAGGACTGAGATTGTCGGATACTATGTTAAATATATATTTAACTATATGTAAGAAACTTGTGTATTTTTAAAAATGAAACAGTATCACTTAAATTATGAATAAAGCTACTACACTGGCTGATGATACGTCATAATTTTTTTAAGAAAGAACAAACACACACCGTACTTCTAAACTTGCACAATTAAACAAGGAATGCACTAGTATTGTGTAAAATACATGTAAAGTGCTCATATTTGACTAAAATTAACTAGACATCATATGTAAAACACATAGCATAGACTTAATGCATACTGCATACCTAATGACTGCTAATTCTCCACTGTTCAACTTTCCTTTTTCCCAGTGCTCTCCGCTCCCCAGTCCTCAACTCACACAAACCCACACTTAAATTTGAATCATTATTTGTTAAATCAGTTATAAAAGAGGACACACTCTCTTGCTTTTCTTCAACTATTATCTCTTAAAGCAAAGCCAGTTTCATTCATTTCTTTAAGCTGCTCTTTGGATAAATAAGGGGGAGCCTCTAAACGCAGTAGAGCCTGTACTCAGGAAACATTTCAGGTGAACATCACCATCTTGTGTCAAAAAAGAGTAACTGCAATACCAAAGTTATCAAATAGAAAACAGAGAAGTCAAAATGTATGAAGGTTCATTTTTTTCCAAACTTATTCTGACGCATGTGTCAATTAAGTGTTGCAAAGCTTAAACTCTTCATGTTTTATGAATTTAATGCATTAAAATTTCAAGCTAGATTGTGTATATCATAAAGGAACTAGGTTTTCTATTACAGGCCCCTTCAGATACTTTTTTGACACCACACACACACACACACACACACACACACACACACACACAGAATGCCAGGAACAAAATGACACTTCATTATTGTTAATACTCTTTATGTACTTTAAAATTAGCCACCAAATTGCCCTTCTACTAGTGACTTTAAAACATTCAACATATAGTCCCAGATTTAGGTTTTGGCTACACTGAACATTCGTTCTCAAACATGAGATTCTAGGAGCATTAACAATAGAAGACAAGAAGCTTTTTCAAATTTATAAGTGATTCAACTTTAATCATACAGTTAGATATTTCTATTCTAACTCAACATTATTTTTACATTCATATTCATTAAAAAATAGTTAAAAGTATATTAAATAGAACCAAAATATTGCAGGCTAATCAGACATCTGTGAAAAAAGAAAATATGCTGCTCAACAAGTTCTCCTTTTTCAAAGAGTAATAAATTTTAAATGAAAAAGTTAAGGTGTACTTCAACTGTCAAGCAAGGTTTTTATTACACAACAACAGCCTTAAAGGCTGATTGATTGCTTTTTCTTTTTTTTTTTTTTTTTCTGAAAATCACATGGTTAATCACTTTTGCACACCTGGATAATATCTGCTTGCTTTATGATCTGTTTGAAGAAATAAACGTTACAGTAACAAGAAAGTCTGGGAAGGTGGTACCTAAAAAGAAACAAAACAGAAAACAAAAAACAAAAACCTCAGAAACTTGTTTGGTAAGTAACATCCTTTTATATAACATTGATAATCTCTATTCTTGTCTGTCTCTGTGTCACAAAAGAAGATAATTGTAGAGCTTGAATGATATATCAAAGATTATCTAGTACATTTTTCACAGGTACAGAAACAGATGCTCAGTGAGGATAAATTATTTCAAATAATACACAGTCTGTTAATAACACAGCTAGCATCAGAAACTAAGATCTCTGCAACCATCTGTCTGCCTTTACTCTTCCATTGCTTGTTTCTGTTAGTTTTGAGCTTTCCTATCACACTCTGTATAAGGCACTCTGGCCCCTATCATATTTATCCTCTGTTACAGGTGTCAAATCTCATTTTCCTCCAGACCCATTTCCTCAGCTACATTGCTGGCATTATGCAAAAGCTCCTTTCCAATGTTGTGCACTCTCAAAAAATTCATCCAGAAATACTAAGGTTTGGGAAGGTCTGTGCCCAAAGCACTATAAGCAAAAAGTTCAAAGAAGAAAAATACAAAACTCCTCATACAATAAGTCTAATATCACAAATTCATGAAACGGCAACTATAAAGAGCAAAGTATTCAGAAAATTAAGTACATATTTCAGCATTGTCTTAAAGCTAAAAGAAATTAAAATAGCTGGTTTTAAATATCTATGGAGTTCAAACTAGATTAGTGTTGAACTCTTCACCTTATCAGTATATATATAATAAAACTTTGGTTATGAATTTATCTGAATTTCAATGAATGAATATAAGTCTGCTCACTCTTATCTATTTCCACCAAAGAAAGCAGAAAGCATTTCTTTACCCAGATAGTATTCTTAATAGCAGAATTTTACTTTCATCTGTTCTTCCTCCATAAATAATCTCAACCATCTAGTTTCTCTTTAGGAGTTCTCTTTGGTAACTCTTCAGAACATCCCCTAATTATCTCCATGTCAATTAAATGTTCCATGAAGTTCACCTAGATTGGGGATCTTGAACTAGATACTTTAAACAATTTTTCAAAAAGAAAGCTATATAAATTCTTCTTGGTATTTAAGATATATAGTGCCTTTGCTATCAATGAATAAAGAAATACATAGAGAATGACAGAAACAAGATCCCACAGTTGACAAGTTGGGAAGATTAATCAAATCTAATAAGATGAATTTAGTAAGAATAAATTCCTCTATTCCTATGGCCTAAAGCCTTTGTAGCCATAGCCATGGAAATAATTGGGAAATCACTTGGACTTAAAGAAAAGAATATCTGGGAATCATGTGAAAAGTAGGAGAAACTTAGAGGAGCTAATTTTGGAGGATAACTTCTATATCTGGTATATATTGTGCCTCAGTTGCTGAAACTTAAATCAAATTAACTGCACAAGCCCAAGGCGTGAAAACTATTATTTAGCAGACTTTGAAGAAAGACCTGGGCTTTTCACCTTTGTTGTTGTTCCTGATGACTTTATTCAATAGCAATCTCAATGTGCAGCTGACAACAAAGCTAACAAAATCCTGGAATGCATTAGGAGAAGCAAGGTATTCAGGGTAGAGGCAGCAGGAGTCTCACTAAGTTGTGTACTGATAGAACACAACCAATCAATATATATTTGTTGGTGGATGTTACAACTTCAGAGCAAAAAGGACAAATAGTTCACAAGAAAAAGATGAGAATGCTTTAGACGGAAAAACAATGGCATATGAAATAATCCAAAATGTCAAGCCTGAAAAACAAAAGACTGGTTAGTGAGATAAAGTGTAAAGACAAGATAACTAACAGTTTTAAAAAATAAAGGAACACCATATAGAAGAAGGATTAAAAACTGTTCTTTACAGACTTTGGAATAAAATCAGGTAGAGGTATAGAGGGTTTAGGGAGACAAACAGCTGCTTGTTCATCGGATTAAAGAACTTCTTAATAGTCTGACACAAAAATGAAATGGTCTATTTCGTGAATTAATAGTTCCCCATCAGTGTGGGTGAATAAGCAAAGGATGAAGAAATGATGGGTTGGGATTTTACAACAGGTGTCAGTGTATCAGATGGGTCATCTAGACCATGGAGCCTTCTATGTCCTCTCCAGTCTTGAAAAACCAAATTTCTTTTAGACCTTGGGTATTGACAGCAACATGTATTTTATTATGGTATTACTTTCTCTAATATTAAACATACTTCAATTCACGTTGACAACATCAAATATTATTTACTAAACAAATATATCTAAACACAGAATCTTTCAAAATTTAGAAATCTAAGCCTGAAAATCCCAATGTTGCTAAATACTAAAAAGGGCATACAACTCATAACTACAAAAAGCTAATAACCAATGGAACTTTAAGATTCAGGTGGCATGAATAAATATTTACATTACTCATGTAATAACAATTGTAGATTTATGAGTTTTCGGGAGTCAGTTGGAAAAAATAAGTATTTAGTGGAAGAAAATGTATTTTAAAAAATTAAAGATTAAGAGAGCTTTCAAGAGGGGATGGTGTATGCTTGAAATAAGTTAATTCAGCCTCCCTACTATTATTTAAGTTCAGTATTATATTTTTTACTCAAATACGACTTATAATGTATCTTCAGAAAACGTACGTGTTAAACATTTTAAACAATCTTTAAAAAAAAAAACTCTGTGGCTCATTCAACTCAAAATGAATTAAAGACGAATAAAGAGCTAAAACTGAAAAACTACTGAAAGAAGTTATAGGGAAAATGTTCCATGACACTGGCCTGGACAATAATTTTTTGAACATGACCTCAAAAGCACAGACAACAAAAGAAAAAATAGACTAATGGGATTACATGAAGCTAAAAAGCCTCTGCACAGCAAAGGAAACATTCAACATAGTGAAGAGACAACCTATAAAATGAGAGAATATGTTTGTAAACCAAACCTGATAAGGTGTTAAAATCTAAAATACCAAAATTTATAAGGAACTCAACAGCAACAAATGACCTGATTAAAAAATGGGCAAAAGACCTGAATAGACATTTCTCAGAAGACATACAAATAGCCAACAGGTATATTTTTTAAGTGCTCAACATCACTAATCATCAGAGAAATGCCAATGAAAACCACAATGAGATACCATTTCATACCTGTTAGAATAGCTATTGTCAAAAACATGAAAGATAAATGTTGGTGAGGATGTGGAGAAAAGAGACCCCTTGTACACTGTTGGTAGGAACATAAATTACTTCAGATATTAGAGAAAATAGTGTGGAAGTTCCTAAAAAATTTAAAATAAAACTATCTTATGATCCAGCAATTCCACTATTGAGTATATATCCAAAGGAAATGAAATCAGTATGTCCAAGAGACATCTGCACTCCATGTTCACTGCAGCATTATTCACAATATCCAAGTCATGGAATCAACCTAAGTATGCATCGAAGAATAAGCGGATAAAGAAAATGTGGTATGTATACAGAAGGTAATCCTATTCAACCTTTATTAAAAGGAAATCCTGTCATTTGTGACAATATGGATCAACCTGGAGGACATTATGCTAAGTGAAATAAGCCAGACAAAGAAAGGCAAATAGTGCATGATCTTGCTTATATGTGGAGTCTTAAAAAGTTGAACTCACAAAAGCAGAAAGTAGAATGGTGGTTATCAGGGCCTGGAGGTCTAAGGGAGTTGGGAAGATATTGGTCAAAGGATACAAACCTTCAGTTAAACAGGAGAAATAAGTTCAAGAGGTCTATTGTACTGTAGGGTGACTATCGTTAACAATATATTGTATACTTAAAAATTACTAAGAGAGTTGGTTTTAAGTGTCCTCATCACAAAAAAATAAGAAGTATGTGAAGTAATGCACATGTTAAATAGCTTGATCTAGCCATTCCACAATGAATACACAATTATCAAAACAACATGTTGTACTCTATAAACAGATACAATTTTTATGTCAATTAAAATAATCTTTTTTAAAAAGAAACAAAAACGTGAGGTTCATATATGAACAACAGACATTAAAGGCTACTAATCTTCTAAAAACTTACAAGGACAAATCAAGAGTCAGGAAACTTTTTCTGCAAAGGTCTAGAGTATATAATTTAGGCTTTATAGGCCATAAGTCTGTACTGTAACTACTCTACTACAGTAGTGCAAAAGGAGTAACAGACAAAACATAATCAAATTAGTGTGGATGTGTTCTAATAAAGCTTTATTTATGAGGACTGAAAGCTGAATTTCATATAATTTTCATATGTCACAAAAAACCACTTTTAAAGTATTTTCCTAATCATTTAAATATGTAAACACTATTCTTAGACAATGGGATATGCAAAACCAGTTGGTGGGTCACGTTTGGCCTAAAGGCCATGGTCTGCCAACCCTTGAGATAAAGCGTCTTTATCTTATGAACATCGAAATGAAGTAAGACCCACATATGCATACAACCTCTCACCAGTCTCTCTTCTCTGATCTCTCCCAATTCTCTATCCCCAAAGCCAAAACTTGGAAGGGGCTGCCATAGAAGATAAGAATAATAACTGTCATAGAAGTTAAAACACCTGGAGTTTTAAAAACAAACAAAAGAAGAATCCAGCAACAATAACAAAAACACTTATGAGAGTCTTGTGTAAAGATGGCAAAGCTGAAATTGGAAAACAACCGTACAGGACGCTTTCCAGCTTTAATCTTAATATGGCTCACCAAAGACTATTCACATCATTTTGATAAACAATGTGAAAGATTAATAGGCATCCATTCCTTAAATACTTTTGGGAAAGTAAAGAATTATGATTCATTTGAACTATTAATGTCAATTAGTCCTTGCAGCTTTTTTTTTTTAGTTCTGACTTAGCTAAGAAGAGTAATATTAGAAGAGCAATAGTTATAACTAGGAAAAATGGAGAATGAAGAAACATTTGTAGCCTTTCTTCTGAGGGTATTTTTGGAATACTAGTCATTTGAATATCGAAAGATACGTATATTTAGCTTTTTATTTGTGGACATTCCTAAATATTGTTAATTAACTTTTCCCCATGTCATAAAACTTTCTAGAAAACTAAATTTTAAGCTGGATGCTGTGGTGCACACCTATAATCTTAGCTACTTGGGAGGCTGAGGCAGGAGATTGCTTGAGTCCAAAGGTTTAAGGCTGCACAACTTAATGATCTGTGAATAGACACTGCACTTCAGCCTGGCAAAACAGCCAGACCTGCATCTCAAAACAAACAAACAACAAAACCCAACTTCAATTTGCAACAATGTAAGAAAACAAAATGTTATGTCTTATTTAGCTCATTAAGCACATTTCCTCTTCCAGAAAAACTGTAAGGAAAATTAATGCCAATTTACTACCTCCATGAGTCTAACACAACAATAGAAAATAATCCTGAAACCAAAATTATTTAAGACTTCTACATATCTTTCACAATTTTTCTCAATTGGGCAATCTTTTCCATAGATGGCTTAAAGTAAAATTTTTGAAGTCCTTCAAATTTCCTACTACAAGAAAACTAGGTTTATACGCTAGGGATAATGCTTATAATTTAATAGTTCTTATTAGGAGCTTGTTATATAGTAGGTATCCGTACTAAAAGTACCCAAATAAACTGAATTCAAAGATATTCACAGAATTAAAACTATTTTGAGGCATGCTTATCACCCGAGAAAGAAGACATGATCATGTTTTCCTTAAGATTCAACACAAATGTATAAAATGTCATGGACTGGACACTTCTAAAGGGGCCACACAGCAGTTGTTAACAATGAACAACATAAATTCCAAAAGTTTGGGCATTTAACTATTATTTGGGCATCATTAATAAATTAGTTGTTTGTTTCTAAACTCTCCTGATGCTAAGCAAATCCAGACCATCAGCAATCAATCTAAAGACAATGAGCCTACTTGATATCACACAATCTCATTAATCTTCATCTGTCCTACCGCATCCTATCACTCTTACGCAAAATGAACACTAGAGGACTCAACTTCAACTTCTCTTCACTATCTAAGCAGGAGGTAGAAAAAAGCCTCGGGGACTTAGGGACATCACAAGCAATTATTTCACCAGCCTAGTGTGCTACATCACAGCAAATGAGTCTGACATGTAAATGTGACATAGCAAGGAGTAAAATAACGCAGTTCTTGAGCTATGTGTCTCACTGTCTTTGCTAAAACACCAGAATCCCCAAGAAACTTTGGCTTTAGTCTCCCCAGAAGACATGAAACTGAAATACTGTCAAAAAGAGACACTAAATATGCACAACACATGGGTAACATAATGATATCAATTTCACTCCTGTGACAGTCCAGGAATTCTCCTTGTTTTAACATACTAACCTAAAATCATCATAACATAGAGGTTGTGGGGTAAGAGGCAACAAGATTGTAAAATATGCTAGCTAATTTAAAAGGCCAAATGCCTGGATTTAATGTAGCCAAAATTACACTATATATATCAATTTCTTTGACCCTACAATGATCTTTTTTTTTAATCAGTTTTAGCCTAAAAACATAAAATGTACTTTAACTCTTCGTCGCCTCTTTTATTCCTACTACAGTTTCTTCCAGACAATAAAGATGGTAAAAACTGTGTCTTTACTTCATAACAGGATGTTGTTGTTTTAATTGTCCTTAAAACTGTTTTGTTTCTACCAGCACATTCATGGCACAGTTTGAACATTACGTGCTAATCATACAAGTGTGGAAACAACTTTATAGTACTATTAAACAATATAAGTAATGTTCCACAGTAGTTCTTCAGAGAAAAAGTATCTGGAAAGGAAACAGACTTAAAATTTTACTGCATATTCTCTTGTATTTCACAAACTTTAGAGAACTTGACAAGGACATACACTTTTGATACAGTATATATCATCTGAGTAGTAACAAAAGTATAGTTAAAAAAAATTCATGTTCCACAGGGAGTTCTACCTGAAAGAGAAATGAATTAAATATTAAACTTTTTTATAATTATCACTAAATACTGAAGGCACTTTCCCCACCATAACTACAGAATATATACAGCACATTTAGGCCATGGTTCAAAATAAGAGGGAATCAATGAATAAAAAGAGGGATGTGAGGAAAGTGTGGATAAAAGATATATATATATATATATACACACACACACACACATATATATATATATATATATATATTTTTTTTTTTTTGTGGGGAGGGATATAAAGAAAGTGATTTTGTATGAGGGACCTTGCATGGTGGATTCTTGTCCTAGAGTAAAGTAACTGGTTGTTTGAGAGGGAGATGGTGTAGGACAGGTCACAAGGTCCAGACATGTCATGGATGGTCTGTGTGGGTGATAATGGGGTTTGTGAAAGGGAATTTGTGAGGGGAGTTTTGTGTGTGATTAAGCTGGCTGTGACTGAAGGAAAACTGTTCGTGGTAGACTTTCTAGAAAATGGTCTAGGTGTTAGAGCCAGCTTTTCTTAAGGTATTAATTTGCTAACTTACCAGAATTTTTGCTTTTTCAATTCTGTGATTTATTTCTTTTGAAAGCTTCTCAGATTTGTGTAACTCTTTCCTTTAGCTTTTTTGTCAGCTCCTGTAACTTGTTTCTCCTCTGGTTCTGACTGCTGTTATGGCCTGATACTAGAGTGTTTTGCCTTAGAGATCTACAGGAACACTTTTCCCCCAGTATAGCTTGATTTGATGCTCTTGGTTTTTCTTGATATATAATCTTATTTTTGGCTTTTAATATTTGACTCCTATATTGCTTAAAATGTTTTAAGCCACCTCCATTCCTCTCTGGCCTAAAATGTTTAATTGGCTATAAGTCTTTTGACTTACACGTTCCCCGGCCAAAGGAAATCCTACAGAAACCTAAAAAACTAATTCAAGCCATGATGGGAAATAGGGGGTTGGACAGACTTCACTATGCCACCCCGGCTCTTGGAATTTAGGCCAGGTTCAAAAGGCCTTTCAAAATTATGAAAATAAAGTGTTGCCGTTTCCCACAAAGAAAAAAATAGTTCCTCTGTTTAACCAGACTTAGTCTTACTAAGAACTTAAAAAGAAAGATCCCCTGATGATCAATTACAACCCAAAATGGAAGGACCCCTATCAGGTATTGTTAAGGACCTCCACTGCTGTCAAACATTAGAGAATCACTAGCTGGATACAGCTGTCCAGGATTAAACCTGTTTCTTGTAAGTCGCTGCAGGCATAAGAGGAAGACACCATAACTTACAAACCTCTAGAAGACTTAAAGCTATTATTTCACAAACACACAGATAAATAATGTGATGCTGTGGGTGGGCATAGGAGCATTAAGTTTTCTCTTCCTTATAATTGTAATTTTCTTGTTTAACCTCCTACTAAAGTTTGTATCTTCTAAAGTCAACATAAAGATGATGCTGGCACAAGGCTTCCAACTCATCTTATCTTCTGACCCAGAAAATGAAAATATCCTGCTGTTGGGCTCCTTAGATCAGGTATCCAGAGATTTTTACTCCTCCCATGCTAGGCAGAGCCTATGTTTATAAAATCAGCAGAAAGCACTTACAGAAGATAGACCTGTGCCCATCTGCAGCCCTTTAAGATTAAGGAGGAGTTTCTAATCTCTGAGGGGGGAATAAGGTAGGAGACCAACAAGACTTGTTTTCTGGTGAAAAACTCTGCTGAACAAAACAGGATCTAGTCCACATGGGGCAAAGTGAAGAAACTGGCCAAAGCCAGCAGATGGCAACAAAAGCGATCTCTAGCTGCGCTCAATGCTCATTGGCCTAAGACACTGCCACCAGAACCATGGCAGTTGACAAATGTCATGGCAATGACTCAAAAGTTACCACCCGTTTCCATGGCAGTGACCCAGAAGTTACCCTTTCATAGAATCAATTTGTGTTAACTCACCCTTTAATTTGCATGTAAATGAAAGTGGGCATAAGTGAGTATAAATACAGTTGCCAAAAGCCCACACCTTGCCAACTCTGGGTGCACTGCTTATGAGTTAGCCCTGCACCACAACGGGCAGTACCAATCAATAAAAGATTGCTGTCTAACACCCCCAGCAAGTTCTTGAATTCTTTCCTGGGGGTAGCAAAGAACCCTCCTAGGCTATGTCCCAATTCTGGGGCTGGCCTGTCCTGTATCACCCTGATAGAAACATATCTTCTCCCACTTATTCAATCAAATGCTAATCTAGGTGCTACTGCGAAGGGCTTTTGCAGGATCCTTAATCAACTGACTTCAAGGTCCAGAGATTTTTCCTCAATAAGGCTAACCTCATTAGATGAGCCCTCCAAAGGGACAAATTTCCTGGCAAAGGAAATTTGAAGTGTGACAGGGATAAAACATAATGGAGTTTTCCATTGCTGTTTCTGATGGAGGAGGGGGCTGTGTGGCAAGGAATGTGGGTAGTCTCTAGGAGCTGGGAGTGGCTCCTAGCTGACATCAAGTAAGGAAATTCAGTCTTTAGTTCTCAGCCCCAATCACAAGTGAGCTGTGCCACAATCATGTGAGTTTAGAAACATGAGCTCCTAATGCGAATGCAGTCTAGCCAACACTGTGTTTTCAGTCTTTAGTTTAAATCCTGAGCAGACAAACTAGTCATGCTGTGCCCACATTCTAACCTAAGAAATGTGAACTAACAAATGGGTGCGAAGCTGCTAAATTTGTGGTAATTTGTTACACAGAAAGAAAACAACAATACAAGCACTAAACAGGCCAAGTCAGACAGCTTGATTTAGAAAAATGCAGTTAAGTTTACTGTAAGCCTTACATCCTACTTCAAGAAATATATCTAATATCGAGGACACCCAACATTAGGAAGCCAAAGAAGGCTACTATTAGATTAAGCCGTAGTGACAAAAATCCTAAGACATTTTAGAGCTTATTAACCACAGGGAAACCAGGAAATAAATATCATAAAAATACAATGAATTCTTACCAGGAGAAAGATTTTTCTGGATTCAGCACCCTTTATTTGTGAAACCAGAGGCAGAATTAGGTAAACTTTAAGGGCTCTTTCAGCAGTTTCTACAGTCCTTGTTAAGATACAGTCTTATACTTTGTATAGACTTCAGAGATGCCTTAACACCAACCCAGATTCTATAAATACTCAGAACTCACCTATCTTCTAATAAAATACTGCATCAGGAAGGGAATGATTTTTTAAGGTCCAAAGCTTTCCTGAATTTTACCAAAGGATCTTTATCACACAGCAAAATACCTAACCAAAGCAAGGCTTTCTTGCCACATAATAGTTACATTCAAAGGGGTCTTTTTTAAAAATCACATCTTTTAAAACTGAAAGAATGTGTATATGTACACAGGAAGAAAGTAGCTCATAAAGTCATACACAAGGCAATAATGCCAGCAACAACAAAAAAGAGAAACTGGTTCACGCTCTGAGAGCAAATGTTTACTCAACTTAAATCCTTATAAAATATTACATATTAGATATAGATGAGGAACTTAAATTACTGAACTCCTTTATTAAATTATGACCTAGGGAAAAAGTGGTAGTAATAGTTTAAAAGGACTGGTTTTGCACCTATACTACTTAATTTAATGTGACAGCCTGACTAACTTCTTAAAAAAATAGAAGAATCCATTATTTTTATTCTAATTACTTTAAAAACAACAATTAGGACAGTACTTCTTCAAAGTTCTTGTGTTGATGGCAACTGGAGTCTAACTAGTACTTGCTAAATAGCTAGAATGTACCTTCGTATAGATGAAAATGTTGAAAACTCTGGAAGAATAAATTAGATGAAACAAAGAATTTCAAAACTTCAATTCTCTAGAGAAATATGCTAAAAGTAAGATACAAGATTGGGGAGTAGATATTGAAGAGTTATGAAATAGTTTCATTAATACTGAATCATAAGCAATAAAAATGTAAATAAAAGCTTTCCTTTGTTCTCTTCATTTCCTTTAGTTTAAGATCCTTTGTAGGACAGCTCTCTGGGTGGTCTTGGAATGACCAAGTTCTCTCTCTCCCATCGTAGCTCTCAAGAATAACTGTAGCATGTGCAGGAAATGCAACATCCTGAGACAGGGAGGGACCGGCTGGAACAGCCCAGGTTCTACTCCAGTCCTCCCCTAAAAACAGGATGTCCTCCAACACTTTAGCCCAGTGAGTCTCACATACTCAGTGTATAAAACCTGGAACAGGGTGCTTTCCAGAGGCCCTCAGCTGCAGTGCAAGTGGGGCATATGCAGTCAAGATTCCATTCACCCAGGGCAGTTTTCCTGAACCTTGAGAGACTAGCTTGCAATGAATCCTAGGCTTCTGTTGTATCTTGCTGCCTATCCAGAAGTGGTAAACTTGCTTTGTATAACTTGTATGCAAGAATGTTCTGTCTTACCAGACTCAGACAAGATGGTAACCAGTCCACAGTGAACCTGCTTTACATTCTTCAATATCCTCTAAATGAAATACTGATTAGAAAGTAATTTGACAAAAACAAAAACCTGATAAAATCAAACAAGCCAGTTCTTGATTTTATAATATCCACAATGCCTTCTCTCTTACCTTGTCTATCCTATCTGGACGGTTAGTAGCTGCCAAAATGGTCACATCCTTTAGCTGTTCAATCCCATCCATTTCTGTTAAGAGCTGAGCCAAAACACGATCGGCTACATTCCCAGCACCTAAAGAACTGATTTTGAAAGTACGGTTTAAAAAATATCTTTACTTATCTTCAAATACTATTATCTATTAATTTTTAAAGGTTCTATAGTCTATAACAAGAGAAATCATGTCTATTTTCAAATATGAAGTATGCATTTGAGACTTTATTTACTGCATTATCATATCTCAAAACAAACTGTATTCAAATCATTTATTTTCCTCTATCATCAACCATGTTCATTTTCATTCCAAAACAAAAATATTTAAATAAATGTCAGAAATAAAAGCACTGGAAAACAAGATATAAGATTATTTAAAATAGTTCATCAAATACATAGAGAATTGTTCAATCAATGTTTATATTCTACATGGTAAATATGTTGACAGAAATTAGAATAAAAAACTGAGTAAGATGCAAACCCATTCCTCACATGAAACCTAAAGTCTATGTGAAATAAAAAACTCATTACGCATCCACAGCAACTAGGATATTTCTGATGTTTCTTCATAAATATTAAGAATATTTTTAAAACACATCAGAAGGTAGGTAATCACCACAATCCCGATTTCTTGAGAAACAGGCAAAGAAAGCAGGCTAGTTTTTTTTCCTTTGGTTTACGTACCAAGTCCATTACAAAGCCAGTTCTAAACACACTATCCTCTAACTTCATGTCCTTTGACCACAAAAAAATTACTAAATATAAGTTTTTAAGAAATAAACTCGGGCCAGGCGCAGTGGCTCACGTCTGTAAAACCTTTGGGAGGCCGAGGCAGGTGGGTCACTTGAGGCCAGGAGTTCAAGACCAGCCTGGCCAACATGGCGAAACCCCGTCTCTACTAAAAAAAATAAAAAAATTAGTCAGGTGTGGTAGTATGTACATGTAATCCCAGCTACTCAGGAGGCCGCAGCATGAGAATACCTTGAACCTGGGAGGTGGAGGTTGCAGTGGGCGGAGATCACGCCACTGCACTCCAGCCTGGGCAACAGAGTGAGATTCTGTCCCAAAAAAAGAAAAAAAAAAGAAGTAAACTCAACAGATCCTACTAATGAACAAAACCCTGTATCACACAGTCAAAATGTGCAAAATAATTCTCATTAGCAATAGCTTGGATTTCCTCCAAGACCTATTTGGAATTGATAAATATGTAATAAACAACTGAGTGGACAATTATAGAGTAACACAGCATTGTAAGCGTATTAAACATGTAAATTCAATTAGATGCACTTGGGTGGAAGAGGACGTAAAGTAGAAGGAGATACACACCCAATAACTTTGTTAGCACCTGTGACAAAGAAACACACCTCAGTATAATCATCATGTAATATATTTAATAATAAGGTAATCAGCATCTCTAAATGACAGTATTTAGACTTATAAGTTAAAGTATTTAGTTAAGTATTTAGACTTATAAGTTCAAAAATTTGACTTAGTGTATCCACAGGAGAATAGCCTCTAACTCACACTAATCAAATGCACATGAGGTTGTCATACAAATCACAACGCTAATTTATTAATTTAACATGGTCTTCTCCAGTATTTAAAATATATGGGACCAAAGAGTACTTGCAAAGTCAATGAGAACTGTTTTGGGCACTAATTCTTGCAGGTAGCTACTCTGCCGGTACACAAATTTGCTTTTTTGACTCTACGTAAGAATAAACATTGAACACTATAAACAAATGGATTCTATATCTGTATTAGACCGTTCTCACACTGTTATAAAGAACTACTGAGACTGGGTAATTTATGAAGAGTACAGGTTTAATTGATTCACAGTTCCACTTAACAGCAAGCATGACCGGGAGACCTCAGGAAACTAACAATTATGGCTGAAGGAGAAGAGGAAGCAAGGACTTTCTTCACATGGCAGGAGGAGAGAGAGAGAGAGCACGAAGGGGGAAGTGCCACACACGTTTAAATCATCAGATCTCATGAGAACTCACTCACTATCATGAGAACTGAAAGGGGGAAATCTGCCCCCATGATCCAATCACCTCCCACCAGGAGTCTCCTCCAACATACGGGGATTACAATTTGACATGAGAGTTGGGTGGGGACACAGAGCCAAACACTATCAACATCCTTCAAAAGATTCTCCATAATATAACTTTTCCACGTGGGAGTTTAACTGTCAAGTAGAAACACAGTTGGCAAAAGCTTTAGGAGGTCTTTCATAATTACTACAAGCATAGTAAATATTTCAGGCTGCCAATAAATTACATCGGAGGCCTTTAATTGTATCTACTCTGCTAATCACTTGTGATTCTATACCAGAAAAAACTCAGGAAGGTAATATGGACAGGTCTCAGGAGAGTCAAGGTGGGCTGTCATAAGAAAGATGGTTTCTAAGGTAAAACCTAAAAACTTGGTGGGTATCAGGCAAGCAAAGGGTGAAAGGAGGGAAAGAGAGAGAACACAGAATACTAAAAACTGGATAAAGTGCACAATGGCTCAGCATAACAGTAAAGTGAAAATGTATTATAAAAGATAGTACAGAAAAATAAACCAAGGCTGAAAACAAAGACCTTGTTATCCAAATCATGGAGTTTGGATTTTATGCTACAGTTAATGGGATGTTTCAACTAGAGACATGACCTAATCAGATTTGTGTTTTTGAGAAACACCATGGCTGCCTGCAGTGTAGAGAAGAGACAATAAAAGGACAGCATTGTTCCAATTTCTGGTCCAGAACGTTAAGAGCTCGGAAGTCTTCGCTCCGTCCTAACAGCAAGTAAAAAGCTGAACAAACTGAAAAACCAACTCTTCTTAGATACATCATATTAGTAAGGTCACAGGGCAAATCACTGCCCCCAAAATTGGAGAGACAGACAGCCCAGGTACAGAAAATCACAACTTTCTGGAGCGGAAACCCACAAAGAGAAACCTCCATGAGAGCCAGTGCCAGGGTAGGACAACTGGAAATGCAATTAACAAACTGCTGGGGGTTCAGTGTTTGACAAGTCTGAGAGTCATAGAGCGGGGTCCCTCACACATTTGTGAGTTTTATCTTCAGCAACTACACCAGCTTCTCACAGTGAAGATCTGAGAAAAATTACCCTGTGCTTCTGGCAGGAGGAAGGAAAAGTACCCATTGTGAAATACACTAGAGCATTCTCTTCTTAAAAAGGCCTGCTCCTCAAGAGAAAATATTTTTTCCCAGAGCTTATGTTATTGAGGTTTTATTAGACACCAACTGACCCAGAGGAAGAGAAATACCCAACTTCAGCCCTCTCTAGCCTTTCCCATGGGAGAATGAAAATAAAAAACTCCAGCTCCATCTAGCCATCCTGTCCCACCTAACGGGAGAAAATTGTGAAGTTCACAGTCCAAGGGTATAGACTCACTAAAAGACTCAGACCTAATCACAGGACCATGGAACACTCCTTCCCATACTCCCCCCAACACCTTACCATTATATAACTAAAGCCTCATTTACTGCAATTCATTTTATCCCATATATCATGTCTGGCTATCAAAGAAAGATTACAAGGCCTACGAAGACAGAAATAACACAGTTTGAAGAAATTGAGTACACATCAAAAGCAAAGTCAAATGTGGCAGAAACACTAGAAGTGTCAGACCAGGAATTTTTAAAAAACTATGATTAATATGTTAAGGATTCTAATGGACAAAGTAGACAACAAGTAAGAAAAGATGAGTAATGTAAGCAGAGTGATGGAAATTCTAAGCAAGAATCAAAAAGAAATGCTATAAAAAAGAAATGCTAGAGATCAAAAACACTGTAACAGAAATAGAGATTACATCTGATGGGCTCATTAGTCAACCGGAAACAGCTGAGGAAAGAATCTCTGCACTTACGGATATGTATATACAAACTTCCAAAACTGAAAAGCAAGGATAAGGAAAACTTTATGAAAACAAAATACTGGACTAGATTTAAAAAAAAAATAATAAAACCACACAGAACAAAATATCTAAGAACTATGAAGCAAATAGGTGTAGCATGTGTAATAGCAACACCAAAAGAAGAAAGAAGAGAACCAATATTTGAAGAAACATTCACTGAGAATTTCCCCAAATTAATGTCAGATACACATCCAGGAAGTCCAGTGAACACTGAGCAGAATAAATGTAAAAACAAACAAACAAACAAAAAGCTACACATAGGCAGAAAATCAAAGATTTTTAAAAAACCTTTAAGAAGTCATATGTCGAGGGGTGGGGACCACCTTACTTACAGAAGAGCAAGAATTACGTTAACTTCTCCTCAGAAACCATGTGAGCAAAAAGAAAGTGAAGCGAAATATTTAAACTATTGAGAGAAAAAAACCCACCAATGTATAATTTTATATCCTGCAAAAACATCCTTCAAAAATGAAGGAGAAAATTTTTCTCAAATAAAAATAAGGAATTTGTTGCCAGTAGACCTGCCTTGCAAGAAATGTTTAAAGTTCTTCAGAAAGAAGAAAATATAGGTCAGAAATTTTGATCTATATAAAGAAAGAGAAAGAAGAAATAAAGAAGATAAAAACTTTAATTTTTCCTACTTTTAACTGATCTAACAAAAGCTTGTTCAAAATAACAACAATGTATTTGATACCTATAGTTTACGGACAAGTGAAATGAATGACAAAAATGATACAAGGGACATGAGAAGGATAACTTAGGAATTTTTTTTATTATAAGGTACTTGCACTACCTGTGAAGTGAATAGGGCTATTTGAAAGTAGAAATATATTGCAAAACTTAGGGTAACAACTGAAAAACAAACAAACAAAAAAACCCAAAAAACTTAACAGTCTAAGAAAAGAGATAAAATAAAATAACATAAAATGCTCAATTAAAGCCATGAAAGAGAAGAAGAAATGGGAATGAAGAACAAAGGCGACTAATAGAAAACAGTAACAAATATCGTAGATATTAATCCAACTATATCAATAATCACTTTACACATCAACGGCCTAAATGCACCAATTAAAGAACAGAGATTGAATGAATAAAAAAAATAAGACCTAACTATATATTGCCTACAAGAAACCCACTTTACCAACAAAAACAAATATAGCTTAAAAGTAAAAAAAATGAAGAGAGACATACAATGCTAACACTAAGCCAAAGAAAGCTGGAGTAGCTATATTGATTCCAGACACAGTAGACTTCAAGCATGCAAAATTCTCAGAGACCAAAAGGGGTATTATATAATGATAAAAGGGTAAATTGTCTAAGAAGACAGAACAATCCTTAACGTGTATGCATCTAACAACAAATCAGCAAAACGTGAGGCAAAAACTAATAGAACTATAAGGAGAAGCAGATGAATACGCTATTATAGCTGAAAACTTCAACATCACTTTATTAGAAATAGATCCAACAGGCAAAAAAATCAATAAGAACATAGTTGAACTAAATCACAATTCAACTGGATATAACTTATATCTACACACTAATTCATACAGCAACAGCCAACACATTCTTCATAAACTCAGACAGAATATTCATCAAGATAGACCACATTCTTGTCCATAAAACACACATGAACAAATTTAAAAGAAATCATAGAATGTCTGCTTTCAGACCAAAATAGAATTAAACTGAAAGTCAACAGCAAACAGCTAAAAAAAAAAAATTCCAAAATACTTAAAAGACTGAACAACACACTTGTAATACAAAGGAAAAAAAAAGAAACTTCAAGAGAAATTTTAAAATATTTTTAGGCCGGGTGCAGTAGCTCACGCCTGTAATCGCAGAACTTTGGGAGGCCGAGGTGGAAGGATTTCTTGAAGCCAGGAGTTTGAGACCAGCCTTGGCAACAGAGTGAGACCCCATCTCCATAAAAAATAAAATAAATGTAGTCAAGCTTGGTGATGCATGTCTGTAGTTGTAGCTAGTTGGGAGGCTGAGACAGGAGGATCACTCGAGCCAGGGAGGTTGAGGCCTTAGTGAGCTGTGATCGCACCACTGCACTGAGGTGTGGACAGCAGAGCAAGACCCTGTCTCTGTCTCTGTCTCTCTCTCTTTATATATATATACACACACACACACACACACACACATATATATATACTATTTACATATATACACTAGTTTTATAGATATATATCTATAAATATATAAATAGAACTTATCAAAGTTCTATTGTCTATAAATATGCAAAGAAAATAGAACTTATCAAAATTTGTCAATGCAGAGAAAGCAGTACTTAAAGCAAAACTTATAGTATTGAGAGTATATATTAGAGAAGATCTAAAATCAATACTAAGCTTTCACCTTAAGCAACTAGAAGAGCAAGCTAAAGTAAGCAGAACGAAAGAAATAATAAAAATTAGAGCAGAAATCAATGAAATCTAAAATAGGAAGTCAAAAGAGAAAAAAACAATGAAACTAAAAGTTGGTCCTTTCAGAGAATCAATAAAATCAATAAGCCTGTAGCCAGGCTATCTACGAAAAAAAGAGAAAAGACATAAATTCCTAATATCAGATATGACAGAGGACACATCACTACAGATCTATATATATTAAAAGGATAATTTTAAAAAACTAAGACATCCTATGGCCCAAAATTTGATAACCTAGATGAAATGAATAAATTCCTTAAAAACTTCAATCTGCCAAAACCCACACAAGAATAAACAAATTGAATAGGCCTGTGTCAGTTAAAGAAATTAAATAAATAATTAATAACCTTTCAAAACAGAAAGCACAAAACCCAGATCGTTTCCTGGTGAATTCAACCAAACATTTAAGGAAAAAATTACACCAGTTCTCTAATCTCTTTTAAAAAATAGAAGCAGAGTGAATACTTCCTCATTCTATGAAGCCACAATTAGACGAATACCAAAACCAAACGAACATATCACAAAAAAAGAAAACTACAGACAAATATTGCCCATAAACATAGATGCAACAATCCTCAACAAAATCTTACCAAATCAAATCTAACAACATGTAAAAATAATTATGAGGTGGGAGGATTACATTAGCCCAGAGTTCAAGAATGCAGTGAGCTATGATTGTGCCACTACACTCCAGCTTGTGCAACAGAGTGAGACCCTGTCTCTTAAAAAAAAAAGAAAAAAAAAAAAAAGAATAATTATATACCATTATAAAGTGGGATTTATTCCAAGTACCCAAGGCTAGTTTAACACTTGAAAACATTACATTACAATTGATGTTACAACTGATGTAACATTATATCAATTAATTTAATCCATCTCATCAAGACTGAAGAAAAAAATCTCATAATCATATAAATAGATGAAGAAAATATTTGACAAAATCCAATACCCATTATTGGTAAAAACAAACAAACAAAAAAACACCTCTCAGCAAACCAGGAATAGAGCAGAACTTCCTTAACTTGGTAAGGAACAGCTACAAAAAACCTACAGCTAACATCACACTTAATGGTGAGAAATTAGAAGCTTTTCTGCTATGATTAAGAACAAGGCAAGGATGACCCTTCTGCCCATTCCTTTTCAACATCACACTACATAAGAAAGGGAAATAAAAGGTACAGATAGGGGAGGAAGAAATAAAAGTGTCTTTGCAGATGATGTGATCATCTATGTAAAAAGTGTGAAATTATCAACAAAACCACTCCTGAATCTAATAAGCAATTATAGCAAGGTTGCAGGATACAAGGTTAACCTATGAAGTAACTGCATTCTTATATATCAACAATTAAAAAGTGTTTCAAATTAAAAACACATTATCATTTATATTAGCACCCCAAAAAAATGAGTTATAACTCTAACAAAATGTGTACAAAATCTATATGAGAAAAAATACAAACACCAATGAAAGAAAACTGAAGAAAATCTAAATAAATGGAGAGATATTCCACACTCATGGAAAGGAAGACTCAACACTGTTAAGATGTCAATTCTTTTCAACTTGATCCACAGATTCAATGCAATCCCAACCAAAACCCCAACAAGTTATTCTATGAATATTGACAAACCCATTATAAAGTTTATACTGAGAGGCAAAAGATCCAAAATAGCTAATTCAATATTGAAGGAAAAGAACAAAGTTGCAGGACTGACACTATCCAAATTCAAGACTTCCTATAAAGCGACAGTAATCAAAACAGTGTGGTAGTGACCAAAAAAAAAAAAAAAGAAAAAAGAGAGAGAGAGACAGAGACACACACAAAAAGTACCAACAGAACAGAACAGAGAGCCTAGAAATAGACCCACATAAATACAGCTGGCTAATCTTTGGCATAGTAGCAAAGGCAATACAAGGGAGCAAAGATGGTCCTTTTAACAAATGATGCTGGAACAAGTGTACATCCACATGCAAAAAAAATGAATCTAGACACATCCCTTACACTTCTTCCAAAAACTGACTCGGAGTAGATTACAGACCTACATGTAAAACACAAATTATAAAACACCTAGAAGACAGCATAAGAGAAAACCAAGATGACCTTGGGTATGGAAATGACTATTTAGGTACAATGGCAATGACATCATCCACAAATAAAACAACTGATAAGCTGGCCATTATTAAAACAAAAACCTTCTGCTCTGTAAAAGACGACATCAAGAAAATGAGAAGGCAAGCCACAGACTGGGAGAAAGTGTCTACGAAAGACACATGTGATAAAGACTGTTATCCAAAACATACAAAGAATTCTTAAAACTCAACAAGAAAACAAGCAGATTAAAAAATAGGCCAAAAACTGAACAAACACTTCACCAAAGAAAATACACAAACAATAAGCATATGAAAAGATGGTCAACATCATATATTATTAGGGAACTGCAAATGAAAACAATAAGATACCATTACACACCCACTAGAATGGCCAAAATCAGGAAAGTTGCCAACACCAAAGGCTGATGAAGCTGTGAAGCAACAGAAACTTTTATTCACTGCTGATGGGGTAAAAAATGGTACAACCACTCTTGAAGACAGTTTGGAAGTTCCAAAAATAAACTCTCAGAAAACTAAAAATACTCTTACCACAGGTTCCAGCTATTGCATTCCTGGATATTTATCAAAAGGAATAGAAAACTTATATCCACAAAAAACTTGCACACAGATGTTCCCAGAAGCTTTATTCACAGTCTTCATAACTTGGAAGCAACCAAGATGTCCTTCAGTAGGTTAATGGGTAAACTGAGGTAGGTCCAGACAATGGAATATTATTCTGTGCTAAAAGGAAATAAGCTATCAAGTTATGAGAAGGCATGGAGGAATATTAAATGCATACTACTACATGAAAGAAGCCAATCTGGAAAAGCTACATATTGCATTATTCCAACTACAGGAACACTGCATAGGAATGTATAGGATATTCCAAAAGAGGCAAAACTACGTAGACTGTAAAAGGATCAGTTGCCAGGTTAACACCTGGTTACAGAGGAGGCAGAAATGAACAGGGATGGCACAAAGGATTTTTAATGCAGTGGAACTATTCTGTACGACAGTATCATGGTAGATATATGTTATTACACATTCATCCAAACCCACAGAATGTACAATACCAAGAGTTAACCCTAATGTTAATTATGGACTTTGGGTGATAATTATGTGTCATTGTAGGTTTATAGATTGTAACAAATGTATCACTCTCCCACAGGATGTTAACAGCTGGGGAGGTTGTGTGTTTCTGAAGACAGAGTATATATGAGTACTCTGTACTTTCCACTCAATGTTGGTGTGAACCCAAAACTACTCTAAAAAAAAAAAGTCTATTTAGAAAAAATAAATAAATTTAAGAGTATTATTGATGTCAGTCAATTAGAAAAATGTTGGAGCGATCCAGGACGGATAGTTAGCTGTCTGAATTAAAATCATGGCAAAAGAGACAGAAGTGGATATATGTGAGAAATATTAAGGAAATACAATCAATAGGGCTGATAAACTAATGTCTCCATGGAGTCACCGGATGAAAAAAACTTTAACTGTAAACATGGTGGGTTGTCCTGTGGGACAACTGGAGATTTAGATATTTAGAGTTAGAAAGAGGTACAAAATGGAAATACAAATTTTACCAGTCCTTGTCATAAAGATGGTACCTGGAGAATGGAAATAGATCACCGAGAAAAAATACATAGTTAGAAGAAAGGTAAATGCATAATGAAGAGAATGCTAACACCAGTATTTTAGGTACAGGAAGTGATAGGGGAATTTGCAAAGGAGAAGGGGTGTGCAGTAGTCAGATGGGGCTGCCAGAGCAAAATAACATAAATTCAGTAGTTTAAACAACAGAAATTATTTTCTCACATTCTGGTAGATGGAAGTCCAAGGTCAGCATGCCAGAATGGGCAAGTTCCAGCAAGAGTTCTCTTATTGGCTTGCAGGTGGCTGCGGTCTCGCTGTGTCCTCAGATGGCAGAGAGAGAGTGAGAGCACAAACTTGAGAGAGCGCTAGCTCTCTGCTATCTCCTGTTATAAAGGCACTAATCCCATCATGTGGGAACTAACCTTACGACTTCATCTAAACCTAATTATCTCCCAAAGGCTTCATCGCTAAATACCATCACATTCGGGGTTAGGGCTTCAATATATGAATTTTACGGGTATCAGAGAAGAAGAAAGGAAACCAAGGAATAAAGGGGATAGTGTATCAAGAAGGTTGGAGTTGGCCAGGTGCGGTGGCTCATGCATGTAATCTCAGCACTTTGGGAGGCCAAGGCGCATGGATCACGAAGTCAGGCGATCGAGACCATCCTGGCTAACACGGTGAAACCCCATCTCTACTAAAAATACAAAAAATTAGCCGGGTGTGGTAGTGGGCGCCTGTAGTCCCAGCTACTCGGGAGGCTGAGGCAGGAGAATCGCTTGAACCCAGGAAGCGGAGGTTGCAGTGAGCTGAGACCTCGCCACTGCATTCCAGCCTGGGCAACAAGGGTAAAACTCCATCTCAAAAAAAAAAAAAAAAAAAAAGAAGGAAAAGAAAAAAAAAGCTGGAGTTAACTGTGTCAAATATTTTCGAGTCAAGTAAAGAAATAAAAAATAACAACTGGATTTATCAATAGGAAGGTTATACTCCTAGCATTGGCGAGGGTTACACATCAACAAAAAAATGTTAACCTGACTACACTACTAGATAAAACAGAATTCTTCTAATTTTTGTGCCCTACCTAGAGGAGTTCATGGAACATAACTAAACAGTTCCAAAGGAATGGCCTACTTTCATCAAAAGACAAAATCCTGGGCCATGCCACATCTAATTTATGCATGTTATTGCTTGCTTTGCCTTCTAACAGGAGCTACATCCAAATAATGTCAGATCCTATCCTTAGTTATATATATGCTCTCTATTTCTCCCAATGAATTAGTAAGATGGCCAAGTGTCTTACTGGAAAGTGTGAATGTATTACTTGAGTTTACCAAGCAGTAAAAAAATAGCTAAGTAAGTTTTATCTCATGTTAGGCAAAGATCATTGTGGCATGGCAGGAGGAAGACTGGAAGAAAAATAAGGGGAATAATTTCATTAGAATGTATAACAATTCATTCAATTCAATTTATTTGTTCAATAAACACTAGCTGGCAGGCACTACTTTAGGAAACAGAAATGAGAAGATTAAAGAAGACTGTCCCTATTCCCTCAAGGAGTGTTATAGAAAGAGAACCCCTCATTCCTAACACCATTCCCCTCATAAAAACAGTAATAACAACATAACTTCTCAAACAATGCAAAACAGAAGAAAATCAGAGCACAAAGGAGGGCACTGGACACTTCAAAAAGTTCCTAGGTGAAGGTAATCCTTATGCTAAACAAAGAACTGGTCGGAGGTAGCTGTTAGAGGACTGGGGGCTTTAATGTCTCATCTCTATGTTTTTCAGCTATCCTGAAATAAAGGTTCAGAAATCTAGCTGTGCTTTAGATTACCCATGGGTAACCATTTAGTGTTACCCATGAATCCAGGGTAACAATCAAACCCACTGAGTCAATCTCTGTGGGTCCTAGGAATCCAAAGATACTTTTTGGTAGCCATCTCCATTCTAGATTGAAGTTGGGGACTGCTGAACATTACCTGACATGGCCTTGCAAGTTACAGACACTTATAAATATTTATTGATAACCTGACTTAGGTCTTATGATGTGACCATTTATTTTAAAATTAGTTCTTCTACTAAGCCTACGTAAATCCATGCTCTTTACCTCTATACAATTCTAGACAAAAGTCTCAGTTCCAAACACTGACTAGCTATTATTAATGCACAAAAATAATATGTGCACATTCAAAAGCAGCAAAATCAGTGTTTTGTTCTACTGGGTATATGATTTCACAAACACGCTAATACTACACACCTCATATGTACAGTCTTTTATTCCTTGACGTTCATTAAGGTTGAACTATGACTTCAGCAGAACAGGCTAATCTTGTGCTGTCTCTGCCTTCCAACAGTCAAAACAGATTTCTCTTGTTTGAAACTTTTTGGTGGTTTAACAAACAAATGTTCAATGTCAAATATATTAAAGATAATGTGCTAGATGAAAAAAAGCATAAAATCAGGTGCACATAGAGAAAAAAAACAGGAACAATCTAGCAGAAAAGACATGAAAACTCTCACCCAATGCCTATCCAAGTGCCTTAACTAGAATGTTCCCTGCTTTTAACGGAATCGTCCAACCCACTTCTGTGACCCTCTCCCATGCTACTTTGCCATTAATATAATCTGTGTAAGATATGATTTTCTCTTACAAATAATGTGTGTTTTGGGAGACAATTCTCCACGGGTCTTTCACATTTCTTCAGTCTTATGAGCAAGGCACTAACTGGGGTGATGGAAATGTTCTGGAATTAGTGGTGATGGCTGCATAATATTGTAAACATACTGAAGTACCACTGAATTGTACACTTAAAATGGTGAAGAACAAAAACAAGAAACAACGTCCCCCTCCAGAGCAAAGAGTAGGTTTGGTTAGAGCTTCAGAAGCTACACAATTCATCTACCTCCCTCAGGGGCAAAGGGCAGGCAAGCTTACTGCCCAAGATAAAAGATCTGAGTTAACCAAGAGTGGGATTCCTGTCCTGTAATGCAACCTACCAGATGTGCAGATATCCATATGGCCCATATGCATCACCTCTTTTGGATGCAGTGTAAAGGAGGAACTGATACAAACATACAGATATTCTTGCTGCTTGCTGTGCTGTGAATAATGAAGTCATTCGTTTCTGACCCATGAGCCTCATGGTTTCTGCCAGTATCCATGCAACTGTGGAAGGCTACTTGTTAGCCTGCAAGTAGAAAACCCCAGATCTTTCACAGTTCTTGACTTAGACATCATGCAGGTAACAGAGCCAGTAAGTGGTTTTAAGATAGGAAAAAAAGGGGCCAGGCACGGTGGCTCACACCTGTAATCCCAGCACTTTGGGAGGCCGAGGCAGGCAGATCACGAGGTCAGGAGATCGAGACCATCCTGGCCAACATGGTGAAACCCCATCTCTACTAAAAATACAAAAAATTAGCCAGGCGTGGTGGCATACGCCTGTAGCCCTAGCTACCCAGGAGGCTGAGGCAAGACAATGGTGTGAACCCAGGAGGCGGAGCTTGCAGTGAGCTGAGATCGCGCCACTGCACTCCAGCCTGGGCAACAAAGTGAGACTCTGTCTCAAAAAAAAAAAAAAAAAAACAACAACAGGAAAAAAAAATTTCACTTACACACATGCACACACCACACAACCCCCCCGCCCCACCACCACCACACACACACACACACAGCACAGGGCTTGAGTTTCCCCAAAATGATCTTGGGTAGAATAACAACTGCACCAAAGAGAAAACAAGTATAAATCTGTGGTACTTCTGAAACATCTAGATGGGAGTATTCTGAAGATAGACCTGAGCTCAGTAGATAGTAGATAGTACTCAGTAGATAGGTCTGAGTTCAAAATAAGGCTAAAGACAGTGTTGCAGTTATCTTTATTTCTACATTGATTTCTTTTGGGGGTCAAAAGCAAAAAGTCTCCTTTAAGAGGGGAAAAAAATCCCTAACCCAAGACATAAAATGTCACTGAATATATACTGACTGGTAATCTCTTCTATGTTTACTTGTTTATCACCCCCCACCCCCCAAAAAAAGGCTAAGAGACTGACTCACCCCATCTCTAAAAAAAACAAATAAAAATAAAAATAAAGGCAATCTAAATGTACATAAATTTTCATCATATAATTAAAAAATAATTTTATATCTTAAACCCTAGGATGAATGTTGCAAACATAAATAACTGTACACATCAACAGATAACTAAGTTAAAAGAATATCATATCTAAGCTTTATTATAAGCAGTTTTTACATGAGAACTCATCAGAAAATAAGGAAAAACTAAAACTGTATAATTGTTTTTTATTTTGAATTTGTTTTAAATCACAGGTAAGGAAAAAAAAAACTTTTCATGCAGCCTTTTTAATCTGAGACAGGGTCTCACTGTCGCCCAGACTGGAGTGCAGTGGTGCCATCATGGCTCACTGCAGCCTCAAACACTTGGGCTCAAGTGATCTTGCCTCAGCCTCCCAAGTAGCTAGAACTATAGGTTTGTGCCATCGTGCCTGGCTAATTTTTTTAAATTTTTTATAGAGATGGGAGTCTTATGTTGCTCAGGCTGGTCTGGAACTCCTGTGGCCTCCCAAAGTGCTGAGATTATAGGCATGAACCACTGCACCCAGTTCAGGGAGCTTTCTTTTTTTTTTGTTTTTTTTTTTGTTGTTGTTGTTGTTTTTAGAGATGGAGTTTCGCCCTTGTTGCCCAGGCTGGAGTGCAATGGCATGATCTCGGCTCACTGCAACCTCTGCCTCCTGGGTTCAAGTGATTCTCCTGCCTCAACCTCCCCAGTAGCTTGGATTACAGGCATGTGCCACCACGCCCAGCTAATTTTGTATTTTTAGTAGAGATGGGGTTTCTCCATGTTGGTCCGGCTGGTCTCAAACACCTGACCTCAGGTGATCCACCTGCCTCAGCCTCCCTAAGTGCTAGGATTACAGGCGTGAGCCACCATGCCCGGCCAGTTCAGGGAGCTTTCTAATGCCATTTTTTAAGTGCTCACAGCTCACTGACACACTATCCCTTTCTATTAACATGTACTCATCTAGTTAATTTAAGAATGGGTAAATCAGCACTCTGCGAGGCCGAAGCAGGTGGATCACTTGAGGTCAGGAGTTTGAGACCAGGTTCACCAACATGGTGAAACCCCGCCTTTACTAAAAAATACAAAAATTAGCCAGATATGGTGGCAGGCGCCTGTAATCCCAGCTACTCGAGAGGCTGAGGCAGGAGAATCGCTTGAACCTGGGAGGCGAAGGTTACAGTAAGCCAAGATTGCGTAAATCATTTCACAAACAGAAACATTACCAATATCCTAATTGCTTTAGACGCTCAACTCAACACAAGGCATTAAGTAAGCTACAGTAAAAATAATGATTATAAAGTGATAAAACAGGCTGGGCGTGGTGGCTCATGCCTGTAATCCCAGCACTTTGGGAGGCTAAGGTGGGCGGATCACAAAGTCAGGAGTTCGAGACCAGCCTGGCCAACATGGTGAAACCCCGTCTCTACTGAAAAAATACAAAAATTAGCCGGGCATGGTGGCATGCACCTGTAATCCCAGCTACTTGGGAGGCTGAGGCAGGAGAATTGCTTGAACCCAGGAGGCAGAGGTTGCAGTGAACTGAGATGTCGCCACTGCACTCCAGCCTGGGCGACAAAGCAAGACTCCGTTCCCACCGCCCCCAAAAAAGAGATGGAACAATTGAGAAAAGCCCAAAATACCATGTTATCAACAAAAGCATAGACATCTCTATTCATCCCATTCCTCGAAACCCTAAATTCTATAAATGAAAGAAGAAATTTTTTGAAAAAGGCTTTCTAGAGTATCATTTGGCTTTAATCCCATCTCCCTTTTAATTTTCTCTTAAGAAGAGGAGAGATCCTAGTGAATTACAATCTGTGAAACAAGTTAAAATACAATCTGGCAAGAGATAGTGCTAATATAGTAAAAACAAAAATCCACATGAACTACAGCAAAATTTTTAAAAAGTTGAATTTCACCAGGGACTTGGAATCCATTAGAAAACCATCAAAGGGAAATCCTAAACCTAAAAACTATAATAAAAATTAAGAACTCAAAAGATAGTCTTAATGGGAGATTAGTGAAAACAGAACAGAGGATTCTTAAAATGGAAGACTGGTTACTAGAAAGCATCCAAATGAATACACAAAGTGACAAAAAAAAAAAGAAAAAAAGAATGGAAACAGAATAGAGTGCAAAAGACATATGTAATCCAGTGGAAAGGCCTAAAAAAAAAGTATAGAGTCCCCTTATGAGAATGGAAGGCCAAGATGGATGGATCACCTGAGGTCAGGAGTTCAAGACCAGCCTGGCCAACAGCTGAAACTCTGTCTCTATTAAAAAATACGAAAATTAGCCAGGCATGGTGGCGTGCGCCTGTAATCCCAGCTATTCAGGAGGCAGAGGCAGGGTGAATTGCTTGAACCTGGGAGGTGGAGGCTGCAGTGAGCCAAGTTCGCGCCACTGCACTCCAGCCTGGGCAACAGAGCGAGACTCTGCCTCAAAAAAAAAAAAAAAATACTATCTGAGAATGTCCCAAAACTATTGAAAGAAATCAAAGAGATCAAGAATGGACTCAAAACTCTGAAATGTTGAAGGCAATAAAATTACTTCTAACTAAAGATAACTGTCTGTGACCACCATTTACATTTAAGATTTATTCCAAAAGTCATCTATGCAAAATAACTTCTGCAATCAGTGACTAATATTAAAACAGGTACAAACAGGGCATTTCTGAGTCCTAAATATGAATTATCCTAGAAACAGAAACTGTAAATGTTATGGTACTACTTGTTTGCATACACACCTGTAAATGCTCACTCATTAAAAATGTCAACAATACATCTAAATGTTTTAGATTCTGTTTTGCCTTTCCTTTTCTTTAGTTGACCTGACAAATCCGACGTGAACTTCTTTCAAAATAAATTACTAAGATTAAGAAACCTATATACTTGAGAAAGAGTCAGTTTTCTTTGACGAAGAAGTAGTAATGAGTACAACCACCTGAGAGAAAATAAGTTTGGACAGGAACAAACACATAAAAAGAGATTCTTTCTAAAAATACTCCCCCTCTCCATAGCAAAGTTTGGGAGGAGTATGAATTACATTTTCACCGCATAAATACCTTGAAGATGATAACATTATTCTAGTTCCTTGATATTTTGTAAAAATAGAAAAAGAGACAAATTTATATTTTTAAGAATTTTAAGCATGTATACAAATAAAACAAGTTATAATTCATGAAGAATAAAATTATTTTAAAAACATCATTTTTGTCAATGATTTTTACTGTTTCAAAAAGTAAAAATCTGTAATAAAGATACAATTTATAAGTTATGAAAAAAACTAAAATGTTTTAACATCATTTCCTTAAGTGAAAGAAGAAAGAAAAGGAGATAGGCCGGAGAAGGTAACCATATTTTTTTTCAGTTTAAAAAAAAAAGAATAGGAATTCATGTTTTAAACATCTTAAAAAGTTTGATATACAGCATGGTTATGATAATTAATAATAATGTATTACATATTTGAAAATGCTAAGACAGTAGATTTTAAATGTCCTCATCACACAAAAAGTGTCAAATATGTGAGGTGCCAGATATGTCAGTTAGCTTTATGTTATCATTTTATGTGTATACATATAGCAAAACATCACATTGTACACACAATTTTTGTCAATTAAAAAATGTGAACACAAACATTACATATCACTCCAAATAAAACAGGTTAATATTATAGTAATAAATTTACCTATAGAATACAATCTCTATCCCTAGGAAAGAAGTTTGTTCTTCCATAAACAAATGCATTTGAATAAATCATTTCCAATATCACAAAACTCTTGAACTAAAGAAATCCATGTTAGACTGGACTTCTTGAAAAACAACTCTAGAGAAAAGCAAAATTATATTGTGTTGCACATACTGCATTTTTCCCTAGTGTTTAAAATTATGGGAAATTATGGATGTTTAAAATTCCAGCTATGTTATACAGCTGGCAATTACATTTTGACAAATATTTAAAGAGTCTAACAACATCAAGGATTTCTTAAGGTTTCTTGCTCACTTTTTTGGGCTGTTTTAAAAATAATCTCCTCAAAAGATCTCTGATTCCCATAAACAAAATTAAACCTCCTTGTTTCTGATAAACCATTTGTTTACAGCATTACTAAAGCTCAGTATATAATTATGTTTACACCAGGAAGTTTACCTGTGCCTCACTTCTAGCCTTGAAAATGGAGAATTCTGACTTCCCACACAGTGCTGTGAGGCGAAATTAAGTAATTATGAAGATTATCTATTGTTCATTGAATACCTACTTCCCAGACACTGTATTAATAAGAGTTGACACATGTGTAAGTTGCTCTGTGTCATGCATTACAGGTATTAGTTAAGTAATCCCAATAATAGTGCTGTGAGGTAAATACTGCTGTGAGGGCCATTAAAAAACTGAGACAGAAAGGTTGAATGGCTTAAGATTCCACAACTAGCAAATAAAAGAGTTGGGATTTAAAAGCACATTTACTTGATTCCAGAGCCTATACTCATTCCATCATAAATAATTTTTAAAAATTTTGTAAGCCAAATACACCAATGTGCCATGGTAAAGCTGAAATATCTACTACAGCCATCTTTTAATCAGTACTCCAGAAGAAAAATAAAAGTTCCTTATTTATTACAGTTGAAAGGAAGCTGTACTGAAGAAATATTTAACAATGAATAATCAACAAAACTTGAAAAATATGAAAGCAAAAACCATTTGATAAATGTCCAAAATCAATAATGTCTTGAGTAATCTAGCTTATCACCTACATGATAAACTAGATTTTAGATTATGATCAACATTCAGCAGGAACCTATTTTAGATTAATAAGATATCCTATAAATGCAGAAAGACACACAAGTTACCTTTGTCAGCTATTATACAGATGTATAAGCTGCATGTGCTCTATGTAACTGCAGATTTGTATAAACTGTTAACATAGAGAGTGACATAAAAGCATGTATTTTTCCATCTTGCCATGATTTCCCAGTAAAAATTCCACACTAACACAGACAATATTCATTACATTTGTATAGTTTTGATTCAAACACAGAATAAGAGAAACAAGTGATTCTTTTTTTTTTTTTTTGGAGGGGGACGGAGTTTCGCTCTTGTTGTCCAGGCTGGAGTGCAATGGCGCCATCTCGGCTCATCGCAACCTCCGCCTCCTGGGTTCAAGTGATTCTCCTGCCTCAGCCTCCCGAGTAGCTGGGATTACAGGCATGCGCCACCACGCCCGGCTAATTTTGTATTTTTAGTAGAGACGGGGTTTCTCCATGTTGGTCAGGTTGGTCTCCAACTCCTGACCTTAGGTGATCCACCCGCCTTGGCCTCCCAAAGTGCTGGGATTACAGGCGTGAGCCACCACACCCAGCCCGAGAAACAAGTGATTCTTAAACTCACAGTTCAATTTACCACCTGACAAAAGCAATTTTTTGAAAAGAATTGTTTCCCAATCCTGAACCTGCAGGCACTGATATCATAAACATAATCCAACACAAGAAATAATAAGGAAAATTAATATGTCAGTTCAAACTTACTTTCTGACAGCCAACTACCTAGAAATTTAAGCAGATTAAATGCTTTTAAACGTGTGCCATTTTCCTAATATCACAGATCTAGAAATAGTAAAATAAAAAATAAAAATCTATAGTAATCGTAAGAAACAACAACCCAAAGAAAACCAATAAACCTTCATTGACTAGTACTCATTGGGAAGGTTGCTTTGAATTTGGGAAAGGACTTTGATATTTAATATGCTTGGGTTCAAACGGCAACTTTTCACCTTGTTTGTTGTCTGTGAGGCTCAGTTTTCTCAGTCAAAACATGCGAAGGATCATACTTGCCTGGTGATTGAATATTTGCCTCTTCCCAAAATGCATATGTTGAAATCTAACCCCCAAAGTGATGGTATCTGAAGGTGGATATCTAGGAGGTAATTAGGTCATGAAGGTGGAGCCCTCATGTATGGAATTAGTATCCTTGTAAGAAAGCCCCCAGACTGCTCCTTTGCCCCTTTCACTACGTGAGGACACAGTGAGAAGATGGCATTCTATAAAGAAGGAAGCAGCCCTCACCAGATATCAAATATGACAGCACCTTGATCTTGGAGTTCACAACCTCCAGAACTAACAAACTTTTGTTTCTAAGCCACTCAGACTAAATTATGCTGTTATAACAGCCCAAGGGGACTAAGACACTTCCTCAAAATTAAATAAAACATATAAAGGATCTAGCACAGTACTTAGCACAAAGAAAATGTCACTAGATAGCAGTTTGGGGCATTATAATAATTATAATTATAAAAATTAATTAAATATTAATTTTTAGTCATTGTAAGTGTCAGCACTATAATTGGCATAATGAAGATACCTTTTAAATCTTTTAAAGTTATAAATTAAACTAACGGGTGTGTGATACATAAATATTTGCTGAAAAGAGCAAGAATGTGATGTCTGGTAGAAGATTTTCAGAAGCTTCAAACAGCATAGGTCAACAGATGCATCCAGATTAACAGTCAGTTCCTTACTTAGCCTTACTTACAATATGGTTCAAAGTATCAAATTTCCTTAAATTTTGCCATGAAAACCACCAAGCGAATACTAAGATCAGAACTGCTCCTCTGAAATCCTTCATAACTATGAGGCATGCCCAGAACAGTCAGCCTTTAATACACTCCTAATAGAGATTTTGTTGCTGTATTACTAGGAGATTGTTAAGACATTGGTAATTAGAGTACTTTACGTTTTAGTCTTAACAGTCTTAACTGTTTTAGTTGTTCAAATGTAGTAATTGCTTAGCTTCTCAAATTCCTCAAGTAGTTATTTATTTTACATAGCTAAAATTTCCAGATAAGAATATGTTTATACTTTTCGGATATTTTTATAATTAAAAATAAATTTAAGTAAATCCTTCTAAAATAGACAAAATATTTTTAACAACATACTGTAAGATTCTGTGCTCAGATGCAGAAATGCTTGGCTCAGGAAATAGGCCAACAAAAAGAAAATCCGTATTTCTTTGGTTTCTTGAATCTATACCAAAAGTTCTCTTCATCTGTTTTTTTCTACCTACACTCCTTCTTTGTGTATTCCCAGTCAACTCAGCTTTTGTTTGGGAAGAGGGTGCCACAGGATTCTATACAGCATTTGTCCTTGATAATACAGGATCATCATTTATATGCTCTAAGTATGGTTGTAGAAACACAGGATTTGGAACCTACTGACTTAGGTGCTTGTTTACGCAAAAAAAGACTGTTAAATTACCCTACAATAAAATAAGTGTGACTGAATGGCCTTTTGTGCAGAGAGTAACATGGAGACCTTTCTACACATTAATTAATATATCATGGATGGCAGCAGTCTTTTTCAAAATGTGTTCTCACTGGCCTAAAATGGATAATGCTCATCACTGCTGCTATCCTTTGTTGGCCTTTAATTACGGCTGCTAACAGCTATATTAAAAAGAATATCTATCATTTCTGTATACTTGGCACACTGACAAAGTTTTGTGAGTCGAACCCACTTTTAAATTTATTGTGTTCAAAAACCATTAAATGTTTTTAGCACGGCTTAGCACTTCAGTAATTCTTTTTGGAGTTCTTTGAGAGGTAAATTATTCCAAAGCTTACCAATGATTCTTTACCATGAAGATGATGATGCTTCTATAAACATTAATGCAGGAGATAAAATTATGTAAGAGTCTCAGTTTAAATTTTACAAGTCTCAAATTTTAAAAGAAAATTTGTTCACACGTGGCACTAAGTCGAACTCTGAATAACCAGTGGAGTGATCATAATCTCTAGTTTCTCTGAGTTTCTATTCCCTTATTCAAAAAAACTATCTGTGTGCATCTTTGCTAGGCACTGTGGTGGACATCTGAGGTAAGAGAATGAAGACATTTTCACTTCCTTGAAGATTTCATTCTTGTTGGCAGGTATGAATGAGGGAGCAAATTTAGGTAATATATACATAAGTCTTTTGAATTTTAATAAAATTGTGATTCTATGCTGTTATTATGTAGCATCTATGTGGAGCTACTTGATTACTCTTAATAAAATATTCATATTTAGAAATGTTTTATTGACACCTCCAATCAGGTACTTCTAAATAAAAGGCAGTGAAACTCAAACTTTTCCAATTTGCTCTTTGTTGTAGGATGAAACAGTGGCTGTAATTAATGCTGAAGATTAGGTGACAATAATTCTTTGCATTCCTATTACCCATACGGCCTTTGCTCTTTATTTCCACAGATCATTGAAAGCTAGCTGGAGAAAAGCATAGTGAAAATGTTTTATGAACTGAGAAATATTCTTGGCTGACTTTCAAAGCTTCAGTAGGAAACAAAAACCATAAAACTGACATCCTAGGAAATCAAAAACAACTCTATGAAAAAGTTTAAATACAAATGCTTAATCACTAACATAATGAAATGATTTCATAAGACTTTATTATCTGCTAGACATAGGCAACACAATAGGGGAAAATGTACAGCTAATATATAAGCCAGACATTCCCAAAGCATTAACTCTCTTTTCCTTTCAAAAGTCAAGCCCCCTTTCCAAATTATTCCTATTCAAAAGACATATAGGACCACAGATCAAAGGGATATTACGGTATCTTAAAACTGGGGTAGGCAAACTATAGGCACAGACCAAATCTGACCAACCAATTGTTTTCGCATTTGATTATATATTTTCCATGCTGCTTTTGTACTATAGCAACAGAGATGAATAGCAGTAACAGAGACTACATTTACTAACTGAACTGTTTCAGAAAAAAAATGTGCTTACCCCTATCTTTAAGAAACTTCACTCCCATTATGGTAATTATTATACTGATTCTATTTTCCAGTACTAAAAATTTTCACAGAATACATGAATTTCCTAACTCCTCCAATAAAATAAAATGCCCTACCCAAATTATATACCAGCATCTTATATACTCATTTTTAATTTTAAAATATTTTTCCTAGTATACATTTTAAATATCATAACAAGTTCCAAATGGTAGGCATGTAAATTTGTTCATTTTCTTTTCTCTCTTTCTTTTTTTTGGGGGGGATGGAGTCTCGCCCCGTTGCCCAGGCTGGAGTACAGTGGTGCAATCTTGGCTCACTGCAACCTACACCTCCCGGGTTCAAGCGATTCCCCTGCCTCAGCCTCTCGAGTAGCTGGGACTACAGGTGTGCGCCACCATGCCAAGCTAATTTTTTGTATTTTAGTAGAGATGGGGTTTCGCCATGCTGGCCAGGATGGTCTGGATCTCCTGACCTCGTGATCCGCCCGCCTCAGCCTCCCAAAGTGCTGGGATTACAGGTGTGAGTCACCGTGCCCAGCCTCATTTTCTTAAAATCTCACACACCCACAGTCAAAATTGGCTTGTAAGAAACCCCAAAAAAGAAGGCTAGCCAACATATACTGCTCTGAGTTAAAGCATTACTTATGATAATTTTCATGGTACACGTAAAATGTAAGCAAACTTTGATTTTAAAGGTGAGATAGCTACAGCAAGAAATCTATGTGTCCTACACATAACAAAGAATTCCCAGTTCCTAGTAAAATGCTGCAACAGGCCATCTCTCTAAGGAAACTCATCTCATGCCTTTGAAAAATTATGCTATAGTACTTAGTTACAACTTATAGACAAAACACAAATAAAAAAACTCATAGAACTCTCATACCACATAAAACTATTATAAGAGAAAATCTGTTACACATTTTCCATTTCGTCTCTTGCTTTGTTTTCCTCAGCATTTGTTTACTGTTTACTATTTAAAATTTACCAATATGAAATTATGTTATATGTGAGGCAATTAAGTATAAATTGGAAAAAACTGTTTACCAGAAAAATGCCATTGATTTTAGTAACTTTCAAAATGGACATAAAAATAATAGTGGCTAAAAATATCTAAGTTGTGACTACTAGAGTTTCTTAAAACATAAAAAAATTCTTCATAAATATTTAGATACATGAGAATTTTTACCCTGAAATAAATGTACTTTTTCTATCCTAAATCCTGATAATATATGAAACAGCAGTAGTATAGTTCAAAGAGCATTAAATCAGAAGACATGAGTTCTAGTCTTGTCTAGGCCACAAAAGAATTACATGTTTCTTCTGAAAAATAAAAGGTTGTACTAGATGACTTCTAAGAACTTTTCCATTTATAAAGTTCTATGATTTTATGAAATTTTATAAACCACCATAAAAATCACATTAAAAAATTTATAACCCTTCTTGAAAAGTGTCATTTAGAGAAATGATGCCTACAAAAATTTCCTTTACAGTACATAACATCATGAATGTATTGAATTTACCTCAAATCTGGATATGCTGCTGCTGCTTAAAAGAGGGTACCTCATTTCCTGATTATTATTTTAAAACGCAGACCTCTTTTCAGAATGCCGCTAAGCCTGAGATCTTCATTTTCAATGAAAGCTAGCTTAGAACTTTTTTATTTTTTTCCCTAACCACTCTTAAGTGGAAACCAATTCTGGACTATAAATGCAGAAACAGCTATAGGAGAAGCAGTTATTAATATAGATTCTCTAGTGCCACACAGAAGATACCAGTCAGCTTTTAACTGAGCACTTCACCTTTTTCATTTTTTTAAATATATTTGATCATGTTTTTATGTTCTAGTCATAAAACAATACCCCAATACATTATATAAAGCTTTAGTGTTACAAAACAGAATAAATCATTTCCCTATCTCCTAAACAACAAAATTTTCTCCTATATCTAGGATAATTTTTTTTCATATTTTAAATTTGTCAGGTCAGAATGTCTCCTGTAGTTGGTGATTTCTCAGCACCATTTTCTCAGCATATTTCTTCAGTAAGTTACATAAAATAATGATGTATCTTATAACTGATGGCATCTTAGAGTGACAAAATGCCACACTGTGTGTCAACTGTAGAATATTTTTTCTAATTCCCAAATGTTTTATTTAATCAGTTTTCTTTCACTAGTGTATAAACTCTGTCGAGGTAGATTCATTTCAATCTCAATTACTATATTTCAACCTATATGGAAATCATTATTATTTTAAGAATATCTTGCAAAAATTACTGTAAGAAGAAACATTGAACTTTTCTAGTAGTTATTAAATACCAGGTATTATGTTAAGCGCTATAAATGTATTTACTTCCAAAAACCTAGAATTTACTATTATTAACTCCACTTTACAGATGAAGAAACTAAGGCTTAGAGAGGTTAAGGAACCTGTCCTAGGTTCTGTTCACTGTTTTATCCCCAACGCAAAGCCTATTGGAGAATGTTCAATAAATGCTTACTGAATGAATGAATGCTTTCAAAGGAGACTTACAACAGCTCAGTTAGATGAACAGAATCATTATAATGTAAGTCACAGAGAAAATGCAAGATAAACATTATAATGTAAGTCACAGAGAAAATGCAAGATAAACAAGCTTGAAAGGTTAGTTAACTACCTACACCTGGAATCCTGGGCTATGTGGTACCGTAGTTGAACAAAAAAGTGGCTCAGGGTATCTGCTCTATAGTCAATATATCTAAATTCAAATACAAGCTCTGTTATTAGTGATGCATGCCCTTGAGTAGGTACTTAGGTGTCTACAGCCCCGTTTTCTCACCTGTGAAAGGAAGATGAGAATAGCACCTAAACACAACGATTAGGAGTTAATACACTAAGTGGGGTCCAAACAAAAGGAGTCACATTACTTGGAAGTTAAGTAAAAAAGATGAGCCTCTCTAGCTAATGACCCTAAGTTTCAGGAATATGTTCCTAGTTCCAAATCTGTTCTAGTCCTACTTGAAGTTTGGCACTACTAAGTAATCACTGTCAGCTAAGGAGTATGATTCAGGATCTTAGGATCCTATGAAATGTCCTGGACAATAGAAGTTGTTATGGGAAATCTACAGGTTAGTCAGTACTCATTTCGTCAGTCAGAGGAGACTGGGCCAACCCTACATGTCTGCACTTTTGATGACAGGATTGTTGCCTAAGACAAGGTTGACTAATAATTTACTGCCCAGTTTGCTCTACTCACCACATCATAACCTTGAAAAAGGTAAAAATGTAAGCTAGTCAGGAGGTAAGACAAAGTACTAGAGTCAACTGCCAATTGTATAATATCCTACTTTGCATTAATGCAGGGACCTTTCTGTGAGTTTTTCTTTACTGTAAAGCAATGTAAGTAGTTTCTAGTATGTAATAAGCACTAAAGGAATGTTATCTAATATTATTATTAGCCCAGTATAATTCAACTCCCCTTCCTCCCTCAACGTCTCACTCCCTATCATATTATCCATTTTCCAAAGAGCTATGTTACCCTTAACAGCATTTTTAATTTTCCCAAATGTAGTAAAATACTTTGAAAAAAGAATCATGCAGCATTTCCTCTTACAATATAAAATATGACAAAAATTCTTATTCAAAGGTGCCGTAATTTAAATGAACATACAGAAGAGAAGTAAATATCAGGCTTATTTATTCTTCAAGTCCCAAAGAATCTATTAAACAGGGCAAAGAAGAGATAAAATATTGGTTATAATTAGATACTTTCATAAGCACGAAATATACGATTTTTTTGAAATACAAAGACTTCAATGACTAACAAGCAAATAGTATATCTATGCTCTACTTACAATGTGCTGGCTGCAATCCTCTGCTTCATGGCTAATTACCATGTCTTATCTTTTCAGTAATTTTAAGTAGTCAAAATAATTTGATTTAGCATGAGCAAGACAGTAAAGACTAGCAAATATCATGATTCTTTGCTCAATTGTGAAACATCCTGAATTTAGAAACTAAATTCTTGAAACCTTCTTCTTCTTCTTTTTTTTTTTTGAGACAGTCTCGCTCTGTCACCCAGGCTGGAGTGCAGTGGCGCGATCTCAGCTCACTGCAAGCTCCGCCTCCTGAGTTCACGCCATTCTCCTGCCTTAGCCTCCCAAGTAACTGGGACTACAGGCGTCTGCCACCACGCCCAGCTAATTTTTTGTATTTTTAGTAGAGACGGGGTTTCACCATCTTAGCCAGGATGATCTTGATCTCCTGACCTCGTGATCCGCCCACTTCGGCCTCCCAAAGTGCTGGGATTACAGGTGTGAGCCACTGTGCCCAGCCCAGAAACATTCTTCTTTATGCATTGTCACTTTGGGACTAATTATATGATTTGATCTGAATGTTATCATAGAAAACAGATGATAGCTTTGGACGAATTAAATCAGTGACTGTTTACAGCCTAATATTACATAGAAATGCCTCCTAATTTATGAAATTTTTCTCTGTTTTCCTATTCCATGAGTAGTTTAACAATGCATAAAATTAGTTTAGTATCTTGGGAATTTTATACTTCTGGTATATCTATCAGTAGTTCTTTATCAGTTTCCATTGTGTTCAATTCAAATAGCCAAAGAACAAAAAAATGAACAAAATACCTTTTGTTTTAGATTTCAAGTAACAGCAAACTAATTAGATAAAACAATCACTTATAGGCAATACTGATCCATCATATAATTAGGAAAAAAAGACGAAGACCTGAAAACAGAAAGTCACTTTATGAGAGTTTTATGGTTACAAAAAACAAACTACATAAGATTCAGTGCAAATAGAGTACAACCAAAACTCTTTAATTGGGACCCATCAGCACTCTATTTCCTTGAATGGAACTTCATCTTTGCTTTCCGAAATGCCAACTAACTTGATAAATTATGACCAGAAATGTTTCTGTACAAAACAAATTGCATAGAATTTATTTCTACAGTCATGTGCCACATAATGAAGTTTGGGTCAATGGCAATCACATATATGAAGCTGGTACCATAAGATCACAGCACTGTCTTTTTACTCTAACTTTTGTATGTTTATATACACAAATCTAAGCATTTTGTTACCACTACCTACAATGGTATTCAGTACAATAACATGCTGTATAAGTTAGTAGCCTAGGACCAGGCTACCTGGTATAGGTAATATAGCCTATTGCTATACCATATGACTTATTGCTATACCATATGGCTTATTGCTATATATATCTTACATAGTAAGAGCTCAATAATTGATAGGTATGATTAAGTAACAGTAACAACATTGACTATGTTAACAGAAATACTGGCCATTATTATCAGAAAAAAATGATAGTTTTAAAAAAAATCTTTATTTCATAAAAATAAAGGCTGGTAATATGATGTTTAAAAACAAAATCAAAGTACTGCAGATGATTGTTATACTATCTAGCAATAGGCCATATGGTATATAGTGTAGAAGGCTACATCATCCAGGTTTATAAGTAAGTATACTCTATGATGTTTACATAACAATGAAATTGACTAATGACTGAATTTCTCAGTATGTAAACTGCCTCCCTTCATTAAGTAACACATGACGAGCCATTGAGAGAGGGAGGTATACACTAAACACATGTGTTCTCTGAAAAGTTCAATTTGATGAAGACTACCAGAGGAAATAACATCTAGAAGCTGCAAATCATTAGCATCTCTTATGTATCTGGTAATTCCTACTGAGCTAAACTCCTATGAAAGCAAGATATTACTACAAAGTGCCTTGTCTGGTTTCTCACATCACTTTATTTCAGAGACATTTTAAGAGAACTTTGCTACATATTCTACCTCCCATCTGGTTCATATTTAACAGGATATCCCTCCCACCTGTTCCTTTTTAGGGTCCAAAACCAGATGTCTCTGATGTCACATAACTGTGGAAGGTCACACTACTTCAGCAAAATTCTCTGGCTTTTCTTCTCTTGTAGTTAGGTAAACCTGAGTTTTGTAACACTCTGTGCCATCTTAAAACGTAAGTAATAAAAGGGCTTGAGTGCTTCACTTCACAAAGCAAAAAGACTGGTAAGTATTCATGGAATACCAAATGTGAGGGGGGTGGAAAGCAGGGCAGCTGGTATGGTTTGACTGTGTCTCCAACCAAGTCTCACCTTGAATTGTAATAATCCCCATGTGTCAAGGGCAGGGCCAGGTGGAGGTAATCGAATCATGGAGGTGGTTTCCCCCACACTGTTATTGTGGTAGTGAATAAGCATCACAAGATCTAATGATTTTATAAAGGGGAGTTGCCCTGCACAAGCTCTCTTGCCTGCCACCACGTAAGACATGCCTTTGTTCCTCCTTCACCTTCCTCCATGATTGTGAGGCTCCCCAGCGATGTGGAACTAATGAGTTCATTAAACCTCTTTTTCTTTATAAATTATCCAGTCTTGGGTATTTCTTCATAGTAGTATAAAAATGGACTAATCCAGTAAACTGGTAACGGTAGAGTGGGGTGCTGCTGTAAAGATACCTGAAAATGTGGAAGCAACTTTAGAACTGAGTAACAGGTGAAGGTTGGTACAGTTTGGAGGGCTCAGAAGAAAACAGGAAAATGTGGGAAAGTTTGGAACTTCCTAGAGACTTGGAGGGCTCAGAAGACAGGAAGATGTGGGAAAATTTGGAACTTCCTAGAGACGTGTTAAGTGGCTTTGACCAAAATGCTGACAGCAATATGGAACAATAAAATCCAGGCTGAGGTGGTCTCAGATGAAAATGAGGAACATGTTGGAAACTGGAGTAAATGTTACTCTTGCTATACAAAGAGACTGGTGGCATTTTGTCCCTGCCCTAGAGATCTGTAGAACTTTGAACATGAGAGAGATTATTTGGGATATCTGGTGGAAGAAATTTCTAAGCAGCAAAGCAGTCAAGATGTGACAAGGCATAAAAGTTTGGAATTTTGTAGCCTGAAGATACAGTAGAAAAGAAAAACTCATTTCCCGGGGAGAAATTCAAGCCAGCTGCAGTAATTTGCTTAAGTAACAAGGAACCAAATGCTAATGCCAAGACAATGGGGAAAATGTCTCCAGGGAAGATCAGAGACCTTCCCTGCAGCCCCTCCCATCACAGGCCTGCAAACCTAGGAGGGAAAAATGGTTTTCTGGGCCAGGTCCAGGGCCCCCCCTGCCACTGCTGAGTGCATCCTCAGGACTTGGTGCCCTGCATCCCAGCCGCTCCAGGCATGGCTAAAAGGGGTCAAGGTACAGCTTGGGCCATGGCTTCAGACGGTGCAAGCCCCAAGCCTTGGCAGCTTCCACATGGAGTTGAGCCTGCGGTTGTGCAGAAGTCGAGAATTGAGGTTTGGGAACTTCCGCCTAGATTTCAGAAGATGTTGGAAATCCCTGGATGTTCAGGCAGAGGTGTGCTGCAGGGGCAGGGCCCTTATGAGAACCTCTGCTAGGACAGAGTGGAAGGGAAATGTGGGGTTGGAGCTCCCACACAGAGTCCCCACTGGGGCACCACCTAGTGGAGCTGTGAGAAAAGAGCCACGATCCTCCACACCCTAGAATGGTAGGTTACTGACAGCTTGCACCATGTGCCTGTGGCACCATGTTGCTGCAGATACTCAACACCAGCCTGTGAAAGCAGCCAGAGGGAGGCTGTACCCTGCCAAGCTACAGAGGCAGAGCTGCCCAAGACCATGGGAACCCCTCTCTTGCATCAGTGTGACCTGGATGTGAGGCATGGATCAAAGGAGATCATTTTGAAGCTTTAAGATTTGACTATCTTTACAAGAAAAAAACAAACAACCCCATCAAAAAGTGGGCAAAGGACATGAACAGACACTTCTCAAAAAAAGACATTTATGCAGCCAAAAAACACATGAAAAAATGCTCACCATCACTGGCCATCAGAGAAATGCAAATCAAAACCACAATGAAATACCATCTCACACCAGTTAGAATGGCGATCATTAAAAAGTCAGGAAACAACAGGTGCTGGAGAGGATGTGGAGAAATAGGAACACTTTTACACTGTTGGTGGGACTGTAAACTAGTTCAACCATTGTGGAAGTCAGTGTGGCGATTCCTCAGGGATCTAGAACTAGAAATACCATTTGACCCAGCCATCCCATTACTGGGTATATACTCAAAGGACTATAAATCATGCTGGTATAAAGACACATGCACACGTATGTTTATTGTGGCACTATTCACAATAGCAAAGACTTGGAACCAACCCAAATGTCCAACAATGATAGACAGGATTAAGAAAATGTGGCACAGATACACCATGGAATACTATGCAGCCATAAAAAATGATGAGTTCATGTCCTTTGTAGGGACATGGATGAAATTGGAAATCATCATTCTCAGTAAACTATCTCAAGAACAAAAAACCAAACACTGCATATTCTCACTCATAGGTGGGAATTGAACAATGAGAACACATGGACACCGGAAGGGGAACATCACACTCGGGGGACTGTTGTGGGGTCGGGGGAGGGGGGAGGGATGGCTTTAGGAGATATACCTAATGCTAAATGACGAGTTAATGGGTGCAGCACACCAGTATGGCATATGTATACATATGTAACTAACCTGCACATTGTGCACATGTACCCTAAAACTTAAAGTATAATAATAATAAAATAAAATAAAATAAAATAAAAAAGAAAAGAAAAAAAAAAGATTTGACTGCCCTGCTGGATTTTGGACTTGCATGGGGCCTTTAGCCCTTTAATTTTGACCAATTTCTCCCATTTGGAACGGGTGTATTTATCCAATGCCTGTACCCCCATAGTACCTAGGAAGTAACAAATTTGCTTTTGATTTTATAGGCTCATAGGTGGAAGGGACTTGACTTGTCTCAGATGAGACTTTGGTCTGTGGACTTTTGAGTTAATGCTGAAATGAGTTAAGACTTTGAGGGACTGTTGAGAAGGCATGAATGATTCTGAAATGTGAAGACATGAGATTTGGAGGGGCCGGGGCGGAATGATATGGTTTGGCTGTGTCTCCACCCAAATCTCATCTTGAATTGTAGCCCCCATAATTCCCACATGTTGTGGGAGGGACCCAGTGGGAGATTAACTGAATCATGGGGGTGGTTTCCCCCATACTGTTTTCATGGTAGTGAATCAGTCTCACGAGATCTGATTTTTTGTTTTGTTTTGTTTTTTGAGATGGAGTTTCGCTCTTGTTGCCCAGGGTGGAGTGCGATGGAGCAGTCTCAGCTCACCGCAACCTCCACCTCCTGGGCTCAAGCAATTCTCCTGCCTCAGCCTCCCAAGTAGCTGGAATTACAGGCAACCACCACCACGCCCAGCTAATTTCTATATTTTTAGTAGAGACAGCGTTTCACCATGTGGGCCAGGCTAGTCTCAAACTCCTGACCTCAAATGATTCGCCCACCTCGGCCTGCCAAAGTGCTGGGATTACAGGCGTGAGCCACGGCGCCCAGCCCGATCTGACGGTTTTATAAGGGGTTTCCCCTTTCACTTGGCTCTCATTCTCTCTTGCCTGTCACCACCTAAGAGATGTCTTTCGCCTTCCACCATGATTGTGAGGTCTCCTAGCCACGTGGAACTGTGAGTCCATTAAACCTCTTTTTCTTTATAAATTACCCAGTCTCGAGTATGTCTTTATCAGCAGCACGAAAATGGACTAATATAGCAGTCTACCTCCTAATGATAGGTTCCTAATGACAATTTATACTCTCATCACATGAGGCAGCTCTAATTAAGAAGGATGATAACAGCAATGTTTCATATCACACTTACTACTGACACCTGTAAGTTGTCTTCACCCTTCACTGTAATTACCACCAGCAAAAATTTTATAATCAATATACACATCAAGAAGCTATGCACAAAGTACATGAATTTACATTACCCAACATGAACCACTTGTAGAACATATTAAAGGACCGCTATACATTTGTAGAGGAAAAAAACATACTTATGAACAGTTCTGATGTGTGTGTGTGTGTGTGTGTATATATTTGTTTGAAATGACATCATAGATAATCCTCTTTACTGCCTGAGATTTTGGAGCAAAACTATTAATACTAATTTATATTCTATTTAATTTTACTTTAGGAAACATTTATTCCAGAGAATTTTAAAATCTGTGTAACGTATTTTATAATTTTGTTCTACTACAAGAAGTAATTATGATTAATCCAGTTTTGTTTACAGTTTTAATTATATGTTTACAATAACCCTAATTTTGATAGACAATACTAAGAAGTATGTGTTGATATAAACTATAAAAATTAACTCAAATGCCCAGACAGGTATCAGTGGTTTTTATCCAATATAGATAAAAGTACTATACAGTAATTACATGAAATAATTTAATGGGTATAAGAGGAAAAAATTACAAAAACTGAAAACTTTTTTAGGCCAAATGTATTAATAGATAAAAGTTGTATACAAAATGCTATTTATACCATAATTGCTATTATTATGTAACATCATATTATTATGTAATAGCAGTGCTATTAAATACTTCTTACCTGCCCCTTTCAACTGCTAAGGCATCCAGTTCATCAAAGAAAATAATGGAAGGCGCCACTGCTCTTGCTTTTCGGAAGGTCTGGTGGAAAGAGTGCCACATTAGCTAAAGATGAGCAAACACTAGAAAATTCTGTAGTTGGTTTGTTTTAAAACTATATTTAGAACCAAACCTATTAGGTACAAGTCAACAAGCCCAGTCACTTTGTATAGACCTTGTAATAGATGTTCAGAACTTTATAATGGATGTAAAAGTATCCCCTTCAATAGTGCTTAAAGAGACAAGACTATCAATACATATTCACATAGGTGTGAAGGAGGCAATTCAGTTAAGCAATCAGAAAATTTCAGTTAAAATCCCAGCTGCACTACTAGTAACTGTGTGACTTTCAGCAGTTAACTTCACTTCTGTAAGCCTCGATTTCTACATCTATAAAATGGAGATAATAAACACCTACCTCAGAAAGTTATTTTAATAATTGAATTTTAAAAAGAACACAAAGCATTTGGCACAATGCCTGAAACAGTAAGAGCTCAATAAATGATAGGTATTATTAACTATTAGTAACAGCATTAACTATTTTAACAGAAATGCTGGCTATTATTATCAGAAAAAATGATAGTTTTAAAAGGGCTGGTAATATGATGTTTAAAAACAAAACTGAAGTATTGCAGATGATCAAAACTGCATTTTTAAATAATAAAATAATATTTACCTGAAGAAAAAAAAATACCACTAAGATCTGACTTCGGAAATGCCAAAGTCTGTTACCTAAAACAAAAGGGAAGCTGCACAGGACAGAAGTGTGATTCTCCTGTGCTGAGTGCCACTAAAGGCACAATTTCTTACCTCTCTAACTGCTCTTTCAGATTCACCAACATATTTATTCATTAATTCAGGCCCCTGCATGAAAAGAAAACAACTGTTCAGTGTCTTTATAAATGCAATCATGTATATTTCTTCCAATGAAGTAGAAAAAATATACACAAAAGAGAAAATAAACAAAATCTGCTTATTAATCCCTTTAGCATGCTTATTTTCTCTGTTTGTTATTTGTGCCTTAAAAGTTAAAGCCATTCTACATTCCAAAAACCACACATCAATACAAAGGAAAGGCTGTGACTAATCATAATATTTTAACAACTTATTCATCATCTGTCTATAACTCTATCCACATTTTTACACTATATCAGATGTGGTGCTAGGCACAGAAGATGGAACAGCCATTTCTCAGGCCTAACCACTGGCTAGCTCTAAGCAGGTCTACTTACCAGATCTGAAGATGCACATTTTTTGACATTAATATTTCTGAACTTTAATATTTCTTATTTCTCAAGTACCTAGAATATCAAATATTGTAAGAAACACAGCAGACTTTCTTTTTTACCACATACATATCTACTCTCTTAAGATAAACAGTCACCACAAGAAGTTATGAATTAAATTGTCCCATAATGATAGATGACCTCAGTTGTGGGGATGTTTCTCCGAGCATCTGGCTATTCTGACACAGTTCCTCATACATCCCGAAGAACAAGAGACATGTGTGTGTGTCTCTCTCTCCCTCTCTCTGTGTGTGCGCACGAGCATGCATGCATGCACAAACACATACACACACCCCTTACTTTGAACAAGATTCATATTCTATTCCATGCAGATCACGGGTCCAGCCAATTCCGAGGATGTAACAAGACACTGACTTAAGTATTTCCTAAACAATTTATATTAATTTTTAAAAATCTGACTGACTGAAACACAAAGGCAAACCCTAGCAGAATGTTAACTAATCCCAAACTGGTATGGGCAGTATTTGGCTTCATATAAAACACCATATTACAAGGAAAATTAGCATACTGTATGACAAGTACTATGATAGAGCAATGCACAGGTACCATCAAAACATACAGAAGAAACTCCTTAGAGTCAAGAAATGTTCCTAGAGAAAGTAACATTTCAGGTTAGTCCTCAGTTGATTTATTTCACATCCTCAAAAATATGAAATACATCAAGACCCAGGAAGAAATCAAAAAGGTCTCTGATGAGCCAAAATAGATGTTACTATATGAACTTTGTTGTAGAAGAGCTCTTAAGGTCTTTACGCTGAGTTCATTGACTTTTAAATTACATACAATGAATACACTTGAACAGAACTGATATAAGAATTTACTACACGTGAATCATAGGGTGCAGGGAGATTGTGGCAATCAATAAAGCTACTTAAAGTGGGAGGCAGGGGTTCAGATTTTATCGTGTAAGCAATAGGAAGGGTTTTATGAAAGTTAAGTGATAACAGAGGTATTAATGAAAGATGATTCTGGCCACAGTATAAACGATGTTTAGGAGGAATATTAAGAGTCCAGAAGTCGAGAGAACAGTTATAAAATGCTTAGAATAGTAAAGGGGAAAAATAATGAGGAACAAGTTTAAGGCAAAGGAGTGCAATGGAAATGAGAAGATAGCCACAAAAACAATTAAAAATATAAAATTAATGTGTTGTGGATAGCAAAATGTGAAGATGAGAGTGGGGTGTAGAATAATTCAAATTTGACTTAACATTACTAATTTTTTTTTTGAGATGAAGTCTTGCACTGTCACCCAGGCTGGAGTGCAGTGGCGCTATCTCGGCTCACTGCAAGCTCCGCCTCCTGGGTTCACACCATTCTCCTGCCTCAGCCTTCCAAGTAGCTGGGACTACAGGTGCCCGCCACCACACCCGGCTAATTTTTTGTACTTTTAGTAGAGACAGGGTTTCACTGTGTTAGCCAGGATGGTCTCAATCTCCTGACCTCGTCATCTGCCTGCCTCGGCCTCCCAAAGTAACATTACTATTTTTGATGTTCACGATAATGACTTAATTCATAAAAAAAAAAAAGGATGCTCAATATATTCTGTGTAGCAATTTCTCTTAAGTATGTAGTTCATAGAGTGACACCACCAAGATGGCGAAATAGAAGGTAACCTGCTCATATATGCCCACAATAAAAAGAATTATCCATCCATCCACAATTGTGAAACCCTAAGACACAGGAGGGTCACTTTGAGAGGGTACACTAACACCCAAGTGACTGATCTGCTCCACTGAGCTTGCTTTTGCATTCAAGCCCAGAAGTAGCCCTGTCTCTCAAGGGGCTTGACTATAGCCCCATTTGACCTTGAGCCTGCAACCAAAATCATCTGCCAAAGGGTTCAGAGAAATCATGCACACTAATGCCTTGGCAGAAAAGCTCATCAGCCCACTGATAACTGGTCTCAGTAGTGAACCTGGAAGTTGAACTGTGACACTGCTCCAGGCCTCCCTAGCTGAGGTCCCAGCTTATAGTTGCTTACACAAGAAACCAGGGGGAGATTCACACAAATCTCATGGCCTGGGACTCTGATCCTCCCCGACATGCTCACCAGCCTCTATCCCACAACATATCCTGAGGAGACCCAGTCTAAGCCCCGCCCAGTGCAGTAGAGGAACTATCCTATCTGTGCTGAGACCTGCTGGGAGATGCATGCCACTCTGAGCCAACAAGACAAGCTTTCCAAATCCGTCCCTACAGCAGAGTCCAAGGGGGCCCAGTCTTAGCTCCAGCCCCTCCTGCTGCAGTCTGGGAGCTATCCCATCTATGTACGGACCTGCTGGGAGACACATGCCCATCTGAGCCAATGTGACAAGAACACCAACCTCCATCCCACAGCAGATTCCAAGGGAGCCCAGTCTCAGTACCAGACCCCCCTGTTACAGTCAAGCACTTTTGCAATGACCAGCTGAGTGATGCATGCTGATATGAGCAAATAAGTCGGGGCCAGTCTCCTTCACACAGCAGATCCCAACGCAGCCCAGTCTCAACTCCAGGCCCTCTCACTGCAGTTAGCAGCCCATCCTGCCTGTGCAGAAATATGCTGAAAGGCACACTCATCTGGGTGATTGGGACAGTCTTCTGGACTCAGATCCCTGGCCAGCATTTCCACGCAGCCGGAGTATCTGCCTTGGGTCTACCCCAGGTCCATCTGGGCCAGAAAGCCATATCAACCAAAGAGATCCTGTGAGATTTGTGGCAAGCCTGGGCTCAGAGAGTCTCTGTGATGGTAAATATTAATTGTCAACTTGATTGGACTGAAGGATGCAAAATATTGTTTCTGGTTGGGTCTATGAGGATGTTGCCGGAGGAGATTAACACTTGGGTCAGTGGACTGGGCGACAAAGCCCCACCCTCAGTTTGGGTGGGTACCATCCAATCTGCTGCCAGTGTGGCTAGAAAAAGCAGGTGGAAGAAGATGAAATAAGCCGGCTTGCTGAGTCTTCTGGCTTTCATCTGTGCTGGATGCTTCCTGCCCTTGAATATCAAACTCCAGATTCTTCACCCTTTGGACTCTCAGACCTACACCAGTGGTTTGCCATTGGCTCTCAGGCCTTCAGCCACAGACTGAAGGCTACACTGTCAGCTTCCCTACCTTAGAGGCTTTGGGACTTGAACTGAGCCACTACTGGTTTCATTGCTCCTCAGCTTATAGATGGCCAACTGTGGGATTTTCACTTGTGATCATGTGAGTCAATTCTCCTTAATAAACTCCTTTTCATATACACATAATCCTATTAGTTCTGTCCCTCTGGAGAACCCTAATACAGTCTCCTAGTGTTTAGATAGCTGAAGTGGTCACAGGCTCAGGAAACACAATACTCAGTTGGCTTAGAATTCTTGGAAGGTCTCTAAAGAAGGACAGGCACAAACAAAGGAAGACTGTGAAGAGTAAAATAAATACTTAATCCCTCAATGCACAGACAGCCTGCAATTTCACAAGCATCAAGAAGATTCTGGGTAATATGATCTCAACAAATGGACATGAGGCACCAGAGGCCAACCCTAAAGTGATAGAGATATGTGACCTTTCAGACAAGGAATTCAAAATACCTGTTTTAAGAGAGCTCAATGAACTTCAAGAAAACAGACGGAATCGATTCAGAAATGTATCAGGGAAATTTAACAGAGATACTGAAATCATAAACAAAATCAAACAAAAATTGTGGAGCTGGAAAATACAATGAGCAAAATGAAAAATGGAATAGAGAATATCAACAGCAGGACTGATGAAAAGGAAGAAAGAATCAGTGAGCTTGAAGCCCAACTATTTGAAAATACACAGTCAGAGGAGAAAAAAGCAAAAGGAATGAAAAGAAATGAACGGTTTATGGGAGCTATGAGACAACATCAAAAGAACAAATATTCAGGTTACTGAAATGAAAGAAAAAAACTGAGAAAGACAAAGGGGTAGAAAGCTTATTCAAAGAAATACAAAAAACTTTCCAAAGCTTGAAAAGATATAAATATCCAGGTACATGAAGGTTAAAGGTCACCAACCAGGCTCAACTTTCCCTCTCCAAAATAAGAAACAACCCAAGATTTATAATTAAACTCACACAGATCAAAGATAAAGGATCCTGAAAGCAGCAAAGGAAAAGAAACAAATAACATATAAGGGAGATCCAATACACTTGGCAGCAGAATTTTCAGTGGGAACCTTAGGGTTGGAGGGAGTGAAATTATTCAGAATGCTGAAAGAAAATAAAAAACTTAACGAAGAATAGTGTACCCAGCAAAACTATCCTTCAGAAATAAAGGCCAGATAAAGACTTTCCCAGGCCAAAAAAAAAAAAAAAAAAAAGCTGAGGAAATTTATCACTACTAGACCTGTCCTATAAAAAAGGCTAATCAGAGTTCTTCAAACCAAAAGAAAAGAACATTAACGTTATTGTTATACTAATATGATAATCATGGTTCTTAAATCACTTATATCTTTAGTAAAAAGAAAATACAAAACAATTAAAAATAATTACAAGTACAATTTGTTAAGAGGCAATATAAAAACAGCAAGTTGTAAAATCAAAAATTCAAAATGTTGGAGGAGAGGAAGTTAAGGTGTACAAATTTTTCTTTTCATTTGTTTCTTATCTTGCAATCAAAGTTAAGTTGGTACCAGTTTGAAATAATTAATATAATATTTTTATAAGACTCAAGGTAATTACAAAGCTAAAAACTATAATATATACACTAAAAATAAAAAAGAACAAATTAAAACATGCTACCAGAGAAAAATCACTCAGCCACAAAAGAAGACAGTAAGAAAGAAGGAAACGAAAAGAAGAGTTACATAATACCAAAAAAAAAATGTATCGAAATGGTCAAAGTAAGGCCTTGCCTATCAATATTAAAATTGAATGTAAATAGACTAAATTCTCTAGTTAAAAAAGACCAAGAGTGGCTGAATGGATTAAAAAACAAGACCCTCACACCTGTAATCCCAGCACTTTGGGAGGCTGGGATGGATCGCTAGGTCAGGAGTTTGAGACCAACCTGACCAACTTGGTGAAACCCCATCTCTACTAAAAAAAAATTAGCTGGGCGTGGTGGCAGGTGCCTGTAATCCTAGTTACTCAGAAAGCTGAGGCAGGAGAATCGCTTAAACCCAGGAGGCAGAGGTTGCAGTGAGCCGAGAGAGTGCCACTGCACTCCAGTCTGGGCGAAAGGGCGAAAGAGCGAGACTCCATCTCCAAAAAAAAAAAAAAGACACAACTATATGCTGCCTAGAAGAAACTCTCTTCACCTCTAACAGCACATATAGACTAACAGTGAAGGAATGGAAAATGATATTCCATGCAAATGGAGACCAAAAAAAAGCAGGAGTAGCTATATTTATATCAGATAAAACAGATTTTAAGTCACAACTTGTAAAAAGAGACAAAGAAAGTCATTATATAATGATTTAGAAAAGTCAAATCAGCAAGAAGATATAACAAAATTAAAAACATGCACCCAACAGTGGAGCACCCAAATATATAAAGCAAATATTAATAGCTCTCGAGAGAGACAGACTGCAATGACTGCAATAAAATAATTGCAGGGGACCGCAATGCCCCACTTTGAGCAACAAACAGTTCAGGCAAAAAATCAACAAACAAACATTGGAGTTAAACTATACACCAAGTGGACCTAACAGACATTTACGGAACATTTCATCTAACTGCTGCAGAATATACACATTCTTGTTATCAGCACATGGCACATTATCCAGGATAGACCATACATTAACCACAAAATAAATCTCAACAAATTCAAAACAGTCAAAATCATATCAAGCATCTTTTTTGACCACAACCACCACAACAAAAACTAGAAATCAGTAACAAGAACAACTTTGGAAACTGTACAGTTTCTGTACAGTTCATATTTCTGAATGCCCAATGAGTCCACCAAAAAAAAAGAAAATTTTAAAATTTCTTGAAACCAGTGAAATAAATCACAAAATACTAGAATCTACAGATACACAAAAGCAGTACTAAGAGGGAAGTTTAAAGCCTTAAACACCCAAATCAAAGAAATATGAAGACTTCAAAGAAACAATCTAATAATGTACTTCAAGGAACTAGAAAAGCAAGAACAAACCAAACCCAAAATTACTACAAGAAAACAAATAATAAAGAGCAGAAATAAATGAAATTCAGACTAAAAAAATAAAAGATCAACAAATGAAAAGCTGATTTTTGAAACCATAAAATCAACAAAGCTTTGGCTAGACTACCTAAAAAAAAGAACACCTAAATAAATAAAATCAGAGAAGAGAAAGAAAAAATTACAACTGATACTACAGAAATACAAAGGATCATTAGAAACTATTATGAACAACTATACTCCAACAAATGGGAAAATCTAAAAGAATTGAATAAATTCCTGGACACAACTTACCAAGACTTAACCATGAAAAAAACAGAAAAGCAATAACAAGAAGATTGAAGCAATAAAAAGTCTCCCATCAAAGAAAAGCACAGGATTTGATGTCTTCTCTGCTGAATTCTACCAAACATTTAAAGAATTAACATAAATTCTGCTAATTATTAATATTTCAAAAAAAATGAAGGGAGAATACATTCAAATTTATTCAATGAAGGCAGCATTACCATGACAGCAAAACCAAAGACAAAACAAATAAAAAAAACTATCAATATCCCCGATAAACACAGATTTAAAAATCTTCAAAAAATACTAGCAAACCAAACTCAATAATACATTAAAAAGATCATTCACCACAATCAAGTGGGATTCATCCCAGGGATGCAAGGATGAACCAACATATGCGAATCAATAAACATTGAACACTGCATTAACAGAATCAAGGACAAAAACCATAGGATCATTTCAACAGATGCTGAAAAAACTGGGTAAAATTCAACATCCCTTCATGATAAAAACCTTCAATAAACAGGGTATTGAAGGAACATACTTCAATCTGATAAAGGGCATATATGACAAGCCCATAGCTACTATCATATGGAACAGGGAAAAATGGAAAGCCTTTACACCAAGATCTGAAACAAAGCAAAGATGTCCACTTTCACCACTTCTATTCAACATAATACTGCAAGTTTTGGCCAAAATTAGGAAAGAGAAAGAAATAAAGGGCATTCGAATTGAAAAGGAAGAAGTCAAATTGTGCTTGTTTGCAGATGACATAATCTCATATGTAGAAAAACCTAAAGACTCCACCAAAAGACTCTTAGAACTAATGAACTCAGTAAATTCCCAGATACACAATCAACATACAAAAATCAGTAGCACTTCTATACACCAATAGCAATTAATTTGAAAAAGAACTCAAGAAAGCAATTCCACTTACAATAACTTCAAAACAAACAAACAAAAACCTAGGAATAAATTTTCTTTGACCAAAGAAGTCAAAGATCTCTACAAGGAAAACTATATAAAACATTGATGAAAACAACTAAAGAGGACACACATAAAAAATGAACAGATATCCCATGCTCATGAATTAGAATAAGTATTGTTAAAATGTCTACACTACCCAAAGCAATCTACAGATTTAACTCAATCCCTATCAAAATACCAAGGGCATTCTTTGGTAGAAATAGAAAAAGCAATCCTAAATTTCATATGGATCCACACAAGACCCTGAGTAGATAAAGCAATCCTGAGCTAAAAGAACGAAGCTGGAAGCATAAAACAAAGTTATTTTAAATTATACTACAAAGCTACAGTAATAAAACAGCATGGTACTGGCATAAAAACAGGCACACAGACCAATGAAACAAAAGAGAGAACCCAGAAATAAATCCACATTCATTACAGTCAACTCATTTTCGACAAGGGCATCAAGAACACACACTGGGGAAAGAACAGTCTCTAATAAATGATACTGGAAAAAGTAAATATCCATATGCAGAAGGATGAAACTAAATCCACATTTTTCACCACAAACAAAAATCAATTCAAAATGTATTAAAGGCTTAAATGTGGCTAGGCACATGACTCACTCCTGTAATCCCAGCAACTCAGGAAGCAGAGGTGGGAGGATCACTTGAGGCCAGAAGTTTGAGCCTGCGCAACATATCAAGACCCCACCTCTACAATAATAATAATTTAAAAAAATAGGTGTAGTGGTTCACACCTGTATTCCTAGCTGCTCAGGAGGCTAAGAAAGGAAGATTGCTTGAACCCTGGAGTTCAAGGCTGAAGTAAGCTAAGATCACACCACTGCACTCCAGCCTGGGTGACAGAGTGAGACCCTGTCTCAAAAGGAAAAAAAAAAAAGCACTTAAACATAAGACCTGAATCTATGAAACTACTAGAAGAAAACTTGGGGAAATCACTGAGGAAATGCTATACAACAGTGGTCTGGGCAAGACCTCAAAAGTACAGGTAACAAAGGCAAAAAAAAAGACAAATTACCTCAACAGTGTCTGCACAGCAAAGGAAACAATTAAGAAAGTGAAGAGACAATCTACAGAATGAGAGAAAATATTAGCAAATTACCTATTCAGCAAAGAAATAATAACCAGAATAACAAAAGGAATTCAAACAACTCAGTAGCAAATATAAATAATCCAATAAAAAAATGCGCAAAAGAAAGATGGCCAATAACTATATGAAAAAATGTTCGACATCATAATCATCATGGAAATGCAAATCAAGACCACAATGATCTCTTATCTTATGCAAGTTAGAATGGTTATTATCAAAAAGACAAAAATAAGAAATGCTGGAGAAGATGCAGAGAAAGGAAATCATGTGTACACTGTCGATGGGAATGTAAATTAGTATAGCCATTTACGGAAAGCAGTGGGGAGGTTCCTCAAAAAACTAAAAACAGAACTACCATATGATCTAGCAATTCCACTACTGGGTTTACTACCAAAAAAAAGGAAAGCAGTCTTTCCAAGAGATATCTGCACTCCTATGTCTATTGTAGCACTATTTACAACAGCCAGGGTATGGAGTCAACCTAAGTGTTCATCAATTATTATTTAGCCATTAAAAAAATGAGATCCTGTCATCTGCAGCAACGCAGATAAAATGAGAGGTCATTATGTTAAGTGCAATAAGCTAGGCACAGAAAAGACAAATACTTTATGTTCTCACTCATATGTGCAAGCTAAAAATGTGGATCTCATGGTGGTAAAGCGTAGAATGGTGGTTACCAGAGCCTGAGGAGGGAAGAGAGGAGGAGGGAGATGAAAAAAAATTGGCTAATGGGTACAAAACCACAGTTAGAAGGAGTAAGTACCAGTATTCAGTAGTACAGTAGAGACATCATAGTTAACAACAATTTACTGCATATTTCAAGATAACTAAAAGAGGAGAATTGTAATGTTCCCGAAACCAAGAAAAGATCAATGTTTGAGGTGATGAAGACTCCAATTATCCCAATTTGATCAGTACATATTGTATACACATCAAAATATCACATGTGCCTGCAAAATATGTACAACTATGATACACCAATAAAAAATACAAAAATAAATGCGTAGCTCATTAAAAATACTGTACTCCAAAATGATTAAAATAAAAAATGTATAATTGCAATCATAAGTACTAACATATATTGAACCTTGACTATGTGCCATGAACTGTTCTAAGCACTTTATTAACTCAGCTATGTAAAATGTCAAAGCTGCACAGAGTTACAACTGACTTTCCATCTGCGATTAATTAATGCCAAGAGCACACAAAAGACAGCTTAAAAGAGGGCCTGCTAGCCAAACTGGTGCAACTGAGACATCAGTACAAATAGTGATACTGAGAAATCATAAACCACTGAATAGAAAGGAATTTATGATCCCATAAAAACGAAATAAATTTAAAAATCTCTTAAGAAATAGGGTATTTATTTCTTTTTCTTTCTTTCTTTTTTTTTTTTGAGATGGAGTCTCACTCTATCACCCACGCTGGAGGGCAGTGGTGCAATCTCCACTCACTACAACCTCTGCTTCCCAGGTTCAAGTGATCCTCCTGCCTCAGCTTCCTGAGGTAGCTGGGATTACAGGTATATGTCACCACGCCTGGCTAATTTTTGTATTTTTAGTAGAGACGGGGTTCCACTATGTTGGCCAGGCTGGTCTCAAACTCCTGACCTCAGGTCACCCACCCATCTCAGCCCCGCAAAGTGCTGGGATTACAGGCATGAACCACCTCGCCCGGCCAAAACAGGATATTTATATAGTCCCAAAATAACTTCCCACAAAATATTAACTTAACAGGAAAAAGAGTAATTTTACAATGAAGAAGCCTGGCTGACACCACCATAATCAAAGTTAACATCACTAGAAATACGACAAGTTAAAATCAAGTATCACCTGATAGAATGCAATGAGAAGAATGCAGCATCCTTTCTAAGAATAACCTAAATCTAATCATGAGGGAATGTCATGCAAATCTCAATTTAAGGATATTTTTCACAATAACTACCCTGTAATCTACAAAAATGTCAAGGTCACTAAAGTAAAGAAGACTGAAGAAACTGTTACCAACTGAAGAAATCTTCACGGATGTGACAAATAAATGCAACACATGATTCTGGACTAACTTATTTTGTCATAAAGGAAATTATTGGGACCGCTGACAAAACTTGAGTGACAATAATAATGCTCATTTCTAATTTTATGGTTACACTGTGGTTATGTAAGAGAATTTGATTTTGTAGAAATACGCACTGAAGTATTCAGCTGTGATGGGGCATATGGCAGCAACTAAATTCAAATGGTTGAAGAAAAAAATGTTTGTGACTGTTCTTGCAAATTTTCTGTAAAGTTTAGAGATCTTAAAGAAATAGAAGAAACAAAAACTTGATCCAAATATAAAAACATTGGAGAAAAAAAGTTCAATACAAATAGATATAGAAATAAAAGAAGTGATAAAATTGGCAAACAAGATCTTAAAAACAGGTATCGTAAATATTTTCAAAAATTTTCAGGAAAACACTATGCAGTTATTGACCTGGCCAAAAGAAATTTTTAAAAAAAGAAGAAGACAAAAAAGAATTTTAAGGAAAACATTAAAATTATGAGGAAAAGATAGAAAACATAAAAAGAACCAAATGAAGCTTCTACAGCTAAAAGATATAATATTGGAAATTTTAAAGTGCACTAAATAAGCTTACAAGCTGAAGAAAAAAATCAGTAAATTTGGAGACAGAACAACCATTCAAAGTAAGCATAGAAACAAAAAAGATTGACAAAAAAAAAAATGACATCCTCAGAGACACAGGTCCCTTAATAACAACAATATTAAGAGGTTTAATATATGAGGGGTCTTCAAAAAGTTCATGTAAAAGATGTATTATTTTAAAAATTATGCATGGATTTCAGTTATTTTTGCACCAAAATAAATTCATACTAACTTGTTAAAACATGTCTGAACAGAGTCCAGTTTGAGGCACTAAGGGTAAGATACCAGTTTGAAAACAGTTTGTCAGAGCCACATGAATTTTGTTAAAATTGAAGCAAGAAGAAGCAAATTTATGGTGAAGCTTGGATAGAAAAATGGTAAAACTATTGATGCTTTATGAAAAGTTCATGAGACAATGCCCTAATGAGATAGCAGTTTACAAATGGATAACTGAAAGAACAAGACTATGTTGAAGATGAAGACCCCAGCAGCTGACCTTCCACATCAGTTTGCAAGGAAAAAACTCATCTTGTTTGTTCCCTAATTGAAGAAGATAAATGATTAACAGCACAAACAATACCCACCACCAGAGCCACCGCAATTGGTTCAGGTTAAACAATTCTGACTGAAAAATTAAAGTTGTGCAAACTTTCCACATGATTAGGGCCAAAATCCTTATGCCCAGATCAGCTGCATACAAGGGCAGAGCTTTCAATCAAAACTGTAAACAAGTGGGATCAAGATTTTGACGTACTGCTTCAAAGAATTGTAACAGGAAATGAAACACAGCTCTACAGATCTTGAAGACAAAGCACAATCAAAGCAATGGCTACCAAGAGATAGAAGTAGTCCAGTCAAAGCAAACATGGACTGGTCAAGAGCAAAGGTCATGGCAACAGTTTTTCTGAATGCTCAAGATATTTTGCCTGTTGACTTTCCAAAGAATAATAATATCTGCTGACTGCAAGTGTTTTGAGAAAGTGAGCAAAAGCTTTAGCACAAAAATGCCCAGGAAAGCTTCACCAGAGTCCTCCTTTACCACAAAGTTTATGCTTATTTGTCTCATCAAACAAGGGCAATTTTGCAGGAATTTCAATGGGACATCATTAGGCATTTATCTTACAATCCTGATTTAGCAACTTCTGACTTCTTTTTGTTTCTTAATCTTTAAAAATTTTTAAAGGGCACCCATTTTTATTCAATTACTAATGTAAAAAATATAACACTGATATGATTAATTTCCCAGGACACTCAGTTCTTTAGGGATAGACTAAATGACTGGTATCATCACTTACAAAAGTATCTTGAACTTGATGGACCTTATGTTGAGAAATAAAGTTTATATTTTTTATCTTTTAATTCCATTTTTCCATGAACTTTTTGAAGTCCCCTCATATATACAATTGAAAAGTCAGGAAAAAAAAGTGGAAGAAGATGACAAAAACATAGGCAAATTTGATTTTTAAAAATATTAACTAGATCCAAAAAAGCTCAGTGAAATCCAAGTAAGGAAACTACATCAAGATGCATCATTATCAAATTACTAAAAACTGATAAGAAAGAGAAAGTCTTAAGAGAAATGAGAATATAAGAACACATTATATATCTGTAAGCAAAGAACTACTGCTGACTTCTTATCAGAAACAATTCAAGCCAAGTGACAATGGAGGACAAGTGCTGCAAGAAAAAACCTGTCAAGCTAGAATGGCATATCCTTAAAAATGAAAGGTGAGGACAAGATATTATCAGACAAACAGAAGCTGAGAGGATATGTCACTAGTAGATCTCCACTACAAGAAATATTAAAACAATTTCTAAAGCTTGATGGGAATTTATATCAAATGGAAACCTAGATCTATACAAAGAAATGAAGAGGGTTAGAAACGGCAAATATATGAATAAATATAGAATAGCTCTTTTTTCAATTAATTTCTTTAAGAGGTAACTGACTAAAAGTTTTAACTCTACAATATAAAGTTTATTGTGTATTTAGAGGTAAAATACAGAATACAGCACAAGAAAACAAAAGTATATTGATGTAAGAACTTAAACTATAAATAAAGTGGTGCAGTGTTATTTGAAGACAGAATGTAAGTATGTATAGTATAGATGCTTGAGCAAGTATTTTTTTAAGTAAAATAAAGAGGCTTAGCTATTAAGATAATAGAGGAGATAATATACAATATCAAAATGCACTGAATGCAAAAGAAAAGAGGAGAAAAGGGAAAAGAACAGAAATGGCAAACAGACAAAAATTATGGACATTAACAAATCTTTCAAGTTGGAAACATGCCTGATGAAAACGAGACCACCTTTAATACTGTTTTTGTATGGTGCTGCTATGGACCAAATTTGTCCCTCCCAAATTCATATGCTGAAATCCTAATCCACAATGTGATATTAGAAGACAGGGCCCTTGGGAAGTAATTAGTTCATGAGGGTGGAGCCCTCATGAATGAGATTAGTGTCCTTATAAGAAGAGACAGGAGAGCTTGATATCTCTCTCTCTCTCTCTGCTTTCCACTATGTGAGGCTATGTCAAGATGACCACATGAAAGCCAAGCAGCAAACCCTAAGAAGACACCACATCTGCCAGCACTTTGATCTTGGACTTCCCAGCCTCCAGGATTGTGAGAAATAGATTTCTGTTGTTTAAACCACCCAGTCTATGGTATTTTGTTATAGCAGCCTGAAATAAGACAATTACCTTCACAATGCTGCTTCAAAAATATTGAAATATGATAATATGGTAATAGATGAGTAGGTTAGAAGATATGAGAATCAGGGTAGAAAAGTTAAGAGCAAAAATAAGAAAGGGATAGGAAGAACATCTCAAAGTTCAGACTGACAGAATCCAGCTTCCACCAAGGACACTGCCTTGCATCATATTCAATTAAGATGAGGGAGATACCTAATAGCATAAACACAGGAATCCTTAAGTAATGACAGAAGTAGTTTTATCTTTCTGCCTGATTTTTTTCTATTAACCCAAGATGATTAATCTTTTTGAAAAACTGTTTCAGGCCAGATGCAGTGGATCACGCCTGTAATCCCAGCACTTTGGGAGGCTGAGGTGGGCGGATCACCTAAGGTCAGGAGTTCAAGACCAGCCTGACCAACATGGAGAAACCACATCTCTACTAAAAATACAAAATTAGCTGGGAGTAGTAGCACATGCCTGTAATCCAAGCTTGGGAGACTCAGGCAGGAGAATCGCTTGAACCTGGGAGGCAGCAGTTGCTGTGAGCCGAGATCACGCCATTGCACTCCAGCCTAGACAACAAGAGCGAAACTCCGTCTCAAAAAAACAACAAAAACAAACAAACAAAAAAACCCCAAAAAACTGTTTCAGAGTAATAGATTATACATAGTCTAAAAATCAATATTTGAGGCTAATTAGGAGACAGATACATGAAAAGAATAATCATAGGCCGGGCGCGGTGGCTCACGCCTGTAATCCCAGCACTTTGGGAGGCCGAGGTGGGTGGATCATGAGGTCAGGAGATCGAGACTATCCTGGCTAACACGGTGAAACCCCGTCTCTACTAAAAATACAAAAAAAAAAAAAAAAATTAGCTGGGCGTGGTGGCGGGCACCTGTAATCCCAGCTACTTGGGAAGCTGAGGCAGAAGAATGGCGTGAACCCGGGAGGTGGAGCTTGCAGTGAGCTGAGATTGCACCACTGCACTCCAGCCTGGGTGACAGAGCAAGACTCCGTCTCAAAAATAATAATAATAATAAATAAAAAATTATAAAAAAGAAGAGTAATAATTAAAAATATTATCTTTCATTTAAGACAGATAATATCATTACATCACTGACTGAAATCTACAAACCACAGAATACACAAATAGACAAAGTGATTATGTATCCATAAGTAAACAAGGATTTGCTTGGCACAGTGTTTTGGATGAGTAATTATTTATAATTAGTATATCAATTATTTGTACATTGGTACTTAAACTGTAAGCAATCATGTTTCCACAATAAAATTATTGTTAAGCTTAAGATACTACAGAGTGACTTCATAATTACAATTTAATCACCAATACTTCCATATCTCAATTTTTTAAATAATGCAACTACCAAACAGATTTAACTTAAAAAAAGACAAACAATGAAACATTAATTATGCTGAGGCAAAATGTTCTCATACTTCTAAGGATTTTGAAGAAAAAGAAACAATACCAAATCAATTTTACAAGCTTATTTTTAGATACAGGTTAGACTATGTAACAGCGACACAATGTTTACACCCACAGCCGTCACTGAGGTAAATAAACTTGAAGGCAGTTTTCCACGTATTGTGGGATCTAAAAAGACGAAATATAAAGAGCCAGAGAGTAAATATTTTGGGCTGTATATGCCACATAAAGTCTTTGTCACATATTCTTCTTGTTAATATCCCTTTAAAAATGAAAAATTCATTCTTAGCTAGGGAGCTGGACCAAAATACACTGCAGGCCAGATTATGTCTAAAGACTATGACCTCTGATGTAGATTAATCTCATATAATTTGAAAGAGTTCACTTTTGTCTATAAGATCAAAAGTCATCAAAAATGTCAATGACATAATTGCTAAGGAGTGAACAATCTTCAAAATATTTAAAAAATTGATTGATACAAATTAAGCAAAAAAAATTAATGACACACAAAAAAAGCAATTTCAAACTATCTAGTAATGTTGAAGCGTACATGTCCAATAACAATAACAACTTCTTCTAGATACGTATACCCTACAGAAACTCTTACCAATATACAAAAGAAAATGAATAAGAATATTACTGAGCACTGTTTATAACAACAATAAAAATAAAAGGTGGAAGTGTCTTAAAAATTCATTAACATAAAAATGAGTAAATAAATTGTTGTGTCCTCATAAAATGGAGTACTAGGCTGTCAGTGTGTGAATGAAGGGCTAGTCAAAGAAATAAGTTAAGAGGTAGGGAAACTAGCAAGGGATCTGTTATACAGCCAAAATGCACTGCCTCAACATTTATAACCAAGAATGAACGTTCTTAATGTTTTGACAAAATGTTTAAAAGTTATGTAACACTTGTAATTTTTCCCACTGATTAAGATCATTCTGCATAATTTCACCTTGCACAATCATTTTTACAGCCCTATACTACAGCCCTATACTTGCTTTGTACTAGACTGCAAAGCAAGAAATGCCTGTAGTATAGGGCTGTAAAAACGATTGTAGTACAAAGCAAGAAATGCCTATTCATAACATAATATAAAGTCAAATAAACAAAACTAGTACTTTTCATTTACATGTGGTAAATTAAGTTTTACACAAGGGGGACTGTGGACAAGGAATTAAGAAAGTGAACACTAAAACAAGGATCAGGGCCCACCCAATAAAACAAGCTTTAGATAAACAGCAGAGTGTGTTTTTGTTGAGGGGTTAGGGGTGGTAAGAAATTTGTATGCAGATTTTATTCAGTTTAGAGCAACTACCTAGGCAAACTGTGGCCTGACAATAATCAGAAAGGAAATTGCTGGGGTCACTGTTTTTATTGCAATTACCATCATGCCAACTCTACATTATTGCTGTTGTTCTTACAGCAATTGTCTGCAAAAGCCAAGGATATGGCATAAAATAATAATCCAGTGAAGAGATTTCTTTATTCAGGCAATGTAACTGAATGTATATATACTGCTTTTTAATTATCTGGCTTAACTGAAGGAAAGAGATTAGAGAACCTGGAAAAATGGTCATTGTTCTCTGTAGATGATGAAGATAACCTAGGCATTAATGTTAGAAAGTACAAGATTATGGTCATTTCATGATTTTTTTCTCTGCTAAGTACAATGTCAATATCTTGGTATCAATAGAAAGATTAATATGGTTTATTAATAAATATCCAACATACAGGTAAACATTCTTGATACTTTGTTTGAAAATGTGAAAATATAGTATAAAGCCTCAACCAATTGAAGGGTCACTCCACTGCCACAGAAAGGTGGACTACAGGACCTGTGGATAAGAATGAAACAATGCTTCTTCCTCCAAAACAAAACAAAACAGAAAGAAAAAAAATTAAGACATTTGAAACTCTAACTTGAAAATCTGGCACTGTGAAGAAAATACGCATTGGAATAATTCAAGTCAAGTGTTACTAATAAGGCATAATGAAAAGACTGCAGGGTCCCTAGAAAATATGACTTTGTACAGGACTATGTACTGATGAATCTTACCTAGATGGCCTGCAAAATGCAACCCAAGTAGCTGAACTCGTATGTTGCATTGGTCTCGAGTTTTATGAGAAGTCACAGCAATTTCATTACCAAGGGAGGTTATTTTAAGCTTGAAGTTTAAGTTGCCAAAAATCACTGTATTTTGGTACAAAGAGTTTAAAAGTCTATATTCAGTTTCAAAGATAAATATTACACTTTACTACTAACAGAAAACTTAAGGAATCATAAGCTGTGATGTCATATTTTTGCTCCATTTGAGGTCAAACATACATCAATTTCTTAAAAATGGAAGAGAGCAGCAATCAGCATGTACTAATTTTGTGGAATCTTTCTATATGCTTACTATGTCTTATCCCTTTTACTGCTTGCAACAGTCTTCTGAGTTGTACACTGTTACTACAATTTTACAGAAAAAAATATTAAGTGCAAAGAGGTGAAGTAATTTGTCCAAAGTCACACAGCTTAGCAAATGGCAGAACTGGGATACAAGTCTTTTAACTATTACACTTGACAGTTAGAGAAACTGCCCCAAATATTTGGCCACCATTGGCACAAAAGATATGCAACAGATTAAAGTACAAGTACTGTGACCTACTCATAGAATGTTATTAGCAGAAGGGCTTTAGGAGTCACTTAGTCTAACCTACTCACCTAAAACTGAGGCAAAGTACAAAGAGGCTGAGTAATATGCCAAAAGTCCTAGAGCTAGTTAAATGGCAGAAATGATAAGAATGCAGAATTGTGGTTTCCAAACCAGCACTCTTTCTAAGAATTATGATGTCCTGTTCTAAGTCCTTAAAAGAGAAATGAAATGTCCCGTTAAGATTTTAGATGAAAGTTAATTTGGGGCTAGACAAAGCTGGCTGCTAAAAATAATTTTTTAAATTTAAAACAAGATTTTACACAGTACCAGCAATTCAAATTCAAATGTATTTCTGGTGAGCAGATCGAGTGGCAAAGGTGAAGTATAATTCTTTCTTAATAGATAGTAGCATAGGCTAATTTGAAAATAAGAATTTTATTAGTACCCGTTATAAACAAGAGACCATTTATATCTAACTACAGAGTTTAGGTATATATAGTATAGTCTCAGTCCCGTATTTGCTCATAAGTTATGTTACTTTTAAGAATGTATGTTAGTCTTGCCACATATTTTACCTCCTAGATAGCATGTGCTTTACTGATAAGAATGATCAAGAAAAACTGCCATTAATAAGTACCATTAATTGAGTTATTTTTAATAGCATTACTTTTAACATTCCATGGCCAATATTTCAAGTATCCAAGTTTACAAAATAACAAAAATATCATAAACACATGTGAAAATATTTGTCCAGCTGTTCTATTAATCTAGTGAGAAGTAAACCTGACTTATCTTTTTACTGTGCTTCATTATTTTACATCATATCAGTCACAAACTCGAGTATAACATTTACACCTCATGTTCTTACAATTTTGCCCCTTTAATCACTACTGGGTTTTTTTCAGTCCTCCCAAGGGCTTTTTAAATGTGTCTGACACCTGCCTGGTGCTTTTAGTTATTACAATTCAAATGAAGTTTTTATAAGTTCTAAAGTGTCTGGGGAAGGCACGTTAACCTAAGTGTTAACTATGGTTAAATGTTATGGAATATGCTCATAAAAATCCAAACTCACATAAGATAGAATTACATATATGTAATGTGAGTAAAGGAACTTGAAAATTAATAAAAAGTACAGTATCAGCACATACAGAAGGCCATTCTGGGAAAGCACTTCAAAGAGTTTGAAAATAGGTTTTAATTACTAGGCAAGAATGCTGTGGGCAAGTAAAAACCCTGAAATGCAAGAGGGGCTGGCAGGGAAGAGAACAGAATTCGAGCTGTTCCTCTCATAAAGTATAATACAATCCTTCCCCAAATTCATTCATTCTATTCAGGAAAAAGAAAAATGACACATTTCTTCAGAACTTACATTGCAGGGACCATGCTGGCTACAATTAGGCAAGTTGTAAAATGTGTATTTACACATATTTACATGCCCATGAAATCCCCTTCTGCTATTAATGACTACTTTTGTCACTCTCAGTCTCCTTTGCTGACTTGTCTGCAGAATCTCAAACACTGATTTCCAATTTCCACATTTTCATCTCAATTTCCATATTTTCATCTCTCGAAATAATCATCCTCTTGAGCTACAAATCCATATATACAACTGCCTTTAGGACATATTCAACATTTTGTCCCAAAGGCTTTTCAAACTCAACACTGGTATTTTCTCTCTCACCTCCAACCTGTTTCTCCTTTTCTCCCTGGAGTTAGGATACTTCCATCTGCCAGTCATTGACAGTAAAAATTTTTATCACCTTTGACTGCTTTTCTTTCTCATTTCTCACATACAATCAACAACCAAGAGCTGCAGATTCTGTTAACTGTTTCTTCATGTTAGTTGTTGAGTCAAATATCTCTCCCACTAAATAATGAGTTGATACATAACGAGGAGCCCATCTAATATATCTTTGTTTACTATGCACAGTGCCTGACACACAGAAGGTGTTATTTTTGCTATTCCAATTGTAAAACTTTTACAAATATTTTTAAAAGTATTACAGACATGACATTGTAATATTTATTTCACCTCTAAATTTCATTCAAAAAGGAATTGAGATAGAAAGAAAAAACTAGTTTCTCTACATCAGCTAATTTATCCATGAATAAAAAATTAAACCCAACAATAAAATGTGCTTATTTTTAAACTTCTTATAAGTTTAAAATTATCCTTTTTCTTATAAAATTCCTTATAAAATTATCCTTCTTTTTCTAAATCTCTCTAGGTCTTCTTAGATTCCAAATGCTAAAGGTTTTGTTATAGTTCTTATTGTCATTTTCTGCTTTTAGATAAATGTTATTTATGGAATATTTTCACATCAAGACTTTTTTTTATATATCAGCTTTATCAACTGATAAAAGCCCAACTCAAAAAAAATAACATATATATAGTCTTAACATATGATGCCACAACTTTAACATAGTATACTGTACAAATAATGACAAATGTAAGTAAATCTGATCTAACTTCTTCATAACCTTGTAAAACTGACAATGGCACAATAACTATTCCACTTGTCCCAAGAATAACAGGTTACTATTAGTTATTCCCTAATAGTCATTCAAACAGGGATAAAACTAAGTATATGTCTTTGTTTAATATTGATGTTAATAACTGCCGATTTAAGCAAATAAGGCACATAATACAACACTATTTGCTGAAGTCAAGGGAATTTTTAAAGTTAAAAAAAAACAAAACTCTAAAGGAAATTAAATAGAAACTCAAAAGGTTTCAGACTCTAGATGAGCCCAAACAGTAATAAACCTATAGAAGGAGAATACAGACTTAGGATCCACAAAAGGCATGAAATGACATAGTTCCTGGTGAGACTAAACTGGAAGCTGCACCCAAGGTGAAAGAAAAAATAACCAAAACACTAAGAGAAAGAGTTCTTTATAGTGTTGGGGTCTGGGTTTGGGGCCAGAACTAACACACACCTTTATAGGCTTCAACTGAGAAGTGCAGTGAAACAGGCAAGTTCAGGGCAGCCCCAAACCCAGGTTCCCCAGCCAAGTTCCTCTCAGGGCTTTTCCCAGTAACTTTCCACTATCATTATGGGCAGGGGGACTATGAATAGGAGAGGTCATCAAAGCCCTCACCCATGAAATCCACAATCTTCTTCATGACTCTTCTTTGCCTTACTCCATGCATCCTGTTCACTGCAGTACAGAACTCAGAGTTAGCCTTTTAAACTTCAATTACTTCATCTACAATATGCCCAGATCTATTATACTGACCTCAAAATTTATTTAAATATATTTTATTTTTTAGCAAAGTTTAAGATTTACAGAAGAATTGAGCAGATAGTACAAACAGCTCGCATATGCCCACCCACCCATGTACACTGTTGCCCTTATTATTACTATCTCATATTAGCATGGTATATTTGTTACAATCAGTGAACCCAGATTGAGATATTATTATTAAACTAAAGACCATAGTTATTCAGATTTCCTTAATTTTTCCCTAATGTCCTTTTTTTTTTTTTCATTCCAGCATCCTACACAGGATATTGTAACATTACATTTAGCTATCATGCTTCCTTGGGTACTGTCTTGGTGGTGACAGTTTCTCAAACTTTCCTTGTTTTTGATAACCTTCACAGTTTTGAGGAGTACTAGTCAGTGATTTTACAGAATGTCTTTTAACGTGGGTTTGCCTAAAATTTTTCTCATGGTTGGAGAGGGGTTATGAGCACTCAGGAGGAAGACAACAGAAGTAAAGTGCTATTATCACCACATTATCCAAGGGTATATATAGTCATTTATCAGTTATCTACGGGAACTGGTTCCAGGACCACTGTGAATACCAAAATGCACACATACTCAAGTCCTGTAGTCAGCCTGTGGAATCTGAGGACACATAGTTAGCCCTCCTTATTTGGGAGTTTCCATATACCACAAATATTATATTTTCAATCTGTGTTTGGTTGTGGAACCTACAATAAGGAAGGGCAACTATACTGAAAAAAAAATGTATTAAAAAAATGTGTTGTTCAAAGCATCAACTGTACTGTCAACATGACTTATCACTGAAGATGTTAACCTTGATCATCTGGCTGTGGCACGGCTTGTCAGGTTTCACCATTGTACAGTAGCTCTTCCCCTCCCCTCTTTTGATATTAAATTCTTTGGAAAGAAGCCCACACTCAAGGAGTGGGGAGTTATGCCCCCCAAAAACTTTTTCATTTGCCTTTTTAAGCATAATGCTCCCCAAAGCTTATAATGTACAAATGTTATACTTTTCTGGATGAAAAAAATGAGACTTACAGAACTTGCTTAAGGCTGCAAAACTAAAAAGTGCTAAGGTTAGGAAGTAAATCCAAGCAATGTGAATCCCAGCTTAGTGTTCTTTTCATCGTGACATACTCAATATCAAGGGCACAAATTATATACTAACAGGTAAATTTTAAGCTCCCCATTATCCCACCATCAGTCTTTTTCCAGGCACTTCTATTTCATTGAACAGTTTCCTGTATCTTTGGCTGTGATTGCCCTTTCCTATTAACTTTTACTCCTAGACCAAAGCCATGTTATTTTTCTGTTTTCTTTGTCCTAGAGAAACAAAATTATTTTTCAAACCAGTTCCCAGAAACATCTTTCCACTTCTCTAAACCTACCCTACAGAAACTACTTAAACTATCTTCCCTGGTAACTTTGTGTAATTAATGAAAAAAGCCATTGGACACTAGTTCTATTTTTTTAAAAAAAACAAAAAGGGAAATGGAAGAGCATATATATAATACAGTGGTTAAGAGCTCAGACTCTTGAGTCAGAAAGTTCTGAGACTAAATTTCAGTGCCATCACTACCACTTAGACCTTCGAAAAGTCACTTAACCTTCTTAAAATCATTATCCTTATTTGTAATCTTAAAGCATTCTGTAATTAAAAGAGCTATGCAGCTTCCCATGCAAAAATTAAAAAACAGAAGCCTAAAGATGAATTTGGAATTTTTAAATTTCAGATTATCTTGTACCTTTGATAAGAGAATATTAATATATCTAGTTAAATGACAAATAGTAATTACAGATGCTCCTTGATTTACAAGGGGGTTATGTCCTGATAAACTCATCAAAAATTGAAAATATCCTAAGTCATAAAGCATTGAATACTCCTAACCTACTGAACATCATATTTTAGATCAGCCCACCTTAAACATGCTCAGAATGCTTACACTGGCCTACAGTTGGAAAAAGTGACGTGGCAACACAGTACATTCTAGAATGTTGGCTGTGTACACTCATGATCACAATGGCTGACCGGGAGCTGTGGCTCACTGTTACTGCCAGGCATCATGAGGGAGTACTGTACTGCATATCACTAGCTCAGTAAAAGATTAAAATTTGGGCCTGGCGTGGTGGCTTATACCTGTAATCCCAGCACTTTGGGAGGCCAAGGCGGGTGGATCACAAGGTCGGGAGTCCGACACCAGCCTGGCCTACATGGTGAAACCCCGTCTCTACTAAAAATACAAAAATTAGTCGGGCATAGTCGTGGATGCCTGTAACCCCAGATACTTGGGAGCCTGTAACCCCAGATACTTGGGAGGCTGAGGCAGAGAATTGCTTGAACCCGGGAGGCAGAGGTTGCAGTGAGCCGAGATCGCGCCACTGCATTCCAGCCTGGGCGACAGAGTGAGACTTTGTCTCAGAGGAAAAAAAAAAGGATTAAAATTCGAAGTATAATTTCCACAGAGTGCATATCACTTTCACACCATTGTAAAGTCGAAAACTTAAGTAAATCCATCTTAAATTGGGGAGCACCTGTACTCTGAATTGTGCACTACTTTGAATAAACCACAGGTTTTTCTGGAAATGAAATCTATTTTATACAATTCCTCTCTGAGACAAGTATAGAGAAGAAAATTTCCCAAAAAGTCAAGGATATACTAAGCTCATTACATTCCTGTATTTACCAGAATAATTATTTGCTGAAAATCCCTGTCAAAGACCTAACCACATTTCTTGCAGAATTAGTGACAGTTCTTCATATAGTAAAGCAATGCAGCTATCCCAGGGCAATTAATCTATTGTAGCACTCCAGACAAAAGCAAGAGAGAAGCAGAAAGGAAATTTCAACTGGAAAGTATTTTACGTAACTGTCCCAGATAACAAACTAAACTTACACAGTATGTCAAATGTCACAATCTACACAAAAACACATATATATGCCAGAGGGCATTAAGAGCTCACACAAGCCAAGCTGAAGTCTCCACCCTGAGTACAGTACGTATCTTTTAATCCCTGTTCAGAAAAGATGCATAGAGGAAGCTAAAAGGTTCTTTCATAAACTTAGAGGAAGAAGTGTAAGTCTATCAAAATATCTTGAAGATTAAAAGTAGTAACTACCATTGTGAAAAGTGATAGGGAGTTTTTCCTTTCAATCTGTTTAAAATACTTGTGTTTCCTAACTGGCTAGAGAATTCTAGTGTATGTCTACTTTTTCTGATCACTTTCAAAATGTGTAAGATTTGTTATTTCAAAATTTCAAACTAACTTTTAACACTTAAAGCTTGTAGAAAACAAATATATAGGTTGAAACCAAACATTTGGGTTGAACAAAAGTTGCCAAGTTTTTTAAACAGGAAGTTAAAATTAAACAGAACAGGACCAGGTGCAGTGACTCACGCCTGTAATCCTAGCACTTTGGGAGGGTGAGGCGGGCAAATTGCCTGAGCTCAGGAGTTCGAGACCAGCCTGGGCAACATGGTGAAACCCTGTCTCTACTAAAAATACAAAAAATTAGCTGGGCGTTGGGGTGCTTGCCTGTTATCCCAGCTACTCGGGAGGCTGAGGCACAAGAATCTCTTGAACCTGGGAGGTGGGAACTGCGGTGAGCTGAGATCGTGCCACTGCACTCCAGCCTGGGCGATAGAACAAGACTCTGTCTCAAAAAAAAAGAGAACAGAGTATGAATTCCCAACTTCTTTGGCTCCATTTTCTCATACATAAGCTGTATGGTATTGTTACTTTAAAACTTTCCTCACAAACACTGAATAGATGAAAATAAAAGGACCAATGAAAATGCTAGTAGAAGACAAATTATTTTCATATTCCCAACTTTGTATTTAAAAAAATTTTAAACCTATAGGAGAGTTGAACGAATAGTACATGTTGAGTATCCCTAAATCTAAAAATCCAAAATGCTCCAAAATTCAAAACGTTTTGAGCTCCAACATGACACTCAAAGAAAATGCCCACTTTAGCATTTTAGATTCCAAATTTTCAGATTAGGGATGCTCAACTGGGAAGTATAATGCAAATATTTCAAAATGCAAAAAAATTCAAAATCTAAACACTTCAGGTCCAAAGCATTTTGATAAGGGATATTCAATTTGAAAAATAAAAACCCATCATTCATTAAGTATATCCTCCATACAGATTCAAAAATTGAATAATACTGTCGAACCACACTAAATTCTAAACTGAATAAAAATCCACACTAAATCAAAATTAGTAACTAGGACATGTAATAATCTCTGAGTTATGAACTCAATTGATGAAGATAATTTGTTAACATCATGTGGCTTTTCTGTCTGTGACCTAAAAATCTAATGAAAAAGCTCAAATAAATGAATGTGTGCCTGGTTATTTTATATAGCAGTGTACAAAGTTAAACCTTTCAAAGAATCATTTACAATTTCCTCATAGTGAAAAAAAGACTAAAAATGAAATTGTCTAAGGTTATGAAATGTTTATGTTCAAAAAAGATAATAAATATATTTCTAAGTAATTCTAGGATAGTCCAGAAAGCAGTCTTAGTAGTATCTAAAATTATTACCTTGGATCACAGAAAAAGTAAGATACTAGTTTGTAAGAAAATAAGTGTGCTCTTAAGAGTTAAGTCGAAAACTTATCTGATGAGGACTTCGCTCACAGGTTCTTAAATAAATTTTAGATTTCCAGTAGACAAGAAAAATTCTAATACTATGAATATACAATTGTAGAATATACAAGGTAAGAACAGAAAAAATGGAGATGAGAGTAAAAAGACTAGAAAATGCCAGTAAACACAGCCATCCCCATTACCACATGATAAAAGGACAAGGACCAAGGAGAAATCAAGTTGTCCTGGGAAGTGACAAAATCACTCATTACTTCAACCCTTAAAACCGCAACCTTTGCTGTGTTGCAGCAGCTCACTCCTATAATCCCAGCACTTTGGGAGGGTAAGGTGGGAGGGCTGCTTGAGGCCAGGAGTTTGAGACCAGCCTGGGCAACACAGTGAGACCCTGTCTCTACAAAAATGTTAAAAAGTTAGCTGGTGTGATGGCTCACACCTGTAGTCCTAGCTGCTCAGGAGGCTGAGGCAGAAGAATAGCTTGAGCCCAGGAATTTGAGGTTACAGTGAGCTATAATCACACCACTATACTTCAGCCTAGGCCACAGAGTGAGACCATGTCTCAAAAAAATAACAAATAAACCTGAAACCTTTAAAACTGTAGTTGTGATTCCCCATAAGTGATCATGCTGTAAATGGTCTCCTCCCCCATCTTTACTCTCCAATATCTTCCAGAAAATAAAAAATATGTTGAAGATACTGATTCTTAAAGAACAAACAGCTTAATCACACCTAAGTATCATTCTATAAAAATCTTAAGTAAAGCCAAAAGTTGACAAACTACTCTGAAGTTTTGTGCTTTCAAACTGCCAATGATTTCAATGTTCTAAGACAGAAAATGCATTCTGGGCCAGACGCAGTCGCTCACGCCTGTAATCCCAGCACTTTGGGAGGCCGAGGCAGGCGGATCATGAGGTCAGGAGATCAAGACCACAGTGAAACCTGTCTCTACTAAAAATACAAAAAATTTGCCAGGCACCTGTAGTCCCAGCTATTCGGGAGGCTGAGGCAGGAGAATGGCATGAACCTGGGAGGCGGAGCTTGCAGTGAGCCAAGATCACGCTAAAGAAAATGCATTCTGTTATGTAAAAAATTCCCTGGTAATATCAAAACAGATGATCATGTGCCTTTTCTGAAATGAATTGATAGTTAATCTATTTAGGTATATATTTTTGTGATACAGTCCACAGAAATGGATTTACAGTTTTATATGTGTGGATTAAGTATCTGGATATATCATAATGTTACATAAAATTAATATCTGGTCCTAAAGTAAGTGTACAACTACATATCATGAAAGATTATCTATCCCAGTTAATCGGGGCGAAGCAATGAACAAATAAAATGTGTGTGTGGTTCAGAATAAAAACAATGCACATATACTTTCTGAATGGAAAAGTATTTTTAAAGAATTTAGTGTACCATAACAAGTGTCTTGTTCATTTGAAAATTCTAGGTATGTAAATATTGAATTCACTGTCATGTTTATCTTTAAGTCCTGGTTAAGCAAAAGTCTATAATTAAAAATGTAGAAACAAACAAAAAAAAAGATTAGCTTCTGTTACACATGGATATAAGAAATACCAGAATCAAGAAACTAAATAAAGCAGTCTTCCCAATGTCTACCATGATTTGCTGATTACATGCACGAATTTATTTCTTATCACTCATCTCCCTATATTATATTGCCATCAACATCAAATAAAAAAAAAAGAATCACTGCTCCTTAAGATGCCTTTATTCGTTCTCCTAAAGGTAGGAGTCAGAGAATGGGGGTTGGGGGAGGCCAAGAGAGAGTAGCGATTAAAAAATTTAACACCCTACCTTTATAGCTAGAAAATTCAGTCCACTCTCATTGGCCAAAGCCTTTGCTATCATTGTTTTAGAGCACCCAGGTGGCCCATAGAGAAGAACTCCTTTAGGTGGCTGAATACCCATTCGAATGAAAGACTCTGGATGTTTTAAGGGCCATTCCACAGCCTGTTCCAACTTCAGTTTGATACTTTCCAGTCCTCCTATATCTGACCAGGATACCTGAAAAATAGAACATTTTCCAAATATAAGTTTTGCCAGGACAAACAGAGAACTAAAAAAAAATAAAAAACATATCATTAACAGAAGAACTGCAAAAAAGAATAGAACCATTTAAGAATCAGGAAAATCCTTTAAAAAATTCCAAGAATAACAAGAAGTAAATTAGGAGTACATAAAATGTGAACTGCATATTGTAAAAATACTAAAAAAAAAAAAATTCTGCTTGTAAGTCTCATATAAATAACTGTTTAAATGATTGAGCATATCGTAAAATCTAACCTTCTAGAAAGATTTAGAAGTTACGTTTCATCTGTCTGAAAGTGGTTTGAGTCAAGTCATCCAAGGTCTCATCTATATATCTAATTTCTTATACCTGTTTTTTAGCAAAACTACTTCCAAGCATATTTTTGTAGATCTTTATAGAACACACAATCATTTTTATCTTTAGCATATAAAGTATCCCCAAGGTTTTATTTTTCTCAACTAAGAAATACCCCCAGAACAAGACAGCTCTTTATATGTCTTAAGAATATACGTGTACCAGAAAACGTACACAAGAAATAGAATAATGAGACAGGAATCCATGCGTTAAAGAACTAACTATAACAACCAGTAACCATGAACAACCACAGTTCAACAGAAAGGATACTAAGTACAATAACAAACTGAAAAGGCCATTGGGAGTTCCCAGGAAGAAAAGACTACTTCTAGCTGGAAGACAAACGTAAAAGCCAACTCTCGAAGGATAGATGAGATTTGGAAATGCAAGAACAGGGAAATGGCTAGGTACAGGCCAAAAAGTGACAGAAAGCTCAGAAGGAAAGAAGTATAAAAAGGAAAAGAGAAAAAATATTTGAGGGAGGGAAATAAAGAAAAGTTGAAGTCATAGCATAGGGCCCTGAAGACCAGAGGAAGGAATTCAAGAGAATTCTTTGTACATTCTTGGAAGTCTTTGAAGTTTTTTAATCTAGAAAGCAATATGGTCTGAAATGTCCTTCTGGAAGATTTCTCTGACAAGATTCATCAGAGAGATCAATTAATGACATAAATATCAGAAAAAAAAACACACCTTGAGCTAGAGTAAACACATGCAGATACTGAAAACTCACTGGAAGGATACTTCAGAGCTATAATTGTGGGTTCTGGGAGTAGAAAAAGAAACAGGAAAAACTTAAAGCTACATTTGGAGAGGGGTGGTGAAACAAAATGGTATCTAGGGTAATATTCAGGATTCAGACTCGGACAAATGAGTAATTAAAAGTTACATGAAAAGAAATAAGGGAACATGTTTGGGAACTAAGGAATATGATGCATAAGGTGTCAACTGGGACTTGAATATAGTAGAAAAATATGGACTATGTGATGACTAATCAATCTATATGAATGGAAAGATTGGGGTCTGAGTGATGCATTCTCTATCCTTAATTTCTTTACAAGTATGTATAGACCCCATGTTGTAACGAATACTCCACCATAAATATAAATCCTTAACAAAAGTATTTCTTAGAGCACGTAAGGTCTCACACATAAAGTATATTACTCATATTGCTTTATAACATAAGTACAGTACAAATTTAAAAAACCACTTTCACTCTTCAAAATACCGCAGAAATCAACTCAATTCTGTTGTACAAATAATCCATATAACTTAAGCTAAACCAAGCTTGGCCAACCTTCAGTCCAACACAAATTGGTAAAGTCTGTTAAAATATTATGAGATTTTTTTGCAATTTTTTTTAGCTCATCACCTATCGTTCGTGTTAGTATTTTTTTTTAGTTCTATATGATTTTATTTAAAAATGTGTACAGCTGAAGGAGGGATCTGATCTTTTGTTAAAAGAAACCAATTTTCACAGTATATATTTGGCCACTTAAGCTTTGTAGTGAATAATAACAGAAAAGGAAGTTTCTGTTCAAATCCTCACTCCAGCACACTCAGCCAGGTGCTTGGCAAGATGACACATTTCCTGGTCTGAGGCTCACAGCCAACCCTCTCACCCAAGTGGAACACCAATCAATTCTCCTCCAGACAGACAGACAGACACACATACACACACACACACACACACACACACACACATACACATACACGAGGTCTTATTTTTACTGCTCTACACAGGGCCCTGAGAATCCTTAATTTTAAAGTTGGGAAAAACGTGAAAGGATTCCTTAACTCATTGTCTGTGACAAATCCAACTACCTTTTAACTCTTAACCATTGCCAAGTATAAAATACTTGAAATTTACGAGATGCTCCATTTAATGGGACAACTCAAATGCTATAAAATTAGGTCAAGTAACATGCTTTAATATTTTTAAATGTTACTTAAAACTTAATGAGACAAGATATGCAGCACATTCTTGGTATTATAAACTCCTACTGACAACTGCTGCTTGATGGTCAAAAACTTTTAAAAAAGAGAAGAAACCATACATATTGGTATACAACAACGTTTGCAGGGAATGTCATGTTTTACATTTTGTTAACTGAAATTGAACCTGACAAAAAAACCAAAGGTCTACAAAACCGACACCCATGTCATTTTAAATGATGAGGTAGATTGTTTCCTATGCAGTAAAGTGAAGATAACAAAAAAACCCATACAACTTTCAAATCCTCTTAAAAAAAAAAAGTTCAAGTTATAGTCACTTTCACAAACAAGACATTCATAAACTATAAGATGGAGCGGTCATATTCAGACAGGTTCTGTACTTGATGTGTTAATCGGAGATTCAATAATCAGTCTTGGATCAATCAACTCTCCCCAAAATACAGTGATCTTGCTCTCCTGCATCACAGCATACTCCACTACCTCGGTTCCATTTTCAATGTGATAAACCAAATCAAATTTCCCAGGTTCTCTCAAGGCAGGTAAGGATGAAAGAATTTCTGTATCTACTTGCTGTGTCTCTGGATTGTGGCTTAATATTTTTCCTTGTAATCAGAGACAACAGAAGAGTGTAACTGGATGTTAGTTCCAAAGATTAAATGCAATCTTTTCTCCAACTTGAGGGGCAGCTGTTAACAGCGGTAACAGACCATACAGTCCTTCTAGTGTGTCTCTACCGGATTCTGGAAAACAGTAGATGAATTTGTTACCACTTTATTTAATTGCTGTTGTCTCTGGTTGTCAGTGCTTCTATTTACAACACAGGAAACAGGATGCCCTTGTCCTCGACCTCTCCCCCGCATTCCCCGTCCCCTAGCTCCCTTCCAAGAAAAAAGGTTCTCTCCTCTACCCCATCCTCTTTCTAAACTGGGGAGAGACACACTGGGAGAAGGACCAGGAGCCTGTCTGCCACCATTTAACCCAGAACGCTTCCATCCAGTAGCACCTGCAGTCTGTGATGACAGCCCAGGGCCTGGACAACCTCTTCCTGCAAAAAGGCCTACTGTCTTTTAGAAATCCACAGCACACTCCGGGGTGCTCGATGACATCAAGCATTCACCTCTGACTCTGAACCAGAATCTGAACTAGAAGATGATGTTCCAGAGGTCTTGCCCTTGCTGGGGGTTAAGGCTAAAGCCAGATTTTGTAGCCAGTTTGTCTGCAGTTGTACTTTTGGTAGAGGGTCCTTCCTTTGATTACTTAGTTGGTAATTTCTCTGAGGAATTTCTGGCCTCCAAAGTGACTTTGCTGGGACCATCATGATTGATTCATGACAAGACTCAGACTCCGAGGAGGAACTGGGACTCTCGTTTGAGCAAACGCTTACACCACCTTTCCTTTTGGTTTTAACAAGGCTGTTTCTAGCAGAGCCTTTTGGAGAACTACATCTCTAATTGGCCCAGTCTTTTACTGCCTGTACTTTAGGTGACTTGGGATTCCTGGCCTTTTTTTCATATTCACATTTCTCCTTTTTCTTTGGTGATTTTTTTTTGGGGGGTCTGTTCGTTATCATCACCCGTTGTGCCACAGGTTGCTTTATTTTTTCTTTTGTTTCTTTTTTTTTTTTTTGCTTATAGTCTGATCTGTGACCGCTTTTCGTTCTAGATCCAAGACCTTCTCATTATTGTTATTGTACTCTTGCTTCTTCCAATGCTTCTTTGAATAGTTGTAATCTGGGTTAGTTTCTTCATCCTCCTCTAACTTAAATGCCCACTTCATTGCTTTTCTAAGTGATAAATGAGTACTGTCACCATTACTGATGACTACAGAATTCTCAGCAACTCCTCTCTCTTCTAATTTAACTCTGAGGCAGTCATTGTCTCTCATCAGGCATGCGCTCTCGGTGGGGGGCAGGAACCCCTGCTCCAGGTAGAGGCCTCGGAGGGCCCCCAGAACGGAAGCCAAATCGCTGGCGGATGAGACTAATGAGATCTGTGACAACTCGGCGCCTGTTCAAGTCAACCAGAAGCCAGGAAGGCCGTACAGTGCAGGGTAGCTGGCAGTGGGTAATCATATTGAAGCTGTAGCCTAACCGGCTCGGAGGCTGCCATCTTGCTCGGAGCCCGTGTTAGTATATTTTATGTGTGGCCCGAGACGATAATTCTTCCAATGTGGACAAGAGAAGCCAGAAGATTGGACAACTCTGAGCAAGACTGAATTTATATGACTATCAAGGCCTGTGTGGAAAAGGTAAATAATTTATTAAAATGTGCAACTCTCAAGATGTTTTTGCATGCCAACTCTCCTAGTGACAATGGCAAAGAAAGAGTTAGAAGGAAATATTATAGGTATAGGATACTCAGTTTCACTTCTGCATTTCATTACTAACTGGTGGAGGAAGTTCTTTCTCTCAATTTAGGAATCTCCAATCATAATAAACAAATATTCTACAGGCATTTCATTATTATTTTTTTCTTTTTTATTTGAACTTTTATTTTAGATTCAAGGAGTACATATGCAGTTTGTTACACAAGTATATTGTGTGACGCTGAGGTTTGGATTACAGTTGAACCCCTCACCCAGGTAGTGATCATGGGACTTCATCAAAGAGTTCTGAAAGGAGTTTTAACCCTTTTTTTTCCTTCCTTTTATTATTATTATTATCATTATTATTATACTTTAAGTTTTAGGGTACATGTGCACAATGTGCAGGTTAGTTACATATGTATACATGTGCCATGCTGGTGTGCTGCACCCATTAACTCATCATTTAGCATTAGGTATATCTCCTAATGCTATCCCTCCCCCCTCCCCCAACCCCACAACAGTCCCCAGTGTGTGATGTTCCCCTTCCTGTGTCCATGTGTTCTCATTGTTCAATTCCCATCTATGAGTGAGAACATGCGGTGTTTGGTTTTTTGTCCTTGAGATAGTTTACTGCGAATGATGATTTCCAATTTCATCCATGTCCCTACAAAGGACATGAACTCATCATTTTTTATGGCTGCATAGTATTCCATGGTGTATATGTGCCACATTTTCTTAATCCTGTCTATCATTGTTGGACATTTGGGTTGGTTCCAAGTTTTTGCTATTGTGAATAGTGCCACAATAAACATACGTGTGCATGTGTCTTTATAGCAGCATGATTTATAGTCCTTTGGGTATATACCCAGTAATGGGATGGCTGGGTCAAATGGTATTTCTAGTTCTAGATCCCTGAGGAATCGCCACACTGACTTCCACAATGGTTGAACTAGTTTACAGTCCCACCAACAGTGTAAAAGTGTTCCTATTTCTCCACATCCTCTCCAGCACCTGTTGTTTCCTGACTTTTTAATGATTGCCATTCTAACTGGTGTGAGATGGTATCTCATTGTGGTTTTGATTTGCATTTCTCTGATGGCCAGTGATGATGACCATTTTTTCATGTGTCTTTTGGCTGCATAAATGTCTTCTTTTGAGAAGTGTCTGTTCATATCCTTTGCCCACTTTTTGATGGGGTTGTTTGTTTTCTTGTAAATTTGTTTGGGTTCATTGTAGATTCTGGATATTAGTCCTTTGTCAGATGAGTAGGTTGCGAAAATTTTCTCCCATTCTGTAGGTTGCCTGTTCACTCTGATGGTAGTTTCTTTTGCTGTGCAGAAGCTCTTTAGTTTAATTAGATCCCATTTGTCAATTTTGGCTTTTGTTGCCATTGCTTTCGGTGTTTTAGACATGAAGTCCTTACCCATGCCTATGTCCTGAATGGTAATGCCTAGGTTTTCTTCTAGGGTTTTTATGGTTTTAGGTCTAACGTTTAAGTCTTTAATCCATCTTGAATTAATTTTTGTATAAGGCGTAAGGAAGGGATCCAGTTTCAGCTTTCTACATATGGCTAGCCAGTTTTCCCAGCACCATTTATTAAATAGGGAATCCCTTCCCCATTGCTTGTTTTTCTCAGGTTTGTCAAAGATCAGATAGTTGTAGATATGCGGCATTATTTCTGAGGGCTCTGTTCTGTTCCATTGATCTATATCTCTGTTTTGGTACCAGTACCATGCTGTTTTGGTTACTGGCATTCCATTATTATAGAGGTCCCCTCTCCTGGGCTGTTTAGGACTGCTGACTATATGGAGACTTTGTACTACTGGCATTTAACAGAAAAGATTAAAATAAATTAAATGATCTGACTTATTTTGAAGACAGGAAGAAATATAAGAAAATGCTCAAAGAGGAACATTTCTTTGTGGGATAATCTCTCTGTGAGACACACTGAGAGAGCTTTTATTTATTATGGAAGTTCTCTAAAATGTAAATGAAACACATCAATCAAGTGATTCTTATAGTCTATTAAGATCCATGTGTTCGTAGAAGGGCTATCATTAAAGAAGGAGTAGTGGGGTTTAAGAAGAGCAAGGAAGTAGACTTAATGGAAAGCAACACACAGTAACTGAAGTTCTATTTATATCTCAGATGGCAACAGTGAGCTATAAATTTAAGATTCTGGCTTCTTGGTGAAGACTGTTTGTCATGTAATTAGATATACCTTGTTGTCTTCCTAATAGGTAAGAATAAAAATCTTAAAAAGGGAAAAGGTAAAAAAAGAAAAAAAAAAAGCTCAAAGAGTCCATTTCAAAAATCATTAAAATTTTTTTTTAAAAAAAGCTTAAATAACTAGCTTGGGAAAGGTACCGTTACAAGTATGGAATATAAGAGGAAATGGATGATACAAAAAAGAAATGCAAAATCAAACTATGGGGGTAAAAAGCTCAACTCTCTACTAATCAAAGCCAAAACATCCAAATTAAAATAGTGAAAAGCTGTTTTCAGCTTATAAAATTAGCGAAGAGTAAAATATGGACTTCTCAAGGCCAGTGATAGACAATGAGTCAACACTGTCACACACTGGTAGAAGAAAAAAATCGTAATGTTTATTAAATGTACTTGGCAACATATTTTAGAAGTTCATACATTTTACCTAGTAATATTACTTCCTAGACTATCCTCCCAAAACAGTTCAGGAAATACAAAAAGATTTCTTCTTCAAAGATTCATGGCACAACACTCTGTATGACAGAAAATAACCTAGAAACAACCTCAATGCTAAACATCAAACAACTATTAAATGAATTATAGAATACTTAAAGAATGGACAATCATATAGAAATTAAATAAATTTTAGAAGATATTTTATATTTTCTGAAAATTTATGTAATAAAAAAGCAGAATATAAAGATTTTAATACATTATAATCCCAATTAAAACACACACACAGGTCAGGAGTTCAAGACCAGCCTGGCCAACGTGGTGAAACCCCGCCTCTACTAAAAATACAAAAATTAGCCAGGCATAGTGGCCGGCACCTGGAAACTCCGCTACTCGGGAGGCTGAGGCAAGGGAATCACTTGAACCAGGGAGGCGGAGGTTACACTGAGCCGAGATCGCGCCATTGAACTCCAGCCTGAACGCCAAGAGTGAAAGTCCGTCTCAGAAAAAAAAAAAAAACCACATACACATATATGTATTTTCAAAAATTGTTATTTTTAAAGTGATAGGAATACAAGCAATTTCTATATTATCCATAATAATTTTTGGTATTACGAAAATTTTCTACAGTGAAACTGCATTACTTTTATCATTTGACATACTCGTGTGTGTGTCTGTGTGCATGTGTGTGTGTGTGTTTGTGTTTGTATGTATATATAAAAGCATGAGGACAAGGAAGCAGACTAAGATCCTAGAAGCTGTGGTCAAGAAAAAAAGAAAAGCATGACGCAGATGGGGAGTTAAAAGGTTCAGCCAAAAACAAAAACAAAACTAAACAAAAAAAGCCTTGATGGGTGCCCAACGTTGTCAGGGAACCACCCATTCACCTAGTAGAACTAGGTGACAAAGTTAGAGAAATGACTGATTAACAAATCTAGGAAATTTTCTTAACCTAAGTTTCCTTTATTATTACAACTGTAATTCGTTTATTCTTTCCAACTATTGTACTGTGGCTAAAATTTACTACTGAAATAAATTCAATCAATTTTAAGAAATGTCTTCTATGTGCAGGATTTGTCCTAGAGACTGTAGGGGCACAAAGATGAGTGCAATAATGTCCAAAAAATCTGAAATCTAGAAAGAGAAATAAGAAAAGTATCCTAAAAGAGAGTCTCTAAATATATAAAATATCTGTCTTTACACAAATTAATACAAAAGCTACTGAAAAACAGCTTTATAATTCTCAAATAAGACAGTGAAGACAGATTTGAAAATTGCATACATGTAAGATGTCAAGTTTTTAGAATATAAAAATAGCAGCAATTCCCACCTTGTTGATTATGAGAATAGCAGATATAAGAAGTATAGCCTACAAGAAATTATAAAGAAGGATGTAAGAATTATCTGTATGCCAATACCTAAAAGTAATCCTTGTTAATATTTTGGTGTAGGACCTTCTAGCCTCTCCAAATGCAAACACACATGTGTGCATGTGTATGTATGGTTTAACATATTCACAATTTTACATTCTGATTCTTTTTAACTTCATACTTTTTTGATATAGTAAATATCTTCTAAAATTTAGAACTTGGTAAAAAAAAAAATGGTCTTGGGTTCAAATCTCAGACCCAGTACTTACTATGTGACTTTGGGTAATTTACTTCAACTCTCTAAACTTTTTCCTCTTCTATAATATGGGGATAATAAACCCTAAGGTCTCAGGATCACTGTGAGAATTAAACAGGAGAGCATATGTTAAATTAATTGTACTTTGCCTGGCATGTGGTAAATATTTAATAAATACTAGATACTTTATTTAAATGTCTGAGAGATGATTATAAAGTTTGTATTCTGGAGGACTACTGAAAAAGATAAGCCATTAAATTATCTTCATTTTTTTTTGTTCTGATCACTTTAAACTAAAGGCAAACCAATTTTGCATTTTGATTTTAGTACCTGAAAGCCAAAAAAATGATAACTCTTTCTATGGCTATGATAATAATTCACAAATAAATATGAATCAGCTTAAAAAGCCTGGCCAACATGGTGAAACCCCATCTCTACTAAAAATACAAAAAAAAAAAAAAATTAGCTGGGCGTGGTGGTGCATGCCAGTAATCCCAGCTACTCAAGAGGCTGAGGCAGGAGACTCGCTTGAACCTGGGAGGCGGAGGTTGCAGTGAGCCAAGAGCATGCCACTACACTCTAGCCTGGGTGACACAGCGAGACTCTGTCTCAAAAAAAAAAAGCTTATTATTACACAGAAGAGTTCTAAAGCATAGGAAGTCATGGGAAAAGTTAGTCTGTAGAGAAGGATAAACACTACCATGAAATCATAAAATCCTAGAACTAGAAGAGGAATTCAAAAGCTAGCTGTTTCACTATCCTACCTTCAGACAGTATATCATCTTTCAACACCTCTCATCTTTCAACAAATAGTACTTTATGCTTAAAATTGTTTTTAATTCTAGAACCTTCTTTTTAATAACTTACAATATATCATAACTACCGTAAAATTATTCCTACAATATAGTCTAAATTATTTTTACAATATAACCTAAATCATTCCTGATAATATTTGCATCCGATCTTATTTTGCCCTAATGAAAACAGTGAACAGCTGCTCACATATGGCTTTATAACTTTTTGAATTAAAGTCAGAAGTGCAAGAACAGCTGTCAAACAAGCACAGAGCAGTGAGATAAATTTCCCAAGGAACATGTCCCTGACAAACATCCTATAGTTAGTTCTTCCTAGCCAAACACCCCAAAACAAAATAAAACAACAACAACAAAAATTCAAACTGTACACCCATAGAAGCCAAGGAACTTGATGATCAGGTTAAAAATAAATAGAAAAAAAAATACTTTTATGGACAAATTCCAAGGCAGCAAAATAAAAATTAATGAACTGAGCTACAGACATTAGAAAAATTACTATGAGAGAGGAATTCCGTAGCTCCAGGGGCACTGACAATGTTTTTATACATCTATGAGTCAAGATCCTCTTGCTTGCTGGGTGCCAAGTTTTTTACCACCAGGGACAAAAATTCTTTTCAAAGTATTATTTTAGAGAAAATGCCATGACATTTTGTTTTTTCATGCTAACAACTCCCAGTGTAAGGACAAGAAGTCAGGCAGTCACAATTGGGCTGGCACCTGTTCCAAATTCTTTGTGGGGTCATACACTAACTTTTCAACAATGTTCAAAAGACACATATTTTGTTTAGAAATCATAAGTGTACCAAATTACTAAAGATACTGCATATTGCAGGAAAAAAAAGGTTGAGAAAACCAACCTCCAAGGTCAAGAACAATTATAAATTTCCAAATGCTTCTTTAATACAGATAAAGCAAGATTAGGAAGCAGTAACTGTTAAAATGTGTTCTTAGATCTAAATGAAAATAAGTAAAAGCCATTAGCTGTATATAGTGAAAAGCAAAAAAAAAAAAAAAAAAAAAAAAAAAAAAAAAATTTCCCATGCTGTAAAGACACATTCTATGAAGATTTAAAGAAAAAAAAAAAAAAAGAAGTCAAAAGTTCCAGTTTCACTATGGTGCCATAAGGCAACTATAGACTCTCTCCCGTTGATTAAAAAGAAAAATGTCAGCTCTCGCTCTCGCTCTCGCTCTCGCTCTCCCTCTCCCTCTCCCTTTCCCTCTCCCCCCTCTCCCTCTCTCTCTCCCTCTCCCTCTCCCTTTCCCTCTCCCCCCTCTCCCTCTCCCCTTCCCTCTCCCCCCTCTCCCTCTCCCCACGGTCTCCCTCTCCCTCTCTTTCCACAGTCTCCCACTGATGCCGAGCCGAAGCTGGACTGTACTGCTGCCATCTCGGCTCACTGCAGCCTCCCTGCCTGATTCTCCTGCCTCAGCCTGCCGAGGGCCTGCGATTGCAGGCGTGCGCCACCACGCCTGACTGGTTTTCGTATTTTTTTGGTGGAGACGGGGTTTCGCTGTGTTGGCCGGGCTGGTCTCCAGCTCCGAACTGCGAGTGATCCGCCAGCCTCGGCGTCCCGAGGTGCCGGGATTGCAGACGGAGTCTGGTTCACTCAGTGCTCAATGGTGCCCAGGCTGGAGTGCAGTGGCGTGATCTCAGCTCGCTACAACCTCCACCTCCCAGCCGCCTGCCTTGGCCTCCCAAAGTGCCAAGATTGCAGCCTCTGCCCGGCCGCCACCCCGTCTGGGAAGTGAGGAGCGTCTCTGCCTGGCCGCCCATCGTCTGGGACGTGAGGAGCCCCTCTGCCTGGCTACCCAGTCTGGAAAGTGAGGAGCGTCTCTGCCCGGCCGCCATCCCATCTAGGAAGTGAGGAGCACCTCTACCCGGCCGCCATCCCATCTAGGAAGTGAGGAGCGTCTCTGCCCAGCCGCCCATCGTCTAAGATGTGGGGAGCGCCTCTGCCCCGCCACCCCGTCTGGGATGTGAGGAGCACCTCTACCCGGCCGCGACCCCGTCTGGGAGGTGAGGAGCGTCTCTGCCCAGCCGCCCTGTCTGAGAAGTGAGGAGACCCTCCGCCTGGCAACCGCCCCATATGAGAAGTGAGGAGCCCCTCCACCCGGCAGCCACCCCGTCTAGGAAGTGAGGGGCGTCTCTGCCCGGCAGCCACCCCATCCGGGAGGGAGGTGGGGGTCAGCCCCTCTGCCCGGCCAGCCGCCCCGTCCGGGAGGGAGGTGGGGGGATCAGCCCCCTGCCCGGCCAGCCGCCCCGTCCGGGAGGGAGGTGGGGGGGTCAGCCCCTCGCCCGGCCAGCCACCCCGTCTGGGAGGTGAGGGGCGCCTCTGCCCGGCCGCCCCTACTGGGAAGTGAGGAGCCCCTCTGCCCGGCCAGCCGCCCCATCCGGGAAGGAAGTGGGGGGGTCAGCCCCCCGCCCAGCCAGCCGCCCCATCCAGGAGGAAGGTAGGGGGGTCAGCCCCCCGCCCGGCCAGCCGCCCCGTCCGGGAGGTGAGGGGCGCCTCTGCCCGGCCGCCCCTACTGGGAAGTGAGGAGCCCCTCTGCCCGGCCAGCCGCCCCGTCCGGGAGGGAGGTGGGGGGGTCAGCCCCCCGCCCGGCCAGCCGCCCCATCCGGGAGGGAGGTGGGGGGGTCAGCCCCCCACCCGAGCCGCCCGGTCCGGGAGGTGAGGGGCACCTCTGCCCGGCCGCCCCTACTGGGAAGTGAGGAGCCCCTCTGCCCAGCCACCACCCCATCTGGGAGGTGTACCCAACAGCTCATTGATAACGGGCCATGATGACAATGGCGGTTTTGTGGAACAGAAAGGGGAGAAAGGCGGGGAAAGGATTGAGAAATCGGATGGTTGCCATGTCTGTGTAGAAAGAGGTAGACACGGGAGACTTTTCATTTTGTTCTGTACTAAGAAAAATTCTTCTGCCTTGTGATCCTGTTGATCGGTGACCCTACCCCCAACCCTGTGCTCTCTGAAACATGTGCTGTGTCCACTCAGGGTTAAATGGAATAATGGTGGTGCAAGATGTGCTTTGTTAAACAGATGCTTGAAGGCAGCATGCTCGTTAAGAGTCATCACCACTCCCTAATCTCAAGTACCCAGGGACACAAACACTGCGGAAGGCCGCAGGGTCCTCTGCATAGGAAAACCAGAGACCTTTGTTCACTTGTTTATCTGCTGACCCTCCCTCCACTATTGTCCTATGACCCTGCCAAATCCCCCTCTGTGAGAAACACCCAAGAATGATCAATTAAAAAAAAAAAAAAAAGAAAGAAAAATGTCAGACAAAATACAAAAATCACTCGAGGACTCTGAAAACCAATGAAAAGCAGACAGATTGTGCAGACAAGTAAAAATGTGAAGTGCTATGCACAGGGTGAGTGGGAAGGGCTGAGTGTTCAAAGAGGTCTTTGCTTCTCTTTTCTCCCAGCCTTTCCCCTCTTTCTGTTTTATTTCCATTTTCCATAAGCAAGCTTAGGTTGAAAACATCTAACAATTTCACAGATGGGAGTACAGAAAGCTAAAAAACTAGATTAGAAAGAATATAAGAAACTATACACCAAAACTGGGCCACTAATTGCTCTTGATTTGTTGGGATTTGTTGCTCTTTAGTAAATAACATTGAGAACCTCACTAAACATATAATAGCTAAGAGGGCCAGATGTTCATAGATGTCATATTTAATAAGTAAAGACATTAAGATGGGAATTAGTCAAGTTTAAAAAATATAGGTATCTGAAAAAAACATGAAAAATATTATCAACTTAAAGGTAATTTTTTTTCAAACTGTATAGATTTCAATAATCAGTTTAATGGTTATATTAAAATCTTAGCTCAATTTCTAAAATATAATTACATTACAATCACACTTAGCACTGTCCTCAGATCTGGCTATGCATGAAGTCAAACCTTATAAATATAATAAATTATCCAAGTAACTTCCCTTAGATTACAAAAATGTATGTCTTAATTCACCTTAAAAATGGTTAACCATTTACACAATGAGCTTTTAAAAAACTACCTACTTTTGTCAGATGAACAAGTATAAGAAAAAAAACTCATAAAAAATGGAAACTTAAAAAAGTAACAAAAATTAAGACTCAGATATGACAACAGCATAAAACTCGCCTACAAAATTCTTCATACATCATGAAAATATTTTGCTTTTTCTAATTTACCAAATTCCTTGAATAACTTCCCTATAATCACCAGCAAATGCTTTGAATATTTAAGAAAACTGCTTAGTAACTCCTGCAATTCTTACCATGGCATAGCAGAACTGGGAAAGATAAAGGAATATGGAAAATATAGAAACTAAAAACAAGGAAACTAAAAACAGAGGGAAGACAGAGGGGATTCTACTGATTGACCCCTAAGCCCAGGAGCTAAGTATATGTTTAACAAGCTTCTTAAGTGAATTTTAAGTCAATCATATGGAATACTACATAACCAAATGACCCAAAACTAGAAGAAATCATTTTTAATAGTAAAAATGTTTAAATGAGTTTTGATTACTTTTCTTGATAATTTGAGGCATGAGTAATTAATAACTAAACTATTTTTTCTATATGTGTGTATGACTAGGACCTTCCTAACATAGTACCTTCTATATTACATATGTTTGGTGCTTGGTAAAGAAATAAATTAATAGGCAGACATATATTTATCTTGTATTATCTTACAAGTAAAACAACAGAAGGGGTAAAAGTGACAGAGGGACAAGCTGGTAGGAGGTTAAGATGGGCAATATAGAAAAAAGTTGGAGATTTGCTGCACCTACCAACCCATCATCTAGGTTTTAAGCCCCACATGCATTAGGTATTTGTCCTAATGCTCTCCCTTCCCTTGCCCCCCAACCCCGACAGGCCCTGGTGTGTGATGTTTCCCTCCCTGTGTCCATGTGTTCTCATTGTTCAACTCCCACTTATGAGTGAGAACATGCAGTGTTTGGTTTTCTGTTCCTGTGTTAGTTTGCTGAGAACCTGCACATTCTGTACACGTATCCTAGAACTTAAAGTAAAATAAAATAAAAATAAAGAAAAAAGTTGGAGAGTTAGTATTAAACCCATACATGTGGTCAGGTGAAAAAGGTTACCAATTGTCAGGCCTCTAAGCCCAAGCTAAGCCATCATATCCCCTGTGACCTGCACCTATATATACATCTAGATGGCCTGAAGTAACTGAAGAATCACAAAAGAAGTGAAAATGGCCTGTTCCTGCCTTAACTGATGACATTACCTTGTGAAATTCCTTCTCCTGGTTCATCCTGGCTCAAAAGCTCCCCCACTGAGCACCCTGTGACCCCCTGACCCCTGCCAGCCAGAGAACAACCCCCTTTGACTATAATTTTCCTTTACCTACCCAAATCCTATAAAACGGCCCCACCCCTATCTCCCTTTGCTGACTCTCTTTTCGGACTCAGCCCGCCGACACCCAGGTGAAATAAACAGCCTTGTTGCTCACACAAAGCCTGTTTGGTGGTGTCTTCACACAGACACGAGTGAAATTTGGTGCCGTGACTCGGATAGGGGGGCCTGCCTTGGGAGATCAGTCCGCTATTCTCCTGCTCTTTGCTCCATGAGAAAGATCCACCTACGACCTCTGGTCCTCAGACTAACCAGCCCAAGGAACATCTCACCAATTTTAAAGTCGGTAAGCGGCCTCTTTACTCTCTTCTCCAACCTCTCTCACTAACCCTCAATCTCTTTCTCCTTTCAATCTTGGTGCCACACTTCAGTCTCGCCCTTGTCTTAATTTCAGTTCCTTTCCTTTTCTGGTAGAGACAAAGGAGATGCGTTTTATCCGTGGACCGAAAACTCCAGCGCCGGTCACAGACTTGAGAAGACAGTCTTCCCTCGGTGTTTAATCACTGCGGGGATGCCTGCCTGATTATTCACCCACATTTCATTGGTGTCTGATCACCGCAGGGACGCCTGCCTTGGTCATTCACCCACATTCCCTTGGTGGCAAGTCAATTGTGGGGACACCTGCTTTGGCTGCTCACCCACCCCTTCTCTCTGTGTCTCTCCCCACCCCTTCTCCACTTTCCTGGGGGGCAAGCATCCCCCACCCCTTCTCTCCGTGTCTCTACCCTTCCTTCTCTCCACTTTCCTGGGGGGCAAGCACCCCATACCCCTTCTCCACTTTCCTGGGGGACAAGCACCCCCACCCCTTCTCTCTGTGTCTCTACCCCTTTTCCACTTTCCTGGGGGGCAAGCACCTCCCACCCTTTCTCCACTTTCCTGGGGGACAAGCGCCCCCCACCCCTTCTCTCCATGTCTCTACCCACCCCTTCTCCACTTTCCTGGGGGGCAAGCATCCCCACCGCTTCTCTCCATGTCTCTACCCTTCCTTCTCTCCACTTTCCTGGGGGGCAAGCACCCCACACCCCTTCTCCACTTTCCTGGGGGGCAAGCACCCCTCACCCCTTCTCTCCATGTCTCTACCCACCCCTTCTCCACTTTCCTGGGGGGCAAGCAACCCCCACCCCTTCTCTCCATGTCTCTACCCACCCCTTCTCCACTTTCCTGGGAAGCAAGCACCCCACACCCCTTCTCTCTGTGTCTCTACCCTCTCTTTTCTCTCCACTTTCCAGGGGGGCAAGCACCCCCCACCCCTTCACTCTGTCTCTACCCTCTCTTTTCTCTGGACTTGCTCCTTCACTATAGGCAACCTTCCACCCTCCATTCCTCCTTCTTCTCCCTTAGCCTGTGTTCTCAAGACCTTAAAACCTCTTCAGCTCACACCTGATCTAAAATCTAAGCATTTTATTTTCTTCTCCAACACCGCTTGACCCCAATATAAACTTGACAGTGGTTCCAAATAGCCAGAAAATGGCACTTTCGATTTTTCCATCCTACAAGATCTAGATAATTCTTGTCATAAAATGGGCAAACGGTCTGAGGTGCCTGACGTCCAGGCATTCTTTAACACGTCGGTCCCTCCCTAGTCTTTGTTTGGTGGTCTCTTCACAGGGACGCGAGTGAAACCAATATGTAAAAGTGTACAAAGTCTATACATACATGCCTTGCATTACATTTCCTAGCCCTAATCTGTCCAAATAGTTGGGTCATAAGTTCAAACCATTTTCTCTGATTTCCTTTGATGGTTAGCTGATAATAAAGTTTTTGTATACATGGAAATAAAAAGCCTACTCTGCCAAGACTGGCTGAAGGGATGTTCCAAATGTTTATTAAATGCGAGGCAAAGACAGAAGATATCTCTGGGTCAGAAAGCTCAGCAAACTCATATAAGCAAACTTTAAAAGCAGTTCAGATTCTGTGTCCTGAGGTATAGACTAGAAAGTAAGCTCCCCCATGGGGAAGAATAATCAATGCTGGCCAGAGAACAAAGATGTTGGGGAAAGAGGACTGTTACTGATGTTTTGGTTTGAAGGCAAAAGGTAGGAGGACAAACCTCTGATAAAGAGTGAAGAAAGTATTAGAAAACAATCCTTAAAACACAGTCTTAATGGGCAATATTTAGAAAAGAAAAAAAAAGTTTAACTTACATCAAAGTTTGTCCCTGAATGTTGAATGTGCTACATGTAATAGCTGGGGGTATGAGTTTACTGGTACAGAACCAACTAGGGAATTGGCTCAAAGTATGTCACAAGACAATTCTGGAAGAAGAACTTGCCTTGAGAAATTGGACATGTATCTCAGGCACAGAGCGAGTTCAATGAGATAGGTCAAGCAAGTCTCAGAAGTAAGCAAGCCTACGTGGTTAGATCGCTGAGCAAAAACTGACTGTCTTAGGGTAGAAATTACCTAATTGTACCATTTTTATAACTTAGGGTAAGTGTGGGGCCCATGCGTTACAAGTGTGTATTTATGGTTAACTAGAGTCAGGCTGCTATAAGTAGAGTTGGTAAAGGTTTTAATATCTAATATCCATTCATTTTCTCAATTATTTATGTATTCACTCATTGATTCAGATATATTCATATTACTGCATGTCTGTTTTGAATGCTTGGCCTGGCTCTAAGAATACAAAAATGAATAAAACTGACACGGTCTCTACATTGTGGAGCTTACAGTCTGGGAAAAAAAAATACATTAAAACATACACTAATACTTAAATTAAGGACTAGACAAAAAATTATACGGAATACTACAAGAGCCCATGACAGGCCTTGAGGGTCCTCTAAGTCAAGTATAGCTTCCTAAAAGGTCTGACATTTAAGCAACAATATGAAGAATGAGTAGGAGTTAGGCAATTAAAGAGAATGAATGAGTTTGTATCATTTGGAGTCCCTAATACTAAATTTTAATTTGGCTTGTAGAAGGAAGAGAGGCATATGTGAATAATGGAAAAGTTATGCTGAAGGGCCAGACTGGAGTTTTACTCCAGATTCTAATCTAGTAAAAGAGACCAATTTTAGCTTCCCTAATCTGCAACTTGACCAATTACTGTTCTCCCTTCTGGCTTCCTTTCCCTGTTGTCTCCAGAAAGATATGAAGTTGTGCACAGCGATCTTGACACCACTGCAAAGAAGGCTGCCTATTAATTAAAAGTTATCAGATAAGAAAAGCCACTGAGAACAAATCTGGCATATAAGCACCATAATGGCCTAAAATCTGATTAAGTATTTCTGAAGGGCCAGGAGATTTTTAAATTAGATAATTAAAGGTTCAAAATATATATTATACCTTAGTTAGACTGTGATGAAAATTGGAACTTCATGTCTGGTTTTCCTCCCAAAACCGTCAATCCCAGTCAAACCGTAAGAAAACATCAACCAAACTCAAATTGAGAAGCATTCTACAAAAGACCTGACCAGTACACCTTAAAATCGTCAAGGCCATCAAAAATAAGAAAAGAAATTGTCACAGCCCAGAGAAACCTAGAAACATGATGACCACATGTAATGTGAAAATCTACAAGGGATCCTCAAACAGACAAAGGACATTAGAGGAAAAACTAATTCAATCCAAATAAAGTATGGAGTTAGTAAACTAGAGAGGTATGTACTGGTGCATATAAAAACAAGTATCAGGCACAATATCCCAGTATGTATGTACCTTGGGCCATGCTGTACCAATCTGACCAGATAAGTTTATACTGACAGTGTGATTTATGGTGAATGCTTGCTTTTGCCCTGGGAAGTACTGGAATCTGGATAGCTGAGGTCAGTCACGCCAGCACTGTAGTATACCAACGTGACTAACCTCCAGTAAAATTCTGGACACTAAGGCTCAAGTGAACTTCTCTGTTTGGTAGTGACTTCACACCTGTTGTCACACATAGTTGCTGGGAGAATTAAGTGTGTTCCCATGTGACTCCACTGGAAAAGGACATCTAGAAGTGTGTACCTGGTTTCTTCTGGACGTTACCCATGCACCTTTTCCCTTTGCTTATTTTTATCTGTATCCTTTCAGTGTTAACAAATCATAACCATGAGTGTAACAGCTTCCAAGTCCAGTGAGTCCTTCTAGTGAATCATCAAGCCTGAGAGTGGTCTTGGGGACCCCAATGAAGACAGATGCACAGACAGATAGGTAATAAAATTACAAACAAATTAACAGTTCTCCAGAACTCACACCTCCCCCCACTCTCCATCTACATTCAACCCAGGACATTAAAGAAAACTTTATACCAAACCTTTAAACTTATCCTTAAATTTATTTCAGGCCTATGATGGAGTTCTCAAACATCTGCTGCTAGTTTTCAGATTAAGTTTCATCAATCTACCCTACTTTTCCCATTTTAGCATCATGCCCCATTTTACCTTAGAGCATTCCTCTTTCTGTAGGATCAAAACGAGAAGAAATTTCATTCTTAATAAGCTTTTTTTTCCTAAAAATGTATACTTAAAACTGCAAAGCAGTTCTCTAAAGAGTACATGAAATTCAGACAGCAATTTTAACACGGGACATGTGAATATGTCCTATGCTGTGGCATGGCTGTAAATCATTAAATATGGGACTTTCAAAAATGGATAAATAAGGACCTTTGTTTCTGATCATAAAGTAAAAAAGGTAACATTTATTTACCTTTCTGTCTTGCTATAGTTTGGATATGGTTTGTTTGGTCCTGCCAAATCTCACTGAAATTTGATCCCCAATATTGGAGGTAGGGCCTAGGTGAGAGCTGTCTGGATTGTGGCAGCAGATCCCTCATGAATGGCTTGGTGCCATTCTCCAGGAGTGAGTAAGTTTTCACTCTTAGTTCCCATAAGAACTGGTGACTGAAAAGAGCCTGGCATCTCTCTCTTGCTGCTCATCTTGCCGTGTGATCTCTACATGTAAGCTCCCCTTCACCTTCTACACAAGTGAAAGCTTACTATAGGCCTCAGCAGAAAGAGATGCTGGTGCCATGCTTCTCGTACAGCCTGCAGAACCATGAGCCAAATAAACCTCTTTTCTTTATAAATTATCCAGCCTGAGGCATTCCTCTATAGCAATACTAAATTCTATAGCAATACTAAATGGACTAAGACATGTCTGGAAAAAACAAAACAAAAAAACTAAACTAAAAGAAGTAAACAAAATATATAAAGCATCAACTTTCAGGACACTGAACATCTGAATCAAAGACAATGACCCTTGAGAAAAGGGAAACCAATAAGATGAGCCCTATGATTGCTCCCAACTTATTGACTGGAAAAAGTTCACAGGTCACAGCAATGGAAACCTTAGGCAGAACCTACAAACTCCCTGAGTTGAGAAGACAGAGCTAGGAGTATGGGAAAGTCAAAGTGGCTACAGTTTGCAGGGTAGAGTACTGGAGATAATAAATAAAGTTCCCAGGGAGAAAACCTTTAAAATTTGCAGAAGGTCCATATATGTGTGTGTGTGTGTGTGTGTGTGTTGTGTGTGTGTGTATATATATATATATATATATACACACACACACACACACACACACACACACACACACACACATATACACACACACACACATACATACACATATATATATATAGGCATGGAGAATTTAATAGGCAAGAAAGAAGAATAAAACAGCTCCCCTGTACAGAGACAGAGGGAGTGGGGATTCAAACAAAGAGAAAACCCTGTGTGTGACGGAAAAGTGGCTGCCAAATATTCACACGTGAAGAAAACACACAAGACCAAAGAAAAGCACCTAAAAAGAATGGAGCAAATAATACTCAAAGCTCACAAAGGGCCAGGAATAGTGCCTCCTCCGAATAGCCAGAGTGGAAACTCATAATTCATAGGGCATTAGGTAGAGTACTAAAAAGGGCCCTACCTCAATAGAGTGGAAAAATCAACCCTATTCAAAACACTGCCTTAGTCTCACCTCAGAAAATTTAAACACAAGACTAAAAAGGATCAAACTGTTACCAAAACACTTAACCACACCTCAAAATTACACTCAAAAATATTTTTATAAATACTAAAATTCTTATGAATATTTAAAAAACCCACCTCCCAACAAGGTAAAATTTACAATGTCTAGAATTCAATCAGAAATTACCAGGCATGCAAAACTCCGCTCTAGCCCCCAAGACCATGGTTTCCTTTTACAAAAAGAGAAGAAAGAAAAAAAAAGAGAGTAAAAGAAAATAACTTTGCAAATGGAAAAAAAAAATAACAAGCATGCAAAGAAACAGGAAAATATACCCGTAAGGAGAAAGAGAAAAACCAATAAATTGAAACTGATCCAAAAAGTACACAGATGATAGGATTAGTAGACAAGGACATTAGAAGTTATAAATGCATTACCTTTGTGCAAATAAAGGAAACATTGAAAACAGTAAGTAGAAAAGTATAACATTTTAAGAAGATAAAAATCAAACTTCTAGAGAAGAAAACTACAATGTCCACAATATTAAAAGGCACTGAATGGAATTAACAGCAGATTAGCCATTTCAAAAGGGGAAAAAGGCTGTGAACTGGTAGGTGCAGCACTAGATAGAGATTACCAAAAACCAAACAAAAAAAGTAAAAAAGAAGACACAATCTCCATATATATGTGTGTAATTTGAGTCTCCAGTGAGAGAGGAAAGAGCAAACACTAAATATTTGAAGAAATTTTTTTTTTCAAATTTGACTAACACTGTAAGCTCAAATATACAAGATGAATAAACCGAAAGCACAAGAAACATGAAGAAAACTACCAAGGCACATGATAACCAAATTGCTTAAAACCAATGATAAAATGTTAAAAGCAATGAGGTGGGGCCGGGGGACATGTTATATAGACAAGACAAAGAAAATGAAGAAAGCAGATTTCTTTTCAAAAAAAATACAAGACAGAAGACAGTGGAGCAAAACCATTAAAGAACACAAGGAGGGAGGAATGTCAACCTAGAATTATTTATTCAGTTAAAATAGCTTTCTAAAATAAAAACAAAATACGTTTTCAGATATTAAAAAAAAAAACTGAAGAAGTTCATGACCAGGACACCTGCATTATAGGAAATGTTAAAGTAAGCACTTCAAGAGTAAGGAACATGATACCAGATAGAAACTTGAATCTACACAAAAGACTAAAGAGAACTGGAAATGGTGACTACATTGAGTACATATAAATATCACTTTTCCTTAATATTTAAACTCTTCAAAAGAAAATACTCTGTTTAGTGCAAAACTGATGACAGTATGTTTTGAAGTTTACAATATATGCAAAAGTAAACATATGACAACAATAGCACAAAGGCCAGGAGGGGAACAATAGAAATATATTGTTCTAAGGTTCTTATACTGTACACATGGTATAGTAACACTTAAAGGTAGACTGTGATAATTTAAAGATGTACCAAGGGAAATTCTAAAATATACTGAACTAAATGGAAATGAAAATACACTATATCAAATATGTGTGATGCCGCTAAAGCAGTGCTTAATGAATGTTTATGGCTTTGAATGCCTAGATTAGAAAAGAAGAAAGATCTAAAATCAGTAACCACACATCCCACCTTAAGAAACTAGAGGAAGAAGAAGAAATTTAGCATAAAGCAAACAGAAGGAAAGAAATAACAAAGATTAGAGTAGAAATAAATAAAATAGAAAACAGAAAACCAATAAAACAAGGCTGGGCGCAGTGGCTCACACCTGTAATTCCAGCACTTTGAAAGGCTGAGGTGGGCAGATCACTTGAGGCCAGGAATTTGAGAACAGCCTAGCCAGCTAACATGGCGAAAACCCTTCCCTACTAAAAATACAAAAATTAGCCAGGCGTGATGGTGCATGCCTGTAATCCCAGCTACTCAAGTGGCTGAGGCATGAAAATGGCTTGAACCCAGGAGGCAGAGGTCACAGTGAGCTGTGATCATGCCATTGCACTCCAGCCTGGCCAACAGAGTGAGACTCTGTCTCAGAAAAAAAAAGAAGAAAGAAAGGCAATTTGAAAAGATCAATACAAATGACAGACCTCTAGCCAAGGAAAAGAGAAAGTAAACACACATTACCAATATCAAAAATGAAAGACCGGACATACCACTGATCCAACAGATATTAAAAATATAAGGAAATACTATGAATGACTCTTTGGCCATAAATTCAACAACTTAGGTGAAACAGAATTCTTGAAAAAATATAAACTACCAAAATTCACTTGAGAAAAAAAACAGATAATCTGAATAGTCCTAGATTTAGTAAAAATATTAAAATTTACATAAGCCTTCCAAATAATGAAAATTCCAGACCCAGATGATTTCAATGGAGAACATATAAGGGAAAAATAATACTAATTCTACACAATTTCTTCCAACAAATAAAAACTAAAGAGAATACTTCCCAACTCATTTCACCGTGCCAACATTATCCTGATATCAAAAGCAGACAAAAACATTCTAAGAAAACTACAGAACAATATTTCTCATGAACATATATGCAAAAATCCTCAACAAAATATTAGTAGACAGTATTCAGCAATGTGCAAAAGGAATACTACATTCCAGTGGAGTTCATTCCAGGACTACAAGACTGATTCAAACATTGAAAATCAATTAATATAATTCATATTGACAGACTAAGAAACACTAGATTATCTCAAAAGATAACATAGAAAACATTCAAAATAGTGGGGAGGAGCCAAGATGGCTGAATAGGAACAGCTCCGGTCTACAGCTCCCAGCGTGAGCAACGCAGAAGATGAGGGATTTCTGCATTTACATCTGAGGTACCGGGTTCATCTCACTAGGGAGTGCCAGACAGTGGGCGCAGGACAGTGGGTGCAGTGCACCGTGTGCCGGCCGAAGCAGGCCGAGGCATTTCCTCACTCGGGAAGCGCAAGGGATCAGGGAGTTCCCTTTCCTGGTCAAGGAAAGGGGTAACAGAGGGCACCTGGAAAATTGGGCCACTCCCACCTGAACACTGCCCTTTTCCAACGGGCTTAGGAAACGGCGCACCAGGAGATTACATCCTGCACCTGGCTCAGAGGGTCCTACGCCCACGGAGTCTCGCTGATTCCTAGCACAGCAGTCTGAGATCAAACTGCAAGGCGGCAGCGAGGCTGGGGAAGGGGCGCCTGCCATTGCTCAGGCTCGCTTAGGTAAACAAAACAGCCAAGAAGCTTGAACTGGGTGGAGCCCACCACAGCTCAAGGAGGCCTGCCTGCCTCTGTAGGCTCCACCTTTGGGGGCAGGGCACAGACAAACAAAAAGACAGCAGTAACCTCTGCAGACTTAAATGTCCCTGTCTGACAGCTTTCAGGACAGCAGTGGTTTTCCCAGCACGCAGCTGGAGATCTGAGAACAGGCAGACTGCCTCCTCAAGTGGGTCCCTGACCCCTGACCACCGAGCACCCCAACTGGAAGGCACCCCCCAGTAGGGGCAGACTGACACCTCACACGGCCGGGTACTCCTCTGAGACAAAACTTCCAGAGGGATGATCAGACAGCAGCATTTGCAGATCATGAAAATGCACGGTTCTGCAGACAGCGCTGCTGATACCCAGGCAAACAGGGTCTGGAGTGGACTTCTAGCAAACTCCAACAGACCTGCAGCTGAGGGTCCTGTCTGTTAGAAGGAAAACTAACAAACAGAAAGGACATCCACACCAAAAACCCACCTGTACATCACCATCATCAAAGACCAAACAAACATAAAACCACAAAGATGGGGAAAAAACAGAGCAGAAAAACTGGAAACTCTAAAAAGCAGAGCGCCTCTCCTCCTCCAAAGGAACGCAGCTCCTCACCAGCAACAGAACAAAGCTGGACGGAGAATGACTTTGACGAGTTGAGAGAAGAAGGCTTCAAATGATCAAACTACTCCGAGCTACAGGAGGAAATTCAAACCAAAGGCAAAGAAGTTGAAAACTTTGAAAAAACTTTAGACGAATGTATAACTAGAATAACCAATATAGAGAAGTGCTTAAAGGAGCTGATGAAGCTGAAAGCCAAGGCTCGAGAACTACGTGAAGAATGCAGAAGCCTCAGGAGCCGATGCGATCAACTGGAAGAAAGGGTATCAGTGATGGAAGATGAGATGAATGAAATGAAGCAAGAAGGGAAGTTTAGAGAAAAAAGAATAAAAAGAAATGAACAAAGCCTCCAAGAAATATGGGACTATGTGAAAAGACCAAATCTGCATCTGATTGGTGTACCTGAAAGTGATGGGGAGAATGAAACCAAGTTGGAAAACACTCTGCAGGATATTATCCAGGAGAACTTCCCCAATCCAGCAAGGCAGGCCAACATTCAGATTCAGGAAATACAGACAACAAAACAAAGATACTCCTCGAGAAGAGCAACTCCAAGACACATAATTGTCAGATTCACCAAAGTTAAAATGAAGGAAAAAATGTTAAGGGCAGCCAGAGAGAAAGGTCAGGTTACCCACAAAGGGAAGCCCATCAGACTAACAGCGGATCTCTCGGCAGAAACTCTACAAGCCAGAAGAGAGTGGAGGCCAATATTCAACATTCTTAAAGAAAAGAATTTTCAACCCAGAATTTCATATCCAGCCAAACTAAGCTTCATAAGTGAAGGAGAAATAAAACACTTTACAGACAAGCAAATGCTGAGAGATTTTGTCACCACCAGGCCTGCCCTAAAAGAGCTCCTGAAGGAAGCACTAAACATGGAAAGGCACAACCGGTACCAGCCGCTGCAAAATCATGCCAAAATGTAAAGACCATTGAGACTAGGAAGAAACTGCATCAACTAATGAGCAAAATAACCAGCTAACATCATAATGACAGGATCAAATTCACACATAACGATATTAACTTTAAATGTAAATGGACTAAATGCTCCAATTAAAAGACACAGACTGGCAAATTGGATAAAGAGTCAAGACCCATCAGTGTGCTGTATTCAGGAAACCCATCTCACATGCAGAGACACACACAGGCTCAAAATAAAAGGATGGAGGAAGATCTACCAAGCAAATGGAAAACAAAAAAAGGCAGGGCTTGCAATCCTAGTCTCTGATAAAACAGACTTTAAACCAACAAAGATCAAAAGAGACAAAGAAGGCCATTACATAATGGTAAAGGGATCAATTCAACAAGAAGAGCTAACTATCCTAAATATATATGAACCCATTACAAGAGCACCCAGATTCATAAAGCAAGTCCTGAGTGACCTACAAAGAGACTTAGACACCCACACAGTAATAATGGGAGACTTTAACACCCCACTGTCAACATTAGACAGATCAACAAGACAGAAAGTTAACAAGGATACCCAGGAATTGAACTCAGCTCTGCACCAAGCAGACCTAATAGACATCTACAGAACTCTCCACCCCAAATCAACAGAATATACATTCTTCTCAGCACCACACCATACCTATTCCAAAATTGACCACATAGTTGGAAGTAAAGCTCTCCTCAGCAAATGTAAAAGAACAGAAATTATAACAAACTGTCTCTCAGACCACAGTGCAATCAAACTACAACTCAGGATTAAGAAACTCACTCAAAACTGCTCAACTACATGGAAACTGAACAACCTGCTCCTGAATGACTACTGGGTACATAACGAAATGAAGGCAGAAATAAAGATGTTCTTTGAAACCAACGAGAACAAAGACACAACATACCAGAATCTCTGGGACACATTCAAAGCAGTGTGTAGAGGGAAATTTATAGCACTAAATGCCCACAAGAGAAAGCAGGAAAGATCCAAAATTGACACCCTAACATCACAATTAGAAGAACTAGAAAAGCAACAGCAAACACATTCAAAAGCTAGCAGAAGGCAAGAAATAACTAAGATCAGAGCAGAACTGAAGGAAATAGACACACAAAAAACCCTTCAAAACATTAATGAATCCAGGAGCTGGTTTTTGGAAGGATGAACAAAATTGATACACCGCTAGCAAGACTAATAAAGAAAAAAAGAGAGAAGAATCAAATAAACGCAATAAAAAATGATAAAGGGGATATCAGCACCGATCCCACAGAAATACAAACTACCATCAGAGAATACTACAAACACCTCTACGCAAATAAACTAGAAAATCTAGAAGAAATGGATAAATTCCTCGACACATACACCCTCCCAAGACTAAACCAGGAAGAAGTTGAATCTCTGAATAGACCAATAACAGGATCTGAAATTGTGGCAATAATCAATAGCTTACCAACCAAAAAGAGTCCAGGACCAGATGGATTCACAGCCGAATTCTACCAGAGGTACAAGGAGGAACTGGTACCATTCCTTCTGAAACTATTCCAATCAATAGAAAAAGAGGGAATCCTCCCTAACTCATTTTATGAGGCCAGCATCATCCTGATACCAAAGCCTGGCAGAGACACAACCAAAAAAGAGAATTTTAGACCAATCTCCTTGATGAACATTGATGCAAAAATCCTCAATAAAATACTGGCAAACCGAATCCAGCAGCACATCAAAAAGCTTATCCACCATGATCAAGTGGGCTTCATCCCTGGCATGCAAGGCTGGTTCAATATATGCAAATCAATAAATGTAATCCAGCATATAAACAGAACCAAAGACAAAAACCACATGATTATCTCAATAGATGCAGAAAAGGCCTTTGACAAAATTCAGCAACCTTCATGCTAAAAACTCTCAATAAATTAGGTATTGATGGGACGTATCTCAAAATAATAAGAGCTATCTATGACAAACCCACAGCCAGTATCATACTGAATGGACAAAAACTGGAAGCATTCCCTTTGAAAACTGGCACAAGACAGGGATGCCCTCTCTCACCACTCCTATTCAACATAGTGTTGGAAGTTCTGCCCAGGGCAATTAGGCAGGAGAAGGAAATAAAGGGTATTCAGTTAGGAAAAGAGGAAGTCAAATTGTCCCTGTATGCAGACAACATGATTGTATATCTAGAAAACCCCACTGTCTCAGCCCAAAACTTCCTTAAGCTGATAAGCAACTTCAGCAAAGTCCCAGGATACAAAATCAATGTACAAAAATCACAAGCATTCTTATACACCAATAACAGACAAACAGAGAGCCAAATCATGAGTGAACTCCCATTCACAATTGCTTCAAAGAGAATAAAATACCTAGGAATCCAACTTACAAGGGACGTGAAGGACCTCTTCAAGGAGAACTACAAACCACTGCTCAAGGAAATAAAGATACAAAGAAATGGAAGAACATTCCATGCTCATGGGTAGGAAGAATCAATATCGTGAAAATGGCCATACTGCCCAAGGTAATTTATAGATTCAATGCCATCCCCATCAAGCTACCAATGACTTTCTTCACAGAATTGGAGAAAACTACTTTAAAGTTCATATGGAACCAAAAAAGAGCCCGCATCGCCAAGTCAATCCTAAGCCAAAAGAACAAAGCTGGAGGCATCATGCTACCTGACTTCAAACAATACTACAAGGCTACAGTAACCAAACAGCATGGTGCTGGTACCAAAACAGAGATATAGATCAATGGAACAGAACAGAGCCCTCAGAAATAATGCCACCTATCTACAACTATCTGATCTTTGACAAACCTGAGAAAAACAAGCAATGGGGAAAGGATTCCCTATTTAATAAATGGTGCTGGAAAAACTGGCTAGCCATATGTAGAAAGCTGAAACTGGATCCCTTCCTTACACCTTATACAAAAATTAATTCAAGATGGATTAAAGACTTAAACGCTATACCTAAAACCATAAAAACCCTAGAAGAAAACCTAGGTATTACCATGCAGGACATAGGCATGGGCAAGGACTTCATGTCTAAAACACCAAAAGCAATGGCAACAAAAGCCAAAATTGACAAATGGGATCTAATTAAACCAAAGAACTTCTGCACAGCAAAAGAAATTACCAGCAGAGTGAGCAGGCAACCTACAAAATGGGAGAAAATTTTCACAACCTACTCATCTGACAAAGGGCTAATATCCAGAATCTACAATGAACTCAAACAAATTTACAAGAAAAAAACAACCCCATCAACAAGTGGGCAAAGGATATGAACAGACACTTCTCAAAAGAAGACATTTATGCAGCCAAAAGACACATGAAAAAATGCTCACCATCACTGGCCATCAGAGAAATGCAAATCAAAACCACAATGAGATACCATCTCACACCAGTTAGAATGGCGATCATTAAAAAGTCAGGAAACAACAGGTGCTGGAGAGGATGTGGAGAAATAGGAACACTTTTACACTGTTGGTGGGACTATAAACCAGTTCAACCATTGTGGAAGTCAGTGTGGCAATTCCTCAGGGATCTAGAACTAGAAATACCATTTGACCCAACCATCCCATTACTGGGTATACACCCAAAGGACTATAAATCATGCTGCTATAAAGACACATGCACACATATGTTTATTGCGGCACTATTCACAATAGCAAAGACTTGGAACCAACCCAAATGTCCAACAATGATAGACAGGATTAAGAAAATATGGCACATATACACCATGGAATACTATGCAGCCATAAAAAATGATGAGTTCATGTCCTTTTTAAGGACATGGATGAAACTGGAAATCATCATTCTCAGTAAACTATCACAAGGAGAAAAAACCAAACACCGCATGTTCTCACTCATAGGTGGGAATTGAATAATGAGAACACATGGACACAGGAAGGGGAACATCACACTCTGGGGACTGTTGTGGGGTGGGGGGAGTGGGGAGGGATAGCATTAGGAGATATACCTAATGCTAAATGACGAGTTAATGGGTGCAGCACACCAGCATGGCACATGTATACATATTTAACTAACCTGCACATTGTGCACATGTATCCTAAAACTTAAAGTATAATAATAATAAAATTTAAAAAAATGAATCAAAGATCTAAATGTAAGAGTTAAAATTATAAAACTCTTAGAAGAAAAAACAGAGTAAACCTTAAAGCCCTTGGATTTGACAACAGTTCTTCAAATGTGACACCAAAGGTACATTCAACAACAACAACAAAAAGATACTGGACTTAATCAAAAATTTTTTTTAAACTTTTGTGCTTCAAAGGACCCTATCAAGAAAGTGAAAGAGACAACTAACTGGAAAAATAAATGTGCAAATAACATATCTGATAAAGGAATCATATCTAGAATACATAAAGAACTGTCACAACTCAATAATACAAAGACAAATCACCGAATTAAGAATGGGAAAGGATCTGACTAGACATTTCCCTAAAGCAGATGCAATAGAAATGGTCAATAAGCAAATGAAAAGATGCTCAACATCATTAGTCATTTAGGAAATGAAAGTCAAAACCACAATGAGATAATACTTTACACCCACTAGGATAGCTATAATCAAAAAGATAAATAATAACAAGTGTTAGCAAAGAAGTGGAAAAAATGGGAACTCTGTATATATTACTGGTAAGAATGTAAAATGGTACAGATACTTTGGAAAATATCTAGAAGACCCTCAAAAGGTTAAAACACAAAGTTACCATATGACTCAGCAATTCCACTTCCAGATATGTACCTTAAAGAATTAAAAGCAAGTATTCACACGAAAACTTGTACATGAATGTTCACAGCAGGATTATCATAATAGCCAAAAAGTAGAAACAACCCAATTGTCCATCAACTGATGAACTGATAAATCAAATGGGCTATATCAACACAATGGAATATGATCTGGCAGTTAAAAAAAATTAAATACTGATACATGCTGCAACATGCATGAACCTGGAAAACCTATGCTAAATAAAATAATCCAGTCACAAAGAGCCACATATTTTATGATTCCATTTATAGAAAATGTACAGAACAGGCAAATCAAAGTGATTATCTAAGTGAGATGGGCAGGTTGGGAGGTAGTAAGTACAGGGCACAGGGTTTCTTTTTAGGTGGTGAAAATCTTTAAAAATTGACTGTGGAGATGGTTACTTGATTCCATAGATATACTAAAGACCATGGAATTGTACCCTTTAAATGAATAAATTGTTTGGTATGTGAATTACATCTAAATAAAGCTGTTACCCAACAAAAACATTTGGTGTGATGGCTAATTTTAGGTGTCAACTTGACTGAATAAAGGGATATGTAATAGCTAGTAAAGCATTATTTCTGGGTGTATCTGTGAGGATGTTTCCAGAGAATGGTGTGAGTCAATGGACTCATTAGGAAAGATCAGCCCTCAATGTGGGCAGGCACCATCCAATCAGCTAAGAGTCCAGACAAAATTAAAAGGCAGTAAAAAGGCAAAATTTGCTCTTTTTCCTGGAACTAGAATACCCTTCTTTACCTGTCCTTGGATATTGGGACTCTACGTTCTCCAGCCTTTGGACTCTGGGACTTATACCAGCAGCCCCCTGGGTTCTCAGGCCTTCAGTCTCACTGAGAATTACACCACTGGCTTCCTTGATTATGAGACCCTGGGACTTGGACTGAGTCACACTACCTTCTACAGGCTTCCCTACATCTCCAGCTTGCAGGCAGCCTATGAGGGACTTCTCAGCGTCCATAATTGTGTGAGCCAATTCCCCTAATAAATCTCCTCTCCTATCTATCTATCTATCTATCTATCTATCTATCTATCTATCTATCTATCTATCTGCCTACCTACCTAGCTATCTACCTAGCTACCTCTTTACCTACCTACCCATCCATCCATCCACCCATCTATCCATCCATCCATCCCATTGGTTGTTTCTCTTGAGAATCTTGACTAATACATATGTAAAGGCAAAAGAACTATTTCTGAAAAAATAGGAACTACCATAAACTGCTTCACAAAATATCCACTCAGCCATTCAACTAAAATTAAGTTAGTTGTTTTTATTTGCCAAGCACTAGGGATACAAAGGTACACAAGACACAATTATGTCCACAAAGCATATATGTGTATTTGGAGTCCATGTGTATGGAAGGCATGAGGTGTACACATTACAGGATCTTTGGTAACTGAGAGGTCATAAAATAACTTTTCAGGCAGATGGGAGGACAGCATGTGCAAAAATATGAAGTGGTTCAACAAGACTAGAGCATAAAGTGAGATGCAAGTGGAAAAGGAGGCTAATGAGCACAGATTTCATACTAGAGATGATCAATAGGCAGTTAGGCTGATAGATTTTAAGCTATATTAGTAATTTCTTTTGGAAAGATCACACTATGAAGTAATGGGACCAATGAACTAAAGGGCGAGATAAATGAGTATACAATTACTTCATATCTGTATATAGTAAAGTGATGAAGTGTGGTACCACAAAAGAACCACGTTAACCCTACTAGTGGGTACTAGTCTTTATGCGAATTATTATCTCCTTTACTCTGTCTGAAAATATGTAACTGTAGCAAACACTCATGAAGTATTTAAAGAGCACTGATCAAATATACAAAGAAGCGTAGCATAATGCCTCTATCACAACTTCAACATTATTTCTAAATACAGAACAAGATAACCATCAGAAATTGCAAATTAAATTTTCCATTTAGAGTCTGAGAGGAAGGCTATTTGATTTCACCAAAAGTTAATCAGGATCAGAGCTGAGGATAGAAATTGATGATCCTTCCAGTAACTTTTGCTATCTCTCCCATTTTTCCTCCTTTATAAAAGCCCAACAAAAGTAAGGTATAAAAAGAAAAGTGAAATGAAAGAGTTAACCTTCTGAAATATTTAAGGAGATTAAAACTACAATCTTGATTCTGGCACTATTTCCTGGTAAAAAGTAATCTACTTTCCCAAATGTGCTTTCCTGTTCAATTGCTATTACTTAAAACTATAAAAATGCACAAGAGAAGCTGGCAAGAAAGACTGGGATCTTGGGAGTGATAGAAGACACTTTTCTGTCTAGACAACAAGAAGCAAATCAAAAGAAACCAAATTTAAAAGCCCTGCCAAGAACCAATATGGAATTAATAGCATTTCCACAGGTTATACTATTTATTCCAAAAAAAGCAATCTTTTATTTAATAAAGCATCATAGAAACCCTCAATCTTTGAGCCTGTAAAAAAATAAAATATAAAATGCAGTACTGTATTTAAAGAATAAAAACTAAAATGAATTTCTTCTAATTATCCTAAGGGGATATGAAGAATGAAATATAATTATAGTCAATTAAACTACTTCACTCAAACCTTTGCACCAGAAATGTACTGCTAATGAGCTCATCCTATGAAACTCAACTGACTGTCACATTCTGATGTTCTAGGCTCATCTGAAAAGGTGCCAGGTGAAAATATAGTAGTAAATTTTAAATATATAATTAGTGAAAGAGACAGTTGATTATTCATATAATTAAGAAAACTGCTACATTTTAAAATGGGAGTAAATAAATGTTTATTTAACTAATGATATGTGGTATACACTCAATTTGATAGCCAACGACCTCTAAGTTTAACCTGGATCGGAGTTTACTAAGGGGTTTGGGTTATACAATTAGTCCTGAGGCTCTGGCTGCAGTTCACTTTACAAAACTGCGTTCACAAGAAAATGGAGTACTACCTCTCTAATGGTTTATACATTAGCTCATTGTGAACCAAATGTCCAAATTCTGAAAACTAGAATCCAAAGGCAAGATCAAAAAGTATAAAGATGAATTACTTCCAAATAATAAGGAACAACCTAAAATGCTACATAAAATGAAACAGAGAAAGCATGGAGGTGAGGAGAGGCAGGTTTAGATGCATAAAAGAATTAAACTTGATGATACTCCATTTGTATATATTTGGTTAAGAATGCCACTTATCACTGAAAATTGTTATGGTGTACATAGAGAAACTTATCACAACGATAATATATGAATACAAATATTAAAAGCACTATTTTTTGTTTACCTTACTAAAATAAGAATTTTTAATAGTAGATAAAAGCAGCAAAATGTTTCTGCAGAAAACATAAAGGACTTCTTTATATCTTTCCAGAGTAGATAGCACAGTACTATTATAGGCATTTTTATTCTAAAAATGTTAAATTCACTGAACATGGATTAAAAATCATAGAAGAAATCAGCTGCTTTATAAAATATGGAAAATCTAAAGGTGCTTCATGAGGTTAATAATAGACTATTGTACTTTGGTAAAGAAGAAAGATGAGAAATTCATTTTCACATATATCTGAAATTTATCATTTAATATGGGGTTTATTCATGAAAATTACAGTTATTCATTCACTCACTCAACAAATATTGATTGGGTATCTACTATGTGCTATTCATATGCTAAGTACTAAGGATATAAATAAAAGGTAAGAACCTGCTGTCATGTACTGTAAAATCCATTAAAAGTAATGGCCCAGCTATACCCTTTTATCTAAAAATTTAACACTTTTATAGAAAGGAGAAGATATATAATTAATAATTATTTTTCATTTTCTTTTTAAAATCTGTATTTATCTAAAGATTATTCAATATCAATTTCTGACAATAAAGATCTTTCCAAAAGTTAAAAAAATAAACTCTAGTGAAAAGTAAAAAGAAAATAACCAAAGTGAAAATTGAGTTCCTGCTTAAGGTTGTTATAATTTTAAATTTTTGTCATATATCATAAATTAGAATAACCTTTCTGAAAACAAAAGCTTGATATTTGTCACAAGCTTTAAAAATAATACATTTTAGTCTTATACTTTTATTTCTAAAAATCATAAATGCAAAGATTTACACACAAATATCTTTATAACAATGGTATGGAAAAATAGACAAAAGCCTAAATATTTGAGACTAAAGAAGGATCAACCAATTACAGTTTATCCATATAAAAGTCTTTGGTGTAGTCATTTAAAAAGTTTTGCCAACAAATTCTAATGTAAAATGTTTACTACATAATTTTAAGTGAAAAAAGCAGAATATAAAACTACATATATCTTAAGATTAACTACATTAAAATATACAAAGACGGCTAGGTGCTGTGGTTCACACCCGTAATCCCAGTACTCCAGGAGACTGAAGAGAGTAGATCACCTGAGGTCAGGAGTTCGAGACCAGCCTGGCCAACATGGTAAAACCTCATCTCTACTAAAAAAAAAAAGCACAAAAATCAGCCAGGCATGGTGGCACGTGCCTGTACTCTAAGCTACTTGGGAGGCTGAGGCAGGAGAATCACTTGAACCTGGTAGGTGAAGGCTGCAGTAAGCTGAGATCGTGCTGCTGCACTCCAGCATAGGCGACAGAGTGAGACTCCATCTCTAATATACATACACACACACACACACATACACACACACACACACACAAATCTTACAGGAACTATAACAAAATGTTAACAGCTGTTATCTCTGGATAAGAAAATTGGAATTTCACAATGAATATTAGCATATTCCTAGATTGTAAGGATTCATGCTGTAAAGAAAACGCATTTGACCTTAATGTCACTGTAATCACCATTCAGAAGCTCCAAAAGAAGGAAACATTACATTTAAGTAAGTGGCTAACACTTGTGGTCTCCTAAAATTAGTAATGTATTAACATTTATATTTTCACTGGCAATATTTCCATCCTAGCACCTTTCTTGCAAACTTAAATATAACTAGGCAAGTGTGATTTGGAAATTTTAACTTTATGCACTAAAATCTTTTCTGAAAACATGCTAAATGCCCACTATACTATTTTTTAAATGTTGATAATTAACTAGCCATTTGAAACAGGTTTTCTATACCAAAATAAGTATTAACCATCTGCAGAAATAATCTGGAGAAATTTTTGTAGATGTAATTGCCAGAAATCAGGAAACTGAATTTTTAGGAATCTAATTACAGAAATGTTGACTTCTCAGGAAAATTTTTATTATCTGAAGCAAGCATAAAATGCAGTATAAGAAAGTACTTTCACCAGTGTTAATCACTCCAGAGCTCATGAGTAACATCACAGCACACCATGGCCTTAGGCCAAATAATAAAGTGCCAAATGGAAAATGGCACAAGTCCATGGATTGTAAATACTGTATTACAGGAAAATAAAGAAAAAAAATCTTTCATTAGAGCAATTAAATATGCAGTTGTAGTACCAGTTCCTATGATGAATAAATCAGTTTAGCAATTCCAAGAGTGGATGCTGTTTAAACACATTCCCCACTGGCAGTAATTTTAAATTCAAAATGTTACTGTATGTTCTGTAGTTCCAAATTGTTTTAAACTAGAAAGTGTTTTTGATTGATGTAGTTTGTAACTATCACCTGAAATTCTGACATGTGGCATTTGATGACTGGGCATCTACCTGACCCATTATTTTATGCAACAGTATGCAATAAAATACAGATAAATATTGCAGATAAAAAAAAACTCATAATAATCAGCCAAGGTTTTATAACATCGATTCTAGAGAAAGTTTCTACTAGCCCAACATCAATCATCCATTATTACATAATTCCATTTGTCAAATTATTTACATTAAATGAGCATGTTCTGCTATAGAAATTTTTGGAAATTAAGTTAAAATTCAATAGTAAATTTGAAAATGTCTCAAAAAGAATTCAAAACCACACTAAGTAACCTAAGCTACCAATAAGTCCTTAGAGAATATTCCTACCCATAGAGCACTGTTTCTCAGCCTAAATTTACAAAACAACTGCATTATATAAAAAGTTAACAAGTATATGCATCCTTTAGCTTTTGATAGTTAATTACCCCAAAAATTAGCGACTTAAAACAACAGACATATATTATTTCTGACAGTTCTGAGAGTTAACTGGGTGTGGACAAACTTCAATTGGGACAGGATAGTCCAGCATGATGTCACATGTCTGGTAATTGGCAGGACAGCTGGGTAGAAGGATTCTCAGCTAAGGGGGCTCATTCTGTTCCACAGGGTCTCTCATCCTCCAGGAAGCTAGTAAATATTTCTTAATATAGATAAGGTAGGATTTAAAAGAGCAGCAAGGGAAGGCAAGCCTCAAGCACTTTCAAGCCTGTGTGCATCATGATTGCTGACATCACACTGGCCAAAGAAAGTAACAGGGCCAGGCACAGACTTAAAGCCTGCAAAAACTGATTCCATTTCTTTTATCATAGGAGTACAAAACTGCACACAAAAGGGCAAACACACAGTGATGGAAAGAACTTGTGGTCATTTATTGCATTCACATTGCAAAATACAAAAAGTCGCTGCTCCCCAAGCCATGGCAACTAAGTTTCCATAAGAAATCCTTTTGATCACTTCATAATGATAAATATTTGCATATTAAAAGACTCTGAGGAGTCCAGCAGAAAAGAAACTATTGGTTTTATTTAAACCAACAATCCCAAAACTTATATGACCACAAAACACATTGTTCGAGGAATATAGTCACTTTTAAAAGGGAAAACAGGTCCAGCATGGTGGCTTGCGCCGGCAATTTTAGCACTTTGGGAGGCTGAGGCAGGAGGATCATTTGAAGCCACGAGTTCCAGACCAGTCTGCGCAACAAAGCAAGACCTCGTCTCTACAAAAAATAAAAAATTTAATAAGGTGCAATGGCATGTGCCTGCTATTCCAACTGCTCAGAAGGCTGAGTCAGGAGGATCGTTTGAGCAGAGAAATTTGACGCTACAGTGAAGTGAGCTAGGACTGCACCATTGCACTCCAGCATGGAAGACAGAGAGAGCTCCTGCCTCTTTAAAAAAAAAAAATTGAAAACAAATCCTTATCATTCCACATTGTCTACTTCATTTATCTAATATCATTTTAGTTTCCTTTGTTTTGTTTTTTGTTTTATTTTTAGCTAACAATTTAAAAACATTAGTTAATGACCAAGAGAACTATGGATACTGAAACGCCTATACACAGTGAGGTAAAGGATACAACTAGGCCAGACTCTCTAACAAGGCTCTAAGTTTTCAAATAATTCTAATGGTAGAGTTTTTGCAAGAAAGAGTACAACTGTGATGAAACTGATGATGGAAAGGTGGCAGAATAGGAGTTTTCTACTGCTCTTTCCTCACAGAAATATCAGCTTGAACAATTGCCCACACTTGAAAATACCTTCACAACAGCTAAGGAATCCAAGTGAGATATTAGAGTACCTGGGTGGAGAACAAAAATAAGGAAACAGGCCAGGCACAGTAGCTCACATCTGTAATCCCGGCAATTTGGGATGCCCAGGTGAGAAGACTGCTTGAGCCTAGGAATTCATGACTACTCTGGGCAACACAGAGAAAACCCATGTCTACAAAAAATAAAGTAAAACAAAAAATTAGCTGGGTGTGGTGGCGTACACCTGTAGTCCTAGCTATTCAGGTGACTGAGGTGGGAGGATCAACTAAACTCAGGAGACTGAAGCTGCAGTGAGCCGTGTCGCACCACTGCACTCTAGCCTGGGCAACAAAGAGAGATTTCGTCTCAAAAAATAATAAATAAATAAGAAAACATGCATTGAAGAATCTAGGAAGTAAAGTTTCTCACTAAATGCTTCATCCCACCCCCAACCTCTGGCAGCACAATGTGGAGAGAAATACTGTCCACATGGAAGAAGGATGACATAAGCATCCAGCTCTCCCCACAGATTCCAGTACTTGCCCTATCCCAGCCCAAGGTCAGCCCCCACAGCCCAGGATGGATCCCTGCAGACTTAGGCTCTAGGCCTACACAAGAGCCAGGCTTGGACCTGCAGCCCCAAATTCCGAACCAGCCACTGTAGACCCAGGCTGGTCTCAGGCTCTAGACCCACCACTATGGTCCTGAATTCAAGGCCCACCTCAGTGCCAGGTGGCATCCATGAACTCAGCCTTCAGGATCACCCCCATAGACACAGGCTCCAGGTCAGCCCCAGTGGACAGAGGCTCCAGAACTGTCCCTGTGGCCTCAGGCTCCAGCCCCATCCCAGCACTAAGACTGCCCTCCTTGGACCTAGACACCAAGACCATCCACCTGCTGACCCAGACAACAAACCAAGATACCCAAGGACTCCAGCAGCAAGACAGCCTACCAAGAACTACTAGACAAGCTGACTAGTGAAGGGCTTTCCCTACAGAAACCAATCTGTAAAGACAAGAAGTGTTGTTTACTTTTTCACATGCACAGACAATAACACAAGTCCACAAAAATCACTAATAATTAGAGAAACAGGACACCAAAGGAACAAAATTAAGCACCAGTAGCAGACACTAAACGACTGATGATACATAAACTGCCAGATAAGTATAAAAAATAATCATCTTAGCTACAAGAGAATTCAAATAACATGAATCCAGGAAAACAATGCATGAAAAAAATGAAGAATTCAAGAAAGAGATAGAGAGTATAAAAAAGAACCAAACAGAAATTCTGGAACTGAAGAATTCAATGAGTGAATTAAATATTCAATGGAAAACTTCAACAGCAGACAATACAACAGAAGAATCAGCAAACTCAAACACAGATCTTCTGAAATTATCTTGTCACAAAAACAAAAAGAAAAAAGAATGAAGAGTGAAAAAAGCCTAACAGGGACTTAGAACGCAACATTAAGCGAACCAGTGTACACATTACAACAGACCCAGAAGAAGCAGAGAAAGGGGCAGAAAATTTACTTAAAGAAATAATGGGCTGGGCACGGTGGCTCAGGCCTGTAACCCCAGCACTTTAGGAGGCTGAGGCGGGTGGATCACGAGGTCAGGAAATCAAGACCATCCTGGCCACATATGAAACTCCGTCTCTACTAAAAATACAGAAATTAGCTTGGTGTGGTGGCGTGTGCCTGTAATGCCAGCTACTCAGGAGGCTGAGGCAGGAGAATCCCTTGAACCAGGGAGTCAGAGGTTGCAGTGAGCCAAGATCACACTACTACCCTCCAGCCTGGTGACAGAGTGAGATTCTGTCTCAAAAAAAAAAAAAAAAGAAAGAATGACAGAAAATTTCCCAAATCTGGAGAGGGAAATGAATATAATTTGTTTTAGTGTATTTGGAGTTCTTTAGGCTTTATGGATTCAAATCTAAATCCATAAAGCCTAAAGAACTCCAAATAGATTAAAACAAAGAGAGCTTCACCAAGATATGTTATAATCATATTCTCAAAAGTCAACAAATTTTGAAAGCAGCAAGAAAAAAGCAACTCATTACAAATAAGGAAACCATCATCAGACTACGACCAGATTTCTCAGACAATCCATTGCGGGCCAGGAGAGAGTAAGATGATATATTGAAAGTGCTAAAAGAAAAAGGGAAAAAAAAAAACTGCCAACAAAGAATACTATACCAGAAAAGGCTGGCCTTAAAAAATAAGAGAGCAATAAAGACATAACCAAATAAAAATGTGGGTATTCAGCACCACTAGAGCCAGTTCATCAAGTTAAAATGAAAGGATGCTAACTAATATGAAAGCATATGAAAGTACAAAACCCCCTGTAAAGGTAAGAATACAAACCCAGAATACTGTAATAGTATAGTACTAGCACATAAATCATTTTTAGCTACAAGTGTAAAAGTTAAAAAAAAATTACAAATAGCAATAGCCACAATAATTTGTTAGGGGATACACAACATATAAAAGATGCAAAACGTGACATCAGTAACATAAAATATGGGGGCAGGAGAAATTAAAGAGTAGAGTCTGTGTGTGGGACCAATGTTAAGTTATTAACAGCTTAAAATAGACTGTTTCAACTAGAAGGTGTTTTATGTAAGCCTCAGAGTAATCACAAAGAAAAATCATGTAATAGATACACAAAGGATAAAGAGAAAAGAATCAAAGAATATCACTAAAAAAAAAAAATCACATCACAAAGGAAGACAGCAAGAGAAGAAGAAAGGAACAAAGGTACTACAAAACAGAAAACAATAAAATAGCTCTAGTAAGCCCTTACCTATCAATAATTACTTCAAATGGAACATTAAATTCTCCAGTCAAAAGACAGAGTGGCTGAATGGATTAAACAACAAGATTCAAAATTATGCTACCCATAAGAGACTCTAATTTAAAGATTTTAATTTAAAGTATTCTATATGCATTGTTAAAGCTGAAGTGAAAGTATTCTATATGTGTTCTTAAAGAGTCTGAAGACTTTCAAAATAGAGTCTTCAGCTCTATTTTGATTGCTATTTGCATAAATAGCAATCATGCTATTTCATAGCAATTTTCATGCAAATAGCAATCAAAATAGAGCAGGGGTGGCTATACTTATATTAGACAAAATAGACTAAGTCAAAAACTGTCAAAAAAAGACAAGGTCATTATATAATGATAAGAGTCAATTCATTAACTGGATATAGTGATTGTAAATATATATGCACTGAACACTGGAGCATCTAAATACATAAAGAAAATTTTAAAAGAACCGAAGGGAGTAACATACAGCTATACAGGAACAGTAAGAGACTTCAATAACCCACTTTCAACAATGGCAAATCATCAAGATAGAAAATCAATAAGGAAACAGCAGACTTGAAGAGCACTATAGACTAAATGGACCTAACAGACATATACAGAACACTACAACCAATGGCCGCAGAATACACGTTATTTTCTCTTTTTTTAATTATTAGTATTTTTAATTTTTCCACAAGTTATTGGGGGTACAGGTGGTATTTGGTTACATGAGTAAGTTCCTTAGTGGTGATTTGTGACATTTTGGTGCAGTCATCACCCGAGCAGTGTACACTGCACCTTATTTGTAGTCTTTTATCCCTCACCCCCCTCCCATTCTTCCCGCCAAGTCCCTGAAGTCCATTATATTCTTATGACTTTGTGTCCTCATACCTTAGCTCCCACATATCAGTGAGAACATATGATGTTTGTTTTTCCATTCCTGAGTTACTTCACTTAAAATAATATGCACCTAACATTGGAGTTCCCAAATGTATAAAACAATTACTAAGAGACCTAAGAAATGAGATAGACAGCAACACAATAATAGTACGGGACTTCAGTACTCCACTGACAGCACTAGACAGGTCATCAAGACGGAAAGTCAACAAAGAAACCATGGATTTCAACTATACCTTGGAACAAATGGACTTAACTGATATACACAGAACATTTCATCCAACAATTGCAGAATACACCTTCTATTCAACAGCACATGGAACTTTCTCCAAAACAGACCACGTGATAGGCCATAAAACGAGCCTCAATAAATTTAAGAAAATTGAAATTATATCAAGCACTCTCTCAGACCACCATGGGACAAAATTGGAAACCGACTCCAAAAGGAACCTTCAGAACCATGCAAATACATGAAAATTAAATAACCTGCTCCTGAATGAGCGCTGGGTCAAAAACAAAATCAAGATGAAAATTAAAAAATTCTTCGAACTGAATGACAATAATGATACAGTCTATCAAAACCTCTGGGATACAGCAAAGGCAGTGCTAAGAGGAAAGTTCATAGCCCAAAGCACCTACATTGGAAGGTCTGAAAGAGCACAAACTGACATTCTAAGGTCACACCTCAAGGAATTAGAGAAACAAGAACAAACCGAACCCCAAACCAAGCAGAAGAAAGGAAATTACCAAGATCAGAGCAGAAAGAAATAAAATTGAAAAAAAAAAATACAAAAGATAAATGAAACAAAAAGCTGATTCTTTGAAAAGATAAAATAGACAATTAGAAAGATTAACCAAGAAAAGAAGAGAGAAAATCTAAATAACCTCACTAAGAAACAAAACAGGAGATATTACAACTGATACCACTGAAATACAAAAGATCATTCAAGGCTACTATGAACACCTGTATGCACATAAATTAGAAAACCTAGAAGAGATGAATAAATTCCTGGAAAAATACAACCCTCCTAGCTTAAATCAGGAAGAATTAGTACCCTGAACAGACCAATAACAACCAGTGAGATTGAAATGGTAATTTAAAAATTACCAGCCAGGCACGGTGGCTCACACCTATAATCCCAGCACATTCAGAGGCCGAGGCCGGTGGATCACTTGAGGTCAAGAGTTAGAGACAAGCCTGACCAACATGGAGAAACCCCATCTCTACTAAAAATACGAAATTAGCCAGGCGTGATGGCACATGCTTATAATCCCACCCAGCTACTTGGGAGGCTGAGGGAGGAGAATCGCTTGAATCTGAGAGGCAGAGGTTGCGATGAGCCGAGATTGCACCATTGCACTCCAGTCTGGTCAACAAGAGCAAAACTACTCCGTCTCAAAAAAAAAAAAAAGAAAAAAAAAATTTTCCAACAAAAAGAAGTCCAAGACTAGATGGATTCACAGCGGAATTCTACCAGACATTCAAAGAAGAACTGGTACCAATCCTTCAATCCTTTTGACACTACTCCACAAGACAGAGAAAGAAGGAACCCTCCCTAAGTCATTTTATGAAGCCAGCATCACCCTACTACCAAAACCAGAAAAGGATATAACCAAAAAAAGAAAACTACAGACCAATATCCTTGATGAACACTGAAGCTAAAATCCTTACTTAAAAAACTACTAGCTAACCAAATCCAACAACATACTAAAAAGATAATCCACCATGATCAAGTGGGTTTCATACCAGGGATGCAGGGATGGTTTAACATATGCAAGTCAATAAATGTGATACACCACATAAACAGAATTAAAAACACAATCACACAATCATCTCAACAGATGCAGAAAAAGTACTCAACAAAATTCAGCATCCCTTTATGATTAAAACTGTCAGCAAAACTGGTATACATGGGACATACCTTAATGTAATAAAAGCCATCTATGACAAACCCACAGCCAATGTAATACTGAATGGGGGAAAAGTTGAAAACATTCCTCTGAGAACTGGAACAAGACAAGGATGCTCACTCTCACCACTCCTCTTCATCATAGTATTGGAAGTCCTAGCCAGAGCAATCAGACAATAGAAAGAAATGAAAGGCATCCAAATCAGTAAAGAGGAAAAACTGTCACTGCTGACGATATGATCATTTACCTTGAAAACCCTAAGGACTCCTCCTTAGGAGTAAAGCTCCTAGAACTGTTGAAAGCATTCAGCAAAGTTTCCAGATACAAGACTAATGTATACAAATCAGTAGCTTTCTATACACCAACAGCAACCAAGCAGAGTATCAAATCAATAACTCAACCCTTTTACAATAGCTGCAAAAAAAAATACTTAGGAATACACCTAACCAAGGAGTCGAAAGACCTCTACAAGGAAAACTACAAAACACAACTGAAAGAAATACACGACACAAATGGAAACACATCCCTAGTGTGATTTTTGAGGGGTGTTGAAGAGCCTTGTTTTGGCATGTTACCAGGGTTGGTTTTCTGGCTCTTTCTCATTGGGTAGGCTCTGTCAGAAGAAGGTCTAGGGCTGAAGGTTGTTGTTCGAATCCCTTTGTCCCATGGGATATTCCGTTGATGTAGTACTCTCCCCACTTTTCCTATGGATGTGTCTTCCTGTGAGCCTAACTGCAGTGATTGTTGTCTGTCTTCTAGGTCTAGCCACCCAGCAAGTCTACCCAGCTCTGGGTTGGTACTGGGGGTTGTCTGTACAGAGTCCTGTGATGTGAACCATCTATGGGGCTCTCAAATACATATTCTTTTCAAGTGCACATGACACATTCTGAAGGATAGATCATATCTTAGACCACAAAACAAGTCTAAAAAGTTTAAGAAGACTAAAATCATATCACGTATCTTTTCTGTCCATAATCATACAAACCAGAAAAGAATAACAGGAAAAAAAAATTGGAAAATCCACAAATATCTGGAAATTAAACAACATACTCCTGAACAATCAATGGGTCAAAGATGAAATCAAAAGAAAAATAAAAAAAAGTCTTAAGACAAATGGAAATAGAAACACAACATACCAAAACTTTGATACAGCAAAAGTAGTTCTATGAGGAAAGTTTATAGCAATAAATACCTATATTAAGAAAAAAGAAATATCTCAAATGAACAACCTAATTTTACACAACAAAGAAATAGAAAAAGAACAAAATAAGTTCAGAGTTAGCAGAAGGAAGGAAATACTAAAGATCAGAGCAGAAATAAATGAAATGGAGACTAGAAAAATAATTTAAAAGATCAATGTAAGAATATAAAAAGATCAACATTAGTTGTTTTTTCAAAAGATAAGCAAAATTGACAAATCTTTGCCTAGACTACTATAAAAAAAAGAAAGAAGATTAAAGTAGGCTGGGCGCGGTGCTCACACCTGTAATCCTAGCACTTTGGGAGGCTGAGGTGGGCGGATCATGAGGTCAGGAGTTTGAGACCAGCCTGACCAACATGGTGAAACCCCGTCTCTACTAAAAATACAAAAATTAGCTGGGCGTTGTGGCGGGTGCCTGTAATCCCAGCTACTCAGGAGGTTGAGGCAGGAGAATCACTTGAACCCAGGAGGCGGAGGTTGCCGTGAGCCAAGATGGTGCCATTGCACTCCAGCCTGGGTAACAGAGCGAGACTCCGTCTCAAAAAAAAAAAAAAAAAAAAAGAAGAAGATTAAAGTAAATAAACTGAGAAATGAAACAGGAGACACTACAATTGATACCACAAAAATACAATCATAAGAGACTAATATGAACAATTACATGGCAACAATTTGGCCAACCAAGAAGAAAGAAAGAAATTCCCAGAAACATACAACCTACCAAAAATGAATCATAAAGAAAATCTGAACAGGCCAATAATGAGTGAGGGGAATAAACCAATAATCAAAAAGCTCCCTAACAAAGAAAACTCCAAGACCCGAGAAGTTATGCTTCTCAAGCATTAGCATCACTTCTTTAAATTCTTAGTAGAATTCACAAAACTTCCAATAAACTGAAGAGGAAGGAACACTTCCAAACTCACTTTATGAGGCCAGCATTAATGTGATACAAGAATGCTGTAAGAATAGAAAATTACAGGCCAATATCCTTGGTGAACATAGATGGAAATATTCTCAACAAAATATTTGCAAACCAAATTCAATAGCACATTAAAAGGATCATACACCATGATCCAATGAGATTCATCCCTAGGATGCAAGGCTGCTGGTTCAACATATGCAAATCAATAAACATGATACGCCACCTTAAAAGGACGAAGAATAAAAATCATAAAATCATATCAATAGATACAGAAAAAGCATTTGACAAAATTCAACATCCTTTCATGATAAAAACTCTCAATACATTAGACAGAATGTATCTCAACATCATAACGCTATATGTATGACAAGCTCACGGCTAACATCATACCCAACAATGAAAAGCTAAAAACTTTTCCTCTAAGATGAAGAGCAAGACAAAATGCTCACTCTCGCAACTTCTATTTAATATAGTACTGAAAGTCATAGCCAGGGAAATTAGGCAAGAAAAAGAAATAAAAAGCATCCGAATTGAAAAAGAAGAAAAAAATTGTCTGTTTGCAGATGACATAATCTTATATAAAGGAAACCCTAAATATTCCACCAAAAAAAAAAGATTAAAACCAATAAATGAATTCAGTAAATTGGCAGGATACAAAATCGACAACAAAAGTCAGTAGCATTTCTATACTCTAACAACTATCCAAAAAATTAAAAAAAGAAAATCCCATTTACAATAGTATTTTTTAAATATACCGAAAAAACTTAACCAAGACGGTGAAAGACCTGTACACTGAAAACTATAAAATACTGATGAAATAGAAGACACAAATACATAGAATAATGTCTAATGTTCATGAATTTTAAAAATTAACACTATTAAAATATTCATACTACCCAAAATTGTCTACAGATTTAATGTAACCACTACCAAAATTCCAATGGCATTTTTCTCTAAAATATGAAAAGCAACCCTAAAATTCATAAGGAAACATAAAAGTCACCATATAGTCAAAGTAATCTCAAGCAAAAAAAAAAAAAAAAGCTGTAGGCATCACACTATCTGATTTCAAAATATACTACAAAGCTATGATAATCAAGACAGCAATATACTGGCATAAAAACAGACATATAAATAAATGAAACAATAGAGAGCCCAGAAATAAATCCACGCATGTACAGTCAATTGATCTGCAAAGGTACCGAAGAACACGCAATGACGAAAGCACAATCTCTTTAAAAAATGGTGTCAGGAAAACTGTATATCCACATGATATCCATATGATAAACTGTATGTCCACACATGAAACTGGCCAGTCTTCTCACACCACATACAAAAAATCAGTTCAAAATGGATTAAATATTTAAACATAATATCTAGAACTGTAAAACTACTAGAAGAAAACATAAGGAAAAGCCTTATGGCATGGGTCCAGGGCAATGAATTTTTGGATACACTCCAAAAGCAGAGGCAAGAAAAACAAAAACTGACAAACAGGACTGCATCAAACCAGAAAGTTCTGCACAGCAAAGGAAACAGAGTAAAGAGACAACCTATGGAATGGGAGAAAATATGTGTGAACCATATATGAGGTAAGGGGCTGCTATCCAAAATACTAAAATATATATTAAGAAACTCAAACAACTCAAAAGCAAAAAAAAACAAACAATCTGATTAAAAATGGGCAAAGGATCTGAGTAACATTTGTTAAAAGAAGACGTACAAATGGCTAACTGGTATATGAAAATATGTTCAATACCACTAATCATCAGGGTAATACAAATCAAAACTATAATGAGATATCACCTCACATCTGTTAGGAAGGCCATTACCAAAAAGATGAAAGATAAGTGTTGCCAAGGATATGGAGAAAAAGAAACCCTTGTACACTGTTGGTGGGAATGTAAAGTGGTACAGACATTATGGAAAAATGGTATGGTGGTTCCTCAAAATATTAAGTTACCAAAAGATTCAGCAATCCTACTACTGGGTACATATCAAAAGGAAATGAAGTATCTCAAAGCGATATCTGCACTCTCATGTTCACTACAGCACTATTCACAACATCCAAGATAGGGAATCAATCTAAGTGTCCCTCAACAGATGAACAGAGAAAGAAAATGTGGTATAATGGTACAAAGAAATGTGGCATAATGGAATATTATTTGGCCTTATAAAAAGAAGAAAATACTGTCATTTATAATAACATGGATGAATCTGGGGAACATTATGCCTACTGAAATAAGTTAAGGTACACAGAAAGACAAAAGATCTTACTCATATGTGAAAAAAGCTAATTCCAAAAGGTTGTATACAGTATGATTCCATTTATATAAAGGTTCTGAAATAAAAATTTAGAAATGAGGGGAGGAATGAGGTGGGTGTGATTATAAAAGACAACATGAGGGATCTTTGTGGTGATGGAATTACTTAGTATCTGTGATGAATATGCAAACCTTTTCATGAGATAAAATTGTATAAAACTAAATAAACACATACACACAAGTAAAACTGAAAAAATATGAGTAAGATCAATGGATTGTATCAATAGGGGTATCCTGGTTTTAGTATTGTAATATAGTTTTTTGGGTGTTTTGTTTTTTGTTTTTGAGACAGGGTCTCGCTCTGTCACCCAGGCTGAAGTGCAGTGGCATAACCATGGCTCACTGCAGCCTCAACATTCCCCAGGGCTCAGATGATCCTCCCACCTCAGCTGTAGCTGGGACTACAGGTGTACACCACCACACTCAACTAATTTGTACTTTTTGTAGAGATGGGGTTTTACCATGTTAACCAGGCTGGTCTCAAACTCCTGGGCTCAAGTGATCCGCCCACCTCAGCCTCCCAAAGTGCTGGGATTGCAGCCATGAGCCACTGCACCCAGCCTGTACTTCAGTTTTGCAAAATGTTGCCACTGGAGGAAACTGGGTATAGGATACACAGAATCTCCCTACATTACTTCGTATAACTGCACTGAATTTACAGCTATCTCAATAAAACTTTCAATTAAGAAAAATATTTTTTTAAAGTTTAGCCTAGGAAGTCAGTCTCCCTGAACTCTAAATTTTTTTCAGAGTTTAATTCAAACAGTGTAGCTAGTGTGGGACATAAATGACTTACATTTGGGACATCAATTGCTATTTCCCTCATGGCACTGGGTCTGATATCATTCATTGCCTGCAAGAAATCCTTCAGAGTAATCTTCACCAGTCCAGCCACCTTGACATCAGGGAGGTTAGGCTGTTTTTTCAGGATTCTCCGCAAGGCACAGAGACCTATAAAGAGAGGAAAGTAACACAAGATTTGTCTTTTCCTTCATAAATACAGACTGAATTGATGGCTCCGGTGGCCCATCTGGAGTGGCAACAGTGAAGACACTGGCTGCAGTGGGGGAGGCGTGGCCAGGGCTGCATACTCCACGAAGCCAGTGGGAGCTGGGAACAGGCAGGAGCCCTGCTCTTTTCCAAGTTGGTGGGGTGTGAGCCCCACTCACCCAGGCACAGCTGCAGCTGCCCAGCCATGGCTGTGGACCCAGGTATCCCTCCACTCTCGAGAACCCAGGAAGCACCCCCTGCCCCAACAGGCTCCGAAGTGCCTGCTTCTACTGCCTGGCCTCTCCCCAGTCCCAGAAAAACTTTTTGCCTGCTCTGATTTCAGACCAAAGTTAAGGCTGAGCCAAGCCACTGTCATGACCCACCTAGGTGTTCATGTGCTCAAGGTGGCACTGACAGTCCAGCTCCCTTCCACCTTGGTCCCCTCCAGACTTTGGGTGCCAATGAGTATGTGAGGGAGGCTGAGGGTGGCTTGGCGCAGTCCTGCAAGCGCCCCTCAGCATGAACAGCCCCAGCACCATGGACGACATGATTGATGGCAGCAGGAGGCAGAGAGGCTCCTGGGCAGAAAGGAGTGAGTCCCTGGTGAAGCCCCACCTTTAAGCCAGGGACAGCCTGAAGCATGGAGGGCAGGCTGTCAGAGCTGGGTAGAGTCTGCAGCTGAGACCAAGAACTTATGGTGCTTTTTCTGGGCCTGCCCATGGCCACCCATGGACCAATCAGCATGCACTTCCTCCCTTCTGAAGCCCATAAAAACCCGACTCAGCCAGACTCACTGGGATGTCAGGACTACCAGCTGTGAGAAGGAGCTACCCACCCTGGGTCTCCTCACCACTAAGAGCAGGACATTCACTGGGACACCCTGCCTATGGAAAGGAGCTACCCACTCCGGGTCTCCTCTCCGCTGAGAAGTAGACACTCGTTGGGGCAACCTGCCTGCAGAAAGGAGCCACCCACTCCAGGTCTCCTCTCTGCTGAGAGCTGGACACTCATCAGGCTGACCAGCTTGAGGACAGGAGCTACTCACTCTGGGTCTCCTCTCCGCTGAGAACTGGACACTAGCTGGGATGCCAGATAGGAGCTACCCATTCTGGTCTCCTCTCCACTGAGAGCTGGACATGCACTGGGACAACCTGCCTACAGAAAGAAGCTACCCACTCTGGGTCTCCTCTCCACTGACAGCAGGACACTCATCAGGATGACCTACCTGCAGAAAGGAGCTACCCACTCCAGGTGTCCTCTCTGCGGAAAGCTAGACATTTGTGAGGATGGCCTGCCTGTGGACAGCAGCTACCCCCTCCAGGTATCCTCTCTGCTGAGAGCTGGACGCTCATCAGGACGACCTGATGGCAGAAGGACCTACCCACTTCAGGTCTCCTGAGAGCTGTTCTCTTGCTCAATGAAGCTCCTCTCTGCCTTGCTCACCCTCCAGCTGTCCACATACCTCATTCTTCCTAAAGGCTGCACAAGAACTCAGGACCTTCCAAATGGCAGGACTGAAAGAGCTGTAACACAAACAGGACTGAAACACGCCCACTGGTCACCACATTTTGGGCAATGAGAAGAAGAGGAGCTGTGGCCCTCTGGGGAGCCCAGATGCAAGGGCTGTGATCAGAGCTGTGATACCAGAGCTGTGACACTCTCTTTGGGGCTCTGCTGTTTCCAACATCTCCAAGCTTCCAGGTACCACCACGTTACCTGGTGCCCACGGTGGAAAACACTTGTGGTATGCCTGGTCCAGCCACATCCTCACACAGAGCCGGTGCCTGTGCCTGCACCTGGGGCTGTCCACTCCACTGCAGCCAGCATGCCTGGCTGTGTGCAGTGGCCGGACCTCGGGCTCACTCACACCCCCTTCACTGCTCTGCGCCTGGCTCACCCTTGGCAGGTGTAGGATCCAGGTCAATAGCACAAGCCAAGTACAGCCTGCTGGACCAAGTGGGCAGAACAAGCCCAGTGGGCCCGAGGATATAACTCGGGCAGAGGTGCCACCGGCCACAGAGGTTTCTGGCTGGAAAAGTGACACCCTAAGGATCCTGTGACAGAATTATCACCAATAAAAATATTAAAAAACCCAAACCCCATGCAAGATTACAGCATTTAAAACATTTTGTCCTTGTAGGGGAGGGGATGAGAGGTTGGAAGAGAGGTGGAAGAATGTGAAGAATAAATGTAAAAATCCAAGCACTTAGTTTTGGCAATGAAAATATGACAAATACTTAATATGAGAAAGCATTATTTACAAATATAAAATAGAATTTACAAAACAACATCCATAAAAAAAGCCAAAAAGATTTATCAAAATAATTTGTTTGGGGAACTTCTTTTAAAAGAGTAAAATATTAAAATTAAAACATGCTTTTGCCCCTGCCCTTTTGGTAAATACATTCAAACTAGAATTACAAAGTTTTAAGGTACTGGGAAAACACCTGCAAGCAAACATTCAGGTGGCAGTTGGAAATGTGATTTTGAAATACAAGAGCGAAGCAAACTTCAGAGTGATGTGCATACATGTAAGATTTGATATTATAGCAAGGGAGAGATCTAAAAGGGGAGGCTAGTGAGGGGTCAGGGATGGAGGAATAAGTGTAGAAGGCTCAATCTTAGGAAAGCCCATCAATTGAATAGCATAAAAAGAAACGATGTTTTAAAAGGGAAAGAAAAACTAGGATGACGTAGAATAAAAGGTACTAAAGCAGCCAGGAAGATAGTCAACAAAGTCAAATTTAGAGAGATCCAAAATAAATTCAAAGATACCATGCTGACTTGAGAAGTTAGATACTAAGTTCTTTGTCTTTGCTATTTGCTTGAAATTTAAACATTGACAAGAGTGAATGTCCTCTCCATCAGGCTGTGAGATTTAGAGCCCTTTGATCTGTGACGACCTTTAGTCTAGAAGACAGTAAGTCACTATATGCTCTTTGTGTTAAGAGTGTTTAATAAAATTCCACTTTGAAGGAGTTTAATCTCAGAGATCTCTCAGAAATCCAGTCTGAATATCTAAAGTTATCCTGGAACACCAGCTAGCTCCCATGATTTTTTAACCTTTCTTGTTCAAAACACTATACCTCAATACATTTTTACTAAATTAAAATGATACCACTCCATCATTTTGTTTTCACTTATTTGAACTTTTATATATAAACAGAAGCATTAATAAAAAGAAGATACAAAACTCCACAAAACAGAGGGTTGAGTATCTTTCTCTACCAAGAAAAAGCAGTGAATAGTACAAACATACACCAAAAATAGATCCCCTGCTTCCTAAAGACAGCAAGTCACTTCTTTAGGACATCTTACAAATACCCACTTGCTTTATCTGCCTTCCAAAATGCTGAAAGATGGTTCTTCACATCTCTTGCACTTCTGCTTGAGAGTAAAATCACTGACTGCCTCTGTTCAAGACTATCTTTTAAAGGATGTTGGTATGCAGGAAAAGAAAGTGTCTCTCTCCAAAGCAAAGGATAGACATGCTTACTGTCCATTATAAAAGATTCAGGTTCTACAATTCAAGGCTCCCCTACTGTGATGCAAGCCTATAAAGGCTCAGGTGTCAGGTAGCCCTCTGTATCACTCCGTGAAAACTGAGGCTCAGGAACTGGTGCAAATGCTGCTACTCTAGCTAATTATGTTGCTGCAATATTCTTTCCTTTGACTCTTCTGCAGCCACTCACAAAATTTGTTAGAATAGAGTAAAAGTAGAGTAAAATCTCAGACCCTTTACAATTCTTGACATGTTTATGTTTGCTATGGTATGAATGTTTTTGTCTCCTCCAAAACTCATGTTAAAACTTAATCCCTAATGACACACTGATGGGAGGTGAGGCCTAATGAGAGGTGTCTCCAGCCTCATGAATGGATTAATACAGCTATAAGAAAGGCTTGCCCTTTTTCTTACCCTTCTGCTATGTGAGGACACAACGTTCCTCTCCTTTAGAGAATATGGCATTCAAGGCACCATCTTGGATGCAAAGAGACTGAGCCCAAACCTGCCAGCACCTTGATCTTGGACTTTCCAGCCTCCAGAACTGTGAGAAATAAATTTCTGTTCTTTGTAAATTACCAAGTATGTGGTATTTTGTTATAGCAGCAGAAACTGGACTAAGACGATGATAAATTGGGTCGATTTACTACTCGACATCCTCATTAGTTAAATGGAGCAGAAGCATTAAAAAATATTCAGTGATAAAGACAGTCCCTGACTTAGGATTCAACTTAAGACTTTTCAACTTTATGGCCAGGTGTGGTGGCTCATGCCTGTAATCCCACCACTTTGGGAGGCCAAGGCAAGCGGATCACCTGAGATCAAGAGTTCGAGACCAGCCTGACCAACATGGAGAAACCACGTCTCTACTAAAAATACAAAATTAGCCGGGTGTGGTGGTGCATGCCTGTAATCCTAGCTGCTTGGGAGGCTGAGGCAGGAGAATCGCTTGAACCCAGGAGGCAGAGGCTGCGGTGAGCCGAGATCGCACCATTGCACTCCAGCCTGGGCAATAATAGCAAAACTCCGTCTCAAAAAAAAAAGAGTTTTCCACTTTACAATGGTACAAAAGCAATATGAATTCAGTAATTTTCTTGCAACGCTGGGCAGCCACAGCAAGCTACAGTTCCAAGTCAGCCACACACATATTTTGACTCACTAGTTTTTTCAGGACATAACCCCATCATAAGTTGAGGAGTATCTATGCAGTGCCATGTTGTATCAAACAGTACCTTGTGGCCTGGGAAAATTTAAGCTGTTCCTAAAATATCTAACATAAATGGATGTAATCAAAATACTTCAATGCCAGATAGTATCTGGCAATACTTGCCAATATTTCTAATTTGGACCAGATACATCACCCTACTGAGACAGAAAAACTGAAACAGGGAAAATGGTCTAGTAATTTTCCTGCCACTTTTTTTTATATCATGCAAACATAAAATCTGACACTAAATGATACATTATTTTCATTTAAGGAAGGGGTCTAGAAAACACAGGCAATATGTGGTTTTTAAAAGTATATTTAATATTATAATATAAACATATTTATAAAATAACAAAATCTCTATTATTTCTAATACAAACTACAGAATTTAAGCTGGATAAAATCTCCACTCCTCTGAACATAGAAAGAAAATAGTAACTCACAGGAGGAAAACAAAGGCAAGAGAAACATGGAATTTTTCAAAAGTTAAAAAATAGTAAAGTACAAGTTGGGCACGGTGGCTCACACTTGTAATCCCAACACTTTGGGAGGCTGAGACGGGCGGAGAGCTTGCATCCAGGAGTCCGAGACTAGCCTGGGCAACACTGTGTGTCTTCATCTCTAAAAAAATTTCAAAAATTAGCCAGGCTTCGTGGCATGTGCCTATAGTCCTAGCTACACGCAATGACTGTTTGAGCCCAGGAAGTCAAGACCGCAGTGAGCCATCATCATGCTGCTGCACTCAGTCACTAAACTTGGGTGACAGGTGAGACCCTGTCTCCAAAAAAGTAAAGTACAAAGACTGATTCTGTAATAAACATAGCACAACTTAATGTACCCAAATAATAAGTAAACATCTGTTGCAATGTTTGCAATGCATACTAGCCCCTAATAAGCCAAGGAGACAAACATAGGATATTCACTAAAGGCCAAGTTAAAATGTTTAACTAAAAAGACAATGGGAAGAGGATGAAATAATAAAAATACTTGCCTATTCCAAAAGAATGAAAAAAAAAACAGGAAAAAAAACATACAAGTGGGGCAAATAAGGAAGTACATTAAACCTAAGTATTTTAAGATATTACCCTAAATATAAATGTATTAAGTACTTGAATTTAAACAATGACAACAGCAGATGGATTAAAAAAATAAAACCCCAATTTACCCTGCATACAAGTGATGTATCTGAAATATAAGAATATACAAAGGTTGAAAGTAAAAGAATAAAAGGAATACTATGCAAATATACACAGAATGAAATATACATGGAAGGATAACAGTGCACCTATATCTACTATCAAATAGGCATTAAGTAAGAGGCATCACCAGACACTCGGGGTAATAAAAGGGTCAATTCACCAAGAATATACAAAATTCTAAATTAATACATGCCTGATAACAAAATTCAAAATACATAAAACAAAAGTAAACAGAACTAAATGGAGAAACAGACCTTGCCTGCAGGTTTTAACATACTTCCCTTATTAGCCAAAATTTTTAAAAAGAATATATAGAAGATACCAGAAGATACGAAAAACAAAGTTAACTCACTTATCCTAATTGGTATATATTAAAAAACAACATCAAAATAATAAAATAACTCTGTTTTCCAGCATACCTGGAATATCTACCAAAACTGACCCTATGCTAGGACACAAAGCAACTCTCCATGTAACTCAAGGATTGAAATCATAAAGTATAGTTCTCTGACCTCAGGAGAATGAATAACAAAATCAGTAACAAAAAAATGCTAAGAAATACACAAATATTTGAAAATCAGTTAATTCATTTCTAAATAACTCATGGCTCAAAAAAAATCACAATGAAAACTGAATTTTTTCAACTGAATAATAATACAAATATAATATGAAAATCTGTAGGATGCTGCTACTGCAGTACTGAAGGGGACACTGGTAGGCTTAATGTAGATAAAAAAAAAAAAAGACTGACAGTCAGTGAGGCATTCATCTTAAGAAATTAGAAAAAGAAGAAATTAAACCTAAAAGAAAAAAGAAGGAGGGAAATAATGAAGAAAACAAATGCACAATTAAAAAAAGTAACCAGTAAAGCCAAAGGTTGGTTGTCTGAAAATGAGAGAAGAGACACATTTCCAATACTAGGAATGAAAAAGCAGACATCATTACAAAACCTACTGCCATTAAAAAGATAAGAGGATAGTAGGAATAACTTTATGCCAAATAATTTGAAATGTAGATAAAATGAACAAGTTTCTAGGGGAAAAAAATTTACCAAAACTAATATACAAACAAACTATACAATTTGAATATTTCAATAGATATTAAAGAAATTAAATCTATAATTAAAACCTTTCCTACAGAGAAAATTCTAAGTACAGATGGCTTCACTGATAAATGTCACCAAATACTTAAGGATGAATATGACATTAATTTTTAAAAAATTGTTCCAGAGAAAAAATAATTCCCAACTTGATTCACAAGGGTAGCATAATCTTGCTCCTCAAATCTTAAAGGGACATTACAAGGAAAAAAAATTACAGGTCAATCTCTCATGAACATAGGTGCAAATATCTTAAACAAAACATCAGCCAAAAGATCAATACATTAAAAAGAATTACAAAATTGTGACAACTTGGCTCTATTACAGGAATGCCAGATTCATGTAACATTTAAAAATCAATCAACATCATTCTTCCCATTAATAGAATAAAGAGTTCATATGACTATCTCAATAAATGTAGAAATGTGATAAAATATCATTAATTATATTTTTTTAAAAGCTAGGAATAGATACAAACCTCCTTATCACGCATACAACAAAAAAAATTCTTAATATTAAGTAACAGTTTGTAAACTTTCTATTAAATCAAGAATGAGATAAGGATTACTATTGTTACCACTTCTATTAAATACTGTCAGAGGTCCTATGTAGTATAGTAAGTCAAGGAAGACAAAGAATAGGTGTAGAGTTGAACAAAATAAAATTTAAAACTCATTATTTGAAATGTATACATAGAAAACTATAACATAATTGATAGATAAAAAACTCAAAAGAACTTACATACACACTACTAAAATTTTGTTTTTTGTGGTTTTTTTGAGACAGGGTCTCACTCTGTCACCCAGTCTGGAGTGTAGTGGTGCAATCTCAGCTCATTATAGCCTCAACCTCCCACACTCAAGTAATCCTCCTACCTCAGCCTCACAAGTAGCTGGGACTACAGGTGCATACCACCACGCTCAGCTATTCTGTAAATTTTCTGTAGAGATGGTGTCCCACTATGTTGCCCAGGCTCGTCTCAAGCTCCTGGGCTTAAGGGATCCTCCCACCTTGGCCTCCCAATGTGCTGGAGTTATAGGTATAAGCCACTGTGCCTGGCCCACACTATTAAAATTAATAAGTGCATTTGGCAAGGTAGGTAGACACAGTCAATACAAAAAAAATTACTTTTTCTATTGGGAGGCCAAAGCAAGTGGATCACTTGAGGTCAGGAGTTCATGACCAGCCTTGCCAACATAGTGAAACCCTGTCTCTACTAAGCTACTTGGGAGGCTGAGGCACAAGAATTGCTTGAACCCGGGAGGCAGAGGTTGCAGTGAGCTGAGATAGTGCCACTGCACTCCAGCCTGGGTGACAAAGCAAGACTCCGTCTCAAAAAAAAATTTTTTTTTACTTCTTCTAGATACAGACATGCGTTGCTTAATGACAGGGATACGTTCTAAGAGATGTGTCTTTATGCGATTTTGTCATTGTGCAAACATTATAGAGTATACTTATACAAATCTAGATGGTATGGCCTACTATACATCTAGGCTATATGGTATAGCCTATTGCTTCTAAGCTACAAACCTGTGCAGCAAGTTACTATACTCAATACTGTAGGTAACCGTAACACAATGGTATTTGTATACCTAAACATAGAAAAAGAAAAGGTACAGTAAAAATACAGTATAAAAGATTTACAAAGATCGTGCCACTGCACTCCAGCCTGGGTGACAAAGTGAGATTCCGTCTCAAAAAAAAAAAAAAATTTTTTTTTTACTTTTTCTAGATACAGCCATGCATTGCTTAATGACAGGGATACATTCTGAGAGATGTGTCTTTATGTGATTTTATCATTGTGCAAACATCAAAGAGTCTACTTATGAAAATCTAGATGGTATGGCCTACTATACAGCAAGGCTACAAACCTGTAAGGCATGTTACTATACTCAGTACCATAGGTAACTATAACACAATGGTAAGTATTTGTGTATCTAAACATAGAAAAAGAAAAGGTACAGTAAAAATATAGTATAAAAGATTAAAAAATGTTATACCTGTGTGGGCACTTACCATGAATGAGGCTTATAGGACTGGAAGTTGCTCTGGGTAAGTCAGTGAGTATGTGCTGAGCAAATGTGAAGGCCCAGGACATTACTATACTCTACTGTAAACACTATCCACTTAGGCTACACCAAATTTAAAAATAATAATACTAATTACACTACTACTTTACAATGGTTATGATGTCACTGGATGATAGGAATTTTTCAGCTCCATTATAATCTTACAGAGCCACTGTAGTATATACCATTCATCCTTGACTAAAACATCGTTATGCAGTCCGTGACTATACTAACATAAAATAATTACAAGTGAAACTTTACAAAATGCCATTCATAAGTGCATTCAAAAAACCAAAGTACCTAAGAATAAATCTAATTAACAGTATGCAAGACTTTTCACATAAAACTACCAAACTACCTGGAGGGAAATTAAGGAAAATCTAAAATAAAATGAAGGAATCTAAGAAGTTCATGGATTACAAGGTATTAACTTCCCAAATCTCTCCAAATTGATTGAAAGACTTAATAATTCCAATCAAAATGCAAGCCAGTTTACTGGGTGGGGAGAAGGAAGAACCCGACACATTGATTTTAAAACTTCTATGGGAATGCAAAGTGCCAACAATAGTCAAGAAAATTTTGATGACCATTTTTTTAAAAAAATATCACTTACCCTCCAGAAATTATGACTTTTTATAAGGCTGAAAGTATTGAAGACATTTCAGTATTGTGGACAAGGATAAAAGACCATTGAGGCAGAGCAGAGAATCTAAAATGAACACAAACCCTTGATTTATGTACAACAAAGGTAACACAGAAGCAAGGCAGAAATTGATGGTCATTTCAATAACTGGTATAACACATCTATATGAAAAAAAGTGAAGCAATTAAAGATAGCAACATGAAAGGAAAAACAATAAAAGCATCAAGAAGGTAAGAGAAAATATACCTAACAGTAGATTTGACCAAGATTTCTTAAGCTAGCTACAAAAATCACCAGCCACGAAGAAAAAGACTGATGAACTGGATCCTTTATATCAATATATATTATAATAAATATATAATTATAAACTTTCTGTTCCTCAAAAAGATACTACAGAGAATAAAAATGTAAGCCACAGAGTAGAAGATATTTAAAATACATATATCTAACAAAGGTCTCACAACTAAGCTATATTAATAACTTCCACAAATCAATATATTTTTAAAAAGTAACCCTACAGAAAAATTGAATAGATACTTGACAGGCACATCACAAAGAAAGACATCTAAATGGTCAATTCAAATATAAAAAGTACTCAGACTCAGTCATCAGGGAACTAAAACCACAATGAAATACTGCTATAAACTCCATGTCAGCACCCACGAGAAGAAACTGGAATTTTCACGCACAACAGGTAGAAAGGTAAATTGGTAAAATCACTACAAAAACGTTTTGGCAGTATTTAGTAACAAGAATCCTATAACCCAATAATTCCACTCTTAGACAAATAATAGACAGAAATGCATACATTTGTGCAGCAAAAGGCATGTGCAAGAATGTTCATGGCATTACTCATAATACTTAAACAATCGAATTCAGCAATAAAAATGAACTCCTGCTATGCAGAATAAAATGATGAAGCTCCCAAACCATAAAACAAGTGAAAGAAGAGAAGGCAAAACAGGCAAAACTGATCTATGGCATTCGAAGCCAGGAGAGTGGTTGCCTTTTGGGTTGAGGTGAGCATGTAGGGCTGGGAAAGGGTCTGAGAGAGGTACCAGGAAGCTAGTAATGCTCTGTATCTTGATCTGAGTGGTGGTTACACAAGTGTGTTCACTTTGGAAAACACATGGATATTTTAGCTTATGCTCTCTTATGTATACATGCAATACATTGAGAAAGAAGTTTATTTTAAAAAAGTATGTAAAAAGTGTGGCGCAAGTAAAAAAAAACTATAAATAAAGCAACAACACAGAGCTGGTTTAAATAACATTGAGGGATGGTAGTTTTAGAAATTATAAACTGCAGTTTAAAATGAAATATCATTGTATCAATATTAGCTCATCAATTATAACAAAGGTACCACACTAACTCAAGACAGTAATAATGGGAGAAGCTGGAAAAAAGGGAAGTTACATGGAAATTATCTGTACTTTCTGCTTTATTCTTCTGTAAACCTAAAACTGCTCTAAAAAAAGTCTATTAATTTAAAAAAATTTTAATAAAATGAAAAAACTCAGTTCTAAGTATCCATATGTACATATACAATGAAGTTTATTCCTTAATATTTTATTACTAAAACAGGAAAATATCTTTATTTAGAGTACTTTCTAATCAGAATAATTAAAAACATGATGATCTAGGAAAATAAATCCATAAAAAAGGTTTTGGGGCTGAATGCAGTGACTCACACCTATAATCCCAGCACTTCAGGAGGCCAAGGTGGGAGGATCACTTGAGGCCACGAGTTTAAGACCAGTCTCGGCAATACTGCAAGACCCTACCTCTTTAAAAAAATAATAAAAACAGTTTTGGGAATTTTCTATACAGAAATCCTGATCAGGCTCAGAATCATTGCAGGACATATTTATAAGCTGACTAGTGTGCAAAATATACTAGAATACAAAATATAGATTATATGATTTAAAGTATTCACAAAGAGTTTTGATTTGCCAGAATATTTTATACAAACGAATATGGTTGGTATGAAAGGCAGGGTGACTAAAGAAGAAAAACAAAACTTGAGGAGAGAGAACAGCATTTTTTACATGCCGTTACTCTGATTTTTTTTTTAAGAGACAAGGTCTTGCTCTATTACCCAGGCTGGAGTGCAGTGGTACAATCATAGCTGACTGCAGCCTCAACTCCTAGACTCAAGCAATCCTCCCACTTCAGCCTCCCAAGTAGCTAGGACTACAGACACACACTACCACCACCGGCTAATTTTATTTCTCTTAGAGACAGAGCCTTGCTACATTGCCCAGGCTGGTCTCAAACTCCTGGCCTCAAATTATTCTCCTGGCCTGGCCTCCCAAAGTGCTAGGATTGCAGGTGTGAGCCACTGCACCGAACTGGTTTTGAAAATATTTTTTAAAAATAGTTCTCAGTAATGGAACCCCTGTTCTTGTATTTCTTGCCAATTCAGTTACAATTCATGTTAAAGGAAAGCAATTAAAGTATTATTATATCATAAAGCCACTGAGAAGATATATTCATTGACCACAGGAGTTACTCTTTCATGGGCACTCTTTTCAATATTAACTCATCTATTCACTCAAAATATTCAACAAGAACCTCCTAGACATAATTACTTCATTAAACAATTGTACTGAGCTCTTACATATGAGGGTACACAAGAAGGCAAATCAATCTCTCACAGCTAACAGTCTAATAGGAGAGATACATCATAACGCGTAGTTATTATAAACTATGCCAAGTACTGTGACATGGAAAGAACAAAGTGGCACAAAAACACGTCAGGAACATCGAACTCAGTTTCAGGAAGGATTAGTTTACCTAATGACTCTCACAGAAATCATTTAGTACATTCCTTTATTTCACAAATGAAAAACTGAAACATATATCTAAGTTCAAGTAATTAGCCCTGAAAAGTGAATCGATGTTAACCTGATAAAATAGGAATTGGGGCCAAAGAGGCAGCCGACTATTCCAAGCAGGGGGAACAGCATATAAATAGAGACAAGAATGAGCATAGCACTTTAGAGATTAGGAGGCCCTATAGAATAATAAAAGATAAAATCCTAAGTCTCCAGAGTTCAGTCTTATACATATGAAAGAACATGTTTAAATAAACCTACATCCAACTCTATTACTTCGTTTGTAGGTATGTGAGGATATAAAGTATGGTGGATTGTTAGAAAGGAGAAAAGAACAATAGGTAAGTTTACTGATTTGCAAAAGCTATAAAAACGTAAGAGATCCTGGAGACCCCTGCCACAGGCCTTCAGATTCTTTCCCACTCTGAAGTATTGATTCTGGACTCTATATAAACGTATCCTATTTTACACAACAAATGCTATTCTTGAAAATAACATGTAAGTTGAAAAACAGAATTTGTATGAATTAAATGTTAAATATATTATCAAGAGCTTACAGAAATTAAAGATCCTTGGAGCTATAATACTAATGCAACCAATCCTCCATGGCTCTAGGTCTGCCATTAACTAGCTCAGGCACAACTTTAAATAAGACTTAGCCCTTTTGGCCATCAGTTACCTCATTTATTAAATGAAAAGATTAAAATGTATTTTGTCTAATTATTCAAATTTAAATAACTTAAAATTCTATGATGCTAAGTTTAAATTATTGGCCATCACCATTTCTAATAAGGCCATACTGGAACCCATAATGAAAGATTAAATTTTTAAAAATACATATATTTTTAGAAACCTGAAGACAATTAACTAGAAGAACAAATGGACACATGTACATCAAGGAATATGGTTGAAAGTAAGCCATCAACATTTCCTCTTCTCACTAACTTTGGAGTTAATTTTTTAAAAATGTAAGCAAATGCAGAAGCAATACTGCTATGTTAAGAAACACAATTTTGAAATAAAAAAGAGGTGTGGCTAATTCAACAAAAAATGTATCATCTTCTTTTCATTATTTTATTTTCCAGTGCTCTTAAAATTTTTAAGACTGGAAAACAAGATACCTTGAAGGGAAGAAAAGGCAAAATGCTTTAGAGAGCCAAATGTCAACACACTGTTTCCAACGTATGACTTGTATATGACTTGCTCCACCTCAAGCTCTACATCAATATTTCAATATAACCAATTCTGGACAAGAGCAATTATTCTAAACCCATGCTCTTCAAAACCATCTGCTCCAGATGCAAACAACAAACATCATCTTGTCCCCATGTTTATAAAATCCTACAATTTTATACTCAGTGCTTGCTAAGTTATATGTTATTTTTGAGATCACAATTAAGCTCCTTCATTAGAAACTAACAATAAAATTAAACTGATCAGAGAAGTTAACAATCCCTTTTAGAATTACTACCTGCCTACAGAAACTTAATTATATGAAAAGGTAACATAAAACTTGGACATCTGGATCTCATATTTAAATTCTAAAAGTTGAGCATAAAATTTGCTAATGATATACTCACATATATGAAAACAAAGCAAGTATAACAAAAATCTAAGTCTCCTTTTTTTAAAATGTACTTTCCTCAAAATATCAGAACTCTAAAAAATTTGTTTTATTTGGAGTCTTTATTCTCCCTCAACTCTGTATTAAGTATAGACAAGGTGCTAAGTATCACTTGCTGTACCACTAGGAAAGTTTCATTTCTCACTGCCCATTAATAAATAAATTTTTAAAAAATCAAATAGAATATCCTTAAAGGTTATTGTAGTTCTCACCTTATTTATATTATAAGTGACTGCTGTAACTTAAACTGATCAAAGGAGCCAGTCTATTCCAAACCCTCTATCACTTTCAAAAGTTGCTTTTAAAGGTAATGGCACTGTGGAAGGCACATTTGTCTCCAGATCTGAACCTTAAGCCAAGGCTTATTTCTCACTAACTGCTTGAGTTTAAATGTATCACATAGTCTCTCCTCATCTGTGAAATAAGGGAATGTACTAAATTATCTCTGAAAGAGTAGTCGATTATTCTATTCTAGTTGCAGTTTTTGCAATTACTTTTTTTTTTTTTTTTTGAGACAGTCTTGCTCTGTTGCCCAGGCTGAAGTGCAGTGCCATGATTTTGGCTGACTGCAACTTCCTCCTCCTGGGTTCAAGCAATTCTTGTGCCTCAGCCTCCCAAGCAGCTGGGACTACAGGCATGTGCCACCACACCCGGCTAATTTTTGCATTTTTAGTAGAGACGGGGTTTCACCATGTTGGCCACACTGGTCTCGAACTCCTGACCTCAAGTGGTCCACCCGCCTCAGCCTCCCGAAGTGCTGGGATTACAGGTGTGAGCCACTATGCCCAGCCGCAATTACTTTTGCACCAACCTATAGTTGTAAAACATCAAGATTAATTCACTTCACCAGTCCTAGGTTTCAAACTGCCCTAAATACAGTTTCCATTTTCAAATTTTTCATATTTCATTATTTACCTACCTGGCTTAACAACCTTACTAAAATACTGAGTTTTGTTTTTGTTTTTGTTATTTGAAAAAAGGTGATTAGAGTACAATTTGTATGCCAAGAGAAGCTGAAGATTCACAGCTGGGTAGACTAAGTCAGGGCCCAGGTAAGAGAAGAGTAACCAGGAAAATAATAAAGAAATATAGTTAGATTTGGTTTTTACTGGAGACAGGGAGGGATGACAAGGAGGGAGGACTAACTATATTTATCCCTCTTTTATGGAAAGCATAAAAACTCTAAATATTAATAATAATACATCAACAAAACTAAAAAAGAAATTGACAATCACTATATCTGCTTCTTCAACTCTCAATCAATCACCCTTCAATTTATTGCAATCCAGCAGCTAGGCACAAGACACCACTAGAATGTCTCTCTTCCACACTCCCATGACCTCCCAAGTAGGGAACTAAGCACTTTATGTAACTGTGGTCTCTACTGTGATCAACACTGTTGATCCTAGTTCCACTATTTATTACCTGTGTGATCTTGGGAAATTTCCTTAATCTGACATAAGTTTCCTCAACTACAAAATAAAGAGAACCTCAGAGAGCTGCTGTGAGGAAGAAATGTGTTAGTACATACAAGGTGCTTCAAACAGTGGTTGACATAATCCAAGTACTCAATGAGTGTGAACCAATACCCATTATTTCCTCACTGAGTGCTTACCTCATTTCATCTGAGTCACCACTTCTTTGGGTTCTCTTCCCATCTCTCTAGCCACTCCTCAGTTTCCTATACCAAATATTTTTTAACAACCCAACCTTTGAATGACAGTATTTCCCAAGACCTTTCTACTGTATTAGCATTCTGAATGCACCCTGATCATTCACATAACACCCAACACACTGTATTGTACTTATCTTATATACTGTTCCATTTCCCTGTGAGTCTTAGTTTCATGAGGAGAGAGCCCAAGTCTATCTTATTCATTGAGGTAGCCCCACCATCTAGTGCAGTACCTGGCTCAATGAGTGAAGGAACTCTACTCACCTTCTGTTAGTGATTTCATTCTTTCTACAGCTTCACCATGTTAACTACTAACAACTCCCAAGTCCATATCTCTAACCTAGACCTGTCCTCATCTTCAAAACCTATAATTCAAAGTCTTCCAAGTTAGACAATGTAAAAAATAAAGATAGATGAGAGGTGAAAAAGAAACAGTAGGCAGGAAGAAGGTATTTCAATAGTCCAGACAAGAGCTGATGATGGTGTGAACTGTGGTATAGCAGTGAAAGTAGTTAATTTTTTTAAGAGGTCAAATTCTGAATAAGTATGAAAACAGAGCTGACAGGATTAGATAAAAAAAGAGTAAGAGAAAAAAGAATCAAGAATAACTCTCAGAAATAACTTTTATTTAGATAGCCTGGTTTTATTTTTGTGATTGTTTTAATTAGAAAGAAAACCTTTCCTCAAGTTTTATATTTTTATAGTCTTGGCAAAACAACCCAGAAAATCTTCTACTAGCAAAGTAAATAGTATATGTCATTTAGAGCTTAAACAGAATCAAAACTACCACCTCTTTTTCTGAAACAAACCATTCAGTTCCAGTCATCTCAAATGAGTAGCAAAAGTAATACTAAAATACCCACTTCACTGATAAAAATAATTCCATCTCTATATAATATCCATAATATTTACACAGTAGGACAAATCCCAATATCACAAATATAACATTCTATAACTACATTTTAGAATTATAAAACAGAGGAGAAAATTCATTGCCTTATGAAATATGCTGCAAAATTACTGCTTATTTATCTAGCTACAATAATACGTCCCTTGTAAAATGCATTAATTAGAGCAGGGGTCCCCAACCAATGGCCCATGGGCTGGTACTAGCCTATTAGGAACTGGGCTTCACAGCAGGAGGTGGGCAGCAGGCGAGCAAGCATTACTACCTGAGCTCCGCCTCCTATCAGGTCAGCAGTAGCATTAATTCTCCTAGGAGTGTGAACTCCACTGTGAATTGTGCACGTGAGGGAAATAGGTTGTCTGCTCCTTATGAGAATCTAATGCCTGATGATCTGAGGTGGAACAGTTTCATCCGGATATCATCCCCACCCTCTCACCCCAGGTCCATGGAAAAACTGTCTTCCACAAAACCGGTCCCTGGTGCCAGAAAGGTTGGGGACCACTGAATTGGACTGATTATCATGACATATACATCAATTTAACTTGTATTCCTACTACTGTTGCTCTATGACACGCCTACAGCGAACTCACATCTGGGATGACCCAAAGTTCAGCAAGAAAATCTGTCAGCCAGAACAGTGGTTCATGCTTGTAATCCCAGCACTTTGGGAGGCTGAAGTGAGCAGATCACTTGAGGTCAGGAATTCAGGACCAAACTGGTCAACATGGTGGAACCCCGTCTCTATTAAAAATACAAAAATTAGCCAGGCGTTGTAGTGCATGCCTGTAATCCCAGCTACTCAGGAGTCTGAGGAAGGAGAATCATTTGAACCCAGGAGGCAGAGGTTGCAGTGAGCCAAGACTGCGCCACTGCACTCCGGCCTGGGCAAAAAGCGTAAGACTCCGTCTCAAAAAGAAAGAAAATCTGTCAAGGAGGCTACCCAAAAACAAGCCATATCTCTAGTCTGCATATTCTTACTGACGGGCAAGATTTTTACTGATTCAGATTCAGTGAAAATCACTACTTTAGCAAAGCAAAGGATTCTGCCAGAGTTCCCTATCTTTTATACTAGGATAATCAAGAACACTTCATATCAGAAAAATTGCCAAAATCCAAACAAGCTTCTACCAGAGAAATGCATAAATATACGTAAAATACAATTTTTAGAAAATGTTTAAATATCAATTTTCCAGAGGCGAAAGAAGAAAAGGAGAAATTAAGTGACACTTATCAAGGGCCTATATAAACCATCACCACTGCTGCCAGGCTATATTACTAAACCTCATAAGAACTCTTAAAACCATATAGTGTTATCCCTACTTAGCTGGTGAGGATATAAAACCCAAGAGGTTGAATAGCTTGCTCAATGTTTATCAGCTGATAAAGTATAATGATAGCATCTGAATGTAGAGCTCACCATAAGCTTTGCAATAAGTCCCATTATTTCCCTGGACTTTATTTTAAAATATCAAATTTCTACAGTATCAATATTTTAATTCTAACTTAGAAAACAACGTTGACAGAATTGAAAAAATAGTAAAAAATATTAGAAACAGAACCTTTCATAAGAGTTGGACTATTACATACATAGCAGATGCTCCATAAATCCCTGTTAAAGTAAGCTAGTTGGGGGTGGAGGGACAAATGAGCTAAAAATATCTCAGAACACTGGACAAGAGATAAAATTTTCCATCTCAGAAAAAGTTACAATTATTAGATTCGGTATTGCTACTAGACAGATTTAAGTGCTGTAATAACAAAATAATTATTTAAATATGAGTTTTAATTCTTCCTGTTCTGTTATGCTACCTTATCAAGGCCTGAGAATTTGGTAAGAACATGTTGAAATGATGTGTAATTAACAAGGATGCTAAAGACAATTCTTAGAGACGCAAAGCAAATACTTCCTTTCACCATAAACAAAATGACTAAGTCCACTTCTTGAAGAAATCAAGATCTATTTATATTCACTCTCCTGAAATGGCACAGGCAGCCTTAGAAGGATAAGTTTATAATAAATCCCTATATTTGGAAAACATTGTTGTAAGCATCTTCTAACATTCAACAGAGTTTACGAAACTTATGTCACTGCTACATAATTAATATTTCATGTTTTCCCAAAAAATGCAGTATGCTTATCTATGTTGTTAATTTAAAACATTATAAATTTTGAGGGAATTAATAAAAGGCTATGCAACTAATTAATTAGAAAGGCAGCCTAATCCCAGCAGGAATACAAACACAGACACTAAATGTCAGGATGTGTTAGAGTCTAGCTTGTAAACAACTTGCCCATTTGAGATAAAACATTTCAAAATGCAGCTGCTCTTTGCTTTAAAAAGGTGAACTACAAAACATTAGCTCTTTGGACAAGTCACGACATATCAAACCACACTCTAGCTAAAAAATTAATTATAAAGAAAATATAACTTTTGAAAATAAGCTTCACACCCAATCACAAACACCAAACGTTGTTATCTGCTCAGATAATGTGAGATCTAAGGGTTGAAAGCAACACTTCCTATTGTAGTGCTTCCAATTTTCATATTCATTATGGGAACAAAGTTAAAAGATATGGAAAATACTTAGTAACCTGGAATAAAAGATTAGAGATGTTGAGAGTAAGCACACTGTAAAAGACGCATTATCACTCTCACAAAGTATGGATTGTAAACCTTCTATCCTCTGAAAAGGCATGTACAATCTACACAAACACTACAGAGGTTTTGTATTCATATCCTACAAACAATAACCTTTAGATTACAGAAACAATCAGGAAGCATAGCTCACTATGTTCTAAGAAATTCTGAATCACTTCAATTCATGCCATTACTAGACATACGTGCACAACTTTTGTTAAAAAGTACAGAGCTTCCTTCACTATGCGGCAGTCCAGAAGAGGGAAAATCATCAGAGACACAACATATAAAAAGCACAAACATGCAGGTCCACAATCTTAACTAGGAAATACACATGTCTGTACTCTTACTTGTATTCTGAATTGTTAATTAACTGTTTTACTTGTGACTTTTTTTCAGAATTATTTGCCACTTTTAAAGTTTTATTCGGAACCATTATACATAACTGAAAAACTTAAGACATTCATTTTCTCTTGAGTGGCAAAGTTAAATGATAGTTTGGAAGAGCACATTACTATCACAAAAAACTTCTGGGAGGAAACGCAACAACACTATTAGAGACGGTCAAAGAATTTCAATCCCTAAATTTAATCCAGTTATTTAAATCAGTTAGAGAATCTCCAAAAACTGGGTAGTTGGTTGCCCTAGATCAGTGATTCTCAAAGTACAGTTCTTGGACCAGCAGCAATGACATACCTGCAAGCTTGTTAGAAATGCAAATCTGGGGCCCCACTTGGACCTTCTGGACCTACAGGAATCAGCAGGATAGACCCCAGAACTGTGTTTTCACGAGCTCTACAAATGCTTCTTACATAGGTTGGAGAACCACTTGCCTAAATCAGCGAATCAAATGTCCAGTCACAGACAAGGGCAAGACTGGCTGCTTCAAAATCACTTGGAAAACATTATAGATCCTGCCTCCAGCTTCCTAACTCCCTTAAACACTTAATTATGAGTGGGAATGTGACTGTGAGCATGAGTGAATGTGTAGTTTCCCAGGTGAGCCTGATGCATAATGAGGTTTAGGAACTAATGCCCTATAGGTCAATAGCTCTCAAAGTGTGGTCTCCAGATCAGCCGCATTAGCACCAGCATTAGCATCACCTGGGAACTTGTTAGCATTCTCAGGCACCAGCTCAGACCTACTGAATCAGAAACTCTTGTCAGGGGGATTCAGTAACCGAGTTTAGTAAATTCTACAGGTGATTCTCATATAATAATGTTTAAGACTCTTTGCTCTAAGTGATTGGTCCTGAATTAAAAACATGTGAAACAAACCTGAATTCCGTGGGGAAGAATAAATAATAGAAAGAGATAGATTTAACCTACATACCCAGAAATACATCTGGAGATGGAGTCTCTTAGTGTCAAACTCACGAATCTGGTCAAGATGCCTTAACTACCCATATATGCCAGTGGCCATTTACAAGCACTCCATTTAAACATAGCACAACTGGTGAACAATGAAAACACCTCCTGAAAAGCACTTGTTTTAAACAAATGTAGTTAAAGGCCGTATCAGAGCCAAAGCTTGGAAATCTGTCAGTGGGAAGGCAAAAATGGACTAAAACCAGTTATTTAAAGCAGCCTCACTGTCCTACATTTTTGAAGATTACACAGAACATATAACTTGCTCATTGCTACTTATAAAGGCAGGAATAACCACTTCAGAGTTCTTTCCTCAGCGCAAAGCAGAGATTTCTGAAGGCAACAAAGAGTGGAAAAAAAGAGATGATTCCCAAGGTGTTTACAAACAAAACTAAGCTCAACTCTAAAATTAATAAACACTATTCCTTTATCAAGGGTGTATAGGGTAATAATTATGTCTCCTAGATTTCACACATATTTCTCAAATTATTCTTCAACTAATCAAATACTTATTGAGCACCTATAATATACCAGAAGTCATTAATATTGCCTCCAAATATTAAGATATTACCATGACTCTTTAAAAAAACAATTATTCTAACTTTCTGGGTAATTCTAAGATCAGTGTAATGATTGTGACTGCTTGCACCTGCCCAAGGAAACTTATCATGTTTAACAACAACAACAACAACAAAAAACAGATGTGAGTTCAAACTTGTGTAGGCAGTTATTTCAAAGGACTGAGAGCAACTCAAATTATTCCCTAATAACTGCTGTAACCTGAGGTGGAATGCAACACCAAATGTCCAATTCTTTTTATTTAAAGCTAAGAGAGTAGTTCAAATCTACCATGCAGAATGAATGTTTTTCCCTATGCTCAATGCACACATCATAGTAAACAGGAATGCTGCTGTTATGTTCGATAAGTGGGATACACTTATGCCTATTCTATAGCACTTGGAACATAGTCCTACTACTTCAAATGCTTATAGTTTCCCAATTGTTTCAGCTTTCTAAGTCACACTACTAATCAAACTGGTAATTTACTCTGTCTTTAGTCAGAAATTATAAAACTGTTCCAATGAGAAAATGCAGTGCACTTCACAACCAACATTAGTCTGCTTTATAGCACTGTTTCTAAGAACACCATGGGAAAACCCTAACTACATAAGTGTAAGTCATTCACACAGATACAAAAGAGAAGACCACTGAAAATAGCCGATGAGGCCTGAAGAGGCTTAGGGCTTTTTCTTTACCTTCTTTCTCCCTTTCCTTTTTCTAATTCTTCCTATCCTTCTTTTTCTTCCATTTTTTTCTTGTTCTCCCTTACGTCCAGGGAATGTCATAATGCATTATGACACTAAAATATCATCTACTCCAATCTCCTCAATTTACAAATGGAGAAAACTGAGGCTCAGATAAGGCATAGAACCTGTCTAAGATCACAAGCCTGATTTTAAAAGCAAGTCTGTCCAACTCTCAAAACCTATTCTACACTATACCACCCTGCCTCATTAGAAAATTCTCTTGCAAAAATTCCAGCATACTGTTTTCAAATTTTATTCTGCTATATAAAGTTAAGAAAATGATACTACATAATACAACATACACTAGTATTTGGGACAGTATACACAAAACCAAACATATTTTCCCTACTGGATTCTGTAATTAGAACACTAATCTTTTTAAAAACTACTCCTCATAGGCGGAGCTTGCAGTGAGCCGAGATCACGCCACTGCACTCCAGCCTGGGCGACAGAGCAAGACTCCATCTCAAAATAAATAAATACATAAATAAAACTACTCTTCATAATCTGATTCATTGCTAGATTAGGGGAAAATAGATCAGTTCAACACCTGCATATTTTCTACTTTATCAACTGATGCTCTCCTTACTTTATCAACTGATGCTCTCCTTAGTATCATACGCTAAAATTAAATTATAAAGTCTTATACCCCTCTAAACAAGATCCACCTTTTATTAGTTTTAATTAAGAGCATGAAGTTGAAGTAAGATGACCTTGGCTTTAAATCCCAGCTCTGCTGGATACTCGCTCTGAGGCCTTTCTTGAGTCTGTCTGATACTTCTATCACAGGGTTGGTAGGAGGATTCAATCAAATAATGTTTTCCTTTTCTCACTTTCTCACTGTAGAACTCCTACTCTAAGCTTCTTCTTAGATGTCATTTTTTCTATTTAACCACAGTATTTGCTTTCCTCACAGAAGTCACTACATTTTTACATTTTTATGAGTAGTTTATCATTATATTTGTAGTTGTTTACAAATCTCTTTCCTTCATCAGACAGTGTATTTCTGGACAGCAAAAATTCCAGAGCCTTCTAGAGTGCATAAAATGTATTAGAAAGTCAAAAAGTCTCTAGTAAGGCATGCTGAACATGGCAAGTCCTACAGAGCAACACCTACACAGCAATCCAGACTCTTCATTACCACCTTATGCAATGAAAGAAGCAAAGCTATCTACTGATACTTCTGCTTTTTGATCCCTAGGTAATCCATTTCTACGACCAGGCCCACTAATCCCTGTGACGCTAGAAGCAGCTTCACAGAAACTAGACAGAGTGAGACCCAGTCCTAGAGCAAAATGTACCAAAAGAATGTTTGTATTTGCCTTGATAGTCTACATAACCTGCAGTCTCTCCCAACTGTGATTCCTATAACCTAGAAATTGTGGTAATGATCAAATAAAATGAAAGAAAAACGATTTTCTCCACCAACAGTAAGATATTCAAAGATTCCTAAATATCTCTTCCAAGTTTTCTTTTCCTAACTGTTTTTCCTTCTTGAGCCTCTTTCCCTACATATATCAGTCCAGATAAAAGGTCAAAAAGACTAAAGGCAGGGTCTTCAAAGCCTACTAAATTAGACAACTATGAGTCAATGATTTGGAGGTAAAAGTTATTGCATTTGTATTTCTGAACTAAAGCTCTAAAATAACTGCAATGGTTTGAATGTCCCTTCCACAACTCATGTTGAAATTTAATTGATATTTTTATTGTATTAAGAGGTAGGACCACTGGGAGGCGATTAGGCCATGAGACCGTAACAACATTAATCCTCAGGAATGGATTAATGCCATTACGGTGGGAGTGGGTGTATGGCAAATGCACCTGAGAGCAATAACTTAAGAAAGGAGGGTTGCCACGTGAAGGCTGCTGCACGGAGGGTGCCAAATAAAAGTGCTATATAAGCTGCATGCTTTTTGCAAGCAGTTGAGGTTCTCCTGTCTAGTCCACCACCACTGGACTGTCCCTGTATGTTAGTTCTCCCTAATAAAACCCTATGTCTTGTTTGCTAGCTCCAGGTCTCTTTTGCCTCTTGAACCTGGTGCCATCCTTACAGAAGTTAACACGGACTCAGTACCACAACTGGTGAACCCAGCAGGAAGGTGGAGAAAAATTTCATGAGCACCGAGACCGTAAGATCAGGAAAGGGGAAATCCAAGGGGGGGTCCCGGGCTGACCATCACATTTATGTGGTGCCCAAAAGCCACTATCCTTGATGGATGGGACCCAATGTATGAGTACAGAACACCCCAAAAACACCGAAGGGTCTGGAAGAGCTGTTGCAGGGGGTGGATCTAACTAAGCAAAAGTTAGATGCCTGAGCTGTGGCAGCCACAATGGCTGGCCATTCTTGACTGTGCTCCCAGCAGCCACTGAGGCTGAGCTCCCAGCACAGGCCAGGGGTTGTCTGTTATAGGAAGAACTATGAGTAGAAAGAGATGCCAGACTAGCTCAACCTAAAACATCAGAGACCCTACTGTCCTACCTGCAGAAACAGGATGACAAAATGGAAATCCCAGCTTGTCAGGTAGCCTGTTTGAAGGGTCGCCAGCTCCCATGCCAAGTTAGGACTATATGACTAAATCTTCCTAAGTCCAGGGACCCAGTGGAGAGCTCTAGTGAGGAGCAGAGTGAGGACTGGGATAAGCCCATAGAGGTCCTGTTCTCTCTACCAAGATAAAGTCAGACCAATGGTGCCTGCAGGGAGTAGACCCACAAAACTTGTCTCTGCCTGAAAGATGGTAGCATACCACAATGCAGCACTACACCACTATGGAACTAGTGGAGCTGGGCAGAAGGTGGGTTCAGGAAGAGAGACAGTTGATTGAGAGGTGGCTTCTCTGTCTATGGGACACGGGGATGGAGGGTGTTATACTCTCCAGACTCAAGATGAGTGGAATGGCATACATCGCATGCCACCCAGCCCTGAGGCAGCACCTCTATGGTGCCAACAATGAGGATCAGGCCATGCCCCTCCTTAGCTGGGTGGTTGTGGGCTGCAATGAAGCGTGGCCAGATGAGGGCAGTATCCCCATATCTCCTTTGTGATGGCAGACTATGGAGGAATTGCAGGACATCATCTGGAAATTAGGGATGAAACATGCTATCTATGCTGAACATCACCAAGGTCCAACAAAGAGCTTTTCACTGCCAACATGAAAGACACCATCTTAGTCTGCACTCAACCAATGGTATGGTGTGCTAGTGTCTACCCAGAGCCCCCTAGTAGGACAGCCAGTGTCTCAGGTGGCCCAAGCAGCCACCAACTTATGAGAAATGGAGAAACTGCATAGGCAAAGGGTACGTGCTGCTGGGATGAAAGACAAGGGCGCCAAAGGAAAGGAGATGGCCAAGGGGCCCATCAGGGTGACTGACCAACAAATGTGGCACAACCTGGTAGTGGCAGGAACAGCTACTATGAAAACAGATAAACAGCCTAATGCTGTTCTGGTCAGACTGTGGCAGAAGCTCACACCAGAAGAGTGCTTCACTAAGGAGCCTCAGGTTCAGCCCGCCACCCTTCCTGCAGAGGGATAGCAAGTGTCAACCCTGTTAGACTGGATGAAAGCCAAGGCCCCAGAACCCTGATAAGAGTAATGGTGGCCAGGGTACCTGGGGACCAGAGGCCACATGTAGAACTAACTATATATTGGTCGCCTAAGAATAAACACACTGTGCGTGCCCTAGTGGATACTAGAGCCAAATGCACTTTCATATATGGTGACATTCGTTGGTTCCAAGGGGCTAAAATGGCAAAAGATGGTTATGGATGGGGATCAGAAAGGTTGAACTGTCTGAGTATTACAAGTTGAGAGACTGCCACCAAAACCCTATTTAGTATGTATAGCTCCCATCTTGGAATACATCTTGAGAATGGATATCTTATCAGGCTTGACCCTCCAAACAACTGCTGGGGAGTTCTGACTGAGAGTGGTGAAGCATGTGACCAAGGGGAATGCGAAATGGACACCAGTCTAGTTGCCAACCCCACACAGCAAGTAGTAGCACTGAGGCAATACTGCCTGCTGGGGGGACATAATGAAACCACAGGGATTGTTAAGGAGTTAGCCCAAGGAGGCATTACAAGGCCAGTGCACAGCCCATACAACAGCCATGTACGGCCCATGTGGAAGCCTGATGGGACATGGACAATGACACTAGATTACTGGGAATTAAGTAAGGCAGTCCCCCCAATGTATGCACATGTTCCCAATATCACCTCCCTTCTAAAGAGGGCGGGAGAGGCACTGGACACATACCACTACCACTCTGTTACTGATTTAACCAATGCCTTCTTCAGCATCCCCATTGCCGCAGAGAGTCAAGACCAATTTGCATTCACCTGGGAAGAACAATAGACTTTTACCATCTTGCCCCAGGGATATTTATATAGCCATGGAGGTCCTGGAAGGGGTACACATTTTCCATTACAGTGATGATATCGTGCTAACTTCTGAGTCTTTTTCCAGCTTTCAAACTGCGCCCTCACACCTTGCTGCCTCATCTGGCAAACAGGATGAGCTATAAACACAGACAAAAATCCAGAGTCCAGGCTTATCAGCCAAATACTTGAGTCTGCCATTATGGATAGGGTGCAGGCCTACTCACATCGTGTGACACCAAAGCAGCTATAAATCTTCTTAGGACTCCTAGGGTATGGGCATCATTTTATTCCTCATTTGGCCCAACTCCTTAGACCCCTATACTGTTTAGTCAAGAAGGGGGCCCACTGAGACTAATCCACGAAGAAGGATGAGGCCTTTGAACCAGCTGAAGTCACAGTGAAATAAATACAAGCCTTGTGAGTTCAGGTGCAGAGACAGCCTGTGAACTAGATGTAGCCAGTTACCTTGAGGGGTTTGGGTGAGGCCCGTGGCAAAGGCAGAGACATACATATGCGCCTTTAGGATTCTGGTCCCAGCTACGGAAAAAGGGTGCAGTTAGATACAGTGTGATGGAACAACAACTCTGTGCTATACATTATGCCTTACAACAAGTAGAGGACATTACAAAAGGGGTCCTGATGCTAGTATGCAGCCAGTACCCCAAAGCAGGTTGGCTAAAGGGTATCTTCCAGAAACTGAAGTCTGGGAATGCCCAGACACAGACTGTGGCCAAATGGCTTACATACCTGCAACAAAGGAGCACATTAATAGCCCCTTGAGCTCAGAGCTCCATTCAGTGCTTGGCCCTGTCATCTATGTAACAACTGTCACATAGTCTTTTAGGGAGGCTGCTGAGCCTCCACAGATGCTCTCCTTCATACAGGATAGACAGGGCCCAATGTCTGACCGCCCAATGACTGACCAGGCCTGGTACACAAACAGCTTGTCACGAGGCAATCCTTGCACTTGAGCAGGCATAGCCATCCAGCCATCCACTGACAGGATCTGGATTGATGATACAGGCCAAGGACATAGCAGCCAATGAGCTGAGCTGCAAGCTGCCAGGATGGTCCTCCTCTATAAGCCAGACCCAGCAGTCCTGTGTACTCACAGGTGGGCTGTCTGAAGTTAACAGGCATCCGGCATGACATTCCTTAAGGAAAATTGTGATTCTCCAGTACACATTTCTCCCTGATTTCCACAGCACGATATATCAATAAATATTGTCTTCATCAATACTGCCAACAATGCATCTGATTACATGTGTGTGCGTGCGTGTGTGTGTGTGTGTGTGTGTGTGTACTTTGGAAAAGTCTGATAGGATACAGTCATCCCTTAGTATCTATGGGGTATCGGTTCCAGGACCCCTAAGATACCAAAATCTAAGGACAGCTCAAGCCTCTTATATAAAATGGCACAGTATTTGCATGTAGCCTATGTACATCCTCCCATATAATTTAAATAATCTCTAGATTACTTTTACCTAATCCAATGTAAAGGGACTCACCATGTGGCTACTACAATGGGAAGCACAGGACTAGACAGTAGCAGGTCACCTCCTTTGGTGCCCTGACATGTAGAAGGACATTCCCCATTGCATCTGGGGGATGCATAAAATGATCTACCATGTGGATCCCCACACTGCATCTACACCAACCTGGAAATCAACAGGCAGACAAATTAACCTGCATTCGTCTCCTCAAGGGAGTCCCCACAGACGATGTGGTCAACTGGTTACAAAAGAAGACAGGACATAGGGGACAACTTACCCTTTGGGCCATAGCAAAGAATTGGAGCCTGCCACTATGATACAAAGACACAGTACACATCTGTCAGCAATGTCTTACCCGTGCACAGGAACACCCCAGGCCCTTGCCACCTGATACCAGAAAGATCACCCAGGGCCAGAGCCCAGCACAATGGTGGCAGGTAGACTACATAGGATCTTTGCCCCTATTGGATGGCTGCCACTATGCCTTAACTTGTGCAGAAACCTGCACAGGGCTACAACGAGCATAACCCAGCAAGCATGCCACCATAAAAGGACCAGAACAGATGTGTGCAGCCTACAGCGTCTCCATCAATAGTGACAATGGGCCAGACACAGTGGCTCACGCCTGTAATCCCACCACTTTGGGAGGCTGAGGCGGGTGGATCACCTGAGGTCAGGAGTTTGAGACCAGCCTGCCCAACATAGTGAAACCTGTCTCTACTAAAAATACAAAAAATTAGCCAGGTGTGGTGGTACACACCTGTAATCCCAGCTACTCAGGAGGCTGAGGCAGGAGAATTGCTTGAACTCAGGAGGCGGAGGTTGCAGTGAGCCGAGATCGCGCCATTGCGCTCCAGTCTGGGCAACAAGAGCGAAACTCCATCTCAAAAAAAAAAAAAAAATTAACAATGACTAGGGCTCGTACTTTACCAGATATAAAGTACAAGAATAGGCAGAGGCCCTGGATATCCACTGGCATTTTCACCTGCCGTACAACCCTACAGCAGTGGGGCTGACTGAACAAATTGAATGGACTGTTGAAACAACTCCTATAGGAGTTGGCTCTGTGGACACGCTGCTTACCAGCAGCCGTGCACAAACTGAATAAATATGCACATTCTCATCACCCCATCATGTATACTCTTCTAACACAAGGATGTGATACGACCATCAGGATACAGGTAGACAGGGTAAGGGACAGCAGACCTTTGCCCCCAACCTGGGACACAAAGTAATCTGCTATGGCCCTTGCCACAGGACCAACCTACTGGGGAGCACATCATTACGTGGTTCTGGGAAATGGCAAACCAGCCCGATGGTTCAGTTTTTCTGCTCCATGGGGGAAGGGCCTAGAACAGGATATATATGTCACACCTATTTCATACCATACTCTCCACTGTAATTCTAAAATAATGAATCCTAGTCCTCCCTTGTGCAAGGGGATGAACATCCTCTCATGAAACACTATACCTCCACTGTCTTCCTCTGGCCTCCTGCAACACATTACAGAGGGGAGCCAGTCCATTTGGTATTGTAAACCAGGCATCAGGCTGCTGCCAGGGGTGGTGCTCTCTCAGAATGACACAACTCCCCATGTCTTGTTAAATGGCCAGGACTTGTCCTTTCTTGTACCCACTAAACAACTCACCTTTTGCCCATAGATGGTGTGCCGCAAACCTCTTTGCTGACTGGGTGCAGATGGTTATCTCTCTCCAGAAGAAAACAGACTGCTGGGTCTGCGGAGAGCTCCCCCTCTCCTCCGCTGTGGGCCTGCCATGCCACACCAAGGCAGTTAACATGAGTACCTGGGGCCACTTCGATACTTGGTATAGTGACCTTCACCTATTCCCCTTCAGCGACAACAGCACCTCATGCAGCAAGTTTCCCACCACCAACAACGTGAGATGGCATATTTTCCGCCTGGTAAAGGAGCAAGTTAATGTCACTCCCCACTGTAGGTAGGCTGTACACAATGATGGGCTAGAGTGGATGACAGCAGTGAGACAGAGATAGTGTGTCATGCACCCTTCTTTGTAAAATTGCATGGCCCTGGACATCTTAACTGCCCCCACAAGGGCGGAACCTATGGATTAATTAAAACCTGTTGTGTATGTATTCCTGATGACTCTCACGATCTAACCCAGGCCATGCAGGCCTTAAATACCCATATTTCCACTACAGAATCTAAGTCTTAAAACCCTATAACCACGTGTTTTAATCAACTCCTAAGCCCTTGAAAAACTTTCTATACAGTATGATTGTTATTATATTTGTTATTCTTTTTTGTTATTGTAGTTTATATTGCTACTGCAGCATCTGGCTGCAATGCTCCTCCACATACCTGGCCCCAGGGATCTCATGACAGAAAGGCATAAGAATGTGAGGGCCACGCAAGGGTATGCTGGTGCGGAGTATATGGCAGATGCACCTGAAAGCAATAACTTAAGAAAGGAGGTTGCCATGTGGAAGTTGCTGGGGGGAGGATGCTAAGTGAAAATGCTATACAAGCTGCATGCTTTTTGCAAGTGATTGCAGTTCTCCTGTCCAGCCCATCACCACTGGGCCGCCCTGTAAGTAAGTTCTGCCAAATAAGCCCTAAGTTTCATTTATTGGCTCTGGGTCCCTTCTTTGGCCTCTCAAACTTGGTACCATCCCACTGAAGTTAATAGGGGTCCAGCATGACACTCAATTTTAAGGAAAATTGTGATTCTCCAGTTTACACTTCTCCCTGATTTCCACAGCACAGCACAATATATCAATAAATATTGTCATCATCAATACCGCCACCAATGGATCTGATTACATGTCCGTGTGTGTGTGTGTGTGTGTGTGTGTGTGTGTGTGTGTGTGTGTGTATACTCTGGAGAAGTCTAGTAGGATATAGTCATCCCTTAGTATCTATGGAGTATTTGTTCCAGGACCCCTAAGATACCAAAATCTAAGGACTGCTCAAGCCCGTTAATGGCATAGTACTTGCATATAGACTACACACATCCTCCCGTATAATTTAAATAATCTCTAGATTACTTTTACCTGATCCCATGTAAATGCTATGTAAATACAGTTGACCCCTCAACAACTTGGGGGTCAGGGACACCAATCCCTGTGCAGTCAAAAAACTATGCATAACTTCTGACTCCCCCAAAAACTAACTACTAATAGCCTATTGTTGACCTGAAGCCTTGCCAATAATATAAACAGCTGATTAACCATATTTTTTATATGCATTATATGCTGTATTCTTACAATAAAGTAAGCTAAAGAAAAAGCAAGCTTTTTCAAATTGTTGCAAATCTCCAAAAAATTTTCCAATATATTTATTGAAAAATATTCATATATAAGTGGACCCATGCAGTTCAAGCCCTCATAGTTCAAGGGTCAACTGTAGTTGTGATACTATATTTTTTAAGTTTTTATTATTTTTTACTGTTTTAACTTTTTTTTCCTGAATATTTTCAGACCACAGTTGGTTGACTCCTCAGATGCTGAGCCCAAGGATATGGAGGGCTGACTGTATACACTATAATGGTGGTTATCCTTTAGAGGTAGGATTGAGTGATTTTTATTTTTTTTTATAGTCTTCTGAATCATCTAGGTTTTTCCAATAAAAATTTTTTCAAATAAAAATTACACATTTTATAATTAGAAACAAAGCTACTTCCATTAAGAAATCTGTAAAATATAAATTATTTGTATGTAAGTAAACTGGAGATAAGTGCATCAATAGAGACTCACCATAGCAAACCACACTCACCTGCTTCATTACACAAGACTTTCAAGTCTGCTCCAACGTATCCATGAGCACTATTTGCCAGCTGCAGCAGCTCAGCCTCAGTGAGCAAATGGGGTACCCTTCGAAGCAGTTTCTGGAGAATATCTAGCCGGTCCTGAGCATTGGGAACTCCAATCTCAATCTCTTTATCAAATCGCCCAGGTCTTCGGAGAGCAGCATCCAAGGCATGAGGGCGATTTGTGGCCCCAAGAACCAACACTTGTCCTTCACTTACTTCCTAACAAAATAAAATGAAAATAAATTTATTTTTCTGAAAGTTAGAAAAAAAAAAGTGAGAGGCACACACTGGCTGTATAGACAAGGATGAAACATCTAACTGTCCAGGCTACTAAGTCCTATTTCTTACGCTTTCATTACCTATCAATTACTTTTATTAGTAATACATTTTTATTATACATTTATTACTTTTATTATACATTTTTCAGTGTTCAGCCTAAATGCTTCCTCCTGTAGAAAGTTTTACAATACTCACCTCTCCATCTACTATGACATCTCTCTTACTTCTCACATCTTAACTGTATCATTCTCATAAAAAATAACATATATATAATATGTACCATATAATTGTTTTAATTGTTTTAAACAGTCCTTTTCCCCTACTTGAAAGTCAGGATTCTGACACATATAATACTCAAATAGAACAAGATTCTATTAGAAAGTTATCTAAAAAGTCTTCGCTTATAGACTAGTTTTTTTAATATGGATACATTTTTAAATTCCTGAAAATAAGAGTCAACAATATAACCAATATCCAAGTATCAGCCACATTTGAATATATAGGTATTTTTACTCTCTGAAAATGAAATTAGGAAAACCAAATAATAAAGAACTATGATCATGATCAGCCACCTGTAGAAATTATCCAATATTCTATTCAGATGACCCAGAGACAAGCATAACTGGAATGCAATTTATGTTAAAAAAAAAAATTTAAAAAAAGCTCAAACCTAATCAATTATACTGAATGTGCCAACAGACAATGCATGGACTACAGCGAATCTATGAATTATAAGTTTAGAAGTACAAAAACAGACCCTTAAAAATATTCAGACTAAAACATCAGTATCACATGTTTCCATTCCTTGCCCAAAGGCAAGAATACTAATCCACAACAGGCTTATCCCAGTGGCAGAGAAAGAGACAGCAGATTGAAATAATTAAGATTCTCCAACACTAAGCCTTTCATCTGATTTCCTACCTACCAAGAACCCTTGTAATTATAAGACAGCTCTCTATATTTGCCATCAAGGTGAAAATATGGTCATCCATAAACACAAACATTTGGTCTGCTTAACAGTCACATCTCTTACTGTAAATGGACAAACTAGGACACTATTTTATACATGATTCTCTTGTAAGTGTTATTATCATGGGTCAGTCTGTCCTCACAACTCTATCATCTCCAGCCTACTAATAACACTGAATTCTTCAACTTTATAACCTGAGAATCAACCTGGGACATGAAAATCACTCCTAGGTACTGTTCCAAGACTGAGAACCAGTTAGTCAGGCAGCCTCCACCAGGTGACAACCCTTCTCTTACAGACTCTTAAAATTACTAACACGTTAGTATATAAGTGACTTAGTGCCAAACCTTTATATTATTTTCACATATTTACTTTCTGCCACTAGACAGTAAAAAACAAAAAGTTCGGGGAGGAGCCAAGATGGCCGAACAGGAACAGCTCCGGTCTACAGCTCCCAGCGTGAGCAACACAGAAGACAGGTGATTTCTGTATTTCCATCTGAGGTACCAGGTTCATCTCACTAGGGAGTGCCAGAAAGTGGGTGCAGGACAGTGGGTGCAGCGCACCGTGTGCGAGCCGAAGCAGGGTGAGGCATTGCCTCACTCGGGAAGTGCAAGGGGTCAGGGAGTTCCCTTTGCTGGTCAAGGAAAGGGGTGACAGACAGCACCTGGAATATCGGGTCACTCCCACCCTAATACCGCGCTTTTCCGATGGGCTTAGGAAACGGTGCACCAGGAGATTATATCCCGCACCTGGCTCGGAGGGTCCTACGCCCACGGAGTCTCGCTGATTGCTAGCACAGCAGTCTGAGATCAAACTGCAAGGCGGCAGTGAGGCTGGGGGAGGGGCGCCCGCCATTGCCCAGGCTTGCTTCAGTAAACAAAGCAGCCGCAGCCCGGAAGCTTGAACTGGGTGGAGCCCACCACAGCTCAAGGAAGCCTGCCTGCCTCTGTAGGCTCCACCTCTGGGGGCAGGGCACAGACAAACAAAAAGACAGCAGTAACCTCTGCAGACTTAAATGTCCCTGTCTGACAGCTTTGAAGAGAGCCGTGGTTCTCCCAGCACGCAGCTGGAGATCTGAGAACAGGCAGACTGCCTCCTCAAGTGGGTCCCTGACCCCTGACACCCGAGCAGCCTAACTGGGAGGCACCCCCAGTAGGGGCAGACTGACACCTCACACGGCCGGGTATTCCTCTGAGACAAAACTTCCAGAGGAACGATCAGACAGCAGCATTCGCGGTTCAGGAAAATCCACTGTTCTGCAGACACCGCTGTTGATACCCAGGCAAACAGGGTCTGGAGTGGACCTCTAGCAAACTCCAACAGACCTGCAGCTGAGGGCCCTGTCTGTTAGAAGGAAAACTAACAAACAGAAAGGACATCCACACCAAAAACCCACCTGTACATCACCATCATCAAAGACCAAACAAAGATAAAACCACAAAGATGGGGAAAAAACAGAGCAGAAAAACTGGAAACTCTAAAAAGCAGAGTGCCTCTCCTCTTCCAAAGGAACGCAGTTCCTCACCAGCAACAGAACAAAGCTGGACGGAGAATGACTTTGACAAGTTGAGAGAGGAAGGCTTCAGACGATCAAACTACTCCGAGCTACGGGAGGAAATTCAAACCAAAGGCAAAGAAGTTGAAAACTTTGAAAAAAATTTAGGCGAATGTATAACTAGAATAACCAATACAGAGAAGTGCTTAAAGGAGCTGATGGAGCTGAAAGCCAAGGCTCGAGAACTACGTGAAGAATGCAAAAGCCTCAGGAGCCGATGCGATCAACTGGAAGAAAGGGTATCAGTGATGGAAGATGACATGAATGAAATGAAGCAAGAAGGGAAGTTTAGAGAAAAAAGAATAAAAAGAAACAAACAAAGCATCCAAGAAATATGGGACTATGTGAAAAGACCAAATCTACGTCTGATTGGTGTACTTGAAAGTGACGGGGAGAATGGAACCAAGTTGGAAAACACTCTGCAGGATATTATCAAAGAGAACTTCCCCAATCTAGCGAGGCAGGCCAACATTCAGATTCAGGAAATACAGAGAACGCCACAAAGATACTCCTCGAGAAGAGCAATTCCAAGACACATAATTGTCAGATTCACCAAAGTTAAAATGAAGGAAAAAATGTTAAGAGCAGCCAGAGAGAAAGGTCAGGTTACCCACAAAGGGAAGCCCATCAGACTAACAGCGGATCTCTCGGCAGAAACTCTACAAGCCAGAAGAGAGTGGGGGCCAATATTCAACATTCTTAAAGAAAAGAATTTTCAACCCAGAATTTCATATCCAGCCAAACTAAGCTTCATAAGTGAAGGAGAAATAAAATACTTTACAGACAAGCAAATGCTGAGAGATTTTGTCACCACCAGGCCTGCCCTAAAAGAGCTCCTGAAGGAAACACTAAACATGGAAAAGAACAACCGGTACCAGCTGCTGCAAAATCATGCCAAAATGTAAAGACCATTGAGACTAGGAAGAAACTGCATCAACTAATGAGCAAAATAACCAGCTAACATCATAATGACAGGATCAAATTCACACATAACGATATTAACTTTAAATGTAAATGGACTAAATGCTCCAATTAAAAGACACAGACTGGCAAACTGGATAAAGAGTCAAGACCCATCAGTGTGCTGTATTCAGGAAACCCATCTCACGTGCAGAGACACACATAGGCTCAAAATAAAAGGATGGAGGGAGATCTACCAAGCAAATGGAAAACAAAAAAAGGCAGGGCTTGCAATCCTAGTCTCTGATAAAACAGACTTTAAACCAACAAAGATCAAAAGAGACAAAGAAGGCCATTACATAATGGTAAAGGGATCAATTCAACACGAAGAGCTAACTATCCTAAATATATATGCACCCAAAACAGGAGCACCCAGATTCATAAAGCAAGTCCTGAGTGACCTACAAAGAGACTTAGACGCCCACACAATAATAATGGGAGACTTTCACACCCCACTGTCAACATTAGACAGATCAACAAGACAGAAAGTTAACAAGGATACCCAGGAATTGAACTCAGCTCTGCAACAAGTGGACCTAATAGACACCTACACAACTCTCCACCCCAGATCAACAGAATATACATTCTTTTCAGCACCACACCACACCTATTCCATAATTGACCACATAGTTGGAAGTAAAGCTCTCCTCAGCAAATGTAAAAGAACAGAAATTATAACAAACTGTCTCTCAGACCACAGTGCAATCAAACTACAACTCAGGATTAAGAAACTCACTCAAAACTGCTCAACTACATGGAAACTGAACAACCTGCTCCTGAATGACTACTGGGTACATAACGAAATGAAGGCAGAAATAAAGATGTTCTTTGAAACCAACGAGAACAAAGACACAACATACCAGAATCTCTGGGACACATTCAAAGCAGTGTGTAGAGGGAAATTTATAGCACTAAATGCCCACAAGAGAAAGCAGGAAAGATCCAAAATTGACACCCTAACAACACAATTAAAAGAACTAGAAAAGCAAGAGCAAACACATTCAAAAGCTAGCAGAAGGCAAGAAATAACTAAGATCAGAGCAGAACTGAAGGAAATAGAGACATAAAAAAACCCTTCAAAACATTAATGAACCCAGGAGCTGGTTTTTTGGAAGGATGAACAAAATTGATAGACCGCTAGCAAGACTAATAAAGAAAAAAAGAGAGAAGAATCAAATAGACGCAATAAAAAATGATAAAGGGGATATCAGCACCGATCCCACAGAAATACAAACTACCATCAGAGAATACTACAAACACCTCTACGCAAATAAACTAGAAAATCTAGAAGAAATGGATACATTCCTCGACACATACACCCTCCCAAGACTAAACCAGGAAGAAGTTGAATCTCTGAATAGACCAATAACAGGATCTGAAATTGTGGCAATAATCAATAGCTTACCAACCAAAAAGAGTCCAGGACCACATGGATTCACAGCCGAATTCTACCAGAGGTACAAGGAGGAACTGGTACCGTTCCTTCTGAAACTATTCCAATCAATAGAAAAAGAGGGAATCCTCCCTAACTCATTTTATGAGGCCAGCATCATCCTGATACCAAAGCCGGGCAGAGACACAACCAAAAAAGAGAATTTTAGACCAATCTCCTTGATGAACATTGATGCAAAAATCCTCAATAAAATACTGGCAAACCGAATCCAGCAGCACATCAAAAAGCTTATCCACCATGATCAAGCGGGCTTCATCCCTGGGATGCAAGGCTGGTTCAATATATGCAAATCAATAAATGTAATCCAGCATATAAACAGAACCAAAGACAAAAACCACATGATTATCTCAATAGATGCAGAAAAGGCCTTTGACAAAATTCAACAACCTTCATGCTAAAAACTCTCAATAAATTAGGTATTGATGGGACATATCTCAAAATAATAAGAGCTATCTATGACAAACCCACAGCCAGTATCATACTGAATAGGCAAAAACTGGAAGCATTCCCTTTGAAAACTGGCACAAGACAGGGATGCCCTCTCTCAACACTCCTATTCAACATAGTGTTGGAAGTTCTGGCCAGGGCAATCAGGCAGGAGAAGGAAATAAAGGGTATTCAGTTAGGAAAAGAGGAAGTCAAATTGTCCCTGTTTGCAGACAACATGATTGTATATCTAGAAAACCCCACTGTCTCAGCCCAAAACTTCCTTAAGCTGATAAGCAACTTCAGCAAAGTCCCAGGATACAAAATCAATGTACAAAAATCACAAGCATTCTTATACACCGATAACAGACAAACAGAGAGCCAAATCATGAGTGAACTCCCATTCACAATTGCTTCAAAGAGAATAAAATACCTAGGAATCCAACTTACAAGGGACGTGAAGGACCTCTTCAAGGAGAACTACAAACTACTGCTCGAGGAAATAAAAGAGGATACAAAGAAATGGAAGAACATTCCATGCTCATGGGTAGGAAGAATCAATATCGTGAAAATGGCCACACTGCCCAAGGTAATTTATAGATTCAATGCCATCCCCATCAAGCTACCAATGACTTTCTTCACAGAATTGGAAAAAACTACTTTAAAGTTCATATGGAACCAAAAAAGAGCCCGCATCACCAAGTCAATCCTAAGCCAAAAGAACAAAGCTGGAGGCATCATGCTACCTGACTTCAAACTATACTACAAGGCCACAGTAACCAAACAGCATGGTACTGGTACCAAAACAGAGATATAGATCAATGGAACAGAACAGAGCCCTCAGAAATAATGCCACATATCTACAACTATCTGATCTTTGGACAAACCTGACAAAAACAAGCAATGGGGAAAGGATTCCCTATTTAATAAATGGTGCTGGGAAAACTGGCTAGCCATATGTAGAAAGCTGAAACTGGATCCCTTCCTTACACCTTATACAAAAATTAATTCAAGATGGATTAAAGACTTAAACGTTAGACCTAAAACCATAAAAACCCTAGAAGAAAACCTAGGCATTACCATTCAGGACATAGGCATGGGTAAGGACTTCATGTCTAAAACACCAAAAGCAATGGCAACAAAAGCCAAAATTGACAAATGGGATCTAATTAAACTAAGGAGCTTCTGCACAGCAAAAGAAACTACCATCAGAGTGAACAGGGAAGCTACAGAATGGGAGAAAATTTTCGCAACCTACTCATCTGACAAAGGGCTAATATCCAGAATCTACAATGAACTCAAACAAATTTACAAGAAAAAAACAAACAACCCCATCAAAAAGTGGGCAAAGGATATGAACAGACACTTCTCAGAAGAAGACATTTATGCAGTCAAAAGACACATGAAAAAATGCTCATCATCACTGGCCATCAGAGAAATGCAAATCAAAACCACAATGAGATACCATCTCACACCAGTTAGAATGGCAATCATTAAAAAGTCAGGAAACAACAGGTGCTAGAGAGGATGTGGAGAAATAGGAACACTTTTACACTGTTGGTGGGACTGTAAACTAGTTCAACCATTGTGGAAGTCAGTGTGGCGATTCCTCAGGGATCTAGAACTAGAAATACCATTTGACCCAGCCATCCCATTACTGGGTATATACTCAAAGGACTATAAATCATGCTGCTATAAAGACACATGCACACGTATGTTTATTGCGGCACTATTCACAATAGCAAAGACTTGGAACCAACCCAAATGTCCCACAATGACAGACTGGATTAAGAAAATGTGGCACATATACACCATGGAATACTATGCAGCCATAAAAAATGATGAGTTCATGTCCTTTACAGGGACATGGATGAAACTGGAAATCATCATTCTCAGCAAACTATCGCAAGGACAAAAAACCAAACACTGCATGTTCTCACTCATAGATGGGAATTGAACAATGAGAACACATGGACACAGGAAGGGGACCATCACACTCTGGGGCCTGTTGTGGAGTTGGGGGAGGGGCGAGGGATAGCATTAGGAGATATAACTAATGCTAAACGACGAGTTAATGGGTGCAGCACACCATCATGGCACATGTATACATATGTAACTAACCTGCACATTGTGCACATGTACCCTAAAACTTAAAGTATAAAAAAAAAAAAATTCTAAATGACCAGCTTTTTAATGTGCAAAAGAGGCTTGATACTACATAATTTCTAAAATTTATTGTGGTTCTAACATATTATGATTCTAAAAACTTTACTTATTCATAATCCAGCATGAAAAGTGTATTTTTCTAATTAATGGATGTCAGGAGTCTTAGAAAATTTTTGTTCATGCCTATTCTCTTATTAGTCCTATGAATGTTCCTTCCATAATTAGCATATAGTTTTTATTAATAAAAGAACATATCCCGGCTGGGCGCGGTGGCTCACGCCTGTAATCCCAGCACTTTGGGAGGCCGAGGCGGGCGGATCACCTGAGGTCAGGAGCTCGAGACCAGCCTGAACATGGAGAAACCCCGTCTCTACTAAAAATACAAAATCAGCCAGGCGTGGTGGTACATGCCTGTAATCCCAGCTACTCGGGAGGCTGAGGCAGGAGAATTGCTTGAACCTGGGAGGCAGAGGTTGCGGTGAGCCGAGATTGTGCCATTGCACTCCAGCCTGGGCAACAAGAGCGAAACTCTGTCTCCAAAAAAAAAAAAAAAAAAAAAAAAAAGAAAGAACATATCCCCTATGAGAGAATCTGGTAATATGAATAAGTTTTTTTTTAAATGTTATACAAAACATTTCGCATTATTCTCACTTTCTTTCATTTCCCTAGTACAAAGCCTTGAAAGAGTCCATTTGTACATGGGTAATAAGACTTACTCATGACATTTCTTAATAAAAACCCCTAAGGCCAGATGTAGCGGCTCACACCTATAATCCCAGCACTTTGGAAGGCCAAGGCGGGTAGATGACAAGGTAAGGAGTTCGAGACCAGCCTGGCCAACATGGTGAAACCCCATCTCTACTAAGAAGATTTAAAAAAAAATTAGCCAGGTGTGATGGTGCATGCCTGTAGTCCCAGCTACTCAGGAGGCTGAGGCAGGAGAATCGCTTGAACCTGGAAGGTGGAGGTTGCAGTTAGCTGAGACTGCGCCACTGCACTCCAGCCTGGATGACAGGGCAAGACTCAATCTCAAAAACAATAATAATAAATAAAAATAAAATAAAATCCCCTAAAATTTAACTGCTAAATCTTCCTTACTGATCTTTGCTTCAAGTTTTAAAGCTAACAGCATTTATCACAAAATAAATCCATCATGGTATAGTATTTTATATGCTAGAAAAAACCTGCCAGGTTATGATGTTGTCCTAGCAGTTACTAAGTAATCTACTAAAGCAAATTATTTTACAGATCTTTCCCCTAGTTGCTATGGCTAATATTTTTCCTTTATCCTAAAATATCCAAAGACTCTGACACATTCAATAGTTTTTACCACTACACATAAGTATTAAGAATTAACCCTACACAGAATCAATACTAGTGCTATACTTACTGAACCAATGCCATCCATCAGTGTTAAGAGTGAAGCCACAACTCTTTTTTCCACTTCATTCTGGGCCCCCTCTCTTTTCGGACAAAGTGCATCCAGCTCATCAATAAAAATAATTGATGGGTGTCTAAAAACAAACAAGTAAAATGAAATCTCTCATCTATATTTGATTTTAAGTTTTACTTAGTTTTAATTTTTTTAACTGAAATGCAACATATCAAATTTAGAATTCACTTAATATTATAAAGATATTATAATGTTAAGCTAAAAATCCTTAGATTCATTCTAGCCCAAAATACTAATTCACTAACTTCATATTCTATTCTATCTGCCCTCCATTAAAAGGCTGGGTAATTGAGTAGAGTATGCTGCTTAAAAGATAAGAGTCTCTTAAGAACTCTCCCCAGTAATGCCCATTAAGTTGTTATGACTGGATCAATTCAGAAGCTGAGGCCAGAGATACTATCCCTTGGAGCAGGTTTGAAACCAAAGGACATAAACTAGAAATGCCCTGTTATTTTTAAACCATTAAAATAAAAACTTGCAAGATGATCAATTCTCCCATAAACAGATGTGAATTCTCTCACAGAAGGAAATCTCAACTGCCATGAACACAACAACAACAAAAGCATACTAAACAATAAGGTGTACCACTAGTTTTCAAATTTTCAGTACAGTACTAGGACTACAAACTGCTTACTTCATCTACTATCATTGGGGGAAAAAAATAAACTTCAAAAATGGTGGGTTTTCTGATTCAAGAGCAGTAGTTATGATATTAAACACCAAGACAGCCAGCATTTTGGGAGGCTGAGGCAGGAGAATGGCTTGAGCCCAGGAGTTCAAGACCAGCCTGGCCAACATAGCAAGACCCTGTTGCTAGAAAAAAAAATACAAAAATTAGCTGGGCATGGTGGTGCTCACCTATAGTTCCAGCTACTTGGGAGGCTACAGGGGGAGGATCACTTGAGCTCAGGGAATTTAGATTTCAATGTTACACTGTAATGAGTATTAGGATATTGGTCTATAACTTGGTCAAACATAACGTCACTCATAATATGGCTATGTCTCTACCACTGTTTTGATTTTGCTTGTTTGTTTGTTTTTGAGACGGGGTGTGTGTTGCCCAGGCTAGAGTGCAGCAGTGAAATCATGGCTCACTACAGCCTTGATCTCCCAGCTCAGTGATCCTCCTGCCTCAGCTTCCTTAGTAGGTGGGACTACAGGCATGTGCTACCATGCCCAACTAATTATTTTTATTTTTATTTTTTCGAGTCAAAGTCTCGCTCTTGTCCCCCATGCTGGAGTGCAATGGCACGATCTCAACTGACTGCAACCTCCACCTCCTGGGTTCAAGAGATTCTCTTGCCTCAGCCTCCCGAGTAGCTGGGATTACAAGCACTTGCCACCACACCTGGCTAATTTTTGTATTTTTAGTAGAGACGGGGTTTCACTATGTTAGCCAGGCTGGTCTCAAACTCCTGACCTCAGGTGATCTGCCTGCCTCGGTCTCCCAAAGTGCTGGGATTACAGGCGTGAGCCACCGCACCCAGCCAATTATTTTTATTTTTAAACAGACAGGGTCCCACTATGTTGCCCAGGCTGGTCTCAAACTCCTGGGGTCAAGCAATCCTCCTGCCTTGGCCTCCCAAAGTGATGGTATTACAGGCATGAGCCACCACACCCAGCCAGAGTCATTATTTAATGGGCAAAAGATTTGTCCCTTTGAAGCAAAGTATAACATAACAAAGTTCTAGTATAAAGAGCTACATACAATAATACAGTCTACTAGAAAAGCTAAGCATATTAGAAACACCTAAGCACCTAAAGAAAGTCATGGATTTCTATGCTCAAACAAGGTCACATGACTTATCAAACACTATGTCTTAATTCTTCTACTTTATGTAATTTAATAATATTTATCAAACTTTTAAAGATTAGATAGAAATAGAATTTCATTAGATCTATAATCTACTTCTACCACTATCACTATAATTTTTGTACTACTGTTTATGCTTTGTATAAGGTGCTAGTATCTCACTTTGACTAATACAGCCTTGATTATTAATTCCAAAACATTTAAAAATAAAGAGTACCGTAGAGTGGCTTCAGCAAATATCTGACGTAACTTTGCTTCAGTCTCACCATAGAATCTGTAACAAATAAAATACATTTAAAGACCATTTCTTATTGTTTTTAAAGCTTTGTCTATAAAAGCTAACCTAAATTTTCAATATTTCTATAATACTTAAAATTACTTTCAAAAAGAATTTTCCAAACAATTTTTATTAAGAAGCAAAATATTTCAGTGTACAAAATATCACACAGAATACTACACAATCATTTTTAAAAACCACATTTTAGAAATATATTTAATAGTAAGTTTACTCTATTAAATCATGTACTTACTTGCTTATAATTTCAGGACCATTAATTACAGAAACATAGGCTCCAACTTCATTAGCAACAGCCCTGGCGATCATTGTTTTTCCAGTACCTGGAGGACCATAAAGTAACACTCCTCTAGGGGCAGGAATTCCTGGAAGAAAAAGTAGAAAACACTAGATTCACCATTACTAGGTTTCTTATAAATGTTGTCATACAAGTTCAAACATGAGTTATAAAATTTAACTTTACCTTGCGTCACAAAAAGAGTCAAGAGTTTTTTCTCCCCCTCCAGAAAGATGTACTAACTAGCCCAAACACTGATACCCAGCAATGACTTTCTCTCTCTGTAGACCACAGAACAGAGGAAGCATGTTGGTTAAAAAAAAAAAAAACTGGACACCCACATTGTTGCAACGCCCCATCCCACACAACACAGATCAATGATCGAAAAACCAAGCACAGACAACACAGGTAGACAAGCCACCAATCCCAGTTTTTTTCCAACTAACCATCTTGAAGAGTACATACGTTTGCTAGTATAAAAGGTACATAAGTATGAGCAAAATGCCAATCTAAGGGTTCATTTTACACATACATATATATACATACATGTATGTATATATAAGATTTATGAGAAAGGAAAAAAGCAGAGAGATCAGACACAGCAAATATATGCAAAGGATCTTGGCAATAACAATGCAGCAGAAGCCCTGAGTTTCCTGAGTCAAGCCATTCCCGTAATTACCTGCTTCAGTGCAAAGAGATGGGTACACAGTTACATTTCCTAAGAAGTTTTACCTAATGTATTTGAATGGTTTATCCCTTCAGTCATTACAGATGACCCAGCATGACAAGATACTTATTCTAGATCCAATACAGGTAATTGTGGAAATATGCTATTAGAAGAGACAAGGCTGTCACTAATTCACATTACAACCTAAAAATACCAAAGCATAGCAAATGGCCCATTTAACTGGCATCTCCCAAAGCAACTGAAATCTTCTACCATACCTACTACTCAGAAAATAAAAACAGGAAAAGAGGATGAGCAATCATTACATAAGTGTCAACTGTCTTTTAATTTGAATTTAACATTTTTGGGTGCAATAAACTGAAGACATCATACCATAACTCTTGAAAAGCTCAGGCTGTTTGAGGGGCAATTCAATTATTTCTCTAATTGCTTTCAGCTGGCTACTTAATCCTCCTATCATGTCATAAGTTACTTTGAATTGGTTGTCTTGCTCTTTTGAATTTTTATCAATCTCTGTAAAATTGACTCTTGTTGTTGAAGAAATAAAATAAAAAGTATCAGTATTGCACTTTGCTCCTATGCTGAACTTTAGCAGTCTCTCTTCTTCAGTAAGTTGCTCATTTCCTTCTCTGGCAGATTCAAAATTACATTTAAGACCTGTGACTTCCTCTAGCATAAGTCCACTGCCATCTCCAGGGCTCTGTGTAACATCCAGCAAAACATCACTGGCTTTATTTGTAATTCTGTCATCAATTGGTTTATAAGGAGTACTTCTTGATGTTGGGATCTGGGTATCCTCCAGATCTAACTGGCTTAGCTGTAAGGATAACTCCAGGCTACTGGTTTCCATGCTGGACTGTTCAAAGGCCATTCTTTGGGCATCAGTGTCAGAGTCACTCTGAGGCCCTCCCAATATCATGCCATCTGCCCCTTTCACTCGCAATACTTGCAGCTTGTACGGTCGTCCATAGAATGTACAATACAGAAAGTTGCCTGGTAAAACAATCTTGCCATCTAGAAAACAGTATATTAAATATACATGTTAGCATAATTTTTTTTACCAGTTTAATGTTTAAATAGCAATATATTTCATCTATTATCTGAAAAGACTAAATCAAAGACAGAGTATTAATAAAATAATTGTCATAAAAAATTGAGGACCTAATATTCCCCTATAACACCATCTGGAGACAGAAGGAAATGATTCTCTGAAATCCTCCACACTCAGTAGATCTCAGATTCTATCAATCACATCAACAAATAGCCAGGCATTCCATATTCAATAATAAACTAAATGAAAATGGCACACCCAAACCAACACTCCAAGATAGCATCTGTCACTGGAAAGGGCAAGAATGCAAAGGTTAAAAGTCTCAATTCTACCACTGACTCTTTCCACAGACAAGTCATATATTCTTTCCACTGCTCAACTGCCAATTAACCAGGAAAAGTAGCACATCCCTATCTTAAAAGTATATTCATTCATTGAGGGGAATATTCTCAAAGCTATTTTGAAGAAAACTACTATGCATATATAAGCCCTCAAAGACACTTTATTTGCTGATGCCTTGCAGCTTAAAACTTAAGAAAACAATTTAAAATATTTGTCTCACCTAGTTTTCTCAGGATACAACCAGTCAGTTCTTCTTCATTAATTTCCATATCTTTGTCACTGTAAAAGGATAAGAAGGGAACAGAAATCAGCATTAGGTACACCAGAAACTAAACTGTGATGTAAAATTACATGTATATGGTTATAATATAGACTTAATCAAAAGAATAATCCACCTGCAACCTTAAAATAAATAATGTATACAATTTTGAAATGATGGGCATTTTTCAGAAACATATAGCCATGAAAATATCATTTGGAATCTGGTGCCTTAGTGGCCTAAATCAATGTTCTTCAAAACACAAGGGTAATGAAATCATTTCAGTCAGCCTCATTCAGCACTTTGTTAATAGAATAAGAAATGCAGGGTACACTGAATATAGAAAGGGTAAATACTGCTTTGTAAAACATTAACTTCTAACACATACATACACACATGCACACATATGAGCACTATTATCTATGGATGTGTATATACAAAGAATCTGATGAAAAATCCATTTTTTATTGTCATAGGCAAAAACATTTTTAAAATGCTGACCTAAACTAATAATTCCCTTTATAAAGTTGCCTAGCTTGGAGAAAGACTCTAATTAATAACTTACTTCACTCTCTCAGTATAACTTACAAATTATTTCTTCAAGAAAATTAAGTCCTATACAGTATGTTACTTGAAAAGGCAGAAGTAGGAAAAAGAGGAGTAATGGTTACAATGAAGGTTTTTTTCTGGAGAAAGGGCATGACCAAGGAAAAATGAGATCCCCTCCTTCCTAATGATAACTGTGTCACCCCAGAGAGTTGCTTAAGTGCAGGAAGTGAACACACCTAAATATCATACATTTATAAAGAAATCTGCTCTTGAGGAGTTCTCAGAACATGAGCATTTTTCCTCCTCCTCTTGTGCATAAGCAGCCCATATCAGGAGGGGAGACAAACAGCTGTCTAGTTCTGTCAGTGACCAGTGGAGGGGGGACAGTTTAGCTCAAGGGGAAGTGTAAGTGATTGGAACTGAGCATGGTGGCTCATGCCTGTAATCCCAGCACTTTGGGAGGCTGAGGTGGGTGGACCGCTTGAGCTCAGGAGTTCAAGACCAGCCTGGGCAACATGGCAAAAATTCATCTCTACAAAAAATACAAAAGAAAACTAGCCAGACGTGGTGGCATGTGCCTGTGTGCCCATCTGGTCAAAAAATACCTTGTTCTCCAATCACTTTTTTTTTTTTTTGAGATGAGGTCTCGCTCTGTCACCCAGGCTGGAGTGCGGTGGTGTGATCTCAGCTCACTGCAACCTCCACCTCACAGGCTCAAGTGATCCTCCCACCTCAGCCTCTGGAGTAGCTGGGAACACAGGCGCTCACCACCACGCTCAGCTAATTTTTATACATATATATTTTTTGTAGAGGCGGTGTTTCACCATGTTTCCCAGGCTGGTCTCGAACTCCTAAGTTCAGGCGATCCACCCACCTCAGCCTCCCAAAGTGCTGGGATTACAGGCGTGAGCCACTGCGTCTGGCTTCCAATCACTTTTATCAGTAATAATACAATATAGTCAATCCTCAATACCTGTGGATGCTGTATTTGCAAATTTACCAACTCCCAAAAACTTATGTGTACCCCAAAATCAATACTCACAGAGCATTTGTGGTCATTAGTGACATGGAAGAGCAGCAAAAAATTTGGGTGACCCAACACCCATGTTACCATGTAGGATGAGGTGACACTCTGCCTTGTTTCAGCTTTCATTCAGAGATGACCAGAGAATGGAAGTGATAGGGGACACAGCAGTGTAGTGAAGAAGCTCCAGGCCTGGGGTCAGTTGGAGGGAGTGTGAATCCCAGCACTAGCACCTCAGGCAAGTCCCTTAACATTTCTAACACTTCTAAATCTCCTCTTCTGTTTTGTAAAATAAAGAAAATAAAATCTACCAGAAAGAATTACTTTGGAGTTTTAAGGTTATAATCTATGTAAAATGTGTGTGTATGTATATATATTATATATATACATACGCTACATATATTGTGTGTGTTGCATGTATGTATATACACACACATACGTATTTCCCTCTAGGAGAAATGGTTCAGTATTTGCTAACGGTGTTCAAGGCAACTTTAATAGAACATAACTAACCACAAATAATGAGAATCAACTATATATTCATATAAAAGAGAGAACAAGAGAGAAATACAATGAGGGGGAAATTTCATGAATCAAATATATGTATAAACTAATGAGAAAATTGCATGTATCTCCTTAAATGCTTACATTTACTTTTGTTTATGGAACTCTAAACCAAGTTATACTTAAATTGCTTTTGTTAAACTCTGAATAGAAGGTATTTACAAATACATGTAAAAACAGTAAAAATATCAAACCAATTTTGCTTTTAAAAAAATAATAGTTGCACATAAAATAATTTCCACTAGAAGGAGCTCTAACATTACTATTAATAATAAAATCTTACAGTTGCAACTGAAGGATTTAAGCAGACTAAAATGACTGATTTTCCCAACTGGAAGTTAACTTTCTTGTCTATACTCTGCTGCCACATTTAAAACATAAGATTTTTTAAAACATAAGATTTTTTAAAACAAAATTTTAAAACCTGAGCTTTCATTTAAAACATATCCAGTCCTCTCTAATAAGCAATCATTACTCACCTAAGACTGCTGTGCGCTCAAGAGGTCTGACTAGTTTGTAGGTCATCATAAATGCTAATTCCAGTCAACGAATTACTGCTACCTGTAGCACCATTTTAAGACATAGTCTGAGGAATAATCCAGTTTAATCTCAACAGTACTATTAACTACCTCATAAAATATTAGGCAAGTTCTCCTCAGACTATTTCATCTGTTTAAAAAGAAAAGGGTAACTGTGTGTGTGTGTATACATACATGCAATATATACAAAGCTTCTGTATACAGCCGGTACTCAACATATTGTCTCCTGTCCCTTCTGCTTTTTATTGTTCATTAAACTGTTACTATAAGCTCTGAAAACATTCTCCTGTTATAAAGGAAAAAATATGCCAAAACTCAAGTCTAAAATCTACAATAGTAGCAAAAGAGAACATATTAAAATCAAGCTGATGACTAGAAAATGGTTTGTAATTCTCACATATAATGTAAACACATCCCCCAAACTATTACTAAGGTGACATTAAAGTATAAAAAGATGCTTTTTGTAAATGATTTTTGAGAAGACTTGTATATGCAAACCAAGTCGATATCCTATTAGATAATAGAATATCCAGGAGGATGGATGATATACCTTAACTACCTTGATAGGTAGATTCAAACAATTACCCTGTGGTGAGGGATTATTTTAAAATCTGATAGTAATGACGGTTTGTTTTACTAAATCGAATAATCAACAAGTTAAAATATACAATCAGGTTCTTTGCTTGCATAGTCTTAATTAAAACTTGTTTCTGTTTGACTCACAGTAATCTACTCTTTTCTTTACAACTGTAAAATAAGAAGCCCTGATTACACTGCAAGTCAAGGTGAAAAACACTGCTAAATATGCATCAATGAAAATTACTCTCACCTAAAATGTCAGGGCACACTCTAATCATGGAAAATCAAAGTCCTTAGTCTATAAATTATATAGCACTCATTTAGCTTGGGTTGTCTAATATAACACAAGTGGCCACTAGCCACTCAGCACATGTAGCTATCAAATGTTTAAAATGGGGCTAGTCCAAACTGTGATGTGCTACAAGTGTAACATACACATTGATTTTGAAGACTTAGCTTGAAAAAAAGGATGCAAAATATCTTATTGGTAACTTTTTTTTTCTTTGAGACACAGTCTCACTCTGTCACCCAGGCTGGAGTGCAGTGGCGCGATCCCAGCTCACTGCAATCTCCACCTCCCAGGCTCAAGCAATCCTCCTGTCTCAGCCTCCCAAATAGTTGGGACTACAGGTACACACCACCATGCCCAGAAATTTTCTTTTTTGTATTTTTTGTAGAGACAGGGTTTTGCCATGTTGCTCAGGTTGGTCTTGAACTCCTGAGCTCAAGTAATCCACTCACCTCGGCCTCCCAAAGTGCTGAGATTACAGGCATAAGCCACCGCGCCCAGCCCTTATTGGTAATTTTTTATAATTACATGTTAAAATACATTTTTATATATACTGGTTAAATAAAACATACTATTGTAATTCATTGTACCTGTTTCTCTCTACTTTTTAAAATGTTACAAGAAAATGCAAAATTACATATGTGGTTTACATTTGTGACTCTTATATTTCTACTGGGCAGCTTTGATCCAGATAGTCACCAAAGAAAAGAGCCAAACCTCAGTGCCACATCCATTTCCTCAGCCTGTAGCACAGCACCCACAAGAGGCTGGACCTGGATGGCATCACCAGGCCTCACACCCACATTTTTCTGTGCCATTTCACTCAGGCCGACCTTGCCTCCAGGAAATCCTGCCATAGGCCAGGCTGTATACACCTGCCAGACAGAGGAAATAAAAATGTTAGAAAATAAATATTCATAGAATACCATCAATTTATAAGGTAGAATGCTAAGCACAGTCAAGCACTTAAGATATGCAAAATACAGTCTTTACCCAAAAAGAGTTACAATCTGATACCAATTGCAATAAGATAAATTGCATTTTTTAAAAAATTTAAATACTACATGGGCTCATGAAAAATAAACTTTTTAATAAATATTACATCTTTTTCTAAAGATCAAGAATGATCCCACAGTGAAGACGGTAGAAGATATGAAAAATATATGAAAAAAGATAAAGGCATTAACAGGTGATAATGAGAAAATGACAAAAATATTAAGGCAAAATAACTTGTAAAGTAATCCAGCCTGGAAATTAAACTACATCCAGGAAATAGTGAGGGACACAGAACAAGAGCTTTGTCAGAACCTGGGTCTTATCAGATTTAAATGTTAAGAGGGAGGAGCGAAAATTTCTAGCTTAAGCTCACACATTTATAGTCCTCTCTTCTAAAAGACACAGTAAAGGACCTTTAAAGCATAAGCCAGAAAAATGAAAAGAATAGGAGGGGTGCCATCAGCAGACAAAAAATTTCAAAGTATTTCCAAAGGATCCCCAGCAAATCAGAGAAGCATCAAAGGAAGCCATGAAAGATAAGGGGCTGGTAGCAGAAAAGAAAGCCAAGCTGCCAAAAATGATCCAGGAAAGGTTCCAGGCTTAGAATCTCAGGTATGAAAAATGACAGCAAGGAGAAACAGCTGAAACAAGGGAGAATAGTAAAATATTTATATACAGAACAGGTGACCTTCTTACCCCCAAAATAATATTTTTATAAAGAAATATAACTAACTGACAGGGAGAAATACTGTCACTATCGCCGGAGGCAACACTTCTCTCTACATAACATTTTAGGGGCTACTATGCCCAGCAGAGTCATAGACAGCAAAGGAACAGAGTTAATATACATGTTAATGTCTTTTAAAATACAGTTTTTCATTTATTCCTGCTTGTGTTGAAAATTAAAATCAGAAACATCTCAAACACAGGTTGAGTATCCCTTATCCAAAATGTTTGGGACCAGGAGCGTTTTGAATTTTCCATTTTGGAATATTTGCCTTATGTTTACTGGCTAAGCATCCCAAATCTGAAATCCAAAATGTTCCAATGAGCATTTCCTTTGACTACCATGGCACTCAAAAGCATTTCAGAGTTTAGATTCTTGGATTTGCAATGTTCAGTTTGTATTTCTAAACTAAGGAAATGAAAAAGACTCTTACCTCTTGCTTTCCGTTCAAACTAGTAAGCAACACTGGTCGACCTATACATATATTTGCAGACTTCATAGTGTTGAGTCCAAGATGAATAAGGGAATTCTGGAATGTTTTAGGAATTTTGTCATCTACTATGAAGGAAAAGAAAATTATTTTTGTACTACTTTGTAACAGAAGTTAAGGCATGCTTTCTTTTGCAGTAAATAAAAATACTCTAACCATATAACCACATGAATGTACTTACCATACCCTGGAGAAACTAGTGTTCCAACTTTTGTTATAACAAAACAGATTTAAAATCAAATGCTTTTGAGGGTCTACTGGCAACATATTAAGTATTAACTAAAAAGAAGATGTTTTATGGGGTGAGTATTGGTTTCTTTTTTTCTGAGTCTCTAATTTCATTAAGAAGTAAACATAATTGCAAAAGAGAGTCTCTGAGCTTTAAGTTCAAAGTTGAGTCAGCTACTAGTATTCAAAGGATTGAACTGGGAACTGGCACATCTATCTGGCTCTAGAGGATTAAGTTATGTTTCTACTTCTGCCCCACATTATGGTCACCAGATCTTTTTCTTTTGTATTACCAAGAATACGTAAAGAGAGTAACAGAAGTCGTCTTCCTTATACGAACACACACCACTAGTGATTTCAACTTTTGGCTGAAAAAGGGGGTCCAGAATTCAGGCCAGTTAACAACACCTCTGAAAATGATGTGCTGTCATCTCCACTCCTTTCTATCCACCCCACCCCCACCAAGCTCCATATTTAGTTAGGTGTCCCTCCTCTAATTCCTCCAGCACTCTGTGCTGCCAGTTAATAGCATTTACCATAATATTCATTTGTTTTAGTCTTTCTCCTTAATTGTATACTGCTTTGAAGCAGGAATTGGGTCCTATTTCTCTCTGTATCTCCAATGCTTACAGTGCATTAAATATAGCAGTTGCACAATAAATAGCCATAAAATGAATAAATGTAGTAAATAAGTATACAATGGTTTTCTTTTCAGCACAAAATCTATGAAACACTTAGAGAATTTAAAAATGTCACAACTTCATTATAAAATTTATTGTAAACATATATACCATAATCACAGAGCTCTACCTAAGTTTTCCTTAATAATCAGAAAACAGATATTCTGTAATAAAAAAGAAATTAAATCAAGGAAAGGAAAACCATAAGGTACCCATATGATTTACATTATTCTGTCACTACAAAACAACTCCCCAACACATTTCTTTTCCTTCTTATATGAGGTGCAAATCTAGAAAAACAAAGCATCTCACAGAGCTAAGATGAACAGCACTGAGTATAAAACGAAATGAACACATACTGCATAATACAAGAAGCTGGACAGAAATTCAACCTTCCAATGAGCATTAGTTCTCTTACATTGTTTGCTGGTCATTAACAGTAAAGCATACTGCTGTTAGATGATCTCATAATATTCAGTTCCTGCCTCTTTCTTCCTAAACCTCAATGAACTATCTTTCCCTCTTGACAATTACCACACAAGTGTTCTCAGTCCTTCCCAAGACTTTAGTTTTCTTCTTCTCCTTCCACCCTATCCAGCACATTCTCCATGTCCCAGGATTTATTCTCCACCTTGTCTTTCAATGGTAATCATGTTCAAATTCCCAGCCACTGGTCTCATTTTCCAAAACATCACCAACGTGTTCTCTGCTTACACTATATAGGTCTACTCAAGTTGTCCACACAGTTCCCTTCTCACCTCACTCCTCCAATACTTTAAAAATATGTCAACATCTAATTTCCCCATTAACTACTTTCACATTTATTGAGCACCTTAAGTATCACATTAACTAACAAGATAGTAAAGATAATTTCAAACAACCATCCACCCTTCATTTATTCATTCAGCAAATATGTACTATGTGCCTACTATATGAAAGATACTATGCTAGGCACTTTTGTTCACAAGTCCTTGGTCTCACAGAGTTTATAGCCTTGTAGGATGAGTGAGTTATTAAACAATCAGTGGATAGCTGTAAAATAATAAACTAAGATTAATACAATGAAAAAATGACTTAGAGTGCCAGGAGAGCCATGTGGGATCTGACCTAATTTCAAATAAGAGAATGTTTCTCAAAGGAAGTGATGTTAAGATCAGGTCTGAAAGAAGAGTAGGAACTAACTAAATGAGGAGAAGAAAAAGATAATTCTCAGCAAAGAGGACAGCATGTACAAAGTTCCTGGGCAGAAGGGGGTATGGCGCATCCTCAGGAGAGTATAGGCAGAGTGGTGGAGACATAGGGAAGCCATGTAAAGAAGGTCAAGACCACCCAGGACAATAGTGCAATAGGCTGCATCAAGATGCTGGTCATTACTCTGACAGCAGTGGGAGCCCAGAAAGGGATGAAAAGCAATGTCATGACAAGATCTTCATCTTACAAGATCATTCTGGCTGCAGAATGGAAAAGGAATAAGGGGCAAAATTGGAAGCTGGAAAATCAGTCAAAAGGCTGTTGTAGCAGTCCAGGTGAGAGATGATGGTGTCTGAAATTAAGGTAGAAACAGTGGGAATGGCATGCAGAAGAGGAATATGTAAAATATTTAGGTAATAAACATGATTTAGTGGTGGACTAGGTATGTGAGATATGGGGGGGAGAGTCATGGATGACTCTTAGGTTTCTGAATTTTGCAGCGGGAAAAACTGAACAGAGTTGAAGTTTATTTTGTTGGAGGAAATAACGGGCTCATGAAGTTAGTCCTGAAGTATCTTTGGGACACTCATGAGAAGAGTTATTGTACAGTGCTATTCAAAATATGACCCACAACGATTTGTTACTGCTTCATGACAAGTACAAAACAGGAGAATAAGTATATAGAAGCTTTTATTGAAATTTACAGAGTAATTTCACATCTGTTTAATAAAAATTTTTCCTTATTTTTCTAGAAAATCATTTTTACTGTATTTTAGAAAAGTGCTGATCTGTGACCTATTATAAATTTTAAAGTCTTCACCACAGAGAGCTTGAGAAGCATTTGGCTAAAAGGCAACCACATCAAGGCGCAAAAACAAAAGATTTACAAATATAAATCTGACACTGAAGAGACTATAGATGGGAAACTCTGGGCACTGGATGAACTTGCCAAGGAGACAGGATTTATTGAGAGGAAAAAAAAGGTTTTGGACTAAGAATTGACGAACTTCAACATTTAATGGTCAAGGGAAGAGGACGAGCCTGCAAAGAAAAATGATGAAACATCAACAAAGATGAAGAAAACCAGGCAAGTTTGACAACACATAAGAAGTTAAGTGTTTCGAGAAGGAGGGAATGGTCAACAATACCAAAAGTTGCTGTGGTCACGTAAGGTTTATCAACACGGAGATGCTCGGAGACCACACCAGGAACAGTTTCCATGGAATGATGGGGTGGAAGTCAAAGAGGAATAGGCTAGGGAGAGTATGTAAGTGGTGAGGCGGCAGAGACCACTCCATTTAAGAAGCTTGGCAATGGATAGAGAGACGGTTGCAGGAAGAAAATGTGGAGCTTTTGTTCTGATTTAAGATGGAAGAGAAATGAGCATGTTTACATGTCAATGGGAAGGATCTAGTTCAAAAACAAGTTGAACCTTCAGGACAGAACAAGTTGTCCTCTGATACCTAAGGCAGAGTGAAAATACCATGTGAACTCTAAATTGTCTTTAAGGTCTGATTAGACATAAAAGTTTTTGCCACTAGTCTGGTCCATTTTTCAAAGCTATTACACATCAAATATAAATTTTCAATTTTTAATTCAATTTATAAGACTTTTCAGTATAAATACGTTCTCCCAAATCAAAGGAGCTGTCATCTAGGAATGGCTTTTAAGTCAAACACATCTGGACTCAAATATCGGCTCTGCCACTTAGCACCTGTGTAGCCTGAATGGAATCACGTTAACTTTCCTCCCTCTATAAAACTGTCATTACTATACCCATCGGTCACGGCTTCTGTAGAAATTAGATGAGCTATATATACTGCTAACACTAGTGTGCAGTTACTAGCAGTTATTAAATATCATAACCTGCGTAGTACTGGAAGAAAATGCTATCATCACTCCTAAAGGCAGAGTGATCCACATTTTTACTGAATTGGTTATTTAGTTTTTTAGGATAAGTATCCCATGTTCGCTAGTTATGAACAATTTTGCAATTAAATGTGTCGTTAATGTTAAATGAGACAAAGCGTTTCAAGTGCAACTTAAAAATTCAAAATAATTTACAAAAGAGAAACCTTGGACACGGATAAACCATTTCAGCCTAACTTCTCCAGTGCAGGCGCGGCTACGTTTGCATGCTTCTTACATACAGAAGTCTTACACGCTTCTGTGCCGCTCTCAGACCCATGCCACGCCCAACTTTCAAAAGTCTCTGCACCCCAAGTCAGTATCACTGAGTCTCCCGCCCCTCAGGTTGCGCCCCCTCGGCCTCTAGTCTCCCACCCGGAATTCTTTACCCTTTTCTAATAAGTTGGTCACCGTCAGAGTCCCGGAGGTTGCCGCGAAGTCTGATCCAGCAGAAGGAGCCCGTGCCTCCGCACAAGAGGAAGCAGCAGAGGGCAAGGACGAACCATTTTCCGCGCTTTGGTTCAACCGCTTTCTATTCTTCTTGGAAGACATGGTCACAAGGTACCCTAGCCGAAGCAGTAGAAAAGCCGACTCAATGTGCGCGCTTCAACTGAGAGAAAAACTTCCGGGGCAGAAGTCAGCGAGGGTCCGCCCCTGCGCCGTAATCCCCTGAGTGGAGCGCAGCAGTGCACAGCGTGGTGGGAGGGACTGAGCGTTTTCAAAACCAGCAGTCTTTGAAACAGCTGTAACGGCATCTGTGAAAGAAGATAGGTTCCAGGAACGGAACTGCCACTTAGATTGTAAATTCCTGAAAAACAGGACGTTTTTGCATCTCCTCCCGGCTTCCCCATCCCTAAACCAACGTCTGTTGAATTAAACTACCAAACAAAATAAGTGAGTGGCGGTGGGGGAGGAGGTTTTCCCCGCTTAACTGGAGCGGGGCAAATTGCTGAGAAGGGCTGGTGGACCACTTCGCGGTCTCCTTGGCATAGCTCTGCAGAGTGGTAACCCCAGCTCAACTCTGAGGGTATTGATGGCACTCTTCTAAAATGTACGGCCGCGATCTCCGCTCTGGAGCGCGGAGGGGTCATTTGGGCAACGGACGAATTAAGCGGCGTGGAGATGCGGCAGCCACTGAGCTGGGGCCGCTGGCGCGCGATGCTTGCCCGAACCTACGGCCCCGGGCCTTCGGCGGGTTACCGCTGGGCCTCGGGCGCACAGGGTTACGTGCGGAATCCGCCAGTTGGAGCGTGCGATCTGCAGGGCGAGCTGGACAGATTCGGGGGCATCTCGGTGCGCCTGGCGCGGCTCGATGCGCTGGACCGCCTGGACGCTGCCGCCTTCCAGAAGGGCTTGCAGGGCAAGTGCGCCTGGGACGAAGGGCTCCCGGGGCTCCAGAGCTTTTCTAATGAAATAACCGCGGCCCCCACTCCCTAGTCGCTCTGTGCACCACTGTCGAGCCCAGAGGGAAAGGGAGAAGGCACGCGTGACCTGGACCTGTTTTCTGGAGCATTCGTGCTTAGACCTTTTGCTGGGAGGTCTCTAAGGCGGTTGGGTGAAATGGTGAAGATCCCGGACTTTGGGATCTGCAACCCTGGTTGCTGGTCCACTTTCTACTGTGCGACATTCGGAAATTGCCGTAAACCACCATTTCCTCTTCCACAGACCCCGGTGATAAGAACTCCTGGAATTACTGAGAGTTAATTTGGATAATGCACATAAAGTGCACAGCACAGTGCCTGCCACGTATTTAAAGCTCAGTAGATGTTTGTTAATATTATATTATTACATTATTAGTATCCTTTACCGAGCCTTGGTTCTGTCGGACACTTTTCCCAAGGAAAAAAACTCTTACATTCTAATACGGGTGGTGGACTGAGTGGACCAAAGAGGCTTTTCTTTTTTATTTTTAATTTTTGTGGGTCCATAGTAGGTGTGTATGTTTATGGGGTATATGAGCTATTTTGATAGAGGTATAAATGTGTAATAATTACATCAGGGTAAATGAGATACTCATCACCACAAGCATTCAACCATAATCCAGTTACTCTTAGTTATTTTTAAATGTACAGTTTGTTTTTTTTTTTTTTTTTTTTTTTGAGAGAGGGTATCATTCTGTCTCCCAGGCTAGAGTGCAGTGGTAGGATCAGGGTTCACTGCAGCCTCCAACCCCTGAGCTCAAGCAATCCTCCCACCTCAGCCTCCTGGGTAGCTAGGACTACAGGCGCGCATCTGGCTTTTTTCTATTTTTTCTAGAAACGGTGTCTCACTGTGTTGCCCAGGCTGGTCTCAGTCTCCCGGGCTCAACTGATTCTCCCGCCTTGGCCCCTCAAAGTGCTGGGATTACAGGCAGGAGCCACTGCACCCAGCCTGAATCTTTATTGAATATAGTCACCCTGTTGGGCTATCAAATACTAAACCAGAGAGGTTCAGAGTGTCACATTTGTATACAAATTGGGTCAACAGCTGTCTCAGCGAGAACTGGAGTTTTTTAGAATAACGCTTCTTTTATGATTAACCAGGGACGGTGGTGGGTGGTTTCAGTCTTCAATAAGAAAACTTTTTACTGGCTTTCAACCTTGAGCCCAATGATAAGAAAGCTTGGATGGAGGAGCCTTCACTTTGGAAGAAGTCGATTTAGTGGTGCAGCAGTTTTTCAAACGGCCTCTGAGGGTTTTATAATCTAATTGAAGGCATAGCATGCAAATTCAACTATGGAAAAATCTCTCACACTGGAAACTCAAAATAATCTTTATCCTATTGAGCAATATGGCAAGAAGCATATCTGTAAATATAATTGAGCTAGTTATTTCAATGTTTACTCATCCTCATTCCCAGACTTCTTACCTCTTCACATTATTTTCTCTCCTACTTGCTAGTAATTGCTGACAAGCCCGCTTATACTGCAACAGTGTCACTAATAGGAGAATCAATCGTTTTATCTTCCAGTGTGTGGGTAGACACAGGTGTTGTACCCACTGATACTTATCAATGACCAAACAGGTGATCAAAGCACTACCCCAGTCAGCATGACAAAGCAGAAAGCTGTGCGATTTGGAGGTGCACATTCTGGGTTTAAGTACCAGGTTCTGCCATGTGCTTAGCCAGGCATTAGGCAAATTGCCACCAAAAATATTTGCTTCTTAGCTTGCTTTTTGTGAATAACGCCAGCTCTAATTACTGGATAGATGCGTTGATCAAAGATGAAACTAATTTGTAAACTTAAGTACCAAATACTTGTTATATTTTTTCAATAAAACAAATTTTGTTGCACTTAATGGTAGATGTTTTAGGATCTTTATAAATAGTAATTAATCCTCCTAACAACCCTTTGAGGTAGATAGCATTATTATTCCTATTTTAAAGATGACAGTAGTGAGGCACAGAGAGAAAAATTTACTTGCCCTGGCTCTACACCTTTCTTACTGCACTATGCTACCTTGAAGAACTCCTGCTGGTTCTGTTGTTATAATTGAACAAAACTAACTGAATGGTAGTGCCTATAAAGAGAGACTATTTACACATGAAGTCCGCTATTCTTAGTCTTTATGGACTAAGAAGTCCATATTCTTGGTGGAATAAGAAGTCAACTATTCATATTCTTTTAGAACATGAACTATTGATGTTTTGTTACCAACAACTGAAGTTAGAGGGATAAACAGGCAATATGTTGTTAGCTTCACACATAACATATCTGCATCAGTAATGAAATAGCACTGGTTCTGGTCCCTGCTATGCCACTCACCAGCTATGTGACTTTAGGCAAGCCAGTCATTTCATTAGTACAAATTGAGCCCCAGTGCATAATGTAGGGTTACCCTGGAGGATTGCAAATGCATGGAATATTAAATAGAATTGGAAAAAATAGCTAATGGAAGAGATATCATTAGGTCATATGTAATAAGTTCTAATAAATTGTACAGACATAGTAGTCTTTAAATTCATAATGGTGAGCTCATGAGCAGTGGTTAGGAAAGACTGGTCAAAGATGTGGAATATGAGCTGGACTTTAAAGGATAGATATTAGCAATGGGAATGGGAGGTGAGGGAAGAAAAAGCAATAAAGCTTATTAGGGAAAAGAAGAAAGCAATTTAAAAATGATTCTAAGGTTTCAAGCATTGGTGCCAGAAATAAATAAGCTTATAAATGAAGCTAGTTTGGGGTGTAAGATTCAGTTTTGGCCAGGCGCGGTGGGTCACGCCTATAATCCCAGCACTTTGGGAGGCCGAGGCGGGCAGATCACGAGGTCAAGAGATCAAGACCATCCTGGCCAATATGATGAAACCCCGTCTTTACTAAAAATACAAAACTTAGCTGGGCATGGTGGCACGCACCTGTAATTCCAGCTACTTGGGAGGCTGAGACAGGAGAATCGCTTGAACCTAGGAAGCAGAGGTTGCAGTGAGCCGAGATTGCACCATTGCACTCCATCCTGGTGACAGAGCAAGACTCCGTCTCAACAACAACAACAAAAGATTCAGTTTTGAACACACTTTGTGAAGTCTGAAGTGGTAACCTTCAGGACAGGAAATGTCTGGGAGCAACTGGAGAACAGAAAGTTTAGTGTTCAGTGAGGTCAGGGCTGGGCAGCCATCCTCATGTATGTATCAGCTGAAGCAGTGAGAGTGGATTCTCCAAGACACAGAGTGTAGATATAAAACAGCAAGCAAATAGCATTGCTTTTAGAAAGTAGCCTTTTAATTTGATTGGAAGGATTGCCTGGGAAGGAGCACATGTGAAATGTATGGAGTGATAGAAATGTTCTATAATGTTAAAGTGTGTTACGGGCATATGCATATGTCAAATCGCATGAAATGTACACTTAAGATTTGTACATTTCACTTTATGTACTTTACCTCAATTTTTAAAAGATGTCATCAGACAAAGAGAGCAAGGTGAGAAGGACCTGATCCCATAATTCCACTGCATGCTAACTCAAATCAGGAAGTCTTTATTAAAGGCCCCATGTGCCTGTCACTGTGCTAGGCACAGCAACTTTCAAAGAGGTAGAGAACATTGTCCTTAAAGAGAGGAGCTTCCTGCAGAGCTAGGGAAAAGAGAAGGGAAAGTTAATTAACTATTTGATATATAATCAACCCCCAAAGACAGACACACACACACGCTTTATAGCGTTATTATAAAGATTAAGTGAGATGATGGATGAAGAAAGTGATCTGAAAAGCTTTTCTAAAAACTCTAAATCTGAAGTATTTATTTCTTCACCCATAAACTTAAGGTAGTAATACCTTTCATGGTTGTGCACTTAATGAGATAATATATATAAAGTGCTTGGAACTTAGTAAGTTTCAAATAGATATTAGCATCTTTTTCCCCTGGCTCAATCTTAAGTAGTAAAGAGAATTTAAAGAAGGCAAAGATAGAAAACCTATAATTATGTTCACCATGATATTATCTATAATAAGGAAAAATTAGAATTTTATTCCTATATGCTAGTAAAATGTGAAGTTTGATTTCTTCATATTTTTTATTTTCAAAATTTCTACAACCAGCATACATTATTTAAAAACAAAGTTTAACTACCTTGAAATTTATACATTAAAAACATTATAACAGAACTCCTAAAGGAAGAAAAAAATAGAAGTCCATAATTGTCTTTAAGATTAAACCTAAGGATGTTAAAAGGAACAGCATTCAAATGGTATTTGATTCGGTTTAAATCCTTTTATTTGTCCACTCTAAAACTACAGAACATCTGTTACGTGCCAAGCATTGTCTTTGGTGGTATGGATATAAAGGTCAGCAGTGTAATGACTTTATTCTGAAGGAATTCAGTCTGATGGAAAAATCATATAAACAAGGTGGTTACTATAAAACATGGTACTTCCAGTGCCAGCGATGTGAACAAGACATTTGGGGACCTCTTTTGCTTAAAGATGGTTTCCTGGAGGAGGCGAAACCCTGAGGTGAGTTTTAATTTATTCCACTCGTCTCTTTGGAAATTATTTAGACTTTTTTCTTCTGCATTTAGCTGCAGTACAGCAATGGCGATCAGAAGGTAGAACAGCTGTATGGCTGCACATTCCCATCCTCCAAAGCCGATTTATTGCCCCTGCTGCTTCCCTGGGCTTCTGCTTTCACCACGCAGAATCGGATTCATCAACGTTGACTCTGTGGCTGAGAGAAGGGCCCAGCAGATTACCAGGATATGCTTCACATCAAGTAGGAGTTGCAGGTCAGTTTCAAACTCATGATGAGCAGAATTAACTTTTTAGACGTTCACCCAATTTCTTGCTTGTTACAGCTAAGCAAATAGTTTATTCATGTGGAATGAGTTATTTGATTAAATGATTACGGTGGTTCCACCCTATCTGCACAGGATGTGTTCCAAGACCCCCAGTGGGCACCTGTAACCGCAGATAGTACCAAACCCTATGTATATATACCATGTTTTTTCCTATCACACATATTTATGATAAAGTTTAACTTATAAGTTAGGCACAGTAAGAGATTAACAGTAACTAACAATAAATTAGAACAGTTATAAAAGTATAGTGTAATAAAAGTTATGTGAATGTGGTCTCTCTCAAAATATTGTTTTGTATTCACCCTTTTGTATTCACCTGCACGATGAGGTGAAGTGAGGTGAATGACAGGCATTATGACCTAAATGGAAAATTCCAGAAAAAAACTCTTAAGTTTTAAATTGCATGCTGTTCTGAGTAATGTGATGAAATCTCTCACCATCCTGCTCTGTCCCACCAGGCCGTGAATCTTCCCCATATCCAGTGTATCCATGATCCATAGGCTACCTATCCATTAGTTACTTAGTAGCCTTCCCTGTTATCAGATCAGCTGTCCCAGTATCACAGTACTTGGATTCAAATAACCCTTATTTTCCTTATTAATGCCCCGAAGCACAAGAGTAGTGATGTAACACTTCGAGACTATGGTTGACCTTGTATAACTGAAATCACAGAAAGCAAAACTGGACAAGGGGGACTACAGTATCTATTACATAGTGCTTTTAAATAGGACTATTACATAGTGCTTTTAAATAGATGAAGTTTGCCTCAATCAGTAGACAGACGCACAGAGAACAACTTTAGTGTTTAGTTTTCCAAAGGATATGCTTGAATATATTTTACACATATAATTAAACTTCACTACTCAAATAGTAGCACTGAATTGGGATCAGGGAATAAATTTATTGCAGAGTAAAACATGTTGGCACTAATTATGTAAATTTGTAAAGTAAATGATCATTTTTATGTTGAATTTCAGGTAAAGCAAACCAATTTTTCAATGATTTGAACAATTACTTCTTAATAATATTTACATTATTGTGCCAAACAGTTGTTTAAAATCGTGTAATTTAAGTGTAGAGTAGAATTTTGAAGTGGCTGATTAGCTTCAGAGACATAGGAAAGTTGAGAGAAGACTTCCCTCAGAGTAAGACACAGATTCTCACATTGTAGATTGCATCAAAATCACCTGGAATCTTAAAACAGATTGCTGGGCCCTATCCCCAGAGTTTCTGATTCAGTAGGTCTATGGTGGGACCTGAAAATTCAGGTGATCTTCCTGGCTGTTTCTGTTTTTGCTGCTGCTGCTGCTGCTGGTGGTGGTCTCAGTACTACCCTTTAAGGACCAAAATTCTTAGATTTCTAGAAAAACTATAATAGTAAGGGATCCTTATGACCTTAATAAATGAAAGCAATGAAGCATATTAGTTATTTAATTAATAATTTTATTTGCCTTTATATAATTTACAAGAGTTTTTAAGGTAGTTTGCTTTTCAAGGCTTTTCAAGGAGTTGTTCAAGAATGCCTAATGATGTCTTCTCTGTCCCTGTCTTACTTCCCTGTAGCAAGTAGACATTCAGAAACTCTCCGTTCAGCTCTATTTCAAAAGATTCTACTCAATAATTTAGTGACAGCCTCACACTTCAATGGAAAGTTATGCAAATAATTATCATTCACGGGCACAGACTCTTAAGAGTTCCCAGTTATTACTACAGAATTGGTAATATATGCAAAAAGAGTATCCTATGAAGGGCCTGTTGATAACTAAGTACTATATTGTATATTGTACATTATAGTTTAGAGTGTCAGAGCAGTTCAAAGAATAAGAGATGCAGAACTTGACCAATCTTGAACACTAACTAGGATTTGAAGCCACTGTTGGGGGTGTGGACGAGGTAATGTAAGAAATTGTTCTGGAAAGGTGCAGAGTTGTTTTTTTTTTTTTTTTTTTTTTTTTTTTTGAGGCAGGGTCTCACTTTGTCACCCAGGCTGGAATGCAGTGTCATGATCTGGGCTCATTCCGACCTCCACCTCTTTAGCTCAAGTGATCCTCCTGCCTTAGCCTCCCAAGTAGCTGGGACTACAGGCATGCGCCACCATGCTAGGCTAATTGTTGTATTTTTTGCAAAGATAGGGTTTCGCCATGTTGCCCAGGCTGGGGTGCAGAGTTTTTAGGTGGAAAGAAAAATAATTGGCATTTGTTATAAACTACCGAAGGCAGATGTGGCTGGAATAGCTGGAGCCATTGCTTTCTTTTGCTTTTCAAACTTAGCAAGCTTGTGTCTGACTCAGAGCCTTGACATCTACTGGCTCCTCTTCCTGCAGCATGCTTCTCCAGAACTTTCTTTATCTAGTTCTTCATAGCCGAAGTTTCTGCTCAAGTGTCTCCTTCTCAGAAAAGCCCCTGACCCTTCTGTTAGAAGTGACTTCTCCCTGCACACTAGTGCCATCATTCCTTGTCCCTTTATCCAGCTCTATGTTTCTTTATGGCATTTATCACAGTCTGAAACTCTATTATATCATGTATGTAAATTAATTATATTGTATCACTTAATCTCCCCCACAATAATATAAACTCCATAAAGGCAGATATTTTATCTGTCTTGGTCACCACGATATCCTCAAGCTAAAGACAGCGAGTGACATAAAGTAGATATTCAATATTTTTTTAATGAATGGGATGGAAATGTGAGTCTTCTGAGAGAGAAGTTTCAGTATTGTTGAGGGGCAGCATTGCACAGTGAGAAGAGTGTGCCTGCCTAGAATCCAGACAGACTGGCTATCAGTCCCAGTTCTACCAGTTAGAGCTATATGAAGCCAGACACTCATATCACTCACAGGATTATTGTGACTTATACCTGAGCTAATGTACGTTGAAGCACAGTGCCTAATCATAATAATAATTTTTATGTTGTGACCAGCAGAGGTCGCTCAAATTGTGCTTTAGTGGTGCTGGTTTTGTCTCTGATACTGTGCTCATGTTTACAGTGAATTCATTAGGGACAAGTTCAATTTGAGTAACCACAAATTATTAAAATTTAAGAGTAAGTTTCCTTGGCATTTCTTTGGCAGTCTACCTCTTGTAAAGTCCAGTTAAATTATAGCTTACATTTTCTAATAGAAGCCAACATTAATGTTAATTATATCTCACTTGGTGATTTTCCTTCCTGCTTTAAAATAGTCAAGTGTGGTGTTTTCATTTCAATTGCATTTCAATTACTTTTCCCCATGTTACACATATTTATTCCTTCTCTATATTCTACATAGCATTTATCACCTTCTAATATTCTATATAATTTATTTTTTGTTTGTTTTGGCGCCTCCCCACACACATACCAGAATGTGAACCCCATAAGGATAGGGAGTTTCATTTGTGTTGTTCACCACTGTATCTGTAGCACCTAGAAAAGTGCCTGGCACATAGTAGGAGCTCAATTAATATGCACAGGATCTATGTACATTATATAGAGGAACTCAGTTAATACTGAAAGCATGGACAAATATGTAGAAAGTATCTTTTAAAAAATGTCATCCCACATTATTTAAATACAAGTAATGTTTAAATCATAACATCTAAAAGATCATAATAAAAATCACTAATACGTCATTTGTATTTTTGACCCAAGATTGCCCAAAGGGAAATATTTTTAAAAAGAAAGAGAGAATATGCAATGTGTATGATGAATGAATAAACAAAAAAAAATGAACTAGAACTTAAAACATATATAAAACAAAGAACTCTTCCAAAGCAGTATATTAGTAGATTATAAAGTTGTGTATATACATAATAAGAAAATTTAATTGGCTTCAGAAAGGTCTTGAAATGAATATTGAGATATTTGAGATTTGGATCATCAGGGGGCACAGCCTGTGTTGTATGCATAGTGATTCAAGGAATAAAAATGAGAAGTCAATTCATTTATTCAATAAATATTGTAAGCACATCTGTTGTCTGAATGTTTGTTCCCCCTAAAATTCATATGTTGAAACCTGATCCCCAATGTGATGGTATTAAGAGGTGGGGCCTTTGGGAGGTGACTAGATCATGAGGGCAGAGCTCCCATGAATGGGATTAGTGTCCTTATGAAAGAGGCCTACAGGAGCTTGTTTGCCCCTTTCACTATGTGAGGACAGGGCTAGAAGGCATCGTCTGTAAAGAATGAGCCCTTATTAGACACTGAATCTGCCAGCACCTTGATCTTGGACTTCCTAGCTTCTAGAACTGTGAGAAATAAGTTTGTTGTTTATAAACTATCCAGTCTGTGGTTATTTTGTTATAGCAGCCCAAATGGACTAAGACAGGCACTTAGTGTCTTCATGGATGAGGTGGTGGTACAGCTTGACCATCCCCAATCTACAAATCTAAGATCCAAAATGCTGCAAAATCCAAAAGTATTTGAGCACTGGCATGATGCCACTAGTGGAAAATTCCATACCTGACCTCATGTGACAAGTCACAGTCAAAATGCAGTCAAAACTGTTTTCATGCACAATATTATTTAAAATATTGTATAAAATTGCCTTCAGGCTATGAGTATAAGGTGTATATGAAACATAAATGAATTTCATGTTTAAACTTGGGTCCTATCCCCAGGATACCTCATTATGTATATGAAAATATTCCAAAATCCAGAAAAATCTAACACTTCTGCTCTGAAACATTTTAGATAAGGAATACTCAACCTGTATTTGAACCAAGGCTTCAAGTATGGGTAGAATTTTTATCACCACAGATAGAGAGTGTGGGAGGAGATTAAGGTGAATGAAATTAATATTTCTCAATTATCTTTTCTTTTTCCCCTAATAGGAGCTGTATTTGATGAAAGTACTAGAAAAATACTGGTTGTACAAGATCGAAATAAAGTAAGCTGCTTCTGTTTTATAAATTGCTTCCTAAATGTTTATTTCTTTCTAGAGAAGAATAAAATATAGAAATTTTAATATGCCTAAGGGGTTATAGAAAGGTATTTTAAAAATCATTTCTAAGCAGTTATGGATCACCTTAGATATTTATTTAAACCAAACTACTTATACAGACCTTGAAAATTTCCAGGTAACACTCAGTGTTACTATCTATTACTTTATGGCTAAAGGAAAATTATAAATGACTGTATTTAATTGGGAAGACAAGTCTGCTTTAATATATTACCAAGATATTCTTCCATTCATTCAGCATTCAATGAGTTTCTACTCTGTGCCAGGTGCTGAGAATATAAAAAGCAGTAAGACGATATACCTTATGCCCTGCAGCTTACTATTTATTTGGAAAGACAGTCATACAATAGATGACAGCAATTAACTTTGCCTGAAGAAGTCCCCAAAGACTTCTCAAAGGAGGTGAAATTTAAACTAGGTCTTGAAGAATGAGTAGGAGCTTTCCAGGTGCAGAAGAAAAAAAATAAAAAACAAACTGATAAAATTCGAATTGCTTATACAAAGGCACAGAGCTCAGAAAGGGACTGACATAGTTTAGAAATAATGGTAAAAAGTTCAGTGTGGCCCAGAATATGGACAGTGGTAAGATATTTGACTTGAGAGCTAGATTGGAAACAATGTGAAGAGGATTGGATACCAAGATAAGGAGTCTAGGTGACTAGAAGCAACAAATATTTCCCAGAGAAGTACCGTGATTAGGGATCAGATGTTTTCATGCTCAGGAGTCAGAAGTAAAAGTGAAAGAGAATAATGATTTTGATACTTTCTGAGACTTCAGCAAATATTAGTGGACATAGTCAAACATTTTTCCCCACCACATATGTTCTTAAAGTTTAAATTAATGTTTGTAATGATAGCTGAAAGCAGTGTCACATATTTCTTGGAAATGCTATCTAAAACTATTCTTATGGCTCCAAGTAACTTTGAAGTTTTCATTAAGGCAGGATCTCTGATTCAAATTAAGCTTTTTGTCCTCAACAGAAATTTATAGAACACCTAAAGTAGTATTGTACCTAGCCCTCAATAAGTTTTATATTTGAATTGGGACATATATATGTAACGGTTATGACCAGAGAGTAGGAGGCATTATTGAGTGGTAAAAGTAGGGCCTAGTCATGAGAACCAGGCAGATGAGTTTAGACTTGACATGGAAACAGTAACTATTAAAAGATTTTGATTGTGATGACAAAATGATGAAGATGATATATGGACAAAATTAATCTAATAACAATATGCAAATTAGCCTGACAACAGTATGCCCAATGAGAGGGAGCTGATATGAACAAAATGGACTTGGGAGCCAGACTGACCAGAGTTCCAATCCCTTTGCCACTTCTACTTTGTAAAGTTGGCTTCAACCCAGAGTGGATATTATAACTCTCTCCAATATAGCAGATAGATGATATGCCCGAAATACTGTATGTACAAGTAACATAAATTGATTAATTTCTTTTGTTATGTTTAAAACAAAACTATACTTTGGTATGTAGCAGTTACTTCTAAAGAGATACCATAAAAGGGTTTTACTGTCTTCTAAGTATATCCCTTTAATTATCTCTCTTTTCATTTAAAGAAGAAGTAGATCACCAGAATTTATTTAATCTTTCCTGGGCTCATGTGAATGATGTTAATGAGACAAAACGGAATCAGCAGACCCGGGTCCCTAGGATTTGGCCATGCCATTAACTGTCTTTCTGACTCTGGGGACCTAAGTTTCCCCATTTATAAAATTTAGGAGTTAGACTCAATGGTCAAACAAAATATTGTAATACTTAATTCTATGTATCTTCCATGTACATAGCATAAATACTTATACAATATATGGATAAAATGTGATCTAAGCCACTTTGGTAGTATGGAAAGAAAAGGGTAAACCATGAAGGTTTTTTAAATAGCACACTGGGTTTCAGAAGTGATTTTGTCAAATAAAATTTCATTATGGACTTTAACAGAGGCTGAAAGACAGCCAGATAACATGATTGTGCCACTCCAAGCAGTCCTTCAGGGTTGGTTAATCTACCAAATAAGAATCTAGCCATGTTATTATTCATGTCATAAAACACAGAAATTCATAGAAAACAAACTTGGGTATGTTAATGTTAAAAACTGCATTGGAATCTGGAAAAAAAGGAGCTTTCCTGGCAGATATAGCTGAATTGTCTTACTCCAAACCTAGACAGCTTTATGTTTTTTGAGTAGATTTTTTTGTTTCTTTATAAAACCTGCAAAGACAAGTGACTTAACAGGTTCAGCTTACAGAAATCAAACTCCCAGAGCAATCTGTACTTGAAATATGTAATTGAAAAGGAAAGAATTGAGTTGGGCTATATTTTTAAAACAGGGTAATAGTGAAAACTATGTTTAATAAATTTGCCTGAATTCCAGGTAAACCACTAAAACTTTTATGGTTCTCTGTTAAATCATGGTTGCACTTAATGCGTCTCTAGTTTTATTCATCTTAGTTTCAAATAAGTGAAAGTGTTTTCTGAAATGTTTCTTAGTGTTTTTCAACATAGTCAGAAAACAAAGGGAGATCCAGACCTAATGACAAAACAAATAAATAGGCGTCATCCCATTGTAGGGGAAAACTCAATCCACAGTGGCACTGTTTGCATCATTCTTTGGAATAACTGAGTTCATCCTGTAATGTTTACTTACAAAGATTCAAGTGGAGAGTTTTCCCTTTTTCCACTCTGAGTTTCTTTTGTATGGCCTTTACAGTCATTTGAAGGTCATACCTTTAGGCTTGGTGACTGTTGAGTAATTAACCCTAGATAGGTTCATGAATGGTTTATTTGGTGGCTCTTAGAACCTGTAGTCATCTCTAAAGAGAATTAAAAACCTTAATAAAGTGGTAGTACCAGCCTGTAGTGCACAGAAGGCTCTGTTCTGGCCTTTAGCCTCCTAAGAAGTCATAGCCAAACATTTGCTAATACTTATTCCTCTGTTATAGCACACATTCCTGATCCTAGTTTATGAGGTTTTCGGGGTAAAAAAAAAATTTTAATTCTATCATGTTTTGCTCTGTCAGTAGAAATAAAACCAGATAATCAAATAATTTGTGATGACATAAAATACTTGCATGAAATAATTTCCATGAAATGTTTCTCATTTAATAATCATACTTATTATTATCTCCATTATTTTAGGACTGAGATTTAGAGAGGTTACAATAACTTATTCAACATTATGCAACTAGTTAATAGGCAGAATCAGAAGCCTATAGGGTAATCTTTTCACTAAACCTAGACTAAAAAAACAACATAGGCAGGAATGGTGGTGCGCACCTATGGTCCCAGCTACTTGGGAGGCTGTGGTGGAAGGATTATTTGAGCCTGGAAGGTCAAGGCTACAGTGAGCCATGATCAAGCCACTGCACTCCAGCCTGGATGACAGAGTAAGACCCTGTCTCAAGAAAAAAAAAAAAGCTGGGATGGCGGGGAGATGATTAATTTAAGGAGATATAGAGTAATTATCAGTTCTTCTCAAAACCTAGGATGATGATCTATTTTTACAGTTTTTAGAAGACCCAAATAAAGACTGTAGACTGTAAGTAAGAAAGAAAGAAGTTTTTATTAAAAATCCTTTTGTTTTTTGCTCACTGAGATGGCTGAACTTTTCAGAGAACACATGATTCAGCAGTTGGTCCTTTAAAAGTTAACAAACTTTAATTGTTTTCCTTTACTCAGAGTTGTTTGGATTTTGAGTAAGATTAAGTCAGGGTAATAAGAGATTAATTTATAAATCAGAATGCCATTTTATTAATTCTGTTAATGGAAAAGTCAGACTCTGTAAAACATTTTTAAAAGGTTTATTTTGAACCAATGAATGACCTTGGTCTGGGAAATGCATCTCAAGAGGTCCTGCAAACGTGTGCCAGTGGGCAATTGAATTACAGTTTTGTTTAATAAGTTTGAGGGAGGCAGGAGTTACAAGCAGAGACATAAATCAATATGTGGATGGTATACATTTATTTCGCCTGAAAAGGCAGGATGTTTTGAAGAGGCAGGATGTTTAAAGAGGGGGCTTACTGGCTATAGGTAGATTCACAGATTCTCTAATTTACAATTGATTAAGGAAGTGAAGCTTTGTCTAAAAATTTAGAGTCAGCAGAAAGAATGTTTTAAGTTAAAATAAAGAAGTCTGTCAACCAATATTACACTGGGTCAGAGTGACCTGCAGGGTTGTGTGACTTAACCCTTGTCTGGCATGGCTTTAGATCCTGTTTATAATTTGGTATCTTATTGTCACAAAGAGTCCATTTTGTTACCTTATGTTAACATAATAATGGTCAGTTGTGACTAAACTCCAAAAAGGAAGGGGTATAATGCGGTGTGTCCAACCTCCCTACACATCATGGCTGGGGATTTAGTTTATAAGATTTTTTTGGGGTCCCCTTGGTCAAGAGGGGGTCCATTCAGTTGGGAGGGGTTTAGGATTTTATTTTTAGTTACAATTCACAGTAGGAGGAAAGGATCCAGGCTTTTTGTTAGTAGAAATGAATTGGAGAGATATTCCCAAATATGATATATGCTGCTTCCAAAATGTAAAAAAGTATTGCTCCAAGTGCTGTGAGTGGGGATAGTTGCAAGGTGCACCAAATCGCCCATACCTTAGAGATCTACAGATTACTGTTACCAGAAGGGGGTCCTGATCCAGACCCCAAGATAGGATTCTTGGATCTCACACAAGAAAGAATTTGGGTGAATCCGTAAAGTGAAAGCAAGTTTTATTAAGAAAGTAAAGGGGCCGGGCGCAGTGGCTCATGCCTGTAATCCCTGCACTTTGGGAGGCCGAGGCGGGCAGATCACGAGGTCAGGAGATCGAGACCAACCTGGCTAACACATGAAACCCTGTCTCTACTAAAAATACAAAAAATTAGCCGGGCGTGGTGGTGGGCGCCTGTAGTTCCCGCCACTCAGGAAGCTGAGGCAGGAGAATGGCATGAACCCGGGAGGTGGAGGTTGCAGTGAGCCAAGATCGCGCCACTGCACTCCAGCCTGGGTGACTGAGCGAAACTCTGTCTCAGAAAAAAAAAAAAAAAAAGAAAGTAAAGAAATAGGCCAGGTGCGGTGGCTGGTGCCTGTAATCTCAGCACTTTGGGAGGCTGAGGCAGGTGGATCACTTGAGGCCAGGAGTTTGAGACCAGCCTGGCTAACATGGTGAAACCCCATCTCTACTTTAAAAAAACACAAAAATTAGCAGGGCATGGTGGCGCATGCCTGTAATCCCAGCTACTCAGGAGGCTGAGGCAGGAGAATCACTAGAACCCAGGAGGCAGACGTTGCCGAAACCTGAGATCATGCCACTGCCCTCCAGCCAGGGCGACAGAGTGAGACTCGTCTCAAAAAAAAGAAAGAAAAGAATAAACAATGGCTACTCCATATGCAGAGCAGTGGCTTGGGCTTCTCCACTAAGGATACTTAGAGTTATTTCTTGAGTATATGCTAAACAAGTGTTGGCTTATTCATGAGTTTTCCAGGAAAGGGGCAGGCAATTCCCGGAACTGAGGGTTCCTCCCCGTTTTAGACCAAATAGGGTAACTTCCTGATATTACCATGGCATTTGTCAGCTGTCATGGTGGGAGTGTCTTTTAGCATGCTAATGCACTATAATTAGCATATAATGAGCAGTAAGGATGACCAGAGGTCACTTTCATCCCCATCTTGGTTTTGGTGGGTTTTGGCTGGCTTCTTTACTGCAACCTGTTTTATCAGCAAGGTCTTTATGACCTGTGTCTTGTGTGGCCTCCTATCTCATCCTGTGACTTAGAATGCCTAACCTCCTGGTAATGCAGCCCAGCAGGTCTCAGCCTTATTTTACCTAGCCTCTTTACAAGATGGGGTCACTCTGATTTAAACACCTCTGACAACTATACTTCTAAACACTTAATAGGGGCATCTCCTATCCTCTAGCACCTAGATGTCTTACTAGGACATCTAGAATACGTGACACTTCCTACTTTCCAGGTCCAGTCAGCATGCTGGCATCAATAGAGTTGGGTAGTGATAAGCCCTGGCATATAGTAACATAGCAGCTACTAAGATTCTTACATATGGAAAGGAATGAGGTACAGATGGAAACAGAAGTATTGAGTCGTTTGGTAGCCATGGCACTTTAAAAGTACGTAATAATAATTATATAGCTTTGGAGATGGCTAGCTTTTGTTAACTTGTTTAGATGCCTTGGCAAAATAAAAATGACAAGCTCAAGTCAGCCTGTCAATTCAAGGCACAATATGAATACCCCAAGACCTCCATGGCACCATTTAAAGAGACCCCTATATTCTCCAGCCACAAAGGCAATATTGAAAATCAGGCCTAGATCCAACTGTAAGAATATCAGAGCTGCAAAGGAGACTGAATAGAGTTTGACAAGTGTCCTATGTCAAAGCCAATCCCCTAACAGGAAAAGAGTGGGGATCCTGCGACCCTGAGTGAATGGACATAAGAATTTTGAATTTCAAATTCTCTTGAACCCTCTGAGCCAGTAGAAGCAGCACCCTTCTTCTGGCTACAGAAAACAGCCTCCCCTTGCCTGAGGGCTCTGCAAAAGATAGAGTATTTAATAATATTAGGACAGTGTACTTAAAATCAGAAATAGTCTGGAATATTCAGGATGGCAACCAGAACTGATGACCTCTTAGGAGTCATCAGTGCACAAGGAATCAGATGCACAAGAAATCCTTGTGCATCTTTACTGACTAGCCTGCAGTCTTAGCCTCCAAATATTTGTTAAAGGATTTGAAGAAACTGTGGAAGCCAGGAAACCATTTGTCATAGATGTGTTAGGCACTGAGTGACTTATCAGAGAATACCTGAATGAGAGATGACCTCTCGAAGTCCTAGTTCTGTCTGTGACTCATGGGTGAGAATATGGGCATAGCACTCCTAAAATTTCCTATGTGGAAAAGACCACTTTTATGTTGGCAGAGGTAAAGTATAACAGCACATAGAGGGGTAAGCAAATAATGGGACTGTCTCTGTGTAACATGTATACACACAGACATACATATGAATGATCATCCTCATTCGCATTCAAATAACAAAAGATCCAAATGTAAAAAGAACCTACTGAGTAAAATATGCTATGATCTAAAACCCTGGAAGATGCAACTTTAATGTTATAGTGTGACAAAACTACTGAGAAAATCAACTTAATGTAAGACATTAAGAAACTTGATTTTATTAATAATACCATTTAGCATATAGTGAATGTTTAACCTGTGCTTCACACTATCATATTGAGGGGTGAAGCCAGCTGGACTTCCCAGATCGAGTGGGGACTTGGAGAACTTTTCTGCCTAACTAGAAGATTCTAAACGCGCCAATCAGCACTCTGTAAAATGGACCAATCACTGCTCTGTAAAATGGACCAATCAGCAGGACATGGGCAGGGACAAATAAGGAAATAAAAGCTGGCCACTTCAGCCAGCAGTGGCAACCCGCTGGGGTCCCCTTCCATGCTGTGGAAACTTTGTTCTTTGGCTCTTCATAGTAAATCTTGCTGCTGCTCGCTCTTTGGGTCTGTGCCACCTTTAAGAGCTGTTAACACTCACCACGAAGGTCCGCGGCTTCATTCTTGAAGTCAGTGAGACCAAGAACCCACTGGAAGGAACCAACTCCAGACACACTATGTGCTGTATATTAATTACCTACTTTAATCATCATAGCAACCTGTCCTCATTTCACAGACTGGGAAAGTCAACCAAAAAGGTTAAGTCATAAAGTAGGTGAGGAAGAGGCGAGGCACGGTGGCTCACGCCTGTAATCCCAGCACTTTGGGAGGCCGAGGCAGGCAGATCACGAGGTCAAGAGTTCAAGACCAGCCTGGCCAACATGATAAAACCCCTTCTCTACAAAAATACAAAAATTAGCTGGGCATGGTGGTATGCACCTGTAATCCAAGCTACTTGGAAGGCTGAGGCAGGAGAATCGCTTGAACCTGGGAGACAGGTTGCAGTGAGCCAAGATCATGCCATTGCACTCCAGCCTAGCTGACAGAGCAAGACTCTGTCTAAAAAAAAAAAAATTATAGAAAGTAGGTGGGGAAGAAAACTTTTCATCTACCAACTTAGAACTGGGTGGAGGGGATGTTGCTACAAATTAATTGACAACAGATAGATTAACAGGAGAAAAGTTTAAGAGTACTCTATAAGGAATGCCTTGGCCAGGGGTAAGGGTTTATATACTGTATAGTATATCATCTTAATAAAAGGGGATACAGGGGTATAGGACTTCTAGTGAAAACATGCAGGCATAGTAGCTTCTGACAAAGTTTTGTTATGCAATTTCTCATCTAGGTGCTAATGGTCAGTCTCCTTCCTGGCTGAAAGCTTCCCCAACCCCCTCAATCCCCCACTCCTACTCAGGGGATTAATGGCAGCTTCATTCTCAGAAAGCTTTGCCTTTAGTCAGATAAGGGAAGCTCACAAATGCTTCTTTCTGCATCTGCTGTATCTTAAATATCTTCAGTTTAGAGTCATCATTATGCCATTCTGGTGGGTTGTGGGTCCCTTCATGTGGGACCATGCACAGTTAAAACTCAAACCTCTTGCTCTTCAGCTGGTGCTGGTTTATCTGGACCCAGATCTCTGAGAATGAGGCATCAGCTTGCTGGTGTCTCTTGGGAAGGGGATGCAAAATGAAGCTTCTTTTACAAATGTTAGGAAAACTTCAAACTGGATTCTGCTGATACTATGGGAAGGAAATGCTGCTGCTAGAGTGAAGCAGCCTTGAAGCAGTGATACTCACAGGAACCACGAGCACACAGAAGGCCCACATTAAGGAGCTAGTCCCTTCCTCCTCCAGCCTTGCAGTCTAATGGTGGAGCATAAAAGGGAGTCAGCTGGCAAAGCAGAAACTGGTTAGCAGAATCCCAGCTCCAGCATCACTAAGCAAGTACAGAAGGGCAGATTCGGAGCTGAGAGACAATAACAGCATCAACTTATTAAAAATGCAAATTCTCAGGCCCCACCCCAGATCTGTAGAATCTGAAGCTCTAGAGGATAAAGCCCAGCAATTCTGTGTTTACAAGCCCTCCAGGTGATTCTGATGTAAAGTTTGAGAACCACTAAACTAGCACATTGAGCTTCCTGGCTCTGCTGATTTTCAAACCTGCCAATAATTGGTCCTTTAAGACCAAGAAAGTGATGCTTTTCAGAATCTAGTCATGTTCACCCTACACTTTTAGGCAGTTGGTACTGGTAGAAGCTAAAGAAGTTCAAATTATATAAGAAAGTTTATTTGTGGATTAAGTAGGAATGACACTCCTAAGTAGGGTTTTGATTTTTTTAAGTTATAAACAGAGATCCATCAAAGAGAGCAAAAAAATATGAAAATTAAGAATTAACATATAGTTCAATGTTGTAATAAAAATAAGAGGAATAATTTAATTTCTGTAAATGTTTGGTGTTAGGTGATATTTCAATATAACTGATAGCTATTAATGATATGTAATTTATATTTAATGTTTAATAAATTAGATGTAGATTATATATACTTATTTACTTATTATAAACAACTAATTGGCATTCTTTTCAGATATCCAAGCCAGTTGCTCTCCTTTCTTTATGTACCTCACTCTCCCCAGGCATTAATGTCAAGTGTTTTTTGCAGAGGAAAATTTAACCCTCAACACGAGCATATGCACAAATTCAAACACATATCTAAATTGACATTCACATGTCCTTTCTCTTTCCCTACACACATATTCCAGTCCTTCATCCCTACCCCAATATTTTAGGTAATAAAGGACCTAACAGTGACTTAAACCCATAAACTGGGTGTTCAAGAGTTAAGGGTAGGGACCCATTAATTCATTCACTGAATATTACTGAGTTCTTATACATACTCTGCTGTATACACTGTTCTAAGCACTAGGTACACATCAGTGAACAAAGTAAAGTTTCTGCATAGGGAGCTTACATTCAAATGCATAAGATACAAATAATAAAACGAATGAATATTATATAAGGTGGAGATGTGTTATTAAGAAAAATACATGGTGCACTAAGCACTAGGTATACATCAGTGAACAGATGTATAGTTTCCACATATGGAGTTAAGCAAAGTTTCTACATATGGAGCTTACATTCAAATGTGTAAGATACAAATAATAAAATGAATAAATGTTATGTAAGGTGGAGATAAGTGTTATTAAGAAAAACACATGGTGCCAAGATAAAAAGAATGACTGGGTTTGCCATGTACATTATGTTCGGTATGCCCAATATACATTAACTTCTTTATGCTTGCCATATACATTAACTTCTGTATGCCCAACACCTAACAAGCAATAAATTTCTATTGAATGAATGAACAAACTTATGAGACACTCTGTGGTAGCTTCTGTCTCATTGGTAACAGTGATAATATTGTATCTAATGAGATTTATCTAAATACAGTAGGTCTGAATTATAAAAGGCGATAGGATTATTAAAGACTAGAACAATGAAAAATAAAAGATAACCAAATTTCTGGCATCTGACCAAGTTGGAGTAAAGACAGAACAAGAGGGTCACATATATATGAGAACCAAAGGGAAAAGGCTAGCAGGTCTGTGCCCTTGCTCTGAGTTCTGGAGATATGGCTGAAAGAAATTAGTAGTCTTTTAAGGGTTGTGTTTATACAAACTTCTGGTTAGGATTTCAGTAGCCATGCCTAGGGAAGGTCTTAAAATGAATCCTCTGCTTAGGAAAGCAGATGTCTGTGGAACGGGGAAAACAGAAAAAGAATCAGAAAATGAATCATTCCTTTCACCCATTCTAGAAACCCTCAAATAAACGAGTTTATCTTCAGGATAAGTTTTCAAAGAAATAGTGGTTTTAAACTTGAACATGCTTTAACAGAGAAAGTATCTTACATTCTGTTAATATCTCTAAAAAATGCATCAGAAAATTTACCCTTTCTTAGTAGCCAAAATGATTATTTCTTGGGCTAGCAATTTCTAACAGTGGGGAAGGAAGGATTGCAGAGTGATAAATGAGACCACCCTTACATCATCCACACTGTCTTCTGTTTTCCATTTACTGCTACACACACACAAAGAACATCAGACTTGTAATTGGCAAATGTATAGGAAAATTGTCATACCATTCACCATTCCAAAATATGATGGAACTAATCTAAATATGGTTTAAAATCACATATTTTTATAAGTTAAAAGGATACTATACCTTTTGTAGTATGTGAAAATCAGATATGCTTTAATATGGTTAAAATCACATATTTTTATAAGTTAAAAGGTTACTATACCTTTTGTAGTATGTGAAAATCAGATATGCTTAAAGGAACTAGACCTCACCAACTCAAAGCAGGGAGGGGTCATATATGTGAATGTTGAGTAGCACCCAACAAAGCAGCTAAGCACAAGAGCATTTTAGAATACTTGTTTCACAAGAGAGTGGAAAGTTCCTTTTTTGAGATTAGGAAAAAAAAGGATCATGGAATTTTACACTTGAGGCATAGAGATATCATCTTCTTTTATAGGAAGGGAGAACAAAGATGAAAACATAATCTCATAGGCTACATTTTCAAAACCAATCCTCAGTAATTTTTTTGCCATAAAACAATATACTGGAAAGAAAGAATAATAAAAGATCACTAGCTAAGAAATAAATTCCATGCCAATCAGAACATTCTAGATGGGGAAATCACAAGCAACAGATAGATACAAAGACATTTGGCACTAAACTGTAGTCCACATTCGTGAGCCCTGGAAAAGTGTAAGTCTAAGACACAGAATCTAATTGGATTTACATAGAATGTTCCAATTAGGTCCCAGGAAGAGATTAAAAGGTATATGAAAAAGCAGTGGACAGTCACTAAGGATTAGTGAGAAAATATCAAATCGACTTTTACAATTTCTTAAAAGATGGTTAGAACCAGCCTGCCTGGATTTTAACACTGAGTTTATCACATACTAGATGTGTGACCCCAGTCAAGTGTTTCATCACCTCTAAAGTGGGAACAAATTATAGCCTCTCATGGGAGTATTGTGAAGTTTAAATGTGCATAATTCTTATACAAATATTTAGCATAGCATAGGAGATTGGTCAGGGTGGTGGGAAAAATTGTAGAAAGATGCAAACCTTCTTGGAAGGCTGGAAGGTTTACAAAAGCTTCGGAAAAGGATTTCCGAAGGAAAAAAAGGAAGTTTAAATGTGCATAATTCTTATACAAATATTTAGCATAGTGTAGGAGATTGGTCAGGGTGGTGGCAAAAATTGTAGAAAGATGCAAACCTTCTTGGAAGGCTGGAAGGTTTACAAAAGCTTCGGAAAAGGATTTGGATGAAGGCAGCCAGATTCTCTTACCTGGTGCCTGAAAGCTTAGTTTAGGTAACATGGGGATGTAAAGAACCTGATCTAGGTAAGTTAACCGTTGGCGCACAGGACTAATCTCTCTGGGGCAGTGGTGGTGGGGGCCGGGGGGGGGGTGGCGGGGGTGCATGACCATGTTAATTACCCACAACTGTGTTGACTCAAGGCCTTTGTCATTAAATCTGTACTGAGTAAATGCCCGCAGCACTGGCTTGTCAGGGCCGTGGCTACTGCAACTCTTTCTATGAGTGGCCCAGTCCCCAGCCTGCTCTTTCATTGGATATCTGTGATCTGTGCCTGAGTGCATTTTTTCATCCGTCATTCAGTCAGAGACTGTGGGTCAGACCTGGCATAGCGTCTGGGGTCTCACTCTGTTGCCCAGGCTGGAGTGCGGTGGCACAATAACTCACTGCAGCCTTGAACTCCAAGGCTCAAGTGATCTTCCCATCTCAGTCTCCCAAAGTGCTGGGATTACAGATGTGAGGCACTGTGCCCAGCATTAGTATTTTAATGTTGTTGTTATATTGCCAAACACAGCTAATGGGAATTGTTTGATATAAAGAAAAAAAAGTGGGAAGACATGCTCATCTCACTACTGATCATATCTAGGACATTAACTAGATTTTTCACAAACCACATAGCTTAGGACTGTCTACTGCTTAAGACTATACTCAGGCTCAAACTTTTTTAGGGGAGAAGTAAGCATTTTAAAAACCTAAGTGGTGCCATAAAATGTCACAAAATACTTACCAGCATAAACATATACCTAATATTTCCATATAAAAGGTTTATGAAATAGTCAAAATCAAATTTGTGTGAGCTGTTTTCAATCCTTATGTCTAGCATTTTCCCCCTTCTAATAAGTTCATCTCCAGATTTAATTAACAATCTCTAATCATTTATGGTCAAAGATTTTTAAAGTTGACTTTTATTGTTTTTAGGAAACATTGGTCTGCTCCATTATAACTTTTCTTTTGTTAGAAACAGAACTTGCAGGCTGGTTATGGTAGCTCACACCTGTAACCCCAGCACTTTGGGAAGCCCAGGTGGGAGGATAGCCTGAACCTCAGGAGTTCAAGACCAGCCTGGGCAACACGGTGAAATCTCATCTCTAAAAAAAAAAAAAAAATTAGGTGTGGTGGTGCACACCTGTAGTCCCAACTATTCAGGAGGCTGAGGTGGGAGGATCACCTGAGCCCAGGCAGGTCAAGACTGCAGTGAGCTCTGATGGTGCCACTGCACTCCAGGCTGGCCAGCAGAATGAGACCCTGTCTCAAAAAGTAAATGGAATTTATGGTGGTAAAGTTCAACATCTTGTCAAGACAAAGACTGCATAGTTTCTGGAGAAATAAACCTTCTGGGAATATTTCCAAATGGAATCTAGAAGACAGTGCATTGATATAGAGGTATATTTACAGATATATTTCTACATTAATAAAGTAAAGCATAATATCCTTTATAAATTAATGTCAAGCCTAGCCCAGACACTGAAAGCCTGAATTCTGTACCCACATAATCAACAGTCTATGGAAACTCTGGGAACCATGCCACTGGTCTCCAACCTAGCATAGTTGAGAAATGACACATTCTTTTAAGAAGCATTCATCCAGGAAATGAGTGTGTCACAAAGCAAACCAGTAAAAGGACCATAACTTATTTTATGAATGAAGAATATAGGGTACTAGCCAAAGGTACAGCTCCCTTATGAGTATGTTATAATTTCTCATTCTTTTCTTTTATCACGTGATGGATAGATAGAACTCTAACAGGAAGAAAAGTAATCATGTCAGCCATAAGAATATTGTCCATGTCATCTCATAATTGTTTTTAATCCATTTTTCTATATTTATCCCTATTCCAAGATCAGATCTTTCCACCTGCCCCTCCCCAACAAAAAAAAAGAAAAAAGAATTCATAGACAAGAAGACACAAAGAAATGGGAGACAAGAAAACACAAACTAATCAATTTTATTCATACTACTCATGAAAAGCAATTACATTTTTACATAAAATCATTAACACATACAATAGAAATAATAAGAGTAATACATCTGATTAGAAATACAATATAGGAAATAGATTTTAAAATAGCATATTTTAGTGATGAAATTTATATTTTCTACTTATTTATAGCAGCATCTGTAAGATTCTTCTATCTGTTCATAGTTAACTAGCAGCAAAATATTTTAAATTACAGAAATTCAGTAGATGTTTCCCTCCAATGTTTCATTCATACAGAATGTATCACGTTAACCAAACAAAACCACTTATATTTCCTGAAGAGAAAAGGTGGGAAAAGATTTCATCAGTTACCAGCTCCCCCAAAAAAAGAAGAAACGAGGGAGAAAGGATGGAAGCTAGAAAAATTTTGCATGCAATTACTAAAAAATATATTCTCAACCACTTTGACCAATTATAGGTGGATTTTGTGAAATCTACATATGTGTGTGTTAGTGAAAGTTATGTTAACTTTATTTTCTGACTTTATACTGCAGTTGAAAAATATGTGGAAGTTTCCAGGAGGCCTGTCAGAGCCTGAAGAAGATATTGGTGTGTATCTTTTATATTTTTAATTGGCTTAAAAATGTTGAGGAAATTAATGTGTTTACTTTCTTGCTTTATAGCTAAGAATAAAAATTTAAATTTTCCAATTTGTTCCGACTGAGTCTGAACATTTCAGAAATTACCTCAGAGCTGATATAATTAGCAGCATAATTTCTAATATTACAGTTTATTCCATTAGTAGAAATAATATCATTAGGAACATACCACCTATTCTTCTGTTTATGACTGCTTCTGGATTAATCTGTCTGAAAATGAGAAGCTTTGGATATACATCAGTAAAGTTTAGCATTAAAGGTTATTTTGGATACGACTAATATTGTTGTTGGAATTAAACTATGAGAAAACAAATTCCTGACCATTCCATCACAGAGGATGAATAGTAGCCTTTAAATGAACTTTGAAATAAATATAATAAAGTCAGTTATAAAGCAGTGATTATATAATTCTTCACTTTATGAAAATTGTATCTACTATTTATTTTTAATAGTCAGGTAGTCAAAACATAGTAAAATGTCATATAAGAAAGTCTCAACTGAGAAATAATCCCCTAACACAACTTACTGAGCTCAGTATTTAAGACAAGGAAATATAAAATAAGCTAAGAATTATTTATGTCACTGATTTACAGGAAATCGAAAAATAGAAACCAAATTTTCCTACCTATTCCTTAAACTATTGGATCAAATTCAATGTGTATCATGACAAATCAATGTATTTGTTTGATACCAATATTATTTCTCCATGACCTTTTCCTTAATATGCATGTCCCCTATTCTATTTAGCCAACAATGATATTAAGGCAATTTTCTAAATTGTCTTTAAATATTTTATTTAAAAATGTCCATGTACTTAAAGCTTGATTTTTAAAACTTTTACACAAATCAAAATACCATACATACATTATATAGCCAACTCGTAACAATCCATCAGAAAATGGATTGCATTAAGATATATCTCTAGCCAATCTTGGTTTCAGGTACTTATTGACCTTTTGCTTAGTTTATGCTTATTCTTCTGTTGATATAAAAGATGATTTTGTAGTGGTGTGAATGCTGAAAGAGAAGGCCATTTGTTCTACAGCCTAATTCTCTCACACTATCCACTGGTGCCACGTGAGAGCAGAGCATGTGAGCTAATTAAGCTTATGTTTTGCAGCCTTACCCAATCTATATTGGGCAAAAAGCAGTCTGCAGGTTTGCAAGGCTTCCTCTCTCCTGCATCTTGCCTTTTCAAATAAATTGATTTTTTTCATGTGAACTCTTATGGGTCCTCTGAATTTCAGCTGTACTTACTTGTAGATGTAATTGAAGAAAAACACATTTCCAAGCCAAATATATATAATTTCAGGCCTAAGTATACTCCAGAATCCTTCTTAAAGTCCAGATGATTAAAAATTCACTACCTTTTTTTCTTTAAAAAAAAAAAAAGTGCTTGTGGTTGTCACAACAACTCACCTACCCAGAGATCATATATGCCTCAGTCATGTGGAATTAAGAAGAAAAAAACTGCCGTTGGCATTAGCCATACTTCCTAAGCTTAGTGTAAATTAAAGCTTTGCCTGAAAATTCATAAAACCCTGAAAGCAGCTAGAAATGAAAACTGACAGTAGAGGTCTGAAAGACTATGTCTATATGAAGGCATTTCTAACTCAACATAAAACAAAAGATATTCTTAATGATGAAGCTGAATCATCTAAGAATTACTGAAATTATTTAAACTCTGTATTTAGGAAAACATGCAATGTACTTTAGGAATACTGCCATCACAAACAGTTAAACATTTATATTGGCTCAAACAGTAAACCCTAGTTAACTGGGAAACACATTTGTTTGAACTCCTTCATTCTTTCATAATACTAGGTAAATGAAGAATTGTTATCCATAGTGTTTTTTAAATATCAAGAGGGTCATATAGAAAATAGAATGCAATCCTCAAGGCTTTTGTATAAAATAATACCCTAAGAGTATAAAGGTATCCACAAGATTAAAATTGACAAACTGCCTTCTTAAAAAATCGTATTACCACTGGCAGGAAGAGTATCTGCTGCATTAGCCAGAGAACTATAAAGCAGCTGAGCCTTATCAGAGATCATCAGTGCACTAGAGTCAGAGGGAAACACCAGGAAAACCCACATTCTGCAGATTATTTCCCATTATATTTTATTTCAATCTAATTCTATTATTAAATATAACAAAATAGAAATAACAAATATAAACTCCATTTCATTATTGTCCTGTAACTAAACAAAACAATACAACATATTTAAACATATCTCTTCATCAGCAAAAATAAAAACAAAACCTCTTAGTTTTTCCTATGTTCTTCAAACCTATAAAACAGCAAATGTTATTTCAGTTTGGCTTACAGTATATTAAAATAATAAAAAATACAACAGAATAAAGCACACTATCTTGATTAAAAATTTCAATTCATCTTGAAATCCTTGGGGAAGAAATATCCATCTTGAGGTGGAAGGGTCTCCCGCATACTCTGGAGACAAAAGCACTTATTTGCCCATTCAATTTTCAGTCAGTTAGTGATTCAAGTTAAACTGATCAAAACTACTCAGGCAGTGCTGATTTTCAGTCAGCTGCTATGGTGACTGCTGAGCAGGGCAGATTTGCTCACTACCCCCATCCAGTGCTTCCACGACATAGAAACAGCATAGATCATGAGCTACATGCCGAACTTTTGATTAGTGGTACTAAGAGCTAAATAGGATCCCCATAATTTATTTTCAAACATAAAGAATAAAAATGGACATTTAAACAAGTTAGGAGATGTTATATCAAATTTAAGACTAGTGCTACTATCTTTAATAATAAATTTAATAACAAACATGTATTTCCCCATAATTATTTTTCAAAGCATAATGAATAAAAATGGACATTTAAACATGTTAGGGGATATTTTATACAATTTAAGACTAGTGCTACCATCTTAAATAATAAATTTAATAACAAATGTATTGCACATCAGAGTAAAAATTACTTTTCTTATTAAGGAAAATTTCTCTTTTTTTGAGACAAAGTCTCACTCTGTTGCCTAGGCTGGACTGCAGTGGCACGATTATGGCTCACTGCAACCTTGACCTCTCAGCCTCAAGTGATCAACCCTCCCACCTCAGCCTCCCAAGTATCTGAGACCACATGTACACGCCACCATGCCTGGCTATTTTTTGTGTTTTTTTGTAGAGACGGGGTTTCACCAGGTTGGTCTTGAACTCCTGGGCTCAAGCGATCCTCCTGCTTTGGCCTCCCAAAGTGCAGGGAATATAGGCATGAGCCACTGCACCCGGCCTAGATTTTTCTTTTATGCTTTCAGTTGTTTCTAACCATGTTTAACCTATGGGCAAATCTCAATTGTAAGGGAAGTCAGCATGTAATTGAAAAATGGCAGACAAATGCCTTATGTTTTAAAACATTATACTCTTTCTATGCATCTTTCCATAGCTATTAGAGGGAAAAAACAAGAGCATATCCAGGGGATGGGTAAGACAGTCTATGGTAAGACAGTCTACAGTCACAGCACATGGGAATTGAGACATGTTTCTGTGACTTCCTCTTCTTTGCATGTTTTTCACCAGTAGAATTACTGCAAGGGCAAATATCATTTACTATTTGACAAACAAGAAAAATAGAGGCAAAACGAGTATTGGAACAAAAATCTTTGTCTGTGACAATTGTGAAGCTTTCCAGCAAAGTGGTAGAGGAAGGCAGCTTTTTAAAGGGCTTCTCCTAAATACTTTGGGAGACAATGACAGAACATCACAAAATTAGAGAAAGCCCAGTTAGAGGGACCATCTGGATGTGTAGAAAAAGCAGCCACAAAAATATGTTAATGGCAATAAAAATCCTGCCACACAAATTTGCATTTAATTGAAAAATCAACCTTATAAAATGTGAAAACCTTTGTTGAATTATAAAATTATTTATATTCCAAGTTTCTTGAAAACTGATCAAACACCTCCAGCATTTCGGTGTTGAAGAAATGAATCTAAGTTCTTTGGAATCTTATCTCAAGAAACAAAGGAACTGCAGCCATGCAAAATGTTTTAACTTTTCAATCTATATTTTTACCTTTTGGGAAAAAGAGCAGCAAGAAGTTAAAAAGAGCTGACCCCAAAAATGTACAGGTAGATAAGCCTCCAAGTAGCAGCCAAAGAAATATTCAGCATTTCAAAAGCTTCTTGAATTTACAGTGGTAAGAAAATATTTTGGGATTTCTTGATATCCACAAGGCAAAGAATTTGTATTGAAAACTTTACTTTGTTAGGGTAATGTTTTGAGCCTTTACATAATGCTACTTTAACTGAAAATCTTTGATGATACAGTTTCTAAAAGTGTAATTATTATTGATTTGTACATCTCTTTTTTTACGTAGGAGACACAGCGGTTCGAGAAGTTTTTGAAGAGACTGGTATAAAATCAGAATTCAGGTCCGTCCTGAGTATTCGGCAACAGCACACAAATCCTGGAGCTTTTGGGAAGTCAGATATGTATATCATCTGCCGCCTAAAGCCATATTCATTCACCATAAATTTTTGCCAGGAAGAATGCTTAAGATGTGAGTGGATGGATCTCAATGACCTGGCGAAGACTGAAAATACAACTCCCATCACCAGCAGAGTTGCTAGGCTGCTGCTGTATGGGTACAGAGAAGGGTTTGACAAAATTGACCTGACTGTGGAAGAACTTCCAGCAGTTTACACAGGACTGTTTTATAAACTCTATCATAAGGAACTGCCAGAGAATTATAAAACTATGAAAGGAATTGATTAAATTCACATTTATATGTTTAGAAACATGTAGACTAACGAATGACATAAGAAATAGTGGACATTTTGGATTGATTAAACATCTGACTGTGATTTTCTAATGTATATGATTTCCATGAAGAAATTTTGTTTCTAAACATGCACATTTTAAAAGCCTCTTTTCGAATAAAGCAAATGCGTGAAAAAGATCATTGCTCTAGGTAAGCTTCACTGGGTAACAGCAGATGCAATATAAAAGGGAGAATATACATTTTACAACTTTTGTTATTTTTCTTTACTGGGACAATGGTTACATATTTTACTACTGGATAAAAAATTGTTTGACCAATTATCCAAACTGAGCTATACACATTTATTTTCTTTTACTCTCATTAACAAATTTCTAAAATATACTTCTTCTTTCATGTGAAATGAGATTAGATGTGGCCATTAAAATCAGCTCTTAGCAGACATTGGAAGAAAAAGTATAGCTTTCTGCCCAGGTCCTGTTTTGGATCCAAGTTTATACTGCCCAGTTCGTTTCAGTGCCACATACCAACTGGTGTATTTCCTTGACCGGTAAGTATTGTAGTTATTAGATTCCAATCGTTCAAAAAAGAAACACTCATCCGTAACACATTTCTGAAAAATAAAGGAAGAATTACCTGTTATTATTATCATTATTATTATTACACTTTTCATATTAAATATTTATGATAGTATAATGCCTATTCTGCTCAACCAGCAGCAGTGATGTTGGGTTCAGCAGGGCAATCAAACTAACAAGATTCAATGGGCCAAAATGTGACACAGACTAGTTCTGAAGAAGGATGCAGGCCAGGAACACAGCATGTCAGCAGGACAGCATCAAGTATGTCTCTTCAGTAGGAGTTCAGAGACAATTCTCCAGCTCCAAAACAGACAGGTCAGGTGTTAAACACAAGGAGGGACATACCCAGTAAGAAGAAATATGCTATGGGAAGCCCAAAGCTATAGCTCCCAGCAGTATTTATGATCCATCCACACTCTTCCCAGTCCCAAGGTAGGTTACCAATCAGGGATCATTTTTACTTTTATCAGAAGCAGCAGTAGAAGGCTAACCCATTGTAATCTTTCCATACAGAAGGAGGTTTGTTAATACTTTACTCACAAGAAGAGTTAATTCCCCAAATTTTAACAAAAAGTTTTAAGTGGCTAATGTTTTTTAAGGCATAATAATGAATAGTTTATTGTACAGAAAATAGCTATTGGTATATAATGCCAAAAATAATATTGGAACATTATATTACATATGATTAACAATCTCCAAACACTGTTAGACAATGAGGAATAAGTAAGTATCATACTGATTTCTGGCAGTCTCTTTCAGGAGGGAGGGACTTTGCCTTTTAATTTCAATTCAACTATTTATCAAAAAAAAAAAAAAAAGGATAGCTGGCTTTCAAAAAGACCTGGAAATAATACTCCAAGTAATGGAATTTAATAGCTACCACATTATTTAAGATAAATGTTCGGCCGGGCGCGGTGGCTCACGCCTGTAATCCTAGCACTTTGGGAGGCCGAGACGGGCGGATCACGAGGTCAGGAGATCGAGACCATCTTGGCTAACACGGTGAAACCCCGTTTCTACTAAAAATACAAAAAATTAGCCGGGCGTGTTGGCGGGCGCCTGTAGTCCCAGCTACTTGGGAGGCTGAGGCAGGAGAATGGCATGAACCTGGGAGGCGGAGCTTGCAGTGAGCCGAGATCGCGCCACTGCACTCCAACCTGGGAGACACAGCGAGACTCCGTCTCAAAAAAACAAAACAAAACAAAACAAAAAAAAAAAAAAGATAAATTGTTCAAAAAGCAACTTCACAGGGTAGCACTGAAGATACTTACTGACCTCAAAGGGGAAAAATTAATTTATTCACTTCAAAAGGAAAAATCATTTTTACATTATAATTATGTGTATATATATCAATCGAATGATAAACTTATATAGAAAACACATGTAAATTTTATCTAAACACATAAATATAAGATGTATACAGAGACATAAATATATGGTTTTGTATTAATACCACATTCCAGTTTATTTCTATATACTCATATCTAGGAAACTTCAGGTTTGGAAAAGCCCACATTAAAAAGACTTGAACCTTTTCCCAGATTCCTTGGTTCTAAGATAAGGCAAACAATGGCACAAACTGTGACAAAAACATAAATTAATTGGCAAAACAAGGAAAAGAGCTGGCATAATAACAAAAATGTAAAGTAAAGCCTGGGAAAGAACTAAAAGTGACTAATGTGTCTCAGCCATCTAAAGTAAGGGTGTGGTATTAGATCCTGTAATCTTCTAGAGATAAGAATTTTACTGGATATTTACTTGGTTTTAATATTTTGACCACTGTTAAATGGATTTTTAAAAACTGAAATACAAACTTAACTAATTTGCCTATTATGTAATACGTTACTCATAAAGAAACTCAATTCTTCATGATGCAAATAAATCACAGCCTTACAGAGAAGCACACATTGACAGGACCCAGCTATATGAAACACAGGACTGTCTTGTGCTGTTCATAAAGATTCAAATGTGATAAGAGTGAAACACCTAAACTTAGAGTAATATAGACCAATATATTCCAAATCCAATACTTTTACTCTACCTCTAGTGAAATTTAGTACCCCTCTCGTGTGAACTGAAGTTAACCTGTTACTTTATTCTGTCATCTTCATTGCCACTGATAAAAGAAAAAAAAATCTTCCCTTTTCTCTATTCCAGGTTTATGATCAAGAATAGAAGCAGAAGGGAAACAAAGAGTGAAAGGAAAATTCATAGTAACCATAAAGACAACATGAAAGGTCACCATGGAACTTCATAGACTGATTCCCCAGAGGTAAATTTAAACAACAGCATTTAGTCATATGTTCATTTGTTGGTGTTCTATCAGCTTCCCGGATGCCCCACCTTGCTAGCTGGCACTCCCTACAATGCTTGGCATACTAGAATACTAACTATTCCAATAACATTTGCCTTTTCAGCCAGTTCCTAATATTTCAGAGAAAAGAAACAGTACCAGGGACTAAGTGGATACATGATAGAACCCACAGCTTATTAATTAATTAATTTACTTATTTATTTATTACAAAAGTTATTTCTACTTTTGAAAAAAAACAGTGGAGGGAAGGAAACTTACATCTGTGCTGAATGTTCAGCAATGCAAATTTACTAAACAACTGTTTTGCTCTTGAAAACAAACTGCATTTTTTTAAAAAAATGAGTAGTAGGGCCAAAATTTAGTGGTCAAGAAAAGTAGATGTCTAACAGAGCAACATATGTACAATTTTCAATTGTCTCCATTCTGAGTTTCCAAGTCATCTTCAGTGACTGTGATCTCAGTGTGCCTATTAAAAACTGGTGCATTATAATTTTATTAATCTTTATAAACATATTTAAAGAACTGTTTTCCTATTATCAGTGTTTGCTCACCATTTCAAACTTCGGATAAAAAGGGGTCTTCAGAGGAATGCCACCACAAAGAAAGTGGCTTCTAAGGGCTTATAACAACTTGTACCTTGTTTCCAAAGCCTTATTTTATATAGGCCTAAGAGCTGAGAAATCCCTTAATGCATGATTATTGACTGCTTTTATGCATATACTTTAAAAGTCACAACAATATTTTAACATTATTATACTCATTAACAAATGAGGAATTTAAAACTCAGTGCTTTTGGTAACATTTCAGATTTTGGATACCTTTTGCCCTTACATCTACTTGATACCTTTATATCAAATTAAGTTTTTGTTTATGTGTTGCTTTTTTAAAATTGAAGAATAATTTAGAGGTACAGGAAGCATAGAGTTTAAATAATACACTTACTCATTCAATCTATATATTTTTTTCTTCTAGGCATCTAAGACACATCAATGAACAAAACTGAACAAGATCCCTGCCTTTATGCCACTCAAATTCTAGCTGGGGGAGACACACAATAAGCAATAAGCTTAAGTGAATAAATTATATTCTATGTTAGAATATAAGAAAACTTAGAAAAATGTAAACCTGAACAGGGTAAGAGGGACTAGGAATGGTGAGTGGTAGAAGCTAGGTGCAATATTAAATAGCATGGTCACAGTAGGCTCCATTGAGAAAGTGACATTTGAGCAAATGCTTGAAGGAGATGAAGGCGTTAACCATCCAGCTATCAGAGAAGAGCATTCCCATCAGAGGAAAAGCCAGTGCAAAAGCCTTACAACAGGATCATATCCAGAGTATTTGAGGGGTAGCAAGTAGGCCAATGTGGGAAGAGTAGCAGGAAATGAGATCAGAGAGGTAATGGGATGGGAGAGGGGGCAGACCTCATAGTTTTGTAGGCTATTGTAAATATTTGGCTCTTATTCTAAGAAAATGGAGAGCCACTGGAGTCTTTTCAGCAGAAAAATAACATGATCTGACATCTTTTTGTAGGATTATTCTCGCTGCCAAGACTACAGAGGGCCAAAAGCAGACTTAGACCAGTTAAAGGGTTATTCAGTAATACAGGCAGAGAGAATGAAGGTTCAGATCATGGAGGTAGCAGTAGAAATGGTAAGGAGGTGTCTGCTTTTGTACATATTTTGAAGGTAGACTTAATAGGGTTTCCTGATGGATTGGTTGCATGGTATGAGAAAAACAGGGGAATTAAGAATGGCACTGAAGTTTCTGTTCTAGAATGATAAACTTGCCATCAAATGCGGTGGGGAGGGCTATGAGTAGGAACAGATTTTATAGGAAAAGGTTAATAATTCAGTTTTGTATGTGTTGAGTTTGAGAGGAATATCAGACATCCAAATGGAGACAGTATTTACTGAGCACCTACTATGCAACAGACACATCATTTAACTTTTTTCCTTCTTTTTTGCTAATGCTAATAACCACAGAACTAGAAATTAAAAAGTACTAATTTATTTGGAATACCAGGAAGTGTGTTATATACAATAATGCCAGTAAACAAGTATTCTCAGGTCTAAAAGGTATAAACCTAAAAAAGAAATGTAGATGTATACATATGATAGTGATATAAATTTGTCATGTGTTAGTGATGGGGCAACACCTCAAGGTTCCCCTGGAGGCTGTCCACATAAACCAGCTTAGTTTATGGTTCTATAAGAGGGGCCCAATAACCATTTATTGATATTGATAATGATGCTAATAATGTTAAAGATAGTGCTGGCAGTTTGACCCCTTGTAGGGAGTATTTGAATAGAGCAGACTCTAATGTAGCATGAAAAAGCATAATCAACACTTTTAAAAGTTTGTTTTTTGTCTGGATAGTTAATTTACTTTGGAATTTCAAAAAGAAAATAAGGTTATGTGAGATATTTCTACATAATGAAAAACTGATCCCAGGAGATGGCGGGAGCCATGTTTCTCACTGTTGGGGGTGGCAGGTTACACACAAGCAAGTGGGGGGGACTGCTAAAATATTCATTTGTTATTGATGGATTAAGGTTGGAGATATCAGTATGAATGAACTCATATTTAGATGTTTTTGTTTTGTTTTGTTTTGTTTTGAGACAGAGTCTCCCTCTGTCACCCAGGCTGGAGTGCAGTGGCACGATCTAGGCTCACTGCAACCTCTGCCTCCCAGGTTGAAGTGATTCTCCTGCCTCAGCCTCCTGAGTAGCTGGGATTACAGGTGCGCACCACCACACCTGGCTAATTTTTGTATTTTTAGTAAAGACAGGGTTTCACCATGTTGGTCAGGCTGGTCTCGAACTCCTGACGTCGTGGTCCACCCGCCTCAGCCTCCCAAAGTGCTGGGATTACAGATGTGAGCCACCATGCTCTGCCTCATATTAATATTGATACAGATGGCCAAATATAGAAATATTTATAAATACATGTATATACCCAGGCTAGTATGTACCACCATTTCTTGCTCTGTCAGCTTAAGCTTAGAGGGCTTAGAAGCAAAGATACTTCAGTAGCAACAAGCACACCCAGCATTCCAGTTTGTGGTTTCTAATACCATTCTCTAATAAAAGAAACCAATGCTCTTTGGAGAAATGGCTCATTCTAGGGTGGAGTAGGGAATATACAAAATGAGCCTGGAGCATCTTGTAGGCCAAAAAGTAATGAAGTACTTAAAATAAATGCATTGTTGAGAGTATGTCAAAGAGGAGGGCACAGGAGCCAACTGAAAGAGCTCCCAATGGCCAAAGCTGGAACTATTTGAGCAACAAAATAAATAATGTAGTATTGGATTGTAACTCAAAGTATAAAATAAATATCTGTGAATACATATTGATATAAATGATTGAATAAATAAATAAATGGAGGAAAATGAACACATTTCCCAGGCAAAAGAATGACGATTTATGTAGATACTACCCCTCAAGGAGGTGGAGCATAACCATCATCTCCATCTCTTAAGTGTGGACTATGCATGGTGACTTCCTTCCAAACAGTATAGTATGGAAAGGAAGTGAAAGAGTAACTTTACAGTGGACACAAATACTACCTCAGCCAGGTAAGCAAGGATTATATCATGAGTTATCAGTCATGAAGATAACATATACCATTATATGCCACAAAAATGGTACTTTACTTCTATAGTCTTCCTCTCAAACACTCAAATCCCTATCTGGCCATGAAAAAAACATCAGGTCAGGTGCAATGGCTCACACTTGTCATCCCAGCACTTTGGGAGGCCAAGGCAGGAGGATTCTTGAGCCCAGGAGTTCGAGACCAATTTGGGCAATATAGTGAGACCTCATCTCTACTAAAAATAAAAACAAATTAGTAGAGTATGGTGGCATGCATCTGTAGTCCCACCTACTTGGGAGGCCAAGGTAGGAGGATCGCTTGAGCCCAAGAATTCAAGATTGTGGTGATCTATGATCACACCACTGCCCTCCAGCCTGGGAGACAGAGCAAGAACCTGTCTCAAAAAAAAAAAAAAAAAAAAAAAGGAAAAAAAAAATCAAGCAAGTTGAAGGACATTCTAAAAAATACCTCAACAGTACTCCTCAAACTATCAAAGTAATCAAAAATAAGGAAAGTCTAAGAAACTGTCACAGTCTGGAGGAAACTAAGGAGACATGATGACTAAATATGGTATCCTGGAACAGAAAAAGAATATTAGGAAAAACTAAGGAAACATGAATAAAGTATGGACTTTAGCTAATAATAACATATCAGTATGGGTTCATTAGTTGCGACAGGTGCACCAAACTAATGTAGGATGTTAATAAAAGTGAAACTCAGTGTGGAGTATATAGATACTCTCTGTGTCATCTTTATAACTTTTCTGTAAGTCTAATACCATTGTAAAACTAAAATATATTTTTTACAAAACTGACTCTAGGGCTACAAGTACCATCACAAAAAAGGATTTCTCAAGTCACTAGATACAGCAACTCTAGCTATAATGTGAAAAATAAAAGCACCTCATGCATTCCTGTGCTCTACTATGCCCAAATACAGATGATTCATATATACATATCACTTTATTTCACCAGACTGTCAACAGCATGTTTGTGAAGATATTCATCTATTCTGTCTACTGCTGTATCAGTGCTTGGCACATAGTAAGTCATCAATAAGTATTTGCTAAATTAATGAACAAATGGAACTTTTTCAGATAGCTTACAATAAAAATATAATTCAATGACATTTACAAAATCTAAATAAGAACTAGAGAACTAGGACTGGGGAAAATCCAGACTAGGAACTGAAATACAGAATATGGTTTAACTTTATGAACTATTTACTCCCTAAGGAAAATAGACCAGATGACCTTTCCAAGAGTTGACTATCCAAACTTGACATCTGTGAGGATCTCTGAAGGGCCAAGAAACCTAGCTTCTAATATCGCCTTGATCCCTAACTAACTTGTATTTTCAATCAAGTCCTTTAACTTCTCTAGGCATCACTTTCCTCCTCTGTAAAATAAGAAGATTGGATTAGATGGTCTTTAGAATCCCTCCTAATCTCTAGTAGCCTTAGTACACAATAAGGAAAGAAATAAGCACATGAGCCAAGTTCTCCTCACATCCCCCCAGCACCTCCTCTCACCCCAACTCTCCCTTCCTTATGCATCGGCCTCACAATACTAGTCCACTCCTAATTTTAGATTTGAACCTTATGACCATTTCCCCATGCTCTGTTTACTGGGTTGTTTATTCTTTTACAGTACATTGATTTTTCAGTTTTGGCTTTTGAGGGAGCTTGCTCAATAGGAATCCAAAAGTGCTTTTGCTTATACCACTTCTGAGAATTAAAAACAGACATGATGTAAGTATCAATGTTGACTATTTCAGAAAAAAAAGAAACATCCAAATAGTGAAAAGTTAAAATTAAATTTGATCTTTTTATTTTTTATTTTTTTGAGATGGAATCTCACTGTGTCGCCTAGGCTGGAGTGCAGTGGCGTGATCTTGATTCACTGCAATGTCCACCTCCCGGGTCCAAGCAATTCTCCTGCCTCAGCCTCCCAAGTTGGCTGTGATTACAGGTGTGCATCACCATGCCCGGCTAATTTTTGTATTTTTAGTAGAGATGGGGTTTCGCCATGTTGGCCAGGCTTGTCTCAAACTCCTGACCTCAAGTGATCCACCTGCCTTGGCCTCCCAAAGTGCTGGGATTACAGGCATGAGCCATTGTGCCAGGCCTAAATTTGATCTTAAACCTGTAATACCTATAGGTTGCATAACAGTTTTAAGATTGAGTTATAAAAGAACAGTAATTCTCATTATGCAATAACCTTTGTATTTTTTCTAGTATTTTATCTCTTAAAAAGGATATATATTCCTCTTCAATTACTGTATTTTTCTCACAAATTTCATCAGTATAGATTGTCAGTCTGGATAATTGGGCTCTCAGATATCTATTTTCTCTACTTTACTTTATTATAGATTTCATGTCATTGTGAAGGCCCCTCAATTAAGAAAGTTATTCTGTAGGTAAAATGTATTTTACTTTTACAGAAATTACATGTATATCCTCAGAGAATATACATTTTTTCATATTTCACTATTGTGGATCAATGCAAATTACATTCTAATACTGAGATATTAATATTTTGTTCAGGGTATATCATGATCTATATAGCATTATATAGAAAACAATGTGCAACTTTCTGGCAGATGAAGATCAGTAAAGTTTTTTCATACCAATGCTAACATTGAGGTCATTTGGTGATTTAAACTTAAAACTACAATTAACTTCACTTTATGCAATTTTCTTAAAAATCTGTAATTTTGTGAACACTTAAATCATCAATTCTAATATTTGTTCTGGACTTCTGTTGCTCATAGCAACAAAATTTATCCTGCTATGGAATGGAGTAAGAAGTCTGTTGTGCATTAAAGAACTATTTAACTTCAGCTTCCAAATACAGGCTTTGGCAATTAAATATAGTTATTTTTTGAATTTTCCTATTTCCTAGCTTCAAAAGGAAAGGAAAGACCCTTAAGAAATGTTTTCAAACAACACAAAATCGGTAACCTGAAAACATGCATACCATTAATATGTGAAGGTGTTGGGGAAAAAACGGTATACAAATTAGTCTTTTTTCATACTCTAATTGGTAATCAACCTAACATAACTCTTAAAAACCAAAATGTTTTTTGTATCCACAGCACTCTTCTTTCTGGGAGGAAACTAGACTGCTTTAGAAATCACTGCAGGAATCACAGAGTAAAATGGAGAAGAACCCAGGGATGTGTCATAACACAGTAGTCTGAAAAAGGGCCAGGTAGAAGAGTGGGAAGGACTATGCCTCTGGCAAGTGCAAGTTCATAAATTCCAGTTTCTTCAAGTTACGAGGCACATCTGCATCCCCAGATGATGGCTACTGGTCAGAACACTGAACTCATACCAAAAGCTGCTGTTGTTGACAGTTTAATGTCTATGGATCTGACTCGGAGAGAAATGTGCCACTTACTGAATCACCAACACCATATCTTTGGTGTTGAGGTGGGGCACGCTTACTTTTTCATCTGAAGATTGACACAGCCCACCAAGAACATTTGAAAGAGACAGGATTGCTGCTGAAAAGGCATGACATCAAGCCACACAAATTGGATGGTAAGACTAGAGATTAACTTGTGAACAGGTCGTATGACGAGAGCTGAAACGTACAACTGGATCTTGGTCATGCCATTCCTCAAAGGAGACTAAGAAATCCTGAATTTTTAATTTATGCTTAATAGCCATGGCTTTGTCTCTACAGAGTGTTTGTGATACATTTCTAAGCATTGGTAAATTAATTCTTACTGCACCAACTTGGTGGAAATCTGTTCCATCAGAAAGAGTTAATACATCCAAAGAGATAGAAACACATTTAAGACTAACTTTCACAAGTTCCTGCTTAGCTAAGAATGAAACTAGAAAACTTTATTTTGAGTATTTTACATTTCTGATGGTACAGAATCAACAGTTTGGGAAGCTTAATACCTATTTGCCAAGAGAAAAAGTCAGAATTCTCTTTTCAGGTCTACATTCTTTTAACTTGTCTCATCTTTTTATGTACCCTAGTAGTTTCAGAGATACACTTGAAGATAGAGCAATTTCTGTTTTCATCACTTTTAACAACAATGGGTCTTTTTATCATTGTCAATGAATCAATATTCAGCCAGTGCTCCTGAGGAGATGAAAAATTCCACCGGCAATTATCTTACAGAGTCACCATGATTACTAGGTTATATGGTTTGGCTGTGCCCCCACCCAAATCTCATCTTGAATTCCCATGTGTTGCGGGAGGGACCCAGTGGGAGGTAACTGAATCATGGAGACAAGTCTTTCTTGTGCTGTTCTTATGATAGTGAATAAGTCTCATGAGATCTTATGGTTTTATAAAGAAGAGTCCCCCTGCACAAGCTCTCTCTCTCTTTGCCTGCTGCCATCTATTTAAGATGTGACTTGCTCTTCCTTGCCTTCCGCCGTGATTGTGAGGCTTCCCCAGCCATGTGGAACTGTAAGTCCAATTAAACCTCTTCTTTTGTAAATTGCCTAGTCTTGGGTATGTCTTTTATCAGCAGCATGAAAATGGACTAATACAGTAAATTGGTACTAGGAATGGGGTGCTGCTGAAAGATACCCAAAAACGTGGAAGTGACTTTGGAACTGGTTAACAGGCAAAGGTTGGAATAGGTTGGAGAGCTCAGAAGATGACAGGAAAATGTGGGAAAGTTTGGAACTCCTTAGAGATTTGTTGAATGCCTCTGACCAAAATGCTGATAATGATATGGACAATGAAATCCAGGCTGAGGAGGTCTCAAATGGAGATGAGGAACTTGTTGGGAACTGAGCAAAGGTGAGTCTTGTTATGTTTTAGCAAAGAGACTGGTGGCATTTTGCCCCTGCCCTAGAGATTTGTGGAACTTTGAACTTGAGAGATATGATTTAGGGTATCTGGCGGAAGAAATGTTTAAGCAGCAAAGCATTCAAAATGTGATTTGGGTGCTGTTAAAGGCATTCAGTTTTATAAGGGAAGGAGAGCATAAAAGTTTGGAAAATTTGCAGCCTGACCATGGAATAGAAAAGAAAATCCCATTTTCTGAGGAAAAATTCAAGTGGGCTGCAGAAATTTGTGTAAGTAATGGGGAGCCAGATGTTAATCACCAAGACAATGAGGAAAATGTCTCTGGGGAATGTCAGAGACCTTTGCAGCAGTCCTTCCCATCACAGGCCCAGAGGTTTACAAGGAAAAAATGGTTTCATGAGCTGGGCTCAGGGTCCCTCTGCTATGTACAGTCTAGGGACTTGGTGCCTTGCTTCCCAGCTGCTCCAGCTGTGACTAAAAGGGGCCAAGGTACAGCTCAGGCTGTTGCTTCAGAGGGTGCAAGCATCAAGCCTTGGCAGCTTCCACATGGTGTTGAGCCTGAGGGTGCACAGAAGTCAAGAATTGAGGTTTAGGAACCTCCGCTAGATTTCAGATGTATGGAAATGCCTGGATGCCCAGGCAGAAGTTTGCGCAGGGTTGGGGCCCTCATGGAGAACCTCTGCTAGGGCAGTGCAGAAGGGAAATGTGGGGTCAGAGCCCCCACACAGAGTCCCTATTGCAGCACCACCTAGTGGAGCTGTGAGAAGAGGGCCACCATCCTCCAGACCCCAGAATGGTAGATCTACTGAGAGCTTGCACCATGCACCTAGAAAAGCCACAGACACTCAATGCCAGCCTGTGAAGGCAGCTGAGAGGGAGGCTGTACCCTGCAAAGCCACAGGGGCAGAGCTGCTCAATATGATGGGAACCCAGCTCTTGCATCAGCATGACCTGGATGAGAGACATGGAGTCAGAGGAGATCATTTTGGAGCTTTAAGATTTGACTGCTGGGCCAGGTGCAGTGGCTCACGCCTGTAATCCCAGCACTTTGGGAGGCCAAGGGGGGAAGATCACGAGGTTGGGAGATCAAGACCACCCTGGCTAACATGGTGAAACCCTGCCTCTACTAAAAAAATGCAAAAAATTAGCCGGGCATGGTGGCGGGTGCCTATAGTCTCAGCTGCTCGGGAGGCTGAGGCAGGAGAATGGCGTGAACCCGGGAGGTGGAGCTTGCAGTGAGCCGAGATCATGCCACTGCACTCCAGCCTGGGCAACAGAGCGAGACTCCATCTCAAAAAAAAAAAAAAAAAAAGATTTGACTGCCTCACTGGATTTCAGACTTGCATAGGGCCTGTAGCCCCTTCATTTGGGCCAATTTCTCCCATCTGCGATGGCTGTATTAGCCCAATGCCTGTACCCACATTGTATCTGGGAAGTAACTAACTTGCTTTTGATTTTACAGGCTCATAGGCAGAAGGGACTTGCCTTGTCTCAGATGAGATGTTGGACTGTGGACTTTTGAGTTAATGCTGAAATGAGTTACGACTTTGGGAGACTGTTGGGAAGGCATGATTGGTTTTGAAATGTGAGGACATGAGATTTTGGAGGGGCCAGGGGTGGAATGATATGGTTTGGCTGTGTCCCCACCTAAATTTCATCTTGAATTTCCATGTGTTATGGGAAGGACCCAGTGGGAGGTAATTGAATCATGGGGACAAGTCTTTCCCATGCTGTTCTTGTGATAGTAAGTCTCACAAGATCTGATGGTTTTATAAAGAGGCCTTCCCCTGCACAAGCTCTCTCTGCCTACTGCCATCCATTTAAGATGTGACTTGCTCTTCCTTGCCTTCCGCCATGATTGTGAGGCTTCCCCAGCCATGTGGAACTGTAAGTCCAATTAAACCTCTTTCTTTTGTAAATTGCCCAGTCTCTGGTATGTCTTTATCGGCAGCATGAAAATGGACTAATGCACTAGGTTACTGCATCTTCTAATCTCAACAACACCACAGGGTAACAACTAATCTCAAGGCATTCACTGACCCAGATTATGGCAGACATATAAAAGGCTGGAGCTTTAAAACCATTTTATTAGTGCTGTCCATAGTTAGTTATAACAGGAGCAAATGTTGTGTGCAACTCCTTTTTTTTCCTCTACCACCCTCACTGTCTGACAGTAGCCAAACCAATTCTACTGCAGAAGCATAGTGATTTGTCACATCCTAAAGTGAAAGGGGCAGGAGGGTTGGAAACTCATCTTCCTCTCACTAATAAAATGTCAGTCATCCAAAATTACTTATTGGTTCACTTTCATGGGAGATATTTAAAATGCTACTTTGGTAGATTCCCAAACTATTACATCACCTCTTGAGCTGACAATAGATTGGCAGAATAAAAGGCAAGTACAGAGTAGAAGAAGTGAAAGTCCCAAGTAGTTAATGTTTTGAGCTGTATTCTTTACCTAGGAAACTGCATACATTCCCCCAATTTAACTACCACCTATATGCTGATCATACCCAAATCTATCTAACAATCAATGTAGACTGTTCCTCTAAGCTCCAGATTTATAATTTCAACTACTCACTGAACATCTTTACCTGAATTTCCCTTAGGCAACTCAAACTAAATAGGTCTAAATTCGAACTTACTACCTTTTCCCAAACCTTGCTCTTTTCTTCCTTCCCCTTTCTCGTCTACCTTCTCACCCAAACCAGCAACCTAAAAGCCATCTTTGACTTTTCTTTCATCTTCAGTCCTAAATCTAATCAATCACAAGTGCTAGCACTTTCCTCACTCCTCTCTGACCTACTGTTATTGCCAGGATCAGAACATGACTTGCTTGGACTATTACAGTGGCCTTCTAACTGATCTCTCTCCACCAGTCTTGGCCCCCTCAAGTCCATTCTCTACACTTCTGCCAGGATGATCTTTCTCAAATTTAAATCTAATTAGATCTCTTCTTAAAACTCTTCATGGCTCTCCACTGCTTATAGTCAGCATGGTGTATAAAGCCCTTCAACAGATTCAGCAGACAGTCTATCTACCTCCCCAGCCTTCTCTCCCTTCCCTTCCACCTAGTTACTCCATTGCACTATACATTCCAGCATTAGTTAATTACTTGTAATTCTAGAGATACATCAAGTAGATTTTTTATCCACACCTTTTCATGTCCTATGTCCTAGAGTTATCTATACCTTCATCTCAATTTCTTCTGCCCCATGACTGCCTGCTGAACTCCTTCCTTTACAACGTCTAAAATTCTACTTATAGGTCATCTCCCCCAATTCTAGAAAAATGTAATTACCTCATTTTCTATATTGCTTCCTATATCATAATACTTCTTATCCTTTCCTATATTACTATGCATGTATGCAAAATATAGAAGTAGCATATCAAAACCCTTATACATTATTATAAATACTTATTTACACTTCTGCCTCCCCTGGATTGTCACTCATTAAGGGCAGAGACAATTTGATATTCAATTTTATAAGCTCAATGCCTACCATAGCATCTGGCACACTTTCACTTAATAAGTATTGGCTATTCTTAAAGAGAATTCTAAAATTTATTCAACTACCTCCCCCCAAAATTGAGAGCCACTACACTCAAACTTGTGATTTATCCTGCAAAAATTACATAAACTGGTAATATCAATGTAAGTATATCTTTGTCATACAGTCAGTCTGAAATTGGGATAGTTTAGATACCCTTTTTCTCTGTAAGCCTTGTTTTGGTGCTTTTAGAAATCCAAAGGTCTTCATTCAGAAGAAATTTCAAAAACTATTTGTATAGCTCAAAATACCACAATTTCTTAGTACTGTTAGATCCTTTCTGTGGGGAGGTTATATAGAGATGTCATAACTGGCCAGTGGCATTGGTGTAAGAGCTGTGAAACACACACACGCACAAACATTTACATACATGTCCTATCTACTCCCTCACGGAGACAGGAATGAGATCTGTCTTTTATATTTATTTTCCTGCACCATTCTTTATACATCATATGTTCAACAGATATGCAGTCCCGTTTCTAATAATAATGGTGAAGTTGACAGGGAGCCTGTACTAGTGGAAAGAATACTAGCCAGGAACTAGGACCCCTGATAAGCTGTGATAACATGTAAAAAAGAAAAGTTCCTCTCTACAGCCAGGCACGGTGGCTCACGCCTATAATCCCAGCACTTTGGGAGGCCAAGGCAGGCGGATCACCTGAGGTCAGAAGTTCAGGACCAGCCCAGCCAACATGGCGAAACCCTGTCTCTACTAAAAAATACAAAAAAATTAACCAGGCATGGTGGTGCATTCCTGTAATCCCAGCTACTCGGGAGGCTGAGGCAGGAGAATTGCTTGAACCCAGAAGGCAGAGGGTACAGTGACCCGAGATTACGCCACTGCACTCCAGTCTGCGCAGTGGAGTGAGACTCCATCTCAAAAAAAAAAAGAAAAAAAAAAGTCCCTCTCCTGACATATATGTAAATGAGAAGTAATGTGAGGAAGAAGTAACAATTTTCAGGATCTATTACGTGTCAGATGCTGATTTGGGCACTTGATGTGTAGTATCTAATTAAATTCTGATAAAATCCCAATGAGATAGTATCATTGTTTCTATTTTACAGGTAAGAGAACTAACTCAGAATCATTTGCCCAAGAACACAGAGCTCATAAGTGGCAGAGTCGGCATCTGTACCAGGCAGAAAGCTTACATTCTCAACTAGTGTTCTACATTGCTAGTGTTTTGTACGTCACATTCTAAAGAAGAAACTTAAAAACTAATAATCAAAATTGTATACATTTATTCCCAATGATCTTCAAACAACTGCATAATAGAAGAAAATTTTTTTTAAATTATAGCTTAATAGTTTTGCAGAGTAAAAGCAGTGACTTAGAGGTCAGGAATGCCTCCAGCCCAATCCAGTCTCTACTTTATATGAGCTGTGTTTTCTTACTTTACTTACTCCCTCAGCACATCAGTTTTTGCATCTGTGAAATAAAGAAAATACTCCCTATTTTACAGGGTGACTATGACGATGATACACGTAAAATCCTTTATAAAGATTTGATAAACAACAATGCTGGTAAATTAACAGCAATAAAAGCTAACAAAAAACGTGTGAAAACAGAAAGTATGCTTACAGAAGCCAGTAATCTTCCATCTTCCTTCATAGCCAGGTAACGGTTAGCACACACTCCTTTGATAGACACAACTCCTCTCTCTTCTGCTTGAAGTTGTAGCTTGACTGTAACGGGAAAAAAAATTATCTTTGTAGCACCACAGAGGAAAGAGCCTTCTTCACAATATTTACGCAATATAAAGACAAAACACACCTAAGCAACAACTAATCCACTTTGGAGGATTGGTGAGGTTGGGGGTATGGGTGAGTGACAGGGAGCAGATGTCAACTAAACTGTATGAGAGAGGATGAGATGCAGAACTACTAGGGCACCAGTGCCTTGTGAGTTCCTTGTCGCTCCTGTGTCACAGGGTGAGCAGAGAAGGTGTCACAGGGTGAGCAGAGAAGGGGGACACACGGAGAATTGTTTCCTTTGTTGGGCAGTTAGCTTTCAATCGCCCCTGTTAACTATTTACATTTTTTAAAGTGAACATATTTTAAGGGTACATAAAAGTGTAGGAGAATTCCCATGCTACTGCCTATGTTGAAACTATTTAAAAGTTATTTGCCAATTCTTCACAAATGAAACAAAATCTAGTTATTCACTGTTATAATTTGAGCTGTATTTCCTTGACTTTTTGAGACGGAGTCTCTCTCTGTCACCCAGGCTGGAGTGCAGTGGCACAATCACGGCTCACTGCAACCTCTGCCTCCCAGGTTCACACCATTCTCCTGCCTCAGTCTCCCAAGTAGCTGGGACTACAGATGCCCACCACCACGCCCAGCTAATTTTTTGTATTTTTAGTAGAGACGCGGTTTCACCATGTTAGCCAGATGGTCTCGATCTCCTGACCTCGTGACCCACCTGCCTTGGCCTCCCAAAGTGCTGGGATTACAGGCATGAGCCACCGCGCCCGGCCCTATTTCTTTGACTTCTACACATCTTATTTCTAGCTTCCTCTTCAATGAACTATAGATGCATTTAGCTTTCTATATGGGATTTTGATGTCTATTTTTTTGTGTGCAAATATCTATCTAGTGGAAACACAAAATGCTTATACTTAATTTGCTTACACAGCAAATGATTTTCATAAAATAAGTGTGATGAAAGATTTTCATAAAATAAGATCCTGAGAAAGATGACTTGTCACACCACATTATCAATATTAAGCAGATTACAGAAAAACAAAAAAAAATTACTTAATTATGATGATAATGTAATATGGACAAATAATTACCTAATTAATTGAAATAAAAATGAAGTAAAGATTATTTTGCTATTCAGAGGCAGCATTCTCCTGCCTAGAACAATATTCCCCCAAATATATTTTTGCTAACAGATGTTAAATAAAAAATAGGTTCTGGTGTCAAATAATTTAGGAAAATCTTAGTTAAACCAAGTTAACTCTTTATTACCAAACTTCTCAGAACTCTGCTTATCATAAGATAAACAAGATAAATGTTTGTCCAGACTATTTTCATAGGTCATCCCACATCCTATGGATATGTTTAGGATATTCTTGAGAGCAACAGAAAAAAATGCAATTTTAGAAATCAGCATATTATCATTTGAATAACATTAGAAATATAAAATAAATATAATTTCCAGGTGTTTATAGGTAGCTAGGGAAACGGCATGAAAAAGCAACTTTTGAAAGTTTCTTAAATAATTAACTTTGTTAGATATCATTATGTCATAGTAATTTATGTTTTAAAATTTTTCCTACCAAGACAGCAACAGACATGCAAAATGAAACATAATATCTGGGATTAGCTTTAAAATAAGCTAATATATTATTTTAAATAATAGATAACTAAATTTTTAATAAAGTGGATAGGATAAATAAGATTCACTTGTGTTAACAGTCATTAGAAGCACAGGATTTCATTATTCTAATCTCACTACTTTTATGAATGTTTAAGAATTTACAATTTAAAAAAAAGACAATCTTAGAATTTTGTTGAACATTTCATGTCTGAGTCACCTCTGTGTGTCAGTCACCCCTGGATTCCAGAAAGCATTGCATCATTTAAGCCTACAGTTACCCAAGTGAAATTCTTCTACAAAATCTTAAAAGATAATACGAAGTAAAAGGAATGTAATGAAGACATGAAACCCAAACAATGAAGGGTATGAAGTATTTTTTACAATATTATTGGAAAATGCAGAAAATAAGCTTTGTTTTTAATCAACATAACCAAACTTATCTTAATGAGTATAAGCAAATTATTGCATACAGCTCTAAAATGATTCAGATAAGCCATTTTAATGAAGAATGCATTTGCATCTCACTTTAACTCATAAGGATGTACAAATGCCCATGAGGCAAGGCTGAATAATCAATCGCTATACTTTCTTTCTGTCCCTTATCAATCAACGCTAGCCCAGCTCTGGTCCACCATCTTATAAATGTGTATTACTAGTCATGAGGGTGATTAGGGATATTCGTGTATGGCCAGATCAGTACCAGTGACTCAATACCCAAAGTAAACATAATTCATTTACTCATTAACCTTTTGTAGACCTCAACTATTCCCACACTCAGGGATTGTTGTCATTCATTAAACCACTAAGCAATAAGCATTACATGTAAGATTCTTGAAGAGTGTTTCCATTGGCATATAATTTTTAAATTACAAGTTTTAAAAATAACCAGAGTCTACAACAAGAAGTTGAGGAAGTCACAAAATCATAGATTTTCTATAAAAACTATCTGAGCTGAGATGCATAAAAAACCTAAATAAACTAAATTCAATATACAGATGATCTCTTCCCAAAATAGAGATGCATAGCTGCTTCATCTCCTAAATAAATTCGATATACAGATGACCTCTTCCCAAAAAAGAGATGCATAGCTGCTTCATCTCTGATAGAAGGAGGAATAAACTTGCCAAAAATGGGACCACGAAGAAACCAGCTGAATTTTTAAGAAACTTTTATTAGCTGCTGATGTGAGGAATTAGAATTCTGAAGAGCCCTGATCAAAGAGCAACTCCATATCCACCTGCCAGTTCTTTCCCATAGAGCTTCCACCCAGTGCACAAGTACCACACACCAAAGGCTAGGAACAGAACAGAAGGGCTAAGAGATCCTCTTCAAGTACACTGGGCCTTTGCAGAATGCAAGGCAGCAGTCCACTGAAGGCTGGGAGCAGGTCAAAGGGCTGAAAGTGATCCTTCTGAGAAGCACTGAGCCTTCACCAAATGCAAAGCCAATGACCAGCAGGATAAAGAGAGATCTTCCAAGATGTGGAAAGCCAGGAGTACAGTTCAAGAGCAAGGTTAGCTCCCCACCAACCCAAACATTTGGCAGCTGAGTTATAAGGGCAAAATGAAATATTTTAAAACTACTCAATTAACCCAAGAAGGCAGAAAGGGAAAGACAGAAGGTAAAGGACAGATAGGATAATTAGAAAAATAGCAAAATGTGTGAATTTGATTCTGTCGTCATGCTGCTATTTGGTTATTTTGCACACTAGCTGATGCAGTTTCTTCATAGTGTCATTGGTCTTTATATTTTGGTGTGTTTTTTGCAGTGACTGGTACCGGTTTTTCCTTTCCATATTGAGTGCTCCTTTCAGGAGCTCCGGTAAGGCAGGCCTGGTGGTGACAAAATCCCTCAGCATCTGCTTGTCTGGAAAGGATTTTATTTCTCCTTCGCTTTTGAAGGTTAGTGTGGCTGGATATGAAATTCTGGGTTGAAAATTTTTTTCTGTAACAATGTTGAATATTGGCCCCCAATCTCTTCTGGCTTATAGAGTTTCTGCTGAGAGGTCTGCTGTTAGTCCGATGGGCTTCCCTTTGTAGGTGACCTGGCCTTTCTCTCTGGCTGCCCTTAACAGTTTTTCCTTCATTTCAACCTTGGAGAATCTGACGATTATGTGTCTTGGGGTTGATCTTCTTGTGGAGTATCTTGGTGGTGTTCTCTGTATTTCCTGAATTTGCATGTTGGCCTGTCTTGCTAAGTTGGGGAAGTTCTCCTGGATAATATCCTGAAGTGTGTTTTCCAGCTTGTTTCTGTTCTCCCTGTCTTCTTCTGGTACTCCAATCGATAGTAGGTTCGGTCTTTTTATGAAGTCCCATATTTCTTGGAGGCTTTCTTCATTCCTTCACATTCTTTCTTCTCTAGTCTTGTCTGCATGCCTTATTTCAGCAAGGTGGTCTTCAAATTCTGATATCCTTTCTTCTACTTGGTTGATTTGGGTGTTGATACTTGTGTATGCTTCACGAAGTTCTCATGCTGTGTTTTTCAGCTCCATCAGGTCATTTATGTTCCTCTCTAAACTGGTTATTCTAGTTAGCAATTCCTCTAACCTTTCATAAAGGTTCTTAGCGTCTTTGCATTGGTTTAGAACATGCTCCTTTTAGCTCAGCGTAGTTTTTTATTACCCATCTTCTGAAGCCTGCTTCCGTCAATTCGTCCATCTGATCCTCCATACAGTTCTGCACCCTTGATGGAGAGACATTGCGATCATTTGGAGGAGAAGAGGCACTTTGGCCTTTTGGGTTTTCATCATTTTTTCGTTGATTTCTTTCTCATCTTTGTGAGTTTGTCTATTTTCAGTCTTTGAGGCTGCTGACCCTTGAATGGGGTTTTTGTGGGGGATTTTTTGTTGTTGTTGATGCTGTTGTTGTTGCTTTCTGCTAGTTTTTTTTTTTTTTTTTGTCTTTCAATGGTCAGGTCCCTCTTCTGAGGGCTTCTGCAGTTTGCTGGGGGTTCACTTTAGGCCCTATTCTATCTGATTTGCTCCTGCACCTGGAGATGTTACTCAAGGAGGCTAGAGAACAGCAAAGATGGGTGCCTGCTTCTTCTGTGTCCTCTGACCTCGAGGAGCACCAACCTGATGCCAGTAGGATCGCTCCTGCATAGGGTGTCTGACAACCCCCTGTTAGAGGGTCTCACCCAATTGGGTGGCACGGGTAATAGGACCAGTTTGATGAAGCACTTTCTCTCTTGGTGGAGGGGGTGTGCCTCTTAGAGACCTACAAAGAGACTTAGACTCCTATGAAATAATAGTGGGAGACTTTAACACCCCACTGTCAGTATTAGATCAATGAGACAGAAAATTAACAAGGATATTCAGGACTTGAACTCAGCTCTGGATCAAGTGGATCTAGTAGACATCTATAGAACTCTCTACCCCAAATCAATAGAATATACATTCTTCTCAGTACCACATGGCATTTATTCTAAAACCGACCACGTATTTGGAAGTAAAACACTCCTCAGCAAATGCAAAAGAACTGAAATCATAACAGTCTCTCAAAACACAGTGCAATCAAATTAGAACTCAGGATTAAGAAACTCACTCAAAACCACACAATTACATGGAAATTGAACAACCTGCTCCTGAATGACTCCTGGGTAAATAATGAAATTACGGCAGAAATGAAGAAGTTATTTGAAAACAACGAGAACAAAGAGACAATGTACCAGAATCTTTGAGACACAGCTAAAGCAGTATTAAGAGGGAAATTTTTAGCACTAAATGCCCACATCAGAAAGCTTGAAAGATCTCAAATCAACACCCTAACATCATAATTAAAAGAGCTAAAGAGGGAAGAACAAACTAATCCAAAAGCTAGCAGAAAACAAGAAATAACTAAGATCATAGAAGAACTGAAGGAGATAGAGACACGAAAAACCCTACAAAAAAATCAATGAATCTAGGAGCTGTTTTTTTGAAAAGATTAACAAATTAGACCACTAGGTAGACTAATAAAGAAGAAAAGAGGGAAGAATCAAGTAGACACAATACAAAATGATAAAGGGGAGATCACCACTGACCCCACAGAAATAGAAACTATCATCAGAGAATACAATAAACACTTCTACTCAAATAAACTAGAAAATCTGGAAGAAACTGATAAATTCCTGGACACATACACCGTCCCAAGGCTAAACCAGGAAGAAGAATCCCTAAATAGACCAATAACAAGCTCTGAAATTGAGGCAGTAATTAATAGCCTGCCAACCAAAAAAAGCCCAGGACCAGACAGATTCACAGCTGAATTCTACCAGAAATACAAAGAAGAGCTGATATCATTCCTTCTGAAACTATTCCAAACAATTGAAAAGGAGGGACTCCTCCCTAATTTATTTTATGAGGCCAGCATCATCCTGATACCAAACCAAGAAGAGACAGAACAAAGAAAACTTCAGGCCAACATCCCTGATGAACACTGATGTGAAAATCCTCAATAAAATGCCGGCAAACAGAATTCAGCAACACATGAAAAAACTTATCCGCTGCGATCAAGTCGACTTCATCCCTGGGATGCAAGGCTGTTTCAACATACACAAATCAATAAATGTAATCCATCACATAAACAGAACCAAAGACAAAAACCACGTGATTATCTCAATAGATGCAGAAAAGGCCTTTGATAAAATTCAACACCCTTTTATGCTAAAAACTCTCAATAAACTAGGTGTTGATGGAACATATCTCAAAATAATAAGAGCTATTTGTGACAAACCCACAGCCAATATATTGAATGGGCAAAAGCTGGAAGCATTCCCTTTGAAAACTGGCACAAGGCAAGGATGCCTCTCTCACCACTCCTACTCAACATAGTATTGGAAATTCTGGCCAGGGAAATCAGGCAAGAGAAAGAAACAAAGGGTATTGAAATAGGAAGAGAGGAAGTCAAATTGTCTCTGTTTGCAGATGACATGATTGTATATTTAGAAAACCCCATCATCTCTGCCCAAAAACTCCTTAAACTGACAAGCAACTTCAGCAAAGTCTCGGGATACAAAATCAATGTGGAAAAATCACAAGCATTCCTTTACACCAACAATAGACAAGCAGAGAGCCAAATCATGAATGAACTCCCGTTCACAATCGTTACAAAGAGAATAAAATACCTAGGAATACAGCTAACAAGGGATGTGAAGGACCTCTTCAAGGAGAACTACAAACCACTGCTCAAGGAAATAAGAGAGAATGCAAACAAATGGAAAAATATTCCATCCTCAAGGATAGGAAGAATCACTATCGTGAAAATGGACATACTGCCCAAAGTAATTTATAGATTCAATGCTATTCCCATCAAACTACCATTGACATTCTTTACAGAATTAGAAAAAACTATTTTAAATTTCATATGGAATGAAAGAAGACCCCGTATAGCCAAGACAATCCTAAGCAAAAAGAACAAAGCTAGAGACATCACACTACCTGACTTCAAACTATACTACAAGGCTGCAGTAACCAAAACAACATGGTACTGGTACCAAAACAGATATATAGACCAATGGAGCAGAGCAGAGACCTCAACAAAAGCAATTGCAACAAAAGCCAAAACTGACAAATGGGATCTAATTAAACTAAAGAGTTTCTGCACAGCAAAATAAACTATCAGCAGAGTGAATAGGCAATCTACAGAATAGGAGAAAATTTCTGCAATCTACCCATCTAACAAAGGTCTAATATCCAGAATTTATAAGGAACTTAAACAAATTTACAAGAAAAAAACAACCTCATCAAAAAGTGGGCAAAGGATATGAACAGACACTTCTCAAAAGACAACATTTACATGGCCAACAAACATAAGGAAAAAAGCTCAACATCACTGATCATCAGAGAAATGCAAATCAAAACCACAATGAGATACCATCTCACACCAGTCAGAATGGTGGTTATTAAAAAGTCAGGAAACAACAGATACTGGCAAGGCTGTGGAGAAATAGAAACACTTTAACACCGTTGGTGGGAATGTAAATTAGTTCAACCATTGTTGAAGACAGTGCGGCAATTCAAGGATCTAGAACCAGAAATACCATTTGACCCAGCAATCTCATTACTGGGTATATACCCAAAGGAATATACATCATTCTACTATAAAGACACATGCACATGTGTGTTTATTGCAGCACTATTCACAATAGCAAAGACATGGAACCAACCCAAATGCCCATCAATGATAGACTGGATCAAGAAAATGTGGTACACACACACCGTGGAATATTATGCAGCCATAAAAAGGAATGAGATCATGTCTTTTGCAGGGACATGGATGAAGCTAGAAGCCATCACCCTCAGCAAACTAACACAGGAAAAGAAAACCAAATACCGCATGTTCTCTCTCGTAAGTGGGAGTTGAACAATAAGAACACATGGACACAGAGTGGGGAACAACACACACCAGGGCCTGTTGTGGGGTGGGGAGTGAAAGGAGGGAACTTAGAGGATGGGTCAATGGGTGCAGCAAACCAGCATGGCACACGTATACCTATGTGCACGTTCTGCATATGTATCCCATTTTTTTAGAAGAAATTTTAAAAAAAGAAAAATAGCAAAATGTCAGATTTAAACTAACCATATCAATAATAACACTGAATATAAATGTCCAACACACCACTAAAAGGAAACAATTGTCAACAAGATGAAAAAACAAAACCTAACTATGTTGTTTACAAGAAAAGCACCTTAATTTACTAGGCAAGTTAATAGTAAAACTGTGGAAAAAATGGGTAAAATGCAGACCTTCAGTATAAGAAAGCTGATCTGGCTATATTAATATCTGACAATATAGCTTTGAAGGCAAGTAGTATAACCAGAAATAAACAGGGTCACCATAATCATCTTAAATGTTTAGCAGCTAATAATAGAACTCTAAAATATCTGAAGCAAAAACTGACAAGAGAATAAATCATTAAGAATATGGAAGGTGTGAACAGCATTACCAATCGTGATTTAAATGATACTGTTGTTTAAATCAGGTAAGTTTCATTTACCTAAGACTTCATCCTCCTAATATAGTCATTTGAAAACTATGTTCCAAAACATTAATTGTGGCTGAGCACAGTGGCTCACACCTGTAATTCCAGCACTCTGGGAGGCCTTGGCAGGCAGATCACTTGAGCCCAGGGTTTGAGACCAGCCTGGGCAACAAAGTGAAATCCTGTCTCTAAAAAATTAAAAAAATATATATTTTTAACAGAAAAAAATTAACTGCCAGCTTGGGAAGCCATCTATGGCAATTTGCCTACTGGTCTTGAATTGTTCAAATCAATTAACTCCATCTGAGAAATTCCTTTTCCAAAGACACCATAATACTAAGTAATATCGAAGGCACTTATTCTGAACTGTTGGTACCCATGGTTCCTTTGTTTGTTTTACCTGTTATAGCCTTATTGAGGTATAATTCACATGCCATGCAATTCACTCATTTAAAACATGCATACAGTTCAATGTGCTTTACTATAATCACAGCATTGGGCAACCATCACAATCAATTATAGAACATTTTCGTCACCCTACATTCTTTAGCAGTCATTTTACACGTCCCTAATACCACTCATCCCAACCCTGGGCAACCTGTCTGTATAGATTTGTCTATTCTGGACATTTCATATAAACAAAATGTGACTGCCTCTTTCACTCAGAATAATGTTTTCAAGGTTTATGCATGTTGTAGCATGTATCAGTACTTCATTACTTTTTATCACCAAATAATAGTCCATTGTATAGCTAGACTTTGATTCATTCATTCAGCAGCTGATGGATATTTGGACTGTTTTTACTTTTTGGCTACGTAAATAACGTTGCTATGAACATTCGTAGACAAGATTTTGTGTAGACATGTTTTCTTTTGGGGGGAGTATATACCTAGGAGTCAAATTACTGGGTCATATGGTAACTCTATGTTTAATCATTTGTGGAACTGTCAGACTGTTTTCCAATGCAACTTTACATTCTCATCACAATATATGAGAGTTCCAATTATTCCACATCCAGGCCAACACTTGTTATGGTCTGTTTTTGTTTCTCAATTATAGGCATCCTAGTTGAGTGTGAAGTAATATCTCACTGTGGTTTTGATTTGCATTTCTTCGATGGGTAATAATGTTGAGCATCTTTTCATGTGCTTATTGGCTATTTGGTTACCTTCTTTGAAGAACTGTCTACTTAGATCTTTGATTCATTTTTAGATTGTCTTTTTATTATTGAGTTGAAAGAGTTCATTATATGTTCTAGACACAAATCCCGTTCAGACATATGATGTGAGAATATTTTCTCCCATCCTGTGGGGTATCTTTTCACTTACTTTTATTTATTTTTTTTTTTTTTGAGACGGAGTCTCGCTCTTTCACCCAGGCGGGAGTGCAGTGGCGCAATCTCGGCTCACTGCAAGCTCCGCCTCCTGGGTTCACGCCATTCTCCTGCCTCAGCCTCCCGAGTAGTTGGGACTACAGGCGCCCGCCACCACGCCCGGCTAATTTTTTGTATTTTTAGTAGAGTCGGGGTTTCATGTGTTAGCCAGGATGGTCTCGATCTCCTGACCTCGTGATCCGCCCGCCTCGGCCTCCCAAAGTGCTGGGATTACAGGCATGAGCCACCGCGCCCGGCCTCTTTTCACTTTCTTGATGTTGTCCTTTGAAGCATAAACACTTTAAATTTTCATGAAGTCCAATTTATCAATGTTCTTCTTTTGTTGCTTGTACTTTTGGTGTCATATCTAAAAAATCACTGCCTAATCTAGGGTCATGAAGGTTTACACCTATGCATTCCTCCAAGTTTTAGTTTTACCCCTTCTATTTAGGTTTTAATACATTTTGAGTTAATTTTTGTATGTGGTATGTGGCACAACTTCATTCTTTTGCATGCAGATATGCCCAAAATGACACTTAAAGATCACTACACCCAACATCTGCAGAATCTACATTCTTTTCAAGGGCACATAGAACGTTCCCAAGAATAAATTATATGCTTGACCATAAAACAAGCCTCAATACATTTGAAATGACTGAAATCATATGATGTATTAAAGTAGAAATGTTAGCAATATGATATCTGGAAAATCCCCAAATATTTGGAAATTAGGCAATGCATTTCCAAATAAAACACAGAGAAGGCCAGGCGTGGTGGTTCATGCCTATAATCTCAGTACTTTGGGAGATGGGTGGATTGCTTGAGATCAGGAGTTCGAGGCCAGCCTGGCCAACATGGCAAAACCCCACTCTACAAAAAATAAAAAAAATTAGCCAGGCATGGTGGCATGCGCCTGTAATCCCAGCTACCTAGAAGGCTGAGGCACAAGAATTGCTTGGGCCTGGGAGGCGGAGGTTGCAGTCAGCCGAGATAGCACGAATGCACTCCAGCCTGGATGACAGAGAAGACCCTGTCTCAACAACAACAACAAAACAAACAAACAAACAAAAAAAAACAGAGAAAATAAATCACAAAGAAATTTAGAAAATATTTCTAGTTTTATGATAATGAAAACTCAGCATGTTTAATGGGAAAGTTACAGCTTTAAATATTTGTATTAGATAAACAAAACATAAAAATCTAAGCTTCTACATTATGATCTAGAAAAATAAGAGCAAATTAAACCCAAAGTAATAGCACAGGGAATATTTAATATGTAAAAACTGTACATTTGAATATGTACAGATTAGTAGGAAACAATCCCAAAGGGTTACCAATTATTTGGGGATAATGAGATAAAAATGATATTTTACTTCCACATGCATTGTGATATTTAAATTTTTTTCTCAGTTGTGCATGTTACCTTTATAATAAGCATGTAACAATGTTTGCATTGTTAAAACTTTAAAACAATCTAGAATAAAATACCAACTGTGTGTCATATTAAACACAACTGAAAATAAGCACATTCATGAGTGAGTTCAAGGAGGGAGAGAGAATTTCTCAATTAAAAAGGGAGTTAACTTTGTTACATCCATATGTAACAATGTTAGCATTGTTAAAACTTTAAAGCAATCTAGAATAAAAATACCAACTGTGCATCATATTAAACATGACTGAAAATACGCACATTCATGAGTTCAAGGAAAAAGAGAGAATTTCTCAATTATAAAGGGAGTTTGGAGACGTATCACCCAAAAGGGATATGTGAACCTTGTTCAACTTCTGATGGAGAATAAACCAACTGTAAAGAAAATATGAGACCATCAGGAAAATTTTAACACTAGCTGGATATTTTATGCCTTCAGGTAATTTTATACCACTCACAGTAATTTTATACCATACCTGTCTGTCCCCCACCAACTGACGGTGAGCTTTTTGAGGGTAGGGAACTATACCTTATCCATTTCTGTATCCCTAGCAGTGGCACACTGCCCGACACACAACAGAATCGAGTGAATGTCTGTTGGATCAAAGTACCTCAGGGAAAAGAGTGACAGGTAAGATGGTGAACAAGATATTGTGAAAAAATATCCCAGTATTAAGTCCCTCACAATGCTAAAGCATGAAAAAAATGAAAGGTTTACAGAGGCCAAAATTAGGAAAAAGAAAAGCAGAGATTCAGAAAGAAAATCAAAAGATGCAGTGTGATTTTTTTTTAATGTATCAACTTGGCTAGGCTGCAGTCCCCAGTAATTCAATGAAACACTAATCTATGTGTTGCTGTGAAGGTACTTTGTAAATGTGATTAAAGTCCATAATCAATTGACTTCCAGTAAAGAAGATTATTCTTGAAAATGTTGCAGGCCTGTTTCAACAATTGACTTCGAGTAAAGAACATTATTCTTGAAAATGTTGCAGGCCTGTTTCAATCAGTTGAAAGGCCTTATGAGCAGAGCTGAAGCTTCCCAGCAGAAATTCTGCCTGTGGACAGCCACTTCAGCCTATGCCAGAGAATTCTAGCCTGCCAGTTCTGCCAGCCTGCCTATGGATCTCAGACTTGCCTCACCAGCCCCCACTATGGTGTAAGCCAACTCCTTCCAATACATCTCTAAACATATATATTTTTAGAAAAAGAAAGAATTGCAGCCATGTGATTGGTGTCATACTGGAGTTTTTTACAGGTGCTAGGAGACTACAGAATAGGACATATCCATTATTAAATGAAAAGGCTGGGAATATTTCTAGGAGGGGTGAGTTTTGAGCTAAGTTTTGGAGTATAGATAGAAGATAACCACATGAGCAAGGTATTGGCAAGGGAGAGACAAAAGAGAATGATATTCTGGGTAGAATGTCATTCCAGGACTGAGGCATGAAACAGCCATGCCTGTTCTAAACACTTAAGTCCTACACACCTAGAGCAATCAAGAAAACCCAGGCTGAGAAACTCTATAGATCAAACAATCCAATTTCTTTAGCAAGTAATTGCAAGGGAGAAAAAAGGATGGAAGGAAGACATGACATGAAAACAGCTAAAAATTCATATATTTTCAAAGGCCAAACTAAAGTAGACTATTTTAGAATACCTATTTCTATGACAAAAACTATTAAGAAAAATAAAGAAGTGACTGAAATAAGTCTACACTTTCATTGGGGAAGACAGTCTGTGATAGAGACAGGGCATAGAACGCTTCTGAGGTGGCTGGCAAAGTTCTGTTTTATGACCTGAGCAACAGTTATAAGAATGTTCACATAGGAATAATTCCCTAAAGTACAAATTTTTAAACGTGATTTTCTGTGTTTGTATTTTACATTTTTATAAATTTTTTAAAAGGCTGTGCTAAGAGACCTTTCTAAATTGGACTTTAGACACTGACTTAACCCAGCTCATTTTAACAAGCCGGAGATGACTCCCTAGAGTCAGTTTTTGGATGCATGGAAGTCAACAATTTTGATAAACATAGACTTCTGGTAACTTTCTAATGTTGATATTAAATCCACTAAGACCTAAACTTAGACAAATAAATAGTATGTTATCCAAGCTTTAAATTCAATTTTTTAAAATATTGTAACATAAAAGCAAAAGCTCTAAACTACAAAATTGAAGCATCTCATCATAAAGCAAAATCTTAGTGGTCACTTAGCCTTATCATTACACAATTATATCTTAAATCACATCTACAATATCCATGACAAACAACTGTCCAACTTTGACTTGAAAATCTTCAGCAAAGGAGAATTGACACAATCTTTCTAAAATGATTTAGATATGTCAGCAAAGGAATAGAAACTCTGATCACCATAAGTAAATCACTTAAATGTTCAAGTGTTCAGATCATTGGCACTCAACACATTAGTTAAACAGTAGGACCAAAAAGCCAAATTATTATTTCAACATTACCACCATTGCTTAAAATATTTTGGAACTCCTATTTTGGAATATCTTCCACAATCCACATCATTTTCTTTTGTATATGCCCCAGGATGATGAATCTTAGAATCATACAATACCAATTTATCAGCAGTGTAAGGGATCATCCAGTACACCTTCCCTATTTAGAAATAAGGAAGCTGATATTTAGAGAGATCTGTCCCTGGTGAAAGAATATGGTTTTTGGAAACAGACAAGTCAGTGTTTCCATAAATGGTGAATACATTTACTCATTAATTCAATTAACATTTATGGGTAACAGCTATGTGCCAGGTACTGTGCTAAGCAATAGGAAGCCCAAAGGAAAATATAACATTGGTCTTTAGCCTTAAGGAACATACAGCATGGTTGAGGCGATGAGGACTGGTACACGGATAACTAAAGCTCAATACTGTAAGTGCCATGAGAAAAATATACACAGGCTACTTTGAGAGCACTCAGAGAATACATCTAACCCAGCCTGAACAGAGAGGTTTCCTGGAAGCAGTGACAAATGATTGGAGACTGAAAGAATTAGCAATAGTAAGGAAAAGAAAGAACGGGAACAAAAAGAAAGCATCTTATATAACTTCCAAAGGAGAAAGGGAGAGAAAGCCTAGCACATCTAAGGAACTTCCAGCAATTAGGTAGCATGGAGTGTAGGGGTATGTATGTGTGTGTTGTGGAAGGGGGTATGGGGGACTAAATGAGGCTGGAGATACCAGAGGCTCTGAATACTATGTTAAGGAGTTTGGTAGTGTGTAATAGCATGAAAGAATGAGAGCTTTTAATGAAACAGTGGGGACAAAGGACAGAATCCAAGGAAGCACCAACTGTGGGAGTGGACAGAAGGTAACAAATACGGGAGACATGAAGGAAGCAGGATTCACAGGGGCTATGAGGAGAAGGAAGGGAGGGAGGTAAAAAGAGGGCAAAAAGGAAGGAGAGAAGAAGGGAGGAAAGAATAAAGCAAATAGTTCAGAAATAGGTCCCAGGTTTTTCTGTCTTGGATAACTTGGAGGTGGTTGGAGCAGCAGGAGGGGAAAGTTGGCAAGAGAAGACAATGATATATGTTCCCTTCAGACACAGTGAAATTGCAATGCCTGTGGAAAATTCAGACAGAGATGTCCAGAAAGCAGTCAGCTATATGAATCCAGAGTTCAAAAAAGGAATCTATTAGAAATAAAGAGGTAATAATCAGAGCTAACAGTGGCTGCCTTGGGAGTGCAGGCTGTGCCTAATCCCTACAGGGAGATGTAAAGTGGCTGCGATCTTCTCAAAAGTGTGTAGCCAGCGCAGATTAAAGGGCAAAGGACATAATCCAAGGAAGCACCAACATTTATGGGAGAAGTATAGGATGTAGAGCAAGAAGAGCCTGGATGGAGTGGTCAGTACGAGCTAGTGCAGGAAGATACGTATATGCACACCTAATACCTACACACACACAATACTTGGAAACTAAGGTATCTAACAGTTATTATTTGCAGACAGTACCATTTTCTCCATTAAAAAATCAAGGGACTAAATGCACCATGATATTCTGGATTGGATCTCGGAACAGAAAAAGGACATTAGTGGAAAAAGCGGCAAAATCCAAATAAATCTATACTTTAGAACCAGCGTTGTAACCAGTATCAATTTCTTAGTTTTGACAAAGGTGCCACAGATATGTAAGAAGTAAGGCTGGGTGCAGTGGCTCACGCCTGTAGCCTAGCACTTCGGGAGGCCAAGGTGGGTGGATTGCTTGAAGCCAGGAATTCGAGACCAGCCTGGTCAACATGGCAAGAACCTGTCTCTACAAAAAATACAAAAAAATAGCCAGGCGTGGTGGCATATGCCTGTAATCCCAGCTACTTGGGAGGCTGAGGCACAAGAATCACTGGAGCCTGGGTGGGTGGAGGTTGCAGTGAACCATGATTGGGCCACTGCTCTTCAGCCTAGGCAACAGAGCAGGATCTTGTCTCAAAAAAAAAAAAAAAAAAAAAAAAAGTTAACCTTAGGGAAATCTAGGTGAAGGGTATAGAGGAACTTTGTAAAGTCTTTGTAAATCTTCTGTAGATCTAAAATTATTCCAAAATAAAAAGTTTCTTTTAAAGTTAGGAGAACATACAGATGAACTATTGAAAATAATTCAGCAACTTGCTTGATACAAGAATATATAAAAATTCGGTTTATTTACACCTACAACACATTATTAGAACTGTTAGTTATTAAAAAAATATTTATGATGATAACAAATAGTATCTAGGACTTTTATGGAGAAAATTTTAAAACTTTATTGAAAATCATTTTTAAAAGACTTAAAAGGGGAGCTATGCATGTTTACAGATGGGAAAACTCGATATAGGTAAGATGTCATTTCCACCCCAACCAAATAGTTTACAAATTTAATGAAACCCCACAAGAGTGGTCAGAAGTAGGAAACCAGGAGTTAGAAACCAAATGCAGATAGGATCTCAAGTGGGACCTTCAAGAAGACCTTCAGTATCAAATGGTACCAAAAATGACAGGTAATATAAAACTGAAAAGTATTCACTAGATTAACCTCAGTAACAATTTGGGAACAGTAAATGCGAACAACTCCTTCAAGAAGTTTGTGAAGTAAACCGCAGATGTTAAACTGTAGTACTCAGAGTAAATAACATGGTGTCAAATGCATGAATTTTGGAGTCAGACCTGGATTCAAAATCAGCCTTCATCTCCAAGTAACTGAGCTTACCTTCTCACCTGTACGATGGGAAACAGTTGTTATAGATCTTTTGTGTGTGTGTGTGTGTGTGTGTATATACATATGTACACACCCATATATAAACTTTTAGTATATAGCACTCAAATATGTTGGCTTTGCACCCTACCTGCTTTGTTTTGAGATTCAGGAAATTATGTTTTTAGGAATCCTTGTATTTTATCAAAGATGAGAATATCTAGAAGAGGGCAAGTATGAATGTGGCTGAGGCATCTTTTTAAAGTATATTATTTATGCTTATATAATGTCTTACCATAGCGAGCCCAGTTCTTTACCTACAGAATAAATAAATTTTTAGTTTTATTTTATTTCCCAAGGGAAATACTGCAAAAAAGACTAAGACCTTATATAATTTCTCAATCTATTATCCTATTCATTCATTCAGTAATTGATATTGGTGTCTCTTATGTGTCAGGAAACTATTCTAGGATCTAGAAATACAACAGTGACAAAGACCTACAAAGTCTCCACCCTCATGGGGCTTAGTGGCAATTGCATAATTTTTCATTAGTTGGGCCAGTGTTAATATTATTTCTCATTTAAGTAATTTGAAACCCAAGCAAACTGAAACTCTCAATTTAGGGTACTAAGATAATCAGAAAGCAGTTGTCTAATACTATATTTCAAGGCTCACTATATTAGTCTATAGAGAACAAGTACTCACATAACCTGACATCTTCAGCTCAGAACACAATGCTCACATTTTAACTTCTGGCTGATTCAAAAGACCTTTTTTATTTAAAATTGGTTGATAGAGTGTGTTCGCTTTCCAATAAAATTATGTTTTGGTGTCCAAAAATAACTGAGCCAGGTTTAGTAGTCTCCTTGGATCTAAAATTCACCAGTAACTGAAAACTAAATTCCAAGGTATAACCACTGTTTTTTTTTCTTCCATCAGCCATCATCCAATCCAATGCTGAAGACCAGGCACTGAAAACCGTTTAATGCATAGATAACTGACAAAGGAGGCTAGGTAACAAAAGGAACTAATTTGGCCAGGCACGGTGGCTCACGTCTGTAACCCTAGCACTTTGGGAGGACAAGGCAGGCAGATTGCCTGAGCTCAGGAGTTCAAGACCAGCCTGGGCAACACGATGAAACCCCATCTCTATTAAAATACAAAAAACTAGCCAGGCATGATGGCATGCACCTGTAGTCCCAGCTACTCAGGAGGCTGAGGCAGGAGAATCACTTGAACCCAGGAGGCGGAAGTTGCAGTGAGCCGAGACCAGACCACTGCACTCCAGCCTGGGTGACAGATCGAGACTCTGTCTCCAAAAAGAAAACAAAGTAAAAGGAAAAAAAAAAAGGAACTCATTTGCTGAAAATGAAAAACTTTACATCTTCATACATGTATATGGAGTACCCATGGTAATAATCAGATAAATTACAAAGATCAGATACAAATATGACTAACACATTTCATATTGCCCCTCTCAGTAAACTTTCTTTTTTTACTATTTTATTTTGCATATCATCCCAGAAGCCCAAAACCACACATTCCATTCTCTTCACAATTCAACTGGCTAATTAAAGTTTATAAATAAGAACATTAGACACCCAGATAGTTCATTAAAATTCTTAGCAACTCCTCAGCTAGCAAACAAGGTTAAAATTGGGCATAATATGAAAGAAAGAAAAATTAAAGAAAGAAAGGAAGGGAGCTAGCTTAGAAATCTGTGCATTCCTTCATTACTACCCAATCAGGACATGGCTTTACGAGTCCATTAAATCTTTCTGTGTATCAACTCTTATAGCCATAAAGTAAAAATGGTTTTTATTATGAAACTTAAGATTGTAGATGATGACAAAATAATTAAAACAATTTAATTAAAAATAAGTGCAACATACAATGTCTGAAATACTAAATCTCTTGCCAAAATTTTACTTCTAAGCCATACCATTTAACTTATGTAATTTAAAAAATTTAAAGATGTACAGCTGATTTATGCCAAAGGTAGGCTGTTAGAAACAATTTCAATCCATACAAACTTACAATTTCCTCCAATATCTTATGTACTGGCTTTATTACCTCATGTTCTAAAAGAGATATGTTTGGGCTGGCTGAGCTACCAATACAAGCAACTGTAACACAATGCCCAAATAGCTGTAAATATCAGGTGACTCCTGATTCTTCTAACAGCACAGCTGCTTGTTTAAGAATGCCAATGGCTTTTATTTCTATAGTGACACCATCAGATAATTAAGTCAGATTGATGGTAAGAAAAGGAAAAGGTAGGAACTATTTAGCATCTTGTGGCATTCCAGAAGCTCCAGGCGCAATACAGGGGCAAAGAACTGCACAGCAGCAAAGATAAGCTTCAGAGATAGAGAGAAAAGGGGAGTTCAAAGTCCCAGTACTCATCAGTAAATAGTCACAAGTTGACAGGTAGAGAGGACACCTTCCCTCATCTGTTCTGTAGCTATTAGGGATTACAGACATTATCTGACTATCTGAGCATCACGGAAAGGCTAGAAATGCTCTGCCACTGAGGACACTTCTTGGCCTGGTTTGTGGAGGTATTGTAATTCAGGTGGGAAAATTCCATCCACTTTTGGCTGGGGCATTTTCTGGTAAGAATAATTACAGTACTAACACCTCAGTAATCTGGATTTCAGGACCCCACACTGACTCCTGGCACAGCAACACCAGGCAACACTGACGACATGCATCTATAAATACCTGGCTTCCACCTACAAAACGCATCAACCCTATATGTGTTAAATGGTCTTTTCTTCTCAGGGGCCAGCTGTTGGAGAAATGTTTCTAAAAATAAGTTGCCCACAAAATTATAGAAATGGAGAACAGATGGGTAGTTTCCCAAGGTGGGGCTGAGGGAGTGAGTGCACCTATAAAAGGGCAACCTGAGGAATCACCGTGATGATGGAAATGCTCTGTATCTTGAATGAATCAATGTCAATATCTGGGTTATGATACTGTACTACTGTTTCACAAGATGTTACAATGGGGGAAAATTGGGTAAAGAGTACAAGGAATCTGCCTGTATTATCTTTTTACAACTGCATGTGAATGAATCTATAATTATCTCAAAATTTTAAAATTTAATTTAGAAAATACCAGCCAACTAGTTCAAAGTCTCTACTTCTAGCTTAATAATTAATATTTTAAATCTGTGCTTTAAGATCTAGAAATTACTTGAGAGAAAGAAGCTAAGCAATATAAATAAGATTCCTTTAAATATTACTTTTAGTGTAACTTCCATTTCCATGTTAGAACAGAAAATGGAAGAAATTGAGAACCCAAGGGCAGAAGAGCCCGCAGACCAAATAGCCTCCACTGTATTTAGATTTTTTCATTTTACAATTCATTGTTGACTGAGTACCTGAACTAGGTCCCATTCAGGTACAAGGGATAAAGCACTGAAAGGAACCAGACACTGTCTCTGCTCTTGTGGATTTTACATTCTAGTGCAGTCTCTTAAAGCCAAATGAATATTGTGTCTTGAACACAATATAACACAATGTAACACAATATAAAAATCTGATGAGAGGTTTCAATTAATACTAAATTTCAATGATTTTATTCTAATAATTATATTAGAGAAAATATGTAAAATGTTTTGAAGAGGAATCACTATTTGAAAATTTTTTTTTCTGATGGCTTATTCTACTTATCAAATTCTCCCTTATTCAGAGACACATATGGTCTGTGGGCTATCCTGCCACCATGAGCTCTCAATTTCTTCCAATCCCTATTCTTCATAGTCTCTGAGTAATTTCACTAGAAGGTGAGGGTACGGGGACAGAAGAAAAGAAGGATGAAGCTCAAATATCACTTTTGCTACCTGTTGGTTGCACTTTTAGTAATTAGAAGAGGGGAGAGGATTATTTAAAGACAAAAATTGTTCCTCAGATAGCTGAAAATCTACAGATTTTTCTCATTTCCATTAGTAAGGGAATGTTAAGAACTTCTCTGGTGACCCCAGAACATTTGGTCACCTGACATTTCTTTGTATTTCCTGCAACGCTTACTGAATAAACAGGAAGCTCATCAGCTCCTAGGGCACCATCTGCACTACTTATGAGAAAATGTCTTCTAGCAGAGGCCTTCCAAAGCTGGAGGTGGAAGTGCCATGGTTTAGACAACCTGCTCTGTTGTCTGAGGAGGCAGCAGCAGACAGGCCTTTGAGGAAGTCAGTATCTTCATATGGAACAAGTTGTTGGAAGTCAGACCTTCAGTCAGGGTTGGCAATACTTTCACAAAAACAACTGAGAAATACTTCAACAAAACTGCTGATATTTTGAAATGTGAGTTCTTCAATATAAATCAATTCTTGAAAATTCCTCTCAGTACGCTGAAATCATAAGCAGCTCAGAAAGAGATTAAACAAAAATATAAGCTGCCTTAAGTAAGTATTTCTGCAACTAATCCAACATACTCAAGAGATGGAACACCTCCTGAATATAGCCTTTTCTTGGCAAATTCTTCCTTTTCGAAATGCTTCTTGGGTGATTTGAGAGAGCTTGAGGTTTCTCCTCAAAGTTAATTAAGTAAGTGCCTCATGGAGATAATGCAACCAGCTTGTTGGCCATGTTACTTTCCCTAGGGGTGAATGCCAATTAGCCGGGCTGTTTGTGTTCCTGGCACCTCTTTCTGGATTAAAGAGTTCACATTCATCCACAAAAATCACACAATTCAGGCAGCTCCAGAACAGAAAACAGAGCGGCATGTGTGTGCCCGGAGGAGGAGGAGCTTTGGGGGAAAGGCAAGTAGGGGCACAGGGTGGGGAAGGGAAGCTGCCCAGAGTGTTCCAGTTATTTAATACACTCTCCCACACAGTCATTCTATTTGACTGTAAAATCATTAGGAAAACACCTTTCAAAGCAGGCTTAAGACAAGAGAGTTTTATTTGACTCCCATGAAAATAGCCCCGGCAGCACGTCTCTCAATCAATGACGAGCATTACTGCAGCCTCCACTTTGGAAAACCACGCTTCCAGCCAAGAGCTCAAGGCCCATCTCCAAAACTTCTGAGAAGGCCCTTGCAAGGAAAATTCTTCCCCGCATCCCCTGCATGACATATGCTGGGTGGACTTAGTAGGAAGTTGGAAACGGCTCCTTTGCCTGAAAGTCTTCAGTAAGAAAACAGGACCTCTTCTTCAGCTGTGCTGAGTATTTAAAGGAATAAAACAGGATCACAGTAAAAGAAGATCATGGCTCCACCCTCAAGAATGCAGCTGCCTCTAAGTAGAAGTTAATAATTAGGCAGACTCCAGAGCTGAGTTCTTTAAAATATGCTATTTGAAATTGTTGTTAAAAGCCTGTGAGGTGCGGGAGACTCTTCTCCAAAAAATGTTTACCATTTCCTTACACAATCTTGATTGCCAGGGTCGAATACTACCACTGGTTTCACAAAAATATTGTGTTTTTGGAAAGGAAATGCACAGCCATCAAAAGAGTATCAGTGAATAACGAATATGCTCATTAGAATTCTGTAGGCGAATGCCTTTCTATGTTTACTACTTTAAAATATTGTATCCTTATGTGAAAAAGAAGCTATTTTTTAATGTCCTTTTAAAAAATCTTCTCACATCCAAAAGGCTTGCAGATCTAAAAAAGAAAATATATAATGGCTTTTCCCCATGTTCCTAGTATATCTTCTATGCTCTATCTACAGAAGAAACAGGTACTCTCATTGTGCAGTATAACCAGCTAAGCCTTCATCCATCCCAGCTCCTCTCTAGACGCAGCAAATACAGCACATATACTGATGCTTTACAAATGTCTATTTTTAATAGTGAAGATAATTAACAAAACTGCATTCTGCATCTCTCTCCATTTAATATATAAGAACGTTCATTCTTTCATTTAACTCCTATCAATATTGTCCATTTTAGTTTATAAAAGATAAGGAATTAGGTAAGTTTTGCTTATATTCTTCATCCAGCAAGCATTTATGAAGCACTCATTGAGTATCAAGCACAGCATTAGTATATACACCCTCGCACCATTCCAGTAACAACTACAAAAACAGACCACGTGGGTATGGATGCGTAACCCAAGTGCAGCAGGAGTAGTGTGGTGAACAAAAGACAGTTCAAGATGTTTAAATATTGGGGAATTCCGTGAAGGGGATCTAATTTCTAACTCCCTGAAATATTTCCTGATTCCCCTTTTCCCTCCTTCCTAATTCTCAAAAGTACAAATAGCAACAACAAAATCCCTTCCTCCTTACATCTTGTCTTCAGGGTTTTTACTCTACCTCAGCATTGTCTCCTCTGTTCCCCTCTGTGTGTTAAGATATTTATAATATACATGAACTTAAAACTCTCTTATTAAATAACTTGCCTCATCACACTCTGATTCTGGAGGGTGGAGGGCATACAATAGTAAAAAATAGTTTTTATTTTTATTTCACTTTATTTTATTTTTGAGACAGGATCTCACTCTGTCATGCAGGCTGGAGTGCAGTAGCATGATCATGGCTCACTGCAGCCTCAACTTCCCTGGCTCCAGCAATCCTCCTGCCTCAGCCTCCCAAGTAGCTGGGACCACAGGCACCCACCACCACACCTGGCTAATTTTTGTATTTTTGGTAGAGATGGCATTTTGCCATGTTGCCCAGGCTGGTCTCCAACACCTGAGCTCAAGCAATCCACCTGCTTCTGCCTCCTAAAGTACTGGGATTACATGAATGAGCCACTGTGCTCAGCCAGAAAATAGTTATATAAATGGTGCAGAGCAAGATAAATAAGGCCTCAGAAAAGGGCCCTATAACAGAAAGGTTAGGTTTAATGCAATCTGGACTATAAACATACCGTAGGTTCTTGAAAAGAAATGCATCAGGCTAAAAGTGGTGTTTAAAGAATTAATAACTGGAAAGGTTATTACAGCTGTTCACATGTAAGATAATAAAGATGTGGACTTTGATGGTGGCCATGAGGATGGAAGGCAAAGGATGAAATGCCAGGGTTTCATGAAGTTTGAATTTTGGTAAAAAATGAGCAGTGGAAAAAAATGTTGTGTTTAGGGGGTTTCAACTTGGAAATATGAAAAACTGACACAGAAAACAATTAAGGGAAAGTTGGTAAAATGAGGATAGTCAGTTTATGATCTAGCACCAATTCCATGCTCATAAAAGCGAGGAATTAATTGTTTATCTGATGGCAGACTTATTTTGGTGGCTCCAATGTACCACACCACCTGATATTTATATCTTCTGTAGCTCTTCCCAAACTGAATCTAGTCCTAGACATGTTGACTGATGTGACATTGGCAATTTTGATATTAGCAAACAGGATGCAAACAGCGGCTTACACAATGGAGCTTGCTCTCTTGGAACCCTTTCCTCTTGAGATCCAGCCACTGAAAAAGCCCAAGCTAACCTGAGAGAGACAGCACCTGGAGAAAGATATCATTAGGATTCCAGTTATCCCTGCTAAGGTATTGGACATGTAAGTAAAGCCATTTCAGATATTCTTGTCCCCGTGACCACTTGACTGCAGCTGCATGACACATTCTAAATTATACCAGGGGAACTATGCAGTTGCACCCAGGCCAACCCACAGAATCATAAAATATAAAATCACTATTTTAGACCACACAGCTTTGAGATGTTTGTTACACAGCAATAGACAACTGAAGCAGTGGAGGACAGATAAGATATAAGCTTTGAGAGATTTAGGAATAATAAATAACAGTAAAATGGTTACTTATTATTTGACAGTACTATCCTAAACACACTGCCTATATTATCATGTTAATCATCACAACAATACCAACATAGTAGCTATTATCAGCTAGTATCCCTATATAATAGATGAGGAAACTAATATTTAAATAAATTAACTTACCCAAGAGCATAGAATTAGTAAGGCACAGCTGAGACATAAACCCAAGTCTACCTGTTACCTGCACATATGTGAAAGATGAAACTGTGAGAATGAGCTCACCAGAGAAATGAGAAGAAAGAAAGAAAGGGCTGAGGCTAGGGTTAGGGCCAGGAAGAAAAGCCACATGATTGCACTTTTGCATTTTCTCTACTTTTAATAATAGCTGTTCAACACATTCTAGCTAAGAAATCAATTCTAGCCCCTATTTAGACAGTCAGTTCCTGCTTGTCATTCTATCTATATACTTTAAAACTCACAACACTATCTACTAGAGCCACATTTAAGCCATATTTCGGCTAACAGAATTTAGCTTCACATGCCTATTTGCTTTAGGATCAAAGGGTTGTTAAACAGTCTCTGACCATCTCCAGTGACAGAGCTGGTGTGAAGTACCCTCTTTTCTGGGATTATACTCTTTTCTATTGGCCATACCTACTTCTAATGATATTATCAGCCTTCCCCAAAAACTGAACCTCCAGCAGAATTTGAGTCAAAAATCCTTAAAATTTGGCCCTGAGAAATCATCTAGTCTGGACTTCTCTGCTAAAGATAAGAAATCTGGGTCACAGGTTGGTAAATTGTTTTGCCTTAAAGTTACCCAGCAATCTAGGGTCAAGATCAGCAGTCCTAATCCTCTTCTTTTGCTGAATGCTGAACCACACTGCCCCTTTGAAGCATGCCACTCTGTTATCTCTTCATTTGCCATCCAACAAGACATAGCAGGTTGAAATAATACTAAAATTGTGCTTTGATCCAAGCAATTGGTTGGATGCAAGGATGGGGGAGCAGGGGAAGTAGGGGAATGGATGAAAATACCAAGAAGTCTTCTCTCCCCAAAGAAAGTCTTCTTATACTATGTGTTCTTATTTCTTACACTAAAAAGACATAGTTAATAGCTATAGTGTATACATTTTCTAAGCGTCATAAAAGCAAGTACACAGGTAGTAAAGGAAATAGTTTCTGGCTCCAGTACTGACACTTCCATCCCAAAAAAGAAGCCTAAAATCACAACTATTGAATGTGTTTCCTTCCCCTGTGCCACAAAAAACTGGTCATGTTGGTTTTTTTGCTCCCTTCTTCTTGTGAGATTTGGAACCGCTCTCTGAAGAGAGCGCTAAGAGTCCCATACAACTAGCTACTTGGGAGTTTTGAATATGAATGTCTGTTTCAACCTAAATCTTCTCTTGCTTGTTCTCACTTTATTTTGTTTTTGTTTTTTTCTCTTTCTTCCTTTCCCTCTTCTACTTTCTACTTCCCTTATCCTGTCTGCTCCCATGACTTAATTTTTTTCTTTCTGCTTCCTCCAAAAAATATATGAGGCTATGTAAGAGAAGAAAAAAATCAGACATCTATAAAGTCATCCACCATCGCTCAATGTTATTTCTGGAAGAATAAGGAAAAGTTTAAGGCACAGAAATTAATTCTGTTTAAGATGCTCTGAATCGAAATCTCTTATCTCAGGCAGAGAAAGGAGTCTGGCCCTCCCAAGTACATTGTTCCAAGACCAGAAACAAATATATAACATTTTGCTCAACTCACAACTTTTACTGTATCTTTTTTTTTTCTTTTTTTTTTTGAGACAGAGTCTCACTTTGTTGCCCAGGATGGAGTGCAGTGGTGCAATCTTGGCTCACTGCAACCTCCGCCTCCCAGGTTCAAGCAATTTTTGTGCCTGAGTCTCCCAAGTAGCTGAGATTACAGGCATGTGCCACTGCATCCAGCTAATTTTTGTATTTTTAGTAGAGATGAGGTTTTGCCATGTTGCCCAGGCTGGTCTCAAACTCCTGAGCTCAAGCAATCCACCCACCTTGGCCTCCCAAATTGCTGGGATTACAGGCGTGAGCCACCGCGCCCAGCCAGCTTCTGCATTCTTGAACATACATTGTTGAACATACACAATGTTCAACATACACAATGTTCTGGAAATGATACATTCATCCAAACTGGTGTTATTAGCAATATGAGGTCTCCAGCCTCAAGTGGGCCCTCAGCAAGTGTTAGCCACTTGGGCATATCCCTGGTTAATTTCCTTTCCTATTCTCTACACCATGCTCTAAGGCTACCCAGCCAGCAGTCACAACTCTCTCAGAGACAGCATTCCCTCCTACTTCAAAGAAATTACTGAATATCACAGACATGAAGTCCCTCAATGTTCCTATACCTTAAAATGTATCTACCCACACTGTGCTAGCCAAGCTAAGCTCACCATTTAGTAGAACATTTGTCTTTTTTTTTTTATTTTACTTTAAGTTCTGGGATACATGTGCAGAACGTGCAGGTTTGTTACACAGGTATACACGTGCCATGGTGGTTTGCTGCACCCATCAACCCGTCATCTACATTAGGTATTTCTCCTAATGCTATCCCTCCCCTAGCCCCCCACCCCCTGACAGGCCCTGGTGTGTGATGTTCCCTTCCCTGTGTCCATGTGTTCTCATTGTTCAACTCCCACTCATGACTGAGAACATGTGGTGTTTGGTTTTCTGTTCTTGTGTTAGTTTGCTGAGAATGATGGTTTCCAGCTTCATCCATTTCCCTGCAAAGGACATGAACTCATCCTTTTTGTGGCTGCATAGTATTCCATGGTATGTATGTGCCACATTTTCTTTATCTAGTCTATCATTGATGGGCACTTTGGTTGGGAACATTTGTCTTTTTCTATAGCAACTAAGCCACCAAAGAGATTTTATTGTTTTGCTGCATGTTAAAATGTCTATGTATTTGGTAGGATTCTGATATGGTGTTTTAGCTTCAAAGTGGAGAAGCACCTTGCCCCTAAGGACACAAGGATAGACCAAGAGACCCAGTCCGGAAGAGCCAGTTGTCCAGGAAGCAAGTAAGGGAGATCCACAGTACAAAGAACACTCTCTGCTCCTGGCCCAGCACCTAATCCCACTCTCATGAATCCCAGCTCTCTCCTAGCAGTGCCAGTGATGTATTCTAAAAAGTAGCCAAGGCATCTGGTATCCACCTTCCTTTACTTCAGTGTCATCTTGGACCTCTCATGAGGCTCAAAGAACCTAAAGCACAAGTGCTTCTACTGACGATGATACTCCTGCTTCTAATCAATGGCAGTTTTCTTCCACATGAAAGGGGAATAATGCTCTGACAGAAGCAGCAGACATTTGCAACCACAGATCAGAACATGACTTTAAAAGAAACTACCACCAGTGCTATGTAATCAGCCTGCAGCCTCAATTCCCCTCTGTGGCCCATATCCTCAGAAACAGGCTCTGAGGCCCAGGTCAACTAAAGGGACAAGCGAAGAGTAGGGGGTGCTTTGGAGCAGATGGCAGCTGACAGACAACAGGCCCAGCAGCAATTGTTTACTGCTGTGACCACAAGTCTCCAGAATACAGGCAACAGCAGCCCACAACATCTCCACATCACGATCACTGTGATCAAGTTGGGAATGTTCCCTTTTTGTTTAACATAATTATGTCCTTTCTTCTGGAATAAGATTATTATTCCTATTTTCAGAAATCCTGAAGAAGAAAAACTAACCCACACACCTCAGGGGAAAGACAAGAGAAACCAGAAGAAAGAACCTGGACTCCATGTGCCCCTGGAAGGCACTAGCCATGGAAGAAGGAGACTCCTTAGGGTCTCAGTGTTGAGCTGAGGCTCAAAGCAAAACTGAACCTCTCAGTGTCAACAGGAGGCCAGTCTAGTACCTCTGTTAGGAAGTCTCTGACCCGTGTCCTTGGGGCATCATAGTGAATAAGTTGGTCTTACCCAAGCCAGGGCTTATTCACCACCCTCTTTGGACAGTCAGGCCAGTCTAGGGTTTATGTCAACAAATGCCTTGTGATGGTTAATTTTATGTGTCAGCTTGGCTGGGCCATAGTGCCCAGCTATTAGGTCAAACATTATTCTGGATGATTCTGTAAGGGTGTTTTAGAATGAAATTTACATTTGAATCAGTGGACTTTGAGTAGAGTAGATTGCCCTCCATATTGTGGGGGGCCCACATCAAATCAGTTGAAGGCCTGAATAGAACAAAAGGCTGCTTTCCTCCAGCAAGAAGGAATTCAGCCAGCAGACGGCCTTTGGTCTTGAACCACAACATTAGCTTTGCCCTGGGTCTCCAGACTGCTGGCCTGGACTTGGACTTGCCAGCCTCTGTAATCACATGAGCCAATTCCTTAAAATAAATCCCTCTAGGTAGGTAGGTAGATAGATAGATTAGATAGACAGATAGATAGATAGATAGATAGATAGATAGATAGATAGAGTGATCTCCTATTCATTCAGTTTCTCTGGAAAGCCCAGACTGAAACAAGCCTCCTAAAAATCGAGTTGCTAGGTCATCAGGTCATCAGTCCCAGCCCCAGGCAGCCTATTCCACATAGCAAGGTCATCCTCTGTGATGAGACTCCAAAGCCAGGTTGACTTCCAGTGAATACTGCTGCTCATAGACCAAACCCAGTCCATGGGGTCAGTCCAAGATACACCTGTAGCACTCCCACTCCACAGACTCCTAGCTTCCATTAAGCTTAATCTAGTCCTCTGTGTTCTGATCCAGGCCTTTCCTGTCTCTCCCAAGTCATTGTTCCGTGAGTATAAGAGGACATTCCCAAAGAATACGGTTATAATTCTCTCACCTTAGAAAAGTAAATACATCATGGAGAATATATTTGATTTTAGATTTTTGGTGTGCTTTGCCTTAGAATAGACAGTGAATTCAAGATAATGTACTGCTTTCAAATACTAATTAAGTATCATTTCCTGAAGGAAAGTAAAGCAGTTGTGCTGATAATGATCAAGGCCTTGCTTCTCTGTGTGGGACTTGAAAAGAAATAAGCCAAGGGGCAGATGAATGAGTGAGGAATGCGCCCCTTGTAATGCGCGGGCACAGGCCTGACCATGCCCCCTTCCCAGGAGTGCTCCACAGCCCACCCGTGCATCCATCGTGTGACTGACGGCAAAAAACCCCAGTCCACAAGTGTTTCCCGAAACAGGAACTTCTTCTGGCTGCTATCCTATCTCTCTCCTTCCCTTCACATTCATGCACCTCAGAGAAAAGTATTCAACATCTGCATCCACTTCCTCACTTCCCATTCATTCTTCTCAGAAAATTTTGCATAAATAATACATGGATACATTCTTTTAAAAAATTCACAAATACATAGGTAAAGAAGTGACCATTCCCCTTGATCTCGTCTCTTTTAATCCCATTCCTTTCTCTAAAGCTGTAAGCACTTGTTAGCAGTTAGGTATACATCCTTTTCAGATCTCAGTCTTCCTATTTACTACACAAGTATATATCTTGTGTTGGTGTGTGTGCATTTTCATAAATGGACTAATATTTTCAGCATTATTCAATAGTTTCCTTATTTCACTTAATAAAATGGAGACCCTTCCATTCTTGCACATATACAGGCATGCCTTGTTTTACTGTGATTTGCATTATTGCTCTTCACAGATACTATGATTTTTAAAAATTAAAGTTTCGTGGAAATCCTGCATCGAGCAAGTCTATCAGTGACCTTTTTCAAATAGCATGTGTTCATTTCATGTCTGTCTCACATTTGGGTAATTGTCGCAATATTTCAAACTTTTTCATTATTATTACATGTATTATGGTGATCTGTGATCAGTAATCTTTGATGTTACCACTGTAATTGTTTTGAGGGACCACAAACTACACCCATATAAGACAGCAAACTTAATAAACGTGTGTGTTCTGACTGCTCCACTGACGAATGTTCCCCTGTCTCCACCACTCTTAGGGCCTCCCTGTTCCCTAAGACACAACAATATTAAAGTTAGGCCAATTAGTAAACCTACAATGGCCTCTCAGTGTTCAAGTGAAAGGAAGAGTCTCATTGTCTTTCACTTTAAATCAAAATCTAGAAATGATTAAGCCTAGTGGAGAAGGCATGTTGAAAGCCGAGATAGGTCAAAAGCTAGGCCTCTTGCCACAAACAGCCACGTTGTGACTGCAAAAGAAGAATTCTTGAAGAAAATGAAAAGTTCTACTCCAGTGAACACAAGAATGATAAGAAAACAAAACAGCCTTATTGCTGATATGGAGAAAGTTTGAGTGGTCTGGATAGAAGATCCAAACAGCCACAACATTCCCTCATGCCAAAGCCAAATACAAGACAAGGCCCTAACTCTTCAGTTCTATGAAGGCTGAGAGAGGTAAGGAAGCTACAGAAGAAAAGTTGGAGGCTAGCAGAGCTTGGTTCATGAGGTTTAACAAAACAAGCCATCTCCATAACATAAACATGCAAGGTAACACAGACAGTGCTGATGTAGAAGCTAGCGCAAGTTATCTAGAAGATCTAGCTAAGATCACTGATGAAGGTAGCTACACTAACAACAGATTTTCAATGTGGACAAAACAGCCTTTTCTTGGAAGAAGATGCCATCTAGGATTTTCACAGCTAGAGAGGAGAAGTCAACGCATGTCTTCAAAGCTTCAAAGGACAGGCTGACTCTCTTGTTAGAGGCTAATGCAGCTGGCGACTTTAAGTGGAAGCCAATGCTCATTTACCATTCTGAAAATCCCAGGGCCTTAAGAATTATGCTAAATCTACTCTGCCTGTGCCCTATCAATGGAATAACAAAGCCTGGATGACAGCACATCTGTTTACATCGTGGTTTACTGAATATTTTAAACCCACTTTTGAGACTACTGCTCAAAAAAAACATCCCTTTCAAAAGAATACTGTTGGCTAGCAACATAGCTAGTCACTCAAGAGCTTTGATGGAGAGGTACAAGGTTAACATTTTCATGCCTGCTAACACAACATCCATTTTGCAGCCGATGGTTCAAGAAGTAATTTCTACTTTAAGTCTTAAGATTTAAGAAATGTATTTTGTAAGGGTATAGCTGCCATAGATAGTAATTCCTCCAATGGATCTGGGTAAAGTAAATTGAAAACCTTCTGGAGGCTGGGCATGGTAACTTATGCCTGTAATTCCAAAATTTTGGGAAGCCAAGGCAGAAGGATGGCTTGAGCCCAGGAGTTCAAGGCCAGACTGGGTAACATAGTGAGACCCTGTCTCTACAAAAAATTTTTAAAATAGCTGGGTGTGGTGGTGCATACCTGTAGTCTCAGCTATTCAGGAGGCTGAGGTGGGAGGAACACTTGATTCCAGGAGATCAAGGCTGCAGGGAGCCATGACTATACCACCGTACTCCAGCCTGGGTGACAGAGTAGGTCCCAGTCAAAAAAAAAGAAAGAAAGAAAGGAAGAAAGGAAGAAAGAAAGGAAGGAAGGAAGGAAGGAAGGAAGGAAGAAAGAAAGAAAGAAAAAGAAAGAAAGAAAAAGAGAAAGAAAGAAAGAAAAAAAGAAAAAGAAAGAAAGAAAACCTTCTGGAAATAACTGACAATTCTAGATGCCATCAAGAGTATTTGTGATTCATGGGAGGAAGTCAAAATATTAACACTACTAAGAGTTTGGAAGAAGTTGACTCCAACCCTCATGATGACTTTGAGGGGGTTCAAACCTTCAGTGGAAGAAGTAACTGCAGATGGGACAAAAATAGAAAGAGAACTAGAATTTGAAGTGAAGCGTGAAGATGTGACTGACTTGCTACAATCTGATGATAAAACTTAAACAGATGAGGAGCTGCTTCTTAGGGAAGAACAAAGAAAGTGATTTCTTGAGATAGAATCTACAGCTGGTGAAGATGCTATATGTATTGTTGAAATGGCCACAAAGGATTTAGAATATTACATAAACTTAGTTAATAAAGCAGCAGGAGGGTTTGAAGAGTTTGCCTCTAATTTTGAAAAATGTTCTACTGTAGGTAAAATGCTATCAAATGGCATCTCATGCTACAGAGAAATCTTTCGTGATAGGATAAGTCAACTGATGCCGCAAATTTCACTGTTGTCTTATTTTAAGAAATTGCCGCAGCAACCCTAACCTTCAACAACCACCACTTTCATCAGTCAGCAGCCATCCACTGAGGCAAGATCCTATACTAGCAGAACAATTACGACTCACTAAAGGCTCAGATGATCATTAGCATTTTTTAAAAATACAGTATCTTTTCACGAAGTTTATACATTGGTTTTTTAACATATATAATGCTACTGTACACTTAACCGATTACAGTACAATGTAAACATAGCTTTCATATGCATTAGGAAACCAAAAAGTTTATGTGGCTCGCTTTATTGTGATATTTACTTTATTGCGGTGGTCTGGAACCAAACCCACAATATCTTCTTTGAAGATATGTCCATACATCACTTACTATGTTCAGGAAAATAGTCTGAGAGAGATTTACATTTCTCAATTGGATAACTGAAATCATTTCCTAACTGTACTCCCTGCCGCCAGCTTCACACCCTCCAATCTATTACACACACCCGCCAGAGTGATCTCATCAAAGCCCAAATTTAATCCTCTTATTCTCTGATTAAAACCCTCCATTGACTCCCCACCACTTCTAGGATAAAGACGAATTGTTCAGTATGGCTTGCAAGGCCCATCATAATCCAGTCCCTGCCTAGCTAGCAGGTCTTACTTCTTGCCATTCCAAACTTCTTTTGGTTCCCAAAACATGCCAGACCTGGCCCTGCCTCCTTGGCCTTCCTGCCCTTCCCCGCCCTGTCTGCCTGGCAAACATCTACTTGATTCCAAACATTCTGTTCAGTGTCACTCCTGTTTGAAGCCTTTTATGACTTCCCCATTAGAACTTACTGCTATCCTTGCTATGATCTCACTGTCCCATGGAAAACACCACAAGCAAAGCAGGCAAAACATTTTATTGCCCTTATTGATTTATATCTCTTTCTTGTCGTGCCAAACAAAACACATTTTAAGGGACAAGGGCCTTGACTTTTTCATCTCCAGCACCCAATGCTCTGTATAATATAGTGGTACTTTGTGGTTAAAAATAGCAAATTAATCAATATATTATTTTTATTGAGGTATAATGTGTTTGATCCCAAGTAATATTTAAGGTGAGTTACAAAGATATTGACAATATACCAAAACAAAAAACTTTAAAAATGGCTTTTTAATAAGGCAAATACAAATGAAGGGTTTAAAACTGATGAAGCCAGGAGTGAGATTATTATACTTGCTAGAAGCAGGCCATATATTTGGCTTTCTAGTAGCCAGCAGCAATAAGAAATTTCCCAGAGACCATAAGATAAAAATAAGCTGGCTGCTAAGGAAAAGCATAACTAGACCCAACATAGTTACCACAGAGAAGTTTCTCCTAAGGAACCTCAGAGTGGACACTATGTAATGAGATCAACAACAGTCCTCAACATTTCTTTAATGTTTCTGTTAATTATACACAGAGACGAGCTTCACAGAGATGTTTCTCACAAAATCACTCACCATAAACTAAAGTTTCACCCCAACACACAATTCAGTAAACTCATTTTCACTGTCATGTGGTTCAAATTGGTTCTCTCCCAGATGTCAGATTAATTAAAAGACATATTTTAGTGTTTCTAGTGATACTGTCCTTAACATTTTGGACCACAGATAACCTTTTGAGAATCTGACAAAATGCTATGCACCCTCTCCTCAGAAAAACAACCTAGCATTTTGCATCTATTTTTAAGGGAAACCTAAAGCAAATCCATGAACTCCCAGGTTAAAACTCTCTGTCTGGAGGAAAGATGCACTCCATACATCGTTGAGGCAGGCTTCCATAAATAGTATTTCCCCCAACAGGTCTTTAGAAAGGTTCTGCTGTCTGTCCTACCTAACCTAGAGAGCAGAACTGTGTGCTTTAACTGTCAGCCATGGTGGGCATTAGGCTTCTTCTAGAAAAAGAGAGGAATCCAACAGGAACATTCATCCACTTCTGGAGTGATACCCATGGGCAGAGCCAATATTCTCCAGAATTCTTTAACATAAAAGCTCTACAGTTCTACATCATTAAGCATAGCCAAAAATAATTTAAGTGAGGAAAATATTCAAAGTAGGTGTAACCAAATATCCAAACTGTTAATTTTTTAAAATTTCACTAAAACAGAGAATATCTAACTTTGAATAATGTAACTTCCTGCAGTATCTTCCAAGAAAAATTAGTTGAGTTGCAAAATATATATGGAAATAACTAAGTGAATTTTCCTGCTACACAGGAATTAGTTACTTTGCTGTTAAAAGTTGGGTGGACGGTCTAGCAAAAAACATAACTTTGGTTTAGCATAATCATCTGAAGCATGACGTTTTACTAGTAATTGGAAAATAGGATCAGCTGTCTATTAAAATAGTTTTAGATTATGATAATGCATCTATATCACCTTTATTTTTTTTCTTTTAGAGGAAAAGCATAATTCCAGTTTATTAAAAGTGATATTAAATCATTAATAAATACATTTTTAAATAAGAGATCAGCCTGGAAATAACAATTCCTGTCCAAAGGTTGGAGGAATATCCATAAAAGCCATAGACAATATTATACAGTTTCTGACATCAAGTGTCAGGAAATTAGTATTAAATGTAATAGTGCGGAATAGCAGAAATGCCATGACTAAGGAGTGTCCACTCCTCATGAAAAATATGGCCTAAGCCAGGGGTCAGCACATTTTCTGGGGTAAAGGGCCAGGAAGTAAATATTTTACACCTTGAGGGGTATCTGCCATTGTAGTGTGAAAGTGGCCACAGACAATGTTTAAACAAAGAGGGTGGCTGTGTGCCAATAAAACTTATTTAGCTGTTGGAGCCTGGCCTAAGAATCCTAAATACGAAAAACTCTAGACTCTCTTGAAGAAAATACACATCTTTTACAGAAGGTTGCTATGAGAAATTCGGTCAAATATTCCATGGAAATTAACACACGAAGGCTATGTATATATTATGACTCTCCCATTGTAGCACCCTAGTTACTACTTACTCTGTTATCTTCTTTTTCAGTATTCTCAAACCTCTTGGAGTTTTTTTCAGAGATCTGTATCAAGCTTACTACTTACCTAGAGTTTCCAAAAACACCCTGTATCCCACTTTTTTATATCTATGACAACCACACATCTGCTGGTAACTTTCCTATGTTTTCTGATTTTTACAGACTTGAAACATCTGTGAGCTCTGGGGGCAATGTGCGTACCAGGAGATTGAAGTCTTTCAAGTCCACGATGTTTTTCTCTTTTTTTAAATACAATTTTCATTTTATTTTTTTCCAGAAGATAGTTTTTCTTCAGACCTTAAGGACTCAGCTCCTTACCTGGGCTTTAGTGGAGGTCGTGGGGCAGCACCCACAGGTCTAAATCGGGATCGGGGTATTTGGTTCGTGTGGGCTTCACAAGATCAATTCCTGACTACCTTGCTATGAATGGCACAACTGACACAGCAATGTAGCTTCACATACAACTTGAGAAGCACGGAGGTGTCAAAGACACTCGCTTTGGAAACGTACCTGATAGCTGCAGCCTCTACTATGTTTCAAATGACAAACTTCTTAATAGCCTTGTACTTGGCCATGCATCGGGCACAGTTCCTGCCACAAATAGGCTGTACGTGGCTATGGCCTTTTTTGGCATGACCATTATTCCTTCTTTTCTTTTGCGTTTTGGAAGCAAGGGCCCAGGAGAGTTTCTGAGAAGTAACATGATCAGAGTTCCTCTTCAGGAAAAAACAATGTCCAACTGCTGAACAACTAGACAGAGTAATTAACTCACTCTGGCAAAGAATAACATCCTTTATTATGGGATACTATGGGCTGAATTGTGTTCCCCGAACTCATGTTGAAGCTCTAATCCCACTATCTCTGCATGTGCTCCTGTTTGCAGATGGGGCCTCTAAAGATGTGATTACGTTAAAATGAAGCCTTCAGGGTGAGCCCCCATCCAATCTGACTGAGGTCTTTATAAGAAGAGGAAACCTGGACATACAAAGAGACAACAGAGACACAAGCACAGTGGAAAGATCTTGTGAAGAGGCAGCTAGAGAGTGGCCATCGACAAGCCAAGGAGAGGGGCCTCGGAAGAAACTAAACCTGCCAAAACCTGATCTTGGACTTCCAGCCTCCAGAACTATAAGAAGATAAATTTCTATTGTTCGAGCCACCCAGACTGTGGTATGTTTGTTATGGCAGCCTTAGCAAACTAATACAGATGAGCTCAGTTAGACAGCAGTTGCAGTAGTCAGGGTTAGAACTAGACAAGCTGCAGCAAGATTGCAGTGACCGGCACAAGTGTGAATGTGCTGCAGAAATGAAATGGACAGGGCCTGAGAAGAGAAGTGAGGAGTGGGGAAAACGACATAGTAGAAATTCACTCTAACACCTGGGCCTGGTTGGCAAGGAAGATGGTGATACCATTTGAAAATACAGGAGAGTCAATAAAGGAAAGAGGAGTTTAATTTTTAGACACTTTTCCGGACGTGTCTTGCTACATGCTTTCTTGGTATCTCTTTATCTATCTTGGTCTTTATTCCCTCACATAGTAGACACTCAGAAAATTATTGATTAATGGACAATCTCACTCAATGAAGAAAATTAAACCCAAGCCCATCTGCTTTTGTTGTTGTTGTTGTTGTTTTAAAATCTTACACCACATGTCCTTAAATACTGAAAAGATACCCTCGATTTTTTCTGGAAGAGCCTAACTATACTTTGAAAACATCCTTTTAGTTATCTTTATGACAGTGGTCCCATAAGACTATAATGTCATATTTTTACTGTACCTTTTCAATGTTTAGATATGCTTAAATACACAAATACCACTGTGTTACATGATCATGTGTCACTTAACTATGGGGATACATTCTGAGAAATGCATCCTTAGGTAATTTCATCATTGTGTGAACATCATAGAGTGTACTTACACAATCCTAGATGATGGTATAGCTTATTGCTCCCGGGCTGCAAACCTGTACAGCACATTACTGTACTGAATACTGTAGGTAACTGTAACATGGTGCTAAGTATTTGTGTTACCTAAACATAGAAAAGATACAGTTAAAATACAGTATTATAATCCTATGGGACCACCATCATACATGAGGTCTGCAATTAACCGAAACATCATGATGCAGTGCATGGCTGTATGGTATTCATTCTTAATTACATGCTACGCTATTTTTGTATATGCCACTCAAAAATCTTAAGAAGCCCTTAAATACTAAAGAAGAATTGTCTCATACTAAATCATGACAGAAGTCTTTCCTAAACAAAGGAGAGTGGAATAGACGAAGGGGCAGAGGAATAGATGGCACACACTTCAACTTTGCTGGACATGGCAAAGCCTCTGAAAGAGTTTAAATTATTTGCTTAAATCATTATTTCTGTTCAAATTTCTGCTAGTTTGTCCATGCGGAATTCTGGCCATGAACTTGTATTCTAAACACTAAGAAGTCTAGAATGCACAATCACCAGTTGTTATGGACAAAGAGATCATGTTTTGAAAAGCCAATAGGAAAAAAACTATTTTCTTACTTGTCAAATGAAGATAACAACACCTGCTTCATAAGTTTGTATTTAAGATTAAACAGATATTATTTATAAAGCTGGCATAGAGCATGTTCTCAAAAATTTCACTCACTCATTCATTCAATAAGTACTTGGTAAATATCAGGGTCCTAGGAACATAGTGCAGTGGTAAAGGCCAAACACCTGACCCTTCCTCTACCACAGAGCAAAGGGACTCTGCCTAGTCACCATGGCAGTCTCCCTCATTGTCTGGACAGAGCTGGACAGATCCCATGAATACTTCAGGGCTTTCATACCACCCTCCAAAAAATAATCTATGTCTCACTTTTCTCATCCTTTAACAGCTGAGGGTGTCTCTGTAATTCGTTATTTTTCAATCCAACACCTTCTGTCTATGTCTTTATACATTAGTACACTCAATTAAAACAGTTAACAAAATTATCTTCCCAATCTCACTTCAATTATACTCCCATTACTGAGTTCAGAGTAATGTAGATATATATAAATATGTAAGGAGAACTAACACTTAGAAACACATTCAAAATAGAATATTTCTCTTTTCACTTAGCTTTTTTTAAATAAATGCCTTACCCCAAAGAAGATAAGGAAATAATGTTAATAAGTCTTACATTTAAAGGTAAAATATGACTCGGAGAAAAGCTTAGATGAAAAGTTAACAGAAGAGGACCCACAATGCAAAATGCAAGATGATACCATCCCAGAATCAGAATTTCCAAAATCAAAGGGACCTTTTTCTCTTGAGTCCCCATCCAATTCAAGTAGTCATCCAGCCAGTGAGTAAATGACACCTCTCCCCAACACACAAACACACACACCCCATCTCCAAATGAGCCAACACTAGAAATAGCTATAAGACGAAAGGTCAAATGACACTTGGTAGAATAAAAAAAAAATCTAGGCAAGAAAAGTAACATAATTAATAGAAAAAGTAAGAATACATGAAGACATGCAGCAAGTATTGGATTAAAAGATATATAGCAGGCAGTAGAAAGATTATTTGCATTTCTAATTCAAAAGCAAAGTGTTTATCAAGTGATATGTTTCCAAAAGTAATTTTTTAAATGGAAGCATTATTTGACCGTTTTAATCTCTTCCATTTCCTATTGATGTAAGGCCACCTAAAAACTTATGAATTGTTTTCTATTTACAAAATGATTCAGCTTAGAAAGGAGTAGAATGAGACTGGTCATTCAGTAATTTCTCCCACCCACCCTTGCAGACATCACATCACAAAGACTGTGACTCACTTTGTCATACAATTTCTATCCTCTTAAGAGTTTTTCAGATTGTTGTGATGAATACTGGGTCATAAATCTGAATAAATTTTCAGATGAAACTATCCATGCCATTTCATCACAGCCCAAAATATTAACAATGGTACCAGACAGTCCCCAATACTAACTTTTACAATGATTCACTGGTTTTAGACCTGAGTAAGAGAGAGACACACTGACGTAAGGATTGAAGTGTCTGAATCAGGTATGAATTCCCAGGTCTGCGTTCCTTAATTAGAGTACTATAACCAGTTCTAGAACTGAGCATTAATGTTGGCTAGAAATATTAATATGTTACTTAACAGCTGAAAAGTTTCCAAAATAAAAAGTGATCCAACAAATGACTACGCTTTGCCTTTATTGCTTCCCTTGAATAATGTTAAAGGTGTTTGCAGAAAAGAACTACAGTGCTGTTGCATTCAATTTACCATTTTATATGCCTCATACTATAGTATTTATACTTATTTGAAGTTGTTGCCCATTCAACAAATATAGAGTGAACCTTTTCATGGGACTCAGACTGGTCACTCATTCAGCAATGAAGCCAAAAGGACCCTGGGATGAGTAAATTCAGCCTCAGACCCTCAGAATAGGAAAGAGTAAAGAACTACTGGGTAATGTGGTCTGGATTTTTTAAAAATAAAAATTTCTTGCCAGCTAGGAATTTCCAGTAAAACTGGGGGACATAAAATTAAAATACAACAAGCTATTAGAGAGAATTTTTAGATAGCACACAGAAAAGGAAAGATGGATACAGGATGATGTGAAAGAAATAAGGCCCAAAGCATGACTGGAAATGGGATAAGGTACGAGGACAGACAGGACATTTCAGCTTAAGGAAAACTGCCTGGTTAAAGGCTAAGATGACAAGGAAGACAGGAGACGTGAAGGGAAGGTCAGAAAGGAAGTTAAGAGACTTGGCTAATTTATTGAGTACATCTTCAATTTAACAAACATTCTTTGAGTGGCCACTGTGTGTGAGGATAGATGCAGCAAATGGGATCCAGTGCTTGCCTACAAAGAGTTCACAGTCCCAGTGCAGAAGCCAGACACATAAACCACTAACTATTACAGAAAGCATGAAGTTCTGTGTTCAGACTATGTACCAAGTATATGGGAAAACAGTAAAAACCATTAATTCTCCCTGGGAAGGTAGAGGAAAGTTTCACAAAGAAGTCTGTTGGGCTGGATCTTAAAGGATTTTTCCAGAGAAAGGTGAGGATGGGAGGAGTTGTGAGAGAGAAATTGATAAGAAAAAGAAGGATTTTTCAAAAACAAGAGTCACATGAAGAAAGGCCAATCATTGTGACAGTAATCGTTATGACACATTAAAGAGACTATAATTAAAGCACAGAGTGCTACAGCTTCAGGAAGGTATGGATGGTAAACAGTAAGAAATAAGGTAGGTCATGTTTAAGAAGGAAAGCCAGGTAGGTCTGGTTAGTGCTTAAAATTGCAGGAGAGTAGAGGTCATTAAATCAAGAGGCAGGGCAAGGAAATCACTATGGCTGGGAAACATTTTAGAGAGATATATACGAAAGAAGTAGAGAAAGGCATCAAAGACAATTCCATGGTGTCTAGCTTTGGAGACAAGAATAATAATTCACTACAAGCAGAAATTCAGGAGGAAAGGGTGCTAGTTTGAGAAAATGGTGTTAAGTTCTGTTTTATGTATGTTAAGTTGAAGCTATGGCAGTGTGTCTGCCCTCCAAGCAGTGGGAAATTGAGATGGGGAATCAAGACAGAGACAGAGACAATACATGATCTTCTGAAGGAATACAAGTACACAGAAAGAAGAGTAGAAGGCTAAAAACAGAACCTTGGGGGAATACAAATGCAAAAAAAAAACAGAAGAAAGTGGAAAAAAAGACAGTTGGATGGGCAAAAGTATAACCGCCTGAGGAGTTCTTCCAGCCTGCTGCACAAGGAAAGACCACAGCATTGCAGTAAAGAAAGAGTTTAATAAACACAAGGCCGGCAAAGCCACATGGGAGATAGAGTTAGTACTCAAACCAATCTCATCCACAGCTCATGGGATAGGAGTTTTTCAACAGCAGTTTGGGGGAAAGGGTGAGGATTGCTATGCAATGGGTGCTTACTGATAATTCATTGGGCTGAAGATGAAATAATAGGGGGTCAAAGTTGTCCTCTTGAGTGGAACCATTCCTGGGTGGGGCCACAGGAGTGGTTTAGCAGGTCCAGCTGGAGCCATGGGTGTCAGACATGCAAAAAACCTGAAAAGATATCTCAAAAGGCCAATCTACAATAGTGGTGTTATCTGCACCACTATTGGTGCACTAGTGGCAATCTATTAATACGTCTACACCTTAGCACAACTCAGATTCCTGTCCTCCCCTGAAGCCTGAGGGCCTTTCATTAGCTTTATAAAGGCAGTTGAGTTTTGGGGAAGGCTTATTATCCTTTAAACTATCTCCCAAAGTTATCTGGGCCTAAGCCCAGAAATGATTAAGGCAGCTTGAAAGCTAAAGGCAAGAGGAGGGGAGTGGGCTAGGTCATATCTCTGGCAGTGTCATAATTTTCTCAGATATAACTTTTGCAAAGGCAGTTTCAAAAGGAGAACCAGGTTGATGTGATGTAATAGAAGCCAAGGAATTATCAAGAAGTCAGAGGCAGACAATACTGCCACATGTCAGAGTAGCATGAAAAATTGGAAAAGGCCACATGATTAAATTAGAAGACTACTGGTGCTCTCATAAGAATGATTTAAGTGGAATACTGAGGGCAGAATCTAGAATTTAAAAGAGTTCAAAAAAAGAAAAGGAGATGATGTAGAAGAACGTACTGATTCCAGGATATTATTCACAAAAGAAAATAAGAATGAAAAACAATGCACAGCATACCTGAGAAAGTTTTATATTGCATAGTGAGACAGGACAGCCAAGTATAAAGGGGTCCCTGGAGAACCTCCAAATGGCCTGCACACTGGGAGAATGGGGTGGAGCCACAGAAGTTCACGCCCTTTGCAGGGAGGAGACTGGTCTCTCCTGTTCGGGGTGGTAACTTGGGAATCAATCTGTGAGATGGGGGCCTGTTAATATGAACCCCTATTGCTTTGCTGTGTTGTTTTTCCTTTTTTCTTTCTGACCAATAAATTCCATAACCCCTCACCCTCCAAAGTGTCTGTGAGCCTAATCTTTCCTGGGCGTGTGACAAGAACCAGGATTTTCCTACAACAATAGTACATGATAAAAATCTTAAATACTTTTAAGGAAATCAGAATTCCCAATAAAAGTTCTAAACAATTTTTCCTGAAAAATGATTCATCTTTCTCTAGATTATTCTAAGAAAAACTAATAGCCAGTCTCCAAAATTCCGAAATGTTTCCCAAATATAACTTTGCTATATATAATTATCTTCATTTAAAGATTGACCAAGTATCTAAACACAGATGTCAAGACACCAAGAAAACTGTAAACTTTGACCAAGCTTTATACAGCATATGCCTCATGAGTAGTTATTTCACAGCAAGTTCCACAGAGAATGTTTTCCTCATCAGCTGACATTTAGTGAGCACTCTCTGAGTAAAAAGTACTGAGCTTTTTATGATGTTTATTTATATAAAGAAGTCATGGTTCCTACCTTAAGGTGCCAGCATCTTAAGGTGCCTAAATTATGAACAGAGAATAATCTGTTCACAGAATGCAGCCAGATCATTACTACTCTGTACAAATTTCTTTTAAAAAATACTTTTTTCTTGGCTAATTTGAGTTATCATTTAATTACAAGTTTTCATTATAAATTAATGTATAGCTTAATTATAAATTAAACCAGGATCATTCCTTTCAATTGTTCAATTATATCTGGAACATACACTTAATATTCACATAGCTTCTCTTCAATTTTTAAATCTCCAAAATACCTTGAAAATCTGTGAACTTTTCATTTCAGAATTCTATTGGATAATTCATCTTAGAGGTTAAATTGCAGAAGTCAATAGCTCTATAAAAATACAAATACACACATACACACACACACACACACACACATCCATTATACATTTCTGTAAATGAGTAAGTATCAAAGATACACCGGTCAAGTCAAAAGTCACCTTGTGCAGGAAGAGTGACAGAAGACAGCTGGATGAGACATAAACACTGAATATTGGCTGTCTGTTGCCTCCAGGCCCTTCCAATTTCTTCAAACTAAAAATATTCTGAAGGTGTTTAGAATGAGACTGGTCTGGCTTCTAAGAACCACAGTCTATGGCTCAAAGGGTGAGTTCCCCTGGAAGTTGCCACTTTTCTTTTCCTCCTCTCCTAAATTCCTGTGGCTATACATAACCTAGCTTAAAAGGCCTTGTTGGCGGTCATTATTAAAGGGAGAAAAGAGAAAGCAGGAGCTAACTGAACAGTGGATACAACAAGGAAACACTTAAAATCACAGTGCCATAAGTGCATTTTCTAATGATCCAGCTAAAACTCTACACTGATAATCATTATTCCAAATTATTATGCAAACAATCAAGCATTAACTATTTATTGAGCACTGACAATATACAAATTAAGTACTAGACCAGATCCTAATTTCAGAGCACAGAAAAGGACAAACTCAAAAATAAAACAGAACAAAATACATTTGTTTGGACAGAATATCCTGATGAGGTTAAGATTTGTGCCCCAGGCTGGGCACGGTGGCTCACGCCTGTAATCACAGCACTTTGGGAGGCTGAGGTGGACAGATAACCTGAGGTCTGGAGTTCGAGACCAGCCAGGAAAATTCATGGTGAAATCCCGTCTCTACTAAAAATGCAAAAATTAGCTGGGTGCGGTGGCAGGTGCTTGTAATCACAGCTGAAGCAGAAGAATTGCTTGAACCCAGGAAGGAGAGGTTGTAGTGAGCTGAGATTGTGCCACTGCACTCCAGCCTAGGTGACAGGGTAAGACTGTGTCTCAAAAAGAAAAAAAGAAAAAGATATGTGCCCCAAAGATACAGATTTGCCTTGCTCCGTTTCATGGTCATAGACTTTTATCCCATGCCAGCCTTCTTACAGACGTGTGCTACGGGACATAGGGGCCCAAGTAGGGTATCTGGAAAATCAACAAACACTAGAATTGGAAAAACAAGCAAAGACTACAGCACATGTGTAATTACCAGCTTGTACAGGCATCTCGTGGTTTTAAAATAGTAGTTCCAATAATGTGAGACCTTAAATTGTCTTTTCAACATCACTGATGATGAGTTCTCAGAATCAGTGTATAGATGAAGAAAGTCAATTTTATGCTTATGATATTTAAAGAACCGTTCTTGTTTTGTTCATTACATCTGTAACATTTTATTTTCTAATTAAACTTTAAAATTATGTCCTTCCACATAAAATGGCATCATAAATCAAAATGAGAATACTTAAAACCCAATTGTTACACCATTGTCAAAGTCTAATTACATAACGGTCATTTTATAAACAAATGAAACCCCTCAGGGCATGTCATGAGGGGATATTGCCTTTTCTAGGCTGAAGTCACTTGGCATCAAACTCATCTTAAAAGGCTCCTAAGGTGTGGTAATATCTATGACTCATGAATTGTCCTTTCATTGCTGTACTGATTACATGATTTCCAAGATTAAATGAGCTATTAGATTCTGACTTCATTTGTTTACTGCACCCAATATTTATTACAGTAAATATCACGTTCATTAAGTAAAATTATTGCTATCCACTTGCCAGATATTACCAAAGAGAGGTGGGGGGAGAGAATCTAGTACGTGTATTATTAAATCAATGGTTCTATTTACCCCAAAGGCAGTAGTGAAGAGATGGAAAGGTGGCTTTATCCAAAACCCCAGGAAATCAACCTGAGGCACCCGTAAACTAGTAAGAACTCTTCAAAGGGGCTAGCAGCTCACTACCCTGAAATGGAGGAAGCCTAACCAAAGTGGGGTCCAGCAGGGCACACTCTATGGTGGAATGAAGAGCGCACTGAGGCTGAGGGATGGCAGGAAGAGAAGGCAAGGGACCAGGTGGTAAGAAGCTCATTCAGGATAAAAAAAGAGGAAACCCACAAGTGAACTTGAGTAATTGGTGACTTTTCTGAGCTTCAGTATCCTCTTCTGTAAAAAGAGATGGGTAAACCAGAAGGTCTGAAGCCTCCCTTTGATTTCACAAGTCCATGTTTTTATGCTTGGGGTTGCATGGAACACATGCAGTAGCAAAGAGCCCAGGGGTCAGGCCCACCTACAAGCCACCCCTGCTCCACACTGGGGTGGGCAGGTCTGCCTTTCCAAGTCTCAGCGTCCTCTGGAGCCTGCAAGCAAAGAAGTGTGGCACACAGGCAGTCACCTCCTGGGAGAAGCCCAAGGGTAGATACAGTACTTCTAACTACTCTCATTTTTTTTTTTTTTTTTTTTTTTTGTAAATAAGAGCACCTGGAATAAATTGAATACTAAGTGTACATAAGCAGCATACATTTCACTTACTATACTCTACCACATGTTGTACGTGCTGCTTGGGATAAAGTGTTCTCTCTTCTGAATGTTTTTACACAGCTTGCTACTTTAGAGTACATACTTAATATTATCCATTCCCACCGCATTGAAAGAGGCCTGCCAAAAGTTAAGGATGCCAAAAGAAAGGCAGGAGTGCAGCGCACATGCTGGAGAAGGAGAAACTCTCTAACCACTTTTAACATCTTGTTTTTATCAAGACTCTCATGTCAAATGAAGATTATTCCAGGACTATGAGAAAAACGCCAGAAAATGGGCCCTTTTGAGTGCAAATTCAGGAGAATGCCCAGGTGTGAAGCACAGTTGACCTTCAGCAACACTGAAAAATTGGAAACATTTGTGTTGTGTCATCTTCTCCTACCTCTTCTTTTAGAAAATTTTCCTCTCTTTCCTACCTCACAGCTTCCCACTCTGCCTCCTCTTCCCCTGCACCTCTCCAGGACCCCATCATTTATATCACAGTCTTCAAAGCATCCCTCCCCAAACTCCAGTCCTTCTGGCCAGCTTTTGGGGAAGAAATTGCACTCACAATTTAATCCATACTAAATGTTAAAATCTGATAATGGTTGAACTTGGCCTTTCAAAAGTTACCTGCAGTTTAGAAAACATGTAGGCACAAAGTGTCATGCCAAAGGAAAAAAAATTCCAGTGACAGATGTTCAGGTCAGTTGGACAAAACAGTCTGAGGAATGAGACCATAGATTTTTCAACTTTTCAAACAGGTCTAGAAATCTGAGCCATAATGTAGTAGGAAACTGTGGCTACTATTAACTCTTCTCCATGTTTTCTGGTCAGTTTTATTTGTTTTGGGGGGTCTCCTCATGGTTTGGTCAACTATCAGTAAACATCCAATATGTGAGAAAATAATATACTGTACTTAAATTTATGTCCAGGTTGGGCTACATAGAAATAGATGAAATTTGTCATTTTTAGATTTGTATTCTTGTCAGTCTATTGCCTGGTACAGGTATCCTTTAAAAAAAGAGTAGTCTCTTTGGGGACTTGGGAAGAAAGGGTGGGAAGTTGGGGAGGGACAGGACTACAAACTGGATTCAGTGTATACTGCTTGGGTGATGGGTGCAACAAAATTTCACAAATCACCACTAAAGAACTTACTCATGTAACCAACTACCACCTGGTCCCTAAAACCCTATAGAAATAAAAAATTTTAAAAAAATTGGTAGTCTCCACAAGTCTGGATGAGTTATTCTACATTTCCCTTTTAATGTCTTGTCCTTAGCTAGTTATAAAGTTAGCAGAGTTCTCAACCTGAGTACTAGTGACATTTGGGGTCAAAAATGTTTTTGTTGAGGGTATTATAATGTGTATTGTAGGATGTTCAGCAGCATCCCCGGCCTCTACCTGCCAGATGCCAGTAGCACCCTTCCAGGTTACAGCAACCAAAAATGTCTCCAGGCATTGTCAAATGTCCCCTGGGAGGCAAAATCGTCCCCATTTGAGAACCACAGAGTTAAAGTAAGATTACAAAAATGAAAACCCAACTCACAGTTAGGAAGAAAAAGTTAACGGTTGTTTTTACAACGGTGGTAATGTGGTATGCAATTCAAAATTATGTCCACTGGCTAACCTCTACATAGTTTTATTCTAAGGCGAATCGGGTATCAAAATCTTCAAAGAAAAAATGATTCAGCAACTAATAGAGTCTGAAAAAAAAAGAGTATTAGGGGAAGCCCCAAATATTAATTTAATTTAAAGGGAAATTCTTCTGTCTTCTGGTCATAATACATGCTTTTTAATAAATAATTTGTGATACTAGAAAGAACAAAACCAATTGGGACACACAGCACCTTGCCCTTGTCAGCTGAGATGGCGTAGCAGACAACTGCAGAACAAACTTCAATCACAAAGATAATTTTTTGAAATAGATGAGTTCAAGTTACCAGAATAGAGAACTAGCACTAACCCATCTAATAGGTTACAAGCATCTTTTCAGTTTTACGGGATTAAGTGATTGATAAAATTTTTAAATTATGGCAAGCCTGAAAAAAATTAAATACTTGCCTCTCTTGCAGGTTGCTATTTTGGAAGCAATAAAGACTCAGCTCATATGAAAGTGTATTGCCCATTCTTCTGCCAATTCACGTTTGGTTGTAGAATTTTCTTCTCTTCCAGCCCCCCTCCACCTCCCCTCATGACATCCCATTAGCATCCCAAGACAAAGGCAGAACTACAGGGGAGTGGCGCTGGGACCCCTGTGGGTCTTTTCTCAGGCAATGAGAGAATCAGATTCTCCACCTGGAACCCATAAAGGAAGGAACGCCATAACACACAGCTTTTAAAACACATGTTTACATACACTTACAGGAGGACAGGTTACAATATATTCTAGTCCTCTTTCTCTCACTTCAAATTCCATCAGTGTTGTAAATCGGCTCATCTTATGCCCCTTTCTTTCTCTTTCCTCTAGACCAGTGGCTCTCAAAGTGTGATGTGATCAGCATCCCCGGGGAACATGTTAGAAATGCAAATCTTCAGCCCCCACTCCAGACTTAGGGAATCCCCTAAAGTCCAAGCACTCCTTATTTAGGCCAGTGTTCTTTCTAGAACCACAAACATTGTTTCTTACAGAAAGCAAAACTGCAATTCTCATTTCATCCTCAAGCCTGCTGCAAGGTAGTAATATATTAGCCCCACGTGAGCGATGAGGAAACCGGCTCTGGGGTTAAGCGTCGGCTCAAGGTCTCAAAGCTAGTCACTGCAGGTGGAAGATTAAAGTGTTTGCACTTCTTTTCACTACTGAAACAAAGCTATGGCACTTTATTAACAACATCTGGATTTTTTGCTGGTTGGCTGGTTGGTTTTTGTTTTTGCTCTTTCAGCTTTCGTCAATTCGGAAAAATATAAAACAGAGTGGGTGAGAGTAGTGTGCCATATGCCTCGGGTCGTCCCGAGTCGGAATTTAAGGGCAGGACTCTAGAAAGGTGTTTTTCCAGTAAAGACCGTTTCGTTCTGCTGCGGTCCTTCCTGTCTTTGTCCCCGGGACAGCACGCAGCAGATAGAAGCGGCCAGAGCTGCATGGCGGGGCCGCGGGCATCCCCGACGCGACAGGTTGTCCGCGGGAAGACAGCCAGTCCGCGAGGCCCCGGCGCGCCGCGGCTCCGGGCCGGGGGTACTGGTTTACAGGGCAAATTGGCACACCCCAAAGCCCAGGGGACACCCGGGCCTACGCCGCAGCCCGGAAAGGAGGGGGTGAGTGGTGAACCCGAAACCGCCGAGGGCCGCGCGGCCAGAAACCACACGGAGCGCTAGGGTCGCAGTGAAGATCCGGGAGGAGGGTGCAGGCTGGAGGGGAGAGAGCGGGCGAGAACCCACGAAATGGAAATGAGGCGGAGAGAGCGGGTCGGCACTCACTGTGAGGGTCGCTCTTCTCCCGGACCCCGTCAACTCGGCCGTCGGGGTGGATGCGCAGGAAGAAGCCCCCGTTTTTGCAGTACAGCCGCTTGGGGTCCTTGAAGTGGCCGGGCGGGAAGGCGCCGCTGCCGCCATCCTCGGGCAAGGCGGGCAGCGTGGTGATGCTCCCGGCTGCCATGGTCCCTGCGGGGCCCGGCCGGGATCCCCGAGCCGCTGGAGCCGCGCGGGGAGCCGCCGTCCCCCGGCCCCGGCCCCGGCCTCCGACCCGCTCCGGGGCACGGCCCCGGCCCCGGCCCCCCAGCCTCCCGCCCGGCAGCGCGCGGCCGCGCCCGCGGTCCCCCAGCCTCGAGCCGCTCGGCCGCTCTTCTGTCCGCCGGCCCCTGGTGCGCGGCGAGCCGGCGGCCCGGGACCTGGGGTTCACGGATGGGTGTCTCCGCGGACGCCGCCTGGGGAGAGCCGCCTCCCAAGCTGCAGCGCCCGGGATCCCGTTGCAACCGCGGGCACCGCGTCCGCTAATCTGGCACCCGCCGGGCCGCGGCGTCACATCTTCTACATCTCCACCCCCCACACCCACCAGCCTCCCGCGCCCCCAGTTCTCCTCCCTCCTGCGCGCCGCCCCCTACTCGCTCGGGTTTTCTGGGGCCGGCCTCTGAGTTCGGCGGTTCGGCCACAACACGCAAGCGCGCGACATCAGTCCGGCGGGGAGCCCGGCCTCAGTCGGGGGCGGGGGAGAGGCGAGGGGCGGGGGGCGCGCGTCGGAGGCCGCGGCAGGGCTTTGGCATTCCCTGGGCTCCACCGCCCCTTATCCCCCAAAAGTCACCCCCGCCCAACCCCCGCACCACCCAAACCACGTTTAGGCTTTCTCCACACTGCGGGGCTTTTGCTGCGCAACCAGCCGTGACTCAACTTTTAAAAGTTTAAACTCAACTTTCTCCCCCATTTTTTCCCCGCTAGCGTTTCAAAACGGAGAAGCCGTTTCCACCCCAAAGTAGAGAAGTTGCAATCCAAGGAAGAGTCTGTGTCAGAGCAGGCTTTGAAAATCTCTAAATCACCAAAAGACGAGGGGTACAAGTGGGGCATAAACTTTAAAATTAAAGGACAGAGGCTGAAGTCGTCTACCAACAAAAGGAGAGAAAGAGGCCAGAGAAGGGGAGCAGATTGGGTTGCTAAAACGAAAAGGTTTCCTTTACTGACCTATCTTGAATTAGACGACGCAGAAAGATGAGGATGGGGATAAGGATAAATCCTTATCGCGATCGAAGCGCATTAATGTCTTAACTCGGACCTGGCATTTGCCCTAGCTAAATTGTTATGCATTTCTTGGAGAGAGAGTTATTTTCTGTAAATCCCAAATGTAAAATTGAAGTTAATTGCATTTTGGTAATTTTCAGTAGGATATAGCAGGTGCCACAGATGACTAGGAAAATATCTATTCAGAAAACTTGCATGTATTGAGTACCTACTGTGTGCAACACATAATGTTGAGTGTGTGGGAGATGCCAAATCTGATGCCAGCGTCTCACACACTGAGGGAGATAAGATGGGTAGCATGAGTAACACAAATAGCAGTAGAAAGTAGGCCATAGAAGAGTAAGACTAAGTGCTGTGACATTTCAGACATCGGATAACTCAGCGTGGGGAGGCAGGAGATTTGGGGAAGCTTCTAGAAGGAGTTGCAAGTATGGACGTGCCTCCTTGTAGAAACATTAGGTTTCAAAAGGCCATGCATAAGTGCATTTGTTCTTAAGTCTCCAAGAAGGCTTTAACTCCAGATGCATTTCTAGAATGTTACATACAGGAGAATGAGTAAATTCTTTGAAGCTTTAAAACCAGGCATACTGTTTTTATTTTTATTATTTATTTATTTTTTTTAGACAGAGTTTTGCTCTTGTTGCCCAGGCTGGAGATCAATGGCACGATCTCGGCTCACCGCAACCTCCACCTCCTGGGTTCAAGCGATTCTCCTACTTCAGCCTACCGAATAGCTGGGATTACAGGCATGCGCCACCACCACGCAGGGCTAATTTTTTGTATTTTTAGTAGAGACGGGGTTTCTCCATGTTGGTCAGGCTGGTCTCGAACTCCCAACCTCAGGTGATCTGCCCGCCTCAGCCTCCCATAGTACTGGGATTACAGGCGTGAGCCACCGCGCCAGGCCCAAAACCAGGCATATTCTTCTTTCTTCTTGCAGTTGGTATATGTTCTATAGAGGAGGAAAAAAAAAATTTCCCCATTCATTACTAGGTTTATGGCTGAAGCCCCTGTAACAAAAGACACATTAACAAGAGAAAAACATACTAACTTATTTATGTGAGTTTTACACAAAACAGGAGACTTCAGAAATTAAGACCCAAAGTTAAGAGGGAAGCCTGTGTATTTTTAAGGCTAGGATTGATAAAGAAGTGGAAGTCATGGAGAAGTATGATTGGACAAATCTGTGATCTAATGGTAATAAACTGGGGGGACTTACTTAGCAAGGCCTATTTGCTCAGATTCTTTTCCCTGTCCGTGTGTCTTCAGAGATAAGGATGTCTGTTTCCTCCAGGTATAGGGAAGGCACCTCTGGAATGAAGGTCTTATGGTCTGCCTCAGAAGAGAAGATCTGGGGAAAGTGAAAGTAACCCTCTTGCTTCTGCTCTTTTCTTAAGTGCCAAGGTACCATTATTTTTGGGTAGCATGTCCTGAACGCCATCAGTTCTCTAACATCTCTCTCCAAAATGGATTTGTTTCATCTTCATTGAAGATCCGTCTGTTGAGACAAAATCACTCCCTCCAGATGATCTCTGTAGGTGCTACTGTGGTGCTGAGTAGTCCCTAGAATGATTGAACTCTCACTTGAACTCTGTGTCACAGAAACCTGAGGATTCCAGGAGCACGGGGATAAAATCTAAGTCATGATATTTTTTAACAATGGCATCCAGAAACCTGGGGAGCAGCTACACGCAGTAAAATAACTTGTATTCCCTACAATTCAAACAAATAATCTAATTTTCAAATGGGAAAAGATTTGAACAGACACTTCTCCAAAGAAAATATACAAATAGCCAATAAACACATGACAAGGGGCTCAACATCATTAGACATTAGAGAAATACAAATCAAAACAACAATGAGATACTACTTTACACCCACTAGGATAGCTATAATTAAGAAATAACAACAACAAAAAATAATAAGTGTTGAAGATGTGGTAAAAGTGGAACCCTCAAACATTGCTGGTGGAAAGGTAAAATGATGTAGTCAATATAAAAACAGTCTGACAGTTAACTCTAAAATTAAACAGAGTCACCAGACAACCCAGCAATTCCACTCCTAGGTATGTAGCCAAGAGAATTGGAAACATATATTCACATGAAAACATGTACATAAATGTTCATAGCAGCTTTATTCATAATAACCAAAATGTGGAAACAAGCCAGATGTCCATCAAATGATGAATGGATAAATCAATTGTGGTATATCCATACAATGAAATGTTATTTGGCAATAAACAGAAATGAATTACTGATACGTGCTACAACATGGATGAAGCTTGGAAACATTATGCTCAGTGGAAAAAGACAGAAAAGGCCAGGTGTTATATGATTCCATTTATATGAGATGCCTAGGGTAGGCAAATCCATAGAAACAGAAAGCAGCTTAGTGGTTGCCAGGGCTGAAGGAGAGGGAAATGGGCAGTGACTGCTAATGAGTATGGGATTTCCTTTGGGACCTATAAAAGAGTTCCGGAATTAGATAGTGGTGATGGTTATTACACAACTTTGTGAATATACTGAAAACCATTGAATTGAACACTTTAAAATGGTGAATTTCATGATACATGAATTGTATCTTCAAAAAAAGAGAAAGAAAAATAATAGATGTCAAAATGAAAATGAGTTTTTTTCTCCCATAAAGTCGGGAGGAAAAAGATATCATCCAGTGCTATTAAGGATGAGGTGAACCAAAGACCTTATCGACAGTCAGAGGGAGGCTAAATTATACAGCATTTTGGGAAAACTATTTTAAAAGGTACATCACAGTTTTAATTTTTGATTTTTTTTCTTTTTTGAGACAGGGTCTCGCTCTGTCAACCCAAGCTGGTGTGCATTGGCAGAATCGTGGGTCACTGTAACCTCGACCTCCTGGGCTCAGGTGGTCCTCCTACCTCAGCCTCCCAGGTTTGCTGGGACTACAGGCGCATGCCACCATGCCTGGCTAATCTTTTGTATATTTTATAGAGACAGGTTTCACCATGTTGCCCAGGTTGGTCTCAAACTCCTGGGGTCATGCGATCTGCCAGTCTCAGCATGCCAAAGTGCTGGGATTACAGGCATGTGTCACCATGACTGGCCCAATTTTTGAAATTTAAATAACCATTTGAGGCAACAGTTTTGATGTAAGAAATTTATTCTCAAGAAACGATTATAGATGTACACAAGATTTATTAACCTGGATGTTCATTATATCCTTGATCATAATGAGGAAAAATAAGGGATAATCTAGGTGATTAATGTGAATAAATTACATTATATTCATTCGAAGTAGTACGTTCCATGTAGCCAAATAAACAGTTTTGTGGGAGAATATATAATAACATGAAAAAAATTCTTGCAATATTGTATATTGTTAATTGAAAGAAGTAGGTTACAAAACTGTATAATAGTATCTCATTTATTTAATATGCTTTCATACACATAATAGAATGAGAAACACTAAAGTATTTGTAGTGATATTTTGGAAGGTAGAATTTTTTATGCAAACAACTAATTACTCACTATCACATAAACTTATCATCTAAAATTGTATCTTGTTTGTTTTTGTATTTATTATCAGTTTCCTTCCCCTAATATAATACAAGAAAACTTAGAGCAGAGATCTTTCTGACCTGTACATTGCTGTATCCCAAGGACCTAATGGCACTAAGTGGGGCCTCAGTAAGTTGGTTTGCTTGTTTGTTTCTTTTTTGACAAATGAAGGAATGCATTATTTTCATCACCGAAAACTGTTTTTGAAAGCTAAGTTCATCATCTACATTATGGAAGGGCAGGTATCAGTGTAGTCAATGTCTGTGGAAGTCTTTCTTTTAACCATTTCATAATGAAAATCACATTAAACCCATTTCCTTATGAAAATCTCACAAAAAATGCACAAATTACTGTTTTCTAAAACCTAGTACATCAAAAATAATCTTATTAGTTCTCCAGATCATCATCATACTATCAGGTATGAAATAATAGAGTGAACCACTCTATTTTATCTTCACAAGAGGTAGTAAAGATTACTGTCTAACTTTTGTGCTCAGATGACAGATTCTAATGTCACCTAATTGTGCTTTAGCACAGAAAATTATTTAGGTGACTTGTGTCCTTGACTTTTAAAAACAAATAAACAATAACAAACATACAAAACTTCCAGAAATATCCAATGGCTTTTGTTGCATTTGGCTATTTTATTTTTAAATATTGTATTGTCACTCGAATAGATCACCACGCTTCAATTATTTATTGTTCTCAGAAGGTGAGTGGCCTCCTGCTGTGCATATTACCACTGGAATGGCAATTCCATCTCCTGTCAGATCAGCAGTGGTATTAAATACTCACAGGAGGCTGGGCGCAGTGGCTCACACCTGTAAACTCAGCACTTTGGAAGGCCAAGCGGGGCGAATCATCTGAGGTCAGGAGTTCGAGACCAGCCTGGCCAACATGGTGAAACCCTGTCTCTACTAAAAATACAAAAATTAGCCAGGCGTGGTGGCGCACTCCTGTAATCCAGCTACTCTGGAAGTTAAGATGGGAGAATCTCTTGAACTCAGGAGGTAGAATGGCCCGAGACCATGCCACTACATTCTAGCCTGGGCAACAGAGTAAGACTCCATCTCAAAAAAAAAATACTCATAGGAGCATTAACCTTATTGTCAACTGCACATGTGAGGGATGTAGGTTACGCACTCCCTATGAGAATCTAATGCCTGATTATCTGAAGTGGAGCTGAGGCAGAGATACTGGTGCTGGGGAGTGGCTGCAAATACAGATTAACATTGGCAGAGAGATTTGGCTGCACAGAGACCATAATAAATCAATTGCATGCAGACTCATACCAAAACCCTATCAGTGAGTGGCAAGGGACAAGCTGCATCTGGTGGCAGGCTTTAAGTCAGACTCTGAAACTTATTTTAGTCCATGCATGGCCTTCCCATTATTTTATTTACCACTTTGGTCCTTGCCTCTTTCCTGCACTGCATACTTGTCTCAGGCACAGTTTTGGTAAACCCACAGGCTAACCCTAGCCAAAATGAGTGAAAAACAAACGTCACTGGAAAGGTTCTTTGAAAAGGGGGAAAGACCGAGTGATGTGACAGCAGAAGGCTCTAAGACTGCCAACAGAAAGAAAGCTGCATTTAAAAGAAAATACCAAGAGTCTGACTTAAATTACAAGCTCATTGCAACAGGGTATTGACATTCTCTGAGCCCACTTTGTATAATATGTGGTGACTGGCTATCCAACGAAGCCACGTAACCGGTAACCTTAAAAACTGCTTCGTGACATGGAGACCAAGCATTAAAAGACAAGTCTTTGGAGTTTTTTTAAAAAAGAAAGCAATGTGAAGGCTGAGGCGGGTGGATCACCTGAGGTCAGGAGTTCAAGATCAGCCTGGCCAACATGGAGAAACCCCGTCTCTACTAAAAATACAAAAATTAGTTGGGCATGGTGACAGGCACCTGTAATCCCAGCTACTCAGGAGGCTGAGGCAGGAGAACTTCTTGAACCCAGGAGGCAGAGGTTCCAGTGAGCTCAGATGACGCCACTGCACTCCAGCCTGGGCAACAGAGCAAGACTCCGTCTAAAAAAAAAAAAAAGAAAGAAAAAAAAAGAAAACAATGTGAACATGAACAGAAGCAATTTTCGAAGGCCACCACGTCATCAAATGTGTCTCCACTGAGAGCTTCATTAGTGGCTAACTGCATTGCTAAAGCTAAGAAGCCCTTTACTATTGGTGAAGAGTTGACCCTGCCTGCTCTAAGGATATTTGCTGTGAACTTTTAGGAGAGGCTGCAGTTCAAAAGGCGGCACATGTTCTTCTTTTGGCTAGCACCATAACTAGACGAAATGATAAAATAGCAGACGATATTGCGTCACAATTTTAGAGAGGATTAATGAGTCACTGTGGTACACAATCCAGGTTGATGACTCCAGAGATATTGACAACAGGGGACAATGCCATGTTTTTCAAGAGGATGTGCATGAAGATATGTTGTATGCACTTTTGTTGCCAACCAACACCATGGCTGCAGAACTATTAAAGTCTTTGAATGATTACATATCGGGAAAACTGCATTGGTCATTTTGTGCCAGCATATGTATGGATGGAGTGGCTGCCATGACTGAATAGCTTTCTGATTTCACTACTTGGGTCAAAGATGTCACTCCGAATGTGAGTGTGTCACATTCAGAAGACACTGTGTCATCCATACAGAAATGCTGGCTAGTCAAAAACTGTCACCTGAACTTAACAACATTTTGCAGGATGTTGATAAAATTATCAACCACATTAAAATACATACCCTTAACTCACATCCGTTCACACAGCTCTGTGAGGAGATGGACACAGAGCACACAAGTCTTCTCTTATACACAGAAGTGAGATGGCTTTCTAAAAGTAGATCACTGGCCAGAGTTTTTGAGTTACAAGAGCCGCTGCAGGCATTTAGAAAAAAGTCACCACTGGCAGCACATTTTAGTGCCACAGAATGGGTCACAAAACTTGATTACTTTTGTGACATATTCAGCCTGCTTAATGAACTCAATCTGTCACTCCAAGACAGAACAACAACTTCAAGTTGTAAGGTAAAGTGGCTGCATTCAAAGCCAAACTAGGGCTGGGCACAGTGGCTCACGCCTGTAATCCCAGCACTTTGGGAGGCTGAGGCGGGCAGATCACTAGAGGTCAGGAGTTCGAGACCAGCCTGAGCAACATGGCGAAAACCCGTCTAGACTAAAAATAAAAAATTAGCCGGGCGTGGTGGTATGCACCTGTAGTCCCATCTATTCGGGAGGCTGAGGCAAGAGAATTGCTCGAACTTGGGAGGGTGAGATTGCAGTGAGCCGAGATTATGCCACTGCACTCCAGCCTGGGTGACAGAGTGAAACTACGTCTGGAAAAAAAAAAAAAAAAAGCCAAACTGGAATTATGTGGGCAACAGTGAACATTGGGATTTCTGACATGTTTCAGACATTAGCAGAAATTTGGAAAGAGACTGAGCCAGGGCCTTCTTTCTCCCAGCTGGTGCATGATCACCTATCTCGGATTTCAAAAGACTTTGAGCATTACTTCCCAATCACAAAAGACCCCTGAACTGGGAAGGAAAGGATCTGCCACCCATTTGTGGATAAGCCAGGGGAATCGACTTTGTCCATGCTGGAAGAGGATCAGCTGCTGGAGATGGCAAATGACCGTGGCCTTAAAAGTATGTTTGATCTGACTTCAAATCTCCATACGTTCTGGACTAAAGTCACGGCGAAATATCCTGAGGTTGTCACAAAAGCAATGAAAAGCCTGCTTCCATTTCCATCATGCCATCTTTGTGAAATAGAGTTTTCTGCAGTGACAGCAACCAAAATGAGATTACAGAGTAGACTGGACATAAACAACACATTTCAGGTGTCACTCTCTCCTGTCATCCCTAAATGGGACCATCTAGTTGCATGAAAACAAGCTCAGGGTTCCCACTGGTTCTACATTATGGTAAGTTGTATATTTATTTTATTATATATTACAATGCAATAATAATAGAAATAAACTGCACAGTAAATGTAATGCACTTGAATCATCCTGAAACTATCCCCCACCCCACCCCCTGCCCCATGCTATCCATGGAAAAATTGTCTTCCACAAAACCGGTCCCCTGTGTCAAAAAGGTTGGGGACTGCTGATCTATGTGACTATAATAATCAAGTGACTAGTCTCAGCTCATAGACTGATTTTGCCTTCCCAAGATCAAACCCTAAGTTCAGAAAAGTGAGAAAAATGAAAACTTCATGATGTCTTTTACTCTTAAATCATCTTTGCAGCTTCCTAGAGGGCCATTAGGTAACCACAAATACTTGGGTTTTTAAACTTTCTTTCTTTCTTTCTTTCTTTTTGAGATGGAGTCTTACTCTGTTGTCCAGGCTGGAATAGAGTGGCATGATCTCGGCTCACTGCAACCTCTGCCTCCCAGGTTCAAATGATCCTTCTGCCTCAGCCCCCCTAGTAGCTGGGATTACAGGCATGTGCCACCATGCCTGGCTAATTTTTGTATTTTTAGTAGAGACGGGGTTTCTCCATGTTCGCCAGGCTGGTCTTGAACTCCTGACCTCAGGTGATCCACCCGCCTCAGCCTCCCAAATTGCTGGGATTACAGGCGTGAGCCACCGCACCGGGCCCAGGTTTTTTAACCTTTTAATGAGAATGATGCTAGAAGTAATTATGTTTATTCATATGTTCTATATTTTTTTTAATTAGCCCAACACTTTTCTAAGAGTTGCATTGGAGGAGCTATTGAATCAAAGGAGCTGAGTGTTTCCTACATTAAGTTCATTCATATAAATTGTTATTTATAATAAACATGTTACAAAGATGGCCCTTTCCAGGAAGGCCCTGTTATTCTTTATCTTCTGTGTAACGTACTCAGATTACAGAGATTCTGATCTCATTGTTCATTTGTTCTTATTTAGATATTAATTAAAAGGGGCATCCTGACTCTGAATTCAAGGCTTTTTTTTTAAAAATATGCCAATACTAGGAGGAAAAAACTTACCATTTTAAAGCAACCTTGCAAGAAGCAAGAATTTGAATTTATCTTTGGGGCAGACTGCTCCTTGGTTGTGGAAAGCAAGTCCTCACCACCAGTGTTGCCCTGCTCTAAACAAAGTAATAGACAAAGGACAAACTGGGAAAATACACAGTGTCTTTGACATCAAAGCTAATCTTCTAAATACAGAAAGAGATCTTAACTGTCAATGAGAAAAGATCCATGGGCAAAGGTATATAAAGAGGTAGTTTGTAGAAAAAGAAATGTAAATGGATGTTTAAAATGTGAGTAAAAAAAGTACAAATTAAACCTAGAATGAGATCTATTCTTCTTCTACTCAGATGGGCCCAGTTAAAACGTTTAATAATTATAGCAGTAGTATAAAGTAACAGTTACTCTCACTGTTGGTGGGAGGTCTAATCAGCAATAACTTTCAATATTTGAGATAAGTATACCTTTAGATCCAGGATTTTCCTTTCTGGAAATTTATTCTACAGACATATTCATACATGTGCCCAAAGATGTATGTACATATGTGCTTGAACTTTGCTTGTGGTTGCAAAAGACTGAAAATAAGCAATATAAATGGTTATCAATAGGGGCTAGTAAAAAGAAATGATAGTAGATACATTTATTTAATAAATTATTGAAAGCCTATCATTGCCAGATATAACTCTATAATGAACTTTGTAGTTTTTTAATACATAAAGTAGACCTATATGTTATGGCTATGAAATGATCTCTAAGATATGTTGAAAAAGTAGAAAACAAGTAAAAAAAGTAAGATATACTGCAGTGTCCATAATATACTTCTATTTTTTGAAGGAAGACATACATACATACAGTATATATGCTTGCATAGACATAGATAATATTTCAGGAATGTCCGCCTCTAGGGAGAACTGGGGACTGGAGTCTACAGTCAAAGGAAGACTTCTCATTGTACTGTTTTTTGTTTGTTTTTGGTTTTTTGTGTGTGTTTTTTGGAGACAGAGTCTTGCTCTGTCACCCAGGCTGGAGTGCAGTGGCAAGATCTCGGCTCACTGCAACCTCCGGCTCCCGAGTTCAAGTGATTCTCCTGCCTCAGCCTCCTGAGCAGCTGGACTTACAGGCACACACCACCACACCCGGCTAATTTTTGTATTTTTAGTAGAGACGGGTTTCACCATGTTGACTAGGCTGGTCTTAAACTCCTGACCTCAAGTGATCCGCCCACCTCAGCTTCCCAAAGTGCTAGGATTATAGGTGTGAGCCACCGTGCCCAGCCTCATGGTACTGTTTTTGTACTCCTTGATTTGTTTTCACCATACGCATGCATTTTTTTCTCTACTTAAATAGGTTATTTTAAAATATACATAGTGAGAAAAATACAATAATTTGATATGAAATTTGTCAAGAAAAAAGAGAAAATGCTTTTTTTTTTTTTTTTGTCTTCAGGGGATGGTGTCTAGAGGTACTCAGAATGGTCCAGCTTTTGACCTAACGTTGTGGGCTTCCCCACAATACAGCCTCTAACACAACTATGCCGTCCCGAAACCCTGGTAATGTAATTGTCTACTTTTATACCAACAAGGTTGAAAAAGCACCAAAATCTGTATGTGGTGTGTGCCTAGGCCGACTTCATTGAGTTGGTGCTGTGAGACATAAAGTTCTTATGAGATTGTCTAAAACAAAAACACATCAGCAGGGTCTACTGTTGTTCCACATGTGCTAAATGTGTCTGTGACTGGATCAAGCATGCTTTCCTCCGAGGAGCAGTGGAGTGAAAGTGTTGAAGGCATGAGCACGGATTCAGAGAGTTACATTTAAAAATGAAGATTTTTGAGTACTAAATAATATTTTTTTAAAAAGAAAAGAAAAAAATAAGTAAATGCAGCAGGTCCAGAAAGTAAAGATGCCATGTATCATCTCTGGCCGTGTCCTGTAGGAGTCCAGGGGACAGCTCTCTGGTGACATCTGCACTCCTATCTTATCCTTCCCACTGGAAAAATGGCTACACTCGTATATTGAGAGAAGAGCTTGGGAAGAATCCCTTCATCTACTTTTTGCCTTGCTCCTCCAAGTTGGGCTATCAGGTATTTTAGATTTCAGTTCCACTATTAGAGGTGAAACCGAAATACATACGGTACTAGAGCCTACTGAACATGAAAACATGAGGGCCTAGAAATTGGCCACATCATGGTATATAGGAGATAGCATAGGTTGATTTAATGCAATTCGCCAAATATTCACAAGTGCACATTGAGAATTCTCCAGTGAGAAGACGTCCCCGGACTTTCTCATGCAGGTAGTCCTAAAATTGGTTTCTTCTTTTAAATGCATTATTTCTTTTCTTTTCTTTTTTTTTTTTTTTTTTGAGACTGTGTCTCACTCACATCGCCCAGAATGGAGTGCAGTGACACCATCTTGGCTCACTGCAGCCTCTACTACTCACCTCAGGGCTTAGGTGATCCTCCCACCTCAGCCTTCTGAGTAGCTAGGACTACAGGTGTGGGCCACCATGCCTGGCTAATTTTTAAAATTTTTTTGTAGAGATGGTTTTCACCATGTTGCCCAAGTTGATCTCAAACTCCTTGGCTCAAGCCATCAGCCCATCTGGGCCTCTCAAAGTTGCTGGGATTACAGATGTGAGCCTCCATGCCAGCTGTATTTTTTTTTTAAGATATAGAAATACTTTTTAATATGAGTTTAAGGCTGTTTTTCTTTTGAACACTTTTATTGACAACTTGAATTAGATCTGTTTTTATTCTTTTTTGTTATTAGCTTTTAATTAGTTAAGAAACATATGAATTCAATATCTTTGTAAAAAAAATAAAGTATTACAGATAATAGTGAGAGTATCCTTTAGACTCCACCCCCAACCACTGTCACTTCTCCTCAGATGAAACCACTTTTCTCAGTTTGGTGTGTGTCATTTCAGACTTTCTTTGTGCATTTACATACATATATGCACCCACAGAGAAGAAACTATTGTTTTGTGTGGGTGTCCATGTTTGTATATATAAATGGTATCATAGCGTTCTTATCTTTCAGCAGCTCGCATTTTCACTCAGTATATATAAGTTTTTCCATGTTAGTTAAGTCTGGATCTACCTTGCTCATTTTAACTGCAACAGAGTATTCCAGAGTATGATATATCTGTGCTACATAATGCAGCATGGATGTACATGCAGGTTGCATACAAATCATTGCTGTTATAAACAGTGATGCAGTGGCCATCTTTGCACTTGCCCCTGTGTGCATATATTTGAGTTATTCTCCAGAGGCACTACTCACTAATGAATTCACCGGGTCCTTGCATATTCCATTTTAAGAGACGCTGTCAAATTCACCTCCAAAATAGCTGTACTGAGTTATAGTTCCACCAACAGTGCTCACATCTTTGTAGAGGTGTCATTCTTGCCAAAATCTTAATGTCATAAATCTGAGAATGCTAATTAGTAGAATAGATGACAAAATTAAAATGTAAGAGCCTTTCTACAAGTTAAAAGGTTAAGATAAAATTTGTGATGTAGATATAAATAAAGTTCTACATCTAAGTTAAAAAAAATCAGTTTGGCAAGTATAGCACGGCAGAAACTGGCTTGGTAAAAAGTCATATAAAACTGATCACATGGTTAATAGAGGCCAAAAGGGTAAAGCTACTACCTAAAAAGCTAACATAACTGGGTTTCCTTAACAGATGTTTAGTGACCAGATGATATGATGTTGTAATTCCTCCAAACAGATCACATTTGGAAGATCTACATCTTAAGGGGACATTGACAAGATAGGTGGTTTTCAAAAGAGGGCAACATTGGCTACCATATTCATGTTTTGTGATAATTGTGCAGATTCCCACGTATCATCAAGTGCTTTTTTTTCAAAGACTGAATAAGAAGAGTACATTACAGCACAGCCAGGTGCAGTGGCTCACGCCTGTAATCCCAGCACTTTGGGAGGCTGAGGTGGGCAGATTATTTGAGGTTAGGAGTTTGAGACCAGCCTGGCTAACATGGTGAAAGCCCGTCTCTACTAAAATACAAAAATTTGCTGGGCCTGGTGGCGGATGCACGTAATCTCAGCTACATGGGAGGCTGAGGCAGGAAAATCACTTGAACCCAGGAGGCGGAGGTTGCAATAAGCCGAGATTGCGCCACTGCATTCCAGCCTGGGAAACACAGCGAGACTCCCTCTCAAAAATAAAAATAAAAATAAAAATAAAAAAGTGCATTACAGCAAAAAGTCATAGAAACATTTCAGAGCTCCAGATACAGAATCTACTTATTATGGACACTTCTTTTTTTTTTTTTTTTTAGATGTAGGATCTCCTTTATTAACAATAACACATAGCAAACAAAAGGAATATTTCTAGAGTATTTATGCTAAAATTATGCATTTTTTTTTTTTATTGATCATTCTTGGGTGTTTCTCACAGAGGGGGATTTGGCAGGGTCATAGGACAATAGTGGAGGGAAGGTCAGCAGATAAACAAGTGACAAAGGTCTCTGGTTTTCCTAGGCAGAGGACCCTGAGGCCTTCCGCAGTGTTTGTGTCCCTGGGTTCTTGAGATTAGGGAGTGGTGATGACTCTTAACGAGCATGCTGCCTTCAAGCATCTGTTTCACAAAGCACATCTTGCACTGCCCTTAATCCATTTAACCCTGAGTGGACACAGCACATGTTTCAGAGAGCACAGGGTTGCGGGGTAAGGTCACAGATCAACAGGATCCCAAGGCAGAAGAATTTTTCTTAGTACAGAACAAAATAAAAAGTCTCCCATGTCTACTTCTTTCCACACAGACACGGCAACCATCCGATTTCTAATCTTTTCCCCACCTTTCCCCGCTTTCTATTCCACAAAACCGCCATTGTCATCATGGCCCGTTCTCAACCAGCTGTTGGGCACACCTCCCAGACGGGGTGGTGGCTGGGCAGAGGGGCTCCTCACTTCCCAGTAGGGGCGGCCGGGCAGAGGCGCCCCTCACCTCCCGGACAGGGCGGCTGGCCGGGTGGGGGGCTGACCCCCCCACCTCCCTCCCCGACCGGGCGGCTGGCCGGGCCGGGGGCTGACCCCCCCACCTCCCTCCTGGACGGGGCGGCTGGCCGGGCAGAGGGGCTCCTCACTTCCCAGTAGGGGCGGCCGGGCAGAGGCGCCCCTCACCTCCCGGACGAGGCGGCTGGCCGGGCGGGGGGCTGACCCCCCCACCTCCCTCCCGGACGGGGCGGCTGGCCGGGCAGAGGGGCTCCTCACTTCCCAGTAGGGGCGGCCGGGCAGAGGCGCCCCTCACCTCCTGGACAAGGCGGCTGGCTGGGCAGGGGTCTGACCCCCCCACCTCCCTCCTGGACGGGGCGGCTGGCCGGGCAGAGGGGCTCCTCACTTCCCAGTAGGGGCGGCCGGGCAGAGGCGCCCCTCACCTCCTGGACAAGGCGGCTGGCTGGGCAGGGGGCTGACCCCCCCACCCCCCTCCCGGACGGGTCGGCTGCCGGGCAGAGAGGCTCCTCACTTCCCAGACGGGGTGGCTGCCGGGCGGAGGGGCTCCTCACTTCTCAGACGGGGCGGCTGCTGGGCGGAGGGGCTCCTCACTTCTCAGACGGGGCGGCTGCTGGGCGGAGGGGCTCCTCACTTCTCAGACGGGGCGGTTGCCGGGCGGAGGGTCTCCTCCCTTCTCAGATGGGGCGGCTGGGCAGAGACGCTCCTCACCTCCCAGACGGGGTCGCAGCTGGGCAGAGGCGCTCCTCACATCCCAGACGGGGCGGCGGGGCAAAGGCGCTCCCCACATCTCAGACGATGGGCGGCCGGGCAGAGACGCTCCTCGCTTCCTAGATGGGATGGTGGCCGGGAAGAGGCGCTCCTCACTTCCTAGATGGGATGGCGGCCGGACAGAGACGCTCCTCACTTTCCAGACTGGGCAGCCAGGCAGAGGGGCTCCTCACATCCCAGACGATGGGCGGCCAGGCAGAGACGCTCCTCACTTCCTAGACGGGGTGGAGGCCGGGCAGAGGCTGCACTCTGGGCACTTTGGGAGGCCAAGGCAGGCGGCTGGGAGGTGGAGGTTGTAGCGAGCCGAGATCACGCCACTGCACTCCAGCCTGGGCACCATTGAGCACTGAGTGAACCAGACACCGTCTGCAATCCCGGCACCTCCGGAGGCTGAGGCTGGCGGATCACTCGCGGTTAGGAGCTGGAGACCAGCCCGGCCAACACAGCGAAACCCCGTCTCCACCAAAAAAATACGAAAACCAATCAGGCGTGGCGGCGCGCGCCTGAAATCGCAGGCACTCAGCAGGCTGAGGCAGGAGAATCAGGCAGGGAGGCTGCAGTGAGCCGACATGGCAGCAGTACAGTCCAGCTTCGGCTCGGCATCAGAGGGAGACCGTGGAAAGAGAGGGAGAGGGAGACCGTGGGGAGAGGGAGACCGTGGGGAGAGGGAGAGGGAGAGGGAGAGGGAGACTGAGACTGAGACTGGACACTTCTTTTATTAACCTTTCTAGATACAGGAGAATTGGTCACCACAGGGTTCTTCCATCTCTGCAGCACTAAGTACCAGATTCAGAATATCATTAACTTCAACCCACCAGAAGTGGCTGATTATAGTCAATGTTGGTCTGTGTTCAAAAGAGAGGACTAATTTTTTTCTCTTTCATCACTGAGGAAGCATTAGCTTTGTCTGCAGTCCAAGTTTACTATACCCTTAGCCAAAACTATGACTTTGTTTGTGACTCTCCAGCCAATGACCTCAAGCCTGACCTACAGCAGTCACTCCCAGGAAGGAAAAGGTCATTTGACCACCTCAGCCCCTAGTCATTAGGGGAATATGAAATTTCATCTCAACTTAGTGTTCTTAAGGTTAAGGTCTTCTCATGAAAGTAACACAGAAGGAATGAGTAGTGATTTTTTAAAAAGCGGGAATGGGATTTGGCTAGACTTGAAAATATCAAATGTTTTCACAATATCCATTCTTTGATAACACAATACATTTCATTAACTCTCCAAAACAATAAGCTAGCTGAAAAGCTAATGTTTTGACCAGTAGTTTACTAATAAAGTAATGAAGTTACTGTAAAGATTACATTTAGAACACGTTGGAATTCAAATAGGCTGAGCTAAAGTTAATGTTTTCACTATCTATGTAAAAAACAAAACAAATGAGAAAAAACACTTCAATTACTACAAAGACTTCTTTTTTTTTTTGAGATGGAGTCTCGCTGTGTCACCCAGGCTGGAGTGCAATGGCGTGATCTCGGCTCACTGCAACCTCTGCCTCCCGGGTTCAAGCAATTCTCCTGCCTCAGCCTTCTGAGTAGCTGGAATTACAGGCATGCGCCACCATGCACGGCTAATTTTTGTATTTTTAGTAGAAACGGGGTTTTGCCGTGTTGGTCAGGTCTGTCTTGAATTCCTGACCTCGTGATCCGCCTTCCAAAGTGCTGGGATTGCAGGCATGAGCCACCGTGCCCGGCCCAACTATGTTTAAACTCTAGCAATATACATATACGTGATCAGCAAAGAATTCTAATTTCTAGTTTTTGTTATTTATTTATTATAGAACATATGGAAATCTCTCTACTTCACATGTCTATTTTTTTAAAATTTGGGATGACTTGCCTATTAAAAGACATAAGAAAGAGAGTTTTAAAATTAAAATGAGCAGCATAAAGCACTTACAGGACAAAATTAATTGTACCAGGAGCCAAATCGTTACCTTAATTGGTCACTAAAGTTAGCTCTAATATTCCTGGCAGACAAGGAAATAAGGAAAGTAAGACATGTTCTAAAATTTATACTGTTTGATAAAAACTCACTGGAAAATAAACTCTTTCCTAGCATCAATTCTCTTATAAACTTGTTGAATGGCTCCTTACAAAAGAAGTAGTAACATAAGGGCATATGTCTTGGACTATAAATTTGCAAAAGATTAAGAAAATATTAGTCACATCATCTTAATAAAAGCCAAAGATTCAACATTCAATCATAACTTTGTAACAGCATTTCTTCAGGGGATTAAAGTAATGAATTTCGAGAACATTGCATTCTGTTGATCTAATTAAGACAAGGACAGACTATAGGTAATGCAGAAGAGTAGTTGATTATATGTCCCTTAGATTATCTCTCTCAAACATTAGTTACCTTGTGTCCAATTATATACTTGTTATTTTTATGCCTATAAGAATGTTCATGAAGATAAACACAAAGAAGAAAATATTGCTATATTAATCCCCAGCCAAAAATTATCATTAGAACATTTTGCTGACATATTCTTCATAGATAGATGAATAGATAGATATATATAGCTTTTTATGAAACTCCATCATATTGAATACACTGTTTTATCACCTTATTTTCTATTTATCAATATATTATGAACATTTCTATTGTTTTTCTATAGCTTTATTCTTAATGCCATCATATTATTTCAATACATGGATATACCATAGCTTATTTCATACGCTGTCTGTGGACATGTAAGTAATTCTAAATTTTTTTCATTCTATCTTACTGCATAATTTTGATTACTTCCTTAGGATTAATTCCTTGCTTTTTTTTTTTTTTTTTTTTGAGACGAGTCTCACTCTGTCACCCAGGCTGGAGTGCAATGGCACGATCTCAGCTCACTGCAACCTCTGCCTCCCAGGTTCAAACAATTCTCTCACCTCAGCCTCCCAAGTACCTGGGATTACAAGCACCCACCATCGTGCCCGGCTAATTTTGGTATTCTTGTGGAGATGTGGTTTCACCATGTTGGCCAGGCTGATCTTGAACTCCTGACCTGAGGTGATCCTCCCACCTCCGCCTCCCAAAGTGCTGCATGAGCCACCACACCTGACCTAATTCCTTGTCTCTATGTCCCTTTGATTTTTCTTTCACAGGCCTCATTGTACTTGTAATTATTTATGTAATGTCTAGTCATTTGATAGAATGTAATTTCCAGCCTTTGACATAGATGTTCTATAAATACTTTTGTTAAACAAGTGAATGTTTTTAAACTTTGGGTTACATTTTATCAAGTAGTCTGAAGAAGGTGTGTCGACTTAAACCTTCCCCAAAATCATCATGAGAGTCTCTTTCTCCACATTCTCTTCACCATTAGGCATTGTCTTAAAACAATCTTCAGACAACTTGACGTGCAAAAAGTGGTAATTCATTATTGGCTTAATTTGAATTTTAAAATTACTATAGAATTCAAAAATTACTTAGAACTTTTTTTCCTTGGACATTTATATTTCTTGTTTTGTGATTTGTTAGGTTTAAGTCTGCCAAATGCTAGGAAATAGTCATTTCAATGTTATCCGAAAAGTGCCTAAAACACCAATGTTCAAAGCAATACTCCCTGGTTTAAGTTTCCGTAGAGACAGGAAACAACTTTAGGCTATAAAAGTTTAAAATTTTGACTTGCAGTCTTGAAGGGAAAGATTGTCATTTTGCACAGAGATGGACCACTGTGGTTTCCATGAGCTGGATAGCTGAAGAATAGATAAGAAATCTCAGTCAGGTACTCTTACCTTCTACTCATTCTTTTCTGCTCATCACATTCATCATGTAACATGTATCTTTTTTTTTTTTCTTTTTTTTTGAGATGAAGCCTCGCTCTGTTGCCCAGGCTGGAGAGCAGTGGCACGATCTCAGCTTACTGTAACCTCCGCCTCCCGGGTTCAAGCGATTCTCCTGCCACAGCCTCCCAAGTAGCTGAGAACTACAGGCACCCGCCACCATGCCAGGCTAATTTTTGTATTTTTAGTAGAGACGGGGTTTCACCATGTTGGTCAGTCTGGTCTCAAACTCCTGACCTTGTGATCCACCTGCCTTGGCCTCCCAAAGTGCTGGGATTACAGGTGTGAGCCACAGCGCCCGGCCTTGTCGTGTAACATATATCTTTAAAGGAACAAAGGAGAACATATATATTGACCATTTTCTTTGTGAATTATTTAAAGCACTTATTTTAATTTCTTTTGTTTTAATGTGTTTTTTTCCTTCAGAGTTTCCTGTTTTCCCCCATTTCCTGATCCACTTAGAATAAATCCTAGCGTGCTCTCATTATCCACCTCATTGATACTAAATAGTACTCATGACATCAGTGTGTAGGCTGCAAATGGCTGCAAAAAGTACCTAACTCTTGAGGAGTTAGTCATGCAATTTGTGTGGTCCTGTCTTCACTTAAAACCATCAAATGAAAAAAAACAAAAAAAAAAACACAAAAAAACAGACTACACTCATACAGAGCAAAACAATACAGATTTCTTTATTTTGTGCAGTTGCTGAGGAGCATCATTTCCCTTGAAAATCTACAATCTAATTCACACCCATAAATCATAGATTATGGCTTCTGATGGGTGGGGCGTCAGTGTCTAAGATCAGTTCATTCTGCTGTTTCCGGAAGATGTTCTTGCATAATGATAAAACACTCCAAGAGTAAATGCAAACTGACACTCCAAGATGGCTTCCTAGAGGTGTACTTTCAATCTCACTGTTCACATAAAATGAAAAAGGTGGATAATTGCAATTGCCCAACTCCTTTTACAAACTAGGAACAATTCATGATGCTGAAACAAAACTCTTTTCTTTAAGAGTCAGGGAAAGAAGGAAGGCTGTGTGTTCAAGGAATTGACACTACATAGTTAAGACACATTCACAGGATATGGCAATAAGATCTGTTACTGCCCCCTTGGTTCTCTCAGGAAATTCTACCATAGTGTCTTAGTCCATTAACTCTTTCATATCGTCTCCAATTTCCTTAAACTTCCAATAACCTTCACTCTTAGTTGACCTCGCTTTACTTCTTATTTTTTTTCTTTTTTTTTTTTTTTTGAGACAGAGCCTCACTCTGTCCCCCTGGGCTGGAGTGCACTGGTGCCATCTCAGCTCACTGCAATCTCTGCCTCCCGAGTTCAAGTGATTCTCCTGCCTCAGCCTCACAAGTAGCTGGGATTACAAGTGTCTGCCACTACGCCCAGCTAATTTTTTGTATTTTTAGTAGAGATGGGTCTTCACCATGTTGGCCCGGTTGATCTCGAACTTCTGACCTCATAATTCGCCCGCCTCGGCCTCCCAAAGTGCTGGGATTACAGGCATGAGCCACTGCGCCCGGCCCCCCTGCTTCTTATTTCACTGAGATAACGGAATCAATCAAAAGAGAATTTCCTCAACTTTCCACCATCAAATAGCTAACCCACTGCATCTGTTTCTATACATTCGACCTGGCCCTGGACCTGCCCTCTGTTACTGCAGATTGAGACCTCCTGTCCCTACCAAGGCCTAAATCCACTTAAGTGTTGGGTACACATTTTCTCTCCTTTACTGAAGGACTTTGCTGAGCAGCTCTGCTTTCTCTACCATCAGTTCTTTCCTTCTAATAGCTCATTCTCATCAGCATAAAAATATGTACCTATTTTTCCTATTTTCAACAAAGCTCCTCCCTCCCCTGACCTCACACCCCTCCTCCAGATAGTACCCCATTTTGTGCGTCTCTGTACAGCAAAATTCCTCAAGAGTTGTCTAATAGCTGCCTATTCTTCTTCCACCCATTTGTTTAGCTTTTTTAGGCCTTTGATTTCATTTACTGTGTAAGCAATTTTATAACAACAGAAGTAATGAATACAAAAAAGACATCACCCACATTCCACTAGCCTAAGACATCAGTTATTCTTGTTTTATTTGTACATTGGTTTATGCCCTTTTTTGCACTATTACAATCATAGTCTAGGAATATTTTCATATGCTACTCTTCTTACTTAACATTATAATTTCCTTTCTTGCTACATAATTTATAGAATTTGTATTTTAAGAATTAAATTTTGTCAAGTTGATATGTGTATAGTTCATTTCACTATCCTCGTATTTTAGGTCATTTAGATAGTATTTTGCCAGTGCTATAAATACTGCTGTGGTTAAGCACATCATGTACATAATTTACCAAATAGCTTCTGTGCAAATTGTTTGTTCATATATATTGTAGAGGAATCTTTAAAAAATATTTTTAAAAGTGGTATAACTGCCCCATGCAATAGTGGCTGGTATTCTATCTACTATTGAAAAGGTAGTTAAGAACCTATATAGTAGGCCAGGCACAGTGGCTCATGCCTGTAATCCTAGCACTTTGGGAGGCCAAGGCAGGCAGATCACAGGGTCAAGAGATCCAGACCTTCCTGGCTAACACAGTGAAACCCCATCTCTACTAAAAATACAAGAAATTAGCTGGGCGTGGTGGCATGCACCTGTAGTCCCAGCTACTGGGGAGGCTGAGTCAGGAGAATCACTTGAACCCTGGAGGAAGAGGTTGCAGTGAGCCAAGGTCACGCCACTGCACTCCAGCCTGGGCAACAGAAAAAAAAAAAAAAGAACCTATGTGGTATCACATCCCGTTGGAGCCAGGATGGGGAGGATGGTTACCTTGTTTTATCTTGTTTCCTTCCTAATTACACCTCACCACCGTTCCTTCAAGCCCTGCTGGCATGGGTCATTCAGTGGTGACCTCTACCATTAAGGTTCTCTAGGCCAGAAACGGACTCAGCATCCATGTTCCTGCATACCCCACACTTCAGGAGACCACAGCACTCTCCCAAGAACTGCCTGACCATGCATTACTTTGGTAGCATCACCTAACTGGACCTGTGTATTCTGCAACTCGGCAAGCATTCAGCCAAGAAACTAGATGCAAGTCACTCTATCTTGCAAGCACTTTTGATCTCTGTACATCTCTTCAAGCGTTTCTCATCAGGAATACTGTACTCCTTAGGGCCTAAAAATCACCTTTCCACTTTCCCAGTTCTCTCTTTCTGTACACTGGGAGGAAGGGGAATGTTGGTTGGTGTGCCCATTATAAGTCCTGCAGGGATATTCTGACAACTTGGCTTTCTGGTGTCTATCTTAGGAGATGACATTTAATATCTGTCCCCCAAACCCTAAGTTTGGGCCTAGCATAAATTCCACAACTTCTGACTAATAAGATAAGTTATAGTTAGAGACTGCTGCAGTTTGAATATTTGTCCCCTTCAAAACTCATGTTGAAATTTAATCCTCAATGTGGCAGTACTGAGAGGTGGGGCTTCTCATGAATGGATCAATCCATTAATAGATTAATGGGTTGGAATAGGAGAGGGGCTGGTAGCTTTTTAAGAAGAGGAAGAGAGAACTGAGCTAGCACACTCAGCCCCCTCACCATGTGATGCCTGCCCTGTGCCACCTCTGGTCTCTGCAGAGAGTCCCCATCGGCAAGAAGGCCCTCAACTGATGCAGCCCCTTGATCTTGAACTTTTCAGCCTCTAAACTATAAGAAAGAAATTCCTTTATATACATAAAGAGATATATATACACACACACACACACAATATGTTTTATATAATATGTTATTATATATATTCTGTTGCATATATAACAACAGAAAAGGACCAAGACAGGTACCTTTTCCCATCCCTACAATCAAAGCTTTGTCACTCTAATTTAGGTGCAGTTTCTGTAAATAGTTGATGTGGCAGGGGTCTTCCGTTCACTTGCTCCTCTGGATCCACTATCCACCCTTCTGCTGCCTGCTCTCTGCCTGAAGAGGGTGACCTGGAGGGACTACACCAACTTCTACCCTTGCACCCTAGCTAGACCAAGTGGAGAAGAAGAGCAAGGTCAATTCTCAGCTCCTTCCCTGTGATGTCCCCTAGGGACAGCTGTGACGTCAACTAAAGGTCACGGCTCCTCTCCGGATGGCCTTCTCTGTAAGAGCCTTTCCTTCCAGGTTCTAGTAACCACATCCTCCCTTTGTGCTTTGGGGCCTAGGAGAGATAACAATTCTGCTGGGATTAGCCCCAGTATAACACTATGCTTTGTAGTTCTAGTGCCTGCTCATACCTTCCTAAGTAAACCTTCTTGGAATTATCCTATTTTTGATTATGTAATCTTGTTGAGACCCTGTCAGTATATAATTATATTTACAGTATATAATTAAACTGGATTTTCAAATTCAGTCAGAGAGTTTTTGCTTTTTGATAGAATTGTACTTACAGTAAAAATTTATACAATTTTATTTCCTGTACATTTTTATACATTATTTTCTTTTTAGCTCCTTTGCTTACTTTTTTATTTTCTTTTTATTTCATTTCTCCCATCCTGATAAATTGGAATTTTTACTATTCACCTCTATTTTGTTACTCATAGCTTTCCCAACTTTAACAGTTATATTTATATTTATATATGAAAATTAAATAATTATGATCTCCAACTTGCTCACTCGCTGACATATACTTTTCAATTCTAATAATGGTTGTCTTTTAGCTTCTAATTGTCATAATTAAATTCATGTATTTCTATTGATACGTACAAATTAAATAACAACTTTGACTTCTTACCATGCTAGATTACTAGTTCTGTGTTTCTCCACTCCTTCCACTGAAAAAACCTTTAGAACATTTAGCTACTCATGTCTCCCTATTGCCCAAATCTCAAGTTTGGATAAGATAATGATAGGATTTCAATCCCTGACTATTAGCAAGTTTTCCCTCACAAAATGTCTCCGCTCTTTCAAAATTCTTTACATAGTATAATTCCCAGTTAACTATCATCCATTTAGTTTTTTTTTTTTTTTTTTTTTTTTTTTTTTGAGACAGAGTCTTGATCTGTCACCCAGCCTGAAGTGCAGTGGTGCAATCTTGGCTCACTGCAACCTCCGCCTCCTGGTTCAAGAGATTCTCCCACCTCAGCCTCCCAAGTAGCTGGGATTACAGGTGTGCACCACCATGCCCTGCTAATTTTTGTATTTTTAGTAGAGATGGGTTTCACCATTTCACTATGTTGGCCAGACTGGTCTCGAACTTCCAACCTCAGATGATCCGCCCACCTTGGCCTCCCAAAGTGCTGGGATTACAGGCGCGAGCCACCATGCCCAGCACATTTAGATTTAATTGTAAATATTATGAGTCATTATTCATCAATGTTTCTTGAATTTCTTATCTTTCCTTTCATAAAATTTAATTTTCACTTGGTTAGAGAATTTTCTCACAGAGATATACGGGTAGAATATTTTTAGAACCCTTGTAATATGCAAAAACTTTTTTAGTTTGATCTCACATGTGATAACTTTCGTGATATAGGGATATTGCCAATATACCATGTACTGTAAATGTAAATGCAAATTATCTGGTTCAACCAAGGTTGTAGATAACAAGTCTGTTACTAGTCCAGTTATTTTTCCTTTGTAAATTACCATTGAAAGTTGTCTGTTCTTTGCATAGAAGCATATATGATTTTCCACTATGATGCCAATTGCTTTTTTTTAGTTCCATCATTCCTACCCTGTTTATTAGTTGGCATATTATATTGTAAAGAAAAGCTTTCTTTTTCCTTTAGTTATTAATAGTATAAATTCATAGTATGGATTCATGGATTAATAGATGATTATTTTATTCAATAGGCAATATCTATTTCTGTCATTCTTTTTTAAATCAAAAAAAAATTTTCTTTGTTTCTGTTTCTTTTTTAGAATTTTTAAATTTTAAAAATTTTTTTGAGACAGAGTCTCACTCTGTCGCCCAGGCTGGAGTGCTGTGGCGTGATCTCGGCTCACTGCAACCTCTGCTTCGCGGGTCCAAGCAATTCTCGTGCCTCAGACTCTCAAGTAGCTGGGTGTTTCTGTCATTCTGTATTGATGGTGAAATTGTCCCAGATTTGGCTAGTAGAGACTCCTTCAGGATGGCTTTTATGTTCTTTTGACATATTCCCAACATCCTTTGAATACTCCTTTACTTTCTAATACACACACAGATGTTCTACGCTTATCTTGTACTTTTCTTACCCATCTGTGAAATCAGGTATTTCTTCAAAGAGCCCTGGTGTTTTGTTTCTTTTCTCTCTTTTTTTTTTTTTTTTTTTTTGAGACGGTGTCTCCCTCTGTCGCCAGGCTGGAGTGCAGTGGCGCAATCTCGGCTCACTGGAACCTCCGCCTCCCAGGCTCAAGCGATTCTCCTGTCTCAGTCTCTCAAGTAGCTGGGACTATAGGTGTGAACCTCCCAGGTTCAAGCGATTCTCCTGCCTCAGCCTCCCGAGTAGCTGGGATTATAGGTACCCACCACCACGCCCAGCTTACTTTTGTATTTTAGTAGAGACGGGGTTTCACCATGTTGGCCAGGATGGTCTCGATCTCTTGACCTCATGATTCACTTACCTTGACCTCCCAAAGTGCTGGGATTACAAGCGTGAGCCACCGCACACAGCTGCTTTTTTTTTTTTTTTTTTTTTTTTTGAGACGGAGTCTCGCTCTGTCGCCCAGGCTGGAGTGCAGTGGCGGGATCTCGGCTCACTGCAAGCTCCGCCTCCCGGGTTCACGCCATTCTCCTGCCTCAGCCTCCCAAGTAGCTGGGACTACAGGCGCCCGCCACTACGCCCGGCTAATTTTTTGTATTTTTAGTAGAGACGGGGTTTCACCCTTTTAGCCGGGATGGTCTCGATCTCCTGACCTTGTGATCCGCCCGCCTCGGCCTCCCAAAGTGCTGGGATTACAGGCGTGAGCCACCGCGCCCGGCCTTTTTTTTTTTTTTTTTTTTTTTAATTGCAGAGAATGGTGTTTAAAAACTGAGATCTGGGCCAGGTGTGGTGGCTCACACCTGTAATCCCAGCACTTTGGGAGGCCAAGGAGGGCGGATCATGAGGTCATGAGTTCGAGACCAGCCTGGCCAACATGGTGAAACCCTGTCTCTACTAAAATACAAAAGTAAGTTGGGCATGGTGGCGGGCACCTATAATCCCAGCTACTTGGGAGGCTGAGGCAGGAGAATTGCTTGAGCCTGGGAGGCAGAGGTTGCAGTGAGCCGAGACTGTGCCACTGCACTCCAGCCTGGGCAACAGGGCAAGACTCCGTCTCAAAAAAAACAAAAAACAAAAAACAAAACCCCTGAGATCTGGACACTAGGTATGCTCAGTGTTATTGCAATGGCATTGCTCTCAGGCCTGCCCAATGGAAAGAGCTAGAAAATACATAATATATGTCTACATATATGTATGTATACACACATATTATGGAAAAGACAAAACCACTGATTAAAATATTTCTATTTTAGTCTTACATGCCACCGAGTTTATTCCACTTTTCTCCTTTTCCATATTTGTAACTCCTTTTTCTAAAAATGAGAAACTTTGTTCCCATTACTTAAAAATATTTATTGGATCAATCCTCAATGTGACCAATCTCCTCCCACCATCAGTGCTCACCTCATTCAGCCTCCAGCATCCCATCATAGGTGGCTGCCCCCTGCCTGGATGCTTTCCTTATCTTGCGTGGGTGCACATGCCATGACAGCACTGCCTGCCCTACTCAATGCGGATGCTGTTCTCATTCCTCCTGGGCTCCACCATCTGGTGCTGGGCCACTAACCTACTCCCCAGGACCAAATTATTTAGGCAAGAAATAAAGAGGGTAGGCAATGAGGAAAAAAATTATCTATCTCTTTATATCTATATGTGTATGTTTATGTATATCTATATTTATACGTATATATTCCAAAACTCTCATCACATTTGATGCCCTTTCTTTTCTTAGTTTATCATTTTTCTTATTACCAAAGTAAGACGTACAAGCAATGCAATACTGACAAGCAAAAAGAAGAACATAAACAGTACTACTAATCAGGGCCAGCTTCACAGGTGTGTGACTTGTACAGCTGCACAAGGACCTATGCTCAGAAGGTTTGTGCTCTGCTGTCATCCTGAAATTCTTCATAATTTTTGAACAAGGATCCCTGCATTTTCAATTTGCTTCTATGTTCCTTTCTAGGAAAGTATACATATGTTTATGATTTTATCTTATTTTATTTTTTATAGAGACACAGTCTTGCTCTGTCACCCAGCCTTGAGTGCAGTGGCAGGATCATGGCTCACTGCAACCTCGAACTCTTGGGCTCAAGTGATCCACTCACCTCAACCTCTTGAGTAGCTAGGATTACAGGTGTGTGCCACCATGCCCAGCTAATTTTTAAATATTTTGTAGAGATGGACGGGGTCTTGTTATGTTGCTGGGGCTGGTCTTGAACTCCTGGGCTCAAGGGATCCTTCTGCCTTGGCCTCTCAAAATGTTGTGATTACAGGTGTGAGCCACTGTGACTGTCCTGTTTATGTATTTTAAAATGAAACCATATTGTGCATATTTTCTTAGCTGCTTTGTTCAGCTGAAAGTTTTGCTTCATATATCAATATGGTATATCTTCAGCATCATTATACGAATGTATCTTTAATTAGTTTAACTAAATTACTTCTTATTGGATATATAATTTCTAGCTTTTCAACATTACATGAGCAAGGGATTTGGGTATCAGGTAGATTTGGTTTAAATTTCATCCTTCATCACTTACTAATTATGTCATCTTAAAATAAATTCAACTCTGCGAGTCTCAATTTCCTCATCTATAAAATGGAGAAAATAATAGAGCCTCATAGCTATTTTTTAAAAGCATTAGATGAAATACTGCATACAAAGCACTTAATTCCTTGTACATAGTAAGTGTTTAGTTAAATTTTCTTCAGTTTCCTCAGTTGTAAAACGGGAATACTCATAATATCTATCTCAGGGGTTCTTGTGAGAATTAAATGAGTTACTATATGTAAAGTACATATAATAAGCACTCAGCAAATGTTAACAATATGATTACAACTATAACCTGATTCAGAGCTTATTGACTGATAATGAACTATCAGTTAAAAGGCCAAAAAGTTTTTAAAAAAGCAAACTCTAAACATTTATTTATAAACAGCCAAAAATGCTTACCAAAAACAATTTTTTTTGGAAACGTTTCTTTGACCCAAAAATCTGGAATCAAGAGAGATCATGTGGCCAAGCCTCAGTTCACTCTGGTGAGTTTCCGGAACACACTGGATAGCTGTACCTCTTATTTAAATTACTAAGCCCTTTTCAATCATGCCACTAATTCTTTTTTTTTTTTAACCAGAATAATATTCCCTCTTCATCTGTGTTTCCTAGAATGAAGAAAAATAATATTTTCCTTTTACCAGTTCCCTATTACTCCTTTTATTTCGTTGTCAGATGTATTTTGAAATAAATTCTTATGTTTTAAAAATTCTTCTCTAGCAGTAGGCATTTAGGATATTTGTTGGTGTATCTGAACCTAGGCCAACGTTTTCATTGCTGCATATTTTGAATATCTTGAATAAATTTTAAATGGTTTCTTTCCATCCTATTCTCTTCTCCGGAGCCAGATCCTGCAAGTCCTGACATGCCCTCTGCAGGGAGGCCCTGGATGGGGGAAGTGATCTAGGGATTGCCCTAACAAGACTGAAACTGAAACCTCTAAAAACTCATCTTGATTTTCCATTTGCCTTTCTGGCACCCTTCCTTCTCTTTACTGAACTTCTCATCCTCCAAGTGTCCCCAAGATAGGGCCTAGACTTTGCCACGCCCTCTTGACTGTGGCAGGGGTGTGTATTTTCTTCTGAAAACCTCCTTGTTTCAGAAGCTCCAGTCAGAGGCATCCGTTGCCTCAGGGAGGATTAGAATTATTAAATCAGGAACGCAAAAAGAAAGAAATAATTATTGTTTAGCTTTTGTGTTTTAAGAATAGACTTTTGAAACCCACAGCTGAGACAACAGTTTGTGAAGGAAAAACAAAAATCAAGGCTGTTGAGAAAGAAAAGGTTTTTTTAGTTTCAAATAGGAAAATCACCAGGCATGAAGTTTAACCTGAACAATACACTGTAAAGAAGGTAGATGAAGAAGCATTGCCCAAGCAGAGGGAGGAAAGCAGCTCAGGGGAAGTGGCTGGCATGGGAATCTGAGGGCACATAAGGGGCACATTTGTTTCCTTATGGGGTTGAAACTCTGGAAGGTACCAGAAGAGAATCTCCCAATAAGTTTGCCGAATTCCAAAATTGAGGGAGCCTCATGTCCCAAGATGTATTTCAGGAATGGTTGTAAGTCTCAAAAGAAGACCCACACACAGCCTAATGTAATCTCATAACCCTGTTCACCCACCAAGTGATAGGAGAGTAGTCAATGCTTTCCAGGCTCCAAGAGAGGAGAGAGTGACAGAGACAGGGAGAAAGAGAGACAGAGAGAACCTATGGGGATCTCAAGGCTGGGATGTGGAGGTGCTACAGCGTTGGCTACATTTGTGGATCAGATGAATTGTCAGGTATGTCTCAGCTGATGATGGCCAGCTGAGGACCAAATGGGTCAGCACATCTGTGCAGCATTTATCCCTTTATCTGCTGATAAATGGATACTGTTGAATGACATAGTAGTGACACAGCGATGGAAGACCAAATATTCAGAACACTGGCCCAATGCCTGGACATCTTGAAAGCTCCTTCTAGTAGACACTATTTGTCTCACCCATTTCCTTTATTTGACCAGCACACCCATCCCCAGCTGTTGTAAGTGTTGGCTGATAATAGCTGACACGGCTACTCTTCTCCAGAAAATTGCCCTCAGCTGGGATCTGCCCAAAACTAGCTGGGAGGTTACATCACTCCAACCCTCGCTGGGAGTCAATGACTAGGACTGAGATGGGGCACAAAAACCTGGCCACCTGACACAGGTGGGCTCAACTTTGTGATTCCATTCACATTCCAGGGTTCCTTTGCAAGCTGAGGCTAGATTTCGGTTGAAATTTCATGTGCTTAACTTCTTCCCCTGAGGAATCCCACTGCCTCCATTTGTTTACAGCTTTGTTCTGAGAGCACTCCCTCAATCAGTCACTTGCATAAGAATCTCTGCCTTAGGCTTGGCTTCTAGAGAATCTCACCTAAGACATTCCCTCCAACACCAGCTACTATTTTGGGAGAATGAGGAGTTGGGGAAAGTTCTTGAATGACTGGCCATGTTTAAATCTGAAATAAGTAAGATACACACTGAAATGATTGTATTTATGTAGAACCAACTCGATTATGTTTTGAGACATCAGGAGAAACATAAAGACTAAGTTTAGCAGATGCAGTGGCTCATGCCTTTTAAGTCCAGCTACTTGGGAGGCTGAGGAGGCTGAGGCAAAGTAGGAAGATTGCTTGAGCCCAGCCAGGGATTTGAGGCTGTAGTAAGTTCTGATCACACCACTGCCTTCTAGCCTGCGGGGCACAGAGTAAGACTCCATTTCAAAAAAAAAAAAGGCAAAAAAATTTTAAATGCTGCATTTCTTCATCAGAGATTATGGCCTATAAAGTATTGGATCCACTATACATAGAAAGCCCTTTTTCTCCAGATCAACCGCAACTTCTTCACAACATTCATTTTGTTGGCATTGTTTCTAGGGTCAAATCAAAATACAAGGATGAGGAGAGCTGGCCAAAAAAACCCACAAGACAAAACAGTATATTCCTGACCAAAAGAGGAAGAACCATGTGTTAAAAGAAAAACTTCAGAAAAATTAAATTTAACCGAGTTTAATTGAGCAAAAAACAATTCTCAAACCAGGCAGTCCCCAGAAATCATAATGGGTCCAGAGAGACACTGACATTGTTGTATGGTCAGAGAGAATTTATGAACAGACAAAGAAAAGTGATGTACACAAAATGGAAGTGAGATACAGAAACAGCTGTATTTGTTACAACTCAGCATTTACCTTATGAACATGCTTTGAACATGGCTTAAACAGTTGGCCACCTTTGATTAGCTACAACTTGGTGATTGGTACGAGAGTAGGTTGCAGTCTATTTACACATCCAGTTAGATTACCATTCACTACGTGTCGAGAAAACTGTTATGCTGAATTTGAAATATATTCAGGAGACAGCTTTAAGCTAAACTTAATTTATTTATTTTTTTTATTTTTTATTTTTTTTTGAGACGGAGTCTTGCTCTGTCGCCCAGGCTAGAGTACAGTGGTGCGATCTCGGCTCACTGCAAGCTTCGCCTCCCGGGTTCATGCCATTCTCCTGCCTCAGCCTCCCGAGTAGCTGGGACTACAGGCGCCCGCCACCACGCCCGGCTAATTTTTTGTATTTTTTAGTAGAGACGGGGTTTCACCGTGTTAGCCAGGATGGTCTCGATCTCCTGACCTCGTGATCCACCCGCCTCGGCCTCCCAAAGTGCTGGGATTACAGGCGTGAGCCATAGCGCCCGGCCGCTAAACTTAATTTAATAATTCCCTCCTTTTGTTCAACCACTCAATAGGTTATGGTGTCCTCATGATCATCCATTTCTTTGAGGTTTTGTTATTCCAGTTGAAGAGATAGCATTTGATATTCTATAGATGGCTGCATGAAAACATTTGAAACTTTTGAGAGAATACAATGCACCAGAGAAACTACTATTATGATTATCAGGAGGATAATACCAAGAGTTTGTAGTACGCTCCTCAGCCAGGGTCCTCATGAGCCAAACCAAGTAAAACCGAATATATCAAAGAAAGAGCCAGATAAAGAGTCTACTTGTTTCAACCAAGCAGCCTGTTTATTAATCCCCTACAACTGAATGTCTATAATACCCAATGTATTTATACATTTACAAGTAGTGTCAGTAATTGCGCAGATTCTTCCCTCCCTGCTTAGCCCATCAGTAATCTAGAGCAATTTTATTATCTACCACAACATTATCAAGAGAATTTAAAGCCTGTTGTGCAACTATAGCCTTTGCAGTAGAATCTGTTATAGCCTATTACGAGGGCTAAATTTCTAATTATTGTTTCATTTACTCCGAACCAAGGAAAAAAGAGACCTAACAACTGATGCCTATCCAGAAGAGATAGGCCTCCAGCAACATTCTCTTTAACTTATGATGTAGGCTAAGAGGAGTGGACCAATGTTCTGACTAATTATAGAACAAAAAGTTACCATTAAAAATTCTCACTCGCATTGGTGCTTCATCTTCCATCCACCAAGGCATAAGGGTGCCCATGTATAAGGCTGGTTGCAAAATCCTCTACAAATAAAATATACCCTGTGAGTGCACACAAGTCCCCTTTTCCAGCTCCATTATTCACAGAGGCATAAGCAGAAAAAAAAATTAAGAGAGGTAAGTGTCTCATGATAGCAGAGAAGTCTGATTTGAGATCCTGGGAAAGCAGTCCACATCTAGGATGCCATCTGCTTCTGGGGAGAAACTTGCCTGGTTAGCTTTTCCTTAAGGTTTCCAATGGGGGTATAGTTCCATGAGTCTGGAGGTGCCTTCTGAGTTGTGAGATTAAGGACCCAAGGTTTGAGGTCTCAAAGTTTTGCTGCAGTGTGAGTGGCAAGTGCAGTCTTTCTCTGGTGTTGTTTCCACAAGATCCAATCTATGGGTTCTAGATTGTGAAAGGTTTGATTGTCCTCAGTCAGTGGATCATGGAAAGCTTCCTTTACCTAGAGGAAATACACTTTGTCATAATGCATTAAGTCCTTGTAGTATTTAGTCAGATCAGAGTTTAGGGGCAGAAGATACACAAGGTTCTATTATTAGGAGCATAGGCCCTCCAGTCACTATTTCATAAGAGGCCAACTTATGTTTTTTCACTGGAAGTGGATCTGATCATCATCAATCTGCAATACCTTTGACCAAGGCAATCAAGTTGATTTAGTTTAGCTTTTCCTAATATTATTGTATCTGTAATATCTTATTTAGCTGTTTTGCAACTTGCCTAGTAAAACAAGTACCTTTGTCACTGGAAATTTCTCCAGGATTGCCCTACAAGGGAAACATATTTCCTAATGGTGTCATAAGCATCAGCCTTCTTGCATGAGAAAGCTTCTATACAACCAGAAAACATGCACTGAAAATAACAATTGAATGAAATACCTCTATAAGTGTTCAAATGGTCTATCAGGCAGCAGAAATATACCCAAAGTTTTGATTGTCTTCCCAGGATTATGGGTTCAACAAACCAAACATTGGTCATAAACCATTTTAGCAATTTAGAGCAGTCCTCACACCAATATATGTTTTTATATAATTTGATAATTTTTTCTCTGCCATGATGAGTCATGGGGTGTAGACCTTTTAATAAGAGAAGGCTTGAGGACTGGAGAAAGACTAGGTGGCTCTCTAGGCTTTTCTTGAGTCCATGCTTAACACTGGATTTATATCCTCTTAAATATCAATTTTGTTTTTCCAAATCCTGTGTGTAGCACTGTTTATTAGATGGGTTATTACAGGTAATTTGACTTGGACAATGGAGTTCATTCAACTTGCATATCTAAAGGATTTTAGTACTGGCTGATTTAGCATGAAAATCTGGCAGAGTATTTCCTTTGTATTCAATTAATTCTTGTCTCGCTTGGGTTAGCAGTTTTATAAATTAGTCCAGCTCTTCATTAGAGTTCTGGGAATTCTTATCTCATCCATATTATATTATCTAAAAATTATCAGAAGCCTATATTCAAGGATGCTCGTCAGTGTCTTTTCCATCCTTTCCATGAACCTCCTTGAAGATACAACACTGTAGGAATTTATTTGTTTGTTAAGAACTTTCAGAAATTGCATCAGAATTAAGCAATTAACTGCAGAAATGACTTTAAATGGTTATAAAGACACAATTGAAAAGGAAGTTTGGTTATTTCCATGGCCTACAATAACAACATAATCATAACTATGAATGATAACATACCAAGACATATCAGAGTTTTAGGAATCTCATATAATTTGGAACATATATTAAGAACATACACATAAAAATATAACTCAAAGAAGGTTGAACACCATTACTTATTTTACAATGCTTTCCATGCAATTTAACATATCAAATAAGCCAATTTATTATCTTTTTTCTGAATGTTGCAGGGGACTTCTAATATCCCAGAGTTAGTTTGAGGCCAAACAGATTCAATTTTGAATTCATGATTTGATTTTGGGAAGACTGCCAAATATGTCAAAGGTTTACAATACTTAATCAAAATAGGACCACAAGTCAGTTTAAAATAACAGTCATTCATCTAGCCGAAGTGGTAATTAAAAGGTTTTGAAATGCAAAAACCTTTATTTTTTGATAGAGAGGAGATAGTTTTCCAAATAATCAAAATACCTAATAAAGTCAGCATGAGATAAAATCTGTCTCTCCTCTTTCCTCTTTTTTTGTAGTTTACTCGAAAGGTGAAAAAAAGTATTTTAATGTCTCTTATTAATGGTATACAAAATTCTTGTTCCAATGAGAAAACCAAATTTTACTTTTGTATATGTATATTATCAATACTAAAGCTAATTTTAATAAAACTTTATAAATAAGTCTATCCAATCTCAGTCAACTTTTGACCACACAAGATTTCCATAAGCCTTTTATATCTTAAACAATTTTTTCTATTGTATTTGTCTTCCGAACTTTCTATATTTACTAGTTTTATCTTTATCTTTTTTTACTCACTCAATTTGAAACAACTTTTAAGTAACTTCTAAATTAGGCAAAATTACTTTTTTTCAACAAATGCACATTTTCAACCCTTTACAACTTTCCTCATCAAAGACATATCTTGCTTTTCTTTATACACCCTGTATACAGAATTATTTCTCTTATGTCCAGTAGTTTTTTTTTTTTTTTTTTTTGACAGAGTTTCACTCTTGTTACCCAGGCTGGAGGGCAATGGCACGATCTTGGCTCACTGCAACCCCTTCCTCCCAGGTTCAAGTGATTCTCCTGCCTCAGCCTCCTCAGTAGCTGGGATTACAGGTGCATGCCACCATGCCCACCTAATTTTTGTATTTTTAGTAGAGACAGGGTTTCACCATATTGGCCAGGCTGGTCTCAAACTCCTGACTTCAGGTGATCCACCCACCTCGGCCTCCCAAAATGTGGGGATTACAGGAGTGAGCCACTGCACCTGGCTGTCCAGTAGTTTTAATTACATATATTAACTACAATTTCACCTCTTACTAACCCTAATTTCTAGTGAAAACCTTAATTTTGAACTGTTTCATGTCAGTATTTGTAGATGAAAAACATTTTATAATTTTTTAGAAATACACTCTTTTTTGTTTATTAATAGATCTAAACACATTTAGCTTTTCTATATCATACTAAAATAATATGCCAAAGTATGTAAATTAAACTTATTTTAATAATTAATGTTTCAGCATTTTAACTTGCTCATAAATGACTGAGGCATTTTATAATTATATGTTACTAAATTTAATATAACATGACTTTAAGATTTTAAACTACTGAAAATAATTTTGAAACTATGATACAGTTGTATTCCCTAGTCATCCTAGATCTCAAGTAGCCATGTGTCACCCAGGATGGCTATGAGGGGCAGGCCCTGTCTGGGTCCTGAATTTACATACCAGGTATAGAGGTCAGGACAGAGGACAGTGCTATAAAGATGATGCCTGGAGGATCCAACTCCTCCAAGAATGGATAGGAGGAAAAGCTGACCCAGGGAGGAAGGGGTCATATTGGGTTTGACTGTGCCTTGCAGCTGGTGGTGTAGGTGCTGAAGACGTGTTCCCAGGCCTTACCATAGCCATCTATCCAGACTCTAGACTCCAGAGCCTCATGACCAAAATATGAGTTCACAAAAAAATCAAGCAAGTATCAAGAATATTAAAGCAGCAACAGTTTTATGACCTTAAAACTTGCATTAGAGGCTGGGCGCAGTGGCTCACACCTGTAATCCCAGCATTTTGGGTGGCCGAGGTGGGAGGATCACCTGAGGTCGGGAGTTTGAGACCAGCCTGACCAACATGGAGAAACCCCATCTCTACTAAAAATACAAAAAATTAGCCCAGCATGGTGGTGCGTGCCTGTAATCCCAGCTACTTGGGAGGCTGAGGCAGATGAATTGCTTGAACCTGGGAGGCGGAGGTTGCAGTGAGCCGAGATTGTGCCATTGCACTCCAGCCTGGGCAACAAGAGTGAAACTCCATCTCAGAAAAAAAAAAAAAAAAAAAAAAATGCATTACAGATAGCATAAACCTGTCCGTCTGTAGGCCCAGGCAAACATTTCTTTTTTTTTTTTAATTTTTAAATACTTTATTGCTAAAAATGCTGACAATCTGAGCCTTCAGTGAGTCATAATCATTTTCCTGGTAGAGGGTCTTGCCTCAGTGTTGATGGTTGCTGACTGATAGGATGCTGGTTGCCGAAGGTTGGCATGGCTGTGGAAATTACTTAAAATTAGACAAGAATGAAGTTTGCTACATTGAGTGACTCTTCCTTTCATTAAACATTTGTCTGTAGTATGTGATGCTGTTTGATAGCATTTTACCAACAGTAGAACTTTCCTAACTGGAATCAATCCTCTGAAACTCTGCCACCGCTTTATCAACTAAGTGCATGTAATATTCTAAATCCTTTGTTGTCATTTCAACAATGTTCACGGTGTCTTCACCAGTAGATTTCATCTCAAGAAACCACTTTCTTTGCTTATGCTTAAGAAACAACTCCTTATCTGTTCAAGTTTGATCATGAGATTGTAGCAATTTGGTGACATCTTGAGGCTCCTCTTCTAATTTTAGTTCTCTTGCTTTTTCTGCCACATCTGCAATTACCTCCTCCACTGAAGTCTTAAACCCCTCAGAGTCATCCATGAGGGTTGAAATCAACTTCTTCCAAACCCCTGTTAATGTTGATATTACAACTTCTTCCCCTGAATCATGAATGTTTTTAGTGGTGTCATTATAGAATAGTGAATTATTACATGCAGGTTTTCAGTTTACTTTGCCCAGATCCATAAGAGGAATCACTATCTATGGCAGCTATAGCCTTACAGAATGCATAAAATGTTTTTCTTAAATTATAAGACTAAAAGTCAAAATTACTCCTTGATCTAGGGGCCGCAGAATGGATGCTATGTTAGAAGGCTTGAAAACAACAATCTCCTTGTACATCTCCATCAGAGCTCTTGGTTGACTGGGTTAATTGGCATCAGCAGTGATATTTTGAACCCAGGCAAACATTTCTGAGTTATAGTTAGCTGACAGTTTTGAAGCCATTCCTATTTTATTTTACTAACAATTTAAAAACCAGCTTTATTTACCAAATATTATTCCTTATGCTTATATGCATAACACATATAGACATATAGACATACATAGAGGCAGATCTTTTTTTTTTTGAGACAGAACTCCTGACCTCAGGTGATCCACCTGCCTTGGCCTCTCAAAGTGCTGGGATTACAGACATGAGCCACCACACACAGCCAGAGGCAGATCTTATAGCTTTCATAAAGAATTTTCATTTGCTGGCTTTAAAATTATTTTCCCCAAATTTACACTATCAACCTTCCAATTACCTGTATCTTTGCCCTAAGCCACTGTTAGCTAGGCAACTCTAAATTTACCCTTCCAAAAGGATTACTCTTTGGTGAAGCAAAGTAGAAATTTATATCTCCAAAGCACAGAGCTGAGACTTCAGGCCTAAATATTGTACCATCATTTGCATATCTCCAAAGCACAGAGCTGAGACTTCAGGCCTAAATATTGTACCATCATTTGCCAAAACAAGAAAGAAAGATGTAAAGGCCCAGTTAAGACAAGCGGACCAGGAAAAGCACCTTAAACAAAGGTAAGACTTGTTATGGAAATTTACGTCATTGGTAAGAGTTTCTAGTGACACAGTTCTTTCTGTTTTCTGAGCGCACAGAAGCAGACAACCTTACAAATGTAAATTTCCTTTATAGATGAAAAAGAAGCCTACTTTACCTGAGGGCTTACCTTGATAAACTCTACCCAGGATAGCTTTCTTTTAGCCTTTAGGGCAGGATAGTAACTAAGCCAAAAGGTTAGCAGATTTAATCAACTAGTCACTTAAGCTTTTTACACGCCTTTTATAAAGTCTTTTAAAAAGCAACAAAATATTGAGACCTTTTTACAGGCTTTTACATATCCATATGCATCACTGGTTGAAACTAATTCGGAGCTTTCTTTTTTTTTTTAGATGGAGTCTTGCTCTGTCTCCACACTGGAGTGCGGTGGCATGATCTCGGCTCACTGCAACCTCCACTCCTGGGTTCAAGCGATTCCCCTGCCTCAACCTCCCGAGTAGCTGGGACTACAGGCACGCACCACCTTGCCCAGCTAATTTTTTGTATTTTAGTAGAGATGGGGTTTCCCCATGTTGGCTAGGATGATCTGGATCTCCTGACATCATGATGTGCCTGCCTTGTCTTCCCAAAGTGCTGGGATTATAGGCATGCGTCACCATGCCCAGCCTTAAAGGCACTTCTTAAAGTTCAGTGTTGTCATTTGGAATGTTCCACTATAATTTTAAATTACCTTTAGTAAGATTTTGCTATTGCTATAAGTGTTACTGCTTCCATGGTCTAACATTTATACATGCACAGGTAAATGTAGCCAGAGGGTGGAGCAGTCAGTTATTCAGAAATTAAAGATTCTAATTTTACATTGAATCTTGGCTGTGGCTCTTAGATTCCATTGACCAACTAAGCCAATCATTTTTCTTTACCTAAGTGCAAAAGAAAAAGAAACAAAGAATATGAAAATCCCTGCAGATTTCCAAAAGTCAGAGTTTGTACCCCTGCAGTATTGCCACTTACTGCCAGTTTCTGTCTGACCCAGCTGGATATCCAAGGCTTCTAAATGAATCCAGTCCAGTTAATTATCAGGTCAGATCCAATCCTGGACCCAGTCCACAGTTTCTGTTGCAACTTCCAAACCCAGTTCAGATTAAAAAAAAAAAATTGCTCAGACAAACACAGATAGTTGAAAGCACAAATCCATGAAACTTCAGAATCTGAGTGAGAACTTAACCCATGATCCCTAGTTACTCTGAGAGAGCAATGGCCACGATAAGCCTGGGTACCTTGCTTGGTCACTTAGTGCTCCTGGGGGCTGCTGGAAGCTCTACTTCATGTCCCACTGTTTTTTTAGGGTGGTTCTATGGATCTATTTATTCATTTATTTTTATTTCAATAGGTTTTTCGGGAACAGGTAACGTTTGGTTACATAGCTAACTTCTTTAGTGGTTATTTCTGAGATTTTGGTGCACCCAACACCCAAGCGGTGTACACTTTACACAATGTGTAGTCTTTTATCCCTTACCCCCTCCCATCCTTTTTCCCTGAGGCAGGACAACAGGGTCTGGAGGTAGGGAACATAAGGCCAATTTGCACTTCAGCTGTGACAGGAAATATCTTCTCCATAGCCTGTAGGCCAAGTAAATAACTTTGTAACTTTACTTCATCCTCTTTATTTACATAGGACATACCCCATGTAACCAGTGGAATCCTCTAGAGGGTATTTAAACTCCCCAAATTTCTGTAATGGGGCCTTTAAGCCACTATGCTTGAGCCTGCTCCCACACTAAGGAGTGTACTTTCATTTTCAATAAATCCTTCATTCCTTCCTTGCTTTGCTTGTGCGTTTTGTCCAATACTTTGTTCAAGATGCCAAGAACCTGAGACACCCTCCACAGGTGACACCCAGAGTCCCCAAAGACCATTGTATTATTCCTATGCCTTTGCATTCTCAAAGCTTAGTTCCCACTATAAGTGAGAAAATAAGATGTTTGGTTTTCCATTCCTGAGTTACTTCACTTAGAATAATGGTCTCCAACTCTATCCAGGTCACTGCAAATGCCATTATTTAGTTCCTTTTTATGGTTGAGTAGTATTCCATGGTATATATATATACCACATTTTCTTTATCCACTCATTGATTGATGGGCATTTTGACTAGCTCCATATTTTTGCAATTATGAATTGTGCTGCTATAAACATGCATGTGAAAATATCTTTTTCATATAATGACTTCTTTTCCACTGGGTAGATACCCAGGAGTGGGATTGCTGGATCAAATGGTGGTTCTACTTTTCGTTCTTTAAGGAATCTTCACATTGTTTTCCATAGTGGTTGTACTAGTTTATATTCCCACCAGCAGTGTAAAAGTGTTCCCTTTTCACCATATCCACACTGTTATAAGTAAAGTTTTGGTGCCGCAAAAGAAATAGCACCCGAATATAAAATTTTCTTTTTAATTCTCAGCAAGGCAACTTACTTCTATAGAAGGATGCGGCCTTAACAGATGGAGCAATGGTGAGCGCACATGTGGACGAGGGAGGGAAAGGGGTTCTTATTCCTGACGCACGTGGCCCCTGATGCTGTGTCATTCCCCTATTGGCTAGGGTTAGACCGCACAGGCTAAACTAATTCCGATTGGCTAATTTAAAGACAGTAACAGGGTGGTGGTTTGATGGGAGAAAATGGTTATGAGGGGTGGAGAATGAGTAAGGGGAAGCAGGTAGCAGGTAATTGGAATGAGTCAGAGTGGAGCAGGTAATTGGAATGAGTCAGGGTGGAGCAGGTGATTGAAATGAGTCAGGGTGGAGCAGGTGATTGAAATGAGTCAGGGTGGAGCAAGTAATTGAAAAAAGTCCCTTTATAAGGAAGTTAAGTTTAAAAGTAGAAGGCAAAGAATTGAACATACTGACATATTGATTCTTTGAGAAGAAATTTAGAACTCATATCTAACATGCCAATCTCCTTTTTTTTTAAATTTCATTTTTACTATGGCGTTTCTTGCAGGAGTAAGGTGATATTGCATTGTGGTTTTGATTTACATTTCCCTGATCATTAGTGATGTTGAGCATATTTTTATATGTTTGTTGGCCATTTGCATATCTTCTTTTGAGAATTGTCTATTCATGTCCTTAGCACATGTTTTGATGGGGTTATTTTTTTTTTCTTGCTGATTTGCTTGAGTTTCTTGTAGGTTCTGGATATTATTCCTTTGTTGATGCAGTTTGTGAAGATTTTTCTCTCACTCTGTAGGTTGTCTATTTACTCTGATCATTATTTATTTTGTTGTGCAGGAGCTTTTTAGTTTAATTAAGCCCTATCTGTTTATCTTTATTGTTGTTGCATTTGCTTTTGGGTTCTTGGTCATGAAGTCTTCGCCTAAGCCAATGTCTAGAAGGGTTTTTCTGATGTTTTCTTCTAGAATTTCTGTGGTTTCAGGTCTTAAACTTAAGTCTTTGATCCATCTTGAGTTGATTTTTGTATAAGGTGAGAGATGAGGATTCCAGTTTCATTCTTCTACCTGTGGCTTGCCAATTATTCCAACACCATTTGTTGAATAGGGTGAACTTCCCCACTTTATGTTTCTGTTTGCTTTGTTGAAGATCAGTTGGCTTAAATATTTGGCTTTATTTCTGGGTTCTCTATTCTGTTCCATGGGTCTATGTGCCTATTTTTATACTAGGACCATGCTGTTTTGGTGACTATAGCCTTATAATATAGCTTGAAATTGGGGAATGTGATGCCTCCAGATTTGTTCTTTTTGCCTAGTCTTGCTGTAGCTATGCGGACACTTCTTTGGTTCCATGTGTATTTTAAGATTGCTTTTTCTTGTTCTGTGAAGAATGATGGTGGTATTTTGATGGAGACTGCAATTTGTAGATTGCATTTGGCAGTATGGTCATCGTCACAATATTGATTCTACTTACCCATGAGCATGGGATGTGTTTCCATTTGTTTGTGTGGTCTATGAGTTCTTTCAGTAGTGCTTTGTAGTTTTCCTTGTATAGGTCTTTCACTTCCTTTCACCTTCCTTGGTGTTTTTTTTGTGGTTTTGTTTTGTTTTGTTTTTTTCAGCTATTGTAAAAGGTTGAGTTCTTTTTTTAGTTTGTTGTTGTTGTTGTTTTAAGATGAGTTTCACTCTTGTTGCCTAGGCTGGAGTGCAATGGCGTGATCTCGGCTCACTGCAACCTCCGCCTCCTGGGTTCAAGTGATGCTCGTGACTCAGCCTCCCAAGTAGCTGGGATTACAGTTGCCCACCACAATGCCCAGGTAATTTTTTGTATTTTTAGTAGAGATGGGGTTTCACCATGTTGGCCAGGCTGGTCTCGAACTCCTAACCTCAAGTGTTCCACCGCCTCGGCCTCCCAAAGTGCTGCAATTACAGGCGTGAGCCACTGCACCTGGCTGAGGTTGAGTTCTTGATTTCTCAGCTTGACTGCTATTGGTGTATAGCAATGCTACTGATTTGTATACATTGATTTTGTATCCTGAAACTTTAATAAATTCATTTATCAGTTCTAGCAGGGGTCCCACTTTTGATGACATCTGTTAAAAGAGAAAACTTTAAACAAAAAGAAAAAAAATGTAGACAAATCAAATTTAACAGAGTTTAATTCAACAAAGAACAATTTGTGAATTTGGCAGCCCCCCACATCAGAATATGTTCAGAGAGACTCCAGTGTTGCCATGTGATTGGAGAGTATTTACAGACAGAAAAAATGTGACCTACAGAAAAACAACTGGATTGGTTACATCTTGGCATTTGCCTTACTTAAAATCGGTTTGAACAGTTGGCTGCCTTTGATTTGCAGAAACTTGGTAATGGTACAAGAATAGGTTGCAGTCTCTTTACACATCCAGTTAGGTTACAGTTCATCACTTGCAGAGAAACCTTTAGGGTGAATTTAAAATATGAAAGGAGGCACCTTTAGGCTAAACTTAATTTAACATGGCATTTAAGAAATTACTTCAGCTGATTTCTAGGAGCAGGAATTTAAAGGGCTAGGTGTGGAGGAGGAAGGAGGAAATTCACCAAGTGAAGCCAGATTCTGAGTTCATATCTCTGGTTGGCTCTAAAAAGATTTTAAACTCTTCTTTTTAGCTGATCATCACACTGGCTTCAGTTGCTGAAGGGAGGTCCCATTCACAGAGTTCTCACAGCCTTCATGGTTCTCAGAGAGGTCCAGGATGAAGTGCACAGGGCTTTTTTGCATGGTCAGGCTTGCACAGTGGCCAGATTGGTTTGGTAACATGTTTACTTTAATTGTAGGTAGCAGTGCTCATGTTTATCTTCTTCTCCAGACTGAAGCTTGTGAAGATCGCTCCAATGTCTCACACAATTTTAAATGCCCCCAGCAAAGCTTAGCACGGGGCTCTATTCACAGTGAACTGCATAATTGCTGTTTCTTTTTTGCATGAGACAGATTCAATTAACAGCACTGTCACATAGCTCCAGAAGGTTGCTGTGAAGTTGGGCCCGTTTGCTAGGATAGAGGAAGGCTCATTTTACTTTTCTCATTAGCTTATTAACTCCAAAGAAATTATCAGAATTTTACACTGCCTAAACCACAGAGGCTGGCCTGAGGAGGAAGTTTCAATGGGGTGAAAAGGAGATGATAGCAGCAAGACCTGGCAGGCACACAGCAAGGCGAGGGCCCTGGGTACTGAGGGGAAAGCACGGGCAGCACTAGCTGCCTCTGTGTCACTAGTTTGGCATCCTTGGCTCTGGATCCCTGGTGGAGCTAGAGTCATTAGGATGACAATAGCTCCTATTAGTGTGGACAGGAATTTTAGGAATTTTGGCAATGGCAACAGTGAGGAATGCGCATTTGACTTTTTATGAAACCTCTATACAGAAGAACTGACCAATACAGAGTGTAAACTGGCCAGCAAGCTCTAGCACAGTGCTTTGATAAACATTTTAGTCCTTTGAGTTACAAATTTTTCTAAGGTGTGTTACATATTTTCTGCCCTTTTCTTTTCTCCTTTCCTTTCCCTTTCCCTTTCCCTTTCCTTTTTGAAACGGAGTCTCACCCTGTCACCCAGGCTGGAGTGCAATGGCGTGATCTCGGCTCACTGCAACCTCTGCTTCCCGGGTTCAAATGGTTCTCCTGCCTCAGCCTCCTGAGTAGCTGGGATTACAGGCGCCCGCCACCACGCCTGGCTAATTTTTGTATTTTTGTATGTATGTATGTATGTATGTATGTATGTATGTGTGTATTTTGAGACAGAGTTTCGCTCTTGTTGGCCGGGCTGGAGTGCAATGGCACGATCTCTGCTCACCGCAACCTCTGCCTCCTGGGTTCAAGCGATTCTCCTGCCTCAGCCTCCCAAGTAGCTGGGATTACAGGCATGTGCCACCATGCCTGGCTAATTTTTGTATTTTTAGTAGAGACAGGGTTTCTTCATGTTGGTCAGGCTGGTCTCAAACTCCCAACCTCAGGTGAGCTGCCTGTCTCAGCCTCCCAAAGTGCTGGGATTACAGGTGTGAGCCACCACGCCTGGCCCAGACTTTGGCTTTTCATTTTTACATGTTTAATACACAAACTGTGTGCTTGCTGTAGTACCTCTTCTAAGCGGAACCCCCTAGGAATGAGACACAAACCACAGACCATACTCCCTGTGTCTGTAGGCATCTGACAATTTGTTCTTGTTTTCTTTACCTTCTTTTATACATACCCTGTTTCTCAAAAGAGGTTTTTGTTTGCAAACACTAAGAAAATAAATAATTTATCATGGCCACTGATTTCTTTCCAGTAAAATGGTATTTGTAACAACTCAAATTGCCCTGAAGTATAAATTGAGATTTCTATGGAATGCATGCCATTTTATGGAATTTTACTTCCATGGCAGTTTTAATGACAGCAACAAGAACAACAAAAGAAACTCATAATCATTAAAACTGAGGAGAAAAACTACTTTTTAGAAAATGGCATCTTTAGATTCTGTTTTCTGATCTTTTTTAGCACATCAGCCTCGATTGAGGGTAAAAATTTGCAATGTTGAGTACTTTTGTTAGTTTTACTGAAAGCCAAAACCAAAAATGTTCGTTTTCAACCTAACTGAACTTCAACATAGCAGTTTATAATTCCGACATAGCAGTTTTGGTTATTAAGAAAATAGTAATGGAATAAAAGAGAAAAATGAAAACAAAAGGAAAAAATCCGCATATTACAATGTGGCTTTGGTAATACTATTTGTCATATATTTGTATGATTCTTCGTATGTTTAAAAGTGCTTGCATATACAGTGTCTTTTTGATCTTTACAACAACCCTATCTACCGGAGAGTTTCAAACATGGAACCCAGAAGAAATAACTTGTTTAATTTTGTAACAGGGCAAGAAAAAATCTAGCTGGGAAAGGGATATCTAATGAAATGTTCATTTAGTGACAGTATTTGTTGTTGTTCTGTTTTGTTTTGTTGACTTGGGAAAGGATGTACTACAAACCTTAAGCTGGACTAGATCAGCTTGGCTAGGAACTTGTAATGGAAGGCTCATGATTAGCTCTAAAAGCGGGAACTGACATTGGTAAATGGTCCAATGATAGTCTCATGGAAATGCTGTTTGCTTTCCAACACTTAAAATTGCTTTTAAATCCCATGTTCCCCTAAACTGTTTATATTACAACTTCATCGAAGTCAAGAATCTTCTGAGCTTGGACAGTGTCCTTCTTTTTCTCTTTTTTAACTTCACTTTTCTTTTTCTTCTAAGTGTGTTAAGAAACTTCTTGCCATATTTGCTATAGATGAGAAGGAAAATACATTTTTCTCCTTTTTTTTTTCCTGATAATGGATCTGAATACCAGTTTTTTTTTTTTGTTCTTTCTGTGTAGATATTATTGTCTTAATCATAACAAGATACTATTACATAGTAATTATTAGGGAAGGTACAAAATATTAATTTGTGGTTTTGAGAAAAAAAGACCAAAACACAGAAGTTTCAGGATTGTCACTACTATTTTAAATCAGAAAACCCCTCTGGCTCCGCATATCAGAAACACTGTGAAGAGGGAGCAGCCAGCACCTGTTTGAAATTAGAAGGATGGAAAATGATGACAGTTTATTCTTTGTGATTTTCTTACATGTTTATTTTCAAAAAATCCCAGAAAAACAGAACAGAGAATTGAACTTATAAGGAAAGAGAAGCTGAATACAGGCATACCTAGTTTTATTGTGCTCTGCATTATTGTAATTTACAGGTATTGTGTTTTTTACAAGTTGAAGATCTGTAGCAACCCTGCAGTGAGGAAGTCTATTGGTGCCATTTGCCCAACAGCATGAGCTCACTTCATGTCTCTGTGTCACATTTTGGTAATTCTCATAATATTTTAAAGTTTTTTATTATTATTATTTCTGTTATGGTGATCTGTGATCGATGATCTTTGATGTTATTATCGTAACTGTTTTGGGGACACCATGAACCATGTCCATATAAGATGGTGAACTTAATTGATAGATGTGTGTGTTCCGATGGCTCTACCAACCAATCATTCCCCCATATCTTTACTTTCCTTGGGCCTCTCTATCCCTTGAGACACAACAATATTGAAGTTAGGCCAATTAGTAACCCTCGAATGGCCTCTCAGTGCTTAAGTGAAAGGAAGAGTTTCATGTCTCTCATTTTAAATAAAAAGCTAGATATAATTCAGCCTAAAGAGAGAGGCATGTCAAAAGCCAAGATAGCCCAAAAGCTAGGCCTCTTGTGATAAGCAGTTAGCCAAGCTGTGAATGCAAAAAAAAAAAGAATTCTTGAAGGAAATGAAAGGTGCTACTCCAGTGAACACAAGAATGATAAGAAAGCAAAACAGCCTTGTTGCTGATGTAGAGAAAGTTTGAGTAGCCTGGAGAGATCAAACATTCCCTTAGGCCAAGCCTAACCAAGAGCAACACCCTAACTCTCTTCACTGCTATGAAGGCTGAATGAGGTGAGGAAGCCGCAGAAAAATAATTGGAAGCTAGCAGAGCTTGGCTCATGAGGTTTAACAAAACAAGCAGCCTGTATACAATAAACGTGCAAGGTGAGGCAGCAAGTGCTGATATAGAAGCTGCAGCAAGTTATCCAGATCTAGCTAAGATAATTGATGAAGGTGGCTACACTAAAGAAAAGATGTTTATTTAGATAAAACAGCCTTCTCTTGGAAGAAGATGCCATCCAGGATTTTCATAGCTAAAGAGGAGAAGTCAATACCTGACTTCGAAGCTTCAAAGGACAGGCTGACTCTCTTGTTAGGGATTAATGCAGCTGGTGAATTTAAGTGAAAGCCAAAGCTCATTTACTATTCTGAAAATCCTAGGGCCCTAAGAATTATGCTAAATTTACTCTGCTTGTGCTCTCTCATTGGAGCAATAAAGCTTGGATGAAGCACATCTATTTACAGCATAGTTTACTGAATATTTTAAGTCCACTTTTGAAACTATTGCTCAGAAAATAAGATTCATTTAAAAAATTACTGCTTAAGGCCAGGCGCGGTGGCTCAAGCCTGTAATCCCAGCACTTTGGGAGCCTGAGGCGGGCGGATCACAAGGTCAGAAGATCAAGACCATCCTGGCTAACATGGTGAAACCCCATCTCTACTAAAAATACAAAAAATTAGCCGGCGTGGTGGCGGGCGCCTGTAGTCCCAGCTGCTCGGGAGGCTGAGGCAGGAGAATGGCATGAACCTGGGAGACGGAGCTTGCAGTGAGCCGAGATCACGCCACTGCACTCTAGCCTGGGTGACAGAGCAAGACTCTGACTCAAAAAAAAAAAAAAAAAAAAAAGAATTACTACTTAACTTAATGAACCTGGTCACCCAAAAGCTCTGATGAATATATACAAGATTTATGCATTCATGTCTGTTAACACAACATCCATTCTGCAGGCCCATGGATCAATAAGTAATTTCAACTTTCAATTCTTATGATTTAAGAAGTACATTTCCTAAGGCTATAGCTGCCATAGATAGTGATTCCTCAGATGGAGGTGGGCAAAGTAAATTGGAAACTTTCTGGAAATAATTCATGATTTTAGATATCATCAAGAATATCTGTTATTTGGCTGGGCGCGGTGGCTCACGCCCGTAATCCCAGCACTTTGGGAGGCCAAGGCGTGCGGATCACGAGGTCAGCAGTTCAAGACCAGCCTGACCAAAATGGTGAAACCCTGTCTCTACTAAAAATACAAAAATTAGCCAGGCATGGTGGCGGGCGCCTGTAGTCCCAGCTACTTGGGAGACTGAGGCAGGAGAATTGCTTGAACCCGGGAGGTGGAGGTTGCAGTGAGCCGAGATTGCTCCACTGCACTCCAGCCTGGGTGACAGAGCCAGACTCCGTCTAAAAAAAAAAGAAAAAGAAAAAGAATATCTGTCGTTCATGGGAGGAAGACAAAATATCAGCATTACTAAGAGTTTGGAAGAAGTTGATTCCATCCCTCATGATGACTTTGAGGGGTTCAAGACTACAGAGGAGGAAGTAACTGGAGATGTGATGCAAATAATAAGAGAGGAGCTGCTTCTTATGAATGAGCAAAGAAAGTGTTTTTTTGAGATGGAATCTACTGGTGAAGATGCTGTGAACATTGATGAAATGACCACAAAGGATTTAAAATATATTACATAAACTTAGCTAGTAAAGCTGCAGGACGGTTTGAGAAGATCGCCTTCAGTTTTGTAAGTTCTTCTGTAGGTAAAACGCTGTTAAACAGAGAAATCTTTTGTGAAAAGCAGAGTCAACTGATGCTGCAAGTTCATGATTGTCTTATTTTCAGAAATTGCGACAGCCACCCCAGCCTTCAGCAATCATCACGCTGATCAGTCAACAGCCATCAACATCAAGGCAAGACTCTCTACTAGCAAAACAATTATGACTTGCTGAAGTCTCAAAGTAGCATTTTTAGCAGTATGTTTAAAGTATGTACATTTCTTTAGACATAATGGTATTGCACATTTAATAGGCTACAGTATAGTGTAAACATAACTTTTTTATGAACTAGGAAACCAAAAAGTTCATGTGACTCACTTCATTGCAATATTCATTTTATTACAGAGATCTGGGACTGAATCGGCAATATCTCCAAGGCATTCCTGTTGTGTTTTTGGGAAATTTGATGGTGTAACATGTCATTTAAAAATTTCAGCATCCTAGTACTATATTTTGAATGAAATCATCATAATGAACTATTAAAACTGCCACTTCTTTCCCAATAGCAATTGCATCCATCTGTCATCAGTTTGGATTCCTTTTGTGTGCGTGTATGTCTGTGAATGCATTAGAATGTTTTCCTTTGAGTAAGACACTGGAGTAAGCTATCTAACTCATTTGTGCAGAAACTTTTAATGAGTGCATTCTTTAGATATATTATATTCTGTCCCATTAATCATTTAATCAGGCTTCTATTGTATTTTGCAAATCTCCAAACAGAAAATCCTGTGTGTGATGCCTTTCTTTGGTCTATGTCTCCTTGCAGTATTATACTTCAAAAGTACTTCCTAGTAGTTAGATGGCTAAATCAGAACCAAGTTCCGGAATTAAAAGAATACATTAAAAGCCTGTAATCCTAGCACTTTGGGAGGCCAAGTTAGGCAGATCATCTGAGGACAGGAGTTAGAGATTAGCCTGGCCAACATGGCGAAACCCCATCTCTACTAAAAATAAAAAAATTAGCCTGGTGTGGTGGTGCACACCTCTAATCCCAGCTACTCGGGAAGCTGAGGCAGAAGAATTGCTTGAACTTGGGAGGCGGAGATTGCAGTGAGCCAAGATCATGCCACGGCACTCCAGCCTGAGTAACAGAGCAAGACTCCGTCTCAGAAAATAAAATAAAATATAAAATAAAATAAAATGAAATAAAATGATGGAATACAGGATTAAATCATTAAGCTAAAATACTAAGGAAACTAGGCCAACCAGGGACTAATTTTTCTGTCCCAGGGCCTATATGAATTTCTAAACTTTTGGTAACACAAAGAGACCAACATGGAAATAAAGGATCTACTGGAGAAAGTAGAAGAAAAACCTTTCACTTTTATACGTATGTTATGTAGAAGACTAACACCATTAACTATACTAAATTACAAGCTGTAGAATATTACATTGTTTCAACATGTCTGGGCGTGTTTGGGAGACTGGATTTGTGCCAAGACAAGCTCCTGATAATCCAATGGCAGGCGAGGGTGGAATTGTCAATAAAACTATAGAACTTTAAGTTCAAGCTGGAATCTCTGCTACACACACATACATAGAAGCTGCTATCATACCAACATTTATTACATCTTGTCATATTCTGACTGTATGCACACAGGTAGATGTTATTATATCTAAATAAATGTGACCAGAACTAGTAACGGGGAGTTTGTTGATTCTACTATCATCTTAATTGTTAATGTGATGTAGGCTCTTGACAGAGATTCAGGTTCTTGAGAGGGAAAGATACCCTGAAGATTTTTAAATGTGTTTGTTTGTAACACTGTTAAATGTTGTTAAATGTTGTATTTAAGCTTTACTGTCTTACTAATTGATACCCCATTCTCATAAAAGAGTAAATGCCACTGGCATTATGAGTCCTAAGATACAAGAAACACAGCCATTCAAACAATGCCCTGGTGAAAAGCTTAAATTTAAAACAGACCTCATTTATCAGCGTCTCTCATCATTATCATGGTAAATGTCTAATGTGTGTATGTGTAGTGAATTCTTATAATTTCACGTTGCCTCAGAATCCATTTTGAATAGATATTGAACTTTCTCATATCAGAAGCAGGGCTCAGTCTCCCTTGACACAAGTTCCAGTTCCCCACCTCCTCCCAGTTCCTCAGAGTGGTGGCTGATCCAGGCATCTGCTTTATACAACTGCCTCCTGGTTACCACCTCCCTATGGGAGGTAGATACAGTACAATCTACTTGGCTGCCCCCACAGACTCCCACACTCTGCATGGCCTGCACAGATATGCTGCAGCAACCACCTCTTCCACCTCTCAGTCACAGTGTGACTCCATGAACTTGTACCTACTTGCTCTAAACCCACCTGTTAGAATTCCCCGACAAGTTCCTTGCTCTCGTGCTCTCCCTCTGTCTTTCTCTCTCTCCCTCCCTCCCTCTCTGGCTCCCCACCTGCTGGTTGAGCGTGCCTGCGTGTCCCAGATGCCCCACCTCCTTCCTACCAGCCCTCTTCTCTCTGGGATCTGTAAGTGATACACTGCTTTTGTCATGTCATGTATCTTGTTGGCACTGCTTCCCCTGTGTCTCATCTGACCAACACATCCTGAACTTGGCCCACCCCCTGGTCAGGGCTCTTCCAGAGAGTGGCTATCTTGGTAGGAATAAATGACACGGGTCAGACAAGAGCCACTGGGTCATCTTTCAATGTGAGAGGGACACCTGGTCATGGTTGGACACTTAGACATTAGTCTGTCCACCAGGTAGACATACTCTGTGAAAGGCACACTGTAAACACCCACAACCATCTTCCCTGAGGCCCCATCAGGAAATAGGAAAGGCTCAACGTTATAACAACTCTCCAGAGAGAAATCTCAAGACCAAATTAGAGGAAAAAAACAACTGTGTGTGTGTATGTGTGTGTAATCGTACATTCTATTGTATACATATTTTTATATAATACTATAGCATACTGGTATATGAATTACATGATAATATTGTAAGAATTGTATCATAGTATAGGAATTATGAGTAGAAAAAGGTTATTTAAAACTTTGCTTTCAATCTAGAACATCTATGAAATTTGAGGATATTGAAGTGAAATTCTATCACAAGGCCCACCTCCATAAATTTGCTATGTTGCTGGTATTGTTTAACTGAAATGAGAATGATATAAAGCAATCGATGGAGATCAGGACACACTACCCCAAAATATGGCACCTTGGCATTTGACAGAACAGCAGAGGCAGGAAGCTTACTCTAGTCTTTCCCACACTCCTGCTCCCATAAAGCAGGCCATAACACCAGGTTGACCTTCCCCTATAGTAGGTCATAAGACCTTCCTGTGAAAGGTACGAACTCTATAATTGGAGGAAAGGAATGTCCTTATCTCTGAAGATGCAGGCAAACAGGCCTTGCTGTTTCCCCCAGTTTATTACTGTTAGGTCATATTCCCTTTTGTCCAATCATCCTGCACAACTCTGCAGTTTTCATCAAACCTAAACATAAAAAATACACGGCTTCCCTATTTCTTTGGGTTTTCATTTCCTTACAAAGGCTCCTGTGTCATGTGAAACATATTAAATAAATTAGTATGCTTATTTCTTATTAATCTTTCTTTTGTTACAGGGGTCTCAGGCATGAACCTGAGATGAGAGAGAAAAGAGATCTTTTCTCCCTACACAGTAACCCTAGCAGAGAGGACCATATTGTCCAGGTTAGAGCTTTGATGCTGACATGGTAGAAGAGTTGCCACAGTGTAAATACATATTTTTCTGTATGGGTACCTTTATCTTCACAAAAATGGAATCATAGTATACGTATTTGGTGATACCAATTAGTGGTAGGTTGAATCTATGTTATGTGTCCTCCATACCTCTTAGGACAGATTGTATTATTATTACATAAAGATCTACCACATTCTTGTTAGTGGCCTCATATGACAGTGTATGAATTGTCCTAATTTATTCCAGTGGTTTCTAGTTAATGGACATCTATGTTACTTTCCAACTTTATCACAAACAATGTTACAATGAGTAATCACATACATACATCATTTCACACACGAATGACCTATAAGACAAAATCTTCCTACTGGCACTTATCGTTTTTACAGATATTGCCAAATTGTTTCCCATAAAAATGTCATGGTATTATTTTTGTCTTTTTAAAAAAAAATCTACATTTTTCGATAATTTACTGTGTAAATTATCTACGTTTTAGTATCTAATTATCTACATGTAGTTTAACTATCTTTTTTCCTCTAATCTCTTGATTCAGATATAAAATATTTGCTGATTCCTATGAATATGCACAGAATTCAAAGGTATATTCTGTTAAGTAACTAATAGGCAGACACTCCGTATTATTGTTTGAGGATAGAACCATAAGCTTTAACAGTCAGCCAAAGGATTTGTGTTCTATTAGGAAAGTATAAGAAGCCTAAACCAGGGTATGTGCCTCTTTGTGCAAGCAGGTCTAGGGAGTGTCTGCAGAGAGTTTGGCCAATATTCTTTAAACACGCTGGTGGTAGAATGCATTATTGGCTGAAATTCTTCATCTCTTTCTATAACTTGGAGCTTGCCCTGTGATTTGCTAGGTAGTTCCTCTCACTAAAGGTGAAGTTGGCCATTCTATTGGCTTGAGTGGAAGTGACAGTGCGCCAGTTCTGAACCTCGACCTTAAGAGAAGCTGCATACTTTTGCATCCTTTCACCATGAGAAGAGCTTATTGAGGGTACTTGCTGCCCCTTTAATCTGAGCCTCAGAATAAATACACATTGAATAGAGCTATTCCACCCTATCTATAGACTTGCAGTATGAAGCAGAGCCAACCAGGTGCCACAGATCGAGGCTGAACTGCCCTACCCATGAGCAAAATAAATTCTTTTGTTAATTAGCACTGAGCTTTTGGTGATTATTTGTTATATAGCAATAGCTGACTCTTGTAATTGTGCTAGATCAGTTTTCATCATATGGATAAATAGAAAATGGACATTCCCAAGTTTTACCCTATACACTATGGCAATGATAATTTTAGCTTGTAAAGTTTTAAAAGCAAGTTTATCAAGCACCCATTTTGATCATAAAAATATATTAAATACCTAATAGAATGTCTATTGTTGAACAATGAAATTCTGGGTGAAGGCCTGAATAAAACAATAGTAGCAACTATTGGCAAAGGTAAGCCAGGCATTACAGCAGGCATATTACATTCATGTTCTCATTTAACTCTCATCAGTTATGCAAGGTACATGATAATAAAAATGCAAACTCCTGTCAGTGAATGTTGGCCAACTGAGAGAGTTAATTTGCAAATTCCCTTTTCAGTTATGAAATCTTTACCTGGTCTTCTCCATTCTGTTATTAACTAAAGAGGCTTGGAATGAAATTGGCATAACTCTCTGAGGTTTGGAAAGCACACTTGTCAGGTCACATTGCCTAGGGAAATAAGACTTAGTGCCTCCACTTCCTCTTGCAAAAACTTTCTGGGCTTATGACAACTTTTGTAGTTTCCTTTATTTTTTAATTCTTGTGACCTCTTAGTGTTACAGTGATTTAGAAATGAACAGTGATTTAGACTAGAACTGAAGATGTTCAGTCTATTGGCATTCTTACTTACCTGAATGAAAAGCAAAGTCATATTTTATTTGGGCTTCAATGAACCTATTCATTTCAAGTAGTCAATTTTTCCTCTTTTTGCATTATTGAAAAACATGGAAACACTCTTCTGTAAATCGTTCTGTATAAAAAGGGAGTTTATTTCTCATACTTTGATTCTGGGCTGTCCTTATCATATGCATTAACTAAAAGAAAATGTGGTAGAAGTAAAGTTGTGTGACTTCCAAACTAGACCTTAAAAGGTCTCAGGGTTTCTGCCTTTGTTCTCTGGGAATGCTGCCCTGAGACTGACATTGTAAGGCAGCCAGTTTACCTTTCTGAAGATGAGAGGCTACGTGGAGGAGAACCAACATGCCCCAACTGATAGTCATCACCAACGGTCAAATGCGTGCTGGAGGCCATCTTGGACCTCCCAGCAGTATGCCAAGGCAAAAACAGCAGAGGAGCACCCAGACAACTCACAGAATCATAGGAAATAGGAAATGGTTGTTGTTTTAAGCCACTACGTTTTGGGGTGATTGATTACACAACAGTATATAACTCATACTTTTTCTTATTTCTCATAGCATAGTAAAAGGCATTACGTAATTTGGGAAAATGTAGTTAACTAAAGAGAGCAGGCAGGGAGTTCTATGCAGATGGATCATACGGCTTTACTTCACAAACAGGAAAGGGGAAAAGTGAAGAAAATCTTATTGCAGATAGGAAGATGTGAGGGATTCTGCAGGTCACGTAGGTGGCCAATGAGTTGTAGGGGGACAGCTCTGCCATGATGCCCTAGTGGCTTTGCACCTTAGAAAGATCCACATAGCCATGTGGGAAAGGTTTGAATTACTGTCTGACCTACGCCTTGGGAAATCTTCCCTATGGCCTTCCTGGAGCATAAGAGCATGGAGGCTTGCAATGAGCTGCTACAAGTATATTTCTCACTCACTTCCCTAGCTACCTGGGAAACTGACATTGAGAGTTTCTTGTTGCCTCCCAAGTTCAGATGAGGTGTGAGGCTTTCTGCCTCACCCGTTTTAGACAGAGTTGCTGGCTATAGAACTGCTTAGTTACAATCTAGAATTCCCTCCTTGGCAACAGAGTGTACCACAACTCATTTTGCTATCATCCTGCCCTTTTGTTTCAGTGTCATTCTTTCTGCTGTGTGGAACAAGGACCAAGGAAAACTGGTGCCTTTGCTACTTTTTCTTTGCTGTCCATGGAAGCAATAAACAGTCTAAAGCTAAAATGGGCTTACTGTGTCTTTACTGGCCAAATGTCTGAGGCCTTGGACTTGGCCTTAGCCTTGCCTGCTATGTGCTTGACACAAGTTAGTAATGAAATAAAAAAAACTTGTCATTAAGAATTTTAAAAAGAAAAACCATAATTCTATAGTTAAGATGGGAAGAAGATTCAAGTATTTTCTAATATCAGAATAAGTAGATTACATTTTCCCTTCTTTAATCTTCTTTAAAGTATAGAGAATATTACGTGATAGCTATAGCAGAGAAAATAGAAATAATAACTGCAAAATTAAATAGAAATTATTGTATATGTTTTGTTTATCAATTTAGGTTTTTGTTTGTTTGTTTGTTTTATTTTTTTTTTAAGATGGAATTTTGCTCTGTCGCCCAGGCTGCAGTGCAGTGGTGTGATCTTGGCTCATTGTAACCTCCACCTCCCGGGTTCAAGTGACTCTCCTGCCTCAGCCTCACGAGTAGCTGGGACTACAGGTGCCTGCCACCATGTCCAGCTAATTTTTGTATTTTTAGTAGAGACGGGGTTTCATCATATTGGCCAGGCTGGTCTTGAACTCCTGACCTTGTGATCCACCCGCCTTGGCCTCCCACAGTGCTGGGATTACAGGTGCGAGCCACCACACCTGGCTTATCAATTTAGTTTTAAGTGACTTTCTTATTGATTTGTATAATTTCTTTATACAGTAAAGACACTTTCTTGTCATATTTGTTGAAAATGTATTTTTCCGGTTTGTTTAATTTGGGGGCTTTCAGATATCCACATTTCCACAGTTTTATATAGCCAAATCCATGAATCTTTTCATTCAACATTTTCTTCATCTTTATAATTTTAGAAAGCTCTCACTACTCCAGGGTCTTAATAAATCTCTCCTTTTTTATCTTATGACTTAAAAAAATATTGAGTTCTTTAATTCTCCTGGAATTCATTTTGGTAGATAGTGCAAGTTCAACCTCTTACCTTTTTTTTTTTTTCTCTAATGAGCTAACGAACTTTCCTAACACCATCTGTCTCTTAAAACTTAACTTTTCTGTTGAACTTTTAAAAGTTCTTAAAATTTCTTTTCAGATTTACGTGTAGTATAATTTACCTTTTTGATGTGCAGTTCTATAAGGAATATGTTTTCTCTATAAAAAACCTGATTCTCAGAAGTACACAAATATACCTCTGATATTAAGATCTTTAGGGAAGTGCATGGAATTTACAGAAACTTCTAGTGAAAATTCCTATTCCAAGAAGGTTTATAAAACTTAATCAATTTTCTTTTTTTCATTCTCTCCATCACCCATGAATGAGATAGAATACTTAAAGGGTGAAAAATTGGACATCAGAGGGAATAAGAAGAAAAGCAAGGGATCTGAATTATAAATAAGTTAGAGGCTGGTAATCAAAAAGTACTTATGAACACATCCTCTGTTCAAAACCAGAATTTTGTCCACTCCTGTCGGATAGAGAGCTACTTTTGCTCCAAGTAAAAAGCAAACTAAATGAGCCCATTTTTATTAAGAGAATATTTGAGCAAGTAGAATGTGAACAGTGAAAGTCTGGCCTAACTGGTATCTACCTTATGCAGAAATCATTTGATTTTTTTTTTTTTTTTTTTTTTTTTTACAATTAAAGATTTTTAGATTTGTGGCGGCTAATATGGGAATGGGATCCTCAACCATGAATACAAACATAACAATTCAACTGACATTCAGAGTGACCAAGAGCCAGGCGCTATGACAGGCCCAAGTGTCTCCCTGACTCCAGAGAACACCTTTGAAGAATTACTCTCACCTTCACTGTCATAGGTATTTCCACTGCCTCAGCTCACAGTGTTGTAACATGTATCTTTTTTTTTTTTTTTTTTTGAGACGGAGTTTCACTTTGTCACCCAGGCTGGAGTGCAGTGGCACGATCTTGGCTCACTGCAACCTCCACCTCCTGGGTTCAAGTGATTCTCCTGCCTCAGCATCCTGAGTAGCTGGGACTACAGGTGTGTGTCACCACGCCCAGCTAATTTTTTGTATTTTTAGTAGAGACGGGGTTTCACCGCGTTAGCCAGGATGGTCTCGATCTCCTGACCTCATGATCTGCCTGCCTCGGCCTCCCAAGGTGCTGGGATTACAGGCGTGAGCCACCACACCCGGCCTCCAACATGTATCTTAATGTTCATTATTTATCCAATAAGCTTTTTTTGGCTGTTATTCTGTGTTAAGTGCTAGAATCACAAAGATGAGGGAGGGAGGGAGCATGTACACAGAGAAACAAGTGTTGGCATAGTCATATGCAGATTATACTGTGGAACAGGCTAAAGAAGGAACATTTCTCCCTTGGAGAAAGGGTAGGAAGCCAGGCCAGGTGACGCCTGTCTTTGATTCCAGCTACTCCAGAAGCTGAGATGGGAGGATCGCTTGAGCCCAGGAGTTTCAAACCAGCCTGAGCAACATAGTGAGAACCTATCTGAAAAAAAAAAAATGTGTTTAATTAAAAGAAAAAACACAGAAAGAAGGTCCAGCAAATGCAAAGTCATGGAAGTTAGGGTCCATTAGGGCCACTGCAAGTCTGTGTGGTGCTGGGCATCCAAGATAGAAAGGAAGACAGAGGGAAGCAGCCCTGAGAGGCTGGCAAGGGCCAGACTGCCTTCCCCAGGTGCAGGGGTTTGAATTTCATTCTAGAAGCACTAGGAAGCCTCGGGTTTTAAGCAGTGAAGTGGAGGATTAAAGTAGAGAAAACTGAATTTCTTTAGATCTTCTAACGCTAAATCCAATATTCTGTGATATTGAGGTTCCCTCTTTACCCCGTCCTCCTTACTCATCTCTTGAAGCCATTTCTAGACTTCTATTTAATTCATAGCACAAATGTTTAATTCCTTTCGAAAAAAGTTCTGTGGAATCTTTATGGTTCCAGAAGCTTTAGCCTCATTTCTCCCAGTATAATTTTTAAAGCGTCATTTCAAGCATTTTTTTTTCCAGGCCCAGTATCAGGGAAAAATTAGAGCACTGAATTCTTAGATAACTCATGAAAGCTAAGGTTTACTTAGCCCTCTGGCTTTAATCTCTCATAGCCTGATATGAGGCCATGTGTATCTTGTCACCTTTATTCATAAGTTCACATCTTCTTTTACCATCACAAAGAAGAACCAGTCTCTGGACTTTCATGAACCATGCATGAGAGCTTGCAACCATAGCCATTGAGGTAATTGGCTTTTGAAAAATTATGCCTCTATGCCATTTTTTTTCATGCACTGAAGATGAGAACAATACACTCAAGGAGAATAAAATAGGAAAAGGGCTTAGATTTTGAAAGCAGGTGAAAGTTGACCATTATTCATTGTTGTCATAAATGGCCTTATATTTATACCATCATTGTAAAATGGGTTGCTATGGTCCGAATGCATCCTTCCAAAATTTGTAAGTTGAAACTTAATCGCCAATGTGATAGTATTAAGAGCTCGGGCCTTTAAGGGCTAATTAAGTCAGGAGGACAGAGCCCTCATGTATGGGATTAGCAGCCTTATAAAAGAGCTGGAAGATATTAGCTAGGCCCCTTTCCCCCTCCCCCCAGCTTTTTCCCTTCTGGTATGTGAGGACACAGCAACAAGGTGCCATCTTGGAAGTAAAAATCTGTCACCAGATACCAAATCTGTTGGTACCTTGATCTTGGACTTCCTAGCCTCCAGAACTCTGAGAAAATAAATTTCTGTTGTTTATAATTACTCAGTCTAAGATATTATAACATTTAGCCCACTTGAGCTGGGTGTGGTGGTTCATGCCTGTAATCCCAGCACTTTGGAAGGCCGAGGCAGGTGGATCATTTGAGGTCAGGAGTTCAAGACTAGCCTGGCCAACATGGTGAAACCCCAAATCTACTAAAAATACAAAAAAATTAGCTGGGCATGGTGGCGCATGCCTGTAGTTCCAGCTACTCAGGAGGCTGAAGCAGGAGAATCGCTTGAACCCGGGAGATGGAGGTTGCAGTGAGCTAAGACCTTGCCATGGCACTCCAGCCTAGGCGACAGAGTGACACTCCGTCTCAAAAAAAACCCCAACAAAACAAAACAAAACAACAACAAAAACATTTACTCCATTTGCAACACAAATGGACTAAGACACAGATCATTAAAGAAATTTACATCTTCCTAGAACTTTAAGAAGAAAATAGGTAATCATTTGCTAATATGGCCTAGACTAATGGGCCCAACATTTCTGTTCATAGCTACCAAAACAGAGTGTGAAAGAACCCAGGTCCATAAACACTTCTGACCCCAATTGCAAGTTCAGGTGGTCCCCAAGACCACTTTCAAGTTCAATAATTCACTAGGACTCACAGAACTCATTCAAAACTGTTGTTATACTCAGTTATGGTTTATTACAATGAAAAGACGCAGATTAAAATCAGCCAAAGGAAGGAGTGCATAGGGCAGGGTCTAGGCAGGTTCCATGGGCAGGGTTTCCAACTGTCCTCTCCCTGTGGAGTCATGGACAGCATTAACTACTGCTAAGAATGATGTGTGACAATACACACGAGTATTGCTAAACAGGGAAGCTTACTCAAACCTTGATGTCCACAGTTTCTAGTGGGGCTTGGTCATGCCTTTATTCTCCAGTCCCACCAAATGTCACACTGATATTGCATGGCCCCAAGCCCCCACCACACCATACATCACACTGTTAGACTATCCAGTGTGGCCCAACGTCCCCAGGTAAACAAAGATACTCTTATCAGGCAGGACACTGCAAGGGCTCAGAGATCACCTCCTGGGAGCTGAGGGCAAAGACCAGGCCTCTCTTTGGATGAGGTTAAATCTTGCTTTTACAAATTTATAAATTATACACAAGTACTATATACAAGTATAGAATGCACATTAAGCAACACGTAAAGTTGAATTTATTAATGGGATATATACAATGTTAAATAAAAATGCAGTTTTGATATTTCTCCCTGTGCTCCCATGCATCTTTTTGTGCCCTCTGTGGAGTGGGTGCACACCACTTCAGATGCTACTAGTCATTACTATGTTTGAGCCTAAAGCTAGAGAAAATGAATTTAATATCTTTTCCACATTTATAGCCTTGGTAATTTTACAAAAATAAACTTTTTATGATTTACAATGGTGTTTATTCAAAAATGAAGTTTGTCAGCAATATTGAATCATGTTAACCAAATTGCTGCAAAAAAAGTAGAAAGAGAATTAGATCTAGAACAAGAAAGCCTAGGCTTCCTCCCGCCGTGTCACGAAGAGCACTTCTGTGCCTCAGTTATCTCATCAGTAAAATGGGAGCAATAAACATAATGCTTAATATAGGTCAGCTGTTGTTATCATCCAAGGTGTATCTTTAAAAAGAAATCAAGCTTGATAATGTAGAAAAATTGATGTTTTCTTGGAGTAGACTTGGAAAATTCAGTAAAGGGGGGGTAAAAAGAAATTAATATATTAAACACTACCCCCAACAGAGAAAGGTGCACCACCTTGAGAAAGTTCTTAAATTTGTGCTAATATAATAATGTATTAAACGGTGCAGAAATAGTTAACTTGAACAGCTAGTACTAAAAAGGAGGTAATGATTTACCAAACAGTTTTAAAGAAAATAAACATGAGGAAAGCTAAACTGGCTCAGTGTGCCCATGTTAAAAATATTATTAACATTTTAAAAAATATTGCTTAGAGGCCAGGCGCGGTGGCTCATGCCTGTAATTCCAGCACTTTGAGAGGCCAAGGCGGGTGGATCACTTGAGGCCAGGAGTTCGAGACTGGCCTGACCAACATGGGTCAAACCCCATCTCTGCTAAAAATACAAAAATTAGCCAGGCGTAGTCATGGTGAGGCACACTTATAATCTCAACTACTCCAGACAGAGGCTGAGTCACAAAACTGGCTTGAACTGAGGAGGCAGAGGTTGCAGTGAGCAGAGATCACGCCACTGCACTCCAGCCTGGGTGACAGAGCAAGAAAGAGCTTGTCTTTTCAAAAAAGAAAAAAAAAGTATATATATGTTTATATATATGCACACACACATATACACATACACACACAGATATATACATACACACACATATCTCAGAAAAAAAGATGTAAGTTAAGCACGATAAAGTGACAAAGAATTGTGAAATAAAAATCACTTTATTAGTAGTTAACTATGTGAATTTCTCTGGGTCTCAGTTTCCTCATCTGTAAAATGAGGTGATTCAAAGAGAAAATCTATAAAATTCATTCTAGCTAGAAAAATTATCTGCTACTGCAGGGATTTGATCCTCAATAAGGGGATACATACATACTCAGTAGCTGGTAAATAAGACGCACTTTTTCTGTTATTTTACTTTCCTTAAGTGAAAACAAATAGCATCATTAATAAAAAGCTGACATAAGATTTGTCAATCAATGAAGAAACAATTGGAAAAATTGAGAACTAGAAAAAAAATTAGGCATTTTCTCTGAATCTGGCTAATATTATGAGAACTTATAATATGGTGATAGCCTTGGAGAAATTAGAACAATTAAGAACAAAGCAAATTTAAAACTGCTGTTTGGTTTCTTTATAAAAGAAATAAAACCTTAGATGTAAGAATACAAAGGCATAGTCTTGGAATGGGATAAGTAATGGAATAAGAAGGGGCTCTGGAAATTCACAAAAAGATTTCAAAGGAAATGGATTGCATGCAAAAAGAGAGATTATGAAATCAGTGGCAATGCTAAATGACTCAATTCTAAAGAGGTAATCCTGGAACCAGAGGAGTCAATGTTGAACAATGTTGAACCATACTGTCTTAGCTTACAAACATATTGCAAATGAAGTGGACATTTTCTAGAGCCTCACAATATCGTAGTCATTTCTGGAAATGAAAAGTCTTAGACATATGAGTGAAACTAGAGAAATATTAAAAGAGGCAATGAAGTGATAAAACCCCAGAGCATATAAAGAAAGTGAGAAAGAACTAAATTCATAGAGCCTGGAAAAGCAGTAAGTAAAGAAAGAAGGAAAGAAGAGTCTAGGACTGTCAGCATATTGACAGCAATTAAGAAAAATGTGGTGGCAATAAGAGAAAGACAGAAAAAATTAAATTGAGTTTAGGGAAATTCAGCTTGATGACTGGCTTACTAGATTACAATAGTTTGCTATAACTAAAAATATATGCATTACCTAAGTCTTCTTGGCAAGTATCTTCCTGGTAGGAGGAATCAAGGATCTCCGAGTTTTTGTTTTGTCTTATTTTTTATTTCCAGAATAAAAAGTAGATATAATTTAAATGTAGACTGGATTAGATCTCAAATAGTATCTGACCAATTACTACAAGATACTGTCCCAAAACAGAACTGATTTTACAGCAAGGCTATTTTTCAGAGAACTCTGAAGACAGAGATTCCATAGCCTTCTTTGGTAAACTGTTCCAATATTAAATGACCTCTACTGTCAAAAATTATCGTCATGTCTTAGGAGACTTGCTTTGATTATAGGTTAAGATAGAAATCTTAGTCAGTCTTTCCTGCATTCTCAGGAATGCAGGAAAATTGAGGAGCTTGAATATTTTTTAAGCTTCTCTCGATGACTCAGAGTCTTCCCAAAGCACAAATCATAAATATACAGCTCAAAAATGAATGCTCGCAAAGCAAGTTTGCCCCTGTAACTAACACCCAGGATAAGGAATAGGAACGCTGTCAGCATCCCAGAGCCTTCCTTGTTCTCCTGGCTATTCACGACTTCTTCCCTCTTCCCCAAAGATAACCACTAAACTGAATTCTAACACTTTGGTTAAGACATGCTTGTTTTTGAAATTTGCAAACATGGTCATACAGCATGCTTACTATTTTTAATAACATTTTAAAATTAAGATTATATATACTTTATATAACATAAAATTCACTACTTTAAAATGTATGCGTCGGCCAGGTACAGTGGCTCAAGCCTGTATTCCCAGCACTTTGGGAGGCTGAGGTGGACGAATCACTTGAGGTCAGGAGTTCAAGACCAGCCTGGCTAACATGGTGAAATCCTGTCTCTACTGAAAATACAAAAAGTAGCTGGGCATGATGGTGCACACCTGTAATCCCAGCTACTTGGGAGGCTGAGGCAGGAGAATTGCTTGAACCTGGGAGGCGGAGTACGATCCTTAAGACTGCTGTTTGTTTTCTTTATCTCGGTGATCAGTGGCCGAGATCGCGCCACTGTACTCCAGCCTGGGCGACAGGGCGAGACTCAGTGTCAAAAAAAAAAAAAACAACAAAAAACAACAACAAAAAAACCCAAAGTACATGTCAGTGGTTTTTAGTAAATTTACTATGTTGTACAAACATCACCACTATCTAATTCCAGATATTTATAGGGTTTCTATGATCCCCAAATGAAACCCTGAATCTATTAGCAGTTAGTATGTTCTCTTTTGTGTCTCGCTTCTTTTGCTCAACCTTATGCTCGTGAGATCCATATGGTGTGTTCGGTAGCCAATGTGTTTTAAATAAAGCCTGAGGAGCAAAGTACAGGTTTTTCTGATTAATTTTGGTTCCAAACACAAGACTAGTGGTTTTTTACCCTGGCTACACCCTAGTACCAACCAGAGAGCGTTAAAACCCACTGGTGTGTAGGCCCCATCCAGTAAAAGAAATGAAAATCTGGGGTATAAAAGGGGTAGGCTGGGACATTAGTAGCTCTCCAGGTGATTCTATTGTGTAGCTGGGGTTAAGGATTACTACAAAAAACTTAACTGATGAGAAGGCTCTAATTAAAAAGACGGCTTTTAGGTCTGGAAATCTGCATTTTGACAAGTGGCGCATGTAATTCTTACAAGGCAGTTTTAGAAATACTACAGGAAGCCAATGATTATTTGTAGGAAAATAAATGACTTCAACAGAAGTTTCTATTGCTTTCAAACAAGAAAACACTAATGTTAGTTTAAAACATTTTGAATCCATTAACAAGAAACTATTTTAATACATGATTTAATTAAGTGGTGAGGGACAAATGTATTACATCTGTTTCACTTCTTTTAATTTGATGTTTAGCCCAAAGTGGAAACCTATCGGGAAGTGGCCTTTTCCACCTCCTGCACTGAGGTTAACACAGGAAACAAGTCTACTTTTTTTAGACATCAAACCAGGGCTCAACATTGTCAACAGGCCGGGAACTTCCCAATTTGCTTTCATTCATAGTAGACAGTGTACAAAGACTCTTCTTCACTTCACTAGATAAACATATTGGGAAATTTTAAAAATAAAACTGCCAGGAAAAATGGCAAAATAAATGGAAAAGGAAAAAAAATTCAGAAAAGGAAAAGAAACCTCAAAATAGTCTGAAATAGATTTCATTAAATATTATAGTATAAAAGTAACAACTTGACATAATGATAGATAAGAAGGTTTTGTTAGAGGCTAGAATTGGCAGTCTGCTCTTGGGATGTATTCCCATCATTTGTTCCTTTTGGAAATAACTTACATATGCCTGGGGTAAGGATGTTTCTTTCCTGTATAGAGTACTTTCTATATTCTCGGCTTTTAATAATGTATCTTTCGCTTTACTGAAGGGTATCTTCTGTTACTGATGTGTTCTTTTGAACCATTACATGATTATAGATATGACCCAGTAATTTTTTGCCTTATTAGCTTACTACTCACAGAAAACTAGGTTCAATTATTTAGTACATTAATTTCAATACATTAGGTACTGTTAGTCTGAACACACTAATGTGTTTTTAAAATAAATTTATAATTTTATTAGAATAGCTTTAGACTTACAGAAACATTGTGAAAATAGTCCAGAGAATTCCAATATACCCAGGTACTTGGCTGCTTTGTGCTGCTCTAACAGAATACCAAAGACTAAGTAATTTATAAAGAACAGAAATTTATTCTTTCACAGCTATGGAGGCTGAGAAGTCCAAGATCAAGGTGTTGGCATCTGATGAGGGCTTTCTTGCTGTGTCCTCACATGAAGGAAGGCAGAAGGGCCAAAAAAGGGACAAACTCTTTGTCCTCATATGGCAGAAGAGAAGAGAGAACCCACTCCTGAAAGCCCTTTTTATAGCAGTATTAATCCATTCATGAGGGCTTTGCCCTCATGACCCAAACACCTCCCATTAGAGCCTACCTCCCAACCTCATTGCATTGGAGAATACAGTTCCAATACATGAATTTTAGGGGGCACATTTAGACCATAGCACCCCACATCTATTTTCCCTTATTAACATCTTACATTAGTATAGTATACTTGTCACAATTAATGAACCAGTATTGATACATAATTTTAACTAAAGTCCATACTTTATTCTGATTTTCTTAGTTATCACTTGATGTTCCTTTTCTGTTCCACAATCCTATCCAGGGCACCATATATATTACCTTTAGTCCTTCTATCTCCTTGTGCTTCTCTTGGCTGTGACCATTTCTCATAATTTCCTTGTTTTTGATGGCATTGACTGTTTTAAGCAGTATTGGCCAGGTATTTTTGAGAATGCCATACACGAATAAACTTTTAAAGATATCTAATATAGTCCTATATTCAGTTAGTGCACAGGAAAAATGTAACTTAAAATAAATCTAGTATGGGCTGGGTGCGATGGCTCACGCCTGTAATCCCAGCACTTTGGGAGGCCAAGGCGGGTGGATCACCTAAGGTCAGGAGTTCGAGACCAGCCTGGACAACATGGTGAAACCCCCATCTCTACTAAAAATACAAAAAGTAGCCAGCCGTGGTGGCAGGCACCTGTAATCCCAGCTACTTGGGAGGCTGAGGCAGGAGAATCGCTTGAACCTGGGAGGCGGAGGTTGCAGTGAGCCGAGATCGTGCCATTGCACTCCAGCCTGGTGGACAAGAGTGAGACTTTGTCTGAAAATAACTAACTAACTATCTAAATAAATAAATAAATTCTAGTATGTAGGAAACTTTGGTTAAGGTAATTCTAGAAGGAAAAAAATCTTTTGGAAATGGCTTAAACTATTAAAATCAAGTCAAATAGGCTGAACAATTGGTCCTAGTTTTCATAGAGATATAATACTAGATAGAATAATTATGACTAGTAGTTGGAATTGTCATTTCAAAAACTTGAAACAACTTTCCAAATTGAACAGAAATTGAAATTATTTATATTCTTATGAGTTGTAATCTTTGTTGTTTTTAAATAGTAATAAAGTTAATATTATCTTGGGTTCTGTTTTAATTGATCACTGTTTATAAACATTTTTAAAAATTTTTTATTTTATTATTATTATACTTTAAGTTTTAGGGTACATGTGCACAACGTGCAGCTTTGTTACATATGTATACATGTGCCATGCTGGTGTGCTGCACCCATTAACTCGTCATTTAGCATTAGGTATAATAAACATTTTTATGTGTTGAAGTAAAATACATATTTGACATTAAAAATACTATGCAGTACTCATTTAATCATATTAATATATCTTATTTGTCTAAATGTCTCCCATTGTGGATTATTTGGGTTGCTTTCATTTTTTAATAATACGCCCATAAACATTTTTGTATAAGAATTATAAACATTTTTGTATAAGAACAATTTAAAATTGAACCAATTTTTATTTTTTCCAGCAAGGTATATAAATGCATGCTTTTCCACATGCCCACTAACACTGAGTTCTATCTTTTGTGTATTTTCACTAGGATGTAATGCTGCTGTAAAGTGTTTTGCTCTATACTGCTCCTATAGAGCAAAGTCGTGCATTTTCCCAAAATTTCTTGTGTAAATTGTTTTTCTTTATTTGTTATTAAATGGAATTTAAATGCCAAACTTATAGATAAAATTAGACACCCAGTAGGCCTGTTAATTAGGAAGGGCTGTGCTTTTTAGGAAAATGGCAGTTTGTGTGGAGGGTGAGTATAAGAACAGCTCCTCCTGAGACTAGGGATTATTTTCATTAAGGAAAAGGGAAAGAGAAGAGAAGAAAAGAAGGTATAAAAGCAAAAAAGGAGGGTGTAATGAGGAAACAGTAAAAGGTCACCACTCCACATTTTGAAAGTTGTCACCTCTATAACTTACTAACATTTTTAATAAAGTAAAAAGCCCAAGAAGTGCTTGATACAAAAGGTGGATTGGTTATAGTCACTAAGATTAGGGAAATAAAGGGTGATGACGGCAAAAAAAGTGGCAATAAAACACTGACGACAAAGAGAAGTAAAAAGGTGTGGGGTGGGGGTGTGTGTGTGTGAGAGAGAGAGAGAGAGAGAGAGAATGAGGCACAATAAAATTTTGAGGAGGGGAGTTACTGGATATAAGGTTTGGGTCAGGTATAACCTGGGATCAGGGAGAGCCCAGCTGAAACATATTTATATATATAAAATAGTAACCTTTTTATGGTGTGTCACATTTAGTTCTTCCTGTCATTTGATGGTGTTTTTATTCTTGTAATATGGAAATATGTATTTTGCATTTAATAACCTATTTTTTAAATAGCCACTAATTTATCTCGCCATCCACAAAAGGGATAAATATGTTATTCTGGTTTCTTTGAGTATTACATTGTATAGTCTAGTTTCTGGTAGATTCATATTTTATGTTCTATTTTTGAACCCATTGTAATTTACTGATATGGCTCTAGTGACAATAGATCTAAGTTAATTTGTTTCGATATAATTGAAAAAGTTATTTCATTCTCTATTGTACTACTCCAGTTTGTAATAAAATAAGTCATTATAATGGCTTGAATCAATAACTGACCAATTTTTGAAACCCCCATTTTTTTTTTTTTTTTGAGATAGTCTTCTGTTGCCCAGACTGGAATGTAGTGGCACAAACACAGCTCACTGCAGCCTCACCTTCCTGGGCTTAAGCGATCCCCTTGCCTCAGTCTCCTGAGTAGCTGGGACTACAAGCGTGCATTACCACACTGGGCTAATTTTTAAATTTTTTCTAGAGATGGGGTCTGTCAACATTGCCCAGGCTGGTCTCAAACTCTTGGGCTCAAGTGATCCTCCCGCCTTGGCCTCCCAAAGAGCTGGGATTACAGGTGTCAGCCACTGTGCCCTACCCCGTGTTATAAACATGGTATAATAAATTTTTGACAATAAATTTTATTTACTTAAAATTACATAAATTTTATGTTATGTATATTTTACCACATAATTACGTAAATTTTGTTGTTACATAAATTTATTATAACATTTATGATCTTAAACACTTTTAAGTGTGTAGTTCAGTAGCATTACATACATCCACACTGTTGTGCCCATAATAAAATTGTAAAGCCTGGCCTTACCATTATAATCTTTTAAGGAGCCATTATTTGTCATATTTCTCCCTTTCAAATGGGTTTCACTATCACTCAAAATCTGTCAGGGATATAATTTAGCAATAGGAATCATAGAATTTAGAGTAAAAAAGTATAAGAGGAGTGACCTTGTTCAACTTTGTCATTTACATGCGACATAACAGGCCAAGAGAAAATGAATCACTTTCCCAAGTCACCTTTAGTTAATAGCAGAGCCAGGACTCTGACCCTGGCCTATGCTGACTAGCTCCAAACATACAGTAATAAAAAAGAAACTGCCCAAAGAGTTCCTGTTACTTTTAATCCCTTACTTACAGATTTATGCTACTCCACACTACAATAATCTTTTATTTTGTGGATTTTAAAGCGGCAGGTCAAAATTTTCAAAGGGCATAGGAGTAGAAGTTTGCCACCTACAGGTCAAAAGAAAGAAGACATCTTTAGATTTTCAGAGCTTCAAAGTTTTAAAGAAGTGAGGTGAAAGTGTGTTTTAAAACACTTTTGAGAGTAGCTGTCAATATAACACAAGAAGATTTTTATAAAAAGAGATAGTGGCGTAATTCTCAGCACTTTTAGTGCAACAAGTTTCTACTATATTATTTTTTCAGTAATATATGGCACTAGGGTGGCAGAAAAAAATGATAAGAGTGTGGAACAGTATGAATCCATAATTAGAAAGAAATGAAAATGTTTCTCAGCAACTGAGAACTAATTTCTCTTTTTCTGCTGGCATTCTTCCTCCCTGCTAAGAAAAATCTGGATGGGCAATGAAAGCTCTGTAATGATGCTGGGACAAGTGTATAACCATTTAGAAAAAGTTCATTTACAGTCTTAACTCATAACCTCTGCCTACTAAAACAAATTCCAGTTAGATGAAATATTTCAATGTGAAAGGTAAGATAACAAAAGTACTAAAAAGTCTATATAGAAGATTGTAACAAAATCTTGGAATTGGGAAGACCTTTCTAAATCTAACACCAAAGGAAAGAAAATAGACATTTTACAAGTCTTTTTTTTTTTTTTTTTTTTTTTTTTTGAGACGGAGTCTCGTTGTTTCACCAGGCTGGAGTGCAGTGGCACGATCTCGGCTCACTGCAACCTCCAGCTCCCTGGGTTCAAGCGATTCTCCTGCCTCAGCCTTCTGACTAGTTGGGACTACAGGCACGCGCCACCACGCCCAGCTAATTTTTGTATTTTTAGTAGAGACGGGGTTTCACCATGTTGGCCAGGATGGTCTCCATCTCTTGACTTCGTGATCTGCCCGCCTCAGCCTCCCAAAGTGCTGGGATTACAGGCGTGAGCCACTACGCCCGGCCCAAATCTTTTTTTTAAAATAAAGAAAAGTCACTGTTTTGTCTCCCTTACTAATAATCAAAAAAAAGTTTAATTAAAATTAGATAGCATTTTTACTCAAATTGGTCCAAAAAAATGTTAATGATAATATTCAGTGTTGACAAGGGTTGGGGAAAAGACACGTTCATTTGCAGAGCCTTCTGGAGAACAATTTGGCAAAAATATATCGCAAAGGGCACAATCCACCTAACTGTAAATGGTGGTGCTGGCTTCTAGCCTAGGCTTTTTCCTTCACGTTTTGGGACTCCTTATACAAATCTACTGTTTGCCCAGTTTTGTTCCCAGGGGTCTCAGGGAGCATCTAACTTGGAAATAAGAATAATGAATTATACATGAATCTCAGGAAAATGTTTTTTTCCCCCATGAGTGAACATTGAAAACTCAAAGAAGATTATCAAATAATTCTTTCATAAACAAGGTAATTTGTGGTTTTTAAAATTCAAACCTGTAAGAAACTGGAATTTTCATCATTTCCTTAATGGACAGACTATTTAAATATTAATTCATGTGGGAGGATTGCTTGAGGCTGAAAGTTCAAGTCTGCAGTGAGTTGACTATGCCACTGTACTCTAGCCTGGTGCAACAGAGAAAGACTGTGTCTCTACAATAATAAAAATAAAAATAAAATATTAATTCACACCTCTCAAAAAATACATATATATCAGAAAAGCTTAAAAATGCCTAGCTACCTATTGACCCGTTATCCATTTCTAAGAATTTATCCAGAAGAAATAATCACAAATAATAGGAAAGATTCCATTAGAATCTATTTATGATACCCTTGTCCGTAATAGCTCCCAAGCTGGAATTGACCTAAATGTCTGATAGGATATTGGTTGAATAAATTATAGTAGGTTATTGCGCTGGAATGATATGATACCATTGAAACTATTTTACTAAACTCTAATAATATTAGGGGAATTTCTTGATATATTAATTGACAGAAGTAGATTATATGGCCGCATGTTTAGTATGACCCCACTTTGGATTGTAAAAAACACATCTACATCTACACACATAGAAGCAGCCTTGGAAAGCCATACCCCCAAATATTAATAATGGTAACCTTGACGTGTGGGGAAAATAACAGAATAAGAAGTTCCTCTAAAAATGTTCTTGAAGAATAATGGAAAGAATTAAAGGATGAATGTGTTCCAATGACAGTGTGAATAGGTGAAGAGGAAAAGGCAATCCATAGTTAAAGACAAAAAAAAAAAAAGAGACCTGACTCAGTATGTAAAAGTACTTAGGAAGAAAGGAGGTGCCAGCACATGCAATAAAATTCGTCGAGGATAAAGTCACATGCAAAGTAAAAGCTTGTACAACATGATCTAGGAGCCTAGAAGTAAACCACAAATAGCATGGGCAATTTGGCATGGCTGCTGCTTGCAAAATGTGAATTTTGTTATCCCAAGAGTCGATCTAAAACTGTGAATACATTTTCTAGTCTAAATAAAGATCTAAACTGTTTAAAAAGCTCCACAATAATATATGACTAAGTGGCCACGGGTGAAAACTCATTTAGAAATAACAAAGAAACTAGATTTTTAAAGAAAGAATCCTTTGAAAAGTATTTTGACGCTTTGAAAGTATTTCTTTAGAATGCATTACATTTTTTAAATTTTTTTACTCATAGACGGTAGAGCTAATTAAAATCAGTTTTTCACTTTTTATTGAATATATGCTCCTAGATTACTTTATCAAAGCAGAGTTCATATTCTGCCACATGCAGAATTTGCTCATGGAGAAGTCTTCAGGTTTTTTGATCATGTGCCCCAATACATGCATTTATATTTATAAATTAAATGCATCTGTCCTACTAAACTAATAGGATACATAAATTATATGTAATCAGAAACTCAAAAGAATGCAACCGTTTTTCTCTTATCTACCTATGACCTGGAAGCTCCCTCCTCACTTTGAGTTGTTGTCCCGCCTTTGCCTTGAGTTGTCTCACCTTTCTGAACTGAACCAATCAATATACATCTTATACATATTGACTGATGTCTCATGTCTCCCTAAAATGTATAAAACAAAGCTGTGTCCCTACCACCTTGGGCGCATGTCATCAGGACCTCCTGAAGCTGTGTCACAGGTGTGCTTCCTCAACCTTGGCAAAATAAACTTTCTAAATTAACTGAGACCTGTCTCAGATTTTCAGGGTTCACAGTTTGCAGCCTCCACAGGGCAAGTCTGAAATATGATTGATTAAAAACGCAGTGTGTATTTAATTATCTTAATTTCTGAATAAAGAATACACAACAGACGTCGTGAGCAAAGATCTTGCCTTACTGGTTAATGGTGTTCCTGAAGAGCATGTCTGACTAGTAGCTCTATCAGAGGACTCACTTGGCTTCAATTTCAGCCTCAACAAACAATATTCCTAGCTTCCCAGAGAGACTTTCTTACATGGGAGGACATTCTTGGCTCGGTTCATATGAGTATTCTGATCTTTTGGGTAGTTACATTACAAATATAAATATGAAATTAGCATCTTCTCTGTGAGTCTGGTTAACATGAGTTAGTTCTGATGATGATTATCTTCTGCTATTCAGATAAAGCTATGATCACAGGAAACTTGCCAGGGGACACCAGTGTCTAAGCACTGCCACCCTGTGGGACCCTTGACTCCTTTGACCCACCATTCCCTTTCCCTCACTAAATTGAGCCTTTTAGAGTAGAACAATGGCATGAACTCATGAGCCAAGAACTGCACCTAAACTTCATGGCTTTGAAATCCAGAGGGTGCTCTAATGTTTGAATGGTCCATCTTTAACATAGGAAAGTAGTTCTTTGAAAGGTTGTACATTTAAGTAATCATTTTAAACAATAAATGGTATAATGCAGATCTCTGTTATGGCATTTCAGGAGAGTTTGTGACAGAGGAAATTCCTCTACTGTGTTCCTGGGATTGAAACTTACCTCCATTACTGTGTTTTATGTGGAGTCTATTTATTCCTATATTTCTTGTAATTTAGTCCAAAGTGTTTCTTGGCAACATTCCCCCACAATTCTTTTGAGTTGTGTGAGTTCCCATTTCATAACCTGTTGTTTGCCATCTAATTTCTGATATCTTCTGATATCTTCTAATATCTGATATTTCTAATGTGCTATTCTTTCAAAAACATCAATCTAGATGATTTAACTCATTTACAAATATTAATTGTCATCAGCTGTGTGGCTGCATTTTTTTCTGGTGAGTTTCTGTTGCGTTTTCATTGTCTGTTAGAATATTTGGTCGGTGCGCTATGGTTTGAATGTTTTTGTCCTCTCCCAAAATTCATGTGTTGAAATTTTAATCCCCAATGCAACAGTGTTGAGAGGTGTTAATTAATGCTGTCATAAAACAACCTTGCTGGAGTGGGTTTGCTATCTCTTGCTCTTCCACCATGTGAAGAAGATACAGTAAGAAGGTCTGTACAAGACGCTGACACCTTGATCTTGGACTTCCCAGCTGACGGAAATGTGAGACAATAAATTTCTGTTCTTTATAATCCCCCAGTCTGTGGTATTCTGTTATTGCAGCACAAAAGGACCAAGATAGTCGTTTTAATCTTTTTTCCTTTTCTTTCTTTTTAACTTTTGTGGGTACATAGTAGGTATATATATTTGTGGGGTACATGAAATGTTTTGATACAGGCATGTAATGTGAGATAATCACATCATGGAGAATGGGGTATCCATTCCCTCAAGCATTTATCCTTTGTGTTACAAACAATCCAATTACACTTTTAGTTATTTTAATATATACAATTATTACTGAATAGTCACCCTGTTGTGTAACCAAATAGTATGTCTTATTCATTCTTTCTATTTTTTTTGTACCCAGTAACCACCGCCACCTCCCTACTACCCTTACCAGCCTCTGGTAACAATTCTACTCTCTATGTCCATGAGTTCAATTTTTTTTTATTTTTATTTTTAGATCCCACAAGTAAGTGACAACATGCGATGTTTATCCTTCTGTGCCTGGCTTATTTCAGTGAATGTAATGAACTTCGGTACCATCCATGTTGTTGCAAGTGACAGGGTCTCATTATTTTTTAGGGCCAAATAGTACTCCATTGTGTATATGTACAATTTTTTCTTTTCTTTCTTTCTTTTTTTTTTTTTTCGAGACGGAGTCTCGCTCTGTAGCCCAGGCTGGAGTGCAGTGGCGCGATCTCGGCTCACTGCAAGCTCCGCCTCCCGGGTTCACGCCATTCTCCTGCCTCAGCCTCCCGAGTAGCTGGGACTACAGGCGCCCGCCACCACGCCCGGATAATTTTTTGTATTTTTAGTAGAGACAGGGTTTCACCGTGTTAGCCAGGATGGTCTCTATCTCCTGTCACTTGCAACAACATGGATGGAAACGAAGATCATCATATTCACTGAAATAAGCCAGGCACAGAAGGATAAACATCGCATGTTGCCACTTATTTGTGAGATCTAAAAATAATAAAAAAATTGAACTCATGGACATAGAGACTAGAAGAATTGTTACCAGAGGCTAGGAAGTGTAGTAAGGAGGTGGCGGTAGTTAATGGGTACAAAAAAGTGTGATCTACCTGCCCACCTCAGCCTCCCAAAGTGCTGGGATTACAGGGTTGAGCCACAGCACCCGGCCACCATTTTTTCTTTATCCATTCATCTGTTGATGGACATTTAGGTTGCTTCCAAATCTTAGCTATTGTGAACAGTGCTGCAACAAACATGGGGGCACAGATATCTCTTTGATATATTGATGTGCTTTCTTTTGGGTATATACCCAGCAGTGGGATTGCTGGATCATATGATAGCTCTATTTTTAGTTTTTTTGAGGAACCTCAAAACTGTTTTCCATAGTGGATGTAATAATTTACATTTTCACTGTGTGTACATTGTTGGTGAGAATGTAAATTATTACAACCACAGTGTTCCCTTTTCTCCACATCCTCAGCAGCATTCCTTACTGCCTGTCTTTTGAATATAAGCCAAAGACATGAAATAACCAATGCTTTGATATGCATTTCTCTGATGATCAGTGATGTTGAGCACCTTTTTGTTTGCCTGTTTGCCTTTCATATGTCTTCTTTTGAAAAATGTTTATTCAAATCTTTTGCCCATCTTTTGATCAGATTATTAGATTTTTTTTCCCTATAGAGTGTTTTGAGCTCTTCACATATTCTGGTTATTAATCCCTCGTCAGATGGGTAGTTTGCAAATATTTTCTCCCATTCTGTGGGTTGTCTCTTCACTTTGTTGATTGTTTGTTGTGCAGAAGCTTTTTAACTTGATGTGATCTCATTTGTCCATTTTTACTTTGGTTGCTTGTGCTTGTGGGGTACTACTCCCAGAAATCTTTGCTGAGTCCAATGTCCTGGAAATTTCCCCCAATGTTTTCTTTTAGTAGTTTAAATTTGAGGTCTTAGATTTAAGTCTTTAATCCATTTTTATTTGATTTTTGTATACAGCAAGAGATAGGGGTCTAGTTTCATTCTTCTGTATATGGATATCCAGTTTTCCTAGCACGATTTATTAAAGAGACGGTCTTTTCTCCAGAGTATGTTCTTGGCAACTTTGTTGAAAATGAGTTCACTGTGTGTGGATTTGTTTCTGGGTTCCCTATTCTGTTCCATTGGTCTATGTGTCTGTTTTTATGTCAGTACCGTTCTGTTTTGGTTATTATAGCTCTGTAGGATAATTTGAAGTCAGGTAAATGTGATTCCTCCGGTTTTTTTTTTGTTTTGTTTTGTTTTTTTGCTTAGGATAGCTTTGCCTATTTTGGGTCTTTTGTGGTGCCATATAAATGTTAGGATTGTTTTTTTCTATTTCTGTGAGGAATTTCATCGGTATTTTCATAGGGATTGCATTGAATCCATATATTGCTTTGGGTAGTATGGAGTATGAACATTTTAACAGTATTGATTCTTTCAATCCATGAACATGGAATATTTTTCCATTTTTTGGTGTCCTCTTCAATTTCATTAATCAGTTTTACAGTTTTCATTATAGAGATCTTTCACTTTGGTTGATTCCTAGATATTTAATTTTATTTGTGGCTTTATAAATGAGATTACTTTTCAATTTCTTTTTCAGATTGCCCACTGTTGGCATATAGATATGCTACTGGTTTTTGTGTGCTGATTTTGTATCCTGCAACTTTACTGAATTTGTTTATCAGTTCTAATCGTTTTTTGGTGGAGTCTTTAGATTTTTCCAAGTATAAGATCATATCATCTGCAAACAAGGATAATCTGACTTCTTTCATTCCAATTTAGATGCCCTTTATATCTTTCTCTTTTCTTATTGCTCTAGCTAGGACTTCCAGTATGTTCCTGTATGTTGAATAACAATGGTAAAAGTGGGTATCCTTGTGTTAATCTTTTTTCTTATACCAAGTTCATTTGATATTAAATGGTTTTTCTTTTTTTCCCCATGTTCAAATTACAAGGATTTTTGTATATTCCATCGAAAAGAAGACTCCTGTGAAGGAGGTGGAGATGGACCATGGTCAATTTCTCAGCTTCATGGCTCCAGGGCTTTCTCCTATTGTTAATAAAGGACTGAAAATACAGCGTTTTTATGTAACCTATCTCCGCTTGTCAAAGTCAAGTCTGGTTGGCAAGATTTTCTATCTCTAGTTCTGTGTTTTCTAGAGGTCAGTGAACCTTGTCTTCAAGATTACATTTATTTTCAGTGATTTTACTCCCCTGGATTATTCCACTGGGTCTACCACCAACCCCAGTCTAACACAAAATGATGTTTTACCATTCCCAATCTAAATCATCCTTCTCCCTATTATAAATGATCCTGCTCCGCTCTATTTTACTACTTTCCAGCAATCTTCCCCTCAAGCGTGTGAATCAGTCTTCCTGGAAGGACACATGTGCTGAATATTTCTGATATTCTTCAGGGTTTAAATCACCACAGGACATTGAATTCTCCTGCATCCACACATGCACATGCAGATGGGCTTTTGGTTGTTTTTGGTGGTGGTTGTTTTGCATTCATCCAGAATGTGTGGCCCATGAGTTAGTTCTCAAAACTGCTTACCCATATTTCCATTCAGGTAGAGTCCTCTCTTTTTGGAAGCACTTGTTAGTAATTTTGGAAACTGTAGCTCATAATAGCCTGTTGGTAACCCTTTCACTCTTGCTGCTTCCCACCTTCCTTTCTGATGATTCTGTATCTCTCCCGTTACTGGGTAGAGGGGCACATCTGCCCATATTCTGGGAATTGTAGGAATTCTACTGTTTAAATTTCTTAAAGATTATTTTTGAAGAGCTAGTTAATACCTGGTCCAAGAGGAGTTATTCATCCTTCTGAAGACAGGCTTCTCTTGGGTGAAAAAATGTAGATGTAGAATGCCAGCAAGCGTTCTTATAGTCATATTAAAAAGGCAGTTCAGTCTCACAAAGAGGTCAACACTGCTCTGGTCTTCTGGGAAATGTGTAACTGCTTATAGATAAGGTTTCCTCGAAAACCCACTTACTTACATGAACCAAATTTAGTCCAGGGACTGCCCTCAGTTTGCAAGGACAGAATAGTTCCTGGAATAGTTAAAACTTAAAGGTATTTCTTGTTATTATAAGAATTTTTTAAATGGCTAATAAACTCCATGATAGTATAAAGTTTTTTAGGATGTAGAAACAAAACAAATTAATAAAATCTCTATTAGGGTGAGACTTCTAATTTCAAAGGAAAAAATGCATGAATTTAATAAATATTTAGCACTACTAATATATGCAAGTACCAACTTCATAAAAATTCCATTATATAAACTGAATTGAACATCTGTCAATTAATATTAGTAACACTCATGATATATATATAATATTTTAACAAAAATAAGTTTTAATGTTATACAGAGGGAAAATAAAAGTATCAGTATCTACCTAGGTAAAATCATATATTTTATTTTTAAAAACAGTTTAACAGTCAACATTGCTATTATTTCAACTTAGAACAAAGACTATATGTATAACTGAGATGACTGCCTGTGCAAGGTTTTCATGTGGTCACATTTAAGACAACCACCAAAGCAAAAAAATTCATTATTTAGCACAATGCAAAATGAGATTATTTTACCATTCCCAAGCACGAAAATAATCAAGGTACATTTCTAACACATTTAAATTAGCCCTATAAATAAACCAGGCATTCTCTTTTCTTCTTGTTTTGTTGTTACCTTACAGGAAAAAAAGTTTCATATCATAATTAAGGCTTAGGGACACAGACTTCAGAGCCAATAAAATTTTGGTTCAAATTCCAGTGCTACCTCCTACTAGCTGTGAGATATTGGGCTAGTTTCTTAACCATGCTAAGCCAATTTCCTCATCTATAACATGGAGAAAATGGATGTTGCAAAGATCGAGATAATATATGTATTATGGGTTTAATTGTGACCCCGTAAATTAATATATTGAATCCCTAACTCATAGTATCTCAGAATGTGACTGTATTTGGAGATAGGGCCCTTAAAGAGGTAATTAAAATGAGACCATTGGGGTGGGCCCTAATCCAGTCTGACTGGGGTCCTTATAAGAGGAAATTTGGACACAAAAAATAGATGCCAGGGATGTGCACACACAGAAGGAAGACTGTGAGGACACAAGAAGGTAGCCATCTACAAGCCAAGGAGTAAGGCCTCAGAAGAAACAAATCCTGTCCACACCTTAATCTCAGTTTTCTTTTCATCATAACTTTGACAAAATAAATTTCTGTACCCAGTATGTGGTACTTTGTTAAAGCAGTTCTAGCTAATTAATACAGCATGTAAAGGATTTAAAACAGTTTCTGGAAAATGGTAGATAATCAGTAACTGTTACTACTATTTTAATTATTTTCCCAGGGCTCTTCTAATATTCAATTCCAAAAATTACACATGAAACTTAATTTTTAAATATTCAATTTATGGCTAGGTAGCAAAAGACAAAGAATTTGTTGGGAGAAGCAGTCCAGTATGGGCTCTGAGCATCCCTGCACATTCTTGCTGGGTATTGCCCTTTCTTTTTCTAGGCCATTTCTAAGGGTTGTGTTTGCAGGGAGAAATCTTAAGGAATGGTGTAATATCTTCCTCCTGATGAAAAATAGGCTTGCTTGTGCTTACTATAATAGTGGTGACTCATCCAAGCTTGGTGTTCCTCTCCTGTAACACAACCCACTGTGTGTGCAGACATTCATTCTGGGCTCTTTGTGTCATACAATAATATTTGGGAAACACATGGGACTGACACAAATCAACATGAAGCTCTGGATACTATAAAGTCCTATGTCTCTGACCCATGAGTCTCATGTCTTCTGCCAGCATCCCATGAAATTTTAACAGGCTAATTTGTTAGCACGTGTCTTAGTTCATTTTGTGCTGCTATAATAGAAAATTACAGACTGGGTATTTTATAGAGAACAGAAATTTATCTCCCACAGTTCTGGAGCCTGGGAAGTCCAAGATCAAGGGTTTTGATGAGGGTCCAGTCTTTGCTTCCAAGATGGTGCCTTGGATGCTGCATCCTCCAGAGAGGGAGAACACTGTGTCTTCACATGGCAGAAGGCAGAAAGACAAAAACGGACAAACACTGAATCCCCACATGGCAGAAGAGCGTGAACCCACTCCTGGAAGCTCTTTTAATAACGGCATTAATCTATTCATAAGGGTGGAGCCTTCATGAACTAGACACCTCCCATTAAGCCCCACCTCTCAATCCTGTTGCATTGGGGATTAAAACCCCACACATAAATTTTGGGGGGACACATTCAGACCAAAACATCTTGTAAGTAGGGTAAAATCTCAGACATTGCACAGTTCTTGACAATGTTGGCTAACAGAGCCATGGCTTTCTGATGTTAACGTAATTAATTGGGAGGCCAATAGACTGAGGTAGCTCTAGTACCCTGAGTTGCTACATAAACAAACTGAACCCCAAATCAGGGTGAAAGGCCCTAGCCTAGGAAAATGAAACTTAAGCATAACCTATCAGAAACTGCCAACTAAGCTCTAACTAGGGACTTTAGAAATTGCCAGTAAACCTCTCACTAGGGAATTTAAAGCTACTGCTCCACCTTAACCAATCAAATATTTTCTTTGTCTTGCCTACATGAACACATTATAAAAGTTTTCCCCTTGCATCCCTTCATTGGAGCCCCAAACTGCCTGCAGTCTGGAGTTGTTCCATTCACAAATCACTGACTGCTCAAATAAACTCTAAAATGTTAATGTACCTAAGTTTTAATACTGGAAAACAGGAAGGCCTCAATGGCTAGATTAGGAGATATGAGAAGACTCTGGGATTCAGTAGTGAATGCTCTCATTCAAGTAGTGGGAAAAGAAGAGGGGAGTAGGCTTCCCTCTTATCTGTTAATGAATGTTCAGAGGCTAAACAGTGTGAGGCAGGATTAAAACAAGACACCCAAATGGTGTCTTGGTTGTTGCTCATTCACTTCAGGGTGGGAGGCAGAAGACATTGACATGACAATGAAGCAGCATTCTCCAGAGCCCTAGAAAACAGGAAATTTGGCTGTGGCTGATGAGTCAAGGAGTCCACAAAGCTGAAACAAATGGTATCAGCAATAAGAAAATAAAACTTTGACTAGATTAAAAATACAAGTTTGTTGCTGAGTTGGGCAGTCAATCAAAACTGAAAGTATAGGCCTGTGTTGCTTAACCGAGGGGATACATTCTGAGAAATGCATCATGAGGCGATTTAATTGTTGTGTAAACATCAGAGGGTGTACTTACACAAACCAAGATGGTACAGCCTACTACAAACCTAGGCTATATGAGCCCACTGAACCTAGGCTACAAACCTGCACAGCATGTTATTGTACAGAATAACATAGGCAACTGTAACACAGTGGTAAGTATTTGTGTGTCTAAACATATCTAAACACAGAAAAGGTACAGTAAAAATATGGTATTACTGTCTATGGGATCACCATATATATGTGGTCCATAGTTGACCAAAATGTCATTATACAACATAGGTTTGAGCTGCATGGGTTCACTTACACATTAATTTTTTTCTGCTTCTGCCATGCCTGAGACAGCAAGACCAGCCCCTCTTCCTTCTCTTCAGCCTATTCAATATGAAGATGGTGAGGATGATGACCTTTATGATGATCCACTTCCATTTAATGAATAGTAAGTGTATTTTCTCTTCCTTGTGATTTTGATAACATTTTCTTTTTTTCTAGCTTACTTTATTGTAAGAATACAGTATGTAATACATGCACAAAATATGTGTTATTGGTAAGGCTTATGGTCAACAGTTAAGCTATTAGTAAAATTTTGGGGGAGTCAAAAGTTATATGCAGGCTGGGCGTGGTGGCACACACCTGTAATCCCAGCACTTTGGGAGGCCAAGGCAGGCGGATTGCCTGAGCTCAGTTTGAGACTACCCTGGGCAACATGGTGAAACCCTGTCTCTACTAAAATACAAAAAATTAGCCAGGTGTGGCAGCAGGTGCCTGTAGTCCCAGCTACTTGGGAGGCTGAGGCAGGAGAATTGCTTGAACCCAGAAGGTGAGGTTGCAGTAAGCCAAGATCACGCCACTGCCCTCCAGCCTGGGCAACAGAGGGAGAGTCTGTCTCCAAAAAAACCAAAAATGTTATATGCAGATTTTTGATTGTGCAGGGCGTTGTCATCCCTGTCCACTGTTGTTCAAAGGTCAACTGTAGATGATGTTCCAGTGGTTGAAATCAGAAGCCACTTCCAACAGCTTTGACTGTGGTGTTTTCATATCTCTACCAGTAGGAATGGCTGGTAAACCCAGACAAAATTTAGGGCCCTGTTTGACCAGTCGTTTTTTGAGACTGGAGAGATTTACAGCACTCAATTCCTTTGGCAATGAAACAAATAAATGCTGTCTCTTTGGCCTCACCAGCAAAAAGGAGGCTCAACACCTTACTAAGACTCTACCAGTATAGGAGGCAGTACATGATGCCATCATGGGTGGCTCCCATATGTGAACATGTAGAAACACAGGGACCAGCACAACCTTGTTTCATTCTGATTGAACTTATGCTTCTCTAAATTTGTCAGAGTGGCCTTGGATTATACCATGTATAGCAACCGAGGCTGCAACTACTCAGTGACACTACTTATGTGACTGAAATCCACATATGATGATTTAAATCAGATTTGACAATACTTCTGAACTAGAGTAACCTGGACCCTTTGGGCTTATGTACTTGTATGTGGGGAAAATAAGCCATAGAAGGGCTCTCCATAGGGAACAGGTTTGTTTTTTGGCCCAGCTATTGCACCCATAATTATTGATAATAACACCACATATCAGTACGTCAGTCAAAGCTCCCTTTATTGGGTCATAAAGTATAATAAATTGTCCTTCACTACATTCTGGCTGCCTAATAAAAAGACCTATTGGTCCTCCCTTGGAACTTAGAGTTGATTGAGTCAAGACCTTGGGGGACAGGACTGAGGTTAATACTGCAGGTTGGCTTCATCCTGCTGCTGTGTCTGATAATAGCCTGCATTAATTGCTATATGAGACCAAATGAACAAATTTGGTACTGACTAAACAACCCGACTGTCAGGTTAATCAGAGTAGCTGATAGAGTGGCATACTCATGTGAAAATTCAAGTTTGGCCAAGAACATCTCAGGCTGAGGAGCAGACTGTTGGAAGAGACTATCCACTATGGGCTCTGAGTGTCCCTGCATACTTACTGGGTATGTCAAGAATGCAAGGACTTTGTCTTTACCTAGTCCATGTCCTAGGCTTGTGTTTACACTAAGCTATCTTCAAGTATGGGGTAATAACTCCCTTTGGACAAAGACCAGGATTTTTTTGCTTACTATAAAAGCAGTTAATAACCCAAGCTTACAACATAACCCACTGTGTGCAGGCTTTCATCATGGGCCCTTTGTGTTCCTCCTGTGGGAACTAGAAAAATGAGGAACTGAATAAAACCAACATGAAGCTCTGGCTACAGCTTTTGCTGTGAGCGATAAGTCCTTTGTTTCTGACCCAGGTGTCTTATGCATTCTGTAGCATCCCACGAAACAGTAACAGGCTAACTTGTTAGCTTATAAGTAGGGTAAAATCTCAGACCATGCACAGTTATTGACAGACATCAACTATTTTCTTCTTGGCAATAGCTGGCATTTTAGGCACCATGACTTGGCTATCAATATATTTATTATTAGCATGACATATTATGAAAAATTATTTTCCAAAGACTTAGCCAGTAACACTACAAAAATAGAAAGCCCGTTAATTCCTGTGAATTTATCTGTGTGTGTCCATGTCCAGTAATTATTTCACTGTCTGTCTGAAGTACTAACAATACTAAATCCAATGCTCGGCGCCACGCCTCAATCTTTGGTGTAACAACGTCATAAACTCTCGGAATCTGCTCCAGTTTATTTGAAATGTCTGAATTAAAAATTCTACTATTTAGTTTACTATATTCATTCAAGATGTAAGATGAAGGAGAGCCAGAGTCTGTGGCATTTTGCAGATGATGTTGAATGTATGTGCTGGCTTCAAATTCTGATGAGTAATTGGCAGTGTTATATAGGAGAGTTGAAAGGTATTTCTGCCATCCATTTGCCAGGAATTTAAGCACAGTTGGTCTGTATATTGCCAGAGATGAAGCCAGCCAAGAGGAAGTATTATGCAGCCACCCTGAGCAGGCATGGTTTTCTTTTTTCAGAGATTGCTCTGCAAGAATATGAAGACAGCTAAGACACAAAAATTCAACTGCACCACCTCCAAGGAAGACCTTTTCCTCTTTTAGAGCATAATACAAACGATAGGCACATGTCCAGAACCTATCTTCTTTGATTTGCATCTGTGCAGTAACTGGGTTAGTGAGCACGGCCGTAACCAAATTAATTCCTTCTGTTTTTAATAAGATTGCGATTCTGTTGTTCCTATCTACAACATCCAAAGGGCTGCTTCTCCAGAAGGTCACGCAGACCCCGTCGCCCACACAATCTTCATTCACTTGTGTAATGTAGGCCACCTGTACTGCTCCTGCAGCCTCTGCAAAAGCCTGCATCACACTGCCATTCACTGAGCCGATTACCAACCGCTTACTGTTTATACATTTTTCAATTAAGCGTTCGGACACATTTCCTTGTACCAGGACAAGGTTCACCTTGAACTGGATTAACACCTGTAACACGTGATTTGCCCACAGTTCTTCTGAGCTGTCTTCTTGAAGCCGCATGCTATCTAATACTGTTTTAATATTTGCAGACTTATTAAATCCCAGGTGGCGGTAATTCTCTGTGAGGTCACCCTCAATGAGAACTATTCGCACAGGCTGATTCTGCAATTCCTTGATCACAGGATTATTAGATACTGACACAACAGTGATATATCCTGGACAAACACAAGAAGAAGTTTCAGGTAAGCCTGGTAGACAGCAAGTGAAAATTCTTGAAATGTCAAACATAAATGGTTTTGTACAGTTGCCTTGTTGCACACAAGCATTCTGATATTGCAGCTGTACTGCTTCTTCTACTAACTTCATGCTGCTGTGATCTCCATGACTCAAGCCTACTGCCAACTCTACCAAATCATTACATCTGTAAGTTTTGTGAGTAGCTGTAACATGTTCTTGAAATCCATCTGGTTTGCTTACCCCTTCAGTATTATCTGTCCTATTAAAATGCCTACTGTGGATTAGTATTGACTGTCTGCAGCAGGTATCTGCAAGCAGGCTGTTTTTCAGAGTTCGTGATGTGTTGTTATCTGCTTCAACCTTTGTCTGAGGTTTAAATAATTCATATGATTTAAGAGGTCTCCCAGAAAGGTTGGAAATGGTCAGTGTTTGAGAGGCAACATCTTTGAGACCATGCAATTCCTCTATCAAATCAGTATCTGAAGGGACCTGTAGAAAAGGACACAAACTTACACTAAATGTTTCAAGTTGAGAAAATGTTTTTGTGCTGTCCATACAGTCAAATATATTGTGAACAGGTACATGAAGAGAAACTACCTCTTCACTACAAAAGTTTAAGCCTTCTGACATTACTGATACTATTATGGAAATGGGGACACCAAGATGAAGACATTCTTCAACTGCACTGCTCCAAGCACCAACAAGAAACAAAAGAGTACTGATTCCAGTTCTATATGTGTTGTTTTGTGCTTGAACTGCTTCATTGAGAAGTTGTCCCACTGCACTGGTTAAATCCAAACTTTCAAGAAGCCTTACTGTTGAACTGATTAATACACTTTCATGACATTCTTCATCTATAATAAATTTGGATGATTTTAGTGGGCCTAGGAAAGTTCTTCCTGTTTCCGCGAATGATGAAAGTTGTTGAAGTCCCATGTGTCTTCTTTTGTTTACGACTCTGCAAGCCATCACCATGTATCATGATCTGCAAACAAAATAAAAACTTGTAACTTTATTCAGTATAATTCATAGTTATAAATGCTATATAGAAATAAAAACAAGATATGCTCCCTGCTTTTGAGGTACATATAATTTCCATGAAAAGTGGTCAGTGCAATGATACAGTATTATTATTCTATTAATGATAAAGGTATGGGGGAATGGAAGAGAAACACTCCACCCAACAGAGGAAATGAAGCATGAGGGCTGTAGGCAACGTTTCCAGAAGAAAGCAATTCTTGGAATGAGTCTTGAAAAATAACTGGAAAGAGTTACAAGTTGAAGGAGGTAGTAGTAAATGTACATATATGTGAAAAAAACATAGTGTATTCAGGGAAATAGAAGTAGCCTGGTTTTATGAGAATATAAAAAATGTAGTGGAGCGGCTGGGCGCAGTGGCTCATGCCTATAATCCCAGCACTTTGGGAGGCCGAGGCGGGCGGATCACGAGGTCAGGGGTTCGAGACCAGCCTGGCCAATATGGCGAAACCTCGTCTCTACTAAAAATACAAAAATTGGCCGGGTGTGGTGGCACGCACCTGTAGTCCCAGCTACTTTGGGGGCTGAGGCAGAAGAATCGCTTGAACCCAGGAGGCGGAGGTTGCAGTGAGCCAAGATGGCGCCACTGCACTCCAGCCTGGGCAACAGAGCAAGACTCAGTCTCAGAAAAAACAACAACAACAAAAAAAAACATGTAGTGGAGAACAGTAGCAGATGAAGCTCTAGAAGAGGAAATGAGCTGGTTTACGAAGGGCATTATGTGCCATAGCAAGTAACTTAAACTTGATCCTGTAATGGGAACCGTTAAAATGTTTTTAATAAAAAAGATCAAGAAACAACTTGATGTAGTGTTTGAAAACATGTACTCTAAACCTAGAAGTCTGGGTGTGAACTTAATCCTACCGCTTTACTAGCTATATAGCCCTCAGCAAGTTATGTACTTTATCCCTTAATTTCCACATCTAAAAAACAGGGATAATAATAGAAGCTATTTCATAGTCATTATAAGGAGTGAATATAGTACTTAGAACAATGTCTGGCACCATGTTTTATGAGTTCTTGTTTTAATAACAATAATAATTGTAATGTTTTGGATATATTACCACTCTGATAACACCGTAGAGGACTGACTAGACAAGTACCAGACTGGAGTATATCCCATTATATATTATAGCACTACAAACATTCCTAGTCATTCCTTCGTTTCATTCATTCATGCATTTAGTGAGTATTTCTTAAGCACCTACAATGTACCAGGAGGCACTGTGTTAATTGCCGGGATTACAAAGACAAAGATTATACATACTCTGCCCTCAAGGAACTCCCAATCTAATTGTGCAGAGAGATATGAAAATGAAGCATAAAAATCCATCGTGAGCAGTGCTCAGAACAAAAGTCTGTTCAAAGCAAGACACAACCATGGATTTATTCCACCACAGGTTCAATGGGAAAGGTATGTGGCATTTCTCCTCCTCTTCAGAATAATGAATGCTTGACATAGCTTTCGTCAGTCTTTCAGTTCCAGTGTTACAAGGGAGATCCCCAGTATTACAAGTCACAGCGAACTCAGAAATGATTAGCATTCTTTTTATTTTTATTTTTTAGACAGGGTCTCGCTCTGTCACCTAGACTGGAGTGCAGTGGCATGGCTCACTGCAGCCTCGACCTCCTGGGCTTAGGTGATTCTCCCACCTCAGCCTCCCAAGTAACTGGGACTACAAGTGCATGCCACCATACCCGGCTAATTTTTCTATTTTTTTTGTAGAGATGGGATTTCGCCATGCTGCCCAGTCTGGTCTTGAAGTACCAGGCTCAAGCGATCCTCCTGCCTAGGCCTCCCAAAGTGCTGGGATTACAGGCATGAGCCACCACACCCAGCCAGCATTCTTAATGTTTGCTTACAAAGATATTTCTCTGTCAAAGTCTTCATTCACTTAAAGAAAACCATTTATGATGCATCTTAGAGAAAGCATGCTCACATTTGCCTTTTATTGCCAGATTTCTCTACTTGGCCTTAAAGGGAGCGGGGGCATGGGACGTGTTCTAATAATATATGCTAAACATGTAGGGGAGAGACAGCTTGTCATTGCAGAGGTGGCTGACTGCCACTGAGCTTCGCCCTTATACTCACCCAACAAATAGTTAATGAGGAGCTACCCCTAACTCCCCACATCCCCATACCCTCCGAAGCTGTCTACATGGGCTGCTCTGTCCTTGGCATGTGCCCTTGAGGGCTGATCCCACTTGGCCACACAAAGGTTTGTGCTCTAGGGTCTTTGAAAGAGAGAATTCCTGCTCTTCAACTTTCAAGCCCAAGCCTTAACATTTCAAGGGCTGCTTCTTCCTCTGAAATAAGTTGCTTTTCACTGGTCATTCATGATTTGGGTGAAAAGGTGGAGTCTGTAGTTCTTGGTTGCTTAATGCAAAAGGCCTGACTCACATTTCCTATAGTGCTGTGGGACATCCAGCCACAGGCATGAAAAGGAGGAGCAAATATCTTTAACTTTTGAATGAACTGTCTGTTTTCCATAACAGCTGAACATTCCCACCAACAATGTATGAGGGTTTTGATTTCTCCACATCCTCACTGCATCAGCTTCCTAGGGCTGCCATACCAAATTACCACAAACAACTGGGTAGCTTAAAACAATACTTATTTATTCTTTCACAGTTCTGGAGTCTAGAAGCCCAAAATCAAAATGCTGGCAGGTCCATGCTCCTTCTGAAGGATCAAGGGAAGAATCCTTCCTTGCTTCCTCCAGCTTCTAGTTGCTCCTAGTGGTCCTTGGCTTCTGACTGCATAACTCTAACCTCTGCCTCTGTTTCAAACAGCCTTCTTATAATCCAGTGATACCAGTCATTGGATTTAGGGCCCACCTTAATCCAGTATGACCTCACTTTAGCTAATTACATCTACAAAGAAACTATTTTCAAATAAGATCACATTTTGAGATGCTAGAAGGACATGAACTGGGGGGAAATATTCAGTCCAGTATACTGAACACTTTCCATTTTTGCTTTTGTAATATTTTGTAATATTATAGATATCCTAGTGAATGTGAAGTGGTATTTCATTGTGTTTTTGACTTGCATTTTCCTCATATTGAGCATCTTTTCATGTGCATTGGCCATTTGTGTATCTTTTTTGGAGAAATGTCTATTCAAGTCTTTTGACCATTTAAAAATAGAGCAGTTAGTCTTTTTTTGGTAAGTTGTAAGAGTTCCTTATACATTCTGGACACTAGATCCTTATCAAACTATGATTTGCAAACATTTTCTCTCATTCTGTAAGTCAGTTTCCACTTTTTGGATTATGCATTTTGATGACCAAATGTTTTTAGTTAGAAATTAGAAATCTAGGCCAGGCACAGTGGCTCACGCCTGTAATCCCAGCACTTTGGGAGGCCAAGGTGGGCAGATCATGAGGTCAGGAGATCGAGACCATTCCTGGCTAACACAGTGAAACCCGTCTCTGTTAAAATACAAAAAAATTAGCCGGGCATGGTGACAGGCACCTGTAGTCCCAGCCACTCAGGAGGCTGAGGCAGGAGAACAGCGTGAACCCGGGAGGTGGAGCCTGCAGTGAGCCGAGATTGCACACTCCAACCTGGGCAACAGAGCGAGACTCTGTCTCAAAAAAAAAGAAAAAGAAATTAGAAATCTAATTTACCTATTTTTTTGTTGTTGTTTGATGAAATCTAATTTACCTATTTTTTTGTTTGCTCATATTATTTGTGCCATATCTAAAAATCCATTGCCAAATCCAAGGTATGAAGATTTAGCCCAATGTTTTATTCAAAGAGTTTTATAGTTTCATCTCTTATATTTAGTTTGTTGACCCATTTTGAGTTAATTTACATATAAAGTGTAAGGTAGGAGTCCAACTTTATTCTTTTGCATGTGGATATCCAATTGTCCCAGTACCATTTGCTGAAGAGACAATTCTTTTCCCCATGGAGTGGCCTTAGCATCTTTGTCAAAAATCAATTAGCCATAGATGTCTATGGATTTCTGGACTCTCAATTCAATTCCACTGATCTATACATTCATCCTTATGCCAGTACCACAGGTTTTAAGTACTATAGCTTTGTAGTAAGTTTGGAAATCAGGAAGTATGAGATGCCAAATTTGTTCTTCCGTTTGTTTTAGCTTTTATATTTATGTCCATAAGTCATCTTAAATTAACTTTTGTAAATGGTGTGAGGTAGGGGTTCCTCTTTCCTCATGGATATCCAGTTGCTCCAGAATAATTTGTTGAAAGGACAAGCTTGAAAAGATTGACTTTTGGGTTTTGTTTTTCATTTCGAACATGTTATGAAAGCTTACTAAGTATGAGGCATTTTACAAGTATTATGTAATGTAGTATTCATTCACAACAACATGAGGGAGGTACTATAATCTATTTTAGTGATGTGGAAAATGAAGCAGAATAGTTACATAACATATACAAAATTTCACAGCTAATTTGTAAAAGGCTATGGACTAAAACCCAGGTTTGTCTAATGTTAAAGCCTATGCTATTAACTACTATATAATTCTGCCTTTTAGGTGCCCCTTGCCCAGTATGATAGTAATTCACCCTCTCTTCTTTAGAATCTTTTACTGTGTTTCCCTTTTCCAAACCTTTCTGCCTTCTTCCAAACCTTATTCATACTCTTAACTTGTACATGTATCAGGGTCTCTGCTTATGATCTCCTTTCTATACTATGCTTAAATCACAAGATATTACTACGAGTAGAAAAGTCAGAGAGAACTTAGAGCGAATGGAAACAGTCATGGGCTATTTCAAATTTAATCTGTATTTAATTTATGTGAAAAAGTTTCCTAGATACAAAAGGCATGAAATTATTTAAAGAAAACTAATGTATAAGCAAAAAGTCACATAAAACTGATATCAAAATCAATATTCAAGACAAATCTGCTTTGGCATTTGAAAAAGCTATTCCAAGTTTTAGTAATTTTTAAAAATTCTCAGCATTCCCAACTCTAGAAGAGCTCCTAAATTATTATTTTGAACAGGTTACAGTCGGCTATAATTAACATAATATAAAAACTCAAAACAAAAATGCCCCATCCTCTAAGAGATGGGGTATAAAAAGGCAAAAACAGCAAAGGGGATAACAAAGTGGATAATTTCAAAGATGATAAGTACTTCTGGCAACTCTTCTTGGCATTACACAGACACAATCTGATTCTTGTCCTGCTATGCATGTCCTGTTATGCACCAATGTTTTCCACAAACAGTTCTCTGTTTTCAGTACTTGCCAGCTTAATGTTTCTTTGAGTTTCTAAGTGTGTAATGGAAGAGCAGAGTCAGACAACTTAACTGGAATTTTGACATCAGAATAAGTTTTTTTTTTCAAAAGATTATGTCCAGTTTTGTCTAAGGTACTCAGTTTAGAGTAATAAGACATGCAATGCTTTCAGGAGCTGCATTTTGAAAAATTATAATATTTTCTTGATGGGCATGATTAGCCTTTTATTATCTAAATCAACTGTTTGCTCATCTCCAGTCTATTCCCAATACAGAAGTCTAATCATGTCACTCTACTGTTTAAAAACCTCTAACTCAGAAAATAAAGCTTTATGCCTTTGACACAGGAGTCCCTTTTAAAAATGAACTCATATCCTTTCACTCCTAGGCTCAAAATCTTGCAAGGCCTACCCATTTCACTTGGAGTCGAAGTCAAAGTCCTTACAATGCCCTAACTATTTGCAGTCCTTTCTTTACCCTTCTGACTTTATCACTTACTATTTTATCCCTTGGCCACTTTGTTCTGGCCTCTTTTTGTAATGCTTTGCATGTTCCCTATCTTAATGTTTCTGTTCTAGTTGTTCCCTCTTTCTGGAATGCTCTTCCCTAAGAAATCTATTGCTGCATCACCTTCAAATATTTTCTCAAATTTTCTGCTTTTCAATGAGGCCTACCCTGAGCACTCTATAGAATACCACAAATCCTCTTTTCCCTCTGTACTCTGGATTTGTTCCATCTGTTATACTTTCTTTTTCCCATAACACTTATTCCCTTATAAAATAGGATATAGTTTACTTATTTATTTTTTATAGACTACATCTCTCTCTTAGAATGTAATTTCCAGGAAGGCAATTTTAGTCAATGATGTATATCCCGAGTACCTACAATATTGCCTGACACACAGCAAGTACTCTATAAATATTTGGTAAGTGAATGAATTTTTTTCACCATATTTGTTCCCCCAAATTTAAGTACAAAACTGAAGCAAGAGAAAACAGACGGTACTTTTAGTATTTCTCCAACATGAATATAAGTTTTAACCATCCTTGGAGTTGACTTGATTCCTATTTGGCACCGCCTTAGTTGAGGCCCTTTAATTGCTTCTAATGAGAGTTCCTCCTTCATATGGTGGTCAGAATTAGCACTGAAAAAGCACAAACCTAAACAGATTACTCCACTGCCAAAAAACATCTATTTATCTTAAAAAAGAAAGTCTTTACTCCTTGGCTTGATATATGTGCCTTATAATCTAACCTCAACCTAATTTATGACTCTTCTCCCACCTTTCCTTATAAACCTCATGATCTTGTCACGCTAGAACATATTTATTTTCACTAAGCTATACTGATTTGAATAGTCTATATTTTCTTCATCTCCATAGATGCTATAGATCTTTCATGACCCAACGCAAATGCCTCATTTCCTATCAGGACTTCTCTAATGCCCTGGGGTAGAGTTGTCCCTCCTTTCTGTGCTCCCAACGCACTTTCTATACCCATCTACCAAAGCAGATTAAAAATACCCTGTATTAAAAACATTGTATTATGTTTGTGTCTAGCTCCCCCACTAATCTGTAGATTCCTTAGTTATTCATCTTTTATATTCTATTTTTATTTCTTTCGAACTCACCCAGTAGTTGGCATAGTGCATGACATATAGAAAACATTAAATACATTTGGGAGATTTAAGAGTGCCTATGTGTTTAATGTTTTCCTGGATAATGATGATGATTAATGTTCTAAAGTGCAGTTAGATTCGTTAATAGCTAGTTTTCAAAACTAATTACATCCTATTCAAGATCTGGGAGTTGGAATCTGAGCCTACAATTAAAAAAACATTTTAACTAGCAGTAAATATTCCAAATATAAAAGCCTAAATCATAGTGATATAAAAATAGGTTAATATACTACTCCGCCATTTAATTGTCATTAGATCAAACATGATCCAAGAGATCCTCGAAATTAGGATTGGGTTGAGTATATACTTGGTCACTATTCATTTCTGGGTCTAAGAAATCCTTTTAATATTAGTATTAAAAATGAAGTATATGGCCGGGCGCAGTTGCTCACGCCTGTAATCCCAGCACTTTGAGAGGCCGAGGCGAGCGGATCATGAAGTCAGGAGATGGAGACCATCCTGGCTAATACGGTGAAACTCCGTCTCTACTAAAAATACAAAAAAATTAGCCGGGCGCGGTGGCGGGCGCCTGTACTCCCAGCTATTCGGGAGGCTGAGGCAGAAGAACGGCGAGAACCCGGGAGGTGGAGCTTGCAGTGAGCCGGGATTGAGCCACTGCACTCCAGCCTGGGCGACAGAGCAGGACTCGGTCTCAAAAAAAAAAAAGTGTATGACCTTGAAACTGATCAAGAGCAACTTTCCAAGTGAGATAAATGACGTGAAAAATCATATATTAAAGTGACCACATTTTACTTAACTCAAAAATTATCTTGGATTTGTGCCATTTTAATTTTCACTGGGTAACTTTATATGGAAAAATCACCTGCAATATGAGGATAAACTTACCTATTTTCCAGAAGCCTAATGAGATTTTTATCAATGATTACAATACTTGCGTGTCTGTCTGGGATATAATATGAACAAGACAGGCTGATGGCTTTGGAAAATGTGCCATGTTTCTACTCAATGAAGCATGAAAAGTGATTTGACAGAGTGCTTCAAGAATGCACTTTGCACTTGTTTTCCTCTCCTGCCTTCAGGAAGATAAGTGAGACAAAAAAAAAAAAAAAAAAAAAAAGACTAAAGTTAGTATTCTTCCTGAATCCATTTTTGAAGAATCCAGTATAATTTTTAGAAAATATTTCCTCTAGAGAAGACATTGTAGGAGGCATAAAAGGGGTCCGCATGTGTGAGCAATTAAAGGTTAGAAGTTTTAAGATTCTCTCATTCCTTCATTCCCACCAGGAAGTCAGTGGTCCATCCTACCTCAGTCTTTCTCCCCTGTCCTTTAAGCTGATTCCTGGCCAAATTCAGAACGGGCAGAAGCAGTAAATCTGGCCCTCTGGACAAGAGATTGAGTTGGTTTACAAAAGTTTCACAAGTATCTAAATCTAGGCCGTTACTGAATCAACTGGATAATCAGACTACCTGTGTCTGACTCTGAAGTGCAGATCAAGTTGATATCGTTGACAACTGGCCAAATCTTAGGACTGGGCCAAGGAAATGGCTGGATGTGTGTGTGTGTGTGTGTGTGTGTGTGTGTGTGTGTGTGTGTGTGTGTTGGGGTTGGAGGGCGGGGTCCGATAGTAATTATGGGTGGGGCCAAAGTCCTACCTCGTAAACAAATGCTACACGAAACATGTAAAAACGTTTATCTATGTATGTAGTGAAGCTTTAAATACATCCCAAGACCCATGCTTATCCCAATACCCACGTCCCTCCAACGACACTGTTACCCCATGCCACTGCTATACAGAATTCTGGTGTCTACCATGCCAGAATCCCTGCCCAAAACAGGGAGGAGGTAAATGGCTGAAGGCCCAGCTCCAGGCACTGTAGAAAATGAGGAAAGTCTAGCGGCAAAAAGAAAGGGCAGTCCCCTCTTCCTCTAGTACTCCTAGCCACATGCTGGACCAATTCACCCCAGGACCTCCAGGCCCTAGATTCTCATTCTTTCCCTGGCCCGAAGAGGACAGAAAAATCAAACACACGGGCTCCCACGTCTTCAGGAAAGACTTAGCTTAGCAGTCAGCGGAAGCACCTCACTACTAACCTCGCTCCTTTCTCCTCTCCTACAGGGGGCTGGAGTTCCCGGCTTCCCACCGGCCAGACGCGATTCTGGCTGGGACAGCAACACCAAAAACGCCAGGGCTAGGGAGCCCAGTTCCCCGTCCGCAGTTTGCGCATGTGCGAAGAGGGGCTTCTGGAGGAGCCGGGGGCTTAGTTGCTAAGAGACACAGCTGGAGAGAGAAGTTCCGCTTAACGCCGGGCTGCGAAAGGCGGGGACGTCACGCTATTGGTAGGGAGTAGAGAGAAAGGGCTGGTTTAAAGGCCTTTTTTTCTGTCCATTGGATGAACTGGATGTCAATAACTCAGGCTGGGTGGGCGGGGCTGAGAGAGGTCGGTGAGAGCGGCCTTAGCAACCGCCAGTGAGCTGTGAAGACTTGGGTTGGGCGGGGCTGCGGGAGGTGACGCCGGGAGGTCCCGGCTGAGAGCGCCGGCTGCCGGCTGGGGACCTGGTGAGTGTGAAGCTGTAACCTTCTGCTGGGGCCGGGGCCGAAGTTTTTCCGCCAGAGCAAGGAAGGCTGCCCCTGGCAGCAACTGCACTCCTTCCTTACTCCTGTTGAGATTCATTTTATAGTAGGAAATAGGTACTTTAATATAGTTTATCATCAATTATTCTGGTTCTGCTAACTATTCCAGTTATATAATTTATCTTTCACCCATATGTGTGTGTATTACAGGCATCTAACTACCATACAAGTTCAGACCAATGGAAGAAAAGAGCAGCAAAAATTGAACTGAATGAATCCCAAAAGCAAGAAATTAAAGACGCCTTTAATTTATTTGATATTGATGGGTCTGGAACCATCGATGTAAAAGAAGGTTCTGAAATTATTTCTAATTCTAAATCATTTTAAAAACCATATTATTTGTGGCAATCTTTAAGGCTTTCTTTAAAAGTAGTCTTCTGAAAGCTTAATATAAAGTCTCTTCAGTGCATATGCCTGCCCTGCATTAGCAAAACGATATCTTGTTAAGCATTTTAATTGTGTTTTATAAATGAGTAGGCAAAAGCCCAGGGTGTAACAGTGATGTACATGATGGCACAGTAGGACTGAAACACAGGCCTGCTGACCTAATTTTCTGTTTATGCTCAGTCCATAATAGAAAAGAGAGAAGCTCTTAATAGGGAGTTAAAAAGCTTAGAAAGAAATCATGGCATATTATAATTCCTTTTCTTCCTATTTCAGATTGCAGTGTGGGCCTTAGGATTTGAACCAAAGAAAGAAGAAATTTAAAAAATGGTAGCTGAAGTTGATAAAGAAGGAATTGGCACCATTAGTTTTGAAGATTTTTTTTTGCCATTATGAGTATAAAAATGATATAGTTATGATTTTATTTTTCAAAGAAATACTAGCAATAACCTGCTACATTTTAGGGCTGGAGCAATCAGAAGTTTTATAGAGAAGCAATTAGAACTAGGTTTTTAAGGATGGGAGATAGGAAGAGCAAGATTAAATATGTTTTCAGGGTAGTAATGAGAAGACTATGATGTGGAGAAGAGGTTTTTGTCAGGAAATAATGAGGCTATATTGCAGGATAGAGAGAATGGGGCCAGAATTTGGAAGCCTTTAATTCAGCAACATATATTGAATGCCTATTTTTGCCAGGCACTATTCTAAGGAGCATTGAAAGATACAACCTTCCATTTTGAAGCTTACATTTTTGGTAACGGATCTGAATTATGAGGTTTAATAAGAGATGCATTCTGGACCACCCTGTGCCTTCTCCACCTTAGCAAGCTCTACCTTTAAGCACCTTGAGGGCAGGTGTGAGTACATAATTGTTAAAAGACCAATAAATAAAATCAGAACACAGCTACTTGGCACATTGCTGCTTTAGACCCCAAAGATCTAATTAAGTCCAGCTTGATAAAATAAATAAATGAAAGACTGGATAGTTGCTTCTTTTTTAAAAGAGTAAAAAAGATGAAAAAGAAGAAATATTGAAGACTTTCAAATTATTTGATGATGATGATACTGGAAGTATAATACTAACCGGTATCAAGAGGTTTGCTAAGAAACCAGGGGAAAATTTAACATGATGAACTTCAGGTAGATTTTGCTTATTTTTATAATTATAATTTATATGTAATTATAACTTATGTGATAATTTAGGATTATAATTCTAACTTTAGTTGCACTTATGCATTTAAAATAAAATTTGGTTTTGAATATGTGTTTGACTTCATTTATGTCATTTTAAATGTATTTCATATATTTACATTTTGTTTTACAGGAAATGCTTGATGAAGCTGATCATGATAGAGATGGAGAAATAAACGAGGAAGATGTTTTGAGAGTGATGAAAAAGACTACTCGTTATTAATAGCGTTGTTTTAGTCCTTGTGGAAAATTAACAAATTTGTATTTGTTATGCAGTTTTATAATTTAATATCTGAATGTATTCATTTTCAGTTTTTAGTTTATATGTACACATTGGCTTCTTGATGTCTAATCCATGTAAGAAGTTACACATCTCTACCAATATGATGTTAAATCTACAGCATCAAGAAACAAAACATAATGACTTCTTTGAGCCATTAATCCAAGAACAGTATTGATTCTAGCTGCTCTTTTGAGAACCTTAGGTCACAAAGACTTAGAATTTTAAAGTTTGATGAAGTTGGCTTCACATCCAAATGAATTTGGCAAACAAAACTTATATTTTCCTTTTGTGCAACCCAAAAAAACCTGATGAACATTTGCTTTTTAGTCAGTTACTCAAATACATAAAGTATTAAATAGAACTGTCTGGAAACATTATTTGCTAATTTTCTTCTTTTAGTTATAAAGAAAATTCAAAATAGCACTTACATCACCCATATTTCCCTGTAAGTTTGACTCTATAGTGAGCACTTAATACCTCTGTGCTAGGACAGGTGGTGTAGAGTTTTATTTTTAAAAAATTTTATTTATATATTTTTTGAGACAAAATCTCCCTCTGTCACCCAGGCTGGAGTGCAGTGGTGCGATCTCGGCTCAATGCAACCTCTGCCTCCTGGGCTCAAGAGATTCTCCTGCCTCAGCCTCCCGAGTAGCTGGGACTACAGGTACCTGCCACCATGCCTAGCTAATTTTTTGCATTTTTAGTAGAGACGGAGTTTCACTGTGTTAGCCATGATGGTCTCAATCTCCTGACCTCATGATCTGCCTACCTCAGCCTCCCAAACTGCTGGGATTACAGGGGTGAGCCACCGTGCCTGGCCGAGATTTTATGTGTTAACCTCAGTAAACATATTACAAGTTGGAAGCTGATTGTATTAGCTCCATTTTACATACAAGAAAACTAAAGTTCAGAGAAGTTTTAAAAATTCCCCAGTTGCCCATTGATAAGAAATAAAACATGGATTCCAAATCTTAAGTTCTTATTCTTCATTATGCTGCTTCCCTATGGATAAAACTTTCAAGATAACTGTGTATTTTCTAACTCATTTTCAATTCTGTGACTCTTGTGATTTCTTCCTTGTGAAAGAGCCAAACTGTTGGGAAACGGAATCTCATACATACAGTCTTTTAACTCCTACTCAGTTGTTTGAGAGTGGGCCTTGGGCCTGGAACACTTCTTTTGAAGAGACTAGGAGTCCACAGAGCCTGTGCTGAACTTACCACCCCGTATAGTAATATCTTCCTCTGTTTCAGAGTCAATGTGTAGTCCTTTGCCCTGCTTAAGTGTGTGCATCATATGGCATCTGACCAACCCCACTGCTCTGTCTCCTGTGGGGGAGGGGATGGGGGTCCTTCAGCACAAGAGGAGTGTTTGCAGGCCACCTGCCCTGTGTCAGCTGCCAAGAGGGACCCTCTGGTCATGGGAGACTGAAGTCCACTAGGGAAGCTGATCTTGCTCTGTCTCTTCTGTATGTGAGTAATGTGTGTTCCACCCAGTGTTTCACTGCATTGTTTTCCTTGGCGACTTTGAAACAAGATGCAGTGGACAGAAGTGCTCAGACTTCTGCTCCTGACAAATAGGCAACAGATGCCACTTGCTCCACACAAACACTTTCTGATAACCAAGTTGTCTTTGGAGCAAGAAAGACTCATAGAAAATTAACTATAGTGACACTACCTGGTTCATTTTTAGCACAACTGAAATGAAAACTGAAGGTTTTAATTTTGTCTTGTCAACACAAGAGGTTTTATTTGATTGAAACTAGAATTGTATGTGCTCATGAGCATTCTCAAGTGTTTTCACAGTGTCTTTGATTTCTAATTATGTAACATTTCTTCTAGACCAGGGAAAAACTTGCCTATTAAATGTGCTTCATATGTGAAAATGTTAGCCTTCAAATGGTTAAAAGTATACATGAACAAGTTCCAAAAGTTCTGAATAAAAGTCTCCTTCCTATCCAAGCCCCAGTTCTTCCTAAAGACAAAGATTTTTGCCACTTTTTAATGAATCATTACAGAGAATGCATATTCATATACATATGTATACAGAATAGTTTTTTCACAAATGATAGCATATTATACACATTGTGTATATATTTGAGAAATAGTTACATAACTTGAGAAATAGTTGCATAACAATACAAATAAAATATCTGTATAATATTCCATTCTAATGGAATGGAATGGCCATATAATTCATTATATCAATTATTATATTTGACAGTCTTCTAATGGGAGACATTTTAGTTTCCAACGTTTTGCTTAAATTAATATCCTTATACATATGTTTAATTTGGGAATACCTGTACAATTAATTGTCACAAATGAAGTGATTGGGTTAAAATCAATATGCATTTTAATTTAAATATTTTTATTTTTGATAGATATTGCCTTCTAAAAAGATTTTTGCCAAATTACATTTCCAAAAATACTATATGAAAATGCCCAAAGTATTATCAAACTTTTTTGATTTCTGTCAGTCTGGCAAGTTGCAAATCATACATTTTTCATGCTCATTTCTCTTATGAGAGGCATTGAGTGTTTTTTCACATGTTTAGACTCTATTTGTCTATTCCTTTTTGTGTATTGTCTAACAAAGTCCTTTGCCTATTTTTCCATTGGATTTTAAAATTTATTGGTTTGTGGCTGGGCACAGTGGCTCACACCTATAATCGCAGCACTTTGGGAGGCCGAGGGAGGCAGATCAGAGTTCGAGACCAGCCTGGCCAACATGGTGAAACCCCGTCTCTACTAAAAATACAAAAAAATAGCTGGACGTGGTGGCAGGCGCCTGTAATCCCAGCTACTCGGGAAGCTGAAGCAGGAGAATTTTTGAACCCCGGAGGCGGAGGTGGCAGTGAGCAGAGATCGCATCATTGCACTCCAGCCTGGGCAACAGAGTGAGTGAGACTCCATCTCAAAAAAAAAAAAAAAAAAAAAAATTGGCCAGGGGCGGTGGCTCATGCCTGTAATCTCAGCACTTTGGGAGCTGAGGCAGGCGCATTACGAGGTCAGGAGATCAAGACCATCCTGGCTAACATGGTGAAACCCTGTCTCTACTAAAAATAAAAAATATTTGCTGGACATGGTGGCAGGCACCTGTAGTCCCAGCTACTCAGGAGGCTGAGGCAGGAGAATGGTGTGAACCTGGGAGGCGGAGCTTGCAGGGAGCAGAGATCGCACCACTGCACTCCAGCCTGGGTGACAGAGCGAGACTCCGTCTCCAAAAAATAATAAATAAAAAAAATCACTGGTTTGTAAGAGCATTTTATATACAAAAGAGATTAATCTTTGTCTGTCATATATGTTGCATGCATTGTACCATTTGTTATTTGCCTTTTGATTTGCATTGTGTTTCAGCCTTTATATTTTTTTCTTTAAAAAAATGTTTTTATTTCCATAGGTTTTGGGGGAACAGGTGGTATTTGGTTATATGAGTAAGTTCTTTAGTGAGATTTTGGTGCACCCATCACCTGAGCAGTATCACTGAACCCAATTTGTAGTTTTTTGTTTCTCACCCCCTCCCACACTTTTCCCTGAGTCCCCAAAGTCCATTGTATCATTCTTATTCCTTTGCATCCTCATAGCTTAGCTCCCACTTATGAGTGAGAACATATGATGTTTGGTTTTCTATTCCTGAGTTACTTCACTTAGAATAATAGTCTCCAGTTCCATCCAGGTTGCTGCAAATGCCATAAACTCATTTCTTTTTATGGCTAAGTAGTATTCCATATTATATATATATGACAATTTCCTTATCTACTTGTTGATTGATGGGCATTTGGGCTGGTTCCATGTTTTTGCAATGGCGAATTGGAATTGTGCTGCTATAAACATGGATGTGCAAGTATCTGTTGCTATAAACATGGATATGCAAGTATCTTTTTTGTATGATGACTTCTTTTCCTCTGGGAAAAGTAGTGGGATTGCTGGATCAAATGGTATTTCTACTTTTAGTTCTTTGAGGAATCTCCACAGTTTTTTCCATAGTGGCTGTATTAGTTTACCTTCCCACCAGCAGTGTAGAAGTGGTCCCTCTTCACCGCATCCACACCAACATCTATTATTTTTTGATTTTTTGATTATGGTCATTGTTGCAGGAGTAAAGTGGTATCGCATTGTGGTTTTTTATTTGCATTTCCCTGATCATTAGCGATGTTGAGCATTTTTTCATATGTTTATTGGCCATTTGTATATCTTCTTTTGAGAATTGTCTATTCATGTCCTTAGCCCACTTTTTGATGGCATCGTTTTTTTTCTTGCTAATTTGTTTGAATTCCTTGTAGGTTCTGGATATTGGTCCTTTGTTGGATGCGTAGATTGTGAAGATTTTCTCCCACTCTGTCGGTTGTCTGTGTACTCTGCTGACTGTTCCTTTTGCTGTGCAGAAGCTCTTTAGTTTAATTAAGTCCCACCTATTTACCTTTTGTTTTTGTTGCATTTGCTTTTGGGTTCTTGGTCATGAAGTCTTTGCCTAAGCCATTGTCTAGAAGGGTATTTCCGATGTCGTCTTTTAGAATTTTTATAGTCGCAGGTTTTAGATTTGTGTCCTTGATCCATCTTGATTTTTTTTTTTTTTTTTTTTTTTTGAGACAGAGTCTTGCTCTGTCACCCAGGCTGGAGTGCAGTGACATGATCCCAGCTCACTGCAACCTCTGCCTCCTGGGTTTAAGCGATTCTCCTGCCTCAGCCTCCTGAGGAGCTGGGACTACAGGCTCGTGCCACCACACCCAGCTAATTTTTTGTATTTTTAGTAGAGACGGGGTTTCACCATGTTGGCCAGGATTGTCTCAATCTCTTGACCTCATGATCCTCCCACCTCAGCCTCCCAAAGTGCTAGGATTACAGGCAAGAGCCACTGCACATGGCCTTGAGTTGATTTTTATATAAGGTGAGAGATGAGGATCTAGTTTCATTCTCTTACATGTGGCTTGCCAATTATCCCAGCACCATTTGTTGATTAGGGTGTCCTTTCCCCACTTTATGTTTTTGTTTGCTTTGTCGAAGATCAGTTGGCTGTAAGTATTTGGGTTTATTTCTGCGTTCTCTATTATGTTCCATTGGTCTATGTGCCTATTTTTATACCAGTACCATGCTGTTGTGGTGACTATGGGCTTATAGTATAGTTTGAAATCCAGTAATGTGATGCCTCCAGATTTGTTCTTTTTGCTTAGTCTTGCTTTGGCTATGCGGGCTCTTTTGTGGTTCCATATGAATCTTAGGATTGTTTTTTCTAGTTGTGTGAAGAATTATGGTGGTATTTTGATGGCAATTACATTGAATATGTAGATTGCTTTTGGCAGTATGATCATTTTCACAATATTGATTCTACCCAAGCCTCTACATTTTAAGTTTACTTCATGAGATGATTTCTACAGATATTTGTGCTATGTAACAGTAAAATGGCAATGCTTTGTCTTTTAACAGTATTTAGTCTCATAATGGCCATATGACTCTTACCAGACTGTAGCCTAATTCTAAGAGTAAAAAAAGAAAGGATATTTAAAAAAAAATCATGGCATTGAATTTTCCTTTTGAAACATAATCATCTTTACCTTTTAGTTGAGATGATCTGGATTTAAGCCCATACTGGAGTAAGGGAAAGTTTTGTAAGTTTTGGATCTATTTATTTAAATCTATCCCTCTGTGTTTTAGGGATAACTTCTTGTATACCCAATTAAAATGCCTCAAATCCTAAGAATGGCCCTGGGAATATTACTAGAACACAAAAATCAAAGACCAGGACAGAACTCTTGAGCTATTCTGGAACATATTCAGGACTTTGTGATTGCCTTGTAGAAACTGACCCTTTTATGGTAGATAAGTTGGAATTTGATAGAGTGCTTACATCTCAAAATGCTTCCCTACTCAAAATACTGTTGAAATTTATAAATTTTATTATTTAAAAAAGGGAAAATTATAACTATTTTATGGTTTCACAGTCAGGTAAAGGCAGATAAGGTAAGAGTCTGAGACTGTATCTTATATGTCAGATAAGAAGGGTTGGAGAATTTTAGTCAAAGATCACAGAATTTACTTGCTTTAATTCCAAAACAAATTCAAGCATATCTAGTTCTCTATGTTTCTCCTCCTCTTTTCAGAGCAAGATCAAATTCATCAATATATGGACAATTTAAGAGGCTTTTATTCCAACCATTCCTGAGGAACCAAATTCTGCCAACAACCATGTGAACGAGCTTTGAAAGTGATCTTTTTCCAGTTGACCTTTGAGATAGTACAACTCTAGTTGACACTTTGATTACAACAAGTGAGAGACCCTGAAGCAGAGGAACAAGTGAAGCCACCCCTGGATTTCTGATTTATAGAAACTGTGCAATAACAATTATTTTAAGCTACTGAGTTATGGGACAGTTATGCAGCAATAGATTACTGCTATAGTCCTCCATCTTGAGACTTGTGTTAACTTCTCCCCTATTGAATGGCTAGATATACAAGGAACCAACTAAGAGTTCTATCAAATATTAAATAAAGATGAGATTAAATAGACTTATTACATGATGGCATATTTAAAATAGCAATATCATCTATTAGGGTGATGCTCTTTTATAACTATTTGCTTGTCACACACGCATCTGAAACTCAGTGAGTTTGCTGCCTCTTTCTGTAGCTTAGATATCATGGGGACTTTAGTTCACCAATGAGAGGGCTATTAAGAACTTTTTTAAACATCCCATTTTGCAGTTCCTGCCACCCTGAACCTGCCACTCAAATACTTTCTTCCTCTAAGCTGTTGTTTAGTATAGATGTCCTGGAGTTCTGATTTATATTTTAGTTGCAATAAGCAGATTGTTGGCAATGAAATTAACCACCTGCCAGGTTTCAGGTAGTATCAGAAGTGGGGAAAATTTATGGTTTGTGCTGACAGAACTTTTGCAACTCCAAAGACAGACTGATAACAAACACATCAAAGAGGCCACAACACCCAATTTCAGTTCTTGCTTTCATTCCAGAATGGATAAAAATTCATATTGGATGGATCACAGTCAAGTCTGAGAATAAGCAGAAAACTGGGGATATAAGGAAATGGAGCGAAAGCTAAATGCTTCTGTAATTATTTAAGAAATTGAATCTGAAAATAAACACTTTTCCACAAAGAAAACTCTAGGCCCAAATAATTTCATTGGTGTCTATTACCATTTAAGGAAAAGCATTTTTAATTCTTTCAGAGAATAGAAAAAGAGATAACGCTTCCAAACTTGGTTTGTGAGGTAGGCAACAACTTGTTACCGGAACCTACAAGGATAGTTCATTATTTCTACAAGGATAGAACCTACCAGGATAGTTCAAACCTAATTTGGTTTGTTCCAGGACAACCAAATTGTTCAGCATTTGAAATTTGATTAATGGAATATATCATATTTTCAGAATTAAAGAATCATGTAATAATTTTAATAGGAGAGAAAACCCACACTTGATAAAATTTGACGTCCATTTATGATTAAAACTCAGGGCAAACAAAAAACAAGAGAGAATTTCTGTGAACAGCGTAAGGGTATTTTGAAAACCTATAAACATCAGTTAAACTGTAAAACATGGAAAACTTTCTAAGATGAGGAATAAGAACAGAATGTCCTTTATTCAACATTGTACTGAAGTGCTAGCCAGTACAATAAAGTAAGAAAAGGAAAAATATACATAAAGACTGGAAAGGAAGATATAAAATCTTATTTGCAGGTGACATGATGATACATACAATAGAAAATCCAAAAGAATTTATATAGATTGCTGAAAGTAAGGTTGTGATGCAAATACAAACATCGACACAATTGTATTTTTAGGTATCAGGTACAAATAATAAAGAGACCATAACATTGTTAAAAATATAAAAATTTTAGGACTAAATCTAATGAAGATACACAGGTCTTCTACATTAAAAATCTATTAAGAAGTATTGAGAGAAACTAAAGAAGACATAAATAAATGGAGAGCTATTATGTTCATGGGTTGGAAGTCTCAATGTTATAAAGACATTAGTTGTCTGCTTATTGATCTACAGATATTGTGCAATCAAAATCCTAGCTTGTGTTTTTGTGTAGAACTTGACAAGTTGATTCTAAATTTTACATGGAAATCCAAGGGGACAATGCACAACCAAAGCACAGGTAAGAGGACTAGCTTGCCTGAATAACAAGACTAAATATAGATCCACAGTTATCAAAATAGTGTGGTATGGACTAGGATAGACTAGTGGACCGGTGGAATAGAATAGAAAGTCCTGAAACACGCCCATACTTACATGACTTGATTTAAGACAAAGGTGGCTCTCCAGAGAAGAGGGACATTTTCATAATAATGGTTCCAAGTCAATAGTATATCCATAAGGTATAAAAGAAAATTTGACCCCCAGTCTCACACCATACATAAAAATCAATTCTAGAGGATTGTGGATTTAGATATGAAAGGTAAAAATATAAAGCTTCCAGGAGAAAATGTAGGAAAATATCATTTTTATAATGATTTGTAACTGAATTGCATTGTTGTCAGAGAATTTGATCTAAAAACAACTCTTTGAAATTTGTTGAAACTCTGTTTTTAAAGCATGTCCACAAGTTATTTGACATTCCTCTCATCAACAGGTAGAGGCTTAATTTCCCTCCCCTTGAATATGGATGTCTTCAGTGACTTGCTTTTAACCAATAAAATGTGGTAAAGGTGACACTATATGACTTCTGAGGATAGGTTAGAAAAGGAGATATAGTTTCTGCCTGGCTCTCTAGCCTGGCACCCAGCCTTGGAACCTAGCCACCATCCCAAGTCAGGGAGCTATATAGAAAGACCACATTTTGGTGTTCTGGACATAGTGCCATGGAGATTCCAGCCAAGAGCTAGCATCAACTACCAAACAGACAAGTTAGCAAGCCTTTGAGTCATCCTAGCTAATGCTGAGTAGGGCATAATAGACAATCTGCTCCCACTAAACCCTGCCTAAATTGTAGATTCATGAATAAAATAAATGCTGTGATTGTTTTAGACCAGTAAGTTTTGTGGTGGCTATTTAAACAATAGAATATTACATGCATCTTAGAGTTATTACGGTTAACATTTAATTCCTACTTGTAACAATTCCCTAAAGATGGAATAATTTTACAACAGATTAGCTCTGTTTATCTCCCTCATCTACTGTGCTATTGTCATGTATTTTACTTCTAAATATATTCAAATCCCTACAAGGTATAATTATTATTTTTTGTCTTTTATAAACTGGTGCTCTTCATTCTTTTATGCTGGCTTGTTGTTCCATCTGGGATAATTTTCATCAGCCTAAATAACTCTTTGGTATTGTGGTGAAGATCTGCTGGTGATAAATTCTCTGAGCTTTTGTCTGAAAAGGCCTTACTTTTTGCCTCCTTTTTTGAATAATATTTTTGCTGTGTATAGACTTCTAAGTGGCAAGGTAAGAAGTTCTTTTTTCTTTTAGCATTTTAATTCCATTTCAGTATATTCCAATTTCCATAATGTCTGTTGAAAAGTAAGCTAATATTAGGTTGGTGCAAAAGTAATGGCAAAAATTACTTTTGCACCAACCTAATAACTTTATTGTTGCTTCTTTGAAAATAACATGTGGCTTTTTTTTTTTTATTCTGAGTGATTTTAAGACTTGTCTATTTGTCTTATTAGCAACTTAACTATGATGTACCCAAGTGTGGTTTTCTTCATAATTTTATTTTACATGAGATTCATAGAGTGTCTTGATTCTGTGGTTTCATGTCTTTTAGCAACTTTGGAACATTTTTAGAGCCAGTATTTCTTCAAATGTTGTTTCCGAATCATCATATCCTCTCTATTTCTAAGATTCCAATTGTGTTAGACTTTATCACTGTTTTTCATGTATCTCTCATACTCTTTTCTGTATTTTCCATCGTTTTGCCTTTCTGTGCTTCAAACTAAGTAAGTTTACTGGCTTGCTTTCCAGTTTACTGGAAGTTCTCTGTTCTGCTGCATCTAATAGATTCCAGGTCTTTGTTGAAATTATCAATATTTTCCTCTGTTTTTTTTGTTTGTTTTCTTTTCTTTTGAGATAGAGTCTCGCTCTGTTGCCCAGGCTGGAGTGCAGTGGTGTGATCTTGGCTCACTGCAACCTCCGCCTCCTGGGTTCAAGCCATTCTTGGGCCTCAGCATCCTGAGCAGCTGGGATTACTGATGTGCACCAGCATGCCTGGCTAATTTTTGTATTTTTAGTAGAGATGGGGTTTTGCCATGTTGGCCAGGCTGGTCTCGAACTCCTGGCCTCAAGTGATCTGCCCGCCTCAGCCTCCCAAAGTGCTGGGATTTCAGGCATCCTCTGTTTTATTGAACACATTAATGATCTTTATTTTCAGCTCCCTGTCTGATTACTTCAATGTTTTCATTATCTTTAGGTCTATTATTATTGTACTTTTAAAAGTGTAGCTTTTAGTTATTTGGTCTTGTTTTTTAGCCAGATATGAGTGAAAAATTGTAGAGCCTATAAATACTGTTACTTTCCTCCAAAGAAGATTAAGTTTTCTTCCAGCAGGTGGATAAGATATAAGAGGATCATTTTGATTCTTTGGCGGAATGGGGAATGGTTTTAGTCATTATTAAGGTTTTCCTCTTTCAGATTTGTCCTTACTCATAGGGTAAAATACTTCTGCATCTCAATTGAAAGCCCAGGATATCTTTACTGACATACCCTTCCCCAAGACCCCTTCATCTAACCTGGGCTTGAACTCAAATTTCTATCTTTGCAGCATTGCACAACTGTCTAATTAAACTTTTGCTCAGCTCTTTGTTCTCACAGATCCTGTTTTCTGCTAGGTTTTTCCATAGTCTTGTGTCGGGAATTGGTTCCTTCCAGTGGGTTCATGGTCTCGCTGACTTCAGGAGTGACGCCGCAGACCTTCTCAGTGAGTGTTACAGCTCTTAAAGGTGGTGCGTCCGGAGTTGTTTGTTCCTCCTGGTGGGTTCATGGTCTCGCTGACTTCAGGAATGAAGCTGCAGACCCTCACGGTGAGTGTTACAACTCATAAAGGTAGTGTGGACCCAAAGACTGAGCAGCAGCAAGATTTATTGTGAAGAGCAAAAGAACAAAGCTTCCACGACGTGGAAGCCGACCCGAGTGGGTTGCTGCTGCTGGCTCAGGTGGCCAGCTTTTATTCCCTTATTTGGCCCCACCCATGTCCTGCTGATTGGTCCATTTTACAGAGTGCTGATTAGTCCATTTTACAGAGTGCTGATTGGTGCATTTACAAACCTTTAGCTAGACACAGAGCACTGATTGGTGCGTTTACAATTTTTTAGCTAGACAGAAAAGTTCTCCAAGTCCCCACCTGACCCAGAAGCCCAGCCGGCTTCACCTCTCAGTCTTGGGCATATGAAACTAAAGAGAGGCCAGGCGCGGTGGCTCACGCCTATAATCCCAGTGCTTTGGGAGGCTGAGGTGGGCGGATCACGAGGTCAGGAGATCGAGACCATCCTGGCTAACATGGTGAAACTCTGTCTCTACGAAAAATATAAAAAATTAGCCGGGCATGGTGGTGGGCGCCTGTAGTCCCAGCTACTCGGGAGGCTGAGGCAGGAGAATGGCGTGAACCCGGGAAGGCAGAGGTTGCAGTGAGCCGAGATTGTGCCACTGCACTCCAGCCTGGGTGACAGAGCGAGACTCCCTCTCAAAACAAACAAAGAAGAAAATAAAGACAGAGTCGGGAACCTAAAAGAGCAGTGGGGTGGGGCTTGGATGACCTTTTTCATTTCATTTCATTTCATTTCATTTCATTTCATTTCATTTCATTTCACATCGAATCCCTGTTCTCTATAATTTTTTTCCTCTCAAGTCTTAGCCCAGTTTAGCAGCCCCAGATTCCAATCTATTTCTCTTCAATCCATTAAAATTTCAGCTTGGATCTATTCCCCTATTTTATGAATTTGGAAATGCCGTCAGGGAAAAAGTCCTGTTGAGAGTAGAGTTCACTGCCTGTGCTTCTCCTCTCAAGTATTGTAGCCTGTCCTTTCCAACCCTGCAGGAATTGGGTGATTTCCAGTTTCTTCACACAGTTGTTTTATATATTAGTTTTTATACTTGTTTGCAGCAGGAAGTTAGTTCATCATATCCTGAACTAGAAATGTTAATATTATTTTTAGGAAAATAAATCTGACTGATGACAGTAGATGAATGGGAGAGACTGCTGGCTACAAGGCTAGGTAGGAGGTGATCGCAATCATTTAAACAAGGAATGGTGGGGTTTGGCTAATGAACAGTTTGCCTTTGGTTTTGAAAAGAAAGGTTGGATTAAAATCTTTCATTCCTGGTGTCTTATTTTTATTTACTCTGATGAAGTAGTAATATCAAGTAACAGTTATTGAGTGCTTACTATGTTTTATGCACTGTTCTACCTCCTCTACATGGATTTTCTTACTTAAGCCAAATGCCTATTGGATGCTATTATCATCATTCTGATTTTACAGTTGAGAAAACTGAGATGCATAGGATTTAAACGACTAGCTCAACATCACATGGACAGTAAATTGCTCTTCTGGGCTTTGAAAGCAGGCCTGCTGGCTCCACACTCTATGCTTTTAACCACGATCCTCTACTACCTCTCATTATGCCATGGAATAGGAGTTATCTTTTAAATGGGAGAGGCTGATAGCTCACATTCTCAGGGGGAGAAAAGCAGAAAAGTGGCTCGGTGTGGTGGCTCATGCCTGTAATCCCAGCACTTTGGGAGGCCAAGGTGGGAGGATTGCTTGGAGCCAGGAGTTCAAGACCAGCCTGAGCAGTGAGACCCCCATCTCTGCAAAAATTAAGAAACTAGCTGGGCACGGTGGTGCACAGCTGTGGTCCCAGCTACTCAGGGGGCTGAGGTGGGAGGATTGCCTGAGCCCAGGTGGTCGAGGTTACAGTGAGCCGTGATCACGCCACTGCGCTCCAGCCTGGGCAACAAAGTGAGACTTTGTCTCCAAGAAAAAAGAAACAAAAGCAGAAAAGTGAATTAAATGGTGATTTTTTTTGTGGTTGTTTGGGAAAATGAGTGAAGTAATTCTTAAGGAAAAGTGATAAATCCAGAGAAGTGAAATTAAAGACAAACATAAGCTAAGCACTTAAAAAAAAAGAAAGAATAGATTTAAATCTCTGTAAATTCAGTAGTAAAGAGTTGCGATGTGGCCAAGAGTAAGAAGTCAAGACAAACAGATACTTGGAAGATCAGAGACTGATTTTCTATAGTGATAAAGTTATTATTTGGTATCTTATATGTGGATATTTCCCCTCATAGTTTTTTCTTGTTTTCTTGGTCATGGCTCATTTTAACTTAATTTCTTTTAAAGCAAGTTTAGCTATTTGTTAAATGAATGAAAGAGGGAGTACCATTCTAACCTTGACGAGTTATAATCTCATCCTCATTAAGAGCTCATTCACTTTGGCTTACCCACTGGAATAGGGGTTGGTCCCATACAATGGAGCATGGAGGCCACTCCACTAGAGGGCGTTGAGGTCTTGTCTGTTCGGTGAGTGAGGGTGTGGTTTGATTTATGCTTATTTTGATAGTTTGACATAAATTAGTGAAGGGTTTAAAGAAAGACTAAAGTTAAAGATTTAATTTATCTAGCATAATTTAGGGGAAAATGTAAAGAAATTATATATTCTTCAACTTATTTTCTTGGTAACCACTTATGTTAATGAAAAGTCAGGAGTTTCACCTAAAACCAAATCTGACACTATTTGAAATGTAGCCATTGAATTACCAGGGAAATTATATATATACACACACACGTGTGTGTGTATATACACACATATGTGTATGTATACACACACATACACATATGTGTATATATACACATATGTGTATGTGCATATACACACACGTGTGTATATACATATGTGTATGTGCATATACACACATGTGTGTATACATACATATGTGTATATATACATATGTTTATATATACATATGTGTATATATACACATATGTATATATAAATATAATTTGAAGATATCTTTTACAACTTTTTTTCTAATCCAATTTTGAAGATGTCTGTTGTTTTCCTCAGATGATATGAAATAGTAACTTGATTGTTTTGCATAAAAGTGACTTAAAAAGAGACTCACCAAACTCTAGTCAATGGTTACTTCTGAGGGAAGAGAATGTGATTCTGGGGAGGGTGAAAATGTTTGCTTTTTATTCACTATACTTCTGTGTGATTTGAATTTTTATGAATGTAAATTTCATAATTTAAATAAAAAGAAGTACAAAATTCAATTGTATTTAAAAATGAGGTTAGGAAGCTAATTATAAAAATGGATTTGAACAATAAATCCAAGGGATTTGAACTATAATCTGCCTAAATATGAAAAAATACAGAATCTGTGACATCAATAAGCATTCTATAATACAACATTGAAAAGGAAGTGAGGGTGTTGTTACACTGTATACTTTAGCATCTCTTGGGGTTTCTAATGTAGAGCCACATATAGCCTCTGAGAAAGTCTTCAAAAGTGAAACTTATTGAATTTGGTCTAACCCCAATTATACCCGTTTATTTGACATTGAAACACTTTTTTTCTTCACACTTAACAAAAGAGTTAATAACAGTTGTATAAAAGTCAGTTTGGGAAAAACTGACATAAACAAAAGAACAAACTGTATATAAAAAATTTGACCCAAGTCAAAGTAAATTATGTCCTGGGATAAGATTCTTTATATTAATTTTAAGCGGATGGAAAAAATAGGTGCACTGTATTATATTTTTTCTTTCTGTGTTTTTATTGGAAATGTGTAGGTTTCTTTTACTTCTCTTGGAAGTATATCATGGATAAATAAAAAATGAAACAATATAAAATGATGTAAAAATCTACAAATGCAAGTAGTGATTCCAGGATATCACTTACAAAGCACCCTTGAACTGCTGTGCCCCGAGGAGTGTTTCGTGGTGGAAGATAAGAAATCACAAACGTTCATGTTTTCACTGCTAGCCCAAATGAAAACGCACTCTTCCTGCCAAAGACCAGAGTTAAAACACCCCTTCAACCTACCAGGTAGGGGAATATCAAACAGGCACCCGGTCAGAGAACCACAAAGCATGTTGAAAGTCAAGAACATCCTTAGAAATACTACTTGTCAAAGCAGGATTTTAAGTGAATTTTGGACAATCAGATAAGCAGGAGGCTGAGCTTTTTTTTTTTTTTTTCAAATAGAGATAAGGACTCTGATGGTGAAAGTGATGGATGAGAATGGTTTAGGACATGCTAGAGAATTCACAAAGCCTGGATAATGAAAAAGACAGCAATCTAATTTGAGCAAGTGTAAAGACCATTTTCTTATCTATGCTGGCTAAGCATGTAGTTTGCGTGTGTGTGTGTAAATATTATCTAGTATCATGCCTCCAACTGTGTAGTATGAAATTATGCACACATAAGTTGTGTATTTAGCCATTATTCCTCAGAATAATTTGTCATTCTCCTTCAAGTCTTTATTTATTTTTCATGAACTATAGGTTAAAGAATCTCATCGGGTATCTGGTGTTGGGTGGCCCTAACTAATTAAAATAGCCAAAATTCTGTTTCCTCAACTATGTAAAACATGATAGACATGTATTGTCATGATAAGCATGTACTAAATAATGCTTATTTTTGTTTATACAAGTATGTTTCCAAAAAATTATAAACTATTGTTTTATGTTTTAAATTTTACACGATAGCATGTATAAGCATTCTTTTAAAGCTTGACTTATTTCTTGACACTATATTTTTGAGATTTATTTATATGAGTACCTGTTATTAGAGTTCATTCATTTCAACTGTTGTATGGAATTCTGTTTCTTTACAGGAAGTTAGCTTGTTTATACATATGTGTGTGTGTGTGTATATATTTATATATATTTATATTTATTTGGTAGAGACGGGGTTTCACCATGTTGGCCAGGCTGGTCTTGAACTCCTGACCTCATGTGATGCGCCCGCCTCAGCCTCCCAAAGTGCTGGTATTATAGGCATGAGCCACCACGCCTGGCAGTTTCTGTAATTGTATTATTAGGAACAATGGTATGATGAATATGTATTTTGTATTTTGTCTTCTTGGACACACATAAAAGCTTTTCTAGGATAGCCACCATCTTGGCCTGCTCAGGCTGCAAAATACCATGCAAATACAAATACAAATACCGTAGACTGAGTAGATTAAACAAGCAAAACTTATTTTCTCACAGTTCTGGAGGACGGAAGTCTGAGATCAAGGTACCAAGGATAACAGGGTTCTGGTGAGGCCCCTTTTGCCGCCTTGTAGGTGGCCACACACTGTGTCTTCATGTGGCAGAAAGAGAGAGAGAATGAGATCTCTTTCTTTTTCTCTTCTTAGAAAGACACAGTGCTATTGAATTAGGGCCTCATCCTTATTACTACATTTAACCTTAAATATCTCCTAAAGACCCTGTGTCAACGTATATTGAAGGTTAAAGCTTTAACATGTGAATTTGAGAGGACACAATTCAGTCCATAGCAGCTACTTGGAAGTGAAATTGCTGGGTTGTGTGGAAAGTGCATCTTCAACTTTTCTAGGTATTTCCAAATTATTCCCCAAAGTAGTTGTAAAATTTACATACCCACCAGCAATTGTATACAATTGTATACATGAGATATTTTTACCTGGAAGAACTTAAAAATCCCAAATGAAAAAGGGTATAATCTTTTTAAATTGCAATTTCTCCTTCCCATTGCACTAATATCTGGCAAGTCTTCCAAGCAGTTGTCTAAATATTGGCTTCTGCCAATCAAATCTCATCTTTTACAGCCATGACACCACAAGGAGTGATCTGTTCTCTAATCCCAGCATGAAAAACACTGATCTTACTCAATCCAATAGACTCTCACTAGAGGTCAATGACATAGGATAGAGTTGAGTTGGGGCATAATCCCAAAAGATACAATCCCTATTGCCTTAATTCCAAATGTTGAAATCCTGAAAGATCAAAATACCAAATATGTAATTTCGAAGAAAAACTTATTTATTTAGAGATAGGGTCTTGCTTGTTGCCCAGGCTGGAGTGCAATGGCTCTTCACAGGCACAATCATAGCATATTGCAGCCTTGAACTCCTGGGCTCAAGTAATCCTCCTGCTTCAGCGTCCCAAGTAGCTGGGTGGGACTACAGCATGTGCCACCAAACCCAGGTAGAAAAAATAATTAAAAAAAAAATTAAAAATACATTTATTTACATTTTAAAGGGAATTTATTTGAGAAACATATAAAAACATGACAGAACACATCATTGGCCACTTTACACCATAAAATAGGCAATAATAACATACACATTTTCGCAAGCATAAGCACTCAAGTATTCTAATGATAGCCACATATATATAACAGTTATGAGCAGACAAACCATATTCATTAATAAATAAGTCGAAAAGTGAAATGTATAAACACATATCACTATGATTGGTAACTGCGTGCACCCAGCTTTATAACTGCAGTCATCTGAAATACTATGATGGACAACCTGCATGTTTCAATGAGACCCATCAAAAACCACAGTGAGTCACCACCACATATGCAGTTGCCCAAGTAGCTGACATCTTGAGATATTTTATCTTTCACAAATTCAGATGTACAGAAAGGACATCTTTATTAAGGAAGTTTTGATATTTTCATACACACACACAGTGCTTACACACAAAGTCAACGTTCCGATAACACACTTTCATAGAGTCAAATTTGCAAAAAATGCATAAAACAAATTAGAACTCTACAGAAGTCTTTACACAACTTATACCTCCAGTATTGGAAATGAAGCAAAGATGAGATATGTAGCATAGGAAATTGGCACTATATGTGAAAGGGCAGAAGTCTTATATGATTGAATAATTTGGCAGGGGAGATTTCTGTATTTTTCGTTTGCATTTTCACTTCTATGATTTTTGAAACACTCACTGCATTTGTACTTGAAGAGTGACTGTGGTCTACAAATTTTGTAAGTATGTGCAGTCCATTCGAAAGACTGGTTATTGCTCAACCATTGCAATTAAGTGATTTTCTGCTTTCAAAATGCCAATAGTAATTAGCTTTTAAAGTTTTATCTTTCACTGTTAAGAGGCCTCATATGCTTAGACCATCATAGCCTTTTGTGAGGGAACAGTTTCACAGATCTCTCCCATTATGCTGCAAGTAATAAAGTAAGGAGGAATGACATTTGGCTTCCTTAATATCAAATCTATTTTAGTCAAGGTTCTCCAGAGAGACAGAACCAATAGGATATGTGTATAGATAGAGGAAGGAGCCTTATCAGTAGGATGGGCTCACACAATTATGGAGGCTGAAAAGTTCCACAACAGGCCATCTGCAAGCTGGAGACTTGGCTCAGTCCAAGTCTGAAGTTCACAGAACCAGGAAAGCTGAGGTTGTAACCTAGTTCATGGCTGGAAGCCTCAGCACCTAGGAGACTGCTGGTCAAAGTCCTGAGTCCAAAGACTGGTGAACCTGGAGTTCTGGTGTCCAAGGCAGCAGAAGGTCTACCCCAGCTCTGAGAGAGAGACCAATTTGCCTTATGTGTTTCTTCTCTCTCCTGGCCTTCAGCTGATTGGATGGTGTCCTTCAACATTGATAGCAGATTCCCCCACACCTGGTTAATCCACTCAGACTCACACAATAATCTCCTCTGAAAAAGCCCTTACAGACACATCCAAAATAATGCTTTACCAGGTTTGTAGGCAGTACACAAGTCCACCCTTTGTCATTCATATGCATCTCCTTAAACCACATTTAATTTCCAAATAAAGACAGCAAGGTAATCGTTTTGACTAACTTGATACAACTAACATGATACAACTATCCAGCATGCAATGAAAACACACTAATCCTGTCCCAGAATTCAGCATTCAGGATTTTAATCTTTTGTAGTTGTGATTTTGGGGATTTGGGGACTGCATCTTTCAAGATTATAATTGGCACTGGATAGAACTACTCAGTGGATTCAAACTGGCAGCTGGAATTCTTTCCCAGAAAAGCCAGGTTCCATTTGCTGGGACCAAATGACACAAATGAAGTTTCAAGTCTATTGCAGTGGAGCCCATCAAGCTCCAAATTGTCTGTGATTCCAGTTGTGGAAAGCCTGTGTGTTCTTTGACATCCACAGTGACTTCCTTTTTTTTTTTTTTTCCAATCAGGATGTTTAGTTTTCCTTAAAAATGATTTAAACGGCATCAGATGCCCTCTCTTTCACTCACTCTGCCACCCTCTCTCCTCCAGGTTAGCATTTTGTGTTCTCATTTCTACAGCACTTTCTCATTTCTACAGCACCTTATTTTCCTTCTGCTAAAGTGATTCCTCCTCATGCCTACACAGAGAAGTTTTATTTGCCCCTGAGGTGCTTGTATGTGAATTGAGAAGAATCTGCTTAGAGAAAGAGATGGTTTCGTATGTTTCAATCATGTAGACAGTTTATGAATCAAAAGGGATTTTTCAGACTGAGTTAAACAATCTATTTTTCTTCCTGTATGTGTCACCATTTTTCTGGAAACTCTTACTTATCAGGTACAACTTTCCTTCAGGAGGTTCTCTGACAGCTCAATCATGTTCTATGCTGGATCCCACAGTGAAGCCAGAAAGCTGAAAGTGTTTGCAGCTCTCATTTCCGTGGCAACTGTCTGAAGGACCAAATACGAGATATTGATTCACTGTAGGACCTAGCAGAAGAAGGAACTGAGTGGTGAGGAAAACCCCTTTTAGTCAGAAATTTTTCATTAGGAGGTCAAGACCTTTGAAAAATTAATGGAAAAGTACTGAACAATACCTTTACGTATTAAAAAAAAAAACGCACAAATGCTGTACTGTTCTTGACTAGGGAATTTTACATTTGTGTGTCATAACGAATCCATTTCCCCTTCACTGTCCCCTGCTCCGTCTTCTTTCCATAACTGTCAGTCTATCCATGCCTTTTTCTTTCCACTGTAACACGATACCTCTCTAACCCAGCAGAACTGGAAAAATACTTAACAGCTAAAATGCGCAACTGGATATGAATAATTCCTTACATTTATGGGGCTCTCTGAGCAATGGACCAGTAAATACTGCCCCAGTTGTGCTATGCAGATTCCCTGCATTATCTTGGGAAAAGAAAGTTTCCTGAGTAGGAGTCAACACGGGAAGTTGAATGGCTTTCCAGTTTCTCCTGCCTTAGATCTTTATTATTTAATTTCAAAGACTGAATTTTTAGAGCATTTCTTTCATAGTCAAATACAATTGTAATATGCATTGGAAGGTCAAATAAGATTTTTTTGGATAACCTACCATCGCCTTTGGCATGAAAAATCAAGAAGTCACTAAAATGTCCCCCACTCTGAGGGCAGAGGGATGATGTGCCTACGCCGCAGTTAGGCAGTATACATAATATCCATGAAAAGATTTAGGTTTAAGGTTGTTGCAGCCTTCAGAGGAAAACTGATAAAAACTTGAGCACTTTTATATATCAAGCTGTTTGGCTTTTTTCAGCCACATCTCAATTTCTATTTCATAGCAGCTGTGCTATGTAAAAAGGATCTGAGAGTTTTGAAAAGAATGTATTGCCAGGCACAGTACCTCATGCCTGCAATCCCAGCACTTTGGGAGGCTGAGAGGGGTGGATCAGTTGAGGTTAGGAGTTCGAGACCAGCCTGGCCAACGTGGTGAAATCCCGTCTCTACTAAAAATACAAAAAATTAGCCAGGTGTGGTGGCATACGCCTGTAATCCCAGCTACTCGGGAGGCTGAGGCAGGAGAATAGCTTGAACCCAGGAAGTGGAGGTTGCAGTGAGCCAAGGTCACGCCACTGCAACCCAGCCTAGGCAACAGAGCAAGACTCTGTTGCAAAAAAAGAAAAGAAAAGAAAGAATATATATATATGCACAAATGTAATTGCAAAAATCCATCATTTTTATAGCTAGCAATTAAATTGAGACACTTTTTATTATGATCATTATTAAGACATTTCTTTCAAAGTCACTGAGTAACCTATTAGAATCCATGTCATCATAAACTTCTTTATTAGGGGATCAGAGTGAGACAGAGAATTAAGGTAGTTATCCAGCAAGAGTGAAACCCCTAATTTGTATTATTGCAACATAGTTGTCCTGTAGTCTATGTTTTTAGCTCCCATCTATCATTTCTTAGTGTTCATTTATCAAGTTTCTTTATTTCTCATAACTTCTAATAATTTTTTAGAAACACTGAGTAAACTCTGCCATTATAAGTCCTGAAGGGAATTTCCTACATAAATGGACCAAAATCACAAAACCCTGTAAGCAGTTAGGCAAAATTCTTCCTCAAAGTTATGTCAATCAAGATGTTAACATAAAGATCTACCTTTCTTTAGCGCTCAGACACTAAAAAGGAATTGTATGTTTGTAATATCGTCCCTATGTTACGTTTTTGTTGATTATTATATGTATATTAGTATATATATATACACACACACACGTCTACACAGACACTCATAAAACAAATCGTTTGCATCTTCAGTTTCTTGGTGTTGTTTTGCTTTCTTAGGCACATGCTTTTTTCATCCTTGTAACCTCAAAGGACAAAGTATTTTACATGCTTTATCATTGTTCGTTAATACCGTTGATAGTTATAACAATGAGCCTTAGTTCAATATTAACATATTTATTAATTGACAGCTTTTTGACTTGCTGTATGATTTTTAAAAATTATTATTAATATCATTTTTAATGGACAAATTATAATTTTATACATGTACGGGGCACAATGTGATGTTTTGTTATACAGCTTGTATAGAAGGTGGCAATGATTAAATCAAGCTAATTAACATATCCATCACCTTGATTACCTATCATTTTTTATGATGAGATATTTGAAATTTACTGTTAGTGACAGTTTTTTTATATTTATAATACTACATCCCAAATTTTAGAAGACATTTAAAAAAATTTTACTATGATTTATAAATTACTACTACTGTTATGACTTTTGCTATGATTTCTAAAAGAAATATACCATATATGTCAGGTGAAAGTTGAGCAGTGCTAGGGCCAGGGTGTTATCCCCATCTCCTCCAAAGCTTAAGAGGGTGGGCATCTCGAAAGTGTGTATGCTGGTGTCCAGGGACTCTAGGGGATTTTGGCCTGTACCTGGGACCCTCCTTCCTGGCCTCCTAACAGCTGGTAGCTCTCTCATAGGAGAGCTCATGAAGTGGCCAAAAGTAGTGATCAGGGTCAGACACATCCCCATTTCTGTAATTCAAAGAAAGGGGTATCTTGCTGAGGCAGGTGGATCACTTGAGCCCAGGAGTTCAAGACAGCTTGGGCAATATGGTGAAATGCTGTCTCTACTAAAAATAGAAAAATTAGCCAGGTATGGTGGCCTGTGCCTGTGGTCCCAGCTACTCGGGAGGCTGATGTGGGAGGATCACTTGAGCCAGAGAGGTCAAGGCTTCAGTAAGCCATGATTGCCCCGCTGTACTCCAGCCTGGGCAAAAGAGCAGGACCTTGTAAACAAAAAAAAAAAAGGAAAGAAAAAAAAGAGAGAAAGAGAGAAAAGAAAGAAAGAAAGGAAGGAAGGAAGGAAGGAAGGAAGGAAGGGAAAGGAGTGTCTTGATGTGTTTTAAAGAGAATGTAACTGTGGCAGGGGCAGTGATGTATCTGGCCTTTGGGTACGTGGAGCTAAGATCAAATTCTCCTAGTGTTTTCCCCTTTCCTCTCTTGCCCCTGCTTCTCTCAGAACACTTATGCTCTCCCACAGCAGAGCAGGGGAACTTCTTCCACACAGGAGAAGTCGGCCTTCTACTGCACCAGAGCCTCCCATCTCTACCTACCTCTAAGAAGAGCCAGCACCTGTGCAACTGGCCTGGCTAGGGGTGGAGGCTTCCATTGGCCCAGAGTGAGTGGCAGTTAGCCCTGAGCCACTCAACAACGTGTAAGAGCATGCATTTCTGAGAGAATATTAAAAGTGGTTTTGGTAGTAGATACACAGAATTGATTCACGTGGTGGTCTCAATTTGTAAGCCCATGGTTCAAGCCACTATTATCTGAAGGTGAAGTCTTAAAAAGTATTTGAACTATATGTAAGATGTGATATATAGATCTATATTCATTTTTAAGTACCAGTTATATTAAAGGAAGGCTGGAAAATCTCAAAGTTTAAAAAATTTTATTAAATTTTTATAGTTAAGATACATGGTTTCAATGATGTATTTTGCTGACTATAAAATTTGTGGGGAAACAAATGATAATTTACATGATCTCTTTTAGGATGTGAGACATAGACTGTGGAGGGAAATTGCTTTCAGAATTGAAAAAGAAAATTCTAGTGATAAACAGGGAGACTACATGTCTATATTGAATACTTTGGTTTTTAAAACTGTGAGATAAGCCACATGAGGATTGCTTGAGCCCATGAGTTCGAGGACAGCTTGGACAACATAGCAAGGCCCCATCTCTCTCTCTCTGAAAAAAAAAAAAAAAAAAAAAAGAGAGAGAGAGAGAGACAAAATGAATACAGTTATAAAGTTTTAACTGAGGAAAAAAGTTAGTAAAATTGATGTTACTGAACAACCTCAGAATTATCTCAGAAAGGTAATGTTGAGAGTTTATATCAGAATAAATTTATATCCCAATGTTAGAGAAAAGTTTAATCTCTGAGCTCTGAACTGAATAAGTTAATGCACGTTTATGGAATTTTCAAAGAAATGGAACATGCACATGGTTTCTACTGCCTTAGTTTCTTCAAAATCAACTTTTCTTCTAACAAAACATGACCATTACTTTTCCATGAAAGAACTAGAGATTCTTCCAAAAGATAAGTCATTGCGAAATGAGAGTCTTACCTTGAAGACATGAAAGAAGGTTGCATTCAAGGTGTATCCAGTCTTCCACAGTTGGAACATAGGAAAAATTTTTCCCAAAGAAATCATGAACAGAAGAGGAATGAGTCTTAGGAATTTTTTTTTCTTTTCTGAGATGGGGTCTTGCCATGTTACTCAGGCTGGTCTTGCAATCCCGGGCTCAAGGAGTCCTCTTGCCTCAGCCTCCCAAGAAGAGTCTTAGGAATTCTAAATGCTGGTTACCCCTGATCCCTCCAGCATTCAAACTGATGCTGCATCCAGCAAAAGATCACCAGCCAAATGAGAGACATTAAGCATTGATTTATTAAAAATCTGCACAACTCCCTGAATAAAGGATTTTCAGTATTTTGAGATGGAGAATTCGTCTTAGGCCTGAGACTACAGTAGAATTTTCTTTGCAAATATGAATCATGGGAACCATAGGCTCAGGTATGTCTGGGAAGGAAGGAGAGGGAGGGAGGGTGGAAGAGAGAGAGAAAGAGACAGAGAGAGACAGAGAGAGAGAAAGTGCAGAGCAGACTCCAAGTCCATGAAGACAAACGTTGTGTGGGAGGACACAGACCTGAAAGATAGTGGCAGGTCCTCACAGCCTTTCAATACAGCAATTCTGCCCACTTAGGAAAGGAGGCCCAATAAAATTTAATCAACTAGCCCTCCTCTTCCTCTGAAAAGGGCAAACAAGGAAGAGAAAGCATAAAGGGAGAAGGAAATCCAAGCAATGAGGAAGAAGTCGTCTCCCAACTGACTACTGATATCAGTCAGTTATATTTTGGGGTTAAATGGGTTTTTGTTGTTTGCCTGGAAACATTATAATATTGTTTCTATGGGCAAGAGTGTTCTGAGTTCTAAATAAATGACTCATAAATGAAGTTTTGGACTGCAACATATCAGGACAATTGAGCTTATTTTTCACATTAACTGTACATGCCCCTCATGTACTATGATGATATGTAGGACTGGGCTTTGTCAGCAATGACTGGATGGTCCTCTCAGAGTTCTACAAAATGAGAGTGTAGATACATTTTCTTCTTAGGCTATGCCAGGAAACACACACATTTCAGCAAATAATACAAACTAGGATTAATTTAATCACTTGCTAATTTAGCAAATGCAGTCCAAGGGGAAATTATTTTAGAAATAATAGCATTTTTTTCTGTTTTAACTTCTACCACACTTATTCACTGAACTAGATAAATGATTTTATCAGTTAGCTTTAGAAATTTTTTGTTTTGTTTTTGGTAGAGGTAGGGTTTTGCTGTGTTGCCAAGGCTGGTCTGAAACTCCTAGGCTCAAATAATCCTCCCACCTTGGCCTCCCAAAGTGCTAGGATTACACGCATGAGCCACCGCACCTGGCCTCAATTAGCTTTTGGTACCTTAAGCCCTACCCCAAAATTCAGTGGCTTAAAATAAAAACTATTTATATGACTCACGTGTCTGAGGGCTGACTGATTGAGGCTGAGCTATCTGGGCAGCACCCTTTCAAGTTATGTATCCAGGTAGTCTTGGCTGCTCACAATGATTTGGGCTCAGGTTGGCTTCCAATGTGCTCATTCTTGTGCTTAGGCTGAGGGGACAGAATGTTCGCAGAAGTTCTTCTTATGGTGAGAGCAGATGTGCAAGAGGGCATGAAGCAAATTCAAGGCATCTTAAGGCCTAAGCTCATCATGGTACTTTGTCATTTCCACTTCCTTCAGTTGCCCAAACCAAGTCATATGGCTGAACCCAAAGTTAAGGTGTGAAGAAATATATTCTGCTTTGTTAGTGGGAAGAATTGCAAGGTTCACTGAAATGGCTGTGGACACAGGAAGGGGCTGACTTGATGGGAAAGTTCCTGGCTGGCTTGGAATTGAAGTCAATTATGCAATCTACCACAATGATTATGAGCCCAATGGACTCAAATTAGTTCTACCTGGAGAGTCAGGTGTCCATGTTTGGGGATAAGGGCAAAGAAACAGGGCAAGCTCTTTGTAACTGAACCCAGCTTTGGCTGATCAAAAGCCAAACATGAGAGAGAAGAATTAGTGGCAGAAAAAGCAGGCTTATTCATAAAGCCAGCAAAACGGAGAAAATGGTGAACTAGCTTAGAACTTAACTTCTAAAGTACCGTCTTATATTTTCCTGCCTGGCAAGAGGGTTTTTATGGGAGGCGAATATGAGGAAGAAAAGGTGGTTTGGATCAAGAGATGATGATGATTGCAGGCATCTGGGCGCCAGCTAGGGTCCAAGGAAGTTGGGATCTTCTTTGTCCTTGGTCAGGTCACAGTGATCCTGTAAGTCTTTAACAAAACGTAGCCAATTGTTTATATACTTTTCCTTTAATCCCAGAGTTAGTTTTTAAAACTGCATGATTATTGTTTTTGCATTTTATCTCAGTGCTCTAAAATTATCCTAGTTTACATGTAAGAATGGGGAAGCCCCTTAAAAATGGAGTTAGTTGTGTTAGTTCTTTTGCTGTTTTACTGTTACCTTTTGAGTGGCATGCTTTGCAAAGGCACAGTGCTTAACTCTGCCATTTAAAGATTCAAGACCTGGCCAGGCATGGTGACTCACACGTGTAATCCCAGCACTTTGGTATGCTGAGGCAGGAGCATCACTTGAGCCCAAAAGTTAATGACCAGCCTGGGCAACACAGTGGGATACCGTCTCTACAAAAACAATTAAGAATTTTCTGGGTGTGGTGATGCAAGCCTGTGGTCCCAGCTGTTCGAGAGGCTGAGGCAGGAAAAGGGCTTCAGCCCAGGAGTTTGAGGTTGCAATGAGCTATCATTGCACCCCACTCTCCAACCTGGGCAACAGAGTATGACTCTGTCTCAATAAATAAATGAATAAATTAATTAATACATGCATAAATAAATTAATTAATTAAAAATAAAAGACTCAAGATTTTCCTGAATTTGAATTTTAAAAGTTTGATCCACTAGTCCTGCAGTGGTTGCTGCATCCCTATTTCTTCATCTCAGAGCTGTGGCAAGTAGAGCTAGCTAGGAACTTTCCTATTAAGTCAGGTTAATGGGTAGTGGATGCCCAACAGAGACAGAAGCACCAAGGGAGGTACTATGGGAAGCATGTGCACCTTCTCACCAGCTTTGAAAAATTCCAATTAATTGGGGAAGTCTATTTTTAATTTTTATTTTTTAAGAGATGGGATCTCACTCTGTTGCCCAGGCTGGAGTGCAGTGGCACCATCATAGCTCACTCTAACGTCAAACTTCTGGGATCAAGTGATCCTCCTGCCCCAGCCTCCTGAGAAGCTGGGACTACAGCTATTCACCACTACCCTTGGCTTGGAAAGTCTTAAGAAGGGCCATGAAGTGCTGGCGATATACCTCTGGCTCCCTACCTAATCAGGATTACGAGGCAGAGAGAGAGAGACTGCAGGGCAATCCAAGTCCATGAAGACAAACATTGTGTGGGAGGACACAGACCTGAAAGATAGTGGCAGGTCCTCATAGCCTTTCAATACAGCAATTCTGCCCACTTAGGAAAGGAGACCCAATAAACTTTAACCAACCAGCCCCTCCTCTTCCTCTGGAAACAGCAAACAAGGAAGAGAGAGGGAGCTGGCGATATGCCTCTGGCTCCCTACCTAATCAGGATTGCAAGAGGAGAGAATGATAAGTAACTGGTTTGGTGACTATGCTTGCTTTTATTGGGATGGTATAAATATAAAAGTTTTATACTTTACTATAACAATTGTGGAACAAAATTTTTACAAATTTTTAGCCCGTTTTGGTTATTAAAACATTCTAATTCTCCTATATAATATTCAGTCCTGTCCTCAAACTCATTGAAAGTTTGTCTTCTTCTTCCTCTAACTCAGGGTAGTTCTGCCTCAAAAGATCTGTTCTGTATCCATTTTTCTCCTCCTCTTTTCCTAATTTCAAGTGGGGATGAGGGAGGAAGGGCAGACTTACAGACCTCTTCTTGGTTGGCCATGATGCATTTCTATTCAATGCAGTCAACATCCTGATGAGGAGGTGCTAACATCCTTTGCGAATAAAGGGTTTATTTGGGTGAAGATTCCTTAGGCACTGGCTCTCCTTTGCCAGGCTTGGCCTTCTATTCCAGGCAGGCCCAGTTGATGGCATTTAGCCTGCAATGCATGTGCCTCTTAGCCAGCATCCTCTTTTCCAATATACACATAGCCTACCCTGCAGACATTGTCCAAGACTAGCCCTAATTCTCATTTTTCAGCAAAGTGTTAGGTCAGCAGGCACATATAGGATCCATCTTCTAATAGAGACTGACAAATTAAGAACAGAGTGGTCCTTGGACCTCACCATGCTCTCTCTCTCCAGATCTCTTTGCTCCTATTCCAGTTACATGGGGGTTAAGCAACATGTCCACTCTTGAAGCAAATCCCCATTATGATGATAAAAATGCTGGTCTCCAGTCTGGATAACAGAGCAAGACTGCATCTCTACTAAAAAATTTGAACAACTTAGCTGGTGGCATGTGCCTGTAGTTCCAGCTACTGTGGGTGCTGAGGCAGGAGGATCGCCTGAGCTCAGAAGTTCAAGGCTGCAGTGAGCTGTTATTATGCAACTGCACTCTAGCCTGGGTGACAGAGCAAGACCCTGTCTTAAAAAAAATATATTGTTTCCTCTTCTTGTAGGCACCTGGATCTTTAGAAGAAATTCTGGTTGCTTTTTTTTCTCCCTTTCCATGAGCTTTGGGGAGAGGAAAGCTATACCTCTTTTCCTTTCAGTCCTTTCAGCGGACAGGAAGCAGAGATGGGAGAAGCTTGGGATTAGTGGCAGGAGCAATCATGCTGCTTGAAGCCCCAGGAGAATGTGATAAGCTCCAGCTTCTGGCAGATCTCTGATTTTAAAATGTGGAGGTACTCACTGGATTTTTACTTTAGTTTGGGGTCCTAGTTGCAGTTCAGGAACAACAGGAAAGGTCTTATGATGTGTCCTATCTGCTTTGGAACCAGGCTTATCTTGGTTCAAAACTGGGCTCTGCTACTTACTATTGAGTCTCATTCTCTTCATCTATAAAGTGGTGTCACTAGTGCCTACTTCTCAGGGTTATTTCAATGATAGAATAAATGAATAACTGTCACTTGACTTCCACATTAGAGGTATTCATCACTATTAATGAAAAATCACTATCTTCTCTCACCACCTCATCCTCCATGTCCACTTCCTGCTCCTTGCTTACCCCACATTTGTGCATGTCTAGATCTATGCAGACAGACATAAATGTGTACATGTGCATGTATAAAACGTAGGTCTTTTGACATTTTTCTCCTTGAATCCGTAAGTTATGTTATAGGTGCAATAAAAATATATTTGGAATGTAAATCTTCAACACTCAGTCTCAATGCTCCTAAATTCTTCTATGATTCATCACGTCATAATTATCGGGTATGGACTCGCTATTTCCTGCAGCACACTGTGTAGGTGTTATTATTACCAGAAATCCTCCATAATGCTACCCAGTCATTTCAGCCTCTGTTTCTACAGAAATGACTAGGATGAAAGAAAAGGAAGATTAAAACAAAGAAATGTGATTGTTTTCATGTTTTACCATCAAGAATATCCTTTTAGTTAAAATGAGATTATTTAAATGAGAATAAACAAATTTAAATAAAAAAGTTTTGATGTTGATTTCTAAACTGAGTAGGGTTTTACCTGACAAAATCTACAAAGCAGAAGATTTATCCTCAAAATATATCAGCCACACAGCATCACTACTCATGCTTTTATGCCTTTAACTATGGTAGGTTTTCTAAAAGCTTAGTAGATCAAGAGCTTTTTAGGTTACATGGGCTCTATGTTTAGAGAAAGGAAGAAGTAGTTCAATCATTCAACAAACATTTATTAAGCATCAAATTACATAACTTATAAGCTTCTGACCCTCTTCTCCACTGCTGTAAAGTTTAGAGCTTAGAGTCTAATAGAGGAGAAATAAACAACAACAAAATCACACTTCCATCTCCTTCCATCCTCCTTCATTACCTAACATGGGCTCCACCAGCTCCAACACCAATTTGGACATCCTCAACTGTGAAGCAGTTTTACTGCGCACCGGTTACCAACTTGTCTGAGCCCAGTGAGGCAGAGCACCCACACACACAACGAGTTATGTGAAGAGGGTTTATTACTCACCAACAGGCAGCAAAGGACAACAGAATCCGGATTCACTGTGAGCTGTTCCCTCAAGGCCCAAGAAAGCTGGCCAGGATGGACGGAACATGGACTGTGCTCCCTTACTTGCAACGCAGGAAAGGGACTCTGAAAGGCAGCCTGCCCCAGGTGATATACTTCAGGGTCACATGACACACTGGGCTGAAGTGTGGAGGACATCCTGTGCTGTCCGTGGGAAGGCCTGGAACAGAGCCCAGGCTGTTCCGGCCAGCTCCTCCCTTATCTCAGGATGGTGCATTCCCAGCACATTCTGCAGTTATTATTGAGAACTGCAAGTGAAAAAGGGAGAGAACTGGGCCAGTCCAAGGCTGCCTAGAGAACTGTCCTGCACCAACACTACTATGACCACCTCAATTATCCCAAAGCAGTCTCAGGAAGATCTGCTATATTTGCCCTGCAGATCAAAGCCTATAAGAATTAGAGAAATCTTGATTAACTGCATCCTAAATTTTACCATCTGCAAAGTCTACATAATATTTTCCTGGTTTGTCATATTAACCAAGTTACCAAGTGTCTTCCTTAGGTAGCAGTAGGTAAACAAATACACCTGGAATGCCTGCTCTCAGGCTCTGCTTCCATTGACACTTGTGTGGGCACACACACAGACCCTAAGAGTAACTGGAAATTAAGTAGGATCTTGGTTTGATTTTATTTTTACACAGAGAAAGCATAAGGAATGCATTCATAGTTATGGCTGATTTCAACTAGTACAAATGACTACAATAGTTCTAACATAACAACAAAAGATTCCACGAGCCTTTATGCACACAAAAAGACAATGGGCAAGGAATCGGAGTCAGCATGTTGGAACTGAAAGGGTCTCAAAAATCACTACTCCAAATCTTTCATTTTACTAATAAGGAAATTTAATCCTTTATATCAGGAAAAATTGTGAAAGAATGGAAAAAAAGTAAAGATCACTGGACATCCTTTCTAGCACACCTTCCAGGTCATCTGGTTCTACAGGGGGTCAGAGACTTCAGTCTTTTAACAATTTTATAACTCAGTAATGAAAATGATTTTTCCTCAAAGAAAAGCCAAGGAATATTTTCATGTAGAATAAAACTGGCTATGGCTCTGTGGATATTGACAGTTTTCTATCTGTTTGCAAATTCATTTCAGCATCCCCAATAGCCGATTAATGTGTACTTTTGAGCTGGTTATATCTTCTTACTGGTTTCTTCATTAATGAGTTAAATAATATATTTGATATGTGCTTTTTTTCTTCTTTTTTTTTTCTTTTGAGACAGAGTCTCGCTCTGTTGCCAGGCTGGAGTGCCGTAGCACTATCTCGGCTCACTGCAACCTCCACCTCCCGGCTCAAGCGATTCTCTTGCCTCAGCCCCCTGAGTAGCTGAGATTACAGGTGCGCACCACCACGCCCAGCTAATTTTTGTATTTTCATTAGAGACAGGGTTTCACCATGTTGGTCAGGCTGGTCTCGAACTCCTCACCTCGTGATCTGCCCGCCTCAGCCTCTCAAAGTGCTGGGATTACAGGCGTGAGATATGTGCTTATTTTATATTTGTATGGGAGTCATGACTTTACTTTTTAAAAAAATCCTTTAACATCTACCTGCAACATCTGATTGGAATACTAAATGAAGGCTATCAGTTATTTTTAGCAATGATCAAACTAGGTTTGATCATTAGAAATCTTAGAAATAGATTTACTATTTCTAAGTGCTTTACATATATTTTCTTATTTTAGTCTCATAGTCACACCATGAAGTATATATTATTAGTCTTAATTTTATAGATTAGGAGATTGAGGCTTGGGTGAAATAAGTGGTTTGACCACAGCTGGACGTGATAGAGCCAGAATTTGAACCTAGATTGGTCAGACGCCAAAGCCGCTACTCCTAAGTATGAGGCCACAGGAAATTCCTGCTTTGCTTTGGGCCTCATTTTGTCTACCTATAAAATGGATTTTTAAATATCTGTTTACCTCCAGAATACAATAAAGAGATTGCCCTTTGTTATGGACCAGTTGAGTCCCTCCAAAATTTATATGTTGAAGTCCTAACCCACAGAACTCGAAAATGTGACTGTATGTGGAGATAAGGTCTTTAAAGAAGTAATTCAGGGCCGGGCTTGGTGGCTGACACCTGTAATCCCAGCATTTTGGGAGGCCAAGGCAGGCGGATCACGAGGTTAGGAGATCGAGACTAGCTTGGCCAACATGCTGAAACCCTGTCTCTACTAAAAATACAAAAATTAGCCAGGTGTGGTAGTGCACACCTGTAATCCTAGCTACTCACGAGGCTGAGGCAGGAGAACTGCTTGAACCTGGGAGGCGGAGGTTGCTGTGAGCTGACATTGTGCCACTGCACTCCAGCCTGGGCAACAGAGAGACTCTGTCTCAGAAAAAAAAAAAAGAAAAAGAAGCAATTCAGTTAAAATGAGGTCATAAGAGTGGGCCCTAATCCAACACGATGGGTGTTCTTATAAGAGGAAAAAATTAAGAAACAGTCACATACAAAGAGAAGACCATTTGAAGACACAGTAAGAAGGCAGCCATCTGCAAGCCAAGGAAAGATGACTTAAAAAGAACCAAACTTGCTGACACCTTATCTCCAACTTCCAGCCTCCAGAAAATAAAATTCTCTTGTTTAAGCCTCCCAGTCCATGACACTTCATTGTAGCAGCCCCGGAAAACTAATACATCCTGAATGTGCTTTAATCACTAAGAATATAGGGTAGAGGGCCAGGGTGGTGGATGGGGACATACTCCCTTGGCTTAAAGACTTGGCAACCACATAACACTTTTGTGTGAAGAAGCAGGTGCACCTTCGTCTGGGGACAAGGCTTAGTGAGGGAAGAATGGGCTGGATTTGGGCTTCTAGCCCCTCTCACCCCCTTGGCTGGCCTCGATGTAAAGCAGTAAATGCACAGCTGTGCTCACAGGCCCTGTGAGCACAAGGCCATGTGCCACCAAGACATGAAGATGGTTCCTTAGTAAGACACAAACTCCACCGGAATTAAAGGCCAGTCATTCCCTTCCCTCCTTCTTTCCGCCCAACTCCTCCAGCTGCCTACCAAAATCACATTACTATACCCTCAACCTGAGCTGCCTGAGAATTAAGTAAGGGATATCCTGGCTGAGGGGGCTGGAGGGCATGAGTGAGGACTGTGAGTGGGCAAATGCTCAAGGACTTCATGAGATAACTATAACTATAACAACTCTTTGTTGTAAGAGTGAATAAAATCACAAGTAAGAAAGAGATTTAATTCTCCCCAGTGCAAGAAAGAGAAAGAAGTGCCCCTTCCAATCTCTTTTCCTAGAGCATTTACTTACAAATCTTGTTTTTTGTTTCTTTTCAATTTTATTTTTTGTGGGTACATAGTAGGTGTACATACATGAGATGTTTTGATACAGGCATGCTATGTGTGCTATGTGTAATAATCACATCATGTAGAAAGCAGTCTCCATCTCCTCAAGTATTTATCCTTTGTGTTACAAGCAATCCAATTATACTCTTTTAGTTACTTTTTAAATGTATAATTAAATTATTATTGATTACAATCACCCTGTTGTGTTATCAAATACTAGGTCTTATTCATTTTTTTTTAATACTCATTAACTAACCCCCTTCCCCCCACTATACTTCTCAGCCTCTGGTAATCATCCTTCTGCTTTCTATTACTTAAGAACACTTGTAATTGTGAATTCTTTCTTTGCCCCCATTGAGATGTATGTAAATCTTTTTAAAAGCTAAATAAGCCTCTTGCCAATTTTACAACCCAAGAATGTTTCCTCAAGCACCTGGAAGCCATCTCTTTGAAATGTACTATCCAGAATGATAGAAAGATAGAGCTCCTACATCCCAGGTTCTGTGGGAAAATCAGAGCCTAACTCCACCAGATGCCTTGCTCCAAATTGCAAAACTATCTCCTGTGATAAAGTTTTAAGAAGTTTATTTTTCCTTTGTATAAAGCCAATTTAGCTCACACAGATGGTCACCCCAAATACCAGGTGAATTTAAGATGAATTATGTGTGACAAATAATAGGTGTTGTTTAGTCTTCTTACTTGAAGGCTAGTGATCATTTATCTTGAAAACATGTACATAACGGGTTGTTTCTGCCTGGCTATATAAAAGGGTGAGATTTGTTTCTGTTTTTGCAATCTCTTAGTGGATTGCCTGTGATACACATCACATTTTGGTTTAATGATTATTCAATAGTAAAACTGTTTTCTTTCTTTTCTGTTTTTATGGAGAACTTTTCTTCGTTGCCAGAAGATTTTGTTTTTAATTTATATTTCCCCAATTTTATCCTCAAACTCATTTACATTGTGTTATTTGGCATGTTCTCTGTTACAAGAAACAAAAGTCCCTACTTAACTAGTTTACACAATAAGGGAAATATATGCTCTTATACAGAAAGAATTCAGAGATAGGGTGTCTTCAAGACTGGTTAATTTAATACTTCAACGATATTATCAGGGACCCAAGTTCATATTTCTATCATCATTAATGTGTTGGCTTGTTCTTAAGATAGTATTCCTTATTGTCATAAGATAGTTATGTCATGTCCAAATTTAACAATGTCAGGAAGAAGATATCTTGCTGCCCTTTTAATCAGAAAGGTAACTGTATTAGTCCGTTTTTACACTGCTATAAAGAACTACTTAAAACTGGGTAATCTATAAGGAAAAGAGGTTTAATTAACTCACAGTTCCGCATGGCTGGGGAGACTTCAGGAAACTTACATTCATGGTGGAAGTCAAAGGGGAAGCAAGACATGTCTCACTTGATGGCAGGAGAGAGAGAAGAGGGAGAGAAAGAGAGCAAAGGTGGAAGTGCCACACATTTTCAAACATTCAGATCTTGCAAGAACTCACTAGAACTCACTTGCAAAGGAGAAGTCCGCCCATAATTCAGTCACCTCCCACCAGGCCTCTCCTCCAACATGTGGGGATTACAATTCGAGATGAGATTTGGGTGGGGACACAGAGCCAAACCATAACAGTAACCTTTTCCAGAATTTCTCCAGCAGACTCCCATTTTGTTTAACTGGCCAGAACTCGGTTGCAAAAAACAATCATTGACAAGGGAAATGAAAGTACTGTGACAAGCTTTAATTAATCAGTGTCTACTTAAGTCATGCTGGGGAGAAGGAAACAGCCTCCCACCCCTATCCAAATGAAAGTTCTGTCAGCAAGGACTAGAGTAGGCAGTCAAAAAACTCTGTTACATATTGCACCAGTAATTTATATTAAAGGGGCAGGTTACTGAATCTGAATTAAAGAGCAACATTTTATTAAGACATCAAGTGATTTGTAAAAAAAGATATTTAAGCAGTACACTTAACCAAACATTTCTTGAGGTTTTTGCTGGGAAAGCATCTTCCAAAACATCACTTTGCTCAGACTTACTAATAGCTAATTATTGATGACACTACTGCAAACAATCATATGACCTTTACTCACAGAAGGGCATTATGATATAAAATACCAGAAATTTGTTCTCCCTGGAATTTTTCAATGTATCGGAGAGATCATCATTTCTTGGATTTTAGGTAGAGCAATGTCAATTAATGAAATCAATAAAAGATGAGCTAGTAGAAAGACTTTAGAAACATCTACATTTTAATACAACATTTTGACATCTAAATGAACAAGAGAGAAATGAAAAATGCTACCTTCCATGATAAGTATATTTGGTTATTGCACTAGTGCTGTTTCTATTTACCATGTCCTTTCCTCCCTACCTGCCCCTACCATATAAAATAAGATATGCACAATTCATTGTACACATACCCAGAAACAAGAATCTTTCTTTCATGACTATTTTCTCTGTTCTTTTTTCCTCCCAACTGTAAATATCATGGAACTATTTCTTTGCCCACTGGAAAAGAAATTCTGTGAAATTGGACTCACCATAATGAAGATACTTTCCATGAATAACAGCTGTTACTCGACTTTATCGACTGCCTTAGTCAATTACAATGGCCTCTAACATTTTTTTTCCTTCTGGTTCCTCTAATCATTTTTTTTTTCTTCTGTAGGGAAGGTCTTGCCATAAAATGCCAGGTCTCATTGAAGTATCAACAACCTTTTTCTCAAGAATAATAACAGTGGCACTACACTAAACACACAAAGCTTGATGAAGAAACCCTTTTGGTAACTTTCATTGTTATTCCTCTGGCAAGAATATGCCTTTGCTCTGAGGTTACCACTTTCGCAGTTCTAGAAACTTTTGCTGGATGCATATGACTATAGGGTCATATATAAGCCTAGAAATGCTGATGCCTTGAGTCATTGGACACTAAAGATCCCAGATTACATTGCACTGGCTCCATTAAAATGCTTTTAAAACCTTCATGACCTGCTTCATCAGGTTGATAGAAATGAACAACAAATTGCATAAATACTAGATGGATCACATAAATGATGTAGATGATGAATCTGAGTCACTTAAAACTCCGGTGTAAATTTTTTACCCCAAAAGATATTTTTATGGCTCCAGCCATATTGGCTGCTATCTCTGTTGATTTCTGCCACATGAGTCTTTGCCCATGCTATCCCCTCCTCCTGTAATATTTTTCCTTGTATGTTTACATAGTTACTCCCTATTTTCTGATCTCAGCTCAGTTGCCATTTCCTTATGGAAGCCTTCCCAGACTTTTCATATAACGTCAAAACCCTCTAGTATATGCTCATAGTTCACCATTTACTTTTGCTTTATATACTTACCATAGAGATAATTATATATTTGTTTGTGCAAATTCAATTATTCCTTATTCAACTAATGTGTGTCTATTTCATAAAGATAATACCTAGCAGTGTTTAGAATATAAGGGACATTTAATGAATATTTTCTAAATAAAAGAAAAAATTAGCTTGCTTTCATGTTTTAGGTAATTATAGTGTTAGCTTAGTCATATTCCATCCAAATTTTCAGGGAATTATCTCCACGAAAATGTTGTCTGTAAGCTATGAGATTGATTCTGAAATTGAAGAGATGATACTTGAGCAAAGCCCAGGTGACAGCTTTTAGGTAGATATTTGGCATAATTTGCAAAGGTATTTCTTCTCCATGGAGAGTGAGTGTGAATTCTTGGGTAATAATTCAGAGTTACTTAATAGGATTATTACAAAAAGATATGTGCTTTAAGGATTTCTCTAGGCTCAAACCGCTGCAATTTGACACAGAACTGAGTAAAGCTTTATCTTAGCTCATGTGACTAAAGCAAACAGTCAATGAAAGGAAAAAGTGAGATTTTTCTGCAGAGAGACATTAGTAGGTATTAGCTGCTTTCAAATTCTTGGGTGATGAGTTTTGAATTCAACATAAAAGCAAGTGAGATTCTTTGTATCATATCTTTTGTGGAAATCTGAGACCCAAACCTTTGCTAACACTCTAGCAGCCTATTTTAAAAAGAACAACTCTTTTGTGGGAAAACAATTACTTACTTGTGGATAAAGATGCCAGAAGTTGCAGTGACCAGCCAAGGTGAAAACCTCCATGTGGCCCAAAGTTTAGAGTCTCTTGTCTAGGCTGCAGGAGTTAAAAGCCATCTCTGTGACTGCAAAACCTAGCTGTATTGCCCAATACAGGCTGAAGACCACAAAGTTAAGAAGTCTGCTGTTCCCCTGAATGTTTGTGTCCCCCCAAAATTCGTATATTGAAGCCCTAACTCCCAGTGTGATGTGGTCTGGAGGTGGAACCTTTGGGAAGTAATTAGGTTGAGATGAGGTCATGAGGGTGGGACCCCCATGGTGGGATGAGTGTCCTTGTACAAAGAAGAAGAGACACCCGAGAGCTCCTAACACCTCTCTCTCTCTCCCTCTTTGCCATGTGAGGACACAATGAGAAGGTAGCCATGTGCAAGCCAGAAAGAGGGCCCTTACCAGCAACAAAATCTACCAGCTCCTTGATGTTGGACTTCTCAGCCTCCAGAACTGTAAGAAATAAATATCTGTTATTTAAGTCACCTAGTCTATGATATTTTGTTATAGCAGCCAAAGCTGACTATGACACCCCCATAGACTTGACTTAATGTATTAATTTCTTAGGGTGACCTTAGCAAAGTATCATAAACTGTGTGGCTTAAAACAATAAAAACCTATTGTCTCACAGCTGTGGAGGTAGAAGGCTAAAATCAAGGTGTCAGCAGGACCGTGCTCCTTCCAAAACCTGTAAAAAAAATCCCTCCTTGCTTCTTCCTAACTTCTGATGGTTTGTTTGCTGGCAATCTTTGGAATTCCTTAACTTGCAATGACACAACTTTGATTTCTGCTTTCATTGCTCCCTCTGTCTCTGTCTTCATGGCCATTTTCTCATAAGGACATCAGTCACATTGGATTAGGGCTCCACCCTACGCATGACTTCATCTTAACGAATTTTATCTGCAACAACCCCGTCTTCAAATAAGGTCACATTCTGAGGTACTGGGGATTAGGATATCAACACAGTGTTTCTTTGCCAGAGTGTGGGAGGCACAATTCACAACCCCTAACACCTAGCACGACCTACAGAAACTTAAAGTTACTCTCCCTGGCCCTGCCAAATGCTTTTATCTCCAGGTGTTAAGATGAACTCCAATATTCTATCGTAGTTTGTTTTTCAAATAATAAAAAAAATTCTCCCTATACAAGTTCTGAAGTAATAAAAAACAGATATAAAGGAGTTTGTTGGCATCTGAAGGTAAAACGAAGCTTTCTTTTTAAACTGATAAAATCTTGGCTGGAAGACATGGTTTCTACCTATGTGCGGTGGGGGGGCTTCCTAATACTGAAGCCCGAATTCAATTTACCCACCCAGTGGCAGGCAACCACACCACACACACATCACTGATTAATAAGGATGCTCCGAAGTTCTATCATGGCTTTTGCATTTTATCAAGGGGCTCACTGACAGATCCAGCTTTCAGGTTATTTCTTACATCCTGGAACTTACGGGTAATCAGAGATCATGTGATATCATCATGAGGTAACCATCGGAGCTAATCAGTGTAACAGTAACAGTAACACAAATAAGAGATGTGAACAGGAGGTGCCATTTGGATTTACCCTGATTTGAATAAATATCTGAATATTCAGTTTCAAATTATGGGCAAATAGTCTACATTGAACTTATGTTTAAACTTCTTAACAAATTCTGAAAAGATGACGGTAGAAAAGATGGTGGTAGAAGTGGCATAGCTTTTAGATCTTCTCGAATTCCCACATTTAAAAAGACGGTAAAATTAAAAAACCAATGGACAACATTTACAACACAACCAAGTGACAAGGTACTTACTGAGCCCCAAAATATAAACCACTAAGAGCCATAAGACCTGTGCATTGTCAGCATCTATGCAGGGGAAAGCAGGAGGAAGCCACAGGAACAAGTGACAGCCTCACAACGGAAGACCCCAACATGGTCAGCAGGTATGGGGTCAGCAGGTATGGGCCCATGTGAGAGCAGCAGCAGGAACAGGGTTGGGTTTGCCCTCAATTAGCAGGAGAGACAAAGGACCTTTGGTAAGCCCGGCTGCACCAGCTTCCCACCTTCCTGACCGGGCCCCACACTCAGGCAAAACAGTGGGAGCTGAATCAAAATGGACCAGGAAGGAACAAGAGATGAAGAAAAAAGAAGGTCCAGATGAAAGTGAGGCAGGCAAATAGAGTAAGAAAAATTCAGAAAAAGAAATCACTTTATTTTATGTTATTTTTCTATACAGAAATAATCGGAGTTGTTTGGACAAAATCTCCTAAGAATCAGGAAGATGAAATTCACATGAGTAACTGAAAGTGTCATGGCCAAATCCTATATAAGGATACTACGTGTTTTCAATAAAAAGTCCTATTTGGGAATTTTTTGCATCTTATAAGGATGCATTAAATTCTCATTATTGACACCTTAAAATTTCATGAGGAGGGAAAAATTCAAAATCTTGACAACTTACTTTCAATTCTGTCATGCAAAATGGAATACATTGTTAGAAGCAAATTAAATATTTAAAACATATCTTAATTTTACTAATAGAATTTCAAAACTATGACTACATAATTAAAATTATTACAATAATTTTACAGGTTGTATTTTTTTCATATTGATTCTTGATTCCTAGAAGTTTTTAATGGCAATATTCGGTTTTGGCCTTGGCTTCAGTCAAATATTGACTTTAATTTCCAGCCCTTTAGCACTTGGCAAAATATATATATCAGTGCATCAGTAGTGATGCACTGTAAGATTATGGTCTGGGGGAGGAAGAGAGAACTTGGATTTTCAGTGGGCTGCCTCCTGTCAAACAGAGAGTGAGAGAAAGGGGTTGGGCTGTGCACCCTCATTCTCTTTCTGATCACCAATCAGATTAAGTCTGTATCCATTATCTACTGCTGCTTAAAAACCACCTGAAAACTTAGTGGTTTCAAACAACCACCATTCTCTCTGTTCACAATGTCAGCAGTTTTCACTGGGCCCATTTGGGAGGCCATTCTGCTGGTCTTGTCTGGGGCACACATGTAGCTGCAGTCATCTGCAGCTCACCTGGGGCTGGAGGGTAGAAAGTAGGTAGAAGCCCACATATGGCTATTGGTTTTGGCTGTTAGCTGGACCCTTTCTCATGCAGCCTCTCATCATTAAGAAGTCTAGTCTGCGCTTCTTTACGTAGAAGCAGCACACAAGGTTGAGAGCAGAAGCTGCAAGGCCGCTGGAGGCTGAGAGGTTCTGAAGCGACAGCCCATCACTTGCACACATACTGTGGGTGAAAGCAAGTCACAGTACCAGCCAGATGGAAAGGGTGGAGAAATTAATTTCACCTCTTGATGGGAGGAGTGCCAAATCCACATTGTAAAGGTCCTGGGGAGGGAGGAATTATTGTGATCGCCTTTGCAAACAATCTTCCACAAAGCCCATCTTCCTCTAATGGACAGATGAGTAAAGGGGTAGCGTGCGAGGGGAAAGGTACTCTCTCCACATGGAAGGATACAGGAGTAAGGGAGAGGTGTCTGTTTTTCCCACTCACCCAAGAAACTGATAATACTGATAGAGGATTCTTATGAAACAAATAAAACCCCACTCCTTCCATGACACTCCAAGACCAGAAGGAAAAACAAAACAAAACAAAGCAACCTTACCCGCAAGTAGCAATTATAGACATTGGCAGAAAGTGACATTAATAACAGTACTCTCTTCTTATATCTTCAAACACATAATCAATATATTGAGTAGTGATTTTTGAATTCAAAAATCTACATATATATTCACACATATTTGCAACATATATATGTGTGTGTGCATGCATATATATATACACACATACATATTTTACACATACTTATTTTAAACCCTGGCATAACTCAAGAAAGTTCAAACACATTTTTCTCTTGATTTAAAAAGAAAGTGAAAGAATATACTGGACAGTGAGATGAGATTTTCATACTACAAAGTTTATTGTTAAATATCAGCATAATTAAGGAAAGTTTCAAACTCAGTTTTTCTCCTTAGGGCTTTACAATTGGAACGGAGTCTTCTCTATTTTCAGATAGTTAAATGATGGCATTATACCAAGGGAGGGAGGAGATGGAGATTTCTAACCACGATTCATTTTGCCTCTTGAGGCCACAGGGCTTCTTGCTAATAAGAAAGGCTGCTAATCCATCACAACCCTGTGGATTTGGGTGTTGATGAGTAAAAGGAGAAAACGACACCAGGGTCATAGGCAACAGCTAATGAGACAGGAGAATCATGGCCAGTGAAGGAGACAGCTTCAAAGAGCAGCAGCCTGTGAGTGTGCATTTCCAAGGAATCCAATCAACTCTGTGGCAGCCAGGAAGTTCGCTCGCAACAGCTCCAACCATTCCCTTGGAGAAAGCCCAACACTCACAGAGCAAAACCGGACTCAGGTGTGGAAATGAGTCTGTCATGAATGGCCAGGCTTCAGTACACGCACTCTTTGGAGCCATGGCTTGGGTATCGTGCAATCTGGTCACAACTGGGAAAGGAGCTGGTGCCGTCTCTTTGTATGTGTTTTTATCTTCTTTCTCTGAATCAAGGAAACTGCAAAGTGGAAACACAGAAACAAAGAGAGGAAATGGAAAAGCCAGACTGGCACACCATTCTCGCCCTCTCTCTGTGGGTTCTCCCTGCAGCGAGCTCCAGCTCAACCAGGATGGAGCTAGAGAGAAGGAGAGATGCCCCAAAACAGCTTCTGCTATTTGGGGATTGTTTATATGCTGGAATGTCCCAGAAAGACTATCCCCACCTACAGTTTCTGTTACTTTTCACTTATGGTAATAATGGGCAATGAATCTCCCTCCCTTCCTCCCTCCCTCCCTTTCTCCTTTCCTTCCCACCCTCCCTCCTTCCCTCTCTTTTTCTTTCTTTTTAGATTTCTCCTCACTGTTCACTGTGAAACTTGGTAAGATACAGAACCATGTCCATGACTGAACGTTGTGAAAACTGACCAGATGAACTGGGTCATTCTTCTGACACCTAACTAACCCAGAGTCCAGAAGCCAGTGGGGAAAAGCACTCAGGGCACATAAAATTGCTCCAAGAATGTCATTCTCTGTAACCCTGGCTGCTGAAACTGTCTTCTGTAATCATCTGAAACAACGTGCTGTGATTCTAAGAATAGTTTTACCCACCACTTTCATCACTCACCACTCAGAGCAAGCCAGCTCCCCAGAACCTTACTAGTGTCAATCAATTTTCTGGAAAAACAATACACACCACTTCTCCTTTTCATAAAACTTCCAACCTCCTCTTTGTTCTTCAAACATACCAAAGACCATCTGGTCTGTGGGGTCTGTGTGTATGCCCTGAATTGCAATGCTTGAATTTTGAAATGTTAAATTTAGATCTTCATCTCTACATATTTTATTTGACTGACAATGTGACAGATATCCACACAGCTCAGGGACTAAAAATAAAACTCTTTTTCTCTGCTATTCACCACTTCACATTTGACATCAAATGTGTGCGTCTTTCTCTTACATTAAGCAATTTTCCAACTCTTGAGACACCAAGTGAGTATCCTTCAATTCAATTATGATGCTACCCACCCAGAGCTAGGGCAGGCCCCAAAGGTTAAGGGCTTAGTCCCACAAGACTGCCTCCTCTTTCAGAAACGAGTTGAAAGTCCCAGGTTGTGACCTATGTTTCTGACCAATCGGCTATAAATTAGGGTGTCTCATGACCCCCTCCTTAGGTCTGATAATTTGTAAGAACACCTCACAGAATTCAGATAGAGTGCTTTATTTACTATTACCGATTTATTACAAAGGATATTCTAAACGATGCAAATAAACAGCCAGACAAAGAGAAGCATAGGGCAAAGTATGGAAGAGTGGCAGGAAGCTTCCAGGCTCTCTCTGGGCATGCCACCCTCCCAGCACCTCTTGTATTCACCAAGCCAGGAGTCCTCCAAACTCCATTGATTAGGGTTTTGTGGAGGTTCCAATAAGTAGGCATGATTGATTAAACCATAGGCCATGGGTGGTTGAATTCAATCTCCATTCCTTCTCCCTCCCCCCAGAGGTGGGGTAGCAGGTATAGGGGCAGAAATTTCTAATCTTCTAATCACATTGTTGGTTGCTCTGGCAGTTAGCCCTCATCCTGAAGATATCTAGGGGCTTTCAGCCACCAGTCATATCATTAATATAAACAAAAAGACACTCTTACCACTCTAGAGATTCTAAGGGTTTTAGAAGTTCTGGTTTCAGAAACCTGAGACTAAGACCAAAAATAACAAAAGATACTCCCATCACTCCATCACTTAGTAAGTTATGAGAATTTAGAAGCTCTGTGCCAGGAACCAGGGGCAGAGACCAAATACGTACTTCTTATTATGCTACAGGAACATTCATAAAAGCCATTTTAACCATGAAAGATGAAGGACACGCGACTCAGAATATCTTTTTAAGGATGTGAGGAGTTCTGAATTTTGCATGTCTTTTATTCTGTATATGTTAATGTGCATATGTAAGTCCATGCACACACACACACACACACACACACACACACACACACACACATATGAACGTTCAAAAGTATTTCTGAGTCTTGGAGAATCATAGCAAGACTGGGTCCTCAGAAAAGTCAGTATTTTGTTTTTATTTTCAATTTTTTGTGGGTACATAGGTATTTATTTATTTATTTTGAGACAGAGTTTCGCACTTGTTGCCTAGGCTGGAGTGCAATGGTGCGATCTCGGCTCACTGCAACCTCCGCCTCCCGGGTTCAAGAGATTCTCCTGCCTCATCCTCCTGAGTAGCTGGGATTACAGGCACGTGCCACCATGCCCGGCGAATTTTGTATTTTTAGTAGAGATGCTATTTCTCCATGTTGGTTAGGCTGGTCTTGAACTCTTGACCTCAAGTGATTTGCCTGCCTTGGCCTCCTAAAGTGCTGGGATTACAGGCGTGAGCCACTGTGCCTGGCTGCTATTTATATTTATTGGGTACATGAGATATTTTGGTACAGGCATGTAATTTATAATAATCACATCATGGAAAATTGGGTATTCATCTCCTCAAGTATTTTTGTGTTACAAACAATCCAATTATGCTCTTTTAGTTATTTTAAAATGTACAATTAAATTAGGATTGACTATAGTTCCTGTGTTGTGCTATCAAATACTACCTCTTATTTATTTTATTTTATTTTATTTTTTTGAGATGGAGTCTCACTCTATCACCCAGGCTGGAGTGCAATGGCATGATCTCAGCTCACTGCAACTTCTGCCTCCCAGGTTCAAGCGATTCTCCTGCCTCAGCCTCCTGAGTAGCTGGGATTACAGGCACGCACCACCATGCCCAGCTAATTATTTTGCATTTTTAATACAGACGCGGTTTCACCATGTTGGCCAGGCCAGTCTCGAACTCCTGAGCTCAAGTGATCCAACCACCTCAGCCTCCCAAATTGCTGGGATTACAGCCGTGAGCTACCACGTCCAGCCTTATTTATTCTTTCTAACTACTTTTTTGGTACACATTAGCCATTCCAACTTTTCCCCACCCACCCACCCACTGCCTTTTCTCTGGTAACCATCCTTCTATTCTCTATCTCCATGAGTTCAATTGTTTTGAGAAAAATCAGTATTTGCATATATTACATTTTATTTCTGAAATCATCCCCATAAAATTAATAAAACTAAATTACTAGGTTTTTAACAAAAGCATAAGATTTGAGTAGAAGCATAGCAGCTTGCCCTATAGACTGCTTCCTTATAGCTGTTTACTGCTTAGAAATCACCTAGCCCCTGTTACAAGGTCCTAACTTCTATAGATAACATCTTTAACATTAAGGAACCTCAGATTTCCATTTTGAGATATTTTCCAGATCCGGCATTCCAATGGATTCACTGACACAAGCCAATCTGAAGACTCCCTCTGAGGAACTGACCCAGTGCAAGAATGCAGCTTCTATATCCTTATGATTTCATTCCCCACACCCTAACCAATCAGTGACTTCCAGCTCCTCAGCCCCTTACTCATCAAAATTCCCTTAAAACCCCTGGCCCAAAACTTCTCAGGGAAGCAGATTTGAGGTTACCGCCCACCTCCTCATTTGGCTGTCATATGATCATTAAACTCTCTGCTGCAGCTCTCCTTATTTTGGTGTATTGGTTTGTTATTGTGTAATGGGCAATGGAAACTGGTGGTCCTATAAAATTTATTTACTGAAAACAATCTGGTATTTTTTTCTGCTTTTTAAGTAGCTGCAGCATAGTAGAAAACTTTGCTTTTTACTTACAATGTGACCTTCAGCCAATGACAGATTTTAGTAATTGCTTTTGACTTACTAAATAATTCTCTTCTGGGCTAAAGTTTATGTAGGACATCTGTGTCTAAAATAATACCAGAGAAAAAAATGGCCTCAATATAAGAAGCTGGGGGAAGATCAAAACTTCATTGGCCATGAAGGAGACTCCCACTTGACTAGATCATCCTTGTACAAGAACAGATGCTCAGAGGAGCTGAAAATTGGCCAGTCTGGTAAATAGTAAAGCATCAGGGTGATAAAGTAGTGTTTTCTGGGGGTTTGTGTGTTCACTGTATGGGGTTATTTTCTAGTAATATTTTATTATAGAAAGGTACAATGCAAATTCACCAAAATCCTTACCCTCTTATGTTAGGCACAGTATTATATACTCTTGAGTCTGGCATGAGTATCTTTAATCTTTGCCCCACTCTGTGATCAACAGACACATCTATCCTGATTTTTCTTTAATAATAACAGTAATAGTAAAAGTGTCTGCTTCATTCCTCTTAAGTAGGTTCTATTCTTATCCTCCTTTAAGGCATGAGAAACCCGAGGCAAAGAGAGGCCAACTAACTTGCCCAAAGCCAAACCCTGGTAGGGGGGTGTATTAGTCCATTCTCACACTCCTATAAAGGCATACCTGAGATTGGGTAATTTATAAAGAAATTAAGTTTAATCAGCTCATGGTTCCGTGGGTTGTACAAGCTTCTGCTTCTGGGGAGGCCTCAGGAAACTTACAATCATGGCAAAAGGCAAAAGGGAAGCAGGCACATCTTCACATGGCTGGCAGGAGAGACAGAGATAGAGAATAGGGAGGTGCTACACACTTTCAAACAACCGGATCTCGTGAGAACTCTCTCACAAGAACAGCAAGGGGGAAGTCTGCCCCCATGATTCAATCACCTCCCCGAAAAGTGAAAAATAACTCCAAAATCTAGAAAGGAGAATGAAACCAATCAGCCTGTGTAGCTGGGACTGGCTAGGAACTGGAAGGTGAGTCCCCAGTACAAGAGAGAGTGAGTATGTTTCTTTGGTTCACTTTCCCACTGGAGAAATGTATAATTTAGGCCATGGGAGAGCACAGTGACCCTCTCAACCCCTTAATCGAATATGGAGAGCACCTGGAAGACTGTGAGAAGGAACTGTTTCAGGGAGGGAACACACTCTTGGCCCCATTCCCTTCCTGAGATCTAAGTGGTCACAGCAAGAACCTATTGTTGATTGTATTAGTCCATTCTCACACTGCTATAAAGACATATCTGAGACTGGGTAACTTATGGAGAGTAGAGGTTCAATTCACTCACAGTTCCACAGGCTGTATAGAAGGCATGGCTGAGGAGGCCTCAGGAAACTTACAATCATGGTAGAAGGTAAAGAGGAGGCAGGCACAAGCTTCAGATGGCAGAGAAGGAGAGAAAGAGAGCTAAGGAGGAAGTGTTACACACTTTTAAACCATCAGATCTCATAAGAACTCACTGACTATCATGAGAACAGCAAGGGGGAAATTTGCCCCCATGATCCAATCACCTCTCACCAGGTCCCTCACTCAACATTTGGAATTACAATTCAGCATGAGATTTAGGCAGGGAAATAGAGCCAAACCATAACATTCTGCCCCAGTGTCAGAGATGTGCATACCAGAGCAACTTCATCTTGAATAGAGGCTGGGCAAAATGAGGCTAAGACATACTGGGCAACATTCCCAGGTGGTTAAGGCATTCTAAGTCACAGGATGAAATAGGAGGTCAGACCAAGATACAGGTCATAGAGACCTTGCTGACAAAACAGTTTGCAGTAAAGAAGCCAGCTAAAACCCACCAAAACCAAGATGGCAACAAGACTGACCTCTGATCATCCTCAGTGCTATACTCCCACCAGCACCATGACAGTTTACAAATGCCATGGCAATGTCAGGAAGTTACCCTATGTGGTCTAAAAGGGAAGACATGAATGATCCACCCCTCGTTTAGCATATCATCAAGAAATAAATATAAAAATGGGCAACCAGTAGCCCTTGGGGTTGCTCTGCCTATGGAGTAGCCATTCTTTTATTCCTTCACTTTCTTAATAAACTTGCTTTCACTTTACTCTATGGATTCACCCTGAATTCTTTCTTGTGCAAGATTCAAGAACTGTCTCGTGGGGTCTCGATCTGGACCCCTTTTTGGTAACACTGGCCCCTCCCAAATTTCATTTCCTTTTCACATTTCAAAACAAAATCATGCCTTACCAACAGTCCCCCAAAGTCTTAAGTCACTCCAGTATTAACCCAAAAATCCAAGTCCAAAGTCTCATCTGAGACAAACCGAGTCCCTTCTGTCTATGAGCCTGTAAAATCAAAAAGAAGTTAGTTACTTCCAAGATACAATGGACATACAGGCATTGGGTAAATGTTCCCATTCCAAAGGGCAGAAATTGGCCAAAACAAAGAGGCTACAGGCCCCATGCAAGTCTGAAACCTAGCAGGGCAGTCATTAAATATTAAAGCTCCAAAATTATCTCCTTTGACTCCATGTCTCATATCCAGGCAACACTGATGCAAGAGGTGGGCTCCCAAGATGTTGGGAAACTCCACCCCTGTGGCTCTGCAGGGGTACAACCCCCATGGCTACTTTCACAGACTGGCGTTCAGTGCCTGTGGCTTTTCCATTCTGGGGTGTGGAGAATGGTGGCCCTCTTCTCACAGCTCCAGTAGGCAGTGCCCCAGTGAGGACTCTGTGTGGGGGCTGCAACCCCACATTTCCCTTCCTCACTGCCCTAGTAGAGGTTCTCCATAAGAGTTCTGCTCTTGCAGTAGACTTCTGCCTGAACATCCAGTTGTTTCCACATGTCCTCTGAAATCTAGGCAGAGACTTCCAAACATCAACTCTTGCCCTCTGTGCACCTGCAAGCTTACCACCATGTGGAAGCCTTGGTGGCTTTCAGCTTGGTGGCTTGCACCCTCTGGAACAGCAGCATGAACTGTACGTTGGCCCCTTTTAGCCACAGCTGGAGTGTCTGGGACACAAGATGCCATGTCCTGAGGCTGTGCAGAGCAGTGGGGCCCTGGACCTGGCTCACAAAACCATTTTTCTCTCCTAGGCCTCTGGGCCTGTGATGGGAGGGGCTGCCGAGAAGGTTTCTGAAATGACTTTGAGGCTTTTTCCCCATTGTCTTGAGTATTAACATTCGGCTCCTCTTTACTTTTGCAAATTTCTGCAGCTGGCTTGAATTCCTTCATGGAAAATATGTTTTTCTTTTCTACCACATGGTCAGGCTACAAATTTTTCAAACTTTTATGCTCTGCTTCCCTTTTAAATATAAGTTCCAGTCTCAGATAATCTCTTTGTGCATGCATATGAGCCTATGCTGTTAGCAGAAGCCAGGTCACATCTTGAATGCTTTGCTGCTTAGAAATTTCTTCTGTCAGATTACCCTAAATCATCTCTCTCAAGTTCAAAGTTCCACAGATCCCTAGAGCAGGGGTACAATGCAGCCAGTCCCTTTGCTAAAGCATAGCAAGAGTGACCTTTACTCCAGTTCCCAATAAGTTCCTCATCTCCATCTGAGACTTCTTCAGCCTGGACTTCGTTGTCCATTTCACTATCAGCATTTTGGTTACAATCATTCAACAAGTCTCTAGGAAATTCCAAACTTTCCTTCATCTTTCTGTCCTCTTCTGAACTCTCCAAACTGTTCCAACCTCTGCCCATTACCCAGTTCCAATGTTGCTTCCACATTTTCAGGTATCTTTATAGCAATGCTCTACTTCTCTGGTACAAGTTTTCTTTATTAATCCTTTCTCACACTGCTATAAAGACATACCTGACACTGAGTATAAAGAAAAAAGGTTTAATTGGCTATGGTTCTGTGGGCTGTACAGGCTTCTGCTTCTGGGAAGGCCTCAAGAAACTTACAATCATAGAGGAAGGTGAAGGGGAAGTAAGCACATCTTCACATGGCCAGCAGAAGAGAGATTGAGAGGGAAGGGGAAGGTGCTATACACTTCACACAACCAGATCTCGTAAGAACTCTATCACAAGAACAGCAAGGGGGATGTCCTTCCTCATGATTCAGTCACCTCCCACCAGGCTCCTCCTCCAACACTGGGAATTACAATTCAACATGAGATTTGTGTGGAGACACAGAGCCAAACCATATCGGTGGTAATGCCAGGATTTAAAGCTATTAGTCAGCCTTCAGCACCTGAATTCTTACCCACAACGTCTTGCTGTCTTCATACCTTGATTTCAAATCAAATTATGGAAGGAATTCTATTTAAGTCATCCTTCAAGTGAACATATTTTCAGTTCTCCTGTATTGAAGTTTTCATGTTGAAAGGCAGATTAATTTTTTTTTTAAGAGACGAGGTCTCATGCTGTTGTCCAGGCTGATCTCCAACACCTGGCCTCAAACAATCTTGCCTCGACCTCCCAAAGTGCTGGGATTACAGATATAAACCACTGCACATGGCCTAAAATGTTTAATAATTAGAAATAAATTATACCTTAATTGTCTTAAATATGTCACTTCCTTGCTTGAAAATCTTTCGTGGCTTCTCAAGAGATCAATAGAACATATCAGTTAAAATAGAGAATCATAGAAATGCTGTGTAAACACCCTAATATTTTATATTTGATGTGAAACATGGGCAGCCACATGTGCTAGGAGCCAGGGCCCAGTCTTGAGCATGAGTCCTCTGGTGGAGTTCAAAGGTGCCTCCTTATCTAACCACACTCAGATTCCATCATCTTATGATCTGTGGTTTCAATTGCTTTAAAGTGGAATAAAACTTTAAAGATAACTGTAAAGCAATCTAAGCCCAGAATGCTTCTGGGGTTTTATTTTTATTTATTATTATTATTTTAAAATATATTGGCGATGGGTCTTGCTATGTTGTCCAGGCTGGTGTTGAACTCCTGGGCTCAAGCAATTGGGCTCAAGAAATTCTCCTGCCTTGGCTTCCCAAGTGGTAGTATTATAGGCATGAGCCACTGCACCAGGCCTCTTTCTGGAGTTTTAGTTATTTTCTCCAATTAAAAAAATAACTTTCTTATTCACAGTTAATTTGACATCAATTATTTTAGGTAATCAATTTTTATCAGTTATCTCCAAAGCATTGTACTTACGTGTCACAGAAAATCTTCTTCCATCATTTCCTCTACATTCATAATTTATCAAGTTACATAGCATTAAATTACGTTACATAATTCCAGTTACAAATACAGAAGGCACAACAGGCTTAGGAGCAAAGGCAATGGATTCTTGGTAAGCCTTGAATTCAGATAATGGGATCAGAAATGCCAGCAGCTGTGGAGAAAGGCTGACTAATCTCCCAAGCTCAGGCACAGGGGGCATCAGTGAACAAGTTCTACAGACAGAATGAGAAGCATTGATTATCTAAGGAGCGAACTGATTGGGCATCCATTAAAAGAGCTTCTGCTGTACAGATTCCTCTGTCTGACATTCACAGTCCTCAATTGTGACCTAAACTTTCCTTTCTAGCCCCCATCTCCTACTATTCCCCTACATGTGTCTCATGAACCATCAATGAAGCCCTTATGAACTCCTTCTCTTCCAGAAGTATCCATACTTCCCTGTGTCACAAGATACCTTGTTCAAAACCCTCCCTTCTGGGTTCAAGGTATCCCTGCCCAAAACTTCACTGTGTTACAATAACCCCTGAAGACACCAAAGAGTTTCTTGGGAAGACAAAAAATTCTTGGATAAAGATTCTGGATGGCTTGTTTGCACTGTTAGGTTAGTTCTGCATATTGATTTGCATAAGAATACACACAATGTCATTTCTAACTTTAAGGCAAGCTGAGAGTATAGAGCTGTCCACTCTATCTATCTAGGGGATTTTTAGACTCTCTTCTCCTTTCTGCATGGTAAGCCACAACTTATTAATTTGAAAATTCTATTCTGTATTTCTATAACATCATCAAACTCTTTGTGCTCTGAAACTCTCAGGGCTAGCTTGCTTTCTGCTCATTTGTCTATATTATCTTTCCACCTGGAATATCCTCACTAGCATATGTTCCTGTTAAAAACCTATCAATTCTTCAGCTCTCTCCAGAGACAACAACCAACCAATGAGATAGTATATAAAACATAAACCTACATATATACCACTCACTTTCCCAAAGGATCTCCAAAGAACTTAAGAACTTAAAAATAAGCATAAAACAGGAAAAAATGAAAGAAAAACAAAGTTGCTGGGGAATACATATGTTTGAGTATTGGAGTCCATCTCTTATCTCAGCAGAGTAATTAATTTGGTTTCTGGTTTTTCCTAATTTAAAAGGCAAAAAGATTATATATTCTTTTATCTGATAAAAGAAAATAAGCTTGCTTACCTTCAAACTAATTTATTCCTGATACAAATTTCAAGGCATATCTAACTACATGTTATCACCTATAGTAAATGGGCACAGAAGAGAAGCCTCAGGGGACTTCATTTTGCTGAAATAAATTCTTAGGGCTCTTATTAGAAATCTCTGGAAATCTTTTTGGATTATATCCAGGCTCTTTCATTTCATCTATCATTTCCTGAGGAGTTTCTGATAGATTATCTCATGCCAGCACTATTGGCATTTTGGAGACTGGGAGGCATAATGGAAAGTGAATGCACACCAAGTAGCAGATTCTCTGCTCCACCATTTAACAGATGGCTGATTTTTGTCAGAATATGCCCCTAATTTTTCATTTCCTTATCTATAAAATAGGTACAATAATTGGTAAAATATAAGTGAAAAGTATCTATTGCAGTGCTTGACACATATTAGGTGGCAATAAATGGTAACATTATCACTAGTTTTCTGAAAAACAAAACCAAACAAAACCAAAGAAACGCTCAAAAAATCAAAAAACCCTAGAATATCAACAGCTAAAGCTCTCTTCTGTGGCTTCTTTTCCTCTCACTTAAAAATGCACAGAATTCCTTAGTTCTGCAGAAACATTTGTTTGAGTGTAGTATACCTTCAATCTACTAATTTATTTCCTACTTGCCTTTTAATGCTATTTCCTTACCAGTTGCCATCTCATTAACACTTCAAAATTTGGCTTTCCTGAAACTTCGTTTTCATTCTATTGGAGCTTCAAGATTCCAGTGACTTCCTTAGTGTTACCCTGCAGCATTTGGCAATTTTAAGAGATCTTGAGATTTTTCCCATTCCTTGATTCCACACTATTTTATTGTCTTCCTACTTCTCTTTACTTCTGTCTTCTTCAGTCAATTTCTCCTACCTCTACTGGGTCACAATGGTGGTTATTGCCCAAGGAGTTATTCTTTTTTTTTCTTCTAATTTTTATTTTTAGTTCTGGGGTACAATGTGCAAGATGTGCAGGTTTGCTCTATAGGTAAACGTGTGCCATGGTGATTTGCTGTACCTATCAATCCATCACCTAGGTATTAAGCCCAGCATGTATTAGCATTTTTCCTAATGCTCTCCCTCTCTCCATCCCACCCGCTGACAAGCCCAAGTGTGTGTTTTTCCCCTCCCTGTGTCCATTTGTTCTCATTATTCAACTCCCACTTATAATTGAGAATATGCGGTGTTTGGTTTTCTGTTCCTGCATTAGTTTGCTAAGGATAATGGCTTCCAGCTTCATCCATGTTCCTGCAAAGAACATAATCTCATTTCTTTTTATGGCTGCATAGTATTGCATGATGAACACGTACCACATTTTCTTTATCCAGTCTATTGTTGATGGGCATTTGGGTTGATTCCATGTCTTTGCTATTGTGAATAGTGCTGCAATGAATGTATGCGTGCATGTAACTTTGTAATAGAATGATTTATAGTCATTTGGGTATATACCCAGTAATGGAATTGCTGGGTCAAATGGTATTTCTGGTTCTAGATTTTTGAGGAATTGCCACACTGTCTTCCGCAATGGTTGAACTAATTTACATTCCCACCAACAGTGTAAAAGCATTCCTATTTCTCCACAACCTCGCCAGCATCTGTTGTTTCTTGATTTTTTAATAATCACCATTCTGACCAGTGTGAGATGATATCTCATTGTGATTTTAATTTGCATTTCTCTAATGATCGGTGGTGTTGAGCTTTTTTTCTTATGTTTGTTGGCTGCCTGAATGTCTTTTTTTGAGAAATATCTGTTCATGTCCTTTGCCCACTTTATAATGAGGCTGTTTGTTTTTTTTCTTGTAAATTTGTTTGAGTTTCTTGTAGATTCTGGATATTAGACCTTTGTCAGATGAATAGATTGCAGAAATTTTCTCCCACTGTGTAGACTGCCTGTTAGTTCTGATGGTAGTTTCTTTAGTTGTGCAGAAGCTCTTTAGTTTAATTAGAGCTCATCTGTCAATTTTTGCTTTCATTGCAGTTGCTTTTGGCAATTTCATCATGAAATCTTTGCCCATGCCTATGTCCTGAATATTGCTTAGATTTTCTTCTAGGGTTATTACAGTTTGGGGTTTTATGTTTAAGTGTTTAATCCTTCTTGAGTTAATTTTTGTATAAGGTGTGAGGAAGGGGTCCAGTCTCAATTTTCTGCATATGGCAAGCCAGTTCCAAGGAGTTATTATTAGACTTCTGCTTTTCGTCCACACTCTCATTAAATAATTTTATCAACTAATATCTTTATGTAGATGACTACCAAATCTATGTCTCCAGACCACATTATTCCCAGATTCCAGCTGCAAAACTACTGGTCTTCCATTTGAATATCTAAAAGGCATCTTAGACTCAACATCCTGAAGCGTATCATTTTCCCCAAATAAAATCTCCCTGTGAAAGTTTCAAACCTTTGAATCTTGTTTCCTGCTTATCTCCCCACAAAGACCCGTCAATTCTTCCTTTCTTATATAACTCAATATGCATCAATTTCCTCTACAATCACTACTACTATCACTCATTCTTGCATTCTCAAATTATTATAATTTTCTAAACTCCAGTTTTCCACCATCTCAAACTACCACCAAGTTATTATTCTTAAATAAATCCTCTCATCAAACTCATCAAATTACTGCTCAACGCAAAAACATACATGATTTCCTAAGAATAGAAAACCTACCTTAGTTTGGCATTCCAGGGTTAGAATTTTAAAATTGGATTTAATTTGACCTTTCAGACTTACCTAAAACTAATTCTTACCATTAATATTTATTAAAATAGCCTACTCATAATTCCTGAAAGCTTACGATATTTTTAGACATTAGTGTCCACTCCTTGCCCTCTCCTACTTCTCAAAAAACAAAACCAAAAACAACTCCATGATTTCTTTCTGGCATATCAACTTTTACCTCAATATCAATCCATTTGTTTGTCAAAGTTCATGTTCATCTCCAGGAATAGAACATGTGACCCAAGCTTGGCCAATCAATGCATCAAATTTTTCTGGCCACAATGATTATTTCTGGAATGGACATATGACCCATGTTTGTTCCATTAAAATTAATCTAGGACTTGTGAGGATGTTCCTGAGAAAAGTGTCAGACTAGGATCAAATAGTCTGCAGTAACAAACATGAAAGCTCAATGGCTTAACCAAATATGTTTTTTGCTCATGTCACAGTCTGATGGGCTAGAGGATCCCCTTTGGGGCTCTCCTCTAAATGGTGACTCAGTGATCCAGCACCCTGTACACTGCCATCTTAAACGAGGGGTGGAAAAGAGGGGTGAGCATATGGTGGCACGTGGCGAGGTTTTATTTATGTCCATCAGGCAAAACCCAGTCACATGGCTTCAACCTAGTTCCAAGAGAGGTGGGAAATACTGTCTTTCTATGTGCCTAGGAAGAGGAGAGGAAAATGAAATAAGATTTGATAAACACATATGATTGTTTCAGTTACATGATGAGGGTGGGGTGGGGTAGTATAGAAAAAAGTAAAGTTGTAGAGTCACTTAAAGACATGAAAATATCAGGATTAATATTTTATTTCAATAAACATGCAATATATGGCCTTTTTCCCCCCAGAAATGTACAGTAGACTCAGAAAGAATCACAAGCACGTCTGTGTCCACTCAAAGTATCCAGTGGTTCAATTCCTAGTGAGATGGAACAAGGCCCCTTTCTGGGGCCAGCTGGCCCTCCTTCCTAAGCATGGAAATTAAAAAAAATAAAAACTTTGAATCCCTTCAAAATAAATTCCAGGCACCTAGCTAGTTCTGCAACCAGCAATTAGAAAAGTGAATAAGTAACTTGGGAAGCAAGAAGGTAATCACAGCATAAACAATAGTCATCTAACAGTAAGTTAGAGCCACAGGATGTTTGGTTTCCTGTAAAAACTAAAGATAACATCTTTACATATGTCCTTGAGTTGCTTTTCAGAAACCAGGACCACCACCAGATGGAAAATGGAAAATACCAACCACTGTAATATAGACCTCAGACAGACTGAGACCAGAAAATGGAAAAAGAATTCCAGAAATTCCTTAACCCCTAACTCACTTTGGAACGCCCCTCACACCTGATTTATAAACACTTGTAAGTCACTGGGGAGCTCAGGTCTCAAGCATTGGCCATCCATTCTCCTTGTTTGAAGCCCTACAATAAACACCTTGCCTTCTCTGTCTACAAATCCCCGTGTCAGTATTTGGTTTTGCTGTGTACTGTGTGAGCAGTCCCAGGTTCAGTTTGATAACACCAGGGATGTAAAACTCTGCAAGATGAAATTCTAGTCCATTTCCTTATTTTTCCTTTCAGGCACACTCAGCACCCTGCCTTATTGTGGACTGTCTAAAAAAGGGAGAAACCAAAGAGAGAAGTACAGAGGAAAAAGGGGAGAATGAAAAAGAGCAGGGAATAAGAAGAGATGGGGACATATAGGGGGAGAGAGGGGAGAGGAGGGAGGAAGATGTCATAGTGATAAGACCTATGACATATGTGTTTTGAGGTTTTAGATAAACTATTTAAAATTCAAGCAGCATTTCCTTAATTCTGCACTTCTTGCAAATAGACTGTGGCCTCACACACATAGAGAAGCATAGTTGGTCCTGCTAACAGTAATAGACCCCCAACCTTTGCGAAATGATTTGCATGATTCCAAGACACATCTCTGCTGGAAACATACTCTCTTCTCCTTGGCTTCTTTCACTATATCCTACCCTCTTCAGTATCTGCCATTGCCTGCCACTGTGTCCTTCTTTTTGGTTTTGGTCCTTGGGAAAAGTAATATGTATCTGGGGTAATATTTTTTGAAATATTTTTTCTTTGCATTCTCTTGTACAGACTGCCCACCCACCCCATTTTTCTAGAGGTATCTATTGCCTAACAGAGGGTTAGTACTGTTCTAGCAGGAATGCAAAGAAAACAGAAGCACTAATGAGACAGTCAAGTAAAAAGGGCTTCCCAGAGAATCTCCAACCAGCCTGTGTACTTGGAGGATGGGTGGGGCCTTGGGAAGTTCGTGCTGTTTGCAGCAGGGAGGAGCCTGTTCTCTCCTGTTCCTGTGTGGGAATCTGGGATTCAGTCTGTGAGATGCGGCCCTGTTAACAGGAACCCCTGTTGCTTTGCTGAGAGTCTTTTTTTTGCCCAATAAATTCTGTTTTTCTCACCCTCCTATGTGTTCATGAGCCTAATGTTTCCTGGTCAAGTGACAAGAAACTGGTTTTTAGCTGAACTGAGGAGAAAGTCATACAATGCTAATATTCAGTTTATCATATCTAATAGGGATTTATGTGGAAGATAGTGTTGGGCTAAAGCGAGGCTTTGCTGAAGGAGATAGAATTTTCTAAATTCACTTAGCTCCCGATGGAAATTCTTCTGGGGGCAGAAAAAATACCTTCCACTCATGCCTTATAGGTCATGAGACTTACTGCCCTAGGGATGTGGCAGGCCAGGTCTCACTAATGCAGGCCTCCATAACAACTGTTTCATTATTGACTGAGTGGTTAAGTTAAATGTTAAAAGCTAAAAAAAGCCAGTGCCCTTATACAAAGGCTGGAATGTAACAAAAGCCCACCAAGAGTTTTGCCTAGGCCCTTCCTGGGCCTTAAAGCATGACAAAATAACGAAGGAATTATTAACAGGACCAATTTGGGATTAAACAAGTTTTATTGTGGGTCTGAAGAAGCTCCTTGGGCCTCCACAAACAAGTTTATTGGGGGTCTGTAGGAACTCTCCAAACCTCCGTGATTTAGCAGGAGACAAGATAAGGGTAATCACCCCAGCACCTGGACCCATTTAGATTAAGTAAACTTACTGAGGCTCCAGAGGAAGGTCTTCAGGACTCAGACCTTAGTTACAGACTAAAAGAAGTTAATCACATATGTCTTTAGATGAATGCGCACTTACACAAAGACATATAGCTTAGAAGGTAGGTAAGCTCTGGAAAACTTTGTGATCTTGAGTTGGTCTGGCGATAATTTCCAGGCCTTCTCCCTGCAGCTGGTTACAGAAATAAAAACTCTCTTTCTCTCCAGTTCATCGGCATCTTGTTATTGGGCCATGAGAAATAGCAGCCCCATCCTCAGTTTGGTCCAGGAACAGAGATAGAGAAAGATACTTACTCACACATTAAACAACTTCCTGTCTATTATGTGCTGGGCATTGTTCTAAGTGTTAGGAATACAGCAAGTGAACAAAAGAGGCAAACATTCTTTATTTAGGAACATGCATGCAGTGGCGTGTTGGTAAAGGTTTAAAACTGGCCTTATGGAGAAAAGGGCTCTGCTGTGCAGTCCTTGCTAATTATATGTTGTAAATATTCCCACCATGGCTGATTTCAAGTTACCAACATGATCTCACCAGAGTTCAGAAGGGACGCATACACTTGGTTCTCTTGAACTAGTATGAGCTGGTTATAGTACACAGATGCCTATATAAGTGATAGAACTGTGTGTGTGAGAGAGAGAGAAAGAGAGAGAGAGAAAAATAGTGTAAAATTCAGGATAATAATTACTTCTAGAGGACAGGCAGAGGGGCAGGATGACGGCAAGCACAGAGATAGGTATAAGATACTGGTAATGTTTCAGTTTCTGGACTGGGTGGTGATTTCATGATGGCTCATTATATTATTTAATTAATAAATGAACAACTGAAAATAAAAGAGGAACATGCATGAAACCAATGAAAGTAATACATTATGAATGAAAAATTCGGATTAATCCAATTCTGTGTGACTGAGAACCAGGTAAGAAAGTGAGATATATCATACAGAATGTCAAAAGCTCAAAATCTCTCTTTAGCTGGAGAAATGATGGGAAGGAGAAGATCCAGAAGCTGTCAGTAGAGATGGGCACAGGGCAGATAGACAGGTTCTTGCACCCCCACATAAAAGCCTAAACCGGCCAGGCAGAGTGGCTCACACCTGTAATCCCAGCACTTTCAGAGGCCAAGGTGGGCAGATCACGAGGTGACAAATTCAAGACCAGCCTGGCTAATATGGTGAAACCCCATCTCTACTAAAAATACAAAAAATAGCCGGGTGTAGTGGTGCGCACGTGTAATCCCAGTTACTCAGAAGGCTGAGGCAGAAGAATCACTTGAACCTTGAACCTGTGAGGCGGAGGTTGCAGTGAGCTGAGTTCATGCTGTGTCCAGAATTGGTGGGTTCTTGGTCTCACTGACTTCAAGAATGAAGCTGAGGACCCTTGCAGTGAGTGTTACGGTTCTTAAAGGCGGCGTGTCCGGAATTCGTTCCTTCTGATGTTCGGGTGTGTTCAGAGTTTCTTCCTTCTGGTGGGTTTGTTGTCTCGCTGGCTTCAGGAGTGAAGCTACAGACCTTTGTGGAGAGTGTTACAGCTCATAAAGGCAGCGTGGACCCAACGAGTGAGCAGCAGCAAGATTTATTGCAAAGAGTGAAAGAACAAACCTTCCACAGTGTGGAAAGACACCCCAGTGGGTTGCCACTGCTGGCTCCTGCAGCCTGCTTTTATTCCCTTATCTGGCCCCACCCACATCCTACTGATTGGTCCATTTTACAGAGAGCTGATTGGTCTGTTTTACAGAGAGCTGATTGGTCCGTTTTGACAGGGTGCTGATTGGTGCATTTACAATCCCTGAGCTAGACACAAAAGTTCTCCCAGTCCCCACTAGATTAGCTAGACACAGAGCACTGATTGGTGCATTTACAAACCTTGAGCTAGACACAGAGTGCTGATTGGTGCATTTACAAACCTTGAGCTAGATACAGAGTGCTGATTGGTGTATTTACAATCCCTTAGCTAGACATAAAGATTCTCCAAGTCCCCACCAGACTCAGGAGCCCAGTTGGCTTCACCCAGTGGATCCGGCACTGGGGCCACAGGTGGAGCTGCCTGCCAGTCCCTCACCGCAGGGCGCCTGCACTCCTCAGCCCTTGGGCAGTGGATGGGACCAGGAGCCGTGGAGCAGGGGGGCGCTCGTCGGGGGAGGCTTGGGCCCTGCAGGAGCCCACGGTGAGGGGAGGCTCAGGCATGGCGGGCTGCAGGTCCTGAGCCCTGCCCCATGGGGAGGCAGCTGAGGCCCAGCGAGAATTTGAGCGCAGCGCCGGCAGGCCAGCACTGCTGGGGGACCTGGTGTACCCTCCGCAGCCGCTGGCCTGGGTGCTAAGCCCCTCACTGCCCGGTCCGGCGGCACCGGCAGGCAGCTCTGAGCACAGGGCCCGTCGAGCCCACGCCCACCTGGAACTCGCACTGGCACGCAAGCACCCCGGGCAGCCCTTGTTCCTGCCCACGCCTCTTCCTCCACACCTGAGGGAGCCGGCTCTGGCCTCGGCCAGCCCAGAAAGGGGCTCCCACAGTGCAGCAGAGGGCCGAAGGGCTCCTCAAGCACGACCAGAGTGGGCGTGGGGCCCAGGAGGTGTCCAGAGCAAGCAAGGGCTGCGAGGGCTGTGAGGGCTGCCAGCACGCTGTAACCTCTCAATGCCACTGCACTCCAGATGGCAACAGAGTGAGACTCTGTCTCAAAAAAAAAAAAGCCTAACCTGGTAGCTGCTTTTGAAGCATCAGTACACATGACCCACTTTCTCAGGTGACCCAGAGAGGAGCTGCACCAATCACAGATTGATGGGGATTCAGTGTGGAGTGTGGGGACAGTGGAGACAGGGTTCAGTGGTACAGGCAGTGCCCACAGGTCACCGTGGAATTCGGGGGACTGAATGTTTCTCATGTGCCCCAGTAAGAAAATATGGAGGTGCCAAAAGCACTGGTGGACTGGTTTGTCCTGCCCTGGCCAAGACTGTGCCACTGAAGTAAAGTGGTTGGACTCACAGGCTTCAGCAAGGGGAATTTATCAAGGGGAATTTGTATCTGTTTTTAGGTGGGAGGGGGTAGAATAAGGCAGATATCTTGTCTTTATAATTCTCTGTCCTGTTTTTAAGCAAACAGAGGGAAGACAGAGCTCTCCTGCATCTGCTTCTTAATTGCTTTAGTGTAAAAAAATTATGTTAAAGAGGCATATTTTGAGGTGGTGTAATCTGGTTTCCTTCAGAGTCAAGGAAGAGACCAAGTCTTGTGCCACTAACTTTTTTTTTTTTACACAATTTTTTTTTTATTGCTTGAAGACTGAAAGCTTCTTGAAAAGACAGGCCACGGTTTACCCATGTTTGTATTCCTAACACCTAGCATTGTGGCCAGTCCAGAGCAGGAGCTTCAAAATCCTTGTGGAATTGAACTGAATGATCTTCTTTCAATCCTACTCTCTCCCCTTGCCTGCAGCATCCGACCTGCCTCCTAACTTCAGAGAGAAAAATCAGACCTGGGACAACATACACACACCACCACTCTCCTCCTCTCACACTGCAGGAGCAGGTTTCCCGAAGTTCTTTCTTTGGCCTTCTGTTCATTCCTTCTCATTCCACCCATCTCCCCATCATGTCTCCTGTCTCATGGCAACACTGCTGTGACAAGTTTCATCTCTGTGGGGCTCTGGAGACCCTTCAAAATGTGGCTTTAGGCTGCCTGTTCAGCCTCATTGCTTGCTGTTCTTCACTCTGGCCAGGCTGCTTTCCCACAAAGTGGCTGCTTTCTTCACCACTCCTGTGCCTGGGATGCCTTTTCCTCTTCTGACTCCAACCTTTACATCTCATTCTTCATGGCTCCAGCACAATGTCAATCTTGATGGTGAAAGATTTAGATGAAAGCAAACATATGTTTTCAAAATCTTACGTCTTTTAAATCCTAATTTTTCAGGCATTTAGGGACAAAGAGCTAAGAAAAAGAAAATATCAATCTCCTCTTTCTTCTATGTCCTCTGCATCTTTCTCTTAATTTCTGCTCTCCTCCCTTCAAAACACAGACACACACAGACACACAGGCACACACACACACCAACACGCACGCACACACTCAGAGTGGTAACTTTCATGGGTGGAATCCCTGGTGCCAACAAGATTATTTAGGATCAGGGGAGTTAGGACCCACAAACTTCTCATCTTTCCCCAGCTCTGACTCAATTGCTGTTGGGCTCTTCTTACATCTGTTAAGAATAAGACAGAGTAGGGAACAGAGTAAGGGATGAGTCAATATTAGAAGTTTAAAGAAAGGAATTAGAGAACTGGAATTGTTTTAAAATGCTGGGAAAGTGACTCCCATAATCCCAGAGATTTATGCCGTTGTTTATAGTGACTAGCAGGGAAGGAATCGTCAAATCTTTGGAGCTTGAAGAAAATAATTTTCCCACCTATGCTAGCAAAGAAAATTGCTATTGATTTGTAACACTACGGTTAGAGTTGAGGCAATAATTTCCCTTCTAAATTCTCAAAAATGTAGCAAACCAGATTTTAGTTTGTGAAAACCATAAAAATTTCTGACTAAGCCAGGGAGAGAAAAAGAGTGTGTCTGGTAGAGTTTATTATGCGACCAGGTTGAAAATGGGACATTTCGAAAATTGAAAATTATTCTGACCAGGTTGAGAATGGGACATAGGGTAATGGTTGATTTCATGTGTCAACGTGGCCAGGCTGCATTACCCAGATATTTGATACATTATTCTAGATGTTTCTGTCTTATAAAAAAGTGTTTTCTAGATGACATTTACATTTAAATTGGTATATTTTGAGTGAAGTAGCTTGCCCTCAATAATGTGGATGTGCCTCATTTAATCAGTTAAAGGCTTTAAGAAGCCTGGTTTCTGAATTCTGTGGGCAGTCGGCCTTCTGACTTGAACTGCAGCACTGACTGTTCTCTGGGTCTCCAGCCTGATGGCCTCCTTGCAGATTTTGAACTTGCCAGCCCTGCAATCATGTGTGGGTCAATTCCTTAAAATCTCTCTCTCTTTTTCAATAGACACATAGACAGATGAAGATCAATTGATCTATCTATCTATCTATCTATCTATCTATCTATCTATCTATCATCTATCTACATCCTGTTGATTCTGTTTCTCTGGAGAACCTTAACTAATTTATTGTTCTACATAAGCTTGGAAACTTCCCTGAAGAGTGAATTCATAACATCTCAACACCGACCTTACTTTCATTCTACCTTTAGAAGCAGATCATTCTAATATCTTTATCTCCCTTGGAAAAAAATTATAAGCATTATCTGTGGACAAGGAGAAAGGGCAAATGAAGCCAATATAAAATTCAGTTTGATAGATATTAATTTTGTAGCACAATATGTGATTTTTTTTGTATGAACTAATTTTAATTACCCTCCCCCCATGCAAAAAAAGAAAAGGGAGGAGGAGGTAGAGAAGAAAGAAGGAGAAGAAGAAGAAGAAGAAGGTGAAATAAACAATAGTTCTTTAAAAGATATGTAAAACAAAAAGTGGCATCCGTCCAGGATGAATCAATAGGTTGGCCAACCCCTTTTCTAGTAAAATGATATTCAGCTGTAAGAAAAGCAACCACAAAGGGTTTTTTTTTTTTAATCTTTACTCTCTCTCTTTTTTTTTATAATTTATGAGTCGTACACAGTCTATTTCAAAGTCTCATTTAACTTTCTGTAGTGAATCATCCCCATTGCAGTTTCTTAGGAATGCTAGTGAATCACTCTTTTAAAATGTTTTAAGTACTTAATGTTCCTTAGTATTTAACATTCAATAAATTTGCTGTTACTATTTATGAATGCTTGTAACTATTTTTATAAGATAAACATTTTCCAGAGAATTGAGTATTTAAATGAGATAAGAAAGGATACTGTCTGATTTCTGAAATTCCTGGAAATATATTGAGTGGACAAGATCAGGAAACAGAATAGCATGGTATAAAAAGCCCTGAATTTGAAGTCTGTGTTCTAGTGCTGGCTGTAATTACCTGGGTCATCTTAGGCAAAGCTATTTATCTTTGAATCTCAGTCATCATCTTATCTATAATATCAGAATTTTATTATGGGCATGAGAGATTATTTTACATTAGAGGGCTTGCTGCAGAGAGGGATTCATCTGCCTTGGTGTGATTTAGTAGAATCAATAGTGTAACATGTAGCAAAAATGCATAGTGGGAGGAGGTGAGAGAGTCAAGAGGACATTGCAAGGGTCTTGCCCAGGAGCTCTGGGCTAAAAAGAACCAGGTGACCCCCCTGGGTTGACAGGAAGGTCTAGAATTGGGTCAACAGAGTTTTTCCTCCAACCTAGGCTTGAAGGAGGGGCCTAGAAAGTATAGCCATAGAGCATGGCTGAGCAGGATGAGAACTCACCACATGGCCTGGGTGTCAAGTGTTCTTTCTAATGGCAGAAGGTGTAAGAGATCCCTGCAGATGGGGGCACCTCTGGCCTGCAAAACCAGAATATCCAGGAAACTTGCTTCTAAGGAAATTCCAGCTCTTTCAGGAAGATTGCCTTGAAAGGGATGGTTCTTGCTATCAAGGAGTGCATGTGTGGATAAAAATACATACCTCTCTGAATTGTCTGAAGGATAATGTACCTAAAGGACTTAGCACAGTGCTTGGTATGTAGCAGGCCTTCACTAAATGACAACTGTCATTGTGTTTACTGTTACTATTATAATTTTCAAATGGGAGAAGGAGGTGTGAGAAATGAAAGCCCATAGAAAAGGCAGACTCTGAATTATTTCTGAGTTACTCTAGAAAGTACTTAAAAACACTTGGTGTTCTCTGGATGAGCAGAACATAATCATAAACTGATGTAGCTCAGATAATTCATCTGAATTATCATGACAGGGGTGGGCCAGGGAAGCCTAGAGATGTGAGGTTTCTAGAGCTGCCTGGAGGGGGCTAATGCTACCCCACAGGCCCATGTCCACTGGGTGTGGGAGGCCTGAGTAAGTCATGGGTGCTCTTGTAAATGAGTAGGTGATTATGTTAAAGCATCAAATCAGCATACATGTATTCATTAATTTGTGTTAAGCAGAAATACTAGGAAGAGGAACTAACAAGTCCCGCCACAGTCCAGGCACTGAGCTTATTTTATACTTTGTAATGGTCTTAGGTGTATCCTTCCTCCCATTTTCTATTTGAGAAGACAGAGGTACAGAGAGCTTAAGTGACTTTTCCTAGCTGGGTCTAAAACTGGGATGGAAACCCAGGGCAATCAGTCCTCCAACTCCCTGTATTTTCCTCCACACGGTATTTTGATTGTGTAAGCTCCTTTCTGCGCCTTCTCTTTCTTGACAGCATTATTTCCTAAGCATTCCTCTATATGCAAGTAATTACTATTTGACATGGTACTTTGCAGTAAAACTGTCCTCTTGTGGGCACTGACCTACATTTTTTGAAGTGTTTTCCTCGTGGTGTTTGTTAACTGTTGCTGAGTAGCCTGCTATTTCTCAGGGTGCTGGTGAATTCGGTGATGGCACATAGCTAAGCAATTGGCATGTTTCATGGCTGCAAACCACCTGTGCCACCAAATAGGAGAAACAAAGGGAAATCAAGTGTACAATATGGTACAAATGTCAAATGCCAAGATTCAAAATTTCTTGTTTTACTGGATGATGGATACTTTTCTAAAACATATGCTTCTTCCTTCACTGTTTTATTTACAGATGGATCATAACTCATACAGCACTAACGTTAAGCATATTTCCTGTTCACTATATTGGACTAAGTTTTTTCTGCTTTTAAACAACGTATCTAAACTTAATATAACATTAAAATATTTACGGTAGTATTGATAATTTCTCCAACTTGGTGTACTGTAAAAATGCAACTAAGGAGAAAAAATTAGGTTATAGTTAAATTAGTAAGACTTATATTCTTTTTAAAAATGAAGAAGCTAGTTAAATTTGGATCTTCGTATTACTATTTTTCATTAATTCTCATTTCAATGTTACAAGAATTAGTTCTAATTCTTGTAATATTAATTACACAAAGAATTAGAACTAATTCTTGTAACATTAAAATCCTTAAAGGCATTCTGTCACATCAAATATATTCATCTTTAATTAGGAATATTTCCAGTTAACTAAAATTAGGTCATGCCAAACTTTCTAAAATACTACGCTCAAAATTCTGGTTGATTTTTGACATCTCCAAAGCATCTATATACAAAATGAAGAATAATCCTTATCAAAAATTTCAGTTTTTATTCAGAAAACACTCCCACATTTACTGTAGTTGCCAGTGCCCTCTACATGTTCACAAAATAATTACTTTTTGAGAAAAATGTTCGAGGAATGTATGAGTCGTTTTCCAGGCAATCACCCACTCCTTTCTCTGATGGTTAGGAGTTTTAGCATTTCACAAGTAAAAACATCACTTTTTGTTATTGATATAAAACCTGGATTTTGAACAATAAGTCCTAAAGCAGCAGAGTGCCGTGGTAAAGAGTGAGATGCTAGAAACCGTTCTGCTGCCTTTCCTTTCAGTGACTTCCCACTGCTTTTGTTCACTGATGTTGTATATACTATAGGGTCCGCCTTCACAACTTTCCACTTGCGTGGAATTCCATCTGTTTAATCAAACTGAAACAAAAGGTAGTGTCAATGTCCTTATATCTTGAAAGATTTCCTTCCTGATATATTATCTTGGTAACCCATTGCATCATTCAGAAGAATAAATACCCCAGCTCAGCACACAGGAAATGTAACAAGAAAAGGAAATAGACGATATTAAGATACGTACATGTGTATATCACACACACACATATACACATGTATGTGACACACACATATACACATGTATGTGACACACACATACACACATATGTATGTGACACACACATACACACATATGTATGTGACACACACATACACATACAATAAATGGAGAAAAACAGAAAGTGTATAAATGGCAAATTCCAATTTTTAATGAAATAAATAAGTAAAAAAGTTCTTATGAATAAATTATTAGCCAGTTCAAAGTAAATAACTGTGTAGCTTGTAAGTTTTTCTTCACAAAAGATGCAAAATCAAGTGAACTCCCTTCCATCTTAGTGACAACTGGGCAGAGTCCAAACTCCTTAGCACAATACACAATGCCATTTACAACCTGACCCTGTCTAGCCTTTTTAGATTTGTCTCTGTCACTTTGTCTCCATTCTGTATTTCAGCCAAACTCAACTATATTCCCTTTCTCCTGAATCTCTCATGCATTTTCAAGCCTCTCTGCATTTGCCTGCGCTGCTCTGTCTGTTCAAAATTCCTGCCTGGCAAACTCCTACCCATTCTTCAATGTCCCTTCTTCTTTCCTTTGCATAGTCACTGTCACAGTTCTCTGTGCATGTTTTTGCTATAATAGTCAATGGACTGAATTGCATTTAAAAAAAAATTTCCATGTCCTTATCCACTATTAACAGTGAATATCTCAATGACTAGGACTATATCATATTCATCTCATCTCCCCAGGACATGACAGGACTTATTGAGGAGAGACTCAATAAGTGTTGGTTCAATTAATAAATTAAACAAGAGGATTCCAGAGAGTCAATAAAGGGGAGTGAAAAAGTAGAGTGGGAGGTGGCTCAGCCTTTAAACAAAGAGACAATGAATTCACCATATTTGTATGAAATTCCCTAGCATGATACTTCGTTGTCCCAGCAGAGGTCTTCACTCATCAGCTAAGAATAGGGGGAAGGTCTGGCAGCTCAGGCATCACACAGGAGAGAAGCGTTCCTCCACAAGGAGACTCATGTTACAGTAGCACTTCTGGAGGCTTCCTACCCTCCCCTCTCCTACCTTAGCCTGTGGTAGTGTCCTCTTACTTCCTTCCAAAAATAGTCTAGGGAAGAGGACCAGGACCTAGATGATTTCATCAAGTTGGGTTCTGGGCACACTCCAACAAGCTAGGTTACAGACCTACATGTAGGAATTTATAGTTTGCAAAGCACTGTCACATAGGCACATATATCACCTCATTTAATCTTATTTCGGGCTAACTTAGGTCATCAGATGTAGAAGAAATCTTAACTTAAATAGTCTAAGGTAAGCCACCCTGATAAACCCAGCCTAATTGCATGTTAAAACTCACTTTGGAGTGTGAAGATAGATGATGGTATCCTTGTTATAACCAAATATTAATAAAATGTTTTGTTGTTTTAAAAGTAATAGACAGTGTAAAAAATTAAACTATGTAAAAGGCTACAAAATAATATACAAATGTAATCTTCCTATTCTAACCTCAAGAACCCCATTCTTACCCTGCTAAGGTAACCACCATGAAAACTTTCTTCTATATCCTTCTAGAAATGTTTTCAGTGTATATGTGTGCATACATATACATACATATGGGTTACATAAAAATATTACAAGTATTTATAAGTGTAAATGTATGTGCCTTATGTAAATATACATTTATGTATAAATTATGATCATTAACATATAAAACATGTAACAAAATCATACCTATATATGTGTGTATATATACATATATATACAATAATTCTATATAAAATCCTATCTATGTGGTGTGTGTGTATGTGCAACCATGAACCTAGCACTGTACTGGATATTGAGGGGAATGGTTGCTGGTGGAGGCTGGTGATTGTGTAAAAGGAAGAGATAGTTCTGCACAGATGGTAGCATTATTTCTGATTATATGCCAAAGTTAATATACTGGATCGGGTACCAGTTTTTTTGTGGGTAAAGCATATAGCTAGCTGTTCACACAGTGCCAACTTACTTTCTGGGCCCAGGCTGATTTGGTCAGAGAACCTTCTTCCCTAGGAAGCTTGATCTGTAGTTCCCCTTATCTAGTGACACGTAGGAGTTGCTTTGCTGTTACAGCAACAGCCTGTAACTGTTTGACTTCCAAGACTGACCTGCTGGTTCCTTTGAAAACAAACCCATTGGAGTGACCAGTGAAGTCATCTATGGTGGTAATTGACTGTTTATTGTCTCCACTTGGCCTCCCTGCCAGTGACTAGAGGGTAAACACAATGTTTCAATCATCTTTGTTGCCCCAGCACAGACTCCACACTTCAATGTGCATTTGTTGAACAGATCCAAAGCTGCAATTGGCACTTAACACAGTATCTCACCTGCAGAGTCTCCACTTTGGAGAGGTAGATGCCCTTTCTTTATGATACGTTATCAAAGGCATCCTCTCTTCTAGACACCATGTGGAAGTACATCATTGATCTTTAATGCTTCTGGTTTCCTCTTTTACCCTTAAACTGCTTTTGAACTGTCAAACTGAAGCAAGCCATTTGGTGATTTCTATGCTTGGCATCTGGGGTTATTTGGGGTGTGGATGAGGGCAATTGCTTTATATTCTGAAACACTCATGCAGAGCCTGAGTAATCTTTGCTTTTCTGGGGAAGGAATAGCTTACAGTCTCTTAGGAAGTATGCAGCGCAAAAAGAGAATAAAGCAATGACAAAACAACAACAGCAACAACAAAATGGAAAAAAGATAAAAGACTAAGAACTTAAACTCTACAAATTTATGCACACACATTCTTTAATGAATTAGTTTCTAGACTTGAAAGCAGTTCAGCTAGACCGGAATACATCAACAGTCTTAGTTCTGTCATGGAGTCTCCAGGGAGGACTGCTAACTCCAGCCTCAGCCTCCTCATCTGTGGCACGGGTTCACTGGGAAAGAGGAATTAACTCAAGACACAGTAGTTGGCATTGACTCTCTGATGAAGTTCCAAGTGGGAGAGTTAGTATACTTGTGTATATGGAGAGAGCAGAAGCTACAGGGATATGGATTTTGACTCCATTTAAGGAAGAACTCTCAAATACAAAGCTTTCCTAAGGTGGAATGGCCACTTTGTAAGGTGATATATTATTTGATACTGAAAATATTTGAAATGTCCTGGATATAAGAATGTATTAAGTGGATTCCAAGTTCCCTGACATCTTTTACAAATATGATTTTGTGTCTCGTTGATCGCTAAGGCAGCATTGTACTATATAACTTTCTGCAGTGATGGAAATGTTCCGTATCTGTGAGGTCCAAAATGGTAGTCACTGACTACCTGTGCTTATTGAGCACTTGTATGACTGAGGAACTGATTTTTTAATTTAATTTAATTCTAATTAATTTAAATAGCTACACGTGGCTAGTGGCTACCATATTAGACAGTGCTGCTCTAAAATCTCTACCAGCTCTATAGTTTGAATTTTTTAAGCTCTCATCATTATCATTTTATAATCAAATACTGTGTCCTGGACACTGCGTATAAAATTGCTCTATTTAGGATATGGTCCTGCTTTAGAAAAAAATCACCTTCTTGAGAGAAAAGTAGAACCCATGTAAAAACACTGAATTGGAATAAGGAATAAGGATACATAGCAAATAAACTACTGCCAAACTAGAAAGTGCCCATGTCCAAACACTCTATTGTAGAGCCACAATTAAAACACAGGTGTTTCTAAGAAGCATAAAGATACGAAGACCAGCTCCTGTCCTTTGCTGTCTTTGGGGTGGGAGGGAAGTAGCTTTAGGCTCGAGGCTCCCACTGATGTGTTATTGTGCTGAATGCAGGATTCTTCCCTCAGTACCTACTCAATGGTCTGCTAGTGTTTTCCTATACATTAAGAGTAATAGAGGCCGGGCACGGTGGTTCACTGCGCCAAAGCTTTGTATTTCAGAGTTCTTCCTTAAATGGAGTCAAAATCCATATCCCTGTAACTTCTGCTCTCTCTATATACACAAATGTACTAACTCTCCCATCTGGAACTTCATCAGAGAGTCAATGCCAACTACTGTGTCTTGAGTTAATCCCAGCACTCTGGGAGGCCAAGGCAGGCGGATCACGAGGTCAGGAGATTGAGACCATCCTGGCTGACGTGGTGAAACCCTGTCTCTACTAAAAATACAAAAATTAGCCAGGTGTGGTGGCGGGCGCCTGTAGTCCCAGCTACTTGGGAGGCTGAGGCAGGAGAATGGTGTGAACCCAGAAGGCAGAGCTTGCAGTGAGCCAAGATCGTGCCACTGTACTCCAGCCTGGGCAACAGAGCGAGACTCTGTCAAAAAAAAAAAAAAAAAAGAGTAATAGAGATGTAGAACAATGTGATAAAGTGACTTCAAGCTTCATGTTACTTCACCAGAAAGAAGAAGGTCTTTGAGTTGGATTTTATCATTTTAGATGAGGAAGAAGCCCTGAAATCTAATCCTCATATTTTACAGAGAAGAAAACTGACACCTGAAACCCAGAAAAGACTTGTGCGTTGTACAGTCATGTGGTTATTTAATAGTAGACTATTTCATTTGTGTAAATTAATAATGTAGTAAATAACAGTTATTCTTCTTCTAAAATGTAATCTTTTTCTAAAAAAAAAAAAAAAAAATGGCGCCTCCCAAGAGCTTCTTGGAGTTGAAGGAGAGTCAAGCACATCATCTAACAGCATTTCTCTGGAGTGTTTCACAGCTCTCCTGTTTCTTAAAGGGGTGACACAGACATTTATTGAAAACCTGGTTTGAGGACTGGACTGAACTTCTGCTTGTGTTTATTTCAGCTAAGACGTGGTCTCCCCAGACCTGGTCCCAAGAACAACTGTCATGTGCTCAAGGTCTGCTCTGGGACCATATTCTCTCCAAACAAGGCTCTTTATAGCAGTTGCCAAGAAGAAATTCTTTCTTCTTATAATTCATTGAACATCCTTGTAAGTCACCTAGAGAATGGCAAAATCTAAACAAACAAGTTCTGTTTTCAATTTGTCTTCCTGAAAACCAAACTTCACCCACATGAAACTAGCTAGCATGCCTCAAATACTGAAAGCTTCTAGGTACTTTCTGAGTTTGCTCTGACTCATGTCTTACCTACATATTTATTCTTAATTAAAAAGAATCAAATAAAAGACAGAAGAGAAATTGGGCGCTCTTTCAACAAATTGATTCTTCGTATACCTTCATTTTTTCTTCATTACCATGTGAACCTCTTTCTTTTTCCTTGGAATGAATAGAGAATTCAGATAACTAACATATTTGGAAGATTTTTTAATGGAACATTTAGATTTTACAAGTTCAGCAATTTAAGGAAAGCCACTCTATATCAAGTGCTATGATCTAATCAGATTTCTTTTCATAATGACTAGTAGATTTTCATGATGTCAGTTGCCCATCTAAAACCCATAATTGGTTTCCAAATGGGACTTTTCTGGATTAAATATGACCTCTTAAGCCTGGCAATCTATCGTTAACTTTTTCTTTCCCTCTACCTAGCAAACATCTTCAATTCACTCTTCATCCCCACCCCAACACACTCCCTTTTTCAGCCAGGCTTTTCTCCTTACTATGCTCCCTCCTCTATATTTTTCTTTTTTCTTTCTTTTTTTTTTGGTGAGGGGATGGAGTCTCGCTCTGTTATCCAGGCTGGAGTGCAGTGGCACGATCTCGGCTCACTGCAACCTCCGCCTCCCAGGTTCAAGTGATACTCCTCTCTCAGCCTCCCGAGTAGCTGGGATTACAGGCACCTGCCACCACACCCGACTAACTTTTTAAATATTTTTAGTAGAGACAGGGTTTCACCATGTTGGCAAGGCTGGTCATGAACTCCTAGCCTCAAGTAATCTGCCCACCTTGGCCTCCCAAAGTGCTGGGATTACAGGCGTGAGCCACCACGCCCGGCCACTCCCGACATTTTTCTTGTGTACAGGCCTCTCCTACCTTCCCTGCATAACATTCCATACCTCATTCCCACTATTCAGGACCATCATTTCTTCCAAGAACTGGCTTAAAGCTCTTTCTCCTTTAGAAATATTTCCCATCTAAGCCCATCCAAGACTCATGTTCTGTGACTTGCCTATTCTGAGAATCACTGAATGTTTGTTTGTCTTGATTTTGCATTACTTCTACGCAAAAAGCTTTAGAGCTGGGGAGTTGGGGTTAGGAGGAGACTACACAGATACCCTGCCATTCTCCAGATGAGGAAACTGGGTTTCAGATTGAGTGATTTGTCCAAGATCACAGGATTAGAAGCTGCATCTCCAAGACCAGGCTATTTTCACCTCATCATATTGCCTCTTAGTTTTATATGTGTCATGCTAAAAACTTGGAAGACTAGAAATAGTATTACATAGTATACAAATAAAAGTGCCCAACTGCATTAGAGTGCTGCTTATGTTTCTATTACTAAAAATTGTGGCTACTACCATTTGTGATCACTTACTGTGAAGGAGGAGCTGAGCTAATTACTTTACATGTATTTGTTAATTGGCATGCTGTGTCTGAGACTGCTGGACCATGTTCCCCAGCCTTCCCAGCAGTGAGATGCAACCATGACACTGAGTTCTGGCTAAAGGAATGGGTGTAGAACTGGTGTATGAAGCTCCAGGCTTGGCTCATAAAAACCTCCTTCATGCCCTCTCCTCCTGCTCTGTTGGATGGATGTTGGGCTCCAGGGTGACCTTGGAAGCCCAAGTTGAAGATGGTGGAGTCATTAAGATAAAATGAGCTTGGTCCCAAATCAACACTTGTTGGAGAGCTGTCTGGTGATCAGTAGGACCCCTTTGAACTGTGATGTGAGCAAGAAATAAACTACTCTTGTGAGGCCACCAAGATTTTGGCTAGCATTTACCTGAATACTCATTTTTAAACTTAATTCTTACAGCATCCCTATGAAATAGTTATTATCCCCATTTTACAAATGGAAAACCGAAAATGAAAGTGGCTACAATTCTTGCATGAGGCATAGCCAAGATTTGAATGCAGGCCTGTCTGACTCCACATGCCTCCCCCTCCCTCTCTATCTCTCTCTTTCTATCCTGAACGCAGAAGTTCCTGTGGCGAACTTCATCAAGGACTTTCACAGATAAGAACCATTTTCCCTAAAAGAGCTCCTGAAGGAAGCACTAAACATGGAAAGGAACAACCGGTACCAGCCGCTGCAAAATCATGCCAAAATGTAAAGACCATCGAGACTAGGAAGAAACTGCATCAACTAATGAGCAAAATCACCAGCTAACATCATAATGACAGGATCAAATTCACACATAACAATATTAACTTTAAATATAAATGGACTAAATTCTGCAATTAAAAGACACAGACTGGCAAGTTGGATAAACAGTCAAGACCCATCAGTGTGCTGTATTCAGGAAACCCATCTCACGTGCAGAGACACACATAGGCTCAAAATAAAAGGATGGAGGAAGATCTACCAAGCAAATGGAAAACAAAAAAAGGCAGGGGTTGCAATCCTAGTCTCTGATAAAACAGACTTTAAACCAACAAAGATCAAAAGAGACAAAGAAGGCCATTACATAATGGTAAAGGGATCAATTCAACAAGAGGAGCTAACTATCCTAAATATTTATGCACCCAATACAGGAGCACCCAGATTCATAAAGCAAGTCCTGAGTGACCTACAAAGAGACTTAGACTCCCACACATTAATAATGGGAGACTTTAACACCCCACTGTCAACATTAGACAGATCAACGAGACAGAAAGTCAACAAGGATACCCAGGAATTGAACTCAGCTCTGCACCAAGCAGACCTAATAGACATCTACAGAACTCTCCACCCCAAATCAACAGAATATACATTTTTTTCAGCACCACACCACACCTATTCCAAAATTGACCACATAGTTGGAAGTAAAGCTCTCCTCAGCAAATGTAAAAGAACAGAAATTATAACAAACTATCTCTCAGACCACAGTGCAATCAAACTAGAACTCAGGATTAAGAATCTCACTCAAAGCTGCTCAACTACATGGAAACTGAACAACCTGCTCCTGAATGACTACTGGGTACATAACGAAATGAAGGCAGAAATAAAGATGTTCTTTGAAACCAACGAGAACAAAGACACCACATACCAGAATCTCTGGGACGCATTCAAAGCAGTGTGTAGAGGGAAATTTATAGCACTAAATGCCTACAAGAGAAAGCAGGAAAGATCCAAAATTGACACCCTAACATCACAATTAAAAGAACTAGAAAAGCAAGAGCAAACACATTCAAAAGCTAGCAGAAGGCAAGAAATAACTAAAATCAGAGCAGAACTGAAGGAAATAGAGACACAAAAAACCCTTCAAAAAATCAATGAATCCAGGAGCTGGTTTTTTGAAAGGATCAACAAAATTGATAGACCGCTAGCAAGACTAATAAAGAAAAAAAGAGAGAAGAATCAAATAGACACAATAAAAAATGATAAAGGGGATATCACCACCGATCCCACAGAAATACAAACTACCATCAGAGAATACTACAAACACCTCTACGCAAATAAACTAGAAAATCTAGAAGAAATGGATACATTCCTCGACACATACACCCTCCCAAGACTAAACCAGGAAGAAGTTGAATCTCTGAATAGACCAATAACAGGCTCTGAAATTGTGGCAATAATCAATAGTTTACCAACCAAAAAGAGTCCAGGACCAGATGGATTCACAGCCGAATTCTACCAGAGGTACAAGGAGGAACTGGTACCATTCCTTCTGAAACTATTCCAATCAATAGAAAAAGAGGGAATCCTCCCTAACTCATTTTATGAGGCCAGCATCATTCTGATACCAAAGCTGGGCAGAGACACAACCAAAAAAGAGAATTTTAGACCAATATCCTTGATGAACATTGATGCAAAAATCCTCAATAAAATACTGGCAAACCGAATCCAGCAGCACATCAAAAAGCTTATCCACCATGATCAAGTGGGCTTCATCCCTGGGATGCAAGGCTGGTTCAATATACGCAAATCAATAAATGTAATCCAGCATATAAACAGAGCCAGAGACAAAAACCACATGATTATCTCAATAGATGCAGAAAAAGCCTTTGACAAAATTCAACAACCCTTCATGCTAAAAACTCTCAATAAATTAGGTATTGATGGGACGTATTTCAAAATAATAAGAGCTATCTATGACAAACCCACAGCCAATATCATACTGAATGGGCAAAAACTGGAAGCATTCCCTTTGAAAACTGGCACAAGACAGGGATGCCCTCTCTCACCGCTCCTATTCAACATAGTGTTGGAAGTTCTGGCCAGGGCAATCAGGCAGGAGAAGGAAATAAAGGGTATTCAATTAGGAAAAGAGGAAGTCAAATTGTCCCTGTTTGCAGACGACATGATTCTTTATCTAGAAAACCCCATCGTCTCAGCCCAAAATCTCCTTAAGCTGATAAGCAACTTCAGCAAAGTCTCAGGATACAAAATCAATGTACAAAAATCACAAGCATTCTTATACACCAACAACAGACAAACAGAGAGCCAAATCATGAGTGAACTCCCATTCACAATTGCTTCAAAGAGAGTAAAATACCTAGGAATCCAACTTACAAGGGATGTGAAGGACCTCTTCAAGGAGAACTACAAACCACTGCTCAAGGAAATAAAAGAGGACACAAACAAATGGAAGAACATTCCATGCTCATGGGTAGGAAGAATCAATATCGTGAAAATGGCCATACTGCCCAAGGTAATTTACAGATTCAATGCCATCCCCATCAAGCTACCAATGACTTTCTTCACAGAATTGGAAAAAACTACTTTAAAGTTCATATGGAACCAAAAAAGAGCCCGCATTGCCAAGTCAATCCTAAGCCAAAAGAACAAAGCTGGAGGCATCACACTACCTGACTTCAAACTATACTACAAGGCTACAGTAACCAAAACAGCATGGTACTGGTACCAAAACAGAGATATAGATCAATGGAACAGAACAGAGCCCTCAGAAATAATGCCGCATATCTACAACTATCTGATCTTTGACAAACCTGAGAAAAACAAGCAATGGGGAAAGGATTCCCTATTTAATAAATGGTGCTGGGAAAACTGGCTAGCCATATGTAGAAAGCTGAAACTGGATCCCTTCCTTACACCTTATACAAAAATCAATTCAAGATGGATTAAAGATTTAAACGTTAGACCTAAAACCATAAAAACCCTAGAAGAAAACCTAGGCATTACCATTCAGGACATAGGCGTGGACAAGGACTTCATGTCCAAAACACCAAAAGCAATGGCAACAAAAGCCAAAATTGACAAATGGGATCTAATTAAACTCAAGAGCTTCTGCACAGCAAAAGAAACTACCATCAGAGTGAACAGGCAACCTACAACATGGGAGAAAATTTTCGCAACCTACTCATCTGACAAAGGGCTAATATCCAGAATCTACAATGAACTCAAACAAATTTACAAGAAAAAAACAAACAACCCCATCAAAAAGTGGGCGAAGGACATGAACAGACACTTCTCAAAAGAAGACATTTATGCAGCCAAAAAACACATGAAGAAATGCTCATCATCACTGGCCATCAGAGAAATGCAAATCAAAACCACTATGAGATATCATCTCACACCAGTTAGAATGGCAATCATTAAAAAGTCAGGAAACAACAGGTGCTGGAGAGGATGTGGAGAAATAGGAACACTTTTACACTGTTGGTGGGACTGTAAACTAGTTCAACCATTGTGGAAGTCAGTGTGGCGATTCCTCAGGGATCTAGAACTAGAAATACCATTTGACCCAGCCATCCCATTACTGGGTATATACCCAAATGAGTATAAATCATGCTGCTATAAAGACACATGCACACGTATGTTTATTGCGGCACTATTCACAATAGCAAAGACTTGGAACCAACCCAAATGTCCAACAATGATAGACTGGATTAAGAAAATGTGGCACATATACACCATGGAATACTATGCAGCCATAAAAAATGATGAGTTCATGTCCTTTGTAGGGACATGGATGAAATTGGAAATCATCATTCTCAGTAAACTATCGCAAGAACAAAAAACCAAACACCGCATATTCTCACTCATAGGTGGGAATTGAACAATGAGATCACATGGACACAGGAAGGGGAATATCACACTCTGGGGACTGTGGTGGGGTCGGGGGAGGGGGGAGGGATAGCATTGGGAGATATACCTAATGCTAGATGACACGTTAGTGGGTGCAGCGCACCAGCATGGCACATGTATACATATGTAACTAACCTGCACAATGTGCACATGTACCCTAAAACTTAGAGTATAATAAAAAAAAAAAAATTATTAAAAAAAAAAAAAAAAAAAAAAAAAGAACCATTTTATGCCCTTATGCAGAAATGCATCAACTCTGTCCACCACCAACAGATGGCAGTAGTGGTTGCCTGTAAACCAGCACTTTGAATTTATGAACAAATGGACTTAAGAATATTATGAAATAAAACATAACCTGTGTGTGCACAGAGAGTTTCCAAATGTTTTGCTGCCTTTTCTCTGGTGAGGGATAATTTTACCTTTTTGAGAATTATCATTGCCAAGTTATTTAAATGCCCGGGGCTTGTATAGTCTAGAATCATGAAGAAATGGTCTAGAATGAGACCATTTGAAAAAATGAGGAAATTGGTTTAGAATCATTTAATAACCAATATGTTCCCTTCAGACTCTGACATTTCATTGTGCACATGTGAGAAAATATAAAAAACTGGACCCACAAAGAACTGGTAAGCTTACAGTTCACACTGGGCTGCCTGTCTCCCCAGGGGAGCCAGGGTAGGTAGGACAGGACTCCTGAAGTTATGTTCTGTGATTACTCTTGACAACAGGTAAACCAGGCTACACTAATGCCAAAGTTAAGCTGTCTGTATTTATTTATTTTGCTTCTCTATATTTTAAAACTTTTCCTTCAATGAACACATGTAATTGTAAAATTAAAACAATATTGAGAAAAAGAAATCACACACATGGACACTCAAAAACCAAGCAAGCAATGTGAAGGTCCTGTTATAAAGAATGACACAGTAGAGCAGAAAGGTTGATGAATGGGCTTTGGGTCATGACAGTTCTGGGTTCAAAGTCCGACTCTCCTGCTTACTTACAGTGTGGCCTTAGGTAAGTTTCACACCCTTGCTAAGACTCAGTTCTGCCATCCATTAAAAAGGGAGGGGGTAATGCATCAAAACCATCGGGCTTTGTGAGGAAACGCACATGAGCCAGAGGGTCTGGGATGGGATGTTGAAGATGGTGAGGGTAATGTACACAGGATTACATTTAAATGGTTTCCATTGACAATAAAATCATAAAGAGCAATTATGTACCAATTATTTTCTCTCACTTAACATATTAACCAAAGTTGTTTTTTGGTGTGTATGCAATTTGAATTCCCCAGATCATCATATGTTCCTCAAAACAGAAGTCATATCTTCTTTTTATTCTCCAGCGTGCCTGGTTTGTGGGCATGGGAAGAGTGTATGTCAGTCAATGCTTCTTGCTTGAGTAGGGGGATTATGATACTCCCTGGCTTTACCTGCAATCATTCAGCTTCAGATTGTTACAGAGCAGTTTTATAGCATCACAGATAGATATAAAGAAGAGGAAAAGAAGGTCTACTGGGATGCCCACCATGCTGTGAATACTATAGGACTGTCTTGAACAATATGTAGCTACTCACTACATGTGACTATTTAAATTTAAATTTATTAAAAGTAATAAAATTAAAAACACAGTTCCTCATACCAACCACATTTCAAGTACTCAATAGCCACAGGTGGTAATTGGCTACCCTGTGAAACTGCCCAGATATTGAATATTTCCCTTATTGCCAAGTTCTAGTGGATAGTGCTGCTCCAGAACTCCATAGAAAGCCCCTGAAAACTGGAGAAAGAGAATTTCCAGGGGCAGGGCCTTCTTTTTTCCTCAATGTCAACTTATTTAAAAAACTCTTTTTTTTTTTTTTTTTTCAGATGGAGTCTCAATGTGTCACCAGGCTGGAGTGCAGTGGTGTCATCTTGGCTCATTGCAGCCTCAGCCTCCTGGGTTCAAGCCATTTTCCTGCCTCAGCCTCCTGAACAGCTGGGATTACAGGTTCCTCCCACCATGCCCAGATAATTTTTGTATTTTTAGAAGAGACAGGGTTTCGCCATGTTGGCCAGGCTTGTCTTGAATTCCTGGCCTCAAGTGATCCATCCACCTTGGCCTCACAAAGTGCTGGGATTACAGGCTTGAGCTACCGCACCCAGCCTAAAAAAACTATTAAATGCAAACTATGTACCATATTAATGGCTACCACTTATTAAGCATTTAGTATGTGCAAGGCATAGTGCTAAAAACATTGTACACATTATCCAATTCTCACACTCTGAAAGGCAGGCATTATTAACTATTATAACAGTTATTACTACTGATAAATAATAATTGTAACAAATATTATAATTACTAAGTTAATTAATATTAACTTGCTTTTTAGAAATGAGAAAACATAGGCTCAGAGAGGTTAAATCACTTGCCTGAGATCTCACAGCCTTCAAATGACAGAGCTGTGATTCAAACTCAGCATTTATCTGGCTTAACCGTCTCTGTACTAACCATGACCCACTACTGCCTTTCTCCTTATCATACCTCTCAAAGGCACAGTTTAGGAGTTGTGGAGATTTGCAGATGTATGAATCAGTCCCTACCTTCAAAGCTTCTCAATCTAGTGTAGGAAATAAATGGGTAGAAATACATATAACCATTTACATGTAATCCCCTGTACATTACCCTCACCATCCCCAACATCCCATCCCAGACCCTCTGGCTCATGTGCGTTTCCTCACAAAGCCCGATGGTTTTGATGCATTACCCCCTTCATTTTTAATGGATGGCAAAACTGAGTCTTAGCAAGGGTGTGAAACTTACCTAAGGCCACACTGTAAGTAAGTAGGACAGTTGGGCTTTGAACCCAGGACTGTCATGACCCAAAGCCCATTCATCAACCTTTCTACTCTACTGTGTCATTCTTTATAACAGGACCTTCACATTGCTTGCTTGGTTTTTGAGTGTCCATGTGTGTGATTTCTTTTTCTCAATATTGTTTTAATTTTACAATTACATGTGTTCATTGAAGGAAAAGCTTTAAAATATAGACAAGCAAAATAAATACATATAACTAAATATAATTACAAAACAAGCTCTGTTAAAGAAGAATGATGTTAAAGAAGGCTAGGTCATAAAAGACATCACAGCTTCCACCTACTCTTGGATTGCTCACTCTGTGGGAAGCCAGCCGCCATGTTGTGAGGCCATTCAAGAAGCTCTATAGGGAGGTCCACGTGGAGATGAACCTGTGAGACATAATAAGTGCTTATTATTATTTTTAGTTACTAAATTTTGGGGTAATTTACTATGCAGTAATACATAGATAATAGGAGAGGCATTAGATTACTTTGTGATCTCAAGCTTGGGTGATGATGGAGCTGATTATCTATTTTTTTTTCTTTTCAAAACATAATCCATAACAACAAGCCAGTTTGTGATCCAATTTCATATGAACTTCCATTCAAGGAACAACTGTCTGGGAACTGAAAAGTAGATGAACACTATTTAAGCTTTTTTTTTTTTTTTTTTTTTTTTTTTTTTTTTTTTTTTGTGAGACGGAGTCTCGCTCTGTCGCCCAGGCTGGAGTGCAGTGGCGCGATCTCGGCTCACCGCAACCTCTGCCTCCCGGGCTTACGCCATTCTCCTGCCTCAGCCTCCTGAGTAGCTGGGATTACAGGCGCCCGCCACCACGCCTGGCTAATTTTTTTGAATTTTTAGTAGAGTAGGGGTTTCACCATGTTAGCCAGGATGGTCTCGATCTCCTGACCTCATGATCTGCCTGCCTCGGCCTACCAAAGTGCTAGGATTACAGGCGTGAGCCACCACGCCTGGCCTATTTAAGCTTTTACAACAATCTTTCCTAAAAGTGACATGGGGGAACTACCTTCAAAATTCTTAGATAAATGTCTTTCAAATCTTCTTTGCCATCTTATCCTATAGCCTTGATACCAAATTAGTGCCCAACTCAATCTCCAAGATCTTTCAGAAAACTATATCATAAACTCAAGTCAGGTAGGCTTTTGTTACCTTCTTCTTTGGACATATGTAAATATGTAGTAATGTTTGTCTTTTCAGCTTTCATATCTTCTCATTATAGTCAGCCCTTGTATCCACGAGTTCTCCATCCATGGATTCAACCAACCTCAATTTGAAAATATTCGGGGAAAATAATGGATGGTTACATCTTTACTGAACATGTACAGCCTTTTTTCTTGCCATTATTCTCTAAACAATACAGTATGACAACTATTTACATAACATTTACATTGTATTAGGTATAAGTAATCTAGAGATGATTTCAAGTATACAGGAGGATGTGTGTAGGTTATATGCAACACTATCCAATTTTATATGAGACTCAAGCACTTGTGGATTTTAGTATCCAAGGAGGTCCTGAAACCAATTTCCCTTGGACCACTGAGGGACAAATGTATTTATATTATATTATAATATAATATATTTAGTCCCAGAAACCATCCATGCTTTGAAGCATTGCCAGTCAATGCTCTTTGAGTAAGGGAATGGTTGCTTTTTGTTTTGGATGGGGAGGAAGGGAGAAGAGAAAATGGGAGTGTCTATGTTACAATTGCAAATAAGCAAACAAAAATTCCCTGCAGTTTATTTTTCATCTATATGCTCACCAAAGAAACCAGTTCCAGGAGGCAGCCTGGTTCAGGCCAGTCCATTTACTCTCTGTGTGACACTGAGGGTGCTGGATGTCATTTCTGTATCTCAGTTTCTTCATTTGCAAAATTATAATATCTTCTTGCTGGTTTGTGGGAATATTAAATGAATTGAAGCATGTAAAGCACCTTACACAGACCCTACTGCGTTGTATTCATTCAGCAGCTACTAAAGTCTAACAGCATTTAAATTATTGAAAATTCAGTGTCCCTAAATATTATCCACAAGGGATGACTGATTTCAGGTGACAGTATTTGAGCATCTCTTCTGAAACATACTTTGATTCTTTTGATGTTTTGATAGATAGAAAGCTGCTTCTATTATCGTTCAGGCAATACAGTGACTGTCATCACATCCAAGATGGATGTGAATAACATCCATCACCTCTGGACACAAAAGCAGTAAGCACTTAAAATCTGATTTATATCATGACATACGTATGAGAGGTAACTTCTATGACTGTCTTTTAAAAATCTTTTTGCACTTTTGTTTCTGGTTCTGAATGTATCATAATAAAGGCCATTATACTATAATTGATTAACTTCACTACCTAGTGTAAACGTTCAATTCAACTCCACCCCTATTTATTGAGCCCTTATTATGTGCCAAACACAGTTCTAGGTATTTTGGTTCCATCAGTATACAAAAAATCAAAGATACCTGCCCCCAAGCGCTTACATTCTAGTGGGAGGATACAGAAAATAAATAATAAATGTAGTATGTAATATATTACATAGGATGTTAGACAGTGATAATTGCAATGGAAAAAAGAAAAAGTAGAGTAAGGGGGTGACCGAAATTCCACACTAATTAATGTCTCTCTGGGCCTGATAAATTTTGCATACCTTACATAGCTCAGACTGTTCTAGGCTATTTTTCTTTTCTGAGTTGATTCTCAGATAACAATCAGCTGACCAAACAACTTTCTGGTACTCTAGGAACAAAGTTATAATATATTATCTTGTATATTTAGAAAATGTTCATACACTATAGGGCCATTCCCATCCAATTAGAAAAAATTACCTTTAAACACATGCAATGATTGTGAGTTATGTATGCCTCAAATCTTCGTGTTAAAATAAAGGATTAGACCAAATGCAATGTTGCTCTTTAAGCACATCTCTCAGATGCCCCCTTTCCTCTCCACTACAGAAGTATATAACTATGGTAGACAGTATAATTGATGACCAGTAGGAGAAAACTAAAGGAGGCCATCATGATATGCCTTAAAAATGGATCTTGGAAATAAACTGTATATTTCAAACTGGGTTAACCATTTCTTCTTAGAAATTCTCCCTTTCAAAAGAAGAGTGTAAGGACTATGGGTGGGAACTACCTTCCACTGCAGCCCCTTCCCCCAAAAGAATAAAGTTTAATCTCCTTAAGCGCACACAGTCACCCGGCAATACATCCTGTAAATCTTTTGTATCTATTAGGATTGTTGGGGCTGCATATGATAGACATATATATATAAAAGTAAAAATATCAAACAAATATACAAATGGATTATAAATAAACTTATATTAATATAGATCTAGGATAAATATTTTTGGCCATTATTCCTACAAGGACAGTGGTGGTCCGATATATCCAAAGTCAAATTCTTTTAGGGATAAATCTCTTTCTACACAGCTAGGTTAGCAGGGCAGATGAGTCTGTGACCTAGCAATGAAGCCTTAATTGTAGCGAGCCCCGGGTTGGGAATGAGAGCTTCCCTAGATCTCTGAGTTCTTTAGGTTAATCCGACTGTCTCTTTCATTCTTTTGAGAGCCATAAGGGGAGTCCTTCCAAGAGCTTTAGGTACATGTCTCTAGCTATCTTTTGGGCACTCTTCATATACATCTTCTTGGTTCATCTTCCAAGTCAGAGCTTAGAAGTCTTCCAACATCTCCTTCCCTTACTCCCTGTATTGGTCAGAGTACCATCAGGGAAGCAGAGCCACTATGGACAAAATGAACCAAGGATTTTATACAACTATGGGGAGGAACTAGGGAAATGAAGGCCTGAAAATGATCAAAGAAAAGCCACTAACCAGCTTCTGCAGTGGAACTATGAAGAAGGCTGGTGTTGAAGTCTATGAAAGGTTTTTGGGTCTTTGTGGCAACTGTCTCTGTGAATCCCAGTGAACCATCTGGTGGTGGGCCTGGGGTCACTCTTGGCCAGCAGGGCTGGAAGTCAGGATGGAAAGCTGGATGTACTTGGGAAAAAGTGAGGAAAAACTAGAATCATGAAGGTAAACTGGAACCTACAAGGAAAAACTGGAACTCATGTTTGTCTCTCACTGCATCTCACCTGGTGATGAACAGGAAAAGCTGTATCACTAGTCTGAGAGCTGTCCATATGGAGAAGCTGAAGGAGGAGGTGGGTAGGGGCTAGACCAGCTGTGAGCCAGCCCAGACCAAGTGAGCCAGCAGATCAGTGATAAAATAATGGCTACTGTTTCATTTCCACCTTCCAGATTACACCAAAATGTGTGGCCACTCCTAACCCAGAGCCATACAGACAAGGAAATCCTGGGAAATGTAATTCCAGTTTCACTAAGTTGATAGAGTAACAAACCAATATACTCTTTACATATCAATCAATTTTAATTTGTACAGATTTCTAACTATATCCACCCCTTCCTTTCTTTCTCTGTTATCACTGCTCCAATTCAGATTCTTGGCCCCTTTTTCCTGGTCTATCAGCACAGCAGAGACATAAGACATTTCACAAGTTTCAAGTCCTGTTTGTAGGCACTTCAGAAAGCCATCTGCTATGCCAAGGTATTGCCCATCTTGCTCTTTTGGGCACCCAGAAATCTCTGGGACATGGTTGAGGTTGTTTGGCTTTATTGGCCAATATTGCTGGCCTCAGTCTTGTCCCCTGCTGACATACACTTATTGGTACTGCGCCTATGTCCTCATTAATACTTGAGAAGGTATATGGGCCAGAAAGGAGAGGGGAAGCAGATAAGGATAGTAGCTAACACTTATTGTGCTATTATCTCTTACCCTCACAACAATATCTCAGTTAATATCTCCATTTTATAAAAATTTTACAGCAGCTAAGTGAACCATCCAAAGTTAAACTATCAAACAGATGAACTTAGACCTAGGAGTGTTTGTTCCCAAAGCAGATGTTCTATATATTGTACTAAAAGAGCCTGCAACAGCATAGAACCCTGGGCTGCCCTTCCTTTTGGGTTTTCACAACCAACAGCTGGATAGTCTATCTCTCTAGGTTTGGGCTCTTGTCAGGCTGGGCTGGTGATCCACTTGCAGTAGTTCTGGAGTTAGTGCCCAACACAAATGCCTCCTTGAGCCAGGCAGATACTATAAATGAGTGAAAAGATAGGGAGTTGGGATGGATGAGAAGTGGTGAGGACTGTGGCAAACTGGGGAGATGTGCTCTACCTAAGACGCACAGGAGTTAATCAACTCTGGCCAATGATTTTCTGGCTGGAATGAGGACCCAGCGTTACATAAAAGAAGTTGTGATATCTCTTGACTTTAAATATTGACTCAGTACCTTTGTTAAAGATAATGTGGTCCTAACAGTATTTTAAGCTGTTTTATGGGCTAACCAGAACACTGATTAGAGGCACTCAAAGCTGCTCATTTGAAAAATTCCACTCCAGAGAGAATTTTCCTGACTTCCATGGCTTTCTGCATATCACTGTAGGCTCCTCCAAAAGTTGATCCAAATACTACTGGGATGGAGAGGGTCACAGGTCAACCCAGTTCTGTGGTTGGTTGGGCTGCTTTGGATGCTAAGAAGCCTGCAGACCCGCAGGCCACTGCTGATGAGAATCAGGTAAGAGCTTAAAACCAAGGCATCTGTACAGAAATTGACCTGTTAGAACTGCCCAGGGAAAAATTGACAGTGAGAACGCATGTCAGTGGATGACATGTGAAGTGTGAGTTAAGTGTGCATATGAGATCAGTGTGTAGATGAGTAGAAAGAGAAAAGAGGGGAGAATGACAGCCAATAGTAAATTTTTTTAAAAAGGGGAAAGAAAGGCGAGAGAAAGGAGAAGCCACTTTCACTGAGTACATTCGCAGACATGTTCTATCTGCTAATGTTTATTTTCCCTCAATATATGCAGGGGCAATTAGGTGTTAATGCTCATTAGGCCAGAAATGGGCAATTGTATTACTAAGGGAACTAAATTCAGGATTTATTTTCTGGTCCCTGTTTTCTCCAGAATCTTTCTTTCCTAACAAGTTATAAACTGTCCCCTATTGTCTTTGTGCTAACTGCTTAGAAATGTCCTGGGCTTGGTTTGGGCATCTCAGAAACCTGACTGAATAAGAAAAGGGTGGCTAAGTAAATGTAAAGACTGTAATTAGGACCAAGTTCTGTGGTGAAGGAACTAGGACCAGCATTTTACTAAGTAAGCAAGTAAATTTACGAAACTGCATTCACTGGTGATCTAGCCTTGCCATGGAAGTGAAGGAACAAGAAAGTGGACACAGTAGGCAAGCTGAATGGCACCACATCACCACCTCAGAAGGGGCTCTGCCTTCAGGGCTCCTCAACTTCAGTAACCCCATTCTTAACCCACCTTGTCCCTATAGGAAGCTAGAAGAGGTTGAATGCATATTCTGAAACTTCTTTTTTCCACTTTATGAGAAAAAAATTATACAATTTGGGGTAATGCTCATATGGTGGATATGCAGTTTTCACATCATAAAAACACAGGTGCTAACTGAGCCTGGTGTGTGCAACACTCCTACGCAGAAACCAGCAGTGACAGAGAACCCCAGAGTCAGTTACACCAGCATAGTTTGCATTTTTAGAGGGTGGGAAGGGAGGACAGAAAGGATCTGAGATGCACAGAGCAGTGGTTTAGCCCATGGATTCTGCTGCACGGAGGCTTCAGAACCTGAATGTTATGGAAAAGATACCACCATGTTTTACTGAATTTGGTATGTCCCAGATTTTAACAAACTTCCCATTCCCAAGACCCACTGCCATCCCCAATTAAGAAAGATTTTTAAAAACCAAGTAAAGTTACATTTTCTCATTAAAAAAAATAAGGGGCTTTGTCTTCATCTTCTTGGGTCAGGAATATTTTCAAGGATGTGATGAAAAGTACGGACCACACTCTATAACAATGCATAGGCCCACAAAGACAAACCTTTCCAAACTTTTCCCTAGGACTTTGGTTTTCAACTTGTCAGCTCATTAGAATCACCTGGAGAACTTTAAAAATTACACACACCTGGATTCTATTCCCAAACAACTAAATCAGTATAGCTTAGAGTAGGGCTTGGGCACAGTATAATTTTAAAAAACCTCTTCAGGTGGTGTTAATGTATAGTTAAGGCTGAGAATAAGTGCCTGTAATTGAACACAATAGGAAAAAAATGCCAGGAACGGTGGCTCATGCCTGTAATCCCAGCACTTTGGGAGGCTGAGGACGGTGGGTCACTTGTGGCCAGGAGTTCGAGACCAGCCTGGGCAACACAGCAAACCCTGTCTCTACTAAAAGTACAAAAATGAGCCGAGTGTGTTGGCATGTGCCTGTGATCCCAGCTATTCGGGAGGTTGAGGCACAAGGATTGCTTGAACCTGGGAGATGGAGGTTGCAGTGAGCCAAGATCGCACCACTGCACTCCAGCATGAGCAACAGAGTAAGACTCTGTCTCAAAAAAAGAAAAGAAAAAAGTTTAGAAGAAAAGAAAACCCAGAAGGAATATACCCCTAAAATACCTCATTGGAAGGATGTACTATAGAAGTTACTAGAAATAAAGAGGAAAGAAGACAACTTGGCAAATGGCTTGCCCTTCGTTGCTAATTCCAGTCTATTGTTGCTCCCTTCACCTTAAAAATACAACACCTGCTTGGAGTTGCGTGCCATAAGCCCAACATGCCCAGCCACGTCTCCTTGTTTCAGTCTTCTACACTCCCCCACCATCAGAGTCCTTTTCCCTCAGTCCTTAAAATTTTAGCTCCTAACTGTCATTCCCTTCACCGTTACTCCTGACAATCCTTGGTGATTTAAATGTTCACATAATCCTTCTGGTATTCTGGCCTGTCAGTGCCTTGACTTCATCCATTTCAAAGATCATGTCTACACCATTCTCTGCCACCCACTTTCACAGTCATATTCCACCAGATCTTGTCATTATAAATTATTTAAATCCCTTTATAACCTCAATTCCAAGCATCCAACCCGCTGACCACTACATCTTATTGTTCCAGCTTACTCTCTCTAGTGCCCCACCTCCAAAAATCCTCCTCTTCACCACTTACAACTTATTGATCCTACTAGCTACGGATTGTCCCTTACTCCATCCTCATATCATCACTTCTCTCCTTATCTATCATTATCATTTCCTTTCTCACATCATTGTCTTTGCTTGACAAAAGTACAGCCCTGTTTAAATCCATATCTACACCTACTCTGTGTTCCTATGCATACAAATGCACTTGGCTGGAGAAAAATACCCATCCATACATGACCATCAGCCTCAAATGGGCCCTAGGGCTGCCTGTTAATCTCACTAAATTCTCTTGTCCATTTACTTTCTCCAACTCCCATATTATTTTGTATCTTACCCTCTTCTCCAGTACTTCCTTCCCTGCCCCACTTTCAGCTAATGACCTAGCTTCCATTTTCTCTGAGAAAAGAGAAGCAACCAGAAGAGAACTTGTTCATGCCCCCACCGTGATATCCTCTCACCTAGCTGTATCTGTGTCCATATATTCAGCCTTTCCTCCCGTTACACTGGAGGAACACTTTGTGCTCCTAAGGGCAAGCCTTCCAGCTGCACAACTAGGTCCCATCTTCACTTCATCACTCATAGTCATCACTGCAGAAATTCTCCGCCCATTCCTCTGTTATGTTCAGTTTTCCCATTTCTAATGGTCATTTCCATTAGCATAAAAACAGGCTATTGCTTTTCCCATCTGAAAAATAGTTTTGACTCCTTGACATTTTCTATTATTTAATTTCTCTGCTCCTGTTTACGGCAAAAGTCTTTGAAATAATTACTTCTTCCTGCTGTCTCTTCTTTCCTTCCATTCTCTCTTAAACCCAATTTTAACTTAATTTTTGTCCTAATTCATTGAAATAGCCATTTTCAAGTTCACTAATGACTTGCACATTGCTATATCCCAGCCAACTAGCAGACTACATCTTACTTCATCTCTCGGTATTTCATTGGATCAATCACTCTTTCTTCACCTGGCTTCCACTCTTGGTTTTCCTCCCCTGTCAGTGTATGTTTCTTTCCAGTTACCTTTGCTGATTGCTCCTCATCACCCCAAACTTTAAACTTTGAAGTGTTTAAACTTTGAGGCTTAGTTTTCATACCTCCTCTTTTCACAATCCACACTAGCTTCCTTGGTGATCTCAACCAGGTTCTCTGCTTTGAACATGCACTTTGAGCATGCTGATTGCTCCCAGATTTATGTCTCTACCCAGAACTCTCTCCCAAACTCCAGACTTGAACATCTAATTGCTTTCTCGGCACCCATATTCCCCATCCTCCTCTGCTTTTTTTCCTCCTAGGAAATCATCTGTCTGATATATTTCCTTTTTAATGTTATTATCTGTTCATTATCTGTCTCTACCCACAAGACTATAAGCTCCATAAGGGCTGGGATTCTTGGTCCATTTGCCCATTTGCCTGGCACAAGTATTCAATGACTATTGTTTGAATGAGTGAATGATGTAAAACTCTAGACTCTGAAAATAAATGGGAGAAAATAAATGGGAGATCTTGCATGCTAGATCACTAACAAAGACCAATTTAAAGGCATCTTATAGAATCTCCCCATTTGCCTGAGGGGTGGCAACTGAAAATCAGCTATTGAGGCCCAGTGACTGGACAAAAGCCTGGCCAGAGGGAGCTTGTTCTGTTTTAGCAGCGTCCCTTGGGAGGGCTACTCCTCATCTCTGCTGGGGATATGCCCGTGGCAAGTAGGACCAGAGTTCCCAGAATGGATCCTGGAGGACTTGTCCCAGTGATGCTCCATGAAGAGGAGCCTCCATGGTCACATTCGCACTCTTGGATAGTCATAGCTGAAATAGCGTATTAGACACTAAGAAAAGCCCTGCAATACAGGAGCCTACTTTCATTCTTTTCCCCTACACATTCAATGGTAGAGAACTTTTATTCATAACTCCTTACCATTTATTTGAAAAACACTTGTAGAAACTCCAAATTAGAATAGAATGAAGCAACATTCTAGGCAAGCATGTAAAGCTGGACCTGTAGGGATATCCTTCCTCAACATGCACACAACCAACCCACTTCAGCTACTTTTGTGAGAAAGTACTCGGATTTCAGTAGTGAAGGAAAGAAATAAGGAAAAAAGAAACAAGGAAAAAAAGACCTGAGAGTTGGAGTAGACCAAACCTGAATATAGTGGGCACTGGAGCACTGATCAAAAGAGAAACATGTGTCAGGCTGCATTGTTAGAAAAGTGACTTAGAAAAGCTGAAGTTTTTTGTGTATTTGCTTGTTTTGCAATTAAGAGAGTCATAACAGATATTGGCTATCACCTGGGGTCATTGTAGTTGGTGCAGTGAGACAGGTGTGGGCAAATCACATCATTTGGTGCTTTCAGTTTATAAGCAATCTCTTGTTTCAGTGATTATTAAGGATAAACTTAGAAGGAGACAGGAATCTTAATTAGACATGTCCATTCTGAAAGTCTGTGGAACGAGGAAAGGACTCTTCTACTATCTTTGTCTTTGGTGAGGAAGGAGGAGTTTATTAACTGAATACACATATATGAAACCCTCAAGTTTTTTTTCCACACTTGTGCTGAAAGCCTCCTCTTGTTCCTCCACACTCCACCTCTTGAGTCATTTCCTAGTCACCTGTCATTATATTGTGGGGAGAGGAGGAAGTGGCGGCGGGGGGAGGGGGCACACAAAATGTGGGGCCTGGGAACTATCCCAACTTACCACACCTGGGACAGCACTGTCACCACATTTAAGAGCAGATGTAGCAAAGTGTGATGTCTAGAGAAAAACTAGGGAAAAAATGATAGCATTATTGGAAACTAGGTCCTATAAAAGAATGTTGAGCCCATTTGGTGAAATATTTAGAGAACAGACCACATGGTGTCTTCAAATAAACAAGTGGAGGTTTATTTAAGGGTGTGAGCAATTGTGTTGCTGTGGCAGAGGGTGGAGATGTAATTAGAGGGTATATTTACTAATCTTGAGAATATTTTTGCAGCTCCTACAGCTAAAGTCCAATGAGAATTCCAATAGACAACCACCTTGGAAGACTTGTGGGTCATAATAACCGTGGGTTTGCAAACCAGCTGGAGCCAGCTCTTTGATTGGTGCCCTCTGCCCCTGCCCCTTCTTAGTTGGATGTTGCAGCCAATTGTGTGTAAACGGGAGCTCATCTTCCACACTGTCTTAAGTGGCATTCTCTACCAGGTGATTTAACTGCATAATTCATTGCTTGATTCATTCTTATACCAGTAGAGAGAAATTCACATTTTTATCAGCCTTAGAAGAACTTTGCTCGTGGATTTCCAAAAGTACAAATTAAAAGATCATGAAGAGAATTTGATCAATATTTCACTTTATCTTTAACATTCCTTAAATGCCTGCTTGTTTGCCTGCTTTCTGTTCTGCGTCTAAAGCATTCACAGAGCCCATAGGCTCTTTTGGGGCAACCTGTGGCTCTCCCAGACTGAAACTTCCATAAAGCACTGTATGGGGCACAGAGAGGTTGTTTAGCTGCTCTGGCAGTTGGCAATTAACATCTTCGTGAGATCACCTCAACTGAGGTGTGCAGAAAAGTCAAAAATAAAACAGAACTCTTCAGACATTATTTTATCATTTAATTAGAAACTAACACCTGTTCCTGGGTTTTGTACTGCTTTTCAGTTACATCTTCTATGACTAAAACAAGACATTCGAGTATATATCTATATTTACAAACCATAATAGTGTCTAAATTTTGAAACAATGAAACTACTAGATGAAATTATAAGCTAGAAATCTTTAATATTTACTGTGTAGTATTACATGGTGTATATGTACCACATTTTCTTTATCCAATCCACTGAATATGGGCACCTAGGTTGATTCCATGTCTTTGCTATTTTGAATAGTGCTGCAATGAACATACATGTACATGTGTCTTATGGTAGAACAATCCATATTCCTTTGGGTATATAACAAGCATGAGATTGCTGGGTCAAATGGTAGTTCTGTTTTTAGTTATCTGAGAAATATCCAAACTGTTTCCCACAGTGGCTGAACTAATTTACATTCCCTTCTATCCATAGCCTCGCCAACATCTATTATTTTTGGACTTTTTATTATTAGCCATTTGACTGGTGTGAGATAGTATCTCACTGTGGTTTTTATTTGCATTTCTCTTATGATTACAAGTGGGAGCTAAACATTGGGTACATATGGACATAAACATGGGAAACACTGGAGACTGCTAGAGAGGGAAGAGAGCAAAGGCTGAAAACCTACCTATTGGGTATTATGCTCACTACCTAGGTAGTGATCATTCTTACCCCAAAACACAGTGTCATGCAATATGCATACGTAAAAAACCTGCACATGTATCCCCTGAATTTAAACTAAAAGTTGAAATTATTTTTTAAAAATGACATAATCATCATCATGTGTGCTGGACTGCAATAATGGCCCCAATATTCATGCCTCCCTCTATCCTTACCCTTTGGTGCTAGCCCTCCGTGCTGACTCTGGGTTTGGCCATGTGGTTTGCTTTGGCTAATGAGACACCAGCAAAGGCTTGGAAAGGGATTTGCTTGTTTCCACTTTCTTTCTTGGACCCCCATCAGAGTATGACCAGGCTAGCCTGCTGGAGGGATGTGAGAGCCATGTTGAGAAGAACTGAGTTGTCTCAGCCAAGGCCAATCTGCCTTTAATCCCAGATAAATGAGCAAGCCCAGCCAAGATCAGTTAAGCCTACCCCAGATGAGCTGAGCTATGAAGCCAATCCACAGGCTCATAAGAAATAATAAATGTTGGTTGTTTTTAACCACTAAAGTTTTGGTGTTGTTGGTTACGCAACTGTAGCTAGCTGATACACTGTCTTCTTAGGTGCATTAGGATTTTCTTTGCTTGAGGGAATATTTTTTAAGAATCTCTAGAGGCCATTTCGGGGAGCATGCTGTAGTCTTAGTATAAATAACAATCATTTGTTTCAGGCAAAACTGTCTGCCACTGGACTTTCTCCTAGAAAGGCAGCAAACATCTGCAGGGTATTACAGTAGTGTTAGGAGAAAGAGGAAGTAGCCTTGTCAAGGCTTACAAAATGAATGCTCTTATTTACTATAGACAAATGATTGGAGGGTGTTGTAATTGGGTGAGTGGCAAATGCAGACAGACTGTGGGGTGGTGACATGAGTGATGCTAGAACTCTTAGGTAGAAGATGGGGCTTGGCCGCCCCTGGTTTTCTGGAGATACAGAATCACACTGACTACATAATAATGATGGTGATGATAGCTAACGATTATTAAGCACTCACTTCCAGTCATACTACATGCTTTACATGCATTCTCTCATTTCTCATAATAACTCTATGAACTGGGTATTAGGTAATATCATTAGCTCCATTTTACAAATAATGAAACTGAGGCTCAGACAGCTTCTTCAAGGTCAAATTGTGCTTAAGTCATAGAGCCAGGATCAAATTCAGGCAGTCTGACTCTTTGGAGTCATGCTCTCGACCTTTCTACTATTGTAACCAAATACTTATTTTTTCAGAAAAAGAGAAAAAGGAATTTAGTATAATTCCCTCATTTGGCAGATGGACAACTGAGAGCCAGAAGTGTTTGGTGTAGAGATTCTTTGACTAACAAGGTTTAAAGGAATTCTCCCCTCTAGGTCCAAACCACCAAAAGCTGAACAAAATTCACACTGATTTTTGTGAGGCTTCATCTAAGACCAGTTTGTACATACAGGTATGCCTTTTGTGTACTGCAAAATGGTGCCCAGGTGAGGGTTGGGTAGGGTCTGAAATCTACAGTGCACCCCCCTCACCAAGCCCTGTGTCCTAGCATACATCTTCCTCCTCGCAGAGGAAGAGGTACTTTTGAAGATAATTTTTTTGCACAGAAAAGGAGTTGTTTTGTTTTTTGCATTTCCACAAAAGCACCAGATGTGCTCGGAAGTCCCTGCTAAAACACTTGCAAATTGTGCCCAATAAAACACAGCTAAAGAGTGTCCCAATTTTTCACACACACACAAAATTATGAGAAGTGTGACTAGTTGGTGCTCAGTAAATACTTGTTGAATGAGTGAATTTTAAATGAGCAAAGATGCCCTCGTTATACACAGACACATAGGGACCAAAGCACATGGGACACACAAATTCACAGCCAGAACCCAAATCCATGGCACCAACTCATCCACGAGAAATAACTGATTTCCTGTGCACATTTATCTAATTTGTGCACACTTAAAAAAAAAATACGTACTGTTTCCATAAGACATCACCTCATTTCTATGATTTCTATATTAACATACATATTATATTTCTTACTTCTATTTTCTATTTCATGAAATTCAAACTACAAGAAACTTTAGAGCTGCATTATTCCCCATCTGAACTTACTCCCCAGTGACGCTTTTTCTCTTCTAGAACAAATAAAACTGATTGCCCTTGCCAAACTTGGTGGCTTGCAATTACCTATTTTAATGCTTCACAAGAAACCTAGGCAAGCCAATTGCTTCCTCCATTCTCACATCCTTCCCCACTGTGGCCCACACCTCTGCTGACTGCAGTGATCTGAACTGAGTACTCACAAAGGCCACTCTTCTCTCTCTGCCTCTAATAACCCGGTATAACAATTGTGGTGAGTAATTTCCTTACCACTTCTGTTGTTAACAAATGCTAATAATACTGCACGGTACAGATCAAGCCCAGCTACTGAAAAAGAAACTACACAAATTATTTTTTAAAGTTATCATCAAAAGAAATGCTTTTCTGCAGGAAATTTTTTTAACTGCTCAAGGCGTTTGCCTAGCCCTGCTTAACTGACCGCTTCTTTGTTAATTAACAAGTGCATCTGCTTCACGAATGAAAACGGTTCATCTTATCTAAAGCACACTTGCAGGCTTTTTTGGGTGGATGTAACTATAGGGAAGTCATCGTCATAATTTTCTAGAACCAAGGTCACCTATTTTCATGACGCCTGGGTGAATAGGCTGTGGGTGGTCTCCCATTCTGATGCTCACTAAATCTTATTCTATCTGCAAGAATCAGGATTCAGCTGGTGACTGGTTTCCTGCTATATCTAATTATATTTCTTGTACATGCCAATAATCAACTAATTAATCCAATCAATTTTTTATGCATCAAATATTTAGTAAGGACCTTTCCATGCCAGGCATTGTGCCAGGCCATGGAAAGACAGCAGTGGTCAAGACTCAGATGAGATCCTTGCATTACACTGTGACAGAAGGCAGTTATCTGAGGTTCTCCTCCCTAAAATAAAGTGAAAAAAATGACCAAATAATGTAACCCAATATTGTCAAGATGAATTCTACTGCAAAGCCTAACAAAGGAGTGCCAACAGCATGTTATATAGCTGAGCTCTTGTTCCATAATAATGTCTCCAATTAATTTTCTCCAATAGATGAATTCAAAAGTAACTAATGTCAAGATACCATCTCATGCCAATTAGAATGGCGATCATTAGAAGGTCATGAAACAATAGATGCTGGAGAGGATGTGGAGAAATAGGAAAGCTTTTACACTGTTGGTGGGAGTGTAAATTAGTTCAACCATTGGGGAAGACAGTGTGGCATTTCCTCAAGGATCTAGAACCAGAAATACCATTTGACCCAGAAATCTCATTACTGAGTATATACCCAAGGGACTATAAATCATTCTACTCTAAAGACACATACATATGTATGTTTATTGTGGCACTGTTCACAATAGCAAAGACTTGGAACCAACCCAAATGCCCATCAATGGTAGACTGGATAAAGAAAATGTGGCACATATACACCATGGAATACTACGCAGCCATAAAAAAGGATGAGTTTGTGTCCTTTGCAGGGACATGGATGAAGCTGGAAACCATCATTCTCAGCAAACTAACACAAGAATAGAAAACCAAACACCACAGGTACTCATTCATAAGTGGGAACTGAACAATGAGAACACATGGACACAGGGAGGGGAACATCACACACCAGGGCCTGTTATGGGGTGGGGGGTGGGGGAGGGATAGCATTAGGAGAAATACCTAATGTAGTTGATGGTTTGATGGGTGCAGCAAACCACCATGGCAGGTGTATACCTTTGTAACAAACCTGCACGTTCTGCACATTTACCCCAGAACTTAAAGTGTAATTAAAATAAAATAAAATAACAAAAAAGTAACTAATGTCATGACTTCCGTTATCTTCCTAGTGTTTTACACTAATATGTGTTTTATAAGCCTTTCTCCAAATTCATATAAGTCTAGGTTATTTTTACTGAAGCTTCAGTCATAGTATGACGCTAAGTATTTGCTCATGGTTTTAATTACTATGGAGATCTCAAAGACAAAAATCATTTTATGAGCAAAGGCTACCCTTTTACCTCTTGCTCATCGTATAAAAATCATGACATTCACATGGGTCACCAGCAGTAAATGGCCTACAGAAATTATGGAAGGAAAACTCCATGTAACTGAAAAATCATCTCAAATGCATATTGGTCTCATCATGATTTCTGTCATCTTCACACATAAAGGCCAGCATGCTTTCGTTTTCTCAAGCATGTGTGTAATTATGGTTTGGCTCGTGTCTTCACAGAGTAGTGACCTGATAGCATCTAGAGAAATACCAAACACACATATGCTCAATAAATGTTTTCTGATGATGTAATGCTTCCTATTTATTGTTTTAATGGCAAGTCATTTTATCTTTCAGATTGGCACATTTTTATGGTAAATGCTGAATAATGAATTTAAGAATCCTCAACTTAGAGTTTAAAAAATTCCTTGAAAGCAATTCTGTCACCTTACCTCCTAATTTTCAGAATGCTATTTAATCTGCCAGTGACTAAGCTTGTAGGAAAAACCTTTTTTGTTGTTAGGTAAAGGAAAATGTGGGTGGAGAGAATGAGGTCTGGTTTGTATCCACCTCATAATTTGGACTGTCCAAGATAGAGGAAAAAGGAAATCTCAGCCCTCCCCAGCTAGGGATATGAGGTTGCTTAGAATTCCATTTTTGGGGAAGTCCATTACCAAAGTTATGTAAATTCTCAAGTAACAAATTGACTCAGCATGTTCCTAAGCCGCAGACCTCTTAGGTGAAGTATGCTAAATACACGTCATTTGCCTATTTGCTCTCATTAAGTGACAGGGAAACCATGTATTTTCCCCACCTCATACACACACAAAGCGGAAGTACACTAAGCTCCCCTGTTGGTCTTGTTCTTATTCACCTTTCTTGCAATTAAGACATTCTGCACCTGACCTTAGCAATTAATTTAAATTACCTTCACCGCTCCCCTCCACCATGATATTCCAGTGAGCTTAAACAATTATAGCTACTCTTCTCTTGCCAAAAATGCTTTTCTTATCTTTTGTGTAGCTAGGAAAATTATTTCACGTTATAAATCTATTTAGAAATCGGCTGGGATTGTCAAAGTTCTAACCACCACATTCCCCAAAGCTTACTTTCTATCATCAGCGATAGCAGCCACTACTATCACACTTTTTAAAAAAGTGTGATCCACAAGAAAGCTTTTCCTCAATTTCTGAAAAAAGGCAGGGAACTAACATTTAATGAGTTAATCCCTGCTATTTGCAAGAAAGTTTTAATGGACTTACATATATCATTTAAAGTCAAAGTTTCTTACTTTTTCATTAAAGACTGATAGTTTTTCCTGTGAATAAAGGAGTTAGAGTGAGCAGAGTTTATAGAAAACATACAGATATGTGAGTCTTAGGCTTCCCATTGCCAACAAGGTGCTCTTCATTTTATACAATGCCAGGGATTTTCTGCCACCCTCACCACAGTTCCCGTATTAATCACGTCCATTCCTAACACTAACAGAAATCATCCTAGGCCGCTGTATCACCGTGCCAGTAGCAATATTCGTGTCTTAGCAGTAGCTATCCCATCACCATTTATTAAGTGTGACCTTGGGCAGGTTTCCTCATCCCTCTGTGTCTCCAGTTTCTCATCTCTAAAGTGGATGACAATAGTAGCTACCTCACAAATGTGAGGCTTAGGTTTATGGTACTTCATTGAATCTACATTGCCATTGATTGTGAGAGGCAGCTGGTTTCAGAAATATTAATTTATGAATATAATGTCCACGAATAGATGACATATAGTAATAGCTAAAAAATATCTAAGTACGAAATTAAGAATAGTGCCTGGCACAATAGGATGTGTCCAACAGATGCCAACTGAGATTATCTATTAGCGACCCATGGGCAACAGGGTAAAAGTGGGCTTGTCAAGCCTCCTGTGGGCCATGATATGGATTCTTCATCTGAGGAAGAACACCTGGAGTACATCCTTGTTGAGTTTTCCTGGGCAGGTCATGCCACTGTTCTGGGCCTCTGTAAATAGGGGGCTAGATTAGTCACCTTTAATTTCTTTTTTCCTACCAGGTAAACATATTTTTCCAAATGAAATCTTACATAGGACCCGAAGTGTAAAACAGATAAAAGGATTTGTTCTGGTTGAAGCAGGGCTGGAGGAGCACCAAGCTCTGCCTATCATCTTTCCTCCCCTTTACCTGCAGGGAAACCCCACCAAGAGTCCTTTCAGGGCAGTCATCTCACCTTGTTGTCATAGTAAGATCATGAGTCTCCCAACACGCCTACAGGTGTTTGTTAATTACTCCAAACTTTGTCATATTTCACCTTATTGGGCTGAATCATTTAGTACTTAATATGTGCATTGCACAGACACTTTCTATTATACTTTTCTTGCTTTCCTCCACTTTGGTCTCCAAACTCCTTCCAATCTGTCTAACATAACTGAGACCATATTTTCATCTCAGTCAGATCACCTGATGACCCTTCCCAGATTTAGTGTAATGCTCGCAGAAGACACAACATGAAGGGTGTTGAACTTTTATTCCATATAAAGCTTTCTGCTCTCAAGGACTTTTTATTCTAATGTCTTCTTCTTGAAACCCTCCTTGAGCTCCATCTCAGAAAGCCTCCACCCAATAACAGATTCAATTTAACTTTTTTTTTTTTTTTTTTTTGAGACAGAGTTTTGCTCTTGTCACCCAGCCTGGAGTACAAAGGCACAATCTTGGCTCACCACAACCTCCACCTTCCGGGTTTAAGCAATTCTCCTGCCTCAGCCTCCTGAGTAGCTGGGATTACAGGCATGCGCCACCGCACCCGGCTAACTTTTTGTATTTTTAGTAGAGACGGGGTTTCTCCATGTTGGTCAGGCTGGTCTTGAATTCCCGACCTCAGGTGATCCACCCACCTCAGCCTCCCAAAGTGCTGGGATTACAGGCGTGAGCCACCACACCTGGCCCAATTTAACTATTTTTGTGTATCCATTATGAGCTTATGGGAAACATAACTTTCTTTTCCTGGATTCTTCACATATAGCTTAGCAGATAAATGAAAACAGAATTACTCTATTCAGTATCCCACACAAATTGTGTAAAGTGTTTCTTCTCTGATGGTGCCTGCTGGATTTGTGTATATGTGAATAACTCAGGCTTGGTATGAGTTATGTGCAGTGTACAATAGGAGCTAACTGAAGGCAGTTTCCACAGAAGCCCATGGTTGTGGCAACTCAGAGAGCTTTGACACAGAGAACAATTGACAACATGTAAGAGAATGTTTTCTAAAATAAAATTACTCTTTAGGGATTCAGAAAGTAAGCAGGATATTCCCAAATCATCTTTCTCCTACATACTAAGCAGATATTGTCTCTTTATAACAGTTTTCCTTCACTTATATTTCCGTAAATTAGAAGAAGTCAAACAGTGTTATTTGTTTTTCTGCACAGGATCATTGATTCAAGGAAGGAAAAAAAAAACCCCAAAGCTCAAATACCAAAAGTCATTTAAAAGAGCCTCTTTCTAGTCCTTAGAGAGATTATAGTATTCAATTTGTTTTATTTTAAACAACTATTTAGAGGCTAGAAAGGTTTATTTAATAAAACAATTACAATTAAAATACGTTTTAGTTTCATGGTATGCAGATTTGAATATGAAACAAAGTGGAAGAAAAAAGTGAAGTAAAGAGGAGAAGAAATCTGGGAGGAATGAGCAACAAAAGAGGAAGGAGGAATAGAGAGACCCAGAGAGGAAGCAGGAGGGAGACGAAGGGAGAGGGAGGCAGACAAGCAGAGCTTTGCCATGTCTGTGGCTCCCTTGGGTGGTGGCTGCTAGCAGTCATCATTCTTAACGATTACTGTTGACCTTCCCCAGCCTCTATTAGGTTTCTAATAACCTAAATGTAAACATTTCTAAATGCTGACCTGAACACCAGCGCCATTAAAAATAATTCTCTGAAGACAGTAGCAATGACCAGAGCAGTGGTTCTGAGAGCTGGATAAGTCAAGTCAAGGGCCAGAGAGTCCCTCATCCCTGTCATGTCATTAAAGCTTCTGATTGATGCAGATCTTGATGACAGAACAGCTTTGACTAAATACGTTAATCTGACCTGTGATGACTTAACTGCCAATATCCAAAATCATTGAACCACCTATCTCTTAATTTCATGAAAATTTACTTTTAGTTGATTCTTGTTACAAGCATGTTTCTTTTGTATTCCTGGTTTTCCTTCTTCTTTTGCACTGATATCCCCCTTGGTGTGTATTTTAAAGTTCTGAGAGCTAAATGGAGCAAAAGGTGAGTGTTTCGATGTTCTCATAACAATGAAAAGGCTTGAAAAACATAGAAAATGAACAATAAGTAAATGTAAATAACTAAGTCATACTTTTGCCCTTTCTTGTTGTCAAGATAACTGATTTCCTGATTGATTTTTGTCTATGCTATTCAAGACCCAAATGACGGCAGAAGTTTATTCATTTCTTTCTCTCTTCTTTTATGGATATAAAACACTGGAAAATTATTATTAGGTCTTATACTGGACCAGGTTGTCACTAGTTAAAGTCAATGAAAGAGAAGCAATTGGATATTCTGGCCCAGATGGGGAGCTGATTAATTTATTTAATTAACCAAGAAAAGATATACATTTAAATTCTAGTTATTATCAATAATAATTTTGCAAACAGACTCTCCTTCTTACCCCAAACCCATGTCAGGAACGTCTTCATTAAGGTCCAGTCCCTTTATGGAATCCATGAACTAACTGCACAGGCTGTTCTGTTTAATCCAACATCAGCAATGGAGGCAGTTCCCTGCTGTAGAGAGAAGTCGTCAGGCTCTGGAGAGAGTTCCTCCAATCACTTCAATGTCTTACTTATCTTCTTTGTGCTTCGGTAGTAAAGAGGCACACTCAAAATACCTATTTCTCATGGTTGTTGCTTTAAATGAGATTATGTCTATAAACCACTTAGATACAAAAGTGTTTGCTAGAATAATCATTGATAGTATCTTTTTGATTGGCCCAAAGTCTTTTTTCAGAAAGAGCCATCCCATTTCCCTTTATTTGCAGCAACAGAGTCTATCAGATATAACTATTTCTCAGTTTAAAGGGTGACTTCAGGGTAGTCTTGGAGCCAATTTGGTAAATCTCACAGAGTCTGTGTTTTCCTGGTCTGCACTTTGTTAATTAGTCATTCGCGTTTTTAGAACTACCGTACACCCTGTATATGGAGAAACCATATTTAAAGAATTGAAGTAAAATAAAACATTCAGCACTGAAACTGTAGTGAGCACATTCTTTTGATGGCTCAGATGCCGTTTCAGGATTCTGTGGTCCCTTGTCCTCCCCACTCCTGAATGTGGTATATGATTGGATCTCTCTATATATAAGAAGTATATATTATATCCAATTCTTTTTCTAAAATAATGATGTTCACAGGGCTCATGAATTCATTGCTGCACAGGAAGGATGTTGCCTATAAACTGACTAAATCACTTCCAACCATAAATGTATTATTATATTTCAAAGAAGTATGTAGCTAATCTTGTGACAAATGAAATGCAAATTCATTTAAAAGCGCTCCTGAATTAAACATGACTCCTTGGCATTAGAATTCTTCAACCAAAAAGAACACTAAATTAATTACTGCCATTTTTGGTTTTGTTAGGTGAGACACCCTTTCTATTAAACGAAGGTCCATGACATAAAACATAAGATTCTCAGACACAATAACATGAAAGCTCAAAACCTCAGTAGGGCAAAGGATACCACAGAGAAAATAATTTCTACATGTTTAACATATCTTTAATAGAAAAAGAGCCTTTATAAGTAAATAAGAAACAAATGAATAAATTGGCAAATAATATGAATCAGACAATTTGTGGAAAAATAAACACACTGATGAAAATATAGCAGATCTAACTATTGATCAAGGAAAGACAAACCAATGAGAGGATACTATTTTTGCCCCAATATGTTGGTAGATATTTAAAATATTCATAACATAAAGTATTAATGAGAGGAAAAGAAACTCTATGTTGTTGGGAGTATAAACTGGTATGGCATGTCAGAGGGAAATTTGGCAGTTTCTACAAAGTTTTTCAAAGTATCTTTCCACTCAGGAAGTGAAATTCAAGACATGTATTTTAAAATACAACATTAAAAGAATATATTTCACATATGCTTAGAGATCTCTATGTCTAAGGATGTTCATTGCAGCATTGTTTGCAGTGGATAAAAACTGGAAACAATCTAAATGTTTATCAGTAGGGTTATGAATGGATAAATTGTGGTACTGCCATACAATGGAATATTAATCTAATGAGATATCCCTGTGTGTGAATCCTGTATGGACTCCTGTCCCTGACATAGGTTGAGTGAAAAAAAAATTTATAGACTACATATGGTGAGATTAAGTTTTTATGTAAAAGTACCAGTTTTCTATATCTATATGTCTGTGCTATTTATTTTTATGTTTCTATCTCCATACATAATTCTATTTCCTTAAGTGTCTATGTGTCCCTATCTATTCCTTTATTGTTCTATGTATATAGGAAAAGAGTCTAGAGTGATACACAGTAACATCTCTGTGAGGTCCTATGGCTGCCCCCTGGGAAAGCATGGGGAGGAGGCTCCCATTCAGGTGATAAATGAAGGTTCCGCAGATCTCTTGGGAGGAGGACACAGGACACAGCGAAGGCTAATAATTGGACTACTTTATTTTTATGGTTGTGTATTGGTGGCTGCAGGGCCAAGACAAAGGGTGCTATAGCCACCTGTCGCCTTAGGGAAGGAAACAGGGATGGGTCTTGAGTCCAGAGAGAAGAGGATTTCTCTGATCATATTAGACAGGAGGCTGGAGAGGCTGGTGGAACTTGCCTCACCTTGTGGGATGGAGTTGGAGTGGACTCAGGTTGAAGAGTGCAGATGTTCCACTTCTTTCTCTCCATCCTCTAGGCTTAGTGGTCAAGGAATGAAGGACATCTGATCTCTAGCCTCACTGCTGAGTATCCCATGTTGGAGCCAAGATCTGAGGAGAGGGCCCATGTGGCTGCTGCTGGAACTCCTCCAGACCTAGCATTTCAGAAGCAGGACTGTGCTTCCAAACAATGACTTTGTGTGAATGTTAGCAAAGAGACCTGTCCTCAATGAACCCAGTCTTAAGAGTATCACAGAGTGACACACCTGAGTCTACTAGCAGAATAGAGGCCCCCATTCCCCACAGAAAAGGTGCTGTGGATAAGCAGCATCGGTGAATGACCCTCTGCTGCGACACACTGACCACCAGACTGTGGGGCTGCCAGTGATACCGAAGAGGCCACATCAAGAGCTAGAGAACACGGGGCCCGAGAAGGCTCTTGTTTTTCTCTCGTAAGACAACAATGACCAGGATTGACCCTTTGGTCTCCATGAGTCCCTGACCTTCTTAGAATGCACAGTAGTGATCTAGAGTCATGAAATTTGAATATTGGAAGGAACTGTTCTTGTTATGTACATAATGGGTTATATATACACACTCTTACTTTTACATATATTCTAGAAAACAAACCAAGTCAGTGATATCAATACATGCAGTGAGTTCAAAAGAATGAGAGAAGAGAGAATAGGAGTGTTTAAACTTCCTTAAGGAAGATTTTACAGAAGGGACTTTAGCAAATCCTTGATGATTTTCCTCGTTCGAATTTTCTTCCTCAAGTCAAATAAGTGAGAATATTTTCAGCTGTTACCTGAACATCGTTGGAAAGTACAAAAATTGTCTTGAATTATTTTAGTGACATTTTTCTTCTAGCTTGACAGAGATCTATATAAAGCCCAGAGACAAGCCACCTGTCTGAATACCTTTAGTATGTATAATAGTAGTGGTACACATGATAATATCACTCTAAACACTGGAGGCCTCTCTTCCCACAGTTTGCCATGCAGAACATCTAATTCTATCCATGAGGGGCCAAAGCCAGTGAAAGCAGAAAAGGAGTATTCACCACGCAGGGATCACAGAAAGAACTATGAGGACCGGGCCAGAGAGTTGGGGACAAATAGTGTTCAGCCCAGTTTTAGACCTGGCACAGTTTTCCCATGCAAAACCATTCCTCTTCAGACTTCTACCCCTTTAGTTCCCTGGCCTCATTTCCGTCCTGACCAGGTGTTCTATAAACACAGTCCATTAAAGAAAATTCTTAATATATGTCCATGAATCCCCTTGGGTAAATGACTAAAGTTTCATACTTTCATGGTGACGACCTTGGCTATATTCCTGGAAAGTCCACATCTAGTAAAACTCATCACTGTACTCCAAGGTACCAAATAGACATGGAAACTAAGTAAAAGTGGTTTGTTTGCTATTCAAGTGTAGCTTCCAGCCAAGTTGCTGACTCTCAGCCACTCTGGTATAGACATTCTGGAGCTGCCACACTCATGGCTGATGGTGCTCACATGCTGAAGAAACACAGTTTGCATCATCCTTCACCGAAGTCTCTGGAGGCTGGAAAACAAACAGCAGTTGCATGACATTTCCATTGAGAATTTGATGAAATTTAAGGTTTTGTTTTGCTCACAATATAAATACAAAATTTTGCAAATAATTTCAGGAGGTTAGGGGATCTCTGAAACACATGTATGGAACCCGGGAAATCCACAGATGCCAAGCTAAGCCCCCATGTGCTAACAGGAAAGGATCAAGGAAGAAATGGACACTGGAGTTTTTTAATAACTCAGATGGGCCATGTGTAGAAATGACAAATTGTTTTTCATTGTCTCTCCCTTCCTCTTCCCTTTCTCTTCCCTTCCCTTTTATTCCCCACCTTAAGAATAAATTCTATATTCTAGTCTTGTTTTCTGCCTGGATATAAGTAGTTGCTGTTGGGGCTTAAGTGTGACACTTTGAGACAAAATACAGTGAGTTCTGCTATAATGTGACCCACGTGTTTCTAAAAAATCACTGCACTATACAAAATCATAGAATCAAAACTCACATGCTTACAGGAAAATGAGATTAGGAGCACAGCATTCAAAAACTTCATCGGTGACACTGAAAAAGAAGATAGCAACCTAATTTAAAAAGATAGCTGTTTTAGGCATGTTAAATGGTTAAGAAATACATAAATAATAAAATAAACACATTGTTTCACCTAGAAAAGGACTTTAAGTTTGTTCATGGAGGTGGGTGTTGGAAGGGTTACAGTTTGTGAGTTATTGAGACATGGCGAAGGAGAGTTCTCTGGGATGGAAAATTGTGACACCAGATGTCGATGGGTGTGGCTCATTACACATGCAGTGAACTGAGGATGCTGGTGGCTGTCAGAGGTGTGAGGACATCTTATGTATTCCTACATGGCTCAGTTCAGCTGGATGCAGTTTTCTGCATTCACTTAGCATTTCTTGCAGATGAAATTAAACATAAAGAAACACAAAGTTCTTGTTATACTCAAATTGTTCCTTGATATATTAACCTCATTGGAATACATTATCATTTTCAAGATGAGCCTTATAGCAGGACTGATTGTATCTAGATTATAAAAATAATTATAATTTAAAGAGTAAGCAGCCCTTAAAACGCCAATGAAATGATACTGTAAAGGTAGCAATAACGTTAATATTTCTGAGCAGTGACTAATTTACTTTGCCCTAGTGACTCAAATACTTTTGGGCCTCCTTGCTCCCACCCTAAGGTTCATCTCCACACAGTGATAAATTCAAATGAAATGCAAATTGGGATCCATAACTTTAAATGATGTTGTGAATCCTGAGTGAAGTTTTCTCAGGGCTAGGGAGGAGTTGTTACAATACACACAAGACTTCCTAGAACATCCTCATTATACATTTTTATCGCTGAGGGCCCATACCATGTGGCAGCTACACTAATCTTACTTCCTCTCTTGTCCACACTTCCTTATATCCTCTACCTGCACCTCCCAAAAGCCCAACAAAATTCCAACCTTTGCTGGATCTTTTCTTATTACCCTTTCCTCTCTTTCCCTCTTTTCCTGCCCTTTTCCCTGAGATTAAAAATCCCATACCTATGTATGTTACATTTCTATTGCTGCTGTAACAAATTACCGCAAACACTTCAAGGAGATGTGTATCTATTCAGGTAAGAACAAAACAGCATAAATTTATTATCTTACATTTCTGAAGGTCAGAATAATAACTCAAAATGAGCTTTATGGGACTAAAGTCAAGGTGTTTTTGGCTGGGCTGCATTCTTTCTGAAGGCTCCAGGGAAGAATTTGTTTCTTACTTTTCCCAGACTCTAGAAGCCATCTGTATTCCTTGGCTTCTGGCCCTGCATCACTCCAGCCTCTACTTCTGAAACAACAGCTCCTTCTTTTACTTTGACTCTCCTGCCTTCCTCTTATAAAGGCTCCTGTGATTGCACTGGGCCCACGAGATAATCTAGGATAATCTTCCCATGTAAAAAATCTTTAATTTTTTCACATCTGCGAAGTCCCCTGGGTCAATGTAAGGTAACATTTTCACAGGTTCCAGGGATTAGGGCATGGATATCTTTGGGGCATTGGTAAGTCTATCACACCAGAGATGATATCCAAAAATTCTTAACAACTGATGTGCCACTTAAGGTAGAAATTCTGACTTTCAGAAAGCCCTCTGGTCATAGTGCTGGAGCAAGACTCTGAGACCCCTGATGTACTGGTGGATGGATTATGGAGAGGGCTAGGATGTCTCAGGGAGGGACTGGGTTGTCTAACATAGTGGTGAGGCACTCCAGGGCCAGGAGCAATGGTTCTCTCTAGGCAGTATGAAAGATATTTGACTTTTTTATTTTTTGTTAAACCACCAGTACAACCACACAAGTGTATTCTGGCTGAACACTGATCTGTCCATTCTCCTCCTTCTCTGATCAGTTTAGCCTCCCCTAGGCTTCTTAAAGTTCTCCCCTTCACCCTCATCCACGATCAGCATGCAAACCTCCCGGGATGTTATGTGCTGTACTTAGCCCTTTTACTTGGAATGTCTCATTTAAGCCTTATCACAACCCTATGAGTAGATTCTGTACTTGCCTTCCTTTTGCAATTACACACACAGGATCATATGTGCTATTAATTGTTAGGACCTTGATTTGAACTCAAGCTTTAGAAATTGACCTCCTAACCACCGTGGTTAGTGTCTTCAAGGAGATGCACATCTGTTTAGGTGGATAAGGAGTGCATGTACAAAGACCATACAGGCAATGTGGAGGCACCAAGTGGCAACCCTTAGTCCACATGCATTCATAAGTTGCACAGAATCTTGTCATATAGAATTTAACTATTACAGGGAGGAATTCTTGATCATGTTGTATGAACTCTTATCTACTGTATAAGGCCAAACCTGTATACTCTTGAATAGATATTCCATAATAAAAAGATTACAGTCAACTTCAGAGCAAATCAAGTGAAAACTCCAATTTATGTTGGCTACGTAACAGTCTAGAATAAAGTATGGTATTCTAAAGTATGTAATGAAATGAATGAATGAATGAATGAATGAATAAAATCTATAGTCAAGAGTTTCACTTATAAGACCTATGGTCTTATATAGTACATGACTCTCTAGCTAGAATATTATATTCAACTTTCTCAAATGGGTTAAAAGAGTCTCAGGGACAAGAGAAGCAGAAGAAAGGAGGATGATAAAACCATTTCTGGGCTTTGGATCTTTAATTAACCTCTACCCGGTCACAGATGCAGTTAGAAATGTGTTGCTCACACCCAGAGGAAATAGTATCTAACAGAAATAAGTAACACTACCCTAAGAGAAAACGAATCATTTATGGGTATATTTTATTTTGCTGTTTGGAAACATTTTTTGGTTTGGACAAGAATGAGCATTAGCAAGTTTGACTCATTTAATTGATGTATTATATAGAAGAGATGGACATTAGATAATTTTTAAAATGATGGTAGAGTGAGATCTTGATTGGGAAGGATAGATTTTCTATCAACTCCCTTAGAATCATTTGTGATATTAATAAATCAGATTGTTAAATAACATGACAGAAGCCAAAATAAATGCTTAGTAAAGATGCTTTGGTGAACAGTTGGAAGCAAATTCTATTTTAAACCCTTGAAACTTGGTAAGAACCTAAAATATTCTTGCTAATTTGGAAAATACCTCTTTATTTAAAATTTCCTAAAAGGTAGCCTCTCCTCCTACTTTTATGATGGAATACTGGATGATTTTAGTCAAAAGACATAGTTATTACCATAAGAAAAAGTCCTGCATGAAAGCACATGTTGCCATCTTACTCATTATCAAAGTGCCCTTATGACTGTCAGAGAGAACAGGTAAGATGCCAGGGGAGGCCGAGAAAAAGAGATCAAAGTGTTTTTGTTTACTTTTTTGAAGTCTTGTAGTACCTACTGTTTATTATACATACTTCTTGATTCATGCTGAAAATTGGAATTCACCCATTCTCTCTTTTTCCTGTCAAAGATGCAGATGGGGCACATTTCGTTGACTCCATCAATCCCTGCCCCCACACATTAGCACATGCACACGTATACCTAGCCAGTGGAAAAGAAAAAAGAGTTACTCACATTCATCCATTTTACAAAGATTTCCAGGCTGCAATGGGAGGGCTTTACCTCTCCCTGAAGGATGAATAAATAGGTAGCTTAACTGACAACCTGTTCTCAGTCAAGCTGAAGTGAAAACGAGACCAAGGTCTAGCTCTACTGTTGGTACTTATGAGATCCAGTCCTGGCAACATGGAGAGGATTGTCATCTGTCTGATGGTCATCTTCTTGGGGACACTGGTCCACAAATCAAGCTCCCAAGGTCAAGATCGCCACATGATTAGAATGCGTCAACTTATAGATATTGTTGATCAGCTGAAAAATTATGTGAATGACTTGGTAAGACTATATTTGTCACAACAAAATCTAAATCATACTTTTCAATTAATATAAAAGGAGGGTTTGGCTTATAAAAATAACTCAGAACAAATTTTCTTTTGCTCTAGGTCCCTGAATTTCTGCCAGCTCCAGAAGATGTAGAGGTAAGACCAGTTGAATTTATTTCTGAAAATACATTGGACATAAGTTTTTAAATCCAATAAGAAAGACATTAGCATGATTATATAGGAGTATACTGAATTTTAATGAACTTAGCGGTCTAATAATTGATGAAATATTTATTTATATTTTGGTTAAATTCATTGATTTACCAAAAACCAACTAAAAAATGCTATATTATATTCCTCATAAACTATGTTTATCTTCAAGAATCTCTAAGAGTACTCCTAAGTAGTATTGCTGAGACAGAATAACAAAACTAGAAACGAAATCTATACTCTGATCAGTTTCTGAACAATGCACAGCTAGTTACTCTTTAAGAGCCCTTGGGCATGAAAGCTTTTGAGCCTTCTTTGTTATCCTACCGAAGAAACATAGATACATACAGTAGGAAGCAGAATTAACCTTTTAATAACAAACTTAAAAAAGAAAGAAAGAAAGAATTAGATTACAGGGACAGCATGGAGAAATGGTGGTGTGGAAATCAAAGCTGTCCTTCAGAATATAATTCACATATACCTTGGCCTCAGTGAGTCTTGTCTTTGGCCTTCCGTGAGGTCTTTTGAAAGAACCATTTTCAACAATTCATCCCGTCTCTTAAGCCATTTAAATCCATTAGAGTTCCAGGAAGAAGAGGCCTGGCATGTAGTTCAAGAGTGCTGTCCGCTGATCTTTTTCTCCAGTAACTTCTACGATCTGATCTTCTGGTCTGGTACCCTGAGAGTATAAATGCAATTGGGGAAATGTTTTCATTGTCACAGACCTTTAATTGCATAAATTAGAATAACTAAAAGTGCTACCAGTAATTAGGACACTACAAAGGGGGAGACTTAAGAAGATACATTGCAAAGAAAACAATTATCGTAAATGACTATGTGTAAAAGTTTAGAAAGTGAATGAGTCACAACTATTGCTTTTCTCTAAAATTCACTCTCTAGCTCTGAACCCAAACACTCTCATTTACTAGGTCCTTTTCTAATAAGCAGCATCTAAAATGAAAGTAGCACATTCAGCTTATTGGAAAGACTTTTCCAATAACTGAAAATACTTCTTAATCAATGTGCCTAATTATCAAAACATACATTTCTAGCATCTCATGCACCTTGTTTAACTGTTATGGTTAGAGTTCTTTCCAGAGTTTCCTGGCTGTAGTCTATAACTTGCAAAATAAGAAATAAGAAAGAGATTCCACCTTCTAACCTGAGTTGGTCCAGTGGGTACTTCCTTTACGTGTGTTGTTAATGAAAGATATTTTTTATCTTACATCATAATGAAAGGATTTTGTCTCCGTGATACTGTATCTATCTGATAATCTGATCAAGCAATGCTGGCTATGATATAAGTGAGTAATAGTGTAACTTGGATCTTTAAGCTATACTAGTAGGCAAACTCAGGAAGAAAGAAATCGTTCAAGGTCACATTAGCATTATATCAAGCTAGCTTCAAAGTAGGGTCTGTAAGAGATTTTAAAAGATTTAAAAGTTTAATGAAAATAAAACTATCTAATGTTGCATGCATATAGTAATTATCTAAGATCTCTAATTGGCCTAGCCAGGCATCTTTCTTTTTCTCTTTTTCTTTCCGTCTAATCATATAACCAGTGGTTCTCAACCGGTGGTGATTTTTGTGCCCCAGAAAACATTTGGCATTGGCTGGAAAAATTTCTGGTTGTCACACTTGGAGGTAGAATGGGGGTGCTACTGGCATCTAGTAGGTAGAAGCCAGGTACTAAACATTCTAGAATGCACAAGACAGCCCTGACAACAAAGAATTATCTAGCCCCAAATGTCAGTGGTATCACCGTTGAGAAACCCTGATATAAACCTAGTTTGTGTGTAGGACAAAGGTAATCCTTTTTTTTTTTTTTTTTTTTTTTTTTTGAGACGGAGTCTCGATATGTTGCTAGGCTGGAGTGCAGTGGTGCGATCTCAGCTCACTGCAACCTCTGCCTCCCAGGTTCAAGCGATTCTCCTGCCTCAGCCTCCCGAGTAGCTGGGACTACAGGCGCACGCCACCACACCCAGCTAATTTTTGTATTTTTTAGTAGAGACGGGGTTTCACCATGTTGGCCAGGATGGTCTCAATCTCTTGACCCCGTGATCCACCTGCCTTGGCCTCCCAAAGTGCTGGGATGACAGGCGTGAGCCACTGCACCCAGCCAGGACAAAGGTAGTCTTGCCCAATTAGCAAGACTTCTTAGTGTGAATGGCCAGGGCTTTCTTTGCAAAAGGAAAAAAATGTAAAAATAGGCCTCAGCTGGGTGAAGTGGCTCCTGCCTGTAATCCCAATGCCTGTAATCCTTTTGGGAAGCCAAGTTTGGAGGATTGCTTGAGGTCAAGAGTTTGAGAACAACCTGGGCAAAATAGTGAGACATCCTGTTTCTACAAAAGAAAAAAAAAAAAGCCCTAAGGAGGTAAAAAATTTCAAAAATTCAATTGCAAAACAACAAAGCCAAGTGTGACTCCTGGCAAAAGCAGCACTTGACTTGTTCTTCAGCTGAAGAGGAATGGTTTGTTAATTCTTGCGTTTGACTTTACTACCGCTCCTTCTAGTCTGCAAAACAATGTAGCAGCAGAAAACTCCTCATGTTCTCATATGTTAAAGCATGAGGGAAACAAAGTCTTGCCTTTGGAGTCTGTTGTCACCAAGGCATAGCAAAGGAAAGCAATGTTCATGCTTCCAGACAGTGCTAAATATGGAGTTGGCATCCTGTAGACTCCTGAGTGATAGGGCACCTGAGGCTGCCTAAATCAAGGTTAATCTTTTCACTCTCCTTCTCAATACATCCTTAAGGCAGTTTAGTGGCGACAGCCCTCTACTTCTTTTCCTCTTTTGAGGCTGCCTTTGATGTGCATATAAAGCCAATTCCCGCAGTTATTTATCCTGGACCACATATTGCCAGACACAGCTCTGCTGCTTGCAGAACAGAAGAAAACAAAACCCCATTGTCTGTTAACAGAGGTAAACAAGGAAGGGTGGGAGAGGAAGCACAGCCCCATCAATATGGGCGTCAGTGTCCAGGTACCATTCAAAGGCTTTCAGAAAAGATTTTCAGTTGTTTTTACAACTGAAATTGTAGTTTTACAATTTCAGTGCTTTGAGTACCGGTACTGACCATTCCTGGCAATATTATCTCAAGGGAGTTCATTTGGCTGGCAGGGCCCCTCTACTTCTTTGGAACCTAATTTTCTTTCAGCATACACATGTAAATGTTAACTCAGCAAAATGAGCCTCTGTGAGAAATGCTGGTTTTTCAGATCATCACGGATGAAGCAGTCAGTATTTTCAGTTTCAGCTGGAAAATTTACCTCTTTAAATATGAATATTATTTTTTCCAGTAAGTTAAGCCGGTTGTGGTCAAAAAGAAGAGAAAAGAAAAAACTTCAACAAACATGAACGTGTGGTTTTCAAGGAAAAAAAAGTGCTATATTGAACATTTATAAATAGTTTCTATTAAATAAGCATTTTGGCAAACATATGGAAAGGACACCACCTTGCCCTTATGAGAGGCAATCTGCCTTGATATAAGGAAACCAGATAAGCTGCTTCTCGGCTTGTGGCTATATATGCAAAGCAAACCTGATAGGTTTGTGTCTTAGAGATGCATATTATTAATCTACATTCATATTGGGTAAGCATATGGGTTGGAAAATGCAAAGCAGGCCAGATGCTGTGTTCAGCTGATTGTCCATAAGAAGATTCAGGTAATATTGTTACGTATAGGCCTGCCTTTGTAGGGACTGGGAGGGATTGAGGCTTCTGGTTATAAGGTAGTAGCTTCCATATGCATAGTGAAATGAAAATATAGCAACTTCAGGGGGAAAATAGCATCACATACACACGTTTGCTGAAAGAAAAAAGTAAGTTGGATACAAGTCACCTGGATATAAGCTTTTGGATCAGCATTAAAATTTTTCAACAAGTCAGTATATGTTTGGTTTTTCCAGTAAATTCCATTTCCTTTCCAGTTTGATGGCTAAGCTTTTGGCTTGTTAGTCATTAGCTATTTTTCCAAACCAAGAGATAAGTGTTTGATGCTTATTTTATCCGCTCCTCCATTCTCTGAGACCCTATTCTTACCTTCTAAGAAATGACTTTCCGTCTCATTGGTTGGACAAGCCTCAAACTGTTCCTCAACTGCTTGATTCAGGCAGAATCCTAACCCTAACTGAGCTGGGAGTATGAAAAGGGTTTTAGAAAAGTCATGTGTGATCTATGGCAAGTATATTGAATCTTAGATGTAAAATATGCTATCAGAGGGAGGTACCCACTTCCTTTCTCCAAAGGAGGGGCTTTAATTCATTTTCTTCATCTGTTAACTTTACAAATATATGTTGATCATTAACTGGCAAGACACTATGCCTGGCGCTGTACAGAATAAAATGCTGCTCAAGACATGTCATGATAGATACATTAACAGAAACCACAAACAAATGAAAAATGTTCTTCATCAGACTATAACATAATTTACCCAAAGCTGCCACTAGTCACAGTGTAAGTTTTAGAGCCTCATAACTCAGCAAATGTGTCCTAAACCGAACTAACTCTCCTTTATAAAACACAAAGGTCTTGTCCACCACCCAGACATCAAAATGGTCCTCTGTGTAGCATCAGGAATAAAGCATTGTGAAGAAGTGAGGCTCCTTTCTCTCTTATCTGCGAAGCAGGGGATTGTCCCTTTTTCCCATCCCAAAGATTAAGTAGGAGGTGAAATCATACCTCACTCATCTGTTGAAACGATGTAATGCACGACATTGCAGAAGAGATAGAAATAGAGGATTGGGAAAGCTATCTTTTACTTTCTGAATAATGTTTGTTAACATATATACAAATTGTTTATCTTTCAGACAAACTGTGAGTGGTCAGCTTTTTCCTGCTTTCAGAAGGCCCAACTAAAGTCAGCAAATACAGGAAACAATGAAAGGATAATCAATGTATCAATTAAAAAGCTGAAGAGGAAACCACCTTCCACAAATGCAGGGAGAAGACAGAAACACAGACTAGTAAGATTGTCATTTGTCATCTCTCTTATTTGTACTTATAAACTATATATCTTGCATTACATAAACATACACACACACCTGTAGCCAGGGCTGCTGGTGTCTTCCTTACCTATAGTTATGCCTTATTATACATGGTGCTTTTTTTTTTTTTTTTAAGACAGAGTCTCACTCTGTCACCCAGGCTGGAGTGCAGTGGCGTGATCTCTGCTCACCGCAAGATCCACCTCCCGGTTTCACGCCATTCTCCTCCTACCTCAGCCTCCTGAGTACCTGGGACTACAGGTGCCCGCCACCATGCCCGGCTAATTTTGTTTTTGTATTTTTAGTAAAGACAGGGTTTCACCATGTTAGCCAGGATGGTCTCGATCTCCTGACCCCGTGATCCGCCCGCCTTGGCCTCCCAAAGTGTGGGGATTACAGGCATGAGCCACCGCACCCGGCCTATACGTGGTGCATTTTAAGAAGTAGGGTCACTCTTTTAAGCCCACAGACTTGAAAGTATTCAAAAACCCAATTATAATTTCCTAGTAGTCCTTGGCAGCTGGAATATGTTAATATAGCTTCTCAAGGTGAGGAAGTCATTAGGCAGAGAATCCAACTGTGATTTTGGAGTTAAGAACTATTTCCTCTCATATGGTCACAGATAACTTGTATTCTTATTAACAGGAGCTAGATCCTAGCTTTCTAACAAGAAAAGAGCCTACAAGAAGACTAGGGCAAATCTTAAACTTTGCCTCCTCTCTTAAATCATATTACTATCCTGTACATCAGCAGAGTCAGTATTGAATTGAAATAGGGAGGCCTCATTACTTGGCTGGGGAATTTTAACAGTCCCAAGCTTTTAGGAGCCCTGAGATCCTCTTGTATATGCCAACTCATGAGCAATGCAGATACCCAAGAACATGAGTAATTCAAAGATTAAAGCCAGTGGGAAAATACATAAAATAAATTACTCTCAAAAAAAATTTTTTTTTTTGAGACAGAGTCTCAGTCTGTCGCCCATGCTGGAGTGCAGTGGCAAGGTCTTGGCTCACTGCAGCTTCCACCTCCCAGTTCAAGCAATTCTCCTGCCTCAGCCTCCCAAGTAGCTGGAACTACAGGCGCACACCATCACGCCTGGCTAATTTTTGTATTTTTAGTAGTGCCGGGGTTTCACCATGTTGGTCAGGCTGGTCTCGAACTCCTGACCTCGGGTGATCTGCCCGCCTCGGCCTCCCAAAGTGCTGGGATTACAGGTGTTAGCCATCGCACCCAGCCTCAAATTTTTTAAATTAGTTCTTTTGCCTCCAAAAACATTCCACATGTGATTCAAATGAAATCTTAATTATATTATCAAAATTATTCTTATTTCTTTTGATTGCTTGGCCTGGTGACCATGTGAAAAATATCCCTCTAAATCTTTCCTCAGAAAGAAAGGAGCTGAACATATTTTTGAAACTCATGAAGTGGTAGCTTTGGAGCTAAACTTAGAACTCTCCAGTTAAGCATGTTCATCTTATAGATGAGGAAAGTGAGATCTACAAAGGAGTTAAGTCACTAGCCCCAAGTTCCATAAATAGTGTCAGAATGAGAATTAGAACGTATATCTACTATCTTTTAGTGAAATGCTCTCACTACAACATCACACTGGCATTGAGATGCTAACTACCAAGCAATGGCTTGGTGTTTGGTATCTAAATAGGGATAAAGACAAAGAGCATAAACTAAGAAAGCTTTTTAAAAATCTAAGTGAGCAATCCATATATGAAAAACTGTTCAATCTCCCTAGTAATCACATAAATGCGAGTTAAAACAAGGAAATCCTGTTTTTTCCAATTAAACATTTTAAACAATACCCTATAATAATAAGAATGCTCCAAGTGAAAAGAGGTAAAACCCTTTATAATGTATATCAAAGCCTTAAAATTTTTATCCCTTTAATTTAGTAATTCTACTTCTAGGAATATATCAAATAAGCAAAGATATATATGAAAAATTATTTACAGAGATGTTCTTTGGAGTAATGTAGACAAAAATAAAAAGTTAGATACAGCTGGGTGTGGTGGCTCATGCCTGTATTCCCAGCACTTTGGGAGGCCGAGGCAGGCGGATCACCTGAGATCAGGAGTTTGAGGCCAGCCTGGCCAACATGGTGAAACCTGGTCTCTACTAAAAATACAAAAATTAGCCAGGCATGGTCGTGCGTGCCTGTAATCCCAGCTACTTGGGAGGCTAAGGCAGGATAATTGCTTGAATCCAGGAGGTGGAAGTTGCAGTCAGTGGAGATCGCGCCACTGCACTCCAGCCTGGGTGACACAGCAAGACTGTCTCCAAAAAAAAAAAAAAAAAAAAAAAGTTAGATGCAACCTTTGGGTCCAAAAATAGTAAGAGTTGCATCCTATGTTGGAATACAGAACAACCACTACATGTCATATTTTTGAAGATTATTTAACACTTAGGAAATCCTGTGATATGTTAAGTGTGAAAAAAAAAAAGCAAATCACCAACTGGTATAAATAATGTAAATGCACAATAATAATTAAAAATACCCAAAACACAGAGAGAATATACATTAAAACATTGCAGTGGGATTCCTATCTCTGGGAATGGGATTACAAGGACTTTTTCCATTGTTACTTTCCAAACAGTTTTATGTACTTCTCGAATGTTTTTCAGTGAACATAATTTATGTTTTTAATGAAAAAAAATTTTAAGAAACATTTTATTACGAAAAAAATTTTAAAGAAGACTGTTACTTTTTCATTGATTTCTAGACATGCCCTTCATGTGATTCTTATGAGAAAAAACCACCCAAAGAATTCCTAGAAAGATTCAAATCACTTCTCCAAAAGGTATCTACCTTAAGTTTCATTTGATTTTCTGCTTTATCTTTACCTATCCAGATTTGCTTCTTAGTTACTCACGGTATACTATTTCCACAGATGATTCATCAGCATCTGTCCTCTAGAACACACGGAAGTGAAGATTCCTGAGGATCTAACTTGCAGTTGGACACTATGTTACATACTCTAATATAGTAGTGAAAGTCATTTCTTTGTATTCCAAGTGGAGGAGTACAATATATTAGCGATGGGAAAAAAAAACTCATAAGTGTGCAAAGTCAGGATTATTTCCCCATAATCACTATACAATAGTCTGATTTCCTATGTTATTGATTTCTATGACTTCTGAAGTTTTTACTTTATCTCACTGCCCAACTTTGACATTTCTTGGTTGAAGGAGAAGGCTAAAATTTTTAACCAAAAATACAGTTTTGACATCTATTGATTTTATATTAACCTTGAGCTTGATTACCACCAGAATGAGGTCTATTATGATCATAACTTAAAACATATATACCTTCATTCCAGCTGATAATATAGAAGCATAGAAGCAAAATATATAAAAGCAAAATGAAAAGTTGACATCTTTATTCTTTTAAGGAAATGAAAACTGAGTGTTTAAAAACTTATATCTGAATAGTTTTTTAAATCTCAGAATGTCTAACATATAAATATGTAATTTATTTATGCACCGGGGGATACTAGATGGCTATAAAAGCCTTACTTCTTTATTGGGGTTTATAAAAATATTTAAATACTATAGATATGAATGTATTTATGGAATAGACTCTTAGTCAGTGGCAATAGAGTATTAAGAAGTGGATTTAATATTACCTTCCTCCAGCCCCCAGTCCCCTTATAAGCTAACATTTTAAGCTTGTGGAAATGGCAATTTAAACCTATAGAGGGACATATGCCAGGTTGTCTTCTGGAACCAAACATAGTTTTAAAAGTATTGTAGCTCTCTTCTCAAACTGTTATAATGATCATATTATGAGCAAGCTAGTAACTCCAAATATTTGTCTCCTTCTTTCTTCTTTCGTTTCTTTTCTTCCTTCTTTTTAAAATGAAACTTCTGCTTTGACAAAATTTCACAACATGTTTAACATTTTGGACACTTATAGTTACTATACTTTGGATAAGACAAATTCAATCACCTATATAATTTAAAAATCAGGAGACAAACCAAGAGGCCAGGACTCCTGTCCAAGTTGAAAACAGACTTTCGCATAAGCATTCCAATCTTTCAGACTTGGGTAGTAAAAACAAGCAACCTACTCTACCTGCCATTTCATATCAACTCCAGCACAGCTTGTTTAAACATGAAGTTAAAAACTCTAGAAAAGTAAAATGTTCGCTAGAATGGTATAAGCTATTTGAGAATCTCTTATTGTTAAAATAGTTGTGATTATGCAAGAGGATGTGGGATGAGAAATGCTTTATGCTCTGAGAAGAAAAATTATGTGCTTAAAACAAATACAGACTTAACCTACAGTTCTAAAAGATATATTGAGAATTATTTAATCAAATCTCAATGAAATGTTTTATCATCAGCAAGTAGACTCAGAAAAAAGAAAAAAAAATTTATCATCAGAAACAAGGTACTCTGTTTTAACATTTTAGAACATGTATGACAAAGGAATTATGTGCCTGATGATGATAATATATATCTAAAATGTGCCTCAGTTTCAAATACGCCAGCCCGGGTTGTTGTGACAAAATGTGGAAGCAGGCACAAAGATAGTGAGAAAGATGGAATCTGTATTTCTTGTTTCTGAATGTATAGCTATTAACTTCTTGGATATTGTATTTCATATTTAAAATAATGTATTTCTTTTGGCATGTTTATTGTTAAAAATTTCTGTTCCAATTATTTTGATCAGGGTCTCTATCTTAAAAGTAAAAATAACTCAGTGAGGGTTTGGCTAAGAGCCTTCATTAAACAGAGTTTAAACACCCAGATAAACTCTGCTGTTTAACCAGAGTTAAACCCACCAGCACTCCAGGAAAGGCAATGCATTGGAATAAACAAGATGAAGCAGTGAGACTTGAACAGCTCCATCTTCACTGCTCTATGTTCAAGATGGCCAGTTCTTAAAAGGAATATAAAGATAACCCATAAATATAACTGTTCATCTATGGACAGTAATACAGGAGACGTGAAATTTTGTTGACTATGAAATAGTGGTCACTGTTTAAACTCTTTGGGTTTCCATTTCTTTATCTGTAGAATGAGAGTGCTGGACTTAATCTCTAATGTCTATTCTTTCTTTTTTAAAGCTTTAAATGTCTATGAATATCTAAAGTTCTGGGTATTCTTACAGAAACATCTGATCATACTTCTGAGTAAAACTTTCTACTGAGTCTGATGTTCAGTTGCTCAGTATTATTTCAATAACATTTGTAGCAACACTCACTGCAGGAACAAGGGACATATTCCAAGAAAAAAAAGGAAGGAAGGAAGGAGGGGAGAAAAGGAAACATTATTATAGGTCATGAGAGTTCAGGGAAAATTAATCATGATCTTTATTATTTTAGTTCAAAGTGTCTTCTTGGAACACTTGTATAAAATTGTAGCATTATTATTCTATATTATTGCTCTGTTGTATTTACATATGCATCTGAGAATTTAGCTAATATGAACTATGTAGTTTATAACTTAATAATTATTTATTATATATTTGATTTTAAATGTTCATGTTTATGGCTTCTTATTTAAGACCTGATCATATTAAATACTACCCGCCCAGTACAACCGTCTTTTGTGATTCCCTGGAAACCCTTAATTCAATAGTCCTGACTGAAAATAAAAGATTATCCTTAGTCTCTGGGAGCATATAGTTTTTACATGTACATGGTAAAGATGATCTTCTCTTCTCACCTGTTCTCACTGAAATGGATCCTGTCTCTGCCTCAAGGATATCACCTCCTTTGCAGCCCTCCCAAATGTATGGCACATTCAGGAGGAGTTAGAGATATTCTTCCCAATGCCCACTGCCACCACTGCACCTACACTCTTGCGCAAAATTCTCTCCTGCGTTCAAGTTGATCCTATCTAGCTTTTCTGTCCTCTTCTTACTAATGATTGTCATTTCCTGGCCACTCCTCCATGTTCAGTGGGGACTGAGGATGCTCCTTCTCTCAAATCCAACGTCTGCCATCATCTGGGCGACTTCAGTGCCCACGGGGAAAATTCCACCAGCACTGCAGCGTCTCAGAACCTTAGCCTCCTCAGTTCTGAGCACCTGCATCTTTTTACCCCATCCTGTGGTCCACTGCCATGACTATGTCCCAGACTTTATCACCTGGGACACCTTTCTCTCAGAAATCTATGTAAAGATTTATATATGTAAATATAAAACCATCAGCTGCTAGTTTTTTAGCTCTCAAACTGCCCTACTTCTACTGTGTCTGTCCTGAGACTCCAAAGCTAGGCCTTAACCCCTCCCCATTCTCTCAATTTATTAGTTTTACTCCCTCCCTCACAGAACCAGCATCCCTGATCGGTCCCTTGAACTACAGGCCAAGCAGCACACACCATCCCCTGCCCTCCTCATTCTTCTTGAGTAGCTGCCTACAAACATTCTAGCTGGCTATCTTATCCTCGGTGCCCTAATCCAGCTTCAAACATTGGCTCCAGCCCCTCGCCTTTGGAGGTCCTTTCAAACTCCACTTCCTGGCATTCTGGAGTCAGTTTCCCACTTCACATTCAGCTCTGAATATTTACCTGCTTTCAACATCTGCCACAGCTTTGGATAAGAGACCCCTCCATCTACTCCAGTCCCCAGTCAGCCTGGGCATAGCCTCACCTGTGTGCAGGAAAGGAATTTTCATATTCACAGTCAAGCTCATTGAAAGAATAGTCTATACATGTGTCTAGACACTCTCTCACCTCCTATCTACTAATCAAACCACTATAATCTGATTTGTACCCATCTCACACACTGTCATTGTATCATTGGAATTGCCCTGTTTCTGGTCAACAATGGCCTCCTAATAACCAATTCACAATGTATCTAAGTCCTTAGCTTACTTGATCTTATCATGGTTTTTGCTACTCTCAACAACCCCCTCCGTTTTCCTTATGACTTTGGAGGCCCCTTTTTGTCTGGCTGAGGTCTTACTCTCTGACCATACATACTCAGTGTCAGTTGTTGATTTGCCTTCCTGTGTCCTCTCCTTAGAAGTTGATGTTCCTGACGATTCTGTTTCTGGTCATCTTTTCACTTTAAGCCTTCCTCCTCGATAGTCAAATGTGCTCCTGTTCTTTTAAATACCCCCTCTATGCTGTTGACCCCTAAATCCATAGCTAAAGGCTAGACCTCTCTGCTAATTCCCAGGGCCACATATCCAACTGCTCCCTGGAGATGTCCTCTTTATCTCCCAGGCTCTTCATCTCAACATGCTAAAAATTGATCTCTTCACTTTCCCCCACTTCCATGACCTTCTCCTTTTCAAGAGTTCCCTAAACTTAATTGAGGGGACTACATCCTCCTAGCCTCCCAGACTCTGCCTTCTCCTTTACTCACTATAACCATGATCACTAACTGGGCCTTGTTATTTCTATATTTTAAATTCATTATTTCTTTTCTACTACCTCTGCCATCACCTTAATTCAGGCTATCAGCTCTTGTTGCAATAGTTAAAATACCTTCCAACTGGATTTCTAGCATCTCATCTACTCTCTCCAATCCACCTCCACATGGCCGCTGGAGTGATATTTGATCAAATGTAAGCATTATCACAACTTTCCCTTATTTAAAATCTTTCACTAGCTCTCCTCTAGAACAAAGCCCAGGCCTGAAGCAGGGCATGTAAGTCCTTTTTTCTTATGCTGCACTCAGCTCCCAGCTTCTCTTCACCTTGGACTTCACATTCCAGCCAATCCAATCTGCTTCTAGTTCCCTAGACACACCATGTTGTTTCATTCCTCTGTAACTTCACACTGGCAGTGACCTCTCCCTAGAATATTATTCCTCCATCCCCTTGTAATGCTTAGAAAACACTCAGGTTTGACCCAGCAATCCCATTACCGGGTATACACCCAAAGGGATAGAAATTATTCTACTGCAAAGACACATGCACACATATGTTTATTGCAGCGCTATTTACAATAGCAAAGTCATGGAACCAACCCAAATGCCCATCAATGATAGACTGGATAGAGAAAATGTGGTGCATATACACCATGGAATACTATGCAGCCATAAAAAGAAATGAGAATATGTCTTTTGCAGGGACATAGATGAAGCTGGAAGCTATCATCCTCAGCAAACTAACACAGGAACAGAAAACCAAACACCACATGTTCTCAATTATAAGTGGGAGTTGAACATTGAGAACACATGGACACAGGGAGGGGAACAGCACACACCAGCATCTGTTGGTGGGTGGGGGGTAAAGGGAGGGAACTTAGAGGATAGGTCAATAGGTGCAGCAAACCACCATGGCACACATATACCTATGTAACAAAACTGCACGTTCTGCACATGTATCCTGGAACTTAAAGGAAAATTTAAAAAAAGAAAGAAAAAATATACACATAACCTGAAAAAGAAAACACTCAGATGTCCATCAATATTCAACTTAGTCATCATTCTTCTCAAAGGATTTCCATTGCCATCTTACTGTATTTCTGTGACAGTGTTGACCCCTTCCCACTTTCAGAACTTGAGCATACTTTGATTATTAGACTTAATATAGTATATGCAGATTTATTTATTTATATGTCAGTTTCTCTTTCCAGAGAAATGGAAAGAGAAATTACTGTATATGAGGCAAGCACAGTGCCTCATACACAGTAAATAACATATAGTAGAAAACAAATGTTGGCAAAATTAAATTGAACTAAACACAAAACACATGATTTATTCATTGATGTATTTCTTGACATCTCCCTCTTACATGCTGAATCAAATTCTCACCAAAGCCAGTCAGTTCTGTTTTCAAAGTATCTCTAAAATCCTCTCTCACCACCTCCAGTTTCTACTTTGTTGGTGCCACCATAATCCTTCACTCAGATGACTGTAATATCTTCTGTATTAGTCTGTTCTCACATTGCTTTAAAGAAATGCCTGAGGCTGGGTAATTTATAAGAAAAGAGGTTTAATTGGCTCATGGCTCCACAGGCCATACAAGCATGGCTGCATCTGCTTCTGGGGAGGCTTCAGGGAGCTTTTACTCATGGTGGAAGGCAAAGCCAAAGCAGGCATCTTCACATGGCTGGAGCAGGAGGAGCGGGCAGGGGGAGCATACAGTACCAAGCGGGGGATGATGCTAAATCATTCATGAGAACTCCGCCCCCACGATCCAGTTACCTCCCACCAGGCCCCACCCCCAGCTGGGGATTACAATGCAATATGAGATTTGGTGCAGACACAGATTCAAACCAGGTCACCTTCCCAAATAGTTTTCCTGCTTTTGTCCTTGCCCCTCACCAAAATCTATCTGCAACAAAACAACTTGAATGGTCCCTTTAAAAACCAATCAGAGTATGCCACCTCTCAGCTCAAAATCTTCCAACACTTCCCATATAATTCAGAGTAAAACCTGAGTCCTACAAGGGTTACTTGGTCACATCTCTTCCACCTCCAGCCTCTCTAACCTTGTTTTCACTCTTTTTACTTGACTCCAGCCACATTGGCGCTCTTTCTGTTCTCCAGCATTACAGGAACACTCTCTCCTAAGGCATTTGCACTTTTTATTTCCTCTGTTTGGATGCTCTCCTGCCAAATGTCCATGTGGCCCATTCCCTCACCTCCTTTATGACTTTACTCAAATATCATCTTCTCCACCAGGTCTTGCCTCACTACCACCTTACTTTAAATTGCCCAAATACCTCTGCTTTATTTTTCTTCATAGCACTTACCACCCTGGACACATATATTTTAACCATTTACGTGTTTATAGTCTCTGTCTTCCACTAGAATATAAGTTCCATGTGGACAGGAATTTTTGTCTTTTTTATTCACTGCTGTATGTCTGGCTATTAGACCAATGTCCTGAACATTGAAAAAACTCATTAAATATTTGCAGAAAGAATTGGTGGGTTCTGCAATGAAGGTCTCCCACAGCGTTTTCATTCCTAACACACAATTTGCCTTCTATTTATTATGCAATTTGTGTGCTATTGATTTTTTCCCTTATAACTTCTTCCTATTATCTATCTTGTATCTTCTGCAAATATTCCCCCATTCTCTTATCAGATGTAACCACACCTCTTCTTTATTTTTGAAACTGGACTTCAGCAGTATGAAACTTGAAAGATAAAAATGGAAACGTTCTTCCACTTATCATTAAAATTTTAGCAAAAATATTTTTCTATAGAAAACTTCTGGGTTTGTATTGTCTAGAATTCTTCTGGCAAATAAAATATCCAATCATACAACGAACACCCTTCCATATTATATCTCCTCCCCCTTTACAAAAATAGAAAATTCGAAGCATCTATACGTTCATTTATGAGTCTCTAAAAGAGTTCTACCTTCTCTCAAAATGAAATACTGTGGAACAATCATATAATGGAATTGAACACATCAATAAGTTGAGAGAGAGTATAAACGGGTGCTTCTGGGGTACTAGTAATGTTGTATTTCTTGACCTATAAGATGGTATTTGTTGAGTTGTATACTTATGATTAATACCATTTTTTTCTCTATGTATGTTATATTTCAATAAAAAATTGAAAATAAATGATGGAAAAGTGTTTTTTAAAAAGTTCTATCTGATAAATGACACACAGCAGAAGCTGGAGAAGGCTATGGAGAGGGAAAACAATTGGCTAGGTGATAACTGGGAAGAGAGTGAGGTAAAAGCCCAGAAGTTGCCACAGGATTCTAAGTTGTGGTACTTCAGTCAACAAGAACAACTTTAAGATTTTTTTAAAACTAGTGCTGATCACGTCACCATCTTCCTGGTGAGAGATGGCCGAGAAGTGGTCAGTTTGGGGAGGAAAGGGTTTTTTTGTGTGTGTTTGTGTGTGTGTATATGTATATGTGTTCTTTCCCCTATAATCTTTTTTTTTTTTTTTTTTTTTTCTTGAGACATGGTCTTGCTCCATCACCTAGGCTGGAGTACAGTGATGTGATCTCAGCTCACTGCAACCTACACCTCCCATGTTCAAGTGATTCTCCTGCCTCAGTCTCCCAAGAAGCTGGGACTACAGATGAGTGCCACCATGTGGAGCTAATTTTTGTATTTTTAGTAGAGACGGGGTTTCACCATGTTGCCCAGCCCTACGTTCCTCACACATCATAGGTAAGTAGGTGATGAGTTAAGGATTCAGGTGCCTGTGATTTACTAAGGAGACGCTCCCAGATAAATCAGTAATTGAGTGAGAAAAGCAGGATAGGGAAGGGGAAAGCCAAGCCAGGGCATGATTTTAGGTGACTCCCCAGGTTCAGCCTGATCCTGTGGGATCCTCAGGGCATAAATTACCCTGCGGAGTTGTCAGCTGTGCTTGGAGGCAAAGGGGCTGGGCTTTTTGTCCTCCCACACTAGCCACTCACCTCTACCAAGCTTCAGAATTCTGAAGAGGCTGCTCCAGTGCATACCAATTGCATAATAAAGAGAGGGCAATCCTCTGAGTGTCCCAAACACAAGCTGGTATCAAAGCATGCAGAAGATTGGGGGATGAGCATACAGAGCTGATAAAAAGAATCCAAGGAGATCTGGGCAGGTGGAGTGCATTTTTTTCCTTTAAAAAGTTTATTTTTAAAATAGGAGGGCTTAAGGCAAAGATAAATTATATTGTCATAATAGAGGGAGTTTCAGGAAAGTTAGGATATATTTGTTCATGTAAAATTATGTATAATTACATATATTTATTATATATATTTTATATAGATTATTTCTTTTTTTGGTCACAATTTATCTTTAAGCCCATTTAACCTAAAGGAGTCCAGTTTACGGAGATGAATACAGTTGCAGCACGAAGAGCGAGTGCTCAAGTGAGAGAATATGACACTACTGATGTGTACCCTACATCCTACATACCAAGAGGACCTGCTACTTCCTCCTGACCAACCAACCCCTACCCCAGGGCAGCCATCACTTCCATGCCACAAACTGAATAAATTCTCCCAGATAGGGATATTTATATTAATGCAGGATTTTTGCTCCTTAGCTCAGCTAGGTCTGGCTTCTTTTCTCACAACCAGGAAAAATTAGGTGCACCGAACCAAGAGAGTGAGCGGAGTAGAATTTATTAAGCAAAAGGAAAGCTCTCAGCAAAGAGAGGGGTCCTGAAATCCGGTTGCCTCCTTCACAGTTAAATATCCCAGCTTAAGGCATGAATTCCTGGAGGCTCTACCCCTTCCTTGCAGTGCGCATTCGGGCCCTTAGACTGAGCCGCTCCATATTGATTTGTTTCCCTTACTGCACTTGTGTTAAGGAATGGAATTTTCCACCGCAGGCATGTTTAGGCAAGCTCCCTTATCTGCGCAAAACATCTGGTATAAACACTTGTAGGACGGGTCAGAGATTCTAGGGGACCCTTCCCTTACTGTCTGCCTAAAGCAAGCTGGCTAACTTCTTTCAATATTATTGGAACATAGGGCAGTTGTCAGGTTCTAAGCTTCTAGTAAGCCTCTCCCTTTCTTGTTTGACCCAGTGAGAACAAAACATTCCTTGGAGGGTCCCTTCGGGAGAAACTCCATTGCGAATAGAATTAAAATATTTACACCTGTTGATTAATAAATCCATCCTGAAGGGAGAAGAGAGATTGGAGCTGCTCACACTGAAGAAGGTAGACAACGAAAGGGTGCGGCCAAAATGGAAACAGAATCATTGACAAAATGGCGTGTGGGAAAGTGCTTCACATTGCTTACCCAAAACTTTTCCAATATACTGAGTCCCCAGTGAGGAGAGACCTAAGTGGCATTATAGTTTGAAGTAGAAGTGCCATGATACAACTTTTGTTCTAAAGTTATTACTGATGGATCAAAACCTGTTAAATGACTTGAGTTGTGACTATGAGCAATATATGTACCGTGTGTCACAGGGAACATTTCCTATTTGCCTCTCTTATTGTCACTTTTTCATTTCCCAACAGAAGCTTTCACTATGTCCTTTTAAAAAGATACCTTTTAAAGAAGAGGACATGCTGCCACCTATTGAAACAACGCAAATACATACAGACACCCAGTTCTAAGAACATCAGGACCTTGTCACCCCGTACCCGGCGAAAAGCAAACAATGTAAATTCTAAAAAAAATTCTCAACTTTTTCTATCCTGGACTTTACAAAGATTTCCGCTACCTAAATCAGTTCTAAAAGGAGCCTCAGGGCCAGGAAAATCATTTCTTCTTGGACCCACAGAACTTAAGTGTGAAGAACAGGACTGTTTGAAACATGCTGTGACATACCTTTCGGGATGGACCTGCTCACACAGAAACAGCAGAGAAGGGAGCTCGCAGGATCCTGAAACTGGCAGAATGCCTGGTCACTGGCTCTTGGTAACGTGACCTTAATCTAGTCGGGGTTCTCTTTAGTTCTTTAACTGGGAAATTGTTATGCTTTATCCTTCATTTGTGAAGAAGCCAGAAACATGCTGCAGATTTCCTCATCTGTGAAACAGCTGTAATAATTCAGCCTCTCTAAGATCATAGAATGTTCACAAAGATAAAATGGAATAAGGTATGGGAAAATGTCTTATAAAGTGTTTACACATTCAACAATGTAGAAGCTTGTTTTCAGACTTATTTTGCCTGTAGTGACAATAGCTTGTGCTGAATTCCCACCTCATCCCACTTAGGGAATTTCTTTCATGACAAATAGCCCATGTGAGAACCTCCTTTCTACAACCTTGGCCTCATTGAACTGTATTTTAATACACAGTTTCTTAATAATTGAAGAAGTCATTTAAAAAAATGTTCCCAGTGTTTGCCACAGAAGATTTGAGGTTGCAGCATTTTAATTAAACACATAAATTAAATCTTCTTTTACAGCTGCCTTTGATCACACTTCCTTCTTCCAAAAGTTTATCATTATTTTCTGCGTAATATATGTTTCCTCAATATAGTCTGAATGTTTTAACTACTTCTGCGTTATTTAGTGTCTTTTATCCCTTGATTCTGCTCACTTCTAGTCTAGCCTCTGTTGCTTCTACATTTAATGTTGTAACTTCTTTTTCTCTGTTGAAAAGCAACAAAAAACCAAAACCCTTTGTTTTTGTCTGCCTAACATCTATCCTCCTTCTTCCATTATCAGAATCCCTCTTTTTCTTTGCAAATCCCTCATTGCTCAACTATCAGCCTATGTGGTCAACTGGGGTTGGTCTCACTCCATCCCCAGCTCCAGGTGTGAGTACATAACACAAGCTAGAGCAATGGGAAGACTTTCTGTACTATTTCTTGTAATTATTTAGAGAGAGATATTATTTTCTTACTGGGGTTGCTAAGCTGATGAGATTTGGGCTAGAGTACCAGTGGCCATCTTTATCATTCTCTGGGGAATGCCTTCCGACTCCAGACAAAAGCCGAGTAAGAGAAAGGGAGATAGATTGTGCCTGAAGGTTCACCATTAACCTATTTATGTGAGCCAAAAAGAAAAAAAAATCCTCTTTTATATTTAAGCCTGTTTCAATTGTATTTCTGTCACTTACAATTGAAGAGTGCTGAATTCATAGACTCCTCAATTCCACACTTTAAATTATCTTCCACACAACTTTTATAAAAGAATGATGGTATTCAGATCCTCACCAAACCCCTAGTTAAATGAAATTAAGGTGTAACCCCCCTCTAGGAGTATCCTCTCTGGCTAACCAACTGTAGAAAATAAGAATGTAGAATCCCCTTCCCACTCTTTGTAAAATGAGCCCGGTCAGTTTATGAAGCCTACTAGTCAACTTAGAGCATTAGGTCTTAGCAGTAGTAGGCTGGCTTCTTGCAGGTTACAGAGCCAGATACAGAGTCCACTCCCTGAATACATGCTTTGTAGTAAGGCTACATTACCATGAAAATGGCAGAAAAGTCCCTAATCATGTAGAAGAGTTACACTGAGTAAAACATTCTGAGATCCCACAGTTGTTTGTACTGTTTATGTTCCTTTGACAATCAGAAAACATCACTTTGTCAAGCACGGATTGGTAACATATTAAAACATACAGAATTTGGTGTAATATCCTATATTTTTTCTGGTCTGGAATCTACTACAGAAAATAGATCTTGCTGGAAAGGATTTAGAGTCTAGTGGGGGAGACATAACAATTAAAATTCATAATTACAGCACAGTGTGGTACACTCTGTGATAGGTGAATGTTCACTACTATGGGTATCTAGGTGTGGTGGTGGACGCCTGTAGTCCCAGGTACTCAGGAGGCTAAGACTGGAGGATTGCTTGAGCCCAGGAATTCAAGTTCAGCCTGGGCAACATAGCGAAACCCATCTCTAAAAGAAATACTATGGGAAAGCTCTGATTCTGGTAATGGTCAAGTAGTTTAGACCAACTATCCCACAAATAACAATGATAAGCCTCAAATAAAATATGAAAAGCCACTATTTATAATTCACCCACCAAGAACAGTGAAAAGTAGGCAAAAAGTGAAGAGAGTTTGATTACTGAAAGAAGAAAATCATAACGAGTGAGAGCTACATTTAGATGACTTTTGCCTTGGGGGCTCTCTCCAATCCATGAGATGTAGGGAAACCAGAACTCAAGCAGAAGTTTTCAGTGTATTGATTTGCAGGATCAGAGAACACAGTTTGGGGTGGCAGAGTAGCTGGAAATTGAGGGAGAAAGTTGGAGTAGGGAGCCTCTAAACCTGCCTATAAACTGCCTCAAATCCTTGAACAGTCCCTGAACTGTGCATGGACAAGAGAGACTTCAGGAGCCCAATGGACAGCACTATCTAAAAGGCTCAGCAGAGATTTCAGCTGGTATTCACTTCAGTATAGATAGAGCTGGCATATAGTTCCCATCAAGTCAGAGAGACTTGGTAAACACCTTGGGCTTTCCATTGAAACCTCACAGAGGCTAGTCCTTAGCAGTCAAGATATAGGAATTAATCCTAAGACTAAAAGCAAAACAAAAACAAACATATCCTAACAAAAATGTGAAATCATGCCTCCACAAATTCAAGTGATGAGCCAGTAATTTAAATGCCTACTACAACAAATAGCATCATCTCTAGAGAAAGATAACAGATTGCAGTCTCTACAATGTATCATGCATAACATCAGTATACAAAAAATAATAGGCACACAAAGAAATAGGAAAATATGAGTATAGAAAGCACTTAAGAGAAACATACCCCAGGATAATCCAAAGATTGGTATTGGCAGACAATAACTTTAAAGCAACTGTTATAAATGTGCTCAAGGGCTTAAAGGAAAAATGGTTATAGTGAGTGAATAGATGAGAGTCTTAGGAAACACAGAAATTATAAAAGCAGTGGTAATTATAAAACCAAGGAGTATAATATCAGAAGTAAAAAAACCACTGGATGGACTTAATTGGTTGAATATAGCAGAATAAAGGGTCAGTGGACTTGTACACATATATTTGAACATTCCCATTTGAAGAACACAGAGAATGAAAGTTGAAGAGTGGTTAGAACCTTGGGGACATAGAATAACATCAATTGGTCTAAAATGTGAAATTGGAGTCCCAGAGGGAAACAAGGGAGATAATGAAGCAGAAAAAATCTATAAAAATGGTGGCCAAAAATTTTCCAAATTGGGTAAAAAACATTAACATGTGGACCTAAGCACCTTAGAGGATCTCAAGCAGTATAAATGCAAAGAAGATGATGCCTACCATAGTTAAACTGGTAAAACCAATGGAAAATTGAAAAAAATTTAAAGCATCCAGAAGAGAAAAAAAGATGCCTTATTTACGGGAAAAAGATGACGAGAATGATATCTGACTTCTCATCAGAAACAAAGACAGAAGAAAATGAAAAAACTGATAAAACAAATTTGAGATATTAATAAAACATTTAAAAAGATGACAATGAAAAAACATCCTTAGCATGCCTTAAAGAAACTAAACCCCAAATTCTATATTCAATAAAAATATCCTTCAAAAATTCGGCAAAACAAATGTATTTTCAAAAAAAGTTTTAAAAGCGAATAGATTTCCTACAAAAACTATTAAAGGAAATCCTTCAAACTAAAGGAAATAATAGCAGATAGAAATTTGTCTATGGCCATACCACCCTGACCATGCCCAATGGCATCTGATCTCAGAAGAAATTCAGATATACAAGAAAAAATAAAGAATAATAGAAATAGTTGATATATGGGTAAATATTGAATGATATCATTTTTCTTCTCTTAATTTCCTTCAAAGACAAGTAACTGTTTAATGCCAAAAATTAAAATTATAACATCTTCTTGTGGAGATTATAAAAAATCTATAATAACAGCACACAAGATGGAGTAGTGGTAAATTAAATTACATTGTTTAGGATTCTTAAATTTAACATGAAGTGGTACAAATTAACACTACACAGACTATGATGAATTAAAAATTTATATCATAATCCTAGTAGTAGCTCAAAAGGATTAAAAAAGGAATACCAGGCCGGGCATGGTGGCTCACGCCTGTAATCCCAGCACTATGGGAGGCCGAGGCGGGTGGACCACTTGAGGTCAGGAGTTCGAGACCAGTCTGGCCAGCATGGTGAAACCCCGTCTCTACTAAAAGTACAAAAATTAGCTGGGCATGGTGTGGGTGCCTGTAATCTCAGCTACTCGGGAGGCTGAGGCAAGAGAATCTCTTGAACCCAGGAGGTGGAGGTTGCAGTGAGATGAGATCATGCCACTGTACTCCAGCCCGGGCGACAGAGCAAGACTCTGTCTCAAAAAAAAAAAAAAAAAAAAGGAGGGAATACTTAAATATGAGGGAAATTAAAATATAATAATAAAGATATTCAATTAACCCAAAGAAGGCAGGAAAGAAGAAACACAAGAATAAAAAGCAGACGGGATGAAGAGAAAACACACAGGAAAATGATAGACTTCAATCCAACCATATAACTAATAATATTAAATGAAAATGGACTAAACACTATTAAAAAGCAGAAACAGACTTTGTAAAAATACAAAACACAGCTATATGCTTTCTACAAGAGACACACTTTCAATATAAAATCATAGGTAGGTTTAAAGGAACAGAAAAAGATATGTGATAAAAATATTAAGTATTAGAAGGTGTGTTCTAATGTTAATATCAGATAAAATACACTTCAAAGCAAGAAGTAGTACCAGTGAAAGAGATGCACATTGAACATTTCATAATGATAAATGAATCATTTCATCAGGAATAAGTTACAATTATAAGTGTGTATGCGTCTAACACAGAGCTTCAAAATACATGAAGCAAATACTGAAAAAACTAAAGGAACAAATAACCAAATCCACAGTTATAATTGGCAATTTTTAACACACCTCCCTCAGTAATTTGTAGACCAACTAGACAAAAAAAAAAAAAAATCACCGAGTATACAGAATATTTGAATATCACTGATGATATGGTTCAGATGTTTGTCCCCTCCAAATCTCATGTTGAAATATGGTTCCCAATGTTGGAGGTGGGGCCTGGTGGAGATGACTGGCTCATGGAAGCAGATCCCTCATGAATGGTTTAGCACCATCCCCTTGGTGATAAATGAGTTCTTGCTCAGTTAGTTCACACGGTATCTGGTTATTTAAAAATGTGTTGCACCTCTCCCCTTGCTCTCTTGCTTCCTCGCTCACCATGTGACGTGCTTACTCCCACTTCACCTTCTGCCATGCTTGTAAGCTTCCTGAGGCCCTCACCAGAAGCAAATGCCAGCACTGTACAGCCTGTAGAACTGTAAGTCAATTAAACCTCTTTTCTTTATAAATGACCCAGCCTCAGGTATTTCTTTATAGTGACACAGGAATGGACTAATACAACTATCAAACAACTTGCTCTAACTACTATTTATGGAACACTAACAACAACTTCAATGTAAACATTCTTTATAATTGCACATAGAACATTCAAGAATATGACCAGCAAGACAGGTCATATTCTCAGCCGTAAAATAAAACTCAATAAATTTCAAAATCTCAAAGTATGTGTTTTATTACCACGATGAAATTAAATTAGAAATCATTAATAATAAGATAGCTAGATAAGTCCTAAGTATTTGGAAATTAAGAAATAGATTTCTAAATAACCCATGAGTCAAAGAAGAAATCGCAAAAGATACTAGAAAATATTTTGAATTAGTAATAATACAAACACAACATATCAAAATTGTGGGATGCAGCTAATTAATTTTTTTTTTTGAACAAAGTCTTGCTCTGTTGCCCAGGCTGGAGTGCAGTGGCATGATCTTGGCTCACTGTAACCTCTGCCTCTCAGGTTCAAGCGATTCTTCTGCCTCAGCCTCCCGAGCAGATGGGACTACAGGCGTGTGAGCCACCATGCCCGGCTTTTTTTTTTTCTTAGTAGAGACGGGGTTTCACCATACTGAGCAGGCTGGTCTCGGACTCCTGATCTCGTGATCCGCTTGCCTCGGCCTCCCAAAGTGCTGGGATTACCGGCTTGAGCCACCGCACCCGTCCTGTACAGGGACTTTTTAGCATTAAATACTTGTAATACAAAAAAAGGTCTAAAATCACTAGGATTCCATCTTAAGAAGCTAAAAAAAGAAGAGCAAAATAAACTTGAAGGAAGTAGAATGAAGAAAATAAGGAAAAGAGCAGAAATCTATGAAATAGAAAACAAACAAAAAAATTAAGAAAAGCCAAAAATATGTTCTTTGAAAAGATTAATAAAATCAACAAATCCAGACTGGCATAGTGGCTCATGCCTGTAATCCCAGCATTTTGGGAGGCCAAAGAGGGCAGATCAGTTGAGGCCAGGAGTTCAAGACCAGACTGACCAACATAGTGAAACCCTGCCTCTACTAAAAATTCAAAAACTTAGCTGGATGTGGTGGCATGTGCCTGTAATTCCAGCTACTGAGGAGGCTGAGGCACAGGAATCTCTTGAACCTGGGAGGGAGGTTGCAGTGAGCCAAGATCGTGCCACTGAACTCCAGCCTGGGTGACAGAGCGAGACACTGCCTCAAAAAATAAAATAAAATAAAGGACAAATCCCAAGCAAGGCTGACAAACAAAAAATGAGGTTTAGATAACCAATTATAAAATTAATTTTAAAATTTTTAAAATAATTTTTAAAATTTGTTTACATTTTAAGAAGTAGATAAAATGGACAAATTCTTTGAAAGATAAATTTACTAAAACGGATACAAGAAAAAATAGAATATATGAAGAGCTCTATATCTATTAAAGAAATAGAGTTCATAATAATAATAAAAACAGTCTCACAGGAACACTGTCAGCCCAGGGCTTCCCTAGTGTATTATATTGATCATTTTTTAAAGAAATGATATCAAGTTTACAAAGACTCTTCTAGAAAACAAAGGATGAGGGAATACTTCCATATTTATTTTATGAGGTCAGCAGAATACCGATACCAAAACTTAAGTAAATCTTTTGAGAAAAGAAAATCAGAGACCAATATCCTTCATAAACATAGAAGCAAAAAATACTTTTAAATTGACAAGTTTTATCCAGCAATATATAAAATTGTATTAATCATGACTATGATTCATGCAAAGAATGCAAAGATTGTTTAACATTCAAAATCAATTAATTCACTATATAAACAGAAAAAAGGAGAAAAAACAAATTATTATTTTAATAAATGCAAAAGAATTTTTGAAAATATTTAGCACCTCTTCATCATTTAAAAAGAAAAAAAAGCTCTGCAAACTAAGGAGAAAACGTCCTCATTCTGATAAAGGAAAATTTTAAAAAACCTACTGCTAACACTAAACTTAATGGTGAGATATTAAACTCTTCTCTTAAGATCAAGAGCAAAGCATAGATGTATAAAAAATGCTAGCAGTGTTCATAACAGCTTTATTCATAACAGCCAAAAAATAAAAGCAGTTCAAATGCCCATCAATAGGGCAGTGAATGTTTAACCAAACTGTAATATGTTCATGCAATGGAATTCTACTCAGCAATTTTAAAAAAGAGAATGAACTACTGTAACATACTACATGGATGAATTGCAATAACACTATATTAAGCAAAAGAAAACAGACAGAAAAGAGTGTGATTCCATGATTCCATTTATATGAAGTTCAAGAATAGGCAAAACTAATCTGTGGTGGTAGAAATTAGGAGGGTGGGGTGGGTGTTTATGAATGGTGGGGGTGAGGATCGACTGGGAAGGAGCACAAACATTTTTCTATATTTTTATTGAGGTAGTGGTTACATGGGTGTGTATACATTTATTAAAACTTCTTGAATTAATACTTAAGATTTGTGCATTTCATTGTATGCAAATTTTCCTCAATAAATAAAAGCTACTATTGGAGCCTAGAGAGTAAAGAAGGCTTCCTGGAGGAGGTGGATGTTTGAAGAACAAGCAGGAGCTGACTAGGTGAAGGACAGAGGAAGGGGATTTGAAGTAGAAAGTGTGACATGCGGAGAGGGACAGACCTGTGAAACAGCACAGAGCCTTCAGAGGGAGGGGCAGGGAGAGGAAGAAGCTATAGAAGAAAGTAGGGGTCAAATTGGAAAGGGCTCATGGATTAAGTAGTTTGAAGTTTATCCTGAAAGCTAGAGGAAGCCATTGAGGCATTATATTTTGGCAAAATCAAATTGAGGGCAGAGTCAGGGTGTGGGTGTGAAGGTACATGGTCCAGGATCAGGGAAGTCAGGCTCTAAAGTGGTACTGAACAAGTGGTGAGGGTCTCAGCCAAGGTGGAGAGATGAGCCTATTAGGAAGGAGAAATATTTAAGAGATAGTAAGGAACAAGAATCTACAAGATTAATGCAGGAGTGAATGCTGGGATGGATGAGATGGAGATGATGAAGTTGACAGAGGGGATCTAGGTCCTAAAAATCTCTTTCCTCTCATTTTTCCATTAGCCCATCATTAGCTTCTGAGAGTTGGGGTTACACAGGGTATCAGGGTAGGAGTTGTGAGTAAAAACTTGATGACAATTTGGTTTCTTAAGTTATCTGTAACTTCAACTAAAAGGAAGGACTTAGAAAGCAAAATATGTTTTGCCTTGAAAATATCAAAGCTTTTACTAACGTGAAAGAAAAACTTTACTGTGATATTGAAAAAAAGTGTAATTAACACACACAAAAAACCTCAATAGCTGAAACACCCAAACACCCCCACCCTCGCAACATTCACTGAATCCTTACTATGTGCCAGGCACTACCTTAGGCATATTTTATGTATTATCTTACTGAATCCTAGCACTATCTTTTGGAGGTTCATATAATTATCATACCATTTTTCAGAGCAGAAACTGAAATTGCCCAAGAGCACACAGTTTGTAAGTAGGGGAGGCAGGATCCAATGATGGATTGATGTCTGCCTTTGATAATCTCTTTAAGGATGTGAGCTCTAAGGTTACAACAGATAATTTTTATTTGCCGATCTCACAGTCCTCAGTTATTTGAAATAAAAGGTGGAGAGACTGTTGAAGAAAAGCTGCTAGTACTGGGAAGAGACCAGGAGAACTGTCTTGAATTAAGACATATTCCTAAGGAGTTGAACCTCAGAATGTCAGAGATAATGAAAATCTATCTGTTACAGGCTGAATTGTGTTCCCCACCCCCAAATTTATATGTTAAAGACCTAACCTTTAGTACCTCAGACTGTGACTATATTTGGAGATAGGGCCTGTAAAGAGGTGATTAAGATAAAATAGGTGATAAGTTAAAAATTAGGGTGGATTTAATCCAATCTGACTGGTGTCCTTATAAGAAGGAGAAATTTGGATGGATGTAGAAAAGTCAGGCTCTAAAGTGGTACCAAATGGTCACTGTGAGGACACACACTGAGCAGAGAGCAATCTGGAAGTCAAGGAAAGAAGCTTCAGAAGAAACTAAACCTGCTGTCTTAGTCTGTTTTCTGTTGTTCATAACAGAAAACCTGAAACTGGGCAAATTATAAAGAAGAGAAATGTATTTCTTACAGCTATGGAGGCTGAGAAGTCCAAGAACAAAGGACTGCATCTGGTAAAAGCCTTCTTCCTGGTGGGGACTCTCTCCAGTGTCCTGAGGCAGCACAGGGCATCACACGGCAAAGGGGCTGAGTGTGCTAGATCAGGTCTCTCTGCCTTTTCCTACAAAGCCACAAGTCCCATTCCATGATAATTTATTAATTCATTAATCCAAGAATGAATTAATCCATTCATGAGATCAAAGTCCTCATGACCCAATCACCTCTTAAAGGCCCCATCTCTTAATCTTGTAATACTGCCACACCAGGGACTAAGTTTCAACATGAGTTTTGGAGGTTACAAACATTCAAGCAATAACACCTGCTGACACCTCGATTTTGGATTTCCATCCTCTGGAACTGTGAGAAAATAAATTTATTTTGGTTAAGCCACCCACCCTGTGGCATTTTATAGCAGCTCTAGCAAACTAATAATACTTTATCCATCCGCCATAGTTTGGATATTGTTTGTCCCCACCAAAACTCTTATTGAAATTTGATTCCCAATGTAACAGTAATGGGAGGCGGGGCCTAGTGGGAGGTGTTTGGGTCTTGGAGGTGGATCCCTCATGAATGATGTAGTGCCATTCTTGTGGTAGTGAATTCTCACTCTGGCAAGACTAAATTAGTTCCTTCCAGAGTGGGTTATAAAGCCAGGACACCTCTCTTCTTTGCACATGTCCACTTCCCCTTTGATCTTCCCCACCATTTAATGATACAGCATGAAAGCCCTTTCCAGAGCCCAGGGTCATGCCCTTGAACTTCTCAGCCTGCAGAACTATGGCATAAATGAGCCTCTTTATAAATTACATAGTCTCAGGTATTCTGTTATAGCAACACAAAACAGACTAAGACAGAAAATTGGTACCGAGGAATGGGTGTGGCTATAAAGATAGGTGGCTTTGGAACTGGGTAATGGGCAGAGGTTGAAAGAGTTTGGAAGAGCAGGCTAGAAAGTCTGTATTGCCATGAACAGAGCATTGAGGGTGACTGTGGTGGAGGCTCAGAAGACAAAAAGACGTGAGAAAGTTTGGAACTTTTTAAAGGCTGGCTGAGTGGTCATGACCAAAATAATGATAGAAACATGGACAGTAAAGGACATTCTGACAAGGTCTCAGACAGAAGTGAGGAGAAACTTATTGGGAACTGGAGCAAAGGTCACCAATGTTACACCAGGGAAAAGAACTTGGCTGCATTGTGTCCATGCCTAGGGCCTTGTGGAAGGCTGAACTCAAGTCAGTGAACTAGGATATCTGGCGGAAGAAATTTCTAGGCAGCAAAGCACTCAAGAAGCTGTGTGGTTACTTTTAACGACTTATGCTCAGTTATGGCAGCACAGAAATGACCTAAAGACAGAATTTAAAATTAAAAGAGAAGCAGAGTATTAAAAACTTGGAGAATTCACAGCCTGGCTATGTGACAGAGAATGAAAAAGGAGTTTCCAGGAGAGGAATCCAAGGGTGTGACTCAGCTACTGCTTGCTATAGAGATGGGCATTGACAAAAGGGAGCCAGGTGCTAATAATCAAAACACTGGGAAAAAGGTCTCAAAGGCATTTCAAAGATCTTTGAAGACACCCTTCCCATCATGAGTCCAAAGGCCTGAGAGGAAAGAATGGTTTTGGGGGACAGTCCCCAGGGTACCACACTCCTACACTATCTCAGGACACTGCTCCCCACATCTTGGCTGCTTGAGCTAGAGTAGCCACGTCTCAAATGGCCCCACATATGGCTCAGGCTGTAGCTCTGGAGGGCTGAAGCAGTAAGCCTTTGTGGCTTCCATGTGATGCTAAGTCTGCAGACTCACAGAATGCAAGAGCTATGGAAGTGTGGCTTTCTCCACCTACATTTCAAAGGCTGAATGGAAAAGCCTGTGGGCCCAGGGAGAGATTTGTTGAAAGAATGGAGCCACCACAGAGTGCAACTACTAGGGAAATGCTGAGCAGAAATGTGAAGTCAGAGTGCTGCAGAGTCCCCACCACAGCAATGCCTAGTGAAGCCACACAGGTGGGGCTACAGCCAGGACCCCACAGTGGTGGAGCCACTGGCTGTGTTCAGCCATAGCCTGAAAAAGCCACATACATTTAACTCCAGCCTGTTAGAGCAGCCATGTGGGCTACAACCAGCAAAGCCATGAGAGTCCACCCCTTGCACCATTGAGTCCAGGATGAGAAACATGGAATCTGAGAGTTTATTCTGGAGCTTTAAGATTTAATGACTTCCTTTCTGGGTTTTGGACTTGTGTGGGGCTTGTCATTTATTTCTTTTGACTAATTTCTCCCTTTTGGAATGGGAATGTTTACCCAATGCCTGTACAACCATTTTATCTTGGAAGTAAATACAGTTGACCCCCTGAACAATGTGTGAGTTCAGGTGCTGACCCCTTGCAGAGTCAAAAATCTACATATAACTTTTGTCTCCCCCAAAACTTAACTATAATAGCCTACCGTTGACCAGAAGCCTTGCCAATAACATGAACAGTGAACGAACACATATTTTATATATGTATTATATACTATATTCTCATAATAAAGTAGGCTAGAGAAAAGCAAATGTTATTCACAAAATAATAAAGAAGAGAAAATACATTTACTCTTTATCAAGTGAAAGTGGATCATCATAAAGGTTTTCATCCTCATAAAGGTCTTTATCCTTCATTCTTATAAAGGTCAATATCCTTTATTTCGAGTAGGCTGAGGAAGAGGAGGAAGAGAAGTGTTTGGCCTTGCTATCTTAGGGGTGGCAGAAGCAGAAAAAAATTCATGTATAAGTGGACCCATGAAGTTCCAACCAATGTTGTACAATAATGATTAACTGTAACTTATTTTTTTATTTTACAGGCTTACAGTCTAAAGGAGCTTGCCTGGAGTCTTAGATGACAATGTGTCTGTGTTGGGAGGTGGGGCCTAATGGGAGGCGTTTGGGTCACGGAGGTAAATCTCTCATGAAAGGCTTGGTGCTGTTCTCATGGTAGTGAGTTCTCACTCTGGCAAGACTGAACTAATTCCCATAATAGTGGTTTGTTATAAAGCCAACGATTCCCCTTGGGTTTTGTGTCTTTTGCACATGTCTATTTCTCCATTGACCTTCTCCACCATGTTATGTCCCAGCATGAAAGACCTCACCAGAAGCCAGGGCCACGCCCTCGAACTTTCCAGTCTGTATAATCCTGAGCTAAATAAATCTCTCTCTTTTTAAAATAAATTACCCAGTTTCAGTTATTCTGTATAGCAACATTAAATGGACTAAGACACCATCCATCCATCTATCCATTCCCTTATTCTGCTACATTATGTGCTAAGCTTGAGAGATACATAAAGCACTAAACAAGAAATATTCCTTCATCTTCTAAAAAGAAAAAAATGGGTAAAGAACAATTACAGCATATGGGGACAAGTGCTCTGATAGCTTTTTCTTCAGTTTAGGGTATTAGACAGGGGTCTTTGGGGGAAGTGACATTTAAATTTCTAGGTAAAGAACTTGTAGGAATTACTAGGTCTAGAAAAGGGTTTCTCAACCTTGGCACTACTGACATTTGGACCAGATAACTATTTGTTGTAAGGGCTTACTTTTGCATTATAGGATGTTTAATAGTATCTCTGGCCTCTACTTAGATGTCAGTCACATCCCCTTTCCTCAAAGTTGTGACAACCAAAAATGTCTCTAGATATTGCCAAATGTCTCCTGAGGGGCAAACTTGGAGAGTGGTGCAGGCTTCTAGGCAGAGAACATGGCACAGAATTAGGCCAAAGACAGCATGGCCCCTTGGGAACTTGCAAACTCTCTCATGTTATAAATAGAGATGGTAAGGCTGAGAAAGGCTAAGTGACTTATGCAAGACTGTGGCAGATCAGTGTGACCAGAAGCAAGTGCAACAGTGGATATAGAGGAAGTGAATGCAAATCCAAGAAGAAATCTTTAATATGAGGCTTGTTTGTGTGTGTGTATGCTTGTGTATATATGTGATTTTAAAGAAAAGTAATATCAAACTCTTGCCTTCTGTAGTATCTGAGACTGTGGGTCACCAATGTGATTAGGGTTTATTTCCTAGTTCCTATAGAAGCAAAAGTGGGACTAACTGCTGGACTAAACTTGTAACAATAGGGAATGTGGTGTCCGTTTACATTTTTCAGAGTTTAAAATTTATGCCTTGGTGACTAATAGTTATCTAGTTACTGTGTGTGTGTGTGCGCACATTTGTGTGTGTGTGCATGCACAGGAGAAACAGATGCCTAACCCAAGACATCTTAGCTAGCATTGCCATGTCTTCCTGCAGGGGACCTGGCCTGAAGACCTCGCCTGACTGGTGGGACAGTATGCTGTGGCAGGAGGTGCTGTCAAGAAAGTATCTGGACATCTAGAAACTCGGTTATGGTCAGTGTAAACATTACAGCTCGCTGGCAAAGTTGTTTGTTTAGAATTACAGCTAAGTGTAAGCAACAGTGAAATAATTCAAAGAAAAATGAATTAGTTCACAATTTAAGGCAAATTTTGGCTGGTGCCAAGGGATACTGGGCATTTCTTACTGAAGCATGTAGCTCACACAGGGCATTTACAGTGGCAACATGAAAAGAGTCCTCTCTTTTTGCTATGGAGAGCGAGACAGGGCATACACCAGCCTTAGAATCAGTCATGGTTTTGGAGCTGCTTTTGGGGATCTGACTGAAAAACACCTCCTCTAAGAAGCCTGTGTCCTTGGACCCTGTGCTGCCTTGGCCACCTCTTCAGTCTTCATGAGGATGTCTGGCCTGAACTAGGAGGCACTCAATAAACTTTCACAAGAATGAGGTGGTTCATATGTGGCCAAGGAGCACCCTGTCTTTCTTTGTATTCTCTCCCCACTCCACCACCTTATTCCTCCCATCAGTGTCCCACCTGCCATCACCACACAGGGGTGAATGGTTCACTATGTGTGGTTGGAGTAGGGGAGGAACCTTCCCCTCAAACCTTCCTAACAGGTACCCCTCACTCCTTTCAGTAGTCCCTGAGGTATCTTTAGGGAATCTCTGAAGGTTCCACAAAACACAATTTGAAAATCTCTGCTCTAGTCCAACAATCAGACTACAGACACGGAAACACCAAGCCAAAGGGCCTAAGTGACCTGCCTTGACAACATTACCTCTTAATTGGCATTGCCAGAACCAGAATCTGCATTCCTTCCTCAACTAGACCAGGGTGCTTTGACCTACCCATCTGAGTGATTAATGGAACACCCCTCCCACTGCCTACTCTAAACACCCATGGATGGTTGCTGACTGGACAGAGATGGCAAGGGTCAAATATTCCTGACGCCATAAACAAATGGTAAGAAAATGTTGGTTGAAGATTTAATATTAGTGAAATCATTTCAGTATGGTTACCCCTCCCATTGGTCATAATGGGACAAAACATTACCTACAAGACCAGCTTTGATTCAGCTCTTCAGGTTAAAATAATAGGGCTGGTTATTGGGTCACACACTATACTCTGCTCACTAAGCAGTGAGAAGTTGCAAATCAGATCCACCCAAACACTGCTCTTTCCAGACTCCACATAAAATCTACAACCTCTAGGTCGACACTGTTTTGAAGAGGATCAGAATATGCTGCACTAAAATATGCCACTTTAGCATCAAAATTATCTCGAGCTGAAGACATTTGGGATTCAACAGATGCAGAAAGAAGGCTTCCCAGAGCTTCCCTTACCTGAGTAAAAGCAGAAACTCCTGAGAAATAAAGACTGCCATAAATCTCTTCTCCCAGAAAAGTACCATGACCTTGAAGAAAACAGAACGTCAGCACTGAGGTGGACCTGCACAAACAAATCTTGCTAAGATAGCTTTATCTTCCACATATTTCCCCCACATATTTACCTACCCACAGGTTGCAGTGCTTGGAAGCCCCAAACCCTTTTCTTTTCTTGTCACATATCTTGCAATGTATTGTTCTTTGTTTAAAATGCCATATAAGTTCCCAGACCTGCTTCTTTGGGTCTTCACTTCTTTTCTAAAAACGGTCCCCTCGTTATGTAAAAATTAACATAAATAAAATATGTGTGCCTTTTCAGTTGTCGATCTGTCTTTTAATAGTCTAATTTGCGGAGTCCTGGGTAGTGAGCCTAAGAGGGTAGAGGAAAAGGTTTTTTCCTCCCCTACAGTTTGTTTGTTTATTTGTTCCCTCAACTATTTTGCTCACTATGTTCATTGTTCATCTATGTTAATGTTCACTGATTGTTAATATTTTGTCACATTTGTTTTATCCATCTATTCCTCATCCACCTGAAATGGGAGAGTTCTCTGATTTCCCTCATAGGACGTGTGACAGGGGTGTGGCTCGCCTGTTGGCTGCTCAAACCCCTGACAGGATGGGGGAGCATGCAGACAGGCAGGTGCAGGAGCTGGGGTGAGCGCTTTGGGCTCTGGCACCACAGTAGTGTCTAGAGGTGGGTGCCTGTGGCCCCAGTGTTACAATGCTCTTCTAGCCTTGCTGTGCACAGAAGGCTTAAGTGTTAACCAGCTCAATGGACCTCTGCTTTTTCTCAAGGGCAGAGAGCCACTGTGACAGCTTTTTGTATTCTGAGCTCTTGCCCAGTATCCTGGGAGAATCGGGTCACACACAGGCTTGAAGGATGAATGTGGGTTTTATTGAGTGGTGGAGGTGGCTCTCAGCACAATGGATGGGGAGCTGGAAGGGGAGATGGAGTGGGAAGATGATCTTCCCCTGGAGTTTGGCTGTCCAGTGGCCGAACTTCTCTCCAACCACCCCCAGTCACACTCCTCTTGGTGTTCAGACATTCTCTTCTCTCTTTCTCTGCCACATCATTCTGCCATTTGCTTGTCTCCTTATCTCCTCATCTGCTCTTCTGCTTCTGGAACTTGGGGTTTATATAGGTACGGGGTACAGGATAGGGGGTGTGGTGAGCTGAAAGGCAACTTTTTGGGCATGAAAACAGAAATGGCTGTTCCCACTTACGGCCATGGGTCTTCAGGCTTGAGGGAGGGTGTAGCCTTTGCCAGGGAAGCACCCTCTCCTACCCGGTATTTCCCTATCGCCTGTCCATATCACATCCATCCATCCACTCCATGCATCCATGCTCCATCCATCCATCTAGTTGTTTCTTGGTTTTACAGAATCATCTGTGAGTTAGTTGTAGATATCATGATACTTAATCTCTAAATACTTTAGCAAGAATCTCTTAGGGACAAAGGCCTTTTCCTATATAACCATGATTATTACACTTAGAAATTTAACACTGAAATAATATGTACTATTATTTGACATCTTGGTACTCAAAGTGTGGTCCCAGAGTCAACAGCAACTAACACCACCACTAAGAAATAAGGTTGGGGGAGGGGTGGCAATCTGTGTTTCCACAAACCCTCCAAGTGAATCTGATGCATGCTAAAGTTTTAGAGCCACAGTTCTAAAGTAAAAGAGACTTGACAAATGTAATGTGAGATACTTGACTAGATTAAGACTTGGGGAGGGTGTAGGGCAGGGAACAGGAAAGAGGGATATTGCTGAGACTATTGGGACAATTTGAATATTAATTGTATACTAGAGCAGAGCTTCTCAGATTTGAGTGTGCATACAAATCAGCTGGGATCTTGTTAAAATGTAGATTCTAACTCTATAGTTCTGTGGTGGGGTTTGAGATTATGCTTTTCCAATAAACTCCTAGGTGATACCCATGCTGCTAGTTCCAGGGCCTACATTTTGAGAACTAATCTAGAACGATTCCCCAAGTTTTTATTGTTGTTGTTTTTCATTGCATTGACATTTTTGAAGAGCCTAAGCCAGCTGTTTTGCAAAATACTTCTCAATTTGAACGTGCCCAATTGTTTCCTCACCATTAGGTTCAGATTAAACATTTTTGGCAGGAATACAATGTAGGTGATGGTAGGCCCTTCTCAGTATAGCACATGAGGAGGCACATGATTTTATTACTTTTCCATGCAACTTTCAGCCCATCCTCCTCCACACATCTCAACTTCCCCCTCAAGCAGGGGTGGTGTCAAAGGCAGGCCAAAGGGACCTGACCTGCACTCACATTCTTTTGAGTGCTGTAGACAGCAGCAACCATGAAGAATGAATTGCAAACTTGAATGTCTCTTGAGACAACTTTCCTTGATCTATCTTCCTAACTCAAACCTCAGTGACAGAAAACAGTAACAGCCGTGTTTGTAAAAGTGGTTCCCATGCTAAAGATGAATCACCAGTTTGCCTCAGAAATGAAAGGAAGACTGATTCAGACTAGCTCTGTTGCCAAAAATACACAATGGAGGATGTTACACCAAAAAACAGAAAGCAAGCTGAAGCCAAAAGAGAAACACCAAGGGTATTATGATAAAACTACAAAAGTCCTTTTGAAGATAAATATAGGTAACAGGGTTTGAACCATTTCTGGAAAATGGTAACCAGTTTTGTGAGCACCCTTGATTCACTTTCAAACAGAATCTCAAAATAGAATGAGAATCTTTTGGCCTAATTATTTTACACAGAGAGAACACCTGTGGAATGCAATGATTGAAGACCAAAATTAAAAATACACAATTTTCTTGATGAATGGGGCATAAATTAAAGCTGAATAATCTGAAAACATGTACTACTTGAAACTTTAAAGGGGAATTAAGAAATAGAGGGAGAGCAATCCTGGAGACTGATTAAGACAGACTTGTAAAACTCAGAGTCAGTAGAGTTGCATCACTGGCATTCTGTCCTTGGAACATAATTATTTTTGAGAAGGACAATATAAGAACTGTAATAAACTCTGCCTGCCTAAGCCGGTCAGCCTGCCCCGCAGGCACGCTGTGATTTCTGCTGACGGCAGGGGTATGGCCCCCAGCATATGATGTTGCTCTGTGTACTGGGAGGCAGCTTGTGCAGAAAAGCCTGCCATACTCAGATGCCTGGGAAGTCAGTTTTCCCCAAAGCCCGGGACACTTTGGATCCCACTTTCACGGTCCGAGACTCTAAATATGCTGAAGTTTCCAGACACAGGTGTAGCTGGAACATTCAGTTAGTCAACCACAGAAACTGAATGCATAATGAAAGGAGAGGTTTTGCCTATGATCCTGACCTTATCTTTTAGGTCTGATATAATTAACGGCTGTAACAGGGAGAAAGTTTACAAGCAAGAAAAGGAGAGGAGTATGGTCAGGTGCATTAGATTCAGGGGACTTTATAAAAGTTGCCAAAGGGCCAGGCACTGTGGTTCACGCCTGTAATCCTAGCATTTTGGGAGGTCAAGGCGGGTGGATCACCTGAGGTCAGGAGACCAGCCTGACAAACATGGTGAAACCCTGTCTCTACTAAAAATACAAAAATTAGCTGGGTGTGGTGGCACGTGCCTGTAATCCCAGCTACCTGGGAGGCTGAGGCAGGAGAATCACTGGAACCCGGGAGGTGGAGGTTGCAGTGGGCAGAGATTGCGCCACTGCACTCCAGCCTGGGCAACAGAGGGAGACTCCATCTCAAAAAAAAAAAAAAAAAATGTTGCCAAAGAACAAGAGCTGACGTCCCCTCTCCAGTTCCAAGTCCCCAGTACCTCTCCAGCATTCTGCACCTCAGTAATTCTCCACCAGTTTGTGCCTCAAGCTGGCCACACATCCTTGCTTCCAGGCCTTGGTCCCTGCTTTTCCCACGTTTGCTGGGTTCACTTCAGATTAGACAACATCTTCCCTGGAAAGCCCCCCTTGGCCCCACCCTCGCCAGTGCTACCAGCACAACACTCTGTCCGTATGGTATTGGCATATCTATTTCTTTCACTAGACTATAAGCTCCCTGAAGGCAGAAACCCTATCTTGTTCTATTTTGAAATTTCTGCATCTAGCCCAGTACCTGGTGCGTGGTATTAATACTAATGATGCGGATGATGTGCTTATTACATGCCAGGCTCTGCCTTAAGTACTTTACGTTGATTAACTCATTTAATGTTCACAGCAACATTATGAGGTAGGTACTGTTATCATTTCCATTTTACAGGAAAAGAAGGCACAAAGTTTTTAAGCAACTTGTCCATTATATCTACTAAGCAGTAGAGCCACAATTTGAACCCAGCCAATTGGGTTCTATGGATCATACTTTTAAACTATAAACTATATTGCTCTTAACAAATTCCAGACAAAAGGATGGATGAATGCAGATGATATATGTAAGGATGGATAGATGGATGGAAGAATATATGAGTCACTAGCCAGTTAAAGAAAGCCAGGTCATGACAGGAATGTGCCCACTGTAGGACTCTTCTAAGGAAGACTCAGTTAAGTGCAAATTTTAATGCATAGACTATTTCACACTAAACCAGGCATCTATATTGGTAAACACACAAACACAAAAAAGCAGATAGTAAGGAACCCAGGGAAATAGCACAGGTTTTGGAATCACAGGGCTAGATTTGAGTCATTACTGCCAATTTCTAGCTGTGCAATTTGCGACCAGTTACTTTGTCTAGTGATACTTGCCTCACAGGTGGAGGATATAAAAGTATCCAGCAGAGTGCCTAGAAGTTAAGAACCTCCCAATAAACTTTAGTTCCTTCCCTGCTCAAGAGAAATGATTATATCACCTGGGTCTGATTTATCTTAAGTAGAAAAATGCCGAGAACAGGACTGGAGGCAGGTTGTCTCTGGATTCCCTGCTCTCTTCATGAGACTGGGCTTAGGTTTTTGAAAAGAGGGGCAGTCTCACAGCTTTGCTAGCGCTATCAATTCTGTAGATTCTAGACTTGGTAGACAACTCACATTCCAACTTGAAAAAATATGCTGAATATACAAATGTGATCTCCTTTAGGGTAGAGTGTTTAATATTTGTATTTTAATGCTTTTTTCAGATAATAAAAGTAAACAGGCTGGGCACGGTGGCTCACGCCTGTAATCCCAGCACTTTGGGAGGCCGAGGTGGGAGGATCACAAGGTCAGGAGATCGAGACCATCCTGGCTAACATGGTGAAACCCCATCTCAACTAAAAATACAAAAAATTAGCCGGGCGTGGTGGCGGGCGCCTGTAGTCCCAGCTACTCAGGAGGCTGAGGCAGGAGAATGGTGCGAACCCGGGAGGCAGAGCTTGCAGTGAGCCGAGATTGCGCCACTGCACTCCAGTCTGGGTGACAGAGTGAGACTCCGTCTCAAAAAAAAAAAAAAAACAGTAATCAAAGATCATTGCAAAAAATTAAAGAAATAAGTATAAAAATGAAAGGCTAGTTCATGTTTACAATCTTGGAGGATTTTTAAAATTTATTTCTATGTATATAAGCATGTACACATTTTAAAAAACAGAAATAGGATTAAGCTGTATATAGCATGCTGTCATTATTTTTACTTAGTTATATATTGTGGATAACTATCCTAACATAGGTATACATTATCAACTGCACAGCATTCCATGGAAAGGATGGACCATAAACTATTTAACAATACTGTAAACAACATTTAAATGAAACCGTTATTATGAACAATACTTCAATGAAAATATTTGTACACACATCCTTGAGCCCCTTTTCTATTATTTCCTTTGATTAAATTCCTGAACTAGGAATTGCCAAGACAAAGACAGGCATTTTTATTTTGATACATATTGTCAAACTCCCCTAGCAAGGTAGTATTTTAACATCACCTGGATAGGAAAGTGACCCCACACTCTCCTAACACTGAGTATAGTCATGTTTTTAACCTTTGACAAACAGAGCAAAAAAAAAAAAAAAGGTTTCTCCTTTTAACTTAAATTTATTTCTTTCTCTTTCGCTCCCTTTCTCTCTCCTTCCTTCTTTCCTTCCTTCCTTCCTTCCTTCCTTCCTTCCTTCCTTCCTTCCTTCCTTCCTTCCTTCCTTCCTTCTTTCCTTCCTTCCTTCTTTCCTTCCTCTCTCAATCTCTTTCTCTTTTTCTTTCTTTGTTACAGGGTCTTGCTCTATCACCCAGGCTGGAGTGCAGTGCTGTGATCATGGCAGCCTCGACCTCAAGGGATCCTTCCACCACAGCCTCCTGAGTAGTTGTTACTACAGGCATGCACCACCACCTGTTAATTTTTTTTTTTTTTTTTTAAGAGAAGGGGTCTTGCTATGTTCCCCAGGCTGGTCTTGAACTCCTGGGCTCAAGCAATCCTCCTGCCTTGGCCCCTAGAGTGCTGGGATTACAGGCATGACCCACCATGCCTGGCCTTAAATTTATTTTGCTAGTGAATTACACGCATTTAAACATTTATTGGTCATTTGAAATTTTTTTTGTGAATTTCTACTTCATGCTCTTAGCACATTCTCCTATCTATTATCAGTTTGTAGGAGGATGTATTCATTTTTGCATGTCTGATGGCTGGTGTAGAACCTAGCACATAGCAGCCATTCAATAAATATTTGTTGACTCTCCATTCACTGGCTGCACAGGTTTGTTTATCTGCACAGGACACAGGGGTTTCTAAGTTTGAATCCTGACTCTGCCAATAACTTATTGTCTAACTTTGAGAAATTCATCTTCTTGGAATTTAAGAATGCTGACCACAGCAAGACCCCCAGTAGGCCTGACGCCATGCATTCCCTGACCATAATACTTTAAAGACAATAGATGCTATACTATAAAAATTGCTGAAGAATAGCCCAGGAATAAGAGTGAGGATTATCCACCTGGTATACTGAGAAGCACCACATGGCTGGCCTGTCCTCAAACCTTCCTCTTTCTTCATCTGCCAGAAGACCAACATTCATCTTCCAGCAGCCTTTATACTTTATAAGTCCTCATGTGCATGCTGTGTAGGAACCTGTGAGATGTCACTGGCAATCATTTGGACCATCATTCCATAGACAGCAGATGCTGTAGGGAATGATCTCAGGGCATTTTATTTGTCTACGGTTATACATTGGCAACACTTTAGAAAAAGTTTTGCACATTCAGCCCTCACAGTAACCTGTGAGAAAGTGCAAAAAAAAAGGTACTCATTTAAAAATGTTTCCAGACTTCAGTAATGTTAAGATGCAAGAAAAAATATATTTTTATATATAAATATATAATATATATTTAGCATATATATACACTATATAAATATATAATATATATTTAGCATATATATATATACTATATAAATATATAGTAATAACCATATTTTACAAGAAAGATGGAAAGAGATGGAATGTCTTAGCCAAAGAATCAAGATGTGAATGTGTGTTTCCTTGGTTCAGTGCGCTTTATATGATAGGTTTGCTAAAGCAAAGAGGGTAAAAAAGAGCTTAAAGCTTGAGATCAAGTCTGCCAAAGGGGAGGAGGGCCTGGCAGGGAAGAGGAGGGGAGCTGAGAGGTTGGGCCACAAGCCGGCAGAACCTTGCCCAGTTTGTGATTTTTGCCTTTGGCCACCTTGTTTCTGACCATAGATTCCAAACATTCCAAGCTGTGAGAACTATCTGTCTTACCTTTTATTTTCCTTTATCATTCTATTTTCCTTACTGGCACCTTGTCCCATCTTCAGATGTGTGTCATTTTCCCCATTTCTACCAGACACATCCACCAGAATGTTCACATTCTGAGATAGAAAAGACTCTTGGCTCAAATCAATGAATTTCCAATGGTATAACTTAGGAGCCATGATAGACTGTGGGAGAGGCATTTTTGTCTAGACATTCAAATTTATATGTGTCTATATATAAATTTAAAGTTATAACTAAAAACTATTTGTGACCTTGGTACTATATTTAACAAATATGCCAGTCTGTTTTTGCGATGCTGATTTGGTAGCTTGTTTAATGGCACCACTGCATCAGGTGAGGCTGAAATACTTTGTTTCTTACAAGGCTTTGCACATGCCCATTTTACTTTTGAAATCTTGTTGCCATCAGCTTCTGTCCCCAGACAGCCAAGTTAAGCTGGTTGAGTTAGACCACAGTAGGTTAAGATTTTAGGCTTGCTTGAGGGAGCTCTGCCTCCCCCTCTCTAGGGGCTTTATGGCAGTTATCAGCCAGCAGTTGACAGTAACACAAATATCTACGAAGCATCTATAGCAGCATGGAGTCACCCATATGTTAAGGGAGAACTCAACAAAAACGTGATTTTCAGTGTTGTAAAATCTGCCCCGATTGACTGCCTAACTTCCTCCCCTTCATCCCGTTTTAAGAGAAATGAGGCTTTTTGTCTGATAAAGTTCTTTCTTTGCCCACATGAAAGAAGTGCGTATGTCTCTGTGGAGCAATTAATTGCAAGCTTGTTGAAGAACAGTTGTCTGTGGAGACAACCACAGCTTCGGTTTTCAGGCCACCAGCCCCTATGGCTGTCTTTCTTCCTACCATCTGTTTAAGCAGGAGCAGTAGTTTGTGCGAACTCCAACTTCAAGCATGTCATTTCCGAAACCACAACAAGTCTCTTAAGCTTCCTGAACAAAGTGCTCAGAGTGGAAAGCCCTGAAGTTCTCTTGGGCCTCCTAAAACCACAAAGCTAACTACTGAGCAAAGCCCCAGAGCATCCGAGCACAAAGTGCCTTCCTTGGAGCTCATCATAGAACATGAAAAAGTTATTGAGAGTATGATTAAGGAGGGGTGGGCAGTGTCTGCCCTCTCCGCTTAGATTAATAACACCATCTAGATAGTCTGCACCAGTGATGGTTTACAACCTTTACAAGCACAAGGACCTACTTGTAATATACAATTTTAAAATAATGGCATTATTAGTAGACTCTAATTAAGAAAGTCTGTAATAACTAGAAGCTAATGTGAATTCAGTAGTTCTTTTAAATAAATTTATATTTTACTAGTTATAATAATCTTCATATTAAATATTTTTGAAAAATATTGGTACATTTATTTGCACAAAACATTTTTTCACTACTGAAACGATCCCTCTAGAATCGAGATTCACGGACACTTTGCAGTAACTCCATGGCCCACTAGAGGTCTCACCAGAGGTTAGGGGAACTAACTAGGTGTAGTAACAGGTCTGCAAGCTCTCATGGAAGAGAATCAACTATACATTTGGATAGTTTCAATGCAATTGAATGCAATATTTCAATTTTCAATAGCAATATTTATTTATGGATCTAGGATTTCTGGAATTCCTCTTGTCATATAATGCCAAGAACTGTGTATCTCTGAAGATCAGTTAAGTTTTCTTGCTCCAGGCAATGGAAACTATATAATTCCCTGCATTTCCAGTTTGCATTAGCCATAATTTAGAACTAAATGCAATGCTTAGTTGTGGTAATCACCTTGTGCCAAAGTCCCTGTACTGTTTCTGCTCCTTCCTCAAGATTGTTTCTAGTTTGCCATCTTTATTTTTCTAATGTCCATTTGACTGTGATATTCATTGTAGCTCTCCTTGTCTCATTGAAAATAGATGGACATAAATTATAAACAAACACCCTCTTTAAAAGGCCCTCGTCTGTCTGTGAGTCCCCAGGGTAGCTAAAAAGGGTAGAATGCCCTGCATTTCTGGGCCACTAAGCTATTCTGCCAACATCTCCTCTGCTAAATGCATACTATGGACCATGTCATCCAATTTCCTAGGCCACATTTCTCTGAGATGATGGGGAGTACAGGGTAGGTACAGTGGTGGCTGAGCAATGTGACTCAGTATCACAACACCCACCCTACACAGGCCTGCAAAACAAAGCAAAGCAAAACCTCGTCAATTCTAAGAAATGTAAGAGACCTAACCAATGTCCATGGGCAGCAAAAGCTGCTCCTGCAGGTGCCAGGGGCTCTCCCCAACATTCTCATGCCAAACTCTCCTGATTACTGCTCCAGGAAACAAAAACTTTCCTTCTTTTCTATTTTATTTTTTAATCTGAACTGTTGCCTCTTTCTTGTTCCAGCCTGTCTCCTTTACTCTCAATCTACCTAATTTCTCCAAAGGACTAATGCCATTTTACCACTGGGGGGCAATGCAGATAAAGAAATGACGAATTAACAGGCTTGATGCTCTAGGCCACAAAGTTTTAGTTGTAAAATTATTCTGTATATTGTGCTTTAAAAACTTGTTTTTCTCCATGATGTTTTTTCTCTCTACTTTTAAACTCACATTATGGTGATGTGCACATTTATACATCTATATTCATATCAATGTTTTTATGAATAGGTTGTCTTCGATTCTCTCAGGCCTCTTTAAAACATGTCTCTTAGGACATAGTGCTGTGACATGTACATCAAAATAGAAGCCCAGACGTCATTGCATTCAACCAGGGCCTCTTTAGGGTACCAGCCACAAAGTTTGGATGATGAGATATTTTTTAGAATTAGCCCTTTCAGACAGTGTTGTGAGAGGACTACAGAATAAGGGGTTCTCTGAACTTTAAAGGAAGCCACTCTCCTGTTGGTAAAAATTACATACTTACAAATATCCAGTCTGTTGAGTAATTTCCCGCTTTATTATAAAGACCCTGGGAACTGATCAGCATATTGTGAATTGGTTAATGTGAGTCAGACCCTCTAAACTGGCACATCTGAGCTTGCTATGCGAGACTCCAGGTGCTGAGTGAAGCATGGTGACCTTACCAGGCCCTGCCTGAGGGCTAGTTGCTTTGCTCCATTATCACTAGGAGCCTACTCATAAATGTGGACATAGTATTTGCTTCACTTTCATTTTAAGAAAGAAAAGGATGTTAATGAGCAATAAGAAATTATCTGAAGGTATAAAACTTATTGGTAATAGTGGGTACATAAACAAATACAGAATATTGTAACACTGCAATTGTGGTGTATAAACCACTCATATCTTGAGTAGAAACAATAAAAGATGAACCTATCAAAAATAACTACAACAGCTTTTAAGACATAGTATATAATAAAATATAACATGAAACAACCAAAAGTTTAAAGGGAGGATTAAGTAAAAGGGTAGAGTTTGTATTAGCTTTTATCTTTGCTTCTTTGTTTTTGCAATCAAGCTTACGTTGTCATTAGTTTAAAATCATGGGTTATGGCTGGGCTCAGTGGCTCATGCCTATAATCCCAGCAATTTAGGAGGCTGAGGTGGGCGGATTGTTTGAGACCAGGAGTTCAAGACCAGCCTGGGTGACATGAAGAAGCCCCATCTCTACAAAAAATACAAAAATGAGCCAGGCATGATGGCATGTGCCTATAGTCGCAGCTACTTTGGAGGCTGAAGTGGGAGGATCACTTGAGCCTAGGAAGCAGAGATTATGGTAAGCCAAGATCACCCCGCTGCACTCCAGCCTGGGCAATGGAGCAAGACCCTGTCTCAAATAAATAAATGGATAAATCAATTAAATTAAATAACGAGTTATAAGATGTTATTTGCAAGGCTCATGGTAACCTCAAATAAAAAAACTACAACAAATACACAAAAAATAAAAAGCAAGAAATTAAAACATACTACCAGAGAAAATTACTTTCACAAAAAGGAAGACAGAAACGAAGAAAGGGAGAAAGGAAGGAAGGAAAAGAAGACCATAAAACAACCAGAAAACAATAAAATGGCAGAGGTAAGTCCTTACTTATCAATAATAATATTAAATGTAAATAGACTAAACTCTCCAGTCAAAAGACATAGAGTGGTTGAATGGAAAAAAATAAGACCTAACTATTTGCTGCCTATAAGAAACACACTTCACCTGGGGATGGTTCCAAGATGGCTGAATAGGAACAGCTCTGTCTACAGCTCCCAGCATGTGCGACACAGAAGACGGGTGATTTCTGCATTTCCAACTGAGGTACTGGGTTCATCTCACTGGGGACTGTCGGACAGTGGGTACAGGAAAGTGGGTGCAGTGCACCGAGCGTGAGCCGAAGCAGGGCAAGGCATCGCCTCACCCGGGAAGTGCAAGAGGTCAGGGAATTCCCTTTCCTAGCCAAGGGAAGGGGGGACAAATGGCACCTGGAAAATCGGGTCACTCCCACCCTAATACTGTGCTTTTCTGACGGTCTTAGCAAATGGCACACCAGGAGATTATATCCCACGCCTGGCTTGGAGGGTCCAACACCCACGGAGCCTCACTGATTGCTAGCACAGCAGTCGGAGATTGAACTGCAACATGGCAGCAAGGCTGGGACAGGGGTGTCCACCATTGCTGAGGCTTGAGTAGGTAAACAAAGTGGCTGGGAAGCTCGAACTGGGTGGAGCCCACCACAGCTCAAAGAGGCCTGCCTACCTCTGTAGACTCCACCTCTGGGGGCAGGGCACAGACAAACAAAAGGCAGCAGAAACCTCTGCAGACTTAAATGTCCCTGTCTGACAGCTTTGAAGAGAGTAGTGGTTCTTCCAGCATGGAGCTTGAGATCTGAGAACAGACAGATTGCCTCCTCAAGTGGGTCCCTGACCCCCGAGCAGCCAACTGGGAGGCACCCCCCAGTAGGGGCAGACTGACACCTCACACGGCCGGGTACCCCTCTGAGACGAAACTTCCTGAGGAACGATCAGGCAGCATTTGCTGTTCACCAATATTCGCTGTTCTGCAGCCGCCGCTGCTGATATCCACGCAAACAGGGTTTGGAGTAGACCTCCAGCAAACTCCAACAGACCTGCAGCTGAGGGTCCTGACCGTTAGAAGGAAAACTAACAAACACAAAGGACATCCACACCAAAACCCCATCTGTACGTCACCATCATCAAAGACCAAAGGGAGATAAAACCACAAAGATGGGGAAAAAACAGAGCAGAAAAACTGAAAATTCTAAAAATCAGAGCACCTCTCCTCCTCCAAAGGAATGCAGCTCCTCACCAGCAACGGCACAAAGCTGGACGGAGAATGACTTTGACGAGTTGAGAGAAGAAGGCTTCAGACGATCAAACTACTCTGAGCTAAAGGAGGAAGTTCGAACCCAACGCAAAGAAGTTAAAAACCTTGAAAACAGATCAGACGAATGGCTAACTGGAATAACCAATACAGAGAAGTCCTTAAAGGACTGGATGGAGCTGAAAACCATGGCACGAGAACTACGTGACAAATGCACAAGCTTCAGTAGCCGATTCAATCAACTGGAAGGAAGGGTATTAGTGATTGAAGATCAAATGAACAAAATGAAGCAAGAAGAGAAGTTTAGAGAAAAAAGAACAAAAAGAAATGAACAAAGCCTCCAAGAAATATGGGACCATCTGAAAAGACCAACTCTACATCTGATTGGTGTACCTGAAAGTGACGGGGAGAATGGAACCAAGTTGGAAAACACTCTGCAGGATATTATCCAGGAGAACTTCCCCAATCCAGCAAGGCAGGCCAACATTCAAATTCAGGAAATACAGAGAACGCCACAAAGATACTCCTTGAGAAGAGCAACTCCAAGACACATAATTGTCAGATTCACTAAACTTAAAATGAAGGAAAAAATGTTAAGGGCAGCCAGAGAGAGAGGTCGGGTTACTCACAAAGGAAAGCCCATCAGACTAACAACGGAGCTCTCAGCAGAAACTCTACAAGCCAGAAGAGAGTGGGGGCCAATATTCAACATTCTTAAAGAAAAGAATTTTCAAACCAGAATTTCATATCCAGCCAAACTAAGCTTCATAAGTGAAGGAGAAATAAAAAACTTTACAGACAAGCAAATGCTGAGAGATTTTGTCACCACCAGGCCTGCCCTACAAGAGCTCCTGAAGGAAGCACTAAACATGGAAAGGAACAACCAGTTCCAGCCACTGCAAAAACATGCCAAATTGTAAACACCATTGAGGCCAGGAAAAAACTGCATCAACTAACGAGCAAAATAACCAGCTAACATCATAATGACAGGATCAAATTCACACATAATAATATTAACTTTAAATGTAAATGGACTAAATGCTCCAATTAAAAGACACAGACTGGCAAATTGGATAAAGAGTCAAGACCCATCAGTGTGCTGTATTCAGGAAACCCATCTCACGTGCAGAGACACACATAGGCTCAAAATAAAGGGATGGAGGAAGATCTACCAAGCAAATGGAAAACAAAAAAAGGCAGGGGTTGCAATCCTAGTCTCTGATAAAACAGACTTTAAACCAACAAAGATCAAAAGAGACACAGAAGGCCATTACATAATGGTAAAGGGATCAATTCAACAAGAAGAGTTAACTATCCTAAATATATATGCACCCAATACAGGAGCACCTAGATTCATAAAGCAAGTCCTTAGAGACCTACAAAGAGACTTAGACTCCCACACAATAATAATGGGAGACTTTAACACCCTACTGTCAACATTAGACAGATCAATGAGACAGAAAGTTAACAAGGACATCCAGGAATTGAACTCAGCTCTGCACCAAGTGGACCTAATAGACATCTACAGAACTCTCCACCCCAAATCAACAGAATATACATTCTTCTCAGCACCAAACTGCACTTACTCCAAAATTGACCACATAGTTGGAAGTAAAGCACTCCTCAGCAAATGTAAAAGAACAGAAAGTATAACAAACTGTCTCTCAGACCACAGTGCAATCAAACTAAAACTCAGGATTAAGAAACTCACTCAAAATCGCTCAACTACATGGAAACTGAACAACCTGCTCCTGAATGACTACTGGGTACATAACGAAATGAAGGCAGAAATAAAGATGTTCTTTGAAACCAACGAGAACAAAGACACACCATACCAGAATCTCGGGGACACATTTAAAGCAGTGTGTAGAGGGAAATTTATAGCACTAAATGCCCACAAGAGAAAGCAGGAAAGATCTAAAATTGACACCCTAACATCACAATTAAAAGAACTAGAGAAGCAAGAGCAAACACATTCAAAAGCTAGCAGAAGGCAAGAAATAACTAAGATCAGAGCAGAACTGAAGGAATTAGAGACACACAAAGAAACCTTCAAAAAATCAATGAATCCAGGAGCTGGTTTTTTGAAAAGATCAACAAAATTGATAGACCGCTAGCAAGACTAATAAAGAAGAAAAGAGAGAAGAATCAAATAGACACAATAAAAAATGATAAAGGGGATATCACCACTGATCCCACAGAAATACAAACTACCATCAGAGAATACTATAAACACCTCTATGCAAATAAACTAGAAAATCTAGAAGAAAGGGATAAATTCCTCAACACATACACTCTCCCAAGACTAAACCAGGAAGAGGTTGAATCTCTGAATAGACCAATAACAGGCTCTGAAATTGAGGCAATAATTAATAGCTTACCAACCAAAAAAAGTACAGGACCAGACGGATTCACAGCCGAATTCTACTAGAGGTACAAGGAGGAGGTGGTACCATTCCTTCTGAAACTATTCCAATCAATAGAAAAAGAGGGAATCCTCCCTAACTCATTTTATGAGGCCAGCATCATCCTGATACCAAAGACTGGCAGAGACACAACAAAAAAAGAGAATTTTAGACCAATATCCTTGATGAACATCAATGCAAAAATCCTCAATAAAATACTGGCAAACCGAATCCGGCAGCACATCAAAAAGCTTATCCACCATGATCAAGTTGGCTTCATTCCTGGTATGCAAGGCTGGTTCAACATACGAAAATCAATAAATGTAATCCAGCATATAAACAGAACCAACGACAAAAGCCACATGATTATCTCAATAGATGCAGAAAAGGCCTTTGACAAAATTCAACAGCGCTTCATGCTAAAAGCTCTCAATAAATTAGGTATTGATGGTACGTACCGCAAAATAATAAGAGCTATTTATGACAAACCCACAGCCAATATCATACTGAATGGGCAAAAACCTGGAAGCATTACCTTTGAAAACTGGCACAAGACAGGGATGCCCTCTCTCACCACTCCTATTCAACACAAGTGTTCGAAGTTCTGGCAGGGCAATCAGGCAGGAGAAAGAAATAAAGGTATTCAATTAGGAAAAGAGGAAGTCAAATTGTCCCTGTGTGCAGATATGACATGATTGTATATCTAGAAAACCCCATTGTCTCAGCCCAAAATCTCCTCAAGCTGATAAGCAACTTCAGCAAAGTCTCAGGATACAAAATCAATGTGCAAAAATTGCAAGCATTCTCATACACCAATAACAGACAACCTGAGAGCCAAATCATGAGTGAACTCCCATTCACAATTGCTTCAAAGAGAATAAAATACCTAGGAATCCAACTTACAAGGGATGTGAAGGACCTCTTCAAGGAGAACTACAAACCACTGCTCAACAAAATAAAAGAGGATACAAACAAATGGAAGAACATTTCAAGCTCATGGATAGGAAGAATCAATATCGTGAAAATGGCCATAATGCCCAAGGTAATTTATAGACTCAATGCCATCCCCATCAAGCTTCCAGTGACTTTCCTCACAGAATTGGAAAAAACTACTTTAAAGTTCATATGGAACCAAAAAAGAGCCCGCATTGCCAAGTCAATCCTAAGCCAAAAGAACAAGGCTGGAGGCATCTAGCTGCCTGGTTTCAAACTATACTACAAGGCTACAGTAACCAATACAGCATGGTACTGGTACCAAAACAGAGATATAGACCAATGGAACAGAACACAGCCCTCAGAAATAATACCACACATCTACAACTATCTGATCTTTGACCAACCTGACAAAAAGAAGAAATGGGGAAAGGATTCCCTATTTAATAAATGGTGCTGGGAAAACTGGCTAGCCATATGTAGAAAGCTGAAATTGGATCCCTTCCTTACACCTTATACAAAAATTAATTCAAGATGGATTACAGACTTAAATGTTAGACCTAAAACCATAAAAACCCTAGAAGAAAACCTAGGCAATACCATTCAGGACATAGGCATGGGCAAGGACTTCATGACTAAAACACCAAAAGCAATGGCAACAAAAGCCAAAATTGACAAATGGGATCTAATTAAACTAAAGAGCTTCTGCACAGCAAAAGAAACTACCATCAGAGTGAACAGGCAACCTACAGAATGGGAGAAAATTTTTGCAATCTACTCATCTGACAAAGGGCTAATATCCAGAATCTACAATGAACTCCAACAAATTTACAAGAAAAAAACAAACAACCCCATCAAAAAGTGGGCGAAGGATATGAACAGACACTTCTCAAAAGAAGACATTTATGCAGTCAAAAGACACATGAATAAATGCTCATCATCACTGGCCATCAGAGAAATGCAAATCAAAACCACAACGAGATACCATCTCACACCAGTTAGAATGGCGATCACTAAAAAGTCAGGAAACAACAGGTGCTGGAGAGGATGTGGAGAAATACAAACACTTTTACACTGTTGGTGGGACTGTAAACTAGTTCAACCATTGTGGAAGACAGTGGGGTGATTCCTCAGGGATCTAGAACTGGAAATACCATTTGACCCAGCCATCCCATTACTGGGTATATACCCAAAGGATTATAAATCATGCTGCTATAAAGACACACCACATGTATGTTTATTGCAGCACTATTCACAATAGCAAAGACTTGGAACCAACCCAAATGTCCAACAATGATAGACTGGATTAAGAAAATGTGGCACATATACACCATGGAATACTATGTAGCCATAAAAAATGATGAGTTCATGTCCTTTGTAGGGACATGGATGAAGCTGGAAACCATCATTCTCAGCAAACTATCGCAAGGACAAAAAACCAAACACCACATGTTCTCATTCATAGGTGGGAATTGAACAATTAGAACCCTTGGACACAGGAAGGGGGACATCACACACCAGGGCCTATTGTGGGGTGGGGGGAGTGGGGAGGGATAGCATTAGGAGATATACCTAATGTAAATGACGAGTTAATGGGTGCAGCACACCAACATGGCACATGTATACACATGTAACAAACCTGCATGTTGTGCACATGTACCCTAGAACTTAAAGTATAATTAAAAAAAAAAAAAAGAAACACACTTCACCTATTAAAACACACAAAGAGTGAAACAAAGGGATGGAAAAAGACATTTCATGCAAATGGTAACCCAAAAAAAGCAGGAGTAGCTATATTTATATCAGGTAAATATAGATTTCAAGATAAAATCTATAAAAAGAGACAAAAAGGTCATTATGTAATGATAAAGGGATTAATTCAGCAATAAGATATTAACAATTTAAAGTATATATGCACTGAACACTGGATACATATATAAATATATATCTAAAGCAAATATTATTAGAGCTAATATTATTAGATATATAAAGCAAATATTATTAGAGCTAAAGAGAGAGATAGACCCCAATAATATAATCACTGGAGACTTCAACACTCCACTTGCAGCATTGGACAGATCATCCAGACAGAAAATCAACAAAGAAACATCAGACTTAATCTGCACTATAGATCAAATGGATTTAATAGATATTTACAGAACATTTCATCCAATGGCTCAGAATACACATTATTCTCCTCAGCACATGAATCATTCTTAAAGGTAGACCATATATTAGGGCACAAAACAAGTCTTTAAAAATTCAAAAAAACTGAAATCACATTAAATATCTCCTCTGACTACAATGGAATAAAACTAGAAATCAAGAGGAACTTTGGAAACTATACAAACATATGGAAATTAATCAATATGCTCCTGATGGACCAGTGGGTCAATGAAGAAATTAAGAAGGAAATTGAAAAAACTCTTTAACAAATGAAAATAGAAACACAATATACCAAAACCTATGAGATGCAGCAAAAGCAGTACTAAGAGGAAAGTTTAAAGCAATAAGTGCCTAAATAAAAAAAGTAGAGAAACTTCAAATAAACAATCTAACGATGCTTCTTAATGAACTAGAAAAGCAAGAGCAAACCAAACCCAAAATTAGTAGAAAAGAAGCAATAAAGACCAGATCAGAAATAAATAATATTGAAATAAAAAACAACACAAAAGATCAATAAAATGAAAAGTTAGTTTTTTTGAAAAGATAAGCAAAACCAAAAGAGCTTTAGCCAGAATAAGAAAAAAAGAAAAGATCCAAATAAATAAAATCAGAGATAAAAAAGGAGACATTACAACTGATACTGCAGAAAGTCAAAGGATCATGAGAGAGCACTAGGAATGACCATATAACAATAAACTGTAAAACCTAGAATAAATGGATAAATTTCTAGAAATATAAAACATACGAACATTGAACCATGAGAAATCTAAAACCTGAACAGACCAATAACAAGTAATGAGATTGAAGCCATAATAAAAAGTCTCCTAGCGAAGAAAAGACCAAAACCCAATTGCTTCACTGCTGAATTTTACCAAATGGTTAGAGAGGAACTAATACCAATCCTACTCAAATGATTTCAAAAAATAGAAGAGAGGAGTATTCTTCCAAACTCATTCTATTAGGCCAGTATTACCCTGATACCAAAACCAAAGACACATCTAAAAAAAGAAAACTACAGGCCAATATTGCCTGTAAAAGATACTAGTAAACCAAATTCGACAACTCATTAAAAAGATTATTCATCATGACCAAGTAGGATTTATTCCAGGGATGCAAGAATGGTTCAACATATGCAAATCAATCAATGTGATACATTCTATCAACAGAATGAAGGACAAAAACCATACGATCGTTTTAACTGATGCTGAAAAAGCATTTGATAAAATTCAACATCCCTTCATGATAAAACTCTCAACAAATTAAATATAGAAGGAACGTACCTCAACAAAATAAAAGCCATATATGACAGACCCACAGCTAGTATCATACTGAATGGGTAAAACCTGAAAGCTTTTCTTCTAAAATCTGGAACAAGAGAAGGATGCCCACTTTCACGACTGTTATTCAACATAGTACTGGAAGTCTTAGCTAGAGCAATCAGACAAGAGAAAGAAATACACAGCATCAAAATTTGAAAAGAAGAAGTCAAATTATCCTTGTTTGCAGATAACATAATCTTATATTTAGAAAAACCTAAATACTCAACCAAAAAACTGTTAGAACTGATAAATTCAGTAATGTTACAGGATACAAAATCAACGTATAAAAATCAGTAGCATTTCTATATATAATCAGTGAACAATCTGAAAAAGAAATCAAGAATGTAAGCCCATTTTCAATAGCTACAAATAAAATAAAATACCTAGGAATTAACCAAAGCAGTAAAATATGTCTGATGAAAACTATAAATCATTGATGCAAGAAATTGAAGAGGACACAAAAAAATGGAAAAATATTCCATGTGTATGGATTGGAAGAATTAATATTGTTGAAATGTCCACATTTCCCACAGCAATCTACAAATTCAATGCAATCCCTATCAAAATATCAGTAACATTCTTCAAAGAAATAGAAAAAACAATCCTAAAATTTATATGGAACCACAAAAGACCCAGAATAGCCAAAGCCATTGTATTAGTCCATTTTCATACTGTTATGAAGAAATACTCAAGACTGGGTAATTTATAAAGAAAAAGAGGTTTAATGTACTCACAGTCCCACATGGCTGGGAGGCCCACAATCATGGTGGAAGGCAAAGGAGAAGCAAAGGCGTGTCTTACATGGCAGTAGGCAAGACAGCATGTTCAAGGGAACTGACTTTTATAAAACCATCAAATCTCATGAGACTTATTCACTATCATGAGAACAGCACTGAAAAAACCTGACCCCATGATTCAATTACCTCCCACCAGGTCCCTCCCATGACACATGGGGATTATGGGTACTATAATTCAAGATGAGGTTTGGGTGGGGACACAGCCAAATCATATCAGCCATCCTGAGCAAAAAGAACAAAACTGGAGGAATCACATTTCCTGACTTCAAATTATACTACAGAGCTGTAGTAACCAAAACAGCATGGTATTGCTATGAAAACAGACACATAGACCAATGGAACAGAATTGTGAACTCAAAAATAAATCTATATATCTACAGTGAACTCATTTTTGACAAAGGTGCCAAGAACATACATGGGGGAAAGGACAGTCTCTTCAATAAACGGTGCTGGGAAAACTGGGTACCCATATGCAGAAGAATGAAGCTAGACCCATATCCCTTGCCATATGGAAAAATAAAATAAAATAAAAATGAATTAAAAACTTAAATATAAAACCTCAAACTATGAAACTGCTAAAAGAAAATATTGGGAGAACTCTCTAGAACATTGGTTTGGGCAAAAATTTCTTGAGTAATACCCCAAAAGCCCAGGCAACTAAAGCAAAAAATGGACAAATGGGATCACATCAAGTTAAAAAGATGCTGCACAGTATATGAAACAACCAACAAACTGAAGAGACAACCCACAGAATGGGAGAAAATATTTGCAAGCTACCCACCTGACAAGCAATTAATAACCAGAATATAAAAGGAGCTCAAACAACTCTATAGGAAAACAAATCTAATAATATTTTTAAAAATTTGGCAAATGATCTGAATAGACATTTCTCAAAAGAAGACATACAAATGACAAACAGGTATATGAAAATGTGCTCAACACCATTGATCATCAGAGAAATGCAAATCAAAACCACAATCAGATATCATCTCACTCCACTTAAATGGCTCATACCCAAAAGACAGGCAATAAGGAATGTTGGCAAGGATGTGGAGAAAAGGAAACTCTCATACACTGTTGGTGAGAATGTAAATTAGTATAGTCATTATGGAGACCAGTATGGAGGTTTCTCAAAAAACTAAAAATAGAGCTACTGTGTAATCCAGCCATCCCACCACTAGATGTATACCCAAAAGCAAAGCAATCAATATCTCTAACAGATATCTGTACTCCCATGTTTATTGCAGCACTATTCACAATAGTCAAGATTTGGAAGCAACCAAAAGTCCATAAACAGATGACTAGATAAAGAAAATGTGGTACATATACACAATGGATTATTATACAACCATAGAAGAGAATGGGATACTGTCATTTGCAACAACATGAATGGAACTGGAGGATATTATGTTAAGTGAATAAGCCAGGCACAGAAAGACAAACTTCACATCTTCTCATTTATTTGTGGGAGCTAAAAATTAAAACAACTGAACTCATGCAGATAGAGAGTAGACTGATGGTTACCCAAGGCTGGGAAGGGTGGTGGGGAGAGGGAGAAAGAGGAGACAGTTAGTGAGCACAAAAATATAGTTAGATAGAGTGAATAAGATCTAGTATTTGATAGCACAACAGGGTGACTATAGTAAACAAAAATTTATTGTGTGTTTCAAAATAACTAAGAGTGTAATTAGAATGTTTGTACCCAAAGAAATGATAAATGCTTGAGGCGATAGATACCCCATTTACCCTGATGTGATTATTACACAATGTATGCCTGTATCAAAATATCTCATGTACCCTATATATATTTATCCTGACTTTGTATCCATAAAATTAAAAATAATTTAAAAAATATGAGCACCAGAGGGTTACTGGCACTTTCTAGAAAATAGAAATAAAATCTTTAGATCAGATGAAAACACCAGTTACCACAAAGAAATTTGGCCTTTTTTCCTTACAAAGGGATCTGAATTGACCAAAAGACTTAGGATTTCACCAAGGTATGGGGTTTCCAGAAAAGTTTTGTTTGGAAAATATTTGAAAAAGAAAATAAGAATGATTTGGTATTCAATATGGCAAGATTTTTCAGGTATCTTTTATTGGTATACAAAGATTCATTAAGAACAGAAAACAAGGAACCTAACTGTTAGGTAACGTAGACCAGAGCAAGCAAACAGGTTAGGATAGAATAAGAAGAGAAGGAGAATTTATAGAGGGCAGTGTACTGAATATGAGCATTTTACTAAGCTCTTAACTTGGGTTTGTATAAGCCATTATGGGGTAGGTATTATTATTCTTGCATGAAGAAGGAAACTGAGCCAGGGAAGGTAAGTAATTTTCCCAAAGATCCTCAGTGGAAGAGGTAGGATTCTAATTCAGCCCATGCTTTTAAACTGCTCCCATGGACTCCTGACTCTAGGGGCTGCATTTTTAACCATGATGCTGTCCTCCCCTGAAGGGTCCTCCCCTTAATCTAGAACAGTTAAGGAAAAGCAGAACAGAGGCTCAATAGAGGCAGTCCTGGGTCTAGCTTCACAGCATTCCTGTCACACTGACAGATAAGTATGATTTATTTGAGTCTCTTTGTTAATAAATATCTGGGCCTATCTTTTTTTTTAATTCCAGGACTGTGTGCTTAGGGTGCGCTTAGGGTTTCTTCAGCCCAGCCACATTACTTCTTAAGTGAATCTGACTTCAATGTAGAGAAACTATTCATTCAGTAGGTGCATTGAGTTTTGCCACCAAAACTTGGGAATTAGAAAATCTATAAACAGTTTAATGGCAAGTGCATCCCTGGGAAGTAAGATGAATAAAACTCACCTTCATTAGTTCAGTCAAAACTATGTAAGTAAAACTGCATACATTATGAAAGAAGGAAAGCATGCTATTTAGTGATACTGAAATGTTTGTTGAAATAATTCATGTTAGAAACGATCGCAATGATTCAGTTATTTTTGATATCAATTCTGAATCACTACGATCATTTAGAACATGATTTTTATTAACAATGAATAACAACAATGTAGACAGGTTAAGAAGACAAAATTAAGGTAGCTTTAGGTCATAGAAAGTAGTATAATAATGGCCATACATTTAACTGTGTAAAATTTCATTTTAACTACAATAGTGTGAAGCTAGTGTAACATTAAATGACCCAGAATTATTGTCATGAACATGGACAATTGGAGCACATGGAATGGTCTGTCCTGATTCTGTGCCATACACTTATATTTCTGTATCTGATTCATAAATTCTTTTTCTCTTGTTGCTGACAGTTTGCAGCAATGCAATGTTCTCCAGCAGTTACTGCCTGTGATAGACACATTGTGTGAAGGCTGCCTAGCTCCCTGTAATCCCTTTAACTACTCCCTGATACACAGGAGTAGGATTCTAGAAGCCAAGTTTGTTTATAATGACCCCATTCCTGGGAATGGTTAATTGCATAAAGGGTGGGCAGCTGACTGTTGTTAGGCTAATTCAGGTCCCTTCCCAGGCAATGTGGAATCTGGAGCCAGAGTGAGTGTTAAATTCTCTGTGTGTCTGTAATTGTAACATGTGAACTTGGGAAATATGAGAAGCTGTCTTCTGCCCATCACATGATCTGGATACTTTCTTTCTAATAAAAAAAGAAAAGATAGGCTTAACAAGAAGGAGAAATAAGAGGCAGTGAAACAGTGCCAAGGATTGCCAATGGACCCATTCCCAGTTCCATTCCTTCCTGGAGCCCGGAACATTCCTATCCTTGGGATCCATAAGGTATCTCCATAGCCTGATAATAAATTTTTCTTTTCTTCCTTAAGTTCACTTCCTCCTTCCTAATAGCTCTCTAAATTTTCAGTCACATATTTTTAGTAGAATTGGCTCCAAATCTCAGTTCCAGAATAGGCCCAGGGTGAAGCCAGTTAATATAAGATACCACATTGTCCTGACCATGGTGATTGGTGCAGCAGTGGACACGTGACTTAATTTGGGCTGATTGAGGTATTAAGAGAATTTCATGGGAGTTTATGAGAAAACAGTTTCCCTTTTCATGCTTGAGAGTCAGCAAAAAAGACCTCTGGTGGGCATAAATGAGGAGGTATTTGTACTGGGTGCTGCTGACAGACACATTACAGCTATGCGGGAAGACAGATTTGAGATAAAGCCAGAACCCTGCAGAAACACACACACACACACACACACACACACACACACACACACACACACAAACTGGATTCTTGGCCAAGCTTTGCCTTTAGCCATGTATGATATGACACTTACATGGATGATAAATTTTATTTTAAATCTGCTATGAGCACTATATTAAAAAGCCAGAATAATTAGAACATGAGGAGAGATTCAAGGAAATCTATTAAATAAAGTACGCAGGTGCCCGTGCAGGCATGTGTGTTTAAGTACTATTTTTACCTGCTCCAAGGTCTTTTGGGGTTTATTTCCTAATTCTTGGATTTCTCAATAAGCAAGACTACCAAATAAAGGAATTCAGGATAAGTCTTAGCATATTTTAGTAATGAAGGAGACCTTGGAAAGATGAAATAACTTTGTATATAATCCATTTTATATATAATCCATGAAAGTTATTGCATATCTTCAGACATAAGTGTAGCAGGTTGTGAAATGCAATTTGCTGATTGAGAGAATCTCCTACACTTCATTTCTTTGTTATGTATAAGATTGTCATTCAATTTTGGATTTTAAGTGATTGCAAAGTCTCCCTTAATAAAATTCTGTTCTAGTCAGTATATTCATTTTTGGAGATGAATACTGTCAATAAGATGGATATAAATTTTCTGTCTTAGAACAAAGACACTGAAAACTAAACAAAAAAAATCCAGTATGATCATATGGTTTAGAATCCATTAGAAAGCTCTACAATTAACTTATTTAGATATGTGTAAATTATATTTTTCACACCTGGAATATTTTTGTAGCCTCTTTGCTACTATCTATTCTATGACATAGTCGTTATTGTCAAACTTACACATGAAACACAATTTATGAAGTTTTGTGGCTCAGTTGAAAGAAAATTAAGAGATATTTTATAAAGTCTTTTAAAATAATAAAAATTACAAGCTCCGGGTCTTTTTAAACATCAAATAAATGATGCATAATCTATTATGATTAATAGATTTATTTTTCTATCACAAGTGTAATGTGCATAGAAAGAAATATAATTATTCTCTCTTCGCTTCTGCACAGCAAAAGAAACTACCATCAGAGGGAACAGGCAACCTACAGAATGGGAGAAAAATTTTGCAATCTACCCATCTGACAAAGGGCTAATATCCAGAATCTACAAAGAACTCAAACAAATTTACAAGAAAAAAACAAAAAATCCCATCAAAAAGTGGGCAAAGGATATGAACAGACACTTCTCAAAAGAAGACACCTATGCAGCCAACAGACACATGAAAAAATGCTCATCATCACTGGTCATCAGAGAAATGCAAATCAAAACCACAACGAGATACCATCTCATGCCAGTTAGAATGGCAATCATTAAAAAGTCAGGAAACAACAGATGCTGGAGAGGATGTGCAGAAAGAGGAACGCTTTTATAATGTTGATGGGAGTATAAATTGGTTCAACCACTGTGGAAGACAGTGTGGAGATTCCTCAAGGATCTAGAATTAGAATTACCATTTGACCCAGCAATCCCATTACTGGGTATGTACCCAAAGGATTATAAATCATGCTACTACAAAGACATGCACATGTATGTTTATTGTGGCACTATTCACAATAGCAAAGACTTGGAACCAACCCAAATGTCCATCAATGATAGACTAGATTAAGAAAATGTGCCTGGCTAATACGGTGAAACCCCATTTCTACTAAAAATACAAAAAAATTAGCCGGGCATGGTGGCGGGCGCCTGTAGTCCCAGCTACTTGGGAGGCTGAGGCAGGAGAACTGCGTGAACCCAGGAGGCGGAGGTTGCAGTGAGCTGAGATCGCGCCACTGCACTCCAGCCTGGGCGACAGAGCTAGACTCCATCTCAAAAAAAGAAGAAGAAAATGTGGCACATACCCACCATGGAATACTATGCAGCCATAAAAAAGGATGAGTTCATGTCCTTTGCAGGGACATGGATGAAGCTGGAAACCATCATTCTCAGCAAACTATCACACGGACAGAAAACCAAACACTGCATGTTCTCACTCGTAGGTGAGAACTGAACAATGTGTCCCCACCTTGGACACAGGGTGGGGAACATCACACACCGGGGCCTGTCAGGGGTTGAGGAGCTGGGGGAGGGATAGCATTAGGAGAAATACCTAATGTAAATGATGAGTCGATGGGTGCAGCAAAACAACATGGCATATGTATACCTGTGTATCAAACCTGCACGTTGTGCACATGTACCCTAGAGCTTAAAGTATAATAAAAAAAGGAAAAAAATTATTCTCTCTTCAATATTTAATACTGTTGATCCACTCCCATTTTTCTTCCCCGTTGGTTCCCTGATACACACTGTCTTACCTTTCAGATTATGTCTTCTTTGTCTTTTTCCTTAGTATCTTTTTTTCACTTTGTGTTTGTATTAATTAGATTATGTTCAGCTAAAAGTAACCAAGACCGAACTACAGTGGTTTATACACACCATGATTTACTCTCTGCAGTAAAAGAAATCTGGTTACAGAATGCCCAGAGTTGCTATACAACAGCCCCACAAAGTCAACAGAATTCAAGTACTTCTACTTTGGTCCGTCCACCAAATATGGCTTCCTCAAGTCTACCCCATGGCCAATGTGATGCTAGAGTCAGCCATCACCTCTGCATTCCAAGCAACAGGAAGGAGAAATGGAGAAATAGGGCTTACTCTTTCCATACAACACTTATGCCTACAAATAATTGGCTAGAACTTAGTCATGTGGCCAACAACTGCATGGAAGGCTGAGAAATGTGGTCTTTTATTTCAGGAGGTGATAGGCTCAGCTAAAAGCATTTTGTAGGCTGGGATCAGTGGCTCACACCTGTAATCCCAGCCCTTTGGGAGGCCAAAGCGGGCAGATCACTTGAAGTCAGGAGTTCGAGACCAGCCTGGCCAACATGGGGAAACCCCATCTCTACTAAAAACACAAAAATTAGCCACCAGGGGTGGTGGCAGGAGTCTGTAATCCCAGCTACTCAGGAGGCTGAGGCAGGAGAATCGCTTGAACCCAGGAGGCGGAGGTTGCCGTGAGCCAAGATCGCGTTATTGCACTCCAGCCTGGGAGACAGAGCAAGACTCTGTCTCAAAAAAAAGTTAGCTTCTTGTTACTAAAGAAGATGGGGGAAATGGCTATTGGGTAGGTACCTAGCAGTCTCTGCAAACCTTCTTTTATCTGACAGTATATTTATTATACATTGGTAATCTGAACTAATCCCATTATTCCATGCAGAGCCCCTCAAATCTCTTTCAGCTTCTGTTTCCCTTCAGCCTTCCCTTTCCAATTTACAAATTCCTGGTAGAGTTTTCCATCCAGATCTTTCTCAAGATAGATTAGAATCTCAAATTCAACAATCTAAACTAAATTTATGATCATCTTTCTAAACCCCCAAACCAATTTTCACATAGTTCTCTGAAGCTTAAAGCCTACAGGCACACAACCAATACCACATGAAGCAGCTTTCCGATCCCTCTGTGTTTGCTGCCTTCAGACAACACAGCTTACTATGACCTATATCATGCTTCACATCACAATTTGCTTCTGATTTTATGTGATTATGTAATTCCCATAATAATTTTCATAAAAAAATATTTTTTCCAATTATTTTTGGTAATTTTTCTGCATTTGGCAAAGCCTCCCCAACATGCAGGACTAGCTTCATTATATGCCTCACCATTATGAAAGTAAAATAAGCATTACTGCTTGAAAGGATGCAAAACAAAAGACTGGAAATGTGATTTTGCAACTAGTTCTGAGTTTCCACCAATTCGTCTTCTCAATCAAAACTGTTCTAATTAGATCATCTGGTATGTGCCACACGGTCTTGTGGGTAGAGCAAGGGTCTACTAGGAGTGCTATTTGCAAAGTTCATTAATACCTGTTAGAAGCCATCCACTGGCTCAGATAACTTATGTTCAGATAGGAGCAAAGAGTTCTTTTTATGAGAACTTGGTGTGCAAATAAGCCAAGAAATAGCAGCATCTTCTATATGGCAAATAGAAATGGAGAGAACAATAAATACATCGTATAGGAGGAAAAGAAACCTCAATGTGTTTGAGGAGGTGAAGGGAGAAAGAAAAAGGGAAAGTGAAGAAACCTACTTTTGGTTGTCAGAAAAAGCTCATATGATACAGTCTCTAGAAGGTAATGTTGACACCCAACTTTGATGGCTGTTAAGGAGACATGGGTCGAGGTGAGTAAAATAATACACTACAGGTCCTTTATCCACCTCTCTACCAAAACTGACACCTCTGAAGTCACTAATGCTGAAGGTCCTTGTCTTCATCCTTCCCACCTGGCCTCTCCATAGCATCAGGCACTATAAATTGCATCATCTCTGTAAGCCTCCTCTCTTGTTTTGTTTTTTGTTTTTGTTTTTGTTTTTGTTTGAGATGGAGTCTGTCTCTGTCGCCCAGGCTGGAGTGCAGTGGCGCGATCTCGGCTCAATGCAAGCTCCGCTTCCCGGGTTCACGCCATTCTCCTGCCTCAGCCTCCCCAGCAGCTGGGACTACAGGCGCATGCTGCCACGCCCGGCTGATTTTTTGTATTTTTAGTAGAGACGGGGTTTCACCGTGTTAACCAGGATGGTCTGGATCTCCTGACCTTGTGATCCGCCCACCTCGGCCTCCCACAGTGCTAGGATTACAGGCGTGAGCCACTGCGTCCGGCCTCCTCTCTTGGTTTTTAGGAATTGAAGCCACATGTGGGGGCACAGGACTGTAGTTCCAGCTACCCGGGAGGCTGAGATGGGAGGAATGCTTGAGCCCAGGAGTTCAAGTTCAGCCTGGGCCACATAGTAAGACCCCTGTATTTTTTTAAAAAAGGAATTGAGGAACACTTCTATCTGATTCTTCTACCTCTCTGTTCAGTCCTCCTCAGACTCATTGCTGGTTCCTGTTTCTTAATCCATTTATTAGTCCTGCTGTTTCCTTGAATTTTTCCTTCATTTGCTTTTCTTCTCCTTTTTTTTTCCTGCTGATCTAACTTATTTTTTTAGCTTTAATTTTATGTATAAATGACTCCCAAATCTACATTCCAGTCCTGATTTCTTTCCTTATCTCCAGACCTATATATCTGTCTACTAGATATATCCACCTTAATAACTTCCAGGCATTCTGAACTCAACATATTTTCTTTTCAAATCTGCTATTGTCCTTTCATTGTCTGTTTTGGTTAATGACATCCTATCCACCCACTTGCCCAGGCTGGAAAACTTGGAGTCATCCTAGATTCTTGTATCTTTTTTGTTCCCATCTCACATTTCATCAGTCACTAAGATAGGTGGATTCTTACAGCACATACCACACAGATCCTTGTTGACTTGACCTTCCCCGTGCCCCACCTCCACTACATGAGCAATTTGAAAGCAGAAGCTATGTCTATTCAATTATGAATCCTTAGTTCATACCACTGAGCCTGGTACTTGGTACACTAGTGGCTTTGCAAATGTTTCTGTATTGTTGCTGATTCTCCTGAACACATATAATTTACAAGCATTGCTCAATGCTTGGGTCCAATAAGGCAGAGGTCCCCAACCCTCAGGCCAGGGACTGGTATTAGTCCGTGGCCTGTTAGGAACTCTGCTGCACAGCAGGAGGTGAGCAGCAGTCCAAGGAGCATTATGACCTGAGCTCCACCTCCCGTCAGATCAGCGGCAGCATTAGATTCTTATAGGAGTGTGAACCTCATTGTGAACTGCACATGCAAGGGATCTAGGTTGCATGCTCCTTATGAGAATCTAATGACTGATGATCTGTCACAGTCTCACACCACCCCCAGTTGGGACTATCTAGTTGCAGGAAAATAAGCTCAGGGCTCCCACTGATTCTATATTTTGATGAATTGTATAATTATTTCAATATATATTACAATGTAATAATAATAGAAATAAAGTGCACAATAAATGTAATATGCTTGAATCATCCCCAAACCATCCCCCAACCCCCTGTCTGTGGAATAACGGTCTTCCACAAAACTGGTTCCTGATGCCAAAAAAGGTTGGGGACTGCTGAAATAAGGATGAAGAACATCCTTTGATATATTTGTTTCTTTTAATAGAAAAGCACATGATACATTTACATTTTTCTAGTGGATTATAGTTCTCACTATAATTTCTATAGAGAAATCAAGATTTTTAATTTCTGTACTGAAATCAAGCCCACTTTCCCTTCAAAAGGAAGTACATAAAGGAAAGGATCCCATGAAAATGCCAAATACTATGCAGCCATAAAAAATGATGAGTTCATGTCCTTTGTAGGGACATGGATGAAATTGGAAATCATCATTCTCAGTAAACTATCGCAAGAAAAAAAACCAAACACCGCATATTCTCACTCATAGGTGGGAATTGAACAATGAAAACACATGGACACAGGAAGGGGAACATCACACTCTGGGGACTGTTGTGGGGTGGGGGGAGGGGGGAGGGATAGCTTTAGGAGATATACCTAATGCTAAATGACGAGTTAATGGGTGCAGCACACCAGCATGGCACATGGATACATATGTAACTAACCTGCACATTGTGCACATGTACCCTAAAACTTAAAGTATAATAATAATAAAATAAAATTTTAAAAAAATTGTCAAGAAGTTTCAATGAAGAGTGATTTGCCTTAGTTTGGGTCCCCTCCAAAGTGAGCCTGAGATAAGAACATGGGAGCAGATCTCTCCATATTTGGGTGGTGCTCCCAGGAAGCAGGAGTGAGGGAGAAGGGAGAGTTAGAGAAGAAAAAAAAAAAAAAACAAAAACCAAAAACAGGAAAGAAGGGTTTACTGGTTTACTGAGCTGGTTTCTACTGTGAACAACTGGGACCCAATCCCAAGGAGACCCTCCAAGGAAGTAATGCAGAATGCCCCAGCAGATTGTTCAAGTGCAGAAGAGGCATTTATCTACTGACTCCCTTCTACCCCTGGAGGAAGGTTATCTCCAGGAAAATAAACCTTTCTGCACTCCCGGGCTGCTCATATATACGGGCCAATGAATTCTGCTGATTTTGATAAAAACCACAGGACAGGAAAGAGGAAAGGCTTATGATGGATGCCTGATGTATGATTAATGGCATGCATAGCACTGTTCACCATGGCTGCAGTTGAAATCAAAGGTAAACTGAGAGAAAAACACATCTGTTCTAAGAATGAAATATGATAAAACTAGAGAAACAGGCTTTCTGGGTATCTGAACAGATGGGGGTGGGTGCAAGATGAAGACTTGAATGAGTTTAATGACTATTTCCACTAGAAACATCCTTGGGTGTTCCCTTGCTTTTTTTTAATTTTAAAAGAAATAGGGTAGGCTGGGAAGGGAGCAAGTGGTGAGGAGTGTGTCAGAGCCAGAGATAGACACCTGTATGCTGGCTCCCCCCACCCCAGTTCAACTCCCTACTGACTATCTCTATTTGAGAGGATGCAAAAGCTAAATAGTTTATTTCCCAGTCTTCTTTGCTAGAATACCTAGAATTACCACGTGATATCATTCTGGCAACAAAGCACTAGAGAATGGCCAGGTGCAGTGGCTCATGCCTGTAATCCCAGCACCTTGGGAGGCTGAGGCACTTTGGGAGACTTGAGGTCAGGTGTTTGAGACCAGCCTGGCCAACATGATGAAACCTCGTCTCTACTAAAAATACAAAAATTAGCTGGGCGTGGTGGTGCATGCCTGTAATCCCAACTACTTGGGTGGCTGAGGCACGAGAATCGCTTGAACCTGGGAGGCACAGGTTGCAGTGAGCCGAGATTGCACATCTGTGCTCCCGCCTGGGCGACAGAATGAGACTCTGTCTCAAAAACAAAAACATTAGAGAAAATCTGTTGACACTAACCTCTTTCTCCCTGCTCCTCTTCTACAGTCTTAGATGAACATGAATGTGATGTTCAGAGCTGTAGTGTCCATCTTATAAACATGAAGTGACAAACAAGGAAGAAAGTCCAAACTGATATAGAGGCAATGCAAATCCCAATAGGGCTGGGTCCTATTAAGCCTTGGCCAGTCCAGTCTGTGCAGGCCTCTGGCTACTGCTTCACCTAAACATTTCCTTTATGGAAAGGTGACTAGCTCAAGGAAAATGCTCAAGTCTAGCTCCAATCCAATTATCATAGTAGAATCCTATCAATCAGCGACATCTTTTTTTTTTTTACCTGCCTTGAATTTGAACCATTCATCATTCTATCTCCACCTGTGAATATGGTCTCTATCGTTGTCTCACTCTCCCAGTATTTACCTTCTTTCAGGCTTTTAACCTTCAGTGGTGTCCTTACTCAGTAGCACTCAGCCCCCCTTGCCTTGTTAGCCTGTTCTAGCCTGCCCCACGCTGTTCTCAGCTGCTCTCACCTGCCCTACCATGTTCTACTCAGACAGAGCAGAGATAACATAATGGGGACAGAAAGGACTGGAGAGCATGAGAGTACCCAGTTCCATTTCCCCCCATCTCTAGTTCTGATCAGAATGAAGTTTTCATCAGCTTCCCAGAGCTAGCATTACATTTATGAACTGTTCCATCCTCAGAGGAACAGGAAGGACTCTGGAACAAAGTTTCTTTTCAACTACAGTGCTATGCAGAAGAAGCAAAAATTTGTAGAAAGCAGAATGGGAGAATTTTGCTAGGCTCTTTCTTCTGATATCACCCCACCCTTTTTATATGCCATCCATACAAATTAAATTAATAATGAAATAATTAAATTCTAAGACTAAAATTTTTTAAAAACCAACACAGTTTTTGTTTTCCCTTAGTAAAAACACCAGAAGTCACAAGCCAAACACCAATAACTTGCTTGCCTGTCATCCCTTAAGCCACTTCTAAATCAATCATCCCTTCTCTAGTATGCACTTATCTCCTTGAAGCAGTAACAAGTTCTTGCAGGGCAAGGGCAAGGGGCTTCTATTTCTTTGTAACCCACAAGGAACCTAGTACAGTGTGGTTCACATAGTAGGAGCTCAAGAAGGCTTTAATGAGTGCACGGCACAATCATTTTCTTTGCTCTCATCCAAACACCATCCAAAGTGATTTACACTACTTGTTAAATGGCAGTCTTCTTAGATGGGGATGGAAAATTCCTGCCCTCTTTGATGGTTCATGGGCCAACATGAAATTAGATGGTAGGTGGGTGTTTAGTTACTGTAGGTAGACAACTTTTTTTTCTGAAGACATTGCCTTTTACAGTAATTAGCAATCCCGGTGTTTTTGGATGGGAGGCTGAATGAGTCATGGAGGCCTTCAGGTCACAATTGAAGCAGGTTTTAAAACCACATGGGAAAAACATCTTACCTGAGGAAATCAAAGTGTATAACCATCTATCATGACATCATTATTCATCTGTTCTTGTATTCATTCAACACATAATCGAGTAGCTACTGGACTGGGTGCTAAGCCACATATGCTAGATACTGGGATAGAGTATGAATGAATGAAATAGACAGGCTGCCTTTCTAGCCTACCCTCTAGTAGTAGATACAGACAAGTAAACAGGAAATTTCAATAGAGTACAATTATAATACACTTAATAGACAATTATATACAGGATAGTCAACAAATCCTGAATCCTTATATTTAAAAAATAAGGGTGATGAGATTACAAGTAGACTACCACACAGGAATCAGAAGAGCTTTGGCAAGAAGAACTGTGTTTTTCCTGATACTCCAACTCGTAACAATAAAAATGGCACAATTCTTCATACTTGCAGAGCATATGACAAGTTCTAAACTTCTGAAACATATATTATCTCATTTAATCCCCATAACAAGCTTTTTGAAAAATATCTTATTATAACCCTTCACAGATGAGGAAACTATGGCTTAGGGAAGCTACGTTACTCTGATGGACTGCTTTCACATCTTAACGACAACAAATAGCACATAGTGCTCTGTTCATTATGAGCATATCTGTACTGAATGCTATTTGATAATTATCAGTTTTCTAAGTTAAACTCTTTTGTATTCAAAAACGTAAATAAGATTTCTTTTTATATGTGCAGGTGTGCAATTTACCAAAGATAAAAGCACCTTATGAGAAATAGCTTGGGCACTGTGACTAAAAGACACCCAGAACTACTTAGAAATTTCAAGTCTCACTTTCTTTTATCTTGGAATTCTTTTTAAGTTTCTCAATTTTAAAATGTTCCACTCTCTCCTACATGGGAAAAAAAAGTAAAACCTGTCTTTCTATTTTGAGTCTGTAAAAACATGTTCAATGATCCTTTACATTGCAGTCAATATTCTCAGGCCCCACAATTGGCAAACAACAGCTGCATCAACCCACATTTCACTACCCAGGGGTAGATTAAATAACTAGTTATATTAGACCCTATTGTGGGGATTAAATAACTAGTTATATAAGACCCAACTGATCCTCAAAACACCACATTTTGTAATCATAGTGATATCAAATATATATATATCCTACAGATTTAGTTGTCCTTCAAAGCATGAAGGTTTGTGAAAATCAGTACATTCTGCTTGTAGTACTATACCAATATTTACACACACTGGTTATAATTTGGATGCTTTCTTATTACTTGTCAAGGCCTAACACATTATTAAAATAAATTTAGGGTTGTTTTAAAAACTAATGATTAGGATAACATATTGACAACTATAAAAGTATTTCAATTATTTTAAATGGTTTCAATCATCATTGTAAATGCAATGAACACTTTACAACAAAACAATCTTTAAAAAATACAATTATAATACAAAATATATTCACTATGAGAAATCACACACTTTTGAGATAATGGGAGAGACTCATTTATCTGTGGGTTTCTCACAATCTTTTCTGGGGACTTTTATTTCTCTATTTCTTTGTTCTTTCAGTCTGAAGTAAGCAAATATCTTGTTTCTGAGGTCTAAGAATGATGTTAGGATATTTGCCTGGTTTTCTAAAGGGAGAACATGTTCTAATTTTTCCAGTGCTTTTCTTACCTGTCATGCCACAAAAGTCACACCATATTAGCAGAGGTGGATTTACTGTGAAGAAAAAGGAGGTTAAACCTCAGGGCTCCTCACATAAACTGTTTCCTTCCAAGGCACTGGGAAGTCACCTATCAATGTATTCACATGGTCCTATGTTTCTCTCCCTTCCCATTTACCCTCCATCACATTTCCCTTGGGCTGAGTGGCACTGGAGTGGCATGAACATCTGGGGAGATTTTGCTGAGGCATACTTTCCCAATGGGGTGATAACACACCCAACAGGGGCAAAACATCCTACTCTTTTTATTTATTTATAAAGCACAGATACATATAGTACATAAACAAATATGCAATATATCTGCGCTATTAAAATTTCATGGAACTGTTAGGAAAAAAGAAGTCTAAGAATGTTCCTTAGAGAAGGGTGATGATGAAAAATAAGTTGAGAAACACTGGGCTAAGGGGGAAATTAAGTTGGAAATATTAATACATTTAGTTTAGGTTTGGTGGCATGTACATATGTGGTTTGCATTCCCTTTCATTTATATTTAAGCTATTGTAGGAATGGCCTCCAGAAATGCTCCTATTGCCCTCTGTGAAAACTTATCTATGTTATGACATGACATGACAGAGCTAGAGGTTATATGAATATTTCCTGCCATGCCCAGCCCCAGAAGATATAGGTAGCAGTGAGGTGAAAAGGGGCTTGAAATGTAAAAAGTTAGAAGCTACTCTGTGAAAAATTCTTCTCATCATCAGACATGTAAATGCATAAATAAAGGATTCAGTTTTTCTCAAAATTGTAGACTCAGGGGGTACATGGGCAGGTTTGTTACATGGGTAGACTGCATAATTCTGGGGTTTGGGTTTCTAGTGAACCCATCACCCAAATAGTGAACATTGTATCCAATAAGTCGCCTTTAACCCTCCCCCCCTTTTGCAGTCCTCAGTGTCTATTATTTCCATCTTTATTTCCATGTGTACCCATTGTTTAGTGCCCACTTATAAGTGAGAACATGTGAAATTTGATTTTCTGTTTCTGAGTTACTTCACTTAGGATAATGCATGCATGTTGCAGCAAAGAACATGATTTCATTCCTTTTATGGTTATACAGTATTCCATGTTGTATATTTACCACGTTTCCTTTATCCAGTCCACCACTGAGGGACACTTAGGTTGATTCCATATCTTTGCTCTTGTTAATAGTGCTGAGATAAACATGTAGGTGCAGGGGTCTTTTTGACAAAATGATTTATTTTCCTTTTTGTAGATAGCCAGTAGTGGGATTGCTGGGTCGAACAGTAGTTCTATTTTTAGTTCTTTGAGAAATCTCCATTGTGTTTCCATAGGGGTTGAACTAATTTACATTCCCACCAACAGTGTATAAGCATTCCCTTTTTACCATATCCTTGCCAACCTCTATTAGTTTTTGACTTTTTAATAATCGCCATTCTGACTGGTGTGAGATAGTATTTCATCGTGGTTTTAATTTGTACTTCTCTGATGGTTAGTGATGAACTTTTTTTATATGTTGACTTACACTAAGTCATAAAATAGAAGTTTTGCTTCTCACAATAATGCAACATGTACAATTATAAATGCACGTAGACTTTTATGGGGACTACACAAATAAAGTTCACCAGAATTCCTGTATTTGTGGAACTCAGCCTATAGTATAGTATAATCAGTAAGCATCCCTGTGTAAATACAGCAAGTTTCATGTTATACATTTGAGTATTAATAATAAAAAATAAAGTTCTATCAACTCTGCTAAAAAAGTCTGAGTTATGTTTTTATTTTCTCAGTACAGCAAAATTTTCAAAACCCAAAGGTGGCTGTCATTGGGTACTGCTTTTACCTCTATTACTTTCCTTTTGAATCTAAATCTCTTACAGCCAGTGGAGAATTGATGGGGATCGTGTCACTGGAAACTTGTATAGGGCAATGTCTTCCTTGAGTGTTGTATCTTTGCCTCCCATGCCTAGGAAGTACAAGATGGACGGTCCCTGCCCAACTACGAACAAGCAACTTGGGTGATTTCTTCTTTCCTTTCAAAGTTGCCCTTTTAGCTAATGTTAAAACAGCCGTGATTAGGATCATGAACTCTGGAGCTTGACTCTCAGCTCTGCCACTTAATAGCCATGCAAATTTACTTAATCTCTCAGCACTTCAGTTTTCTCACTTGTAAAGTGGGGATAATAATAGTATCTACACCAAAGGCTGCATTGAGAATCCACAAAATTACATTTTGAATGAAAATTGTTTACAGTTCTAATCATTTGTACATAGTTATACATATATCCAGAACAAGGATAATATGTAGGTACCAATGCAGTGTTGTTCTGGTGTTAAGTCCTCACCAATAAAACACTTGCTGCAAGTGGCTGGGTAGTGCCTGCCCAGGTGCCATGCAGAACCTCCTCCTTTTTTTTCATGCTAGGTTTGTATTGCCTTCTGTTTCACTTCTGTATTCCTTGGTGTATCAGACCCTAGGGCTTCTGTAACAAAGCACTAAAAACTGGGAGGTGGCTTAAAGCAATAGAAATTTATTATCTCACATTTCTAAAGGCTGGAAGTCCAGAATCCAGATGTCGGCAGGGCCATGCTCACTCTGAAACCTGCAGAGGAATACCACATTGCCTCTTCCTTGGTTTTGGTAGTTTGCTGTCATTCCTTGTTTTGCAGCTACATACTCCAGTCTTTGCCTTCACCATCATGTGTGTTCTTCCTGTGTGTCTCTGTCTTCACAGGGCTGTCTTCTCATAAAGACACTAGTCATATTGGATTAGGGACCAACCTTACTCCTGTATGATCTCACCTTAACTAGTTACATCAGCAACAATGGTATTTCCAAATAAGGTCACATTCTGAAGTACTGGGGCTCAGACACATTGCACGCAATCCATACCACTTGGGATTCCACATCCTGTGCTTATCTACACTGAGCCACATCAGCCTGGCCAGTTCCTTGTGCCAAGTTATCTTGCCCTATTTTGTTTGCCTTGAAAACCATTCTAGGATATTAAAATCATACAGGATATATGTGGATTTAGGTTGTAACAATGGATGGGCTTAAGATATATTGTTTGGTGTGCATAATTGATGAAAACTCTAGCATTTGTAAGACGAATTACTCTAGCAGATGTAAGACACACAGGTGTTTAGTTGTAGTGCTTCCCTGGGTAAGATAAAGTTATCAGTAAATGTGAGCTCTTGCTGCTAATCAGTGAGTCTTGGTAGGAAAGAGATCCATCATTTTAAAAACATACACTACCATTTGTTGAACAGTTACTGTCAAACACTACTCTAAGCACTTGAAATAGTTATTCTTTCACACACACACACACACACACACACACACACACAGGAAGACACTATTACTACCCAATATAACAGTTACTTAAGTGCTAGAGGTTAAATAAATTACTCAAGATCACAAAGCTAATAAGTGGCGAAGTTGAAATTAGAACTAGGCAGGTCGATTTCAGAGCCTGTGCCCTTAACCGTGACACATCCTGCCTCTAAATAAACTATATACTATTTTGTGAAAACTAAACAATTCACCAGATGACCTGTAGGTAGCTGATGGACTGAGGCTCACAATGAAACAAAGAGAAATAGTCTCAAGAACATCTGTGGCATCAGTGGCTACATTGCAAACATGGATTAAAGTCTACTTCCTCTGAGGCATCTTGGGAGAGAAAGGCCAGTAAGCTGAAGGACCCAAAGATAAGAAAGAGGGACTGGAAAAAAAACAAGTTCTCAACCAGTGGCTCTCAAACATGCCTATGTATTAGAAACACTTGGAGAACTTTTCAAAAAATACCATGCCTGGACTCCACTCTCAGAGTTACTAATTCAATTAATCTGAGATGACCCTAGCCGCTGGCATTTTTTCAAAAGCCCCTGATTTTATTCTAAAGAGCAAATAGTTTGAGACATTGCTCTGGACACACTGCAGGCTTCTACCATTGCTATTTCATACCTTTCTTGTCCTGAAGTTGAACCTGAAACCCAGCTCTACTCCTCTAGTTCTCCCTCCTCAACCCAAATTCAACAAGTCCAAGGTCAGGGCCTTGGGGAAGGTCAGCCACCTTTTGGAGGAGGCTTTACAACAATATTAATCCCAACCACCAGGGAGGGGACCCCACAGTGGGTGACTCCTACTCTGAGACCAAGAGATAAGAACAAGAGAGAGGGGCAAAAATTCCTTCCTTGCCGCCCTCCCTCCCAATTGATTTCACTTTACAAAGCTGGAATTCATAGTGCTTCACTCAGTTTTTCCTCCAAAGGTAGACTTGAGAAGAAAAGATAATGTGCTACTGCAGAGCTGGGACTTCCCATGAGCCTGGTACTCAGCATAGGTTCACAGAGTAAGTGAGGAAACCAGGTTTCAAACTTGGGGCTGTCTAGTGTTTCCAGGGAAAAGTCATTGATTCAGTTGTGATCCCTTTTATTGACTTTTTCAAAGAGCCTCTTTTCCTTTAAATGTCACCCACATAATCAGTGAACCTGAGCAATGAGTGCGCAACAGAGATCTCAGTGAGGGCTGGCATGGCAGAACCGCTAAAGTAGAACCTGGGTGATAGGAGGACATTATTATCAAATCAGCCAAAAGTAGCTAGGACCAAGGACAATACCTTGTAAGTTTTGTCCTAGGTGGTCTCATAGACTTTGATTCCCCAATGGCCCAAGGCTGTGAAAATGATTCCACCATCAGGACAGGTCTACCTGAGATTTAAGCTCTGCCTTAAAAGCTTAGTGAATTCTCACCTTCAAAGTCATGTTCTGGGAGATCTGACTTTACAACCAAAATTCTGTGTTAGAATTTACCCAGCAACGTGGAGATATAGCTGTCCTAAAGGAGATAATCCCTAAAGGATGTTGGCTGGGGGACAGGAACAGAAGTGAGTCCTTCCCAAGAAGAAAAAAGGAGCTAGAAAATCTTGACTGAGGAGAAGACAGGGTTTTACTTAGTCACTTAACACATTCCCTTTCAGAAGTGCAATGGAGAAGAGTGGTTTCTTCTTTTTAGAACACAAAGAAAGAAACAATAGAGAAAAAAGAAAAATCACCGTTTCAGGGAAACTAAAGTCTATAGCAAAATAAAGGCCAAAGATATATTGATTCCTGGGGTAGCTTTTTCAATTCTGGAATGGTTTTCAACTAAGTATAAAGATTCAAGGTGAAAAGAAAAAAAGAAATCTGTGTAAACCCAATGAACACAGGGCAAGATTAAACAATGATTAATGACAGCTAAGAATTTGCAAAGTACCCAGTTGTTGCTGTCTTTATTTATTTAATCATCTTTCTGTATTTTTAACAATATGACTTATATAGATTTATATTTTTGCTCTTCATTGTTTATTTACATTTTTAAAAATTTAATGGGAAATTATGTATTTTTATTTCCATGAATTATGCCTACAGTAAGCCTAACTGTGTTGAAGGTTAAACTGCATTATTAATATTCTGTCCTCTGGGGCCCTGTCACCACACACAGGCATCTCTTCTCCCACTGAAGATCCTTAGATTTGAGGAGATTCACAGGCAAGGCAAAAAGTGGAGATTACCAGGTAGAAATTATATGATAGGGTCAGGGAAGACATCAGTTCCTCACCCTCTCTTCCTTACCTATGCCTTCTTGGCAAACTCCAGTTAGCTGTATTCTTCAATCCATTCTTGCTGTATCTGTGTTTAACCATAGAATAAAGTTACAAACCTGGGCTGAATGAAGCCACAACAAAACCAAGTTATATAACCCAGTTTGACCCTTCCTGCTACTCGACAATGCTCTCTCTTTATTCTTATTTTTTAAATTAAATTAAATCTTTTTTTTTTTTTCCTGAGGCCAGTCTTGCTCTGTTGCCCAGGCTGGAGTGCAGTGTATAACCATAGCTCACCGCAGCCTTAAACTCCTAGGCTCAAGCCATCCTCCCGTCTCAGCCTCCCTAGTAGCTAGGACTATAAGACATGCACTACATCCAGCTAATTTTTAAATTTGCTTTCTCTTTAATGGTTGCCCCATTACAGGTCTAAGGATACTTATTCTAAATGTTTCCTCAATCAAGCCCCCAAATCACTGCTGAATATTCACTGAATAGTTTCCCATACAATTTAACATAAACCAAGGCCACTCAATATAAATCTCTTATATTTTCTTTTTTCAAGTTACATTTTCTCAGTATTTCTCACCACCCAAACTCATCTTTCATTTAATGTCTCTTTCCTAAGCCCTCTGCAAAGTTGATCCCACCACATTTCACTTCAGGAACATCATTTTCTCAAAAAAATTCTCTATGTCTTGGCTCTTTAATCATTCCTTCTACATTGACATTCTCTTCAAATCAATAATATTCTGTAGCACCTCCCAGTCTTAAAAAAAGAACATTTGTAATAACACTACTTTTACCTGTGTTAAAGTGTATATATGTCTTACGTCCTTATTAAAGACTCCTTAAGAGCAGGAAGTAAAATGTAAACATCTTTCTATTTCCCCCAAAGTCTACCATTGAGCCTTATATACACAGTATGTGCTCAGTGAAGGTATACTGAATGAATGAATGAATATTTTAAATCTCATTAAGTTATTCTTGGGCTTCTTCCTGGTCTTTGAAATGAAATCCATAGGAGTGCTCTGAACTTGCTTCGGTGAAGGCTCATTATAGGGTTTGGAATGTGTGAAGGATTCCCTGGACTCAATACGTGGGACACCCTCTCAGATAGTTACTTTCTCAGTAACTACCTAACAGGCATGTATCAGGCTACATCAGAAATTTCCAAATTACTACATTCTCATTTTTTATTGCAGGGTTTCAACTTGCCCTAAAAATCTTTCACAGTTAATTGTATCAGTGCAAAGGGTGTACTTCACATGTGTCTGTCTTGGCTCTATCACACTTTTCTACAGTCTAGAGGGCCACTGGAAGGAGCATCACTACAGCCTCTCAGAAAAACATAAAGGTCTATGCCAGGGGTGCTTCTCTTTCTCTGGTGCTCCCAAAGCTGATGATCCTCAGGGAACCACAGCCATACTGGCCTTGAGAAGGGGACCAGGCTTCTCTATAACTTGGTACACATTTTGTCACTCAGCCTATCCAAAAAACATTTCCTTTTGACCCCAAGCTTCTCTTCTCTCTCAGTCCAAAGGGTAACAGAGGTCAAGGGCCATCTCTACTTCAATACCTAGGTTTGAACCTAGTTCAAGGAACCAGGCAGGGAACAGATCTTCTACCATCACTCCATTTGCCACAATTTCTTTCTCCTGCTGTGGCCCAGACCCTAGAACACTTCTCTCTCCTCTCTTCAAAATTCTCTTGCTTTAAGTGGATGCAAAAACAACTGCTGAGGGTGGGGAGGGTGAGACAAAAGCAGAGAGTGTTATCCATGTTAGCAGGGCCCAAGACCTGGGTCAGTCAGTCCAATGCCATGTTATAATTCAAACACTGAAAGACACAATCTATTCCTCAGGCAGTAAATCATGTCACAAGCCATTTTAGGATTCTTGTTTTGAAACCGAGAATTCTGTACCATTTGCCAACAGCCAAAACTCAACTTTCACTGAAATTCTCATGTATGCTAGGGAAATCTAATAGATTGTTTTCAACCAATTCTTCTTTTATTTGTATGAAAAAGATTGGATTTTCCAGGTTCATGGAACACCACCTTGGGGACTCTCTTGCCTGCCAAGGTCTTTACTATTCAATCTGCCAGGCCTCCTATTTAGACATTTAGGCATTTAGATAATGCCAGCTGGTCTCCAAGCACTTCCCCAAAGTGATCTCAAACCAAAAGCAGACTTTGGAAGACAACATCAAAGAATTTATTAGAAGGCCTGGCATAGTGGCTCATACCTGAAATTCTAGTACTTTGGGAGGCTAAGGCAGGAGGATTGCTTGATGCCAGGAATTTGAGACCCACCTGGGCAACATAGTGAGACTCCATCACTACAAAAAATAAAAAACTTAGTCAGGCATGGTGGCATGTGCCTGTAGTTGCAGCTACTTTGGGAGGCCAGGAGTTAGAGGCTGCAGTGAGCTATGATCATGCCACTACACACCAGCCTGGGCAACAGAGAGAAACTCTATCTCTGAAAAAAGACAAAAAAGTTTGTCAGGACAATTTTTGGGTAGTGCAGCTGATCTAACTAGGATCTCATAACCATGATCTCTAACATGTTTAGAGGTTTTTAGAGGTTTTGAATTTACAAAACAAACAGAAATCCTTGACTTTATCTGGCTGTTTCCTATAGAGTTTTTTAAGTCAGATAAGCATGTTTTTTCCACGATCCCTATCCACACCCTGTTTGAGAAGTTCTTAAAGGATGAGAAAGAGGGAATGAGGGTAAAAAGCAGATAAGAGAAATTCAGGGAAACAAGGAGTTACAGTGTAAGTGTGAGAGAGAAAGAGAAAGTGAGAAAAGCCTAGAAGACAATCTGTCTTAAATTCATAGAGAGGAAATACTGCTAGAAGTGCTGATTCAAGCACTTTGGGACTACTTTAAAACTGAATGCCTTGTTCCAAAGATAGGTCTCTGAGGAAGCCAGGTTTACTCTCTTCCCTTGTTGCCAGAGTTGACATTCGGGGAAGGAAAACAGCCTTGTATGTTTTCCCCCAAATGACTCTACAGCTAGACTTAACTTCTTCCGTTAAGTGGGCCTCTTTAAATACAGCCCTGAATCTAGGAGTTGTAACTGAAAATATGTGTTAGTAATCAAGAATCCTGTTCTTGACAGGCTCTCAAGATGGTTAGTTAGCTCCCAAGAGGATTTTCTCTTTGCTGGGTCCTCACCTTCTTTGAAGGCAATCAAGAGCACTTACACAAAACAGGACTATGAGACCATTTTTACATGGCTGTGGTCCAAAAAGAGGTTTACTGGGCATTTCTTTATGAAAGAAAGTTGCTAAGCTGTAGTAAACACCCACAGATCTCTGAGGCCAAGAATGAATCAGAAAGTTAAAAATAGTTATAAAACTTGATCATTTCCTTTTCTGTGTAATCTATGCAAGGGGTGAATAGGTTAGTACATTTCAGAGAGTTAAAAACAGGACAGGCTATAGAGCTTTTGAGAACTCTTTCCTGTAGAGAAGTCAATGTTAGCCTCGGACCTCAACTTTATCAACCCTGATAAGCTTCATCATGATGCAGATTAGCAAGTGACAGGACAGGGTTTTCTAGTTACGAGATGGTGTATGGTTGTGAAGCAGGAAATGTTCCTTGACCCCTTCATGGGTGGGAAGTGGAGTGCAGGTGCTGGAGCTAGCCAGCTGCTTCAGTGCTGGCAGGGGCAAACTCCATTCACTGGACCCCATTGCACTCAACCCCTTGTGGGAGGGAGCATGCAGGTGAGTGGGTTCAGGAGCTGGGGTGAGTGCTTTTGGGTGCTAGCAGGAGCAAAACTCCATGTGGGCCCCACAGCAGCATCTATGGGGGAGTACTCACAACCCCTGAAGCCCCAGAAGAAGTGTTACAGTCAGCGCTCTTTCAGCTTTGCCATCCACGGATGGCTTAAGTGTTAATAGCTCAGTGGAGGGTCAGTGTGACAGCCTTTTCATCTGCACCCATGAGACCCAAGCTCATGTTCAACGTCCAGGAAAAATCAGGTGTCATGAACGAATTGAAGGGTGGTGAATGTGGAGGAATTTATTGCTGATGAAAGTGGCTCTCAGTGAGAAGGGGAGCTGGACAGGGGATAGAGCAGGAAGGTGATCTTCCCCAGGGATGGCAGGACTTCTCTCCAAAGCCATACCATCAAGCTGTCCCTCTGAAGACAAGCTGCTTCTTTCCAACATCAAACTGTAGTCCCTGACGGCCAGCTCCTTCTCCCCTTTTCTTTCTCACCTCCCTCCGCTAGCGGCTTCTCCTATTCTCTTCCTCTCCTCCCTCTGCTGGGGTTTTTATGGGCACAGATTAGGGGTGGCGTGGGCTATGGGTGGTTTTGGAAAAGACAAGATTCAAGTGGGAAAACAGGGATGCAAAGTTCTAACTTCAGACAGCGGTTCCAGGCTCGAGGGTGGGGCGTTTGCCAGGGACCCACCCTCTTCTGCACAGAATTTCCCTGACTCCTGTCCCTATCAGTTGTAAAGCCAGAAAACCCTTAATGAGAGTTCTAGCCAGAGTAAGACACTCAAGAATCACACCCCTCTCCATCTTGTGACTGATTGGCTTTTTCTGATCAGGGTCTTAGAGAGAGCTACATGGTTACTTGCCCTCTCCAAAGTGTGCTAACACCATTGTCGATGTGAACCTAAGATTGTACACATCAATGAGAAATTTTTTAAAAATTACACACCTAGTTGGAAGCATAGTATGGTTCCAATGTTTTGCTAAGATTTGAGGCCTTCAGGGTACCTGTTTATTTCCAAGATTAGTGCAGTGTGATCAGCCCACCCCAAGTGCAAAGGCACTGACTCCATGTATGTATATGCAGTAGGCAAATGTTTCTGAGAGTGGCGTCATCAATTGTCCATGACTTAGTTCTGCCTGTAGCAATTCAGGAGTGAAAGGCAACCCTTGCTGCTTCCTTCCCAGAATGAGACTTTCACTGAGAATTCATCTGCTTGCTGGAAACTGACAGCCATAAAAAAACCTTAGTTTCTTTCTGGAAGCCAGACCTGGTGCTGGAAATATAAAAGTTTGCTCTTACTCCAGAGAAGAGTGATTTATCATGGGGGTCACAATCTGCTGCATCAGTCTGTGACATGTTGCAAAACTGGTATGAGATTTCTTTCTTTGATCGAATCAACTATGTTTGTGAACTCTAATTTATCAACATTTCTCTTGACCATATGGGTTTCAGACAGCAATCCTGCCCTGTAATTCTGTATAGAATATCACTCCAGTCCCCTGAGGACTTATTCTTTTTCTTTATTGATTCAGCCTCAAGACTGCAGTTGTTCAACTGCAAGGTAAAATGAGGTGTCTCCCTGTCTGTTATTACCTTCAGCTTAATTCACCATCACTCCCATGTCTGCAGCTTGTTTGGGTATTCCCTGGGTGTTTTTTTCTTTTTGTCAGGGTTATTTATTTATTTATTTTATGGCGCAGAATATATCTACAGTGTCGAAATGCAGTCTGCTTTGCTAATTTTATTAGTCAGAATATTAGGGATTTAAAACTGAAGGGTTTATAAATCAGACAATTTTTCACTTTTCTGTTACAGCAACTTAGACAATGCCCATTATGTGACACTTCCCTCTACCATAATCAGAAAGACAGGAAACCACAAATTACCTCATTTTGCCTGATAATTCTGGGCTCTGACTCACTTAGAAGGTGTGATTAGAATCATAGAATTTAAATCTTGAAGGGAATAGAGAGGTCATCTCACTGACTTATCATGGGAATCACCTGAGGCTGTTTTTTGTTGCTTTTTAAAAATACAAGATTCCTTTTCTCTTCTCCCCACCCCCGGAGATACTGATTTTCTAGGTCTGACTTGGAGCTCCAGAATCTGTACTTTTAGAAGGTTCCTAGGTGATTCAGAGCATTAGCTCAGTCTGTTATCCATTATACAGTTCTCTCTCCCTTCAAATGAAGGAATATCTACTTTCACATTCTTGATTTGTGAATATCCAGCTTTTGTAGGAACAGTGTAAGAAATGTGGCCTTCCCTGTAGAGTCATGCTTGTCACTTCACAAATTGACTGCATAGTACTACACATTCGTTATTTACTCTTTCTCAAGCATGTGTTGAATGCTATGCTGAGTCCTAGTACTAGCAATAGGAACTATTTGTGAAGGACTCGCAAAGGACAAGCACTGTACAAAACATTTTACAAACAAGATATTTAATCTGCACAACAGTCCTCCTGCGAGGTAGGTTTGTATAGATGTACCCATTTTAAGAAGACATTTAGGAGAGAGAGAATTTAAACCAACATCTTCTGAAGTCTCTATTGCTCATATGTTTTCCAGTATACCATGTGTATCATCCAGTTACACAATAATTACATAGATAGGTAGATACACTAACACTATGCTTTTTTAAAAGAGAAACTAGTTTCTCTTAGTTTCAGGAAATATGCTTATTTTTTTCTGACCATCTTAATTATGCAAATAATACTTATAGTCAATAACTATTGATGACTTATAATCTCCCAAATACACCCAGGTACCATAAATACCATTTTATGCTATTTACCTGTATTAATTCATTTCTTAAACAAATCCTATGAAGTACATATTATTATTCTTCCCAATTTGTAGATGAAAAAAATTAAGACTTAAAGGGCCAAATAACCTGCCCAATATCTTGGGCAGCAAGTGGGCAAGCTGGGATTTAAACCTAAGGAGTCTGGCTCTAAAGCCTTTGCTGTCACTCACTATACTCTATTATCTCTCAAGCATAGACACCAGTTATCATGGGTTAGAATATAAAAAGGCATTATTATTTTTTGATGATGATGATGACTTACTCCATCAGTGCTATCATTTCCTAAGACCCCTGTCACTGGAGAGGAGGTAGATTATGTTTGTTTGTTTGAATTTTCCACATTTTATTTATATCAAAATCAGAATTTATTATAATTTTACTTTCCTGGCTTAAAAGGAAGTTAACTTATCTATAATATATTTAAAATATTCTCAGTTTATCTCATTTCAAAATGAGAGTATTGCCAAATACCTGCATGGCTTTTTTATAATTAGCAATTATCTTAAGTAATTTTTCATGTATTTCAGCTCACTGAAACATCTCTGCAAACCCCACTGTGACTAGTATTGAATCCGGTCTACTCTCATTTTTTTTTTTTTTTTTGTAATGGATCAAGTTTTTAAAGAGCTCAAAGCCTTTGGGACAAATCCAGACCAGGAGATAGGGAAAGGAATTAAGGCCTTTGAAATGAAATTATTTTGAGAAAGGTAAAGTCTAGGATGGTTCTCTGGGGTCAAGGAAAGGCTCACGAGGATGGTCATGAGTGAGGATTGCTATGAGCATAGTCTTGGGACTAGTGCCAGAGTACCTTTGGGCTCTTACAGCAGAGACAAAAGAGGGTTTGGGGAATGAGATAACACAAAAAATTAGCTAGTCAAGTCAGACTCACCTAAATCCAAACCTTTACCCAACATTGAGCTTTTACAAAAATTTCAAGATACAGGCAATCAAGAGACTCAAATGAAGCAAAGAGGGATCTGAGACATTGAGGGTGGTTCCTTGGATCCTATCTTTTCATGTCAAACATTTACTCTCTGGCCCAGAATAATAAATGAGGATCTTCTAGTGACATTTAAAGGTTTTTTTTTTCTCACGCAGAAGGAGGAGCATTTGAGTCATACAATATCTCCATTTTATATCTCAAAGAATGACATTTTCCAGGGAGCTGTGCCTTATGTCGCCATATATCGTAGATTTATTTACACTAAGTCAGTGGTATTCAACAGATGAAATCTCTTCCTGCTAACAAACATCATTCATCTATTTACTTAGAGGTCCAATTGATAAGAAAATCAGATTGGGGCACTTGCCCTCTTTTCTTTCTCTCAGAGGTTGGCCCTTGGTAAAGGAAATTAATGGGTCACAGGCCAGATGCTTTACTTTCTTTGTCCATTGTAAACTGTGGCTCAGCAAGAGGAGACAGAGTGGCAGAGCTGGCCCTGGACCAGCATGAGCATCCCCGAACAGTGGACAAGCACTTTCCTTCAAACTGGGTCACACTATGCTTGAATAGAAACCCAGTGGGATGAAAAGATCCCCATTGGACTGAGTAAATCTCTGAAAAATAAAAGCTGTTACCTTATTTGTATACTACATTGAATAAACTGTTTATATATTTCCATGTGTAAATAAATAAATGTATGCCTACAAATAGTATTGACCATTCATAACAAGTCCATAGACTAGTGCAGTGATTCTCAAGCTGGGGTGATACCACTCTGCCCAGTAATATTTGGAGATGGGTGATGAGCCTTTTTTGGTTGTCACAGTAACTAGGGGGCACTGCTAGCATTTAGTGGGATGGAGCCAGGAACACTGCACAATAAATTGTCTCACTCAAAATGCCAGTATGTACTCTGTTGAGAAACTTTGCTCATGAGAGATCCACAGGTATGCCATCATAGTCTGCATGACAGAAGTGTGCCAAGTTCTACCTATGCCGCATTGTGGTATGCTGAATTTATCCCAAAACAGTGGTAGGGAGGAATTAAGAGTAGTTCTGTACATACACAAATCTTTAAAATGAGTCTGATTTTCACTACTTCATGTGTTAGATAATTTCAGTACTGACAATCCCTATGGGAGATATGCTGTTTATTTAAATCCACAAGAGGCTTTATGATTTAAAATTCCCACTGTTTTACAGATTTCTTTAAAATAGGATAGGGAACACTCATTTTGTTTTATAGAATGAAGTGTTGCCTGCTTGTAGAACTGTAAATAAAGCCAGTTAAGGTCTTTAAAAATAAATAAATACAAAATAACATAATATGGATTCTTACTTGTTGAGTATGGTTTAAACATTATACTCCTGGAAAACACAGAGTAGATAAATTGATCTCTTAAACTCCCTGCTAGCCCTTCAATTATGTAAGATTATAATTAGCCCTGAGAGATCCTCCACTGCAAAACTTTCTATTTCCTGTCAAATTCAAAAATGTTTCCAGTGCATTCATGGATTGAACAGGCTCTATCTGATCATGGTGGCTCACTTTTCCCATGAGTTCAATAGGTTATATTTTTAGCATTTTTCTGAAGCCAGAAAAGGAGTCACCCAAAAATCCCAACAACCCCAAATTGCTAATTTTCAGAAGGGAGTTTTTGGCCACAAGTGGTGGAATACTTTTCAAGTGAAGTAAAATGTGGCTTGAGTTAAATGTATTGTCTATTTCTTCTCCATTCAGATTAAAAACATTTTTGAATGTCTAGATAAAACTAAAAATACTTCTTAATTCAAAGAATAATTGATATTTAACTTGAATCTTTGAATATAATTCTAAAAAATGAAAGATAAAGTCATTTGTGTAAAGTCAGAGCAAAACTGAAGATAATGAAAATTTATGACATATTCTAATGCTTTTTCTTTTTCTTTAATATATAAGTGATTTATTGATTCAGTAAACATTTCCTTAAGGCCTATAGTGTGCAAAAAATCATGCTAGCTACTAGGTAAACTGAGATGAATGAAACAAGGGCTCTGCTCTTGACAAGTTACATTTCTTCTTTTACATTATTGGGTTAAAATGAATCATGTTCTAGCAATTTGCCTTTTTTTTTTACTTACAAAAATGGCAGTTTCATATAGTTCAACTTAATAGTTACTATATTGTGTTGCACTGGTTTAGCATTAGAATGATAAGCAGGCATTCCTGATGCGGAGAGGTGGAGAGGAAGATGATAAGAAGGCATACTTGTGGCTATGCTACTGAGATTAGGCTGGATCCCAAGGCCTATGAGAATCATTTCTACAGTGTTCAGAAGAAAGGGTAAGGGTGAAAAACACTATTAATCTGTACTATTGGTGGTAGTTTAGGAGATGAATGCAAGAAAGGAGAAGTTGGAGGTCATGGGATTACTTGTAAGTCTATTCCATTAATTTAGGTGAGAAATAATGAGAACTTGAATCAAATCTATTCTACAAATATAGAAAATATTTGTGAAAATAATGAAATGGCCATGACGGTTAATTTTATGTGTCAACTTGACTGTGCCTCAGGGTGCCCAGACATTTGGTCAAATATTATTCTAGGTGTGTCTGTGAGGGTATTTCTGAAAGAGATTAGCATTTGAATTGGTAGAGAGAGTAAAGTAGATTGGCTCCCTAGTATAGGTGGGCTTCATTCAATCAATCGAAGACCCGAATAGAACAAAAAGCCTGAATGAGAGAGAGCTCCTCCTATCTGATTGTTTGAGCCAGACATTGGTCTTTTTCAGCTTTTGAACTTGGGCTGAAATAGTGCTGTTTTGGTTTCTTGAACTGGAACTCACACATCAGCTCTCCTGCGTCTCCAGCTTACCAACTGCAGATCTTGGGACTCTTCATCCTTCATGGCCTTCATGGGACCCAATTCCTTTTAATAAATTTTTGTCTCTCTCTCTCTCCATAATATGTTTACACACGCACAGATCCTATTGGTTCTATTTCTTTAGAGAACTCTGACAAATACAGGTTTTGGTACTGAGAGTGGTTCTAGAGGAAAAGAATTTTAAGAGTGAGTATTCTGAATTGGTTCCGGGGATTCAAGAATTTGTTCTATTGTCTGCTTAGATTTAAAGATGCTAATTACTCTATTTCTAGTAGTAAGGAGAGCATTGATAGTCCATGGTATGATCTGGCAGTAGAGATATGCAAAATATCACCATTGGATACTCCCAATTAATCACTTATAAGAAGCAAGAATCTGACTGTGTATATGATATTTTCAAATATTTTTGGCAAACTAATGAATATAATGAAATTGTCTGATCACTCTTGTTATTTCAGGACAAAGTGTAGAAAGAAAAGTATGAGCTCAGGGATTTGAATTCCAAGTCAAGCACTACATAAATAACCTGAAAGCTTCTATGCCCTCAAGCAGACCCTTATCTCCTATAACTACAGTGCTGAGATTGCTGAAAATCAAATGTGGAATCTCATCCTGTGACTAGCAGAACTGCAATGCAAGTTGAACTTCTAGCCTCACAGGGTGACTATTGTTAAAGTAAGTGCATTGATTGGGAAAAAACTGGATCCTGAAAGTTGAAATGGGTATGTGTGGGAAGACCTTTATGAAGCTGGGTATTCTGAGCTCCTAAATTATGGTAAATATTTTTGCCAGTGGAAGAGTCCTTCCCACTTGCAATAGCACAGCCTCTCCACCCCAAGCAGGAGCAGCCTCTATATTCCTATCTGAGGGGATTAGCCCTGCACTGTCTGAGGAAATTATGATGGCACCCCCTGAAACAGTTGTTAAGACAATGCTGAGTCTCCTCAGGATCCACCTCATGATTCCTCTTTGCTTCTAGACCTATAACTAGACTCAAGCTCCAGCAGGCCCCCAAAGATGCAGAAAGTATGACCCATAAGGAAGTATATTACACTTCAAAAGAACTATTTGGTTTTCTAACTTATACAGATACAAATCTAAGAACATGTGTGGGAACGGATATTAAGAGTATGAGATAATGGTTGAAGGAACATAAAGTTTGGTTGAGCTGAATTTATTGATACAGGCTCAGTAAGATGAGATTTTGCATGATCTTTGTTTGCAGAGCAGGAAGTTGCAGCTCACGAAGTTAGAAAGGGCTCTAATAATTTGGTTGGTTGGCTGAAACACAACTGGTTCACAGTTGAGCAAGTTGGAAATTCTGGACCTGACTTGGTTTATTGTAGAGGAAGGGATTCAAAGGTTTAGGGAGATTGAATTGTTGGAGTGGATTTGTCATTTAAGACCTATTCACTTCCACTGGGAGAGTATCATAGCTTTCACCACAACTACTAGAAGTAAATTTATGAGGGCAGATTTGGCATACTTAAGAGATCTGTGATTGCTCTTCTCTGTAGGCCAGACCTCACAGCGGGAACTGCAGTCACTGAACTGGAAAACCTAAATGCAATGGGACTAATCAGATCCTGGGGTGTTAGGCGCCAAGTGGGAGCACTCAACCATTAGTGTGGGAATGATTTCCACAATGGACAGCAGAGCCAAAGCAGCAGTCATAACAGTCTGACTTATGTAGACCTATGACATTGGCTAGTTGGTCAGGGTGTTCTTAGAAGGGAAATTGAATGCCTACTAAATTGTTACTTGATCTACGTAAGTACAATAGAAAACTTCTAGGTCAAGTGAACAAAAGCCTAACTTGAATTATAAAAATGGAGAGTCATAGTTCCTCAATCATTTCCCAGACCTGAGCCTCTTTTTTGTTGTTGAGACAGTCTCGCTGTGTCACCCAGACTGCAGTGTAGTGGTGCAATCTCTGCTCATTGCAACTTCTGCCCACTGGATTCAAGCGATTCTCAAACCTCAGTCTCCTGAGTAGCTGAGATTACAGGTATGCACCACTGCCCAGCTAATTTTTGCATTTTTAGCAGGGACAGGGTTTCACTATGCTGGCCAGACTGGTCTTGAACTCCTGGCCTCAAGTGATCCACCCACCCTGACTCCCAAAGTGTTGGGAATACAGACGTGAGCCACTGGGTCCAGCTATCAGTGGAGTTTTAGTTCAGGTCTGTCTCACAGTGGACTCAGTGGGTTTCCAAACCCATCCTGTGGTTATTTCCCCAGTCCTGGAATGCATAATTGGAACAGATATACTCAGAAGCTTGCAGAGCCCCACATTGGTTCCCTGACCTGTGAAGTGAGGGTTATTATGATGGGAAAGGCCATGTGGGAGCCACAGAACTGCCCCTACCTAATATACGTATATATTTATATATATCCCAAAAGCAATACTGCATTTCTGGAGGGAATCACAGAGATTAGTTTTTGCCACTATCAAAGACTTGAAAGATACAGGGGTGGTGATTCCCACATCCCCATTCAACTTGCCTATTTGGCCTGTGCAGAAGACAGATGAATCTTGAAGAATGAAAGTGGATTATTGTAAGCTTAACCATGTGGTAACTCCAATTTCAGTTGCTATACAGGATGTGGTTTTATTGCTTGAGCAAATTAATACATTCCCTGATACACAGTAGGCAGCTGTCAATCTGGCAAATGCCGTTTTCTCTAGCCTGTCAATAAGGCCCACAAAAAGCCATTTTCTTTCAGCTGTCAAGACCAACCTTCACCATACGAGCTCAGGGATATATCAAATGTCAAGCACTATATCATGATTTAGCTTAAAAGATCTTGATCACCTTTCCCTTTGGCAAGATATCACACTGATCCATTACACTGACTACATTATGTGAATGGGGCCTAGTGAGCAAAAAGTTGCAACTACTCTAGATTTATTGGTGAGACATTTGCATGTCAGAGGGTGGAAAATAAATCCAACAAAAATCCAGGGGCCTTCTACCTCAGTTAAATTTCAAGGGATCTAGTGATGTGGGGCATGCCAAGATATTATTTCTAAGACACAACACCTGGTGGGCCTCTGGATTTTGGAGATAACATATTCCTCATTTGGGTGTGTTATTCTGGCCCATTTACTAAGTGAACAAGAAAGCTGATTAGTTTCGAGTAGGGGCTGGAACAAGAGAAGGCTCTGCAACAGGTCCAGGCTGCTACGCAAACTTCTTTGCCACTTGGGCCACCAGATTCCATGGTGTTTCAAGTGGCAGCAGCAGATAGGGATGCTGGTTTGGAGCCTTTGGCAGGCTCCCATTAGTGAATTGTAGCACAGACCTTTAGGATTTTGTAGCAAAGCCCTGCTATCATCTTCAGAGAACTACTCCCTTTTTTTGAGAAATGATTTTTGGCTTACTACTGGGCCTTAGTAGAGACTGAACACTTAACCATATGCTATCAAGTTCAAGTTATCATGTGACCTGAGCGTCCCATCATGAACTTGGTACTATTTGACTCACCAAGCCATAAAGTTGGGCATGCATAGCAGCATTCTATTATCAAATGAAAGTGGCATATACCTGAGTGGGTCCAAGCAGGTCCTGAAGGCACGGCAAGTTATGTGAAGAAATGGCCCAAATGCCCATGGTCCCTGTTCCTGCTACACTGCCTTCTATCATCCAACCTGCACCCATGGCCTCATGGGGAGTACTCTATGATCAGTTGAGAGAGAATGAGAAGACGAGTGCTTGGTTTCTAGAGGGTTCTGCACCATATGCAGGCAACACCCAAAAGCAGACAGCTGCAGCACTACAGCCCATTTCTGGGACACCCTGAAGGACAGCAATGAAAGGAAATCCTCCAAGTAAGCAGAAGTTGCAGTGAGCAGATATTGCACCACTGCACTGCAGCCTGGGTGACACAGCAAGACTGTCTCAACAACAACAAAAAAGAGGACGAGGTCTGGGAAATGATTGAGGGACCACGACTTTCCATTTTCATAGTTCAGGTTAAGCTTTTGTTCACTTGACTTAGAAGTTTTCTATTGTACTTATATGGATTAAGTAACAATTTTGTAGGCATTCAATTTCACTAGTCTTCTCATTCTCTGCCAACTGATCATAGGGTACTCCCCATGAGGCCACTGGGTGCAGATTGGATGATAGAAGGCAGTGTAGCAGGAACAGGGACCATGGGCATTTGGGCCACTTCTTCAGGTAACTTGCTGTGCCTTCAGGAACTGCTCGGACCTACTCAGGTATATGCCACTTTCATTTGATAATAGAATGCTGCTATGCATGCCCAACTTTATGGCTTGGTGAGTCAAATAGCACCAAGTTCATGATGGAAAGTCAGGTCACATGGTAACTAGAACTTGATAGCATATGGTTAAGTGTTCAGTCTCTACTAAGGTCTAGTAGTAAGCCAAAAGCCATTTCTCAAAAAGGGGAGTTCTCTGCAACTACTTGTTCACTGTGCTTATATGGCCAGACATATAACTATAGACTGATACATGGACTGTGGCTAATGGTCAGCTGAATGGTCAGGGACTAGAAAGGAAAATGATTGAAAAATTGGTGACAAGGAAATCTGGGAAAGAGGTATGTGGATAGACCTCCCCAAATGGACAAAAAAATGTGAAGATTTTTGTGTCCCATGTGAATGCTTACCAAAGAATGATCTCAGCAGAGGAGTATTTTAAGAATCAAGTAGATGATTTTTTTGTGTGTGTGGATACCAGTCAGCCTCATTTCCCAGTCACCCCTGTCTTCACCCAATAGGCTCATGAACAAAGTGCTCATGGTGGCAGGGATGAAGGTTATGTATGAGCTCAACAACATAGACTTCCACTCACCATGTCTAACCTGGTTGTAACTACTTCTGAATGGTCAATCTGCCAGCAACAGAGACCAACAATGAGTTCCCAATTTGGTACCATTCCCTGGGGTGATCAGCCACCTACAAGGTGGAAGGTTGATTACACTGGACACTTCCATCATGAAAGAGGAAGTATTTTGATCTTACTGGAATAGACAACAACTATGGCTACGGACTTTCCTCCCCTGCATAAATTGCTTCTGTCAGAACTACCATTTGTGGAATTAGAGGATGCTTTATTCACTGTCATGTTATTCCACACAACATTACCTCTGATCAAGGAACTCACTTCACAGCAAAGGAAGTTGGCAATGAGCTCATGCTTATGAATTAATTGGTCTTACCATGTTCTTACCATCCCGAAGCAGCTGGCTTGATAAAACATTGTAATGACCATTTGAAATCTCAGTTACAGCATTAGCTATGTGGCAATACCTTGCAGGGTTGGATCATGGTCATCCAGGGGGTTATATATGTTCAGAACTGTTGTCCAATATATGGTGCTACTTCTCCCATAGCCAGGATTTACAGGTTCAAGAATCACAGGGTGGAAATGGGAATGGCTATTACCCCTACTGCTCCCTTAGCAAAAACTTTTCTTTCTTGTTCCTGTGACCTTAAACGCTGCTGCCCTAGAGGATTTAGTTTCAAGGGAGAAATGCTTCTATCAGGAGACACAACAATGATATGGTTATCTTTTCTTCTTTCAGTTCAATCTTCCATTGAATTGGAAGTTAAAACTGCCGCTTGGCCACTTTGTGTTCCTTTGAATCAACAGGCAAAGAAGAGAGTTACTGCACTGACTGGGGTGATTAATCCTTACCACCAGAGGAAAATTGAACTTCTACTTCACAGTGAAGATAAGGAAGAGTATTTCTGGAACACAGGAGATCCTTTAGGGTATCTCTTAGTATTATCATACCCTATGATTAAGGTCAATGGAAAACTACAACAACCCAATCCAAAAAGGACTAACATATGGCCTAGACCCTTCAGGAACTGAAGATGTGTGTTGCTCCACCAGGTAAAGAACCATGACCAGCTGAAGTGCCTGCTGAAGGCAGAGGGTATACAGAATGAATAGTAAAAGAAGTGGTAATAAATACCAGGTATGACCATGTGACCAGTTAGAAAAATGAGCACTGTAGTTCTGAATATTTCCTCCTTATTTTGTTATGAATATGTGTGTGTGTGTATGTATAATCTTAGTTTTCTTTCTTTTCTGATTTCCTTATTAACAGAAGATTATTAACTTTATATCATACTATTTAAGCATTGTTAATTTTATATCTTAGTATTCAAGTTATGGGATATCATGGAGAAAAGTAACCATCACTCAAGCACTCTACCTATTCTTCTGGGGAAGGGGTTGGTGCATCTTCAGTTGTACACGGGATGGCTGTATCATGTTAGTTGGAATTACGACCTTGCTCTTGTCTTTATTTGGAGATTAAGGATGGTTTAAGGAAACGCATATGGGTACCAAGATGACGAGGTATAGACTTGTGACAGTTAATTTATATGTCAACTTGACAGAGTGCCCAGATGTTTGGTCAAACATTATTTTGGGTGTGTCTGGAAGATGTTTCTGTATGAGATTAACATTTGAATTGTAGACTGAGTAAAGCAGATTGGCTTCCCTAACATGGGTGGGCCTCATCTAATCAACTGAATATTTGAATAGAACAAGAAGCCTGATTAAGAGGGAACTCCAGCTGCCTGACTGTTGGACCTGGACGTTTGGTCTTCAGACTCAGACTGAGACATTAGCACTTCTTGGGTCTCAAGCCTGCCAGCTTTTGAACTAGCACATACATCACTGGCTTTCCTGGTTTTCAGACCTTCAAAGTTAGACTGGAACTACACATAGGCTCTCCTGGGTCTCCAGCTTGTTGACTACAGATCTTGGGACTTAGCCTTCATAAGGGGTGGACCAATTCCATATAAAATATGTGTGTATATATATTATAAATGTAACCTTATAATATATGTATATATAAAAATATACCTATATATAATATATAGACATATATTATAAAATATATGTACTATATATATTCATAGATAATATATATATGAAGGGTATGTTTGGGTGTGTTATTCTGGTACACTTACTAAGTGGCCCAGAAAGCTGACAGTTTTGAGTGGGGTCCAGAACAAGAGAAGGCTCTGTAACAGGTCCAGACTGCTATGCAGGAATATGCTGCTTCCAAAATCCAAAGAGGCCCACTTGGTGTTGTGCCTCTTTTTTGGTTGCAGAAGGTAATATGCTTTGAATTTGTGTCACCACCCAAATCTCATGTCAAATTGTAATCCCCAGTGTTGGAGGAGGGGTCTGGTAGGAGGTGACTGGATGATGGGGGCTAATTTCCCCCTTGCTGTTCTCATCATAATGAGTGAGTTCTTGTGAGATATTGTTGTTTGAAGTTGTATAGAACTTCCCCCTTCACTCTCTTCCTCCTGCTCCAACCATATAGGATGTACTTACTTTCCCTTCGACTTCCACCATAATTGTAAGTTTCCTGAGGCTTCCCCAGCCATGCTTCCCATTCAGCCTGCAGAACCGTAAGCCAATTAAACCTCTTTTCTTTATAAATTACCCAGTCTCAGGTAGTTCTTTAATAAGAATGGACTAATACAGGAGGGGCCAGATACAACAACTTATCCTTCACTTTCAAAACTTATCCTTCACTCCTTTTGCTTTTCTAGTGGTTTTTTGAGTCGGGAAGTAGGTTGAAGGTGGGCATCAACATAGTTCTCCTCCAAAAGTGCAGGTAAATATGAATAACTTCCTGTCATTTATTTGAGGAAGGTAAAGTTTTATAGAATTGTTTTGGAGCCACTTAATAGCTATTCTTCATATATATATTATATGAACAGAATGTAATTCCATTCTATTACAATGAAAATGCCACTGTAATAGGGTTCCTCAGCGTTTTCAGAGAAATAAAACCAATAGGATGATGATATATATATTTTATAATATACATTATATTAAACATATGTATAACATAATACATATAATATAGTATAATACACTATATTATATATAATTACATATTACATATTATATATACATATATATACATTATATACATACATTTTATAATATATATTATATCATGTATGTGTATATATGTATAAATATCTATCAATCCTTTTTTTTTTTGAGACAAAGTTTCACTCTGGTTGCCCAGGCTGGAGTGCAATGGCACGATCTCAGCTCACTGCAACCTCCACCTCCAAGGTTCAAGTGATTCTCCTGCCTCAGCCTCCCGAGTAGCTGGGATTATAGGTGGCCACCACCACACCCGGCTAATTTTTTGTCTTTTTAGTAGGGATGGAATTTTACCATGTTGGCCAGGCTGGTCTCAAACTCCTGACCTCAGGTGATCCGCCCGCCTCAGCCTCCCAAAGTGCAGGGATTATAGGCAAGAGCAACCGTGCCCGGCCTTCTATCTATATACTTTACCCTATTGGTTTTGTTTCTCTGAATACTCTGAAGAATCTTATTACAATGGCATTTACATTTGACTGATGAAATTAATGAGCAAAGAATTTGAGATGTTTTAAGATAAATATTTTTTAGACTTCTATTTAGAAGGATAGTGTTTCTGAAATGTAAATCTGGTAACTTTCCCTGGTTGTTATAACAGGTGTATTATACAGTTTAGAAACATGAAGTTATCCAATCTGCCAAGTTGTGCAGTTTCTGCAGCCTCCAGGAAAAAAAAATTACATACGCAATCACAAAATCCAGTCAGAAATGAAACTCTGTGTATGTCTAATCTCTAACTGAAGTCTTGATAAGTTCCTTTGAAACTGAATTGGTCAGATTAGTAACTAACAGGACTAAAAAAGTTTCAGGTCAACATTTAAATAATTTACAGGAAGGTATTATATTTCATGCCAAAAATTCATTCATTTACTCAATGATTCCTTATTGAAAAACTCAGATTTGGGTAAGTAGTCTCTTCTGTCATTGAACACACAACAGAAATTTGATAGGGGAGAAAGACTGTCAAACAATCACACATACACACACACACACACATACATACATAAAGTAAAAATATTTCTATAAAAACTTTGAGGGAGATGTATATGCTACATAAAATTCAATAACTTTTTAAGATGATAAGGTCATTCCTTTAATGTAAAATTTGATCTAGTATTGTAAAATTTAAAATCAAGAATTTTTCTTTAAATTGCTCTCCTTTTGCTTTTCTAGTACCTTTTTGAGTTGGGAAGTAGGGTGAAGGTGGGCACCACCATAGTTCTCCTCCAAAAGTGGGGGGAAATATGAATAACTTCCTGTCATTTATTTAAGGGAAGTAAAGTTTTATAGAATTGTTTTGGAGCCACTTAATTCTAGTCTATTCTATTATAAATTTTGCCCAGAACCTCCAGTGTGGCACAGATGAAAATAACAGTCATTGGAAGGTGGGTGGCAGATGACAGAATAGAAGGCTCCATTGATCATAACCTCAACAAGGACACCAATGTAACAACTTAAAGCATCTTCATAAGAACAAAAAATCAGGTGAGCACTCACAGTACCTGGTTTTAACTTTATAACAATGAAAGAGGTAGTGAAGAGGTTAAAAAAAAAGTACTGAATCACCAACGCCACACTTTTCCCACCCTCCAGCAGCAGTGATGTGGTACAAAGGGCATTTCTGAGCACTGGGGGAGGGAGAGTTCAGCAATTGTGAGGCAATGAACTCAATGCTGTCCTGTTATAGTAGAAAGGAAAACTGGACCAAATTCAGCTGATGCCTGCCCACAGGGAAAGCATTTTAACCAGCCTTAGCCAATGAGGAATCACCAATCCCAGTGATCAGAACTTGAGTTCCCACAAGCCTCACTACCATGGGATGAAGTGGTCTGGGATTACAAATAAACTTGAAAACGTGTCTAGACCCCAAGGACTGAAACTTTTAGGTGAGTCCTAGTGCTTAACTGGGCCCAGAACCAGTAGACTGGGGTGGCGGTGGGGTGTGAAATACTGAGACATCAACTGGGTGGCTAAGGGAGTGCTGGCATCACTCCTCTTCTAACCCAGGCTGCACAGCTCACAGCTCCAAAAGACACTCCTTCCTTCCACATGAGGAAAGGAGAGAGGAGTGGAGAGGACTTTGTTTTGCATATTGCATACCAGCTTAGCCACAACAGGATAGGGAACTGGTCAGAGTCAAGAGCCCTCTGTTCCAGGCCCTAGCTCCAAGATGACATTACTATATACACCCTGGGCCAGAAGGAAACAAAGAACCAGCTGCCTTGAAGGAACGGACTAGGTCCTGCCAGCATTCATCACCTACTAACTGAAAAGCCCTTGGTCCCTGAATAACCAACAGTGATACCCAGGTATTATACTGGGGGCCTTGGTGAGACTGAGACTTGCTGGCTTTTGGTGAGACTCAGCCCATTACCACCTATGATGGCTATGGGGCAAAACTGTTTCTGCCTGAGAAAAGCAGAAGGAAAAAGAAAGGGGACTTTGTCTTTCACCTTAGGTACCAACACTGCCACAGTGGGGTAGAACACCAAGCAGCCTCTTGAGGTCCCCGATCCAGGACTTGACTCTTGGATGGCATTTCTGGACCTACCCTGGGACAGAGGGGATCCCACTGCCCTGAAGGGTGAGTGCCAAGCCAGACAGCATTCACCACAAGTTGACATAAGAGACCTTGGGCCTTAAGGGAACATTGGTGGTAATCTAGCAGTACTCCTTATGGCTGGGGTACTGGTGGCTATGGGGTGAGACTCTGCATGTTTGGGAGAGAGTAAGGGAAGAGAATGAGAGTCTCTGACTGGTAATCCAGAAAATTCTCTCAGATCTTATCCAAGACCATCAAGGCCTTACCTCTACAAGTCTGCAAGAACCACAGATTTACTAAGCTTGAGGTGACCTCTAACACAGAAACAGCTTAGATTACAACACTCAAGTCCATTCAAATATCTGGAAAGCCTTCTCAAGAAGAATGGCTACAAATAAACCCAGACACCAAAAACGAAGACTACAATAATACCTAACTCTTCAATGCCCAGACACCAAAGAACATCTACTAGCATCAACACCTTCCAGGAAAGCATGACCTCACCAAATGAACTAACTAAGTCACCAAGGAACAATCCTGGAGAAACAGAGATATGTGACCTTTCAGACAGAGAATTCAAAATAGCTGTGTTTAGGGGGTTCAAAGAAATTCAAGATAACACAGAGAAGGAATTCAGAATTCTATCAGATAAATTTAACAGAAAGACTGAAATAATGAAAAAGAATCAAGCAGAAATTCTGGAGCTGAGAAATGCAATTGGGATACTGAAGAATGCATCAGAGTCCTTTAACAGCAGAATAGATCAAGTAGAAGAAGGAATTAGCAAGCATGAAGACAGGCTATTTGAAAATACACAGTCAGAGGAGACAAAGGTAAAAAGAAAAAAAAATGAAGCACACCTGCAGGATTTAGAAAACAGCCCCAAAGGAGCAAGTTATTGCCTATAAAGAGGAGGTAGAGAAAGAGAAAGTGGTAGAAAGGTTGTTCAAATAGATAATATCAGAGAACTTCCCAAACCTAAAGAAATATATTAATATCCAAGTACAAGAAGGTTATAGAACACCAAGCAGATTTAACCCAAAGAAGACTACTCAAGGCATTTAATAATAAAACTCACAAAGGTCAAGGATAAAAAAAGGATCCTAAAGTGGCAAGAGAAAAGAAACAAATAACATACAATGGAGCTCCAATATGTCTGCCAGCAGACTTTTCAATGGATACCTTATAGGCCAGGAGAGAGTGGCATGACATATTTAAAGTGCTGAAGAAAAAAAACTTTTACCCTAGAATAGTATATCTGGAGAAAATATGTTTCAAACATGAAGGGGAAATAAAGACTTTCCCAGACAAACAAAAGCTGAGGGATTTCATCAACACTAGACCTGTCCAAGAAGAAATGTTAAAGGGAGTACTTCAATCAGACAGAAAAGGACAGTAATGAGCAATAAATTGTCACCTGACTGTACAAAACTTACTAGTAATAGTGAGTACACAGAAAAACACAAAACATTGTAACACTGTAACTGGTGTGTAAACTACTCTTATCCTAAGTAAAAAGACTAAATGATGAACTAATTAAAAATAATAACTACAACAACTTTTCAAGATATAGTACAATAAGAGATAAATAGAAACAACAAAAAGTTAAAAAGTGCGGGGATGAAGGCAAGTTTTTATTAGCTTTCTTTTTGTTTACGCAAATAGTGTTAAGTTGCTATCAGTTTAAAATAATGGATTATAAGGTAGTATTTACAAGCCTCATGGTAACCTCAAACCAAAAAACATACAATGAATACACAAAAAAAGCAAGAAACTAAATCATATCACCAGAGAAAATCATCTTCACTAGAGGAAGACAGGAATGAAAGAAAGAAGAGAAGACAACAAAACAACCAGAAAATAAATCATAAAATGTCAGGAGTAAGTAATTACTTACTAATAATAACACTGAATGTAAATGGACTAAATTCTCCAATCAAAACACATAGACTCCTGAATGGATGAAAAAACAAGACTCATTGGTCCATTGCACAAGAAGTGTATTTTACCTATAAAGACGCACATAGGCTGAAAATAAAAGGATGGAAAAAGATGTTCCATGCCAATGGAAACCAAAAAAGAGCATGAGTTGCTACACTTTTATCAGACAAAATAGATTTCAAGACAAAAACTGTAAAAGAAAAAGAAAGCCACTATATAATGATAAAGGGATCAATTTCAGCAAGAGAATATGACAATTTTAAATATATATGCACCCAACATGGGAGCACCCAGATATATAAAAGAAATATTATGAGAGCTGAAGAGAGAGATGGATGTCAATACAATAATAGCTGGAGACTTCAACACCCCACTGTCAGCATTGGGCAGATCTTCCAGACAGAAAATCAACAAAGAAACATCAGACTTAATCTATAATGTAGACCAAATGAATTTAATAGATATTTGCAGAGCATTTCATCTAAGAGCTGCAGAATAAACATTCTTTTTCTCAACACAAGGATCATTCTCAAGGATAGACCATATGTTGGGTCTCAAAACAGGTCTTAAAACATTTTTAAAAACCTGAAATAATATCAAGCATCTTCTCTGACCACAATGGAATAAAACTAGAAATTAATAATGAGAGGAATTTTGGAAACTATATAAATATGTAGAAATCAAACAATATGCTCCTGAATGACCAGTGGATCAATGAAACAAGAAGGAAATTGTCACGAGGTCAGGAGATAGAGACCATCCTGGCCAACATAGTGAAACCCCAACTCTACTAAAAATACAAAAATTAGCCGGGCATGGTGGTGCATGCCTGTAATCCCAGCTACTCGGGAGGCAGAGGCAGGAGAATCCCTTGAACCAGGGAGTTGGAGGTTGCAGTGGGCCAAGAATCACGCCACAGCACTCTAGCCTGACGACAGAACGAGACTCTGTCTCAAAAAAAAAAAAAAAAAAAAGGAAATTGAAAAATTTCTTGAAATCAATCATAAATGGAAACACAATATACCAAAACCTATGGGATACAGCAAAAGCAGTACTAAGAGGGAAGTTTATAGCTATAAGTGATGACATCAAAAAAGATGAAAAACTTCAATAAACAATCTAATGATGCTTTTTTTTTTTTTTTTTTTTGAGACAGAGTCTCGCTCTGTCACCCAGGCTAGAGTGCAGTGGCGCAATCTTGGCTCACTTCAAGCTCTGCCTCCTGGGTTCATGCCATTCTCCTGTCTCAGCCTCCGAAGTAGCTGGAACTACAGGCGCCCGCCACCACGCCTGGCTAGTTTTTTGTATTTTTAGTAGAGACGGGGTTTCACTGTGTTAGCCAGGATGGTCTCGATCTCCTGACCTCGTGATCCGCCCACCTCAGCCTCCCAAAGTGCTGGGATTACAGGTATGAGCCACCGCGCCTGGCCTGATGCTTCTTAAAGAACTGGAAAAGCTAGAGCAAACCAAGCCCAAAATTAGTAGAAGAAAAGCAATAACAAAGATCAGAGCAGAAATAAATAATATTGAAATGAAAAAAGGATCAATGAAACAAAATGTTGTTTTTTTGAAAAGTTAAACAAATTGACAAACCTTTAACCAGCCTAAGAAAAGAAGAGAGAAGATCCAAATAAATAAAATCAGAAATTAAAAAGGAGACATTACAACTGATAATGCAGATTTTAAAAGGATCGTTAGTGGCTACTGAGCAACTATATGCCAATAAATTAGAAAATTTAGAAGAAATGGACAAATTCCTAGTTACATAAAACCTACCAAGATTGAACCAGGAAGAAATCTAAGACCTAAACAGACCAGTAAGAATTAATGGGCAAGGGATGGTGGTTCATGCCTGTAATCCTAGCACTTTGGGAAGCCAAGGAGGGCTGATTGCTTGAGCTCAGGAGTTTGAGACCAGCCTGGGTAACATGGGTGAAACCTCGTCTCTACAAAAAAATACAAAAAATTAGCTGGGCATGGTGGCACATGCCTGTAGTCTCAGCTACTTGGGGGGCTGAGGCAGCAGGATAGTTTGAACCTGGGAGGTCAAGGCTGCAGTGAGCGAAGATTGCACCACTGCACTCCACCTTGGGTGAAAAAGTGAGACCCTGTCTCAAAAAAAAAAAAAAAAAAAATAGGAGTAATGAGATTGAAGCCATAATAAAATGTCCTCCAGTAAAGAAAAGCCCAGGACGTGGACCTGATGGCTTCACTGCTGAATTCTACCAAATATTTAAAGAAGAACTAATACCAATTCTACTCAAACTATTCTGAAAAGTAGAGGAGAAAGGAATACTTCCAAACTCATTCTATGACGCCAGTATTACCCTTATGCCAAAACCAGACAAAGACACATCAAAAAAGGAAAACTGCAGGACAATATCTCTGATGAATATTGATGCAAAAAATCCTCAACAAAATACTACAAACAAAATTCAACAATACATTAGAAAGATCATTCATCATGACAAAGTGAGATTTATCCCTGGGATACAAGAATGGCTCAACATACACCAATCAATCAATGTGATACATCATATCAACAGAATTAAGGATAAAAACCACATGATCATTTTAATTGATGCTGAAAAGCATTTGATAAAATTCAACACCCCTTCAAGACAAAACCCTCAAAAAAACTGGGTATAGAATGAACATACCTCAACATAATATAAGCCATATATGACAGACCCACAGCTAGTATCATACTGAATGGGGGAATGTTGAAAGCCTTTCCATTAAGATCTGGAACACAACAAGGGTGCCCACTGTCACCACTGTTATTCAATGTATTAATACTACTAGAATTCCTAGCTAGAGCAATCAGAAAGGTATAAAGGGCATCCAAATTGGAAAGGAAGAAGTCAAATTATCCTGATTTACTCATGATATGATCTTATATTTAGAAAAAGCTAAAGACTCCACGAGAAAACTATTAGAACTGATAAACAGATTCAGTAAAATTGCAGGATACAAATCAACAAACAAAAATCAGTAGCATTTCTGTATGCCAACTGTGAACAATGTGAAAAAGAAATAAAATAGTAATACCGTTTACAGTAGCAACACATAAAATTAAATACCTAGGAATTAACCAAAGAGTTGAAAGATGTCTATAATTAAAACTATAAAACATTGATGAAAGAAATTGAAGAGGACATAAAAAATGCAAAAAATTCCATGTTTATATTTGAAAAAAATCAATAGTGTTAAAATGTGCATACCACCCAAAGCAATCTACAGATTCAATGCAATCCCTGCCAAAATACCAATGACATTCTTCACAGAAATAGAAAAACAACTAAAAAATTTATGTGGAACTGCAAAAGACCCAGAATAGCCAAAGCTATCCTAAGTAAAAAGAATAAAACTGGAGAAATCACATTACCTGACTTCAAATTATACTGCAGAGCTGCAGTAACCAAAACACCATGGTACTGGCATAAAAACAGACACACAGACCAATGGAACAGAGTGGAGACCCCAGAAATAAATCCACACACCTACAGTGAATTCATTTTTGACAAAGGTTCCAAGAACATACACTGGGGAAAAAGATAGTCTCTTCAATAAATGATGCTAGGAAGACTGGATATCCATATGCAAAAGAATGAACCTAGACCTCTTAGTCCATTTTCATGCTGCTAATAAGGACATACCTGAGACTGGGCAATTTACAAAATAAAGAGGTTTAAAGAACTTACAGTTCCTTGTGGCTGGGGAAGCCTCACAATCATAATAGAAGGCAAAGAGGAGCAAGTTACATCTTACACGGATGGTGGCAGGCAAAGAGAGAGAGCTTGTGCAGGGAAACTCCACCTTATGAAGCCATCAGATCTCGTGAGATTTATTCACTATCACGAGAACAGCATGAGAAAGACCTGCCCCCATGATTCAATTACCTCCCACCGGGTTTCTCCCACAACATGTGGGAATTCAAGATGAGATTTCAATGGGGACACAGCCAAACCATATCAAATCTCTTGCCATATACAAAAATCAAATAAGAATGTATTAAAGACTTAAATCTAAGACCTTAAACTATGAAACTACTAAAAGAAAACATTGGGGCAACTCTCCAGGACATTGGACTGGGCAAAGACTTATTGAGCCATAACCCACAAGCACAGGCAACCAAAGCAAACATGGACAAATGTAATCACATTAAGTTACAAAGCTTCTGCACAGTATATAAAACAACCAACAAAGTGAAGAGACAATCCACAGAATGGGAGAAAATATTTGCAAACTACCCCTATGATAAGAGATTAATAACTAGAATACATAAGGAACTAAAATCTACAGGAAAGAAGTCCAATAATCCAATGAAAAGATGGGCAAAAGATTTGAATAGACATTTCTCAAAAGAAGACATAAAATGGCAAACAGGCATATGAAGAAGTGCTCAACACCGCTGATCATCACAGAAATGCAAATCAAAACTACAATCATCTCATCCTAGTTAAAATGGCTTATATCCAAAAGACAGGCAATAACAAATGCTGGCCTGGATGTGGAGAACAGGGAACTCTTGTACACTGTTGGTGGGAACGTAAATTAGTACAGCCATTATGGAGAAAAGTTTGGAGGTTCCTCAAAAAACTAAAAATTGAGCTACCATATAATCCAGCCATCCTACTGCTGGGTATACATCCCACAGAAAGGAAATCAGTATGAGGAAGAGATTTGCTCTCCTATGTTTGTTGTAGCACTGTTTACAATAGCTAAGATTTGGAAGCAATCTAAGTGTCCATCAACAGATGAATAGAAAGGAAAATGTGGTACATACATACAGTGGTGTACTATTTATGCATAAAAGAAAATGCGATTCAGTTATTTGTGACAACATCAATGGAACTGAAGATCATTATGTTAAGTGAAATAAGCCAGGACAGAAAGATAGACATCACATGTTCTCACTTATTTGTGGGATCTAAAAATCAAATCAATTGAAGTCATTGACATAGAGAGTAGAAATATGGTTACCAGAGGCTTGGAAGGATAGTGGGGAGTTGAGGGGGAGGTGGGGATGGTTAATGGATAAAAAAAAAAAAAAATAGAATAAGACCTACTATTTGATAGCACAGTAGGGTGACCATAGTCAATAATAACTGAGTTGCATATTTAAAAATAACTTAAAGAATATAATTGGATTGTTTGTAACACAAAGGATAAATGCTTGAAGGGATGAATACCCCATTTTCCATGATATGCTAATTTCACATTGCATGCCTGTATCAAAACATCTCATGTACCCTGTAAATATATACAACTGCAATGTACTCACAAAAATAAAAAAATTAGCTCCCATATTTTAAATCAATGAAAAAGGAATGGATTCATTCAATAAAATGATGTGGAGAAATTTGGGGAAAAAGGGTTTTAGTCAAGTAAAATTATTCTAAAAGTAACAATACAAGTGTAAGTGACCTAGGATCTTTCCTCTTACACAGGACTGGTGGAGTGTAATTTATACCTCTCTCCAAACTTAAATCTTTCATTTTTTTGAGGACTTAAGAAAAAAAAGTTAATTTAGAGACCTAATTTTCATTAAAAGCTCATTGCCCAAATCTCCCTCCTTCCCACAATAATTTTTCTCATTTCCTCTAATGTCAACCTTTAAATCACTTAGTCATCAGAAAACAACATTCATATGGCCCTTAAAGTTATCAGAACACTAGTTCCTCAAATTATCAGTAATTTCTTAGTTTATTTTGAAAGAACTGTAGCTTTTTTTTTTTTATCATTAAAGCCCAAGTAGTATGAGGTCCAGCTTAGTGGACCGTCCTCAGAGATGCAAATAAATCCACTAGTCTTCCTCTTGAAAACTGTTTCCTCAATGGCTAGTAAGTAGAAGGAAGAATGAAAACAATAAAGATAAGAACAGAAATCAACAAAATATAAAAAATATAAACTGTAGATAAATGAAATCAAAAGTTGATTCTTTGAAAAATCAATAAAATTAATAAACCTCTAGCTTACAATGATCAAGACAAAAAATAAAGAAAATCTAAATTACCAAGTCAGGGATGAAAAAGGAGATACCAACACAGATCTTACAGCTATTAAAAGGGTAATCAGGAAATGTTACAAACAATTTTATGCCAAAAAATTTGACAATCAATCAAATAAAATGGACAAATTCTTTAAAAGACACAAATCACTAAAAGGTTTGCAAGAAAAAACAGGGAACTAAATAATTCCATATCTAGTAAAGAAATTCAATTCATAATTATCAGCCTTTTCATAAAGAAAATTCCCGGCTCAATTTCTTCACTGGAGAATTATATTAAACAATGAATAAAATATCTTTCAGAAAATTGAGGAAGAGGGAATACTTCCAAACTCATTTTATAAGGCCAAGTGTGACATGTTTTTGAGAAAATATATGCTATGCTCCTGTTTATTGGTAATATACAAAAGGTTGCTCACTGAGTTTTCTCACATGCTACTTGGAATTGAATTTATCTGAACGTCACCCCATTCTCTATGGCAGAATTCTGAGAATTTTTTTTCACTGAGATACACATGCCAGATGATGTACCTGTTCATCATATACTCTCATGGGCTTTCCTAAGGTATGTTCAACTCCTGGTGCTCTCATTGTAACCTGCTCTTTCTCTCCCTCACCCTCCTGATCAAGGGGATGTCTACTGAGAGAATCATACAGAGATAACCATCTTTTAAGAAACATACAGATCATTTTTAGTGATTATTAGTGTTGTTTGAGCAAAGTACAGTATTTAAGTACTTAGGCTCTGGTGTTCTTAAACAATCCAGTTTATGTCACTTCCTAATTATAAGTTTGGACAAACATCTTCACCTCTCCTGCTTCACTTTATAAAATATAGATGATAATGATATCCACCAAATTTGGTTGTGTGAAAATTAAATGAATTTATCTTTTGTACCATCAGTGAAAATCACTGAGATAAAAGTGTCTAAGCATGTACTAAACATTCAAAAAATGGTAGCTAGTAGCAATAGCTACTTATGACTATTATTATTTAAAAACTATTATTAACTAATGACTTCATTTATCTGTATTCCACTGGTATTCAATTCAATTCAACACTATGAATAAAAACTATTACTCTAAAAGAAAGGTAGAAACTATGTATTTTGAATTTGCTGCAATTCTATTTTCTTTGCAAAAGCCGAAAATCTAAGTCATGTGTATAGTTCAAGTATCATCCTTATCAAGGTCTATTCCATTTTTACAAGTTAGATCTTTATTTTAATTTTTATCAAGAGCTGTAGGATTCTGAGTTCTTATTTTAAGGTTAATCCGAAGTTTTTGACTGGTTTTACTTTCAAAAGGCAGGGTAAGTTAAAAATTGGAAAATATCAGAACTTGTGTCTCAGAACTATTGATAGGGATGAGTTTAGGTGGTGGTAGGTGGGAGAGCTCCAGAATGAGGTAAGACAGTGTGGGTGTAAACAACAAGTTCTTTAAGTGGGTGTCTGTCTTTTTCATGTACTTGTTTTCTTCCCTAGCATGGGTTCTCAGTTATGCAGAAGATGTTTAGTAACAACACCCATTTTGTGCATATAATCACGTATCTACCTTCTTTTCTTAGCAGCAGCTTCATTCTTCAGGCCTCCTGGGCTAGAAATCCTAGTCTGGCCTTTCTTACATCTCCTTTAGCATTCCATTTCCCACTATATTCTCTAGTTGTGTCCTCTAGTTTATGCTGGACCCCACTATGTGCATAAATGGTTTTTATTGGTTTCAAAAATTTATTGAAGTTATCTGTTTATAAATCTATCTCCCCAACAGACGAATAACTTCTCCACGGTGGCACTGTCTTCATCTTTCTACCCCCAGTTCTAAGCACAGCACCCAGCACAGCACGATTTCAGTGTGCAGTAAGACACTCCTGCTCTTCAGCCTTCTCTCACAGGCTTCTCACACTTCCCTGTCTGTGGACCTGGGGGCCGCAGAGAGCCCAAGAGAGCTGACAGGCCTCCGGAGCACAGCCTACAGCCACTCAGCACAAGAATGTCATTTCACTGAAGTATAAAGTTTTATCATATTTGATATAAAATAATATCTTCAATTACTTATAAGAAAGTTACCATTTCCCATAATCTTCAAGTACAATTTATGCTCTGTGAATATTTTGGTGTGTGAATACGAGGGGAGTGTACATCTCAGTTTGAGAAGCACAGCTCCATTTCATGCACTGTGTATCTGTTAGGTGACTGTCTTACACATGTGTTAATTATGCTTTTCTTTGCTTAATAATCTACAAAACTTCCATGCATCCCCTGCATCAAGCTCAAACTCCCCAGTCGAGTTTGTATGTGCTTGCTGCCTCATTTCTTCCTGCCCCAGGGGAAACATACCACTCCAACTAATCTGTCTGCTCACTGTCTCTCATACCATGCTCAATTTTATCTCCAGAACTTTGTACTAATTCTCTAAAATGCCACATCGTCTTTATTGTGTTTTTCTTAATATTTTGAAGACCAACTCACACAACTCTTCTGTTAACAAAAGTTTTACACCAACTTAGAGTTTTTCACTTTCTCTAAAATCCCGTTAAAACAATTCATTACAATTTCTCATTGTTTCAAGAATTTCCTTTACCTTTTCAGCTACTTTTAAAGTAAGGAACATGTATCTCCCACATGGGGTGGGGTAGATACTAGACAAATGAAAGAGTATTAGCAATCTTCCAGACTTCTTGGGTCACTTGATCCAACCTTGTATAGTAATACACTCATTGATTTACCAAACATAAATTGAGTATTTATGATTTTTAAGTCACTATGTATAACATTATTCACACTTATATATAGTATGTAAGTTATATATTATATATAATACATATATTTTTGAGACAGGGTCTTGCTCGGTCACCCAGGCTGGAGTGCAGTGTTGCAATCACTGCTCACTGCAGCCTCAACCTCCTGGTCTCCATCCATCCTCCCACCTCAGTCTCCTGAGTAACTGGGACTACAGGCGTACACCACCACAACCAGCTAATTTTTGTATTTTTTGTAGAGACAAGATTTTGCCATGTTGCCCAGGCTGGGCTCAAACTCCGGGGCTCAAGCAATCTGTCTACCTCAGACTCCGAAAGTGCTGGGATTACAGGTGTGAGCTCCTGCGCCCAGCCCACACTAATATTTTTGAAAACATTATTAACCTTGTCTGAACATTTGTCATGACAAAAGCTTAGTTCCTCACAAGGAGGCTTGTTTTATTTTTGGACAACTATGAAAGTTCTCCTTTATGATGATCTGAATAAGTTTTTCTGACCTTAGTTCTCCTTCTGGAACAATTCTGAATACATTTAAATCTCTTCTATATAACAGCACTTTGATGTCCATCTTACTTCATTTTTTCATAATTCTATCCCCAGTTGACATTAAAATCCTCATCTTCTGTTCCTCCTCTGTAGATCCCTATGGAAACTCCATAATTTCTAGACATTCCTTCATCTTAATTGTTTCCTCTGAACACTCTTGAGTTTGTGACAGTCCCTTTGTAACCAAACACAGATCACTGAAATATTACTGGTGAAAGTATATGTTGATTAATCAGAGCATTTCAACATTTTAGCCTAGAGACCAGTGTCTCAAATGATATACAGGCATGTTTTAATTTTTATATCACCAAGCCAAAATCAAGCTGTTGACAACGATCAAATCTCAAACTATTCCTTTATTATAAATAAATGAATAACAAAACTTCATTGTGTTCATTGGAACACATGGAAATTAATATGTAGTAGAATTTCTGTTTGTATTGGTGACTAGTGGCCAAGCATATTCCAGATTTAGAACAGCTGGCATTGTCTGTTCTGAAAACATGAATGAAAGGAAGAGTGAACTCACAACAATCACAGAGTCTGTGCTCTGCTGTTCCTTGGCGTAGAACAACGGGTCCCAGTCTCATTCTGGGTTCACATTATTAAACACTAGATTTGGTTTAGCCCTAGGTAGTAGCACTGAAGGCAACATTAGATTTGTGAGTTGGTATACCAGGAAAATGGATTTCCTTTCATCATATGAAAGAACCTGCCCTTAATTGCCTTTTGATGAGGTAAACTTAACATCAGGACAAATTATCTGTCAGAATTCCGGTCTTCTCCACTTTTTACCAGACACATTTAGCTAATGTACAAGTATCAAGATAATTAGTTGACTAGCTTTTAGGGACTTGTGAAATAAACGCTGCATTTATCAGCTCTCAGGAAGGAAAGTACCACAGTATCCTAGAAGCTGATGCTTTAAAATGTGCTTGAATAATAAAAATCCAAAGAGGAATGTTAAGACATTTTAGTCCTATTGCTGACAGAGATTAACTTTGTTGTCCTGGACAAGATTCTTGATTATTCTATGACTTCATTTACCTAAATGTTAAATAGTTATAAAAATCAATTATTCTCTCTCCCTCAGTTGCTTGATAGCAAATTAAAATCTGAAAAATCCCCAAAACTGAAAAGGAAAAGTGACAGAAAGTACCTAATAGTCAAAAAAGGAAGAAGGGAATTACTGAAGCACCTGACACCATGAAGCCATCATGACTCAATGAGCAGAGAAAATCAATGAGTCAAAAATGAACCATTTTTCACCTGAATAGACTTTCTCTGCTCTGCAAGCTTTATTGTCTCATCAATTTTGACTCCTATGGAAGGTTGTTGGACATATCACATGGTGAGGGTAAATACACTATGACCCCATCCTCATCTTGCCTATTGATCTGCATCCCAAGGTAGCTTCAAAAGAGGATGAGGGCTTGGCATTTATCCTTTGAAATGTGGCCACTGGATTGATTTTACAAAAATTGCTTTACTTCTAACCTTAAGAAGATCCCGAAGTGGCAGCCCCGTTAGTGTAATGGGGGACATATTTCTCTTCTTGAGTAAGTTTTTGCATCTCAATGTTGTCATTATAAAATGAGAATAACAATAGCACCTAACTTATTACAATTGTAATGCTTAAGAAATAAGCCTAAATGATACAATAAACATCTCTTAAAACCATGTCTTATGTTAATGACATATTATTGATAGTGTTAGTGACAATAAATGATACCTATTATTAGTTTTAAATGATCATAGTCTCAACTTCAACTTGCACGTGAATACTCATAATTTCTAATTACCGATCAGCCCTTGTTACCAAACATTGCACTGTCGCAGGCCCTGTGCCTCTCCCTCCAAAATCTGCTCAGAGTTGTAACCCTCTCTTTACTGAGTTCAATGTGGCTGCCCCAGCATACCTCCCACAATTCTGCCCTGACCATGCCCCTTTCTCTCTGTTCCAGCCTCGCAGCACTATTCACACTCCCTCTCTCACTCTCCCCATCATCTGCAGTGGCACACAATGACATGTGCCATACCATGTCTATGCGTTTTTCCATCCTGTTTTCCAAGCCTGAAATGCCATTTACTTGGCACTAACCAAATCCTACCCATTCATCATGGCCTTCAATTCCTAAAGAAAAGCACCTTTAGAACTTTATCTTCTTGAGCTAAAACACATCTTGTCTATGTCAATTAGGTACTTAATTACAGCATCTTTATTTGTATTTTCTTTTGTTCTTTGAATGAAAATTTAATTTTTTCAACCAAACTGGGGACTTCCTAAGTGTAAAGACTATGTTTATTGGTTCTCGGATTCTTCTAGGTCCCATTGAATCCATTAGTAAATCACAGACAAACTGGGAATTTGACTTGAATAGAATCTCCACTTGAGTCAGTTCTTTCTGAAACAACCCTAGAACATGCCACAAAGATGGCTGTGGTGGCAGCGGTGGCTCATGCCTGTAATCCCAGCACTTTGGGAGGCTGAGGAGGGCAGATCACCTGAGGTCAGGAGTTCAAGACCAGCCTGGCCAACATGGTGAAACCCTGTCTCTATGAAAATACAAAAATTAGCCAGGCATGGTGGTGGGCAGGTGCCTGTAATCTGAGCTACTCAGGAGGCTGAGGCAGGAGAATTGCTCGAACCCAGGAGGCAAAGGTTGCAGTCAGCTGAGATCGTGCCACTGCACTCCAGCCTAGGTAAGAGAGACTCTGTCTCAAAAAAACAAACAACAACAACAACAACAACAACAACAACAACAAAAAGATGACTGGGAGTGGTAGATATCACATTTATAATTCCCTAAAACTCCTCATAATAGCTACACTTAATGATTTATTTCATTGGCCAGACCCCCATACAAGCCCAAAACACAATGTTCCTCCAAATGTATTATTACCTCCATTTTGCAGATGGGAAAACAGAGAGAGGTTAAGTAATCTTCCTCAAGAGATAAAGCTAAAACGTTATTATCTTCAAGAGGGTCGCTGCACAATTTTTCCTGCATTTAATTACGCACTATATGTACTCCTTTTATCCATCAGTAATATGGCCTGTTTAATTTTTTAATAGAAACAGTATAGTCTTGCTTAATTTCTTTTTTTTTTTTTTTTGAGATGGAGTCTCGCTCTGTTGCCCAGGCTGGAGTGCAGTGGCACGATCTCGGCTCACTGCAAATTACACCTCCCGGGTTCACACCATTCTCCTGCCTCAGCTTCCCGAGTAGCTGGGACTACAGGCGCCTGCCACCACGCCTGGCTAAGTTTTTGGATTTTTAGTAGAGACGGGGTTTCACCGTGTTAGCCAGGATGGTCTTCATCTCCTGACCTCATGATCCGCCTGCCTCGGCCTCTTAAGTCTTGTTTAATTTCTTATGTGGAATCTTTGTAACTAGAAGTCACAAACCAGCAGCCCATGGCTAAATCTGGCTATCACATTTATTTTATTTGGCTTATTCTTTAAAATTATATTTAAAAAGCAGACATTTCCAAACAGAAGTTTTCATATGAAAACCTGGATTTCTAGCTTTTATGAAATGATGCAAGTTAGATCAAATATGTAAATATGAAAAAAAACCATTCAAGTACCAGAAGAAAGCCATGAGTTGCTATTTGCATACTCTTGGGAGATAAAATATCTTTCTAATACATGAAGTCCAAAATCTGTAAAAAACTTTTTACATAAAAATTTAAAAATATAAATAGCAAAAGAGACAGAAAAAGAGAGTGAGAAGAAGGAAAGGGAGGAGGAGAAGTAAGAGGAGGAAGCCTAAAGACAAATTAGAAAAAAAAATTCATAGTATATATAGTAGACAAATGCTCAAATATCCCTAATATACAAGAAAACTCAGTAAAATCCATAAGAATGATTAAATTCCCAATAGAAAAAGTAGACTTAAGAATTCGTAGACAAAAAACGCAAGTTCCAAATAAACATATAAAATGACATTTTAACTCCCTAACAATGAAAAAAATTCATAGGCAGCAAAGCGAGACCCTGTCACTACAAAAAAATCTAAAATTTAGCTGGGCATGGTGGAGTCCCCCTATAGTCTCAGCTACTCAGAAGGCTGAGGCAGGAGGATGGCTTGAGCCCAGGAGTTTGAGGCTGTAGCAAGCCATGATCACACCACTGCACTCCAACTTAGGCAGTAGAGTGAGACTCTGTCTCAAAAAAAAAAAAAAAAAAGAAAAAAAGAAAAAAATTCAAATCAAAATAACAAGACACAATTTTTGCCCATCTTATCAGCAACTGTTAAAAACATCAATAATATCCAGTGTTGGGAAAGGTGTAGGAGAACAGACACTCTTATACATGATGGTGGAAATATAAAATGGTACAACCTTTTTGTAGGGCATTTGACAATAGCCACTTATAATTTTTAATATGCCTTTTTAAAAAATCTGATGATTCCACTTCCAGGGATTTGGTTTACACATTGCAAAAATGTGTGCATAAAAGTATTTGTTGTAGAATATTTGTAATAATGAAAGCTTAAAAACAAATTTAAATGTTCAAGACAATAGAAATACTTAATAAATTATGGTATAGCCATATGAGATACTAAGGAGTCATGGAAAAAAGTATATAGCATATTATTAGATGAGATATATGTGTGTATTTTATAATCCCATTTAAAAATAATTATATATTAATATGTGGGAAAAATCTAGAATACACATAAACCATTAACAGCAATCTTCTCTGATTGGACTCTTTTATATATGCTTATACATATATAAGCCTTACATACATACATTGCCTTGCTTGAATTTTTAACTAGGATATATTTCTTTTTGTCCTACAAATAAAATGACCCAACCATATAGATATTTTATGATTCCTTTAGTATCTGCTTCCTCCTTACTGCTTCTAGGGAGCTATTCCAGGAGACTGTATTCTAGACCATCTAGAGCACAGATTCTATTACTTTCTCTATTTTGCCCTCCATCCAAGGACCCCATTCACTTACATAGTGAATCAAGCAGACAGGTGGGGAAGAAGGTGTCTCTAGTCTTATACACTCAACCTTCACTTAGTCTTCTTGGGCAAATTGCTTAATGGTTTTTCTGTTTGTTTGTTTATAAAATGGCCATAGTAATATCTAATTATGAGGGTGGCTATAAGGATTAAATGAGAATATAAATGCCTGGCATATGGTAAGTACCTGCTAAGTGTTAGTTGCTGTTATCATCACTATTGCTATTAACTGTGCCTCCTAGGGTTAGGACTGTGCCTATGCTATTCACTATTTTATTGAGTTCAGTTTTATATGTAAATGGATGCCTGAAAAATATGTCTTGGTAGTTATGGCCACATACCCCCGAATGATTCCTGTTAGAATGACCAGTGAGTATTATAATATTTTTCAGTTTGGAGACTCTGCTTTTACAGGCTGACTCTAAGAAACCTTGAACAGGTTCACTCAATTGAAGACTTTATACAATGAAATGCTAGAATTGCCCAGGACTGAATTAGCAATGCTCTGGAAATGAAGGACTGAAACACAGAAATGCAAAAGTTCCTCTCTCTGCAGACAGGGCAGGGTAGAGAAGTAGAGAGGAAGAAACCATGTTTGCATAATCCCCAACCCAATCTTCCTTTCAGTTTACTCATCGAGATTTCACTACAGATAAAAAGTAGACCTGTATTTACTGACTAACCAAAAAGAAATTTTTTTCTTTCATCTTTTCAGGTTTGAAATCTTAGAAAGTTTTTGTAGTTTGATAATTCTTATCACAAGAACCTCTAAGAAAGATACAAACAACCCCACTTAATAAGCCTCTTAAGAATTTGATTTAAAAAAAATCTCTTCATGATTGTGTGTATGAGATGATTCTTTGCCTGAGTAAAAAGACGTGTTACCAGGAAAAAAGATTGTTTTTGAGTATGGGCAGGGGATTCCTGATATGATCAAATTGTTACACTATGTTTTCTTGGGTTTGTCATTTAAGAAGGAATTTCATTTCCTTCACAGTGAATTTCGTTGCCTTTGTTGATTGCTTTCAATCTTAATGCCATTAAAATTTGAGCTTTTTAAAAAAATACAATTTCTGCATATGGAAAAACAAATTGCTTGCTCGTTCTCATTTTCGGTGATGGAAGGTATGACTGCAATCACTGTGATGCGCACACCTCCCTTACTTTCAGTTTTTCCCTTGTTAAGATATGGAAAGTAAGAAAGAGGATAATTTGAATAAAGGTGGGAAGACCAAGTCTTGGGCAAATTTCTCCATTGCTTTTGCTTATATTTTCAACTTGATGTGAATAAAAACTCCAGTCTTTTAAGGTAATATTAATGCCAGGATTGTAGCATGTCTTTCCATTATATCAACTCTGTAATCACCCTTCATCTTTCCCTGTTCGGAAGGGAAAATACATACCAATGTTTGCGACAATGCTGTGTAACTGGTTAAAGTTTTCCATTTTTTCAGGGGTTTTAACTTTTTAAAAATTCCACATCATTATGATCCTGTCAAAAACTGAGAACTTTGAATGCTCTAGAAATGCTCCAGGGCAAAAATTCACATTTGATTTGAAGGAAACTTTTTTTGTTTGTTTGTGTATCTCAATATTATTATAAATACTATGCAGCACCAAAAATAATGTTTGTTTCTTAATTCATAACATATAGTGAGACCATACAGTTCACTATCCACATTTCATAGGTGAAAAAACAGAGTTTGAAATAGCTCAAAAAGATGAGCCCGCAGGCAGGGATTCATGTTGCCTGAGTGAACACTTTGGCTTCTGATTCCCAGTGCTCTGGCTGATGCCCCTCCACTAACAAGGAGGGTGCTGAAGGCAGGAAAAAGCTGGGCATTTACCAAAGGCCTGGCTGGAAAAAGAGTATCTCTGTGTGGCTAAAAAATCCAGCCCAGAAGAGATGGTCAGTACAAGTGGGCTGGGAAAATAGGGAGAGGTCTGAAGATGGACTCAGATCAAAGAACCAAGAATCACAGGGCAAGAACTGGTGAATGACACCCCAGACAAAGAGGAGATGATCTGGGTTAATTCTAAAGATCTGAGTGGATGGGTTTGGTTTATTAAAGAGACCAGGGGAGGGCACACAACTATGTTAACTCCTAAAACCCAGAATTATGTAATATTTTAGAAATTAAAGATAAAAATATGAATCTACCACCTCCTTTGAGCCCTAAATTATAATTATAGTGGGCAATAATCTTAAAACTACAAAAGGTGAGTGAGCCCTTTCTTTGTTCCCATGTAACTCATATGATTGGCTTTATCAGTTTACGGGCTCAAAAGCAGTCACAGTGCTCCTAGTTTAGCAGTTAATTGTTTTAGCCTCACCTTCAAGTTTTCAGCAAGTCCAATGACTCAATCTTGAGCCTCTTCCACTTCCCAAGTCCATAGCCCGTATGAATTGCCAAGAAAGTCAGGTGACTACTCAGTTCAAAGAAGTCTGTCTTGATTCCAATCACCAGGTAGCAGAGACTCGTTTTCGTTGTTGCCATCGGTCCCTCACAGGTCAACGAACATTGTCTCCTGCTGGGCTGATGCTCTTGCTTTCCAGACCCTGCCCAGGCCTCAGTATTGCCACACGGGGCTTTAAGGAGTACTACAATCTGAATGCTTTCCCCATAATTCATGTGTTGGACACTTAATCTCCAATGCAACAGTGTTGGGAGGTGGAGACTTTTACGGGGTATTTAGGTCATGAGGGTTCTACCCTTGGGAATAGATTGATACCATTATAAAAGGGCTTGACAGAGAGTTTGTTCCTTTTTTGCCCTTCTGCCTTCGGCCATGTGAGGACACAGCATTCCTTCCCTCTGGAGGATGCAGCATTCAAAGAGACACCTTGGAAGCAGAGACTGGGCATTCTCCAGACCCTGAACCTGCTGGTTCTCTAATCTTGGACTCTCAGCCTCCAGTCCTGTGAGAAATACACTTATGTTCTTTTAAAATTACTGAGTCTCAGGCATTCTGCTATAGAAGCACAAAATAGACTAAGACAAGGAGAGAGGTGGCTGGTTCACATGTTCACAGACATTCCAAAGGCTGAGTTCAAGGTCAGAGGGGCTCACTGGGAAGGCTGTTCAGCCTTAGCCACATGGTACAGATCTCCTCCTTGCCCCATGAACCTATCAGAGTAGGCTCCTCATCTCTTATAATGTGCTCCTCTCTGGGTCCAGTTATTCCTTCAAACTGCAAGAAAATCTCAGCCAGAGTCATCCCAATGCACCAGAAAGGGTCTAATGACACCAAATTTAAAAAGACTCTCCCAGGAGGCATTTATGCAAACTTACCTACTTCTTCTCAAGCAACCAGCTATGTACATCAGGAGTTGTTGGGGGAGTCTCGTGGTCATGTCACATTAAGATTCTGTTCACCCATCTGCTGGGGTAATGGGTGCCTATGTACCTTTTGTTTGCATAACTATGTGGAGTTCATGCGAATGGCTATTTTGAAAAACACAATCCCTTGTGCCCACCTATGCCAGGGAAGTGTTGGCTGCTTCATGTGCTGCCTGAAGTTCCTACATCTCTACCCCATTAAGCATTTTGTTATAACTAGAACACCAAATCTAAATTCATGTAAAGCCGAGTGGATTTGGCCTTACGATACATTCATCTTGGAATTCAGGTATGTCTGAGCCTGTCTTGAAGGCCAACAGGGTGGCCTGAAATGGGCTTATTTGCCTAAAGGACTGAAGAGCCTTCTGGGAAGAAAGACCTCATCCAAACATACACAATTCCATATCCTCAAGTTTGGTTCAAGAACAAAAGATGAGACTATGTGTGGGGGCTCATGCCCATAATCCCAACACTGAGGCAGGAGGGAGGATTGCTTGAAGCCCAGAGTTGGAGATCAGCTGAGGCAATGTAATGAGACTCTGTCTTAAATAAATAAACAAACAAACAAACAAACAAAAGACAAAACAAAGGAAAAAAGTGGAAGGTCAAGGGAGGGAGTAGACGAAAGGGTTTGCCACTCAGAATGTCCTTCAGTCCAACCTCCATGGATTTAATTCTAGGGCAGCAGGCAGAAGGGGCTACAATAAAGTGTGAATAAAAACTAAGAGAGTTGTTTTACCCAACTTGGTAGACCTTAAGAAACCTAAGACAATGCTTTCCAGAAAAAAATGGGAGAGGAGAGTTTTGTCTGACATCGAATGCTTTGGTGGAAGCAACAGGGCCTTGACAATATCCACAGCTTCAGGGCATCACCATAGTGAGCCAAAGAGAACAGAAATGGTAAGTACTAAGAAGAAGCAGAGAGTGAATTAGCAAGCACACATGACCTCTTGCCTGGCCTGTCAGAATTAACTGGGAGGAATTTCTGCAAAGCAGGTAGGAGCACAAGAGAAATACTGTTTTCTGTGACTGTTACTGGGACTCTACTTGTGCACCCCAGTCTGGGCTGGGGACCCAAAGCCTAAAATATAGATGAAGTTGAAATGTTTGTTCTTTGGAACCCCAGCAGGCCTTCTGTATTCTATTTGTTTTCTATAGACAAATATGTTTCAAAGACTATTTGACAGGAATTCCTGGAAATGATAGCAGATGCTTGGGTGCTGCAGGGAGGAGAAATTAATCTGGAAAGTGGGCATATATTGTTGGGTAAGAATCAAACACTAGGAACTGAATGATGATGATTGCTTTGTCTCATCTATGGTAATCTGTACTAATGCCTGAGGCTCAAGGTTCTAGCAGGTGCTATTCCCAAAGTTTTCTACCATGTGGAAATGTCAACCTTTGAAAACATTTGCTTGCAAATTTCTCTGAAAAGAGTCTGTACATCATATACTGAGTTTACATGTTTTCATTGGTTATAATTTAAACCAAAGGACATTTCTCTTTGTGATTTTGACCAGTATTATATTTTACTTTTTAAAGGGCTGTTATTCATTTTTATTTTTGCGTCTTTATTGTCTTTACTGAATAAACTTTTAGAAGATTCTATTCTTATTTCTCTTTTATCTTTCTGTTATAAGTGAAGAATAGGAAGAAGAAATAGAAGAGTATCAGATATAAGGACAAACATGGTCCCCGAAGGGAAGGCTGAAACTTTTTATCTCTCAGAAAGAAAATAGTCATTATTGTTGTTATTACAGAAGTAGCAATACTACTTACGTCAAAAATTCAGAAAAATATAAAAAGATATAAAGGAAAAGTAAAAATTATTTCCAAATCATACCGTTTAGAAGAAAATCACTATTAATGTTTTAGGAAACAGCTTACTTGTGTCTCCATATAAATACATACATACAGAGAGAGAGAGAGACAGAGAGAGAAATAACCTTTCTAAGTCCCTCAAGCAAAGCCTGGTACTTGAACCACTGACTAAATGTTGTCACCTTGGGCAGATAGACAGATAAGCAAACCTGTGTTTCAAAATTACCCATAACGCAGCAGCTCCACAGATCAAATTAACCACACAGGACAGCCCTAAAGATTGCTCATGAAAATTGCTAGAACCACATTGTTATCTTGTTTCCAGAACAATTCAGAACATCCGTGAGGAAACTCATAAACTATAAAGCATTGTCTTTGACGTATATAGTCATCTGATAGGGGCCACAGTTCCTGAGTGGCTCAAAATACCACAGAAGTGGGTTGGGAGCCTTTCTACCCAGGGAGAGTCCTTTAACTCATTTTCCTGCCTGATACTGGAGAAAGTCCAAGTAGTTTTAGTTTACCTCCACATTTGGAGGTAGGCATCCTTGAAAAACTCCAACAAAACTTTTGAAATCAGTTGCTGGCTCAAGGTTTTACCAGATCTCTCTGCCCCAAAGTTTTCTACCATGTGAAAATGTCAACCTTTAGAAATATCTGCTTATAAGTCAGGATAAGCGGACTTATTTTTCATCAAAGCAGGAATTTAAAAATAAAACAACATGAAACAAAATAAAACAAAAACTTGTAGTAATGAAGAAGAGGATTACGGCTGATATTATTCCCCCAGTGACTTTCAGGATAGGAGTGTCATTCCATCTTAGTGGCAGCATAGAAACAGATGGACTTTGGTGGTAACATGATTCTGAATCAAATCTCACTTATTTAGGGCCATATAACTATATTCTATACAATATTTTGGACATACTTATACTAAAGAAGTATTTGTTATTTAATTAAAACTCAATTTTAACTAGCCATCCTATATTTTAAAGTGCTAAATCTGGCAACCCAGCGCTCACTTATCATGTGATCTTGCACAATGCACTTTATTTTTCAGAACTGCCAGCTCTACATATGTAAGACGTGGGATAATAACTCTTAGATTATTGAGGAGAACCTAGCATTTGTTCAGTAGATATTTACTGAGCACCTAGTGTGGAGGGGGCTCTGGCCAGGGAAACAGCAGCACCTGTTCTCCTGAAGGTTACATTAAACAGTTAATCATACAATGGGTTGCTTACTTTAAATCGTACCATCACAATTTAAGGTAAGTAACCCATTGTGTGATTAACTGAACAGTATAGAATAGTATAGGGTGCTCTGAGATGGGAACCCTATATCTATCTGGTTAGAGAAGCTTTCTTTGTTGGATAGGTTAATTGGTTCGATTGTGGTAATCATTTTAGAGTGTGTACATATATCAAATTACCATATTGTATGCCATAAATGTATACAATTTTTATTTGTCAATTATACTTCAATAGATTTGGAGAAAAAAAGAGAAACCTTCTTTGAAGAAATGACACCTGAACTTAAATGCATATATCCAAATATGTGCACTTGGGGTATGTGAAACTCAACATGTCCAAAACTGAATTCGTACCTTTTCTTCCAAGGCTGCCTTTTGTCCAGTGTTCTTAAACTTCAGTTAAAGGGGCACCACTCATCCATTGCCCATGCCAGAATCCTGGGAGTCATTCCGAACTCACTGGACAATCACTGTCTATAGCAGTTATTTTATCAAGTTTTGCCAGTTTATCTTCCAAATATTCCTCAAATATGTTCCCTGTTCTCCGTCTCTCTTGCCACTTTCCTATCGCTTTTATGGCTATTTTGATAGCTTCCCAACCAGTTAATATGCTGCTAGTTCTGCTCCCTTTAAGCCTAGGTTTTTATACTTGAATTAGAGGTTATTCTCTTTCTCAACTTAAAACAAAAATGTTTCAGCGACTTCCATTTACCAAAAGCCCAAACTTTCACAAACTGGTTCCTACATATCCTACACTGTTTTTCCTCCACATTTGTATTCTAGTAACACTGAACTACTTGTTTCCCACATGTGCCATCATGTTTCATGTATCTGTGCCTTTATTCGAGCTGTAACCTCTGCTTGGTATTCTCCCTCCTTAATCAACTCTTACTGCCCTATTAGCATCTCCTCCTGGTAGTCTTCTCAGGGTTGAGCCAAGTGCTGGCAATAGACAGACCACACCAGATGCCTGCCAGATGCACTGACCCACTTGGGAAAGCCTCAGAGTTTCTGCCACCACACTCAGAGAGGACTATTAGCCTGAGTTGCCATATGCATTAACACAGGACCACCACCATGGTTACAGTTGATTGCATCAGGGAGAGCCACCAGATTCAAATATAGCCAACAATAGACTATCCCTTACCCGTGAGGCCTATCATATGAGCAGCTCTACTTAATCTACCAGTGTGCTCAGCAGGGGAAAATATGGCCCAATCTAGGCTGAGCCAACTCTCTTGGGGAGTTTGAAGGTAGAACACTCAGCATCAGTATCAGCAGCCAAGAGTGTGGACAGAAGCCAAGAGACACAAACAGGAGGCGATAACAAAAGCCACAGTAGAGCTGAAGCCGTGAGTAAACAAAAGCTATAAGGAAATTAGGGTCAATTATTGTTAGCAGCAAAAGTAATGAAAGCACCAACAAGATGCAGCTGAGTTCCCACAATGGTGGAGCAGTCTAGTAGGGAGCAGCCAATACCTGCTACTTAGAGAAAAAAAAGTAAAATTGGCAGCCACTGCAGCAGCACTATATCCTGAATGTGCTTGCTGTGCCTGTTGTTCTGGATGTCTGACTGAGTAACGGCAGTTGTTTCCAGAATGAAACACTGGTTCTCTTGAACCAGTCTTCAAGAGACTGCTGTGTCTGAATGCTCCAGATTTGCCACATGTTCTTATAAGAATCTCTTTTCTCCTTAGGTAACTGACACATGCTATTTGCAACTTGTAAGAACTCAAATAATGCAGTGCCTTTCTGCCAGTTTTCCCCACACTCTGAACAGCCTGTGAAAACCTGTATATCATCTCACCATGAGAATACTGTTAGCAGTGTTAGTCCCAGATGCAAAACATTACTTGAGAGGAAGGGAGTCACTACAAGATGATAAAAGGGTCATTTCACCAGTAAAACATAACTATTTTAGGCATAATAAACACATAAAATAAAACCACTCTCATACTCTTCTGGCATATTTCATATAAGTACAGGTCTTTTAGAGAGAAATTTTGACAATATATGTCAGTAATAATTAGATACCTACTATTGGTTGAATTGTGTCCCCTTAAAAGATACGTTGGAATCCTAACCCCGATATCTGTGAAAGTGATGTTATTTGGAAATAGGATTTTGCAGATATAATTGGTTCAGATAAGGTCATACAGGATTAGAGTGATCCCTAAATCCAGTGACTGATGTCCTTATGTAAAGATGCATAAAATAGAACATTATGTGAAGACGCAGACAAAGACTGGAGTGATGCATCTACAAGCCAAGGAACACCAAGGATTTTTGGTAACCACCAGAAGCTTGGAGAGAGGCACAGATCAAACTCCTCCTCAGAGCCCCCAGAAAGAACCAACTCTACCAAAACCTTGATTTCAGACTTCTAGCCTCCAGAACCATGAGAAAATAAATTTTTCTGTTATTTTAAGCCACTCAGTGTGCAGTATTTTGTTATGGCAGCTCTAGGAAACTTATACATCTCAGCCCCCAAACTAAAAGAAACCCTTCTTGGGGAGCTATTCCAAACAAAGAGTTTAAAAACAGAGAAATGTTTATATGATGATCATGTCCACCCTGGTGTTATTTGTAAGAAGAAAAAACTGGAAATAACAAAAAGTATAATATGAGATAGCTAAATAAATTATGCTCATGAAGACTATATATCACGAAAAATGTTTACGATGTAATGCTTTGTAAAAACAATTTAATAACAATTTTATGTAAGGTGTGATTACGGTATGTAAAGTACGCCAACTTAAAAAACTAGAATGAGATGTAAATGTTAATAATCGTTAGGTCAGGTCAAGGTCTTAAAGGGAAGTTTTCTTCTCTCATTTTCAAAATGTTAGAAATGTACTCACATTTCTTAATTTTAAAAAAAGAAATATTTTAAAATGGCCAAATGCATTACTATTATCAAAACACAAATACAGTTAACATACATATGGAATTCACAAAGAATGTATTACTCATTCACATTTCTATTGAACAATAAATTTATATTATCCAAACTTCATTATCTCTATTTAAAATTTGACATTAATGGACTTTATTTTTAAACCTTATGCCGAATTCTTTCACTTAACATACTACCCATTGCTTTTTCTAGGATTTATAAGACAAATGAAGAGTTGTAGAAGATCTCTGTTCCATTGACGACACTACCCTTCAGAGACAGGAAAGTTTCTCTCTCTTTGTGAAATATAGGTTCCAAAAGAACATGTCTATGCTGGTCATCATTGTTTCCCAGCCCCTAACCCAGTGCCTGGCACATAGGAAGTGCTCAATAAATATCTGTGGACTGGAAGAATAAATAGATAATGGAATAAATGACCTTTAGATAATAAAAAGCTGCATGCCTCTCAGCTCACTGCAGTAGTTGTTCTTTTTATTTTATTTTATTATTATTATACTTTAAGTTTTAGGGTACATGTGCACAATGTGCGGGTTAGTTACATATGTACACATGTGCCATGCTGGTGTGCTGCACCCATTAACTAACTCATCATTTAGCATTAGGTATACCTCCTAAAGCTATCCCTCCCCCCTCGCCCCACCCCACATCAGTCCCCAGAGTGTGATGTTCCCCTTCCTATGTCCATGTGTTCTCATTGTTCAATTCCCACCTATGAGTGACAATATGCGGTGTTTGGTTTTTGGTTCTTGCGATAGTTTACTGAGAATGATGATTTCCAATTTCATCCATGTCCCTACAGAGGACATGAACTCATCCTTTTTTATGGCTGCATAGTATTCCATGGTGTATATGTGCCACATTTTCTTAATCCAGTCTATCATTGTTGGACATTTGGGTTGGTTCCAAGTCTTTGCTATTGTGAATAGTGCCGCAATAAACATACGTGTGCATGTGTCTTTATAGCAGCATGATTTATAGTCCTTTGGGTATATACCCAGTAATGGGATGGCTGGGTCAAATGGTATTTCTAGTTCTAGATCCCTGAGGAATCGCCACACTGACTTCCACAAGGGTTGAAATAGTTTACAGTCCCACCAACAGTGTAAAAGTGTTCCTATTTCTCCACATCCTCTCCAGCATATGTTGTTTCCTGACTTTTTAATGATTGCCATTCTAACTGGTGTGAGATGATATCTCATTGCGGTTTTGATTTGCATTTCTCTGATGGCCAGTGATGATGAGCATTTTTTCATGTGTTTTTTGGCTGCATAAATGTCTTCTTTTGAGAAGTGTCTGTTCATGTCCTTTGCCCACTTTTTGATGGGGTTGTTTGTATTTTTCTTGTAAATTCGTTGGAGTTCATTGTAGATTCTGGATATTAGCCCTTTGTCAGATGAGTAGGTTGCGAAAATTTTCTCCCATTCTGTAGGTTGCCTGTTCACTCTGATGGTAGTTTCTTTTGCTGTGCAGAAGCTCTTTAGTTTAATTAGATCCCATTTGTCAATTTTGGCTTTTGTTGCCATTGCTTTTGGTGTTTTAGACATGAAGTCCTTGCCCATGCCTATGTCCTGAATGGTAATGCCTAGGTTTTCTTCTAGGGTTTTTATGGTTTTAGGTCTAATGTTTAAGTCTTTAATCCATCTTGAATTAATTTTTGTATAAGGTGTAAGGAAGGGATCCAGTTTCAGCTTTCTACATATGGCTAGCCAGTTTTCCCAGCACCATTTATTAAATAGGGAATCCTTTCCCCATTGCTTGTTTTTCTCAGGTTTGTTAAAGATCAGATAGTTGTAGATACGTGGCGTTATTTCTGAGGGCTCTGTTCTGTTCCATTGATCTATATCTCTGTTTTGGTACCAGTACTGTGCTGTTTTGGTTACTGTAGCCTTGTAGTATAGTTTGAAGTCAGGTACCGTGATGCCTCCAGCTTTGTTCTTTTGGATTAGGATTGACTTGGTGATGCGGGCTCTTTTTTGGTTCCATATGAACTTTAAAGTAGTTTTTTCCAATTCTGTGAAGAAAGTCATTGGTAGCTTGATGGGGATGGCATTGAATCTATAAATTACCTTGGGAAGTATGGCCATTTTCATGATATTGATTCTTCCTACCCATGAGCATAGAATGTTCTTCCATTTGTTTGTATCCTCTTTTATTTCATTGAGCAGTGGTTTGTAGCTCTCCTTGAAGAGGTCCTTCACATCCCTTGTAAGTTGGATTCCTAGGTATTTTATTCTCTTTGAAGCAATTGTGAATGGGAGTTCACTCATGATTTGGCTCTCTGTCTGTCTGTTATTGGTGTATAAGAATGCTTGTGATTTTTGTACATTAATTTTGTATCCTGAGACTTTGCTGAAGTTGCTTATCAGCTTAAGGAGATTTTGGGCTGAGACAATGGGGCTTTCTAGATATACAATCATGTCATCTGCAAACAGGGACAATTTGACTTCTTCTTTTCCTAATTGAATACCCTTTATTTCCTTCTCCTGCCTAATTGCCCTGGCCAGAACTTCCAACACTATGTTGAATAGGAGTGGTGAGAGAGGACATCCCTGTTTTGTGTCAGTTTTCAAAGGGAATGCTTCCAGTTTTTGCACATTCAGTATGATATTGGCTGTGGGTTTGTCATAGATAGCTCTTATTATTTTGAGATACGTCCCATCAATACCTAATTTATTGAGAGTTTTTAGCATGAAGGGCTGTTGAATTTTGTCAAAGGCCTTTTCTGCATCTATTGAGATAATCATGTGGTTTTTGTATTTGGTTCTGTTTATATGCTGGATTACATTTATTGATTTGCATATATTGAACCAGCCTTGCATCCCAGGGATTAAGGCCACTTGATCACAGTGGATAAGCTTTTTGATGTGCTGCTGGATTCGTTTTGCCAGTATTTTATTGAGGATTTTTGCATTAATGTTCATCAAGGATATTGGTCTAAAATTATCTTTTTTGGTTGTGTCTCTGCCCAGCTTTGGTATCAGGATGATGTTGGCCTCATAAAATGAGTTAGGGAGGATTCCCTCTTTTTCTATTGATCGGAATAGTTTCAGAAGGAATGGTACCAGTTCCTCCTTGTACCTCTGGTAGAATTCGGCTGTGAATCCATCTGGTCCTGGACTCTTTTTGGTTGGTGAGCTATTGATTATTGCCACAATTTCAGAGCCTGTTATTGGTCTATCCAGAGAGTCAACTTCTTCCTGGTTTAGTCCTGGGAGGGTGTATGTGTCGAGGAATTTATCCCTTTCTTCTAGATTTTCTAGTTTATTTGCGTAGACGTGTTTGTAGTGTTCTCTGATGGTAGTTTGTATTTCTGTGGGATTGGTGGTGATATCCCCTTTATCATTTTTTATTGCGTCTATTAGATTCTTCTCTCTTTTCTTCTTTATTAGTCTTGCTAGTGGTCTATCAATTTTGTTGATTCTTTCAAAAAAACAGCTCATGGATTCATTAATTTTTTGAAGGGTTTTTTGTGTCTCTATTTCCTTCAGTTCTGCTCTGATTTTAGTTATTTCTTGCCTTCTGCTAGCTTTTGAATGTGTTTGCTCTTGCTTCTCTAGTTCTTTTAATTGTGATGTCAGGGTGTCAATTTTGGATCTTTCCTGCTTTCTCTTGTGGGCATTTAGTGCTATGAATTTCCCTCTACACACCGCTTTGAATGTGTCCCAGAGATTCTGGTATGTTGTGTCTTTGTTCTCGTTGGCTTCAAAGAACATCTTTATTTCTGCCTTCATTTCGTTATGTACCCAGTAGTCATTCAGGAGCAGGTTGTTCAGTTTCTATGTAGTTGAGCGGTTTTGAGTGAGTTTCTTAATCCTGAGTTCTAGTTTGATTGCACTGTGGTCTGAGAGATTGTTACACTTTCTGTTCTTTTACATTTCCTGAGGAGAGCTTTACTTCCAAGTATGTGGTCAATTTTGGAATAGGTGTGGTGTAGTGCTGAAAAAAATGTATATTCTGTTGATTTGGGGTGGAGAGTTCTGTAGATGTCTATTAGGTCCACTTGGTGCAGAGCTGAGTTCAATTCCTGGGTATCCTTGTTAACTTTCTGTCTCGTTGATCTGTCTAATGTTGACAGTGGGGTGTTAAAGTCTCCCATTATTAATGTGTGGGAGTCTAAGTCTCTTTGTAGGTCACTCAGGACTTGCTTTATGAATCTGGGTGTTCCTGTATTGGGTGCATATATATTTAGGATAGTTAGCTCTTCTTGTTGAATTGATCCCTTTACCATTATGTAATGGCCTTCTTTGTCTCTTTTGATCTTTGTTGGTTTAAAGTCTGTTTCATCAGAGACTAGGACTGCAACCCCTGCCTTTTTTTGTTTTCCATTTGCTTGGTAGATCTTCCTCCATCCTTTTATTTTGAGCCTATGTGTGTCTCTGCACATGAGATGGGTTTCCTGAATACAGCACACTGATGGGTCTTGACTCTTTATCCAATTTGCCAGTCTGTGTCTTTTAATTGGAGCATTTAGTCCATTTACATTTAAAGTTAATATTGTTATGTGTGAATTTGATCCTGTCATTATGATGTTAGCTGGTTATTTTGCTCATTAGTTGATGCAGTTTCTTCCTAGCCTTGATGGTCTTTACAATTTGGCATGATTTTGCAGTGGCTGGTACTGGTTGTTCCTTTCCATATTTAGTGCTTCCTTCAGGAGCTCTTGTAGGGCAGGCCTGGTGGTGACAAAATCTCTCAGCATTTGCTTGTCTGTAAAGTATTTTATTTCTCCTTTACTTATGAAGCTTAGTTTGGCTGGATATGAAATTCTGGGTTGAAAATTCTTTTCTTTAAGAATGTTGAATATTGGCCCCCACTCTCTTCTGGCTTGTAGAGTTTCTGCTGAGAGATCCACTGTTAGTCTGATGGGCTTCCCATTGTGGGTAACCCGACCTTTCTCTCTGGCTGCCCTTAACATTGTTTCCTTCATTTCAACTTTGCTGAATCTGACAATATGTGTCTTGGAATTGCTCTACTCGAGGAGTATCTTTGTGGCGTTCTCTGTATTTCCTGAATCTGAATGTTGGCCTGCCTTGCTAGATTGGGGAAGTTCTCCTGGATAATATCCTGCAGAGTGTTTTCCAGCTTGGTTCCATTCTCCCCATCACTTTCAGGTACACCAATCAGATGTAGATTTGGTCTTTTCACATAGTCCCATATTTCTTGGAGGCTTTGTTCGTTTCTTTTTGTTCTTTTTTCTCTAAACTTCCCTTCTCGCTTCATTTCATTCATTTCATCTTCCATCACTGATACCCTTTCTTCCAGTTGATTGCATCAGCTCCTGAGGCTTCTGCATTCTTCACGTAGTTCTCGAGCCTTGGCTTTCAGCTCCATCAGCTCCTTTAAGCACTTCTCTGTATTGGTTATTCTAGTTATACATTTGTCTAAATTTTTTTCAAAGTTTTCAACTTCTTTGCCTTTGGTTTGAATTTCCTCCGGTAGCTCGGAGTAGTTTGATTGTCTGAAGCCTTCTTCTCTCAACTCGTCAAAGTCATTCTCCGTCCAGCTTTGTTCCATTGCTCATGAGGAACTGCGTTCCTTTGGAGGAGGAGAGGTGCTCTGCTTTTTAGAGTTTCCAGTTTTTCTGCTCTGTTTTTTCCCCATCTTTGTGGTTTTATCTACTTTTGGTCTTTGACGATGGTGATGTACAGATGCGTTTTTGGTGTGGATGTCCTTTCTGTTTGTTAGTTTTCCTTCTAACAGACAGGACCCTCAGCTGCAGGTCTGTTAGAGTTTGCTAGAGGTCCACTCCAGACCCTGCTTGCCTGGGTACCAGCAGCGGTGGCTGCAGAACAGCAGATTTTCGTGAACCGCGAATGCTGCTGTCTGATTGTTCCTCTGGAAGTTTTGTCTCAGAGGAGTACCCGACTGTGTGAGGTGTCAGTCTGCCCCTACTGGCGGGTGACTCCCAGTTAGGCTGCTCGGGGGTCAGGGGTCAGGGACCCACTTGAGGAGGCAGTCTGCCCGTTCTCAGATCTCCAGCTGCGTGCTGGGAGAACCACTGCTCTCTTCAGAGCTGTCAGACAGGGACATTTAAATCTGTAGAGGTTACTGCTGTCTTTTTGTTTGTCTGTGCCCTGCCCCCAGAGGTGGAGCCTACTGAGGCAGGCAGGCCTCCTTGAGCTGTGGTGGGCTCCACCCAGTTTGAGCTTCCCGGCTGCTTTGTTTACCTAAGCAAGCCTGGGCAATGGTGGGCGCCCCTCCCTCAGCCTCACTGCCACCTTGCAGTTTGATCTCAGACTGCTGTGCTAGCAATCAGTGAGACTCTGTGGGTGTAGGACCTTCCAAGCTAGGTGCGGGATATAATCTCCTGGTGTGCCGTTTTTTAAGCCCGTCAGAAAAGCGCAGTATTGGGGTGGGAGTGACCCGATTTTCCAGGTGCCGTCTGTCACCCCTTTCTTTGACTAGGAAAGGGAACTCCCTGACCCCTTGCGCTTCCCGAGTGAGGCAATGCCTCACCCTGCTTTGGCTCGCGCACGGTGCACTGCACCCACTGTACCCACTGTCTGGCACTCCCTAGTGAGAGGAACCCGGTACCTCAAATGGAAATGCAGAAATCACCTGTCTTCTGCGTCACTCACACTGGGAGCTGTAGACCGGAGCTGTTCCTATTCGGCCATCTTGGCTCCACCCTCCAGTAGTTGTTCTTAAGTTAGGTTTTCTGGTTTCATAGGTCTCTTCTTCCTTCTTTCCTTCCTTCCTTTACACTTTATGGCTAGACTCCGGTCTTTTTCCTTTTCTCATAATGGTCTGCACTCTTATTTTAGCAGTTTATTTTATTGTAAGTTGCCTCACATGGTTTTAGAAATTAAAAAGAATGTAAAAGAAATAGAGTTTAAAAATAATTAATTTTAAGTACTAAATTGTAAGGTATATGTTCTACGTATTAAGCTATATAAAACTCTCAATTTTTAATAAAACATACCATAATGAACCTAAAATCTCTTTATTATTATTTTTGTTTCCTCTTCTTCTTCTTTTTTTTTTTTGAAACGAAGTCTCACTCTGTCACCCAGGCTGGAGTGCAGTGGTGCTATCTTGGCTCACTGTAACCTCTGCCTCCTGGGTTCAAGCGATTCTCCTGTCTCAGCCTCCTGAGTAGCTGGGATTACAGGCGCCTGCCACCACACCTGGCTAATCTTTGTATTTTAAGTAGAGATGGGGTTTCACCATGTTGTCCAGGCTAGTCTTGAACCCCTGGCCTCAAGGGATCCACCCACCTCGGCCTCCCAAAGTGCTAGGATTACAGGCATGAGCCACCACGCTCAGCTTAAAATCTCTTTAGAATAGAGAACTGGACTTCAAGTTTTTCATTTAATTTATAGCATATAGCACAGGGCACTGCATATTTCATGTGTGTTATTAAAAGTCTTAATTTTAATCTAGCTTCTATATGAAGGTACTATATAAATAATGTTAACACTTGTTTGGTGACATTTTAGGCAAGGTAATTTTTTTAAAAACTTCTTCAAAATGAGAACACATGGACACAGAAAGGGGAACAACACACACTGGGTCCTGTTGGGGGATAATGGGAGGGAGAGCATCAGGATAAATAGCTAATGCATGCAGTGCTTAATACCTAGGTGATGGATTGAGAGGTGCAGCAAACCACCATGACACATGTTTGCCTATGTAACAAACCTGCACATGTATCCTGAAACATGAAATAAAATAAAACTTGTTTTAAAAAAAGGGTTATTATCAAGAGAATGATGAAATAAACTATGTATGATACATTCATTCAATAAAATGTTCCCAAAGCATTGTTAGGAGTGTTTCAAAAAATATTTATTTGCCTGAGAAAATAGCCATGATATAATGTAGGGTGAAAAAAGCAGAATACAAAATCATGTGTATGGTTATTATCCCAATTAAGTAAAGGGTGTAAACATAAATAAAGAGACAGGGAAGAAATAGAAAGAAATGCATCAGATTGTTAGGAGTAATTGTTGCTAGGCATATGAGACTGTAGATGATTTTTTTCTTCTTTGTATTTTTTTTCTATTTTCCAAAATCTCCACAATGAACATGCAGTAGGCTCTAATTGTGAGAAAAAAAGAAAAACATATGACCTTAAAAACAAAAGCTCTATACTCTTTATTGCTGGATACATGGAATTCAGAGGTCCATTTGTGTGAAGGAATCTGGGTCAGGCTCTTTCTGGAGACAGTGAAATAAGCTAAATGACTTGCAAAGTTTCCTTCCCTTTTCCCCTTGTAGCACCCTAAGAATCATTCCTGAGCAGCTGATAGTTTATTCAGGGAATTAGAGATGCATTTTAAAACCAAGAACACTCTAGTGATGTCAGCAAGATAGCTGACTAGATATGCCTAACTCTTGTTTCCCCACTGACCTCCACAAAAAAAGGACCAATGCAGCAAATAAACAACCTCAATTTGACTAGAGTTTAAAGGAGAATATAGCAAGAAAGTGATGGAAACCCTGTGAAGCACTGACACTCATGGTGGCAGAATAGAGAGGGAAGTTAAGCACCCTACCTCTGTGACCTCATCTCCTTGGCTGGGAATAGCTCAGAACTAGGAGAGACTTCTCACTGTGGGGAAAAGGTACGCAGATCTCTAGCAGCTCTAATAGTGTACTGTTGCAAACATCTGCAGACCTTGCTACAGGTGAGTGTTGTGGCTCCTTGAGCCCAGTTTAGGGTGCTTCATACAAGCTCTAAACCCAGTTTAGGGAATCTCCCAGAGACCATATGGCTGAATTGTTCCAGAGAATAAGCACATATTGTGCCCCCACTACTTCCTGTGACCCAAGTTGCTCTTGTGACCTGTGACACCATCTTGAGACCAGAGCCGCTACTAGAGTATGCCCTGTGCCAGGGACCAACAGCCAGTGTATCTCCTCGTCCCTGAGGACTTACTGTTATTCAACCATGCTCAAACAAGTGGCAGCAATGCCTTGACCCCAACTACTCAGAACCTAGACCCAGGGGATAGTTGCTATCCTGGTGACAAAGTTTATGCAGCATCCTGCACCCCAAGGTGGTCCTGTACAGCATGGAGGTCTCCTCTGTGACCACTCCTGTGAACAAAGCCACTGCACTTTGTGACCCCTCAAGGCCTGAGAAATAGCCCACTCAGTGGCACCCAGCAACTCTGCCTCCATGATGGGTGGAGTCACTGTCTGCCTTATGCACATCCTCCCAGGGCTGAAGACTACCATCCCTAATGGCACCAGGCCCAGCAAAGCCATGCCACCACCTCCATAAACGCCCAAATCCTAGACCACGGAGGCATATGCAGAAACTGCTAACATTGATTATAGCTAAAGAAATTACATGAAGACTACACTACTGCACCTACCTAAACCAATGTCAAACATGCTACCCAACGGGCATCTAGGACCCATCTACAGGAATATCTTTCCCTGTGAAAGCTACTTGATACAGCTGGAAGAGGAGAATGTTCCACCAGCTGTGCAGATATATATACAGGGACACAAGAAACATGAAGAGGCAAGGAAATATGAAACCTCAAAAGGAACAAAGTAATTCTCAAGTAAGAGACCCCCAAAGAGAAGAAAATCTGTGAAATGCCTGAAAAGAAATTCAAAACTATGATCTCCAGGAAACTCAGTAAGATATAAGAGAATACAGAAAGATGACTCAACAAAATCTGGAAAATAATTCACAATCTGAAGGAAGAATTAAGCAAAGAGATAGACATAATAATAGTAAAAAAATGAAACAGAAATCTTGAAGCTGAAGAATACAATGAATAAAATAAAAATACAATCAAGAGCTTCAACAACAGACTAGAGACAGGCCTCTGAAATAACCCTTTCTTTTGGAAAAAAAAAAAAAGAGAATAAAGAAAGCCTACAGAACTTATGGGACACCATTAAGTGAACAAATACTCAAATTATGGGTTTTTTTTTAAGAAGGGAAATACATGGGAAAATGGATAGAAAAACCTATTTAATGAAATAATAAATGAAAACTTCCCAAGTCGTGAAAAAGATATGGACATCCAAATCCAGGAAGCTCAATGTCCACAAATATAGTCAACCCAAAAAGTCCTGTCTAAGGCATATTATGGTCAAACTGTCAAAAGTCAAAGAGAATTCTAAAGATAGCAAGAAAAAAGCATCAAGTCACATATAAGGTCAAGTTATATATAAGGGAATGTCCATTAGACTATCAGCAGATTACTCAGCAGAAGCCTTGAAGGCTAGGAGAGAGTAAGATGATATATTCAAAGTGCAAAAAGAAAAGAAAACCCATGTCAACCAAGAATACTATGTCCAACAAAGCTATCCTTCAGAAAAGAAAGGGAAATAAAGTTCCCAGACAAGCACAAGCTGGAGGAATTCATCACCACTAGACCAGCCTTACAAGAAATGTTCATGGGAGTGCTACAACTGGATGTGAAAGGATGAAAACACACAAAAGTATAAAAGTCATTGATAGACATAAACTCAAAATCAAATTCAGTACTAGTAGAGTAAATTCACTATCAAACTCAGAATAACCCAATAATGTAATGGTGGCATATAATCTTTTAAATCTCTAATATAAAGGTTAAAAGTCAAAATGGTCAATGATAATTATAGCTACAAGTAGAACACATTAAAATTAAGGCCACAAAATTGTAGATTGTGTGGGTTGGGTAAAATAAAAAGTATTTGTATATGACCAAAGTTAAGTTGTTATCAGCTTAAAATAGTCTGTAATAAACACAAGATTTTTGTTGTTGTTGTTTTTGAGACAGGGTCTTACTCTTTCACCCAGGTTGGAGTTCAGTGGCATGAACATGGCTTACTGCAGTCTCAAACTCCTGGGCTCTATCAATTCTCCTGCCCCAGCCTCCCAAGTAGCTGGGACCACAAATACACACCACTATGTCCAACAAAATTTGTTTTTACTTTTTGTAAAGTTGGGGTCTTGCCATGTTGCCTAGGCTGGTCTCAAACTCCTGGGTCCAAGCAATCCTCCTACCTCAGCCTCCAACAGTGCTAGGATTACAGGTGTGAGCCACTGTGCTCAGCCTAAATACAAGATTTTTAATGTAAGCCCCACAGTAACCAGAAAAAAAAAACCCAGCAGATACACAAGTGAGAAAAAGGAATTAAACTTTATTACTATAGAAAACCTCCAAACCACAAAGATATACAATAATGGAAGAAGAAACAAAAGCTATACAAAACAACCAGAAAACTATTAACAAAATGGCAGAAGTAAGTCTTCACTTATCCATAGTAAACTTAAATGTAAATGAACTAAATTCCCCAATTAAAAAGTATATAATGGCTGAATGGATAACAACAAAAAACAGACCCAAGGTTGGTTCAATATACACAAATCAATAAATGTAATTCATCACATAAACAGAACTAAAGCCAAAACCACATGTTTATCTCAATAGATGCAGAAAAGGCTTTTGATAAAATTCAACATCTCTTCATGTTAAAAACTCTCAATAAACTAGGTATTGAAGAAACATACTTCAAAATAATAAACCATTTATAACAAACCCACAGCAAATATCATAATAAATGGGGAAAAGCTGGAAGAATTCCCCTTGAAAACTGGCACAAGACAAGGATGCCCTCTCTCACCACTCTTATTCAATATAGTACTGGAAGTCCTGGCCAGAGCAATCAGTCAAAAGAAAGAAAGAAAGGCATCCAACTAGGAAGAGAGGAAGTCAAACTATCCCTATTTGCAGACACAGGAATCTGTAACTAGAAAATCATAGTCTTGGCCCAAAAACTCCTTAAGCTGATAAAGAACATCAGCAAAGTTTCAGGATACAAAATCAACATACAGAAATAACTAGCAACATACAAAAATCACAAAAATCAACAGCTAAGACAAGAGCCAAATCAGAAACACAATCCCACTCACAATTGCCACAAAAAGAATAAATACCTAGGAATACAGCTAACCAGGAAGGTGAAAGATCTCTAAAATGAGAATTACAAAATACTGCTCAAAGAAATCAGAGGACATAAACAAATGGAAAAACATTCTATGCTCATGGATAGAAAGAATTAATCATTAAAATGGCCATACTGACCAAAGCAATTTACAGATTCCATGATATTCCTATCAAACTACAAATGACATTCTTCACAGAACTAGAAAAAACTACTTTAAAGTTTGCATGAAACCAAAACACAACCTGAATAGACAGGGAAATCCTAAGCAAAAAGAACAAAGCAGGAGGCATCACCCTACCCAACTTCAAACTATACTACAGGGCTATGGTAACCAAAACAGCATGGTACTGGTATAAAAACAGAGACACAGACCAATGAAACAGAATAGAGAGTGCAGAAATAAGGCCACACACCTACAACCATGTGATCTTCAACAAAGCTGGCAAAAGCAAGCAATGGGGAAATGACTCCCTATTCAATAAATGATACTGGGATAACTGGCTAGCCATATGCAGAAGATTGAAAATGACCCTTCCTTACACGATATACAAAAGTCAACTCAAGATGGTTTAAAGACTTAAATGTAAAACCCCAAACTATGAAAACCCTGGAAGACAATCTAGGCAATATCATTCTGGACATAGAAATGGCAAAGATTTCATGACAAAGACACGAAAAACAATTGCAACAAAAGCAAAAATTGACAAAAGAGATCGAATTAAATTTAAGAGCTTCTGCACAGCACAAAGAAACTATCAACAGAGTAAACAGACAACCTACAGAATGGGAGAAAAATTTTGCAAACAATGCATCTGACAAAGGTCTAATATCCAGCATTTATAAAGAACTTAAACAAATTTACAAGAAAAAAAACAACCCCATTAAAAAGTGGGCAAATGACATGAACAGATACTTTTCAAAAGAAAACATACATGTGGAAAACAAACATATGAAAAAGCTCAATATTACTGATTAGAGAAATGCAAATCAAACCCACCATGAGACACCATCTCACACCAGTCAGAATGGATATTAATTACTAAAAAGTCAAAAAATAACAGATGCTGGTGAGGTTGCAGCAAAAAGGAAACACTTAATACGCTGTTGGTGGGAGGGTAAATTAGTTCAACCATTGTGGAAAGCAGTGTGGTAATTCCTCAAATAGCTAAAGACAGAAGTACCATTCAACCCAGCAATCCCATTATAGGGAGGATCCAAGATCCTGTATAAAAATGGAACCTTAAATTTTGGGGATCTGTTTTTGCCTTTCAGCTGTGTCTGCTTATTGGGCCCTAGTCCTGGCCCTGTTCCTTGAAGGGCTCCACCCTGAAGCCAGGAATCCAGTTAAGAAACTGGCAAACAAAAAATGTCACAACTGCTGAATCTTCTTCTTTCTGTGTATTTTTATGTGTTGTGTGTGATGTTTAGAAAAGCGCTCTGTTTAATTGGCTTAAGAAATAATAAGTGCTTAAACGCTTTGTCAGAAAAATAGAAACTTTAATGCCTTTTAGTTTACATGACTTTAGTAATCCCTGGGAAATAAAGATGGTTTTAAAGATTATTAGTAAAATAAAAATGTCTATAAAATTTAAACATTTGAAAATATTTAGACATTTGACAAATTTAGACATTTAAAGTAAGTCAGAGATTAGATTTGCTAAATGCTTTAATGTCATAAACTGCTTCTTTGACTTTGAGGTAAGGCCTGGGGACATGCGGAGTCAGCCATGCTCCCTAGCTATGCTGGAAAGAGTCAAACTTTATCTGCACTTCTCTCTGGTGTTCTAGGCTCCACACCTGGTACATAAATAGAATTACTTACTTGCCAGATTTTTACCAAAAATATAAGTTGCTAAAAGTAACATTGAAACATGTAATTAAGACTACTGGGGAAACAATTTTACATGCCAGGTGTGTAAGGAAAATAGAATGTGTTTTTGGTAAAAGATTATAAAAAGGCATGGGAATTTGGGTTTTGTCTAGTTTTGAGGATTAAAGGATTGGATTGTTTTAAGTTAGACAGAATATAGCTAAAGGTTTGAGCAAGTTGTGAAAGGTTTGTGAAAGATTAATCTTATAAAAGAAATTCTGTGTGTAAACATATTGGCTAAAGCTAAAAGGGTATTATTTAGTTTTTACATAAGTTGAACATTTCAGCTAAATGAATAATCTGTGATTCTATTTTGTGATATCCAGTGTTTTAAACCTTTAATATTTGTAAAACCTTCTAAGATCAAATTCTAAGTTAAGTTAAAAAAAGAAAAAAATTAGGTCCTTTTAAGTCCAAAAAGGACACATTTCACTTATTTGATGTATTAAAATCATGAAGGGAGCACTGTCAAATATAAAATGCTATTTAATTTTCTTTGGGTTATAGTTATATAAATATGTATTTGTATGTGTTATGAAATTATATAAGATTCCTATAATTTTGATATGTCTCAATATATGTTAGCAAAAACTGTAATTGTTATGTTAATTTGTTGTGTATCACAGAGATGCCAGATTTTCTTGTTGATTGCATCTTTAACTATGGCTGTCCTGAGACTTCTGTCATCCATGGACAATTGTTGTCTTGTTTTGACCCTTTTCAGAATGCAATTTATAATCAGATATAGGACTCTGATGGGTACTCTTGAATGCAGGTCTCTGATAATCTTAGAAATTGTGTTATCGGAATAGAGGAAAAAAAACAAACTTCTAGGACTCTCAAGGAGAACTGATGTGTTAATAATTCTTTTGCTTCTCAGAGTCAAGAAAACTTTTTCCTTTTTATCTATTTAAAACTTTTAGCAATTGAATAAATTATACTCTTGGAAGGAAAATGTGGAGCATATTGCTTTTTCTCTATGTGATTTCTCCCTAATATAAAAACTATTTGTGAGTATTCTCAACTTATGGCAGTATAGTTATTTGCATGAGTACAATAAGAATCTGTTTTCTTTTGTAACAAGGCACAATTGGAGAAACTGGTTATTTTACCAAGTTTTTGACTGGAATGGCATACTTTCTTTAAAGATCAAGGTTGACTTATAGAGCCAGTAAAAGCCCCTTGGGAAAGTTGGCCTCATACTTCGTCTACACATTCCCTGTTCAGGGTTCCTGACTGGTGGTAAGTAAAGAATGTCACTTTCTGACAGGCCCAGGAACCCCAAGTTATCTTGGGGACCTCAAGAGGAGGGAAATGCACCCAACTCATACTGGTATTTGCAGGCAAAGAAAATCCGTGGCTCAGTTTCAAGGCTTTAAAAAGTACAATTTGAGATTCCTTACAGAAGAAAGTTTCAGCAAAGCCAATTTAAAAAAAGAGCCTATATGGCAAAAAATTATTCCTACTGCACTTTATGCAAATAATCAGCTCAAACATAATAAAACTATAACTTATTTTACAAGTAAATTTGTCCTATAATGATGTATCTTTAATAAAAATGGGCACTGGAGGGAGAAAATTATGTTTCAAAAACTATAGTACAACTGTTGTTAGCTATTCTTGAGTTTTTATTATTTTCTACAATTTGAACTAAATCTTAAATTCCTTGTGGGCTACAAGTCCCCAAACTAATGCTTTCAAATCTTTATTTTTAAAACTAGGAATTGCACTCCTTATCCTAGGACTCATTATTTACCCGATAGTACACTGCTTGCTTAAATGCTGTACTAAAACTATAGATGAGAATACTAATGCCTTTATCATACAAGCCTTGGAACCCCAGCCCAGCCCACACTGAGTATTCTAAGACATCTGGGAAAGCAGTTCCACTCTTCTCACCTTGGGGTCATCTCCTATTCCCACTATGTCCCCTGACAGGAAGAAAAAGCCAGAGCAGTGGTCAGCCTTTTCCCATCTTCATAGACCACGTCGTAAGAATAAGGTGTTATAAAACTCAAAGGGAGGGACTGAAACCATCATTGCAAAATCGTAACTAAGGCAGTGAAAGAGATCTGACCTAACCAACTCCATCTTGCTTCTAACCTCCAAGCTGTCCTTGTTCACTCCTGGGTGTAGCCAGAATTAACTTTGGGAGACACTTAGTTTAGTTTATAGTTTGAAACAAACATGTTAACAGCCCTTCCCAAAACAAATCCCCGTCTTTCCTGGGGACTAGACTGCATTTGTAGGACTAACAAATTAGCCACAAGATTAGAAATTATGGTTTAGGAGTCATGCAGCTGGAAGCTACAAGATTCTGACCCTCCCCAAATTGCTCCTGAGGCACTATTGTAAAACCTAAGATCAGTGCTTGAGATATTTTGCAGACTCTGCACTTGATGGACTAGCTTGCACCATCCAGATCGATAAACTGGCTCATCTGATCCTGTGGCCCCCATCCAGGAACTGACTCAATGCAAGAGGACAACTTCGACTTCCTATGATTTCATCTTCAACCCAACCAATTAGCATTCCCGATCCACTGCTCCCGCTACCCAACACACCAAATTATCTTTAAAAACTCCAATCCCCGAATGCTTGGGGAGACTGATTTGAGTAATAATATAACTCTGGGCTCCCGCACAGCCAGCTCTGCGTGAATTACTTTTCCTGTATTGCAATTCCCCTGTCTTGTTAAATCAGCTCTGTCTTAGGCAGTGGGCAAGGTGAACTCGCTGGGTGGTTACAAGAGGAGTAGGGATGAGTAGAAGCAAATGGAGAGACCAAGCACATAATTTTAAAAAAATGGTTTCAGTCAACTGAAAAAAATTCCCCAAACAAAATCCAAAAAGAGAAAAAGCATAAAAGCCTTTTATATATATTTACTCTCTCTCTCTCTCTCTCTCACACACACACACACAATTTGTATATATTTATATAAATATCCTTTTAGGTTTCTTATTATCATATTTTAGCTGGTTCAGACAGCTCTTATTTCTGGCTTTTGAAGTTATTTACCAAAGGTATTCTCCCAAGTGAAAACAATAAGCCTTAACCAAGATTATGACTTAAGCAAGGACGCACAAGGCATCTCTAAAGCGGTTCAAAGTGGTCCTCACAAGATCTAGAACCACCCCAAAGATAGCTCAAATAAAGGAAAGTTTCACTAGCAACAAATATAGTACAACTTACATTTCTGTCCAGCCATATTCTCCAGACTTTCAGTTTCCCAGCTGACTGTCAACACACAAAGGCCCCAAATCCCAGTGTGCTGCCACAGACAGGAAACAAGAAATCAAAATCTGTCCATGGATGGGAAGAGGATCAATAAGTTCCAAAGTCATACAAATATCAAACCAAAAGGGACTGATTCCTGAGGAGAGCAAAGATCACCTGGTGACCATCAAGAGGCCATCGGGAGACAAAACTCATCTGAGGAATTTAGAAATAATTAGACTTCCCTATTATCTAAAGCCAGCATCTGGTTCCAGGCCTCTTTCCAAAACATTTATAAGTAACTAGAATTTCTATAAATCTCCAGAAGGCATGCAAGCCAGAACTCATTGTGCAACCCTTGCTGACATTAAGGCACCAAAATGTCTACAAATGTAATAATTTATTATGACCTACATGGCTAGTATGGTCCAAGTTTCCCTTAAGCTCCCACTTTAATGTTCACAAATGTACCTAAGGAAAATCCATCCGTGCAGTCAGTCCTTTCTTGCTGAGGCTTCCTCCTGCACTCTTCCGCAGCATTCTTTCTCTCTAATAAAACTTTTCTTTTTAAACCTATATTGTTTGTTGTCGGTAAATTCTTTTTACCAACCCATGAGTCAACCACTTTCCAATGCCAGGACTCTGACATCTTGCCCAGCAATTTGCTGATCAGGAGTTTTAACTATTAGAATACAAAATGGAGCAACCTTCATTGTTAATCCTGTGTGGAATCCAAAACTGGCAGTTATGAATGTATGAGAAATCTTAACTATTTTAAGTCAGATTTTTGCTCTGTAATTTAGTCAAGAGAATTTTTCAGACTACTCATAACACTAGTATATGTCATTTAAAAATTTTTGATATTCCCATTGTGCTTAAACATGTAAGGCACTGGAGTCCCTTATGGCCGCTAATCAGAGACTGTCCTCTTAGAACTAAGGTTCTTTATAATTGCACTTACCTTATACAGGTATAAAAGTAGGCCCAAGGAGAAAGCTCACAAATGAGATGACTATATAAGAGGTTTTCCTTTGACTATTATTTGCTCAGCAGGACAGAAACAATAGTCATTCACTTAGCTATTTGATTTTTAAAAAGAGCTCTTTCAGTTCTTCTTAGCCAGAAAACTAGCAATATAGATTAACATAAAGTACAAAGTTATGGAATGGACTCTATGTCACATTAAATGGTAATCGTAATTGTGAAATTCAAACCTTATCTGTCCCAGTATAAATATACATTTCACTTTCTGTTCTTATGATTCAGGGAATTTATACTTTAAATATTATTGAAATTATTTTTATTTCCTAAAAAACAAATTCCAGATTGGGACTATAAGACTGGATTCATGGATTAGGGAAATAACAGTTATTAACTTAAGGCTGAATTGACATTACTGAGAAACACCAATTTTTAAATTGATTACTCAAGTTACATAAGTCAGCAGTTACACACAAGAATGACAGCTACAGAGATACATTTTATTTATGACTTCCTCATTTCTGTGGAATAGTATATTTTCAGGTTGAAATGCTATCTCCATTTCTTCAAAATAGGTAAAGAAATCTTTTATCATCCACTTTTATCTGTGTGTCTTGTAGCATTTTAGCAAGAAAATCACTGTATTAAAAATCTTTTACATTTCTTCAAATATTCATCCCCCTAACCATTCCCCTGGATTTTAGTGTTGCTTGACCATATAAATTGGGCTTAAAATTAGTATCCAAGTCATAAATAAGTCAGTAACTAGAAACAGTAGGAAAAGCCTTAAATTTATTAAAGTAAGTAGAAAATGGTTATTCTCCCACCATCTCATATTTTACTTTACTATTCAATCCAAATTATTCAACCTAATATTTCTTCTATTTTCCCAGAGAGACAACAGGAGGGCTGGGTGTTGGTGGGGAATTGGCATTAGTGAGCTTGGGAGCAAACTCAATTCTCCCTACCTAAGGGTTCCTCCTCAGAGAGATCCACTTTCTAAGAAAAATAAACCCTCTTACCAATTTTAAATCAGTATGAGATCTAATTAGAAAAAAAAAAAAGATAAAACCACAAACCCATGGCACACCAGAGAGATTTAGACACCTGAGAAATAAAAATAAAATTCCAAGCCCCCCAGCTGACTGAATGCCCCCCCTCTTCACCAAGGGGACCCCAGAGAAACCTTAAAAACTAAATTTCTAACCATGACAGGATGGGAGGTCAGACACATCTCATTATACGTCCTTCCTCGCTCACCACCATTAGCCTTTCTTCCCTGTGGGTTAAACAGAAACCAGCCCTTTGAAGACTCCACTGTTGATATTAACCAACTGCCTGACACTGCCCCCTTCCTTTTTTGGTTTTGGCACAACAGCAAACCAGCATTCCTTCCTGATAAGAGACTACTGATGACAGAGTGGTTCTGGCCTGTCTATAGAGGATGCCCAGGGAGGGCTTTCACGTCCTTTGCTTCACCTTTTGATGTCAAAGGACTGAAAACTCCACCTCTGAATCATGCTAGTGCCGTCATGAAGGGACATGAAGCTCAACTGCACATATGCATATTTCTTCTTCCATAAATATACATAACTCCTCCTACAGCTTATTAAATATCTATATTCAGCTACCGTGCTCAGCATAAATCCCTTAGCATTCTTCAGTTGACATGACTGGTGATAAGGGTGGGATCCACAGAGAATCCTGGATTCCCCTAATGTGATCAAAGTCAATGCACCAAGGTCTACAGCTCAGCTGTCTCCCCGACGGTGCTGAGAGGAAGCTTGGTAAGCTCCCCTAGATCTAAGATTTCTCCCCTCTAGGTGAAGATTTTGCAGACTATTTCTCTCTACCCTAACCCTTTACTTCTTCCTGGTTCCTTTCCAGTCCCTGTCCTAGTTCCCTCCATCTGGATCATGGAGCGGATCTTCCCTGTAAGCCCTAGGTTTTGGTGCATGGGTGGGGTTCCCAGATCAGTTAGACTCAGCTGATCTGTAAGGTCTTATAAGGACACTCACGCTAAGGGCACCCAAAGGAATTCTTTTATAATGTGATCTGACACTTTTAGATCTGCTTTACCAGAAGCACTAATGGGAATTCTTCAATCTTAAATGAAAAGACGCTAACTAACAACATGAAAACACATAGAAGTATAAAAACTCACTGTAAAGGTTAGAATAGAGTCAAATTTAGAATACTCTAATGCTGTAATGGTGGTGTGTAAATACTTTTTAACTCTATTATAAAAGTTAAAATATAGCTACAATAATTTGTTAATGGATACATAAAATTAAAAGATGTAAATTGTGATGTCAGTTACATAAGATGTTGGGAGAGGAGAAGTTAAAGTGTAGTTTTTGCTTGTGGTCAGAGTTAAGTGGTTATTGGCTTAAAATAGACTGTTATAAAGTGTTTTTATATAATCATAAACCTCACAGTAATCCCAAGTAAAAAAAAATCTGTAGTAAATACACAAAAGATAAAGTGAAAGGAATCAAAGCATACCACTATAAAAAAAATCACGAAATCACAAAGGATAACAGGAAGAGTAAAAGAAGGGAACAAAGGAACTATAAAACAGTCAGAAAACTACCAATAAACGGCAGTAGAAAGTCCTTACCAATATATAATTACTTTAAATGCAAATGGATTAAATTCACCAATCAAAAGACATATAGTGGCTACATAGATTAAAAAAAAAAAACCAAAACAAGATCCAGCTATACCCTGCCTGTAAGAGACTCATTTTAGATTTACAGACACATATAGGCTGAGAGTAAAGAGATGAAAAAAGATATTCCATGCAAATGGTAGCCAAAAGGGAACAAAGGTAGCTGTACTTACATCAGACAAAATAGACTTTTCATTTTTTTAATTAATTAATTTTTTTTTTTTTAGATGGAGTCTCACTTTGTCACCTAGGCTGGAGTGCAATGGTACAATCTCAGCTCACTGCAATCTCTGCCTCCTGGGTTCAAGTGATTCTCCTGCCTTAGCTTCCTGAGTAACTGGGATTACAGGTGACCGCCACCATGCTCAGCTAATTTTTGTATTTTTAGTAGAGACAGGGTTTCACCATGTTGGTCAGGCTGGTCTTGAACTCCTGACTCCAGGTGATCCACCCACCTCGGCCTCCCAAAATGCTGGGATTACAGGTGTGAGCCACCGTGCCCAGCCCAAAATAGACTTTTTAAGTAAAAAGAGGTTATAAGAGACAGGAAAAGGTCATCATATAACGATGTGTGTCAATTCATCAAAAGCTTATAATAATTATAAACATATATATATACACACACACACACACACATATGCACCAAACATAATCAGAGCACCTAAATATTTATTTAAAAAATTGACAGGACGGGAGAAACAGACAGCAATAAAATAACAGTAAGAGACTTCAGTACCCACTTTCAATAATCAATAGGTCATCCAGATAATAAAATAAATAGGAAGCATTAGACTGGAACAACACTATAGCCCAAATCGACCTAACAGACATATACAGAACATTGCAGCAGCATGCAGTCTTCTCAAGCACACATGAAATATTCTCTAGGAAAGATCACTCATTAGGTCACAAAACAAGTCTTAACAAATTAAGAAGATTGAAATCATCCCAAGTTTCTTTTCTGACCACAATGGAATGAAAGTAGAGATCTATAACAAAGGGAAAATGGTAAAACTCACAAATACATACTAATTAAACAATACACTTTTGAACAACCATTGGGTCAATGAAGAAATCAAAGGGAAATTATAAAAATCTTGAGAAAAATGAAGACAAAAACATGCATACCAAAACTTATAGGATAGAACAAAAACAGTAATAAGAGGGAATTTTATAGAGATAAATGCCTACATCAAGAAATGAAGAAAAGTCCACGCACAGGGGCTCAAGTCTGTAATCCCAGCACTTTGGGAGATAAATGCCCACATCAAAAAATGAAGAAAAGGCCAGGCACAGTGGCTCACGCCTGTAATCCCAGCACTTTGGGAGGTCCAGGTGGGCGGATCACTTGAGGTCAGGAGTTCGTGACCAGTCTGGCCAACATGGTGAAACCCTGTCTCTACTAAAAATACAAAAATTAGCTGGGCGTGGTGGCAGGTGGGAGCTTGTAATCCCAGCTATGTGGGAGGGTGGGGCAGGAGAATCACTTGAACCTGGGAGTGGGAGGCTGCAGTTAGTCGAGATCATGCCACTGTACTCTAGCCTGGGAGACAAAGTGAGACTCTGTCTCAAAAAAAAAAAAAAAAAAAAGAAGAAGAAGAAGAAGAAGAAAGATCTCAAATAAACAACCTAATATTACACCTCAAAGAACTACAAAAAAAAAAAAAAGAACAAAGTATGCCCAAAGTTAGCAGATATAAGGAAAGAATAAAATGAAATAGAGAATAGAAAAATATCACAAAAATGGAGAAAACTAACAGTTGGTTTTTTGAAAGCTAAACAGAATCAACAAATACTTAGCTCGACCAACCAAGAAAAGAAAAAGAGAAAACTCAAAGTCAGAAATAAAAGAAGAGACATTACACCTGGTGACACAGAAATAAAAATGTTCATAAGGGACTATTCTGAATGACTATATGCCAAAATATCAAACAACACAGAAGGCATAGACAAGTTCCTAGAAACATGCAAACTATTAAGATTGAGTCAAGAAATAGAAAACCTGAACAGATGAGTACACATAAAAGGACTGAATCATCTGAAACTTCTCATCAAAGAAAAGCCCAGGAGCAGATGGCTTCATGGGTGAATTACACTAAACATTTAAAAAAGAATTAATACCAGGCCTTTTTAAACTCTTCTAAAAATAGAAGAGGGAAGACTTTCACATTCATGATATCGACATCACCCTAATACCAAAGCCAGACAAAGACACCTCAAGAAAACTACAGGTCTATATCCTTGATGAACATGGATACAAAAATCCTCAACAAAATATTAGCAAACTGAATTGAACAGTACATTAGTCAGTTAATGCACCATGACCAAGCAAAATTTATCCCGGGAATGAAAGGATGGTTCAACATTTGTAAATCAATCAATGTGATATACCACACTAACAGACTAAAGAATAAGAATCCCATGATCATCTCAATAAAAGCAGAAAAAGCATTTGGCAAAAATTAACACCCTTTCATGATAAAAACTCTCAACAAATTAGGTACAGGAGGAACTTACCTTAACACAGTAAAGCCATACATGAAAAGCACACAGCTAATATCATAATCAGTGATGTGTAACAAGGCAAGGATGACTACTCTCACCTCTTCAATTCAGTCTGGTACTAGAAGTCCTAGTCAGAGAGAGCAATGAAGCAAGACAAAGAAATAAAAAGCATTAAATTTCGAAAGAAGTAGTAAAAGTATCTCTGTTTATAGATGATATAATCTACATCTAGAAGTAGTATTTCTAGTAGATGTAGAAAATCCTAAATACTACTCAAAAAATTCTGTTGGAACTATGTTGCAATATACAAATCAACATACAAAACTCAGTTGTGTTCCTATACCACCAACAAATGATGGAAAAAGGAAATTAAGGAAATAATCCTATTTATAATAGCACCAGAAATAAATACATAGATAGATAAAATAGGAGCAAATTTAGCCAAGGAAGTGAGAGATGTGTACACGGAAAACTATAAAACATTGATGAAAGTAAATGAAGAAGAAAGAAATGAATGGAAAGACATCCTGTGTTCATGGACTGGAAGAATTAATATTGTTAAAATGTCTACACTACCCAAAGCGGTTTGCAGATTTAATGCAATCCCTATCAAAATTTCAATGATATTATTTACAGAAATAGAAAAAAAATTATAAAATTCATATGGAACCACAAAAAACCCTGAATTGCCAAAGCAACCTTGAACAAGAAAAAGATAGATGGAGGCATCACACATCCAGATTTCAAAATATATTGCAAAGCTACAGTAGTCAAAACACTATAATACTGAAACAATAATAGATATATAGACCAATGAAACTGAATAGAGAGACCAGATATGAATCCACCCACTTACGGTCAATTGATTGTCACCAAGAGTACCAAGAACACACGATGGAGAAATGATAGCCTTTTTAATAAATGGTGTTGAACCATAGAATACTATGCAGCCATAAAAAAGACTGAGATCATGTTCTTTACAGTGACATAGATAGAGCTAGAGACCATTATCCTAAGTGAACTAATGCAGAAACAGAAAACCAAATACTACGTTTTCATTTATAAGTGAAAGCCAAACACTGGGAATGCATAGACACAAAGAAGAGAACAAGAGACACTGGGGCCTACTTGAGGGTGGAGGGTGGGAGGAGAGAGAGGACTGAAAAACTACCTATTGGACACTATGCTTATTACCTGGGTGATAATCTGTACACCAAATCCCCCATGACATGCAATTTACTATAATACAAACCTGCACATGTACCCCTGAAACGAAAATAGAAGTTAAATAAATAAATAAGTAAATAAATGGTGTTGAGAAAATTGTATATCCACAAAAAAATGAAATTGGGCCTTTATCTGACACCATATATAAAAATAAATTTAAAATGGATTAAAGACTTAAATATAAGATCTGAACCTGTAAAGCTACTAGAAAAAAACAGGGTAAAAATCTTTTTGAAATTGGTCTTGGCAATAATTTTTTTGGCTATGACACCAAAAGCATAGGCAACAAAAGCAAAAATCAGTAAATGGTGTTCCTTCAAGCTAAAAAGTTTCTGCACAGCAAAGGAAACAATTAACAGAGTTAAAAGGCAATCCATGGAATGGGAGAAATATTTCTGAACCATATATTTAAGAAGGAGTAAGTTTCTAAAATTTATAAGAAATTCATACAACTCAATAGCAAAAACACAAATAGCCCAATTAAAAAATGGGCAAAGGATCTGAATAGACATTTCTCCAAAGAAGACATACAAACGGCCAACAGGTATATGAAAAGGTGTTCAACATCACTAACCATCACAGAAATGCAAACCAAAATCACAAGGAGATATCACCTCACACCTGTTAGAATGGCTATTATCAAAAAGACAAAAGATAACAAGTGTTGGTGAGGTTGTGGAGACAGTAGAACATTTGTACACTGTTGGAGGGAATGTAAATTGGTACAGCCATTTTGGAAGACAGTATGGATGTTCTTCAAAAAATTAAAACTAGAACTACCATATAATCTAGTGATCCTACTTCTGGGTATATATAGAAAGGAAATGAAATCAAGATCTCAAAGAGATATCTGCACTTCATGTTCATTTTAGTATTATTCACAATAACCAAGATAAATATCCATCTTTGAATGAACAGTTAAAGAAAATGTGATTGGTGCACACACACACACATGCACAATGGAATACTATTCAGCCTTTAAAAAGAAAATCCTGCTAATTGTGACAAGTGTGAACCTGGAGGACATTATGCTGAGTGAAATTAGCCAGACACAGATATACAAATACTGTATTATCTCACTTAAATATGGAATCTAAAATAATTAAACTCATAGAAACATCATATAGAATGGTAGTTGCCGGGGCGGGGGAGAAGGGGAAAATGGGGAGATACTGGTAAAGATATTAAGTTTCAGTTATGCAAGATGCATAAGTTCTGGAGATCTAGTGTACAGCATGACTATAGTTAACAATACTCTATACTTGAAATTTGCTAAGAGGGTAGATGTTATATATTCTCATGGCAACACCCCACCAACACACAGACACAAAATCATAATTATGTGAGATGATGGATATGCTCAGTATAGGCATACCTGAGATATATTAGGATTAGGCTCCAGATGAGCACAACAAAGTAAATATTTCAATAAAGTGAGTCACACGAATTCTTTTTGGTTTCCAGTGCATAAAAGTTATGTTTATACTATAACTGACAACTGACAGTTGGTGTGGCTGTGGCAATTTCTTTAAATAAGAAAATAATGATGTTTGCCACATTGACTCTTCCTTTCATAAAATAGTTCTCTGTAGCATGTGACACTGTTTGATAGCATTTTATCCACAGTAGAATGTCTCCTCAAACCCCAGTTTCATTAACTAAGTTTATTATTTTAAATCCTTGTCATTTCAACAATGTCTACAGTGTTTCTTCACCCAGAATAAATTCCATCTCAAGAAACCACTTTCTTTGCTCCTCCATAGAAAGTAACTCCTTGTCCATCCAAATTTTATCATGAAGTTGCAACAATTCAGTCCCATCTTCAGGCTCCACTTTTATTTACTTATTTATTTTTATTTATTTATTTGAGATGGAGTCTCGCTCTATCACCCAGGCTGGAGTGCAGTGGTGCCATCTCGGCTCACTGCAACCTCTGCTTCCTGGGTTCGAGCGATTCTCCTGCTTCAGCCTCCCAAGTAGCTGGGATAACAGGCACCCACCACTTTTACTCTAGTTCTCTTGCTATTTCTATCCCATCTCTCTATTCAAGACTACAGTGGAGAAAGCAGTTACTTCCTCTATTGTAGACTTGAATCCCTCAAAGTCATCCATGAGAGTTGGGACCAACTTCTTCCACAATCCTAGTAATGTTGATATTTTGACCTCCTCTCATGAATCAAAATGTTCTTAATGACATCTAGAATGGTGAATCTTTTCCAGAAGGTTTTCAACTTACTTTGCCAAGATCCATTGGAGGAATCACTGTCTATGGCAGCTACAGCCTTACAAAATGTCTTTCTTAAATTATAAGAATTGAGAGTCGAAATTACTCCTTGATCCATGGGCTGCAGAACAAATGTTGTGTTAGTAGGCATAAAAAAAAAACCCATTAATCCCTCCATCAGGGCTCTTGAATGACCAGATGCACTGTCAAAGAGCAGTAGTATTTTGAAAGAAGTCTTTTCTTCTGAGTAGTAGGTCTCAACAGTGGGCTTAACATATTCAGTAAGCCATGCTATACAAAGATGTTCTGTCATCCAAGCTGTGTTGTTCCATTGATAGAGCACAGTAGATTTAAGGGCCCTAGCATTTTCAGAATGGTAAATGAGCACTGGCTTCTATTTAAAGTCACCAGGTGCATTAGGTCCTAACAAGAGAGTCAGGCTGTCCTTTGAAGCTTTGAAGCTAGGCATTGACTTCTCTTCTCTAGCTATGAAAGTCCTAGATGGCATCTAGTTCCATAGAAGGTTGTTTTGTGTATGCTGAAAATCTGTTGTTTAGTGTAACTACTTTCATCAACTAACTTAGCTAGATCTCTGGATAACTTGCTGCAGCTTCTATATCAGCATTTGCTGCTTCAATTTGCACTTTTATGTCATGGAGACAGCTTCTTTCCTTAAACCTCATGAGCCAATATCTCCTAGCTTCTAACTTTTCTTCTGCAACTTCCTCACCTCTCAGCCTTCATAGCATTGAACAGAGTTAAGTCCTTGCTCTGACTTAGGCACTGGCTTAAGGAAATGTTGTGGCTGGTTTGATCCTCTATTCAGACCACTCAGACATTCTCCATATAAACAATAAGGCTGTTTTGCTCTCTTACTATTCGTGTGTTCATTGGATTAGCATTTTTAATTTCCTTTAAGAACTTTTCCTTTGCATTTAAAACTTGGCTGTTTGGCACAACAGTCCTAGCTTTCAGCCTACCTTGGTTTTCAACATGACTTCTTCACTAAGTTTAATCACTTCTAGTTTTTTATTTAAAGTGAGAGCCATGTGACTCCTCCTTTCACTTGAACACTTAGAGCCCTTTGTAGGTTGGTCCAATTACTTGTTGGTCCAATTTCAATATTGTGTTTTGGGAACAGGAAGGCCTGGGGAAAGGGAGAGAGACAGGGGAATGGCCAGTCAGGGGAAGAGTCAGAATACACACAACATATATCAATAAATTTGTGGTCTTGTATCATGATGGTTTCTGGGGCTCAAAAATAATTACAACAGTAAGATCAAAGATCACCAATCACAGAGTACCATAACAGAATAATAATAATGAAAAAGTTTGAAAAATCGTGAGAATTAACAAAATGTGACACAGAGGCATAAAATGAGCACATGCCGTTAGCAAAATGCTGCTGATAGATTTGCTCCACACAGAATTGCCACAAACCTTTCATTTGTTAAAAGACAGAACAACCAAAAAGCAATGTCTGTGTAGTGCAATAAGTCAAAGCTCCATAAAATGAGGTATGCCTGTAGTTTGATTTTGGCAATTATTTCACAATGTACACATATATCAAAACATCAAGTTGTATACCTTAAATACAATTTTTATGTATTTTTTAAGGTACTTCCATAAAGCTGAGGGAAAAACAATCTCTTTGGTTCAACGGTCAGACTGATATCATAGGTTTCACAGAGAAGACCAAAAGTAAGGACTTCTTAGTTGTAAAAGTACATTCAATACATCATTTTGTTAAATCTTTATAACAGTACTATGAGGAACAGAGGAAGGACAGGTATTCTTTGACCCATTTAATAGGAGCTAAATAAGACTTATAAATACGCGGCATCATGCCCAAGGTCACAAAGCAGGTTAAACTTCTCCCTAGGTTTAGGATTGCAAACTCAAAGGCCTACAAAGCTAGATCCATGGTGTATTAGTCTATTCTCACACTGCTAATAAAGACATACCTGAGACTGGGTAATTTATAAAGAAAAAGAAGTTTAATGGACTCACAGTTCCACATGCCTGGGGAGGCCTCACAATTATGGCAGAAGGCAAGGGGGTGCCAAAGGAACATCTTACATGGCAGCAGGCAAGACAATGCGTGCAGGGGAACTGCCCTTTATAAAACCATCAGATCTCGTGAGACTTATACACTATCACCAGAATAGCACAGGAAAAACCCACTCCCATGATTCAATTACTTCCCACTGGGTCCCTCCCAAGACACATGGAGATTATCGGAACTATAATTTAAGATGATATTTGGGTGGGGACACAGCCAAACTATATCACATGACATAATGAGCAAAGTGGCCGGTTGGAAGACCACTGGTAACCACAGCATGAGGGCATTTAAGGAGGGAAGTAGCTTCCAGCTTCAGCAAATGACTACCAGTGCTGCCATGTCTTCAGAGGTGGTTTTTTTTTTTTCCCTATCTTTACAGGTTTAAACACAAGCTCCAATCCAGAATTTTAAGTTAAATGTACCAATTTTAAAATGTTGCCTTAATTAAAATACAAAACAAACAAACACTATGAGGACTAAGTACATTTAAGTCACAATCTGCATCCTCTATCAATTTTTAAATGTTGGCTTAAAATACAAAACAAACACTATGAGGGCTAAATACATTTAAGTCACAATATGCATCTTCTGACCTAGGGGTTTCTGCTTTTCATAAAGTGTTCTGCTGCTTAGTACACCAGTCAAGGGTTGGAGTAATCAAACATTTGGCTACAAGAACAGGGGTACTTGTTACCTAAAGTTAGGTCTGGTTGTTTATAAGCATCATATACCATATTTTAGCTTCCAGGTTTTCTTGAACTAGTCCCATATTTCTGTAGTATTTATTAATACACTTATTTATCTTAAAATATTTTTCAAACATTTAAATATACTGATGTTTTAAAATATGTCATTTAATAATCAAAGAAAATGTATTGCCACTTCTTTGATGTTTGGGACTTAAGTAGGTGACAATAATCAGTAATGAGAATACTGATTGAATGCCATATAGTATATTTTACTATTTAACAATAGAGACAATTTTAAATTTTAACTTGTTCATTTCATTCTCTTTATACTTGTTTTACATACACTGGTTATATACCCAATTCTTAGAGATAAATTTAGTTTCATTCTGGGATATTATTTATTTCAGTATGGCCACAAACCAAAATCATACTGCATCTGTTTCAACCACAATTGTGAAGCTAGGAAATTTTTTTAGCAGCTTTAAGATATAATTTACATACCATAGTGTACAATTCAGTGGTTTCTATATATTCACAGAGTTGTACAACCATCACCACTATCTAATTTTAGAACATTTTCATCATCCGAAAAAGAAACCTCATACTCATTAGCAGTCACTCCCCATTCTCCCTTCCCTGCAGCCCCTGGAAACTACAAATCTGCTTTCTGTCACTATGCATATATTTATTCAGGACATTTCATATAAATGGAATCATAAAATATTTGACCTGTTGTGATTGCATCTTTCACTTAGCGTATTATTTTCAAGGTTCACCCATGTTGTAAAATGTAACAGTATTTCAATTTTTATTGTTAAATAAGATTCCATTGTATGGATATACCACATTTAATTTATTCAATATCAGTTGTTGGGCACTTAGGTTGCTTCCACTTTTTGATTTTTATGAATAATGCTGCTATGAATATTTGTGTACAAGTCTTTGTGTGGAGATATGTTTTCATTTTTCTTGGGTATATAACCAGGAGCGGAATTGCTGGGTTGCATGGTAATTCTATGTTTAATATTTTGAGGAATTGCCAATGTTTCCAAAGCAGCTATACTATTTTACATTTCTACCAGCAATGCATGATGGTTATTGTTTTTTCATATTTTTATCAACATTTGTTATTGTCCTTTTAAAAATTTATTATTATTTTAATGGGGTATTATCTAATGGGTGTGAAGGGGCATTTCATTGTGGTTTTGGTTTGGTTTTCCCTAACTATTAATGATGTTGATCATCTTTTCATGTGCTTTTTGGTCATATGTGCATCTCTTTTGGAGAAATGTCTGTTGAAATCGTTTGGTCATTTTTAAATTGGGCTAGTTGTATTTTTACTGTTAAGTTGTGAGACTTATTTGTATATTCTGAATACAAACCTCATATAAAATACATAATTTGCAAATATTTTCTCCCATTCTGGGATTGTCTTTCTTCATGGTGTCCTTTGAAGCATAAAATTTTGATGAGCTCCAATTTATTTTTGTTAGTTTTGCTTTTGGTGACATATCTAAGTAGCCATTGCCTCATTCAAGGTCAAGAATATTTACTCATATGTTTTCTTGTAAAAGTTTTATTAGGTTGGTGCAAAAGTAATTGCAGTTTTTTCCATTACTTTTGCACCAACCTAATATAATTTTAGCTCTTACACTGAGGTCTGTGATTCATTTTGAGTTAATGTTTGTATATGGTATAAAGGGTCCAATCTCATACTTTTGCATGTAGATATCCAGTTATCCCAAGCACCATCTGTTGAAAAGACTTTTCTTCTCCCACTGAATTGTCTTGGCACCCTTGTTAAAAACCAATTGGCCATAAATGTATCTTACACTTGGGAATTAACTCCTTATCCATCCCCTTATAGTCATTGTCTTATATTGGAGCATTGCATATATGTCTGTTTTTCTTACTTAAATATAAAATTCTGTAGGATAACTATAGCTACACATTTTGTATCTCCCATAGACCATAATCATATTTAATGAGGTTCCTTATTTTGCATTTACCATACAAATAGAACTTTCTAAAAATTATGGCACAGTACACTCAGAGTACTGTTAGTTGCATATGAGAAACCCAAAATAACAGTGGCTTAAATAAGATATGCTTGTTTCTCTCACATAAAAGAATTCGAAACTAGGCAATCAGAGTTGATTTGGCAGCTCACCGAATTTATCTGTATCCTAGCTCTCAGTCCTACCATCCCTAGAGCAGTTCCCTGTCCTCAAGGTACTGAAAAGCCACTAGAGCTCTAGCCATTAAATCTGCAGGGCCACACCTCACTGCCAAGTGAAACTAGAGAATATGGTCTTTTTTGGGGAACAGCAATATGTCCAGCTAAAAATCAGGATTCTTATTATAAGTAGAAAGGAGGGATAGATATTAAGAGGAAAAACAGCATTCTCTACAACAGGAATAAGGGGGTAACTTTTTTAAAAAAATCTCTTTGGGACTAAAGAAAGTTAGGTATTTAGGAAGTTCCAAAGTAATTCAGTGTCTCATAGCTGCCCCTGTAACAATGGACTTAGATAAGCCTGGGATGAATGTGGAGCTTATTCTTTCTTTTTTTCTGATTAATTGGTTGTTCTCTATTCTAGAGTGCAGGGACTGTTGGCAGGAAAGCATTGTATTACCTCAGCTCTTACAAGTTGTAAGCTGTACTCCCAAGTTATCCTCATTGAGAAATGATGTCAAATAATCCAAGTATAGTCTACCCTATTAGTCTAAACTATAGGAAACAGAAGATTCAACCCTATAAGGGACAGAAGGTCTACGTGGGTTAGTCTGCCAACAAACTTGGGCTAAGAGATGAAATGAACTCTACAGTAATCCTAATATCATCCAGTGAGAAGTCCAGAGTTGTTTGTCCAATACTGTGGTACTAGCCTGATACAGGTCAAGGATAGAGAAGAGAATTAAGAATGAGGTGCATATTCACACACTTAAAAATATTATATGAGGCAAACGACTCTAAAATTAGCCACCTATGTAACAACTTCTAGAAGCTCTACCAGTAAAAAATGCACAGTTACCATGAGGCGATGGAAAGCTTTCCCTCTCTTCCCAGTAACGAGAACTACAGATGTATCTCATTTGCAGAGGCTGGCCCCTCCCCTTATATCCATGAGTTACATGAGTAGGTCCTGTAGATGTGCTGATTTGCTTGACTTCCTCCTATTCTCTAGCATTATTGTTTTCTATAGCAAATCGTTCACCCTTGATCTGCAGAAGTGTGAAATGAAATATGTTAACGATGGTTATCTCTAGCTGATTAGATTACAGTTGATCTTTGTTTTTCAATTTTTTTTAGATTCTGTGTACCACCCAAATTTTCTATAATGAATATGTATTATTTTCTAACTAGAAAATGTTATAAATTTTAAAATATAAAAAAATCAGATCAGAATCTTTAAAATATGTATACTATTTAGGAATGATGAACAATGGACTCTCTGTCAATGGTATACCCAAAGCCACTACAGGAGAAAAGAACAAACTGTTGACAGATAACTTAGAAATAAGATAGGAAACACAATTAGATGTAGATAAGCTTAAATGACTGTAAATAACTTTATTTTCACAAAATTTTAATAAAAGCATTTATCTTGGCAGAGGAGAAAGCTAATATTTATCTGTAAGTTGGAAGGCTTAATTCTTAATGTATGAAGAAAAAAAGTTCTGCCCATATGAAACACATGTTTCTTTCCTTAACTATTTTGTGGTAAATTAAAAGATGTGAAATGAGATAAACAGATGTGAAAGTGCTTTATAAACTTGAAGCACTTTGCAAATCCATTACCGTTACTGTCAGAAGACTATCATATTCTACCTCTAGTAACTGCTGTGTGACTTGTCATATTTACACAAAAAGTAAATTTCCAAAGGTTTTGAAGATTTTCCTCTTCTCATCACATTTAAGTAGTAAGGTATCTCTTGGCTGCCAATGCAGACAATTGCCTAGTGTGATATTTCCATGTTAGCCTAAGAAACACTGCACTCTGAAAAGCACAGTGCAGCTTTAATCCACAGTGGATACAATCATCGCCTAACTTTAGATATGGGAGAAATGTTGGAAAACATCAAGTGTGCTGGTGTTTTTAAAAGACTCCAGAAAGAGATTCAAAAACATGAGCAAAGCTCAGCATTTGTAGCTCCTGTGTGAATTCAGCTGCTCCAAGTTCTTAGAAATCCTAAGGCTTGGGGGGTGGAGCCAAGATGGCCGAATAGGAACAGCTCCAGTCTACAGCTCCCAGCATGAGCGACGCAGAAGACGGATGATTTCTGCATTTCCAACTGAGGTACCGGGTTCATCTCACTGGGGAGTGTCGGACAGTGGGTACAGGACAGTGGGTGCAGTGCACCAAGCCTGAGCCAAAGCAGGGCGAGGCATCACCTCACCAGGGAAGTGAAAGGGGTTAGGGAATTCCCTTTTCCTAGTCAAAGAAAGGGGTGACAGACAGCACCTGGAAAATCGTGTCACTCCCACCCTAATACTGCGCTTTTCCAATGGTCTTAGCAAACAGCACACCACCAAGAGATTATATCCAGCACCTGGCTCAGAGGGTCCTATGCCCACGGAGCCTCACTCACTGCTAGCACAGCAGTCTGAGATCAAACTGCAAGGTGGCAGCGAGGCTGGGAGAGGGGTGCGCACCATTGCCGAGGCTTGAGTAGGTAAACAAAGCAGCTGGGAAGCTCGAACTGGGTGGAGCCCACTGCAGCTCAAGGAGGCCTGCCTGCCTCTGTAGACTCCACCTCCGGGGGCAGGGCATAGCCAAACAAAAGGCAGCAGAAACCTCTGCAGACTTAAATGTCCCTGTCTGACAGCTTGGAAGAGAGTAGTGGTTCTCCCAGCATGCAGCTTGAGATCTGAGAATGGACAGACTGCCTCCTCAAGTGGGTCCCTGACCCCCGAGTAACCTAACTGGGAGGCACCCCCAAGTAGGGGCAGACTGACACCTCACATGGCTGGGTACTCCTCTGAGAAAAAACTTCCAGAGGAACGATCAGGCAGCAACATTTGCTGTTCACCAATATCCACTGTTCTGCAGCCTCCGCTGCTAATACCCAGGCAAATAGGGTCTGGAGTGGACCTCCAGCAAGCTCCAACAGACCTACAGCTGAGGGTCCTGACTGTTAGAAGGAAAACTAACAAACAGAAAGGACATCCACACCAAAACCCTATCTGTACGGCACCATCATCAAAGACCAAAGGTAGATAAAACCACAAAGATGGGGAAAAAAACACAGCAGAAAAACTGGTAACTCTAAAAATTAGAGCGCTTCTCCTCCTCCAAAGGAACGCAGCTCCTCACCAGCAATGGAACCAAGCTGGACGGAGAATGACTTTGACGAGTTGAGAGAAGAAGGCTTCAGATGATCAAACTACTCTGAGCTAAAGGAGGAAGTTCGAACCCACGGCAAAGAAGTTAAAAACCTTGAAAAAAATTAGATGAATGGCTAACTAGAATAACCAATGCAGAGAAGTCCTTAAAGGACCTGATGGAGCTGAAAACCATGGCACAAGAACTACATGACAAATGCACAAGCCTCAGTAGCTGATTCGATCAACTGGAAGAAAGGGTATCAGTGATGGAAGATCAAATGAATGAAATGAAGCAAGAAGAGAAGTTTAGAGAAAAAAGAAAAAAAAGAAATGAACAAAGCCTCCAAGAAATATGGGACTATGTGAAAAGACCAAATCTACGTCTGATTGGTGTACCTGAAAGTGATGGGGAGAATGGAACCAAGCTGGAAAACACTCTGCAGGATATTATCCAAGAGAACTTCCCCAATCTAGCAAGGCAGGCTGACATTCAAATTCAGGAAATACAGAGAACGCCACAAATATAATCCTCGAGAAGAGCAACTCCAAGACACATAATTGTTAGATTCACTAAAGTTGAAATGAAGGAAAAAATGTTAAGGGCAGCCAGAGAGAAAGGTCAGCTTACCCACAAAGGAAAGCCCATCAGATTAACAGCTGATCTCTCGGCAGAAACTCTACAAGCCAGAAGAGAGTGGGGGCCAATATTCAACATTCTTAAAGAAAAGAATTTTCAACCCAGAATTTCATATCCAGCCAAACTATGCTTCATAAGTGAAGGAGAAATAAAATATAGACAAGTGAACGCTGAAAGATTTTGTCACCACCAGGCCTGCCCTACAAGAGCTCCTGAAGGAAGCGCTAAACATGGAAAGGAACAACCGGTACCAGCCACTGCAAAAACATGCCAAATTGTAAACACCATTGAGGCCAGGAAGAAACTGCATCAACTAACGAGCAAAATAACCAGCTAACATCATCATGACAGGATCAAATTCACACATAACAATATTAACCTTAAATGTAAATAGGCTAAATGCTCCAATTAAAAGACACAGACTGGCAAACTGGATAAAGAGTCAAGACCCATCAGTGTGCTGTATTCAGGAAACCCATCTCACGTGCAGAGACACACATAGGCTCAAAATAAAGGGATGGAGGAAGATCTACCAAGCAAATGGAAAACAAAAAAAGGCAGGGGTTGCAATCCTAGTCTCTGATAAAACAGACTTTAAACCAACAAAGATCAAAAGAGACACAGAAGGCCATTACATAATGGTAAAGGGATCAATTCAACAAGAAGAGTTAACTATCCTAAATATATATGCACCCAATACAGGAGCACCTAGATTCATAAAGCAAGTCCTTAGAGACCTACAAAGAGACTTAGACTCCCACACAATAATAATGGGAGACTTTAACACCCCACTGTCAACATTAGACAGATCAATGAGACAGAAAATTAACAAGGATATCCAGGAATTGAACTCAACTCTGCACCAAGCGGACCTAATAGACATCTACAGAACTCTCCACCCCAAATCAACAGAATATACATTCTTTTCGGCACCACACCACACCGATTCCAAAATTGAACACATAGTTGGAAGTAAAGCACTCCTCAGCAAATGTAAAAGAACAGAAAGTACAACAAACTGTCTCTCAGACCACAGTGCAATCAAACTAAAACTCAGGATTAAGAAACTCACTCAAAACCGCTCAACTACATGGAAACTGAACAACCTGCTCCTGAATGACTACTGGGTACATAACGAAATGAAGGCAGAAGTAAAGATGTTCTTTGAAACCAACGAGAACAAAGACACAACATACCAGAATCTCTGGGACACATTCAAAGCAGTGTGTAGAGGAAAATTTATAGCACTAAATGCCCACAAGAGAAAGCAGGAAAGATCTAAAATTGACAGCCTAACATCACAATTAAAAGAACTAGAGAAACAAGAGCAAACACATTCAAAAGCTAGCAGAAGGCAAGAAATAACTACAATCAGAGCAGAACTGAAGGAGATAGAGACATACAAAAAACCCTTCAAAAAATCAATGAATCCAGGAGCTGGTTTTTTGAAAAGATCAACAAAATTGATAGACCACTAGCAAAACTAATACAGAAGAGAGAAGAATCAAATAGACACAATAAAAAATGATAAACGGGATATCACCACTGATCCCACAGAAATACAAACTACCATCAAAGAATACTATAAACACCTCTATGCAAATAAACTAGAAAATCTAGAAGAAATGGATAAATTCCTCGACACATACACCCTCCCAAGACTAAACCAGGAAGAAGCTGAATCTCTGAATAGACCAATAACAGGCTCTGAAATTGAGGCAACAATTAACACCTTACCAACCAATAAAAGTCCAGGACCAGATGGATTCACAGCCAAATTCTACCAGAGGTACAAGGAGGAGCTGGTACGATTCCTTCTGAAACTATTCCAATCAATAGAAAAAGAGGGAATCCTCCCTAACTCATTTTATGAGGCCAGCATCATCCTGATACCAAAGCCTGGCAGAGACACAACAAAAAAAGAGAATTTCAGACCAATATCCCTGATGAACATCGATGCAAAAATCTTTAATAAAATACTGGCAAACTGAATCCAGCAGCACACCACAAAGCTTATCCACCATGATCAAGCTGGCTTCATTCCTGGGATGCAAGGCTGGTTCAACATACGAAAATCAATAAATGTAATCCAGCATATAAACAGAACCAACAACAAAAAACACATGATTATCTCAACAGATGCAGAAAAGGCCTTTGACAAAATTCAACAGCCCTTCATGCTAAAAACTCTCAATAAATTAGGTACTGATGGGACGTATCTCAAAATAATAAGCGCTATCTATGACCAACCCACAGCCAATATCATACTGGATGGGCAAAAACTGGAAGCATTCCCTTTGAAAACTGGCACAAGACAGGGATGCCCTCTCTCACCACTCCTATTCAACACAGTGTTCGAAGTTCTGGCAGGGCAATCAGGCAGGAGAAAGAAATAAAGGGTATTCAATTAGGAAAAGAGGAGGTCAAATTGTCCCTGTTTGCAGATGACATGATTGTATATATAGAAAACCCCATTGTCTCAGCCCAAAATCTCCTTAAGCTGATAAGCAACTTCAGCAAAGTCTCAGGATACAAAATCAATGTGCAAAAATCACAAGCATTCTTATACACCAATAACAGACAAACAGAGAGCCAAATCATGAGTGAACTCCCATTCACAATTGCTTCAAAGAGAATAAAATACCTAGGAATCCAACTCACAAGGGATGTGAAGGACCTCTTCAAGGAGAACTATAAACCACTGCTCAATGAAATGAGAGGATACAGATAAATGGAAGAACATTCCATGCTCATGGGTAGGAAGAATCAATATCGTGAAAATGGCCATACTGCCCAAGGTAATTTATAGATTCAATGCCATCCCCATCAAGCTACCAATGACTTTCTTCACAGAATTGGAAAAAACTACTTTAAAGTTCATATGGAACCAAAAAAGAGCCCGCATTGCCAAGTCAATCCTAAGCCAAAAGAACAAAGCTAGAGGCATCACACTACCTGACTTCAAACTATACTACAAGGCTACAGTAACCAAAACAGCATGGTACTGGTACCAAAGCAGAGATATAGACCAATGGAACAAAACAGTGCCCTCAGAAATAATACTGCATATCTACAACCATCTGATCTTTGACAAACCTGACAAAAACAAGCAATGGGGAAAGGATTCCCTATTTAATAAATGGTGCTGGGAAAACTGGCTAGCCATATGTAGAAAGCTGAAATTGGATCCCTTCCTTACACCTTGTACAAAAATTAATTCAAGATGGATTACAGACTTAAATGTTAGACCTAAAACCATAAAAACCCTAGAAGAAAACCTAGGCAATACCATTCAGGACATAGGCATGGGCAAGAACTTCATGTCTAGAACACCAAAAGTAATGGCAACAAAAGCCAAAATTGACAAATGGGTCTAATTAAACTAAAGAGCTTCTGCACAGCAAAAGAAACTACCATCAGAGTGAAGAGGCAACCTACAGAATGGGAGAAAATTTTTGCAATCTGACAAAAGGGCTAATTTTTGCATCTGACAAAGGGCTAATATCCAGAATCTACAATGAACTCAAACAAATTTACAAGAAAAAAACAAATTTACAAGAAAAAAACAAAATTTACAAGAAAAAAACAAATTTACAAGAAAAAAACAAACAACCCCATCAAAAAGTGGGCAAAGGATAAGAACAGTCACTTCTCAAAAGAAGACATTTATGCAGCCAAAAGACACATGAAAAAATTCTCATCATCACTGGCCATCAGAGAAATGCAAATCAAAACCACAATGAGATACCATCTCACACCAGTTAGAATGGCGATCATTAAAAAGTCAAGAAACAACAGGTGCTGGAGAGGATGTGGAGAAATAGGAACACTTTTACACTGTTAGTGGGACTGTAAACTAGTTCAACATTGTGGAAGTCAGTATGGCGATTCCTCAGGGATCTAGAACTAGAAATACCATTTGACCCAGCCATCCCATTACTGGGTATATACCCAAAGGATTATAAATCATGCTGCTATAAAGACACTTGCACACATATGTTTATTGTGGTACTATTCACAATAGCAAAGACTTGGAACCAACCCAAATGTCCAACAATGATAGACTAGATTAAGAAAATGTGGCACATATACACTATGGAATACTTTGCAGCCATAAAAAAGGATGAGTTCATGTCCTTTGTAGGGACATGGATGAAGCTGGAAACCATCATTCTCAGCAAACTATCGCAAGGATAAAAAACCAAACACCGCATGTTCTCACTCATAGGTGGTAACTGAACAATGAGAACACATGGTCACAGGAAGGGGAACATCACGCACTGGGGCCTGTTGTGGGGTGGGGGGAGTGGGGAGGGATAGCATTAGGAGACATACCTAATGTTAAATGACGATTTAATGGGTGCAGCACACCAACATGGCACATGTATACATATGTAACAAACCCACACGTTGTGCACATGTACTCTAAAACTTAAAGTATAATTAAAATAAATAAATAAAGTAAAAAAGAAATCCTAAGGATACTCAAATTGTTGTTTAGGTGAAGATGGATGATGCCTTCCTTGAATCATCAGCTACCACCGACAGAGTGAAGTGAGATGGAATAGTGGGCACAATCTCATTCATCCTACTCTATGTAGCCTAATGGGTCCAGAATTTATTATCACTATTTTACACTGGAAAAAAGATGAGATTATGAGGGGTCAGGGAGGCTTTGAGTTTTTGCTCTAACTTCACCACTAATTAAGAATGTGATCTTGGGTAAGCCACTTTAACCTCTGTAAATGTCAAATTTCTTATCAGTAAAATGTGACTATACAAGACAATAAATTTGAAAATACTTTGCAAAATTGAAAGTACCATGGAAATAATTCTTCAATCCCAAAAGGTTATGAACATTATTAAAATTTGCCACATGGAAGAGCACACACCACAGAGACATAACTGTGATCATAAACAGATTTACAAAAGTGGTGTTTCATTATGGAGGGCCATAGGGCTGATAAAGACAAATGCATCACCAAGCTATGTCCGAGCTCATTCAGATTTTTACAGGAAACACAGAGCTTCTAGCTGAATTATCTCTGGATGGTGTGGAAATTGTCCAACACGTTCCTAATTTCAAAGAAACAGAACTGAATCTTGAAAACCCAAGAGGCCTTTACAGAAACTGACAAGAGATGAATTAATATAGGTATCAAGCTACAGACCAAATTAAAGTTTTACAAAACTTTGAAAGAGGGTCAGAAAGAAGAAACTTATGGGAAGCAGAGTCCTGGAAAGTCAGCTTTGATGGAGTGACAATATGTGCAACACAGTGAGCAATCTCTTAGGTAGGCAGCTTCAGGGATGGGGGTTGCCCTTTGAAAGGACTTGGGCCACTCTTGAGTCTAAGAGGCTAAGTCACAAACAATGCTAAGCAACTAAAAATAGCTTCTTGTTTAATAGTAAAATTCTGCATAGTAAAAGGAGAAGCAGGGGGTATGACACACGTGGTAGTTAGCAGTCTACTAGTGACTTTACTGCCACAACCAGAAAAGCCAGCTGATGTGTCAGACGTGAGAAAGCGAAAGTATGTCACAGCGAATGTAGCTTTTCCACACGTATTTCAAGAAAGAAATGAAAAAGCCAACTTCTATAATGGTGCCTACTGTGCATTAACAGAGATAAACTAGGGGTCTAAGAACTCAGTTTTCTACAGGGTCCCAGAAGTATAGCCATATATTGCCCCATTCTCTAATGGAAATAGCCAGAGAAATAGAAATATCAAGACTGGAGAACATCAAATACCTCATTGGAAAAGCCCCCACATAGGAAAATGTGTGGGCTTGAATTCTTCCATTCTGGAAGGGTAAAGGCCTGAGTGATGATGCTGGGATTAGACACTGAAACTCTTTAGAGAAGCAAAACAAGTATAATAAAGCTGTACTTTATTATATTAAATAAATAACACACAGACTACCAAATAGCCTGCCCCTTATAACAGCGTTAATGTGATTTTGATCTGAAATGTATAGAGACATTTTGCATTTTTTCGTATAAAAAGTTCATGAGATTTGGCCCTAATCTGACCTTTTCTTCATTTTTTTTTCTACTTGAGGGACTATAATCTTTATTTTTAAATTTGTTTTATATTCTCCGAACATTACCTAACGCATAGAAAACTCTTATTGAACCATTTTTCTCTGTTCTTTGTAAAATATTACATTTGACTGTTCCTTAGACTGCTTTAATCATTCCTGCCTATGCACCCTCCTCAAAATCCAGTTTAAATTAATTGTTCCTTATTCAAGATTCCTTATATCCACCTCCCTTGGGGCAGCAATCACCTATCACCCAGGACTACACTTGTGTATGTACATATCTTCCCTATTACAAATCAGGTTCTTTGAAAAAATACAAATGGTAAGAGAGTGGATTTTTGGAGTCAGAACATTCTCTTTTCAAATCCTTCTTCTGCCCCTTACTGGCAATAAGGGCTGAGTGACCTAGAGCAAATTACTTAACTTCTCTGAGCCTCAGTTTTCTAATCTGCAAAATAGGAGCCATCACTTCACAAGTCTGTAAGACTTATATTAGACTAAGTGCCTGCCTGTACACTGTTCTCTTTTCTCTCTTTCTATATACCTGAAGGCATTATAGGTGCTAGATGTCTGTTTAAAGACCAGACAATATTGTCTTAAAAAAACAAACAAAAACACAGACAATACCATCTTTAAAAAAAAAAAAAAAGTCCAGGTAAGAAATAAATAAGGCCATAGAATGGAAGCTTTACAAGGACTCTCTCTGAGACAGGATCTCCTCAAGTGTCCCCAGGTTAAATTAGAAGTATATATCCGTACAATTGTTCAGCCAGTTTGTGCACTGTACTGAGGATGAATGAACACCTATCCTAAATATCCTAGTCTTCTGACTAAAAACAAGATCATATTTCATAACGATTATTGTTACATTCATAGTGTCCCAGGTGATTTAGAGGATAAATAAAAATCCATTAAAGAGGTAAAGACATAAAAACGAGAAACATGGACTGGTTTACACATAACACATACAAAGTCTATTATAAAACTAGCATCAGTATCCTTGAATGCAAACCTTTTTCTGAGTATTTAACAATCGCACCCTTTAAAAAATGTACAATAGACATTAAGAGACTTAAACAGATATATAATCATTTTAAATTAAAATAGCGTTAAACAGTACCTCAAGCTCAATAAGCATTTTAAGTATTCTAATCTTAGTATTTCTCTAGCTGACATGTAAGAAGCAATCTATCTTATTGTATGCAATTAGCTCATTGTGTGGATAAAAAGGTAAAACCATTCTGAAACAGGAAACCAATACACTTCCTGTTTTATCAACAAATCTAAACATTTATTCTTTTCATCTGTTTACTCTTGCTCTTGTCCACCACAATATGCTATTCACATGTTCAGTGTAGTTTTATGACAAAGAAAATTTTCTGAGTTACTTTTGTATCCCCACCCCCTTAAAGAAAGGAGGAAAAACTGTTTCATACAGAAGGCGTTAATTGCATGAATTAGAGCTATCACCTAAGTGTGGGCTAATGTAACAAAGAGGGATTTCACCTACATCCATTCAGTCAGTCTTTGGGGGTTTAAAGAAATTCCAAAGAGTCATCAGAAGAGGAAAAATGAAGGTAATGTTTTTTCAGACAGGTAAAGTCTTTGAAAATATGTGTAATATGTAAAACATTTTGACACCCCCATAATATTTTTCCAGAATTAACAGTATAAATTGCATCTCTTGTTCAAGAGTTCCCTATCACTCTCTTTAATCACTACTCACAGTAACCTCAACTCCTGCCACAATGTACAGGATGCAACTCCTGTCTTGCATTGCACTAAGTCTTGCACTTGTCACAAACAGTGCACCTACTTCAAGTTCTACAAAGAAAACACAGCTACAACTGGAGCATTTACTGCTGGATTTACAGATGATTTTGAATGGAATTAATGTAAGTATATTTCCTTTCTTACTAAAATTATTACATTTAGTAATCTAGCTGGAGATCATTTCTTAATAACAATGCATTATACTTTCTTAGAATTACAAGAATCCCAAACTCACCAGGATGCTCACATTTAAGTTTTACATGCCCAAGAAGGTAAGTACAATATTTTATGTTCAATTTCTGTTTTAATAAAATTCAAAGTAATATGAAAATTTGCACAGATGGGACTAATAGCAGCTCATCTGAGGTAAAGAGTAACTTTAATTTGTTTTTTTGAAAACCCAAGTTTGATAATGAAGCCTCTATTAAAACAGTTTTACCTATATTTTTAATATATATTTGTGTGTTGGTGGGGGTGGGAAGAAAACATAAAAATAATATTCTCACTTTATCGATAAGACAATTCTAAACAAAAATGTTCATTTATGGTTTCATTTAAAAATGTAAAACTCTAAAATATTTGATTATGTCATTTTAGTATGTAAAATACCAAAATCTATTTCCAAGGAGCCCACTTTTAAAAATCTTTTCTTGTTTTAGGAAAGGTTTCTAAGTGAGAGGCAGCATAACACTAATAGCACAGAGTCTGGGGCCAGATATCTGAAGTGAAATCTCAGCTCTGCCATGTCCTAGCTTTCATGATCTTTGGCAAATTACCTACTCTGTTTGTGATTCAGTTTCATGTCTACTTAAATGAATAACTGTATATACTTAATATGGCTTTGTGAGAATTAGTAAGTAAATGTAAAGCACTCAGAACCGTGTCTGGCATAAGGTAAATACCATACAAGCATTAGCTATTATTAGTAGTATTAAAGATAAAATTTTCACTGAGAAATACAAAGTAAAATTTTGGACTTTATCTTTTTACCAATAGAACTTGAGATTTATAATGCTATATGACTTATTTTCCAAGATTAAAAGCTTCATTAGGTTGTTTTTGGATTCAGATAGAGCATAAGCATAATCATCCAAGCTCCTAGGCTACATTAGGTGTGTAAAGCTACCTAGTAGCTGTGCCAGTTAAGAGAGAATGAACAAAATCTGGTGCCAGAAAGAGCTTGTGCCAGGGTGAATCCAAGCCCAGAAAATAATAGGATTTAAGGGGACACAGATGCAATCCCATTGACTCAAATTCTATTAATTCAAGAGAAATCTGCTTCTAACTACCCTTCTGAAAGATGTAAAGGAGACAGCTTACAGATGTTACTCTAGTTTAATCAGAGCCACATAATGCAACTCCAGCAACATAAAGATACTAGATGCTGTTTTCTGAAGAAAATTTCTCCACATTGTTCATGCCAAAAACTTAAACCCGAATTTGTAGAATTTGTAGTGGTGAATTGAAAGCGCAATAGATGGACATATCAGGGGATTGGTATTGTCTTGACCTACCTTTCCCACTAAAGAGTGTTAGAAAGATGAGATTATGTGCATAATTTAGGGGGTGGTAGAATTCATGGAAATCTAAGTTTGAAACCAAAAGTAATGATAAACTCTATTCATTTGTTCATTTAACCCTCATTGCACATTTACAAAAGATTTTAGAAACTAATAAAAATATTTGATTCCAAGGATGCTATGTTAATGCTATAATGAGAAAGAAATGAAATCTAATTCTGGCTCTACCTACTTATGTGGTCAAATTCTGAGATTTAGTGTGCTTATTTATAAAGTGGAGATGATACTTCACTGCCTACTTCAAAAGATGACTGTGAGAAGTAAATGGGCCTATTTTGGAGAAAATTCTTTTAAATTGTAATATACCATAGAAATATGAAATATTATATATAATATAGAATCAAGAGGCCTGTCCAAAAGTCCTCCCAAAGTATTATAATTTTTTATTTCACTGGGACAAACATTTTTAAAATGCATCTTAATGTAGTGATTGTAGAAAAGTAAAAATTTAAGACATATTTAAAAATGTGTCTTGCTCAAGGCTATATTGAGAGCCACTACTACATGATTATTGTTACCTAGTGTAAAATGTTGGGATTGTGATAGATGGCATCCAAGAGTTCCTTCTCTCTCAACATTCTGTGATTCTTAACTCTTAGACTATCAAATATTATAATCATAGAATGTGATTTTTATGCTTCCACATTCTAACTCATCTGGTTCTAATGATTTTCTATGCAGATTGGAAAAGTAATCAGCCTACATCTGTAATAGGCATTTAGATGCAGAAAGTCTAACATTTTGCAAAGCCAAATTAAGCTAAAACCAGTGAGTCAACTATCACTTAACGCTAGTCATAGGTACTTGAGCCCTAGTTTTTCCAGTTTTATAATGTAAACTCTACTGGTCCATCTTTACAGTGACATTGAGAACAGAGAGAATGGTAAAAACTACATACTGCTACTCCAAATAAAATAAATTGGAAATTAATTTCTGATTCTGACCTCTATGTAAACTGAGCTGATGATAATTATTATTCTAGGCCACAGAACTGAAACATCTTCAGTGTCTAGAAGAAGAACTCAAACCTCTGGAGGAAGTGCTAAATTTAGCTCAAAGCAAAAACTTTCACTTAAGACCCAGGGACTTAATCAGCAATATCAACGTAATAGTTCTGGAACTAAAGGTAAGGCATTACTTTATTTGCTCTCCTGGAAATAAAAAAAAAAAAGTAGGGGGAAAAGTACCACATTTTAAAGTGACATAACATTTTTGGTATTTGTAAAGTACCCATGCATGTAATTAGCCTACATTTTAAGTACACTGTGAACATGAATCATTTCTAATGTTAAATGATTAACTGGGGAGTATAAGCTACTGAGTTTGCACCTACCATCTACTAATGGACAAGCCTCATCCCAAACTCCATCACCTTTCATATTAACACAAAACTGGGAGTGAGAGAAGGTACTGAGTTGAGTTTCACAGAAAGCAGGCAGATTTTACTATATATTTTTCAATTCCTTCAGATCATTTACTGGAATAGCCAATACTGATTACCTGAAAGGCTTTTCAAATGGTGTTTCCTTATCATTTGATGGAAGGACTACCCATAAGAGATTTGTCTTAAAAAAAAAAACTGGAGCCATTAAAATGGCCAGTGGACTAAACAAACAACAATCTTTTTAGAGGCAATCCCCACTTTCAGAATCTTAAGTATTTTTAAATGCACAGGAAGCATAAAATATGCAAGGGACTCAGGTGATGTAAAAGAGATTCACTTTTGTCTTTTTATATCCCGTCTCCTAAGGTATAAAATTCATGAGTTAATAGGTATCCTAAATAAGCAGCATAAGTATAGTAGTAAAAGACATTCCTAAAAGTAACTCCAGTTGTGTCCAAATGAATCACTTATTAGTGGACTGTTTCAGTTGAATTAAAAAAATACATTGAGATCAATGTCATCTAGACATTGACAGATTCAGTTCCTTATCTATGGCAAGAGTTTTACTCTAAAATAATTAACATCAGAAAACTCATTCTTAACTCTTGATACAAATTTAAGACAAAACCATGCAAAAATCTGAAAACTGTGTTTCAAAAGCCAAACACTTTTTAAAATAAAAAAATCCCAAGATATGACAATATTTAAACAATTATGCTTAAGAGGATACAGAACACTGCAACAGTTTTTTAAAAGAGAATACTTATTTAAAGGGAACACTCTATCTCACCTGCTTTTGTTCCCAGGGTAGGAATCACTTCAAATTTGAAAAGCTCTCTTTTAAATCTCACTATATATCAAAATATTTCCTCCTTAGCTTATCAACTAGAGGAAGCGTTTAAATAGCTCCTTTCAGCAGAGAAGCCTAATTTCTAAAAAGCCAGTCCACAGAACAAAATTTCTAATGTTTAAACTTTTAAAAGTTGGCAAATTCACCTGCATTGATACTATGATGGGGTAGGGATAGGTGTAAGTATTTATGAAGATGTTCTTCACACAAATTTATCCCAAACAGAAGCATGTCCTAGCTTACTCTAGTGTAGTTCTGTTCTGCTTTGGGGAAAATATAAGGAGATTCACTTAAGTAGAAAAATAGGAGACTCTAATCAAGATTTAGAAAAGAAGAAAGTATAATGTGCATATCAATTCATACATTTAACTTACACAAATATAGGTGTACATTCAGAGGAAAAGCGATCAAGTTTATTTCACATCCAGCATTTAATATTTGTCTAGATCTATTTTTATTTAAATCTTTATTTGCACCCAATTTAGGGAAAAAATTTTTGTGTTCATTGACTGAATTAACAAATGAGGAAAATCTCAGCTTCTGTGTTACTATCATTTGGTATCATAACAAAATATGTAATTTTGGCATTCATTTTGATCATTTCAAGAAAATGTGAATAATTAATATGTTTGGTAAGCTTGAAAATAAAGGCAACAGGCCTATAAGACTTCAATTGGGAATAACTGTATATAAGGTAAACTACTCTGTACTTTAAAAAATTAACATTTTTCTTTTATAGGGATCTGAAACAACATTCATGTGTGAATATGCTGATGAGACAGCAACCATTGTAGAATTTCTGAACAGATGGATTACCTTTTGTCAAAGCATCATCTCAACACTGACTTGATAATTAAGTGCTTCCCACTTAAAACATATCAGGCCTTCTATTTATTTAAATATTTAAATTTTATATTTATTGTTGAATGTATGGTTTGCTACCTATTGTAACTATTATTCTTAATCTTAAAACTATAAATATGGATCTTTTATGATTCTTTTTGTAAGCCCTAGGGGCTCTAAAATGGTTTCACTTATTTATCCCAAAATATTTATTATTATGTTGAATGTTAAATATAGTATCTATGTAGATTGGTTAGTAAAACTATTTAATAAATTTGATAAATATAAACAAGCCTGGATATTTGTTATTTTGGAAACAGCACAGAGTAAGCATTTAAATATTTCTTAGTTACTTGTGTGAACTGTAGGATGGTTAAAATGCTTACAAAAGTCACTCTTTCTCTGAAGAAATATGTAGAACAGAGATGTAGACTTCTCAAAAGCCCTTGCTTTGTCCTTTCAAGGGCTGATCAGACCCTTAGTTCTGGCATCTCTTAGCAGATTATATTTTCCTTCTTCTTAAAATGCCAAACACAAACACTCTTGAAACTCTTCATAGATTTGGTGTGGCTATGAATTCTCCAATATCTTACACCCTGCCCAGTGCTGTGAGGAGGCTCACCTGTATGGCCTATATCAAAGGTCTTCCCTGCCCTTTGGCTTTCCATTGGGTCCTGCCACTGGGGAGTGCTGGTAGGAACTATGAGGAACATAAGAGATTCCCTTGACTCCCTCCTTGTGGAGTAGACCCAGGATGGCTGTGTCTCTCAAGCAAGGAACCCAGATTACCTCAAGGTGGCACTCTGGGTACTTTTTCCTTCTGAGTGATTCTGGTAATCTTCCCTTGTCCCTTTAAGCCTAGGGAGGGTGGTACTTTTGCTGTTAGCAACTCCAGGGTACTTGTACCATCCCTTGCAGTTTCCCTGAACTCTGACCATAGCTTTTTAAATAGTCCTTTTATTAAATCCTCCTTTTGATTGAGTATGCCATCTATTTCCTGCTGGGACTCAGATACAGTAATTGTATCAGAAATAGCCCCAGAAAATAGACCCTCAAAATAGGATTCTGGGACTGGGTTGTTCATATATTCAAGGAATGCAAGGATAATAGGACATGGGAAATCTACGGAATGTAGTAGCATCGCAATTACTGAACTTATCATCAATGGTAGAATGGGATGAAATGCAGACAGATGGCAAGATGTTGTGAGGTCAAATGGCTGTGGCACTTAGTTGCTACAGAAACAACAGTTATAAAAATTATGATTATTACCTAGATTCTTTTGATGATGATGACCCCAGACAGAGAACAAAGGAAAAAAAAAGTTATCAACATACAATTAAAAACATACATGGGCAACCAGAATGCCTCTTCAGCAGCTTTGAAGAAGTCGTTCCTCTCTTCAAAATTGCCAAGGAGTAGAAGTAAAAGGGACCCTTCTCATTAAATACCTCACTTGGAAGATTTTTTTTTCACATCTCATCCACTAAATCTTATCTTGGTCAGTTTTAAGGTCTTAGTGCTCAATGAGGCATTCTTCTACCAGGTGCCTTGACTTCTACCAGAGAACTGATGAAATGGCTGAGACTACCTTTTGGCCATTTAGGGGTTCTTCATATAGCTGAACCAACAAGCACGTAAAGGACCACCGTACTGAGCAGGGTGACTGATTTTGATGAAAAGGGGGAAACTCAGTGCCTTCTATAGAACCGGGCAACGACTACACAATAGGTAATACTATATTTGGAACTCAGGAAATTCAGTGGGGAATCTCTTAGCTTTCTATCCTTAGTAGTATTGGTCAATGGAAAACTGTAACAATCCTTAAAATTCAAGAACATCAAAGACTCAGATTTCACAGAAGTGAGATATAGAGTATACCACCAGGTAAATAATGCCACCCAACCAAAGTAATGGCAGAGGGTAAAGGGGAACACGCAAAGGGTAGTGGAAGAATGCAGCTGTACTAACCAATTTTCATGACTAGCTATTGAGGCAGAGAACAGACTTGAGCAGTTTTGTTTTTCTCCATTTTTTATACTTTACTATGTCAAGTTGGACTTGACATCGTCTCTTATTCTTTATGTGAAGAACACTGGTGATACCTAACATTTTAGATTTCAGGAAAAGTATTGCTGAATTGACATTACCCTATAATGATACAATAACTGATGGGATTTCATGTGTCTCCTTTGCTAGGAACACAAACCTTCTTCCCAAAGGAAGGAAGAGAGCACATGCTGAGGAATGAAGGTGTGAACCGTGTATCTTCTACTTTTCCCTCAAAAACAACACTATATCCTTTTCCATCCTGATCTTCAGCCTGCTAAGTCAAATTGTGTGGAATACATTAATGTATTTTCTTGCCTTCTGGTTTCTAGCTGAGTTTGACCACATGGGATTCCTGGTAAGAGGTGAATGTGAGATCACCATGGGATAGCTGTATCACTTGACCAAAGATGAAATTCCCCTCAAAGTTGCCTTTTATTACCTATCTTTCAAGGTTCTAGTACCTACTCCTCTATACTTCTCTTCAGGCCTAGGTGCAGTAGCTGTTTCCCTGTGTGATGAAAGCAACCAATACAGGCAGGTCTTGCAGGTTTCAGTCCTCAAAAGAAGGAATGCACACAACAGACATTATTGCTTTTTCCTGAGGGCATTTTCCAAATTGTGACATAAGAAAATGGAACCCAAGAATGAAGGAATGAAGTGGCAGTCCTATGAGGAGTTAAGAGGCAGGAGTAGTTGAGGGTTGTCAAAGTAGATGGAATTTAAGTGACAAAACCCCATAAAGGAATGACCTGCAGGGAAGGAACCCATGTATCTACATATAAATTCCCCTCAGTTCACTGGCTGATCCATCAGCTGCTTATGGAATATAAGACACTTCCCAACCACCAAAAGATATGGCAGAAAACAGCAGGTAGGAGGCAAATAAGCTGTATCGTGCTGAGAAGACACAGGTTGGAGCCAAAGCCCTGCCATGGAGAAAGGGTCTAGTAAACATGACAGGATTTAAGAAAAAAAAAAAAAAAAAAAAAAAAAAGCCAAGGCTCTAGGTGAACATGTCTTGGAATAAGGACAAATCTGAAATATACCAGCCCTAACAAAGACTAAAAACAAGCTTCAATAAGATCAAATGAATATTCTAGATTCTATTTGTCTTCTGAAGACAGCTTAATCTAATTTAGATAAAAATAACATCATCCAGAGCCTCTACACTATTTCAGACACATGTAGCATCAGCTTAAAAATTATGAAACCTACTGGCTAACACGTGAAACCTTGTCACTACCAAAAATACAAAAAAAAAAAATTAGCTGAGTGTGGTGGCGGGCGCCTGTAGTCCCAGCTACTCAGGAGGCTGAGGCAGGAGAATGGCGTGAACCTGGTAGGCAGAGCTTGCAGTGAGCCAAGATCGTGCCATTGCACTCCAGCCTGGGTGACAGAGCAAGACTCCATCTCAAAAAAAAAAAAAAAAAAAAAAAAAAAAAAAGAGACCTGCTAACACACACACACACACACACACACTCTCTCTCTCTCTCTCTCTCTCTCTCTCTCTCTCTCTCTCTCTCTCTCTCTCTCTCAAAATTAAGTTGGGCGGCAAGGGGAAACAATAAACATCTCCAACATAGGATTCAAGTGTAGTTATAAGATACAGACTTTAACTAATATAATATGTTCAAGAAAATAAAGCATCATATCTAGACAATAGATGAAAAGATAAATTTTTGCCAAAAATTGAATTATATTTTTACAAATTAAAGGAACATTCCAGAACTAAAAAAATACCATGTGTGAAATCAAGAAATCACTAGGTGTGCTTAACGGCATACTGGATGTAGCAAAAGACTGTATTAATGATCTACAGATAAGACAATAAAAAATATCCAAACAGAAAAAAAGATATATATATAAAAAAAGAACATAGTAACACAGAGGTAATTAGAGTCATTAAAAAAAGAAAAAACAAGAGGAGAGGAAAGAAGGAATGGTGAAGATGTAATGGCTGATAATTTTCATAACCAAATGAAAAGACATCTACCTACATATTAAAGGTTGGTAAAACCCAAGCAGAATAAACACAAAACAACAACAGCAAAACACACTCACAGACAACCCTCAGATCCATACACAGGCAAATCACAATTAAACTGCTGAAAAGTAAAGATAAAAGGCAGCTAACTGAAAAAAGGCACTGCCTTCACAAAGCAACAATATATTCGTCAGCAAATATTTCAGCAAAATCTATGAAAGTTGGGAAAACAATGGAATGACATACTTAATTAAAAAAAACTTGGCAAACTAGAATTCTGCACCATAATTCCTTAGAAAAGGTAAAACAGACACTTCAGCCAACAAAAGCTAAGAAAGCTGAGCAAAAGCAGACTGGAACCGTAAGAAGTACTGAAGAAATAACTAAATAATTTTAGGCTGGAGAAAAAAATCCAAATGAAGCACAGGTGTGCAAAAACAAAACAAAAGAGTACCATATAGTATAGATAGAAAGTTACTAGTTAAGGAGACAATAGGTCTTGGGGCATTTTAACATATGCACAATTAAAATATTTGACAAAATATATAAGGGCAAAAGGTGATAAATGGCATTAAAATGTTGCAGGATCCTTGCATTACTTGGGAAGTGTTAAACTAATGAATTTAAGATAGACTGCAATAAGTCAAAGCTGCATGTTATAATCTAAGGTAACTTCTAAAAGAATAATACATGTTGAGTATCCCTTATCTGAAATCTTGGGACCAGAGGTGTTTTAAATTTTGGATTATTTTGGATTTTTGAATATTTGCATTATATTTACTACTTAAGCATCCCTAAACTGAAATCCAAAATGCTCAGATGAGTATTTCCTTTGAGCATGATCTTTGAGCATCATGTCAGAGCTCAAAATGTTTTGGATTTTGGAGCATTTTGCATTTTGAATTTTTGGATTAGGGATGTTCAACCTGTATAAATGAAAAGCAATAAAGAAGAAAATGTAATATAATACTAATAATCCTAAAATAAGGCAAGAAAGAATGAAGAGAGGAATAAAGGTGAAAAAAGCAAAACACCCACAATGAGACAGAAACAAATAGCAAGAAGGCAGACTTAAACCAAACTCTATGTCATTGTCATTAAATACAAATGAACTACAAACTCCAATTAAAAAAAAGATTGTAAGATGAAATAAAAATCAAACCCAATTATACACTGTTTATAAAAAACATATTTTAAATAAAAGGAAAAAGATTAAAAGAAAAAGGAAAAGGGAATATAATGTGCAAACACTAACCAAAAACCAAAACCAAAAACCAGAGGTAGGCAGATTAACAACACGATGAAAAAAACAGACTTTAAAGCAAGAATTATATAACCAGAGATAAAGAGAAATTTCATTCAACAGTACATACCAATTCCAAATTTAATTTGTTTTACTATTAAACTAAGTTTTACAAAATTCTAAATTTAAAGCTAAATTAAATTCTAAATTAAATTTAGAATTGGTATGTATTGCTGAACAAAATATATAGCTTCAAAATATAAAGACCAAGACTTCTGCCTTGATAAGCAGTCTGAAGTCGACCTGGGATGCTCGAGCTTGGTCAGGGGAGGGACGTCCACCATTACTGAGTCTTGAGTAGGCGGTTTTCCCCTCACAGTGTAAACAAAGCCACCGGGAAGTTCCACCCGGGCAGAGCCCTCCACATCTCAGCAAAGCCACTGTAGACAGACTGCTTCTCTAGATTCCTCCACTTTGGGCAGGGCATCTCTGAAAAAAAGGCAGCAGCCCCAGTTAGGGGCTTATAGATAAAACTCCCATCTTCCTGGGAAAGAGCATCAAGGGGAAGCGGCGGCTGTGGGCACGGCTTCGGCAGATTTAAATGTCCCTGCCTGCTGGCTCTGTACAGTGGATCTCCCAGCACAGTGCTCGACCTCTAAGGGTCAGACTGCCTCCTCAAGTGGGCCCCTGACCCCCATGTCTCCTGACTAGAAGACACCTCCCAGCAGGGACCAACAGACACCTCATATGGGAGAGCTCCAGCTGGCATCTGGTGGGTGCCCCACTGGGAAAAAGCTTCCAGAGGAAGGAACAGGCAGCAATCTTTGTTGTTCTGCAGCCTCTGCTGGTGATACCCAGGCAAACAGGGTCTGGGGTGGACCTCCAGCAAACTCCAGCAGACCTGCAGCAGAGGGGCCTGACTGTTAGAAGGAGATCTAACAAACAGAAAGGGATAGCATCAACATTAACAAAAAGGACATCCACTCAGAAACCCCATCCGAAGGTCACCAACATCAAAGACCAAAGGTAGACAAATCCACGAAGATGGGGAGAAACCAGCGCAAAAACACTGACAACTCCAAAAACCAGAATGCCTCTTCTCCAAAAAAAATCACAACTTCTTGCCAGCAAGGGAACAAAACTGGACGGAGAATGAGTTTGACGAACTGACAGAAGTAGGCTTCAGAAGATGGGTAATAACAAACTCCTCCAAGCTAAAGGAGCATATTCCAACCCAATGGAAGGAAGCTAAGGACCTTGAAAAAAGGTTAGAGGAATTTCTAACTAGAATAATAACCAGTTTAGAGAAGAACATATGACCTGATGGAGCAGAAAAACACAGCATGAGAACTTCGTGAAGCATACACATTCGTGAAGTATTAATAGCCAAATCAGTCAAGCAGAAGAAAGGATATCAGAGATTAAGATCAACTTAATGAAATAAAGTGTGAAGACAGATTAGAGGGAAAAAAAAGGAATGAACAAAGCCTCTAAGAAATACGGGACTATGTGAAAAGATAAAACCTACATTTTATTGGTGTACCTGAAAGTGACAGGGAGAATGAAACCAAGTTGGAAAATACTCTGCAGGATATTATCCAGGAGAACTTTCCCAATCTAGGAAGACAGGCCAACATTCAAATTCAGGAAATACAGAGAACACCACAAAGATACTCCTCGAGAAGAGCAACCCCAAGACACATAATCGTCAGATTCACCAAGGTTGAAATGAAGGAAAAAATGTTAAGGGCAGCCAGAGAGAAAGATCGGGTTACCCACAAAGGGAAGCCCATCAGACTAACAGCATTATCTCTCGGCAGAAAACCTACAAGCCAGAAGAGAGTGGGGGCCAATATTCAACATTCTTAAAGAATTTTCAACCCAGAATTTCATATCCAGCCAAACTAAGCTTCCTAAGGGAAGGACAAATAAAATCCTTTATAGACAAGCAAATGCCGAGAGATTTTGTCACCACCAGGCCTGCCTTAAAAGACCTCCTGAAGGAAGCACTAAACATAGAAAGGAATAACAGCTACCAGCCACTGCAAAAACATAGCAAATTGTAAAGACCATCGACACTATGAAGAAACTGCATCAACTAACAGGCAAAATAACCAGCTAGCATCATAATGACAGGATCAAATTCACATGTAACAATATTAACCTTAAATGTAAACAGGCTAAATGCTCCAATTAAAAGACACAGACTGGCAAACTGGATAGAGTCAAGACCCACTGGTGTGCTGTATTCAAGAGACCAATCTCACGTGCAAACACACATAGGCTTAAAATAAACGGATGGAGGAATATTTACCAAGTAAATGGAAAGCAAAAAAAAAAAAAAAAAAAGCAGAGGTTGGAATCCTAGTCTCTGATAAAACTGACTTTAAACCAACAAGGATCAAAAGAGACAAAGAATGACATTACATAATGGTAAAGGGATCAATGCAACAAGAAGAGCTAACTATCCTAAATATATATGCACCCAATACAAGAGCACCCAGATTCATAAAGCAAGTTCTTAGACTCCCATACAAAAATAGTGGGAGACTTTAACACCCCATTGTCAATATTAGACAGATCAACAAGACAGAAAATTAACAAGGATATTCAGGGCTTGAACTCACCTGTGGACCAAGTGGACCTAACAGACATCTATAGAACTCTCCACCCCAAATCAACAGAATATACGTTCTTCTCAGCACCACATTGCACTTATTCTAAAATTGACCACGTAATTGGAAGTAAAACACTCCTGAGCAAATGCAAAAGAATGGAAATCATAGCAAACAGTCTCTCAGACCACAGTGCAACCAAATTAGAAGTCAGGATTAAGAAACTCACTCAAAACCTCACAACTACATGGAAACTGAACAACCTGCTCCTGAAGGACTACTGGGTAAATAACAAAATTAAGGCAGAAATAAGTAAGTTCTTTGAAACCAATGAGAACAAAGACATAACATAGCAGAATCTCTGGGACACATTTAAAGCAGTGTGTAGAGGGGAATTTATAGCACTAAATGCCCACAAGACAAGGTAGGAAAGATAGTAAATCAACACCCTAACATTACAATTAAAAGAGCTAGAGAAGCATGAGCAAACAAATCCAAAAGCTAGCAGAAGACAAGAAATAACTAAGATCAGAGCAGAACTGAAGGAGATAGAGACATGAAAAACCCTTCAAAAGAAATCAATGAATCCAGGAGCTTGTTTTTTGAAAAGATCAACAAAATAGACCACTAGCCAGACTAACAAAGAAGAAAAGAGAGAAGAATCAAATGGACACAATAAAAAATGATAAAGGGAATATCACCACTGATCCCAGAGAAATACAAACTATCATCAGAGAATACTATAAACACTTCTATGCAAATAAACTAGAAAATCTAGAAGAAATGGATAAATTCCTCGACACATACACCCTCCCAAGTCTAAGCCAGGAAGAAGTTGAATCCCTGAATAGACCAATAACAAGTTCTGAAATTTAGGTAATAATTAATATCCTACGAACAAAAAAAAGTCTAGGACCAGATGAACTCACAGCCAAACTACCAGAGGTACAAAGAGGAGCTGGAAGCATTCCTTCTGAAACTATTCCAAACAACAGAAAAAGAGGAAATCCTCCCTCACTCATTTTATAAGGCCAGCATCATCCTGATACCAAAACCTGGCAGAGACACAAGAAAAAAAGAAAATTTCAGGCCAATATCCCTGATGAACATTGATGCGAAAATCCTCAATAAAATACTGGCAAACTGAATCCAGCAGCACATCAAAAAGCTTATCCACCACGATCAAGTCGGCTTCATCCCTGGGATGCAAGGCTGGTTCAACATAAGCAAATCAATAAACATAATCCATCACATAAACAGAACCAATGACAAAAACCACAGGATTATCTCAAAAGATGCAGAAAAGGCCTTTGACAAAATTCAACACCCCTTCATGCTAAAAACTCTCAATAAACTAGGTACTGATGGACCATATCTCAAAATACACTACTTCTGACAAACCCACAGCCAATATCATACAAAATGAACAAAAATTCCCTTTAAAAACTGCCACAAGACAAGGATGCCCTCTCTCACCACTGCAATTCAACATAGTATTGGAAGTTCTGGCCAGGACAATCAGGCAAGAGAAAGAAATAAAGGTTATTCAGATAGGAAGAGAGGAAGTCAAATTGTCCCTGTTTGCAGATGACATGATTGTATATTTAGAAAACCCCATTATCTCAGCCCAAAATCTCCTTAACCTGATAAGCAACTTCAGCAAAGTCTCAGGATACAAAAATCAATATGCAAACATCACAAGTATTCATATACACCAATAACAGACAAACAGCCAAATCATGAGTGAACTCACAGTCGCAATTGCTACAAAGAGAATAAAATACCTAGGAATCCAACTTACAAGGGATGTGAAGGACCTCTTCAAGGAGGACTACAAACCACTGCTCAAGGAAAGAAAAGAGGACACAAACAAATGGAAAAACATTCCATGCTCTGTTCTCACTCATAAGTGGAAGTTGAACAATGAGAACTCAGTGAGGGGAACATCACACACCAGGGCCTGTTGGGGGGTGGGGGGTTAGGGGAGGGATAGCATTAGGAGAAATACCTAATGTAGATGATAGGTTGATGGGTGCCGCAAACCGCCATGGCACACATATACCTATGTAACAAACCTGCACGTTCTGCACATGTATCCAAGAACTTAAAGTATAATAAAAAAATTAAAAAAACACACACAAACATTCCATGCTCATGGATAGGAAGAATCAGTATCGTGAAAATGGCCATACTGCCCAAAGTAATTTAGAGATTCAATGCTATCCCCGTCAAGCTACCATTTGACTTTCTTCACAGAATTAGAAAAAACTATTAAATTTCATATGGAACAAAAAAAGAGCCCGCATAGCCAAGACAATCCTAAGCAAAAAGAACAAAGCTGGAGGCATCATGCTACCTGACTTCAAACTATACTGCAATGCTACAGTAACCAAAACAGCATGGTACTGGTACAAAAACAGATATATAGACCAATGGAACAAAACAGAGGCCTCAGAAATAACACCACACATCTACAGCCATCTGATCTTTGACAAACCTGACAAAAGCAATGGGGAAAGGATTCCCTATTTAATAAATGGTGTTGGGAAAACTGGCTAGCCATATGCAGAAACCTGAAACTGGACCCCTTCCTTACACCTTATACAAAAATTAATTCAAGATGGATTAAAGACTTAAGACCTAAAACCATAAAAACCCTAGAAGAAAATCTAGGCAATACCATTCAGGACATAGGCATGGGCAAAGACTTCATGACTAAAACACCAAAAGCAATGGCAACAAAAGCCAAAATTGACAAATAGGATCTAATTAAACTAAAGAGCTTCTGCACAGCAAAAGAAACTACCATCAGAGTGAACAGGCAACCTACAGGACGGGAGAAAATTTTTGCAATCTATCCATCTGACAAAGGGCTAATATCCAGAATCTACAAAGAACTTAAACACATTTACAAGAAAAAAACAAACAACCCCACCAAAAAGTGGGCAAAGGATACGAACAGATACTTCTCAGAAGAAGACATTTATGCAGCCAACAAACATTTCAAAGAAAGCTCATCATCAATTGTCATTAGAGAAATGTGATCTAATGGTCATTAGAGAAATGTCAATCAAAACCACAATGAGATATCATCTCACTATAGTTAGAATGGTGATTTTTAAAAAGTCAGGAAACAACAGATGCTGGAGAGGATGTGGAGAAATAGGAACACTTTTACATGGTTGGTGAGAGTGTAAATTAGTTCAACCATTGTGGAAGACAGTGTGGCAATTCCTCAAGGATCTAGAACCAGAAATACCATTTGACCCAGCAATCCCATTACTGGGCATATACCCAAAGGATTATAAGTCATTCTACTATAAAGACACATGCACAGGTATGTTTATTGCGGCACTGTTCACAATAGCAAAGACTTGGAACCAACCCAAATGCCCATCAATGATAGACTGGATAAAGAAAATGTGGCACATATATACCATGGAATACTTTGCAGCCATAAAAAAGGATGAGTTCATGTCCTTTGCAGGGACATGGATGAAGCTGGAAACCATCATTCTCAGTAAACTAACACAAGAACAGAAAACCAAACACTGCATGTTCTCACTTGTAAGTGGGAGTTGAAGAATGAGAACATATGGACACAGGGAGGTGAACATCACGCACCAGGGCCTGTTGGGGGGTGGGGGGCTAGGGGAGGGAGAGCATTAGGAGAAATACCTAATGTAGATGACGGGTTGATGGGTGCAGCCAACCACCATGGCAGGTGTATACCTAACAAACCTGCACGTTCTGCACATGTACCCCAGAACTTAAAGTATAATAAAAAAGGAATAAAAAATATAACAAAGATGAAGGAATTAGTTATTACAAACATGTTCAAGATTTAAAGCAAAATCTGAACACAATGAGGGGACAAATAGTGAATCCAACAGAAAAAGGGAAACCATAAAAATTGAAAGTATAAAAAAATCTATAAAAATTAACCAATGTTCCAGAACAGAAGTTCTAGCAGTGAAAATTATATGAAATGAAAAATTAACTATATGGGCATAATAGGAGTTTAGACACTGAAGAAATAAAGACTGACTACTAGCAATCTTACACAATTTCAAAGGACAGAAAAAGAGTGGATGCTTCAAAAATCATTCTATTAGGTCAGCATAACCTTGACACCAAACTAACATTACAAAAAAAGAACAAGTATATATAGGTCAGCATCTCTCATAAACATAATGCAAAACTTTTAGTATTAAAATATTAGTAAATTTAAAATTTGCTATCTGTAAAAGATAATATATGTGACCAAACTGGAATTTATCCAGGAATGCAAGATTGATTATATGTTTCTAAAAAAATGTAACCCACTATATTAACAACAACAAAACAATGATATAGCCTACATGAATCAACGCAATTGGTGCATAAAACTCACGTTAAGAAAACACAAATTACTGGGAGGCCAAGGCAGGTGGATCACGAGGTCAGGAGTTCGAGACCAGCCTGGCCAATATGTTGACACCCCATCTCTACTAAAAATACAAAAATTAGCTGTGTGTGGTGGCACGCCTGTAGTCCCAGCTGCTCGGGAGGCTGAGGCAGGAGAATTGCTTGAACCCGGGAGGCGGAAGTTGCAGTGAGCCGAGATTGCACCACTGTACTCCAGCCTGGGTGACACAGCGAGACTCCAACTCCAAAAAAAAAAAAAAAAAAAAGAGAAAGAAAGAAAGAAAAGAGAAGAAAATAAAAATCAGTGGCACCGAGAAAAACAGAATTTTCTTAATCTGACAAAAGGTATCTACAAAAAAACGAAACCAAATACCATAACTAACATAATGATAAAATATGGAACATTTTCCCCTAGTTTGGGAGTAAGACTAAGATAAGAAGGTCCATCACCATTTCTATTCAATGGTGAAGTGTAGGTTTTATTGACTGTAGTAAGAAAAAAAAGAGATTGGAAAGGAAGAAGTACAATAATTATCACTAGTCATAGACGACATTATTGTATGAACAGGATATCTAAAAAAATCTGTAACTACAAATTATTAGAATAAGTGAATTTAGTTAAGATTAACAGTTATCAAGGTTAATATACATAAAAGTCCATTTATTTTTACATGCCATTATCAAATATACTTAAAAACAGTACCATTTGTAATAGCACAAAAAAACAAATAACTGAGAATATAATGAAATATATGCCCCTACAAAACATTACTGAAATTAAGACCTAAATAAATGGTTATATCATGTTCCTGATTTGTAATTTTCACTTTTCTTAATTCTCCCTGATCCACAGAGTGAATGCAATCTCATTCAAAATTTCAGATTTTATATAGGTGTGAGTGGTAGAGGGGAGACCATGAAACCAACAAAGTGAATCTTACATTTTTATGGCCATACAAAGACTCTAAAATAGCCAAATATACTTGAAGAAAAACAAACTGGAACGCTTATATTACCAAATATCAAGACATTATAAAGCTACATAGTAATTAAGACAGTGTAGTATTGGTATAAAGACTTGACACTGGAAAAAAGACCTATATATATAAGGTTACATCAGATGTACAACTCCAATCCAGAGGAAAAATGATGGTGTTTTCAATAAATGCCGCTATGTCAACCGGCCATATTTTTAAAAGTTCTTGAACGTTATGTCAAAAAATGAAAAATAACAAGTGTTGGTGAGCATGTGGAAAATTAGAGTCCTTGCGCATCACTTGTAGGAATGCAAAATGGTGCGGCCACTGTGGAAATCAGTTTGGCAGTTCCTCAAAAAGTTAAACAAAATTGCCATATGATTCAGCAATTCTACTCCTAGGTATATTGCCAAAAGAAATGAGAGACTTAAAGAGATACTTGCACACTCATGTTCATAGCAGCAAGATTGCCAATAGCCAAGGGGTAGAAACAACCCAAATGTCTAACAGATGAACTTTTTTTTTTTTTTCGAGACGGAGTCTCGCTCTGTCACCCAGGCTGGAGTGCAGTGGCGCAATCTCGGCTCACTGCAAGCTCTGCCTCCCAGGTTCATGCCATTCTCCTGCCTCAGCCTCCTGAGTAGCTGGGACTACAGGCGCCCGCCACCACACCCGGCTAATTTTTTGTATTTTTTAGTAGAGACGGGGTTTCACCGTGTTAGCCAGGATGGTCTCGATCTCCTGACCTCATGATCCACCCACCTTGGCCTCCCAAAGTGCTGGGATTACAGGTGTGAGCCACCGCGCCCAGCCCAGATGAACTTTTAAACAACAAAAGTGCTGTGTATCAATACAATAAAATATTATTCAGCTTTAAAAGAGGATGAAAGTTCTGACACATGCTACAAACATGGATGAACCTTGAAAATGTCATGCTAGGTAAAATAAGCCAGACACACAAAAGGACAAATATTATATTATTCCACTTAAGTGAATTATGTAGAACAAGCAAATCCATAAAACATTCAATAGACTGGAACGTCCAAGGGGCCTGGGGAAATAAGGAATGGGGAGTTACTTTCAATGGGTACAAAGTTTCTTTTTGGGATGATGAAAAACTTCTGGAAATGGAGAACACAGTGCAGTACAACATTGTGAACTTAATAATACAGAATTGTACAAAAAATGGTTAAAATAGTAAATTTTATGTCACGTATATTTTACCACAATATAAAATGCATGAATATTCATTGTAGCTGTATTTATAATAGAATAAATTGAAAACAACTCAAATGTCCCTACATGGGTGAAAGGATAAACAAACTGTGGTAATGTATATAATAGAATACTGTTCAGTAATGAAAAAGGGCAACTATGATACATACAACTTGGAATGAGCTCCAGATTATTATCCTGAGTTAAAAAAAAGCCAGTTTCCAAAGGTTATATGATTTATATAATATGGAATCTCAGCAACAAAAATATATTAAGACAACAGATCAGTGGTTGCCAGAGGTTAGGGGACAGAATTTGACTATAAAGGAGCAGCATGACAGAGTTATTCTGTGGTGATGAAACAATTCTGTACTTTGTGGTGGTAATTTTTCAAATCTACATATAAGAAAATATTTCATAAAACTATACACACAAAAAAGGAATGAATGCAAAAACTGGTGAAACCTGAGTAGGGTCTGTGGTCTTGTTAGTTATATTGTATTATGTCACTTTATTGGTTTTGATAACATAATTATGTAGCACCATTGAAGGAAGCTGGGTGCTGGGTACACAGGACCTCTCTGCAACTTCTTATGAGCCTCTGTTTCAGAATAAAACATTTTTTAAAATTCTGAGAGAAGAATAATTCCTTTACTTAAAAAAGCACACATTAAAATTGGTATCATATACATTCTTAATATTCCAGGAAGTTTTTGGATTTGCAAAATACAAGTCGGCTGGGTGCAGTGGCTCATGCCTGTAATCCCAGCACTTTGGGAGGCCGAGGTGGGTGGATCCCCTGAGGTCAGGAGTTCAAGACCAGTCTAGCCAACATGGCAAAACCCCGTCGCTACTAAAAATACAAAAATTAGGCATGATGACGGGCACCTGTAATCCCAGCTACTTGGGAGGCTGAGGCAGGGAGAATCACTTGAACCCGGGAGGCAGAGGTTGCAGTGAGCCAAGATCACGCCATTACACTCCAGTCTGGGTGACAGAGTGAGACTCTGTCTCAAAAAATAAACAAACAGACAAAAAAAAAACAAAAAAAGGAAGAAATATACAAGTCATCTAGTGCAGTTATACAGAAAGAGTACTCATTAAAAATTTAGCAGTAAATGATCAAAGAAGACAACTCGTTTGTAAGAGACTATATCTAAAGAACCCTACCAGTAAATTTAGATGTTTCTAGACATGAAAAATAGCTGTTTTTTTTTTTTGTTTTGAGACAGGGTCTCACTCTATCACCCAGGTTGGAGTACAGTGGCCAGATCATAGTTCACTGCAGCCTTGACCTCCTGGGCTCAAGTGATCCTCTCTCCTCAGCCAACTGAGTAGCTGAGACTACAAGCACGCACCACCAAGTCCAGGTAACTAAAAAATATTTTTTGGTAGAGTTGTGGTCACACCATGTTGCCTAGGTTAGTCCCGAACTCTTGAGCTCAAGGGATTCTTCCACCTTGGCCTCTCAAAATGCTAGGATTACAGGCGTGAGCCACCACACCTGGCTTGTACTTTCACTCTTGAAAATAAAAAGTTTTAATGTTTTCAATAAGTAAATATTAACTAACTTTTATAGGAAAGTCATTGCCTAGGAGGCAATAAATAAGTAAATAAATTTACAATTTTGTTAACAGTGCTAAGACATGCAAAAATGAATGTGATAAGAGAGTATAGCATAGCATGACATAGTATATGAGAGTTCAGAGGCAGAAGAAACATTTAAGAGCAGGAGATTTCAAAGACAATTTCATGGAGAAATTCTATTTCAGCTGCCCTAGAAAGGACAGAATTTGGATAAAGATGAAGTGGAAATGTTTGGTCTTGCTAAGCTAAGGGGAGAACATAAGTAAAGAGAATACAGCAAGAAATACATGATATATTCAAGAAACACAGATTTAAATTGGTTGAAGAACATAGTATTGTTAAAGAAGTGGGAAGTAGTAAATAGATTACTTGTGTAGAGTCCAAAAAAAAAAAATCATAGAATTTCCTATTGTGCAGAACACTGCAGATGCCATCAAATTTTTTCAGTTCTCAAATTCTAGTAAACTTTGACAGTTTCAGGGCTAAAATATTCAGTCTGACTTGACGTACTACCAAACTGTACTCTAAAATATCTTTCTACTAATGAAACAATGCAACAGTTGATGAAAAAAACTTACAAAGAATTAACATTTTGAACAAGTACCCGAAGATATAGCTTAAAAATTTATAAAGTCATCTGTCCAAACAAGTTACATATTAGAATGTTTCTACAATAATGAATTCCCTTTACATTACAGTCAAAGTGTAAAGCAAGACTCTGACAAGTATATTAACGCATGTAGAAAAAATAAAACTTAATTCTCAGGAAATCATTCATTTAAAAATTTTAAATAGCAACACCAACCACTGAGTAGCACACCTTTTCATTTCTACCATCATTTAACAAATGAAAATTACAGTTTCCATGAAAATAGAAAGTAATCCAGACTTAGAACACCATAGAGAAAGGCAACTCAGGCTCAGCAGAAATTTTAACACTAGAAACATGTATATTATTTCCAGGAACTAGTAACGTTTTGGTAACCAGGATGCTCCTTAACAGTATAACCATTAAGCTAAATAAAACTAAATATTTCTGACATCTATTGTAACACAAGAAGTAACAGAATAGTAAGTTGTACTTTAATTTATAGGATGCTATGAGGATCAAAAGGTTCTGAAAAGGAAATTCGCATGCTTCCTGTTTTACTTAACAATATTCTTTCTTCTTTCTCACATCAAAGAACAATTACCTTTATCTAGGAACCATCAATTTCAGCTCATTCTCAAAGACAAAGTTGCATTTGGAAGTCACAGTGTTCTTTCATTATTGTTTTAAAGCGTGAAGATGGTCACATTAAGGTTGACTGATGGGGATCATCAATATTTTCAAAGTATTTGTACATATCTTATGTACATATTATACTCGTTATTTTTCACAAGTTCCATCTAATGCCCCTTGGAATAATTCTGTCATATCACTTCACTTCATGTGCAAAATAAAATACAACATGGGTTTGAACTGAGCTGGTCCACTTAACACACACGTTTTTCCAACCAAATACAAATGAAAAACACAGTATTTTGGGGATGCAAAACCTACCTATAGAGAGAGCCAATTTATGTGGGTTCTACAGGGCTGACTGCAGGATTTGAGATTGTGTGGATTCTGGTATATGCAGAAGTGGGAGGGTGTGCTGGAACCAAACAATACCACTGTTATACTGGGGGATGACTGCATATATATATCTAAAAATACCTTCTGTTTAAAACATTGTTTCTAAAACAGATATAACTAAATGTCTGTTCTATCTTTTATAGGCACTACCTCAATACATGATCAAGACAATCATATTTGTCATTTAAAAGTTTAGAGCAGTACTTTCTAACCATACTTACTTATGCCATGGCACAGATAAGAAAATGGCATTGCACAGTGGAGTAAATAACAGGCTGCCTGAGGCCAGAGTTAACTGTCCAGGGCTCTAGCTGTCTCAGGGCCCATACACACCTCTCAAAGGCTAAAACAACCCACTATTAAGTCTCCATTCATAAGCCATCATTCATGTCTATTTTAACTACTGTACTATTTCTGCTAATAATTGAGTTCAGTTGGGGATAAGGTGGAGGGGAGCATGAAAAAATACAGGCCAGGGTTAAATTTCTATGAACTCACACTGAAAATACCCTGAACATAATCTGCCCATTACTCAATGAAACTGCTTTACTTCCACTCAATTCTTCTCTTTACTCTTATTTCCCTCATTTTGGCTTCAGCCATTTCAGTAATATATTCATATCAGCCTAGATTCTCTATAATCACAGCTGACCCAATTACAGCTGGGTCAATTCTCTGACCTGGCTAACATCCATTAGGACCCAAAACAAGTTGTAAAAATCACATTAGGTGGCTCCACTATAAATTCATGCATGTACACGAAATCTCCAAAAATTTTTTTTTAGACTGAGTTTTGCTCGTTGCCCAAGCTGGAGTGCAATGATGCAATCTCAGCTCACTGCAACCTCCGCCTCCCAGGTTCAAGTGATTCTCCTGCCTCAGCCTCCTGAGTAGCTGGGATTACAGGTGCGTGCCACCACACCTGGCTCATTTTTGGCATTTTTTAGTAGAAACGGGGTTTCACCATGTTAGCCAGGCTAGCCTTGAACTCCTGACCTCAGGTGATCTGCCCGCCTCGGCCTCCCAAAGTGCTGGGATTACAGGCGTCAGCCACCTCGCCTGGCAGAAATCTCCGTAATCTTTAAACAAACATTTAAAACATCCTAACCATATTATTCTCATCACCAAACTGCTAGGAAGAATAGAATGCAGACATTGCCTACAACTTCTCATCTTCCATTCATTCCTTAATGATGGCCAATCTCAATTCTGATACTACTTTTTATTATTATTCTGCAGGGTGGTATTTTTCAAAGTGTGGACAAAGTACCACCTGTATCAAATCACCTGTAATAACTTGTCAAAATGCAGATTTGGGAACTTTCCCCTGATTTGCTCAGACTATCTTGGAGTGGTGCTTCTCCCGAGCAACCAGGTTTGCGAACTGCTGTTTTAGACACCAGTGAACTCATGGTTGCCAAATCAAAAGTTATTTTTATAGTTCTCATTCTCCTTGACCCCTCTGCAGCACTTTAGAATGCTTATTTTATTCTCTTTGTGCTATCCTCACTCTACACTTACCTGTCAAATAACTCCATGTTTCCTTATTTTTCCAAATCCAATATTTGAGTGTTCCTTGAGGTTCTAGCCCTAATCCTCTTTGTATACTCCCTGAAGAGGCAAACATCTTTTCTCACAACTTCAATAATTACCGTTAATTATCTGCATAATATTTGCGAACGACTGATTTCCCAACCTTTTACCAAAGGTCCAAAACTTTCTTAAGGTCTCTGTTACCATATTTCTTATTGCTATCTATCTCCAATTAACCATCTTATTACCATCTTAAAAATGTCAAAACTTCAAATCTTTTCAGCCAAATCATATTCCATTCTTGACTTCTCTACTTGTAGTAATGGTACCTCCAGTCACCCAGCTCAAAGTCATGGAGTTACCTTTGTCTAGTCCATCTCCTTTATTTCATATATTCTGTTTTCATTGCCTAGCATCCCATCGTTATTTGAATTTATCTTCTTTATAAATGGTAACAACCCTGGTTTGGGTCATCATTATCTATTATGTAGGCTATTATCATGGCCTCCTAAATTTCTAGTTTTCTCTTCTCTAATCTTGAACACAATTCATCTCTAATCTTTATTATTTCCAAATATAATGCATTTTCTCTCCCATTTCAGCCTACCAAATTTTACCCATCCTTCAGTGCTTGCCTTAGATCACCTGAGAGCTAAAAGGGGGCTTAAACTTAGAAATGAGCAATTTAGTGGTTTTTGAACAATTTTAAAAGTGGAAGTTTAGAAGTCTGAATTTAGAAGTTTGGTTTTCTTCAAGCAAACTATCTTGTAGAACTTCAATACATAACATATGAGAGATGAAAAGCACAGCTGTTTTTGACGAAGGGCAGCCCGGAGCCCTTCCCACGCCTTTATCCTTGAACAAAGAATGAAAATCATTAGTCTAAACTTCATCCTTGCAAAGATAAAGAACTGAAGAGAGATTAAATGATTTACAGTAGTCTCAGCCATAAAAGCAAATGTTGGGCTTCACGTCCATTTCCTGACCTTTCTACTAAATGACTGCCTTCTACTCCATGCCATCTCCTTTATCCTTTATGAAGTCTCTCTTGATATCCCTTATCTAGACAAAATCCTTCCTTTCTCTAAACCAAAACACCACATATAATTGAATACACATAGTATATAGAGACAGCGACTACATGTTGAATAAATGAGTGGTACTTAGTAGATTTTGTCTATAAAGCAGTTGGGCATTTTTATCTTTCCCTTAAAACTGCAAATTTCTTGAGGAAATAAATTGTCTTTTACTGGTCCTCATGGCAGTGCTTAACTCTGGGCTTTTTACTAATGAGGCAGAACTTTCAGACACAAATAAAAGTACTTGGTGCTTTCCCACATTTTATAAGTGTCAGCTAAAAGCAAAATACTTATGAATGGAAGAGCCAAGAGAAGGTGGAAGAGCCAAGAGAAGGTGAAAGATCTTGTATTTTCAAAGGCAAATTTACTATCAAGAAGTGAAATAATAGAAGGCTGAACATTTGCTATGAAAAGAAACAGCCCTGCAAAGAAAATAAAAATATTTAAGAGGGAAATAGCAGTTGCAGAAATAAGCAATAAATACTATGTAACTAATGGAAATGGAATTTATTAATATTGTGTTTATTTTAATCCACATGAAACTGCCCATATTTTGATCCTTTTTAATCCACCAAAAAGGCAACTTCACATGATTCAACCTAGTATCAGTAGAGTTTAGATTACTGAAAGATGTCTTTCCAGCATGACTTCACTGTTCATTAACTAAATTCTACCATACTTTTAGAACAGACAATAAACCAAAACAATTTATATAAACCTCGTCTGTGATTATAATAGTTCATGTGGGGTAGTTGTGAGATTTATAAGTTTAGTAAAGATCTAAGGTAAGGGGGACAAACTCTGAGAACCAATCATGTTTAATATATCTGTGATTGTAAACCAAGGAATAGGATGTAGAAGTAAGGGACAAACAATTTCACTAAAGATACTTATCCTAACTCAAAAGTAAGTAAACTTTCCCTTTTTTCTTTCTAATCACTGTATAAACACATACAGATATAAAGCTAAGCAGTCTTTTACTGACTTAGAAATCCCTGTTAATCTAAATTATAAATAATTAAATCACATTTGGTACAGATAGATCTTGTAGAACAGTTGAAAATGGGCAATCTTATTTAATGCACATACGATAATCCTCTATTAATAGAATAACTACTTTATCAAACTATTCCTTAACATGGTTAATATTTTTCTACATTTATATGTGCAGTTTGCATTCATGAACTCCTTTAACATGAGAGCTGTTTCAGGTATTGTTTCTTTACTAACACCTAGCATGGTGACTGGCAAATATTAGGCAGTCAAATGTTTGTTGAATTCATCAATGAGTACAAATCATTATTTTTATTCTTGACTTCCAATATTTAATTTTTAAAAAACTGAGTGAGATGCCAGGATACAATGTTGAATATGGTAGCCATATGGACAGCTTTAAAGCAAAAACTTAAAAGGAAATCTCTATTAAACTACAAAAAGGAAAATGGCTTTACAATATCTATCAAAATAAATACAAAATGGCTACATATTCAAACAGGTAAGTCATTTTCTGAGAAAATGAAAAAGTAAAAAGCCCTAATGTTTCAATGTAATTTGGCAGGAATATTTAGAAATTTTCAGCAATCATTGCACATTGCTGAATAAGACTCTGATTCTGAAAGTTGAAAACCACCAATATTTTAAAAACATTTTTACTAGTCAAAACACACCAAACAAAACAAGATTTTTAATGTGATAATGGATTGCCTATTTCACATGTTAAATTGCTCTATGCAGGGAGATTTCACAATCCAGGATCCATAGCCATGTTGTTGTAAGTAGGATTTCAACTTACATTTAGCTTCTTGATAGGAGGCAGACATACACTAGAGAAGAAAGAAAAAATGAATTATAGAAAATAGGCAGCATTTGATTGCTGAAAAGTAGCCCCAATACTGTTTCTTTAGCTTGAAATTTAAAAAAGTTAATCAAAGTCTTTTTTAATTCCTATATTTTAATATTTTTGAAGCTAAAAAATTTCCTTCCCAACACTCCTAAAGAGCAATTATTCTCCTTTTTTTTTTTTTCCTAAGAGCCAAGGTCTTGTTCTGTCATGCAGGTTGGAGTATGGTGGCATGATCACTGAATTCCTGGGCTCAAGCCATCTTCCAGCCTCAGCCTCCTGAGTTGCTAGGACTACAGGCATGCACCACCATGCCCTGCTATTTTTTTTTTATTTTTTGCAGAGGCAAGGTCTTGCATGTTGCCTAGGGTGGTCTTGAACTCCTGGCCTCAAGTGGTCCTCCCACCTTGGCCTCCCAAAGCTCTGGCCAGGCATGAGCCACCACACCTGGCCAGTTTTTCTTCTTGTTCTTTTTTTTTTTTAACATTTTAAATTAAAAGATTAATCATACTAATTGCAGAAAATTTGAAAAACAGACAAAATATAAAGAAGGAAATAAAAATTATCGGTAATCACAAAACTCGATGGTGGCAGATAAAACTAATGGTGGTAGATAGCCACCATTAATATTTTGGCGAATTTTCATTTTTTATAAATGAAAATATAAATGAACTTTTAACAAGCTGGTTTTATTGAGATACAATTTACATACCATGAAATTCATCCATTGTTAAGTGCATTGTTTGGTGTTTTTTAATGAATTCATAGAGGCATGTAAATATCAGCATAGTCCAGTTGTGAAACAAATCCCTCACCTCTAAAAAGTTCCACTGTACTCACCTGCAGTCCTGGTGCCAGTACCAGCCCTAAACCCAGACAACCATGAATCTACTTGCTGTCTCTAGAGTTTTGCTTTTTCTAAAAAATTCATATAAATTAACTAACACAATAAGGATCCTGTTATGTCAGGCTTCTTTCAGTTCATTTACGTTGTTTCATGTATCAGTAGCTTGTTCCTTTTTATTGCTGATTAATATTCCATTGCAGGGGTATAATATTCCATTGTAGGGGTATAACACATTTTGTTTATGTATTCACCAGCTGATTAACATTTGAATTGCTTCCAGTTTTTGGCTTTTCTGAATAATGCTATTATAAACATGCATGTAAATACCGGTGGAATTGCTGATCACACATTTACCATCTTAAGAAAATGCCAAACTGTTTTCCAAAGTGGCATTTTCTCATAGTCTGTAGTTTGTATTTTCATTTTCTTAATGATGAATTTTGAAAAGCAAGCATTTTATTTTGGAGTCAAATGATCAATTTCTTTTTGGGTTATACTTTTGGTATCACATCTAAGAAATTTGCCTAATAATGTAAATATTTTCTAATTTATATTTAATAATGTAAATATTTTCTCATATTTTATTTGAAAGTTTTATAGTTTTAGCTCTTACAGTTAGATCTAAAGTCCACTTTGAGTTAATTTTTGTGTATGACTGACATAAAGATCTAAGTTAATTGTTTTACCCACACATATCCCACCATTTCAGCACTATTTGTTGAAAAAATGATTCTCCCATAGAATTGGCACTTTTGTACAAAAGCAATTGATCATATGTGTATAGGTTTATTTCTGTTCCACTGATCTATATTTCTATTATTACATCAATACATTGTCTTAATTACTATAGCCTTATTGTAAGTTTTGAAAGTAGGTAAGTTTTCCAACTTTCTTCTTTTTCAAAATTCTTTTGGTTCTTAAATGGCCTTTGGATTGCGCTGGGTGTGGTGGCTTACACCTGTAATCCCAGCACTTTGGTGGGTGGAGCACTTGAGGTCAGAAGTTCGAGACCTGCCTGGCCAACATGGTGAAACCCCATCTCTACTAAAGATACAAAAAATTAGCCGGGCGTGGTGGCGGGTGCCTGTAATGCCAGCTACTCGGGAGGCTGAGGCAGGAGAATCACTTGAACCCAGAAGGCAGAGGTTGCAGTGAGCCGAGATCATACCATCACATTCCAGCCTGGGTGACAGAGCAAGACTCCGCATCAGGAAAAAAAAAAAAAAAAAAAAAAAAAAGGCCTTTGGATTTCCATATCAATTTCACAATCAGCTTGTCAATTTCTACACAAAACCCTGCTGGAACTTTAATTTTGCATTGAAACTATAAATTAATTTGGAGAGAAGTGACACCTAACAATACTGTTTTCCAATGCATGATGATGGTACATCTCTCCATTTACTTAGGTCTCCTTCAATTTCTCTCATCTATGTTTCATCATTTCCAGTGTACAGGTCTTCCATTTCTTTTGTTAAATTTATTCCTCTGTGTTTACACACGAACACACACACACACAAATGTACACGTTTGGTGCTATTGTGGATGAAGCTGTTTTCTCAATTTTTTGAGCATTCATTCCTAGTATATAAACAATTTATTTTTCTATATTGCTCTTATATCTTGTGACCTTGCTAAAGTCATATATGATCCAGTTGTTTGTTTTTGGTAGTTGCCAAAGTATATTTTACCTACAAGATGATACAATTTAGGAATATTTCTTCATCCTTTACAGTATAGGTACCTTTTAATCTCTTTTTCTTTCCGTGCTGCACTGGCTAGGACCTAGAGAACAGTGTTGAATACAAGTGCTGAGAGCACACATTCTCGCCTTCTTCCCCAATCTTGAGTAGGGAAAGGAGTTATTCAGTCTTTTCACCATTAAGCAGAATGTCAATGGTAGGCTCTTCATTGATGCCCTTTATGAAGGTGAGGAAGTTCACTTCTATTCCTTGTTTGTTCAGTGTTTTTATTGTGAATGGGTGCTGGACTTTGTCAAACGCATTTTGTATGTCTTTTGAGATAATTATACAAATTTTAAACTTGAATTTATTCATATGGTGTGTTACATAAAATAATTTTCTGATCTCAAATCAACCTTGCATTCCTGGTATAAACCACCTTGGTTGTGGAGTATAATCCTTTTTGTATGTTGCTGAATTTGGTTTGTCAATATCTTGCTAAGGATTTTCACATTTATTTTTATGAGAGAGATTGGTTTGTAGTTTTCATTTCTTGTAAGGTTTTCTTGCCCACTTTTGGTACCAGGGTAACACTGGACTTGTAAAATGAGTAGAGAAGTGTTTTCTCCTCCATTTTCTGAAAGAGCTTTTGTAGGATTTGTCTTATAGTTTGCTTATATGTTTGACAGAATTCACCAGTGAAGTCATATATGTGTCTGAGATTTTCTTTAGGAAAATAATTTAATTAGTAATTTGATTTCTTAAGTTCTATTTGGATATTCTATTGTTAAGTCAGTTTTTATGATTTGTGTCTTTCTAGGAACATGTCCATTTCATCTAATGTGTCTGCTGACAAACAGTTGTTCATAATCCCTTATAATAATTTTAAGCTTCTTAAGGTCTGTAGTGATAACCACCTTTTTTAAAATTCCAGATTTTGATAATTTGTGTTATCTGTTATTTTTTTCTTGGTTAATCTAGCTAAAGGATTACCGAGTTTAACTTTTTAATGAACCAAATTTAGATTTTTTCCTACTATTTTTTTCTATTTTCAATTTCACTGATTTCTATTCTGATTCATTACATTTCATTATTTCCTTCCTTCCACTTACTTTGATTCTGATTTGCTCTTCTTCTTCTGGCTTCTTGAACTGGAAGCTCCAATAACTGATTTTTAAGATTCTTTTCTAACACAAGCATTTAAAGCTATACATTTCTAAGTACTTATTTATATAGTCATTCCTTGGTATCCATGGGGAATTGGTTCGAGGACCCCCTAGAAATACCGAAATCTGCAGATGCTCAAGTCCCTTATATAAAATGGCATGGTATTTGCATATAACCTAGGTACATTCTCTCATATACTTTAAATCATCCCTAGATTATTTATAATACCTAATACAATATAAATTCAATGTAAATAGTTGTTATACTGTATTTTATTTGTATTATTTTTATTTTTGTATTTTTTTTTTTACTTTTCCTTTTCTTCCCCCAAATATTTTCGATCCATAGTTGGTTGAATCTGAGGATGCATAACTTATGGATACAAATGGCCACCTGTATTCCATAAATTTTAATATATCACATTTCACTTTCACTTAGTTCAAGATATTTCTTAGTTTTCCTAATAATTTCTTCCTTGAACCATGAGTTATTCAGAGGCAAGTTAACTTCCAAATATATAGCAATTTCTCATATTTCATTCTGTTCTTGATTTCTAATTTAATTCCACAGTGGTTAGAACAACTTGGCATGATTTTAATCCTTTTAAGATTACTGAGACTTGTTTTATGACCTATGCTGAAGAATGCTCCATGTGGGCTTGAAAAGAACATATATTCTGCTGTTGTGTAGAGTGTTTTCTACAGGTCAGTGAGTTTTGATTGGTTGGTAGTGTTCAAATATCCTATATTTTTACTGATTTTCTGTGGAGTTGTTCTATCAATTACTGACAAAGGAGAATTAAAACCAACTACAGTTGCTGAATTGTCTATTTTACTTTACAATTCCATCAGATTTTGCTTGTGTATTTTACGGCTTTGTTGTTACACCCACATACACATATCTTTCTGATGTATTGACCTTTTTACCACTGTAAGATGTTGCTCTGTCTCTAGCAATATTTCTCCTCTTCATGTATATTTAATATTAATATAAACATTCCAGCTGTCTTGTTATCATTTACATGATAGGTCTTTTTTCATCCTTATAACTTGCAATTTATTTGAGACTGAATTTAAAATGTGTTTGTTGCAGACAGCATATATTTGAATCAGGCTTTTTTTTAACCCAATCTGACAATCTGTCATTTGACTGGAGCAGTTAGTCTACTTTATTGTAATTATTGATATGGTGAATTTATATCTGCCATTTTACTATGTATTTCTCACATCTTATGTCTTTTTACAATTTCTCTTCTTTTTCCTTACTGTCGTATAGTTTAAGAAAAATGTTTTACTGAACTATTTTAATCCTTCTGTTGGTATTTTATCAATAGTTTTTCATTTATTTTCTTCATGGTTACATTAGGAATTACAATATACCTCTTTACCTTACATATTTGATTTCAGATTCATACTGGCTTATGGTAAAACAGCAACTTTATTTCAATATAGAGCGATTTCTTACCAAATCCTTTGTTATATTGTCATATATACTGCATCTAAGTCATAAACTCAACAACACAGTGTTGTTTTAAACAACTTTTTAGAAAGAAAATAAGAGCAAATATATAGACATGCACGCACACATACTCATAGGTCTCATGTTTATCCACATAATTATCATTTTCAGTATTTATTATTCCTTCCTGTGGATTTGCTATCATCTGGTATAATTTTTTCCAAGCCTCAAGTACTTTCTTTGGAATTCCATTTAGGGAAGTACTGCTAACAACACATTTTCTTAACGTTAGTTTAACCTGTGAATGTTCTTATTTTGCTTTTATTTCTGAAGGATTATTTTCCTGGACATAGAATCCTTGGTTGCCAGGATTTTTCCTTCAGCACCTTGAACCTGCCATTATACTGCCCTTTGGGCCTCCACTGTCTCTTTTATGACAGCTTTGTTAAGATATAATTCACGAGTCACAAAATTTACCCTTTAAAGTGTACAATTCAGCTTTCAGTATATTCAATAATTTGTGCAGCCATCACCATTAATTTTAGATCTTATCCATCATCCCAGAAAGAACTTTGTATCTATTAGCAGTCACTCCTAATTCTTCCTCCTCTAGCACCTGAAAACCACTATTTTCTGTCTCTATGCATTTGCCTATAATAGACATTTCATATAAATCAAACCATATGATATGGGGCCTATGCATTCTTTCACTTGACATAATATCTTATTGTATCTGGGCTCTCAATTATATTCCACTGTCTATATGCCAGTACCACACTGTCTTGATTACTGTAGTTTTATAGAAAGTTTTGAAATTAAGAACTATGTATTTTTCAACTTTTTTTCTTTTTCAAATTTTTTTGGCTATTTTGGGATGGCCTCCACTGTTGCTAATAAGAAATCAACACATTAAGCCTTTGTAAAACTTCTACCATCTTCTGATCAACTTGTATGTGAAAGAGAATGTACTGAATGTTACAGTCAGCTCTCAAGTATCCCTTGGCTTGTATCCTTGATGGGCTCTCTTGGGTATTCCCTGCACATGAGTGTAGTTTTTCAGTCAGCCAGGAAAATATGAAGAATTTACCTCAGCCCTTTCAGGGCTCTCTCATTTTCCAAATCTCCTTGTTAACTTGCTAGTTGGCCTACCACTTGCCTCCAACCAGGATGGCAACCTTGGGCCAGCAAAGTTACCAGTTTTCCCCATTAATTTCCTACCAAGTTTGGCATTTAAGCCAACAAAACTGCAAACTTTCATTCCCCTGTCCCAAATCAAGTATACCTCCTCTGAAAGCAAAGCTGCTGCTTTTGGTGGTAGCCTCACTGGGTCAAAAAACTACAGTTCTTGGCATTGAAACCAGCAGAGAGGAAGAAAATGAGAATGAGAAAATGAATGAGAAAAGCCTTGGGCAAGGCCATGTACTCCTGTAATTCTTGCTCAAAGTAATAGCAGTTTTTCCTTCTTCTTCTTCTTCTTCTTTTTTTTTTTTTTTTTTTTTTTAAAGAGAAATAGGGTCTTGCTCTGTCCCCCAGGCTGAAGTGCAGTGGTGTGATTATAGCTCACAGCAGCCTTGAACTCCTGGGCTCAAGTGATCCTCCCACCTCAGCCTCCCAAGTAGCCAGAACTAGAGCTGTGGGCCACCATGTCCAGCTAATAATAAGAGTTTGTGAGGAATACACACTTTTTAATGTTTTTTCTGCCTTTTGTCAATGTCCAGAGTTATGGAAGGAAGTTTTGACAATTTTGTCTGGTTTTCTACTTGTTTTTATAGTGATTTACAACTTCTTTATGCCACAAAACTAGAAATAGTCTAGAAAAGCTTTTATACTTAAAAATATGTGATTATGTATACATACACCTGTAATTAATGTAACGGCTTTACAGGCTGTAATTATACAGGTTGAGCATTAAGTTGGTAAAATTGGTAAAATTAAAAGACTTTCATATAATGCTGTATCATTATTGGCATTAGGATAGCAAAACAATTTACATTTAATATTTAATAATGGTAACATGGAAGTATGTTCATGTCAGCCAGGCACGGTGGCTCAAGCCTGTAATCCCAGAACTCTGGGAGGCTGAGGCGGGTGGATCACCTGACGTGAGGAGTTCAAGACCAGCCCGGCCAACATGGCGAAACCCCGTCTCTACTGAAAGTACAAAAATTAGCCCAGCATGGTGGTGTGCACCTATAATCTCAGCTACTCAGGAGGCTGAGGCAGGAGAATTGCTTGAACCCAGGAGGCAGAAGTTGCAGTGAGCTGAGATCGTGCCATTGCACTCTAGCCTGGACAACAGAGTGAGACTCCATCTCAAAAAAAAAAAAAAAAAAAAAGGATGTTCATGTCATATCACATAGAAAGAAAAAGTAGATTAAAACATACCATACCCAATATGGCCTTATTTTTAAACAGATACATACACAAATACGTATATATGAGAAGGAACTGAAATAACATGCTCACATTAAAAGACTGAGTATTAACTTTGAATAGTAAGTGGAATTACAAGTATTAATAATATTTTTTCTGTATTTTTAAAACTTCTTCAAATTTTTGACTTAAACTTACATTATGTTTATGTAAAATATATTTTGGAAGAGAGAAAAAAAGGCTATGTACCTTACCTACTAAATCAGGTTCAAATCAAGATGCTGAAATTAAAGTTTTTCTCACAACTTTAAAATAGAAAAATTCATATATCTTAAATAATATATTCTTTTAGAATACTTAACATTCTATAGTTAGTACAATTAATACCATATACAGAATAAATTTTATTAACATTTTGTTTCTCTGGTATGACATAGCAGGTTTTAAGTGCTATGTAACCTACACTGTCAAAATAAGTATATACCATACTAAAATGGCTACTTTAAATGGCAATACTTATTTACATATCTAATTTCTGACATGTTCATTTAAAAACCAATTTTACCATTACCTGGTAATATCTTATATTCAGGAAGTATTCAACAAACTTTTGCTAAGGATAACCATTTTAAAATGACCACATTAATGTCTTAAATTTTATTCCTATGATAACTTTATTCCTTTAAGGACTTACCTTAGCTGCATGATATGTACCAGCTTCAAGTAATTCTTTTTTAGCTTCTTTGGCAAGCAGGTTAAACCGACTTAACATTGCAGCCTTACAAAGCCGACTTGCCATTGACATACCACTTTTAAATGGGGAACTAAGCAGAGAGAAATAAAATTTTTTAAATTTCTTTTTCAGTAATTTATGTTGGCAATTGTATAGATTAAAATCAATATGGATCTACAAAATATTTCTTGATTATTTGCAATATACATAGTAATTTTTTTTTTACATAAGAGGCATTCTTAATATTTACTTTCTGAAGTAAATTTCTTAAATTACATTTTAAATTATTTAGTATTGCATCAAAAATTAATGTAGAAGATTGACCTTGGAACATTTCTATTGTATGAAGCAAAATTAACCTATGATGATACAAATTAAACAGCAGTTCTATGAGGGATTCACTGGAAATGGGTATGGAAATACTTTCTGCATTTTGACTAGAATGATGGTTACATAGGTATACAAATATATCAAAATTAATGAAATTGTATAATCTATTTTGTGTTTCACTGCAAGAAGTTTTGGCTCAATAAAAGTGTAACATATACACATAACCTATGTCACAAGCCTTCCTGTATGTGTATATTATGTGCATGTAGATGTGTAATTTGGGTTTCTAATGAAAGTGGGTCCCTAGATCATGAACATTTTTGCTACTGTAACTTTTCCCCTTTATTGTATCTTCTCATTAGTTGTTCTTAGGATAGATAACAAAAACAGTCAAAATCCTTCATTCCTCCTAGTTTCCAGTTATTTGCAATGTGACTTTTCAGATCCTCACATCAACAGGCATGGCTGATTTTCCCTTCCCTTGAATTTTAGTAGCCTTGTGATTTGTTTTAGCAAACACAATAGACAGTGTGATAATTCTGAATCTAGGCCTGGAGATACCTTGTGTTCTTATTTTCTTGGCACTGCTGCCTCTCCCATGTGACCCTGCTAGGACTAGCCTATTAGAGGGTAAGTGAACACAGGCTAAGATCAGCTCACCTGACCTTTAGTTGACCAACAGTTGACCCCAGATGTGTGGGAAAGCCCAAGAAAATCCAGAAAAACCATTCAGCTGACTCAAGAACTTCCAAGTAGTAACAATAGTTGTTTTAAACAACTAAGTTTTGAGGTAGTTTATACACAGCAATAGCTAACATACACTCATGTGTACAAAATCTATTGATTTCTACATATTAATTTTCCACCATGACACTTTTGTTGCAGTGGTTTTGATAATTTTCTTGATTTTTGGATATAAATACCATCTTCAAAGAGTGATAATTGTAGCTCCTTCTTTCCAATATTTTCTCTCTCTCATTTCCCTTGTCCAAATGTATTAATGCCTCCAGTAAAATGCTGAGTAACAGCAATAACAGTAAATAATGTCTTGCTCTGAATGTTAGTGGGAATGCCTCTGACATTTTATCAATCATGATAATATTTTTTGACTAATAAAGATATACTTTATCCTGTAAAAAAACTACCTAGCTATTCCTTTTTATTGAGTATCTTAATCTAGAATAGTTGTAGAGCTAAATTATTTATACACCTTCTTAGAATTTATAGAGATAAACATATGATATTTTCCCTAGATTAATTAATATGACACATTAGTAAGAGTTTCTAGTCTGGTATTATTTCTATTACGTTACTATCTTAGTATTCCTAGAAAAAAATGCCAGTTGGTGTTACTGTATAAAACATATTATTGTAATGTGCTGTTAAATTCTGCTCCCTGATCTTTTATACAGCAATTTTTCTTGGATATAGGTGAGTTTGGTCTGTAATTTTGTGTGGTGGAGAGGAGGAGCAGCAATTTCTTTTGTAAACTTTTAAGTTCAGGGGTACATGTGCAGGTTTTTTCTATAGATAAATGTGTGTCATGGGGGTTTGTTGTACAGACTATTTCATCACCCAAGTATTAAGCCTAGTATTCATTAGTTATTTTTCCTGATCGTCTCCCTCCTCCCACTCTCCACCATCTGAAAGGCCTCACTGTGTGTTGTTCCCCTCTATGTGTCCACGTGTTCTCATCATTTAGCTCCTACTTATAAGAGAGAACATGCGAGATTTGGTTTTCTGTTCCCATGTTCATTTGCTAACGATAGCGGCCTCCAGCTCCATCCATGGCCCTGCAGAGGACATGATCTCATTCTTTTTTATGTCTGCATAGTATTCCATGATGTATATGTACCACATTTTCTTTATCCAGTCCATCATTGATGGACATTTGGAATGATTCCATGTCTTTGCTATTGTGAATAGTGCTGCAATGAGCATATGCGTGCAAGTGTCTTTATAACAGAATGATTTATATTCCTTGGGGTATATACCCAGTAATGGGATTGCTGGGTCAAATGGTATTTCCATCCTTAGGTCTTTGAGGAATTGCCACACTGTCTTCCACAACGGTTGAACTAATTTACACTTCCACCAATAGTGTATATGTGTTCCTTTCTCTCCACAACCTCACCAGCATCTGTTTTTTGACTTTTTGATAATAGCCATTCTGATTGGTGTGAGATAGTATCTCATTGTGGCTTTGATTAGCAATTTTAAAAAATCAGATTTAAGTATTATATACTTGTTTCATAAAAGTATTTGGATGCTTTCCATCTTTTTGGATAGCAGTGGAATTATCTGCTTTTTAAAGGTTTAGAAAAAAACCCTCTGAACTACCTCAGAATGGTACTTTGAGGAACAGCTAAGGTGCCTTCTTGGTAACTTTCTCATGAAAATAACGTTTATTGGTGGCTCACGCCTGTAATCCCAGCACTTTGGGAGGCCAAGGCGGGCGGATCATGAGGTCAGGAGATAGAGACCATCCTGGATAACACGGTGAAACCTCCTTTCTACTAAAAATACAAAAAATTAGCTGGGTGTGGTGGCGGGCGCCTGTAGTCTCAGCTACTCGGGAGGCTGAGGCAGGAGAATGGCGTGAACCAGGAAGGTGAACCTGGAAGGTGGAGCTTGCAGTGAGCCGATATCGCGCCACTGCACTCCAGCCTGGGCGACAGAGCAAGACTCCGTCTCAAAAAAAAAAAAAAAAAAAAAGAAAATAACGTTTATATTTTTCCTCCTTCTATATATAAGTTTTGCAAGTAATGTTTTCCTAGAAATTTATCCATTTCATTCAGGTTTTAAATTATATTTGTGTGGTTACCTAAAATAGCTTATGATCCTCTTAATTTTCTCTATTTCTGATTGCATCCTTATCTATTATTTTATATGACATTGGTGATTTTTCTTATCAGCATTTCATAAGTAATTCTGACTTTTTTGTTTTTTAAAGCTCTTTTCTTTATATTTCTAATTTATTTCTATCATTTATTGTTACATGCACTTAAGGCTCTGACTTTTCTATTCAGCTTTGTTTAAACTGTATAACCTACAAGTTCTGATATGTAATATTTTCAATATCCCTATTTTCTAAATATTCTGCAATTTCAGTTTATATTTCCCCTTTGAACCAGGAGTCAGAATTTTTCCAGTAAAATCAGCTCCTAGTATTCTGGTTTGTTATTCACAGTTTTATCTCCTCATAATCAGAGAATATGTCTACATTGCTTCTACTTTTCCTTTGGAATTTGTTATTTTCTTTGTCGTTTAACACACAGTCAGCTTTTTGTTAGTGTTCTATAGTTTCTTGAGGACTAGGTACATTTTATATTTTTATGATGCAGAGTTTAAAGTAATGAAATCTACCTTACTGTTATTTAAAACGGCTATATCTTTGTTTACTGTTTTGTCCACCTGATCTACCATGAACTGAAAGAGGTGAATTGTTGTCTCTATTAGCAGTGTGTTTCTAGTTTTCCTTTCCTCTTGTCATCTATAATTTCCGCTTTGTGAATGTGGCTATGTCACGTTCTGCATAAACATTCTTAACTGTTCTGTCTTCCGTATAAATTATACTGTCTATATTGCTAAGGTTTTTTTTGTCTTATTGTAATGCTTTGAGACTGAATTACACCTTGTCTAATATTTAGACTATATATTCTGGCTTTTTTTTTTTTTTTTTTTAAAGATGGAGGCTCACTTTGTTGCTCAGGCTGGAGTGCAATGGTGCAATCTCAGCTCACTGCAACCTCCACCTCCTGGTTTCCAGTGATTTTCCCTGTCTCAGCCTCCCAAGTAGCTGGGATTACAGGAACCTGCCACCATGCCCAGCTAATCTTTTGTATTTTTAGTAGAGATGGGGTTTCGCCATATTGGTCAGGCTGGTCTCAAACTCCTGACCTCAGCTGATCTGCCCGCCTCAGCCTCCCAAAGTCTTGGGGTTATAGGCGTGAGCCACTGCACCCGGCCTCTGCTTTCTTTTTATTTGTAATTACTTGGCAAGTATTTGGCCGTAAAAAGTGATAAGCTCACACACTTAATTTCATCTTGTTATGCCATTATTTTATGTTTTCAGTGAATAATTTTTTGATGTCTTTCATAGAAGACCTGTTTGTCTGTGTGTTTAGTTGAGTCTGTTATTAATAGTAAAGCACTTGTTTATGCTGGCCTAAGTCATTTGATAATAGTATAATTCATCCTAGTTAAAATATCAGTGTTATGCTTAACTGAGTCCATACTAAGAAATGTTTATGGGTTTGTCTGTTTTTTTCTTTTTTTTTTCCCTTTTTGAGATAGGGTCTCACTCTGTTGCCCAGGCTGGAGTGCAGTGATACAGTCATAGCTCACTGCAGCTTCAAACTCCTAGGTTCAAGTGATCCTCCTGTCTCAGCCTCCCAAATAGCTGGAACTCCAGGTATGCACTCCCACTCCTGGTTAATACTTTTTATTTTTTATAAAAAAGACTGGATTTCTCACTATGTTTCCCAGATTGGTCTTGAACTCTTGGCTTCAAGCCATGCTCCTGCCTCAGCCTCCCAAACTGCTAGGATTACAGGTATGAGCTTTCTTGACTGCTAAGAAACATTTGTATGTGGTCTTCATTTAAATTTCTCCTTCACAAAGAAAGCAATTTTAAGCATTTAAATTTTTAACATTATTCACTGCCTCATTACAAATGTATGTTCACACTAAAAGAACAGTTTTACTTTTACTTAATAATCAATGGCAGAGACATTACGAAGAAATGTCTAGAAGGCACACAACATCATAGTTAAGAACAAGGGCTTTGAAAATAAAATGTCTGGGTTAGAACCCAAGCTGTGTCATTAACTACTTGGGTAACCTTAGGCAAGATATTTAACCTAGCTTGAGTCTCAGAAACTGTAAAAAATAAATAAATAAAATCTCTCAACCTACAGGGTTATTATAAGACAGTATAACACAGTACCATAGTTCTTACACGTAAGGGTACATAAGTAATATTTGGAAGAGCATAAAAAAATATAATTCCTGAGTCCCAGATCCAAAGTCAGATTCAGTAGAAGAAATTGAATTTCTAAAAAAATTTACATGATTCTAATACTAATGATATGAAATTACAGTTGGAGAAACATACGTTATGGAGCCAGATTCCTTGGGTTTGAAAGGTGACTCTGCCATTTAGTATGTAATTTCAGTAAGCTATATAACTTCTCCACATCTGTCTTCTCATCAGAAAAAAAATTTAAAATTAAAAAATTTTTAAAATTAGTACAATGCCTGTAACATAGTCACACTTGACTAATGATAATAATTATTGTTCAGAGTTCAATAAATAGTATCCAAAAGAGTCAGAATAAAAACTGCAATAAAATGTCTTCTTTTGCTTAAGTAATATATGGTTTAAAGAAATTAGTAATTTTAACCTTTCAGTGATCTTCCCACTCAGGCCATCCACAATCTCCAAAGAAACATCTCCTTGTGCCCAATTCAGACTCAGAAATTTATATTCCAAGTTCATTTGAAGGGGATATGCAGAGGGTACTAAACTAATATGAGGTCTGTTGACTAAGTAAAACATTGGAAGTTTTGAAGTGAGTGCATCATCAACACGTTGCTTTATAGCGATTTCTAAGCCTCTGGTATCACTGCAATTCCCATCACCTAGAAAGCAAAAACAAAACACTCAAGTTCAATATTAAAAGAACATCCCAAAATAAAATAAATGAAATGATTGGAAATCGTCTAAAGCCCATTTCTCTATCCTTTATCTTTCAACCTTCCCTTTCCTAGTTCTATTCTCTTAGCATCTACTCCATATTCTTAATCAGAACCAGAACAAGGTAATAACAGATTTTCCATTTTAAAAAAGACTCTGATACAGAAAATAATGACAGGTCCCTCTACTGAATATTAGCAAAGAGTCACAGCTGCTCAGAAACTGGTACTTTAGTAACTGACTCAGAAAGAAATCTGGTACATCCAGATTTGTTGACCGCATTGTATGCTGATTTCTTGCAAGTACAGTTGACAAATCTGGATGAGAAATAACTGGTGAAAGTGAGTTACTTTCAAACATCTAAGGGCCACAAATTACAACTTTGCCAATACCACAATGCTTCAATTTCACACTGCAAAATAATTTAAAGAATGACCATTTCTGGTTAAAACTGTGCCAATACCAAAAGCTTTGAATTCTCAGTTATAATAATTATTGAAGGAGAGATCTCAAAAAGATGCAATGTTACTACTAAAAAACAGTGAGCTGCATCAAACTTAAAACAGAAGTTAGGAAGCAGTCATTCTTATTTAAAAAACAGTAATTCTAAAGCATATCTCTTTCTTCCTCAGAAGGTCAGAAGTTCTTGCAACAACAGAATCTTTGTAAACCACTAGACATATTTCACAAATAAAGTTTTGTGTCCTTATGATTAAAATTGTTGAGATAGTTACTAGGGCTGCATTATGACTATCTGGGCACTAGAAAATGATGTAAAAAGGACATGTACTGCTTTTGGTATCCTTTTTCTAAACACTTCCTTAAGTGTTTATCAAGAGTGACAAATGATCAAGACAAAACAAGAGTGACAAAAGAAAACTAATCAAATAAAAATATACTTGGGCACAGAATAAAAGTTGGAAAAAAAATGTGTGAGGAATAGTTAATATATCTACAATGAACAGTAGATAATAAGGATTTTTAAAAAGCCTAATGTATTTATTACATTCTGCAATGAAATAATGACAGTAGTTGTACCCCCCCCCCCAAAAAAAAAGACATTTGGAAAAAGGAAGAAAAAAAAAACACCTGTAAGTCAAATTCCTCATGAAATGCTTTAAACATCAAATTGTTTACGTAGATGCTTTAATGGGAAGTATAAAACCTAATATAATAGAAAAAAGTTTATAAATATTTTATTATAAATTTTACTTTTTCCCTTCATATATGTGTGCATTAATAATTTACTATATCTGAGGTATGATTTTAATACATCTTGAGGCTCAATCTTGTTCCTAGAAAATAAATATCTAAAATTATACCATATAATTGAAAAATTATGATTTGATTCATTCAAAAGGATCTGAAATAACACGAAACTCCAAGGTTAAAGTCAAAGGTTAAATCTAATCAAACACTATAGAAGACCTGACCTGACAATAATTCATATATATATATATATATATATATATGATCTATCATAAGCAGCAGCGTGAAAAGTTATGAAAACTGGGTTTGAATTCAGGCTCTACCACTAAGCAAACTGACTGACTTTAGGCAAGCATTTTATTAACATTCTGAATGTGATCTGAAAAAGAAAGGACTGAATAACAGATTCCCTAAGGTTATCAGCTGCTTCTTAAAAGTCCACGAACTATATTTAAAGTGGATTTCTTCACTAGGAAGGATTCTCTACACTTCAATTATACAAATCAAATCAGTATATGAAAAGGACCTCTGGATGGAAATAACTTCTGGACAAACATTTTTGAAGTACTTAAGCAGAAAAAATAATTGTAATGGGGTTACCAAATTTGCAAGATATATTGTAAAAAGCTTGAGAATGAATATAAATCTAGCTATTTTTTAATAGTCAAGAAAGAGAATTTTTTTCCAGATTACTCTATCTAAATAGTTCTGTTTAAATATAGTAAATGCCCTTTTAATGCAAGCCTAGATCCCATGTTTTAAATTTAAAAATTCCACCACCATAAAATGACAAAATGATTATCTACAGAACATCCACAGCATAAAATTTGTTTCTGCAAACTTTTTGAAAAGTAAAATAATGCTTTAAAATAATGTTGGGGTACAGAAAACAATTCCTCAAAATATGAAACTTCAGCATGCTGAGTGCTTTGAAAATTGAAAGGCCTCAGAAATAAGCTTCACAACCAAGGTTTTTCTCTGATCTTTCCCTCATTTCCCTGTGTCTCTGATCTTTCCCAAAGCACCAGAAGGAGCTCTCTCTGGAATTTCCTTATCCAGCTGGACGGTCACTACAACTTATGGCATCTTTATCCCACAACCTCTGCCTCCCACCTTTGGGATTCATTCATTCTCCCTGATAATTTATCATGAAACCAACAGCTCTACAAAACAGCAGATCTGTGTTTTGACCTTAAATAAAGTTTCACGTATGCAAAAACTAAAACTAATTTTATACTGATAAGTAAAATACAGAGAATTTGCTTAGTGAGTGAGAGGCCCAGGAGGTTCTGAAATCCCACTCACCAATAAGTATACTGCTGATGTAAACTGGCTGTATAAAATGACTCAGCAATGCTCCCTGTACACCAAGCACTTCCCATCTGGTCAATTTGTCACTTGAGGACATACTGCTTATTCTATTAACACCATCTTTAGGACAGTAAACAGTCAGATAAATTTTGCCTTCAACAGCCACGTGGAGACAGAGTTCTTCATTGGCTTCAAATGCAGATATAGAATGTGGATTAAGACGTCTAGAGAAAGAAAAGAAAGTTTCTTCCTTTAAAAAACAAAGGTGACAGAACAAAATCTACCTGTACCTAACAGCTGTTCTGTAACATGTTTAACTTCCCAGTGTACATTTAATTCCAGTAACAGAAACAGATGCAAGAAAGCAAGGTAGGAGTGGAGTGCCTTTATTCTACAATAGTACTATAAAACAGAAATGAACCACATCTAGAGCTTCCAACAGAGATATTTTTCATATTATCACCACTTTATGTCCCTTAAAACCCAAAGAAACACTAATTGTTATCCCTATCATAGTTTGTGAATTAGTTCCTTCCTCTGTATGAAAATTTTTTAAAATTACAAAATGAAAGAATGAAAAAAAGGAAAACTATTTTTCTTTGTCATCTTCAATAAAAATGCAAAATTATTTTTCTTTAAGGTTCTTTCTAGAGAACACTGACCTTAATTTCAAAGGTGTTCCTAGAGGGATTTTTATTAAAATATTACCCATGTTTACCACTAGATGGTCAGACTTAAAGTGACTTTTACTGTCTTCTTTGTTCTTGTTTGTACTGTTTAAATGTTATGCTACCTGATGATATTCATTCATCAAAGCAATAATATTTTGGCCATAGGTTAAAGTTTTTCTTAACTCTCGTATTTGTATGTGAGTAGTGCATAAATCCATACTTCCTCAAGTTTATGAGGTCTTAAAAGTAGAAAGGAGTAGAAGATTTTTTTAAAGCATAGCATAGCAAAAAAAGTGGTGAAGTACATGGAACTTTTAGTCACAGGTTGAGTGTTGCTTATCTAAAATGCTTGGAACTAGAAGTGTTTCAGATTTTATTTTTTTCACACTGGAATATTTGCTTTATACATACCAGTTGAACACAAATCCAAAAATCTGAAATATGAAATGCTCCAATGAGAATTTCCTTTGAGCGTCATGTCAGTGCTCAAAAAGTTTCCAATTCTGGAGCATTTTGAATCTCAGACTTTTGGATTTGGGAAGCTCAACCTGTAGAAGTAATAGATTAGATTGACGGGAAGGGAAAAGGATTTGGGGTCTCCTGCAGGCCACAAATAACAACTCAAAGCTGAAGAGAAAATACGGGTAATTAGAATTTATATGTTCTATTTGCTGTAGAAAGTCAGAATGTATGGCATGGCCATCCTACTTGCTTTTAAAAACAACTTCTATAATACTTACAACTGTGACTTAATCTGGGCTGATCCTTTAGGCAACTGGTTCATGTAAAGGCAAATGTTGATATTCTGTTTAAGAGTGAGTAGATTAGAAGTTGGTTCTGTACAAAATATTGATTTTTCCATCATAGCAGGATTTTTGCTGTAGAAGAGCAGAAGTTGTCTATAAAAGTACCTAAAATAAATGTTATAATTTTGTCAAGTAATAAACTTTATAAAAGATATATCTTAATGAGCATCATGTCCACATGTGTCAGAAGCAATGTCCTGCATGTTAAAAGTTTTGACACAGGTAAGAACTCCTAAATCAATCTTAGCTTTATTTAATGAAAAATTAAGTTTCTTGAAAGTTCTCAACTGGAGCCCAGTCTGCCCTGTAACCTGACTTAAAACACCATCCTTTCTCTACTACTCCACTTTTGTTTCACATTAGAGTCTCCCAACTATCATCTTCTCCAAAAGACTCATTTCTCTACTGATTGCTCCCTTCTTCCTCAGAGAGTTCTGCTCCCAGCCTCCCAGATGAACTGCCAACTTTCTGCCTTACTTCTATTTCCCCTTACCTACCCAAACAAACTACTACAAAAATGACAAAAACTGTGGTCCCTGCTCCTTAATGGTTTTAAAGAAAAAATACAAGAGCATAGGAACAATACAATGAACACCAGAAGCTGTATTAAGAAATGAAGCAGATACAGTTACCAATAATTTATTGTATGTTTCAAAATAACTAAATGAGTGGAAATGGAATGCTCCTAACACAAAGAAATGAAAAACGATTGAGGAGAGGGATATCCCAATTACCCTGACTTGATCATTACACATTTAATGGTTGTATCAAAATATCACATTTACCTTATAAATATGCAGATTATATATTCACAATAATTAAAAATTTTAAAATTCAAATTTTTTTTTCTAAAAAGGGAAGCAGATCTCCTGAAAGACTACAACTAATCAAATCAAGGACAAATACTATTTTGCTTATTTAATAAACCATGACTTTAAGATATACTCCCTTGAATCCCATCATCAAAAATATATAGTAAAAATTAAGCAGCAGTATGTAAAAACGCCAAGCACAGGAATAAGTAACACAAAAGAGGTAGCTTTTAAAGAGGTCAAATAATTCCATAAGCACCAAGAGGGGTGGAGGGCAATGAGATGCATTACCCTCATAGTCTTGCTGAATAATGTTTAAGATTATAGGATTCCTCATTATTAGAGACACAAATTTATATTTTTTCAGGTGTATGTATCTAAATTTATTTTAAAATACTCTAGTGAAGAAAACACCAACACAAAAAGTGAGAATGCAGAGATTTAACAAGGACAGTAGAATGCTAATAACTGTTGAAGCTGAATGAGAATTTGTTATCCTATTCTCACTTGAGTGTCTTTGAAAACATCCGTAAGAGGCCAGGCACGGTGGCTCACCCCTGTAATCCCAGCATTTTGGGAGGCCGAGGGGGGCAGATCACAAGGTCAGGAGGTCAAGACCAGCAACATTCTCTACTAAAGATACAAAAAAAGGCCGGGTATGGTGGCAGGTGCCTGTAATCCCAGCTACTCGGGAGGCTGAGGCAGGAGAATTGCTTGAACCTGGGAGGCGGAGGTTGCAGTGAGTGGAGATCTCGCCATTGCACTCCAGCCTGGGCAACAGCGTAAGACTCCGTCTCAAAAACAAACAAACAAAACACACAAAAAACCGCCCAAAACATCCATAAGAAAAAGTTAAATAAAAAGTCATTTTAATGGTTTAAAGAACCAAAATGAATAAGATCTAGTATTTGATGGCACAACAGGATGACAATAGTCAATAATTTAATTGTACATTTTAAAATAACTAAATGACTATAATTGAAATCTTTGTAACACAAGATAAATGCTTGAGGTGATACATACTCCATTTACCCTAAAGTGACTATTATGCACTGTATGCCTGTGTCAAAATAGCTTATGAACGCTATAAACATATACACTATGTACCCACAAAAATTAAAAATAAGAAATTATAAAATTTAAAAAAGAATTCCTAATTTAGTAGGAATAAAGAAGAATTAAAAACAAAACAAAAAATAACCAAAAGCTGGTGGATATTATGAGAAGTAGCACTCATTTCCCATTTTACATGTTTTCATATGAAGTGACTTGCAAATTCCTTTCTTTCCCACTTGCTATTCATTCCTCTTGTAAAGAACAGAGTGACTGAGTCTGGAAAAAGAAACTAGGCATGCTCACCTAAGCCCTTTTCTCCCTCTCTCTTCAAGATATGTCAGCCTCAAGAATCCCTTATCTATATACTCTGCTTTATGGTAAACTTTGTGTAATCCTCATGAATAAAAACCTGTTGGTTTCTGGTGCTGTCCTTGGACAATTATGGCTAATTCAGGGGTGAAATAAGACCAAGCCTACTTAGTGCGGGTCAAAAGCTACACTTTCCAGTAACTTTAGTCATAAAAAAGTGTTATTTTTATCTTTCAAAAAAATATATTGTAGGATTTTTTTTTTTTTGAGACAAGATGTACGTCTATTGCCCATGATGGAGAGCAGTGGAGCAGTCTTGGTTCACTGCAACCTCGATTTTCTGGGCTCAATCAATCCTCCCACCTCATTCTCCAAAGTAGATGGGACTACAGTTGTGTGCCACCATACCTGGTTAATTTTATTTTTTTGTAGAAACTAGGTCCCACAATGTTGCCCAGGCTGGTCTCGAACTCTTGTACTCAAGCAATCCTCCCACCTCAGCTTCCCAAAGTGTTGGGATTACAGGTGAGAGCTACTATGCCCAGCTGATTGCAGGATTCTTAAAACTGAGTTTGGCCGGGTGCGGTGGCTCACCCCTGTAATCCCAGCACTTTGGGAGGCCAAGGCAAGTGGCTCACCTGAGATCAGGAGTTCAAGACCAGCCTGACCAACATGGTGAAACCTTGTCTCTACTAAAATACAAAAAAGTAGCCGGGTGTGTTGGCGCATGCCTGTAATCCCAGCTATTTGGGAGGTTGAGACAATAGAATCGCTTGGACCTGGAAGCCAGAGGTTGCAGTAAGCCGAGATTTGTGCCACTGTATTCCAGCCTGGGCAGCAAAAGTGAAACTCCATTTCAAAACAAAACAAAACAACAAAAACTGAGTTCACAGTTCTTAATAATAGAAGCCACTAAAATCCACAGGGTAGACATTGGCGTTACTATGATAAATGTTCCAAAGGTGACATGGAATTAATCCGATGACTTAGATAAGAAAATGTGACATCCTTGGCTCTATGATCAATAAAATTCCATTTGTAAATGAAGACATTTATATGAAGTTACTTTGGGCTGAGGGCATTCATATTTAATAACATTAATATATGTATTGTCTTACCTAAGAAGAGACCTTCTTGCTGTAACAACAGCATGAGTGTCATGCAATACTCTTCCATCTGGCTTAATGTCCTGGCTGTAATTGTATTCACCTGTGCCTATAGCTACAACCTCATGTTGTCCAGCTGAAAGAAAAAGGTAGACAGTAGCAGGTTAATTTAACCTCTCTCTTCCCTACATTCACCTCTTACCTCTATCTCATCATTTTTAATTTAGTAGAATATATTAACTGAAAAGATGAAAAAATAATTCCACAATTTAAAATAAGAGTCTTAGAGTCTTCTAAGAAGCAAAATTAAAAAGGCAGATGTTTTATAATGAAATATAAATGAAAAAGGCAGATGTTTTATAATACTTCATCTAAATCTTTACCATGATCAATGGAATTACCAAATGTCCTTGGCTTTCAAATATCGCTTTCTATTTCTTCTACATCTAGATGTATTTGATCTTCTAAGACACTTCATTTGCCATTCTGCTTCTGTCTTAAATTATCTATATTTAATGCCTCTAATTTTTCTTAATCCACTCAAACCCTATAAATCAAATTAATTTCTTTCTCTGTTCTACTGAAGCTGCTTTCTTAAAAACAAAAAACAAACAAACAAAAAAACCTTATGCTTTTTCCAGTAACTTTGCTCCATTCACATTTTGCTGTGGCCTGCTTGAAATCTCCTGGAAATTCTATGCTCCAAAAATACACAATTCAAATTGGCAGTCTTTTTTCCTCTCACATTCTGATTAGGTCTTTCCATTCCCCAGTGACTAGATCACTCTTTTTTTTCCCCATATTCCCCTTTGAATATACTCCTCATTCTTTCTATCTCTTACTTCAGGAAATCTTGAGTTTTCGTTTTTCAAACAAAGTTCAGTTCTACATTCACAACCGCCTAATGGATTTTTACTATTAGGCTGGTGCAAATGTAACTGCAGTTCTTGTCATTTTTTTTTTTGGCACCAACCTAATAACTCAGCAACAATTGCTGAGGTGTTACCAAGTACCAGGCAACAAAAGTAGATGTTAGGAATAAAATGTTGAGCAAGACATACCTTCATGAGGCTTACAGCAGAAGAAACAGAAAAAAGATTAAACCAACCCCAAAGTGTGATAAGTGCTTTGAAGGAAACAATTATGGGGCTTATATGAAGATAATGAGAGAAAAGCTTACCTCATGCAGACCAGTTGCAGAATCCCTCCCTAACGAGCTGAAATTTAAGCTTCAGCACCAGCGAGACAAAGGGTATTCTAGCCAAAAGAAATAACACGTGCACACTGCCCTGGGCAAAGACAGAAGACTATTTCTCTCCTGGGCAAAGAGAGAAGTATAGCTAATCTAGTAAGTGGGGTGAAGGGGATGGTGTAAGATGAAGTTGGAGAAAGAGGTGTTATATAGTATACTATACTGAGAAGTTTATGGATTTTTACCAAAGAGCTATGGGGAAGCTACTGAAGTAAAAACCATCTTGGGTTACATTTCCTTCCTACAAAGCAAACAAAATAATCGACAAAATAAAAAGACAACTTACGGAACAGAAGAAAATATTTGCAAACCATATCTCCAATAAGGGGTTAATACCCAAAGTATATATGTAACTCCCACAACTCAACAGTAAAAAGCAAGTAACTTGATTTAAAAATGGAAACAGAACCTGAACAGACATTTTCTTTTATAGAAGACATACAAACAGGTATATGAAAAGGTGCTCAACATCACTAATCACCAGAGAAATGCAAGTCAAAATCACAATGAGATATCCTCACTCCTGTTAGGATGTCTATTATCAAAAAGTCAAAATGTAAGTTTTCGTGAGGATGTAGATAAAACCCTTATATGTTGTTGGCAGAAATGTAAATTTTTATAGGCATTGTGGAAAACTATGGAGATTCCTCAACAAAATAAAAATATAACTTGCCATATAATCCAGCAATCCCACTTCTGTGTATATATCCAAAGGAAGTGAAATTAAGATTGGAAGAAATATCTACACTCCCATGTTCACTGTAGCATTATTCACAATAGCCAAGATACAGAAAAAACCTACATGTCCCAATAAAGGAACAGATAAAGAAACCATGACATATATATAATGGAATATTTTTCAGCCCCCCCAAAAAGAAGAAAATTCTGCCATTTTCAACAATATGAATGAACCTGGAAGACATTATGTTAAGTGAAGTAAGCCAGACACAGAAAGACAAACACTGCATAATCTCACTCATATGTGGAATCTAAAAAGGTTGAACTCGTAAAAACAGAGTAGAATGGTGGTTACTAGCGGTTAGAAAGAAGGGGAAATGGAGACACATTGATCAAAGGGTACAAACTTGGAGTTGTAAAACTAATAACTCCTGGAGACCTAATGTAGAGCATGGAGACTACAGTTAATAATAATGTATTGTATATTTGAAATTTGTTGTCAATATTGTGGGTGGTAGGGTGGAGAGCAGGTAGACCAGGAGGGTACTGTGGTAGAAAAAACAAGGAGTGGTAAACTGTGTTAAATGTTTCTAGAAAGTCAAGTGAATAGGTAACAAAATCCACTGGATTGTGCAACATGCAGGCAGTGGGTACCTTGGCAAGGCTAATTTCCAAGAAGTAGTGGAGAAAAAGAAAAAACTAAGTTGAAGTAAAGAGTAGACACAGTGGCTGTCAGGAGCTTCTTGATGAAGTCTGGCTACAAAGTCAAATAAATAATGACTGGGTTAAGTAGAAAGGTGTCATGGGTTTAAAGGAGGGTTTCTTTGTTTTATTTTTAGGATGGAAATTTGGGAAGCCAGGCTTTCCAGAATACTGAAGAGATGAAAGCAAAGATATATTATTCATGGACACCTGGGCACAGACTCTGCTTTCATTCCTAGGATACGGATGTCATGCCATGAATGCTGAATCTGACTCAATAACCAGGTCCGTAAACCTTCCCTTAAATAGAATTATATAGTGTCAGTATAAGTTCCGGAATGGTGATAATAAGCTCTGAGTTGTAAAGGGTAATAATGTAGCAAAGAACTCAGCTTCTTTCTCAGCTCTGTAACTCAACTTGCAATGCTTCAGGGAGATACTTGTTTGTTATTGCCGGAAAAAAGAAGAGTTAACCAAAAGAAGGAATTTAGCAAGATGTGAGAAGGAATGGAATCAGAATTTAAGTAGAAGAATTAGCCTATAGGAGGAGTGATGCTTCCTCTACTGTCACAGTAGAGAAGATGGGTACAAGTGCAGGAAAGTATATAGATTTGGTGGCAGGGGAGGGAAGGACATTTAGATCTGATAGCTTCTTATAGACCCAATTAAAAATGATAAGGTGATTTTTGATGGGGGAAAATGGCAGATAGGACACAGGACTAACATGCAGCTTCCACTTGGATGAACAGAATAGCGTGTGGAGACTCACATCATGAACTTTTACTCCAAGAACCACTGCAGGAACATACCAGGAAAACCAAAGGAATTTACAGACCCTTTGAAAGAAGTAGCTTGCCATTGCAAACTCTGTGAGACAGCTGAAAAACTGAGTTCCCAAAGTGTGAGGTGGGGAAAAGCCTACCTCTGAACACACATCCCTACTGGGGAACCTAAAAATCCAGATCACAGGAGAAGGATTTAACTTTCCCTAGAGATGAAATAAATTTAGGGAGCCAAGCAAAACAGAAGACCAACAGCGGGAAGAGCCCTGTAGGAGATCCCAGTCCCCAGCCTATGGAAGTCATCCCTGGCTTTATCTCACAGGGGTCCTTGAGTAACGCAGCCAGTGGGACTGGGAAGGGGCTACAGGTTAAAGGAAGCTTCTAGCTGAAGTCTGTAATAATTTTGACCAAGCACAAATTTTCCTGAGCAGAATCCATGGGGGTGAATGGGAAGTGCAGATAGGAGTGCAGAAGCCACACCCTATGACAGGCTCCAGGCCTGAAAGCCCTGCTTGCTTTCTCAGTGGGGAGGATTATAGCCTCCTCGTGCAAGATCTCAGCGCTGCCTGCTGCAGCCTGAATATAAACTGGGCTCTGTTGGCGGGGCACTGCAGGAGTGAGACTGGCCTTGTTGGCTGTGTGGGGGCTGGGTGAGGCCTGTCAGTGCTGGCTTTCCCCAACTTCCCTGGTGACATGTATGACAGAGCAGAGGCAGCCATAATCCCCCTAAAACATAACTCCATTGGACTGAGAAGCATCCTGCCATTCCCCACCGTGGCCACAGCACAAGAAGAGTCTGAGCTCAGACCCACCTAACCCTGCTTCTATCTGATGGTTTTTCTCAACCTATGCTGGTAGCCGAAGACAAAAGGCACTCTTGGGAGCTCTACAGCCCCATCCACTGCCAGAGAAACCTGAATACTTATCCTGGCTAAGGTAGGGCAAGCTTATATCCCCCCATTCTCCTACGACAGATGGTGCCCTCTTGAAAGTGCCACCTCCTGACTGGAGGCCAATCAACTCAAGCCATTACAGCAACTCGTAACAGAACCACCCTGCTCCAAAGAAGGAGAAAACAACAGCTAATTTCACCGCCTGCAACATCCTGGCTAAGCAGAGGTCCTGAGTCTGTCCATGTGACAACTTCACTGCCAGTGTAACCAGCATTTGAGAAAACCAGCACACTAAACAAAACTATAACCAAGGATTCCCACAGAGTCCACTTCGCTACCCTGCCACCTCTACCAGAGCAGGTTCTGGTATTTATGGCTGGGAGACCTGAAGATGGATCACATCACAGGACTCTTTGCAGACGTTCTCCAGCACCAGCCTGGAGCCCGGTAATCCTGCTGGATGGCTACACCCAGAAGGGCAATAATAATCACTGCAGTCTGGCTCTCAGGAAAACCCATCCTTAGGGGAAGGGGGAGAGCACCACATCAAGGGCTCACCCCATGGAAAAAAAAGAATGTGAAGAGCAGGCCTTGAGTTCCAGATATTTCCACTGAAACAGTCTCCCCAAATGAGAAGGAACCAGAAAAGTAAATCTGGTAATATGACAAAACAAGATTCTGTAACACCCCCAAAAGTTCACACTAGCTCTCCAAGCAATGCATCCAAACCAAGAATAAATCTCTGAACTGCCAGATAAAGAATTCAGAAGATTATTAAGCTCCTCAAGGAGGTACCAGAGAAAGGTGAAAACCAACTTAAAGAAATTAAAAACATATATAGGGTATGGATAAAAAAGTCTCCAGAGAAATAGCTATCATAATGAAAATAAAATCATGACTTCTGGAAAAGACACACTTAGAGAAATACAAAATGCACTGGAAAGTTTCAGCAATAGACTAGAAGAGGTAGAAGAAATAACTTCAGAGCTCAAAGACAATGCTTTTAATTAATCCAATCTGACAAAGACAAAGAAAACAGAATATAAAAAAATGAACAAAGCCTCCAAGAAATTTGGGATTATGTTAAATGACTAAACATAATAACTATGGTGTTCTTGAGGAAGAAGAGAAATCTAAAAGTTTGGAAAACATATTTGAAGGAAAAATTTAGGAAAACTTCACAGGCCTTGCTAGAGATGTAGACATCCAAATATAAGCAGCTCAAAGAACACCTGGGAAATTCATCACAAAAAGATCATCACCCAGGCACAAAGTCATCAGGCTATCTAAAGTCAAGATGAAGGAAAGAATCTTAAGAGCTGTGAGAAAAAAGCATCAGGTAACCTATAAAGGAAAACCTATCAGATTTACAGTAGATTTCTCAGCAGAAACCCTACAAGTCAGAAGGGATTGGGGTCTTACCTTTAGACTCCTTAAACAATAATTATCAGCCAAGAATATTGTATCTAGCAAAACTGAGCTTCATGAATGAAGGAAAGATAAAGTCTTTTTCAGACAAACAAATGCTAAGAGAATTCACCACTGCGAAGCCAGTATTAAATAAATGCTAAAAGGACTTATGAATCTTGAAACAAAATGTCAAAATACACCAAAATAGAAGCTCATAAAAGCATAAATTTCACAGGGCCTATAAAACAATAACACAATTAAAAAAAAAACACCCAAGGTATTCAGGCAACAACTACTATGATGAATAGAACAGTACCCTATATCTCAAGACTAATGTTGTATGTAAATGGCCTAAATGCTCCACTTAAAAGATACAGAATTGCAGAATGGATAAGAACTCACCAACCAAATTTCTGCTGTCTTCAAGAGACTCACCTAACACATAAGGACTCACATAAGGTAAAGAGGTGGAAAAAGATACTCCATGCAAATGGAAACCAAAAGCAAGCAGGAGTAGCTATTCTTATATCAGATAAAACAAACTTTAAAGCAGAAGCAGTTAAAAAAGACACAGAGGGACATCATATAATGATAAAAGGATTAGTCCAACAAGAAAATATCATAATCCTAAATATATATGCACTTAACACTGGAGCTCACAAATTTATAAAATAATTACTACTACCTAAGAAAAAAGATAGACGGCAACACAATAATAGTCGGGGACTTTAATACTCCACTAACAACACTACACAGGTCATCAAGACAAAAGTCAACAAAGAAACAATGGACTTAAACTATACCCTACAACAAATGAACTTAGCAGATATTTACAGAACATTCTATCCAACAACTGCAGAATATACATTCTATTTATTAGCACCTGGAATATTCTACCAGATACACCATATGACAGGTCACAAAACAAGTCTCAGTAAATTTAAGAAAATTGAAATTATATCAAGTACTCTCTCAGACTACAGTGGAATAAATTTGAAAATTAACTCCAAAAGGAACACTCAAAACTATACAAGTATATGGACATTAATCTGCTCTTGAATGATCTTTGTATCAACAATGAAATCAAATGGAAATTAAAAAATTATTTGAACTGAACAATAATTGTGACACAATCTATCAAAACCTCTGGGATACAGCAAAAGGGGTGCTAAGCGGGAAGTTCATAGCATTAAATGCCTATATCAAAAGTCTGAAAGGGCACAAACAGACTAATCTAAAGTGACACCTCAAGGAACTAGAGAAACAAGAACAAACCAAACCCAAACACAGCAGAAGAAAAGATATAATAAAGATCAGAGCAGAAATAAACAAAATTGAAACAAAAAACACCAAAAACAAAAGATAAATGAAACGAAAAGCTGGTTCTTTGAAAAGACAAACAAAATTGATAGACCAGTAGTGAGATTAACCAAGAAAAGAAGAGACAAGATCCAAATAAGCTCAACTAGAAACAAGACAGGAGATAAGTGATGACACAGAAATACAAAAGATCATTCAAGGTTACTATGAACACTTTCACATGCACAAACTAGAAAATCTAGAAGAGATGGATAAATTCCTGGAAACAGACAACCCTCCTAGATTAAGCCAGGAAGAAATAAAACTCTGAACAAACCAATAACAAGCAGTCAGAGTGAAACCATAATCTAAAAAATCCCAACAAAAAAGTTCGCAACCGAACAGATTCACAGCTGAATTCTATCAGACATTCAAAGAAGAATTGGTACCAATCTTACTGAAACTATTCCAAAAGATGGAGAAAGAGGGAATGATCCCTAAAACATTCTATGAAGCCAGTATCACCCTAATACCAAAACCAGCAAAAGACATTAAATAAAAAGAAAACTAAAGACCAATATCCCTGAGTAACATAGATGCAAAAATCCTCAACAAAAATACTAGCTAACTGAATCCAAGAGCATAAAAAGATCATATACCATGATCAAGTGGGTTTCATACTAGGGATGTAGGGATGGTTTAACATATGCAAGGTGATAAATGTGATACACCACATAAACAGAATTAAAAACAAAAATTATGTGATCATCTCAATAGATAAAGAAAAAGCATTTGACAAAATCCAGCATCGCTTTAAGATTAAAACCCTCAGCAAAATTGGCATAGGAGGGACATACCTTAAGGTAATAAAAGCCATCTATGACTAACACACAGCCAACATTATACTGAACAGGGAAATGTTCAAAGTATTCACCCTGAGAAAGAACTGGAACAAGACAAGGATGCCTTCTCTCATCATTTCTATTCAACATAGTACTGGAAGTCCTAGCCAGAGCAACCTGACAAAAGACAGAAATAAAGAACGTCCACATCAGTAAAGAGGGAGTCAAACTGTCACTGTTCACTGATGGTATGATCGCATATCTAGAACACCCTAAAGATTCATCCAAAAACCTCCCAGATATGATAAATGAATTCAATAAAGTTCCAGGATACAAAATCAATGTACAAAAATCAGTATCTCTGCTATACATCAACAGTGACCAAGCTGAGAATCAAATCAAGAACTAAACCCCCTTTACAACAGCTAAAAAAAAAAAAAAAAAAGAAAAGAAAATTAGGAATATACCTAACCAAGGAGATGAAAGATCTCTACAAGGGAAACTACAATACACTGCTGAAAGAAATCACAGATGACAGAAACAAATGGAAACACCTCCCATCTCCCATGCTCAAAGATGGGTAGCATCAATATTGTGAAAATCACCATACTGCCAAAAGCAATCTACAGATTCAATGCAATTCCCATAGAAATACCATCACTGTTCTTCACAGAACTAGAAAAAATCCTAAAATTCACATAGAACCAAAAAACAACCTGCATAGTCTAAGTAAGACTAATCAAAAAGAACAAATCTGGAGGCATCACATTACCAGACTTCAAACTATACACTACAAGGCTATAATTACCAAAACAACATGGTATTGGTATTGGTATACAACTAGGCACGCAGAATAATGGAACAGAATAATGGAACAGAATGGAGAACCCAGAAATAAAACAAAATACAGTCAACTGGCCTTTGACACAGCAAACAAATACATAAAGTGGAGAAAGGACATCCTATTCAGCAAATGATGCTGGGATAATTGGCAAGCCACATGTATAACAATAAAACTGGGACCCTCATCTCTCACCTTATACAAAAATCAACTCAAGATGGATCAAAGACTTAAATCTAAGACATTAAGCCATAAAAATTCTAGAAGATAACATTGGAAAAACTCTTCTACATTTTGGCTTAGGCAAAGAGTTCATGACCAAGAACCCAAAAGCAAATGCAACAAAAACAAAGATAAACAGATGAGGCTTAAACTAAAACACTTCTGCACAGCAAAAGAAATAATCAGCAGAGTAATCAGACAAGCCACAGAGTGGGAGAAAATCTTTGCAAACTATGCATCTGACAAAGGACTAATAACCAGAGTCTACAAGGAACTCAAATCAGCAAGAAAAAAAAAAATAATCCCATCAAAAAAATGGGCTAAGGACATGAATAGACAATTCTCAAAAGAAGATATAACATGGACAAAAATATATGAAAAATACTCAACATCACTAATTATTAGGGAAATGCAAATCAAAACCACAATGCAATACCACCTTACTCCTGCAAGACTGGCTATAATTTAAAAATTAAAATAATAATGGATGTTGACGTGTATGTGGTGTAAAAGGAATACTTTTACAATGCTGGTGGGAATGTAAACTAGTACAATTTCTATGGAAAACAGTATGGAGACTCCTTAAAGAACTAAAGGTAGAATTATCATTTGATCCAACAATCCCACTACTAGGTATCTACCCAGAGGAAAAAAAGTCATTATATGAAAAAGACACTTGCACACACGTTTATAGCAGCACAATTTGCAACTGCAAAAATATGGAACAAGCCCAAATGCCCATCAATCATGAGTGGATAAAGAAATTGTGGCGCAGACACACACACACACACACACACACACACACCCTGGAATACTACTCAGCCTGGATAGAGTTGGAGACCATTATTCTAAGGGAAGTAACGAGGAATGGAAAATCAAACATTCTATGTTCTCACTTACAAGTGGGAGCTAAGCCAGGAAGACAAGAAGGCATAAGAATGATATAATGGACTCTGGGGCACCGGGGGAAGGGTAGCAGGGGGGATGAGGGATAAAAGACTACACACTGGGTACAGCATAGACTGCTTGTGTCATGGGTGCACCAAAATCTCAGAAATCGCCACTAAAGAACTTATCCCTATAACCAAACACCACCCATTCCCCCAAAACTACTGAAATTTTTTAAAAACTGATGAGGCAAAATTTCTAATAATACATCTTAAATATGTACTGATTATGTGAGTTACTCCAGGAATGTTCATCTGATTGCACTCAAGCTTTTCCTGCTTATATTCATACTCATATTATCTAAAACTACATTTATTATTCTTATCCATGCTCTTCTTCAATCAGCTTCACACTAGCTTCTAGATTCCCTATGGATGAGGAAACATGATTATCCTACGTCAACTTTAAATGTTGGTATTACTTTTTATTCATGTCACTTCATCTATCATTTATTGTCACTTTCACCTTATCAAATTTTTTTAAAAATGTATTTTTCCCTTCCCATTTATGTCCACCTCAACTCTAATGTAGGCACTCCATCACAACCACATAAATTGTGATTCCATAATTCAGGTTCAACCCCTGCAATCTTTTAAAAAATTATTTGTCAATTATTGTTTAAATATTCATTTATCTTAATCATTACAAATGAAATTAGGCTTTTACTAAATGCCAAGTACTAATATTGACATTATTATATCTAATCCTAACAACTCCATGAAGTTGGGTTGTCACTGTTTCTATTATCTCTACTTTTAAGAAATGAGAAAAAATTAAAGCATAGAGACGTTAAGTATATAATTTGCCCAAAGTAATTTAAATAGCAGAACTGAGTCTGATTAATGCTCCCAACAATTACAGCCCATGGTCTATCACTGTTTGAAATTACAGCTTTAACTGATCTTATTAAATTTAACTTTTGACCTGTTTTTAAACCACTCCATAATCTGGCACTATTTTATCAATCTAACTGCATTTTGTATTACTCCTGTACACAGACTAATCTGTGCTAGCAATAAATTTACCTCATTGTCCTGCAGTTTTCTCACTGCTGCTTCCCTCATTCCTTTCTCTCTGCAAAAATGTCTTCCTTTCTTCTATTTATCCAAATTTTATCAACCCTTAAAGTTACAGCTTAAGTCATGCCTATTCCAAAAGATTCTAAACCCTATCATTTCTTTCCTATCTATGAATTCTCACACACTTTTTGCATTATGGAAAACAAGTTTTAACTTTTATCATCTTAGACTTTCGACTAGTATATTTATCTACTCTGCCTACTTAGATCATAACAACTCCTTAAGAATAGGAATCAAATCTCAAATTGTTTCTATATAATTTATAATATCTAATTCAGAGATGAATGTAAGACTCAAATGGTTTTAATTAATGATGAACTCAGAACATTAAAGCGTTAACACAAGATAAAAACATAGTTAGAATCACATTATATGTCCACAAGAATAAGATTCCATATTTCAATCTTTTCTTACTTGAAAATGAAGAAAAGATGCTACTCTTAATGTTACTGAGGACTAGATTTCAGAAGGGTAGTGATGCCAGCAGGGCTAAGGTTTAAAATGTTAGGACTTTCACCATTTTGCAGTTCTCTGTTGGGTCCTGGTCAGTGTGCTTTATCTCTACCTTGGAGAAGCTTTGTGTTTAATGACCCACACTTACTAGAAAAAGTCACTTCAAATCAATGCAACACCATTGTGTACAGGGGCAAAGATAGTTAACTAAAATATTACTATTAGATTATTACAATATTAGTTTTTCCCAAATATGTGGACTTACCTCTTTCAATTATAAAAGCAGCCAATGAACTGCTATATTTCAGGTATTCTGAACGATTAGAAATTAGTTGATTAAATCTTTCTTTAACGATCTGTGAAATCTTTGCATATTGAATATGTCTCCCTTCTAGAAAAAAATCAAAACATAAATTTCAAGAACATTGTGCTCCTCCTAGAGCTGTCTTATTATTCTTATTATAACCTTACAATCAAATTATTTAATAATATATAGACATCTGTAAGCAAATTTATAATTTAGGTCATGACTGAGATTTCAAAGTTTTCAATTCTAAAAGAATATGAGTTATTGAGCTTTTTGGATAACTTATAAAAAGATGTGTCAGTATTACATACTAGCAGACTACTGATTTATATCTGTAGAGTTTCTCTGATGATATATTCAAAAGTCATACAGGACACAAGACAATTCTTTGTTGTACAGGACTGTGCCACACTTTGCAAGATGACCAGCACCCCACTGAATGCCCTAATCATTGTGACAACCAAAATACATTCTCTTATTATTTGTCCCATTGAGAACCGCTATAAACCACTAAGCATTTAGATTCTTGATATAGTTCCATGTTCTCACTAAAAAAGACAGAAATTTTGAAAGAGGAGGAGGATAGCTCTAAGTAACCCAGGATTACCATAGAACAGTTTATAACCAAGAATATACATCAAAAGTTATCTATGGATCCTTTTTTTTTTTTTGAGATGGAGTCTTGCTCTGTTGCCCAGACTGGAGTGCAGTGGCATGATCTCGGCCTCCCGGGTTCAAGCGATTCTTCTGTCTCAGCCTCCCAAGTAGTTGGGACTACAAGCGTGCGCCACCATGCCCGGCTAATTTTTGTATTTTTAGTAGAGACAGGGTTTCACCATATTGGCCAGACTGGTCTTGAACTCCTGACCTCATGATCCACCCGCCTTGGCCTCACAAAGTGCTGGGATCATAGGCGTGAGCCACCGCGCCCGGCCTCATTATTTTTAATGAAGATATGGTCCAGTTAGAAACATATAGCAAAGTAGGCTGGGCGCGGTGGCTTACACCTGTAATCCCAGTACTTTGGGAGGCTGAGGGAGGTGGATCGCTTGAGGTCAAGAGTTTGGGACCAGTCTGGTCTACATGGTGAAACCCTGTCTCTACTAAAAATGCAAAAATTAGCCAGGCATGGTGGTGGGTGCCTGTAATCCCAGCTACTTGGGAGCCTGAGGCAGGAGAATCACTTGAACTTGGGAGGCAGAGGTTGCAGTGAGCTGAGATTGTGCCACTGCACTCCAGCCTGGGCGACAAGAGCAAAACTCCACCTCAAATAAATAAATAAATACACACACACATATATATAGCAAACCACACAGGCTGGGAAATAGTGACTACCTCTGTAACTGGCCCAACAATTTGTGGGTCTCAAATCTTTCTTCTTCAAAAGTTATAACATCCAAAACTTGTTCTTACCCATAAATTTAAAGAATTTGCTTTCCCTTTTATGACAGATATGTCTCCTGACCTAAGCCTACCAAACCTGGTATTTTTAAAAACTACATATTCTTTCTCACAGATTATCACCTGTTTTCCTGAAGTAATAGCAATCTATATTATTTGCCATCCTTGACTTAGGATTCTATCCTCTTATTCGTTAAAAATGTACACAGAAGCTGAAAGGAAAGACAAGAACCTCTTCCCATATTAAGAGATCACTGCTGTAGGACTGATCCCTCATTGCCCTCTCTTCATCAGTTCTTACAACTGTTAGGCCACACACTATATCTAACTATTGGTGGATTTTTGTCTTTTGAATGGGCCTATTTTCCCTGGTCTGGTCCTTTTACTTCACGCAAGCACACAAATGTGCAAGGCCTTTTTCCTGTCTTAGAAAGACAATGGATGCTGAATAGGCATGGAACTTGTCAAATCCTAACCTGCAGGCCTGAAAATGGAAAATAAAGGCTCCTTTCCTTTTTCCTCTTACAAATACTCTAAACTTTAAAGTCTGAAGTGTGCCCACTTGGTAGTAAAAGTAAAAATTAAGAATAATTGTCTAGCTTTCAGGAGATTCATAATCTAAAAGGCAAAATATATAATAACTACCATACAATGTGAAATATGATTGTTATAATAAAATAATATTAGTTACTATTTAGTGAGTATCTATGGTGTGTTAGGCACTGATGTTAAGAATTTTACATTTATGAATTCATTTAATCCTCATGATAACCCTATAAGATAATTACCGTAATGACTATCTCATAGATGAGTAAAAAAGGTACACAGAGAAGTAACTGGTCCTAGGTCACACAACTAGTAACTTCAATTGAAGTTGCAGCTTTCTCGGGCTTGAGTGACAAATAATGGTCATTAAAACAAAATAAACAAATTATTTGAAATGAATGTGTCAAATGACCTCCAAGTATCACAAAGCCATTGGTTTTCGTTCATGACAAGCCCACCAAAGCAAAGAATTCTAAAAAAGATGTATGAAATTGATAAAACATCTCCTTATAGGAAAAAAAAATCTTTTCTTCAATCTGTCCTCTCCATTCCTTGTTTCTTTCATTTTTAGCATAGTATAGAAAAAAATTCTTCTTTTTGTAGAAGTGTGAAAGGTTTGGATGATAAAGTGTTAATGTACATTTTCATACCTATGCTTATTTTAATTATGTTGTTACTATTTTTAATTGGGCTACTCTTCTAAAGAAGAACGTCACAAAAAACTTTCCTACCATAATGTACTTTTGAAACATATGCTAGTTCAGATAAAACAACAGGTTCTGCAGGGAAAGGAGGAGGACCTGTAAACAAAACAAAAACATAAGGAAACATGAAACTTCAACATTCCAAAGAGCTGGTATTTCTTTTATTCTGTAATAAAACAGCAATCCAAAAATTTTTTTTTCCGTATTTTTGCCAACTCTGGGCCATCAAATACTCATTAGCTCAGCCCTGATAAATGTCTTTCCTATTTTGAAATTGTTTATGCAAACAAATTTCTGAGTTTCCTAATCTTACAGTACAATATTGCTTGCTTTATAATAGATGCAACATCCTGAAAAGCTGCTAAAATGAAATCCTATTTTAGATACATATAAACAACTTTCTATTTATAATACTGTGAAAAACATTTTAAATTAATGTTCTATTAAAAATTAATGAGTAAAATATATCATTTTATAAATAACACTATTTTACCAGGCCATTTTTCTAAGGGAATGCTACATTCGCAGTTTTCAATGCTTTTAGTCTCACTCTTTACAACTGCTTTTCAATTTGGTCTCCAAAGTTAGGGAGTACAGAAAAAAGTTTAAAAACCACTAAACCTGAGGGACAAAAAAAAAAAAAAAAAATCAGGAAAATTTAAGGAAGAGGCTGCAGAAGCTAAGGTACCAATTAAAGTAGTCAGTTTCTCTTAAGAATCATTCATAAAGACAAAGAAAGCAAACAGAACTGCTTCTCTGGAATTAATTTTGAGGAAGACAGAAGTGAACAAAGAGTGACAATGTCACCTTAGAGCTCATACGAGTAAAAGAAAAATACTAAGTATGGTTTAGATACATAGACGCTGGACTTTTTATTTTTTTATCTGATAAGAAATTCCAGTTTTATTTATTTAGAGCACTACATCCCCCATATACCATATAGTAACAATTTATAAAGTATAAACTTTTTTCAAAAACTTTCAACTTTTTAGATACAGGAGGTACATGTGTAGGTTTGTTAAATGGGAATACTGCATGATGCTGAGGTTTAGAGTATGGATTCCATCACCTGATAGTGACCATAGTATCCAAAGGTAGTTTTTCTTTTACCCCCACCTCCCTCCACCCTTTAGTAGTCCACAGCATCTATTGTTCCAATATTTATGGCTACACATGCTTAATGAGTAGCTCCTAATATTAACAACAAGTGAGAACTTGAGGTATTTGGTTTTACATTCCTGCGTTTATTTGCTTAGGATTATGGCCTCCAGCTCCATCCATGTTGCTGCAAAGGACATGACTTTATTTTTTTAATGGCTGCATAGTAGTCCACAGTTGTGTATGTACCACACTTTCTTTATCCAATCTACCACTGATGGGCACCTGGGTTGATTTGATGTCTTTGCTGTTGTGAATAGTGCAGAGATGAACATAAGATTGCATGTGTCTTTTTGAAAGAATAATTTATTTTCTTTTGGTTATAAACCCAGTAATAGAGTTGTTGACATTCTGGATTTTAGATAAGCAGAACTTTAAAACTCAGAGACAGATAGATTTAATTCCATGGAATGAAAATTAAAGATATTAAATCCTGTTTATTAGGCATAAATAATTTCAATAAACAAAGAAAGAAAGACTGTACAAGATGTTTTGCATTTTAAAACACCAAGTACAAGGTCAGGCATGTTGGCTCATGCTTGTAATCCCAGCATTTTGGGAGGCTGAGTTGGGCAGATCACTTGAGGCTGGGAGTTTGAGACCAGCCTGGGCAACATGGCGAAACCCTATCTTTACTAAAAATACAAAGGTCAGCTGGGCATGGTGGCGCGCACCTGTAATTCCAGCTACTCAGGAAGCTGAGACACAAGAATCACTTGAACCTGGAAGACAAAGGTTGCAGTGAGCTAAGACTGCGCCATTGCCCTCCAGTATGGGTGACAGAGAGACTCTGTCTCAAAACAAAAAACAAAAAACAAACAAACAAAAAAGACAAGTCCCAAGACTTATCCCCACAGCCCAACATACCGGCTGTGGCAGTCTGTGGCCAAAGGGCCTCTTCAGGCCTAAACCTGACCCATCCTTCCTCATTGGGCGGGGCTTCCCTGGAGGATCTCCAATAACTCCAGCTAGAGGCTCAGGGACAGAATTTGGATCTCCCTGGGCCTGAGCCCCTAAGTGGGAGGGGTGGCCATAGTCTCTGCGGACCAGCAGACTTAGCCTTTCTTCCTGGTAGTTCTGAGGAATCTGGGCAACGCAGAGGAGTGGGTTTCTCCACAGCGAAGCACACCCTCTCCAACAAAGGACAAAGTGCCTTGTTAAGCGGGTCCTGCTCCCCGTGCCACCCAACTGGGTGAGACATTCCAACAGGGGTTGTCAGGCACCTTATACAGGAGTGATCCTACCGGCATCAGGTTGGTGCCCCTCAAAGTCAGAGGCCCCAGAGGGAGGAGCAGGCACCCATCTTTGCTGTTCTCCAGCCTCCCTGAGTGACATCTCCAGGCACGGGAGAGAATCAGATAAATAGGGCCTGAAGTGAACCCCAACAGACTGCAGCAGCCTTGCAGAAGAGGGACCTGACTATTGAAAGAAAAACGAACAAGCAGAAAGCAACAATAGCATCAACAAGAACAAAAAAGCTCCCCACAAAAACCCTATCCAAGGGTCAGCAGGCTCAAAGACTGAAACTAGACAACCTCACGAAGATGATAAAGAATCAATGAAAAAATACTGAAAACCCAAAAGGCCAGAGTGCCTCTTCTACAAATGATCACGATGTCTCTCCATCAAGGGCACATAACTGAATGGAGGATCACATGGACAAATTGACAGAAGTAGGATTCAGAAGATGGGTAACAAAAAACTTCGCTGAGCTAAAGGAGCATGTTCTAACCCAATGCAAAGAAGCAAGCTAAGAACCTTGGTAAAAGGATAGAGGAATTGCTAACTAGAATAACCAGTGTAGAGAGGAACATAAACTACCTGATGGAGCTGAAAAAAACTGCATGAGAACTTTGTGAAGCATACACAAGTATCAACAGCTGAATTGACTAAGCAGAGAAAAGGATATCAGAATTTGAAGACCACCTTACTGAAATAAGACATGCAAACAAGAATAGACAAAAACATGAAAATGAATGAACAAAGACTCTAATATGGGACTTCATAAAAAGACCAAACCTATGATTGACTGGAGTACCAGAAGGAGACAGAGAGAATGGAAACAAGCTGGAAAACACACTTCAGGATGTTATCCAGGAGAACTTCCACAACCTAGCAAGACAGGACAAAGTGCAAATTCAGGAAATACAGAGAACACCATTAAGATACTCCACAAGAAGATCAACCCCAAGACACATAATCATCAGATTCTCCAAGGCTGAAATGAAGGAAAAACTATTAAGGGCAGCCAGAAAGAAAGGCCAGGTCACCTACAAAGGGAAACTCTTCAGACTAACAGGGGATCTCTCAGCAGAAACTCTGCTAGCCAGGAGAGATTGGGGGCCAATATTCAACATTCTTAAACAAAAGAACTATCAACCCAGAATTTCACATCCAGCCAAACTAAGCTTCATAAGTGAAGAAGAAATAAAATCCTTTTCAGAGAAACAAATGCTGAGGGATTTCATTACCACCAGATGTGCCCTGCAAGAACTCCTGAAAGAAGCACTAAATACGGAAATGAAAAATCGGAAAGAGCCACTGCAAAAACACACCAAAATATAAAGACCAATGACACTATGAATAAACTAGTGCATCAACTAGTGTGCAAAATAACCAAATAGCATCATGATGACAGGATCAAATTCACACATAACAACACTAACCTTAAATGTCAATGGGTTAAATGCCCCAATTAAAGCACACAGACTGGCACACTGGGTAAGGAGTCAAGACCCATTGGTGTGATGTATTCAGGAGATCCATCTTATGTGCAAAGACACACACAGGCTCAAAATAAAGGGATGGAGGAAAATCTACCAAGTAAATGGAAAGTGAAAAAAGCAGAGGTTGCAATCCTAGTCTCTGACAAAACAGACTTTAAACCAACAAAGATCAAAAAAGACAAAGGAGGGCATTACCTAATGGTAAAGGGAAAAATTCACCAAGAAGAGCTAACTATTCTAAATATATATGCACCCAATACAGGAGCACCCAGATTCATAAAACAAGTTCTTAGAAACCTACAAAGAGACTTAAAGTCCCACACAATAATAGTGGGAGACTTTAACACCACACTGTCAGTATTAGATCAATGAGACAGATAATTAACAAGCATATTCAGGATTTGAACTCAGCTCTGGATCAAGTGGACCTGGCAGACATCTACAGAATTCTCCACCCCAAGTCAACAGAATATACATTCTTCTCAGTGCCACGTGGCACTTAATTCTAAAATGGACCATGTAATTGGAAGTAAAACACTCAGCAAATGCAAAAGAACTGAAATCCTAACAGTCTCTCAGACTACAGTGCAATAAAATTAGAACTCAGGATTAAGAAACTCACTCAAAACCACACAATTTATTGGAAATTGAACAACTGTTCCTGAATGACTCCTGGGTAAATAATGAAATCAAGGCAGAAATCAAGAAGTTCTTTGAAACCAATAAGAACAAAGAGACAATGTACCAGAATCTCTGGGACACAGCTAAAGTAGTGTTAAGAGGGAAATTTATAGCACTAAATGCCCACATCAGAAAGCTAGAAAGATCTGATATTGATACCCGAACATCAATTAAAAGAGCTTCGGAGGCAAGAGTAAACTAATCCAAAAGCTAGCAGAAGACAAGAAATAACTAAGATCAGAGCAGAACTGAAGGAGACAGAGACATGAAAAACCCTCCAAAAAAAATCGAATCCAGAAGCTGTTTTTTTTCTTTGAAACAAATTAACAAAATAGACTGCTAGCTAGACTAATAAAGAAGAAGAGAAAAGAATCAAATAGACACAATAAAAAATGATAAAGGGGATATCACCACTGACCCCACAGAAATATAAACTATCATCAGAGAATGCTACAAACACCTCTACACAAATAAACTAGAAAATCTGGAAGAAATAGATAAATTCCTGGATGCATACAACCTCCCAAGACTAAACGAGGAAGAAGTCAAATCCCTGAATAGACCAATAACAAGCTCTGAAATTGAGGCAGCAATTAGTAGCCTACCAACCAAAAAAAAGTCCAGGACCAGATGGATTCACAGCTGAATTCTACCAGAAATACAAAGAGGAGCTGGTACCATTCCTTCTGAAACTATTCCAAACAATTGAAAAGGAAGGACTCCTCCCTAACTCATTTTATGAAGCCAGCATCATCCTGATACTAAAACCAGGAAAAGACACAACAAAAAAGGAAAACTTCAGGCCAATATACCTGATGAACATCAATGGGAAAATCTTCAATGAAATACTGGCAAATGAAATCCAGCAGCACATCAAAAAACTTATTCACCACAATCAAGTCGGCTTCATCCCTGGAATGCAAGGCTGGTTCAACATACACAAATCAATAAATGTAATCCATCATATACACAGAACCAAAGACAAAAACCACATGACTATCTTAATATATGCAGAAAAGGCCTTTGATAAATTTCAACATCCTTTCATGTTAAAAACTCTCAGCCGGGCGCAGTGGCTCATGCCTGTAATCCCAGCACTCTGGTAGGCCAAGGCGGGTGGATCACGAGGTCAGGAGATCAAGACCATCCTGGCTAACACGGTAAAACCCTGTTTCTACTAAAAATACAAAAAATTAGCTGGGTGTGGTGGCAGGTGCCTGTAGTCCCAGCTACTCGGGAGGCTCAGGCAGGAGAATGGCATGAACCCAGGAGGCAGAGCTTGCAGTGAGCCGAGATCATGCCATTGCACTCCAGCCTGGGCAACAGAGCAAGACTCCGTCTCAAAAAAAAACAAAAAACAAAAAACAAAAAAAAAAAACCTCTCAATATATAAGGTATTGATGGAACATGTCTCAAAATAATAAGAGCTATTTATGACAAACCAAAGCCAATATAATATTGAATGGGCAAAAGCTGGAAGCATTCCCTTTGAAAACTGGCACACTATTATTCAACATACTTTTGTATGTTGAACTCCTATTCAACATAGTTTTGGAAGTTCTGGCCAGGGCAATCAGGGAAGAGAAAGAAATAAAAGGTATTCAAATAAGAAGAGAGGAAGTCAATTTGTCTCTGTTTGTAGACGACATGATTTTGTATTTAGAAAACCCCATCTTTTCAGCCCCAAAACTTCCTGAATTGATAAGCAACTTCAGCAAAGTCTCAGGATACAAAATCAATGTGCAAAAATCACAAGCATTCCTTTACACCAACAGTAGGCAAGCAGAGAGCCAAAGCATGAATAAACTCCCATTCACAATCACTACAAAGAGAATAAAATACCTAGGAATACAACTAACAAGGAATGTGAAGGACCTCTTCAAGAAGAACTACAAACCACTGCTCGGGGAAATAACAGAGGACACAAACAAATGGAAAAACATTCCATCCTCACGGATAGAAGAATCAATATCGTGAAAAGAAAATGGCCATACTGCCCAAACTAATTTATAGATTCAATGCTACTTTCGCAACTACCATTGACATTCTTCACAGAATTAGAAAAAACTATTTTAAATTTCATATGAAATCAAAGAAGACCCCATATAGCCAAGACAATCCTAAGCAAAAAGAACAAAGCTGGAGGCATCATGCTACCTGACTTCAAACTATACTACAAGAATACAGTAACCAAAACAGCATGGTACTGGCACCAAAACGGACATGTAGACCATTGGAGCAGAATAGATACCTCAGAAATAACTCCACACATCTACAACCATCTGATCTTCAACAAACTGAACAAAAACAAGCAATAGGGAAAGGATCTCCTATTCAGTAAATGGTGCTGGGAAAACTGGCTGGCCATATGCAGAAAATGGAAACTGTACCCCTTCCTTACACCTTATACAAAAATTAACTCAAGATGGATTAAAGACTTAAATGTAAAATCCAAAACCATAAAATCCCTAGAAGAAAACCTAGGCAATACCATTCAGGACACAGGCATGGGCAAAGACTTCATGTTAAAAATGCTAAAAGCGATTGCAACAAAAGCCAAAATTGACAAATGTGATCTAATTAAACTGAAGAGCTTCTGCACAGCAAAAGAAACTGTGATCAAACAGGCAACCTACAAAATGGGAGAAAATTTTTGATCTACACATCTGACAAAGGTCTAATATCCAGAATTTACAAGGAACTTAAACATATTTACAAGAAAAAAACAATCCCATCAAAAAGTGGGCCACAGATATGAACAGACACTTCTCAAAAGAAGACATTTATGCGGCCAACAAACATATGAAAAAAGCAAGCTCAATATCACTGATCATCAGAGAAATGCAAATCAAAACCACAATGAGATACCATCTCATGCCAGTCAGAATGGCTATTACTAAAAAGTCAGGAAACAATACATGCTGGTGAGGCTGTGGAGAAATAGGAATGCTTTTATACTATTGGTGGGAATGTAAATTAGTTTAACCATTGTGGAGGACAGCATGGTGATTCTTCAAGGATCTAGAACCAGAAATACCATTTGACCCAGCAATACCATTACTGGATATATATCCAAAGGAATATAAATCATTCTACTATAAAGACACATGCACACGTATGTTTACTGCAGCACTATTTACAATAGCGAAGACATGGAACCAACCCAAATGGCCATCAATGATAGAATGGATAAAGAAAATATGGTACATATACACCATGGAATACTATGCGGCCATAAAAAGGAATGAGATCATGTCCTTTGAAGGGACATGGATGAAGCCAGAAGCCATCATCCTCAGCAAACTAACACAGGAACAGAAAACCAAATACTGAAGTTCTCACTCATAAGTGGGAGCTGAACATTGAGAACACATGGACACAGAGAGGGGAACAACACACACCAGGGCCTTTTAGGGGGTGGGAGTTGAGGGAGGGAACAGAGGACAGGTTAATAGGTAAAGCAAACTGCCATGGCACATGTATACCTATGTAACAAACTGGCATGTTCTGCACACGTATCCTTTAAAAAAACAAACAAACTACATCAGTCCAGGTGCAGTGGCTCATGCCTATAATCCCAGCACTTTGGGAGGCCAAGGTGGGAGGATCACTTGAGGTCAGGAGTTCAAGACCAGCCTGGCCAACATGGTGAAACCCCATCTCTACTAAAAATACAAAAATTAGCCGGGTGTGGTGGCAGGCACCTATAATCCCAGCTACTAGGGAGGCTGAGGAATGAGAATCACTTGAACCCGGGAGGGGGAGGTTGCAGTGAGCAGAGATCGCACCACTGCACTCCAGCCTGGGTGACAGAGTGAGACTCTGTCTCAAACAAAACAAAACGAAAAACACTACATAAAAAAACCATGTGCAAAATATTAAAGAAGATATACATGAAAAATAATTTTAAAACAGTGATGAGCTCAAAATTTTGAAAAAAACTAAAGTTTTAAAAGTTTTATGTTGTGAATAAGAAGGAGAAGACTAGAAAAATTGTTAATAATGAATACTGAACTCTTATCTTCTACATCCTTTCATAACACAAATAGATATTTAAACTCAGCTGTCTACAGTAGAAAAAATAAAGAAGAAACTCTAGCTTACTATAGGGAAAAAGATGACCTTATTATTTTTTCAGGCTCTAGCCCAAGACAGAATATATCGTTAAAGAACTTTTAGTTGTAATTAAGGCACCATTGGTACTTTTTGGAGAAAACAATAATGAATATAGAAGTGCCGACAGCAGACATGGGTAAATGCTGCCTTAGTTTTCAAAGTAGTGGCAGCAGACATGGTTAAATGCCACCTTAATTTTTATGAAGGAGGGAAAAAAATAAATGTTTTAGAAACTAAAGTTTGCAGACCAGTGGGCAAAACATTCGCTAGCCCTACATAAACATTCTGAAAGCTATTAGGGAAAAGGCAGGAGAAACTAATCATCAATATATTTTTCTCACAATTTAACTGGATGCTTAGGAAATTCTATAGGTATGTTTTAACTTGAGTTCAACAAAGTATTTTAAATACTTTGTAATTTGATTGTGTATTCTTCAGTAGGCACTGGTTAAGGACTTTGCATGCATTGTTTATCTAATCCTAATGACAACCACAGAAGGTATAACTATCACTGTCTCCCCTCTCCAAATAAAACAGGTTTAGAGGGCAAACAACTTGTCAGCATAGGGTCAATATTCCAACCTGAGCAATCGAATTCTGGAGTTCACACACTTAACCTATTTGCTATGCTACCTTAGGCCATTTTCTCAAGTAATTCTACCATTTACTGAATTTAACATAAACTTCACAAACGCTGCATTTAAAACCTCTAAGTATTAAATGTACAGTATTACATTCATAATAAGAATCTAACAAATTACAAAGAAAACTATATTTTAGGACTTAATCTGTCAATTAACAACCTGACAAGTTACCGGACAGTTTAGCAACATGATTATACCTTTCAGTGCTGAAATATGCAAGAGCATTTTAACTACTATTAAATACATCAGTGGACAGCAACTGAAATAAATTATTCAAATCCTGCAACTTCTATCTTGTAGCTGCCAAGTAACTCTCATTAACATAAATCTTTCAGGTGATTCCTTTTGAAAAATGATACCTCTTATAAATACTTTATAATCAAGAGTATTTACCTGATGTTTCTAAAATTCGTGGTTCAGGTTCATCCAGTTGTAGAAGCTCATCAAGAGCTAATTTTGCTGCATTGGATCTAGACTCCTTTTTATTTTGTCCCAGTCCAGTCTTGTACTGAATACCATCCACCACAGCACAAAAGGCAAAATATGGTCCCATAACATTACCTTGAAAAAGAACTCAGAATGAATGCTACAATAATTTTTATTATATTCTTGCAAACAATGTATGTACATAGGAAAACATTCCAGTACAAAAATTCTCAAAAACTACCTCATAAACACCAACTTTACAAGTCCTTTTGTAGGACCAATAGGAGTTAAACTAAAACTGAATGGGCATCTGAACTAACTCTGAGGATTCAAGCAGCTTAGGCCAGCTCCAGATTCAGTGTGAGCAATAGGGCCAGTAGTAGAGTACTGATCACACGTGGAGTAACAGTGAGTGTCTAGTATAATGCCTGGCAATGGTAAACACTCCACTATCTGTCAAACGGCTAGTGAGAGATAAAATGTGGAGATTTCACGTAACATCTCACATCTTTAAAACTTAAATACAAACGTCTTTAAAACTTTAAAACAAAGAAAGCTGAATTTCCCCCACCCCTTGGATTGCCCTAATATACTTTTAAGCTCCAGAATATAAGAGATCTCTTTGAAGAAACCCTGTGTACTATCAGGGCATTATAAGCAACTCAACCCATTACAGCTGTGAAGGTTGGGGAGTGGGAGAGGAGGTGGGGAGAGAGAGGAAGAGAAAACCAAAACATAATGATAAACTAAAGAATTAAACTGAATGTCCAGTCATCACAATTTATTTACTTAGCTTTTATATTTGGATAAAAAATGAAATAGAATTGTCTTGTCTCCCGTATTTACAGGTCAAAGATTCTTCTGTTTGAGGTTTTGCTTGTTAGTATTTAGACTTTAGGAGGCCTTTAGGAATCTGACTCTCCACTCTTTGGTTACAGATGGCTACATACAATGCTGCCACACATAAACCCCACTCTTATTTCCTCACATACTCACAATTATATTACATTAACTCTTTAATATGTACATCTAGGTTTTACAAGCAACTCCTGACTGCTTCTGGGTAAACTGCTTTCCCCATAACATCTCAGACTTCAGTTTCCCAAGTTCTTTTCTTCATGATCACCTGGGTTCCAATCCAGGTTTACTAAATCAGAGAGAATTTTGTATAATCAACAAGTGGCCCAGATGATTCTTATGTATATTACACATCTTGGCTGGGTGCACTGGCTCACACTCATAATCCCATCACTTTGGGAAGCTGAGGTTGGAGGATCTCTTGATGCCAGGAGTTCGAGGTCAGCCTAGGCAATATAGTGAGACTCCTTCTCTACAGGACATTTTGAAAATTAGCCAGGCCTGGTGGTGGATGCCTGCAGCAGTCTTAGCTATTTGGGAGGCTGGGGTGGGAGGATCACCACTGCACTCCAGCCTGGATAACAGAGTGAGAGCCTCTATCTAAAGAAAAAAAAAGATATTTTACCTAAAATTTATTAGTAAGTCTTCTGTGTCAGAATGCGGAGCCTTTAAGCTTCAGCCTGTTTATAACTCAGGTTCTCAAACTTTAGTGTAAATCTAAATCACACATAGAGCTATTAAAAAATTCTGACACTGTGGTTTCACTACCAAACACACTGGATTATTGAACTATATACTTTGAGCATAAAATGTACACCATTAACAACCAACAGGTCATGTTTTTTAGTAGTTTTTGCTCAGAGCAGTGAAGATTTGTCCTGATCATTTATTTTTTCTTACAATGACCAACAGTTTACATTTTCCAAGAGCAGTGTGAGATTACTGGAGGAAAGCTAACTAGTTACACGGAAATTAAGTCCACCTTCTACATTACCACCACCATCTATGTTAAGATACTATTTCTGTCACCTGTTAGTTTACTGGTATTCCACCTAAAACAACAGACTGAAACTTGATGTCGCTGTAACTATCTTTACTAAAATCTTGACATGTTAAAGTTATTTAGCAAAGATGTTAGCTTTGAGATCCATATTGGCAAGTTAGCACCAGGAAAATTAAAGAAACAACCTAACTACTCATGTGTGTGTACAAACACACACACATGTACATATACACAAAGTTTTTAAAATTTAAAATTTTAAGCTGTCAATGCCTCTTAAGAGCACTTATCCTTCCACTTTCCTAAAATCTTCCTAATCATTGGCTATAATGTGAAGAGATCAGAAACTACTTTCTGCATTTTCCTTATCTGTACTCGTGTAGCCTTTCACAGGCACAGCATGGTTACAGATTATTCTGTTTGGGGAGTTTAAGAGAGAATTGAGAAAACTGTAACAGACTAGTCTGCAGACAAAGTACCAATCATATAATCTAATGCTTGAGTTTCAGAAGGCAAATTTGACCTTTTCTTAGTCATCATCCTCACAGAATCCTTCTCATAAAATAATCATAGTCCAAATATTTAACATCTTTACAAAAGCATGTTTATGATACAGGAAGTAATTACACCCCAAAATAGTCCATGAGACTAATTTCCATTCAGCTAGCGACACATAAGAAAATTACAATTCAATGATTATAAAACTTTGGTATATGTGAGTTATTTGTAGAGGCTGCAAAGGCTAAAGAAGTGTGAACATAAACATTTAAGTATTCTTGTGAAAACATACAATCAGTTACCTAACTCCAATATTAGAAGAAAGAACTAAACTTAGCACAATTATTTTGCTATACTTTTCGTTTTGTTTTTGAGACAAATACAATTTTACACTTGCCTGTTGTCACAGTTTCCTTAAGGTCAAGCTGAACTCGCTGCATTTGTGCAAACTGGTGCAAGGCTGACACAGGATTTATCTCTCCACGTTTGTATTTCATTATAAATTCCTTAGGTATTTTTTTTGGAGGAAGGACAGGATTTGAAATAGATGAAAGATTCTTGGAAAGCAACGGCTCTGGAAAATTACCTAAAAACAAATGTTATACTTGTCAATTTGGTTTAAAACAAACAAACAAAAATGAGCAAAAGCAATAAATCCTCCCCGAAATGGAAGGTTGTCCCAGATACACTTCATCATATGTTTTTCTTAAGTTTCTACTAAACAATTTTGGCACACATGACAAGCACCACATGTTATTGCATCTATCGAGTACTAAGACTATTTTGCAAAAAGGTAATATCAACATGTCATTATTAAGTGATATCAAGGGTCATGGAATTTTAGTGATGTCAGGGTCTCCAGAAACCAAGAAATTTTTACAGATAATATCACTAAGGCCTAGAATACAGAAAGACACAGATCTGGGACTAAAACGTAGCTTCTGGCTCCCATCCACTCATTTTCTCACTGGATTCCACCGAATTTTAAAGTATGTTTGCCCCTGCTTTATACTTAACACTACGCTAAGTGCTATGTGGAATACAGACCAGTGTAAGTCCAGTATCTTCCCTTGCGCCTCACCTCAGAAAGGCAAGCCACACTTGAAGGGGGGGGTTTGAACAGTCAAGGTGGTAACAGATGGTTAAACGAGCGGCACAGGTAAAGAGCTCTACAGGCCTCCTCCAAATGTTGAGTCAGATGCCAGCTCCAGGTACACGGCCACGGGTAAATGTCTATACAACCACGAAACCTTTAAACCAGAGACTCGACAGAACTTACTGGCCATCCTAGAATCTTAAAGAACTGACTCATTGTTACAAATGAAAAAAGTCGTACCCGTTACTTGCGTAACCTTGGATGCCATCTTGGACAGGCCGTAACTTTCTGAGGACCATCCTGTGGGTGTAGTTATCGTCTTTGTCGCTGGTTGAACTGGCAGGTTCTTTTTCAGCATCTGGGCAAAGCTGGGGACCTGCGAACTCTGAAACCAATGATTGTTGCTAGCCATTTTCTCACCTAGAGGTCACGATAAAATTGGCAGAAAACAAGACAAAACGCTATGTAAACTGAAAATATTTACTCCAAACCCCACCCCCCCATTATTTCCATAAATGGCCTTGGCACATATTCAGATGACTAGAGTCAAATCCCTCTTGAACTGATCTCACGACTGCTTTTTGAGTTTTCATAGACACGGACCTCTTCTCTCCTGAATCCCTTCCCTAAACCTCTGCTACAAAGGAGGAAAGAAGGAACAGAGAGAGGTCCCTGTAAAAGACCTTAAAACTACTCAGGAGTTAGGGAAGATATTAGCAAGGTCAGGAAAAAAGAAAAAAAGAAAAAAAAATCAGCTCGTAGGTGGCCTCCTGAGTCCTGGCCCAACCCCTACCCACCAAAGTTGTCCTTCCTGCCCTCTATGTGGGAAGACGGGCAGCTGCTGCTGCGCCTCAGGCCGGGGGCTCGCAGGCGGCCGCCGCCGCCGTTGCTCCCACCTCCCAGCCTCAACCTCTCGCTTCAGGCCGCTCTGCGCGAGGTTCACAGGGTCAGGGCCGCATCTTTCAAAAGAGGCCTCGCGTCGCCCCTGCAGGACCCGGGCTTGCGCCCCCGCGCCCTGCTTCGTCCAATCACTAACCGTCTCGGAGGCCGGCGCTCTTGCCCCCGCGCTTGCGCCAGCGTCGTGCAGCCGAGCTCCGCGTCTTGCGTCACCTAGGGAAGAGACGCCGACCATCGCAGGCGTTCGAGGCCTGGGTGACTCTGTTCTCCGAACACAAGGACCGGGTCCAACTGGCCGCCTTACCCTTCTGGAGAAGCCAGGTAAAATCGCGCAGTTCAGCCTCCTCCCTTACTGTCCCGTGCCCCCCTACAGCCCTGACAGAGCACTGTAGGGATGATTATTTATACTGCAGTTGTCTATGCCTGGGGCCTCCTTCCCCAGAGCGGTTGAAGGCTGCCCAAGGGGTACCTGCGTGAGGGTTGTTTCAAGAAAATCCCTCATTTCATCCACAATCGCAATCTGAGAAGGTGCCCATGGGGAAGGCTTGGCCTCCACTGTGGCCTTCCTGTTTACAGAAAAACTACCTCACACGTCCTGAAGCTTGGCCAGTGAGCGAACAATCATGAAAACAGATGGAGTCTTTGAGAGCAAATGGCTCTGCTATCCGGATGACAAATCCAGTGTGGATGTTTTCAATTCTTTGCTCTCCTAAAGGTTGAAGGAGGCCCTACTCGAGGTGTTAGGTGATAGTTCGTGGAAAATAAGAATACTAAGTCACCCAACAAATTTCGGCATGTAAACAAAAAGTAATCCAAAGGATGGAGTAACTTTGTTATAACAAAATTTCAGTGTCCATCTACCTTTTTATAGGGATAAGTTTTCTCAGTAATTAAGTCAGATGTAAATCTTTTTTTTTAAAAAAAAGAAGGAAGCCAGGCATGGTGGTGGGCACTGGTATTCCCAGATACTGGAGAGGCTGAGGCAGGAGGACCAATTGAGCCCAGGAGATCAAGTCCAGCCTGGGCAACATTAGTGAGACTGCCATCTCTTTAAAAAAGAAAGAAAAAGAAAAAGGAAAAGAACAAATAGACGTAATTTGCATCCGGAAGTAGATGGGCTTATTGGAAGAAAAGTCCCATCCCCCTCGTTAAGCAGTGCATTTTCAATAAAAATATTTTTCTTTAGTGGTTATTAAAATGTGTGTTCATTATGTTGCTTCGATCAAGTGCCCATTAATGATCTCAATGATAATCTAGAATTTTTTTTTTTTTTTTTTTTTTTTTTTTTTTTTTTTTTTTGAGACGGAGTCTCGCTCTGTCGCCCAGGCTGGAGTGCAGTGGCGGGATCTCGGCTCACTGCAAGCTCCGCCTCCCGGGTTCACGCCATTCTCCTGCCTCAGCCTCCCAAGTAGCTGGGACTACAGGCGCCCGCCACTACGCCCGGCTAATTTTTTGTATTTTTAGTAGAGACGGGGTTTCACCGTTTTAGCCGGGATGGTCTCGATCTCCTGACCTCGTGATCCGCCCGCCTCGGCCTCCCAAAGTGCTGGGATTACAGGCGTGAGCCACCGCGCCCGGCCTAGAATTTTTAATTAACATTTAGAGACTTCTGGTTACAGGAAATTAAAAAATTCAAATGTCAAGAAGTAAAAGGATGATAATACAACTTCTAAGTACATTAGGATCAAATTTGAGGAGAGACATGCAATGGAAATAAAAGCTCGAGTGAAAGGAATGAGGTACAAATTTCCCTACTGCATACACAAATATATAAATTATGTTTTATTTTGAAGTAATTTTAGATTTACAAAGGAATTGTAAAGATAGTATAGTCTTTCCATTCCTTCCATCCACTTTCCCCAATATTATCTTACATAACTGTCAACTAAAGACAAAGAAATCAGGCTTTTAAAGAATTAAAGTTAGTTTTGTTCAGTCTTAGGATTGCAACCCAGGAGAGTCTTTCAGAGGATTTCTGTTTCACTGCACCAAAGCCATGTTTCAGCCCATAGCTTATATGTCACGTGATGTGGATGTTCAGCATGTGCTCAGAAGTTACAGTAGAGCAACATCTCATCAAAGTTTGGGTGGGAGAGGAGTACATTGGTTATAGATTACAGAGGCATAATAATTATTCCTGTCAGACATTATCTCATGTACAGGAAAAGACAAAGGCTAGGATCATTGAACTTCTTTTCTAGAAATGCAGTGATTCAGGCAAGAGACATGGGAACCTGTTCTCTATCCTGCTTTCCTGCTTATCATCTTCAGGATATTCCTTCTGGCTGCACTCAGTCACTGAGTCAGGGAGTTGTGAAGTTATGCTCACAAGCAGAGTGAGCAAACATGGCTTCATCACAGCAAGAGTGGACTCTGGCTGGCCAGAGGCAGATGTTTGCTACTTTGTCTCATGTAACTGTGGCACATTGATGGAAACTAATAAATTAACATTAGTACAACACTACTGACTATACAACACACTTTATTTGGATTTCACCAGTTTTTCAACCAATGTCCATTTTCTGTTCCAGGATTCAGGTTGCCATATTGCATTTAGTGGTCATATCTCCTAAGTATCCCATGGTCTGTGATAGTTTTTCAGCCCTTCTTTATTTTTCATGACCTAGGTAATTTTGAAGAGAGCTGGTCAGGTGTTTTGTAGAATGGCCCTCAATTTGGATCTGTCAGGTATTTTCTCATGACTACAGAGTTACGGTATTTGGGAAGAATACTACATAGATAAAGTTCACAGGGTGTATTAGGGAGTAACATAATGAGTATAGCTGGTGATGTTAACTTTGCTGACTTGGTTATGGTTGTGTCTGTCAGTTTTCTCCACTGTTCAATTTCTGTTTTTCCTTCTCTATTCTCTGTTTGTTAGAAAGTTCACCTCTTAGAGAGAGGAGTATCACAGAACTTGTGGACATATGTTCAAACCACGTATTAATAAATATTTGGGGGGGAATACTTTAAGGTTATGTATATGCACTGTTTCACCCTAGAGTTTCACCCACTAATTTTAGCATTCACCTTTGTAGTCTTACCCAAAGCAGTTATTACTATTGTGTTCTAATGGTTCTTTTCAATTTCCTTCATTCTTTCTACATTTATTATTTGGAATTATGTAAGAAAACCTTGCCTCTTTCCTTTATATTTATTCAGTTATTTCATTATATCAGTATGGAGGTATTTATTCTGTCATTTGAGTATAATCCAATACTATCTTTTTGTTTAATTTCGTTTTAATTTTTTTTTTTTTGACACGAGGTCTTGCTTTGTCACCCAGGCTGAAAGATACTTTCACCTCAGTCTCCTGAGTAGCTGGGACTACAGGCATGTGTGACCACACCTAGCTAATTTTTGTATTTTATTTTATTTTAATTTTTTGTAGAGACGGGGTTTCGCCGTATCACCCAGGCTCGTCTCAAACTCCTGGACTCAAGCAGTCCATACACCTGGGTCCCCCATAGTGCTGGGATTACAGGCATGAGCCACCGGGGTTGGCACTACCATTATTGATTTTGTTGTTCAAATTATTTCAGCTTTGGTCATTGGGAACTCTTTCATGTTGGCTCTTGTATCCTCTTGACATGTCCTCATCTTTTTTTTTTTTTGAGGTATTTTCCCTGCCCTACATCTAACAAAAAGTTGTGGTTACTTTTACAGGAGAATGGTATTTAGAAACTAAGCTCTGAGCATTAGGAGTGCTTATTGCTGCTGGGGTGTCATTGCTTCTATGCCTGCACAGAGGACAGACAGAGCTAGGAAATATATTTGTATGTACTAACTCCTGTATACAGACACATCTATATTTATATATAAAAACAAATTTATACTTACACCTTTGACTGTAATCTGACACCCAGCAGTCATTCCTGCTTCCCTTTATTTGTGATTTCTTTCTCTGACAATGAGAAATCTGGCAATATCTAAAATGTATTTTATTTTTCAGTGTATAGTAGATGCATATTGGTTAACTTGTACCTTTGTGAGAAACAAATTTACCACCAAGAAGAGTTTAGCATTTATTTATTTCATTTTTATTTCTTTAACCTTATTGACCAGGATATTTCTTTGATTTTTTTTCTTTAATCTTACATTATCTAGTCAAAACAGTTTCCCAAAGTTACTTAGGTTGGTTATTTGTTTATAGTTCTATGGGTTTTGACAAATATATGGTCATGTATCCACCAGTACAGTACTGTGTACAGAATAATTTCATCACCCCCAAATTTCCCTTGTGTGGTCATTTTGTAGTTAACCCTTCTTCTCTCTCCTAACTCCTGGAAACCATTGATCTGTTTTCTGTTTCTATAGTTTTTCCTTTTCCATAATGCCATATAAATTGCATCATAAAATATGTAACATTTTGGATCTGGCTTCTTTCACTTAGAAAAACACATTTAAGATTCATCCACGTTGTTGGGTGAATCAATAGTTTCTTCCTATTTATTGCAGAATAATATTCCATTGTACCACTGTTTATATGTTCATCTGTTGAAAGATATCTTGGTTGTTTCCAGTTTGAGGAAATTATGAATACAGCTGCTATAAACATTTGTGTACATAAATTTTCAATTCATTTGGGCAAATACCTAGGAATGGGATTGCTGGGTCGTATGGTAAGTGTATGTTTAACTTTATAAGAAACTTCCAAACTTTTCCAAAGTGATTGTATCATTTTTGCATTCTCACATGGGTCTGCGCAGAATTTCATTGCTAGGTGTTCTTCCCTGTTCAGCCAGTGCCATGGGGGAAAGCTTTCTCTGGATTCATCTTTGTCTCCTCTGTGAGCACCTTTGTCCTTTATGTCTCCCAAGGAAAAAAACCTTAATCTGCAAAGGGAAGGGCAATAGCTGAACATCTGGCCCAAGTGTTCCTATGCCTATCTTTCTCCAGATTTCAAGTTAGTTTTTTGTACTGTGACCCTTGTTTACTGATGGGTTCAAGAAAAATTGTTAAAGTTTGTCCAGCTTTTAAAATTGTTCTAAGGGTGAGCACAGTGCTTTTACCATCTCTCTACTTTTTCAAGTTGTTCATATATCTTTAAATGAGTGATGGTGGGCCTCACATCTCTAGGATACTTAGATTCAACTGGATACATTAAAATGAATGATAAATCAAGATGTAGTTAAGTGTCAATACTTCCAGTATGCCAGAAATTACATCCTTTTCAACTAATTATGCTGGAAAAAATACATCAACTTTAAAATATGTAAAATGTTATGAATAGTTTTTCAAAATTAGAAAACAAGGGACTTGTTTGAAGACCAGTGCTTAATTAGATTGGGAGAAAGGTAGGACATTACTCACTTTTTCTGACCCTATTTCATCCACTGGGCTGTTTGTTCTAAAGGAATGCATTCCTGCTGGCATCACCCTTTAAGTCAGAGTCACTTACTGGGGTGGAGGAGTGAGACATTCACCTCATGCTCAAACTTGAAGGGTGCATCAAAAAACTCAGTAATTTAGATAAATGTTTTATTGCAATATTTTAAAAAATCAAAATTATTGCCAAAAGTTTAACAATATGTCAAAATTTCAAATAAAGATACCATTTAACCCTGCACTTGTACTAATTCCAAACTGAAACTTTAAGTCTTTTGTTCATAGGTTTTTAAATGAATGATGTTGGATCTCAAATCCCTACAATACTCTCAATGGATACATTTACAAAGAATGATATAACACCCTTATCTCTTCACCCTAATTCTGGCACTGCTGCAAGATAGGATGAGGAAAGGGAACTACCATTTTTTTTAGCTATTACTTTATGGAAACTGTACATCTGCGTTGTGAAGTATATTTTAACTATTTATTGTCAAAGTCTTGTTCAGCATATGTTGGAGCAGGTATTCAAATTCAGGTCTACCATCAAAACCAAACCCTTTCATCAAAGCAAATATGTAGAATGGTGGTGAGCCTTTGGAGATAAGCCCTTATGGTGCAAGGGAACTCCTAAAAGATTTGTAGAAGATAAAACATGTTCAACATCACCAAACATTTTAAGTAGGGATTATTGCCCATGTTGCTTTGCTTGGTGCTAAATAGAGATATACCCATATGGTAGCTATAATTAAGTAACCCATAACCTTGATGACACTAATAATGCAAATCACATCAAGAATATGACAGAAGGCTGGGTGCAGTGGCTCACGCTCGTAATCCTAGTACTTTAGGAGGCTGAGGCAGGTGGATCACTTGAGGTCAGGAGTTCAAGACCAGCCTGGCCAATAACGGTGAAACCCCATCTCTACTAAAAATACAAAAATTAGCCAGGCATGGTGTCATGCTTCTCTCATCCCTGCCACTCAGGAGGCTGAGGCAGAAGAATTGCTTGAACCCAGGAGGTGGAGGTTGTAGTGAGCCGAGATCACACCACTGTACTCCAGCCTGGGCAACAGAGCAAGATGCTGTCTCAAAAAAAAAAATATGACAGAAAAGTCAATATATGATAATAAAATTAAGTGTGTTATAGAATGTTGTTTGGCATAGGAATAAGAATGAATCTTTGGTGGTAGAGAGAAACTCCTTTAGAAAAATCTTTCATAATCTTTGATATTATACTTTGTAATATAAAAATCTGACCTTACTACCTTAAGTGTTACAACTCTAATGTAAACAACTATCTTCTCTTGCGTTTATTACTCAGTAGCCTTCTAAGTAGTTTCTTGTTTCACTATTTGCTCCCATCCCTCTACTCCCTCCCCTCCAAACTCTCTTTTCCTTACTCTAGCCAAAGCAACTTACAGTCATGGGGGAATGTTGAAGGGGAAGCAAGCACGTCTGTCTTTACATGGTGTCAGGAGAGACAGCGAAGGGGGCAGTACTACACACTTAAAAAAAAAACCACATCTCATGAAAACTCACTCATTATTACAAGAACAGCAAGGGAGAAATCTGTCCCCATGATCCAATGACCTCCCACCAGGACTCTCCCCCGGCATTGGGGATTATAATTCAACATGAGATTTGGGTGGGGACACAGAGTCAAACTATATCACAAGGCAGGTTAAAACATAGCCCTGATCTTGGAGCTTACAGTAAAATAAAGAATAAATAACATGCTTAGAAAATGGCCAGCCCTTTGATTGGGCCAAAATGTTTATCAGCTCATACATTCTGTCTGAGCCCTGTCAGGTTTATTAAATACATAGTGGCCTATTCCATTTTGTTTCAGCCACAACGTGTTAAGTTTAGCATGTGAAGACTGGAGAGATAATGAAGTTTTGGTTCTTATTTTTAAAATATGCTTAAAATATTCATACAGTCATAGCCTGATAATTTTGGTTGAGGTTTATCCAATTTAGGCTATGAGGCAGATAATCCACATAATTTGCATAACAATTTCTAATGAGTTATATTGTAAAATAATATGTTTAGTAGTTTAGTGTTTAAGATGTTTCAGTGTAATTTAAATATGTTTCATATTTCAAGACCACACTGAATGTTGCTTCTGTATTGGTTTTAGTAAACTGCCTCAGATTCGATACCATATATTTATTAACAAATGATTGATTGTCTAATGGATACATGAAAACATACCAGATTTTAAATACTTCCTTCCACATATTTCTGAATACTGGTGTAAATTAACTTGACATCAGATGGCCCAATGAGTTGCAGGATGTTTTGGCAACTGCTGAACTATATTACTGTCATCTTTTTATTATGTGACTCTTATGATTTGGCAAGGCAGTGGGCAATTGGGCATGATAGTGAATTCTTCATCTCAGTACATGATACTCAGTTGCTCATTAACTCAGTTGCTAAAGCCAGAACCTCAGAAGCAAGGCCAGAGTATAAGGTTGTGAACAAGAACACCAAGCCAAGGGAGTGAGTGGGGCTGAAGTACAGCTTTACTCTGCTAAGCAAGACATATACCTTGGTTTGGGGCTGCCTTGGCTTGAGGAATGGATGCTCTTCCTAATTTCTAATCTAATTAATATAAGTTATCTGACCATGCCCAAGAATTATCCTTGACTCCTTTCTTTCCCCCAACTCCCATTCCATCAGTTAGTTCTGTTGGCTGTCTCCACAACATTGCCCAAATGAATCCACTTCTTACCACTTCCACTGCTGCCACCCTAGTCCAAACAACTATTACCTTTTCCTGGGATTTCTGTGATAGCTTATGAACAGGTCTTCCTGCTTCCCACTCTTGCCCCTCTTAACTGTCCAATAAATGTTCCGCATTTTACTCGTAGAAGATAAGTGTAATATTGTTACATGGATATATTGCATAGTGATGTAGTTAGGGCTTTTAGTGTATCCATCACCCAAATAACGTACATTGTATCCATTAAGCAATTGGGAAATATCATTCTCCCCAGCCCTCTACCCTTGAGTCTCCATTGTCTATCCATTCCACACTCTATGTCCATGTGTATACATTATTTAGCTCCTGCTTATAAGTGAGAAGATGCAGTATTTGTCTTTGTGTTTCTGAGTTGTTTCACTTAAAATAATAGCCTCCAATTCCATCCATATTGCTGCAGAATAGGATTCCATTCTTTTTTATGGCTGAGTAGTGTTCTGTTGTGTATATATACCACATTTTCTTTATCCAGTCATCCATTGTTGGATGCTTAGGTTGATTCCATATCTTTGCTATTGTGAATAGTGATGTGATAAACATAACAGTGCAGGTATCTTTTTGGCATAATAATTCCTTTTCCTTTGGAAAGAGGAAAAGAAATCCTCTGCTACCCAGTAGTAGGATTGTTGGAGCAAATGGTAGTTCTATTTTTAGTTCTTTGAGAAATTTCCACACTGTTTTCCATAGAGGTTGTACTAATTTACATTCCCACCAATAGTGAATAAGTGTTCAGCAGTGAAACAGTGTTCTCTTTTCTCTGAATCCTTGCCAACATTTGTTGTTGTCTTTGTAATAAATAGCCATTGTGACTGGTGTAAAGATGATATCTCACTGTGTGGTGTTTTTTTTTTTTTTTTTCTTGAGACAGAGTCTCGCTCTGGAGTCCAGTGGCATGATCTTGGCTCACCACAACATCGGCCTCCCAGGTTCAAGTGATTCTCATGCCTCAACTTCCTGAGTAGCTGGGATTATAGGTGTGTGCCACCACACCCAGCTAATTTTTTGTATTCTTAGTAGAGATGGGTTTCACCATGTTGGCCAGGATGGTCTCAAACTCCTGACCTCAAGTAATCTGCCCACCTTGGCCAGATGAGCCACGGTACCCAGCCTCATTGTGGTTTTAATTTGCATTTCTCTGATGATTAGTGATATTGAGCATTACACTCCCACCAACAGTGTAAAAGCTTTCCTATTTCTCCACATCCTTTCCAGCGTCTGTTGTTTCCTGTCTTTTTAATGATCGCCATTCTAACTGGCGTGAGATGGTATCTCATTGTGGTTTTGATTTGCATTTCTCTAATGACCAGTGATGATGAGCATTTTTTCATAAGTTTGTTGGCTGCATAAATGTCTTCTTTTGAGATGTGTCTGTTCATATCCTTCGCCCACTTTTTGATGGGGTTTTTTTCTTGTAAATTTGTTTAAGTTCTTTGTAGATTCTGGATATTAGCTCTTTGTCAGATGGATAGATTGCAAAAATTTTCTCCCATTCTGTAGGTTGCCTGTTCACTCTGATGATAGTTTCTTTTGCTGTGCAGAAGCTCTTTAGTTTAATTAGATCCCATTTATCAATTTTGGCTTTTGTTGCCATTGCTTTTGGTGTTTTAGTCATGAAGTCTTTGCTCATGCCTGTGTCCTGAATGGTATTGCCTAGGTTTTCATCTAGGGTTTTTATGGTTTTGGGTTTTACATTTAAGTCTTTAATCCATCTTGAGTTAATTTTTGTATAAGGTGTAAGGAAGGAGTCCAGTTTCAGGTTTCTGCTTATGGCTAGCCAGTTTTCCCAACATCATTTATTAAATAGGGAATCGTTTCCCCATTGCTTGTTTTTGTCAGGTTTGTCAAAGATCGATGGCAGTAGATGTGTGGTGTTATTTCTGAGGCCTCTGTTCTGTTCCATTGTTCTATATATCTGTTTTGGTACCAGTACCATGCTGTTTTGGTTATTGTAGCCTTGTAGTATAGTTTGAAGTCAGGTAGTGTGATGCCTCCAGCTTTGTTCCTTTTGTTTAGGATTGTCTTGGCTATGTGGGCTCTTTTTTGGTTCCGTATGAAATTTAAAGTAGTTTTTTCTAATTCTGTGAAGAAAGTCAGTGGTAGCTTGATGGGCATAACATTGAATCTCTAAATTACTTTGGGCAGTATGCCATTTTCACAATATTGATTCTTCCTATGCAAGAGCATGGAATGTTCTTCCATTTGTTTGTGTCCTCTTTTTATTTCCTTGAGCAGTGGTTTGTAGTTCTCCTTGAAGATGTCCTTCACATCCCTTGTAAGTTGGATTCCCCGGTATTTTATTTACTTTGTAGCAATTGTGAATGGGAGTTCACTTAAGATTTGGCTCTCTGCTTGTCTGTTATTGGTGTATAGGAATGCGTGTGATTTTTGCACATTGATTTTGTATCCTGAGACTTCGCTGAAGTTGCTTATCAGCTTAAGGAGATTTTGGGCTGAGACTATGGGTTCTCTAAATAGACAATCATGTCATCTGCGAACAGAGACAATTTGACTTCCTCTTTTCCTAATTGAATGCCCTTTATTTCTTTCACTTGCCTGATTGCCCTGGCTAGAACTTCCAATACTATGTCAAATAGGAGTGGTGAGACAGGGCATCCTTGTCTTGTGCCAGTTTTCAAAGGGAATGCTTCCAGTTTTTGCCCATTCAGTATGATATTAGTTGTGGGTTTGTCATAAATAGCTCTTATTATTTTGAGATATGTTCATCAATACCTAGTTTATTGAGAGTTTTTTTAGCATGAAGAGCTGTTGAATTTTGTCAAAGGCCTTTCCTGCATCTATTGAGATAATCATGTGGTTTTTGTCATTGGTTCTGTTTATGTGATGGATTACGTTTATTGATTTGCATACATTGAACCAGCGTTGCATCCCAGGATGAAGCCGACTTGATTGTGGTGGATAAGCTTTTTGATGTGCTGCTGTATTTGGTTTGCCAGTATTTTATTGAGGATTTTTACATGATGTTCATCAGGGATATTGGCCTAAAATTTTCTTTTTTTGTTGTGTCTCTTCCTGGTTTTGGCATCAAGATGATGCCGGCCTCAAAAAATGAGTTAGGGAGGATTCCTTCTTTTTCTATTCATTGGAATAGTTTCAGAAGGAATGGTACCAGCTCCTCTTTGTACCTCTGGTAGAATTTGGCTGTGAATCCTTCTGGTCCTGGACTTGTTGGTAGGCTATTAATTATTGCCTCAATTTCAGAACCTGTTATTGGTCTGTTCAGAGACTCAGCTTCTTCCTGGTTTAGTCTTGGGAGGGTGTATGTGTCCAGGAATTTATCCATTTCTTCTAGATTTTCTAGTTTATTTGCATAGAAGTGTTTATAGTATTTTCTGATGGTAGTTTGTATTTCTGTGGGATCAGTGGTGATATCCCCTTTATCTTTTTTTTAATTGCATCTATTTGATTCTTCTCTCTTTCCTTCTTTATTAGTCTGGCTAGCAGTCTATCTATTTTGTTGATCTTTTCAAAAAACCAGCTCCTGCATTCATTGATTTTTTTGAGGGGATTTTTGTGTCTCTATCTCCTTCAGTTCTGCTCTGATCTTAGTTATTTCTTGCCTTCTGCTAGCTTTTGAATTTGTTTGCTCTTGCTTCTCTAGTTCTTTTATTTGTGATGTTAGGGTGTCTATTTTTTATCTTGCCTGCTTTCTCTTGTGGGCATTTAGTGCTATAAATTTCCCTCTAAACACTGCTTTAATTGTGTCCCAGAGATTCTTGTATGTTGTGTCTTAGTTCTCATTGGTTTCAAAGAACATCTTTGTTTCTGCCTTCATTTTGTTATGTACCCAGTAGTCATTCAGTATCAGGTTGCTCAGTTTCCATGTAGTTGTGTGGTTTTGAGTGGGCTTCTTAATCCTGAGTTCTAATTTGATTGCACTGTGGTCTGAGAGACAGTTTATTGTGATTTCTGCTTTTTTACATTTGCTGAGGAATGTTTTACTTTGAATTATGTGGTCAATTTTAGAATAAGTGTGATGTGGTGCTGAGAAGAATGTATATTCTGTTGATTTGGGGTTTAGAGTTCTGTAGATGTCTATTAGGTCAGCTTGGTCCAGAGATGAATTCAAGTCCTGGATATCCTTGTTAACCTTCTGTCTCATTGATCTGTCTAATATTGTCAGTGGTGTGTTAAAGTCTCCCACTATTATTGTGTGGGAGTCTAAGTCTCTTTGGAGGTCTTCAAGAACTTGCTTTATGAATCGGGGTGCTCCTGTATTGGGTGCATATATATTTAGGATAGTTAGCTCTTCTTGTTGCATTGATCTCTTTACCATTATGTAATGCCCTTCTTTGTCTTTTCTGATCTTTGTTGGTTTAAAGTCTGTTTTATCAGAGACTAGGATTGCAACCTCTGCTTTTTTTTGTTTTCCATTTGCTTGGTAGATCTTTCTCCATCTCCATTAGGAGATGGGTCTTCTGAATACAACACACCAGTGGGTCCTGACTCTTTATCCAATTTCCCAGTCTGTGTCTTTTAATTGGGGCATTTAGCCCATTTACATTTAAGATTAATTTTGTTATGTGTGAATTTGATCCTGTCATTATGATGCTAGCTGGTTATTTTGCCCATTAGTTGAGGCAGTTTCTTCATAGCGTTGATGGCCTTTACAATTTGGTATGTTTTTGCAGTGGCTGGTACCGGTTTTTCCTTTCCATGTTTAGTGCTTTCTTCAGGAGCTCTTGCAAGGCAAGCATGTTGTTGACAGAATTTCTCAGCATTTGCTTGTCTGTAAAGGATTTTATTTCTCCTTCACTTATAAAGCTTAGTTTGGCTGGATATGAAATTCTGGGTTGTAAATTCTTTTCTTTAAGAATGTTGAATATTGGCCCCCACTCTCTTCTGGCTTGTAAGGTTTCTGCTGAGAAATCCGCTGTTAGTCTGATGGGCTTCCCTTTGTGGGTAACCCAATATTTCTCTCTGGCTGCCCTGAACATTTTTTCCTTCATTTCAACCTTGGTGAAACTGACGATTATGTGTCTTGGGGTTGCTCTTCTCGAGGAATACCTTTGTGGTGTTCTCTGTATTTCCTGAATTTGAATGTTGGCCTGCCCTGTTAGGTTGGGGAAGTTCTCCTGGATAATATCCTGAAGAGTGTTTTCCAACTTGGTTCCATTCTCCCCATCACTTTTAGGTACATGAATCAAACGTATGTTTGGTCTATTCACATAGTCCCATATTTCTTGGAGGCTTTGTTCATTTCTTTTCACTCTTTTTTCTCTAATCTTGTCTTCTCCCTTTATTTCATTAATTTGATCTTCAGTCACTGATATTCTTTCTTCCACTTGACCGATTCAACTTTTGAAGCTTGTGTGTGCTTCACGAAGTTCTCTTGCTGTGTTTCTCAGCTCCATCAGGTCATTTATGTTCTTCTCTACACTGGTTATTCTAGTTAGCAATTCGTCTAACCTTTCTTCAAGGTTCTTAGCTTCCTTCCATTGGGTTAGAACATGTTCCTTTAGCTCAGAGGAGTTTGTTATTACCCACCTTCTGAAGCCTACTTCTGTCAATTTGTCAAACTCGTTCTCTGTCCAGTTTTGTTCCCTTGCTGGTGAGGAGTTGTGATCCTTTGGAGGAGAAGAGGCATTCTGGTTTTTGGAATTTTCAGCCCTTCTGTGCTGGTTTCTCCCCATCTTTGTGGTTTTATCTACCTTTGTTCTTTGATGTTGCTGACCTATGGATGGGGTTTTGGTGTGGATGTCCTTCTTGTTTGTTAGTTTTCCTTCTAACAGTCAGGCCTCTCAGCTGCAGGTCTGTTAGAGTTTGCTGGAGGTCCACCCAGACCCTGTTTGCCTGTGTATCACCAGTGGAGGCTGCAGAACAGCACATATTGCTGCCTGATCCTTCCTCTAGAACGTTCATCCTAGGGGGGCACCCGCCAGATGCCAGCCGGAGCTCTCCTGTATAAGGTGTCTGTCAGCCCCTACTGGGAGGTGTCTCCCAGTCAGGCTACACGGGGGTCAGGGACCCACTTAAGGAGGCAGTCTGTCCGTTATCAGAGCTCGAACGCTGTGCTGGGAGAACCGCTACTCTCTTCAGAGCTGTCAGGCAGGGACATTTAAAGTCTGTTGAAGGTGTGCCCACAGCTGCCCCTTCCCCTGAGTGCTCTGTCCCAGGGAGATGGGGGATTTATCTATAAGTCCCCGACTGGGGCTGCTGCCTTTTGTTCAGAGATGTCCTGCCCACAGAGGTAGAATCTAGAGAGGCAGCCTTGCTGAGCTGCGGTGGGCTCCGCCCAGTTCATACTTCCTGGAGGCTTTGTTTACACTGTCAGCATAAAACTGCCTACTCAAGCCTCAGCAATGGCCGAGCCCCTCCCCCCACCAAGCTGTAGCATCCCCGGTCGATCTCAGACTGCTATGCTAGAATTGAGAATTTCAAGCCAATGGATCTTAGCTTGCTGGCCTCTGTGGGCATGGGACTCACCGAGCCAGGCACCAGAGGGAATCTCCTGGTCTTCCGGTTGCGAAGACTGTGGAAAAAGTGCAGTATTGGGGCAGGAGTGTACCATTCCCCCAAGTACAGTCACTCGCAGCTTCCCTTGGCTAGGAACGGGAAATCCCCTCAACCCTTGCGCTTCCCGGGTGAGGCGACTCCCGACCCTGCTTCGGTTTGCCCTCCGTGGGCTGTACCCACTGTCCAACCATTCCCAATGAGATGAACCAGGTACCTCAGTTGGAAATGCAGAAGTCACCCTCTTCTGTGTCAGTCTCGCTGGGAGCTGCAGACTGGAGCTGTTCCTATTGGGCTATGTTGCCAGAAATACCCTAGAAATTCTTACAGCAATTGATGGAACATTTGAATCTAGTAAATCAAACCTAATAATTAAAAATTTGAGCTTTGTGTATTTTAATTTTTTTCATTTTGAATAATTGTTACTATATTTTACAAGATTATTGATTTATATCATGTTCAACTTTTTCTAAAAAAGGGTTCTTCACTATAGACAGTTTGCAAATCACAGATCTCTAGTAAGCCTAGAAGTACAATATTTGCCGATAGGAAAGCAAAATCCTTTATGTAATTTTTTTTTACATGTTATTGAAATTTTACAAGTTATCTGGATGCACCGTGTGATTTACTGGAATAGAACAAGGTACGTGATACTCAAAAAATAACTATAATAGACCACTTGGAAGCTTTGTAATCTAAGCGGCTGACCATGTTTTTTAATTTAGGAATAAATCTTAGAGATCATCTTTTTTTTCATGGTTGCATACTATGCTACTGAATGGATGTCACTTTTAATTAACCTGTCTTACACTGATGAACATTTGAATTGTTTCCAGCCATTTATTACAAAGAATACTGCAACATACTTCCACAATACTGCACTGTTGCAGAATACCGCAAATATACATGCTTGTATAATTATTTCACACAGGGAAGTATTGTATGTATGTCCAGTAAAAATTATATGCCTTTATTATTTTGACAGCTGTTACTTAATTGTCCTTCATGGGAGTTGTACCAATTTACATTCTCATCAGTAGTGCACAGATGTGCTAGTTTTCTCATAGCTTTGTCCAACAGTCATAGAAATTTTAAGTAGTTACAGATTTGTCCTTTTGCTTTTTATAACGTTATCAGTTAGTGCCAGAAATAGGGTAAGTTTATACTTGTTATTTTATATGCACCAATGTTAAGAGATTTGGGGGTCAGATTCAGAGATCAGATAGATGACAGCTATGATGGCCTAGCAGAAAGAATACAAAATTAGGACTGTTAAAACACTAGGGTTTTGGTTGTGTGACTAAGTTGCTTTGTGACATTAGACAGCAAATCTTAATTCCCCTACTAACATTTACTAGATCTACACCCTTGGCTAAGTACCCCAGCTCTTCTGGAGTTTTTTGTTGTTTAATCTGTTAGAGGTAAAACTGTCTTATCTACCTAAATCTAAGAGTCTGCACTAGAGGCTTTCTTTAGGTGTTTTCTAACTCTAGCTCTTCAATTCTACTGTTTACCCAATCTTTAAACTGGCCATACTGACTTGGCTAATTTCCAACCTGAGGTAATTATAGCTACCTTTGAGTATTATTTTAGATCTTGCCATTTTAAATTTTTTATACTTAATGTGTGTACATAATACACATATGTATCTGTAATATATAACATACATTATATATAACTTCATACACACAAAAAATACAAACACGTAAGGAATATAGTATAATAAAAATTACTTGCTGTGAATTTCCCATTAGCTTAAGAAAGAACAATACCTAATATTTCTCGTAGGTATTATTAATATACCTCTTGTGTGCCTGTCCCTAATTTTTTATAAACATAGTCATCTTCCTGTGTTCTTGGGGGATTGGTTCCAGAACATCCGTAGATGCTCAAGTTCCTCATGTAAAATTGTGTAGTGTTTGAATATAACTTACGCACATTCTCCTGGATACTCTTTAAAAATCATCTGTAGATTATTTACAATACCTAATAAAATGCCTACACATCACTTCATTCATGTGGACTTAATGTACTTGGTAAATACAAAAGTTTTGCTTTTTGGAACTTGGGTGGAATATTTTTTTTTTCCTGAATGTTTGTTTTCGATCTGCAGTTCATTGAATCCACAGAGGTAGAACCTATGGCCCAACTCTAATATAGGTATAAATCATCATCTTCTATGAAAGCATCTGATCAGCTGTGACACAGCATGGGCATCTATTAATTATAAAAAGGAGAAAAAGATTGAAAAACTACTACAGACTTAAACCATTACTGTGACTTTATTATAATAGTTAACAATATTTTAGTGGTATACAATCATATCACAATTACTCAAGCTATATACAAACAGGTATTTATATAAGTCTACATTTAAAAAAGAAAAAGCAATTAATGACCTCCCCAAAATCACATTATCATCAACAAGATTTTTTTCTAAAAGTTACGGCCAATCCAATAACAAAAAAATTCACAGTTATTCTGCAGACATTTTAAAGATGCAGGAATTGTATTGCACATTATATAATTATAAACCATAACAAGCAGTTATATATTTTAATCTAGTTTTTCACAAAATTTACATTATCATGCAATACTTCACTGTACACAGAATGATGGAACTAGAACAGGTTAACTTACAAACTTTTAATTATAGCCACAAATTTAGAATTATTTTAAAGTTATATTTCAAATTATTATACTAAAAAAACACTCCAGTGTAATAAAACAGACACAATCATAATTTGTTCACAGATCAAATTACTTTTTTAGTGTTCTTCTTTGTCTTTGCCTTTCTTTTCCTTTTCATCCTGTAGTGCAGTACCGAGCTTTTTGATAAGAACTGACAGAACCTTGTCCAGTGGATCCATGACTCCTCTTTGAAGCCATTTAGGAATAGTAGTCCTAGCATGATGAAAGCCCAATTTTTGAAGAATATAATCAACACCTACTGGATCAATCTTTCTTCCAGTCCAAGAAATTAATCTAAAATAAAAATTACAGTTATTATTAAGGAGTGTAATGCCCTAAAGCATGGTTCTAATGGTAGGAAAAGAACATCACTAAGCCTCTATAATATACTCAAGACAAAATATTTTCAGTAGGTACATTTGTATAAATGAGCCCATAATTCCTGGATTCACCATAATAATAGCATTCAAAAAATAATATATGTATGATTATAAATCTCTTTGACAACCTAAACACAGCAATAGTGTTTACTATATTTCATCCTGAATATTTTAGGCCTGTTATACAGTTATCTTAAACATATAAAAGGACATCTGGTTAATTTTAGTAGATTTCATAAGCATGTGGCATAATGGGAGAAAAAGGCTAAAATTTACTGAGTGCTATGTGCTAAACATATTTGAAGGGAGAACCATTTTTTCCCTATTCTTGCTATTTCCTTATACGTGGAGAAACAGCTGTTACTGAACCGCTCCTGGCCACCTTCTGCCCCTGTATTGATGATTTATCCAACAGGCAAAGTTAACAGAGGAAGTAACAGTTCAGTACCCTCCTCCCTCATGGAGCCCTTCATTTTAGTCTGTTCCTTCATACCACAGGTTTTTCAGGAGCAAGCCCCTAAACAGGTTAGCCCCAGAGTATTCTATGTTGTCTGTGGCTGAGTACATACATAGAGCTGCTGATTGTACAACTCCAGCAACCCCCATCCCGCCCTTCCCCGAAGTTAAGTTCTGCATCGATGCCCTGCAGGTAGGACCAAACCCGAACTTTGTAGAAAGCTATTGTTGCCGTATATCTAAGCCACATGTCTTGTTATCAGCTTTATCCATATTAATCTCTCCCACTATTTCAATTGGTTCTGAACTCAGGGTGGGGGTTGGGGGTGGTTAGGCATTGATCTCCTCAAACTCAAATAGTTATAAGCATTTTGCGTTAATTCATTTAACCAGTGTAACGATCCTACAAGGTGGGTAATACCATTTTCCAAATTTTTCATGAGTCAACTGAGGCAGAGAGAACAGAGGGGTTAGGTGTTTTGGCCTAGCTCAGTCAGCTACTATGCAAAAGAGCTGGGCTTACAGCCAGAGCTCTTAAACCACGCTCTCTACCACTATACCACATTACTTAACTAGATACTCTTGATAGTTTGCTAAAAAAAGGAATATGGTAACTATTTTTATGCTCACTTGAAACTAAATTCATTTTGTATTCAATTTAAATACATTATTATTTAAATTTGCAAATACAAAACAGATTTTACAAATAGTTTTCTGCATTAGGACCTCTGCAGTATTTTAACAGTTAATATTTCTCATGGGTATATGCACTATTAGTACCAAAGTGTTTTGCTTATTTAGTTACAACAAATTTTACTGTATGCCAATTATTTATTAACACACCAAGTCAGTACTTTCTGCCTATACAAGAGTCCTCACTGCATAATGGAGATTTTATTTTGGAATTATTTTGTGACATAAATATGTCTGAATAAAAACCTTATCTAAATAAAATGTATATCATTTTGCAGAATGTTGTGCTGGGATGTAATGGATTTTTAAAAATAGTGTTATTTCAGGATTCAGACAGTTACAACAGGATTAACAAAGCAGATGAGATGAAAGGAAAAAAAACAGGAAGGCTGTTAGTGTTAATCACAAACAAGGACACACAAAGCAAGCACCACTAGTTATAGAAACTATCATAAATATAACTGAAACTAAAAAATACTTTTGAAATTTTGGGATAGTGATTTAATTGGGATAATTGTAGTAGACCATGACTCAGTAAGGGAACCTTAATCTGATAGTGTTAAATTTGAGATATTAGGCATGGTTTTATAATGCTTAGTATGCAAAGAGAGGGGCACTGTGATGCTGCAGGTTTTATTACAGTGTTATGACATATATACAGCAAGAAATTAAAATAGTTCCTTAACAATTAAATATGACTTCTGCTGCATCTTGCCATACTAAGTAACAAAACAGTTTACAGTAGCTACCTCAAACCCTGAAAATAACATCTTGGTGAGAAGGTGAAAAACTAGTGGCAACAGTGGAAGGACAATTATTCTCATATTTTAGTAATGTCACCCATTGGACAACTCATCAGTGCTGAGCTATTCTCAACATTTGTACTTCATTCGCCTTACCTAGAAACAAATACAGAAAGAAGCAGCAAAGACAGCACACAGAAGCTATAGACATTACAGGAGACTAACTTCTGAATATATTTTTTGATAATCATATGTAACTTACATTATTCATAACTTTTTGCTCATAGTAATCCCTTAGCATATGGGTAAATGTATATACTCATTACTTACCTAAGAGTAGGTTCTAGATGCCATGTATTGCACATAAAATCTCTCCAGTCCACAGTAGTATAAGTGATGCTATCTTCTCTATCTTTATCAGAGGAATTGTCGTCATGTATAATAATTGGACTTTTTTGTCCTGGTCGAGTAGATAAAATCCGAGGTGGAAAGATGGCTATAAGGAAAATTTAGATTAGTATGATACATTTATGTTAAATCACCATAAGAATTAGAACAGAATTGGTTTCATTTCTCATTTTATCTATGACCTGGCCAAAGCCTCATTTAATTGCATTTCTTAAAAATAATATTTTAAAATAAGCCATAAGTACCAATTATTGATAATTCTTAGAGATTAACAGTGTCAACATTAATGATAAAAAATGCTGAGATCATTGACTTGATAGCAAGCCTATGGCACTGAAATTGATAGTTGTAGGTTTCCTAAAGAATGGCTGTAGTAGGTTTATTTTTTATTTTTTATTTTATTATTATTATACTTTTAAGTTTTAGGGTACATGTGCACAATGTGCAGGTTAGTTACATATGTATACATGTGCCATGCTGGTGTGCTGCACCCATTAACTCGTCATTTAGCATTAGGTATATCTCCTAATGCTATCCCTCCCCGCTCCCTTTTTTGTTTTTTTTTTTAACAGCTTTGAGATATAATTCACACACCATACCATTCATTAATTTAAGCTGTGTAATTCAATGGTTTTTGTATGCTAATGGCTAGTTGTATATATATTTGAACAGTGGTACTAAAGAGGTTTTTATTTAAGCAGACTTTTCACTCTTTATAAAGACAAGTCTTTTAATTGGCTATAATAATTATATATAAAGTGTAATCTGCAACATAGGTATTAGGGTGGTGCAAAAGTAATTGCAGTTTTTGCCATTAATATTTTCATATGATCTTATTTAATGAATACAGCTTTCCTCTTAGGGCATTAGTTTCAATACACAAACTGGACGTGAAATAATTGAATAATTAGGTAATATGTGTTATATAGCTCCGGTTATAACTTGATTGGGAATGAGCCTCAAAATTAAGCCATAGTAACGCACTACGTAAGAACACAGATGCCCTGTTCAGTTAAGGCCTGCTCAGTTGCTGGGTTTTTGTTTATTACTGGTGGTGGTTACAGTGCTACAATTTATTTTGATGTTCTCTAAATATGTTGATTCTGGTATAGTCTGACATGCTGTTAAGCATTTTCTCAGGTATATTTGAGTATTTTGGCCAAAACGAAGTGCTTGTTGTTTGTAATAACTTATTTATAATTGAAATCCTCACATACATATTTTGTTATTGTAAATCCACCCCCTTTTCCCATTGAAATGTTTTATAACAGTTTATATTAAAACGGTCTTTTTGTTGTTGTTTTTTAGAAATACACGTAGTTTGTGGCAGACCAAGACCAACACACTATTTCATAAAATGACAAATGTTTCACATCATACCCAAGAGAAACAAATTTGTCAGGTTTTCAAATATAGGTAGACTAGAAAATAATTCTGAACTTCACAGGTTTGTCTTGAATCTGTTTTTTTCTACATTAAGTTTAAATATTAAGGCATAAAAACAAAAAGGATTGCCAGTGACTGGTATCTGTTGGGGCTGTATGTGAAGATTTTATCTACTTATATATAATATACAAGATTGCCTATTATACAGTTTCTGTCATTTTACTTGAAGTTTCTACTGAGGTCATATAGATTTCTCCCAGCCATCATTATTGATTTTACTCTCTCACTGAATTTTGGGCACATCTCAATTGAATATTAATAAAAGAGCATTTCAATGTATGCTATGCTACCTTTGTACTCTTTCAACATGGTCGTTTGATAATCTTTATTTTTAAAAGTCAAGACAAATTTTATATTTTTTCCTCATGAAGAAAATGAAACAATATTATAGTGTGACTTGAACAAATTACATTTATTCCAAGTTATTTATTAGGAAGCACATATGTGATTTTACCATTGTATATTCATAACGGTGCAATAAATATTGAATGAATAAATGGCCATATATTTTGTAAGCATTCCAAATCATTACATTTCAAACTACCTCATTCTTTTAAACAGTTAGAGAGTACTATAATGTATTAGCTAATTCCAGATATTAGGGCTGCCATACTTTTTTTTTTTTTTTTTGAGACAGGATCTCTGTCACCCAGGCTGGAGTGTGGTGGTGCAATTATGGCTCACAGCTCACTGTAGCCTTGAACTCCCAGGCTCAAGCGATCCTCCCACCTCACAGCCTCCCGAGTAGCTGGGGACTACAGGTATGTGCCACCACACCTGGCTAATTTTTGTATTTTTTGTAGAAATGGGGTCTCACTTTGTTGCCTAGGCTGGTCTCAAAGCCCTGGGCTCAAGCAGTCCATCCTCCTTGGCATCCCAAAGTGCTGGTATTACAGACATGAGCCACCGCCCCCAGCCACCATACATTTCTTAATGGGTAAACATTAAGTTACCAGTGTGTAAACCAATGTTAGCAAGCTCATGAACCCAAATACCACCACTGAGATTTAAATAATTTATGTATTAAAAAGAAAATGTTTTCTGCATTCCAAACATTTATCAGCTTTCTCAATTCAGTTTTCACAATTAGGTAAATAACTCATGCTTCTTTATTATGTAGTTGTTTCTTTAGTCATTTCACTTTGATTTGCAGTATTTTCTCACATTTTCCTATTTTTCAAGAATCTCCTGTAAGATCTAACTGAAAATGTACATAAGATAATGTATACAGAAACACTTTGTAAAGTATAAAACACCATTGGTGCTGTATATATAGCAAGTACTCAGAAAGTCTGTGATAGTCTTACTAACGCTATTTACTGATATCTTCAACTCACGGGAGATATATTCCACTCATTTTCTCATTAGACCATAACAATTCATGTAAATGGCATTGACAGCTGCCATTCTTGCAGCCTAAAAGAAAAAGAGTATTCCACCCACCTTTTTCTTTTTCTTTAAGATAAGCTGATACTAAATCATGAAGAAACATGATGAGCTCAGCATCCATAGTCACACAAATGTGGTCAGTGAACTCTGTCACCACACTACATTCTACTTTTGGCTTCAGGCTGGCATCTGCAATAATATGGTAAAAGATTTAATAAAATGAGTCATCTTCCCATTAATAAGGATTTATATAGGTCTATGTAAATGCATCCACATGAAATGCAACTGTAAAGAAATGAGTAATATCTGTATGTGATTTACAGGATGATGATAGTTTGTTAAGCACTTCCCTAGTACAGATTGAGTATCCTTTATCCAATTATGCTTGGGATCAGATGTCTTTCAAATTTTGGATTCTGGAATATTTGCATTATACTTACTGGTTTTAGAACCCCAATCCAAAAATCTGAAATCCTCCAATGAGCATTTCCTGTGTCATGTCAGTGTTCAAAATATTTTGGATTTTAGGGCATTTCAGATTTTTGGATTGGGATGCTCAACCTATATATGCCATTTATTCCTGATAATAGTCCTATAAATGAAGTCCAATTATTCTTCTTCATTTTACTGAGGAGAGAGAGGTATAAGTTGGTTAAATAATTTTCCAGAGGTCATATAGCTGATAAGAAAATAAATCAATTTTGCCTAGAAAATTAATTTCATTAGATATTAGTATTACAAAAAATCCATGGGAACACAGCAGTAGTTTGAAGTGCCTTTAGAATTTTCTTATTAACTTTAAATTGTTTTTCTACATACCCTGTAATGAAGGCTCCTGTGGTTCTTGAACATGAATGGATTTAAAGTCAAGCTGCATCCTTGGTAATGCAAAGATAGTCTCTGTTTCATGGTTGTAGCTAGAACCTCCTCTGAATCCACTCAACAAACTAGAATTCTTCACAGTAGTGCTATTCTCAGTGTTGTTAGCATCAACATTACGAAGCAGATTTAGCTCTACATGCATAATGATAAAGAGAGAGTCAAATTAAAACAATAGGCATTGACAAGCCTATATAGCTTTCAAGACAACTATAATATACAGAACTATTATTTCCAAAGTTGGAAAGAATCACATTATATATAGATATACTACATATATCTATGTATACAGATATATACATATACATGGACACATATGTATATATATACATATGTATATATACATATATTTATATATATACATATGATATAGATATATATGTAGTATATCTATATCAGTAGCTCACTGTTGTCAAGACCAAAGCTTTATAATGGGATTTGTATAAACCCAATACATTCTAGCTTTGGTTTCTGGGATTTTAAAATGAATATTATTCTCAACTGAATTCATGTCTGAAGTTGGAATTTCACTAAGCCCAAAGGGCTCCATAGATTGAACACTTCACTCTTAAAGAATTTGAGATTAAATAGGATCCTGGTCTTGAAATCAGGTAGAAGTACTGATTTTCCCCAACATATGTGCTATGATTAAACTATAGAGTCTTAGTTTTATAAAGACCTTTTATAGGTCTTAGAATTATAATAATTAGTATTTTTCTTCAGACAGCAGTTCATTATGCTAATAGACGCTTTAGGACACTCCAGCCATAAAGATCCCCCTTCCCCCAAATCCCTGTTTGGAAGGTAAAATAGTCAGTACAGGCATAATCTTCTGATTCACTTTCTTATTCTCCTTTGTTCTAGGAACATTTTTAACAGTCTCTATTCAATCCATGAGATGGCCTATTCCATGGTAACTGTTCTCATGGGGCCTAATCTTTTCCATTTTGAAAAAAGGTCATTTTTGGCTGTGCATGGTGGCTCATGCCTGTAATCCCAGCACTTTGGGAGGCTGAGGCGGGTGTATCACGAGGTCAGGAGTTCGAGACCAGCCTGAACAACATGGTGAAACCCTGTCTCTACTAAAAATACAAAAATTAGCCGGGCGTGGTGGCGCACACCTGTAATCCCAGCTACTCAGGAGGCTGAGGCAGGAGAATCGCTTGAACCCAGGAAATGGAGGTTGCAGTGAGCCAAGATCATGCCACTGTACTTCAGTCTGGGCAACAGAGCAAGACTCTGTCTCAAAAAAAAAAAAAAAGAAAAGAAAAAAGGTCATTTTTATGTAAAACATTGAAAAGTCTCAACACCTGTCAATCTAGTCAGCTTTCCAATACACAGAGATAATTGGTAAAAGCAATACTATAAACCCAAATCCCAAAAGCACCACAAAATAAGTTATCATGACCACACTATCACAAGACTGTTGTATCTAATCAAATGAAAAAAAAAAACTATCAAAAGCACTTTCTTTTAAACTTACAACTTGATAGAATGATAATATTTGGTTTCATTTTGTTCTAGCTATTCGAACTTTAAGTTTGTGGTATTCCTTTATTTAGTTGTGTAACAACCTCCCCAAACTTCCATTTTTTAGCATTACTAGAAAAATATTTTTCCAGAATCATTTCCTAAATATTTCCTAAAATATTTCTCAATGTAATAAACTTAATTTTATTTAAAGCCAATTTTATTTAGAATGTTTTCAATAACATCTAAAATAAGTTGAGTCCATGAGATGCCACATTACCAGGGTGGTATTAAATAATTATTACTTGTGTCAGCCAGCAAGATTAAAATGAAAATTGTTTAAGGAAATGAAAACACCATCTCCATTTAAATTCTAAACACAGTCAACAGAATCCAAAATGGAAAAAACAAAATAAATCTCTCCAAAGACTCAAAATTTTAACCTTCATTCCTTGTAGCTGTAACATAATTGAACCATTCTTTCACACTTGCTACTCCATGGGGTGGATTTTCATGGCGACGCCTTGTTATCTTGGTTATTGTTGCCATAGGACTTTCCAAAGCACCACATGGTTTGGTAACCATAGTATTATGACCCAGGTGAAAATCTAGTGTTTGTACAATATATGTAGAATGATCACTGGAGCCTACAACAAAATAAAAATACTTTTTTAAAGTAATAAACCATATTTAGATTCAAGATGATAATTGTGGCCTCAGAGCTATAAATTCAGTTGTCATATATAGGAAGGCTATAAAAATGAAGAATAAATGAGGATAAAAACCAAATAATTCACAAATAATTCTTCTATTAGTGGTAATTGGATTTGTCCCTAGTAAGATGAAGAAAGCATCAAACATCAAACATTTTTTTCCCTCAATGTAGAAACCACCAAGTAGAAAAGTAAAGCTCAAAGGAAATGGGTTTATCACTGTAGAGATAAAAGCACAGCCTTGCCTATATATTTTATAATATAGTCTTGACTGGCAAATAATTTCCTCACACTACCACTATGTTGCCTTCACTTCATGTTTTTATAAGAAAGATTACAGTAACTATTACCATGACTTATGTTTAGCCACAGCAGCAGAAACTTTAATTGCCTAAGTAAGAAACATGGAGTAAGATGGCAAGTTCAGAAATTAACATGTTCCAGACATTATAAATATTGACTTATTGGTAGTGAACTCCTTAACATGTCAGATACATGATAACAAACAGAGATGGACTTCAGAAATACAATTGTCATTTATAGTCATAACAGAAGATAGGAGAAAGTAAAAGCTGGAAATGTGTCAGTTTACCATCTTCCCAGATTTTCTGAGCTTCAGTCCAAAAAGCAATATTTGGTTCTTCTAAATGAAAAAGGGCCCAAGATTTTGAACGAAAATTTGGACCATGAAAACATGCCAGTGTCATATGATTTCCATGTAAGCTCATTGATCCTCCAAATTGCATTCCATCTTCTGGTAATGGAATCTGAAATAAGGATATGTGGCATCCTGATACCACCTTCAATACTCCAGGCCAGTGTCGATGATGTGCTGCATCAAGTACTGCAAGAAAACCAAAAAACACATATCCTGAAGTGCCTAATGAGTACCCTTGGATAGGGTAGAGTGAGGCAGCAAGTGGCTACTTTCTACAGTCTCAGGTGAGGGATGAAAACAGTGTCCAGTGCCTGTTAAACATTAAGCAATAGCTAATAAAGAGACATTCTAGGAAAAGATGCTGCATGAGGATGGATATAGCTAAGGAAAGTAGTAACTTGCTAAAAATAATTAAAACTAATATGTCTGAGGCTGGGTGCTGTGGCTCACGCCTGTAAACCCAGCACTTTTGGAAGCCGTAGCGGGTGGATCATTTGAGGTCAGGAGTTCGAGACCAGCCTGGCCAACATGGTGAAACCCTGTCTCTACTAAAAATACCAAAATTAGCTGGGTGCGGTGGAGCACGCCTGTAGTCCCAGCTACTTGGGAGGTTAAGGCAGGAGAATTGCTTGAACCCAGGAGGCAGAGGTTGTAGTGAGCTGAGATCGTGCCACTGCACTCCAGCCTGGATGACAGAGTGAGAACCTGTCTCAAAAAAAAAAAAAAAAAAAAAAGAAAAACCAAAACCTAATATGTCTGTAATGATTAATGAGTTACAAAGTACTTGCATGGAATTTTATGTAATTCTCAATTCTCATTATAACTTTGTAAACTAGATATTTCATCTTGACTGATTTCAAGTGAATAAGCAGAAGAACAAAGAGGTTAAGTGAACCAGTAACTGGAAGACCTAGAAATCAAATGCAGACCCCCTTATTTTAAGTACTGCTTTTAAACTCATATTCCTTTGCTACTCAAAGGTCAGAGGGCCAGCAGAATCAGCATTGCCTGGGAGCTTGTGAGAAATGCCGACTCTTAAGCCCACCTGTACCTACTATATCAAAATCTTTATTTTAATAACATCTCCAGGGGTTTCAGATGCATGTTAAGTTTGAGAAGCACTAATCAAACATACAACGTTTATTTTCCATTTATTCCAATAATGTTCCTTTTGGCTGTTTTCCATACCTCTCACCCATAATCCAACCAAAGATCATGAATTGTATTCATTTATTATGTTTTCCTTTAAACAATTCCCTAAGCCTTTATGTTTGTTTTTTGTGACGAGGAGTTTTTTTGAAGAATCCAGGCCAGGCATTTTGCAGAACATCCCTCAATTTTTATATGCCTAATATAAATTTTAGTTTAAAGGAAATACATGGACTACAGGAAAAACATAAATGACACCACAAAGAAGTAACTGAAAAAGATCTAGAAGGTAGGGAATTCTTTAGGACAGTTGGCTACATCTCTTCAATAAGTCAGTTCATATAAAAAATGAACTGTGCTAAATTAAAAGAAGGCAAAGGAACATAACCATATTTAACCTGTGACTTTGGATTGGATAAACTGGTTTGGACAAAACCATTATAGAGGACATTTTTAGATCAATCATGGAAATTTGAATGTGTTTTGAAAGCTAAAGGAGATAATTAGCAAAATGGAAAGTTGGAGATTGTTGACCTACAAAATGGTATGAATTTTGATATTTTCTTAAAATGTACGCATATATACAGATACACAGAAAAATATCTGGAGGTGTATGCTCTAAGGTGTTCACAGTGATTTCTGAGTGGAATGTGATGGTTTTATTTTTTGCTTCTCTTGTGTTTTCTAGTTTTTTTCAATGTATACGTATTACTTCTGTGATAATAAAGTTATTAAAAAGCTATCCTCATTCTGACTGTTTCTCACCACTTACACCTCTATCATCCTAGTGAAAGCCACCATTTCTTGCCTGGACTCTTGCAATGGCTTCCTTACAATAATGATGTAACTATGTACATAACAATGATAATGGTAATTATTGCAATGGTTTCCTTCCATTCTTAACTGCCTATAGTCTGTTCTTCACACAGTAGCCAGAGTGAACTTTAAAAGGGAGTATTTTTTGAAAAGATAAATCCGATATCAAATCTGTTTAAAACTCTCTGATAGCTAACCATCATATTAAAAATCTTACCTGTAGTAGACCTCTGTGAATTCATGTCCGGCATTTTCGTCCTTGCTCATTTCTGTTCCAGCCACAGTGGCAACCTTAATGATCCTCAAGCCAAGTTTGTTCCTACTAGGGGAACTTTGGACTCAGTATCCCCCGATGCCTGGAACTCTCTTCCCCCACATCTTAGCCTTGTTCTTTCATTCACATTTCCACTAAAATGTCACTTCAGAAAAGGCCTAAATGATCACCCTTTCTAAAATAGCTATCCTCACATTTAATCATTCTCTATATTCTTCCCGTTTTGTTCTTTTGCTTAGCACTTCTCTCTTACTGAAATTATCTTATATATTTAGTTAGTAAATTTATTATGGTCTTTCTCTCCCATTAGAATCTGAGCTTCATGAGGGTAGTGATTCTGTCCACCACTAGATCTCCTGTGCCTAGAATAGTGCCTAAGCACATGGTTGTAGCTTAATAAATATTTGCCAATTGAATTGCTAAGTGAAAATAATGACCTGCTTATCACCTAATAAATCCAAATTCAGATATTCTGACTCCACAGACATTCTAAACCAGAACATGATATTCTCATAAACACTATTCAAGAGCGTGGAGTGGGTATGGATGCAGATGCACTGCAGCAGGGGGAAGAGATAACAAATGATGTCTTCCTAAATGATGGCCTCTAATTCCATTGGCAGGTAGAAATTCTGGTCCTTTGCTAACTGAGTGAGATAAAGAGCCTGTGGGCTATTTTCTAAGTGGGGCATACAGATTATTATTATTTTAAATTAAAAATGTAACATATTTAGTGAAAGATAAAGCATATATAAAAGCTTACTTCTAATTCTTACATTGTTCTTGTGAACTTTTTTCTAGGTTGCTAGTCATTGTCTTTGGCGGAAGGTAAGGAACTGGTCCCCAGGTAGACAGAGCTCGTTTGCTGGTATCAAATTGTTGTGTGAAAAATTCCTGGAGCTTCATTCCTATTTTTATCAGATCTGGTGTGGTTGACCTTGATATCATTACTTGGAAAATATCCCACTTCAAATCTCCATGGACGAAAATCTCACTAGAGCATAAAACAAAATCTTTGTCAGATGTCTTACAGCAGATACTCAAAAAGTACAAGAAACATTTTCTTCCCCCGCCCAGCTTTTTAATTTGTATTAATTGCATAATAAATAAGAGTTTTGTAAGAAAAATTGCTGTTTTCTCACCAGATGATAGACAATATGTTGAGAACAGTCATGTAAAGTGTCCAAAAAGTAATCCTTAATAAATACCTTTTATCAGTTATGCTTGAATCCAATGTATTATACAAGTTTACTTTCCATTCATCCTGAAGCTTAAGATCAGCATTACTGAAGATGCCCATGAGGATACTTGAGCCCATGTAATCAACACGAGCTTCAGTAGAACCCATAGTAATCTGAATTTTGTGACTGGGTTGCTGATTTGGATGTTCAGAAATATGAGCTAAAATAGAAACAATAATTAATTTTGACAGACATGTCCATGGGAAAAACTCATGAGAATCCATCTCCAAAAGCATTTTTTTTGATATATATATCTTAAGGATATGTTAGGTCAGTTTTAAAATTTCAACATACCAACCATCTCCAAAGCATTGACATCTATGGTCCCTCCAACTACTCCTCCTTTAGAATCTAATTGTGATCTTCCCAGACCAACAGACATGCTGATCTCTCGATCACGATTACTTCCTACTGACAGACGGCCCTGGCTCTTCAAACCACTAGTTGTCCAACTAAAAAATGAAAAAAAGGTTATTATATATATAGCTTCCAGTGTCATGAATTAAAACAGGATTTAAATTAAAAAGGAGTTAAATCAGATTATTTAAAAGGTCAAGTTTGACAATGAAACAACATACTTTATATAAAAACTGTGTGGTAAATATTTGAATATTAACATTGATAATGAAGCTTTACTCCTAGCTAGAAAAGCTAGAAAATTACCCTGTTCTCCTTATAATTGATTCCCTTTTTATAGAACATATATTTCATGATGTTTTATATTGCAGTATCCTTAGAATTAAGCCATTTTCAGGATAAAACATTTTATATCGTTTATCTACTTCTTTTTCAAATATTTAGCATTCAAAAAAGGTTCTGAATATCTTTACTACAGTAGAAGAAAAGTTACAAAAATGATTAAATACATTTCCTTTGTATCTGAATAGCTTACGTTGTATTTCCCATTACATTACTCATATTCATTTGAACGTTTAATTGCTTCAAGTTGATAGCAAACACGACAAGTGTTTCCCATGGGGTCCCTTGTTGGCTTGCTGCTTTGTTTGATTTGTTAAAAGGAGTTGATGTTTTTGAAAGTGAATCTAAAAATAGAAAAATCAAATACATGTTCATTCACATAAATGCCAAGCTAGTTACAAAGCAAAAACTATTTTTATTGCTATAATCCAAAAAGTAAAAATATAATATTCTTGTATTAGAATCTAATGTTTAATGGTTATCCTATTGCCTCTAAAATAATAGTTACCACTTACTAAATGTTTATAAGTGCTGGCAGCTTTACCTCTTGAAAGCTCATAAAATTATGTATGGCCCCCATTTTATATGAGGAAATTCTGGTGTGCATGGGATATAGCAGCACAGATCATGCATCACCCTAGGATTCTGTTTAACAAAGAAGAAAATCATAAGGTGCTGTTGCCAAATACAGGACTCAAAGGCAGAAACCATTCTGAAATGCAGATGCCGGTTGGGGTGCCTGTCTTTTGTGTTCTTATGGACTTAGTATATATCTTGAATCCTGCATTTGCTCATTATATTTTAATCTTTTGACGAGAACTACATCATTCATTTTTATACAATCAGGCACAAGTACAAGGCCAAGCCCATATGGAGCACACAAACAATATGCTAATTCCTCTCCCCTTATCTATTTGTAAAGCTACTGGCCATCTAGCTGTCTTGATGGCAATACTTTGAAATATTTGTTTTGTTGTTTTTACTGTGTTGGGGATTTTTTTTTTTTTTTTTGACGTGTCATAAAAACCTCAAGAATTTATTTTCCTATAGTTAGGGCTGAAATCTGAGAGTAACTAAGATTTTATCCTGAGAACACTGTAGGGCTACTGATAACAAAAAGAGCAGTGTTACCTCTTCGAGGAACTGAAGAATCAGATACACTCCTTGATCTTATGGAAGCTGGGGATTTTAGGCTCTGTCCTACTGTCCCTGGTGACATGGTGCTGTTTGTCATATGCTCATTGAACACATTAGGTGACTGAGGCATGTGGGTGAAGGAGGCTGACTGACTTGGCTGCTCCCAGGTCTTGCAGTAAGCTTTTCTTGATGATTCAGGGGAAAGGTGTTGGCTTACCCCTTCAATGGAATCAGGTGTCCCTGGGCCAGATGCTAGTAGAAAACAAACAAAACAAACAAAAAATCCAAAGTAACAGGGTAAAATCCCTATGTTATAAAATAAGTTCACCCATCCATCATTTCTAATCACATTACATATTCCTTCTAGTTCTCTATTTAGCAGCTGTACAGCAATTTACAGTTTGCAAAGAACATGCCAGTGTTTTGTTTAAACTCCATGAAAAGAGCAAAACAGGACCTCTGGTCTCAGTTTACAGGTGAGGGAATACACTCAGACTTAGGGTTTCTCAAATTTACCTCTATGTAACTGACTCTAGTTTTCATTTCCAAAAATCTCTTGATTTCATTACCTACAACAATATCTAAATCCAGCAGACAAATGCAGGCAAGCTAGTAACATGTCCCCAGCATCTTCTGTTTCCCATGCTTCGCTAACCATGATTAACTTGGATATTTAAAAGGATTACAGAGTAATCATTATAGAATAAATTTACTAACAAATTAACTAACTTATAAATTTACTAATTTGTTAGGATAGTTATAGAATAAACTATATTTATTCAGCCAGAATGTAATCTCAAAGAAGACAAAACTTTTTGTCTTTTTGGTTCTCTGATATATCCTCAGTGCTAATATATCCCTTGTGGTTGGCATATTAGAGGGGCCCAATGGACATTTCTTGAATGACTGAACGCATCACATGGTACACCCTGCCAAGTAAGATCACGTTTGTGTTATCAATTGTAGGTCTTGCTGCTACAGTAACCAAAATTAAAATTACATAACAAGCTTACTTGGCAAATTTATAGTTTGGTCTCCAAGGAATAGACGTCTTGCAATACTTCTTCTATACCATGCTCTTGGAAATGCCAGAATTTCACTGAGTCGGCGCATATCATATTTAAAGGAGGCAGACCCTATATCACAAACAGCTGATACATAAATAACATTTGTTAGTACAGATTTCTAAAACCTTTAATGTTTTCACATGGTAGGTATAAGACAGGGTTATTACACAGCTGAATTATACTTAAGTTACATATTATGATTAGTGTTACATTCTTCCACAAATTACAAAAACAGCACATTCTAACACTGTTAGTACCACTTCCCTTTTTTGAGGTGATGGCAAGTTGGAATTCTATTATCACTTTATCATGAAATCCTCAGAGAAGTTCTAAAGATCAGTCTGATAGCCAGCTTTCAATTTTAACACAGCAGTCTTTTCTATTATGGAAAATGAATCATCAGGATGAGCTGGTATACAAATTTTCTCAAAAGGAATTGTAAACCAAATAGCTGTGTGGCAGGGACTACTATTTTCCTATCAGACTAATAGCAGTGACTTTAGACAAAAAACATTTTGATGGCCTTCTTCCAGAGTTCTGCTCTGGAGCATTCTTCTACTCCTGTTGTATGTGCTCTTCTATTCTTCTACCATAGTTTCTATAGGGTTTACATGCCAATGACTCCCACAGCTAAAATTTCTGTTTTTGTCTGAGCCCATACCTACATAGCGATACCCGCTAAGTCAGTTGTCTACCAGAACCTTCCACCTAAATGTCCTATAGACATTTCCTTCTTTATTTTCTAAGTTAATGGCTTCACTGCTCCTTCAGTCATCTAAGCTAAAAGTTTGAGGCATTCTTGTCTCCTCTGTTGCCCCTAATACAACTTATACTTAAGTTTATGGATTCTCTTCTATCTCTCTTGAACCCACTCCTCATTCCCTTTTCTCCTTTTTTTACTGCCACAGTTCATGCTCTCATCTACTATTGCATGGTCTACTTCAGCAGCCTCCTCAAGCATCTTTTCTTTCCTGTCTTTCAGGCTACCCTCAACTCTCTTTCTAAAACACCATTCTGAAGCATCAACCCATTTCTTAACTTCTAATGGCTTCTCAGTGCCGAAATAATCAGAACCCAATTCTTTATCATGGCATATGATATGAGTCCCTCCACAATCAGGTCCTATTTTATCAGCTTTACCTCTAGCCTCTCTATTTCTGGCTCCATCCACTTAAACCAATTAAATGTTCAACATTTAATTGGCTCCAACCAATTAAATGTTCACTTATACCCTGTGCTTCAGCCACAGCAAATCAAAGTATGATCCAGAAGCATACATTTTGATGCTTCTGTGCCATTGAATACCATGTTGCTACCTCCAAGAATATTCCTACTCATTTTTCAAAATGTGGGCCAAATAACATTTCCTATGTGAAGCCTTTTCTGATTTCTCATACAAGACAGAATTTATTGTTTCCTTCTCTTTGTAGAAAGCTCCATTATAGCATTTATTATCCTGGACTCATTTATTTGTCTACACATAAGACCTTGTCTTATTCATGCCTGCTCCCCTCAATCACCTAGCAATCTCAGGTAAAAGTTTACCCTAAAACACAGGCTTAATATATATTTTCAGAATATTGGGTTAAGTGAACATACCATATTTATTTGATTCATAATTATGAAAGTTTTTACTCAGTATTCTGGATTCTTCAGAATGTCTATTTGCATTTACTTTTAAACACTCAAATCGCAATGTAAAGGAAATGACTTGCCCATAGTTATATAGATGTTTATAAAACCAGCAGTATACATGCACACAATTCAAGGTTTTCTGACATCAAGTAAACATTTTTAAACATCACTCATCCCGTTTTAGTGTTTTAAGCATTTACAATTAGAAGAACAAAAAGAAACTGTACCAATTCATGGTGGAGAAAAAGTGAAGAAAAGAAGCAACTTTTACTGATTTAATTAGGCATACTTGGCCCTTGGGTGATATGTCTATTTATCTAGAAATTATATTCCTAACATTTATTACTTGGATTGACACAGTACCGTAGGCTGGGCATTCCTCTCCTTTATATCAACTTATCACTGAAAGCTTAACATTAAGTGACTTAATATTTAAACACTATTAAAACAGAGGCCATTATTTAATTTTGGAAAACAGTATTTTAATTTAAAAACTATAAAATTGAGTACCAGATATATTTATTAACGTAGTATCCATTTTGCTTGCAGACTTGCTTACAGACTGACTTTCAAAAAATGAGGCACCTCCTGAACGCCTGATCCGTGACAAACTCACTTTTACAAACTCAAGGTTTATACTGAGTGAATCTTTTCGACCAGTGACTGAAGTGGGCTCCTCATCCACATTCCCTTTAAAACAAACAAACAAACACAACCCCCACATCTATATATACATATATACACACAGCTGTCTAGTTAGGTGAAAATTATCTAATATACTGTAATATGCCATGAATTAAAATCACTTGAGGTAAAAATTTAAGCAGAGGGATCTAATGAGCATTAGCATTTCTAACAACAATTTAAGAGGTTCAAACCCACAAACATAATTGGTGATTTTTACAACCCTTCTCCAACAATAGAAACTAGAATTGACGTGGAATATATGTTTTCATCATTTATTTAAATACAAGTCAAGAGTTAGTTACTAATAAGAAGCTTTTATGCATTTGCAGTGTTTTATCTGCTCTTCAAAGTGACAATGAAATTTAATTTCACGAAATGGCTGACTTAAATTATAGTCTCTTTTTAAATTAACAATTGTGACCCATGCACTTTAAAATTTTACTTTCTACGCAGTTTGTTGTATAAATGGACAGTGATTTGCTAAGACATTTAAATATTTCAATAACATAAGTAATCTCTGATATCCAGAGATTACTGTGCTGTGTATACCGCTTAGAAAATATTCTGAATTTTAAAATTCTTGTATAATTAATTCACCTGAATTACTTATTGTATATGTCTACTTATTACGTAAATATGAGATAGGTATTATCAAAGAGGAAAAATACAAAAAGCATCTGATCTTGGCTATGTCCTTATGATTTATGAAAATAAAGCTTGAAAGCTTGAAAAGATGCTGTAAATCTGAAAAAGACATAAACATGCAAAGTATACCTAATCCTCCTGATCCAGGTGTGAGGCCAGAAACAGCAGTTTTTTGTTTCCCTGCTCCATATGGATGAAATACATAAAGGGAAAAGTCAGACATGCATGCAGTGAAGCTCAAGCCAGATGAACTACTGCTGGAACTGGTCAGGTCTGACTGACTACTACTATGTCGACTTCGGCCAAGAGGGCTGCCTAATCCCGATGAACCTACAGTGAGCACAGGAAATTGAAAATATAAGCTACAAGAAAAAAAGGCCAGTCAATAATATGTTCTTAAGAACCAGACATGACTTCAGAATAAAATGGAAACACTCAAACATCAGATCAATAGATTTAACAGATCAATAGATTTAAATCCTTAAAACTGAAATAAAGACTTAGATGTATTTTCCAATTAATTTACACCAGGGTTGAATACTCTGTTCATCCTTAAAACAATTATTTTTATATATATGTTTGGCCTACTGCATGGTTTCCTATTTCTTTTCTCCTTCACTACTAGAAGCAGGCAGTGGAAGAGGCCCAAAATAGCTAGGGCTTAAGCAAAGTGGGGGAGAACATACTGTAAAAAAATCCATATCATATACTTGGAGTCCACATTTCAGTAGGTGCAGTGGAAACAGGGCAAGGTATGCAAAAGCAGAAAGTAAAAAAATCTGTTAGAGAGCCAAGTGTCCTTGTTGGTAACATTTACTAGGGATGGACAGGTAAATTCCAAAAACATAAAAAATATGAGACCATTTGAATAGATTATTAAATGATTTTGCTGGTGATTCCAAAATGTATGTCCAGACCAGACCTCCTTTGGATTTATATATTACAACTGCCTACTTGACCTCCTATTAGAATGGGTCACAGGCATTTAAACTGAACTGCACTCTTGATCTTTTTCCTTGAATTTGTTTTTCTTCCAGTGGTCCCCATCTCCAGTAAATGAATACTTCCATGAAAACAGCTCAACCAGGCTGGGCACAGTGGCTCATGCCTATAATCCCAGCACTCTGGGAGGCCGAAGTGGGCAGATCACGAGGTCAGGAGTTTGAGACCAGCCTGACCAATGTGGTGAAACCCCATCTCTACTAAAAGTACAAAAACTAGCCGGGCGTGGTGGCACGCACCTGTAATCCCAGCTACTCAGGAGGCTGAGGCAGGAGAATTGCTTGAACCCAGGAGGCAGAGGCTGCAGTGAGCTGAGATGGCGCCACTACACTCCAGCCTGGACAACAGAGTGAGACTTAGTCTCAAAAAAAAAAATAAATAAATAAATAAATAAATAAAAAGAAAATAGCTCAACCAAAACCTGGGAGTTATCCGTCATCCTTCCTACTCCTGACTCTGTCATGCAATTTATCATTCATCATTTCTATATCTCAGGCATATAAAGTCTGTCCATTTCCTTCCATCTCACTGCTGCCATTCTAGCTTAAGCAATTATTAACTCTGCCTGGACTGCAGAAATGGCTCTCCTTGCCTCATGCTACTCCAATCAACTGCCACACTGCAGCTGGACTGGTATTCTAAAAGTATGTGTGTGAATCATATCCACTCCCTTGCTTAACCTTTCAGTGGCTTTCCCACATGAGTTGGCTCTTTCCTATCTCTCTAAACCTTTCTTATGCCAGTCTCCACACTTAACAATGGCTTTTTTTTCCTTTTTGTTATTCAGAGTTGACAAACTGTTTCTTCTTCGTGCATTTTGTATTCTCTCCTGGGAGTGTCCATTCCCCCAGTTCTCTGCTTCGCTAACCCATACTTACTTCACGTTTCCATTTAAAATAAACTTGTTTGCTGGGCTATTACTTGTTTCTCCAAATTCAGTTTAGGCTCCACATTAGTAAGTATGGACCACATCTACTAGCTAAGTTCACTATTACTATGCCCTAGCACTGACCCAGACCACAAAGTAAAGATCCTTTGAAAGAATGGATATTGTCGCAACCTATATATTCTTATCATCATTCCTTGAATAAATAATGATAAAATGAGGGGTGCTATTCATTTATGTTGTTTTCTAAGGAATCATAAAATTTGGGCATAAAAAATTTCTCATTTCATATTCCTTTCACTACCTATTCCTAGCATGGTGCATATATACTGCTATATTAATTTAAGTGCTAATAATTTATGACATTATGACAGTTTGTCATTAAAAGATTAACATTCCAAAAGAGAAATGGGCATGGGCATATATTTACCACTCCCAAGAAATAGCTAATAAAGTAATAGAGTACAGATTAAAATAATAAAATCCAAATTTAATCCATCACATTGACAATGATTAAAATTAAATTTAAAGCAGTGTTGGGAAGAATACAGTGAGCTGGTGTCCATACACACTGTGATGAGAGTGTAGAAATCTTACAGTCTTACCAGAAAGCAAATGTATCAAACACTTTCAAAATGTTCATACTTCCTAACCTAGAAATTCCACTTTTAAGAATTTCTCCTAAGAATATATCTTTGTTTAAAAATATTTACATACAAAGATGTTGATTTTAGTATTATTTTGAAAGCAAAATAACCCACAGAATCTCAAGTATATGATCCAAACAATGGAATATCTTATAGCCATTAATTTTAGAGATGAATATTTAATAATTTAGGAAAATACCTATGATACTTTAAATTTTAAAAAGTTACATAGCAGAAGAGGCCATATTTCAATTTTTGCCTTGGAAAAATATGGTATCACTACAGAAATGTTGTAGTGTTATCGCTGACAACACTAGTTATCTAGGATAAAGGGATATTCTCATTTTCATTTCACCTTTAGTACTTTTCATTTTCTATAATGAATAGTGAGTGTAACTTTTATAATCAGAAAATGTTTTTCAAAAACCAACACTACCACTACAATATTTTGTTGACAACACAACTCCAACAGCAATATTTTGAAGCTAAGTACTAGATAATGGGTGACCACATTAGCAAAAGCTTTATTTCTAAGGTATCAGCCTTTTTGTTTTCCAATTTTGTTGTGAAAACTTTCAAAGATTCACACAGCAAAACAAATGATTTCCTATAACCATTTCCCCATTAATACAAGTAAATACTGTGTTAAGAGATATAATTTCAGTTTTTCAAAGATGACTTTTGGGATGCTTTCTCACAAGCCAGTTTGTAATAATTTTTCCAACTGATGCTTGATGAGATTGTTAGAATAAAGATTTGAATCTAAGATGACTCTCTAAAAATAGGACCCAAAACCTAAGCTGTATTTCCTTACAAATCAGAAAGGTATTTCCCCCTCCACTGTCTTCATGCCTCTCTCAAAAATGGAATTTGGGATTTTATTTTTTTCACGCTTAATGCAAACCTTCTCAGCCTTGCCATTATTGACATTTTCAACCAGATAATTATTTGGGAGTGGAGGGGGTTGTCATATATACTATAGAATGTTTAGCAGCATCTCTGGTTTCTCTTCTAGCTGCCAGCTGTACACCCTCAGTTACGACTATCAAAATTGTCTCCTAATATTGCCAACAAGATAGCTCCTGGTTAAGAACCAATATTTTAATGACATTCCAGTCTTCTTATCAGTTTTCATTCAGTCTAGTCTCTTTTTTTCAGAGGTATTCAATAAAATTTTTACCATTTGCATGTGTGATCTCTATTTCATTTTTAGGACAGAAGTGGCACCCAGCTTTAACATAGTGAGGAATGCCTATCATCTCAGGAAATCAATTATATTTTAAAAACAAAACCTTTATGAAACACATATTTGAGTTGTATAACCAAATTTGCCATTTAAAAATACATATGCTACTGCTACTTGATACAGTTTTCACCCAGTGTGATAAGAAATCCCTGTAAGGTAACACTATGTTTCTTATTTTCCATTTATAATACTGATTACTCCTTAATGTCAAATGTAGCTTAAGATAAAAGATATTCAAAAGTACTTGAACATGTGGATTATTATATAGTAGTTATGTCATAGCGCTTGTAGTATGTACATTCAAGCCATATTCAAAATGCTGTCTAATTGCCATTCAGCTAAAAACAGAAACCAAAGGGTAACTCAAGTTCAAATAACACATGAAATATACTCAAAACATTGGTCTGCTATAGATTTCTTTCTATAAATAATCCTCAAATATTCCCCTTTTCCAAATATATTTTAAAATATGTATTAATTACTATTAAAATATTGATTTAAAAATAGTATTTGGCTTTATACTAGAGGAATAAAAGAACATTATCTATACCTGGTATTCCAGTTTTGCTAGCAGAAGTCTTTGTTCCACTCTGAGTAGCATTACCTCCAGGGGATAAAGTCTCTGCAGGATATGTAGTCCCTAAAGTCTCCAGTTCTCCTCGGTTTGAAGAAAACACCAAATCCAGGGATGGCAGCTTTAACATGCATTCTACTCTTGATACTGGTAAACAGCTAAATTTGATCTGTGAGGGCTAAAAATAACAGACAGCAAAAGGTTTCTAGGAACTGGATAAAAGAAAAGTTTTAAATAGAAATAATATTGAAATGTTCAAATAAACTTAAGAAACATTTTTTTTAAACAGAAAGAAATAAAGTATATCACCTGAACTCATACATAAACCACAACATCTACAGGAAAGTTAAGAAATTTCACCTTGGATTTCAAAAGTTACATTTAATTTCCATTTCTGTCTACATATATTGATCATGTTTACTCATTTGATACTTAAGATTTTGTGTTCATTGTCCTAGCTTTTTAAACAGAAGCATGATATAAAAATCAAAATGTATAAACAAAATGCTATCATTTTTAAAAACCTAAATATTTGAGGAGCCATCTCAGAACAATAAGACAGTTGACCCTTGAACACCACAGGTTTGAACTGTGCTGGTCCAATTAACATATGAATTTTTTTCCGCCAAACATGGATTGAAAATACAGTATTTGGGATGAAAAACCCGCATATACAGAGGGGTGTCTCTTTTTTTAGTAATTCCTCAGGGCTGACTGCGGTACTTGAGTATGTGTGGATTTCGGTATACATGGTAGGGGGCAGGGGTAGTCCTACAGCCAGTCTCCTAAGTACACGGAGGGACTGTATTTAGATATTTAGATAGTTCAGAACCTTAAAAAAATTTATGCTCATATTAAACTTGTTCATAATTAACAAAGGTTGGTTTTTGTTTTTTTAGAGACACTCTGTTTTTTTAGAGACCACTCTGTTGTCCAGGCTGGACTGCAGTGGTACAATTATGGCTCACTGCAGCCTTTGAACCTACCAGTCTCAAGCCATCTTCCCATCTCAGCCTCCCAAGTTGCTAGGACCACAGATACATACAATCACGCCTCGCTAATTTTATTTTATTTTTTTTTGGTAGAGATGGGGTCTCCATGTGTTGCCCAGGCTGGTCTCAAACTCCTGGGCTCAAGTGATCTACCAGGCTCAAGTGATCTACCCGCCTCAGCCTCCCAAAGTGCTGTGATTACAGGTGTGAGCCACTGCACCCAGCCCAAAGGTTTTATAACCCTCAAACCCTCATTCATTCTGTTTTCATCAGACCTTTAAAAAAGCTAGCTAAAAATTCTGGAATGTAAGACTGAAGCTCTTTTGGCCACATTACTGTTATAGAAGATAGTTGGAACAGATGACCATTAGTGTTTCCTTACTCTTAAGATTATTAGATTTTAATTGAGGATCAACTAAACCCTGAAGTTTTGATACAAGTAGTTTTAAATCCTCCTTGATAAACAGATTTAATTAAATATGTACTATATTTTGTATAGTATATATGCTAATATATATTTTATTATATATAATATATACTAATATATTTGGTATAGTATATATGCTAATATATACTCCCAAAGGCCTATTGGTAGGACTGCATTTTAGAATAAAATATTAAATAAAAACTAGGTAACACTTAGCAAAAATTTGAACAAAGGTACTATTGTGACTTTATATCTCAATTACACTTTATATCTGCCCAGAAAGAACTATAATGGCAAGAAATTAAGGTGCCAAAATAAAGGCATAAAATGCTTAAAAAAGGGTTTTAACTTAAATATTTTTATTTTTGTCACAGAAGTATGAGCTTTAATTTTTGAAAACCCAAAGATCTATGAAACTTCTTGGTAGAAAAGTGAATATAGATGATCTCCAATTTAGGCTGGGCGAAAGTGATACACATTCAGTAGAAACTGTACTTTGAGGACCCATACAACCATTCTGCATTTCACTTTCAGTACAACATTCAATAAATTACATGAGATATTCAATATTTTATTATAAAAAAGGCTTTGTATTAGACGGTTTTACCCAACTGAAGAGTAATGTGTTCTGAGCACATTTAAGGTAAGCTAGTTTAAGCTATGATGTTCAGTAAGTTAAGTGTATTAAATGCATTACTGACTTACGCTATTCAGTTTGTGATGGGTTAATCAGAACAGCATCATAACTTGAGCATCTGTATATACATAAAATTTTACACATACTTCACACATATTCTGGCAACCTCCAAGCCATCACAAACATACTAAAGGTTCATGAACCTGAGGTTAAGAAAACTTTTAAACAGTAATAATGTTGAAATGTTCAAATAAACTTAAGAAAAACATTTCTCTTTAAAACAAAAAGAAAGAAATGAAGTATGTCACCTGAACTCGTACATAAACCACAACATCTACAGGGAAGGAAGAGTAAGCAGATGTTGAAGACGACACTAGTGATGTTGTTGATTCTTCCATAGGATCTGGTATTTCAAAATGTCCCATATCTTCATCTTGTGAGCTGACAGCTGTTTAAAATATTTGGTTAAGTTTTATTATTAGATCAAAGGCAAACTATTTATTAAAAGATCCTTATTGTTTATACTAGAGTGAGATGAAAGGTATGAACACCCGGAAACATTTGCTTCTGTAGCCCTTCATTCTATACGTTTTTCCCTGTTCGCACCTCTTGCTCATTCCCCCAAACTCAAATTTTCCTGCTGCTATACCAAACACTGTACAAAGAAACTAGTGATTATATCCTTGCCCTCAAAGAGATTCCAGTCCAAGGGACACACTAAGGATGTAGAACTTATGTTAATTTTGTCATTAACTAGGTGGGGCCATGGGAAAGTTATGTAACCTCACCAGGACTTAGTTTCTTCATTTGTAAATGACAATTAGATGATCTCTCAAGTTCTTTTACAGTTTATAATTCTTTAACATTTATAATTGCATATATTATGTAATAATGTATAATAGCATTAAGAAAACCTTCTATATAATAAGATCCCAAAATATATGTTATGGGGAGGTATATAAGAAGGATGCTTACCTGTATAATTCCTTTCAACTGGTGTAATTGGGATAGTTTCCAGAGCTTTTTCCAGAAAGTCTAATAGGCAGGGACTAATAACCATTTCTTCTGGCAATGACTGAAGTGCTACCCAGGCATATAACTTGGCTGTTTTTACTCCTCCACTTCCTTTTCCTTTGGCTAGAACATTTATAAATTCCATTTAATGGATTTTATAAAAAGTTCCAATTAAACAGAAATTTGAATTATATTAAAGTTTAATCAAGCAAAGTACCTCACATTTAAGGCCTTACAAGAAAATAATAAAAGTAGCAGGTTGATAGGAATGATATGTTAATGTTAGAATACAGAGGCGATTAATAACATATAATAAGTTGGTTATTCCTACTTGCTCTGCGTCACAAGTTTTGGTCCAGTTTTTCAGCTTTATATTTTGGTTAGACTCTCATTAGCATTAGTCCTTTTGTCCATTTAAGAAGATATAGAGAACTTTAACAATATTTAGTGGCAAGTGAAGAAAAACGTCACTGTTTTCAGGCTTTCCTGTGCTTAGCTTGCATGTATTTATAATGCTTCCCTACATGGGATGCCATTTCTCTTTCCTTTTACCTAACTAAATATATCTGCTTCAGGAGAATGAGTAAAACATCTAAGACTTAGTTAGCTTTGGCTAAGGTTTCCAACTTTTAACATTTATTAGTTGTTCAAATCCAGGAAAGACATCCAACTTCTATGAGCCTTAACTTTCCTTTATAAAAGGGGTTAATAGCTGCCATGCACTTAATGGACACAGATGTGCCTTGTTAGCTGAAAAGTGATACTAGGCATTCTCAGCATGATTACTATTTTAAAAGGTTTATATATCAAGTTTTGTCTCCCAAATGAAACTTTCTCAAATAATTCTTGTCTAGTCTGATATTCCTTTTTTTGGAAATCCTGCCATGTATGTACGGTATCATTCATGTGCTATGGTAGCCAGATTCCAAGATGACATTCAATGATCCTTGCCTCCTGGTATTCATGCCCTTGTGTAGTTTACTTCCGTACTGACCTGTGTGATGAGTAAAACCTTGTGGCAGTGATGGTGTGTGACTTCTAAGGCTAAGCCATAAGAGATAATGCAGCTTCAGCCATGGTATCTTTTGGATCACTCCTTTTAAGGGAAGTCAACTGCCATATCATGAGAACACTCAAGAAGCCCAGTAGAGAAGCCCACATGAGAGGAAGGGAAGTACCAATTAGCCAGTCACATGACTGAGACATGATGGAGGCAGATGTTTCAGCCCCAGTCAAGTATTGTCATCTGAATACTTGACTGGGGCTGAAAAATCTGCCATGACTGCAATCTTGTAAAAGACCATAAGTTAGATCCACTGAGCCAAACTGTGCCTACATTTCTGATCAGCAGAACCTGTGGTTGAGGTTGTAAGCCACTAAATTCTGGGTAATGTGTTATACAACAGAGAAGTAATAAATGTGGTTAAACCCAATGTACTCTCAAGTTTGATATTTCCATCTGCTCATAAGCTCCCAAATTTGAGCTACATAAAACTACTCTTTTTATATATACAGACCTAAAAATTTAATTACGTAAACTATTTGGTATATTATTTATTTTATAACAGATATTCTAAAGTAATGTCAATTTCAAAAACAGGTGAAAATGGTTGGCCCACACTTCCATATATGAAGTCTGTAGAGTCATTATTGACAAATGTATGTCCTTTTTTCTTAAACATGTGCATTGGAAAGTCTCAAAAGAGCAAGTAGGTAATAACTAAAAATTTTTAAAATGACAAAAAATAAAGTATATACTCCTTAAATACCTGCAGGAATAGGTGGGGGCTGGGGAGGAAGTAAGGTGTTAGTCTTGCTCTGGACAGTGGAAGGTAAAGGAGGAGAAGGAGGAGATGTTGCACTATCTTTCATACCATACAGCTTGGACTCTTTGGACAGTGTTCTTGGCAAGGAAGATCCCCTGGAGGCATTAGGTGATTCAGTCTTTAGCGTCTTGGAATTGTAATGCAACTGTATTGAAATAAATAAACTTTTAAAATTAAAATTATGAAGATGAGGAAAATCAAGAAATATAGAAAAATGTGGTAGAAAGAACATTGGAAGTCAGAAGACTGTTTTAACTTTTAAAAGTTAGCTTTGTGATCCTGGCAAGTTTCTTTGCTTTTATTCATTTTTTAAAATAAAAAGGTCATTTCAGATAATCTTTAATGTCCTTTCGAACTGAATAGTCTATGATTCTATAATTCCAGAATCTAAAAAACTGTTGTTTAATGAAGTTGCACTAGCAAGGTTTAGCAAGTTTGTTACGAATATCAATTTATTAAAAAACCGAACTTCTTTCCATCAAACTTTCATGGAAAATGCTACATAAATGAAGTGGGAACCTGCAGTTTTGATGTTCTTCTGTCCAGAATATGGCTATATTAGACAAAGAAGTCACTAAGTCTCATTTTAATATAATGAGAAAAAGATGAACATATATGATAGAAAATAAACATTGCTACCAATAGTCTAATCCCTTACCCTAGGCAATTGGGTTTTTACCTTTACATCAACTCCGGGAATGTAAAATACTGTTGTTTCTAAGTCACTAGGCTTTGTCTGTAGAGATGATGGCACTTTCTTGCCGGTCATTAAATGGGTGGTAGAAGCATAATTAGTTTGAAACTTCTTCTTTTTTGAAGGTGAATCTTGATCTAAGCTCCTGGAACTTCGATCATAACTCCTGTGAACAGAAAAATGTTCTTATCTTTTTAAAAAATGACACATTTATCTTTTTGTTTAAAAGCAAACTTTTCGCAACCTACTCATCTGACAAAGGGCTAATATCCAGAATCTACAATGAACTCAAACAAATTTACAAGAAAAAAACAAACAACCCCATCAAAAAGTGGGCAAAGGACATGAACAGACACTTCTCAAAAGAAGACATTTATGCAGCCAAAAAACACATGAAGAAATGCTCATCATCACTGGCCATCAGAGAAATGCAAATCAAAACCACTATGAGATATCATCTCACACCAGTTAGAATGGCAATCATTAAAAAGTCAGGAAACAACAGGTGCTGGAGAGGATGCGGAGAAATAGGAACACTTTTACACTGTTGGTGGGACTGTAAACTAGTTCAACCATTGTGGAAGTCAGTGTGGCGATTCCTCAGGGATCTAGAACTAGAAATACCATTTGACCCAGCCATCCCATTACTGGGTATATACCCAAATGAGTATAAATCATGCTGCTATAAAGACACATGCACACGTATGTTTATTGCGGCACTATTCACAATAGCAAAGACTTGGAACCAACCCAAATGTCCAACAATGATAGACTGGATTAACAAAATGTGGCACATATACACCATGGAATACTATGCAGCCATAAAAAATGATGAGTTCATATCCTTTGTAGGGACATGGATGAAATTGGAAACCATCATTCTCAGTAAACTATCGCAAGAACAAAAAACCAAACACCGCATATTCTCACTCATAGGTGGGAATTGAACAATGAGATCACATGGACACAGGAAGGGGAATATCACACTCTGGGGACTGTGGGGGGTGGGGGGAGGGGGGAGGGATAGCATTGGGAGATATACCTAATGCTAGATGACGAGTTAGTGGGTGCAGCACACCAGCATGGCACATGTATACATATGTAACTAACCTGCACAATGTGCACATGTACCCTAAAACTTAGAGTATAATAAAAAAAAAAAAAAGCAAACTTTTATTTTTACAGTAAATGGAATACAATCCTTCATTTAAGAAGTTGAAAAAAGTAAAGTTCATCAGTATCTCTAGCGAGACTGGTTAATGCCTTGCATGAGTGATGTAAATGTTGTATGTTCCGTAACTATACAGGGCAGTTACCTTTATTCTTTCCTAAGGTCGTGACTTTCATTTGAATATATTAGGTTGAACCAAATGAAACTGCCCTTTATATAGTAAAAATACAGCTAAATATTAGCAATTTATTATGGGTTATGTTTCAATCAAAAATAAACTAATAGTCATCCTTTTTATCATCACTACTACATTTGTAAGACATTTTAACTGTTTATAGTACCTTTTTTATTTTCTCATATTTTATAAAAGCCTCAATTAAATATTTTATTATGGAAATCTTTGAATGTATAAAAAATAATCAGAATAGTATCATTAATGATCCTCCATGTTCCCACTACCCAGTTTCAATAATTGTCAGCATTCTTTTTATCTACATCTCCACCCATCCGCTCAATTATAACTATTTTTTTTACAGTTCATTTTTAGATTAGAAAAGGAAAACAAAATTTAAAGAAAAAAATGTTAATCCTGTTTATATCATCATTTAGTTAGTGATGTAAACAAATAGTAAAGCTGCAGTTATATCCTGAACACAATTTCAGTCTACTGAGGTCTGTGTAACTGTCTCCCAGTCTTTCTTATTTCTTTATGAACTTATCAAACTCTCAATAACCAAGATACTTCTGAGCATTGTGTTGTTCTTTAAAACTGAAATATGTATAATACAGGGACAGACACTGAGAAATTCATGTGTGTTAAAAGAATTCCAAAGATATAACTATTTTAATTAAAAAACTTGCAAAAATCTAAGTCAGACATCCATTTCTAGTTGCCAGAAAATATTATGCACTTGTTTATAAGAAACTGTATAAGAAATATACACTTGACCATTATAACTATAATTACATTTACACTTCAAATCTGCATTTTGGGATGGAGAAGTTTGTTATAATTCAGTGATATATGAATAGTATTTCTAATAGATAAAGTTTCATGTATCCTTTTCCAATCAATTTCTTACCTTCTCAAACTTATATCATCATGTTCTTGTAGAAGGGTGGTTGGGTGGAGTACACATTTTCCACTATCAATTTCAACCCGTATATCAAGTTCAAAGTCAATATTTCTCTCTGTAGCTGTGCCACTAAGACTTCTATTGACTGGTGTTGTTGGCCAGCGTTCTGTAAATAGCTGATGAACAGCAGCAAAGCCTGTTGCTTTTTTACGAGACGTATGTCTACAGAAAGAACAATTGATCATTACATTGTAGTAAAATGAGAGTTCTTTTTAACAAACTATTTTCCAACATGTTATGTGAGCAACAGTCTGTAAATAAATTTTACTATTTTGTAAATTCACATGAGTGAGTTTAATGGAGCCACACTTTATTCAGCTACTATGTACTGAATAACTATTATATGCCAGGCTATTTGCTAGGTGATGAGGACACAGACATAATCACCACTTTTAAGGAGTCTGAATATCAGTATATAAAATATACTGTGTATGTTGGAAAATATTTCATTTTCTCAAATTATAACATTTAAATGTTACTTTCCAGATTTTATTAAAGACAGAACAACAAGGAAAGAAAAATAATGCCATGTGATCTTTAACAAATGGTGCCGGAAAAACTGGATATCCACATCAAAAAAAATGAAATTGAACCCTTATGTTATACCATACAAAAAAATCAACTCAAAATGGATTAAAGACTTAACACCTGAAACTGTTAAACTCTTAGAAGAAAACATAGGGAAAAGGCTTCATAACACTGGTCTTGGCAATGATTTCCTGACACCAAAAGCACAGACAACAAAAGTAAAAAAAGACAAGTGGGACAACATCAAACTAAAAAAGCTTCTGCAAAGCAATGGAAACAATAGGGTGAAAAGGCAACCCATGGAATGGGAGAAAATATTTGTAACCATATATCTGACAAGGGAGTAATTCCCAAAGTATGTAACAAAATCCTAGCATTCAGAAACCAGAAAAATCCGATTTTAATAATTGGCTAAGAACTTAAGTACACATTTCTCCAAAGAATCAGCCAACAAGTATATTGAAAAGGTGTTCAATATTACCAGTCATCAAGGAAATGCAAACCAAAACCACAATGAAATATGACTTCATACCTGGTAACATGACTATTATTTAAACAAAAAGCAAAAACAAGTGTGTTGGCAAGGACATGGAGAAAACAGAATCCTTGCATATTTTGGTAGGAATGCAAAACAGAGCAGCTGCTAGGGAAAATAGTATGGAGATTCCTCAAGAGATTACAGTAGAACTACAACATGATCCAGAGATCCCACTTCTGGGTATTTATCCAAAAGAATTGAAATCGGGATCTCAAAGAGATATTAGCACTCCCAAGTTCACTGCAGCATTTTTCACAACAGCCAAGATGTAGAAACAACCTAAAATGTCCATTGACAGACAAATGAATTAAAAAATGTGGTGCATACATACAATGGAATTTTATCAGCCTTAAAAAAAAGACGGAAATGCTGCACTATGTGACAACATGTATGAACTTGAGGACATTATGCTACATGAAGTATGCCAGATACAGAAGGACAAATACTGCATGATTCCACTTACATGAGGTATCTAAAATTGTCCAACTCATAGAAGTAGAGAATAGAATGGTGGTTGTCAGGGGTTAAGGGTCTGGGGGAGGTTGGCCGTTGCTAATCAATCATGTATAAAGTTTTAGTTACGCAAGATTAATAAGTTCTAGAGATTGTGCCTACAGATAACACTGTTGTATGGCACACTTAAAAAGGTGTTAAGAGGGTAGATCTCATGCTAAGTGATCTTACCAAAATAAAATATTTAAAGAACTTATCAAATTGTATATCTGGAAAATATGGTTACACTAATGTAAATTATATCTCAATAAAACTGACAAAATAGTTTTTACGAAGGCAACGTAAAACATAAAAAGTAAAGAGATATAGATCATCTGTCCAGGAAGGCAAATGTCCGATTACTGTTAAGACAAAACAAAAAAAAAAGGGAAGAATTTATCCACACAACTATAAAGTAATATTTCCTATAACCAAATTTATATTCTAAGAAATACCAAAATACCTAGAAAAATTGTTAGAAAAGACGCAAACTTGGACCACCATGAAATTAAATATAATGACAAGATTCTAAAAATGTCCAGGAAGAAAACAGATATAAAATATCAAAAAAACTTAAGTCACATTGACAGAACTGAAAAAGATAACCAGCATATGCCGAATATGGATGCTGGAAGATAACAGAACAGTTTTTCTTACTTAGGAGAAGAAATACATATTAGACTAGAATTCTGTTCCCAACTCAATAATAAACACAAAAATAGTAAAGCTACTTTAGACATGAAGAAAATGAAGTAGATCTGCAATAATAACTTTTCATAGTAAGTTATTTGAGAATGTACTCCAGAAAAATGAAGGAATAAAACCAAATATGCTGATGTATGGGATTCAGCAGTCAGTGGCTTCAGTCTAGGAAAGGGAGGAAAGAATCCCTAAAACTCAAAATGTAGAAGATTGAAGACAGAGAGTTTCTTATAGATCAGCTTTTGGTTACACTCTTGTGCTAAGCCAATTTCTCATTATTTATTACCATTATTAGAAACTCTTACTATTATTGTCACAACCTCACTTGAGGGCGGTTTAAATAGACCAGTTCCAAAGATCCTTGCCGCTCCTCTTGAGGGCATATTCAGAGCAAAGTTTCACATATGTCATTTATTTCATTAACACCATTTCATGTTATTTCTTTCTTCTAAGAATTTGCTTAAGTCTTTCATCCATTGCTAACCATTTCCCTTTACTACTTTTCTTAACTAGCCTTCACTATTACATATCTCCTTGCTGCAATCTGTTAATGTAATGCCACAGGAATACAGCCCTCTCCTTTAATTTACTCGTAACCACATCTTTATTTCCATTTTATTTTAGATAATTAAACTTAGGTGACATGAAAAAAAAATTTAAATTTAAAAAATAATGTTATATGGAGCTACATCACAATAAACCATGTGATAAATTTTATTAAAATAAATTTTATTTTAATGAGTCTGTTAGTCTCACTCAAGCGAGGCACATTAAAAATGTTTTTTGTAAAAGCTGAGTTATATATAACATTTTGTGCTCATTTCTAGATTCTGAAATACTACATTATGATCTTAAAATAAGGTTACTCACGAGGGTTTCCTGTAAATATAAAACCTTTCCCTCTCATGGTCTTCATCTTTTTCATCCTTCTCGGAATCTTCACTGGTAGAAGACAAACTGTCATCCCGTCGGCCCTCTTCAGTTTGGAAAGGAATGCCTGGTGAAAAGCCTCCTGGAGTTTTGGGAGAACTGAACACAGAACATGATCCTTCACTATTTGATGAATAATGGGATGGACCTTCAATGGTTACTGACAAAAGGTCCAGTTCTGTCTCCTCTGGAAACTGATTGTAAAAAGAAAAAACATGAATCAGATTCATATTTCAATTAAAAAAAGAAAAAATATATAAATTTAAACATTTAAAAATTATCTCAGAGTTGAATTTCTTCACTCTGAACTGAAAGAAAGGTCAGATTCATGAACATATGAAATAGTACACCAAGGAAGGAAGCAAAAGGGCCAACCACAGAAAGTTACACTACTGACATACTAAAAATCAGAATGAAATTTTACTTAATATAAACATATATTACTGTATCAATAACACTGTAATTCTTTAAAGCAGAAGTTAAACATGTGGAAGCAAAAGAAACATGATTAAATCAGAATGGCAAGAGCAATTAGTGATGGAAGAGCATGCAGTATCAGTACAAAGTTTATTGTTTTCTCATCATGCTAGTAGATGCTTTTTGTGGATCTTTTAAATGCTAGTAGATGCTTTTTGTGGATCTTTTAAAAGCTAGTAGATGCTTTTTTGTGGATGCTTTTTGTGGATCTTTTAAAAATGAGCCCCACATGAGTTAAAGAAAAATGTGCAAATAGCCGAGTAATAAAACATGTATCAATCAAACTGAAGAATGCTGTATTTTAAGGTAAATACAGCCGGCTCTCTGTAAACACCTACAGATTCAATCAAGTGCAGATGGAAAATATTGGGGGAAAAATAAAAATAATAGTACAATAAAAAATAATACATATAAAAGATTTAACAACTGTTTACAATAGCATTTGAAGTGTACTACTAGGCATTATAAGTAATCTAGAGATGATTTAATGTATATGGGAGGATGTATGTAGGTTATGTGCAAATATTGCACCATTTATAAAAGGGACTCGAGTATTTGTGGATATTGGTATGCATGGGGGTCCTAGAACCAATCCCCCACAGATATTGAGAGATGACTACAGTTTGTATAAACACCATGTCACTAACTCAGGATTTCACCAGGAGGCCACTGCATTTAAATAGGTCAAACAAAACAAAACAAAACAAAACAAAACAAAACACCCCCCTATGACCTAATTTTGATGCCCAGCTTCACAGAGTCACAGAGTTACTTGAGCAGTAATAAGCCTTTATAAAGTTTAATGTGCAAGGTAATTTATGTGCAATTTGTTATTAAAACTACTGGATGCTGCTATTCCATATACAGTTAAGTCCTACATTGAAAATTTCAAATCCAGGTGTTCTTCATTTTATATAGTATACATGTTACTGAGTTAACAAGTAAATTAGACTGTTAGAACAGCCAATTTTTAAAACTTTGGTAAGAGACAATAAATATTTGTTTCATATTTACTTTATATTTAACCATGCTTTAATTATTTTCTAATTTATGATTAGAAAAATCTAATATTTAATCTCATAGCTATTATATAATTCATGATTTTTTATATACCATTTTTTTACAAGCAGTACATGGCTAATTTAAAATGGGACTTGAATTGAATCACTTCAAATATTAATCCCTTTGAGAATCATCTAGTTAGCAGAACCCACTCCATTCGTGTAAATTCTTTCTTTCCAAGTTTTCTTCATAAAAAAAGAACAAGCTCACTACATTACAATTAAATAGTTCTTTAAAAAATCCAGTTTGACTAAATTCAGTATGAGATACATGTTGAGACTCAAGCTTGAAGAGAGTGACAAAAGGGAAACAAAATATATTTGGATAAGTGCTAATTTTTAAATGTACCTTGACAAAAAAGATCTATTCATTCTTCCACATTGTTTTGAACAAGAGAATAATTTAAAAAATGGATAGTTTCATAAATGTTCTTTTACACCAGTGACTCAAAAGAATGTTCAATTATTAATGTTTGTTCTGAATTAAATTTAATTCTAGTTTGAACTGATCTTTGTTTATGAAAAAATTCATTTTGTAGTTGAATATAAGGAAAAACTGCTTCACTTAGGGATTAGGAAATAATAAATTGTAGTTTTTTTTATGATTTGGTTGAATTGATTTGATTAGCTGATTTAGTCTTTAATAGTATTAAACTACACAGAAGTAAAAACCAAGACAAATGCATGCAAGAGGTTATGAGATTCAAACAGTCTTAAACCATTATGTAAAATATTTCTGAGGTCTAAGTTAAGTTTGAAATGAGAGGAAGATATTTTGAAAGTAGATTTTCAGTGTGGTTGATTAGTTTTAAAGCAAAATTTATATTGTTCTTAGTAAGTACCTGAAAATACCCTTCCCCAGGACAGCTGGATTGTGGTGTACTTCCCCATACTGTATTTTTCAACTTAATTAAAATAATGAGAAAAGTAAAAAAAAAAAAAACTCATGAAAAATAACAATGACTTAAAAGTAAATACACAAAAAACAAAATAAACATTTTAATATAATGTTTAATATGCTATGAAATTAGAATACAACTTTGAAGCTGATCTTCTTCCTTCTAATTTCTGCTATCTATAAATAAAATACATAAATGAGTATCAATATTCCACGTTTACATTTGTGTAAGATGTAGTTTAATATGGATTCTCACTTGAAAGAAAAATTATTCAACAAAAACCTTTCTACTTAAGAGAAAGCAGTTATGGAGCCTTTATTGTGCATGTAAAATGTAAAATACTAACACCTGCTTCATGGCTCTCAGAAAATGTTATAAGGGCAGTGCCCACTACTTGGTAATATGCACAGTTCAGTCATCACAATCCATACTTTGATTATAGTAAGAAATCAGTATTTTGAAATAGTATAATACCATAATTTTGTAATTTGTAAAAACTACTTAGCAATGTATATCTCTAACAAATTATATATCTCTTACTGTATCCTGGATATTAAAAGTTACTCTAGGTCCAGGAGATGCTGCATCCACACGGATTTCTGGGAGCTCTTCAGTTTCTCCTACTCGAGAACTGCAAGTAAATATAAAGTTATAAAACACCAATATTCTCATTAAAAAAATTCCTGGACTTTATAAAAGTCTGATTAATGGCAATGACATTTTATTTGTAAGTATTTACCTAATCAAAGGATTGAACTTTCTCTTAACCTTTAGCATCCCATAAAAAAGAGTCAATGTTTTGGTTAACTCAAGATTTTTCTAAAACTAAATCATATAAAAAGAATTTATACTTCTTACGTTATAGTGCTGATTTACTATTAAAACTGTATTCACTTCAATAAAATGTAAAATTTCCATTTTTTCATATGCTAAATGTCTGTGTGACTATACCTTTTCTAAACTGACAAATCTAGAGCAGTAGCTACTAGTATGCACCTTTTAATTTCTTTGGATAATCTATAAGTTTACGCATAAAACTTGTCTATCCTTCTAAACCACAGTTTTATGTAAATAAAACAGAAACTTGTCTAAATAGCAGCGTACTTCATTACTAAAAAGCACTTACCGCATTGTGGTTATAAATGTGATGAGAGATTCCTTAAATAAACTTCTGAGTTTGATAGTATCCACTGTTATTGCTATTTTACTAATAAAATTAATTTTTGTTATCTTAATTTTATAATTAGAACATAAAAAAGTAGTTGACCTTGGTAAAAGAGTCAACAATTTTATTACTTGTTTCAATGGCTGAAATATATATTACCTTGCCCTTTCCATTCGCTTAAGAGGTGGTCTTCCAGAAGCAGAAATGCTTTTTGATCGGCTGTAACTTGGTTTGTAACTCAAACCCCACTTATCCTTTAGGGAAGCAGCCTAACAAAATGGGAGAGAAAAAAGGGTGACTATAGGTGATTATTTACTGTATTTGACTTCAAATAAAAGAAAATATTCTACTATTAAATAAGTTGTTTTCCCCAGGGGACTTTAATGTTACTTAACAATATGAGTCAAAATAGAGGAGGAATCAGCTATTCTTTGGTTCTAACACCAATTAGGAGGCGCAATGAAAACAGGAGCCACCAGCTGACCTGAGAAAAAAGAAGAAAAGAGAAAGTTTGGGGGTAGGGATGAGGGTACAGAAACATGGTGAGAAGAAAGGAAATGATTTTAAAATTAAGAATGGAGAAAGAAACTGAGAATTAAAGTTTTGGGAGAAAGCTAAGTTCGGGGCAGTGGAGACAAAAGATCACTTTTCTCCAAGGGCATCCCGTTTGTAGGACTCTTCATTACAACAAAGGAAAGTAAGAGTGTTAATGACTTAACACTCTCCCTGTCTCTAAGTCCCTCTTCTAGAAACTCGTGATGGTGCTAGATAGTTAAAAGATTTTAATACAGTGGAGTTTTGGAGTCTAAGATGGATAATGGGAATTGAGGGGAATATGTGGAATGAGATGTGTTAAGAATGCAGATGTTTTAACAACTTCCCTAATTCTATCTAGTTTTATTTTTAACAGTCAATTACCAAATATGACTTGTAACAGGACACAAGTAATATTTTAATTATATTGTATGACTGTTGTGTAGACAGCAAAAATTTAAAATATAAAATTACATGTTACAGATCTCACTATCCATTATTACTATCAGAGACTAGTGACAAATAAATTGGAGAGCAGTATTCAAACTATATTCTCTGGGAGTTAAGAAGTGATCAAGGAAGGGCAGGTCAAGCCAATAGCTCCTGGAACCCTGCATCAAACTTTCCCCTTTCCTTTGACACCTGCAGCTCTGATTTAATATGTTTTTCATGTGTTGGGGTACCACCTAAAAATCTCATCCTGGTTAAAAAAAAAAAAAAAGAGGGTTCTCTGTTGGTTTAAAAAATTTTAAAACCAATTACTTTTTTTTTCCTTTTAAGTGGTTTTTAGACTTTGTTTTCAGTTTCACATGTAAGGAGTTTGGAAGTCACCATTCCATCCTAACAAGAAGTAAAAAGCTGAACAAACTTAAGAATCAACAGCTGTTCTTGGAGCTGTAAGAAAGGCGACAAGGAAGGACAACTTCTGCCCCTCACATTGGAGAAAGAGACCAGTAAATACAGTGAGTTACAGCTTACCAGGACAGAGATGCACAAGTAAAAACTGCTGCAGGAACCAACACTGGGGTAGGAACACCTGAACTGTAATTGAAGAATTGCTGGAAGGTTCAGTGCAGACAAGTCTGAGAGTTAAAAACTCCAGGGGGACCCAGTCACCGGTGCCCCTGCAATATTGTGAGATCGCCTTTCAGTAGTTCCACCAGGTTCCCACAGAAAATGTCAGGGGAAAAAAATCCCCTCAGGAGAAAAGTCCCCTAGGCTTCCAACACGGGGAAGGGAAAAGGAAACATTTTGAAAAAACACTAAGAGTACTTTCTTTTTCTGAATAAGAAAAAATGCCCTTAGGAGAAATTAGCTAACCAGAGCCTAACCAGTGGGAATATTATCAGAGTATAACTGACCTGGGGAAGGGAAATACAATACCAATGCAGTCAGTTCTATCCATACTGGTCCATCTAAGTTGGGAGGAAAAAACTGACAAACATGAAGTTCACAGTTCAGAGGCATAGGCTCATTAAAAGACGATAAAATGCTTCTCTTACCCTGACACCTTAACATTACCTCACTAAAGCTTCTTTACAGCAGCTCTTTTTACTTGGTAAATCATGTCTGGCTATCAATAAAAAATTACAAGGCATATCAAATAGCAAAAAACACAATCTAAAGAGACAGAACAAGCATCAGAACCTCATAGAAGGGATGTTGGAATTATCAGACTAGAAATTTAAACCAACTATGATTACTATGCCAAGGGCTCTAACATAAAGTGGACAGCATGCAAGATCAGCTGGACACTGTAAGTTGAAAGATGACAATTCTAAGAACCAGAAAGAAATGCTAGCAATCAAAAACACTGTGACAGAAATGAATTACTTTGATGAACTTATTAGTAGACTGGACATGGCTGAGGAAAGGATATTTGAACTTGAGGATATATCAATAGGAACTGCAAAAAGTGAAAAGCAGAACAGAGACTAAAAAAACAAAACAAAACAGTATATCTAAGGACTGTGGGACAACTACAAAATGTGTAAGTATGTGTAATGGAATACCAGAAAGAAAAGAGAAAGAGAAAGGAATAGAAGAAATATCTGAACCAATAATGACTGAGAGTTTTCTCAAATTGTTGTCAGATGCCAAACCACAGATAGAGGAAGCTCAAAGAACACCAAGCAGGATAAATGCCAAAAAAAAAAAAAAAAAAAAAAAAAAAAAAAAAAAATTACATGTAGTTATATCATTATCAAACTACAAAAAAAAAAAAAAGATAATGAAAAAAGCCTGACTTTTTCCTCAGAAACTATGCCAGGTAGAAGGCAGTGGAGTAAAATATTTAAAGTGTTGAGAGGAAAAAAACAACCCAACAACCTAGAATCATATACCTTGCAAAATTATTCTTGAAAAGTGAAGACTTTCTCAGACACAAAAATTGAGGGAATTTGTTGCCAGCAGACCTGCCTTGCAAGCAATGTTAAAAGAAGTTTTATAGAGAGAAGGAAAATGATATAGATCTCTATTTAAAAAAGGAAGAGCATTAAAGAAGAAATGAAGGTAAAACCTTTATCTTATTCATAATCGACCTAACAGGTAAGTTTGTTCAAAATAATACCAATAATGTATTTGACTATATATATCACATGTGTGTGAGTGTGTGTATATATACACACACATATATACACATGCACACATTTAATACCAATAATGTATGACTATATATAAATCGCATGTATATGTGCACATGTATGTATAAATGTGTGTGCATGTGTATATATGTGTGTGTATATATGTGCACACGCATTTATGTATATGCTTATATATGCTTAAATATAAGAGAAATGAATGACAGTAATGATACAAGAGACAGGAGGGAGGGATTATGATTATTTTGTTTTAAGGTACTCCCACTGCCCATAAAGTGGTATAGTGTTACTGAAAGTAGACTTGGATTAATTATACGTGTACAGATGGTCCTTGACTCATAATGGTTTGACTTACGATTTTTTGACTTTATGATGGCACAAAAGAGGTAACATTCAGTACAGTCCTCAACTTATGATGGGGTTCAAGCTGGATAAACCTGTCATAAGTTGAAGATATCATAAGTCATTTTGACTTTTCAACTTATGGGTTTATTGGGATGTAACCCAATCATAAGCCGAGAAGAATCTGTAGACTGCAGTCTCTAGGGCAACCACTAAAAAAAAAAAAAAAAGAAAAGAAAAAGTAAAAAAAGAAGTGTAACTGATATGCTAAGAAAAAACAGAAAATGAGATTATATAAATGGCTCAATTAAAACCACAAAAGGCAGAAAAACGAGAAGACAAAGACAGGAACAAAGAGAAAAGGCAAAAAGTAGAAAATAGTAACAAATACAGTAGATATTAATTCAAAGCTATCATTAATCACTTTAAATGTCAGTGGTGTAAAATGATCTTAAAAGACAGACTGTCAGAGTGGATTAAAAAAGATCTGACAATGTGTTGCTACAAGAAACCCACTTATATATACATATTTAAGCATATATATTTAAAGACACATAGATTAAAAGTATACAGATTGAGAAAAATATACCATCCTATCACTAATTAAAAGAAAGCAGGGATAGCTATATTAATTTCAGACAGAGCAGATTTCAAAGCAAAGAAAATTATCAGGTATAAAGAAAAAGAAGAGCATTATGAAATGATAAAGGGGTCTAGTCTTCAAGAACAAATAACAATCCCTAATGTGTACATGCCTAACAACAAAGTGGGCTGAGCATGGTGGCTCACACCTGTAATCCTAGTGCTTTGAGAGTCGAAAGCAGGAGGATTGCCTGAGGCCAGGAGTTTGAGACCAGCCTGGGCAACATAGCAAGACCCTGTCCCCACAAAAAATGTTTTAAAATCCTGCCAGGCATGGTGTCATGTGCTGTGGTCCCAGCTACTTGGGAGGCTGAAGCAGGAGGATTGCTTGAGCCCAGGAATTTGAGGTTGTAATGAGCTATGATTGCACCACTGCACTCCAGCCTGTGCAACAGAGTGAAACCCTATTTCTTAAAAACAAAACAACTGAGTGTCAAACTATGTGAGGCCCAAACTAAGAGAAATGCAAGGAGAAACAGATGAATCCACTATTACAGTTTGAGACTCAATAACCCTTTATCAGAAATGGACATATCTAGCACACAAAAAAATCAATAAGGACATAGTTGAACTCAACATATCATCAGTCAATTGGATATAATCAACACCTACAGACAACTTCATCTAACAACATCATAATAACACATTCTTCTCAAGCTCACGTGGAACTTTCACCAAGAGAGACCACATTCTGGACCAAAAAGCATAACTTAACACATTTTTAAAAATTATAAATCATGGCCAGGCATGGTGGCTCACACCTGTAATCCCAGCATTTTGGGAGGCCAAGGCGGGTGGATCACGAGGTAAGACATTCAAGACCAGCCTGGCCAAGATGGTGAAACCCCGTCTCTACTAAAAATACAAAAATTAGCCAGGTATGGTGGTGGGTGCCTGTAATCCCAGCTACTTGGGAGGCTGAGGGAGAGAACTGCTTGAACCCGGGAGGTGGTGGTTGCAGTACACCAAGATCACACCACTTCACTCCAATCTGGGCAACAGAGCGAGACTCTGTGTCAAAAAAAAAAAAAAAAAAAATTATAAATCATAAAATGTCTGCTCTTAGACCACAGTGGAATTTAACCAGAAATCAACAACAGAAAGATACCTGAACATGAGTTGAAGAAAAAAATCTAAAGAGAAATTTTAAAATATAAAAGAAAATCAAAACACACTTATCAAAATTAGTGCGACACAGCAAAAGCAGTGCTTAGAGGATAATTTATAGAACTGAATGCATACATCAGAAAAGATCTAAAATCAATTATCTAAACTTCTATCTTAGAAAACTAGAAAAAAAAGGGCAAATTAAATCCAAATTAAGCATAAGAAAAGTAATAATAAAAATTAGAGAAGAAATAAAACAAACAGGAAATCAATAGAGAAAAATCAACAAAACCAAAGCTGGTTCTTTGAAAAGATCAATAAAATTGATAAGCCTCTAGCCAGGACAACTAAGAAAAAAAGAAAGACACAAATTACTAACATCAGCAATAAAGGAGGGTATACAACAACAGACCCTATGGCTATTTAAAGAATACAGGAATACAGTGAACAAATCTATGCCCACAGATTTGATCACCTAGATGAAATAGACCGATTCCTTGAAACATACAATTTTCTAAAATGGAGAGACGAAAAAGACAATCCAAATAGGCCTGCATTTATTAAAGGACTGGATTAATAACTTTACAAAACAAAAAGCAGCAGGCCCAGGTGGGTACACTTGTGAATCGATAACTCTTAACAAGTTACCTTTAATTTAAAAAATGAAGCAACAAAAGGGCAAAATGGTTTTTAAAAAAAGTTTTCTACTCCTAGACTCAAACTCTAATGGGACCGACTAAACCTGCAAAAAATAAAGATTATAAAGTGCATTACAATGCACAGTAGCTGACAGGTAAATTCTGACCTGGGAGAATGGGATAGGTGAAGAACAGACATCTTAAAATTTTTCACATTTTTTGCAGAGTTCACATTAGAGACTAAAAAGAAGAGTGATTTCATGAAAAACAGACAAAACACAGTGTCTAAGGGCATAGACTATCGAGTCCTACAACCTAGGTTTGACTATTGTCTTCCCCAGGATTACTAGCTGTATAACTTTGGTCAAATTACTTGACCTGTGTCTCAGTTTCTTCATCGTTAAAATAGGAAAATAACACAAGCTACCTCCTAAGTTTGTTGTTAGGATTTAATGGGTGATTACATGTAACGTGCTTTAGATGGTACCTGGTACGCAGTAGATATGATAGGAAAAAGTCAGGTGGTTTTGTCACCAGCATTGAAAGAAAAAAGAGAACTCACCCGCATACTGGACCTCCGTAATTTTTTACGAACATCTCTTCTAATGTCATTCACAGCCACAGATTCTAACTGTTGGTAACGTTGAATTTCCTGGTTTATGGTTCCTTCACTTGCACCTAATTTTCTGGATGCAAAACAAATATGGCAATTATTGTAAATAAATAACAAAGTAAGACTGATTTTTTACTTGCTCCTTTTTAATTCTTGTCAGAATACCAAAGATGATTATATACAGACAAGCCAAAACCCTCAATAAGCTTAACACTCATATTTGGCGAACTGTTAAGAAAACAAAAAACATCTCTCTCTAATGTTTGAGGAAATGTGTCTTATCCATTGCTGCATCAAGAGTCTCTTTGGCAATCTCATGAAAACCATAGACCCACTCTGCAAAAAAAATGTCTGGATGTAAAATTCTACATATAATATAAGCCTTGGGTACGATTTTGGAGGAAAGGTATATTTTGCTTCAAGTCATTTTTTCCCCTGAGACCAAAACTCAAATTGTAATGTAAGTCAACAGGAAAATGTGAATCACTGCATGATAACTTACAGACAAGTTTCAGACAATACATTTTGCTATACAAAATGCATATAGTTGTGTAAGGTCCTTGATTGTTTAAAAAAAAAAAAAGCACCAGTACAAGTATATGCAGATTAGAAAAGATGAGGCATGACCATTACCTTTTGGGAAAATAAAATTGCGAAGTTTAGCAACAAGAATATTTACTGTAATAGAAGAAGTATTACTTAGTAATATCCAGCAGGCAACAGATAAAGATTAATGGATTTATTTATATATGCCTGTGAAGATACATATAAGAGTAAATACACATGTAAAGATACATATATGTGATATAAACCATCAGTCATAAAGTGCTCAGAAATAAGTTGTGAAAAACACTAGGACACTAGGATTTCATGCCTTTTTTTTTTTTGGAGATGGAGTCTCGCTGTGTCACCCAGGCTGGAGTGCAATGGCGCAATCTTGGCTCACTGCAACCTCCTCCTCCCGGGCTCAAGCGATTCTCCTGCCTCAGCCTCCCGAGTAGCAGGGATTATAGGCATGTACCACCACGCCCAGCTAATTTTTGTATTTTTAGTAGAGACAGGGTTTCACCATGTCACCCAGGCTGGTCTTGAACTCCTGACCTCAGGTGACCCACCTGCCTCGGCCTCCCAAAGTGCTGGGATTACAGGCATCAGCCACCATGCCCAGCCTCATGCCTAACTTTATCACTAATGAGTGTATAATCTTGACCAAATTATTAAACAACTCTGGACCCTGGTGATATCACAGATAAACTAAAGAGTTTGTATTAGACCAAATACAGTTTCTTCCACTTTTAACATCTTATGATTCTAAAATTAGGGAACATTATATTAAATTAAAAATCATTGTACATACTTCAGATCATCTATTACTTTGGCCTGTTCATTCAGTTCTCTGATATCCACTATACGCTTCATAATTTTTCTTCCTCTAAGTTCTCCCGGCTGGCTAGCAGATGCTGCCTGTCTTCGATAATCTGTGGCTTCCTGAAAAGTCAAAAGTGTATCTGTCAATACCACCCTCAAGTCACACAGCAAATCTATACTATCACAAAATTAACACCTTAAATCAAAGCATGCAAGAATCAAAACCATCTATATTAAGGTTGGAATTCTCCATTGATTTAAATCCCTTCAATTTCATAAGGAATCTATTTAGTTGCTACCTACGTTTCCCCATGAGTGTGCTCTGCATGCTTTCAAATGGGACTGGCTAGACTGAGGGGAGCCCCACATCTCTGGGTCACACAGATACTCTGCAGGAACAGAATGGCGCTGATTTGGGGGTGTCAGGCCTAGTAGGTGATTTACAAGTCGCTGCCCAAAGGTGAGTTTGTGGCCATCTCCACTTATTGAACTTCCATCTGAACTCTAAGTAATAAACAGTAATATTAAATTTAAAAAAATTTCTTCCCAAGAACAAAACTATTTCATGGTATAATAGTTAAAAGATATTGAAAATAATTTTTAAAAATCAATACCAGAATGAAATCAAAGAATAAGTTTCTTTTTGCCACAAAATAACTTGAAACTACAGAGTGTATAGTATAGATGAAAATACGTATTTTTAAAATGTATCATTTCATTTTGTATATGCACTTTGCTTTGAAATTCATCTTGAACATCTTTATTGAGATATAACTCACGTACCATAAAACTCACCCATTTAGTATATTCACAAAGTTGTACAACCATCATTAAAATCTTAGTTGGGAATATTTTCATCACTCAGAAACCTCATACCTGTTAGCAATTTCTTCCCATTCCCCACCCTGCCCCACTCCCTACTCATTTCAGTTTTAATATTATTATTTTACCTATAGGTTAAAGCACAAGTTGGATGACAGTCAACATGTAGCACAGAACTCGATTAAAAGACAGTATTATGAAATGTAGACACAGTGAACCACCATTCCCTTCTCTTCCTCCACAAATAGCAACTATAATATACTAAATAACACTGAACAAAAAATATCCCTGTCTCAGGGTAAAAGCCAATCCTGAAAAATTCTAACAGTGAGTTTACTTACAGTATGGATAGTGGGAGACATAGTATCAACTTCATCCTCATCTGACAGGTCAGCTATGTTCACTGAATTTAAGTCAGCAATGTCATCTATGTCTTCCTCTCCTGTCAGTGTTGTAAGAGTATTGCCCAGAGCATTAAGCCTTTTGCCAATGTTAGGATCCATGTGAACATCAATCCCACACATTTTCCACAATACGTTGAGTGTCCAGGTTCCAGCACTACTGCTTTCTGTTTAAATAAAGAAGTTGCATTTTTGTTAAGTCCTGGGTATAGAAATTGAAATAACTTTACAAAGTAATAATGGCCACATATAATAACTAATGTCTTTCACTGCTAAACTTGTCAGAAACATCAGACTACAGGATTGATTTCTCTATGTGTACAGTGTGCATCTACTGTTTCCTCTGTATAGCACCTATTTTCTTTTTCCCTATGAACTACAGGTTCACTCCCTGACCCCAAGTTGATCCACCATCCTATAGCTACAGTAGGAATTGCCATGACCTTAGCTCATTAGACAGAATTAATTAGGTTAATTGGTCCAGGTGAAGGTCAAAGTTGGAAAAATAAGATATTTTGCCTGGACTTGAGGAAAGGTTGGTCGTTCTCTAATGACTGAGGGTGGAGAAACGAGACTCCACTGTGTTTCTTGCCATGTATAAGAAAGAGGTTACAAGTTAGAAGAAGAAGAAAAACAAGTAGCCAAGAGGGGAGCAAAGAAGCAAAGACAAGAGCTACAAAGAGTCTTGGTGACAGTTGGGATCTTGGTTCTAGTAGTTCCTAAGGGCTCCTGAATTGACCTGGTTCCTTCTCTTCCCTGAAATAACCATTCCTAAGTTTAACTGTAGTCTGAAAATATCCTTTTAATAAGCATCCCCTTTTGGTTAATCTAGTCTAAGTGGGTTGTTGTCACTTAAAAGTCCTGACGAAGATTTATTTGTGACCTCAGTTGAAAATTCTCTAACTTTTCCAGTTCTTTGTCAGACTCTAGGCCTTGGTGCTTTCTAAGGTAACTTAGGATGAGCACTAAGGCTAGGCTTGGGGAGGAAAACAGAATGGTAAGGAGAGACTGGCAATCTACTAACCTTAATCAATTTCTACCTCTCTCAACATTTTAAGAGCCCTTAAATAAGTATCTCTGTAGCTCACCCTGTCCCTGTCCAATTTTATAACAAGCAAAACAATAAAAATTTATATTGTGCTATCATCTTAGTCAATTACCACTTTCATAGTTACCTCCTAACTGATTTCCTAGGCTTTTTTGCCCTCTAATCTTTGAAAGTGTTCCTTTGATAGTGTCGTCATTTGCCTTCTTGTTCAGAAACATTCAATGGCTAGCCTACTCACTACCCACCAAATCAAACTCCTTAATTTGGCATTTAACATTTTTCCATCTTTTTTTTTATATAACTCTATTCTAGCTAAATTGGACAAATCTGAATACTGCGCTTTAACATCATGATTCATGTTACATTATTCTCTCTGCCTGAATTTTCCCTGGCCCACATCTCCCAGTTTTTGCTTAAGAAAGATTTATCCTGTCCTTTGAGTGCTTGTTTAAATGTTTGTCCCTCCATGAAGTTTTCTCTGATCCCAGTATTCTCCCATATTTGAAAATATTCTCTTCTTTTTATACATTTCAATAGCAACCGGAATTTTATGTTTTATTGTACATATCACATATTTCAATGTAATTTTGTACATGTGCCTTAACTACATTGTAAAAATTTAAAAGTATGAAGGATAGAAAGTATATCTTATTCATTTTAATCTTTTCTAAAACATCTTGTAGTATATATATATGTATATATTTATATATATATATATAAACACACAGTAGGTGTCTGATTAATAATTGTTAAATAAATACAAATGTTCTAATACAAAATAGTTTTTTTTTAAATTAGTGAACACCAGAATTAGCTTAGCCAAAAGATTCTCTTGCCATTAAAATAAAGGCAGAATTCTATCTAACATAAAATAATGCTGCATGTGAACCTACCAGCTGCTGCTTGTCCTGTAGTTCTTGAACATACTTCATAGGTGCCATCTGGAACTACACCTGTACAAAAATCACCCCAAAAATAGTTTTCAATAAAAATACATTTGTGACTATATATTGTACTCTTTAATTTTTCACACAAGATTATTGTCTAAATACAAAGAGGATTACTATCCTTCCTAGATTTTAGTTCTTAATCTTTGGAATGAAAGGGCTATCTTAATGACTCATAAGATCGATTCTTATTGTGAAATAAAATATTTCACAATATTTTATTCTATGATTTAAATAATTTAACTGCAGTTTTAGCTTTACTTTCTGCATGTGATTTCCTTATTTGAGTGACAACACCTGGCCAACTCTGACACTCTAGATGGCTTATCTACTAATATCCAGGATGCTGTGACAATTTGTTATCATAAATGAATGGCACTTTGAGAATGCAAATGACTTAAAATAGAATTTTGGTAACTAAGAGCTGCCACATTAGGTCAGACACATGATTCATCAGTCTTACCTTCTCTTTTGACATGGAACATTTTATGAGAAAAAAAATGGCTGAAGGCTATGATGTCAATCTCAAGATCATGGACCTATCTCCAGAATATATCTACTTTAACTTTGAAACATTTACTACCAACTGGCTTTAATCTGGTAACTTCAGCTTCAAAAAAGATGTTAATTAAATTCAACAATTTTACATAGTAAAAGTTGAAACAACTTTTAAACAAAGTAAACTCTAAACATAGAATTAAGACCTTCCTCAGTCATCCTTAGAAGAAACTAAATATCAATTTAAACTCCAGAGTACATATATCTTTAATGTCCTTTTGTAATTCACTCTGAGAATCCTAAATTGGTATTCAAATGTTACTTAAATTTGAGCTTACTATTCATATTTTAGGTAATTTGGTATTACATTTCTGTCTTTGAAAAATTTCAAAAGGGAAAAATCTTTCCAACTTAGAAATATTACAACTTAGTTTGTGAGAGAGGATCTACTTGTTATTATGTTTTTTTAAAGACTGCCAATAAGTTTAACATCTAAATTATACCTTTGAACTGTATAGTACCTGTGTCTCACATACAAATTCTAATTAAGAAATAACTAGATTTGATTTTGGAGTATCACCCAATTCACCTTTGTAGTCATGGTTACAAATCTGAACAATAAGACCCACATTACCCTTTCAAATCCAAGAATGCTAGAATGAAAAGAAAACCCTTTGAAATCTGAATAACATAACTGAGGCCAAGTGAAAGGAAGAATTAGTAAATAAAAAGGGAGAAGAAAACTTTTAGGATTTCCTATCCCAAGGAGTAGTAGAGAATTTTTAAAAATTAAGCTTAAAGGCTAGGTGTGGTGGCTCACACCTATAATCCCAGTGCTTTGGGAGGTCAAAGCCACAAGATCACTTGAGGCTAGGAGTTCATGACCAGCCTGGGCAACATAGTGAGACTCCATCTATACAGGAAATTTAAAAATTAGCCAGGTATGGCGGCATGTGCCTGTGGTCCCAGCTACTTGGGGGGCTGAGGCGGGAGGATTGCTTGAGCTCAGTAGTTCAAGGCTGCAGTGAGCTATGATGGCACCACTGCACTCCAGCCTAGGTAACAGAGCAAGATTCTGTCTCTAAAAAGCAACAAAAACATTAAGCTTAAAAGATGAATATATAAACTCATAGAATATAGAGCCACGATGAATTAATAAGGAATATTACGATTTTTAGATGTAGATCTGAATCCTGAAAATGAGGACTAAGAAATCAACTAGTCTCTTCCCCATAATACCTGTGGTTTCTGTATCACAGACAGAATGATGACTTGGAGCAACCATTAGGCTGAATGCAGGATGGTAATTTTTCTGCTCTGATGACCAAAGGCTACCTAGGTTTTACAGAGAGCTTGCAGACATCTAAACTTCTGATGGTTTATTTTGTCTGAATACACATTCATGATATTGTCCTAATATTTACTATCTACTTAAATCGTTCTTTGAACTCTTCCTATAGACTGTCCTTGTTAATTTCTAATGCATTTCTCAATAAACATTATCACCTAGAGAAGAAATTTTACTGGGTCACTTTTTTTTTAGAGTATGTTTTAAAAATGACCTGTTAAAAAAATTCTAAGGCATAATCCTAACATTCCTTATTTCTCTGCCCTATACACATCACCTTTGTTCAAAAATATTGAGGTATACTTATTACTAATAAAAACTATAAGCTAGTAAACTAATTTGTCCATTTTATCATTTGGAAGTTTTATAAATATGTCAGTTACATAACTACTCTGCTTATCTCCTTCTGGCCCCCTCCCAAGAAACCCAAACAATAAGCATGTTACAGAAGCATGTCAGTTAGTCCCCTCTAAAACCCAAAATAAATTATTCTGAGTATCATGATTACCAGCATGTTAGTGTTCTGTATTAACAGAATATATACTGAGGTGCTAAATTATTTGTTCATTTTTTAATGCATGTTTCTGATTCTGAGTCAGAGCGTATTTCTCATTTTATATCTTATGCATTTGCCCTTTAAGATAAACTGTTAAGGAAATGGTTTACTTCCTTTTTTTCCAAATATATTCTACTTATTTTAATAAATACAATGATGGTAAAGCTGTCACCTTAATAAAAATCACTAAGTTTAAATTTATTTTTGTCTTTTATTAAAAAAACAAAAGATATGTTTTAGTGATTTTTAAAAAGCCATGTATAACTATTGTGTAAAATAATAAATCTATAAAGATTTCTGTTGTAGGCTGATACTGGTCTTTTGGATAATAGGCATGAGTATTTCCATATCAAGTCTTCTCAGTAACCTGAAGTATTTCAAATAAGTACTGGTATTTTACCTATAATTATCTAAATGCAAAGTATTTGATGGGGTTTAGTACACACTGCCTTCTAAAATGGCACCTTGTCATATGGAAGGTATTTTAAACTGAAGCAATTTGAGAAGCAGCAGATGCAGGAAGGACTTTGACTTTCTTCTGAAGTAGGTCATATGAACCACATGTGAGAGATGCCCTTCCTATACCCAGAGGAAAGGAGCATCCTCATCTCCAAAGTGGAGGGACACTGAGATGAATCTGAACAAACAGACCTTGGTTAGTTTCCCCCAGTTTACTACGCTTAACTCATACCCCTTTTTATTTTCTCACATTGCTCTACAACTCTCTACTCTTCATCAAACCTAGCATAAAAATACTCAGGTTTAACCATTTCTTTGGATCTTCATTTCCTTATGAAGGCTCCATGTCACAAAAAAACCTCATATTAAATAAACCTGTATGCTTTTCTCTCATTAATTGGTCTTTTATTACACAAGCCCCCCAGCAAATAGCCTAAAAGGGTAGTAGGAAAAGATATTTTTCCTTCCCTACACATTAAAACCAAGACTTTTTCATTTTGAATGCTAAAACTTCAATTTTTGTAAAAATAATAGAAATTTTCTCATTCCTCAAAGAAAATGGGAAGTAGAAAGATTTCCCTCTAGTGGAGAGAGGAAAAAATTACATAAACAATGGGCTACCGCTTTCTAAAAAGTAAGTAATTTAGTTTACAAGATTGAGGAATTTTAGTTCATAACCTTTTAACTCCTTATTTATAATTTTTCTTTATTATTAAGATTAATGATGCTTTACCAACTCTGCTATAATATTTAAAATATAAAAATATATACAAATAAATTCCGTATCTTCAATACGGCCTATAAACACAGCTTTAGTTATACCCAACCTTGAATATTATGGAATTGCAGGAATTCATGTTACACTCTGCACTCCTACAAATTTGAACATGTGGATTTATTCACGTCAATATTAATTAAGGCTGGCGTTCCTGGTCCTGGCTATTTACAACCTGTTCTGTGTTTTATGGTGAGTTGGATATTGCACATTTATCATTTTTTTTCAAGATTCCGACAGGTCAAAAATGCTTTATCTGGTCAAACATGGATCAATTACAGGAAAAATCAGGGACTGTGTAAACATTCAAATGTTATAGTACCAAAAAGAATGCCTGGTTGGTTTACTTACCAAAACTACTCAATGCTGTAGTTTTTCACGAATATGGTTTGTTACCTGTAACTAGAAATAGCCCTTCTTTCTCAAAGTCTAAAAACATTTGCTATATCTAAGCATCTTTTAATTTCACAAATGGAGACTTAATGTTTTATTTTTTAAGTTCTAAACTGTATATAGAAATAAAAGATACTCACAGGCATTCATCACTAAATCCCCATGAATTTCTGGTTTCCAGTCATCCCATGATGTCTCAAATCCATCAGCAAAACGGATACAAAAGTTTTTGAAATGCCCTTTGCTAACCAGAGACTCTGAAGAGCATGCAGTGATGAGAGTACTTTCAATGGTTAATACCAAAGCAGAACCAGTGTCAAGGTCTCCAGTATGATTAGACTGCAAAATATATTAAAGAAGAAATAAGACAAAAGGTGACAATTTTTTAAACTTAGAAATCCTCACAGGATTCATAGGAATAGAAATCTAGAAACGGTCAAGCCTAGATATGTTCATTAAAGAGCAGCTTAGAAAGATGCCTTTTAAAAATTAAATTGCTTAAGTGCAATGTACTTGCCATGTGCATTTTTTTTCTTACTTAACATACAAAGGGCTATCTACATTTCTATCTCAAGCCTCTCTTTTAGTTGTGGGGAGATGATCTCACTATGCCACCCACCTGTGGTGTTTATGGCCTTCCTAGGCAGTGCCCATTATGCTATTAAAAAACTACTATATTTCAGTTCCTGAAACACAAACATACCAATGCCACCCATCCTCAACCTGAAGTTTTTCTTAACACTGTCTTACCGAACAGAATCCTAAAAGATAAATTAATTCAACAACTGGTTACAAGTTATTAAGGTAAATTGTAACAGTAAAATATAGATCTCTATATGCTATTGTTAATAACTGTTGCTTCTTGGCCTGACAGGTGTTCATAGCCTTTTCTCTCTCTCATACACACATGTGCATGCAGTTACATATTCCTGAAAATTGGTCTTAAGTTGCAAAGAGAAAATTCCTGGTTTATGTGCACACTGCTTTGAAGTTTCATTACCATTAAATATTACAGTATAAAAGCATTTTGGAATTCCCTATTCTATTACAGGTTAAGTTCATTAAACAGTATTCTTAAATGTCCTTTTATTTCCATCTTATAAACAAGTCCATACCAATGACTTCCTTGTTAAAAAAGAAAACAATAAAATGATTCTGAAACTAAGCTTCTTTTTATGAAGGTAAAAATTAAGAGTTATCTGGGGGGTATCAATCTTATCACTATTCTGAAGCATATAAGAGTGCTTCAGAGAAAAGTCCCATGAGATTAAGATTTAATACATTGAGATGAGTAATGGTTGAAGGAATTCAATCTTACTTGCTACCTACTAAACAGTTATAAACTGTTACACTGAAAAATGTACTGTTATATTCTAAATACTTAGAAATGGTTATGTAGAAATGCCTGGCTCTTAATCCTGGAATATGACTTGACTTTTTGTACCTGTGCAGTATTTGTGATAGGTAGGCAAATTCCCAGATCATTGACAGTGAGCTGGAGAAAAAGAGTCCCAAAGGCCTGGGCTGATGTTTGCTGGATACCAGGTAGCATATCTACTACTTCCTTTGTAGCCATATGAATATCCTTATGTAAAGCCATTCGTTGTTCATTCCAGTTGTCATAGGCGGCCTTATAATTCAGCCAAAACAGCACAGCTTTTGATAATTAAGACAGGGCAGAAAGAAAATTAAAATCAACACTGTAAATCTATATGTTAAGTAAAACTCAAAAGCTGCAAAATCCTGTTGCTTAATAAAAATTACACCCAGAAAACTGTAGCATTAGAATTAGGAAAGATCTAAGAGGACATATAGTCACCATTTTTTAAATAACAAATGAAAAAATAAAACAGAAAGCAGGCAACCACATAATGGCACAAGGAAGAAGAAAATCCAGGTCTGTTCATTCCCTCTAACTTATTTGTGAAATGCCTATTATATGTTAGATACTGGGATGGAATAACAAATGAAAACAGACATGGTGCTTAACTTCATCTGTAGAGCTGTTACTTCTTTTAAAATTCTTTAAGGTACATAATGCTAGGAACATACCATTAAAAGGATCTGATTTACAGAGAAAAGTCAAAGATGTTTGAGTTTGTTAAACAGAAACAAACCTTAAGGAAAACCTTCATTTCACAGCAGTGTATAGATGGAGGGGCCTCTAAAAAGGACATAAAGATGGAGAGGCCAGAGAAGTAGGAGGAAAAGCAAATGCAGGTTGAGCATCCCTAATCCGAAATCCAAAATCCCAAAACTTTCTGAATGTTGATATGATGCTACAAGTGGAAAATTCCACATCTGAACTCATGTGAGACTGCAGCCAAAATGCTGTCAAAACTTTGTTTCATGCACAAAATTATTTAAAATATTTTATAAAATTATCTTCAGGCTATGTGTATATGGTGTATATGAAACATAAATAAATTTCATGTTTAAACTTGGGTCCCAGCCCCAAGATATCTCATTATGTATACACAAATATACCAAAATCTGAAAAAATCCAAAATCTGAAACACTTCCTGTCCCAATTACTTTGGAAAACCAGTACTCAACCTGTTTTGTGTCAAGGACACCAAGGGTACAAAATACTTTAAGAAGCTGATGAAAGCTGATGAGAGGTCAGTAAAATGAGAACTGAAAAACATGTACATGGGATTCAGCAAAATAAAATGCTATCTGTAACACTGCCAAAAGGGCAATTTTCTAACAGGATTCTGTTACTAGCCTATGTCCATCACTGATGAAGATCTTAAATGGCTTCTTAAATGGCTCCTCATTACTTCTAAAATACAGTTCAAATATATTTGCCCAATCCACATTAATTAGACCTTGTCTACCTGTTCAGCCTTCTTTCCCATTATTTTCTTCTATGAAACCTACTGCTATATTTTCTTAGACTTATGTGTTTAAACACATTCATTCTTATTCTCTCTTACTCAATGTTTATTTCGTTCTTATTGTATGCCAGGGACTGTTCTAGGCCCTGGGATATAAAAGTAAATTTCATTTCCTTATCTCCCTGGTGAACTCCTAATTCAAAGTCAAATCAAGAATTAGTTTCTCCTCTAAGAAGCATAGGCAAAGGTAGAGAATTCCTCAGAACCAAGAACACATCTCTGACTCCACTGTGTAGTCTACTTTGTTTTCTTTTCCACTGGACTGACAGGTCCTTGAGGGCAGGGATACTGTTGTTTATTTTTGTATTCCACTTCTAGGCAGTACCTGATAAATGTTTATAGAATATAAAAATAAACACAGTGCCAAAACACAAATGGGTGCATTAATTATCAAAACAAAAAAAATCAGCATTACAATTACATAATCTGAAGCAGACACTCTTATGTTATCCAGCCAGAAGACAAAATAACTTTAAAATGTAAAATAACTTTTAAAAACTGAAGGCAAAAAGCAAGATTTTTTTTTTGGATACACACATTTCAGATTTAGGAACCATTTAGCTGTCAAGCATTTACACCAGTAAACTACAAGATTCTTATCTAGCATTAACAAAGCATTCCTAGATCCCAGAGGATAGTAGTGATTGACTTTATCTTACCTCTATCAAAGGCCACAGGCTGTGCATAAACAATTGGTCTATTCAAAGTAATAAGCACAGCTTCCCTATCTGAAGAACCACTGATTTCTTCTCGGAGGGCATTTCTTAATCCAATTCTGGTTTTAAAATAGGCAACTTGATGAAAATCAGAACCAGCTTCCTCATAAACCTAAAATAAAATTTAAAGCTCAATAAAATAAAATAATGGAAAAAGTTTTAATATGAAACTAAACATTATTAATGGTATTGTTCACCAAAAAAACTATAATACATTTTTCTCAAATTCAGCTGTTAATGTATATTCCTTATACTCTGTACCATAAACACTTGAAATTAATATACAAAATAGCCATGCAAGAAGTAAATATGAAGTCATAGATAAACTTTATATAAAAGTTAGGATGAGGTCCATATTCTAAATGGCAATGTATTAAATATTTCAGAATAATTAGAACCTCTAAGAGATGACAAGAAATTTTTGTTCATTTTTTCCTCGTATCTTTAATGCAGCGATTCAGTTTTGAAACTGTGACTGGCATTTTTCTACTTGGTTCTTCAAAGAGGAAAAAAGATTAAAATCTACATAATAATTTTTGGCAAAATAAAAACAAAAAAAATCTCCAATAAGCTGTGAACATTCATTTTTATAAAATAGAGAATCTAACTGCTGTTTTTTAACTTTATTTAACATTACTATATGCAGAACTTGCTAATATTCTACAGGAAAGGTATACACTTAACATTTTAAGAACTGAGTAATGTTAGCACAAGACTTTGAAATAAAAAATGTTTAGCAAAATAAAAAAAATTACAAGCAAATGATTACGAAGATACTGGATTAAGTTTTATGTGAGTGCATCTGCACTAAACTATAACAATATGCGGCTACAATTTTCAATGAAATGCCAAGGTAAATGAGTTTTCACTGAATTTATAATCAGAAACTTTAGGAAATTAAACTAAATATTTTTGTAAATATAATAATACATAAGTTACAGTAGTTAAAATTGATGTGCAAAATTTAAAAGCCATCGTTCTAACATCAACATATTCTGTACTCACCTGATGTTTGACAATTTGTCCTAATGCCAGATTTAAATCCACCTGGCATTTGCCAAACAGTTTCAGATAGCTGCTACTTCCTGGTGAAGCTTTGGTTTGAAGTCGGTTAGAAAGTTCCAGTTCAATCAATCCAGTTTCAAATCTTACAGCTCTCATTGATGGAGTAGTGGCCGTTACTTGAATACCCTAGCAGATTATATGTTAGGAGGAAAAAAATGAATCTTAAATCAACAACATATACCTACTCAAATGTAGTCTTTCAGTATATGATAAATAAAATAGTCGTGTTTTAAACCATGAACAGGCATACCTTGGAGATAATATGGGTTTGGTTCCAGACCATTGTAATAAAGTGGGTCACACAAATTTTTTTGTTTTCCAGTGCATATAAAAGGTTATACTACAGTCCATTAAATGTGTAATACCATTATGTCTAAAAAACATTGTACATGCCTTAATTTAAAAAATACTTTGGCTGGGCGTGGTGGCTCACGCCTGTAATCTCACCACATTGGGAGGCTGAGGCAGGCAGATCACTTGAGGTCATGAGGTCGAGACCACCCTGGCCAACATGGTGAAACCCTATCTCTACTAAAAATACAAAATTAGATGGGCATGGTGGTGTGTGCCTGTAATCCCAGCTACTCAGTAGGCTGAGGCAGGAGAATAGCTTGAACCAGGGAGTCGGAGGTTGCAGTGAGCCGAGATCATGCAACTGCACTCCAGCCTGAGACAGAGCAAGACTCTGTCTCAAAAACAAAACAAAACTTTATTGCTAAAAAATGCCAACAATCATCTGAGCTTTTAGTGGGTTGTAATCTTTTTGCTAGTGGAGGGTCTTGCCTTGATGTTGATGGCTGCTGACTGATCATGGTAGTGGTTGTTGAAGTCTGGGGTGACTGTGGCAGTTTCTTCAAATAAAATGACAATGAGGTTTGTGTCACTGATTGACTCTTCCTTTCATGAAAGACTTCTCTGTAGCATATGATGCTGTTTGATAGCATTTTACCCACAGCAGAACCTCTTCCAAAGTTACAGTCAATCCTTTCCATACCTTGCCACTGCTTCATCAACTAAGTTTATGGAACATTCTAAATCCTTTGTCATTTCAACAGTGTTTACAGCATCTTCACCAGGAGTAGATTCTATCTGAAGATAGAATTTCTTTGCTCATTCATAAGAAGGAACTCTTCACCCATTCAAGTTTTATCATAAGATTGCAGCAATTCAGTCCCATCTTCACGCTCCACATTTAATTCTAGTTCCCTTGCTATTTCCACCCTGTCTGCATTTACTTCCTCTACTGAAGTGTCTTGAGTCCCTCAAAGTAATCCATGAGAGTTGGAACCGACTTCTTCCAAAGTCCTAGTAATGTTGATATTAGCACCTCCTCTCATGAATCAAAGTGTTCTCTCTTCCAGAAGGTTTTCAATTTACTTTGCCCAGATCCATCTGAGGAATCACTATCTATGAAAACTGTAGCCTTACAAAATGTATTTCTTAAATCATACACTTGAAAGTTGAAATTACTCAATTCATGAGCTGCAGAAGAAATGTGTTAGGCATAAAAACGTTAATTTCCTTGTAAATTTTCACCAGAGCTCTTAGGTGACCAGGTGCATTGTCAGTGAGCAGTAATATTTTTAAAGGACTCTTTGTTCTGAGCAGTAGACCCATAGCGGGCTTAAAATATTCAGTGAACCATGTTGTAAAAAGATGTGCTGTCATCAAGACTTTGTTGTTCCACTGATAGAGCATAGGCAGAGATTTAGCGTAATTCTTAAAGGCCCTAGGATTTTCAGAATGGTAAATGAGCACTGGCTTCCACTTAAAGTCACCAGCTGCATTTGACCCTAACAAGAGTCAGCCTGTCCTTTGAAGCCAGGCATTGATTTCTCTCTAGCTGTGAAAGTCCTAGCTAGCATCTTTTTCCCATAGAAGGCTACATGGAAAAATCTGTCGTTTAGCGTAACCACCTTCATCAATTATTCTAGCTTGATCCTCAGTTTGCACTTTTATGTTATGAAGACAGGTTCTTTCCTTAAACATTATGAACCAATCTCTGCTAGCTTCCAAGTTTTCTTTTGCAGCTTCCTCACCTCTCCCAGCCTTCATAGAATTGAAGAAAATTAGGGCATTGCTCTGGATTAGGCTTTAGCTTAGGGGAATGTTGTGGCTGGTCTATCCACACCATTCAAACTTTCTCCATATCTGCAATAAGGCTGTTTGGCTTTCTTATCATTCCTGTGTTCACTGGAGTAGCACTTTTAATTTCGTTTAAGAACTTCACCTTTGCATTCACAACTTGGCTAACTGGCGCAAGAGACCTAGCTTTCAGCCTGTCTTGGCTTTTGACATATCTTCCTCACCAAGCTTAATCGTTTCTAGCTTTTGATTGAAAGTGAGAGATGTGCAACAACATTTAACGATTTAGTTTGCTATCCTACATTGGTGCAGCTCCTGGCGCCCCTAAACAATTCCCGCAGCAACATCAAAGATTTCTGATCACAGAGCATTATAACAGACATATAATACTAATGAAAAAGTTTGAAATATTGTGAGAATTAGTAAAATATGACACACAGAAAGTGAATATATGCTATTGGAAAAATGGCACCTTCAATTCATAAAAAAACCTCAATACCTGTGAAACACAATAAAGCGAAGTGCAATAAAACAAGGTATGCCTGTATAGGATATGTCTAATGAACTGATAAAACTGGCAACGTTAATTTCTCGTGTTAGTAGCAATTTTTTCCCATTATGTTTCATTTTGATATTTTATATTTAAAATTTAGTATTCAATGGATTGAATACATTAAATACAATTAAATAACTTTTATGAACACCAGTATCTTAAATATTGGAAATATTAAGTTTTCTATTAAAATAATATAGTCTTTGTTTGTTTTTTAAGACAGGTCTCACTCTGTTGCCCAGGCTCAAATGCAGTGGCACAACCACAGCTCACTGTAGCCTTGAACTTCCAGACTGAAGCAATCCTCCTGCTTTAGCCTCCGAAGTAACTGAGACTACAGGTGTGTGCCACCCACCTGGCTAATTTTTTTGTTTTTTCAAATTTTTTGTAGAGACAAAGTCTCGCTATGTTGCCAGAGCTAGTCTCAAACTCCTGGGCTCAAGCAATCCTCCTGCATCAGCCTTCTAAAAGTAATATAGTTAACTGGAAAAGTGCATAAAATATTTCTTGCAGAGTAAATTATAACAGCAGTACTTGAAGAAAAACAAAATGTTCGTCAGAAGGGAGTGGCTGAATAAATTGTTACAACTGTACAACATACAATACAGATGTTCAAGAAGATAAAACTAATCTAAATATTCTAATATGGAAAGGTATCCAATTATTTTTCAAATGTATAAATATATGCATATATAAAAATACTAACAGGAAAAAAGTCCTAAAGAATATTCAAATAATTATTGTTAAAGCTTTTTCTCTGAGTAGATGGAGTTATAGATCATTTTTATTTTCTGTTTGGTAATTTATGTAAGATACAAATTTTCTATAACAAGCATATATTAATTGATTAGAAAAATTTTTATAAAAGTATCATTATATTTATGTTACCTTGAACTGCAAGTTTAGGGAATAGAGGAGAATTTTAGGTTTATCTCCATCTGCTGTTCCATCATGTTCGTTCCAGAGAGGAATAGGCTGCTCCCCACCTAAAGGAAAGAAGAGTTCGGGACAATTTTTTTTTTTAAAGAAAAAAAATAACTATTTTGTGCATTAAAAAAAAATCCTCACAAAATATTTTCTTTTTACTGACCACTGATACAGAGATCTTTAGCTAAGTTACATTTAACTGAGACAGATATATGAAAGATAGGGATAATTCTGCATATGTAGACATTTATTAATAACATTTTATATTCAATTAAAACACTGTATATATTATTGAACCAAAACATGTGTTTATACATCTCAGAAAACACATTTGAGGGAAAAAAGTAAACTGGACTAATTTCTTCAACTAATAATGTGAATTCTGTTGCAGAGCCCCTGGTGGTGAAGTTACTATTAAGAGAGCATTTTTTTTTTTTTTTGCCTGGGCAATGTGGCATACAGAAAATAATGTTCTAATATCTTAATATCTTACTTCTGTTTCCACTTCTCTTTCCATTGATTTGAAAACATTCTGCCTGCCTATCTTTCAAATATTCTTTCTTACAATGATTAATCTTTTTGTACATATGTTGAGTTGATCATCATCCCAGGGAGTCTGTATAGGTGGGATGGAATGTTTTCTTCCCCTATTAGGGACCACAGATATTATCAAAATAACTAAGAACCAAATAGATAAAAAGCAGATTTTGTTTGTTTTGAAGGAGAAATTAATCTTTTTTGGGCTTTTGAAATTTAGGGGTCAAAAATCTATTTAGTTAGTACTATGATAAAAATATTTTTTAGTTTTCTACTAGAACAGAAAATAGGAAGAAAATAGAGGCAACAGTCAACAGAAGGTACATCCAAGATAAGACCAAGAAAAGAGAGACAAGGACATAACTTGGCCCCCCAAAAAAGACCTTTGTACATAAAGATGAATAAATACACCAGAAAGGGAATGAAAGAATGATATGGATGAAGAGATGGAAAGTAAAGTATTAAGGATTTGTGGATTGGTTATACCAGAACATATTAATTAACATATATTTGGGCCAGGCACGGTGGCTCATGCCTTAATCCCAGCACTTTGGGAGGCTAAGATGGGTGGATGACCTGAGGTCAGGAGTTCGGGACTAGCCTGGCCAACATGGAGAAACCCCATCTCTACTAAAAATAAAAAAAATTAGCTGGGTGTGCTGGTGGGCACCTGTAATCCCAGCTACTCGAGAGGCTGTGGCAGGAGAATCACTTGAACCCAGGAGGAGGCAGAAGTTGCAGTGAGCCGAGATGGCACCACTACATTCCAGCCTGGATGACAGAGACTGACTCAAAAACAAAATAAAAAAATATATATTTGTATTTTGGAAGAATAAACTATATGTGTCTTTGTAGATTATATGTGTCTTTGTACACTTAGTGCCTGCCTGTACGCTTGTACCTTTCCTCTCTGAGCTATCCTTCTCTAAAATATACAGCATACAGATTACATTTTCTTTTCTTCAACTTATAATTAAGTACTTCTCTCTGCCTCCTAACTCAAATCTACAATCATCCCTTACCTAAGCCTCATCATTGATAACCCTACCTACAGCCATATACATACATACATATATGTATGTGTGTATTTGTGTGTATATAATATCACCCCCCCAACCCAGCTATCAACTACCTCTTCCCATCCCTGTTGTCTCTATCTTCCATCTACTACCAGGAAAGCTTCCACTGTCTTACATTATGCTTTTCATTTCCCTGATTCTCTAACTTCATTTGCATATGGCTTTTTGTTGCCATTATTATTTGGAAATCTCAAATTCATTCATTCCTTTGATCCAGCAGCAGATGGTGTTTAGCTTACTTTTCAATGCTATTTCCAAAACATTAAACTACTACTGTCTCTGCTTTTCATCATTTGAATTCCAAACCACAGCCCTCTTACACATCCCTGTTCCTTGAGCTCACTTTCCTTAAATGACTTTATCCCCTCACTTACATTCTGTTCTTATTTATTTTTTACTCCTAAGTAGTTATGTGTAAATTCTAATACCTAATATTTGCTTACTGAGTGCATATATTTATCAATTCTAATACCTAATATTTGAGTGCTTACTGAGTGCCAAGTGCTCTTCTAAGTTCTTTATCACATTTTGTTTATTCAAACTCTTTCTGATACACCCTTATCAGCATTTGGTCCTTCCTTCCTACATGATGTTTGCCAAAAAATACACATTTCTGTATATTAATTTATCTACACAGCAATTTCCCTAATTAAATAATTCTTAAGGGGAAGGGCCATATATATGTGGATCCTAGCAAGCAGTACCTTAGCTGACCCTCAGTCTTTTCCTGAACGCAAGTATAAAGCACCTGTGTTGCTTGGTGATCCAACTCTTCATCTTCTGTCATTTCTCCAACACACTCCTCACAACAATTACTGCAAGTCTTTATAATTTTCCTCATACTCCCACAATTCTTATCTCATTCTCAGCAAATAAATGTGTCTTTCAGTCCCAGTTTCTTGCTATTTTCTTTCATCAAACTGTCCCTCTCTTGAAAGGCGCTCAATCATCAAAAAGTAGAACTTACTCAAGTATCAGTTCGAATCATTCCTATGCCTCAATACATCCTCTATTTATACTACTTAACTTCTTCATTCATCAAAAATTCATTTAAATCTTTTTATTATTATATGTTTAAATACCTAATGTTCCAAACAGAAGTAAGTAAAATTTTTACCCACATATCTTTGTAATTTGCTTATCACCTAGTTTGGGGTCATATGTTTTTAAAGTTCTGAATAAGTAACTATGGAATGGATTATAGAATCTTCTTTTATATTTTCTAAGATACGGTTGCAATTTCTACTCTGAAATACAGAATGAGTTATGTTATAGAGAGGAAAATATTACATGAAATAATGTCTACATTTTGAGGATTTGTTAGAATACTGCCACAAAAAATTGTTTATGACTCTATGTATATCTTGACACTTTCTAACAGGATGGGTGAAATTAAGCTAAGAGAGTTCTTAGTTTCTCTTGGCTCTATAGGCAAGAGCATGGTGCAGGTTATTTAGGAATCATCATGAGATACAACAAACACAACACAATAGGTGATCAAATAAAAACTACATGATTCTGATTTTGAAAGTTAGCTGTCTTATCTATTTATTCAATTAAATAATAAATAGTATTTTATCTAAGTAATAAGAATCAAAACAAATCTGAAGAAAATATGAATCTACTATTATGATCTATCTATGTATCTAATATTGGCTACTCTTGTCTTTTCTTTTTCTTCAACCTTTTATTTTAAGTTCTGTAGGATATGCACATTTGTTACATAGGTAAATGTCTGCCATGGTGGTTTGCTGCACACATCAACCCATCACCTAGGTATGAAGCCCAGTATCCATTAGCTATTCTTCCTGATGCCCTCCCTCCTGCTGTCCCTGCTGACAGGTCCCAGTGTGTGTTGTTCCCCTCCCTGTGTTCATGTGTTCTCATTGTTCAGCTCCCACTGATAAGTGAGAACATGCAGTGTTTGCTTTTCTGTTCCTGCATTAGTATGCTGGGGATAACGGCTTCCAGCTCCATCAATATCCCTGCAAAGGACATGATCTCATTCCTTTTTGTGGCTGCACAGCATTCCATGGTGTATATATACCACATTTTCTTTATCCAGTCTATCATTGATGGGCATTTAGGTTGATTCCATGTCTTTGCTATTGTGAATAGTGCTGCAATGAACATACGCATGCATGTATCTTTACAATAGAATGATTTATGTTCCTTTGGGTATATACCCAGTAATGGGATTGCTGGGCAAAATGGTATTTTTGCTTCCAGATTTTTTAGGAATTGCCCCAACACTGTCTTCTACAATGGTTGAACTAATTTACGCTCCCACCAACAATGTGAAAGCATTCCTTTTTCTCTGCAACTTCGCCAGCATCTGTTGTTTCTTGACTTTTTAATAATAGCCATCCTGACTGGTGTGAGATAGTATCTAATTGTGGTTTTGATTTGCATTTCTCTGATGATCAGTGATGCTGAGCTTTTTTCATACGTTTGTTGGCCACGTGAATGTCTTCTTTTGAGAAGTGTCTGTTCATGTCCTTTGCCCACTTTTTAATGAGCTTTTTTTTCTTGTAAATTTAAATTACTTGTAGACTCTGGATATTACATCTGTCAGATGGGTAGATTTAAAAAAATTTTCCCCATTCTGTCTGTTTACTCTGATGGTAGTTTCTTTTGCTGTGCAGAAGCAGCTCTTTAGTTTAATTAGATCCCATTTATCAATTTTTGCTTTTGTTGCAATTGCTTTTGGAGTTTGCATCATGAAATCTTTGCTGGTGCCTATGTCCTAAATGGTATTGTCTAGATTTTCTTCTAGGGTTTTTATAGTTTTGGGTTTTACATTTAAGTCTTTAATCCATCTTGAGTTAATTTTTGTATAAGGTGTAAAGAAGAGGTCCAGTTTAAATTTTCTGCATATGGCTAACCAATTTTCTCAGCACCATTTATTAAACAGGGAACCCTTTTTCCCCATTGTTTGTTTTTTGTCAAGTTTGTCAAAGATCAGATGGTTGTAGGTGTGTGGTCTTATTTCTGAGTTCTCTATTCTGTTTCATTGGCCTATGTGTCTGTTTTTGTACCAGTACAATGCTGTGTTAGTTACTGTAGCCTTGTAGTATAGTTTGAAGTCAGGTAGTGTGATGCCTCCAACTTTTTTCTTTTTGCTTAGGATTGTCTTGGCTATTTGGGCTCTTTTTGGTTCCATGTGAATTTTAAAATAGTTTTTTCTAATGTTGTAAAGAATGCCAATGGTAGTTTAATGGGAATAACATTGAATCTATAAATTACTTTGGGCAGTATGGCCATTTTCACAATATTGACTCTTCCTATCCATGTGCATGAAATGTTTTTCCATTTGTTTGTGTCCTCTCTGATTTCCTTGAGCAGTGCTTTGTAGTTCTCCTTGAAGAGGTCCATCACTTCCATTGTTAGCTGTATTCCTAGGTATTTTATTCTCTTTGAAGTGATTGTGAATGGGAGTTCATTCATGATTTGGGTCTCTTCTTGCCTGTTATTGGTGTATAGGAATGCTAGCAATTTTTGCACATTGCACAACTTTGCTGAAGTTGCTTATCAGCTTAAGAAGCTTTTGGGCTGAGATGATGGGGTTTTCCAAATATAGGATCCTATCATCTGCAAACAAAGATAATTTGACTTCTCTTCCTATTTGTATACACTTTCTTTCTCTTGCCGGACTGCCCTGGCCAGAACTTCCAATACTATGTTGAATAAGAGTGGTGAAAGAGAGGGCATTCTTGTCTTGTGCCAGTTTTCAAGGGGAATGCTTCCAGCTTTTGCACATTCAGTACGATATTAGCTGTGGGTTTGTCATATATATCTTATTATTTTGAGGTATGTATCTTCAATACCTAGTTTATTGAGAGTTTTTAACATGAAGGGATGTTGAGTTTTATCAAAGGCCTTTTATGCATCTATTGAGATAATCATGTGGTTTTTGTCTTTAGTTCTGTTTCTGTGATGAGTTGCATTTATTGATTTGAACCAACCTTGCATCCTGGGGATGAAGCCCACTTGATTGTGGTGGATAAGCTTTTTGATATGCTTCTGGATTCGGTTTGTCAGTATTTTTTTGAGGATTTTTGCATCAATGTTGAACAGGGATATTGGCCTGAAGTTTTCTTTTTTTGTCGTATCTATGTCAGGTTTAGGTATGAGGATGATAGTGGCCTTATAAAATGAGTTAGGGAGGAGTCCCTCCTTTTCATTTTTTTGGAATAGTTTCAATAGAAATGGTACAAGCTCTTCTTTGTACATCTGGCCAGATGTGAAATTCTAGGTTGGAAATGTTTTTCTTTAAGGATGTTGAATATTGGCCCCCAATGTTTTCTGGCTTGTAGGGTTTCCACTGAGAGGTCTGCTATTAGGCTGATGGGTTTCCCATTGTAAGTGACCTGGCCTTTCTCGCTGGCTGCCCTTAACTTTTTTTCTTTCATTTCAGCCTTGGATAATCTGATGATTATGTGTCTTGGGGTTGATCTTCTCGTGGAGTGTCTTACTGGGGTTCTCTGCATTTCCTGAATTCGAATGTTGGCCTGTCTTGCTCAGTTGGGGAAGTTCTCCTGGATGATATCCTGAAGTATGTTTTCCAAGTTGGTTCCATTCTCCCCATCTCTTTCAGGTACCCCAATCAGTCATAGGTTTGGTCTTTTTAAATAATCTCATAGTTCTCAGAGGTTTTGTTTGTTCCTTTTCTTTTTTCTCTATTCTTTTCTGCCTGTCTTATTTCAGAAAGACAGTCTTCAAGCTCTGAGATTCTTTCCTCCACTTGGTCTATTGTGCTGTTGATACTTGTGAGTGCATTGTGAAGTTCTCCTGCTGTGTTTTTCAGCTCCAACAGGTCAGTTATGTTCCTCTTTAAAATGGCTATTTTGGTTATCAGCTCCTGTATGTTTTGTCACGATCCTCAGCTTCTTTCCATTGGGTTAGAACATGTTCTTTTAGCTCAGCTAAGTTTATTATTACCCACCTTCTGAAGCCTACTTCTGTCAATTCAGCCATCTTAGCCTCAGCCCAGTCCTGCGCCCTTGCTGGAGAGGTGTTGCAGTCATCTGGGAGAGAACAGACACTCTGGCTTTTTGAGTTTTCAGCATTTTTGGATTGATTTTTTTTCTCATCTTTGCGGGCATATCTACCTTCAATCTTTGAGTTTGCTGACCTCTGAATGGGGTTGTTGTGGGGCTTTTTGGTTGATGTTGCTGTTTTCTGTTTATTTTTCTTTTTACAGTGGGGCCACTCTTCTGTAGGGCTGCTGCAGTTTGCTGGGGGTCCCCTCCAGACTCTAGTGTTCTGAGTTCCTCCTGCACCAGGTTCCTCCTGCACCAGGTATCAGTGAAGGCTGTGAAACAGCAAAGATGACAGCCTGCCCCTTCCTCTGGGGCCTCTGCCCCAGGTACCGACCTAATGCTGGACCGAACACTCCTACAGGAGGTGTCTGGAGACCCCTGTTGGGAGGTCTCATCCAGTTGGGCAGAATGGGGTCAAGGACCTGCTTAAAGAAGCAGTCTGGCTGCCCCTTGGCAGAGCAGGTGTGCTGTCCTGGGGGAAACGCCCCTCATCCAGACCACCGGGACTCTCCAGAGCCAGCAGGCTGAAAAGGCTAAGTCAGCTGAACTGCAGAGATGGCAGCGCCCCACCCCCCAGGGAGAGATCAGAGTTCTGTGAGTTCTGTATGTATAACTCTGGTTGGAGTTGCTGAAATTCCTGCAGGGAGGCCCTGCCCAGTGAGGAGGGATGGACCGGAGTCCCACTTAAAGAAATAGTCTGGCCACAATCTGGCATAGTGGAGTCCCACTTAAAGAAGCAGTCTGGCCACAATCTGGCATAGCAGCTGTGCTGTCTTGTAGGGAACTCCTCCCAGTCTGGACTGCCCGGACTCCCTGGAGCAGGCAGGCTAGACCTGCTGACTTGAACTGCAGAGATGGCAGCTCTCCCAGGGGCCGTCTCAGGCAGTCTCCAGCCTTCTGCTGTTGGCCGGCTGGAATTCCAAGCCAGTGGTTCTTAACTTGTGAGTTGCCCTGGGAGTGGGGTCTATAAAATGACACTGCTTGAATCCCTGGATTCAGCCTCCTTCCTAGGGGAATGCATGGATGGATTTCCTGCCTTGCTGGAATTCCCAGGGCCAGAGTATGCAAAACTCCTGTGTCTCTGTGCGTGCCCGAGTGGCTGCTTCACCGAGACTCCACACAGCTCTGTGCTTCGGACCCAAGGCCCTGGTGGTAGGACTCACAAGGGGAATCTCCTGATCCACAGGTTGCAAAGATCTGTGGGAAAAACCTGGTTTTCCCTGGCAGGGTCACACAGTCACACATAGCCTCCCTTGCCTGGGGGTGGGGGCTCCCTGGCTTTTTGCTGCTCCTGGGTGGGCCATCACCTCACCCTGCTTTTCCTTGCCCTCCGTGGTGGAGCTGTCTGCCTAGTCCCTCCCAAAGCAAGAAACTGAATACGTCAGTTGAAAGTGCTGAATTCACTCACCATTTTCATTCCTCTGTGTGAGAGTCCTGGACTACAGCTGCTTCTACCGTCCTACTTTTGTGTCAATCAAGTTTTATTTCATAGTATAAATATGGCCCACTGTCCTACTTTTGTGTCAATCAAGTTTTATTTCATAGTATGGCATAAATATATAAGTTTAAGTGCATCATATCCTCTATACTTGATTAAGCTATTAACTTGCTTAAATTATTTTGAAATTATAGCTAGCCTCATATTTTTCTGAAAAGTATTAGCATGACTTAAGAAGTGTTATTAAGGAGGTTATTTCCTAAGGGAGACTAGACTAAGTAAAAAACATCAGATTTTTTTTTTTGGATTAGCCTTTGGGGTATCAGTTCCTTGAGGCTCCTTTCCAACCCTTCTTTAAGTTAGGTACCCCAATTTTCCTGTGTTTGGAGACCTCTCCTGATACCCATGATTTACTGAAGTACATTCTCAGAGGTACCAAGAGGACCTCCATTAGTTCTTTTAAATAACTTCGATGTGTCTCATTTGGACCTGTAGATTTATATACAAGTTGGTTGGATAGGCTTATTGTTTCTCTAGTTATTCTCATAACCAGGCAAATATCTCATCAATTTCCATTTTCTTAATATTCATGCTTTTTAATTATCCTTTTCACTTGGTTAAAAGCAGATTCTTTTTCAATTTTCACTTACTTAAGTAGAGCGAAATCTTCATGTTATATTACCTAACAGTATACTTCGTTAACATACTATTTTCTTCTGACAGTCTAAATGTAAGCCTTTCACTTTTTCATATTCTCTTAAATCATTTTGCTAAACAAATACATGTTTTAACATATCTGAAATAATCTTAGATTTTTACATTGCTTAGCACACTTTCACTTTGAATATTGTAATACTAATACTCTAAATGTCTAGAGCTTTGTGAATATTCACATCTGTCTAATTTTTCTTATACTCAAGTTGTTTTACAAAAAAAATAATGGCTTTGTGTCTGTTCATTTGATAATCCATCTCTGAAGATAAAACTGTTTGATGGGCTGGGCACAGTGGCTCACGCCTGTAATCCCAGCACTTTGGAAGCCAAGGCACGCAGATCACAAGGTCAAGAGATCAAGACCATCCTGGCCAACATGGTGAAACCCCGTCTCTACTAAAAATACAAAAAATAGCTGGGTGTGGTGGTGCATGCCTGTAGTCCCAGCTACTTGGGAGGCTGAGGCAGGAGAATCGCCTGAACCCGGGAGGTAGAGGTTGAAGTGAGCTGAGATCGCGCCATTGCACTCCAGCCTGGCGACAAAGTGCGACTCCATCTCAAAAAAAAAAAAAAAAAAAAAAACTGTTTGATGCATGAGCACACCTTAAAGGCCTATTTGTTTTGTTTGCCTATCACAACCTTGAATACCTTTTATCTAGTTTCAGAAAGAAAAGTTTAAAATTTAAAAGCAAAAGCTCAACCATTCACAAAACATACTAAACAATAATTTTAGCTTATGGAACCATAAGAGACGCTATTATATTATTTGCATTAATTCCATAGTATTTTATGTCTTTATCAACAAATATATACCTGGCCCAATTCTAAGATGGTAACCTCCTTATATGCTTCTAAGATGGCTGTACATTAAAAATAGTCTATTCTGTTTACTTGATCAGTGCTTACTTACATCTTTCTGAAACCCAAGCATTCTTGAAAGTCCTTCGTGGACAAATAAGGTAATCAATTTTTTAAAAAAGTATTTTCCTAACAAACTTGATGATTGTTATGAACATTAGTCTTCCTACATAACAGAAAATGTCCTAACACTAAACGTAACATGATGGAAAATCATGAAGAATATAAGAAAAAATTAGGAAAATAACTGAAGATTATGGGAGAGGGAAGAAGCAATACAGAGATCAGAGTACTGAGAAATTTGAGCTACAAGGGTTCAAAGTATTCCCTCTCAATATTCTGTTATGTTCCTTGGTCTTGACAGAATAACTGAATGCCTATGCGCCATCAGGCCCTGTGGCCAGCTAAATCATATGTGATTTACACTTTAGCTATTTTCTCAAGGTTCATGGCTGTCGCTAAAGTCAGAAAGAAATGGTTCAAGGAGCAGATCTAGCCACTCCTTTGTCACTATCATCTGATTCTCTCACAGTAAACAGCAAGTCTTCATGGTTAGAAATATTAATTTCCAGTCCTCTTTGTCCATCTTATTCTTCATAGACCTTGGGATATACTTTCATCTCCTGACTACAATCTAAAGGTTAAGAAAAGCCTTTCTCTTTAATCAAAACTACCTTAAGAGAGGCTTACCCTGACAGTCTGATACTAGGAACTCCACAACACTTGTTTTTTTTACCATAAGAAATACAAGATTAGTTCATGTAAGAGTCTATTTATTTTTTAATTATATATTATATATAATATATATTATATAGTATGTTATATAATATATATAATATTATGTGTGTGTGTGTGTGTGTGTGTGTGTGTGTGTGTGTATATTTTTTTTTTTTTTTTTTTTTTTGAGACGGAATCTTGCTCTACCACCGAGGCTGGAGCACAGTGGCGCCATCTCAGCTCACTGCAAGCTCCACCTCCCAGGTTCACGCCATTCTCCTGCCTCAGCCTCCCGAGTAGCTGGGACTACAGGCGCCCACCACCACACCAGGCTAATTTTTTGTATTTTTAATAGAGATGGGGTTTCACTGTGTTAGCCAGGATGGTTTTGACCTCCTGACCTAATGATCCACCCGCCTCGGCCTCCCAAAGTGCTGGGATTACAGGCGTGAGCCACCATGCCTGGCTTATATTTTTTCAGTAATAAAACTATCTTGAAAGTATTCTTTAGAACTCATAAGTTTACCAGCTTGATATAGTCTTAACAACTTTCCTATCATAAAAAATGTCATAATGTGATTTTTACCAGGTAAATGGGACACACCAAAACTTCTGTATGTTTCCCAAGTTAAGGCTTCTTCAGTGGCAGAAAGGAATTTTACTATATATTTATTTCTTCCTTAATGATTTCTAGTCAACCATTTTTGGAAAAACTCCATGGCTACCAATGATCTGATCTTTTAAGACCTAACTTGTAAAATTCTACAGCTCTGCAGGGCTTCCTCAATATGATCATTAAGTAGCTTCCTGACCTCAGATACAACCAGAACCAGCCCAGGAGAATCAAGGAAACTGGCTGCTCACACAGCTGCTACATAATGTAGTTCCTTCATCCAAGGAGCACTGTCCTCCTTCAGACCCTTATCAAATACTGGTACATATGCTCTGTCTGCGTCCTCTCTACCTCTCCTTTCTTGCCAAACTAGGCTTCATTCTTAAGTTTTGGGATACGACTTCTTCTGAGAAGCCTTTTCTGATCCTTTAGACTACAGTAGTTTTTCCTATGACACAGACTCATAGCACCCTGTTCTTGTCATTCGCAGAACTCATCAAAATTGTAAGTGAATACCTAGATACTTCATAAATTTGTTAAATGAATGAATTAATCCATGAGCATAAAGGAAACTCCTTTTGATGCCAATTTATGGATGTGGCTTAAAAATTCTTTTAACATGATAACATTCATACAAAAAATACTCAGCATTAAGAACTGTTATACAGTCAACTTTTCACCCTAATTCCCTAATACTTTAGCTTGTGAAAAATGTAGAGCAATGACTAAGCTCAACTGTAAGCTATTCTTGAGGAACAGCAAAAATATAATGAGGGTTTCCACAGACAATTTACCATGCTGCCAGCATATAGCCATCATCTGGTATAGACAAAAGGTTGAAATCTTAGTAGTTACCTAAATGTTGTTCCCAAATGAGTATGATTAATTTGGTTAATAGACATACTGTAAGCTTTTCTTTTTTCAGGGTGAAACATAAAGGAGCTTTCTGAAGTTTATGAATCTTAAATGTGTATATTATACATGACAAAAATGATAAGCAAACACTGTAGGTGGAAAAGCCATAAAAGGAATGCACAGTTTCTTAGGAGTTATTTGACAACTATATCCAAATGCTGGATCAATACTTATACCACAGATATATGGGATATCACACGCTCAATGAGAATAAAAACCTACACCTATACTATAAGGTACTAGATCATCTTACCAGAAACTTTTTGTATTACTTCATTAACTTCCTTCATGAACACTTTCTGTACAAATACCAAGTGGTTTAGAAGATCAGTTGTAAGATTATGTTCAAAGGAACCAACCTGCCAGACAAAATCATATTAGATTAACACTGATTACATTAGCTTTACACTTTTTTCTTACATAAATCACCCTAAACTGAGGAAAAAAGAGATAATTATCTCTATATGATTTGAAATCAATATATTGAAGAAAAGTTAAAAATATTCAGCGTTCCTAATACGTTACTGGCCAGAAACTATTATAGTACACTCCCAAAATGGGTTTTGTTTTTTGTTTTTTAATAACAGTAGTTAATAAGGTATGAGAAGTCTGGGGAGCAAATCGAAGTTATATATTTAACTTGCTAATTTTGAAATTAAATTTTCTCCTAGAGTAAAATTTACTTTTAATGATCATTTTAATGGCCACTTTTGTGGTCTTAGAATCATAGACGAGTTAAGTAAAAATAGATTTATTTATTTATTTATTTATTTATTTATTTATTTATTTATTTAGAGACGGAGTCTTGCTCTGTCACCCAGGCTGGAGTGCAGTGGCGCAATCTTGGCTCACTCTAACCTCTACCTCCTGGGTTCAAGCGATTCTCCTGCCTCAGGCTCCTGAGTAGCTGGGACTACGAGCACCCACCACTATGATAGGGTTTCACCATGTTGGCCAGGCTGGTCTCAAACTCCTGGCCTCAAGCGATCCGCCCACTTTGGCCTCCCAAAGTGCTGGGATTACAGGTGTGAGCCACTATGTCCAGCCAAAAATAGATTTATTTAATCAAATATATATTTAATGACTGTCTACTCTATGTACCATGTTAGGTGCTAAGGATGCAGCTATGAATAAAAACCAACAAAATTCTGGGTCTCAGGCTTACATTTGAGTGAATTAGTAAATCATCAGAGATACCCAGTTAAGGTTTGTGTCCTTAATTTGTGTCCTATAATTTGTGTCCTATGATTAGTACAAGGTATTAAATTTCTGGCAAATTAGTTAATAAACTAATTAGTTAATAAACCAATTTGCCAGAAACTATTTTCAGGTATGTTTATTTCAGGCCATAGTAAAATAGGCAACTCTAAGAGGGATGCAATTTTAGAGTCTTTGAAATGGTTGAAATTAAATACATTTTTTACTAAATTTGGGATTGTGTTCCACCTCGTTACAAACTTATACCTTTCTAATATCTAGTATTAGCAAGGAATTATACAATACACTGTATTCGTGTATTTTCTTTTAAATGGAACATTAATAATAGTATTGCTAAAATAGAGCTTGGGGCTTTTAGTTTTCAGAGTAGAAAGTACAAGTGGGATACACTTTAAAATATTTTCAGTTAAATCTTTGACTTGTTAGAATCTGAACACTATTTTTTCGTACACTTGTTTTTCATACACAGAAATCCCAACTCTTAGAGAGCTTCCAGGGCAAGCAGGACCTAAGAAGGTAAATCAGACTTAAATATGTCCCCCGCAGTTATAATATTTCTATCAGAGAACCCAAAGAGCATTCTTATAGATGCTTCAGGTTATGGAGAACAAAATTTATAAAACAAATAGCACATTGCTTTTTCATAAAGTTGCAACAGTTTTTGACAAACTGACAAGGTAAGCTGAGACACAGCACAGTGTGTCTGAAGGCAGACCACTAAGGCGTGGCTCCTGCCTCTCTCAGTTGATAGCTAGGTCTCGAGACTTAAGGAAAGGTGTTTACTTCTCCGCTTCAAGTTTATATCAAATTAGGAAAATAACAGATGACCTGCTTACCACAAATCAAATGAAAAATGTGTCCAAATGCTTTTTAAACTTTTGACAGCTATACAAAGTGAAAAAATTATGATGGAATTAGATATGCTACTTTCAACTTAACCTTAGTAAAGAAATTAATCTGTAAGTCTAATTTATCTTTCAATATGACCTTTAGATTATCTTAATAATTATGTATACCTGTATGAATTTGTTACCTTGCTAAGGCTTAGTTTGCTCACTTACAAAATGAGAACAAATATTTCTACCTCATAGGATTTACTTAAGCACTGCAGAAGTCAATGCGTGTAAAGCACATAATGAATGTTAGCTGTGATTTGCTTTTAATAATCATTTGAACTATGAAAATATTGCAGAGATGGAATACATAACTAATACATATTTTTAAAAGCATGTGTAAATAAAACTACAGGGTAGTCAGACTAACAGACACAAAAACACACATACACCCACACACACACACTTGATTTGGTATAGAATTCTTCTGTGAAAACAAATTATTTTAAGACTTTACCTTAAAAGTTTGGATTACTACATATTTTGGTACATATAAATCTTGAAGACTCCTAAATTACGAAGAGTAAGAAAATTTTAAAGTAAACTTACTTCTGCCACACAACGCAGATAATTTCCCTGTAAATAGTAACCTTGTTTAGAAGGCAGTTCATCTATACTCCACACCTGATCCGAATAACTATCATGTTCTTCCATTATATATTTCCCTGACATGGTAACAGGGGGAAGGTTAAGACTGGCAGAAGGAGGAATGGTTGACATATCTGTGGCAGAAACTTTTGAAGTAAAACGCAATCTGTGATTTGGCAGCTCAAATGTAAATCTTGTCTGTGCACCTGTAAGAAATGAGAAAAGTTATTGTTTGTGCTAGTGTTCATTCACTCATTCATTCCTCACTTTTTCCAAAAAGGGTATCTAAGAAAAATGCATGGATATTCCCAAACCTATCTTGAAATATATGAAAGGATATTTTAAAGTTGCTTATAAAATATTCCCTATCTTTAAATACGCAAGTCAATCAGCAAGTATTATTAAGCCAGTATTATTAAGCAAGTATTATTTATTAAGACTGGCAGTGTGTTAGGCACTAGAAAAACACTTATGTTCTTTATTTCATAGAAGGTAGAACAGAAATAAAGTGCCCTTATTACAGAAGCATTGTAACAAGAAAATCAAGTTAAAAAAATTTCCCCAGTCCACACAGTGCTTTATTCACAGAGAATAGTAGGTAGTTAACAATATGTCTACTGATCCTGATTCAGTGTGGAAGTAGCTAAAATTGCCAAATCAATTAAATTGTACTCACTGAAACATTCATAAAGTATAAAATTATACAAACATATGTCTCTTTGACCTTCATAATTATTCATGGGACCATATATCAAATAAGGATATGTTATGAATTTTAGTTTACTATTGACCTTAAACACTTAAATCAATAATCTAGCACATAATTATTCAAACAAATATAAATATACCAGCTTTACTATTATTCAGTCCATATTTCTCCAACTGTTTATGAGGGCATAAGGAGAAGCCTTATTAAAATCAAGATCTGTTATTGCCCTTTACACATGTAATGTACATACACATGCTCCTTTCAAACCAGCAAAATCTACTGATATTCTTCTGCACATTACCAATTCTCTCCACTCAAACATCATCAAATTGCCTATTTAGCCTACATATATAATTTATTATATATCCCTACTGCTCTCAACTGAGCCAGAAATAATTCTCTTTTTTTCAAAATACTAATCAAGGGTCATCTCCTATATGTCACATTCACTATATTCATTAACTAATGTTTGCACCTAGAATGAGTTAGCCAAAAACAGAAAAATGCTCACTCACCAACTGGGGCATCTGTGAATGGCCAGATGAGTCATGACTGCCCTGATCTCCTCTCACTACTCCAACCAAGAGACTCCTTGACTATCATTTACAAACTGCAAGGGGTGGGGACTGTCTACCACTGTCGCTGCCACCACTACTATTGCTAGCACACCACCAAATAAAAACTCCAAGATTGAAATAAAAACGCCAAGATTGAAATAATCCTAGGCCTCAGTTACTGAGTCATCCCTTATTACTAGTATAGTCATTCTTTTACTGTTTTTATCCCTTTCCTTCAATTTCAATAAGAATTTTGGGTTCTTATCTCTCTGGATATTTAACAATATGTTTACTCTAAGATCCTAAACTGCCTATCTGGCTTTCGACTTGCTGTTTCTGTGGACCCCTGTATTTCATGGGTGCCCTGAATAAGTGACCAAATGTGTGTAACTTATTGTCAGCCCTGGACTCTAATATCTGAAGGCCTAAGACTTCTGACTCTGCCAAATCTAGAAATTTACTTTAAAATGCTTCTCTTTCTGGTAATAGAAAGTTCTAAATGTTCAGCAAAATTACTCTTAATAAAGAAAGCCTAAAATGGTAGAGATGGGAGTACACATATACAGTAATCTCCCTTTATTTGGGGAAGATGTGTTCTAAGATCCCCAGTGGATGCCTGAAATCATAGATAGTATCAAACCGTATATATGTCTTTGCCTATACATACACTCCTATGATAAAGTTTAATTTATAAATCAGGCACAACAAGAGATTAATAACAACGATAACAAAATAGAACAGTTATACTGTAACAAAAGTTCTGTAAATATCTTTGTAAATATGGTCTCTCTCAAAATACCTTATTGTATGTAATATTTTTGGACTACAGTTGACCATAGGTAACTGAAACGTGAAGAGACAAAACACATGAATAAGCAGGGACTACTGTATACACATACTTACATAAATATGTACATGTCTGCATATATTCATATATATGTATATATTTTTAAATTATGTTAACATAATAAAGGAGACAATACATTTTCATTTCATTAGATACAGAACAAAGTATCTGATTACATTTACCAATAATTCTTCATAGAAACTCTTAAGCACAGTGGGAAAATAAGTACATTTTCTTAACCTGATAGCAGAAACCTAGAGCAGACATCAGACTTATTCATGTAATGTTGATTCCTTTAAGAAAATCAGACAAGGCAAGCACCATAAGGCAAGAAAAAGAAATAAAAGTTGGAAAGAAACAAAAGTATCATTATTTGCTGTTTAAACAGTATGACTGTCTATAGATAAAACTCCTAAGAATCTACAACTTATTGGTAATAATAGTTTAATGTGGTTGCTGAGTATCAGATTAACAAAAAAGCATCAAGCACACTTGTAGACTACCAACAGTTTAGAAAAATGCCATTTTACAAAAGATAACATTTGTAATAGCTACAACACCACAAGATACCTAGATATCTTAATAAATAAATACATCTTGTAAAAGACGCACAAAAACCTTTAAGTAGAAAAATTTTAAACTTTATACAAAAACATTAAAGAAGACCTAAACAACAGAGAAATAAGACTTACTCAAGGATAGGAAGGTTGAATATTGTTTAGTTGTCATTTCTCCCCAAATAAATCTATAGATTCAATTAAGTTCCTACAAAAGTCTAAACAGGCTTTTTCAGGGAACTTAAACTGATTCTAAAATGTTTATGAGGCCAGGCATGGTGGCTGATGCCTGTAATACCAGCACTTTGGGAGACCAAGGCAGGCGGATCGCTTGAGGCCAGGAGTTCAACACCAGCCTAGGCAACACAGTGAAATCCCACCATCTCTACAAAAAATTTTAAAATTAGCCAGATGTGGTGGTGCATGCCTATAGTCCTGGCTACTCACAGGGCTGAGACTGGAGGATCACTTGAGGAGGTCAAGGCTGCAGAGAGCTGTGATCATGCCACTGCCCTCCAGCCTGGGCAACAAAGTGAGACCCTGTCTCAAAAAATAAAAATAAACAACGTATATGAAAGAGCAAAGGATCAAAAACAGCCAGGACAATTCCTGAAAAAGAAAAAGTCAGGCAGCAACATGATACTGGTACAAAGAGATCAATGAAGCAGAATAGAAAACTCAGAACTAGACTCCCACATTAAAAATAACACTTAAGATGTGACAAATTTCTGGATTATATGCCACTGGAAAAAAAGAATAATCAATAAGTGATGCTGAGATCATTGGTTATATACAATGATCACTGGTTATATACAATGATCACTGGTTATATACTATCCCATGCCAAATCTAAGAACAATAATAATTGATTAAGATAGATTAAAAACTTAAATATGAATAGCAAAACTCAAAACATTCAAGAAAAAATGTAACAAAATATTTTTATTATCCTAGGAAGAGAAGCATTTCTTCAGGACATAAAAATACACATCATACAGGAAAAATAATGGTAAATTCAATTACATGAAAATGAAGAATGTCTGCTGATCAAAAGAAAAAGTTAAATGATAAGCCTCCAACTAGGTGACAACATATAAACATGATATCAAAGAGTTAATATACAGAATTTATGAAGAATTATTGCGAATCAAGAAAAATACAAATGACTCAATGGTAAAGTGAGCAAAAAAAAAGAACCATCAACTGGCATTTTATATATATAAACTCGTAAGGAGCTCTTAGTCAAATAAAAAAATTCCTAGTTAAAAAATGTGAGATTCCATATAAACAAAGTTCAAAACAGCTAAAAGCAAACTTTAAATCATTTATGAGTATATACATATATGGTAAAACTATATGGGAAAGCAAAAGAATGGGTAAGACAAAATTCATGATAGCAGTAATTCCATGAAAAGTGAAGACTGCCTTTTTTTTTGAGATGAAGTCTCACTCTGTCGCCAAGGCTGGAGTGCAGTGGCACACTCTCAGCTCACTGCAACCTCCGCCTCCCGGATTCAAGCGATTCTCCTGCCTCAGCTTCCTGAGTAGCTGGGATTACAGGTGCCTGCCATCATGCCCAGCTAATTTTTGTATTTTTAACAGAGATGGGGTTTTGCTATGTTTTCCAGACTGGTCTTGAAGTCCTGACCTCGGGTGATCCACCCGCCTCAGCCTCCCAAAGTACTGGGATTACAGGTGTGAGCCACTGCGCCCGGCCAAAGAAGGCTTCAAAGTATTGGTAATGTGCCAATTCTTAGGCTATATTGTGGGTTGGTGAGTTCACAGTACTTAATTATTCTTTAAAATGTGTATATGTATAATTTACATGCTTTGTATACATGATATATTTCATAAATATTAAAAGCAAGGAATTTTGAGATAGGATATATTAATATAAGGGTCACAAAACCATACAGAATTAGCTGTTTTGAAGAAATCAAATGACCCCTGATTTGAGCTAAATGAACCCAATGTGAAAATAAACCAAGTTATTCAGTCTATTAAAAACTTAATAGATGTAGAAATGGGTTAATTTCTTCAACTTAAGTTTAAATTGGAGAAATGGCCTCCATAGTTGAATAATTTTATGGAGTTCAAAAGAGTTCATTCTGGTCATTCAAGGTTTTGGGGTGGGGGATTGATATTTTTACTTGACTAGAGAACATCATTAATGAACTTTAAATGTTATAATCAAAATTACTTATAATATCTATAAAACCAAATTTACCTTTTTATCAAAATATTACTAATTTCTCAAACAAATCATAAATTTTAAGAGAGTGAATTCAGAATTCAATATTACCTGTCATTCCATGACTTCTCATTCTTCCCATCTTGTATTCTGCTTTCAGAGATGGTAAAAGTGCTGCTCCAATGGCTATACCATCTAACATGGCACTGAATTTAAGAACAATAGGCTTCTTTTCTAAGCCTTCTGGTAGCTGAGGAAATTCATTTGTTTCAACAGGAGTTTGATTAACACTTGTTGGGGTTTTTTCAGAAGGTAGTGGGGTTGCAATATCTTCTTTTACAGGCTGTGGGCTAGAAAGCAAAAAAAAAATAATTAAAAAATAAACACAGGACGTACCATTTTATTGTAGAAAATCACTGGATTTCTCAGTGAAAAATAGCAAATATATACTGTGAATAGATGTTTTCTTTCCAATATCAGATCATATTCAGACTTTCTAAAACACCTGTTGAACAATGATGATATGGAAAAGTAGACAAGAAAAAGTAATAACAATATGAGACTCTTAGAATGTTATACTGTGAAGGTGATTCTTATCATTATTACAAAACTGGGATTTAAACTCAGATTTGTCTGATTCCAAATTCTATCACTTAACTATTACACGCTACTACTGATATTATTGACATTACTACTACTACTACTGTTAAGAATGACAACACCAACCCCAACAATAACAATAATAACAATTTGAGTGGCAGGTACTGTTCTTAGTGCATTGTGTGCTTTGTCTCATTTATCTCACTTTAATAAGTAGGTACTATTGTCTCCACGTTGCAAAATGAGGAAGCATAGCTAGAGTGCTGAAACTAGGATTTGAACCCAATCAGTCTGACTCCAGGGTCTGATTTTTCAACTACTACACTCTACTGATACTATAGTAAGGAAAAGCTCCTTGGAGCATTTTAAAACTAAAATTTAAGTATACACTCTGGATTCCATATTTCTATTCAGAGGAAAAACATTTAAATTTTTACTACTTAGCTTCAGCCATGATTAAACATTATATCAGAATTAAAGATTTAGATAAAACAATTGGAAAAATCAGCTTTGAGGCACCTTCAAAAGACACACTAATGTTTTCCCACTTATAGGATGTGGGAAATAAAACGTAAGACAAATTTTTAACCTTTTACATGGTTGTTTTTTTTTTTTTTTTTTTTAGATGGAATTTCGCTGTTGTTGCCCAGGCTGGAGTGCAATGGTGCAGTCTTGGCTCACTGCAACCTCTGCCTCCCGGGTTCAAGCGATTCTCCTGCCTCAGCCTCCCAAGTAGTTGGGATTACAGATGCCTGCCACCACGTATTTTTATTAGTTACAGTTTTTGGAGACCAGGAATAAGGCTCAGCAGTGAAGATGTATGAACAAAGGCTACAGACATAGGGAATAAAGGTTAATGCTCAAATTTACTGCCCTTTAAAACATTTATGTGGCATGGTCAAATGCTGCCTTGGGACATAAATGACCACTGCTATACTTTCTTAAATCTGTGCAGTCATAAGTTTCCAATGAATTCAAAGTAAACAAGGATTGACATGGTCCTGGAATTCACCAATTTGCTTTTTATTAGTACCTCTTACAATACCCACAAATCTCTAGGATCTCTTAAGCTTTGTTTATGCAATATGGAACACTGACAATTGCACTGACGACACTGTACTTTAATGCTTTCAAAAGTCATTCTCACATGATCACAATTGGCTACTCTCCTCTTGCTCCACTGTCCATAATGGTCGATACTTAGAAGTAACCCTTCATCTCCCTCCAAACTTTTGTTAATGCAGCAAAGAATACCCTGAGGTAGTATATGGAATCACAGAATGTGAACAAATAAAATAACTTACGCTGTAGAAGGCTGTCTGATTAGGTCTGAGATTTGTTTAGATAGTTGGTGAGAACTTCGAACCATCATGCTATGTAAGGTGGCAGGGTGCTGAGGAATGTTGATACTGATAGCTCCTACTTTGAACACAGCAGCATTGTTTGTCTTCAGCCCTCTTTGGGCACTGTAGAGGGCTTGGGACTTGGCAATACTACATTTCACTACAGTTCTATCAATAGAGAAAGAAGACTATTAAAATACAGCCAACAGCCAAGTAAAGAGAAATTTTGAAAAAATATTGAGAGCAAGAAAAATACTTATAAATTTGAGAGGTCTTCAAAAAGTTCATGGAAAATGTGTATTACAAAAAAAGTGTAGATTTCAGAATTATTTTGCACCAAAATAAACTCATATTCACTTGTTGAAACATGTGAACATGATCTTCTTTAAAGTACCAAGAAGGATAAGATATCAGTTTGACAGAGCCCCCATCAAAACAACATGAATTCTGCTAAAATTGAAGCAAGAACAAGCATCAAGTTTATGGTGAAGTTTGGGCGAATTATAGCAAAATCATTGATGCTTTATAAAAAGCCTTTGGGGATAGTATCCCAAAGCAATCAGCAGTTTACAAATGGATAACTCAAGAAGGGACAAGACAATGTTGATGAAGCCCACAGTGGCAAACCAAGTATCAATTTGCAAGGAAAAATTTTATCTTCTTTGTGTCTAACTGAAGAGGACCAACAATTAACAGCACAAACAACAGCCAACACCATAGACAACTTCAATTGATTCAGCTTACACAATTCTGACTAAAAAATCAAAGTTGAGCAAACTTTTCCACTCGATGGGTGCCAAAACCATTGCTCCCAGATCAACTCCAAACAAAGGCAGAGCTTTCAATGGAAATTTTAAACAAGTGAGATCAAGATCCTGAAGCATTTCTTCAAAGAATTGTAATGGGAGATTAAACATAGCTTTACCAGTACAATACTAAAACTAAAGTACAATCAAAGCAATGGCTACAAAGAAGTGGAAGTGGTCCAGTCAAATCAAAAGCAGATCAGTCATGGCTGGGCATGGTGGCTCCCACCTGTAATCCCAACACTTTGAAAGTGAGGTGAGCAGATCACTTGAGCTCGGGAGTTTGAAATCAGCCTGGGCAACAAGGAAAAAACCCATCTCTAGAAAAAATATAAAAATTAGCTGGGTATAGTGGCACATACCTGCAGTCCCTGCTACTTGGAAGGATGAGGTGGGAGGATTGCGTGAACCCAGGAGACGGAGATTGCAGTGAGCTGAGATTGCACCACTGCACTCCCGCATGGGGAGCAGATAAAAGTGGACCAGTCAAAAGCAAAGGTCATGGCAACAGTTTTTTGGGATGCTCAAGGCATTTTGCTTGTTGACTTTCTTGAGGGCCAAAGAATGATAACATCTGCTTATTAAGAGAGTGATTTCAGAAAGGTAGCCCTAGCTTTACTAGAAAAATGCTCGGGAAAGCTTTACCAGTCCTCCACCACAACAATGCTCTCGCTCATTCCTCTTGTCAAACAAGAGCAATTCTGTTAAGAGTTTTGATGGGAAATCAGTAGGCATCCATTTCACAGTCTTAATTTGGCTCCTTCTGACTTTTTTTGTTTCCTAATTAAAAAGAAAAAAAATTAAAGGGTGCGCATTTCTCTTCAGTTAATAATGTGAAAAAGACTGCATTGTCATGGGACCCCTCTGTTCATTAGCGAAGGAATAAATGGCTGGTATCACTGATTAGAAAAGTGTCTTGAACTTGATGGACCTTATGTTGGGAAATAAAGTTTATTTTTTTTATATCTTTAATTCCATTTTCCACAGTTTGTGAAGCCCCCTCGTAACTGAATGAACTGAAACGACTTAAAAATTTTTATGTGTTTATACAATGAAGAAACAATGTTATCTAAAAATATTAATATATTTATTTTATGCTATTTGCACTGAATAGTGTTTAATTTCTTTAATAGGAAGAATCTATAGAAGAAAATAAGTATATTCTCACATGTAAGTAAAAACATGAACAAGATATTTTATATTACATACACAGACACACAACATTCCACTTTTTATTTTACCCCCATTCAGAACTCTTTTCTTCTCCACCTTATTTTAGAGATCTGTACAACCACTATACAGACATTAAATATGAAAAGAAAAAATATTCACTATACTTCTTAAAATCTAATTAGGGAGTCAAAGAAATTAGAATAACAATCATCCACTATGTTACAAGAAATTGATAGGAAGGAGGAAGTGTAACTTGCATTTTCTGCTTTTCATTTTCAGTGAGTGGTAAACAAATGATAAAAGTCTGATTCATAATGAGCAAGGCTATTACTTTTATTAAGAATTGGTATCCTTTAATTACTAGTACAGATATAAAGCAAAGATACGATCTTTCTTGATTTCTTTTGCTCTTTCCAATGCCTAGAACAGTTCCTGGGAGATTAAAATAGACACTTGCCAAATATTTGTGAAATGAAAGAGCAGAAAGAAGTAAAGCAAAAGAATGACTTCTACCACTACAACTGTGGAATTCCACAGATAGGATATGATAGGACATTTATGTAGAAGCCATAATGAAGTAGTGTTTGACACATACACACACCCTCACATACATTATTTGTTTTTTAAGATGGGGTCTCGTTGTTGCCCAGGCTGGAGTGCAGTGACACCATCATAGCTCACTATAGCCTGGACCTCTTGGGCTCAAGTGATCCTCCCAACTCAGTCTCTCAAGTGGCTGGGACTACAGAGACGTGCCACCATGCCCAGCTAACTTGTTTTTAAATTTTTTGTAGAGACAGGGTCTCATTATATTTCTCAGGCTGGTCTCAAACTCCTGGCCTCAAGCAATCCTCCCACCTTGGCTCCAATAACTTCTAATATAAATGTGATCCTTCAAATGGGCAAATGATTCTTGACAATCACTAAATTTGGCAAAATACACAAAATACATATTTCATATTAATTACAGGCCAGTTTACATAATCTCTGCTGGGCTGCAGAAAATTTGCCAATTATTTATAGTCTCAAAGATATGAAGAACCAGTTCATCACATTTAACTTTTATTAGGATAAACGCAAAGCCCAACAGTAGCTCTATCAGAGGTCTTGATTGTTTATAAACAGTAAAATCTAGGTATTACATAAAATTCAAAACCAATTACTAGAGAAATACACTTTTTTCTTCCACAAGACACTATTTCTCAGAGATGATCACCAGAGGGTGGAGGCAGTAGTTTACGGAATTGGCCTAGTCAGCATGAAGGTAGGCTCTGAAATGCTGCTACTTACTGAATTTTGAATCATTTCTAACATTATAATAATTAAAACCATTGTTTAACACCAACATTTCAAGTTCAGTTTCAACATAAGCCAGAACACACCCAGATGGTGCTGACATGCAAATGGCTCTCTAGATGTGAACAGCATTCATCTATTGAATGAAACTAAACACATATTTACATATAGTAAAGGCCATGAAAATCTATTAACAGAGTAGTCAACTCTCCCCATCTTAAATACAGAATTATAAGGCTGAGATGTACAGATGTTTTGTTAGTGTTTTAATAATTATTTCTACAATTAGTGAAAACTCTTTCTTGCAAAGTGAATTTTTTAAGCTTCCATTATCATATCAAAAATTAAGTACTTTGATCATAGAAATTTTAATAGTAACATGTCTGAAAAGGCACAAGCAACACACAACTACAGTGTTACAACTTGTCAACAACAACAGACAAGGTATGAATTACCAAAAAAGCAGCCCTTACCTGTGTTTTCCTTGATTACCAGTAAGCTTTAATCTATTATATAAAAGGGCCTATATTACAGCTACAAAACAATAACTAAATAATTCACAGCCATGAAAAAAATTTAAATATTTTAAAAACTATTCAATACTACAGTAATTACAAAGCCATGAAAAAGAATAATATGACATACAGAAACTCTTGTTTGGCTGTACTTGTAGGAGATGTAGGAAAATCCTCCAGTCTACAGATGAAGAGTCAAGAGAAAGTGGGAAAACAAAAAGGAGGCAAATAAACATTCATGCACAAATTAGTTACAATATGACCAATCATCTGGAAAGCTTTTCTAATTTCCCACTCTTAAAATGTTCCTTTAAAGTACCATTTGAACCATTTTTTTCCATTCCATTTCCTCTTCATTGCAATTGAAAATGAAATACCAAAGAATACACTACGAGTTTGGCAGTAACTAATAAATAATTTTTATTTTTCAAATAAAACAGTTAAGGGATCTTTACTTGGGGGAAAAAAGAGCAAGAAATATCAGCTATATAATACTTTACCAAAAATCTGTTCTATAAACATTATGTTTTGCAAGGTTAAAGACTATTGGAAGCCCTTCTCTTAAGAGATAACAAATAATGAAGAGAAGTGATCCAGGAGGATAGAGTAAATAAAACTCATGGGACACCTAAAGAAATTTAGTTTACTTTCTGAAGGTAACGTACCCATGGTACTTCAAATTTAGAGTAAATGAAGGATTCGTGGAATCCATGGTCTATGACTTTCAGTAGAAGCATTATAAGGTCGAAAGAGTATAGATTCAGGCATCTCTTCTTACTGACTATATTAAGTATTTTAGGCACTATGTTGATCTTTCTGAACCTCAATTTATTGTTCTGTAAAGGTAGATAAGACCACTCCAGTTCCCAAAATTGCAGTGAAGATTAAATATAATAATCTAGGTGAGGCTTCTGGCCCACAGTAGGCACTTAATAATATTATAATTAATACATAATAATAACCCCTTCTCCTATATTGAATGAACAAAAAAAGATCTCATCTCTCACAACCACCGGAATTTCCTGCCTTTCTTGAAAAGACTTCTTAGGAAATGTGATCTGAATAGTAGGCAGCTATTATGAAATATACAGTCTTTAGTTCTACACTTATAGGTCCAAACCGAACCTCAGACAGTCTCCAGGAAGTCTTGAGAATGGGCCCTGTCTGAGTTGCTGATTTTAGCCAAAACTCATTGCAGAAAGCTATGGCCCATTAATAAACATCCATTTCAGGAAATATTCCCCAAGGTAGCTATCACATTATTCAGATTTTTAAAATATTATTAGAGCTGTAACATATCATACTTCTTAGTCAATCTAGGACTAATACTTAATTTTTATAACGCTGAACCAAATCCTCTATTTAGTCATGTTGGATGTGTTACAGGATAACAGTAGCACAACATTAACTAGTCATAATATTAAGAAAGAGCAAATTCTGAAAATCTGACCTAAATTATCAAAGGCTGTTTTGTAGTTAACATGAAACTGCTCTGCTGAATGGAAGTTAGGAATGAAGGTATATACCACCAATTTTAGAAAGACAAAAAGTATTTTTCTAAAATATTTTATTTGGTGATATTCTTAACGACAGGATTCTCAGTATCTGGGAACTGATATTGTATATACAAACCTCAAAATTCAGCATGTTTATCCAAAGAATTTCCATTTTTGTCTAAAACTATAAGTGTAAGAAAATAAAAACTGACATACTTACTGTATATTTGGTGTAATCCCTTCAAGCAGCACAATATTAACCCCACCAATATGAGCAGTAGCACAAGTCTCAGTCATCTTTTGATGTAAAACATCTTAAATATGAGAAAAAATATTTATTTGAATTCTGGATATAAGATACTTGCATTTCATATTAAAATTACATTTTATTCATAATATATTCAGTAGCAAAAGATAATTTTAAAGTTATGGTAAATTTTGTTCAACTATTTCAGAGCTACTTTTTAAAAAATTTCCTTAGTTTTTCATTTCTCTGCATTTAATACATACATACATATTAAATGTCAAAATTGCAATAATGCAAAATATACACTTCAATATGCCATTCCTGCATTAGTCTACTGGCATTACATAGCCTAATGGCATTTTACATCTCAGAAATAATACTTACTGCAGAAAAGTTGGAAAATTTTAAAAAATAAGAAAAAGAAACCACATAAACCAGCACTCTTGGTCCATATAATTCCTGTGATTTTAATGGAGGGTATAAATATTTTAATTACTTAAAAAAATGAAATCACATAAACAATTTTGCCTACTTTTTTCATTTAGCATTATTGTTCATATTAATAAATTCTGCAGTATAATTTTAATGGGTAAATTGTAAACTGGCATATGTTTGTTTATAAAAATAACCAGTTCTTTAATGCCAGACACTTGGCGGCTTCTTTGTACAGATATCTTTTCACACAATTCTGATCATTTCTTATACCTAGGTTTGCAGACCTCGAATTGCTGAGTCAAAAGATAAATGTGCTCTAAAGACTACTGATAAAAGCTATTAAATTAACCTTCAGGCAGGTTAAACCAATTTATATCAATTTAAAAGTGAATGAAAATGTCCATTTCTCTAATTCTCACCATAAATGAGTATGGTCATTCTTAACTTTGGCTAAACAGATGAAAAAACTGACAATTTTTTTTTTTTAAATATCAACTTAGACATCTGAGCATTTGTGTATTGTTTATATCCTTTGTGATATTTCCAGGGAAGGCTGATGTATTTGTATTTTTCTTAGCAATTTGCAGTCAGTCCACCTAATTTTTTCAGAGAACCGTGTGTGTGGTTCACCATGTCAATCCCAAGTACATAATCCTCAAATTTAAAATTAGTTTTTTGAGTAAATAATAAATGTTTAGGGTACAAAACAGGTAAAGAAGGGTATATAACAAAAAGTAGGTTCAAAGTAAGTTTTGATTAGACCTTACAAATTTCTGAATCATAAAGTTAACAATAAAAACACATGGTGATTGATAACTTCCTTTTCTCATGTAATATAATCTGTCAGGTTATTTTCACAACCAGAAAAAAAACCACACTGGTTTTATATAATCATTGCTGCAAGAGAATCCCTGCAACTTTATTGCTGTATCCACTGAGTCTAAGAAACATTTGCTTTTTTATTTTAGCATCTCTGAAAGTGGGATGCAGTTTACAATCAATGGCATCTGACCATATCTGGCAATGGTATTTTCTTTGTGATACATAAAATAATAGGGCATCTTCAAATTGATGGGCTCCTGGATTTGACAAAATATCATACCTTGTGTAATCATTCTCAAGATAAATGGTATGTTTTCACTAACCTAGGAAATTTTATATCAACTAAAGGGACTTCTTTTTATAGAGATACTTAGTATTAGATTATAAGATTTCTATGGTAGTTAACAAAAGCAAATTTTTCATAAATTTCATTATTTTGGTAAAATGTTCAGCCTTTAGAGACATCTTAGTAGTTGATATTAAAAGACAAAGAATAAATGTCACCGAGTATAGGTACATCGACTCAATATTTATGTGCTAAAATATTTAGACATCAAAGCTGCCTCAATTCACTGATACTCAATTACAACAAAGTTCTTGGTACCTCAGAATTTGGGAAGTCCAGTTTTTCTGGGAAAAAAAAAATTTGCCAATTAGGAATTTTGGAGACATGGCAGTGGTTTTCTTCAGAGAAGTAGCACTAATTATTATGTATACATAGCACTTTATTAGAAAAATCATTCATACCTTTCATTTTTTCCTTAAGAGTAAAACTGCCATGGATCCTCTTCAGTTCTGATTCCATTGTTAGTCCACCAATATCTGCCTCTAGGTGTGTGCGGTTCACCATGCCAATCCCAAACACTATTAGAGTAACATGCTGAGGTTCAGAAGTTACCAAGCTACGTTTCCTCTGAGTCTTAGTCAAACTGCTGTTGTCTTGTTCATTCTCAAACACAACTTTACATGTTGGCTCTGTAGGGCTCCGAACTCCTTTATAAGTAAATGAAAATATACAATTTTAGATACGAAGACTGAAAAATGGAAGGACATTCCAAACATTGTCTTACCTTTCTTTCCTTCACATTCCCAACCAGTCCTCTTTCTCCTAATCCCCAACAAAATGATTAAAAATTTCTTCAACATTTTTCCAAGTTCCTACTGAAAGTGAATAGTAGAGCCAGATATTTTAAATCAGGTCTGTCTAAATCCTTTAAGAACATACCACGTAAGAGTTTAAAAGGTTGGGAAATGTGGTGGCAGGATATCTGAATTCCATTACTGTTTTATTTCCCTGGTGATAGACAATTTCTCTCCATTTCAATTATCCACTTACGACATTAAGAAAACATGATGAACAGTCTTCTGCTTCTTTGGTATTATTGTTATTGTAAATGGAAATTTTTAAAACATAAAAATGTCTGTTACCTGCTGGTCCAAATGTTTCTGAAGACTTTTCCAATATTCCTGTTGGATCGGAGATAAGTGAATAGAAGTTAAGCAATTTATACATATTCTGCCAGCACTCAGCTGAAGGCTCACTTTGTTCTGACACTGTAATTGAATCAGAGTCATCCATATGAATAGTCATGTGATCCACCACATCTTTTGAACCTTTCCTAGACACTTTTGATGTTCTTCTTTCAGATCTTCCTAATGAATTCTTGTTTCGAGATTCCTTTTTGTTATTCTCATTGTTGGTCCGTTTGTTCTTTGCATTATTTACTCTATTGCCACCATTAAGACTTCCTCTAGAACTGCGGCTAAAGTCAGATGAACGAAAGTCCCGATGTTTTCTGGTTTTGAAGGTAGGTGTTGGGGAAGCAGATCCGGCTGTATATCTGCTAAGTTTAATATCAGTCTGAGTTGCTTTGATGTCATCTATCATTGTGCTAAACTGATGAATAAGACGAACCAAAGCCATATCTACATGCTGGCTTATTGACTGACAGGAAATAGTAAAGTTGCAGTGAAAGGTGTTATAATACCGCTTGCTGAGATCATGAAAAGAAAGGGCACTGGTAGAGTTCTGAGGGGTGCACACGGACTTTTCCATTACAACAGCACTGATGCTAAAGGTTCCCAACATTAATGCTGGTTTGAACTCAAGTGGAGGAAGATTCACATGGCCTTGCCTAAAAACGTGAAATAAAAAAAGGACACGGTTTTTCTTCCATTTTTCCAGAAACATACATCTTTATTAATTTATAGGCAAAATCATCTCCAAGGTAAAATATGAGTCTTAAATAATTTTAAGCAAGCAAACCAGTAAAATATGCTTTTTCACTAGGCCAGGCTTTTTATGAGTTCAAAGGTGGGCCTTTAAGTCTTCTTACTTAATCTTATTCTAAAACTAGTAAGTCAAAATCAGTCTTCTTATGTTAAGAAATGATTTCACTGAAGTGATAACACAACTTTTACTGTCATTTGATGGTATTGCCGTAGAGTATTGGAATTTAGAGTTAAGTATAGATCAATTAGGATACCTCACTTAACCATCCCCCCCTCCTACAATCTGTATCTAATATATTCATATTTAACATAATTTTATTTGATATTAGATAGGAAGCCCTCATGCTAAGTTGAAAGCAGACAGGAAAAGCAATTGAAACAAAAATTAGAAATACACACAAAACCTTAAAATCTGATAAAAAAATTATTTTGGCAAATCCTCCTGCTTATCTAAAGATTTTCATGTAAGACTATTATAGTAAATTTTAATATAGAAAGTCAAAAATATCTCAAATTTCTATAAACCAGCTACCAATAATAACAATAAGCCCCAAGCACCAAAACTGTAAAAAGGTATTTTTCCCTCTTCTTCCATGCACACTATGAATGTGCAGACATGGGAGTTTTTTCTGTAACAAAAAGAAAAAAATCAGAAGCTGCTTTGATATTTTGCATTTAACTTAAAGAATTTATAACTACAGAGCAATAATTCCTTAATGAATACTAGTATTTCTTAATTAATAAGAAAAATGCCCCATTGTAGTGTAATTTATGTAAATGCATAAACTCACAGGAAGTGTACAATCAATGCCAACTAAGCATATGGTCAGAGATGGAAAAACTTGATTTTGAGAATTAGAACAGACAGGAGAAGACTAAAAAGAGATGAAAATAATCCACAATTGCAAAAACAAGAATCTAAAACATGTAAGGGTAGTAAGAAAATCTTAAAGAGGGGAGATTCAAATAAAGGAGAAAAAGAAAATGGTATACCATAACAATTTGCCTGACAAGTAAAAGCCTGACATGGGCACTGCAGAGCCAAAGTTACAATTAAAATTTTAAAATATAAGTCCCTGATACGTGCAGCTACTTTTACTAGAGACAGCAAAGAGACAAAGAAACTATCATGTATGAGGACTTACTACATGCCAGACTCAATGCTAAATGTTTAGTAACTGCCCTGGCTTTACAAAGTAGTAGGAGAGTTATACATATTCATACAAGAAACTGTAACCCCAAACTAATATACAACAATCAGCAGAATGAACAATCTGCTACAAAAACAAACAAAAAACCCAGACAATACTGAAATTAATGGCTGGGAAAAGTATATTGCGGTGAAGGTCTCCAAATAAATAAGAGCTTAAGATGGAATTACAGGAGATCTGAGAAATAAAAGCTGATCATGAGTTAGTTGTAAGAATGTGGAGCATCGGAGCTGGCGCGTTAGTAGAAAAATTAAAAGGAATGTCAAGTTCAGCTAGACCAAACGCAATGAAGTTCACAGAATCACTCAAAGAAGCTCTCACTCAAAACAGACTTACTTGTGTGCTCAAATGAAGGTCTAGTCTGTTGTAGTATTATATGGTTTTTACTAGGCCAATAAATAGGCTACAGCTATAATTTTATTTATATAATCTATATCTCTATATACAGCCTATTACATATAAATTATATATAATTGAATTATATATAACCTAGTTATATATATGAAAACATAGACTGTATGTATACATATAAACATATTTATATATAAATGGATATATTTGTATGAAAGCTGTCTCTTGCAAATTTAAATATAAATTTAGCTCAGATATTTTAACCCTAGAGAGTATGTGTAGGTATTAATGTTTTGGGTCTGGATTTGATGGTTCCAATATTTTAAAATTTCAGTTACTGTGGTTTACTTAAATAACAAGTCTCCCAATAAGGCGATACAAATTTGTAACAAAGACTTACTGTGAAAACTGCATAAAGCACAAACTTACTGCTAGCTCTTCAGCCCACAAGTCAGTACAAAACAACAGATGAGCACTGTGATCATTGACTAGTCACATCACTTCAAAATGTGTCAGTGATAGTGATTAGTTGAAGCATACCTATTGTTCACTTCATGCACAGAAAGCACAATATGTAGTTACTTGTGTTGCCTCCTTGTTTCTCTCTCTGTAATAAATCCCCATAACATTTTACAAAAATGAATAATCAAATGAGGGAATTGGACAACAAAGATGAAAATGCAGCAAAGAAACTAAAAATGAAGATATTGGTAGGGAAGATCAATTGAACGGTGTTATAGAAGAAACAGCTGACCATGGAAATGTTGATACTTCCACTGTTTGAGACACTCTTAATATCTAGCCAGAAAAACTCAGTGGAGGCAAAATTATTGACATAAAGAGGAAAGTGGCCACGACAGAAAGGATGAAGATATCCCAGAGGAAGTGATGCTGACAAAAAACTTCATAGTAAAGGGAATCAAAGATTATTTCATGACATTGAAAGTGCAAAGGATAAAATGCTGAAAACTGATCCATACATACAAAGGAGTTCGACATTTTACCAAGGCACACAAAAGCTCCTTGTTCTGTATTATATGTTATATCATAAGGACAGGACCATTCAAACTACTCTTTGATAAGTTTTTAAAAAGAAATAAAATAGTCTAATTCTCAGTGTTTCTAACATTTTAAATTCCAATGTACTAAATATTAGTTTTACTTTTTTTTATTTCCCTATACATTTATAATAAATAGTAAGAACATTTTTAATGTTTTTACAAATACTGTCAATGTCACAAAAGTAATTTTTTTCACCGATTATTAAAATTGCCTTGTAGTTTCAGCTTGTACGGTCATTGTTATGGTATAAGACTATTGTGAAAAGCAAGAACTTTTGTTAAATTATTTAAAATTTAAATAGAAATATTTCAAATGAAAAATATATTTTACTTAGCTATATATCAGACACAAGTATTTTAATTTACCACCTTGCAAAAACACAAAAAGGATGAAAGAAACAATACTACAGAAACCTCTTGTCATAAATGCCATTTATCTCCATATTCTACTATTTCTATCGATTTAAGTCCCACTGAAAATAAAATCCCAAGTTCCCAAAATATTACTCAAATCCTGTTAGTGGGTATATTATTTCCTATTAAACACTAAAGAAACTGAAGAACCATCCATGACAATATAAAATAACAGCAAAAGATGGTTCTTAACTTTTACCATGCTACATTTCTATTTGTTTCTGATGGCTAGACTCTCAATATGACTTCTGCCCTATTTCTAATACAAAATACTACCTGACACGTCAACCCAGAACCCTTAAGATCATAAAAATTCCACTATTACAAGAGCCAAGTAAATAAATGGTGAGTGCATATATCAATATATATGACCCTCATCTATGTGCTAACGTGGTTCAAAAATATGCCTAAAAATAGGCCTCATAATCTGTTCATAAATGCAACTAGTTATTAATAAGAAAATGTGGCTACTACTTTTACTAAAAGGTAATTATCTTCTGATTAACATATTAAAATTACTTTCTTGGCTGGGCACGATGGCTCACGCCTGTAATCCCAGCACTTTGGGAGGCCGAGGCGGGTGGATCACGAGGTCAGGAGTTCAAGACCATCCTGGCTAACACAGTGAAACCCCGTCTCTACTAAAAATACAAAAACATTAGCCAGGCATGGTGGCAGGCGCTTGTGGTCCCGGCTACTCGGCAGGCTGAGGCAGGAGAATGGCATGAACCCGGGAGGTGGAGCTTGCAGTAAGCCGAGATTGCGCCACTGCACTCCAGCCTGGGCGACAGAGCGAGACTCCGTCTCAAAAAAAAAAAAAAAAAAAAAAAAATTACTTCCTTATTTGGATTACACGAAAGTAACGTTAAAAAACAAACGTATTATAATTCTTGCACAAAATTATACACAAAAATGCAAAAGACACCTTCTTGCTCTTTTGCCTTTTCTCTCTTTGGCTGTGTCTGAATCCACAATATCTGCTCTGAGGCAGTCCAAAGTCCCTGAAAATGAAAGGTGTTCTCCAAAGTACATTCGGTAGCAGAATGGCATTGTATCCTGTGACTGGATCCCTGTATGACTCAGAAGAGGCTTGAAAACAACCTAAAAGACATAAACATTCATATTAGCTCAACTTACAGCTTATCATTTACTGTAGAAATTACATGTAGGAAAATGCAGCTTTTATTTCTTACCCTACCTCAGTACATATTATTATTATCATAGTGTGAAGCAAAAATGGTCTCATATAATTGACTCTAACTTTACTTAAAATTTAATATTTTTAGTACCTATTATAGGCCACTCATCTTCAAATTAATAATAATAAATAAGGACACAGATTCCTTGACCCTACCTAAGTGTCTGAAAGTACAAGGAAAATAAAATTATGAATTAGTTAAATCATTCTACCTCTTGCTTTTAAAACAGGTATGAATTCCTATTGTGTTTCCATTTACAAAAAAAAACATATATTACATTCACAAAGTTGACTTTTCAACTTCCTGTGTTAATATAAAAACATTATAAATGTTATGAATATCTGACCTATTTTTAAATGGAAGCACTTGGTTGTAATAGTCATTTAACATTTATCTTCAGAGAACTTCCTTTACATTTTAAGTATCATACATGCTTATGGAGATAGATTATTCTGGTTAAATCTCTAGTTAACTGAATTTCAGACACAGCACTAACCTGAACAGAAAGAACTACATGTGTTCAATGCTAGAGCACTAAAATCACTCTGACTACTCATCCTCTGCCACATGGTTCCTTTTCCCCCTTCTACATTCTAAATATAGGTGCTATCCAGTGCTTTTCTCAGCCTCCTCTTTCACTACACATTCTACCTTAGTGATCTTTTCCTGAAGCTTAAAAAAACCCTATCTAGGCCGGGCACGGTGGCTCATGCCTGTAATCCCAGCACTTTGGGAGGCCAAGGCAGGTGGATCACGAGGTCAGATCGAGACCATCCTGGCTAACACGGTGAAACCCTGTCTCTACTAAAAATACAAAAAATTAGCTGGGCATAGTGGCGGGTGCCTGTATTCCAGCTACTTGGGAGGCTGAGGCAGGAGAATGGCGTGAACCCGGGAGGTGGAGCTTGCAGTGAGCCAAGATTGCACTACTGCACTCCAGCCTGGGCTATAGATCAAGACTCTGTCTCAAACAAACAAACAAACAACAACAAAAAAATATCTAAATGGACAAGTGCCATTTACACAATGAGAGCCAAGCCTGTATTTCCGATTGTCCTAGGTCACCTCATTTTTTTGTGTGTGCTTGGGAAGACAGCTCTCTCTTTAACTGACTCTAAATTCCAATACTTCTCATTTTTCTACTGATTTTGCTCCATCTGCTAACCGTTCTTTCCTTTATTTTTGATCATTAGCTTCCTAATTTCTCAAGTACAGTTGGCCCTCCATATCCAAGGGTTCTGCATCCAAGGACTCAACCAACCACATTGAAAATATTAGGGAGTAAAAACCAATAAAATATAACAATGTAACAATTAAAAAATACAAATAAAAACCCAATACAGTGTAACAATTATTGACGTAGCATTTACATTGCATTAGGTATTATAAGTAATCTAGAAAAGATTTAAAGTATACAGAAGGATGTATGTATGTTGTATGCAAATATATGCCATTCTATATAAGGGACTTGGGCATACCACAGATTTTGGTATCCTGGGTGGCGGATCAGAGGGTGGGTAGGGGGTTGGTCCTGCAACCAATCCCTTGAATACTGAGGGAGAGCTGTATGTAAATATGCTCAAGACACCTTTATCCTGAAAAAATGATGCCTCCTCTCACCCACGTCCCACTCTCACACTTGCCTGCTGGCTGTTCAAACCAAAGAGTATGTTTTAAAGGGTTTCACTCTTTATTCGCCATATTTAAGCAATTAAATAAGACTTTCACCATATCCTCATTTACCTTTTCAAAGCCATAAACATCTAAGCCTAGAGTCTCATTACCACTGGGTGAACTATTTCAATAATTCATCTTTTCAACACTAGTTTCTCTATTTCAATCAATTTAATACATTTGCTACTCATATAATATTTCTACATCTATAGTTTTTTACTTTATTCCTCTGCTCTAAAATCATCAATGCTTCCCCACTGCTCGCTCAATAAAGTCTTAACGTAGCACTAAAAACCATAGGGTATGATTATCTATTCATGTTGCTTAGCCAATTTGTTACGAATAACAAAAAGGTTACTATATGAGACTCTTCTATTTAATGATTACATATAGATAATTAATTTGCATTTATAACTAAGCCATGTACTTTTTAAAGGCTCCTCCTGTTTTGCATGAAGGCTGTAGGCAGATAGGTAAGGTATAGCCTCACTAGAATTCCAAGGTGCGTACTATTGGAGGTTCCAGTTGCTAAGCAATGCCTAAGGAGGTATTATTATAATTAGGAAAAAGCAGGCTGGCTCACCTGTGCATCAGCAAGCTGAACAGCAGGAAACCCTTGGTTTGCTTCTTCTACACCTGCCACATCATCCTGACTGGTGCTATGCTGAGAATGTGTCCCATCCAAAGTATTTTGGTCACTAGACAAGACAGTGTTGAAATCTGAGGCTGAGGGTATTGTTGGAAGATTGGGTGCAACACCTAATGGAGTAAATTTTTAAGAATAAAATGTAAATTATTGGGGAATAGAAACACATAAAAGTGTACAGCAGGGTAAACTTTTGAAGCCTGTATAGTAGTACCATTTCAAGACTGATTAAATTGAAAAGAAAAAAAATAATGCATACTTTTAGGTTATTTTACAGACATGATTTATTAGTGAAAAATGAAATTAACTTTTCAGAACACATGTCATCCTTATCTATCCTTATACATACATACTGTTTTAGATTTAATTAAATATTTGTTAAGTAACTAAAGGTTTAGAATGATAGTTATTAGGTCTCAGAGGGATCTAGATAAATTAAAACTATCTTTTGTAATATCAAGTATATGATGTTGTAATTACACTTTGCATTTTTTCATTTACCACTTAAACCAGCCACATTAAAAGGAAGCTTTAAACTCTTTATATACAATCTCACATTTGACATATTTGCCTTTCAACAAGAACACTGAGTGACTGCTTACTACTCTCTCAATTACAATATTATCAAAGGCATTTAAAAATATAAATGGACCAATTTCAACCAAACAGTACTTGTTTGATTTTTAACCCATCCCCTGAAAAATAAGATTTTGGTATATGTTCCCCTTAAGACAGTTAAGCAAAATAATGTGATAACTCAATACCTGTGGGAAGACTATTGTGTCCTGATTTTGTAACAGGAGATTCTTGTAACACACTTCCTCGATTACCCACAGCATTTGACATCCAATTATAGAAACTCACAGATGATGGCTCAGATAGCAAGGGATGTTCAGATAACATATCAGTGGCTACTGTATTTCCTGAAAATAAAATGTTTCTGAGTATAATATTATTTATATACTAAGGAGCAAAAAAATGTAATTTATATACCTATATTTGAAGAATCAAGTTAAAATGTATGTTTGCAGATGGTTTTGAATTCTCACTGCATAATGTTGGTATTTGGATATTAATGCATTAATAAATAGCTTATTTTTATTATAACAGGGGAAATTCTATGTTGCTGGTCTAGACAGTACCCCACACCAAATGCCTACATTGACATTCGTCAGAGCTGCAATTTAAAAATGCAAACTAAGGGCATGAAGACTCCGAAAAGTTACAAACAGAACAATGGATTCCTAAAATTTTTTCTCAAAGATAAGGTATGAGAGATTAGTTGTACTACCAAAGTATATATCTAACTAAACTTAAGTCCTGTTTCATCTCAATTCCCCCGTAAATATAAACATGTAATTATCAAATCTAGAGGACGTACCTGTTCTCGTTAGGGAGCTACTTTTCACAGCAGCACTGCTTCTCTGAGGAGTACCTTCCAGGAGGTTGTGCAGGCTTGGGAAGCTTCCAGTCAGGTAGCTGAGTAGGCTCTCCTTCCTTGGACTGTCCTTTACTGGCATCCCAGCACGTCCAACATGCACTGGAGAATCAGTGGCAGTGTCTCCACTGGTATAGCTCAGAGAATGATATGGGTGAATGCCCTACAGAAAGTGTAACTTAGGGTTATTTCTTATGTATATAAAAATGACAGCTGATAACTACAACCACTATTACTATTACTGTTGCTATAACTGCTAGCTACTTTGCACATTAATACCAAAACTGATCATGTATACTAGGATTGTGGTGAATCCTTTTTACATACGTCCTTAAATGTAGGTAAAAATGTTTTGCAACTCTATAGTACAAGACAAAGAGCCACTTTTATTATCAATATTATAATGAAGCACATCCACTTATTTTAACCATGGATCTTTAATTCCCTTCTTAATCTGATGAGGGAATCTGGTGACAAGACATAAAACCACATAGCACCGTATATCAAATAGATGGTGGAAATGAAGCACTATTCATACCTAAGGAGCAGTAAATAGTATATTGAAACTTCAGAAAGTTATACATAGCATGTTTGTGGAAGTGCCAGAGAACATTCATATGGGTAGCAAAGAAAAACAGTAGCCTGAAATATTTATATCACTGCTTATTTACTGAACCAGCAAACTGATACCTAGACACAATATCCCTTACACAAAATATTCCCTAGAAAAACTTACTATACACACACACACACACACACACACACACACACACACACAAAGGATCTGTAACATGACTGATCCCATCAAAAGTAAGTCTAGGTACTCAAAGAAACTAAAGAAAGAAAAGCTATCTATCTTCAGCAACCTTCCCTGCATTTTTTTACGGGAGTCAGAATAGACATCTACCTGGAAGGAAACTAGAGGCTTTTTGCTAATAGCAAGAAATGTTGACGCAATGGATACCAGTGCTGTGAAGCCCTTAAATGTCTTAACCTCCTCTGAAAAGCAGAAAAGCTTATTCCCTTTTCAATGCCCTCCCAGTCATCCTCACTTAGATGAGGAAAGGTGGAGGAAGGGTGTTGACACAGGAAGTAAAAGAACACTCACAACGTATTAAACACTTGATAAGCATGTTTCATGTATTAGCTTATTTAATCCTTAAGTTCTCCAAGGTAAGATATTCTGTCCTAAAGGATGAAGAAAAGTCCCTTACATACTTACTAAGGAAAAAGCCAGATTTTTAACCCATCTACCTAACTTCTACCTTCAAATTCTTAACACTAAATTATCCTTCCTACTACTCTAATAATCAAGGTGTGTTAAGATTTAATTCTCTGGAGAGCTCTGAAATGCCAAAAAGACTTTCCACAATTAATGAAAAAAAATTAAAAATTACAGAATTTTTCGATTTCTATCTTCTGTCACATCTATGATTAGAATGGCCGATCAATTTAAAATACAGTACAAAAAAAGACTACACAGGCAAAAAAGATCTTGAAAAGCAAAGATCGGAAACTAAGCATTTGGAATTTCACATTTTTAGAGGACTTTAATAACCCATAGCAAAAGAATGTTCAAAACAATTCTGAAAATGAACAGCTTTAACAGGAAAACACCTAAATATGATTCAGAAGGTTGAAAAAACTGTCCATCAGGAAAAAAAGCTAAGACAGATTAAAGTGTCCCAAGCGTCTAACTATACTGTGGAAACAATAAGCTCAATAGTTCAGTCTTCTTTTTAAAGTATATCAAACTATCATTGAATGTTTTAACTAAAAGAGCCATACTTACACAGAATAAAAACTTTGAAAGCCCAAGAGACTATTCAATAGAAAGTAAGTCCTGTGTTCCAATATACTGGATCCCTTTCCCAGAGACTCTCTTAACTGTTTCTTATCTATCTTTACATAAATCAGTTAGGCCTATATAAGTACATACATATTTATCCGTTTTTAAACACACAAATAGATATCATCCTATACTTTATCAGTGTACTTCGGTGATCATTCCATATCCACTTACAGATCTACTTCATCTAAAAGATTTCATAGTATGCATCTATATCAGTGTACGCTAGTTTATTAGTCCTCTAATGATTAGTCATTTGTGTTGTTTCCACTATTTTCCTTTTATAAATAGTGCTGCAAAGAACGTTCTTAGACTCATCATGTCTTCGCACATCTATGACTTTCTCTAGAATGAATTCCTCAATATGGAAATACTAGATAAAAGAGCATCACCTTCTAAATTTTGACACATATTGCCACATTGTTATTCAAAGAGGTTGCACCAATTTGATTCTCATCAATGCCGTATGAGTATCTGTTTTCTTACATCTTCACCAACAATGTACACTATTCAAAAGTTTTAGTCTTTCAATCTGATAAGTGAGAATGGAAATCTCATTTTAATTTACATTTCTTTAATTATAAGAAAACATTTTTGTATGTGTATATGTATTTTTCTGTGAACTACCTGTTTATATCATTTAACCATTTTTTCTATTTGGTATTGGCTTTTTTCTTACTGATAAGGATGAGATCTTTATATTTTAGAAAATTAGCCTTTTGTCATGTGTCTTACTGTTCTGTTTACAATACAGTCATGTGCCACATAATTACAGTTTAAGTGAACTACAGGCAACGTATACAACAGTGAACCCATAAGATTATAATATCATATTTTTACTGTATCTTTTCTGTGTTGAAATACACAAACACCATTGCATTCCAATTGCCCACTGGTTTCAGGATAGTAATATGCTGTACAGGTTTGTAGCCTAGGAGCAACAGGCTATCTATCCCATATAGTCTAGGTGTGTAGTAGGCTGTACCATCATCTAGGTTTGTGTAAGTACAGGCTATGATGTTTACACAATGACAAATTGCCTAATGATCCATTTCTCAGAATGCATCATCCCTGTCATTAAGTGATGCATGACTATATATTACTTTGTTCTGTGTAGAAATTTTTATTTAATATTGTCAAAATTATCATTTTACAGATTCTGGGTATCAATGTGAGTCTATACACAGACTTTCAAAGAAAGTTAAAATTTTTTTTTTTTGAGATGGCGTCTCGCTCTGTCGCCCAGGCTGGAGTGCAGTGGCAGGATCTAGGCTCACTGCAACCTCCACCTCCCAGGTTCAAGCAGTTCTCTGCCTCAGCCTCCCGAGTAGCTGGGATTACAGGCGCCTGCCACCACACCCGGCTAATTTTTGTATTTTTAGTAGAAATGGGGTTTCACCATCTTGGCCAGGCTGGTCTTGAACTCCTGACCTTGTGATCCACCCGCCTTGGCCTCCCAAAGTGCTGGAATTATAGGCATGAACCACCGCGCCTGGCCAGAAAGTTAAAATTTTAACTTTTTCAGTGCTCACAAAAGTAAACTAGCACAAAATAAAGAACCACCAACAACAATAACTAGCAAAAAATAAAGAACCAACAACAAATGATTCATTAAGGGTCAGATATTGCTCTAGGCATTTTTCATGAATTAACTCAATTATTTCTCACAACCCTCTTCAGAAGTTTACTATTATAATCTCCATCTTACACCAAGGAAACTGACGTACAGTTAAAGCCTGTTCAGTCAGAGAGCAACTAAGTGGCGGGGCAGGTTTCAAACCAAGGCAGTCTGGCTTGCAAGGTGGTACTCTAACCACTTTGCTATATGTCTCTTATCAAGCATCCATTAAATTCATAAAACCAAAAAAATTAAAATCATAAAACAGTCTAACCCAAACCACCTATTGATCACACACTGCCTAAAAGGCTTCTCATTAAAACTGATAATTATAAGATTATCAACATTTTCAATTTGGGATTTTATGGAATACAGTATTCAATAAACTGGAGACAGCTCTAAGGCTTGGTAGTTATAGTGGTCCTTAATCAACAGCAGTTACTGATGATACAATTTTCAAAGAAATATTTACACTGAAATTACAAATCAAGTTAATTTCAACACGAAAATGCTATCTGAATATTTAGGGTGGACACCTAACATTTAAATTTGAGATAAAATTTTAGGTTTTCTCTGTAAGTCTGGATAACTCTAACCAAAAAGAGCAATAATATACCTTTATTTTTAATGCAGAGTCACTATGGGTATGAGTTTTAGAAAGTTTCCTCATTATCTCAGCTCCAGTTACAGGTCCAGAGCTACCAGGTGGAGGCCGGTTAGCTGTTCCTTCTAATAGCATTGTGTGTTCACTGACTGTGGCTGAAACAGTTCAAAAGAATAAGTGAGCAATAGATTATCACACATTTTCATGAAACATCAGCCCCTATGTTTCTAGTTATATAATGACACTCAACTTTCATATTCCTTGACAAATATTTATTATTTTCTCCCCCACCCCAATCCTCTCACTCAGTTTCAAGAAAGGAACAAACGGCTTTTATTAGACTTTCACATATTCCATGCAAATGATACTCGGACCAAAAGTCAATTCAACTAAGCGCAAGAAAGCACAGACTGCTCATAGATTAACAGAGGGATTTGCAGATAATTGGAAGGGATATTCAGTGTACTGGTTTTCAAACTTTTGTGTAGATTTGAAATTTTCTAAAATAAGTAATAAAATCTACCCTATTCCTCATAACTCATTTATTTGTTAAATATCAAGTTATTTTTAAAACTAAGCTTGGTAAAGTTTTATATATCAATGTTCTAAAATCTCTAAGACTACTCTTTCAATATTTTTTTCAAAACATCATAACATGCATTTTCAATAAATATGATAGGTCATGATAATAAAAATTAATCTTTGGCAAAGCTTAAGGTATGCAAGTACATTTCATAAATGTATATCCACTATCTTTATTCTGACACAGCCATTTTGTTGACAAAATTGTAGGCTGAGCGCAGGCCCCAAAGTTTACATAAATTCAGGATCAAGCAGGCATCAGGTAAAAAGACAAAGGCCCCTTTAAAATACTGTGGCATAGGGAAGATGACAGACAAATACAAGTTTTAAATAGAGGTTTATGTGTTTCATTCAAAACGTTCTACTTATATTATCTTTGTCCTGGATAGATCAAGAGAAGTCTACTGTATTTCACAAAACTGAACTTATAAAATCAGGTCAGTATGAAGATTCCTAATCATTATCACTTACTTGGCCAATAAAAATCATACGTGTATACTTAAGCCATGACCATTTTCCAATTTGGGACATGAATTATTAAAATTATCACAAGTACCATATTAACAAGTATGTAATATCTAAAATTGCTTATATTAGTAATTTATTTGTAACTGTGAGGAAAAACAAAGGGTCTTGACATTTTTAAAGAGGTATATTAACTTACTGATAAAAGATGCATAATATCTAAGCAAAAAACATACAGTAATTGTGTTGAGTAAGAAAACACCCTAGTTTTGTGAGGTGTAAGAAAGTACTCAATAGAGGCTTACAAAACTACCTGCATCGAACTCAAATTCTGCTCCATCAGCACTGGTATCACTTTGAAGACCACCCCCATTGTCCAATCCAAGTCCATCTTCATGTTCATGGTCCATAGCTATTTGAGGTTTCAGAGGCTGAGCTGGTCTATGTAAGCTAACTCCTTTAAAGGCTGGTGTCACCACAATAAACTTCATCCACTGCCTTGCCAGTGCAACTAAACCTTTCTTCAAAGTTACCAAAGCAGGAAGTCCATCGCTCTGTAACAATAATCATGTGGTTAGAAGTAATCTAATGTAATAATATCAGTTACCATTTAAGTGCTTTGCATGTATTTATTCAAATCTCATAATACTCATTTAGAGATAAAGAAATTAAAACTTAGATGTTAAGTAATTTGTTCAAAGTTACCCAAGAGAGTCAGGATTTCAATTATAATGTAGACTACAGAATCTAATCTCTAGGCACAACGTTTCATCTTTGTGTCATAAAACAACACAATAGCACAGGTCAATATGATACTAGATGTGGAGTGCAAAGTTGGAATTTTCCTTAAGAAGCATTCAATCAACTTTACTTATTTTGCCCAAGTGAAGAATCAAAATGCATTTTGAGCTACTTGGAACATTCAATAAGCAAAGAGGAAGTAAAATTATTTCCTTCAAAGATTAGGTAACTACCATTGTGTTAACATTTAAAAAAATAAATTACTATAACTTATGTAGTATGCTAGACATAGATGAATTTGTAACTGCCTTGAAAGTTAACTGTATTATCAGTAATAATTATATAGTTTAAAATACATTTTATTCCACATGGTGATGATTGTAAGAAAGAAACTTTTGGCTCTTTTCCTGTTACCTTAGTCTAATTACCTTGCCTTAGCCTAAAGAAAGAGAAAAATATCTAACTCCTCTCCATCCTGTTTCCTATCATTCCTCATTTTAGGAGAAATGGTTAATTTGATTGAAGAGCACTATTTACTAGAAGGCAGGAATCACCCCGTTTACTTTCTGAGGAACACCAAGTCCACTAGCCTCTCCTTTCATTCCCAGCCTTGCATGACGGCCATGTTGTGCCTCTTCCTCTTACATGGAAAACACATCTGGCAGAGCATCCATCCATGGGAAACACCTGCCATTCTCTCTGTTCAAGCTTCTCTACCTATAACTACACAGGCAAGTTAGGCTTAAACTGTAGATTTCCCAGTCTTCAATTCACAGGGAGGGAGTAAAAAGTACTACACCAGCCTTAGGTCTAAGTGTCTTTTTCAAATCCAACACTTACTAGAGATTCTTGACTTGCCTGAACAATGGCTTGACTGGCCATTAATAATACTGATACATTGGTCCCTAATTTGACTAAAGATTCTTGTGTGTCCCCTATTGGCCAGCAACTTGGAGAAGAGAGATCCTAAAAGTTCTAAAACTCTAATCATGATGTTATCTGCTTTTCCAGAGGCAGAGATGGATTGTATTTATTTTGTGTGATTGTATATTCTCCCCTCAATCATCAATTAGTCCCTGTTTCATCAAACTGTATGTGAAATTTGGCTCTGGTGATTATTCTCTTGCTTAAAAACTCTTTATACCTTTAGCTTCCAAGACATCACTCTTTCCTAGTTCTCCTACCTCTTTCTTTCCCTTCCCATCACTTGGTGTATCCCTATCCAACCACCTACACCCCCTTTAATTTTGGCTTTCTTCAGGATTCCATCCCTGAGCAATTTCTTACCCAACATAGCATTCCTGGAAATCTCATCCATGTCTACAGCTTCTACTAACACCTTTATGCTGGCAACTCCCAAATCATTAGTCTGAGCACACTCTTTGTCTATAGACTTGTATTTCTTTTTTTTTCTTTTTCTTGAGACAGAGTTTTGCTCTTGTTGCCCAGGCTGGAGTGAAATGGTGCGATCTTGGTTTGCTGCAGCCTCTGCCTCCCAGGTTCAACCAGTTCTCCTGCCTCAGCCTCCCAAGTAGCTGGGATTACAGGTGACAGCCAGCACGCCCAGCTAATTTTTTGTATTTTTAGTAGAGACAGAGTTTTGCCATGTTGGCCAGCTCTTGGCCTCAAATGATCCAACCGCCTCAGCCTCCCAAAGTGCTGGGATTACAGGCCTATAGACTTGTATTTCTAACCATTCTCACATGCATCTCAAACCCTGTGTATCAGTGGTCCACCAACAGAATAGAGAATTCCTTAAAACTAATGTAGTTTCAGTAACTTACCATTGTAGCATCATCAATGATGGAGTAATTTGCCTGGTGCAGATAGTGGTGTAGTATATTACATAGTAAACATGAAGGATTTTCTTGGAGAAAGCGAGCAACTTTTGTAAGCCTGTTGTATTTACTTCTTAGGGGAAAATGTACACTTTTATTCTAAAATCAAGAAACAACAATAGATTTAGAGTGATAGGTATGAAAGAGCCTACAAATAAAAGACATTCAGTAATTAAGAACTTGTAAATCTGATATTTTCCAATAATGATTAACAATAAGGGGTCATTTTCAATACTAAAGTTTGTATAATACCTTGTATTATTTAAAGACATACCTCTAATGCTTCTGTCATTATGCATCCCATAACAGCACAAATTCTCAAGGTTCCCTCAGTTTCCAATTTGTTTAAAGATGACTTGAGTTGGTCAATGGGAACAAGCCATGCACCAACAGCTGGTGTTGCAGTGCTTAAAAGGTTCAGCTGCCTTTTTAACATAAATAAAAAATTATAAAAACAAGTGTCAAAATTTGTATTCCAAACAATCTCCCATACCTACTGTACTTAGTGGTTGTTTTACTCAGGCAAAATTAATTTCTTTTCTTTTTGAGCACTGATAAATTATGAAAGCATAACTAAGAAATGTTAAAAAAAATGGACAATAGAAAAGAAAGAAAAAAAAAAGCCTGTCAGAGATAAAAAGAGTAAACAAAAGTCTAAGGCAGAGGAACATATAAAAATAAAACTAAAGTACTATGAAAGAAATTGGGTCAAACAAGGTAAGACTAATGTCTACAGAACATATGAAGTAAGAATGATGAAAAAGTTGCAACCTTAATACTATATATACCAGAAAAGTAATTTTTAAAAATATGAAACAGAATTGTATACTATTTAAAATAAAGAAACATCAAGCGATACTACTATATTTTAAAAACTCTTTACCTAGAAAATGCATGTGTGTGAGATCTCACATTGGTGGGAGCTGCAAAACTAAACCAAATTTCTTTAATGGTCAACTTCATGCTACATGAATCTGGAGGAGGAGGCATCAGAGGTAGATCTTTTTTCAAATCATCAGATTCGACTCCTTCATCCTATATAAAATAGAATGCCAAAAACTTATTAACATACAGCCCCTTAAAACCACTAACACAGAGGCTAATGTTTTAAGTGCAAAACCTTTTCATCAAATCAAGTCTGGGAAAGTCTTTACTTCTCCTTCAGGTTTGAAGGATATTTTTGCCAGATATACTATTCTTTTAAAAGTGTTTTTCCTTCAGCACTTTAAATATGTCATGCCACTCTCTCCTGGCCTGTAAAGATTCCACTGAAAAGTCTGCTGCCAGTTTTATCAGAGCTCCATCGTATGTTATTTGTTTCTTTTCTCTTGCTGCTTTTGGGATCCTTTCTTTATGCTTGATCTTTGGGAGTTTAATGATTAAATATCCTGAGGTAGTCTTAATTGGTTTAAATCTGCTCGGTATTCTCTACCTTCTTGTACTTGAATATTGATATCTTTCTCAAGGTTTGGGAAGTTCTCTGTTGTTACCCCTTTAAACAAACTTTCCACCCGTCTTTCTCTACCTTCTCTTTAAGGCCAGTAACTATTAGATTTGCCCTTTTGAGGCTATTTTCTAGATCTTGTAGGCATGCTTCGTTCTTTTTCATTCCTTTTTTCTTTTGTCTCCTCTATGTATTTTCAAACAGTCTGTCTTCAAGCTCATTAATTCTTTCTTCTGCTTGAACAATTTTGCTGTTAAGAGACTCTGATGCATTCTTCACTATGTCACTTGGATTTTTCAACTCTAGAATTTCTGCTGGATTCTTTTTAATTATTTGTCAAATTTATCTAATAAGATTCTGAATCCCTTCTCTGTGTTACCTTGAATTTCTCTGACTTTCCTCAACACAGTTATTTTGAATTCTTTGTCTGAAAGGTCACACATCTGCTTCTCTGGGATTAGTCTCTGGTGCCTTATTTAATTCATTTGGTGAGGTCGTAGTTTGCTGGCTGTTTTTGATGTTTGTGGACGTTCATCAATGTCTGGGCATTGAAGAGTTAGGTGTTTATTGTAGTCTTCACACTCTGGGCTTGTTTGTACCCATCCTTCTTGGGAAGGCTTTTCAGGTATTCAAAGGGACTTGGGTGTTATAAGTTTCTGGTCAGCAAAGTCATATCTGCATTAGGGGGCATCCCAAGCCCTGTATCACTGTTCTTGCAACTTATAGAGGTACCACCTTGGTGGTCTTGGATAAGATCCAGAAGATTCTCTGGATTACCAGACAGAGGCTCTTATTATCTTCCCTTACTTTCTCCCAAGCAGAGTCTCTCTCTGTGTGTGCTGAGCTTCCTGGAGCTGGTGCAGTGACACAAGCACCCCTGTGGCTACCACCAGTGGAACTGTGTGGGGTTAGACCTGAAGCCAGCATAGCACTGGGTCTCACCCAGGGCCCCCTGTAACCACTACCTGGCTTCTGCCTACGTTTGCTCACAGACCTAGAGCTGTACAATCAGCAGGTGGCGAAGCCAGCCAGGCTTGTGTCTTTCCCTTCAGGGTGGCGAGTTCGCCAGGCTCTGGGCAGGTCTAGAGATGCTATCCAGGAGCCAACAACTGGAGACAAAAACCTTATAAATCTACTTGGTGTTTTATTCTACCATGGCTGAGCTGGCACTCATATCACAAGACACAGACCTTCCCACTCTTCCCTCCCCTTTCCACAGGCAGAGAATCCTTACCCCATGGCCACCACCATCACAGGCCCATGGGGAGTACTGTCACACTACCACTGATGTTCACTTAAGGCCCAAGGGCTGTTCTGTCAGCTTGTGGTGAATGCTGCCAGGCCTGAAACTCACCCTTCAGGACAGTGGGCTCCCTGCTGACCCAGGGCAGGTCCAGAAATGCCATCCAGGAGCCATGTCCTGAAATCAGGTACCCCAAGAGCCTGCTTAGTGCTCTGCACATTGTGGCTGTGCTGGCATCTAAGGTGCAAGACAAAGTCCCCATTACTTCTCCCTCTGCTTTCTCAAGCAGAAAGAATCTCTCACTATAGCCACCACAGCTAGGAACGTGCTAGGTCACACCTAAACCAGCACATCGTAGAGGGTCACCCAAGGCCCATGATATGCTACCTGGGTACTGCTGCTGGTTATTCAGGGCTCAAAGGCTCTTTAGTCAGCAGGTGATTGATCCTGCCAGGACTGGGTCCTTTCCTTCAATGCAGTGGGTTCCCTTCTGGCCTAGGGTGTGTCTAGAAATGTTGTCCAGGAGCTAGGGTCTGCAATGGAGGCTTCATGACTCTGTTAAATACTAAATGATGATGTCTAAAAGGCCACTAAACACAATCCTGGAGCTCAGGTGAAGAGCTGGTGCTAAAGGTGTGGCCAGTGGGAAAGAGAAGTGTCATTAAATTACGGAACTGACCTAGGAAATGAAATTCATCAGGGAGTAGTAGACAAATAGCAAGAAGAAAGGAAGAGCCAAGAACAGAACCTGAGGAAACCACCACATTTAAGAAGAAGAAAAAATTCCATAAAGAAATGGACCAATAAAGTCAGAGAACCCAAAGAAAGTAATGTTAGCCAATTCAAGGGCTTTCAGCAAGAAGAGTAGGATCTGAGAGATCAAGAAAGATGCCTGAATTTCTGTCAAGTATTTTAGTAGGTGAAGGAGAAGGAAAGAACAGCTAGGCTTTTCTCAGCTCTTTTGTCCAGTGAGTAGCTATTGTATTTTTAAATTTCCTTAATTAAAGTGATAATCCATCCCCTAAACATTTCCAAAGACACCAAAATAAAACTGTGATTAAACTCATTAAACTACATATTAAATAAAAACAAATGTTTTAAAAATAAATCCCTAGGAATCTGGGGGGTAAAGGTGAGTATACCCATGATTACTAGATACCCATACTAGACTTCCTAATTAAAAAGTGGTTTCTTTGGAACTTTTTCCTCTCCAATTGGCCTAATTTTCAAAGTGATCAGAAATATATGTACATACGTTTAAGAACAACAGTTACTACATTCTTATTACATACTACATACTGAGCTAAGCCCTTCATATGTATTACCTGCTTCAGTCTTCACAACGCTGCAAGGTCAATAACATGACCATACTCCTATTACAGGTAAAGAGACTTAGGAAAAGGTTAGGAACTTGCCCCAGGTCACCAGTTAGTGGCACGACATTTCTTCAACCAAAAATTTGGAATATTTTTGTTGTTGCTGTTACTGTACTCATCACCACCCATGTAATTCTACCATAATAAAAATAAAAAGTGAGTTGAATATAAGGTGCCATTCAGAACTCTTAACTGAAATAAGCAAACACTGACAAAAATATTTAGAACTGACATAAAATACTACCAATAACAAAATGACTTCTGCCTGCTAAAATCCTCCACACCCTATAGGTGGATTTCTCTTAAATTTTGTTAATTTATTAATTCAACAAATATTTATTAGGTATCTAATTTGAGCAAGGCATAATGCTAGGACTATGATGGATATAAATATATCTATGATATACTTTGGAAATTATATTCTAGTAGTATATTCACCAACACACTTTGACTAACATTTAAGCAGATATCATAAATCCAAAATAGGGAAAGACAGGCAAATACACTCCAGAAACTAATTTTGAATTGCATATGTAGTTTTCTTTGTTATTTTTCTAAAGCACCATTATTATTACTATTAGAAAGTCACTAACCTGTTCATCTGAAACAGAATTTCCATTTAAGTCTGAGGAAGGGCTTGTCCGGTCACATGGAAGATTATCATCAGAGACATCAGTATTATAGCCACTGCCGGTTGGAGAATCAGAAGAATTATTGGATGTCAGCACTCCACCCCTTTCTGTGTCACTAGCTTTACCCATAATTCCAAAACTGTTATATAAAACAGCACCAGACTGTCTTCCTCCTATAAAAATAAAAAAAAGCATTTATTATAAATGGTGAATAAGTGTCTTAATGCTGTACTCTACAATATCTGTATAAAATTTCATAAAGACTATTTTTTTCTCACCAAGTCTTTGCCCTAATCTATAAAAGTAATGTATCACTGAATTATCAGGTAAATAATTGTAGGCATATACAACTACTATTATTTATAGTAGTTACTATATTATATATTACTAAACCTAAAAAAAGTGTTATACACATTTCAACCTTCCTTTTTGAGCTATTACTCAAGAATATATAAAAAAGCAAATATAATTCTAAGTAGATATTTTTCGCTGAATAAAGAATTTACAGTTTTTATATCCTATATGGCATAATTCTACTGACCAAAGATCCAGTTTTCAAAGATGCAAAGTTTCAAAAAATTGGGTGGCTTTATATTTTATTTGGGAATTTATTCGGAAAAACATATTGTTGTTTTTCAAGCTCTACCTACTTTGGAAATCACATAATGGAGGAAAAGCTCCACTTAAGCAATTGGTATGAGGCACTCACCCCCGGTAAATAATCCCAGATACCACACTTTCTGCTTTATTATGTTGATTCAGGTTACTGAAAGCCATGATTGTTCAAAACATTTCTGCAATATAGGACATATTTGTCCCCACCTTAAGCAGAATTCAATAAAAAATGCTTGCCTTTTATGGTTAAATTTTCAAGTCCACATTCAAACATTATCCATCCCCATTTTTCTTGGCTGGGACCTATTCGAGTTACATCTGGAACAGCTTGCTGATCAGTTTCATCCACAAAAGTAAATTCATCCAACTCTTCAAGAGTAAATAAAACTTTGGACTTCTCAAAAGGAATAGCAGTGATTGCACAGGTCCCAATGTCTATTATCAAAAGAGAGCAAAATGACCATTTTTAAAGACATAAGCTTACATTAAAAAACACAAACATTTGGACATATGGCACACTGGTTGTCTTTAAAAGATATCTTAGTGCTCTGTCAAAAAGATAGAAAAACAGGCAAATGAGCTAACTTTTAGAATAATGCTGCCTAAGAGGAAGAAAAGAAGATTTTATGATTAACAAGTTGCTCAAAGGTAGTATGAATTTGTTTCTGAATGATTACAGGATACTCTAAAAAATATAAAGTTAAAAATATCCTAAATAATTTATCTTCACAGTAGTTTTAAATACTTTCATCATCTCACAAAATAAAAAAAAAATTCAATTAATTACCAAGCCTTAGGAAAAACATTATTTTCTAGGCAAATTATAGCTTTTACTAAAAGACTGTTTTATACTGACATATTTTACATAACTACAATTCATCATAGACCTTGTCATGGTTCCACTGCTTACAGATACACTGTGGAAATTAACACCCCAAGTGCCTGAGAGAAGTTTTACTTTATCTTACTTTTTTCATTTCTCTCTCTGATTATTGCTAATGAATATAAAAAAACAAAAAGAATATTAAAAACACATGTAAATTTACCATTCAAGGAGAACTTGTTTATATTTGAAGTACACTGCACTCTAGCCCTTTAGAGATCACTTTGCAAACCCAGCTTTGGCTCCCATTTTCATGCAACAGTAAATAATTTCCTCAGGTCATTAAAATTTTTTCAAAGATATCATTTTAATAGCTATATAATATTCTATGCTATGGAAATGTCATTCTTTGCATTTATAATTAAAAGGTCTTATTCAGAGAATAAACATTCACCTACATTTTCCTATAATTTTCTCATTATTTAATTTTTTTGTATTTGTCTTTAATCCCATACATATTCAGATGTATCAAAGTTCAAAAAATTATGAAAAAGTACGCAATGAAAAGCCTCTAACACCACAACCAGACACCTAGTTCCCCTCCCTATAAGGGTAACAAATATTATGAGGTTATTAAGTAACCTTTGGCAGATAACTAATGTACATATAAGCAAAGACATCTACATTTTTACAGAAATGTCCACCTTGGAATTTCGTTGGGAGTTTTGTCTTCAATGAGAGTGTTTTCTGCATGATAATGCCTTTCAAAATTATATAAGGTTCTGCTTATGGTCTGTATAATACCCAGTGCAAATTGGTTACCCACGCAAACTACAGAGCTGATAAAAGTGTCTTCACTCAAGCCACCACATTTTTCACCAGTTTTAGGACTACAGATCTTAGGTAGTCATGAAAAGTCCCTTGAAAACCTCAGGTCAAATGCTTTCAGCCTCACACCTGGGATGAAAAAAATAAGCCTTGAGAAAGTCAAAACAGGTACACAGACCCAGAATGCAGACAGGAATCATGGAAACTTCAGAACCTATAAAATACAGTAAGCAAATTCAGGGAATTCATTTGTTTACTCAGAATTGGTCACCAGTCCCACATAAAGATTTCAGCAGAGCAATCATCTCAAATACGATTAGCAAATCTAACTTTTTCTGAATTGAATCTCTGACATTCTGAAAACATTTAAGCATCTAAATGATAAAATGTGCTAAATAAGAATCAAAAATATTAAAATGATGTATAACAGCTCTACTTTCCTTTTACCTAACTAGGGACTTTAAGAGGAATGTGTGTCACCTTATTGCTGCTGTATTTTACAGACTCTCTGGTTTTGATTAATATTACAATTAATTCTTTCTAACACTGTTTTACAAACAGAATGACTTAAAAAATAAGAAAGACTATAAAGATCATGTCTTCTCTGTTCTATAACGAGCAAGTAAATAGCATGGAAAAAACACATGGGAAATAGAAACATGGGAAATAGAAGTTCCTAATTTGGGGCCATACCACTTAATTTTCTTACCAAAGTTTATTTTCTATTCTGTACAGAATGTGAGTGACAAGTAGCTAAATACCACGTGTTCAATATAGGGAGAAATACCTTTCTCTTTCTTATAGAATACCGAATTGTAGCAATAGTCAAAGGAAAAAAACATGTTCCCTTCTGCAAAATCATCTTACATTTATATATGCCAAGAAAAAACATATTTGTTGTAGAATCCTACCTGTTGTATCAAGACCCCTAAGTTGCCCATGAACTCGATGAATGTTTAACTTAGCTGCAATTTCTTTGCCTTTTTCTGCTCCAGCATTTGATCTGAGAGATCCAGATGACTGAGGCTGCATCTTTGTGGCATGAACATACCTATCAAAATTTGATGTTCTACCAGGTTCTGCATTGTTTGAAGTCTCTTCAACCACACCTCTTTATGAAAAAAAAGAGAGTAAAATGTTTAACATTTAAATAATACAGTTCAGAGAAAACATTTACCTAAAAGGTTTCCTTTAAAAAAAACAAAACACTCTACTATTATACACCAATAGTAGTAAAAAATTATTCAATGTTTACTGAAAGATACTATGAATAGAAACAGTAAAAATTTTTTAAAGACATATGTTACTAATCTATAAATTAAGATTTGAAATTCCAAAACCAGTTCTGAGTTTTAACATTACATTCTTAGAAATGTATTTTTAAAAGAAAAGATGATCAAGGCTTGCTTTTACATCCAGCAAGATAATCATGGCTCAGATTAATAAAGTATTTCTTACCTGTTCATGCGAACCTGTGTAGCAATTCTGTCAAAACACAATGCCACTAGGGAAACATGAGTCACACTCCTACTAGGAGCCGTAGTTGGAGATTCTTCCACTGAGGCTTGTAACAAACATAAGTTTACCTAACACACACACAAAATTTCAGAACTGACAAGTGAAAAATTACCACTTAAACATAAAATATGCACAAAAATGAAAAACTACTGTTAAGAATGGCATATCTATGTATTTGACAGTGAAGACAAAGCTTATGAATACAGATTCTCATAAAATAATCATAATTAAATTTTTACTGGATGGATGTGGAACATTCTACTATTACCTAATATTCTGCTTAAGTAAACTATTTACATTCCATTAGATCTACATTAGATCATAGAAATAAAACATATTTTTTTAATATTACACACTGTTCTACCATTATTCACGTTGGTAACTGAAAAGGACAAACACCATCAAAATGCTCTCCTCTTTCAGGAAAAAATTTTTAAATATTAAATTGTTACCTTTGGTATGCTAACATTAGTCTGAAGACCTTTAATTGTTACATTATCTTGCTTCATTGTAAGATTTGTCTGTGCTTGTCCTTGGTTAGTCGTTCCTATTGTAGACTGCTCAGTTTTTGTTCCTCTAATGTCTTGTTTGGAAGATAACTAAAAAGATCGTAAGTGAAATTATTTCACAAGCTTTTCATAACTTCCACATCATCCACAACAGCAACTCACTTATTCACGCTGCCCCTCTATGCCTATCTATGTGCCAGCTGCGTTCTAGTTTTATATCCCACCTTAAAATCCAAACTTTCGATAAGCTAGGAAAAAGACTGGTAGCATCATGGTTGAGAAAAGTAATACACATTAAATTGAAATCAGCCTACAGAGAAGCAGACAGAAAAAATGGTACAGTAATTACAGGCATTTTTTAAGATCACTAAACTCTTCTGGCTTGAAAACAAACTTGGTTTCTGATAATTGGCCCCTTTTTGGCTAGGAATATTTTCAAATTTCTTTTTTTCACTCTTCTACTCTATCACATGAAATGCCAATATATATTAAATAAATAGTTAACTAAAATAATCAGTCTCACTTTCATCTCTCTTCTGGTCCCTACTCTAAGTATAATCCAGATAAATTTGAAAATCAAATGGAGAAGCTCTGGAAGAGCACTGGGATATGACTGCTAAGCAACTGGCTTCGTGGCTGGAACCACAATGTAAGTAGAATATCATACAATGAGAGTAGTGACTTGATTCACTGAAGTGAACGAGGAAAATCTCAAAAGTAATATTAAGATACAAGTCATCTAATCATAGAGGAAAATCAAAACATAAACAGCTGTCTTAGAAAAGCAAGGTGTCAGTCCTAAAGAATATTCATTCACTTAGGGCCAAAGCACTTTAGAAAAGGCTTGGAACTAAGCTGCTTCTGAAATAAAAGAAACAAAGAAAGCTATTAATATATTTTTTAAATAAATATTTTTACTACTATTCCATCTATAGTACAGTTATATGTCCTATCTTTTACAGAGCCAATGACATATAAACGCTTTTAGAACATGTCCAAATATTCTGATTTAACTTGTAAAGAAAATTTTTCAAGTTTGAATATTCTGTAACCATGATAAATATTCAATTTGCTATGCCCATTGAATTAAAAAGTTCTTACATTTTCTGAAAAGGTAGTCTTGCTATTTTGGACAGCTTCCCTGAGGACTTTAGCATGAAGATCATCTACAATTGCAGCTGGATGTCGGGTACTAGCACAATGAACCATTGCTTCAATATATCTGAGGGGAAAAAACAGTAAATGAAATATTTAAATGTCGTTGATTCTACAACTTAGTTTATGTAAACATATCATGAAACGTAGCACCATCTGAATATGTACAACAATTGCTCAACATTGAAATGAGAATGTCTAAGCCACATATTTAGAAATTATACAAGGGAAACATTTCTGAGGTTATCCCCACATCACCACCTTCACCCCAAGATGAAGTGTTCCACACTGGGCAATGATCTTTTCTTTAACAAACTTCTGAAGAAGATTTCCTGTGTTCTTCATTTATATGACATATCATAAGAATCTTAATAGTATAAGTTATCGAAGAAAATTATGTGCTTTTGCAGGAAAAGGAAGATTTTCATGAAAGCTCGTTTCCACCGAACCCCTTTTCTCTTCCCAACCGCTTCTACACCACTTCCATTATGTTCCATTCTCATTTTTATTCATGTTAGTTTTATATAATAATATGTAATATTATATTATTGTAATATTATTATATTATTGCAATATAATAATTAATTTGAATATACAGTCAGCTCTCCATATCTGTGGGTTCCAAATCCACACATTTAACCAAGCGCAGACTGAAAATACAGTATTCAGAATACAGTATTTGTGGGATGCAGAACCCACCAATACAGAAGGTTGACTTTTTTGATCCGCGGGTTCCACAGGACCAACTTGCAAGACTTGAGCATCTGTGGATTTTGGTATCCACAGGTGTTCTGGAACCAATAGCCAACAGATATGGAGGGACAACTCCAATTATTTAGGCTGAGAAAGTAGCAAATGATAACTGAAACACAGACCTCTTTAAGCATATTTTCATTTTTATTCAATCAAAATAGCTATCAATAATCTTCTATATGAACATATATCACATATACTTATAACTATCAACAATCTTCTACACGAACATATCACATATACTTATCATATCACAGAGTAATCATTGTATAAAGCAACAGTTGTATTTCTAGACAAAATCAATACCTGTCTAAAGCTTCAGCCACCAGGGGAGTCAAAACAATATCAACAGTTCCTTTTACTTCAACTATGGCTGTTGTCCTGGTCTGGGACACTGGTTGATCCAGGGTCCACTCTTCTGTTAATGTTTCATCATCTGTGTTATCAGCGAGTTTTTTTTCCAATGGAGTATACGGCGTACTATACAATTTAACAAGCAAATTGTATATTAAAAAGACCATGAATTAGAAGTTGGAGCTTCCTTAAGATGAGTGAACACATGCATTCATTACAACTAAAAATTTTATGGAATTGGACTTGACTTTTTTTTTTTCTTTGAGATAGAGTCTCACTCTGTCACCTAGGCTGGAGTGCAGTGGTGCGATCTCAGCTCACTGCAACCTCCTCCTCCCAAGTAGCTGGGATTACAGGCATGCGCCACTATGCCTAATTTTTTTGTATTTTTTGTACTAAAAAGTAGAGATGGGGTTTTGCCATGTTGGCCAGGCTGGTCTCGAATTCCTGACCTCAAGTGATCTGCCAGCCATGGCCTCCCAAAATGCTGGGATTACAGGTGTGAACCACCATGCCTGGCCTGGACTTGACATTTTATGTCCCAAAGACCTTCCAAAGACAGGCCAAAAAGAAGTACTAAAATGCTAATTGATCAAAGATGGCTAATACATTGAATGAGAAAATTTTAATATATTTACCTGATGTACCTTTGCCAAATTATGAAAAATATGATACTGAAGTCTTATTAGTCAGCAATTTTGATATGCCAAGTTACAGCATGTTTAATAGAAATGCTACTGACTACTTATAAATGTAGCCAAAGCCATGGCAGAGAAAAGAGCTGAATTATTTTGGTAATTTATTCTTAATATAAAGTTCATACTCAAATAAAGAATGATTATTATTCAGAATAAACTCTACCCATCTCATAATCAAGGAAGACACTTTAAAAGCATGATATTTTTACTTACTTTGAAGTTGATCCTGAAAGTTGCATGCCTCTGTCTAGCAAAGAATTAGCTGTGAGCCCCTGCTTGATAACCTAGAATATAAAATACTATAGTCTAGATTTTTAATATATTTCCCTAATTTTATGATATCAACTGATATATGTAAATACCTGAATTACCTAATATGATTTTGATATATTTGATATAAACATTTAACAGACAAATTAAGCAAATCAAATAATATATTCAATTGGCAGTTTCACTTTGTTGATTCAAATAAATGGCAAAGCAGGGTTGTGAGGGTAAAAGGCTATAACTGAAACTTAAAAGCAAGTGTTTCAAATGTCTTTCCTCCAGAGTTTCTTTTTAAATTGAGTTTTTTCTCAAGCTAATTTTAGACTTCTCCTAGCAAAACCAACCTTTAAGTGGGAAAGAGAGCCACAGAAACATTAAACTATAGGAAAAACTAGTCTTGTATTTTATATCCATAAATGATAACAAGGAAAATAAATAAATGAACCTGACTAATCAAATTGAACCTTTACAAATGCTTGTCAGTTATTTAGACTTAATGGCAAAAAATAACTTTCTTACCTCCCAGGTTACTTTTTTCCCCCCAACTACCCAAGCCTCTGGTAACCACCATTCTACTCTCTACATCTGTAAGAGCTTGCTTAGATTCTACGAGTGAAATCATGAGGTATTTGTCTTTTAGTGCCTTACTTATTTCACTTAACAGAGTGCCCTCCAGATTCATTCATATTGTCACAAATGACACGATTTCCTACTTTTTTTATGGCAGAAGAATATTTCACTGTGTGTATATACTACATTTTCTTTATCTGTCTATTCATTGATGGACATTTAGGTTGATCCCATATATTAGCTATTGTGAATACTCCTGTAATTAACATGGGAGTACAGACATCTCTTTAATAAACTGAATTAATTGCCTTTGGATATTACCCAGTAGTGGGATTGCTGGATCATATGGAATTCTATTTTTAATTTTTTGAGGAATCTCCATACTGTTTTTCATAATGGCTATACTAATTTACATTTCCACCAACAGCGCACAAGTGTTCCCTTTTCTCTACATCCTCACCAATACATGTCATTTTTTTGTCTTTCTGACAATGGCCTATGTTCTGTTTTTGAAGCTGTCTAAAAATACTAATTCCTTGACCTGTCTTCTCTAGAGATTTGACTGCCTAATCAAACTAGAAAGATTTATTTAAAATACTGAAATAATTCTATCCTCTCAGGTACTATTCTGCACAAGGGCCATTCAGTTTTACACTGGAAAATTCATATACCAACATATTTCCACATGTACTAAAAAGGACATTTTGAAATCTTAGCATGGGCAATTGGTTTTGGGCAAGATAAGAAAACAGTACAACCTTAAAAACAAAATTTTGCAACTTTCACTAATGTTTCTTCTTCCTTCAATACATATTATTCAAATGCCTACATAATCTATGAGAATATTCAACTCCATGTATCATGTCCCATCATTACTAATACAGTTTAAGTCCAAGCCCTGGTCGTTTCTTGCACAGACTACTGAGACAGTCTCCTAAGTGATCACCCCAATTCCTCTCTTGCTTAATGACAATTCAATTCTACGTAGTATTCAAAGTACATGAGATCCTATCATATTTCCTTAAAACTCTGAAGAGTTAATAAATTAAACTAAAATGAAATTCAAACTCCTGATGCCATGGTCTATAAGCTCTAAATGACCTAGCCTTTGCTTAGGTCTCCAGCCTCATTACGAGCAAGTCTCTCCACTCACTATTTCTCGGGCATGCTGACCTCTTTCCCTCTTCAGGGCTTTAGGAAGGCAGTTGCCTCTGCCTGAAATGCAGTGCCCCTAGGTCCTCCTATCTTCAATTCCTCATCATCCTTCAAATTTAAGTCTAAATATTATCTCCTCAGATGGACCTTTCATCTCAATACAATCTAGGTGTCCCCACCCCTTGTTATTCTCTATCCCAGCATCCCTTGGTTATCATCATAGACTCTTCTCACTTTGTAATGATATACTGATCTATTAATTGTCATTTTCCACCTCTAAACCATAAGCTCCATATCCATTTCCCTCACCACTCTACATCAAGTGCCTTGTTCACAATACTGTATAATAAATATCTGAATTAAGAATAACTAAATAAGCATTTAGACACTTCAAATAAGTATAGTATTTCATATTGGCTATGACCCCTAAATTTATTTTGAGGTATTTTTAGCTTACCTAAAACATTCTGTAATGCATTTTCAGAATACATTACGGAAATGCCCAATAACCATATTCATACTGAATTATAAGAACTCAAATGTCAAGTAAGTGGACATTGAAGCCTTTGCATGGAAGGAGTTATGAATTAATAAAAAGAACATCATTAAAAACAACTTCAAAATTTTATTTTTAAGACACGGAAGATATGAATTCAGAGAGAGTTGATCCTAATCTTAGAGTATAATGCAGACACAGAATATGTGTTGATTAGATTAATGCAGTGGCAACTCATAAACCATTTCTCAATTTAATTTACTTAAATTTCTAATATTCATCAATAACTCTGTGACCTATCATACATAAAGCTATGGCTTCAGAAAGTCTCTCTCTCAGAAAGGTAGCTAAAAAGAATGAGAGTAATTATGAAAATAACTTCTTAAAAATCTGTTTTTCTAAATCAAGATATCAATGGAAACTAATGATTTGGTTTATACCTTAAAAGTTGGAACAGAAAGCTGTTCAAATGACGATGAACTTTCTTCACTGGTTGGTGTATCCAGATCAAGGGGACGATGCAATGAGGATTTAGAGGTTCTTTTGTTGGTTGGGTGCTTAACTGACCAATTAATTACCTGGAACTGAGTAAGGTAAGTCTGATAACAATTCATCACGGGTTGTTGCGGAGTAATCTGTTCACTCTCCACTGTTTTCTCACCTTCTACAATATATAGATGTTCTATAACATCATCTTCTCCACCTAACGCAGAAACAAATGAAGCCTGAGAAGGATGAGTTTTGAATGGCAGAGTTCTGGAATCCTGAATGCTTTCTCCATGTCCAGTAAGTGGCCCTTCTACACTGTGATATATGGAACCCCTACTGTAGTCAATCTGCTGGGTTTGCTTTTTCTTCTTTTTTCTACCCGGATAAGTTCCAGGGCCTTCATCACTGCTAATGGGCTCAAATTCCTCAGCAGCAGAAAAGTAGGCTTCACTATCAGCCATTGACATGCTGGAATCCATTGATCGATACTGATGAAATGAATTAGAGTCTGCTGATGGTGTATATGGGAATGAACCAAAACTTCTCCTCTGCTTTGGTGAGTCTAGTACATTCTCATCACTTCGAGAGACATCACTACTAAACTGGACTCCAACTGTTACAGGCTGCTTGTCCCCATAGAAAGCAGCAGTAAGACTCTTAGTACTTCCAAGACGGGTGGAACAGACAGAGGCTTGTCGTTTCAAGGGAGATCTAAGAGGAGATTGACCTACTGACTTATCCTGAGTATTAGGAGACACAGGGCTGTTTCCTGAAATTTCTGTAGGGATACTAAAACAGAAAGCAAAGCTATTACCATTTTCTATACATCATAAAATTTAAGCATAAAAACAAATATCAATAAAAATCCTTTTAGTAATTTTAATCATGTACTTTACAAGTAAAAGAAAATCTACAATTTTATAATAAAATACCCAAAGTAGCAAAACAGTACAATATGTGTTCACATCCCCCATTAGTTCCAAAAAATTTTGAGGTAGCTTAAAACACAATAAAAACTTAAAGAAACCCCAGAATGTAATCTTCTATCCATAATCCATGGACACTAATGCACTTATAAAGGTTTTTTTTCTTTCACATCCTTTAAAAACTTGTCCAACAAAATACACCAGGTGCCTCTGATTAAAGGAGACTGGAGGAAGAAGTTATACATAACCCCAGTATTTCTGACTTCAGCAACTGATGTAGTAGTGCCATTTACTAAGGCAGAACAAGTTAAAACTGGTAAGAATAAGGCCATTTTTAATATGTTGAGTTTGAAGTCTCCATGAAACATCCAAGCAGATACATCAAGAAGGTAGCTAGGCCTTAGGAACAAAGGTTTTGGCTGGAGTTTTACATTTAAAAGATGTTAGCTAGAGAACATAATTGAAACCAAACAGTTATTGAGACTCCCTAGGGAAATAATATAGAGTAAGTGGAGAAAAAGGAGAGAATGTTCAACAAAGGGCAGGCTATAAAAGGAAGAGAAAAAAGAAAGGAGGAAGAAATGGAGGACAGGACAATGGAGACTGAGAAGGAATAGCCAAGGAGGTGGGACGAAATTTTGAAATGTGCTATCAAACCAAGAGGAAACTGTGATTCAAGAAGGGAGTGGCCAACTATTAAGGTGGCAAGAGGAGGAACAAAAAGTATCCATTAGACTAGAAGGATAATATCTGAATGTTAACAGTGATTCACTCTGAGTGGTGGGATGACAAGAAACTTCCACTTTCATTACACTTTCCTGTACTTTCCTCATATCTTGAATGAATATATGTATGTATGACTTTTATAATCAGACAACAGCAAACTGACATTTCAAAATATGTTCAGATATACAGGTAACAATTTTCTAAAGTGGGGGAGTGGAGAGGGAAGAAGTTTTTCTTGCCAGAATTTTAAACAATTATAATCCTATTTATGATCAGGCTTCTAAATCTAAGTGAATACTGACCTTGCTTGGCCATCATCTCTTTTTGTCCCATGCAAGAACTCTTTTTGAACCAAATGGTCATCAGCAACAGATGAAGGACTTTCCTTTTCACCAGCCAACAAAGGCTGTGCAGCACTAGAACTACTGTTCTCTTCTGAGGAAGAGGATGAACTATGAGATCGTAATGGTACTTGAAGACTAAGGTGCTGAGTTTTTCTCTCTACTTCTATTCCCACTGATTTGTTTTCCCATTCTTTCCTCTTCATGCCATTCACATTACCTAAACAAACAAAAGGTGGGTTAAGTGAACACACAAATCTCAACAGCAGTTTATAAAAAACATGGCAATCTAATCCATTTTTAAGTATAATTTTTTTTTTTTTTTTTTTTGAGATGGAGTCTCGCTCTGTCACCAGGCTGGAATACAGTGGCACGATCTTGGCTCACTGCAACCTCTGCCTCCCGGGTTCAAGAGATTCTCCTGCCTCAGCCTGCCAAGTAGCTGGGACTACAGGCACGCACCACCACACCCAGCTAATTTTTGTATTTTCAGTAGAGAAAGGGTTTCCCCATGTTGGCCAGGACGGTCTTGATCTCTTGACTTCGTGATCCGCCCTCCTCAGCCTCCCAAAGTGCTGGGATTACAGGCGTGTAAAAAGCACAAGTGACTAATTCCATATAGCAATTTGTTAAACGTTTTAGAAATATATCTACATAAGTATAGATCCCAGGCCCATAAACAGTGAATTTTTTTCTTCTTTTTAAATCTTTTATTGGAAAATTTTCAAACTTACAGAAAACTTTCAAGAATAGTACAAAGAACCCCATATATCTTCTATTCGGATTTACTTATTTTAAGCATTTTCCCCTTTTGCTCTAAAAGTTCAATGTTGACAGGGACTGTATCATTTTTCATTCACTGATGTACCTCCAGTGCCTAGAATAATGCCTCATACACAGAAGGCACTCAATACATGATTTTATGAATGAACAAATAACGACTTTAGGATCAGAGTGAAGCACCACTGTTTCACAGTTTCATAAAGAGCTCTGTGATGTGTTATATAAACTGAGGGGCTGGGGGAAATAAAAAGAGAATTCTATAGCTGCCTAGATCCAAAAAAAATAACTCTTGCTCAACTTCCCCCTCCTCCTACCATCCCTGTTTTAGCCAAAAAAAGTAAATCCGCTAATGGAAAAAAACATCTCTGTGAACAGAATGCAGTTCTAGTGGCATTCAAGGGGTAAGAGTCATAAACCTAAAATATAATATTAGTTACTTCTACTACCACAAATGTAAAATAGAGCAATGAAAGTCAAAAGAAAAAATGGTCTTGATTTGCTTCTAAGTGATACAGGAACATAGTGCTCACTGACCTTCCAAATAGATCCTTAATTCTACCCATATGCCCTCCTTGATTTTATCCTGACACTGCATCTGTACTCCATTCCTGGAAGACTCAACAATCAGAAACTCAGGTACGTATGTAGGGGTTATTTCCAAGCTTCCCTGGACAAGAAACTTATGGCAATTCGGCAATTACAACTCACTACTAAGAGAATCACCAAGAGATACAGACACTTCCTATTACACATTATAAGAATTTTACTTTCTTCAATGTTAGAAAGAGAATTTACTATTTTCCTCATTTCACATCAGTATAAATTCCCTGCAAATATTCTTTCTTGAGTTTGTGATGGTTAATCTTTGAAAATCAAGCAATCTTTATAATTAGCACCAGTTGTAGAACATTAGAGAGAACAACAAAGTGGCTTCAATGGCCCTGATTCTATTTTCTTCTCAGCCATACTTGGCTATATCACTTCATGCAACTCAGTCTCACTGACAGGCCTCAGTGTCCTTACTAAAAAACAAGGATAATATCCACTTTACATGGTAGCTTAGGGATTAAATGAGAAAATGCCAGTGTAAATCTTTAAAAATGAACATTATTCAAATGTAAAAAAGTTATATAAGAAGACAGCTAAATTATTACAATCTATCTTATCACTTAAATGCCAAGAAGTTTTGGTGTTTGCTGATTTTATAAGATAATCTGCTCTCATTCTAGCAAACCTGCCAAAGTACAATGACCTTAAAATAACTTGTGCACACTTACTACTACTCAGTAAAAAAATCATTTAGGAATTTAGTATATGTAGTCCAGCTGTTTCCTCTAAGAGCTCCTATACATGGGAAAGCAATCTGATCAACTCTTGAAGGTAAAATTACCCCTTTCCTATCTTTTTGTGTGTACTGATAAAAGGCAGAGGTAAATTAATATTTTTAAATTAATTAAGGGGAAATGGCTAAATATTCGTGAAGTATCAAGACTTTTCTACAATTAACATCTTCACAGCATGGCAACTTAAACAGTAAATATTGCACTGAATCATAGGAACACAGAACTAAAAAAATCCAGAGGAAAAATCTGTTTCTGAAGTCTCTGGAGAAAAGACTCTAGGTAAATCTAAATATAATACACTTAAAGCCACTCTTCACTGCTCATAGCAAACTGGTGTATTTGCAGAGTTACGCTAAAGATTCTTTTTTTTTTTTCTTTTTTGAGACGGAGTCTCGCTCTGTCGCCCAGGCTGGAGTGCAGTGGCGCCATCTCCTCTCCCTGCAAGCTCCGCGTCCCGCGTTCACACCATTCTCCTGCCTCAGCCTCCCGAGTAGCTGGGACTACAGGCGCCCGCCACCACGCCCGGCTAATTTTTTGTATTTTTAGCAGAGATGGGGTTTCACCACGTTAGCCAGGATGGTCTTGATCTCCTGACCTCGTGATCCGCCCACCTTGGCCTCCCAAAGTGCTGGGATTACAGGTGTGAGCCACCACGCCCGGCCAGAGTTATGCTAAAGATTCTAAGACTGGAGTTCTTTTCTTGACATGTTTAATTTTACTATAAGGAAACTATTCTGCAAATATAATTGGTAACATGGGGGCCAACAGTATAAATATTACTATCCAAAAGTTATCCTATAAAAGCAAGCTGGTGAAACAATTGTTACCTTGAAGCACAGCTATTCCTAAGTATTTATCTGGATGCTGTGCTACAGGAAAATAACAGTATGTAAGGAAATATTTAGAAAAAATTCTGTGAGGAAAGCCACCCACGTCAACAGAAGATCTGAATAGCAGACCTACTTCTAACTCTGAAAAAATCACTAGTTTTATCTGGCTTTAGTTAAGTCATGTGCAAAACAAAGGTGGATTATACTAAACCCTACTCATAACATCACACAAAGTAAATTGAGTTGAACAGAGTTAACACTGAATTTCTCTCAAAATGGCATAGTGATGAAGAAAGTAAACAATTAGCACAAGTGACGAAACATTTTATTACCATCTATAATTTTGGGAATTTCTTTAGTAATTATCCATTCTCCAGGCTGTAGCAGAGACTGTCCATAATACATATCAGACTCTGCACTTGTGCTTGAAAATGCAGAGCTACTGGAAGGTGTCAACTCTTCAAGTTTGAAGAAATCTAGGCCAGTTACTGTGCCACCAAAGAATCTGCAGCCACCGAGACAACCACATTTGTTTCTACACCTCTTATTCTTCAGGATATCATCTGGCCATAAAAACCACAACCTAAACCGACCCCAAAAGAAAACAAAAAACAACAACATAAAAAAAATCATTAAGAAATGAAAAACTTTTTGATAGATAATTAAATATAAGTTAATTGTAAATATTTTTAAATGACAAAGTAAACACAAACACAAAGGTTTATTCCCACTGTGTTTTTTTAAATCATTTGCCTTTCTAAAAAATATAGTCTTACCAGAGCAAGTGAGACGGAAATAAGCAGAATCAATAATAATAGAGATACGGCATACATTAAAAAGCCCAAAGCATTAAAAAAAAAGCAAATATAAAAATCAGACATTTAAGTCCAGTTTTACAATGTAGTAAACATTCTCAAAAACACTAAAATTTTAAGACACTAATCCAAAAAAACCATTAGTATAGATTATGCTTGATAGCTCATTACCTTTAGCATCTCAGGGCCTATTTCACATTGCAAATTTAAAACACTGAAAAATTACAAATATGAAGCAACTAAGAAATTATTTCTCAATAAAATTAAAATAATGAACCACTCCATATTTTAGAGAAAAATAATATCGAGGTCTACTCCTTTGTAATAAGGACTACAAATAAAGTATTAAAAATGTATGTAAACTTCAGGTTCTGTATAAGTGACTCATAGATCTGTCAGTATTTATTAACTCCCCTCTTTTCTTAAACAATATTATATAATAGAAATCTGTGAGATATACCTTTATTCCTTTTTTTTTACTTTAATAAAATCCCCTCATATTTACAGTCTATTTTTCTAAGCATTTTTACATGTATTATCACCTTGGATTCTCAAGACCCTCACAGGGAAACAGAATAGGTATTATCACCTTCATTTTACATTCATTAATTTATATTTCTTGAACATATCTATTAAGTGCCTAGTGTCATGCTAAGCAAACTGATATAGTCCTTATCCATATGAAGTTTACAATACAGAGGCAAAGACAAACAATAAACAAGAAAATAATAACTAATCATAAATTGTATTAAGTGTTATGAGGTAAACAAGGTGTTGTGACAAAGAAAATAGGGAGAATCTTTCAAAAAGTAACATAGAGACATTAAAGATAAGGTGAAACAACTTAGAAGTGGAACATCTATCTAGAGAAGACAGAAGGAAAAATGTATGAGCAGGCCTTAAGATGAGGGAGAGCTTGAGATTGCACTGGTCGGATGTTATCCATTTCAAATCACTTCTGTATTTTAAAGTATTAAGTCAAGCAGCAAAGATATCTTAAAACACCATCAAAATAAAAGAACTTATATACATAATAGACTTTTTTTACTTCATTTCCACAGCAAAAGCTTGGTAGAATGCATGGCTTTGAGTCCTCTAGACCTGAGTTCAAATTCTAGCTATGCCACTTACTAACTCTACAACTTCAGACAAGTTAACATCTCTGAGCCTCAGTTTCCTCATCTGCAAAATGATGGTATGATATATCTAATTAAAGATCATTGTGGGCATAAAATAGCATAACACGTGTAAAGCACCTGAGATGCAAAATGTGGACTACACAAGTTACACAACAAACGTTAGCTCTCCTTTCCTATCTTTGCATAATCCAATGCACTAGTTCTCAAACGTTAGCTTGTATTAGAATCAACTGAATGGCTCGTTGAACTGTAGGTGGCTGGGCTTCACCTCCAGAGTTTCTGATTGAGGTCTGGCAAGGCCTGATTATGTATATTTGTAATAAGTTCCAAGGAGATGTTGATGCTGGTAGTTTGGGAGCCATATTTTTAAAAAACATTAATCTAATGGAACTAATGGCCTATGTATTCAGTAGCTCTTCCAGTAATATCAGAAATGAATATACATTTCTCTAAAACTCCTGGGAATCCAATATGCACAAAGGCAGCCAAACCTGAAGGTCAGTGAGTTACCATGTGGGGAGAGGCAAATCGTCACGAGTCCTAGGAATCCCTGTATGTTCCTGCTGGGTATGACATGAATGCAAGCTCTGTCCAGGCTATTTCACAGGGTTGTGTTGGGAGCAAGCAACCTTGAGGGTTGAGGTAATCTTTCTCTCTGGAAAAGAGTAGGCTTGCTTCCACTTACTATAAAAATAGTAAGATACCCTAAGTTCAGTGTTCCTCTTCTATAACGTAATCTACTTTATGCACATATTCATCATGATGGGGCTTTATGTTTTTTATCTTATTTTTTTTGAGACAGAGTCTCACTCTGTTGCCCAGGCTGGAGTGCAGTGGCGCAATCTTGGCTCACTGCAACCTCCGCCTCCCAGGTTCCAGCGATTCTCCCGCCTCAGCCTCCCAAGTAGCTGGGACTACGTTATCCCCTATAGGACTCAGGGACAGAGTTGCTAGATTTAGCGAATAAAATACAAACAAAAATAAGTTTGTTCTATGCAATATGTGGGACAAACTTATACTAAAATGTGTTTTGTTGTTTATCTGAAAGTTAAATTTAACTGGGCATCCTGTATTTTCCCTGGCAACTCTACTTGGGGGATACAGGGAACCAACCCGCCCACACATGACTGGCTACCGCTTTGGCTGTAATATAGTCTCTGATCAGAAGTTTTGTGTATTTTTCCAGCATCCATGAAATTGTAACAGCTAACTTGTTAACTCGTAAGAAAGATAAAAACCCCAGACTCTTCACAATTTTTCACAAGCTACAGCACTGAAACCAACCTAAATGAGCTACTTGGAGCAACTCGAGTCACCTGAAGTAACCTCCTTAGTTCCATTCGCACCTTGCTCTACCACCTAACCTAATCAAAGACAGGCATTTGGTTCACACTAAGTGGCTTCCTGCACAACATATAACAAAGAAATCCAATTTATTTTACACAATATTCTTCATACATGAGCTTTCATACTCGGATATATGTCAAATCTTCCTCAATTAATTTAAAAGATTAATGTAATTTCAATAAAAATCTCAACAGATTTTCTTTTTTTAACCAGAAAAATGGACCCCAGGTTCTTTTGGGAAAGTTAACAGGTAACAATAAACATTTTGTTAAACAGAGAAATGAATATGTCGATTTATCTCCTTACCTAGAATAATATACACATGCACCCCATATAAAATCCAGAGGGATTCGAGTTTTATATGTTAACAAGAAAAAGGAAAAGAAAAAAATAATACAGATGCTATTTGATTACTAGCAAAAGAATGGCTTTCTCAAATTAGTAACTGACATACTTGAATGCATAAAATTAAAGTCATATATGAAAATAAAAACAAAATTAAAAGATAAAACAAACTGTAAAATACTAGCAACAGAGATCACAAAAAGGTGATCATCTATAAAGAGCTCTTAAAAATTGAAAACCACCAAGACCCCAGTAAATAAATGTACACAGAATATAAACATTCAATTCACAAGTGAAGAAATCGAAACAGCTAACAAATGTGGTTTTTAAAGTGTTAATTTCAGAAATATATAAATGCAAAATAAAGAGATGCCACCTTTCACTTATCAGAAAACACTCAAAAGGTAGCAATGGTGCAGGGTGACAGGGACTAGCTAAAAAGCCATTGTGGATATAAACTGAAATTAATTTCTGGCAAGTAATTTGGGAATGCATATGAAAAGTCTTAATTTTCAACTCATTCATACTCCCTTCCAGGAAATTATCTAAAGGAAACAGCCAGAAAGCATGGGAAAATATTTTATGTGCAAAAATGTTCCTCTATCATTTATAATGGGAAATTTAGAAACAATCTAAATATTTAATATAAGGGCAATGGCTAAATAAAACATGTTTTGTCTTTTTGGTAATGTATTATCATTTGTTTAAAAGGATCTTTATAAAATGTTTAATCATGTGGCCAGATGCTTGGGATATAAGTTTAATACAAACATGCAGAATTTTAAACTGTATATACAGGATGATTTCAAGCATTAAAAAAATACAGCAAAATCCTGGAGATAAAATTTCATATGGTGGGGTTATGATCATTATTTTCTTTTGTTTCTTAATAGTTTCCTATATTTCTAGAATTAGCACATATTAAATATACAATGGGGAAGATGGGGATGGAAAAAGTCACACTGTCATTTTAAATGGAAGTGATTCAGTAAGAGGTGCTGGCAACTTTTTAAATCATATATAATAATAATTTCCTAAGGACCAAGGAAATAGGCCTGAGTACTCTTAGTCTTCCTTGCAGTTCTGAAGGCCCATAAAAGGAGTTTTATACAGTAGACGATAGTAGTACTGTGATTTCTAGGAATGAATGATGACTTGAAAGTGGAGAGCTGTGGTGAGAGAGAAAATGTAGTACTTTACAAAACGTTATTTGGGGACCATAACTTAAACTTGTTTCACTGTTGGCATACATGGTATAGACTTAGAAACACATCAGAAAATAATGTTATTTCCAACAACTACACCATCACCAGAGACAAGATATATATTTACTTAAATATCAGGTCCTTATATATTCATTGAGGTGCAGCAGCACAATCATGTTAGGTCTTTATTTAAAATATTCTTAGTCCATTCTCTCAGTAGAATTTCCTCTACAATTATCTAGTTTTTTTCATCTGAACAGGAGACTACTGCCATTCTTAACATTTTCACCTACCTCTTAGTTCTGGCATCATGAGTTTCTAAGAAATGTCTTTGTGCCTCATGTTTAGAATGATGGTCAGCAGCTAAAGCAATATCAACAGTAATAAGTCCTAAATTGGCTGACCCAGCTTCAAGCCAATAGGCCCTCCGTAGCACTGCAGGCTGAAGTCCAATTCTGCAATTATTTAATTGCTCAATGTACTGTCTCACTTGAAAATCCTGAATTGCAGCACTGATTCCTTCCCCAACCGATTGATTGTGGAGATTACAGTTTGCAACTCGAATTGCACCCATCTAAAATTGAATGAAGAAAATGAAACAAAAGTGTAATTTCTGTATTTTTAAGTAGCTTAGCCAAAACTACTGAATAGGTGATCATTTCAAATAGAGTAAAACATAAATGGAAGGAGAAAATAAAGGAAAAAGAAATAAAAAAGGAAAAAATGGGAAAGGGACAAGAAGGGAACAGAAAAGTTAAACAAAATAAAAACAAAAATAGACAATTTTTTAAAAAGGAGAAAAGGAAAAAAGCAGAAATCCACAGGCGAACAAGAGAAGTAAATAATGAAATAGTAGAAACTTAACAAGGCTTGATTTTGCACTACAATCCATAAAAGAGTGGGAAACAAATGTTTTCAAGAGCCAGGCAGAAAATATAAATGTATGAATCCTAAAGACATTCAAAAATCAAATCATTTAAAAGCACTGCCAGTTTATATCCCTGACATAAAAGTAACCTACTATTTTATATCCTTCCCATAAAGCAATGTTACAATAACTCAGAGTAAATAACTGGTGAAAGTATGCCTTGAAAAAAATAATACTGGAAGAGAACATGGATTAGTAAAAATTAGAAAGTTTTCTCCTAAAATTTTGTGGCTGTCTGTGAGATGACAAACTATAAATGTGTGTTTTATTTCAAGAAATAGAGGTTTGGTTTAGTAAAAACGAAAAAGCACTACACCAGCCAAGCAAAACACTTACCTTTATATTTGTAGCACAACCATGCTCAACAATGTAAATATCGGCTCCATCTACTGCTAAACGAATCATAGTATATTTCAAATCATCTGAAGTTGGACAAGGCCCAGGAATACAACTCAACTAAAATAAAAAAGGATTGTACATCTAAATCATCACCATCAACTTATTATTTTGATACTTAAGTCATCTTCTTTAAATAAACACAAAAAATCTAGTTATTGATGTATTTTTTAAAAATCAGTCTAATTTCATTCTTTTATAATAATAAATGAAATCAGCAGTTAAAGTGTTATCAATTAGAAAACTATACGTTAGAAAACAATAAGTAAGCATGCACCATTTTCATTCAGAAGGGGCAAATAGCAAGTCTAATGGACAATACATAGACAATTTCTTACTGAAACTAGAGAGGATAAGCAAAGTAAAGTGAAAAGTAAAACAGTGCCACAGGTTTACAAGAATTGTATGAGTTTAGAGTTGTAAGGTTTTCTTACAGGTACTCCATACGCACAGATGTATTTTCACACACACACACACACAAATTCACTAAGACAATCCACATTAATTTTATTTTACTCCTAAAACACAGATTTTTATGATGTTTAGGTTAGAAGAAAATGTATATATCACCTATATCAATAAATTTCTTGAGGAGATGGCAGCCCTGATTAAATTATTGGCCCAATAGCATGAAAATGCTCATTAGTGGCAGAGCCAGAACTAGAAACAGGTGTCTTACAGTGTAGTCAATACTCTATAAGGATATATTTCCTCTGGACAAAAATAGACCTAAACAAACTGAAGTGACAGAATGGAGATCAGTAGTTGCCTGAGGTAGGGGCTGACTGCAAAGACACACAAAGGAATTTTCTAAGGTGATAGAAATGTTCTATATCTTCACTGGTGGTAATAGTTACACAGGTATATACAGCATTTGTCAAAACTCAAACTGTACAACTTTAAAAGGATGAATTTACTGTAAATTATGTAAATTATGCCTCAATGAAACTTATTTTTAAAAATTTAAGAGCCGGGCACAGTGGCTCACGCCTGTAATCCCAGCACTTTGGGAGGCAAAGGCAGGCGGATCACGAGGTCAGGAGATCAAGACCATCCTGGCTAACACAGTGAAACCCTATCTCTACTAAAAACACAAAAAATTAGCCGGGCGTGGTGGTGGGCGCCTGTAGTCCCAGCTACTCGGGAGGCTGAGGCAAGAGAGTGGCATGAACCCAGGAGGCGGAGTTTGCAGTGAGTCGAGATGGCGCCACTGCACTCCAGCCTGGGCGACAGAGCAAGACTCTGTCTCAAAAAAAAAAAAAAATTTTAATGCAACATAAAAACTTCAAGTTAAAAAAAAAAAAAGAAAAAGGAGGGGGAGGCACCTAAAGGTATGTGCGTATTATCCATAAAAAACTGCCTCCCTGACCTGTGACTAAGGAACCAATTCTGTGGAGCCTGGAAATGTGTTTATAATAAGAAAAAAAATTTTTATCACCAAGTATAGCTGTTTCCTTTATTGTCAATATATAAGGATGCGTTACAGATTTTTTTTGGACATAAAAGTAGGATGAACTAATTTCAATTCACAGTAATATAACAGCAAACAAATATAATTTGTATAGCAGAAGAACAAAAAAGGAAAGACATATAGGAACGAACTAGAAAGAAAAACTAAGTTGTTAACCACTGTGTTGTAGAACCAGGGTAAGTTATTTTTCTCTTTTGAAACAGCCATGTTTTCCAGATTTTCTGAAATAACCATGCTTCCAAAATCAGGGGAAGAAAATGCCTCCCTCCCCAAATTCATAAGGGAGAGTATTTATTGCACAATAATACTATGGCATTTCATTGCCACTGCACATGGTTTTAGGGATTACCATCTACTTTTTGCAACCCTTGTGAAGATATTGTAATGACTCTTAATGAAGGTGGCACAATGTTGTGAAAAGAGCATAACATGTGGAGTCAGGAAACCTGGCAAATGACCAACCTTGCTATTACATTATGGGAGAAACGGCATGTCCAGAGTGGTCTGCAAACCATGTCATGTGAAGAATTCAACCTTCTCTTTGCTTCAATTTCTAAATCTTCTACATAAATATATAGCCATATCCCAACAAGTATAATAATGCAATATGACATGAATGTTAACAGTAAAAATGTAAGCAAAATATAATTTTTATAATTCTGTTTCTTTTTTAATTTGTATGTTTTAATAATTATCTCATATTTTAGATACTTAAAACTAAAATGGGTAAGAATTTAAAAAATAATTTTATTAACTGAAAAAACTGTAGTTTGCTGCATGGCTATGTGTATTTGACTTGAAGCTGATATCTCAATATTCCATTTTTTAAAATTCATAAATGTTTATAATATTGCTAACATATTTGTTAATATACCTTGGATTCACAGAACCGACGATCAATTCCATGCTGACATATTATAACTGATTTCGGTCTTTCCAGTTCATACTCCCGACATACCACATGAAAAACAAATGTCTGTCCCCACTCCAAGAGGCATGCCAGCTACAGATAATCAGTGACAAGTTGACAACACTGTTAGCATTCTAAACAAGGGTTTAGAGTTCAAAAGCTTCTGAAGAATGTTAACGTAGCTTGAAAGAACCCAAACACTGTCTTAAAACTTCTGCTAAATAAGCAACTTGTTAGCCAATGATTTTTTTCTACCTTTAATATCATTTACATGCTTATGTTACTTTTCCTTTATGAATGACAAAATGCACTGTCAAAATGAAAACTAATTGCAACTGAAAAATTTCACTTCAGCAACTTTTAACGCAAATCCTTTTATTCAAGGTTATATATCTTCCCTCTTATATAGCTAACTGAAATCTCCACATAGAAAAGCACCTAAAATTCTCCAATCATAAACCAAACTTTTATGTGAAAAAGTATCTAAATATCACATTGAGCTACAGTTTTTTTAAAACCAGGTATTTTGAAGATTAAAGCACTTTTGTTTATGTAAATAGAAGCTTAAGTAAGTATATATCATAATTCTTCAAATCTTCAGTTTAAAAAAAAAAAACACCCTAATTGATTAGAGCTGTTAAAAACATTGAGGGATAGATACACATGACATTATCCCCTCAAATAAGTACATAATTTAAACTCTTGGAAAATATAAATTTTACTTTTAAAACATACAGAGAATGGAATAAACATAAAAGTGCCTACAGAGTCATGAACTGTGCAGCAAACAGTGATGCCAAGATTTTATGCAGGAGAAAGAGAAATGTTTTACCTTATAAAGGCAATTTATAAACATGTAAGATTCTAGCAGGCCTTGGAATAAAGGAATTGTACCCAGTCTTGCAGGATCAGCATGGCTTTATTCCCTTCGTAGGGAACAAGCTGCTTTGGAATATGCTTCAGTTTTTACTAGTATACTTAGGGATGGGAAATGGGAGATAATAAGGAGAGGACAGTTACAAGACCAGTGAGCAATGACTATTGCTTTTCATCCATTTTTATACATTCCATTATGCATTTCTTTTCACATATTTTTATAAATATCATTATACATTCTAATATTATATTGAGATGACGTTCAACTCCAAAATATCCCTTTTCAATTCTATTCATTTTCTCACCATTTCTAGAATATTAATTTTTGCTACCCTCTGACGATTTCTTCCAGGTATAAAGGGCATCTAGGTTCTTTATTACTTTCTTGTTGCTACTACCTACCTCTAAATTATATGTTTTATACCCATTCTAAAACTTTTTATCAAAATTGAGTATGTAACATTCCTATCAAATTCCAGTCTTTTGAAATATCAAGATGAGCATTCATATTATAATAAATATATGACTCAGGTGAAATGTTACAATAATACGGCAATTCAACTAAACTTCAGTGGCCAATTAGAAACAAATAATACATTAAGGCTTTTGTGCCTTCTAAGGATTAAGTGAAAGGGGTGGTGGGGGACAATTTATCCAAAAGGATCACATCTAGAATTCTAGACCAGACTTACATACCAGTAAATTCACTTTTGTTTTTTGAAACTATTATCCACATCACTAACAGCAGGTACAAATGATGTAATCTTGCTTTGGGACATGACAAGCAAAGAACCTTATTACCTAATCCTTAGTATCATAAGGGCTACTTTCAAATCCTACTTTAAACATATGTAAGAAAACAAAGTTCTTAGAAAATTACTCCATATAGTAGAAAAATAAGATTTTTCCAACAATGGAGGGCCAAGTAATATAATTTTAATAATATATTAATGACTTCTAGAAAAGTACTCATCCTGAATTTTTCCCAAAGAAAGTCTCAAATTCTTTGAAATATTATATAGGTCTACACACATTACACCCAACAAATTATATGTGGCTCAGAAAAGTCAAACTTGTCTCTGATTCACCTATAACTAAAATTCTGAATGGCAAGAATGACTCCCATCAGAATGCCATCAGTGGAAATGCAATGAACATTCAAACAGGCATACAAGTTATTCTTGAGAAGGTGGGTAGAGAAAGGAAAAAGAAAATAAGTCAGGAGATAGTACTCTGAAAACCATACCTGTGGTGCTGTGACCTTAGCTGTAAGACTTCCAGCCTGCACATCAATTAACCATGCGTATTCTAAGGAATCGCTTCCCAAAGGAAGACCTTCTGCTGAGAACATAGCGTGTGCTCTCAGCTGGAGACCTGACAAATTGATGTGACCTTCCCTGAGTACTTCATCCACAGGGGGTCGCTGCTGAAAACAATAATGATGAGACTGTAAAATGTATAAGAAAATCACATTATAATTTCTAGTTGTTTCCCCCCACACCCCCTGCAGAGATGAACAATAAACTCATGCCATCTATAAGGTTTCAGAATCCACAAGCTCCTAACACAACCTTGTACCCGCAGAGGTATTCTGAGTTAAGCATCTTTAATGAACAATACCTATGAGAGTCCAACTATTATAAAAAGCAAGATAGCTGAGTCTTAAATAGTAGACAGATCTCTGATTGGTAACTGCCTTTATGAATAACAAGAAACTACAGTAGTACTTTGACAGGGAATACAAGAGACCAGTCTTTTGTAAGAAATCTAAGAATCATGAGATTAAAATATTTTTAAAAGGAAGACAACATTGAAGAACTCAGACCATTAAGACCAAACAATGAAGAATGGTGGGGAAAAGTAAACTTCCATATAGATTCTGAGGACTATGTAAATACAAGGAGAGTTTTCTTACAGAGAATAATTTCATACTCACTACTAAAAAGCAGCACGTATTTCAAAGGGAACATTTCTAACGTATTCAGAGAAATAAAGGATATGTCATAAAACAGATTATTTCATGGAACACTAGTTCCACACATTATTAAGAATAAAGAATCAAATAAGTTTGGGAATGCCCTACTGATCAGTCACCAATTTCTGTTAAAACTACCTCCCAGTCTCTGACAAATGCATTGACTTTTTTTCATCTTCAGTGCTCTCATCCTGGTCCAAATAGTATCACCTCTTGCCAGGACCTTTTCAAGGCATTAACTTTTTACATCTCTCTGCTCCATACTCTATGAGTAATCACAGAGATCTTCTAAACATACAAATCTGATCCTGTTCTTGCCTCCAGACCATTAAATGCTACCAGAGCACTGCCTACCTCACCTTGTGGCGCTTTTTACACTTGAAATTATTTATCTTAATTTTAATGTTCTCAATATTTATCTTCTCCCCCAGGTTCATTAATAACCATTTCTGCCTTGTGTACTAAGTATCACTGCACCTAACAGTGACCACAAAAAGTAGATGCTGCTGATTAGACAGATTTCTTCACAGCAAGTGTTCACAGAGCCTTCAACATACCAGTATACATTGAGGCAGTTCGCAAATTATTTCTCAACCTAGTTTTATTACAGTAGTCCTCTTCATGTATGTCTAGGCTATCTCACAGGGTTAGTGTTCTTTGCTTTCAATATATGTTGGGAAACAGTCTTAAAAAAATTTTTTTTAAGGATAAGGGCTAACTCTAATTCATAAGAAACTTTTTTTAAAAAAATTCAAATTGTGACTACAATAATCACTCTAGAAGCTCTTCTGATCCAATTTTCATTTTATTTTCATCCAAGCTGTGTGACTTTATATAAAATCACCTGACTTCTCCAGGCATTAATTTCCTTACCTTTTTTACTGAGGGAACTGGGGAGAGTGGTCAAGAAAGTTATCTTCTGACGCTGAGACTCAATAATTCTCAGTATAAAATTTTTATGAAATTTTTTAATCTCAAAATTACATGTGGATCTTGGGCTTTCCTAAGGTATAGCCTACATGATACACCAATAAATATTATATTCTAAATGTTATTACAGTTTGCATCATGCGTGGGTTGAATGGCATCCCTCAAAAATATATGTTCAAGTCTGAAGCCCTGGAACCTGTGAATATGATCTTTTTTGAAAACAGGATTTTTGCGGATATAATTAGGTTATGATAAGGTTACATTGATGGTGGGCCCTAATCCAATATGACTGGTATCCCTATAAGAGGAGAAAAAGTGGGACATGCAGGCACAGAGAGAGAGTGGCAGCCAGTCGAGATGGAGGCAGAAATTTGAGTGAATACCAGAGATTGCTAGCAACCACCAGAGCCTAAGAAGAGGCAAGGAAGGATCTTCCCCTACAGCTCAGACAGAATGTGACCCTGCCAACACCTTGATTTAGGACTTTGAACCTCCAGAACTGTGAGAGAATAAATTTCTGTTCTTTTATGTCACCTAGCATAGGATACTTTGTTACGGCATCCCTATGAAATTAATACATAAGATGACCACAAAGTAAAAAGTGCATAGTGTCATAATGGGACACAGTAGTCCATCAGTCACCTTAGAACCTTCATCTTGAAGCCTTGAGTTAAGAGACTGATGCTACCCAGGATAAACTACAAGTGGGTAACCCAGATTTGAGCCTTGGGAGTAGACACAGTGTGAACCCTCTCACTGTGAAAGAACATTAGATAGTATAACGACAGATGAAGAAAAAAATTCTTAGGAATAGTCGTGTCAACACTATAGAATGTAAACAAGGTAAGTAGACAAGCAAATTCCAAGAGGATATATATGGTACCTTTGTCTTCGGGGTAAGTTGTCAACAATCGGGGAAATGAATTATCACTAGTACTTCTACTTTCACCTTGGTATCTCTACTCCATGAACTCCTTCTCTAATCCCCAAATAAGTCATACTTTATAATTCAGTCTCTCCACAAGTTTGCATACCTCTATAATAAGAATTAATGTGAACATTCATAATCAGCTCAATAAAATGTTTTCTATGTCTGGAAAAGCCTTTTAAAAGTGCAGTGATTAAAAGTTGAAGGGCTACCAGGTACTCATAAAAAACCAGGGATAGTCATCTAAGTTTCTCAGAACTCATCCATAGAAGACTTTCCCTTTTCCCTTTATTAATTTCCTTAATAGACTGAAAAAGGGAGATGGGCTTCCTCTCCACATACCTGCCTCCCAGAATAAAAAACAACCGATTCTAATGACCTGCTAATTATAGAGAGGACAAGAGGTTTTTTTTTTTAAGGTTAATATGGCAAGTTAAAATAATGTGTTATGTGAGATCTTTGTGATGACAGAATAGTTCTGTATCTTCATTTTGGTGGTTACATGAATCTACACATGATAAGAAGACCTAGAACTACGCACACACATTGTATCAACGTCAGTTTCCTTGTTTTGATACTATAATTATGTAAAATAACTTAACCATGGAAAAAAACTGGGTAAAGAGTACACACAGGATCGCTCTGATCTTTGCAACTTCCTGTGAAACTATAATTATTTCAAAATAAAAGTTTAAAACCAGAAACACACATTCTGTGGCAAAACAAAAACAATGCCTAGCACATATTAAGTTTTAGCTAATATGATCTCATATATGTCAAATATATGTATGAAAAATTAAATTAAAATTCCATGAAGAAAAATATAGTCAGTGATGGCAAAAGAATGAAAAGGAGATATGCTATTTTAAATAAAATGATCAATTACTACATATAATCATAATAAATGATCATTCATTGATGATTTCTGGTTGTCAGATTCACCTTCCCATTTATAATTTTACTTTGTCTTGTATTAAGTTCCATTTATATTTCTAAATCACACAACTTGATTAAAAGTAAGACAGGGGCATATAAAGTGGTGGTAGTTGCCACAGAAAGCCATTTGGCATGAAAAAAATAATAAAATTATAATCTACCCAGAAATGTAATACATTTTCAAATTCTCACTTGATGAATATCATTGGTTCTCTTTTAAAAGAGCCCAGAGGTATCTTGAAGGAATTAACAAAGTATCTTATGTTAGATGAATAAGAATAAATCATTGATCATGTAGATACACACGTTTTAAAATATTATGGTACTGGTTAATATTAACATTTATGCTGTGATACTCAACAGAACCTACCAACATTTTATATAGTTAATTTTTCCCTTCCATAAATATTTGAGAAAGTACTTATTTCCATTTCTATTATAATAGCAAAAGGTATAAAATATAATTGGGATCACAGAAATAGGGAGCAGCAAAAGAAAATTGAGATTCTTGAAACAACTCTCATACACATAAACATACATACAAAACTTCTTAATACAGTTAACTTAAAAGTCTCCAACTTAAAGAGCTACAAAGTCCATGCACAGAAGCTAATACATTGTTTTAACCCAATAAATATTAATAATAAATCTCTATGTCTCCACCATATTTCATTTTCACCTTACCTGATAGTTATCACTGACAAACACATTCAGGGGTGACAGGATAAGTTGCAGCATGGTCTCCCTAAATCCTTTTTTCATTTCAAAACATAGTCTTTCCAAGAAAGCTGTAGGGCATTCAGGACCATCAGTAGTTCCATGCTACAGTCAAATGAAATAGCACAGTTGAAATGCAGAAAAGGCAAAAAGTAAGGAAGTATAGGAAAATAAAAATTACATCTGTCATGATTAAGAGAATTTGTTTTTCAAAAACAGAGAAACTATGATTACTGAGAAAAATAACTATTCTGTACCTCAGTAGGATCGTTAGCTGCACTAAGCAACAGAGGGCCACCGGCCCCACCACCCCACTGCAACCCGGACACACACCTCATCTGGCCCTGCACCAAAGTCCCTGGGTTCTTGGGGCAATTTAATATCATTCCATGTCAGCCAGAACAGGTCCACAGGTTGTCCTTAGAGCGACCCAGGATACCGTGCTAGATCCAAACTACATAATTCAACCCCCAGGGTCAAGCCAGAAACTCCATTTTATAACAGGTCCACCATAAGGCCCCAAACTGGTCTGGGGTCTAGAGATAAAAGCTAAGAAAATGTAAAGTCCTTGAACACCCATCAGGTTAATTATAAACCCAACAACTCAATGTATGACACGATGTCCTGACATTACACATATAGCAAAGAAGGAGCTAAAGTTAAATTAGAAGAAAAATAGAAAATAAAAATTACCAATGATCAAGTAATCATATTATGAAGAAAATACATGAGTTTTATAACAGTAAAAGAATAAATTTAGAAGTTTCTAAATCTGATTTTCTTTTTCTAAGTGTGTGCTGAATGCTTCACATCTATACACAGGTGGATGTTATAATATATTCCAGACTACTTTCATGTGTAAACACTTACAACAGGAAGACGCCCATGAACTTTGTACAAATTAACAAGTACAGTAATATCCCAAGGACGCAAGGCAAGTGGATGAATTGACTTGGCTGAACCTTCATTTTCCTTTTTGTCATTTTCCATTCCAACAGCAGTCCACCCAGAGCTGGATGATGTTGACAGTGACAAAACAGGACTTGAGATAACCTCTTCAAAATCCATATACATGTCATCTTCCCCAAAGTAGTTTTCCTATAAATATTAAGAAAACACAAATTGCTGTCAAAAGAGGTATGTAAATATATTTTCACCTATGAGCCTAAATTTGTAAATTATGCATTTCCTTAACCTATTATATTTAATAAAAAGGCATCAGGCCTATTGTCTTAAAATACAAAAGAAAACATATGTTAAGACTTACACATAGCTGCTTGGCAAATATTCAGTAGCAAAAAATGCAAAAAGTTACAGAGCCTATTTTATAGAAAAACTTCATGGCATTGCCCCAATTACAGCAAAACCTTGTAATTTAGGTCCTCAGAGACCTCTGAAGGTTTGCATGGTTAAACAGTTTTCAATCACTGCTCCTCAGAGTTCTCAGGCAATACCGAGGACATCCTTTGGGGGAAGCAATTCACTGAAAATCAGTCTGGCTAAATTCAATTAGGTAACTAGTACAATTCACATATTCCTGTTGGAATATTTATTGGGCATGTTTTAACAGCTTTAATAAAAATATCCAATCTTGGTTATTGATGAGATAAAGGCATGTGTTACCAACAATTAACAAAAATTCCTTTCACATAGTTCATCCTGGTTTTTTATGCAGAAGTGTTTCAACTACTGTTTTCTTTTGCATGAAAATATAAATTTAGCTTCAATTTAATTTATTTTTTCCCATTGATTCTATATTTAAATTTTGGCCATTTGATCTCTCAGTAGTAAATAAAAGTTGTTAAATATTCCTGTTAACATTGTCAGCATATCTGTTAAATATTAGAACCAAGACAGTATTTTGGTAAATTCTGCACTTTGGTTATTGACAAAATTATCTTCTGACTAGAGTTATGGACATCAGTACATAATATCTTTTCATAGGAAATAATGTTGAAGGGCTTAAAGTCATACAGTTAATTGGTAGGGGGATTAATATTTAAATCCCAAACCTACCGGCTCACAAAACCAGTGCTTTTTCCTCTATTCCCTATTGCTGTCCACCTCCTAATTACAGATGCCACTTGAAACCTGCTTGAAATCTTAATAACTGTCTTTATAATACAATTCTGAAGCATGGACAAATTTATGCACAAATATAACAGAAAACACTGGGTTATATTTTAAATTCCAACATTGAATTTTTAAAAAATAACATAAATGTCTAAGTGAGTTCGATCAACATTAAAAACTTGAAGAGATAAAACAAAAGGCTGGTTCTTTGACAAGACAAAAAAAAATGATGGACCATCCATGAGATTAACCAAGAAGAGAAGAGAGAAGATCCAAATAAGATCAATTAGAAACAAAACTGGAGATATTATAACCGATACCACAGAAATACAAAAGATCATTCAAGGCTACTATGAACACCTTTAGGTGAACAAACTGGAAAATCCAGAGGAGATGGATAAATTCCTGGAAATATGCAACCCTCCTAGATTAAACCAGGAAGAAACAGAAACTCTGAACAGATGAATAACAAACAGTGAGAGAGAAAAAGTAATTTTTAAAAATTGCCAACAAAAAAAAGCCCAGGACCAGATGGATTCACAGCTGAATTCTATCAGACATTTAAAAAAGAAATGGTACCAATCCTACTGAAACTATTCCAAAAGATAAAGAGGGAGTCCTCCCTAAATCATTCTTTGAAGACAGTAATCACCCGAATACCAAAACCAGAAAAAGACATTTAAAAAAGGAAACTAAAGATCAATATCCCTGATGAACAAAGATGCAAAAATCCTCAACAAAATACTAGCTAACTGAATCTAAGAGCATATCAAAAAGATAATTCACCATGATCAAGTGGGTTTCACACCAGGGATGAAGGGATGAGTCAATAAATGTGATATATCACATAAACAAAATTAGAAACAAAAACCTATTCAACAATTGGGTAGAATCAATATTGTGAAAATGACCATAATGCCAAAAGCAATCTATGAATTAATTGCAATTCCCATTAAAATACTACCGTAATTCTTCACTCAACTAGAAAAAAAAAAAATCCTAAAATTCATATGGAACCAAAAAAGAACCTGCATAGCAAAAGTAAGACTAAGCAAAAAGAACAAATCTGGAGGCATCACATTACCCGACTTCAAACTATATACTACAAGGCTATCATTACCAAAACAGCAAGGTACTGTTATAAAAACAGGCACGCAGACCAATGGAACAGAATAGAGAACCCAAAATAAAGCCAGAGTGGAGCCAAATACTTGCAGCCAACTGATCATCGACAAAGCATACAAAAACATAAAGTGCGAAAAGTGGGTTTCATACCAGGGATGCAGGGATGGTTTATACACAAATCAATAAATGTGACACATCACATAAACAAAATAAGAAACAAAAACCTATTCAGCAAATTGTGCTGGGATAACTGGCAAGCCACAAGTAGAAGAATGAAACTGTATCCTCTTCTGTCACCTTATAGAAAAATCAACTCAAGATAGATCAAAGACTTAAATCTAAGACACGAAACCATAAAAATTCTAAGATAACATCAGAAAGACTCTTCTAGACATTGGCTTAGGCAAAGAATTCTTCACCAAGAGCCCAAAAGCAAATGCAACGAAAACAAAAACAAATAAACGGGACCTAATTAAACTAAAAAACTTCTGCACAGCAAAAGAAATAATCAGCAGAATAAACAGACAACCCACAGAGTGGAAGAAAATCTTCACAAACTATGCATCTGACAAAGGACTAATATACAGAATTTACAGGGAACTCAAACAAATCAGCAAGGAAAAAACAAATAATCCCATCAAAAAGTGGGCAAAGTACATGAATAGACATTTCTCAAAAGAAGATATACAAATGGACAACAAACATACGAAAAATGTTCAACATCACTAATGATTAGGGAAATGCAATCAAAACCGCAACATGATACCACCTTACTCCTGCAAGAATGGCCATAATTTAAAAGTTAAAAATAATAGATGTTGGTGTGGATGTGGTGAAAAGGGAACACTTTTACACTGCTGGTGGGAATGTAAACTAGTACAACCACTATGGAAAACAGAATGGAGACTCCCACTAAATGCAGAACTACCATTTGATCCAGCAATTCCACTACTGGGTATTTACCCAAAAGAAAAGAAGTCATTATATGAAAAAGACACTTGCACACACATGTTCATAGAAGCGCAGTCCACAATTGAAAAATATGGAACCAACCTTAATGCCCAACAACCAATGAGTGGATAAAGAAAATGTGGTAGATAGATAGATAGATAGATAGATAGATAGATAGATAGATAGATAGATAGATAGATAGACAGACAAAGATAGATACACACACACACACATATATATACCATGGAATACTACTCAGCCATAAAAAGGAATGAAATAATGGCATTCACAGCAACCTGGATGGAATTGGAGACCATTATTCTAAGTGAAGTAACTTATTAATGGAAAACCAAATATATGTTTGCACTCATAAGTGGGGGATAAGCTATGAGGTCACAAAGGCATAAGAATGATATAACAGACTTTGGAGACTCGAGAGGAAGGATGGGGGGGGTGAGGGATAAAAGACTACACGTTGAGTATAGTGTACACTGCTCAGGTGACGGGTGCAGCAAAATCTCAGAAATCACCACTAAAGAACTTATCCACGTAACCAAAAACTACCTGTTCCCCAAAACTATTGAAATAAAGTAAACAAACAAACAAAACTTAAAGATGTTCAAAGCAGTAGTTCTCCCCTCCAGAAGCCTTTATGAAATACACATTCCACCCCAGTCCTGATGACTGTTCACAAAGTTTGCAGTAGGCAGAGTCCAGGGTCAAGTGTAAAGTGGAAAAACTCCTTTGATACTTCCATCTGTAAATGGCCCCCAGAAAATCACCTCTGTCCCACCTTCTCCCCAAACAGCTGATCTAAGGACTCAACTACTATTAGGTTTCAGCATACTAACATGTACCAACAAAACAGTTACCAGCACTCATTTTAAGTCATTTTTAATGATCCTAGCCAACAGATCTCTTATTTTTTAAAAATTCCCTTGTAGTCTGTTATCATTGTAAATCTTAAAAAAATTTAGATTCCTGTAGATTATTACAGTAAAAAGAAAAAAGATACCCTTGGGTCTAATGTTCAATTTGCTACTAAAGCAATCTCCATTTAATTATCTGAAATGGAAATAATTCATATCAAATTCTTTAGGGAACACTGAATGTCCAACATAGCAGAGAACATTTGCTAATTTTTATTAAATGTGTCAGTGACTTTGCTCTAAAGGAGTTATAAAACACTAGGATTCTTTCATGAGTTAATACATTTGTAGTTACTGAATATTATCAACAAAATGTACTTTTAAAATTATAACTCCTTTAAGAACTTTGTCTAATGTTATATGTCTAATGCTGGGTGTGTGACTTAAGGGTTTCTCTTAATTTATGAATTCCAAATCTATTAGTTAATTTCCTAAGAATTAACTGAAAGGCCAGGCACAGTGGCTCATGCCTGTAATCCCAGCACTTCAGGAGGCCCAGGTGGGCAGATCACTTGAGCCTAGGAGTTCGAGACCAGCCTGCGCAACATGGCGAAACCCTGTCTCCACAAAAAATACAAAAATTATCCAGGCATGGTGGCGCATGCATGTGGTCCCAGCTACTTGGGAGGCTAAGAAAATCACCTGAGCCCAGGAAGTCGAGGCTGCAGTGAACCATGACCATGCCACTGCCTGAGTGACAAAGTGAGACCCTGTCTCAAAAAAAAAAAAAAAAAAAAAAAAAAGAATTTACTGAAAAAAAAAAAAATAGTTACCAAAAAGGTTGATCAAATGTAAGGTAGATGGTAATACATTACGGCAAACTTTTATGGTACTTTAAGATTAATAAATGTACACAAATATTTACAAATACAAATAAAACTTTCAATTTCATTTTATAATAGATGGCATGTAAGCTTAAACTATCTTTAAAATAAATTCCAAACAACCCCAGAAAAAATTCACTGGCTTATAGAACCGAGAAAATGTGTTCTTTTGTCAAATTTACATTATGCTTGAATTTATGAATGATAAACTACATTTCAATTTACTTAAGAATTCTCCAAAATTTTCTTTACATAATGGTATTTTGGTATATGAGTGTCTTGTCACCTACTTCAAGTAAGAGACTGCAATGTTTTTCCTAGCTAAAAATGTATACTTATCCAATGATGCTCATTTCTCAAAACAGAAAAAAAAAATAACAATAGGCTAAAAGATGACAGCTAATACAATCAGAGAAACAGTAGGAAAAGTCCACAAGTACTGTTTCCAAAATTATACTTTTTTGAAAAAAGAAAAATTAATAGCCAGGTTTCTGTTCAAGATTATTAAAATTATTTTTAATAAGAACATATATGCCATATATACCCTTTCATGCAGTTATTTGCTACCACTGACATGTTATCACTATAAAAAGATTTATTTTTCTTCATTAACAAAAAAATGAAATAAGACTAAAGAGAAGTCAATTCAGAAAAGTAATATAAGTAGCATTGTTATCCAACCTTATATCCACAACAGAAGAAATGACAAAGTTTTAATATGACTGAAATGACTTTGGGCTGACAGTTAGAATTACAATATTGTCTACATCTGCAGAAGACCTTCCATTTCCATACATGTCCTCATAAATTTTAATGCATATTCAGTAGACATATTCTTCTTAGAATTTTTTTAATGATAATGCCAGGTCTAGTTTCTTCCATGGATTTTGGAAAGCAGTCTTTCATATACAGCCAAACAAATATAGTGATTTTTTTCCTAGTTTATTCTTTATAATTTCTTGATGTTTAATTTTGATAACTAAAAAAAGACAATCTCGGTTACATGAATTTTTACATTCCTTTAAATTCCCATTTTATTTTTCATGTATACATGAAAATACATGAACAAGAAAATTTCATATATGAATTTGAATATATTATAAAAATAATATATACATTTTTGAACTTCCAAAAAGTTTTAAGGTACTAATACTGATACCAAGTAAAATACACATTATATAGTTAAACAAACAGACCAGGAATGGTGGTTCACACCTATAATCCCAACACTTTGGGAGGCCAAGGTGGGAGGATCACTTGAGGCCAGGAAGAAGTTTGAGACAAATCTGGGCAACATGGCAGGACCCAGTCTCTCCAAAAAATAATTTTTTAAAAATTAGATGGGTGTGGTGGTGCTCGCCTGTAGACCTAGCTACTCAACAGGCTGAAGCAGGAGGATCACTTGAGCCCTGGAGTTCCAGATTACAAAGAGCTATGATTGCTCCACTGCACTCCAACCTGAATGACAAAGCAAGACCCTGTCTCTTAAAAACCGAAACCAAAACCAGAAACTCAAAGAATTGCACAAATTCCTTATAAAAGGAAGCATAGCGTTCATTGGGCTAGACAAAGTTTTTACCTGTCATGTCTTTGATATATATTTAGTAAACATGTCAAAATTTAAAATTTTACAATTTGCTTTAATAGACATTTTATACAACTTCTAAGCTAATTAGATGAATGTCATCACTAATATAATATTTAGGGCAAGACAAACTTTTGAAACTACCAAAAAGTTGCTTTAAAGCCTTTAATGCACAAAAGTCTGTATGAAAACAATAACCTATCAGCAATGGCTACATCTGCAGAGAACTTATAAACAAGTCTAAAATGAAAGCATATATTTATTTCACTGTATTCTGTTTTGTTAGAGTCCTCTTATTTTTGGTGAATATGTATTACTATCAGTTTTTTTTTTGATAAAAACAAACTGAGGTTCCATGTGTACATAGTAACACAAAAACAAAAGTTAATACCACTCTAGTAGTATTCAAAAACTGATGCTGTATCACTATGACTACCTTCACCTACTAATTAAATCATTACTTATATTTAAGTAAAATACAATGCAGCCTCTTCAGGAAGACTATAGCTTGAAAATTACCTTTTAAATCCTTTATAGTTATTCACATGCAATCTCAAGAAAGTAAGACATTGGGAGACATATTTGACATACATTTTAGGTCAAACGATGGTCACAAGAAGGAAGAAAAGTGTGTATGTAATCAACAGAAACTCTAGGTATCTACAAATATTAACCACATTTTCCCTTGCATCTTTTATACTAAGTTACATCATCTGATGATTTATGGTAGTTTTTCATAAATACAATATAATAACTCAAATATTGAGATGCTATATACCTTCAAAACCCAGTTCAGCCAGCACTTCCTGCAGAGAGCCTTTACTAACAAACCTTGATTGTGCTTCCCTGTCCAACCCTAAACATCCTAGTCCCTCTCTCCAGAATTAATTACTGTACATTACAGGATTCCTTGTCAGCTAGGTATTCGATATCCAAAGTGAATCTGCCGATCCTGTAAAAATGCAAAATTTCTTAAGTTGTTGAAAGTGATGTTGGATAACTCCTCTAATCACAGGCAAAGGTGATAAGTAAGGATCAGCAAGGATTATAGTAGTTACCATAAAGATTAAATCAGTAAGAATTGTTGATAATCTGTTGGGGACATTTAAAACATGATTTGAACATCAAAAGAATAAGAGTGATTTCCAAAAAACTGATGAACTCCTCAAATATTTATCCAAAAATAGCCTCTCTTCATAATCATTCTACAGAGATCAACTTTAAAGTGCTGTCATACTGTGCAATTACACAATTTCAGTGGAAAAAATTATACCAAAATGAGTCAACACTTGTTCTTTGTTCTAAGCATTAGTGCATATTTATTTAGAACCTAAGTTTGATATACTCTGAAATAAACTTATTTTCATATATTTCCTTCAGTTTTTCAAATAAAGCACCAAGCAAATATTTGTTCATTATCATAAAACGTTGTCACTTATTTTTAAGGGATTCACTTAAAGTAGTCTTTTCCATTACCAATTATTCTCAGATATATGTAGTACTTCTATTGCTACATTACTTACAATGTGTTAAAATTTGTCCATATATCTGTCTATCCTAGCTATCCCTCTAGCTTACCTCCCTGAGAACAGATGCTACATCATCTCTATCTATAGCAACTAGCACCATTCCTAGAACATACTAAATGCACAAAAGAATGCTGAACTGAGGAGTACTATTTTTAATAAATAATTTTGTAATTGAGTCTAGCACCCCAAGTCCAGTCAACATATCTGGTATATCCTCAACACTTTAAATAATCCAACTGGCTATTTCAAACGGTCTCAATTTTCAATTAAATTTTAATTGCTTTGTCTATATTTAAAAGTATGTAAGTTGTTTTTAAGAATCATACCTTTATACACAAAAAGGCATTTAGTAGAGGTCCATAGAGAGTTATCTGAGAATCTGGAGAAAGTTCCATTTCTACATGAAGTTTATCAGGTGGAAGTTCTGAGGGATCAATAGGTGGGCGTGAAGAAGTAGAGGGAGAAGAAACAACTCTGTCTGATGTCTTCTGGGATGGCCTTAATACAGATAGCATTGTCTCTTCCATTTCTGATACTGTAATAAATTAAGAAAAAAAAGACTAATGTTTGAGGGGTGGGGGACAAAAGACTTCTTGGAAGATCTTCAAGGAAATATTCACTAAGAAATTTTACTTTGCAAATATGACATCAACTAATCTTTACATAATGTATATATAATGAAAACAGACCTAAAAGACCAATAATTAAGAAAGCAAATAAAGAATAAATCATTGAAATATGAGAGAAATACATAAATCAGCCTGCAGAGAATCAATGAAAACTTTCTGTTAACATAAACAACATTCTTATTGAGTCCCTGCAATATAAATTTGGGTCACATCAAGACCTTAACTATTCTTGGGCACTAACTACAAAATTTTTTCATATAAATAGCTATTTAAATACAGTGTAATGTTATCAAGCCACTATGAAACAACTATGAAAACTATCCTTTGAAACTTAACTCACTGGAAAAATACAAAGAAAACATCATCATTTGGCTCTAATTCTTTTTTGGACCTAGGTAATAAGGCAAATTACCTTCAGGAAACTATAAATCATATGAGAACTGTCAAAATGCATTAAAGAAACTAACATTTCACAAAATCATGCACCTTAAATATGCAGATTCACACATACCTTGTTTCATATTCAGGCTCTGCTGCTTCTAGCTTGGCAGACTTTGAGAATATTACTTACCTTTTCTGAGCATATTTCCTCAACTTTAAGATAAAAATAATGATAATATCTTTCTCACAGAGTTGTTATAAGGATTAAACATAATAGAAGATAATAGAAGCCAGAAAATTGCTTGGCCCAACATTTGACACAAAGTAAATGCTCAAAAGGTAGCTACAATTAATCTAAAATATGTAAGACTATATTTATACTATGTCACAAGAATAGATGCATTTCAATTTATTTGCTTCTTATTTTTCATGATTATCAATCATAATAGCAGCTGTATAAAAGCACAAATTATATAAAAACACTTACATGATTGTTTCAGCTGTTCATCTGCTTTTTGTGGATAAATTGGATGCCATGTATAATCAATTGTAAGCATGACACTTGGGACAGTCCAGCATTCAACCCAACCAGACCTTTGAAGAGTAAAACAGACAGTTTCTAGTCAGATACTCATTCCTTTAATTGTACAGAGATACCAGTTGCAGATAATCAAATTTTATTATTATTTTTTGAAAGAAGAATTTCTCCACATATAAGCACAAAATACTTGTCACTAATTTTATTTTATTTTACTAATTGATTTATTTTTTGAGATGGGGTCTCTGTTGCCCAAGCTGGAGTGCAGTGGTGCGATCTTAGCTCACTGCAACCTCCGCCTCCTGGGTTCAAGCCATTCCCCTACCTTAGCCTCCCAGGTAGCTAGGACTACAGGCATGCGCCATGATGCCCAGCTAATTTTTGTATATTTACTAGAGACAAGGTTTCACCATGTTGGCCAGGCTGGTCTCGAACTCCTGATCTCAGGTGATCCACCCATCTCGGCCTCCCAAAGTGCTGGGATTACAGGCGTGAGCCACTGTGCCTGGCCTGTGTCACTAATTTTACGTACTCACTTTTCCTGAGTAACGTTGCGCCATTTTGGTTTAACTGTTTTCTGGCCACTTTGACACTCAGCAGGAATACCAGTATCATGAATCATCTTATTTGGATGGCAATTTTTTACCAGCATAAATAAAGAATATTTACTAGGGTGGCAGTCTGGTAGAAACAAATGAAGATCAACATCTTCTCCCTAAAAAATAATTATAATAAGCCAAAGTAATAAAATTAGTGCATAAATATGTTGGTTAATACTTACGGGCAAACCTGTCTACAACAATCTTGGAAATAAGTTTGAAAGAAAATTAACAAATTTTATTTATTTTTATTTTATTGTATTATTTATCTTTTTTTTTTTTTTTTTTTAATGGTCTCACTCTGTCACTGAGGTTGGAGTGAAGCCTTGAACTCCTGCACTCAAGTGATCCTACCAAGTAGCTGGGACTAGAGGAATGTGCTGTTTTTTGTTTTTTTTAGAGACAGGGTCTTGCTGTGTTGCCAAGGCTAGTCTCAAACTCCTGACCTCAAGCAACCATCTTGCCTCAGGCTCCCAAAGTGCTGGGATTACACGAGTGAGATAAACAAATTTGAAATGGCAGATTTTGCATTCGACAGTCAGGTAAATAATGAATAAGATTTTACATTGACTAAAACTAAATTTGAATTGAAAAACAACAAAATAATCAGGGAAAGAAACAGCATAGTTTCCAAACAGTGAAAAGAATGTCTTCCATGGGTATCCACAGATATTTTTTTTAAGTTCAGTTTTTAAAAAAACTTTTATAAGCTCAGGTGGACTATGTTCTATATTTTTATTAATTTTTCAGATAGTATTGTCTCATTTGATTCTAGTAAGTCTCATTTCTTCAACTGGCTTTTAATAATTCAGAACTGGCAAATCAAAGGATCTTCATTTGGCTTTACTTTTTTCCTAATAGGACTTCTATTCTTTGTTCATCTTGATGACTAGTTTCTTAACAGGCAGCAAGGTAGAGTGGTTAAAAGAATGGAGCCCTAAGCTATACTGCCCAATAACTCTCTAGTTGTATGATGAGTTACAAAAGCTCTGTTCCTCACTTTCCTAATGTATAAATGCAGTTAATAATAATCTCAATAGGGTTGTTCTGAGAATTGAGTTACTACATAAAGCACATGGAATAGTGTCTATGTAGTACCCAGAAAATGTTTAATAGATGTTAGCTGTTTCTATATGTTGCTAATTTTACCAGTATAACCACTATTAATACTACAAGTACTACTGGTTATCCATACCAAAAATGTTCCATAAAATTTTGAGCTTAGAAGTACATAAGAGCTGGCATTCAGATAAAAGGAAGAAAGCTACTGTGGTTACTCCTTGAATTCATGTTTACAATTAAGAATCAAATAAAGGGAAGTATAAAATTAGTTCATATGAATTAGTAAACATTAGAGCTAGAAGGGCTAACATACAGATTAGCCACAGAGATCAGAAATGAACTCTAAGAAAATAATCAACTTGAGATATTTTTAATTGACCAATTTCTTAGATGCAGTTAACTACAAAAAGAAAACAACAGGAACTCTGTGACACTAAAGGTAGTAGACATTGGAGGAAAGCTAAAAATACTTTGAAGTTGCAATGGACTGGGGAGAAGAGAGTGAAGATAAGCTTTGGGAAATCAAATTTACTAATACACCTGTGGAATAAATAATGCATTCAACTATACATACTCTTAAAGAGAACTTGGTATTACATGTAGCTGGAACAAAGTCCGTAAAAGGCAAAGAAAAATCAATGTTTAGTGTTTCTCCACAGGCTGCCAGATACACTACAAAAGAAAAAAAAAAAAAAAAAGAAGAAAAAGTAAATTTACTTTTAATGTCCATTAAATTTCAATTATAAAATTGCCTAAAATGCACAACTAAACAAAATTAAGTTTTAGTCCAATACAAACTCTGAAACAGTCTTCTGAGAGTCTCACAAAGATAATGGGGGGAAATAACTTCTAGTATCTGTTAAAACTATCAAATCAATACTAATTTTCTTAGTTGGTATTTGCCTTAATGAGAGAAATATTTAACCTAATTTTTTTTAATGTCTTACCATTTTCCTGTTGTTTAGTAGAACAGTCGATCCAATTGTGTTGATTAGCAGCCCAAATCATTTCAAACTGATGAAACATGATTTTAAAATTCCACGTATATGGAACAAATGAAAAAATGTCTGGAGGACTGTCACTAGACCAGTCTTGAATTAAATCTAAAATTATTGGGGTAGTGAATAGAAATTGTAAAGTTAGTTGAAACTCAGAAAAGTAAAACACAGATTTTCTAACACCAGTCAAAAATGAATTTTTCTTTTGTGTAACTAAAAAAATTTTATACTGAAATATTTAAAAGGTGATTAGGATGTATTTAAATAATTTGACAGTAAACAGATGTTTACTTACTAATCACAGTTCCAAATAAGAGAAATTTTATATATTAATATATCTATTTTTAAGGAATTTTAGAAAATTAAAAAAAAATCACCTGCTGTTCCACTACCCAAATAGCCAACATTGTGGATACAGTTTCTTCCAGTTATTTTTCTACACAGACTGACACTATCCTATATGCACATTTTTTATGTGTTGCTTCTTTCACTGAACTCAAATATTTTTCCGTGTTATTTCACACGTTTACATAAATTTGGCATAATAGCTCATTAATGAGATTTGTCAGGACCTACTTAACCATTTTTTATAGTTGGATATTTATACTCTTTCCAAATTTTTGTGTTATATATATTATCATGTATTATATATTTTTGTAAAAGATATTTTACATATTCAGGATTACTTGTCAGTATAGATTCTAGAAGTGGAATTGCTGGGTCAAAATTTAGGAATATTTTTCAAGACTATTATAAATTGCACTCGAAGAGAAGTGAGTCCATTTACACTCCTACCGGAAAGGTATGCTTGACTACCTATTTCACTGAACTTTCTTCTGCATTCTATTTCTTTCTATCATCTATCTGTTTTTTGTTTTGTTTTACTTGACATTTAATAACTGAAAAATGGTATCTCGCTTTCACTGAACTTCTTAACTACAAGCATGGCTGAACAATTTTTCATGTTGTTTTATTAATTAAACAAATATCTACTGTCTACTGTGTCTCAGGCTCTGTTCTAGACTCTAGGACTACAATGGTGAATGAAACATAGACTTGACTTTCTTAGAATTATAATCAATCATATTTGTTCATTGCCAATTCACTGTATGTTTAAACTGCTTTTTAAAATTGTGTTCATATATTTTGTCTGTTTACCCTTTGGTACTTTAAGTTTTTTTAATCCCAATAAATAAAAGCTCTTTAAAGACATTAGCACTGATCTACCATCTACCATAGCAGTTTGTACAACTTTATCTTCTGGCCTCCACAATGTTTTACATGCATTGTACACTCCCAGCAATGTCTTTCAATAAAAGGGCTCCTCCTAGAGGTGTCAAACTCACCTTTGTATACTCACAGTACATAACACAATACCATGTACATAAAATTAGAACGTGTGTGTGTGTGTGTGTGTGTGTGTGTGTGTATGTGACAGAGAAAGAGAGAGAGAGAAACAACTGGAAAAGGTATTATTATAGCACAGACTTTAGAGAGAGAGAGAGAGGGAAACAATTGGAAACAGTATTATTATAGCACAGACTTTGACACTAGAGAGAGAGAGAGAGAGAGAAGGGGGGGGAAACAATTGGAAACAGTATTATTATAGCACAGACTTTGATACTAGAGAGAGAGAGAGAGAGGGAAACAATTGGAAACAGTATTATTATAGCACAGACTTTGACACTAGAGAGAGAGAGAGAGAGAGAGAGAGAAACAATTGGAAACAGTATTATTATAGCACAGACTGACATTAGACAGTCCTGGGTTTAAATTCTGACTTTATCATTTTACTAGCTGTGTAACCTTGAAAAAAGTGACTTAAATGTTATCAGTTTTCTCTTGTACAAAATAAGAACAACCTCACAGACTTATGATGAGAATTCAGACGATTTATGTAAAGTTTGAACAAAGTAACTGGCACAGGGTAAGCACTCCACAAATGGTAGCGTTTATTATTAAAGATATCCTAAGGAAAATTACAGGTAAAACTGTGAAATATTTAAAGTAGTTTTCCTTGTATTTTAAAGGTGATATTTAAACAGAAAAAAGATTCAATAATGAACTCAGAGTAAATTTATCTTACATAATATCATATGAACCCATTTAAAATTTAGCTGCCACATACAGAAGCTAGCACAAATGTATTAGAAACTCTTGTCTTACTAAAATGGCAGAATAACATACTTAATGTCAAATGACAATCACAAATTAATATTAATGAGATATAGAGTTTTACTGCATCAACAATAAAAGGCATGTGGCTATTAACCTGTTCTATTAATAGACAACAGAAAATTCCATTTATCAAATTTACCTTAAATATATTTTTATTTAACAATCACAGTGATTCATCACACTTTACATAATCTATGCTTACCTCAAATCTTTTACTCCTACCTAACTAGGCTGACTCTATCCCTGCTTTCTAACTTTAGTCTTTAGCACAGCGTCTAACACTTGGGAAATGCCCAAAAATCATCTCCGGATATAACCAACTCTACAATATATTCATCATTCATCAGACTGATTTTCTCACCTTTTTCACTCATTCATAGTTCAGCATTTTTGGTCAAACTAAATACTGTCTTTCATATCCTCTCTGCTAAGGAAAAACTAACCATCTTTATTGCCAACATAATATTACAGAGAAGGCAAACAGTCTGCAGTCTGAAAATTGTTCTTAAATGTCTTCCACCTCCTAGCCTCATAAGTCTGCCCAAGTCATGCAATGTTTCTATGCCTCAAGTTCCTCATTATTAACTCAGGGATAGTAATAACAGCTACCCTATTTTAGAGTTATGTGAAGATAATACAAGTGAACATGCTTTGTAAATGGCAAAATACTATCCTATTTTAGTTAAAACTACTGAATTCATTTAAAAACACCATTTCAGACCTTAGTGTCTTTCCTTACTTTCTCTGATTACCTTCAGACAACAGTGATTTCCTCTGTACTCAGGTCTTACATGCATTTGTCAGCTTCACATTTCACACTTGCATTTTGCACTTGCACTCAATATACATAATGTCTGGTATTGTTTCATTTGTCTATGTCTAGTACACATGCCAATGTACTTGAGACAAATAATACAAAACAAGAAATGCCCATAAGTGAGGGCAGAGATCATATTTAATGTTTGTTTTGAATCTCTATTCATGTATGAGACTTACAATGTATATTGGTTGTATTTTATCTACTTTATACTTCTATTAGTCAAAAGATTGAGATACGATTGCTAGTGAAATAAACAAAAATTGAACTAAACAGAAATTCAGATTACTACTTATTTGAAGAAACAAGTATAATTTTATAAAGTTATTAGCCAAATTCTATTTTAACAAATCTTATTATTTTATTCTTTAACAACTCATGTGAAATGTTGCAGCTATTAGTCTATTTCTAATAAATCGTGTTAGTTTTTTTCTTTAATAACTAATTTAAAATTTCAACATATCATTTTATAATTAGTTTACCTACCAGTTTCTATAACATCTTTACTGATAAATATTAAAAATTATGGTGACAAAATATTTTTATTAGGAGCATCAACAATTTTTTAATATGCATTGTTATTAAACCAAAATCTGTTTCTCATTACCAGATAGTCTTATCAAATAATCTGATTAGAAAAAGGAAGCACTTTCCTGATGACTGCCTTACTCATTTGTACAATGAATTAAAAAGTTATGGCAAGCTAAATGTTACTCTGAAAAAACCCACCAACAACTCACTTTATCTTTAAGTTGTTAGGCAAACACCCTATAATACATCAATCAATTGGTATTAGAGCTTTTCAATGCCAGTGTATTATTTTCTTCTCCTCCTTATCAGAGTAAATCTAAGTTATTTTCATTATTCCCAGAAGAGGCTTCAGTTTCTGCTTTTGTTTTATAGCTTTCATTTCTGAGGCTCTATATTATATTTATCATAAAGCTATCTTTGTCCCACATTGAAATCTCTTAAGAACAATTTTATCTTATTAATAAATGGTATGAGAATGGCTGTTCAGGAACATTAGGCATTCCCTCACATCAGAGAGATAATTTCTTTTCTATAGAATTCCAACAATAGACAAAGCAATCCAAACACTATGACCAAGTAGGTTCACTCCAATACTAAACTAATATTATTCTCTAGTAGTTGTCCTTTTTAGAGAATAAGTTTAAAAAGGACTCTACAGTTATTTGTTATGCTATATGTCTTTTAAAAACAACAGAATATGACCAATTGTTAGTTGTTAAATCTGTAAAACGGTGATTATGTTTACTTTTGTATCTATGTTTTTAAAAATTTCTCCAAATAAATTTTATTAAAAAAATAACCAAAAGAGTGAATTTCAATAGAGAAAGCATAAAAATTAGAGTTAGAGAAAGAAAATAATTTAAGGAAAATCAGTTGCAATTTAGGAAATGTGTACTTAGCTGTTTCGATGTAACTAACACAATAGTGTAAATGAAAGTGCTAGTACAAAATAATATTTTCAAATCATGAAGAATGTATATGTCTACTGCAGCTATTCTTAGCACTGCAAGAGTCTAAAGATGGGAAATGTCTGGAAGAAAAGTAATGTGAAGGAGTAAATACTTGATGATAGGTATCTATTTTAAAAGATTAGTAAAGTTAAAAAATACAAAATCTTAAGTGAGAAGCAAAAGGCTAGTCAAAGAGGTAAGTAATGTAACAGATTCTTGAGCCAGACTACTTGAGTTAGAATTCCAGCTCAACCAAGTGTGACCCTGGACATACTGTTTTACCTCTCTGTAACTCATCTTCCTCATCTATAAAGTAAGGAAAATAATAATAATATTGATCCCTGAGAGTTATTGTGAGGATTCAATAATTTAATATGTGCAAACTGCTTAGGACAGAGCCAGACACATAATAAACACTATAAGTTTTAGCTATAATTTTTTTCATAAATTTGAACTGAGAAGTGTTTATTCAATGCTCTGCTTCACTAGCAAAAGCTTAACTTGCCAGGGACTGTCAAAATTTCTACTACTGGGACATTGGTTCAAGCCTTGGAGAAGTATGTAACTCCAGGAAAGCAGAAGCAGTCTATCTAGTCCCCAAGGCTCCCAGTCAAACCAGAAAAGAAATATGAAAGACTTGATTGAACATATTGCAATAAGAGGCATTTTAAAAGGTCAAAACTCTAGTAATAGCAAAATTAGGGTAGAAATTGTTATCCCTATTTCACAAACAAGGAAACTGAAGCTTAAACAGTGAAATCATTTACACAACATTATAGAGCAGTATTGTCAGGAGAGGACTACCTACATATGCCTTAAACACCACTACACCTCCAAATATCTAATAGTACTCAGCATCGATGAGACGCTTGTATAAAACAACTGTTGCACAAATGGATGGATGGATGGATGGATAAATGTAGCAAGCAGTCAAGCAAAGATTAGGTTTCTGTGGAACAGCCAACTGACCCTGGCAAATTAGACCAACTTTATGGGGCTAAACTTTTTAGAAGAAGACTCAATAAATGCCACTTATTTTAATGTAGTAATATTTATGCTATTCATAGACCAACAATATGTGTTCTTATAGTCACAAAATATGCAAAGCTATCAATAAATGCTGCAAGAAATAAAGGAATGTTTCTTCCAACTAGTGACAGCACCAACTCAATTATCCATGCCAACAGAAAAGATTAAATAAGGGCTCCAAGTATAAAAATAACATTTAGCTATTTGCGTATACTGTTGTGTATTATAATTATTAAAACAAAATAATGAAGCCATGCTGATGCCTAATTTGGGAAGAGAGAGAAATTGATTCATCATCTCCATCCTACCCTCCAACTAGACTGATACAAAGCAGCAGCCTAAATTGAGTTCTTTCATTTCCTTCTAAGCTCAATTTGGGGTTTATATTTTCCTTGTTTAGGTTAGAAAAGAATGCAAAATGTCTATATTTAAATTTTCTCTTTAACATTTTCAGCCCAAAATGAAATGTTGAAGAAAATATGAATCATATCATATCCCTATGTAATTTAAAAGTAAAACTTATCAAATGTAAACAAGTTCACTGTGATAAATCTCACTGTATTTATATCTATTAGAAAATTACCTGTAAAGAAGTTTTTCTGTGCAAAGATGAAGTGGTAAGTGGCTTTATAAACCTCTAATTCACACTGCCATGTCTGCGGCATGTTCCATATTCGGGGGTAGCTGGCATTGATGTGGAACTGCAAAACAAATGTTAGGTAAAAGTAATTAAGGCTTAAAATGTGACACTGTGTGAACAGCATTAGAAATGAAGTTACACACGCTAGTGAGTAATTAAAACATTTTCCTACTGAGCTGAACAGAAGGTCCCTTTGAGACTTTAATATTGCTGTGGCTGAAGGTCAATATCCATGGCTACATCTAGCTCCTTGAAATATTAAGTCAAGATGTGGTCAAAAAACTTTCAGAACAACAAATCAGGCTACAGTGTTGATACTGCACTCCAGATAAACCAATGGGGTAACAACCGACATCCCTAATTTCTCCTTAAGCCTCATCTGTTAAGTGACAGGCTCAGTGTGAAGGAAGATAGAGTGTGATGCGTACTGTCACACAAAGTAACATTAGTATTTCTGCAGTTTGGCATTTTTTTTTTTTTTTTTTTGTTTTGAGACGGAGTCTCACTCTATTGCCCAAGCTGGAGTGCAGTGACACATCTCGCCTCACTGCAACCTCCGCCTCCCAGCTTCAAGCAATTCTTGTGCCTCAGCCTCCAGAGTAGCTGGGATTACAGGCATGCGCGCCATCACACCTGGCTAATTTTTGTATTTTTAGTAGAGGCAGGGTTTCACCATATTGGTCAGGCTGGTCTCGAACTCCTGACCTCAAGTGATCCGCCTGCCTCAGCCTCCCAAAGTGCTGGGATTACAGGTGTGAGTCACCACATCCTGCGCAGTTTGGCATTTCTGCAAAGGGAAAAGCTGCCTACCTAGGAAGAGCATTGTCACACAGCACTATTTATCAGCAATAGATGAAGAATTCATTAAAATACTGAATATGCCACTTTAAGGTATATTTATAGTATTTTATATATTCCTGTTAATTGCAGAATTTTTCTCTTAATTTACATATGTCATATGTAAAATGTTTAAGACAAGAAATTAAGAACCTTATGGCACCATCTTATATGAAAGAATCTCTGAATATTAACCATTTTACATAGCAGCTTTTGTTATTGTTAGTGTTGTTGTCCCTGATAGTAATAATAATAATAATCTGCTTGATTAATGAGTCCCCAATCAGCAATTTTAATCATGGGCATTTACATATTGTTTCTCTTTATAATATGAAACAATCCAGGGTATCAACAAGATTTTCTTCATTTTACCTTACTCATCAAGTAAAAGGCACAATAAATTACATTATTTAAACCCTGGGAAAGAAATCCAGCGGGGCTAGAAAACATATATTAAAGAATTATCTTACTTAGAACTTAGAAGAGATTTAATCCAGCCACACAATGTACTTTAAAAACAATATTCTAACAACTTCTCATATTTTTCAGGCCAAAAACATGTATCATTGCCTTTTATTCACCTCCCTCATACTAGAAGGAGAGCAACAGAGAGATGCCAACAGGAGTCCATAGCACTGGGAATCCACTCCTCTTCCCTAGCTGTTCTTGAACTAGAAGATGGACCATTTGATGATTTCCTGGTTACTTAAACTTAATATAAGAAAATTAAAATCAATTGTTTTTCATACAAGTATGTATATCATCATGTACTACAGACTTACTGCTAACATTTCTGCTTCTAAAAGGGTCCGATATTGCATGCTGGTAGTGGCATCCACATGTAAGAGTTGTCCCTTAATAGCAGGAGTGTAACCTAATAATAAAAACATAAAAACTAAGAACCAGGAAAACAATTACAAAATGAAACATCTTTGGACTAGAACCAACTCCTACCACCACTCAAAGAAGGAATCCTTGAAAAATGGTAGTCACTATTTAAACACACCTCAGTGACAGGGAGCTTGCTAACTTAATAGGTGATCCTTCTCATGTTCTAAAGGAACAAAGTTCCAACTCCATATAATATCTATTCTGATTTTACTTTCCTTTGTAGTTTGCAAAACTACAAGTCTATTCTTTAAACAGTAGTTTTCAGTTACAGAACACAACTACTTTTCTTCTTCCACTGACTCAAGGGTACATATTTTCATCATTTTCAACTACTCCTTATATAATGATGGTTACTAAGTAACAGCTATTCCCCTCATGTAATGACAGTTTCTCAGCAATATAGTCCATTCTCAACAAAAGCTGAATAGTTTAGAGTATTGTATTTCCTTTCTTAAAGAAATCTCTTCCTATGAACACTACTTCTGTGGTCACTATTATATGGCTAGTTCCACATGCATCCTGCATTCTGCTCTGGGCTTTTTTTCTTTTTTTAAATACCTGAATCTCTAAAAAGTTTTGTTATATATTGTTCTTGCCTGACACCTAAGTCCATTTTCTCTTTGCCAGTTGTCTTAAAAGCTACCTAACCTCTATACCCAAAACCTGACTGGGCTTTCCTTAGACCCTTAACTCAAGAGTTCCACAACAAGTATGCTGTGGTACTTGCCACACATTTATAATAGATATACTCAAGATATTGACTCCTCAGTCCTCAGGTGACTCCTTTACTCCAGTGTACCAGTATTTGTATAATACTGCATAAAACAGTAAAAATACTATTTCCTATGTGTATCATCAGTTGTGAAAAGGCAGAAGCACTTCCTTAACTGAAACATTATCAATTGCGTAAAACTCTCAACTGCCTTTATACCCCATCATACACCTGTAAAAGATGTATGGCTTTTCTAAAAGATGCTTTTGGCTTTTCTAAAAGATGCTTCTTTCGAACTGCGTACTCTGAATTAGCACTCCTAGAGAATCTCAAACATTTCCTTCAAGCCTTAGTAAGATTGTATTTTTAACACTAGATAAGGGTTAGTTATTCACTAAAATAGCCTCAGAGTTATGGGGAAAAGATACACTATGCCATTCACAGTCACTTTTTCAATTGATTATCTAAGCAGGCAGGCCTGAATGCTACCACTTTACATAAACTAATGAACGTAGTCAACCCTCTGCCTGCTTTCCTCTTACAGCACCAAAATAAGTGACAGAACCAAGAAACAAGAGCTAAGAATTACACAAAAATGAATTATACTTAGCAACAGAAACACTAATGATGATTGATTTTAAATGTGGGTAAGTTGCTACTCTTTACTCTCAAGAAAGAAAATAAAGCAGAATTTCATCTTAACTGCTCTCAATTACAAGGCAAAATGAAGTTATAACAATTTGATAAATTTAACAAAAAGTATTTATTCATGTTATTAACTGTGTCAGTGCCCATATTTCAAGTGCATGATCAACTTAGATCATCTCAGCTCAGATGAAACTAAAGCTGTGAGGACACACTTTAACATTTTTAACATGAAATGTTTATTAAAGTTATGCCACTCAAAGTACCCACCCGGCTTACTCCCTGACGAAATCTACTAATAATATAACCTAAAACAAAGCCTTGCAGTCATCCAATCAATTACTGCCCAAACGTCTGGTACAGGGTTCAGCACTGAGAATACACTAAAGAAAAAAAACAGCACCTGCTCTCAAAGTGCAACAGTCTAACTGGAAAACCATGCATTAAGTAAATTATGCTCAGTTCTACAAAAGAAATGTATACGTTATAATAAAAGCATATAAGACTGAACTTGATTAGAAAAGGTTTCCCTTTTCTCTAAATGCTCAATTATATAATATTTCCCTTTAATGAGTATAGGCACATCAAAATATAATTAAAAAACTGAAAAAGAAAACCTTATTAATGTTAGTCTAAGATGATTAACAAACTTTATTATTTATAATTATTTCCCTAATTATTTAAAAAGAAAAGTAACAGTTGCAGCTTACCATTTTCTTCAACTGTCATTGGAATATTAATTTCTAAATATGAGCCAGCTCCTACATTTACATGTACAGCATTTGTTTCCTACCAAAAGAAAAAAATTAATTCATATAAAACATTAATTATAATTATTCTCCCATCTTTACTTTTCAGTTATTATTACAGAAGAAATTATTGATGTTAAGTAAGTATTACAAGTTCCTAAGAACAAAAGTTCAAATTTTTACCAAAAATACACTAAAACAATTTAGCCAGATATAAAGGAGAAAATGAGCCAGAATATAGCATGAAGGTCTATTACTATTAATTTCTTCCCATTATTTGACATTTAACAAAATTATGATGATAGTAAAATACATAAAATTATTTCAAGGGAAAACAGCTCATATAAATTAATCCAAGTATGGGACTAGTCACCAGGAAAAAACTCTGAAAAATAATGTCAAAATTTTAAATACTATTTTCTACTATATTATTATAATAATTACCCTATTTTTGGTAAACAGCAAATCAATTGTAGCATCTGCAATAATATTCATTCGTAATTCAAAAGCAAGGATCTGTCTTGGTCTCCCAGGCTGTGCAATTTCAGAAACTTTCAGAACTTGATAGTCAGGTGGAAAGAAAAACTTCCACAAACAATCTCTACATTAAGGAGGTAGAAAGAATAATGACATGTTATTCAAACAAAATTACTTCTGATAAAGGAACATAATCAATATTCTAATTTTTTATTATCATTGCTATCACATTTGACAATTAGACTGTTTTCTGTAGTATTTAACACTTCCAGAGATCAATGAGCCTTGATTACTCAATAGATATACTATTATCAAATGAGACATAAGAGAAAATTTGCACTATTCAAGATTACTACGACAAACTAAAGACTCTCTACAAGTATATAAATTGCTCAAATGGCAAACAAAGAACTGACAGAGGATAGCTTAATTAAAATCATCATTCCAACCTGGACAAGTTACTCAATCTTCCCCAGAAAATTTGAGCTGCTTCCTCTTCTGTAACACAGGAATAATATACCTTGTCTCATACAAAGGCTCAGAGGTTTAAATGGTAAGACACATGGAAAACACTTAGCAGTGCATGGCACATGGAAGAATTGGCTATTTCTATCAGTTTCATAATCACTTTAAATCAATATTATATCATTAAAAGGCTAAAGAGCAATAGATTTCTAAAAGGTAAATAGGTATTTGGAGGCTAAAGTACTAATGTTTTTGCCTCCCCTTATCATTTGACAAAAATGAAAGAGCCCAAGATATTTTCAATTCAGAGTCTTCTACATGAGCTAACATTAGTATTGTATAATGTTACTCATACATTCAAAGAAGGTGCCAGTCTATGGCTTTAAAACAGGAAGGGTTGAGTCAGCAGTGACAGAAAATGCTACCTAGAATAAATTAAGACTGGGAAAAATTAGATGAACCAGACAAAATCTGTACACTAAGTCTCACAGACTTTAACTTGCTACCGTTAAATTAAAATATATGAAAGGAAAATAAAGTTCTGCAAATGTTTTAAGACACATAAATATAGAAAATTAAGAATATTAAGGATAGAGAATCCATTAGATGATCATTGACTACAAGGTGGGTAGATAGGAGGACATAATGAGAAGGGCAGTAGACCTGAAGGGCTGCTTTGAACCTCAGCACTTCATGCTGTAGCTTCACTATCTTGCCCAAATCACTGAACCTCTCTGCGTCTCCATTTTCGCACAAGTTTAATGAGTTCATTACATCTGTCCTATGAATCTCACTGAGTTATAAGGATCAAGTCAGAAAATACTAATGAAAGTACTTTAAGTGAAAGCAATAAAAAAAAAAATGCCAGACAATGTTAGGAAGGTTTGTATTATTATAATCATCATCTGAAGATTAAGTTTCATTGTAAAACAGTTTGTATTTCAACTCTGTCATGAAAATTCATAAAAAGAAAACATGAAGTAAAAACTGAATAATATCTTAAATATTCAGACAACCATGTAAAGGTAGTAGAACTGACACCAAAATCTAGAAACTAAAATCATGTTATGATTATAAAATCTATAGGCTAAAACCATGCTATTTCAAAAGTCAGTAACTCCTCACAATGCTGAGTGAATTATCCAATAGCAAAACAGCTGAGATTTCTTTCTGTATGCCTTATGTTAATAGATGGCTGCTAAGAAAACTGTCCTTACTATTCATTACTGATTACAGTTTGTATTTGTGCAGAAACTCAATACAGGGAAGGAGAAGAGGAAACGGCTGCATAAGACCTTTTGAACATGTAATTGAGGAGACAAATATTGCTCACATTAGTGAATTTAATATATGTGAAAAATAGATTTCTTTTTTTTTTCTTTTTTAAATAAACCTGAGTGTTTTTTTTAAAGTCCGGGTTAGAAATGCATTGCTCTTCTCTCCTGGCAGTGGAAAAATCTACTGAAAGGAGTGGTTAAAGCAAATTTCTATCTTCACTGTCATTTCTCTACTGCATTTTAGTTTGGGTTTTTGTGTAAATATACCCTAAAATTTATGAAAAATACATAATGAAATTAAATACAGTTTAAGAAGAATCACACTTTATTTAAGTGCTAAAAAATGCAAACACACTTCATGGCCCTATGTTAAAGCATTATTTTCATTTTTTCTTCGCAAACAATACATAACTGTTCTGCCAACCTAATAAAATAAACCTTTCTTGAGATTTCTCAATATAGTTTAAATAGATGTAGCTCTATTACTTAATGAAATGTAAAATCTCTCATTTTCAACTATATGCTATATGTCAAATATAGCATGACTTATAGGAAAATTTTACCAGAAGAGGAAAATTTAAATCCAATAATGTGAAAAGTATTTTCTTTCTAACGTGAAATTTTATGCTCTGCTTACTTTCAAGTTTAACAAATGACCTAATGCAGAACTTAATGAAGTATTGTTTTAGCATAATGCAAGAATTTTCAAATAACGAGCTTATTCATTTACCATATAATTGTTAGTTAGCTACTTAATGAGGCAGGTATTCCTATATACTACAGATAACAAGATTAATAGAATATACTGTTCGGTATATTATACCTCAACCAGCCTTCTTAGAATATACTACTTGAGGCCGGGCGCAGTGGCTCACGCCTGTAATCCCAGCACTTTGAGAGGCCGAAGCGGGCGGATCACGAGGTCAGGAGATCGAGACCATCCCGGCTAAAACGGTGAAACCCCGTCTCTACTAAAAATACAAAAAATTAGCCGGGCGTAGTGGCGGGCGCCTGTAGTCCCAGCTACTTGGGAGGCTGAGGCAGGAGAATGGCGTGAACCCGGGAGGCGGAGCTTGCAGTGAGCCGAGATCCCGCCACTGCACTCCAGCCTGGGCGACAGAGCGAGACTCCGTCTCAAAAAAAAAAGAATATACTACTTGACAAAATATATAATTCTAATAATGCTAGCTAGATGGCACTTTTTAAAAAAGCATTTAAAAAGTCAATACATCAAGTTAGTATCAGCACTCTTTCACTAATCTATCAATGGCCCCGTAATATCTGCTCAAGTGAACGACTTGGCTTGTATTTCTCTATTCAAAAAAGCTAGTTCATGAATAGAAAAACTAAACTAATTTAACTAATTTTAAGAAATGTCTAATTTTGTACATAAAAACTTAGATGCTCCCTCATATTTAATGGTAAATGTCCCCTTCTTTGTTTAAAATTCTTCAAGAAGTAGAAAAATGTTCATAATATATTAAAAATTAAAAATACTTTAAAATAAAATGACATTATAAAATCTATACCTCTTAACCACTATAGACTATAACTATAGAACAATTCTCCACTATCCTCATGCATTTATAAAACTCTTCCCTTGCCTCAATGATTCACCCTCCTCTTCTTTCCCTGGCTAACTCTCAATTATCTTTCAAAACTTAATTTACACGTTACCTCAACCAAACAGCCTTCTTCTCTCCCCTAATCTTTAATATAAATTATATACTATATACTAGGAATACCAAGTAACCTAAAAATTCATACATTGAAGTCCTAACCCCTAAAATTCATATGCTGAAGTCCTAACCCCCAGTACCTCAGAATGTGACTATATTTGGAGATGGGGTCTTAAGAAGGGTAATTAAGTTAAAATGAAGTCATTAGTGTATGCTGTCCTAATCCAATATGACTGGATAGTATGATCTGGACACAGAGGTACACAAGGGAAAGACCACATGAAGATACTGGAAAACAACAGCCATCTACAAGTCAAGGAGAGAGGCCTAGATCACATCCTTCTCTCATAGCCCTCAGAAGGAACCAATCATGCCACCACCTTGTTGGAGGACTCTTAGACTCTAGAATTGTGAGAAAATACATTTCTGTTGCTTAAGCCACATTATCTGTGATGCTTTATTAAGGCAGCCCTAGCAAACTAGTAGAGTACTTTTCTAAGTTCTTCATGAAGACCCTTTACTTACCTTTATTATAGCACCTAATATTAGTCTTTTGGTTCTTTCTTCCCCACTAAAACTGGAAGATATATGTCTTTTATTTCTGAATTCCCATAGTCCCAACAATATCTGGCATATAGTAGGGGATCAATGAAGAAATCGTTGTTGATTAAATCCAAAAGAAAAAAAAATGAACCAACAAATATGCTCCTCATTCTAATCAATCTAATTCTAATCAATCAGAATTAGATACTAAGTCTAATCGATCAGCTCCACCTTTGGAATGAACTTGCTTGTGGAGAAGCCACAAGCAAGTTTTTCTTTGGATCAAAATGTTTAGTGATATCTTCCTCTGCCATAATAAAATAGTTTATAAAAATTTTAAGCTAGCTTTTATTTAAAATTATATACATCTAAATACATCTAAAAAACTTATTAGAAATATAACATACTCAAGTACCTCTGCCTATCGGCCCATGGTCCATAATTAAAATCTGTTCCTTTACCACAAACTATATCCAGTCCCCAACATGGAGGCAAGTCTTGTAATTTGCAATCCTCACTGCTCATTTCTCCTTCAATATTTTCTTCTGTTTCTTCCGGAACAAGTCCTATATTCCAGAACATACAATATAAAGGCAGTTATTTAAAATGGCCATTAAAAAGTTTCCTTAGATCAGTAGCTCCAACATTTTTTGGTCTCAGGAAACCTTTACACTCTTAAAAATTATTGAGAACCTAAAAGGGGTTGTTCTCATATTGTCTTATGTCTATCAAGAATTACTATGTTCAAAATTAAAATTTAGCAATTTTAAAAAATATTTTAAAAATAAACTCATGTTGACATAAAATATTTAATGTAATTAAATATAACATGTAATATAAAATTAAATGAAATTTTAATCTCACTTTTAATGAAGAATAACTATTTTCTAAAACAAAATAATTTAGTGATAAGTATAAGAGGTTTTTTTGGCAAATCTCTAATGTCTAGCTTAATAGAAAACAGGTGGATTCTCATAGCTGTTTCGGCATTCAATCTGTTACTGAAGGATTTGGAAAAGATCTGGCCTCGTAAAGATATGTAGATAGAAAAGGGAGGAGTATTTTAATAGCTTTTTCAGATAATTTTTAATACTCTTCTTTGATACTACCCCAAAATTCAACAAATGGAAATTTCTTAAAGGTTAATTGCAATGTGGAATCTGAAGCCATATCACTAAACTTTTCATACACTGTTATGTTAAAATCTACTGGTCTATCTTGCACTTTGAATACATTTATCTATGCATGACTTTTGTAACATCATGCATTGGGAAATACGGGTTCACTGAGTAATGCAAATTTTTTCCAAATATTCACCAATTCCATTATTAAACATTTAAAAACATCACACTTGCTATATCATTGGTGGTCTCATCATAAAAGATGTTAACTATTGGGATGCTGTCAAGCTCATAACAGCAGACTCCAATTTTCCAAAGTTCTAATTTTCACAAGAAAGCTCAAATTATAGTTTGTCTCTAATTACTCTTTCAAATAAAACTGGCACTCCATGAAAAAAAAAAATGCAATTAGTGCAGCTTGCAACTTAATCATACAAGTGCTTTTCCTCAAGACACCAGAATATTTTGGTATGCAGCACAAGCACTTTATGTGTACTTCCCATTTTCTCACACCAAATATTAAAAACACTTTAATCAAAGGTCAACATTTGACAAAATAAATAATTTCTATTGCTTAATCAAGGAAATTTTAATGTGATTTTGACATTTTGTTTTACCGTAAATGTGTGGCAGTTGAAAAATACAATGACTACTAGTATAATTAGGAACCATTTCCTTGATTAGTGTTAAAGCAACAACAGTTTTACCCACCATTGCTCTGCACCATTAGCACAAATGTCAACATGGTGAAAAGGCAAATAACATCTTAGTTTTACTTTCAAAATACTTTGACCTTAAATACTTTTATACTCTGAAAGGTATAAAAAGAGCAGAAGTATGAAAAAAGAGCTTAAAACCCAATGTTTAGATACTTTTAGAAAATGGAAGCCACCTGTCAAGAATTCTAACTAGATGAATTTCAATCCTCAAACTTTAAGTCTCAAATCTAATATACTAAGCTTCTAAGCTAAGATGAACTACCTTAACTATCACTACATCCTTTAAAGGTTTTCACTCATGATCATTTGCATTCTCAATTTTTGAGGTTTATCTATGAAAACTGAATTTGAAAAAAATAATGTTCTCTTTTAATCTATAATACTAAACTAATATTCAAGTTTTGAGAAATGACACAGATATTTTTCAGATATTTTCACTCTTATCTACATTTACCATTTCCTGATGGCTAAGCAAGAAGATTTAAAATATTACTAGATATCAGCATTTCATAGAAGAAATAGAATTGTAGCTATGAAACATACTTTTAAAAAAAAACAGGCCAGGCACCATGGGCTCATGACTACAATCCCAGCACTTTGGGAGAATGAGGCAGGAGGATCACTTAAGGCCAGGAATTTGAGATCAGCCTGGGCAATATAGCGAAATACCATCTCTACAAAACTTTAAAAATTAGTCAGGCATAGTGGCATATTCCTGTCATCTTAGCAACTCAGGAGGCTGAAGTAGGAGGATTGTTTGAGCCTGGAAGGTCAAGGGTATAGTGGACTATGATTACGCCACTGCATTCCAGCCTGTGTGACAGAGTCTCACTCTGTCACTTTAAAAAAAACAGCAACAACAACAACAACAATACCTGGCTCATCCATGTAGTAGTAGATGTCAACATCATTTGACTGCATCACCACAAAACCTTCTCCCATTAATCTCGGTGGTCTATAAGAAGGTGGAGGGGAAAGCAAACTAAACAAATCTCCAGAATATAAAATGTTCAGTATCCTAGTTAATGCTGGCAATAGGTGAAAAGAAAAGGAAAAAAAAACTAACAAGCACATAACAAGTAGCATCCTGAAAAGAAAGAAAAACATCTTTCCAATGAACAATCATCCTAAGAAATTGTTCCATGTTTTATTCTATGTTGGACTTAATAATAAAATGATACTAAAAATTTATCAGTAAATTACTTCAAGAAGAAAAAAAAATTTGGTTTTAAAAAGAAAAAATTTAGTTTTATATTTTTCATTTTCAGTTTTGAATGAGAGAAATCGATTTAAAACAAAGTTTAAATACAATGGAATGATGATCACTGGAATAAAATGATCATATTCTGCATTTACAACAAAATTAAAATTTGACCACTTAATATTAATAACTAATAAGTATCATTTTATCTATCTGTATATTAAACTATAATCATTCAAAAACATTAAATAATAAAAAAGTTATCATTTTTATCTTCTTATTACCTATTTCCATGAATATTTAATCAACTTGAAATAAATCTAGAGCAAACATCGTGAACTCTAACTCTGGAATGAACGTTTTTCTACCATCAATAATTTCCCAGAAACCATTAATCTTTGCTTGCTTTGATTAAACAACTTTTCTCTTTGTCATACATACATCACAATATCTTCTTGCATATCAAAATTAACTTCTCAATCATTAGATGATATTAAATGCAAAAACTTGCAATTTTTTTCTAAATATGTATTAAATCACAAAGCTTAATGTTTAATATCATCATGTAATCTCCACACTTAAGTGAAAAATACAATTTTAAATCTTTTTATACAAATTATTAATAGCAAGACACTTTTTCATCTTACTCTCTATAATTTTTCAAAAAAATCCTGATTTATTCAGTATTATACCTTCACTCATACACATTTGTGTGCACAGTCCACATTCCAGAAGATTCTTAACCAAGTCCATGATCTTGAAGAGTGAGGCCAGGAAGACCCACAGTCACCGCGATACTCAAAAAGGAAAAACCCTCTTTCTATCATTCTAGCCAAATCCTGGAAAATCGAATACCAGGCCAGCCAAGAGTTACAACTAAAAAGGAATAATCATGTTTCACATAAAACCTCATAAGGTACCTACACACAAAGATAAAAGCTGAGACACTGTACTGAAAACTCTCCATATGAACACTTAAATTCAACCAGAGTATCCTTTACACACACAAAAATTGAGAAAAAACATAAAAATCACAAGAGCCCATCTCCCACTCAGCATCCCATCACACTGAGTCTAGTGTACATCATTCCTATAATGAGTCTTATAAATACAAGCAGCTACTTCACTGAAGGAAAAAAAAAAAAATGGAAAGCTAGATGGAAAACTGACAGTTTGGAACTTAAAGAAATGTCAAGTGGGTCTCAAAACTATACCATCTTAACTTCACCAAATTTTCCAAGAGTAATTTCGATTCAATTTTCGACTTTCAATAACTCAAAGTGGTATTCCACTGCAATGAATCTGTTCAATTTACTCTTTAGTCACATCTTCTAGAAACAAAAACCTACCTGTAATGTGTATCTCCTAACATACAAACAGGAACTAATTGCACAAAGTAAGTTTCCAAAATACAATTAGAAGGAGAAAAGGATAAAAAAATTATAGTTATAATCATGCAGAAAAATATTTAAAATTAGAGTTTATCACTGGATAGCATATCCATTTATCCTATAAAGAAGGACTACATTGTTAACTGCTTTAATAGAGAAATATACCTAATTTTTGTACAACTTGTAGCAAAAAAAGTAAAAGGATGTTAAAGTTTCTAGCTGTATCTGTATTACCTATAAGAAGTTTTTTATTATTTTTATAAGATTTTCTTACTCATCATTTTGAAGACCAACATATCTTGGACTAGGAACAAGCATGACTCGAACATTTTCAAGCTTTCCTTTCACAATATGCATGAATTGGTCAAGATGACTTGAAGGTGGTTTTGTAGTATAAGTTAAGAAAGCATCATCAAAGTTGATGCACAGAGTTTGCGGCTGGTAGTGATTTCCAAAGGCCAAACGTCCCTAAAAAAAAAAAAATAAACAGATAAGAGATATTATATCATGCTATTCTGGCCATATTTCTTTCTTTAGCTAAACTAATAACAAACATTTTCAAACAACAGCTTAATGATTCCACTTTAGGACTATGTGCTATTTAAACTATTCCACTGGTCAATTTAAACCAGTAGTTAAAAGAAAATTTAAGTACTTAAAGAAATTTAAACACAAATTTATCAGAAAACAGTATTTTAAAATAATTATTTCACTCACACTATACAGAAATGGGAACTAAAAAAAACTCCACAAAACTATTTAATTTTCTTACATTAAAATCATATTTGCAAAAATTAAAAGTTCTACATTACTACCCCATGAAACAGTAATTGTAGCAGAATTTACTTACTGTGCTCACATTGACCTTTATGACTGGAATAAGTGATCTCCATGAAGATGTGGGGTCTTGGGATTCTGTTTTTACTTTAACTCTAACAAGAAAAAATAAAACTGACATGAATAAGAAAACCTTAAATACCTGAGGACATAGTTCACTTCCTCACAATACCATACCTCACAGTTTCAGTTTACCTTTCCAAATACATCTAGTGACTACTTCAGTAAACAGAACAATGATCATCTGAAGGAATACTAATATTCCTACAGCTGTCTACTGGAGCACTCTTATCATATCAACTTTTAGATGGATAAGCTATTATAACAAAACTATGTTTTTAGAATAACAAGCTTTAATGACAAAACTATAAGGGATGATATGCTGTCATTACATCTACCATTTTGCCCATTATGTTACTATACGACATTTTATAAGACAGCCAAAGTTATTATTAAACATAAATGATTAAGGTACAAGTCACTTTGATGTTTGTCTACTGTTTTAAGCACTTCTGAAAACAATCCAGTTGCTCCTCTTCCTTCCCTCACCCAAATGCCTTGTGCCAAATTAATTTTCCCTTAATGAAATGAAAATGATAAGCCAAGAGTAAGAAAACTGGCCATATACAAAGTACACAAATGTTAAGAAATCAAAATTTCACAGCAATTCACTAAACAGATAGATAATATATAAATAAATAGGTGTGGCTATGTCCCAATAAAACTCTATATACAAAACAGGCAGTGGGCTAGACTTGTGCTATAGTATAGGTCTAAGTTTGCTGATCCTGTTCCAGAATAATTTTGTAGGTAGACCTACATACACAGATATGTATTTTTAAAAGCAGACCTACATATACAGATATGGAACAATCTTACAGACAAACTGCTACATAAAAAGCAAATTACAGAACAATACACACTATATGAGGCACATATTCTAAACACATATGTTTAGAAACACACAGAACAAAATCATGTATTTTATAAGCACCTTAAATATGTATGTATACATTTATGTACATACATTCAAAAGGATAAAAACTAAATTGATAACATTAGTTATTAATACGGAGAAAAGTAGGATTTGTGTGCAAGGGAATAGAACGGGACTTTTTTAGATTACATATTCTATATTATCTCAATTTCTAAAATAATTATATAATTATTTATGTTACTAAAAGTTTCAGTTAATTTGCAAAGAAATATTAGGCTCTGTTTAGGTGCATAGCCTCAATGATATTCTAATAAAGGCAAATGTTTAAATGCTAGAGTTTAATAAAATTCAAGTATGATACTGAACCTTTCAATTTTCGATTGGGTTCTTGTTCTTCCAATTTCCCGTGTTTTATCATCATCTTTCTTAGGTGGAATTATTGTTGGCTCCAAACCAAACAACTCTTGAAGGCGTCCATAAAGATCCGAGCGATTATAGACATGAAATTCAAAGTCATTGACTGTGATGTATAACCTGGTTTCTGCCTTTGGATCTAAAGACACCAATTACAAAAAAATTTTTAGTCAACTTTTTAAGAACTTCAAAGTTTTTACTCAAACATTTTTATACACCCAAAGTAATTCAATTTATTTTAAAATAGAATTCCATGATACAGAGAAGCATATTAATAAAATAAATACAAAACACTGGCCAAAAAAAGAAAAAACTTGATGTTTCTGTTATATTTTAATTTAGCATTCTAAAAACAACTTTAATTTCTAGATTCCAGTTATATACTGAAAAAATTTAAAGATTTTTATGCTAAGAACAGTAAAGTACCACTTAAAGAGTAAAAGTACACCTTTACCCTAATATATCCATATTTTTATACCAAAATATATGCAGTAAAATGTTTAAAGTATGATGCTTTATTTAACTATCATATTGGTATTTGAACTTTTGCATCACAGAAACTACAATTTTTCATAAATACTTATTTCCATAAACATACACAACACTAAAACATAGGTTTTATGAACTGTGGACTTCAATCTTCTCAAATAAAAGACATAATTACATTAAGTAGAAATAGCAATAGTAATTAATGAATCCATTTAAAGTGATGGATGAGGCACTTGTTTCTACTAAGGAAATAATCTAAAACAATGCATCACATGTCAACCAAAGAGAGCCACAGAAGAAAGGTACCACAATCAATGCTTTCTTTTGTTACCAAATGAAAGAACTACCATGTTTTCTGAGACCTCTTTTTTATAACCTCTATCCATTTTTATCTCTATTGAACAAATTCAAACATTTACGGATATTTAAATGTTTTCCACTTTATAACAGATGTTTTAGAAAACTATGGAGTTTACAAAACTCTGATTTTATCATCACTTGGTTGAAAAATCCTTTCTTTTCACCTAGTAATCTACTGTAATTTATAACTTCATTCCTACAGGAATATAGATTTAAACTTACAAGTCTGAGCCAGCCAAAATTACTTTAGATTTCACTATTACTTCACTAGTATTTAGTCTTCTATCGTTTTGCTATCATTCTCTTGCCCCACATAGCTTTTCCCCTCTTCTATACTATATGATATACTCTTCCCTGATGAAGACTGGCGTAAATGGGCTAGTATTTGGCATCTGTAGGAATAATGAAATCAGAATATTAGGGGCAGATTTCATGTCTGGAAAAAGTATTCCAACAGCTAGAGCAGCTGTTCATTAGATAAGTTTGAACAAAGGCTAAGTTTTGTCATACAATATTCTGAGAGAGTATGAAATGGGCATTTTGCAGTTTCTCATGTGTGGCTTAGAAAGGCAGTATGCTAATGAGTCTCTAGACTGTGACTGTATAGTACCAGTTGTTAAACCAGCATTTTTACCTTTTTTTCTTAGCAACTGCTATGAATGTTTTTTGTTTTTTGGTTTTTTTTTGAGACGGAGTCTCCCTCTGTTGCCCAGGCTGGAGTGCAATGGCACAATCTCAGCTCACTGCAACCTGGCACCTCCCAAGTTCCAGCAATTCTCCCACCTCAGCCTCCCAGTGAGATGGGATTACAGACACCCGCCATCATGCCTGGCTAATTTTTGTATTTTTAGTAGAGAAGCGGTTTCACCATGTTGTCCAGGCTGGTCTCGAGCTCCTGACCTCAGGTGATCTGCCCGCCTCAGCCTTCCAAAGTGCTGGGATTACAGGAGTGAGCCACCACACCCAGCCCTACAAACTTTTTTTCTTAGCAACTGCTATCAACTATCTAAAAAATAATTTTAGGTGGCATTTAAGTGAAGATATCTTACTTACACTGCAGAGATGGCTAAACTTATTCCTAAGAGCCACGTTCTTTTCAGTCTTGGCTTTTGACACATTCACTTAACTTTGAGCAGGCCCAATATTTCTGCCTTTGATTTCATTTATAAAGTCTATCTAGTTTGTTCCTTAGAGAGATTTACTTTAGGTGCATATTTTCCCCTACATGTCATGCTTCTATTAATCTTGCAGTCTATTTGTTAGATGATTTGCTCTTTTGACTAAACTTTTCTTTTTTAAAAAAATATTTAGTTAACATAAGCCATATTGTTAACAAGATTACAGTGGAGCTGAAACAAAATTTTTTGTTTACATAGCTGGTTTATGATTTTGAAAAAAAAAATGTACCTCTTTGTGGATATTTACACTAGATCTTTTAATCTCAATTATTTTCAGTATTTAGGATATTTGTGTGAATAAATAAAGCTGTAGGGGGACAGTGAGGTTGGAAAGTAGAGAAGAAGGTCCATTTGAACTAATATCCCATGCTATTAACCCTAGAATTTTGTTCCAAAGAACAAAACTTGGAAAAAATTGATCTTCTCAAAACCCCTCATCAACTTGGAAATAACTAATACTTTAAAAACCTCTCATTTTGCTGATTAAGAAAGAAATTCCTGTGATTGTAACTTGTAGAGTCAAAGCAAAAACCTAGGTCTGCTAAATTCTAGTCCAGTGCTCCTTGTATTATAAAACAGCCTTGTTAACTGGGGCCCAAATAAGTCCTTGGAAATTCTTATCATAAATATTGATTGCAGCTTGTGGAAAGGATGGACATCTGCAGTATCCAGAGGCAAGTGACAGTTTAAAGCTATAAGCCTAATGACACTGACCACTTTAGAATTTTCTGATTTTAGAAATTCTCTGATTCTAGAATTTCTAGAGTGCAGAATGTAAATCTTAAATTGTTTAAGCTTTTTTTTTTTTTTTTGAGACAGGGTCTCGCTCTGTCCCCCAGTGTGGCATGCAGTGGTGCAACCATGGCTCACTGCAGCCTCAATCTCCATGGCTCAAGTGATCCTCCCACCTCAGCCTCCCAAGTAGCTGGGACCCCAGGCACGTGTCACCATGTCTGGCTAATTTTTGTATTTTTTGTAGAAACAGGGTTTCACTATGTTATCCAGGTTGGTCTCAAACTTCTGGGCTCAAGCAATCCTCCCACTTAGGCCTTCCAAAGTGCTGGGATTACCAGTGTGAGCTACTGCAACCAACCCAGCTTTTTTTCTTTTTGAGAAAAGTAGTTACTTCATTTGATCATGAAATATTACATCTCATTAAAATGAATTGCTCCTCACCAGAATACACGTATGAAGTCAAGAATAAGTGACCCAAGTGTCTTTCAAGAAAGAGGTGGTTTTTGATAAAAATCTTTAACAGGTATTTATTTGGCATTCACTTTATTAATCATTGTGTTAAGCTGGGAGAGGGATTTAAAAAAAGAAAGAGGGAAATGAGTGCTACTTGAATCGATTTGGTAGAGCAGATGCATATAAACAATTACAATTAAAGGAGAAAGGGAGCAGTGAATGTGAATGGAGGAAAAATACTGAGAACTTCTAACTTTGATACAGAACATTTCGTATGGTCCCAACAGGGTCATGGTTTGACAATAAAGTTCTGCCCATTTGTCAGGAAGCAGAATGGTAGATGGAGGGCTCCTGTGAATGCCTTATTCCTCAAGGAGCATGCATGATGATGAGTGAGTAGGATTATGTCAGACAGATGTGGAGCGGAGGGGAGCTCAGATGGAATAACTGATTAGACCAATGGCACTGAGGTTAGAAAATGTGTGTGTTTAGAAATTCAATTTGGTGGTGGTAAATTTAAGGTAATGGGGTAATAGGGGATGATTTGGAAACTGTGTATGGAGGACCCTGAACACCTGGCAGGCACAGTCAATAAACTCAGGGGAGGGCAGGGGAGTGCCATAAACTCAGCTTCTTTGAAAGGACATAGCAAAATGTAGTCACTACTTCAGATTCATACACCTCAGGTTAACAGAAATAGCTTAAATACTGGCCTTCCCTTGACTGGCTTTCCCCCATAATTTCTGTCAATGTCTTGAATTCTTTTTGTCACTCTTTTAATATTAGCATATTGCTGTCTCTCTGTATGCTCTCTGTAATTGTCCATAATCTAGAATAGAAATATTATAATTTTTGGATATTCTGTATTCTTCTTAACATTTAAGAATATTTAAATTGTTTTTGGCTTAAGTGTTCTTTTTTAAATTTTTTGTGTGCCAATGATTTTCAATAGAAAAAAAGATTCCACACCTCTATTTTATAGCGATGTTAGAGGTTGGTAGATGTTATCAATTATTACTTTTGCAATTACTAATAATTTGCTCATACTTTTACCTACAATATGACATTTAATTCTCATCAAGAGGAGCACAACATTGGTGAAGAGTCAATTAAGTTTTTCTTCCCTGTGCTTTTTTAAAGGAAATTCTCTAGTATGGAGGATGACATTCTTAACAACATACTCAATGTCCTTCAAAAGTAAAGACATGATGTCAAATAGTAATGCAGGAATAAATAATTTGGTTTGAGTACATTATCGGTCTACCATTACTCAGGGACAGAATTTAGACTATACTAGATAGAGGAATGAATAGGCTGCAAATGAAGCTTTTGATAAAAGTCTAACAAGATTAGCAGCTTATACAATCATTATATATAATATAAAAACAGATTATGTTCACTAACAAGACCTTATAATCAGTATTTCTCTCTCTGATTAAGGGCAGATCCATATGCTTGGCAGTTAACCAAGAAGGAAGTTGATGTTTCTTGGTGGAAAAATTAGAAGCCTAATTGGGGCATATGCCTGAATAGACAGATGTGCATTCAGCCTTCCAAGGAGATGGACCAAAGTCTGTCTGTAGGTAGGACCAAGATTTTTATTACTAAGTTTTTGAATTGCTCTATCAGGAAAAAAGAGGAGTGTTCAAGTGCCCAAATTCTGCGCCAGGAGCACATTTAGATCTGTCAGTTGTCCAGTATAGCTCTTTTAAAAAAAAAGAACGCATCTAATTTGTTTATCATAGAATGTTTGTAAATACTCCCTAGGTTATAAAATTAGTGATCTGCTTTATAGATGATTGTCAGCTAAAGACCAATTATATCTGTCAAAAATCTTTATTTTGTTTTTAGGATAAAGACTGTCTTTTGGAAAATAAACTGTAAGACCAGTTGCCTCTTAACAGGCAATGATATATCATAATGTTTAAATGAATATGGATCTGAATAAATAGTCATGCTTTCTTCTTAACCACAAGAAATTCTTATACCAAGAAGTGAAAGAATGATGGTAAAGTATGTCCCTTTCTGTTATTTTATTACTTAGAGGTTTTAGCCTACTATAATCTATTAGTGTAATTTAAAACTGGTTACATCTAAACCTTGTTTGTTAAATAAATTACATAAATAGAAAACCCTGAGCAGTTTTTAAAAGGTCAGTAGACTGTTTTGTCTTTGTATTGATTCTCAGAATTGTAATGCCTTGGCAGCACTTCTGCACCTTGCCTTTTTTACTACAAATAGCATGTGTCCCAATTACATAATTAAATACGTATCTTTTTTCTAATTTCTCTTTGGAAAACAAGGAGTCTCAATTAGCTGTTTGTTCAGAAGACTTAAGCAGTTCTACAAAATGCATTTACTTTTACTTTTGTTTTGTGAAGAGTTTAGTATCTGGGTTCCAATCTACTTCTTGCTGGTTGTGTAATCTTGGGCTCCAATCACTAGAGTTGTTGTGAGGATTAAATAAAATTATGTGCATAGAGTGCCTAGAACAGTACCTGGAACACAGCAAGAGTGCAATAGAGCTGAGCTGCCTTTATCATTATTCTGAACATTATATCACATTCTGAAAGATTATCTTAAAAGAATAACTTGAAAACAAATATATAATTTACATGACTAGTAAGAATTTGACCTTCAAAGAGAAAAAAACTAGTATTTATTTTGTACAGCAATCCTACAGGTAAGTAGAGGTGTTCTCATTTTATAGATGAAAAAAATGAGGCTCAGAGTGGTTAAAATTCTTGCCTTAAGTCACAATATTAGTAAATGACGTTACAGGGATCACATCCTATATTCTTTCTACTATTTATTTACCTCCTTTGTCCAGTTCCTGAAGAATCCAATGCAGCCATTCTCAACATATTAGGTTTTTTTAAAGAAGCCGTGTGTGTGTGTGTGTGTGTGTGTGTGTATGTGTGTGTGTGTGTGTGTACATGCACGTGTATATGAGAGATGGATGCCTTTGGAAGAAGTGCCTGTCTTTTGGAGGGATACTTGTTTATGAGGGGACATGCTCACTGCTGGGGATATGCCTCCATTGATCTGGAATGGTACCCCTGTCTGTATGTGGGGGGCAGGGAGGATACTTTGCATGTAGCCTCTGTGTATTTATCTCTGTGAGGGGGATACAGTGAGTGTACTAGCACTTGTGTGGGCATGCAATGTGTGGCTGTGTGAGTGTGTGTGCATGTATGTGCTCATCTTTGAAAATGTTTCTCTGTACATAAGTGTACCTATATGTGCACGCCCATTTCTGTATGCATATATATGCCTCTCTGTATGTGTCCTTTTCCCTGTGTTTCTGTTCTATGGGTGTGCTTTTAGGCAACCTGTCTCTTTGTATCTAAGTGTGTAATACTGGGGTACAGGTACGGAGGATGAAAGGAGTGTTGCCACATAAAATACTCCTGAGGATGGTAGAAGGCTAGGAATATTAACAAAAAAGATCCTGGACAGAAGCCTTGAAGAAAATACAGACCATGTAAGCATGGAGATCAGCCCACGCTTGGAGATCTGGTTTACTGTTTAATCATACAGGTCTTTGGCTGGAATATTATTAATGCAGGTGAACTAAATAGAAACAAGAGAACAAATAAAGGTGGGATGTGAACTGAGCTAAATGTTTCTCTTTTAAAATATGAGACCAAGCAGTGCATTTATCTATTTATTTATTTATTTATTTATTTTTTAGAGAAAAGGTCTTCCTCTGCCACCCAGGCTGGAGTGCAGTGGTGTAATCATAGCTTACTGTAACTCAGCCTGAGGCATGTTCCCACCTCAGGCCAAGTAGCTAAGCCTACTGGCATATACCAGCACACCCAGCTCATTTTTTAAAATTTTTATAGAGACATGGTCTTGCTAATGTTGTATAAGCTGGTCTCAAACTCCTGGCTCAAGCAATCCTCCCACCTCAGCCTCCCAAAGCACTGCGATTACAGGCATGAGCCAACATGCCTTGCCTCAAAAGGTGCTTTTTAAATGCTTACAGACTTGCTATTTGTTCAATACTTTTCTAAGGTGATTTTTGGAAGGAAAAGAGTGATTTACGCATTTTGTTCAACCTTAAAATTTTTAAACCTATTTATTATTTTTATTTAATAATTTAACAATTATTTATTCAACATCTTCTATGTACTAGTCACTGTTTTAGGCACCAGAGATATGGCAGTGAACATAGGAAAAATTATGCACTAATGCAGAAGGGTGCATTCTGGCTGCAGAGGTGAAAATAAATAATAAAATAATAAATGAGATAATAATGGAATAAAAGCTGAAAAACAGGATAAGGAATGTTGAGGAGGATCTTACAATATTTTAGTATTCAGTATTTAGTGTTTATCAGTGTTGTCAACGTACATTCAGAAATTAATACCTTTCTCTTTATGCCTTGGCGTCTCCAATTAATGAAGCCATATCTTATCATAGCTGTTATATTGAAAGGAGAGAATCTGTCGTACATGCCCAGCAAGTTAGAGACGGATTTGAGAGTAATCCTGTTTTCATTTTTATACAGTCACCGTTTGTTTATGCATCACTGCTGATCCAATTAGGGGCAGGTCCAGGCTCTTAATTTCCCTCATTGCTGCTTCTGCAGCTCACCAACTGGCCTTTAAAGTGTATGCCTAATAATCAGGACATTTGTATGCAGGTATCATTAGTAAACTATTGCTTATGTAAATTTGAAAACAAACAATTTAAAAGAGTTTCCTGGTAAATTTTGATTGAGTTGTTTATAACCTTGAAGAATCTCATAAGAATTAATTTCTACTGGTATAGGTCTATCTGGGAATAGAAACATATCATATTTTAGGTTTATTATGCCTCCACATGTTAGATTTTCAAGCATTCTATAAGATGTTTCTCAATGTTTTGTTTTACTTAGAAGTATGACTAGGAGAAAGATACTCTGTTACTCTTTTATACAAATGAGTTCTTCTATGTACTAAGCATTTTTCTAGACACCAAGTATACAGTACAGAACAAAACAAGTCCCACCATTTACAGAGTTTGCTTCATTCAAGTTAGGTAGATTCCACTAATAAGCAAGTATAAATATATATACAGCATCAAGGAATGCATGAGAAAAATACAGCATTGAAGAAAATAAAAGCAAGGTTAGTGGAACAAAGAGTGCTAGTTTGTGGGGGAGGGTGCTGCTTTACAAAAGTATTCAGGAAAAGCTTCATTGATAGAGGATAGTTAACCAGAACCACCAAGCAAATAAGGGAATGAATACTGTGAATATCCAGAGGCCAACATTTCATGGTGGCTCTGCTGCAGTTTCATCACCAACACTAACAGGCCAGTTTATCTGGAGTGGGGTGGAAGGTAAGATGATCAGGAGGTAGAAGGAATTTTATAGAATATTTATAGGGATATAATATAGGATTTTATAAGCTATTTATAGAAAGTTCGTAGGATTCTATAGGTCACTTACAAGACCTTGGTGTTGTTCTGAGTGAGATGGGAAGCCACGGGAAAATCTGGGAAGAGAGAGGAATAAAATGATCTTACATTTTTAAAAGATCTGGCCAGTGTATTAAGAGCAGGTTGAGGAACAAGTGCACAGAAGCAGGGAGACTAGTTAAGAGACTATGTGATAAAACAGGTGGAAGATGATGGCGACTTGGGCCAGTGTGGGGAGAAGTAGTTGGATTCTGGATGTAGGATGAAAGGAAAGCTGACAAGATTTGATGATGACCTCTGGGACACAAAAGACAGCAGTCAAGATTTTTGGCCTGAGCAATAGAAAAGATAGACTTGCTGTTGATAAGATGGAAAATACCGTGGGGTAGGTTTGGGTGGGAAGATCAGGTGTTTGGTTGAATATTTCAAGTGTAAGAAACCTGTTACACATAAAATTGGAGACGCTGAGTAGGCTGCTAGATATTTGACCCTAGTGGTCTGAGGAGAAATCAAGGATGATGACTGAGGAAAGGTTTAACGCTAGTGAATGACAGAGTTTAATGTGTTTAAAACTGGGTTTATTACTATCAAATCTCAGAATACTTCATACATATTAAAACACCAGTGTGTTTCCTAGAGTCTGTTTAAGATTTAAACTACAGCAAGTAAAGGTGATGAAGTGCTTGATATAACAGTTTAGAGATTATTTTAGCTGTTAGTCATGTGATAAATCTGAGGAAACAGGAGGGAACACAGGCCAAAGAACTACGGCAAAATATTAGGAAAATTACATCTTCTAAATATTTGTTTTTTGAAGGATTGGGCCTTTATCATTTTTTTTTATCAATTATCCTAAGAAGTCATAATAGAAAAAACCTACACTGGAGTAGAAGCAAAAGAATTTACCTGAAAAATTGTTTAACAAGTAAATTACTCATAAAAATATTACTATATGAAAGATACTATGAAGTGAAAGTGAATGTTGCTGATTCATTTTCCTTAGTTCATTTTTAAAACATGAGTGGTAGTGTACTTTTAATTTGTTGGTTTAAAATTTACCTTTGTTTGGAATATTTTCTATTTTATATATATTTTTACAAACAATTCAAATTATTAATTTTGGTAAAATGTGATGCCTTACTGAAGAGTATATACCTCTCATTTAAATCACAGCTAATGCTACAAAAGTTAATAATAATTCTCTTCACTCATTTTTAAAAATTAAACTTTTCTTTTTCTTTTTTTTTTGAGACAGAGTATCGCTCTGTTGCCCAGGCTGGAGTGCAGTGGCACGATCTTGGCTCACTGCAACCTCCGCCTCCTGGGTTCAAGCAATTCTCCTGCCTCAGCCTCCTGAATAGCTGGGATTACAGGTGCCCACCACCACGCCCAGCTAATTTTTTGTATTTTTAGTAGAGACAGGGTTTCATCATGCTGGCCAGGCTGGTCTCAAATTCCTGACCTCAGGTGATCCACCTGCCTCAGCCTCCCAAAGTGCTGGGATTACAGACATAAGCCACCGTGACTGGCCTAAAAATTAAACTTTTCTAACTGGTCATATCTAATTTTAATTAGTTTTCATAAAATCCTGATTATATGATTGAACATTTTAAACACATAAAAAATGAAAACTCACCATGTTGCTTCTGTTTTGGGTTATACATTTTCCACCACCGAAAAATGATGAATCCATCTTGAATCCTAAGAAAGGGAAATTACAAAATTAGAATTTAAGTAACAATTTACTTAACTCATTTCTTAGTTATTCCAAAAGGAAGCCAATTGATAATGAACAAGGAAATACAGGAAATCCTCAAAAGAACATTGGCATACATAAACACACATCTTTTCGTGAACAAAGACTTATGAAGTATGTTTCATGATCTTCTAGTTAAAAAAGGAAGAGACTTTGCATAGCTAAAGATTCTTGATGCATAAAAATTGCATATATTTATCATATACAACATGTTTTGAAATATCATATTCTTCTAATTAATGGTCACAGGAAAATGAAGCGCTAACAGAAATGTTTTCCTTTTTAAATGATATTTTTTAAAATAAAAAATTACAGATACCTAGTTCTACAGGAGAGAGGGAAAAAAATTATGTAACAATAAGCCAAATCTTGAAAGAGGGATGTTAGCACACAAAAGAGAAACTTTTAAGGATGTTCCTTCATTTCTCATAAATAACCTATCATCTCATGCCCCAAAAGGATGAACTTACAGTCTCTGAGCTTTTTATTTTTCACTTTTGATTGGGAAATAATTTTAGACTAGTATAGAAGTTGTCTCCTCTAGTTTTAAGTGAGGTGTGAGCACTGCCAAACTCTAGCACCTCTCAATTAATTCAAAACTTTTGAATTCTACCTAAGTCACAAATTTGAAGAAAATCACAAAAATTGAGTAGGCTTTTCTTTCAAGACTTACAGAAGAAGGAACATTTCAATCATATCCTTATTATATTCATATTTGTGTTTCCTTCTTTGAATAAAATTAAGAGTTTCTAACAAATGCTAAACAATTCTATAAACTTATTATCTCTAATAAGGAGCTAATGGATGACAGACCAACATCTCTAAACCTTGCTGTATATAACGAATGACTACTATGAACTCTGTGATATAAAATGGTCAGGCAATTTAAAGGTTCACTTTCTCATCTAGAAATGAAAGATTATTCATTTCTATAAACAGCTATTTTTATATTCTGCTAAATTAATCCACTGACAAAATATTTTAAAACATCAATTCATCAAGTATGATTTACTGGAAAAAAAAATTTGATTTAGTTTTATTTGAAGAAGCAAGTCACATTCAATAAAATATCATAAAACATTTTAACAATATTTTTAAAGTATGTTTAACATGGGTCCTTTTCAATTTTTTAATTTTGTTACCTAATAGACATGTCTTCTGTAATGTAATAGATTTCACGAACCATGACTTTTCCAGAAAGAACAGAGAAAGAGAAGGAACCTGTTATAGGAAGGAAAAAACAGCAGTTAATGTAACTGTTTTAACAGACAGTAGGGCCCTTAAAGTTTAAAATAACATTAGCACTAAATTTATTCAATAAGCATCTCTTCTCACTCTCTTCCTGATACCCTTACAGCCTTACTGATTTTCCATCATTCTTTCCCCAATAAAACAAAAAGTGCCATACATATGATCACTATGAAGTAAGCTACTAAATAACCTGAAGAGGATATTAGTTTAAGTAACTGCTTTGTATGGATAATTCCCTTAATTATGCACTGCCATTAAATAAACCCAAAGTAGTGACTAATTCACCATTTTTCTTTAGAATCTTGAGTGACTGCAGGAACCAGCCATTGCCTCAAATTAATGGAAGACGATTTATGTTTGAAAGAAGTTTTATGTCGACTAAAAGGTACTCAATTATAAGGCAGGTTAGAATGGTTCTCTCCAGTCATCTCTCCCCATCCCTTTCTCCCACTGGTTTAGGGCTTTCAAAGCACATAGCTTCCTAATACACCCTCCTATTTACCTGCAAATTTCCTACTTTTAAGTAGTCAAAAATTTAATTAATAAAGCAGGCCATAAAATGAAACATACAAGATGATTCTAACTTACATATTTTTAAAGTATGGGTTACTTTAAAAATAACCAAAACTACATTGAACATGAAAAACTTTCTTTGAATGGTGGACTCACAAGAAATTTCTATTTCCACATTTAATACATATCCAAGTTTTTCAAACTCTTTTAATGAGCATCTTTTATAAGTTAAAAAAAAGTCAAAAAGTTACTACAGAAACACTTAAAGAAGTAATAAATAATGGGGTAAAGGACATAACCAAGCGGATATTATCATGAAGTAATGGAGTGCTGTGTGAGAGAAATTCCAGTTAGATTATCTTAACTATCATGAAACAAAGGTAAATTTCTAATGCTACTATCTGTTCATGAAATATAAATTTATAATATACATCTGCTATGGTTTGAATGTTTGTTCCCTCTAAAACTCACGTTGAAACTTAATTCTCATTTTAACAGTGTTAGAAGGGTGGGAAATCTGACTACAGTATTTGAGATGTGAGACATTTGGGAAGTACTCAGGATTAAATGAGGCCATGATGTTGGGACATCAGTGGCTTTACAAGAGGAAAAAGAGACCTGAGCAAGCAAGCTCAGCCCCCTCACCATGTGACACCCTGTGCCACCTCAAGACTCTGCAGAGTCCCCACTGGTAAAAAGGTCCTTACCAGATGCACCCCCTCAACTTGGGACTTCCCAGCCTCCAGAACTATCAGACATAAATTGCTTCTCTTTATAAATGACCTAGTCTCAGGCATTCAGTTATAGCAACAAAAAATGGTAAGACAACATCTCAAGATTATAAGGAAGAAAAAAATTCAGTGTTAACTCAAACTCACCAATATGGATATAGCCATGCTTGTATAATCTGTTAAGAACTAGTGTTAAAATAAGACCAACATTCCGGGAATTATAATATGTGAGGTAAATAATCCATCCACAGGACAAAATGGTAGCTGTTGGGAGGAAAAAAATCAGAAATAATAGGATTTACTTCTACACAGTAATGTGTCCTCTTACAATTTAATACTTGGAATTTTAAAACCAGAGGTTGATTATACTTTATCCAGCTTTCTTCCTCTTCTTCATTCATAATCCAGAAAAGCATAAATTCCGATCAGATCCATTAGAGCAATGTTTCAAGTATGCCTGCTTTCATTTCTGTTTACTTTATCACTGCTTTGTACTGTTTTAGTTAATAAACATTATGTAAAAAATATGGCCTGGGAGAAGAAAGGCCATATTTCTGAATATTCTGAAACAAATTCACCTTTATTAGGCCAAAAACTCATCTATACACAAGTTCATTCCCAAGTTATTTCCTGAAACAAGCTATAGCCACTTGTAAAGGAAGAAAAGTAATGATTTTTAAAATCTCTGCTTTAAAGAAAAACCTTCTGCTTTTTAAAGCTGTGCTTTAAGTAAAAGAAGTCGGAATTTAGTATAAAGGCATATCAAATAGGCCACCTGTAACTAGATATTTTGCTGTGATGGGTAAGACAATAAGTTATGATGTCATTGAATATGCTACAGTAAATGATATTCTAAATTTATTTTTTTAATGAAAGTATATGGTTACTTATAAAATTCATATTCTCAAAAAATCTAGTTCATGAATATACAAAAGGCAAAACAGGAAAACATTGTTTTGATAATCAATTTGCTCTTACTTATCCTTTTCAAAAGTATTACTTCTAAATTATGAGAAAGTTATAGAAAAGCAACTTAACCTGTATAACCCTTTAGTAACATCATATTAAGTCCTTAACTTTTAAACAATTATGTATTATGGATAAAGCAAAACAATCACTGAGAGTCAACATAAAATACAATTCCCAGGGCAGCTTAGATTGATGGTAATAGCTTTGACATAGCAAGTGCTATGATTTGCCATTTTAAAAAAAAAAATTCTAGAAAAAATATTTTGTAAAGTTATTTTGATGATATGCCATTATATCTCAAGTTTAAAGTCATTTTGTATAAATTTTTACTATAAATCACTGTGTCAACAGTAGGTTGTTATATGAGTCCTTCAGAATGGCAACAGGCATTTGCTGAGAAAATATGCTTTCAATATTAAACAAGCCAGGAATCGTAGTCTTTTCATTATATCACGCCCCCCTATGCTCATAGTAAAACAGAGGGATTAAACAATTGCTCAATGTTTTTCTGCTTGTTATTGTTGTTTTTTTCTTAAAGAAAGGAGGTGTTTATAACAGGAAAAAGTCTGAAAAATTCTAGGTGATAGGAAAGGGAACAGACACTTCATCTCTACTTATATTCCTACCCACATCCTTGGGTGTCATGAAAGAAGCATAAGCATCCCCTCAGAAAAAAAAAAAAAAAAAAACCTGTGTAACCCATATAAATTACTTAATCTTTATGGGCCTCAATTCCCCAACAGGGAATTAAAAGGAAAAGAATAAAAACCTACCTTCATAAAGCTACTCTGAGCATTAAGTGAGACAACATATGTACAACCTGGCATCTAGCACACAGAAGATGCTTAACATATTATCATTACCCTTTGTTTCCTCTCTTTCCCTTCCTCATTTCCTCTGTTTCCAATTCTTATGCCAAAATTAAAGTCAAATACCATTCTCCCATGAAAACTTCCAGAGCAGAAACAACCTACAATAATTTCTCCCTTCCCTGTATTATTTTTGTATTTCTCCCTCTCATTCATTCATATTCACTCATTCATTCACTCATATTTCCTTTCTCCCTCTGCTATTTAGTTTAAGCTATTTCTATATACCTAGAAAACTTCTAGATTATACCAAAAAATTATTAATAGCAGATCTCACTGCCAAGTGCACAAGGAATGAGGAAAGAGATTAAAAGATTAGGCATATAATTCTATTTTACTATAAAAATAGAATTATTTTTACAGTAAAATTATATTTGAGGATTTATTATTTCTGTAACAAAACAAAAGTGTTTGGGTGTGTGTTGAGTCGAGAAGTTGGGGAGGTGACCTGAAACCAGAAAGATAAGCTAAGTGCAGTGTTCTTCTTCTCTTTCCACTTCCCCTAAGTCAGATGAGAATGCAGCCTAAGAAAAAGTAGAGCATTTCAGAGCAGTTTCCAGAACAAATGTTCAAGAAATATAAATAACAATCTTCCTTCCTAAAAATAAATAAATGGTAGTGTTAGTGTTCCAACTTCAGTCAACCACTGTTTAAAATCTGGCAGCTGTTAATCCATACTTAAAACACAATAAAATAGAAGAAAAATATTCCACTTACCAACAAGGAGCCAAACAACATTGGAATTGTGTTCTGTAAGAAAATCTTCTAATTGAGTTATACTAGGAACAATACTCTCATTCTTCCTTTGATCCATTACTAAAGTTTTTCCAGAACAACATCTAAAGGCCTAAAAGATTTCAAAGGTTAAATTTAGAATCAGAGATTTATAAAATTGCAACAGAAATCATTAAGGGAAAAAAAGGGTGAATTTAATAAACGAAGTTGATTAAATCACCTTTCTGTTTCCTTCAATGATGAGAATGCAAAAATACAACAAAAATGCCCACATTTCTACTAAAATGTAAGAGAATGGATCATACTTGTAATGTCCTGATTTCACCATTCTAAATGTAAGCACTAACTAAGGTTCAATTACTATACTCTGGCTCAAAATAACAGGAATGTGATTATTCTTTTTTTTTTTTTTTTTTTTTTTGAGAAGGAGTTTTGCTGTTGTTGCCCAGGCTGGAGTGCAATGGCATGATCTCGGCTCAGGCAACCTCCACCTCCCAGTTTCAAGCGATTCTCCTGCCTCAGCCTACCTCGTAGCTGGGATTACAGGCATGCGTCACCACGCCTGGCTAATTTTGTATTTTTAGTAGAGATGGGGTTTCTCCATGTTGGTCAGGCTGGTCTTGAACTCCTGACATCAGGTGATCCGCCTGCCTCGACCTCCCAAAGTGCTGGGATTACATGCGTGAGCCACCGCGCCCAGCGTGATTATTCTTTAATCAAAAACATCTCAACAATCAGAAATACTAGCCATCTACATTAAACAAATTCATCCAGACTTGTCCCAAAGCCACCACTTAATATTATCATATTAAGCTAGATAAATCCCTCTTACCCTCCATCACCTCTATGTATTCTCCATTATTCCATGGGGAAACAATCTTCCTAGTTCAGATTCACTCTAGGTAGTCTGAACAGTAAAGAGACCTCCTGCTATCAGATACTTAGGATAAAGAAAAATTCACTGTAGAACTGTGACCCAACTTCTGACAAATATTTGTATGCATACACATATGTGTGCATATACATATGTATGTATATAGATATGTGTGTATATGTATATATGCACACACAGTAGGATGAATATGAATATTGAGATGTACCAACAATAAGAAAAAAGGAACAAAGTTCATATTTTATGATCCAAGAAACAAGAAAATATTCCTTCATAATACCATAGTAACATATGACTAACCCAACCTACCGATAACAAAACTATCTCATAATAAACCAGAAAGAGCAAAAAAAAAGCTAGACTTAATCACAAAGAGACCTACACAGTTAATACTACTTTAAGACTAAACAGCAGAGGAGATTTTTACAGATAACTACAAAAACAGCAAATTTTTTCTGCAGTAAAGAATAAGGAAAGATAACTTTCTAATTGAAATTTGGTACATCTGACTTAACTTTCTAAACCTGTTTTCTGTTTATTCACCACAACTCTTATCTTTGGACATCACAAAACAAGTTTAAAAATTGGATGAGGCCAAGAACCTATAATCCCAGTGCTTTGGGAGGCAAAGGTAGGAAGAACTCTTGAGGCCAGAAGTTGGAATCCAGCCTGGGCAACACAGTGAGACCCCATCTCTGCCAAAAAAATAAAAATAAAAAACTAGCCAGGCATGGTGGTGTGCACCTGTAGTCCTAGCTACTCAGGGCATGGGGGCAGGAGGATTGCTTGAGCCTAGGAGTTCAAGGTTACGGTGAGCTATGATCATGCTACTGCACTCCAGCCCAGTTGAGAGAGGGAGACCCCTTCTAAAATAAATAAATAAATAAAAATTGAATGAGATAACATTGCCAGACACAATCTACAACACATTATGTTTCATATTTCTACACTGTTGAAATCTTATAATTTACAGAGGCAAATTAAACATCTCTTAAGAAAATAATACAGAGCTCAATAACAGAAGGTTTATTATTAACAGTGATATGAAAACCTAAACGCAGGAGCTAGAGAAGATTAAGAAAATGTTTTCAGTTTACAATAATCCTTTTTTTTCCTACAGTGTAGAAACTGAGTAAAAAATGTTCTCGTATTTTTCAAAGCTTTGAAAAATCCCTGTCAGCACCTTAAAATTTGACGGCTAACTTTATAACATGAGCTTTCTCTTTCTTCCCTCTTAAGTTTTTTTTTTAACTTTAAAAAGGAAGCAAATACTTTGAAAAAAACTATCTTAAAAAATCTAAAACCAAATATTCACATATTACATAATGGTTTACATATCATAAAATAACATATGTATCAATTTCATACTTATTTTTACCATTCTACAGATTGCTAGCCAGCACATCACTAAGGAGGAAAAGACTCTGGAAGTTTCATGAGAGATGTGTCCCAGCATTCAAGTCTCCACATAAAAAGGAAATCTGTTTCTAATCAAATTCAAGGGGAAAGGACCTATCCACCAAAAATACCTCATCTAAAATAATCATGACCTACCACAGTAACAAACCATAGTGAAAAAGAATGTGGGAAGAGGTTGTTTAGGCTGTAAAGACAGAAACCCTACAGTATCAAACAAGTTTCAATCAATATTTCCCAAATATTAGATTAATGCAAAGCCTTTAAGAGAAATCAACAGATAAAGGCTCAATATTTAAAAGAACATATTTTAAGCAAGTACAGAAATAAAGGCTAAGATTTAAAAAGCCCCTAAAGTAAGAAGTAGATATTCTGGTATAAAGAAAGTAAGGCAACACTAGACACAGAATCCAAACAAAAATGTTGTATGCTCAGCCACATGAAGTAGTATATCACCAATTCCTTAATAGTGAGAGACTGGAGACTTATGGTAATCTATTGCAAAATCTTCATGGAGCAAACGGTGGAACAAAATACAAACTGGTTGTTTCCTCTTCCTCTACCCTTCCTGAACAGTTCAATCTAAGAGTTGCAAGGTGAAGCAGAGTAAAGCATGCGTCTGCACATGGGGAAGAGAGAAACAGAAGTCTCAGCGGCCTAGAGCTGGATGTCAGAGCCTGATATGAATAAATTAAGTATCCAATGGCATGACGGACAAGCTTGTGGAGTAGTGGCAGCACCTAAGGGTGTCAAAACCAGAGTGAGATGAGGAGCATACACTTGTAGGGGAGAAGTTAGGCACAGGATGCTGGAGCCTGAGTGGAAGGAGAAGAACATCCATGGCCAGTAGGGGCAGGAGGCGGCACAGGAGAAGCAACCAGATTAAGGTTTCAGAGACTGAGAGGAATGAGAGCCTGAGCAGAGAGAAAAGAGCATCTACTCAAGAAGGCTGCCTGGCATAGGGTGTCAGAGCCCAAGAGAAAGGTCCCAGACCCAAAAGAGCTAAGTAGGGTTTCCATGCAGGAGAACAAGCTGAAAAGTATGTTGCGGCAGAAATAGGATAAGGAGGACACACCTGGGAGATGAATAAACATATTAAGGATAATGGGAGCCATTATTACAATGTCTCACTGTTTGAGATATATAAAGGAAGAAAATTAGAATGAAACCTAAAATGGTAGATAAGAACTGGAGCTATGGTTTTCAATATAAATGGATATAGACATAAATATAGCTGTAAATGTATTTATGTACCGTATATGTGCAGGCATATGTTCACTAACAGGTCCTGAGAGCAACAACACCTCAATAAAAAGGAGCAGAAAACTTTCCTTCTAAAAGCTATTTTCTACTAAGAGGAAAGAGGGCCCCTTGCAAAAGTGGCTGATTCCACAACTAAGGGACAGAAAGTAAAGATAAGCCTTGTTTTCCAGAAAGGAAAGAAGTACCCAAAGAATGATATGAACATGTCAAAAGGACACAGAAGCCAGCTTAAAGAGGCTCCCGCTGGAAAAACCTGGGACAGACTAAACATAAAAATGAATGATAGAGAGCCAAATCATGAGTGAACTCCCATTCACAATTGCTTCAAAGAGAATAAAATACTTAGGAATCCAACTTACAAGGGATGTGAAGGACCTCTTCAAGGAGAACTACAAACCACTGCTCAAGGAAATAAAAGAGGATACAAACAAATGGAAGAACATTCCATGCTCATGGGTAGGAAGAATCAGTATCGTGAAAATGGCCATACTGCCCAAGGTAATTTACAGATTCAATGCCATCCCTATCAAGCTACCAATGACTTTCCTCACAGAATTGGAAAAAACTACTTTAAAGTTCATATGGAACCAAAAAAGAGCCTGCATTGCCAAGCCAATCCTAACCCAAAAGAACAAAGCTGGAGGCATCACGGTACCTGACTTCAAACTATACTACAAGGCTACAGTAACCAAAACAGCATGGTACTGGTACCAAAACAGAGATATAGACCAATGGAACGGAACAGAGCCCTCAGAAATAGTGCCGCATATCTACAACTATTTGAACTTTGACAAACCTGACAAAATCAAGAAATGGGGAAAGGATTCCCTATTTAATAAATGGTGCTGGGAAAACTGGCTAGCCATATGTAGAAAGCTGAAACTGGATCCCTTCCTTACACCTTATACAAAAATTAATTCAAGATGGATTAAAGACTTAAACGTTAGACCTAAAACCATAAAAACCCTAGAAGAAAACCTAGGCAATACCATTCAGGACATAGGCATGGGCAAGGATTTCATGTCTAAAATACCAAAAGCAATGGCAACAAAAGCCAAAATTGACAAATGGGATCTAATTAAACTAAAGAGCTTCTGCACAGCAAAAGAAACTACCATTAGAGTGAACAGGCAACTTACAGAATGGGAGAAAATTTTTGCAATCTACTCATCTGACAAAGGGCTAATATCCAGAATCTACAATGAACTCAAACAAATTTACAAGAAAAAAACAAACAACCCCATCAAAAAGTGGGCGAAGGATATGAACAGACACTTCTCAAAAGAAGACATTTATGCAGCCAACAGACACATGAAAAAATGCTCATCATCACTGGCCATCAGAGAAATGCAAATCAAAACCACAATGAGATACCATCTCACACCAGTTAGAATGGCAATCATTAAAAAGTCAAGAAACAACAGGTGCTGGAGAGCATGTGGAGAAATAGGAACACTTTTACACTGTTGGTGAGACTGTAAACTAGTTCAACCACTGTGGAAGTCAGTGTGGCGATTCCTCAGGCATCTAGAACTAGAAATACCATTTGACCCAGCCATCCTATTACTGGGTATATACCCAAAGGATTATAAAACAAGCTGCTATAAAGACGCATGCACACCTATGTTTATTGCGGCACTATTCACAATAGCAAAGACTTGGAACCAACCCAAATGTCCAACAATGTTAGACTGGATTAAGAAAATGTGGCACATATACACCATGGAATACTATGCAGCCATAAAAAAGGATGAGTTCATGTCCTTTGTAGGGACATGGATGAAGCTGGAAACCATCATTCTCAGCAAACTATCGCAAGGACAAAAAACCAAACACCACATGTTCTCACTCATAGGTGGGAATTGAACAGTGAGAACACATGGACACAGGAAGGGGAACATCACACACCGGGGCCTATCATAGGGTGCGGGGGAGAGGGGAGGGACAGCATTAGGAGATATACCTAATGTTAAATGATGAGTTAATGGGTGCAGCACACCAGCATGGCACATGTACACGTATGTAACTAACCTGCACGTTATGCACATGTACCCTAAAAAAGTATAATTAAAAAAAAAATGTGACAACATAGGTGCAACTACACTAGAAGAAACTATGAAGTAGTCTGAGGCTTGCACCTACTTACAGTGCATACGTTTGTATTTAAATGAAGACAATATTCAAATTCATGCTATAAATACCTTCTTCTATATTGGCATTTTGGAATATGGTCTAAATAATTATATTCTTACATATCACCATGAATGTGATAATGTAAAATGCAGAGACATGGGTGTATTTCATTAGCAACTCAAACACAAGAAGAAGCTTTACATTTCTAGGAAAAGTTTTGTATTAACATTTGATTACTTTATATTTTAATGCAAAAAAAAAAATAAAATAAATGATAGTAATGGATTACCACCCATTTAATAAAACAGGTATCTGAGTCCATACCAATATAATCAAATTTTGATGGCTAACAAAATTCTATATAGTCACATCAAAATAACTCTTTCCCCACACCCCAAAAAATAATTATTAATGACAAAGGGAAAAAGAGGAACTTTGAGAAAGGCAAGTTAAGTGATCAATGTAAATACCAGCAGCAATAGGATAAGTCAAAACTGTGAGCCTCTTAATAGAACACAGTCTCACTTCTGTGATATTCCTGCCAAAGATGCATATAGCTTGAATCTAATCTAATCAGTGGAAGGAGATTCTGGGGGAAGGAGAAGCAGCAACAAAACCAGACTTTCACTTTTATTCTGGGCACTCACATACTGTTTGTTTTACAACTGGCGTGTAATATTTCCATAATTTAAAAAGAAAAAGACAAAGTGATGGCTGGAGGACAGGATGCTGTAGTTGGGAAAACGGCTTTTTTTGCCTAAGCACACATTTCTTGGCCTCTCCTTATAACCATGGCCAAGGTATAGGTGTCTCCCAATCCCAAAATTCTAACCTAGTCATCTGTAACTCTATAATCACATCTTTCTTTCTATGGTTCTTAAATATTTGTATTTTGTAATTAACATGCAGATACTCACCAAGCAATACCAAACTCAGAGGCCTTCACATAAACTCAGAAATATCAGTTAATACCTTAGCAAGAATTATTTGATATGATAGCCTTGAGTGTAAAATGGAAAGAGGAATGCCTACAATGTTCTAGAATTGCAGGGAGGGGCGGAGACAACTACAAATAAGGAAGTAGACACAGAACACTAAAACAAAAGAGATTAGGGGAAAGGAGAAAGAGAAGGCAGTTATTATGGAACAACAGTAGAATCAAAAGATGCTGCTTCAGACTATATTGTTCCAGAAGCAGATCACTATATGGATTAAAAGCATAGACTCTATACTATGCTTCACCTGGGTTCAAATGTCAGTTCTGAAATTATAGCTGTGTGATTGTGGGCAAAATACCTAACCTCTCTGTACTCTGTTTCCTCATGTGTAAAGTGAGGACACTAATAGTACCTATCTCATAGAGTTATAGTGTGTAAATTGATAAGTTGATGTAAAGCATTTAGAACTTCTGGCACATCATAGATACTGAATTGTATAAATGTTTGCTATTGGCAGCCAATGCTATTGGTGTCTTGCCCATATACTGTTGGCACTCACCTCTACACAGGAAACCTGCTCATTATGAACACCTGTGATACCCTGCTGAGTGCTGCTTTCTGACTGCAAGGACACACTCAGCTTGCACTCCAGGGACAAGCGAGAAACGCCAGAGAGTTAATGTCAATTATGGCTAGGAAGTTGGTGGATTTAACACTCAAATTGTCCTTGCTCTTGGTTTGGGATAACTCCGATGGTAGTTTATTTGATGTCTTCAGAGTTCCCAATATGAGTGAACTCCAGGTGCCCACAGTGGTAACAGCCAGAATAATGCCCTTTATTCACTTCTATCCCTTTCTTTTCTTCCTTCCCCACTTCTACCAGTGTTTCCTATGATCATTTCCCAATAAACTATATACCCTTGAATCTTTATCCCAGGTTTGTTTCTGGGGAAACCCAAAACAAAGCACTGTGTTTTTATTATTTATAACTAGGCCTATCAAATCTAAGGACAATTTTCTTTACAAGAAACATGACTGTGTGCTTTAGAAGAGACCATGAAACCATATGACTGAAGGCGCACAATATTTAATACATAAGACTTTTAAAATCTCAATCCAGAGCATACATATGTGCAGGAACTAGCTTTTGATAGAAAGAGGAACATTTCTTTTATCAGAACAGGAACAACAGAGAAAGAATGAACCCAAATGCAAGGAGATTCTGTAGAGAAAAGAATGACAGACTCTGATTGCTTCCATATATTTTTAAAGTATGAGTCAAGTTCATATTTATTTTAAAACATTTTTACTTCATCCTTTTTCTTCTTATTACTCCCAGTTTTTTTTTTGTTGTTGTTGTTATAACCCCATTACCTTCTACTGTCCCTTTTCCTCTTCTATTTTTCTTAACATTTAATTTGTGTTAATAACAGCTAGCAGAAGGATGACCCTAGGGTGATAGCTGAAAGGAATTATGGATGAGAGGACTTTCGTCACCACAGCTTGACCCAAATCCCCCAACTCCACCCCATCTCAGCAAGATTTGATTAACTCAAAGAAGAAGAGTTGGAAAGAACTGGTTGATTACAATTTTCCCAATTCCCATCTGTGAACCTGCCCACAGGTCCTCAAGAAAGCTCAGTGCACTGGTTAATCCCCTTCCAGGGCTTCATGGCTCCTCTGAAACAAATATCCCATAAGTTGAACAGAACTGTGTGAAATAAGGTTTTCCTTTATCAGGCTTAAGCTGGAATATATCCATATAACATTACTTATCACTTGAGAAGACCTAACTGTGAAGAGCCACAGCTTACCCTGGCACTGTCATGGGAAAGTATATTTGATTTTGATTATTTGGAGCAACATAGAAAGTACAATATAACCTTTTCTATGTGTTTTTGCTTATCCATTCAATAAATATTTATTGGGCTTAAAAATTCTACCATACAGCTCAGAAATTCTGAGTATTAAGTTTAAGAGTTAGAATATTCATAATCTTTACTAGAATGTCTAACAATATAGAAAATGCTAAATAAATGCTGCTTGAATGACAACCTGTCTCTTAGTACTTATCACACTGTATTGTAATTATCGGTTTAGAAATGTATCTCCCCCACTAATGACTGCTCCTTAAGGATGTGCTTGCTGTACTCATTTGGGTATCCAATATCCAACAAAGTTCCTGGCATTGAGCAGTCTCTCAATAAATATTTGCTTCATAAATGAATGAAATAAATGCATCATTATAAAAAATACATCATTATGAGCTATTGTCAAAGATAGGCAAGTATTTCTAATGTATTCAGGGCCAAAGACACTCCTAAATGATCTTTTTTACCCTTAAGAAAATTTGATTCTCTGGTTGAGTGTTGTGGCTCACGCCTGTAATCCCAGCACTTTGGGAGGCTGAAGTGGGCGATCACTTGAGCCCAGGAGACCAGCCTGGGTAACATGAGGAAACGCCGTCTCTACAAAAAAATACAAAAATTAGCTGGGTGTGGTGGCAAGCACCTGTAGTTCCATCTACTGGAGAGACTGAAATGGGAAGGACACTTAAGCCTGGGAAGTCAAGGCTACAGTGAGCTGTGACTGCACCACTGCATACCAGCCTGGGTGACAGAGCAAGACCCTGTCTCAAAAAAAAAAAAAGAAAACAAAAGAAAAAAGAAAAAAATGGCTCTCATTTTCTAGAGCTAAGAAGAGATCTCATTACAGTATTTCTCACCCACCCCCTACAACCGGCCTGCCAAAAAAAAGTAAAGAAACAGAACATTCAATATTTTAACAACCCAATTCCAAATAGAACAAAAATGAAAAAAAAAATTTAATCGTACCCAAATCCCTCATGCAACAATGAAATCACAATCTTTGGACCTAAGCCATCCACAAATCTTCACACCATTATATTAAAGTCTTCTGGATTTCATCACAGTTCTTTAAGGGCTGGAAAATAAACCAACTTTAGAGCTCTCCTTTGAACTCCACCAACATACACTCTCTTCATCACCAAGTAAGGTTAAGTACCTGTTAGCACATAGCACCATTACTGTATACTAGAAATTCTGTGAATTATGTACTCTGCACAATCACATTTCTACATTGCTTTCTACATTTAGTGATCAATATTAAATGTTGCAGACCAAACGCTTAACTTGAAAACCTTTAACTGGTCTCTGCGCATATGTAACAAATTATCTTCAGATAATTTGTGTAGGGTTACCAATTCTAAAGACATTTATCTCCTCCTTAACAATTAAAACACCAAGTAATTGATCCAAATATCTCAGTAAATACCAAAACAAAAGATCTGCCTGAACAGATTGTTTATCTTTGCCATGGCCTAAGGAGATCCCAAAACAAAAGTAAAATACAAATCAGATCATACAACATTTTTATTCAAAATAAAGTTTCAAGGAGTGTTTAATTCATGTAAACTGTTTGTAAAGTGACAAAAATGGTCTAAGCACTAACCAAGCCTCAGGCAGATGGCCTGGAACAAATGACTTTGTGAAGTTCCTTCCAATTCTATGATGCTATACAGATAAAGTATACAAAATATGTGTCTACTGCAATTGAATACCTCACTTAAAATAACTATGTAAACTTTATACATTTAAGATAGTACTGGAATGTATAAAAAGGTTGACATTACTCATTACATGTACAGTGATTTGTAGGACCCTCTCTGCTTAAAAATTGCTCCCATCATGACACAACAAGGCCTAAAATTACACCACCCATTTATTTAAATAGAACGCTAACCAATATTCTTAAGAATGGAAAGATATCTTAATGGGATTTCAATAATACCTACCATTCATGATTACCATGTGGTATTAGTGTAAATTGATTCATTAGAGTGCTTTTCTCATTCACAAGCAGGACCTATGAATATTACAAAAAGCCTAAGATTCCCGAAGATGTGGAAAATCTTCAAAAGAGATGGGCGACAAATACAAACTTAGGCTCCTTAACAATTCTGGACAGGGCCAGCATCTTTGTGCACATAAATCAAAATTATATAATGTCCTATTCTGTTTATTCAAGCAGACAAAATAAACAATTATCCTCTTAGGTAAAATAGATTAGGTATAATCCTTGCTACCTAGGAAGGGTCACTCCAGGTCCTTTTCAGTCCCAGGATTCTATACACAACAAACACAATTTCACCTGTTAACTAGTTCTAAAGCCCAACAGAATTATGTGGTAAAATAACATTCAATCAGAAATAATAGAAATTGTCTGGTATCTTAGAAATAGAGTAGGCTTTAAAACCAGATTTGAAATGGAAAGCTGGCTTCATCCCTTTTATACTTCTGTTAGCTGTGAGCAAGCCTCTGAATCTCTTTGCGCCTGTTTCCAAATAGTAGGATGGCCATCTCTTCCTTGAAGAGATGCTGAAGGCATTAAAAACATAAAGCAAACATAAAACTCACAGCACAGCACTTGACAAAAAACATTATAACAGTAGTAGCTAAGCTACTTTTATTAATATTCTTAAAGAAAAAATCAATTCAACAACAAAGTGAAAGCTAAAAAACAATAAAGTCCATGGCAGTAAACAACGATTAAAATGTATTTCATTCCTTACAATAAGTAAAATAAAAACTTTTTTTTTTTTTTGGGACAGAGTCTCACTCTGTTGCCCAGGCTGGAGTGCAGTGGCACGATCTGGCTCACTGCAACCTCCGCCTCCCGGGTCCAAGCGATTCTCCTGCCTCAGCCTCCCGAGTAGCTGGGACCACAGGCGCCTGCCACCACGCCCGGCTAATTTTTTGTATTTTTAATAGAGACGGGGTTTCACCATGTTAGCCAGGATGGTCTCGATCTCCTGACCTCATGATCCACCTGCCTCGGCCTCCCAAAGTGCTGGGATTACAGGCATGAGCCACCCACCGCGCCCAGCCAAAAACCATATTTAATAACAGAATTGTACTTATAACCAAAAGAAATTAGTTGCCACAAATAACAATCAAGAAAGTACCAACATGAATAACATAGTTCCACAAGTACTAGTGAGCATGATTCTTAGAAGAAAATCAAATACTAGGCAAAAGAAATATTCAGGTATGGCGACTGATGATCCAAACACTATAAATCAGCAAATGAAACAAACATAATTTTTAATATCATAATCTATGCTACAAAAATGGTTCTTCATGCTTATATATCGAAGAACTCTGAATATCTAAGAAGTCATATCACCCAACCAAAAATGCTGTATTTTACCAAACCTCACCTCCATAGCCAGAAATTTATGCTGGTTCACCTAAATACTTATCAAAATAATTTTTTCAAAAACTATTTTTTTTTTGAGACGGAGTCTCGCTGTGTTGCCCAGGCTGGAGTGCAGTGGCGCAATCTCAGCTCACTGCAAGCCCCTCCTCCTGGGTTCACGCCATTCTCCTGCCTCAGCCTTCCGAGTAGCTGAGACTACAGGTGCCCGCCACCACGCCCGGCTAATTTTGTTTTTATATTTTTAGTAGAGGTGGGGTTTCACCGTGTTAGCCAGGATGGTCTCAATCTCCTGACCTTGTAATCCACCCACCTCAGCCTCCCAAAGTGCTAGGATTACAGGAGTGAGCCACTGTGCCCAGCCTCAAAAACTTAAAAAGCTGTAGAAAACATATCAACTAAGAGGACAGAGAGAGCTAACTACAATCTCTCTAAATCTAGAAGAAATCATGACTTTTAAATGTTATCTACTTTTAATGGTAATACTTTAGTGGTAATTACTACCTTCAGCATACTCCTTAAAATGGTGAGCAATACAAAGAGATAAATAGAAACTACCACGAATGAAAGGGTTAGTCCTCATACCATAAATTAATTAGTTATAGGGCTTCATTTATGCTTTTTTCATATTGGCTAACAAACACATTCTGTAAGTTTCTTTTAATCAACAATTCAATTTCTCACTTCCATTTTTATTTAAAATACTCTAAAACACTAAATAACACTAAAATGCTAGCATCAACAAAGTAAAATTCTAAAGGTTTTTTTGAAGTAAAACTATTTCTTTTTTCCTATGTAGCATTTAGGCTTTTCTCATATCTTCCAGTCTTAAGCCACTTGGATCAGGAACCCTCACCTGATACACAGCAAACTACCCACCCAAAAAAACAGGGACTTGGGAGACAGGGAGGGGAAAATGGTCACATGTGTTTACCAACACTCTCATCATATCAAGTTCAAAGAAAATATTTTTTTAATTGGAGTGTTGCTAGGCAGAGAGCCAAATGGATCCACATAATAGCCAATTCCTGTGAACCAAGAATATTACTATAACTGAAATTGAATTTTTACGTGACTATGACAAAAAAAGCTGTTGGTCTCCATCCAGCAGCTAAACTAGTGAGCCATCATGGAATTAAACCCTTCCAGCCCCAGTTGAGCCCCTAGATCAGGGGTCCCCAACCCCCAGGCCGCAGACTGGTACTGGTCTGTGGCCTGTTAGGAACTAGGCCACACAGCAGGAGGTGAGTGAGGATTACCACCTGAGCTCTGCCTCCTGTCAGATCAGCAGGTGGCATTATTCTCATAGGAGCACAAACCCAATTATGAACTGCACCTGCGAGGGATTTAGGTTGTGCACTCCTTAAGAGAATCTAATGCCTGATGATCTGAGGTGGAACAGTTTCATCCTGAAACCATCCCCCCACCAACCCCACCCCTGTCAGGTGCACGGAAAAATTGTTCTACAAAACTGGTCCCTAGTGCCAAAAAGGTTGAGGACCACTACCCTAGATAACTAAAGTCCCAACCTACATCTTTGCTGCATCCTCCTCAAAGACCCTGAGCCAGAAGCACCCAGTTTAGTCATTCCCAAATTTTTGATCCACAGAAATTGAAATAAAAAACATTTATCGGTTTAAACCCCTAAGTTCTGGGATAATTTGTTATTTAGCCATAGATACTAATACAAAGTATGAGAAGGGTAATTTTGCAAGAGATCTTCAAGGTATCTCTAACTTGATGATTCATATACGTCATCTTAAGCTAAACCACCTCACTCTCCTCCTCCTCCCTACTAAAAGATCAGGAGTCAGCAATGCCACATCAAGAAGGCTACTGATTACAAGAGTGAACCATTTCCTCTTTCTACCATAAGTCAGAGTCTCCTGCATAAACTTTGTAGAGTAGCCCTTTATCCTGCCTCCTACAAATTTATCTGTAATATATCATCATCATCATCTCCTTCCTTCCTGTCTCAGTAGAAGTCTACCTAAAGTACCCTTGACCTGAGCCCTTGTATTATATCCTTTCCAGTTTGTTCAGTGACTTTGCTTCACCAATTATTTTGCCTCATTCCTTTATCTTCAGATTTTCTTACTGATGACTCTTTATCTTCAGCAAATAAACATGTGCTTATATCCCTTATACCTTAAAAAACAAAAACCTTCTCTCAAACTCATAGCTTTAGCTATATCCTTCTCTATTCATTTACAACTAAACTTTCTGAAATAGTAAATGACATTAGCTATTTCAACATCCATGTCTCTTGCCCAGTGTGAATTAGCTTCACTTATAAAACTGCTCTTGCTCAGGTCATCAACGATTTCTTAAGTGATATGTCCAATGGATACTTTAGTTGTCCTCATCCTATTTGATGTCTATAGATGTCTAATACTCATTCCTTTTCTCTAAACTCGGTTCTTCCACTGACTTTTGTGACTCTCTTACCCAATCTTACTTCCCTGCCCACTCCTTTGAGGTGTATTTTTCTTTAACCTCACCCTTAAATGCTGTTGTTCTCCAACCTCATTTCTCTTCTATTTTCACTCTACATTTTCCTGAGTGATCTCATCCATTGCCGTTGCTTTTAACTATCATCTTTAAATTGTGACTCCAAAATTTACATCTCAAGCTGGGTATTCTGCTTAATTCAGATCCATATATACAACTCACTAATGACATTTCTTAGAAGTCACGGATGCCTCAGATTTAATGGACCAAACTGAACTCATCTCCTCCAATCATGTTCCCCAATCTACTGTTCTTCCTACACTTCCTACCTCAGTAAATGGCCCCAGAATCTACTCAGTTTCCCAAGCCAGAGAATTCATTCTAAGCATCTCAAAAGTATTTATTAAACATTAACATATGCATAAAGATGATGGTGGCTAGAAACTACCCTGACTTCATTTTCCCTCAAGCCCACTAAATCCTATCCATCTACCCTCTTTACATCTATTAAATCCATCTCCATTTCTTAATTCCAATATGCACTGCAGTTCTCATTTCCCACCTGGATAACTATAATAGCCTCTAACTAATCACCAGTCTTCAAAGCTCACCTCCCTCCAATTCATCACCTAAACAGTTCCCTATCTGACCATGTATCTTCTATACAAGTTCCTCAAAATTTTCTCAAATTAAAAAATTAATTTTGCTAAGCTCCCATATTATCTTTAATATGAAATACAGTATGCTAAAATTAAGTCTACAAAAATCCTCATTTCACCAGGCGCGGTGGCTCACACCTGTAATCCCACCACTTAGGGAAGCCGAGGCGGGTGGATCACTTGAGGTTAGGAGTTCGAGACCAGCCTGGCCAACATGGTGAAACTCTGTCTCTACCAAAAATACAAAAATTGGCCAGGCGTGGTGGCACATGCCTGTAATCCCAGCTACTCGGGAGCTTGAGGCATGAGAATTACTTGAACCCAGGAGGCAGAGGTTGCAGTGAGAAGAGATTGCGCCACTGCACTCCAGCCTGGGAGGCAGAGTGAAATTGTGTCTCCAAAAAAAAAAAAAAAATCCTAGCTTCCCACTGTACATTAATGCAGCATTCATAGAGAATCCTGCTTTACCAACTAAAATAATATAAAATTTATTATAAATTCTTACTATATGAGTAATGCTCACTTTCTAGTCTCTTACATAAACCAAAAACATACTTGCTTATCAAATAAAGAAAACATATTAATTCACAAAAAATGTTACCTTCTAAGAGAAAATGCACTACTGTAGTGTTCTCCAGGGCCATGAAGACCATTGCTCTATTACCAGAAGCCTGGATGTCTGACACATGATACTCAATAGCTAGTTATGAAATGAATTACACTGCTTCTTAATCACCTTTGATCATGTCTTCCATTATTCTCTGTAGAATTCATAAAAAATATACTTGAGTTCAGCCATACACAATATTCTATGAAAAACAAACCAAAAGTCAACTACTTTTCTTCATTTTCTCAATTTTTGTTTTTTGAGATGGAGTCTCGCTCTGTCGCCCAGGCTGGAGTGCAGTGGTGCGATCTCAGCTCACTGCAAGCTCTGCCTCCTGGGTTCATGCCATTCTCCTGCCTCAGCCTCCCGAGTAGCTGGGACTACAGGCACCCGCCACCACGTCCGCTAAATTTTTGTATTTTTAGTAGACACGGGGTTTCACCATGTTAGCCAGGATGGTCTCGATCTCCTGACCTTGTGATCCGCCCGCCTCGGCCTCCCAAAGTGCTGGGATTACAGGCGTGAGCCACCGCGCCCGGCCATTTTCTCAATTTCTTCTTAAAACACTTTACAAACATAGGTAGATTAAAGAGCAAGCAAAAGAGAGAACAGAATTTTGACACCTGTTAAGCAAAGGATTTCCCTGCTTTCTCCTGCCAATGCACAGGCTAAGCACATGACTTAATTTGTCAATCAGGTATCAATAGCTCAAAAGTCAAGTAAAATGACTAACAGGTTACATTACATATCACCACCACCCCACCCCCATTCCCTAGCAATATAGGCAGATTAAACCACAACTGAAGCAGAAAGTCAGAAGACCCAGCTACTTGGGAGGCTGAGGCAGGAGAATGGCGTGAACCCGGGAGGTGGAGCTTGCAGTGAGCCAAGATCGCACCACTGCACTCCAGCCTGGGCAACAGAGCGAGACTCCGTCTCAAAAAAAAAAAAAAAAAAAAAAAAAAAAAAAGTCTTTAACCGAAAATTTGACCTTTTTAAAACTTAGCCAAAAATACTTACCCAAGTTTTTTTCCAGAGTTTGCAACGTTCTGTTTTTCCTTCTACTTTTCTTCAGATAGCCTTTCTGCAGTGTTTCATCTTAACAAACCTGAAAAGTATGGCATTTTAACTAATTATACAAGGTATTCTGGCTTTACGAGCAGCATAACCATTTCTGATTATATGATTTCGTTACTTAATCATGCACAAACAGGACGAAACTCTTTTAGTCCAATATTACGTTTCCTTGTTTAAAGTTTCCAAACAACAAATACTCCTAAGTATAAAATAAAACTACAACTTCCAAACTGAAGCCTTCCAAAGACTCCAAAACCACTGTACTTAAGAGCATGAGTTTGGTAATCAAAGGTCCTAGAGATCAAATCCTATGTTTAAAACATAACTCAAAATGCACATTGAGAAAGTTTCTCTCAAACTGTTGGGTCCTTGCCGGCAAGAACAGTGCCATAATGTCCTTCCTGGCATACTTTTTATCAAATGAAAATCTTGCAAAATCACAGGGTGCTTGGGAGTTGGTATGGCATACTGACTAAGGGACTGCAAACGAGTCAGATTACCTGGTTTCAGTCACAGCTCTGACTTTGAACATGTTACTTTGTAGGTCTATTCTGTTCTTTCATCTAGAAAATGGGAATAGTAGACTTTACATTATAGGATTGTTTTGATGATTAAATGTGATAATATATGCACATAATTATATGTACCACTCAATAGTTACAAAGTATTCTGGTTATTCATCTATTTTTATACTTTGTATATTTAACTTGGAATAAAACAACTTCATTGCTATGCACAGGGTGAAAGCAGAAACCACTAAACCGGTTGAAACTTACAGGCGCTTAGACAGTTATAAAGCCCATGATTTCCTTAAAAAGGAAATTCACATGAACTTTTACCTTTAACAAACGTCAACACTAAGGCCAACAGGAAGGTAAAAAAAAAAAAAAAAAAAACGACAACAACTAATACTCTCCGGAAGAAAAATCAACTTCTCTTCACCTTCCTTTGACCAATAGGAAATTCTGCTGAAACGTAGTCTTCTAGAGTGCAGTGCAGCAAGCACCAATTCAGAATACAAAACACATCAATCCCAGAGAAGAAAGCGGGGGTTGTTCCAAGGCTTCCCCGCCCTCGGTCAACCGACCCTATATTAAGCAGCATGGGGTCTACTACAACCCAGTGCAGCTGGCAAGGCTGCAGTCCGAGCCTGCGGGTGCACGGTCCTTCCTGCCGAGTCCACACACCAGCAAGTGGAGCGCCTTACCATCACCCGCAGGAACTGCTCCTGTATCAAAGTCCCCAGCCATCCGACTGCCATGGCCCTTCCAGACTTTGCCACTGACCTCCAACCCTCGGTTTATAGGTGCCAGGGCTGTAGGTAAGGATGGCAAAGGAATATGAAGGAGTCGCCGCCGCAGGCAGCCACTACTAAGCCAAAGCTCTCAGACTCCGACCAGGTTGAGTTCCAGAGACACTGGAAAAAGGGGCTGACGACCTCAACCCCGTCTGGCCCGGCCCATCCCCTCACCTGGGCGAGTGCCGAGGCAGCCCGAAATCCCTCTGGCCTCTCTCCGGGGAACGCCGAGGGCCTTGGGCGGCGGCAGGGGCGGCGACGGCAGCAGCACCGAGCCGGATGCAGCCTGCGAAGCTCTGCCGGTGCCCACACCCTTTAGCCCCGCCGCCCGGGGCCGCCGCCCAGGTCCAGACCCTGGCCGCAGCCACCGACACCCAAGGGGGCGGAGGAGGAGGGGAGGGGTCCCAACCGAGGCCGGGCGGCACTGCGCCTGCGTCAGGCAGCAACGTCACACGCCAGCGTCGCCGGCGCCTCGAGGTGCGCCACTCAAGCCCTGCCCAGGAATCCGGCGGCGTCCCGCCCTGTTTCCTCCTCTCTGGGCTGCAGAAGGAGCCAGAACCCTGAATTTGAAAATCACTTTGCTACCCTAACAACCCAAAGGAAAAGTTAGTGCCTTCCTGATAGCAGGAGACAGATAAGCCCACTTAGGAGACGGAGGCTAACGAAAAAGGAGCATCGGATGGGTGTATGACGTGAAATGAGTCCTTAAGAAATAGAGATGCTGTTATGACATGATCAATAAGAGAGCTCGATTGTGTGAAGTGCTGCCACGCTGAATCTCTCAACTAAGTCTATTATTATGCTGATGATATTAATGAAAAGTAATTTGCTGCTCCTCTTTTTAAAGAGAAAGGCTCTTAATATTATTTAGCGGGTGAACCAAGGCAAACGACTTCTTGGAATTAGAGGAATGTCGCAGATATTTATTTGTCTGCGCTATATACTAGCAATAGTAAACAGTGTTTAGCAGGGCTTATTGACTAATCCTTCCAAAATCCTGTGAGGCTATTCTCATCCCCGTTTATCTCCATTTCACAAATTGAAAAACTAAGACACTGAGAGGTTAAATAACTTGCTAGAGAACCAGGGTTTGGACCCAAGAAATGTGGCTCCAAAGTATTACTGTATACTGCCTCTGAAGTTCCAAATGTCTAAATCTCTAGTTCTGACTTCTTTCCGGAGCTGAGGTACTTACTACAACCTTAATATTTCCACATGGCTGTTCCACTCTCACCTCAAAAGGAACAGATATGAAACCAAATTTAAGATAATGCCAGAAAACACACGAGGTACAACAATTAACTGTTATTGCATATAAGGAAATAGAGGCCCAGACAGAAGTGGTTTATGGAAGGACTGGATGAAAACCAAAAGGAGAAAAGCATGCACTGTCTTAGTTACTTCCTTCTGCTACCTGGACACTGGTACTGGCCTTATGTCAATTAACTCTTTAGAGTTTATTTCTGCCCCTCTACAAAGAAATTAATTTCAGTTGTCTTTTTCAACATCTGGAAGATTTCTAGTCAATCTTTGTTTTGTAATAAGGGAACCACCACAAGGATTCAAATTTGCTACAGCCAAACTTCGGATTTTGCCCAAGAAGGACATTGTGCAAGTACAAGTTCTCTGGACTAGAAATTACCTAGAGATGGTTCAAGTTCCCCAAATCAAAAACTAAACTGAAACTAAGTTGCACTGTAGCAGAGGGGAGAGGAGAGAAGGAAGTTCACTATGGCCTTTCTGTAACCGTGTGAGGGGACTGTGGGAATCTGGAAGTTTCTGCCTCTACTTCCTTTCCATCCCTGTGATCAAGAGTCACCCTGTAACTACAGCTATGCATTAGGCGACATTGTATAAATGAATTATTTATTTTAGAAGCCTCTATTCTAAAGGCCTTTAGTCTTGTGAAAATAATTATGCTCTTTGACATTTCATATGGCTCACTAAATTTGCATGGCAAGGCTTACTGCCTTCTCCAGTCTCCCACCTATTTTTCATTTTTCTCTAGCATGCCGTTAAAGTAAGGATGCCAAAGAAACTGTCTCCATTGAATCCAAGAAGAATTTCTCTAATGATGAAAGCCTTCAAGTGATTTTTTATATCTTACTTTTTATTTGAAATAATTATAAATTCACAGGAAGTTGCAAAGATAGTTCAGAGTGGTCTCATGTACTCTTCACCCAGTTTCCCCCATAGTTACATCTTGTATAATTATAGTACAGTAAGAAAACCAGGAATCTGACATTAGTACAATGTCTGTATGTAGCTCTATGTCATTTTATCGTGTGTAATTCCATGTGACTATCACTACAAACAATACAGACCTCTTTTATCACCACAAAGATCTCCCTTTTACTACCCCTTTATAGATGCACCCACCCCTCCTCCCCATATAACAACCCTAACTCTTGGCAACCAGTAATCTGTCTTCCATCTTTGTAATTTTATCATTTTGAGGATGTTATATAAATGAAAGTGTACAGTGTGTAACCTTTAGGAACAGGCTTTTTTCACTCTACATAATTCACTTGAACTGTATCCAAATTGTCATCTATATCAATAGTGTGATCTTTTGATTGCTGAGCAGTATTCCAATATATGGATGTTCCACAGTCTAATCATTCACCCATTGAGGAACATTTTGTTGTTTTCAGTTTGAGGCTATTACAAATAAAGCTACTATAAACAATAGTGTACAGGTTTGTTTGTGTGGTCTAGTGATTTTTTAAAAAGGAAAACAACACAGGAAATTTTGGCCACTAAAAAGCATTGTTTTTTAAACTTCTATTTTAAGTTCAAGGGTGCATGTGCAGGTTTGTCACATAGGTAAACTTGTGGTGTCATGGGGGTTTGTTGTACAGAACATTTCATCACCCAGGTATTAAGCCTAGTACTCAGTTAGTTTTCTTGATCCTCTCCCTCATCCACCTTCACCCTCCCATAGCCACCAGTGTGTGTTTTTCCCTTCTGTTTGTCCATGAGTTCTCTTCATTTAGTTCCCACTTATAAGTGAGAACATGTGGTGTTTGGTTTTCTGTTCCTGCGTTAGTTTGCTAAGGATAACGCCCTCCAGCTCTATCCATGTCCCTACAAAGGACATGATCTCATTCTTTTTATGGCTGTATAGTATTACATGGTATATATGTACCACATTTGCTTTATCCAGTCTATCATTAATGGGCGTTTAGGTAGATTCCATGTCTTTGCTATTGTGAATAATGCTGTAAATGAAGATACGTATGCATGTGTCTTTATAATAGAATGATTTATATTCCTTTGGGTATATACCCAGTAATGGGATTGCTGGGTCAAATGGCTTTTCTGTCTCTAGGTCTTTGAGGAATTGCCACACTGTCTTCCACGATAGTTGGACTAATTTACACTCCTACCAACAGTGTATACATGTTCCTTTTTCTCTGCAACCTCACCAGCACCTGTTTTTTTTTTTTTTTTGACATTTTAGTAATAGCCATTTTGAGTGATGTGATTTTGATTTGCATTTGTGGTTTTGTTTTGCATTTCTCCAGTGATCAATGATGTTGAGTTTTCTCATATCATTGTTGGCCGCATGTATTTCTTCTTTTGAGAAGGGTCTGTTCATGTCCTTTGCCCAATTTCTAATGGAGTTGTTTGTTTTTTTCTTGTAAGTTTAAGTTCTTTATAAATGCTGGATATTAGACCTTTGTCACATGCGTACTTTACAAAAATTTTCTCCCATTCTATAAGTTGTCTATTTACTCTGTTGATAGTCTCATTTGCTCTGCACAAGCTCTTTAGTTTAATTAGCTCCCAATTGTCAACTTTTGCTTTCGTTGCGATTGCTTTTGGCATCTTCGTCATGAAATCTTTGCCCGTACCTGTTTCCTGAATGGTATTGCTTTGGTTTTCTTCCAGGATTTTTATAGTTTTAGGTTTTACATTTAAGTCTTTAATCCATCTTGAGTTAATTTTTGTGTATGGTGTAAGGAAAGGGACCAGCTTAAATCTTCTGCATATAGCTAGCCAGTTCTCCCAGCACCATTTATTGAATAGGGAATCCTTTCCCTGTAGAACACTATGTTTTTAAGGTGGGCTCACGGTGAAAAGGTGAAGTTTATCTATTTGAGCTCTCTCTTTTCCCCCTTGGTCCTCTTATTTTCCATTCAGAGGTTTACATACAAAGGTCAGCTTCTGAGTCAGATTAAATAAGGCTTTCGTGGCCTCCCTGAAGTTATCCTCCATACCTCTTCCTGCCCCTATAAATTTCACTTTTTTTTTTTTTTGAGACAAAGTCTCGCTCTTGTCCCCCAGGCTGGAGCGCAATGGCGCGATCTCAGCTCACTGCAAACTCTGCCTCCCGGGTTCAAGTGATTCTCCTGCCTCAGCCTCTCGAGTAGCTGGGATTACAGGTGCCTGCCACCACAACCGACTATTTTTTTTTTTTTTGTATTTTTACTAGAGACAGGGTTTCACCATGTTGGCCAGGCTGGTCTCGAACTCCTGACCTCAAGTGATCCGCCTGCCTTGGCCTCCCAAAGTGCTGGGATTACAGGCATGAGTCACCACGCCCAGCCTAAATTTCACTTTTATATAAAGCCCTAAAAATAAATCAATGAAGACAAAAATCTTCAAGTTTAAAGAGATCGAATGTAATAAATTTCTAACTGTATAATTTCAGACACAATAAAAGGATTATTTAGAGATAAAATAGATTGCTTTCAAAATACAAAGGTAGCCACCAAGTTAGCCAAGATTTAGCTGCTTTCTATTTACATTGATATTTTCACCATGAAAATGTTCTATACTAGAGTAAAATAAAATGTGTTTCGAACATGCAGTAAATAAAAACTAACCATTTATTAAACATATATGACATTTTGTAATGTATGCATGTATTACTGATTCTAAAGTAAAATAACATAGTTTGATGACATTAACTATCTTTTTCTTTAGCTCTCCCTTCAATTTATACTTTCTCTGTCTACACCTAATATGAATTGACACTTGTTTTAGTTTACTAGGGCTGTCGTAACAAAACACCACAGATCAGATGGCTTAAACAACGGAAATTTGTTTTCTCATAGTTCTGGGAGCTGAAAGTCCAAGAGCAAGGTGTCAGGAGGTTCAGTTTCTCCTGAGGCCTCTCTCCTTGGTTTGCAGATATCCATCTTCTTCCTGTGTCTTCACATAGTCCTTTCTCTGTGCAGTCACATCCCTCCTATCTCACTATGTGTCCTAATCTCTTGTAAGAGGACTCTCAGCAAAACCAGTTGCTATGCTGGCTTCAATCTCATACTTCAATGGCAGCAAGATGCTGGCAGAACTCTAGTCTTACACTCTTCCTTTTTTGATCCAGCAAGAAAGATCAAGAATCTTGTCACACTGACTTCTGATTCATTGACTGCTTTTGGGTTCCATGCTTATTCTCAATCCAATTGCAGTGGTGTGAGAACTGAGATAAGGTTGCCCACTGTAGGCCTTAGTCATGTTCTCTACCTCCAGAATCACAGCTAGTACCAACTATGCACTACAATTATGTTATCAATAAAGTGTGTATCATGATGGTTTCCAATTTTTCTGTTTTGAAATACCTATTGTTTCCATACTAGACTGTAAATTCTCTGAGGAAGGAATTATGTCTTACAGATCTTTGTATTTAGGCCTAGCAGTGAGTCCTGTATAAGGTAAACATTCAATAAATGGTTATTAAATAAAGGAAGGAAGAAACAATTAGCTTCAGATAATACAACATTATATTAAAATAAACATGTTAAAGAATGTTTAAAAACCAATAAATGTCACACCTTGCATTTGAATGTGAACTACCACATACTTTATTTGAATTTCCATTAAATGAACCATACTTTAAAAGTAACGTTACCATCATCTAGTGCTCGCAGTTACTGCCTATACTTCTCAACTTAAAGTATGATGCAATAATTAAACATCTGTTATATTTAAAGGACATTACATTTTTGACTAACACTGCATATTCATATTTGCTGATTGAAATAATCATTATAACAACTGCTATTGTTAGTATACGTTGACTGGAAGAGGAGTGCAGTAAGAAGGCCGAATAAAATCCTCCAGTGATCATTCCCCACTCAGGAACACCAGAACTGTCCACACAAGAAAGCACCTTCATAAAAACCAAAAATCAGGTGAGTGATCACAGTATTTGATTTTAACATCATATCAAGGAAAGAGCACTGAAGTCGGTAGAAAAGACAGTCTTGAATCGATGAAACCACCCCTCCCACATCTTCTGCAAAAAGAATCTGTATACTTGGGGAAGGAGAGTGCAGTGATTGTGGGACTTCACTTTGGAATTCAGTGATGCCCTGTCACAGTGGAAAGCAACACAGGGCAGAAATCAGCTGATGTCCACCTGAGCATTTAGACCAGCCCTAGCAAGAGTTGAATTGTCCATCCCAGCGGCCAGAACCTGAGTTCCAGCAAGCCTCTCCACCATGGGCTAAAGCGCTCTGGAGTCCTAAATAAACTTAATAGGCAGTCTAGGCCACAGGGACTACAATTCCTGGGCAAGTCCTGGTTCTGTGCTACACTCAGAGCCAGTGGACTTGGGGTGCATGCATCCTACTGAGACAACAGCTGGGGAGGCCAAGGGGGTGTTTGTGTCAACCTTCCCCAGTCCCAGGCAGTGCAGCTTGCAGCTTCGGGAGAGATTCTTCCCTTCCACTTGAGGAGAGGACAGGAGAAAGTAAAGAGGACTTTGTCTTGCAACTTGGATACCAGTTCAGCCACAGTAGAATATGGCACAGGCTGTCTTGAAGTCCCCATTTTAGGCCCTAGCTCCCAGGGGGGCATAATAAATACACCCTGAGCCAGAAGGAAACCTGCTGTCTTGAAGGAAGGACCCAGTCCTGGCAGGATTCATCACCTGCTAACCAAAGAGTTCTTGGGTCTTGAATAAACATCAATAATAATAAGGTAGTACTCACTGAGTGAGACTCAGAGACATGCTGGCTTTAGTGTGAACCAGTACATTCCCAGCTGTGGTGGACATAGGGAGAGACACCTCCTTGAGAAAAGAAGGGGGAAGAATAAGGGAGACTTCGTTCTGTAGTTCAGGTACCAGGTTGGCCACAGTGGGGTAGAGCACCAAGCAGGCTCCTGTGGTCCCCAATTCCAGGCTTTGGCTCCTGAACAGCATTTCTGGACCTGCCCTGGGCCGGAGGGGAGCCTGCTGCCCTGAAGGGAGAGACCCATGGCAGCATTCACCATAAGCTGACTGAAGAGCTCTTGGGTCTTAAGTCAATATCGAAGGTAGCCAGGTAGTACTCGTCGTGGGCCTGGGATGGTGGTAGCCATGAGAAGAGTCTTCTTCCGGATGAGGAAAGGGAGAAAAAAGTGGGAAGGGCTTTGTCTTGTGTCTTGGGTGCCAGCTCAACTGCAGTAGAATAGAGCACCAAGTAGCTTCCTAAGGTTCCTGACTCTAGAGCCTGGCTCAAGATGACATTTCTGAACTTTCCCTGAGCCAGAGGGGAGCTTGCTGCCCTGAAGGGAAGAACACAAGCATGGCTACATTGGCTAACTGCTGACTGAAGAGCTTTTGAACCTTGAGTGAACATTGGCAGTAGCCAGGCAGTGGTTGCCGTTGGCCTTGGTAACACCCAGTGCTATGCTGGCTTCAGGTCTGACCCTGCACTGTTCCAGTATGGTGGTCACAGGAGTACCTGTATCACCTCTCTCCTAATCCCAAGTATCTCAACACACACACAGAGACTCCATTTTGGGGAGTTAGTAGGGGAAGTGACAGAGGAGAACAAGAGTCTCTGTCTAGTAATCCAGAGAATTTTCCCAGATCTTATCTAAGGTGGTACCTCTGTGAGTCTGCAAGAGTCATAGCATTAATGGGCTTGGTGTGGCCCCTAATACAGATATAGCTGTAGTGACCAAAAACTTAGATCACAACACCCAAGTCCTTTCAAATACCTGGAATGCTTTCTCAAGAAGGATGTGAACAAACAAGCCCAGACTGCAAAAACTACAATAAATGCCTAAGTCTTCAATGCCCAGACACCAACTAACATCCACAAGCGTCAAGACCATCCAGGAAAACATGACTTCACCAAGCAAACTAAGGCACCAATCCAGGAGAAAAAGAGATATGTGACCTTTCAGACAGAGAATTCAAAATAGCTATTTTGAGGAAACTCAAAGAAATTCAAGATAACACAGAGAAGGAATTCAGACTCCTATCAGATAAATTTAGCAAAAACACTGAAATAATTAAAAAGAATCAAGCAGAAATTCTGGAGCTGAAAAATTCAACTGACATAGTGAAGAATGCATCAGCATCTCTTAATAGCAAAATTAAGCAGAAGAAAGAATTAGTGGGCATGAAACAGGCTATTTGAAAATACAAAGTCAGAGAAGACAAAAAAAGAATAAAAAAAGAATAAAGCATGAATTTAAGATATTAGAAAATTGCCTCAAAAGGGCAAATCCAAGAGTTATTGGCCTCAAGGAGGAGGTAGAAAGTTTATTCAAAGGCATAATAACAGAAAACTTTACAAACCTAGAGAGAGATATCAATATTCAAATTAAAGAAGGTTATAAAACACTAAGCAGACTTAAACCAAATAAGACTATTTCAAGGCATTTAATAATCAAATTTCTAAAGGTCAAGGATAACGAAAGAACCCTAAAAACAGCAGGAGAAAAGGAAACAATTACATAGAAGAAGCTCCAATACGTCTAGCAGCAGACATCTCAGTGGAAACCATACAGCCCAGGAGAGAGTGGCATGATGTATTTAAAGTAATAAAGGAAAAAAAAAACTTTTATCCTGGAATAGTGTGTCCAGCAAAATATCTTTCAAACATGAAGGAGAAATAAAGACTTTCGCAGATAAGTGAAAGCTGAGGGAATTAATGAACACCAGACCTGTCCTACAAGAAATGCTAAACAGAGTTCTTCAGTCTGAAAGAAAAGGACATTAACAAGCAATAAGAAATCATCTTAAGGTACAAAACTCACTGGTGATAGTAAGTACACAGATAAACATATTATTACACTGTAATAGTGGTGTGTAAACTACTTGTATACTAAAAGAAAGACTAAAAGAACTTAGTAAAAATAGTAACAGCAAACACTTTTCGAGACATAGATAGTATAAAGAGATATAAATAGTAACAATAAAAAGTTAAAAAGCAGGAGGGATGAACTAAAGTTGTAGAATTAGTATTCGTTTTTTCTTTGCTTCGTTAGTTTGTTTTTGCAATCTGGGCTAAGTTGCCATCAATTTCAAATAATGGGTTATAAGATGTAATTTTCAAGCCTCATGGTAACCTCAAATCAAAAAACCTACAACAGATATGTAAAAAATAAAAAGGAAGAAATTAAAACATACAGCAAGAAAAAATCACCTTCACAAAAAATAAGACAGTAAGGAACAGAAGACCACAAAACAACCAGGAAACCAATTGTTTAAAATGGCAGGAGTGAGTCCTGACTTATCAATAATAATACTGAATGTAAATGAACTAAACTCTCAAACCAAAATACATAGGGTGGCTGGATGGATTTTTAGAAAACAACATCCAATGATCTATTTCCTGCAAGAAACACACTTCATTTATAAAGGCACACATAGACTGAAAATAAAGGGATGGAAAGAGATATTTCATGCAAATGGAAACCAAAAAACCAACTGAAATGAGCTATACTTATGTCACACAAAATAGATTTCATGACAGAGACAAGGTCATTATAAATGATAAAGGAGTCAAGTCAGCAAGAGAACATAACAACTGTAAATACATATGCACCCAACACTGGAGCAGCTAGATATTTTATAAAGCAAATATTTTTAAAGCTTAAGAGAAAGATAGACCCCAATGCAATAATAGTTGGAGACTTCAACAGCCCACTTTCAGCACTGGACAGGTCTTCCAGACAGAAAATCAACAAAGAAACATCAGACATAATGTGCACTATTGACTAAATGAATCTAACAGATATTTATAGAACATTTCAGCCGATGGCTGCAGAATACATATTCTTCTCAGCACATAGATCCTTCTTAAGGATAGCTCATATGTTAGGCCACTAAACAAGTCTTAAAACATTTTAAAAATTGAGATCATATCAAGTATCTTCTTTGACCACAATGGAATAAAATTAGAAGTCAATAACAATAGAAACATTGGCAACTATACAAAAACATAGGAATTAAGCACTATGCTCCTGAATGACCAGTGGGTCAATGAAGAAATAAAGAATGAAATTCAAAACGTTTTGAAACAAATGAAAGAGAAAACACAACATAACACAACCTATGGGATACGAAGAAAGCAATACTAAGAGGAAAGTTTATAGTAATAAATGCCTACATAAAAAAGTAGAAAAACTTGAAATAAACAACCTGAGAGTGCATCTTAAAGAACTAGACAAACGACAAAACTAAACCCAAAATTAGTAGAAGGAAAGAAATTACAAAGATCCAAGCAGAAATAAATAAAATTGAAATGAGAAAAAATAAAAAGATCAGTGAAGGCCGGGTGCAGTGGCTCACGCCTGTAATCCCAGCATTTTGGGAGGCCAAAGCGGGTGGATCACAAGTTTCAAGACCAGCCTGGCCAAGATGGTGAAACCCTATCTCTACTAAAAATACAAAAAAAAAATTAGCCGGGCATGGTGGTGGGCACCTGTAATCTCAGCTACTCGGGAGGCTGAGGCAGAGAATTGCTTGATCCCAGGAGACGGAAGTTGCAGTGAGCCGAGATCCCACCACTGCACTCCAGCCTGGGCAACAGAGCGAGACACTGTCTCAAAAATAAAAAATATATAAAAAACTTAAAAATCAGTGAAATTAAAAGTTGGTTTTTTAAAAAGATAAACAAAATTCACAAACTTTTAGCCAGACTAAGAAAAAAAGAGCTAAAATTTAAATAAATAAAATTAGAGATGAAAAAGGAGATATTACAACTGATACCACAGAAATTTAAATGATCATTAGACACTACTATGAACAACTACATGCCAGTAAATTGGAAAACCTAGGAGAAATGGATAAATTCCTAGAAACATATAACCTGCCAAAATTGGACCATGACAAAATCCAAAATCTGAACAGATCAATAACAAGTAATGAGATATAAACCATAATAAAAAATCTCCCAGTAAAGAAAGGCCCAGGAGACAATGGCTTCCCTACTGAGTTTTACCAAACATTTGAAAAAGAACTAATACCAGCCGGATGCGGTGGCTCACACCTGTAATCCCCAAACCTTGGGAGGCCAAGGCAGGTGAATCACGAGGTCAGGAATTCAAGACCAGCCTGGCCAAGATGGTAAAAACCTGTCTTTACTAAAAATACAAAATAAATTAGCAGGGCCTGGTGGTGGGTGCCTGTAATCCCAACTACTCAGGAGGCTGAGGCAGAGAATTGCTTGAACCCGGGAGGCAGAGGCTGCAGTGAGCCAAGATCGCAACACTGCACTCCAGCCTGGGGGACAGAGCAAGACTCCATCTCAAAAAAAAAAAAACTAATACCAATCCTACTCAAACTATTCTGAAAAATGGAGGAGGAGAAAATACTTCCAAACTCATTCTGCTGGGCCACTATTACCACGATAACAAAACCAAAGACACGTCAAATAAAGAAAACTAAAGGCCCATAGCCCTGACGAATATTGATACGAAGATCCTCAAAAAAATGCTAACAGATCAAATTTAGCAACACACTGACCATGTGGCTTTTATCCCATGGATGCAAGGATGTTGCAACATACACAAACTAATCAATGTGATACATCGTACCAACACAGTGAAAGACAAAAACCATATGATCATTTCAAGTCATGCTAAAAATGCATTTGATAAAGTTCAATGTCCCTTCATGATAAAAACCCTCAAAAACTGGGTATAGAAGGAACATACCTCAACATAATAAAAGCTATATACAACAAACCCACAGCTAGTATTATACTGAATGGTGAAAAACTGAAAGCCTTTCATCTAAGATCTGGAACAAGACAAGGATGCCCACTTACACCACTGTTATACAACATATATTACTAGATGTTCTAACTAGAGCAGTCAGACAACAGAAAGAAATAAAGTACATCCAAGTTGGAAAGGAAGAAGTAAAATTATCCTTGTTTGCAAGTGATATAATATTTTATTTGGAAAAAACTAAAGACTCCACAAAAACAACTTTTAGAACTCATAAATTCTGTAAAGACACAGGATACAAAATTAACATACAAAAATCAGTAGCATTTCTAAATGCCAAAAGTGAACAATCTGAAAAAAGAAATCAAGAAAATAGTCCCGTTTACAATAGCTACAATTAAAATAAGATACCTAGGAATAAACTTTAATCAAAGAAGTGAAGGGTCTTTACAGTGAAAACTATAAAACATTGTTGCATGTAATTGAAGACATTTAAAAATGAAAAGATACTCCATGTTCATGGATAAGAAGAATCAATATGGTTAAAACATCTGTACTGCCCAATGAAATCTACAGATTCAATGCAATCCCTATCATAATATCCATGACAGTCTTCACAGAAATAAAAAAAATCCTAAAATTTATATGGAAACAGAAAAGACCCAGAATAGCCAAACCATTCTGAGGAAAAAAAAAAAAAAAGCAAAACTGATAGAATCACACTACCTGATTTTAAGCATACTACAGAGCTGTAGTAAACAAAACAGCATAGTACTGGCATAAAAACAGACACATAGACCAATGGAACATAACTGAGAACCTAGAAACAAATCCATAAATCTACAGTGAAGTCATTTTTAAAAAAGTTGCCAAGAATATACACTGGGGAAAGGACAGTCTCTTCAATAAATGGTGCTGGGAAATATTCATATTCATATATAGAAGAATGAAACTAGACCCTTATCTCTCACCATATACAATCAAGTCAAAATGGATTAAAGACTTAAATCTAAGACCTTAAACTACGAAACTAGTAAAAGTTTGGGGAAACTCTACAGGACACTGGTCTGGGCAAAGATTTCTTGACTAATACCCCACAAGCCTAGGCAACCAAAGCAAAAATGGACAAATGGAACCACATCAAGTTAAAAAAAACTCCTGCACAGCAAAGGAAACTATCAACAAAGTGAAACAACAACCCACAGAATGGGAGAAAATATTTGCAAACTACCCATCTGACAAGGGATTAATAACCAGAATATATAAGGAGCTCAAACAACTCTAAGGAAAAAAATCTAATAATCCAATTAAAAATTGGGCAAAAGATCTGAATAGACATTTCTCAAAAGAAGACATACAAATGGTGTATTAGTTCATTTTCACGCTGCTGATAAAGACATACCTAAGACTGGGTAATTTATACAGAAAAAAGGATTTAATGAACTTACAGTTCCACATGGCTGAGAAGGCCTAACAGTCATAGCAGAAGACAAGGAGGAGCAAGTCACGTCTTACATGAATGTCAGCAGGCAAAAGAGAGCTGTGCAGGGAGACTTCCATTTTTAAAACCATCAGATCTTGTGAGACTCACTCACTGTCACAAGAACCGTGCAGGAAAGACCTGCTCCCATAATTCAATCACTACTCACCAGGTTCCTCCCACAGCTGTGGGAATTTTGGGAGTTAAAATTGAAGATGAAATTTGGGTTGTGACACAGCCAAACCATATCAAATGGCAAACAGGTATATGAAAAGGTGCTCAACATCATTGACCATCAAAGAAATGTGAATCAAAACTATAGTGAGATATCCTGTCACCCCAGTTAAAATGGCTTTTATTCAAAATCCAGGCAGTAATGAATACTGGCAAGGATGTGGAGAAAAGGAGACCCTAACACACTGTTGGTGGGAATGTAAATTAGTTCATCCACTATGGAAAGCAGTTGGAGATTTCTCTAAGAATTTAAAACAGAGTTACCATTTGCCCAGCAATCTCATTCCTGGATATATACCCGAAGGAAAATAAATCATTCCACCAAGAAGATATGCACACATATATTCAGCACAGCACTATTCACAATAGCAATGACATGGAATCTACCCAGGTGCTCTTCAATGGTGGATTCGATAAAGAAAATGTGGTACACATACACCATGGAATACTATGCAGCCACAATAAAGAATGAAATCTTATCCTTTACAGCAACATGGATGCAGCTGGAGGCCATTATCCTAAGCAAATTAATACAGCAACAGAAAACTAAATACTGTATGTTCTCACTTATAAGTGGGAGCTAAACATTGAGTACCAATGGACATGAAGATGGTTACAATGGACACTGGGCATTACTAGAGGGTGGAAAGGGAAAGAGAAGATGAGGGGCAAGGGCTGAAAAACTACCTATTAGGTATTATGCTTACAACCTGGGTGACAGGATCATTCATACCCCAAACCTCAGCATCACGCAATATACTCATGTAAAAAACCTGCATATGTACCCCTAAACCTAAAATAAAAGCTGAAATACATCTTTTTTAAAAAGAGAGAGAAATATTAGGATGATTTGGTTGTGTGAAGAGGGAGAGGAGTAGCATTCCAGGAACAGCACATGTAGAAGCCCTGAGGAAACAAAACTTGTCATGCACAAGGAATTGACAGTCTATTTGGCCAGGGCACAGAGAAATTGGGACAGGTGGATAAGGTTGAAGAGAAGGTAGGCCAAGAACTTGGGTGTTTTTGAGGCTTTGTACTAGCTAGATATTACTTTTTAATTTTAAGCCTGAAATCTAGCAAATGGCGACTTTTTCTAAGCAAAAATAAACACCTTGACTGTCACTGCATTGTCTAAATTATTCATTTGTACATCAGTGCTCCTCACTTTCATGTGCACATAAATCACTGAGAGTTCCTTTTAAAATACAGATTCTGATTCAAGGTCTGGCATAGGACCTAATATTATATTACTTAATTATCTAAGCTCTTCCAGCGTTACATACCCAAAATCATATTATTTCTCATTATCAAAATTTTTTTGATTAGGCGCTTGTAACACTAAGAATTAGAAACCAATCATAACCAGGTCAGGCGCGGTGGCTCATGCCTGTAATCCCAGCACTTTGGGAAGCCGAGGTGCATGGATCGCTTGATGTCAGGAGTTCAAGACCAGCCTGGCCAACATGGTCAAACCCTGTCTATACTAAAACAAACAAACAAACAAACAAACAACTACAACAACAACAAAACAAAAGTTAGGTTTGGTGGTGCATGCCTGTAATCCCAGCTACTCAGGAGGCTGAGGCAGGACAATCGCTTGAACCCAGGAGGCAGAGGCTGAAGTGAGCCAAGATTGTGCCACTGCATTCCAGCCTGGGCAACAAAGTGAGACTGTCTCAAAAAAAAAAAAAAGAAAAAAAAAGAAAAAAAAAGAAATAAAAAAGAAAAGAAAAAGAAAAAGAAAAAAAGAAATCAATCAGAACTTTTGGTTGCAAATGATTATTGCCTAGTTATTACTCATTTAATTCAAAATGAATTTACCAAAACTTCACAAATGATAATAATTATGCTTTTGATTTTTGGGGATTTTGTTTGTTTGTTTGTGGGGTATTTTTGTTGTTGTTTGTCTTTTGTTTTTTTGAGACAGGGTCTCACTCTGTCACCCAGACTGGAGTGCAGTGGCATGATCACGGTTCACTGCAGCCTCAAACCCCCAAGCTCAGATGATTCTCCTGCCTCAGCTTCCCCAGTAGCTGGGACTACCTACAGGTGCATGCGACCATGCCCAGTCACTTTTTGTATTTTTTGTAGAGAACAGGGTTTTGCTATGTTGCCCAGGCTGGTCTCAAACTCCTAAAATCAAGCAATTGCCCACCTCAGCCTCCTAAAGTGCTGGGATTGCAGGTATGAGCCACTGCGCCAGCCTAGTAATTATGTTTATTATTCTTTTCACTTAGAAGTACCTTGTTTAACCTGTTGTACTTAAAAAGAGTTGGGAAATTTGAAATACAGCTGGCCCTTGAACAACACAGGGGTTAGGGGTGCCGACTGCATACAGTCGAAAATCCATGTATAACTTTTGACTCCCCCAAAACTTACCTACTAATAGCCTGTTGACTAGAAGCCTTACTGATAACATAAACGTCCATTAACATATATTTTTACGTTATATGCATTATATACTATATTCTTACAATAAAGTAAGCTAGGGGAAAGAAAATGTTTTTAAGAAAATCATGAGGGAGAAAAAATATATTTGCTATTCATTAAGTGGAAGTAGATCATTATAAAGGTCTTTATCTTCATTGTCTTCAAGTTGAGTAGGCTGAGGAAGGGGAGGAAGAAGAGGGGTTTGTCTTGCTCTTCTTCCTCCTCCTCCTCAGCCTACTCAACTTGAAGACAAGGGGATGGAAGAGGCAGAAGAAAAATCTCACATAAGTGAATCCACACCATTCAAACTTGTGTCATTCAGGCTACCAGGTCTTCTTTATACTAGATTTTCTAAACTTGAAAAACTGGATTAAAAGTTATCAGCTTATTTCATATCAAATTTCATAATAAGCAGTCTTTAGGAACTAGTTAAATTGTGGGGGGAAGTAAAGGTGAGTGGTCCATATTTCTGAGAAAGTAAACATTTCATAAACCAGCAACTCATCATCATTATATTATTACTTTCTCCCTCTGTTGCCCAGGCTGGAGTGCAGTGGCGCGATCTCGGCTCACTGCAAGCTCCGCCTCGGGTTCACGCCATTCTCCTGCCTCAGCCTCCCAAGTAGCTGGGACTACAGGCACCCGGCGCCACGCCCGGCTAATTTTTTTTTTTTTTTTTTTTTTTTTTTTGTATTTTTAGTACAGACAGGATTTCACCGTGTTAGCCAGGATGGTCTCTATCTCCTGACCTCGTGATCCGCCCGCCTCAGCCTCCCAAAGTGCTGGGATTACAGGCGTGGACCACCGCGCTGTCGCAACCAATGTATTTTTAAAATAGTAATGTAGTTATTTGCTGGACTCATTGGAATTTTGTTTAAAAAGAAATGCGCACCCCTTGCATACGTATCAACATAGGAAGCATATTGAGACTGATGAGAAAGACAAGAAGGTTGAAATTGTTTTGAGGTTTTAAAAAAAATGCAATTGCTTGGCATTGTTGACTGGGTATAATGATTGCAGAAATAAATAAAATTAATAGCACAAAAAAAACCCCAAACAAAAAGCTCCCACAAACCTGTGTTGTTCAAGAAACAACTGTATTGCTAATTTCAGCATTTTTTTTTCATATTATATGTTTGATTAAAATGTTAGCCTGGTCAACATGGTGAAACCCCATCTCTACAAAAAACTACAAAATATTATCCAGGCATGGTGGCTATGCACCTGTAGTCCCAGCTACTTGGGAGACTAAGGTAGGAGGATTGCTTGAGCCCAGGAGACACAGGTTGCAGCAGACTGCGCTCCAGTCTGGGTGACATTAATTAATGAGACCCTGTCTCCAACCCCCACAAAAAAAGTTTTAAATATGTTTTTGACAAACTGTAGAGCTGCAGAATAAGCTTATTTATGGAAAATGTCTACATTAAAACTAATTAGCAAAGTCAGGCTTTGTTGTTATATCAGTCAGCCAAAACAGATTTACTTTCCATTAAAAAGAAAAGCTTAATGTTAACTTTCAATTCAAATGAAAGTGCTAATATGCATTCTGATGAATAATATCACTGAAAAATAAACCATAAGAAAGAGTACTAACAGTAAGACAATGAATATTAAAATCTAATATAATATTTTTCATTTTCACAGTAAGCTATAAACCCAATAATAAATTTCATGCTTGTTTTCACTACTTATAATCCAATATGATACTCAAAATTATAAGTTATTTATAAAGCAAGGAGTATAATTAAAGGCATGGCATATGGTTTATTCTGAGTTCGCCAGAAAGCAGAACCTAAGGCATAGGCTTAAGAGCAAGTGCTTGACCAGGAAGTAAAGGAGAAGAAAAGCAAGGAAAGAAGTGGAGCACTTGCAGAAGTTGGCTGCCTCTATGTATGACTGGTTCCTTGACTGCACACTATAAGAAATGTGTCTCCAGACCATCCATCTGGGGAAGAAATGGGAAAGCATTTTTCTCTGGCTCCTGGCAGATGGTGAGGACTAATTATTTACTGTGTTTCCTCCACCTTTCGATTCACCATACCAAACTCCTGCACCTGTTAAAAACGTTTGGGGAAGGACTTTTGGAATGTTGAATTAAGGAGCTCAGTAGGACCTCTCCCCAGCAAAACAACAATTTACCTAATGAAAGTGATAAAAAAAAAATCATTCCCATCTCTGGATCTGTACTAAGGACATACAGCAAAAGAAAAAACATTCATTCAAGAGAATTTACTAAATCTTGGGTAAGAAAAGTGAAAGGCTGGGACATTTAAGCACAGACTACTCCATTATGGACCCTATCAGCTCCACATGATGGAAGCTGTACTTCAGGTATCTGTACCAAAAAGAATGGGATTCATCTCCCCCTTCCTACTACCCCAACCTCACACCTCCCCTGCTCCCAGTTTAGGGCTATGGTGACCAATGATGGGCAGGTAGCTGGTGTTTCTCCTACCCCCACCAAGCCCTGTGTTATGGAAGCTCTATTTCAGGCAGGAATAGCAGACAAGGTCTCTCTTCCCAAACAGCCTCTTCTCAAAGACAAAAACCCTACCCCCGGTATGGCAGTCTGAAGACACTAGGGCTCCAATTTACCTCAGCCCTGACTGGCTAGTAGGCAGAAGGTCCTGCACTAGTAAGAACAAGCTGAGAACACCAGATCTGCTCCCTCTCCCCTGCAGTGGGTAGTCACTAGAATTAGAGAGGGGAGGAAGCCCAGAGCTTTAGTGCAGTGGTGCAGGAGTTCTGCCCAGTGGGTAAGGCAGACCATAAAGAGAAAGAACTTTGCAAGTCTGCCTGAAGGGACTCACATCCATGCCTAAGGATGCTGTCTTGTTGGACAACTGTTAAAGGGAGGCTGGTAGCTCTCAGAATTTATAATGGCTGAGAATCTTTCAAAATTAATAACAGACACCAAACCACAGGTCCGGTAAATTCAGAGAACACCAAGCAGGAAAAATACCAAAAAACTACATTTAGATTTGTTATACTCAAGCTACAGAAAATAAAAGACAAGGAGAAAATCTTGAAAAATGTCAGAGGAAAAAACCCACGTTGCTTTTAGAGGTAACAGGATAAGAATAACAGTAGGCTTCCCATCAGAAATCATGCAAACAAGAAAAGAATGGAATGAAGTACTTAAATCATTAAAAGAAAAATCTCATAAATGTAGAATTCTATATCCAAAAGAAATTAAAGTTCAAAAGTAAAAATATGTATATTTTCTCAGACAAACAAAAACTGGGAATTCATTGCCAGCAGACATACTCTAAAAGAAATAGTAAAAGAAATTATTTAAAAAGTAAAACTACATCAGTCAGAAACTTGGATTTACATAAAGAAACAAAAAGCATTAGAGAAGAAATAAGGTAAAATAAATTATATTTTTCTTTTTTGGGGATTAAGCTTCTGTTTGTCATGATATTTTTCTTATTCTTAATTGATCTGAAGAATAACTTTGTTTAAAGCAACGATGGTAGTAATAGTGCTGGGTGATTACAGCATAAGATAAATGAAAAGAACGACAGTAATGTTGAGAAAAGAAAAATAGCTCAGAGCAGTCTTAGTTTTGCTAGTTGTGCAAACTTTATCAGGCCCAGAGAGACTAATGGGACTTCAGTTACCTAACCTCACCCACCCATGCCTGAGGGCAATTGTTTATAGTCATTTTGTTCTTGATGAGCTGCTTTTCCCATTAGCTTCTGGAAATTTCTGGAATTTGTGATACAAAAGAACAATATATAGCCAATCAATCGCTTATATTATTTTAATGCAAAATTCTTGGTAAGCAACTCAGGAATTGCCTCTTCTTTTTCTTTAAAAACCAATTGTAATTACCATTAATTGGAGCGTATATTTAGGGCAACTTGAATCTATGCTCTCAGGTTGCAGTCCTAAAGTTTGGTCCAAATAAACTCCCTACTTACATTAATTTTACCTCAGTTTTTTCCTTTTAGGTTAACAATGTCATAAAGGATGAGATAGAAGAATTAAAAATACTGTAATAACCTTTTAGGTTGACAATGTCATAAAGGATGAGATAGAAGAATTAAAAATACTGTAATAAGGTATCTGTACTATGTGTGAAGTGGTATAGGGTTATTTAAAGGTAGATTTAGAATAGTTTAAATTACATGAGGAGACAAAGTTCATGGAAAAATGAAATTAATAGATAAAAATAAAAATAAAAACTTTATTTCTTAACGTAAGCTCCATCAAGTTTGACACTTTTGTAAGAAATGTACCAGCCATTTAGTCCATCCCTAAAGAACTGAGGGTTCTGGGAATTTAACCAAGTCAATGCAGTATTTTTTACATTTAATAATGTAAAAAATTTAATAATGAAGAAAAATGGGTGCCCTTTAAAGATTTTTTTGAGATCAGGAAACAAAAAGAAGTCAGAAAGAACCGAATTAAGATGGCAAACTGAATGCCTAATGATTTCCCAATGATTTCCCATCAAAACACTCACAAAATTGCCCTTGTTTGATGAGAAGAATAAGAAGGAGCATTGTTGTGGTAGAGAATTCTCTGGTGAAGCTTTCCTGGGCATTTTTCTGCTAAAGCTTTGGCTAACTTTCTCAAAACTCTCTTATAATAAGCATATATTATTACTTTTTGGCCTTCCAGAAAATCAACAAGCAAAATACCTTGAGCATCCTCAAAAAACTGTTGCCATAATCTTTGCTCTTGACTGGCCTGCTTTTGCTTTGCTTCAACCACTTCCTCCTCTTTATAGCCGTTGCTTTGTCTTCAAGATTGTACTGGTAAACCACGTTTCATTTTCTGTTATGATTCTTTGAAGAAATGCTTCAGGGCTTCGATGGCGCTTGTTTAAAATTTCCATCTAAAGCTCTGCTCTGGTCTGCAGTTCATCTGGGATCAATGGTTTTGGCACCAATTGAGTAGACGGTTTGTTCAGCTTTTAACTTCTTAGTCAGAATTGTGTAAACTGAACCAATGTTATTGGCTAGTGTTAATCATTAGTCCTCTTCAATTAGGCCACAAACAAGATGAATTTTTCCCTTGCAAATTGATGTGGTTGGCCTGCTGCTATATGGGCTTCTCTTCAACATTGTCTCATCCCTTCTTGAAATGAGTTATCCATCTGTAAACTGTTGATTGCTTTGGGGCATTATCCCCATAAACTTTTTGTAAAGCATCAATGATTTCACCATTTTCCCACCCAAGCTTAAGCATAAATGTGATGCTTTTTCTTGCTTCAATTGTAACAAATTTGTATTGCTTTGATAGGGGTTCTTTTCAAACTGATGTTTTATCCATTTTTGTGCCTCAAGCTAGATCCTGTTTAGACATGTTTTAGCAAGCTTATCTCAATGCAAAAAAATTTTTAAATCAATGCACAGTGTTTTCAAAATACTCATTTTTTGTGACATTTTTAAGACCTCTAATGGAAACTCTAGGGTAACCACTAAAACATTTTAAAATACTAATTGATATGATAAGAGAAAACAGTAGTCCTTCCTTATGCATGGTTTTGGCTTCTGCAGTTTCAGTTACTTGATGTCAACCAGTCTGAAAATATTAAATGGAAAATTCCAGAAATTAACAATTCATAAGTTTTACATTTTGTGTCATTCTGAGTACCATGATGAAAGCTTGTATTGTTGTACTCTGTCCTACCTTGCTCCTCCACATACCAATTCACCATACCAGACCCCTGCACCTGCTAAAAATGTGTTTGGGGAAGGACTTTTAGAATGATGAATTAAGGAGCTCAGTAGGTCCTCTCGCCAGCAAAACAACAATTTACCTAATGAAAATGATAAAAACCAATCATTTCTACCTCTGGAATTGTACTAAGGACACACAGCAAAAGAAGAAACATTCAAGAGGATTTACTAAATCTTGAGTAAGAAAAGTGAGAGGCTGGAACATTTAAGCCACAGACTATTCCATTATGGCCTCCCTCAGTTCCACATGATGGAAGCTCTACTTCAGGTATCTGTACCAAAAAGAATGGGATTCCTCTCCCCCTTCCTACCATCCCATCTACTTCACACCACCCTGATACCAGTCTAGGGCTATGATGATCAAAGATGGGCAGGTAGCTGGTATTTTTCATCTCTCCCAGCCTCGTGTTATGGGAGTTATATTATAGGCAGGGGTAGCAGACAAGGTCTTTTGTCCCATTATAGCCTCAAACTCCTAGTCTCAAGTGATACTCCTGTCTCAGCTTCCTGAGTAGCTAGGACTGCAGGTATGCACCATGACACTTGGCTGAAACTCACTTTAAGTATGAAGATTCAAATAGGTTAAAAGTAAAGAGTTAGAGAAAGCTATACTATGCTAACACAAATCAGAAGATAGCTGGAATAGCTATAATGATTTCAGACAAAGCAGACTTCAGAATGAGGAAAATTGTCTAGGTTGAAGGAGGCATCAGAACATGTGAGGCAAAAAGTGATGAAACTCATTGAGGCTGCAGTGAGCTATGATCATACCACTGGACTCCAGCCAGGGCAACATAGCAAGACCCTGACTCAAAAAGAAAAAGAAAAAATAATGATAGAAGTCACAGGAGAAATAGACAAATTCACTACTATAGTTGGGATCCCTCTGCCAGTAATTGATAGAGTAAGCAGGCAAAAAATTAGTAAGGATATAGTTGACTGAACAACATGCTCAATCAACTTGACCTAATTGACATTTTCAGAACACTCCATCCAACAACAGCAAAATACACATTCTTCTCAAGCTCACATGGAATATTCATCAAGCTAGACCACATCCTGAGACATAAAGCATACCTTAACAAATTTAAAAGAATAAAAATTATGCAATGAATGCTATCAAACAACAATAGAATTAAACTAGAAATCAATAAGATAGTTGGAAAATTCCTCATGTATTTGAAAATTAAGCAACACACTTCTAAATAACACATGGGCCAAAGAAGAAGCCTCAAGAGAAATTTTAAAATATTCTGAACTGAAGGAAAATTAAAATACAACTTATTGAATTTGTAAGATGCAGTAAAAGCAATAATTACAAGGAGATTTATAGTGTGTTGAAGTAATACATTAGTTAACTTTATACATAAATAAATAATAAAACCTCCTTCAAGGTCTCAAATAAAATATATTAGTAAAGAAGAAATATCTAGAATTGATAATCTAAGCCCCCATCTTAGGACATTAGACAAAGAAGAGCAATTTAATCTGAAAGAAAGCAGAAGAAATACTAAAAATTAGAGCAAAGATCAATAAAATTGAAAACAGGAAAACAATAGAGAAAATCAACAATACAAAACATTGGTTATTTGAAAAGATCAGTAAATTTGATAAACCTCTAGCCAAATTAACCAAGGAAAAAAAGAGACAAGATACAAGTTATCTGTATCAGAAATGAAAGAGGAGCTGGGCATGGCAGTGCAGGCCTATAGTCCCAGCTACTCAGGAGGCCGAACCAGGAGGACCCCTGAAAGGAAACCACAATAGGATGATGGCAAGGAAGCCAAAGGAGGTTAATGATTCAAAATGAAACTATGTTCCATAGTGAGAACTAAAAAATGCAATTACAACTGAATGATGAACTTTTCATACACCACAAAATGAGGTAGGGGAACTGTGAGTATTATTTATTTCTGGAAGAGTGTCAGTTACTGGGGAGATAGACATTTTAAAGACAGAGAACTTAGGAGAGAGCTTATCTGGACAAAAAAAACCTATAGCATTGATTCTAATTTTGATGAGTTACTAGATATGAAAACTAAAATTAAAAATTCCCTAAATTTGACTTAATTTTCCCATCATTTCTGCTTATCAGAATCAAAATATCTTGAGTAACAGCAAAGGTGCTCAACCTTCTTTATAAACTGACAGGAAAAAATATATTTCAGTAAATTACACATAAGCCCAAGTTTATTATTCTGGAAATAAGCTTTTTTCTGTTACTCTCAGGCTTACATCGAGACGTCCTACAATAGAATTATTACTAAAATTTATTAGAAATTGATAGAATTCTCAGCAGCAGGGTTTTTTTTTTTCTTACTTTAAAACCTTTTTTTTTTCTTCCTTATGCAACTTATCTAAGATCAGCAGCAGATTTATAGCTCACACTAAGTAATGTCAGGGTCACAATTCAAAATGTTATCATCTTCATCAAAACAAAATATGGTAATATCTTTGTTACTACACACAAAGATAGAATTCTCTAGTGTATACTTCTCTTAAACTCTATAATCATATTTTCTCTTCCATAAACTCTCACTGCAATAACATGTAATTAAATTATTGCCCTACTCATGCAGCTATCATAAGCAGTCCACAACCACTTTTTTTTCTAAATCATAATGGTAATTCTTACAAAGCAAGAAATTATAGCATGATTCATCTCAGTTTATATAAATGGGTCATCTTCCTCACAGCTGATACCAAACATTGGTAAGATACTGGAAACAGGCTGGGTACTTCTGGGTCTGAAAACACCTTGAAAGCACTTCTCTTTTGAGTTAAGAAATGTCAGAGTTGAAAAGAATTTGAATGAAAGAAAAAACCTTAAACGTGTGTAAATATAGAGGTTATACACAGACTCCATATTATTTTGCTTTCATTAAAGATTATATTTTGAATATTGGGGAAAATAAAGCTAGAATGGTGATCCCGAGCAGGGCGGAAATGAATAAATACAATTAAGTATGAGATTCCTCATGGAAGGAGATGGATGTGCAGACAGGGTTGGTGATTCCTCAAGGATCTAGAACTAGAAATACCATTTGACCCAGCGATCCCATTACTGGGTATATACCCAAAGGATTATAAATCATGCTACTATAAAGACACATGCACAAGTATGTTTATTGCAGCACTATTCACAATAGCAAAGACTTGGAACCAACCCAAATGCCCATCAATGATAGACTGGATTAAGAAAATGTGGCACATATATACCATGGAATACTATGCAGCCATAAAAAAGGATGAGTTCATGTCCTTTGCAGGGACATGGATGCAGCTGGAAACCATCATTCTGAGCAAACTATCACAAGTACAGAAAACCGAACACCGCATGTTCTCACTCATAGGTGGGAATTGAACAATGAGAACACTTGGACACAGGGAGGGGAACATCACACACTGGGGCCTGTCGTGGGGTGGGGGGCTGGGGGAGGGATAGCATTAGGAGAAATACCCGATGTAAATGATGAGTTAATGGGTGCAGCAAACCAACATGGCAAATGTATACCTATGTAACAAACCTGCACGTTGTGCTCATGTACCCCAGAACTTAAAGTATAATAATAATTCAAAAAAGTCTTCATTTTACAAACATGAACTTACTACAAAATGAATTTCCTTTCAAAAGCAGTGATATTTGTTTTAATCACTATAACACTATATACTATAATATACTTTCATTAACCACTTCCAGCTTTAAATATAATAGAAAATAGGATATCATTATCAAAACCAACAAGAACTAGTCATTAACCAAAACATGTAAACCTTCATGGGCAAAACTTTAAAGAATATAGAAGATGTGAGTAAGTGGAGAGAGAACTATGCTCCTGATGGTTCAGTTTAAAATAGTATAAATCGTATTTAACATATAAATTAAAGACAATTTCCCCAGTAAATTCAGCTGACATTTCGAGAAACCCAACAAACTCATATAAATTTTATACTGATGAATAGAGATTTATACTGTCAATTTTAATAAATAAGAGGAAAGAGAAGAGGCATATCTTACCAGTTATTAAGACAGAATCAAAGCTTTACTAGTAAAAGACAATATGATACTGGAACAGGAATGAATAAGTAGGCCAGTGAAACAGAACACAGAACATTTGTATGTATGTGTGTATTAAAAATTGATATTCAAAATTTACACCCTAAAACAATGGAGAAATGAAAGTGCCTGTTTTTGATAGTGAAATAACTACTTCATTAGAAATATATAATTTGGTCCCTACCTTATGCCATCCAAATAAGTAGACAGAAAATAGGTAAACAATAGAGATAATGGAAGAAAATACAGGAGAATTCATTCGTGATATATAACTGGAGAAAATCTTCCTAAACAAGACTCTAAAGGCAAACAATAAGATGAAAAATGGATATTGGCTACATCAAAATTAAGACAAAAATTAACAACTTCTGTTCAGGATGAGACACCATAGTTAACACTAATAAACAGGTAACTGACTAAGAAAATTATTTGCAAGATTTGAAACCAACAAAATCAATATCAAAACTAAACAAATTTAAAATGAAGTGGAGATGTAATTGAAGTGAGGATATAATTTTAAAATGGGCATATGATGTAAAGAAGCACTCATAGGCAAGGAAGCCCAGTGTCCAGTATACACACTAAAAAATTATCAAATTAATAACCAGAGAAATTGACATTTTTAATGAGATACCATAAGAAGCTGTCAAGTGGCAAAAATTATAAAGATGAATGATACCAAGTTTTGGTAAGTAGTGCACTGCTGGTGGGAGTTTCATTCTGGAAACTCACTGTGCTCACAGTAATTTAGGTGTGTGTTTGCCCCAGACCCAGTGATCCCATCCTGGGTGTCTCCCAAAGAAATGCTTTAAGAGGTCCCTGATGGGCAATTTTTGGAGATATTCCCAGTGGCATTGTTACTGATCTTGGAGAGCCGGAGGCTAGACGAATGGATGTATAAAATATGATAGATGCATACCATGGACTAATACATATCATATACACATAACAGAAGTGGCATATACATGTATATACACACACATAGATATAGATATTTATTTGTATATAGTTATATATATGTTATACTTATGGACAGTATGGATAGGTGTTAAAAGTTATAAAAAGAGCTAAGAATGAGATTTACAGCACAATACTATACATACTAAAACAGCACTATATCTAGTACTACATAGTTTACAAGGATAAATATACAGTTAATGACATTTATCCTTATAATTGTTTTTAATTATAATGGTGACCTAAGGTCAGAGAAGAATGCAAATAAGGATGTGGACAGATACTGATAATATGCTAAGAACTGAGGAGTAAGGTTAGCCCAACTCTGCCTCTTAGGCACCTTAAAAATAGAGTGAAAATAAATACTACAAATATACAAATGGACATAGGAATATTTCATTCTTATGCATAACAGTTGCGTTGCTCATCTAATAAAAACACTTTAAGGTTGTTCTATGAGGCCTAGCAGGCCTATTGCACTAATCAAGCAAGAAAATTATTTTGTTTGAAAAAGGAATTTGGCTTCCTAGAACTGTGTTTGTAAATATTATCTATAGGTGATTCTTCAAAGACTCAGTTTTAGAGTTTTCCAAAAAGAATTTCAAGTATCTTCCTCAAGACCTCTGAAAAGCAAGTCGTTCTAGTATTGCTTTTGTTGGATGAATTTTAAATTCAATTCTTTATCTAGTTGGAGATATCGCATATGGGTTTCATAAACCAGATAAGGAGAGCCCTGAATGATCTCTGAGGCTCCTTGTAACTCTAACATCCTACAACCTTTCTCTTCTGAGTTTTAGCTGGCACAGACTTGCTCTATGTTCCAATGAGAAAAATAATACATTTTAAAAAACTGTATGTCTTTTTCTGAATGGAATAAAAATACATTTTAAAAAAGTCAGACATTCTCTAGACAGCAACAAAGTGTTTTGCTAAAACATTAATTAATATACATAAATGTGAGACAACAATCATGATTTTTTTTTTTTTTTTTGGATCCTGAGAACAACTGGGGGAAACCTTATTTTCAAAATCTATTCCTGTCCAATTGTGGCTTATCCTTGAAGACAACATAGGGTTTCATTAGTCTTATATTGATACCTTCACTAGCATTTCAAGCATCTAGAATGATTGCAAAGCCTATCATAGTAAACGGTTTGGAAAAACGTGCCTCACAAAGCTCTCTTGTCTCTCATTGAAAGCGAAGTGATGGAGAAGTTAAAGGTGAGGAAGTGCAAAGAATGTTAAAATGGAAAGAGAAAAAAAGGAAGAGGATGTGATGTTACAAACCTGCAAACAGCACATAAAAAACCCGTCTTGAAAAAATTGATCTCATGGAGGTAGAGAGTCAAATGATGATTACTAGAAACTGGGGAGGGTGGAGGGAGGTATGGAGGGTGGAGGGGGTTGGGGAGGAAGAGAAGTTGATTAATCAGTACAAACATACACACAGTAGGGTAACTGTGGTTAACAATAGTTTATTGTATATTTCAAAATAACTAGAAGAAAATATTTGAAATGTTCCCAACACAAATAAATGATTAATGTCTGAGGTGATGGATATCCTAAATACCCTTAGCTGATCTTTACATATTATATCTATGTTTCAAAATGTCACATGTACCCCATATATATGTAAAATTATTATGTATCAATTAAAAATAAAAATGAAAATAATAAAGTAATTATGAAAATATAAACGACCTGTCAATCTATTCTCTCATTTCAGTGAAGGGAAGTACAGAATCAGTTGTCATCCCATGTACTAATGGAAATGTTAGGGAAACCATCTCAAGGCCCAGCTAAAACTTGGGATGAAACTCATCAAGGACAAGGAACACTGAGCTATTGGTATTTGCCTCGTGTATCTTGAAGACTTGACAATAAATCTCTTTTTCTCTGCAGTGGTGGAGAAAACTATTATGCACAACATTAAAGGAATACAATTGGAATTACCAGAGTCAATGTGAAAATATGTAACAATATTTCACCCAAGAAAAAGCATAGAAAACTAATGAGACAGTTGCTGGACTGTAAAGAGTTTTTCATTTTCCTAAAAAAGAGTCAATCTCCTCAGATGGAATGCCAGTAGTGATGTACATGACGGTTCCCAAAGCAGCCAAAGACAGACATTTGTGTTGTTGATGCCACCTTGACTTGTTGAGAGAGAAATATTGATGATGAACAAATGTAGAAACAGGGGGAAAGTGAATTGGATGGTGAATGTATCATATTGTCTTTCTTGTCTGGAGAAAGCTCTAGGTGTTTTCAGCACTTAATCTCATAGTTATAACTGGTTAGGAAATGCTGGGTTTTCAATAATTTATTTCTAACATCAAAATCATGTCATATTTCAGTTTCTTTTCAGGGCTCATAAAAGAAGGACCTTGCTACACAACTTTAAGAAAAGTTGATCTGAGATCTTCTGGTGGCTACACAGTTGGAACTATGAGTTACGTACAAAAAAAAAAAAAAAAAAGAAAAGAAAAGAAAAGAAAGAAAGAAAGAAAGAAAGAAAAGCCAACAGACAAACTGAGGTCCCAAGGTGACCTCAGAATCTGCCCCTTTTTTGAGGCATGTACAAAGGGTTTATGTGTTTGAGTGTGTGTATCCTGAAGTCACACAAACTAGTAGGAAGAACAGAAAATGTTCACAGATAATGACCTAAAACCTCCTTATTCTGCCCTTTTCTCTCCTTTACCTTCCATTAACCTCACTCTCTTGCCATAAACTTCCCACTGTACCTGGGAAAATGGTTTCAGTTTTAGGAGGAGTCCTATTAAAATCATTTCCAGACCAGGTGCGGTGGCTCACGCCTGTAATTCCAACACTTCGAAAGGCCCAGGTGGGAGGATTGCTTGAGCTCAAGAGTTTGAGACAAGTCTGAGAAACATAGTGAGAACTCATATCTACGAAAAATTTTAAAAAATTGCCGGCACCATGGTGCATGCCTGTGGTCCCACCTACTTGGGAGTCTGAGGTTAGAGGATGGCTTGAGCCCAGGAATTCAAGACCAGTCTTGGCAACATGGCAAAACCCCGTCTCCATAAAAAATACAAAAATTTAGCCAGTGTGGTGGTGCAAACCTGTAGTCCCAGCTACAGGAGAGGCCGAAGTGGCAGGATTGCTTGAGCCTGGGAGGTCAAGGCTACAGTTAGTTGTGATTGCACCACTGCACTCCAGCCTGGGTAAAAGAGCAAGACCCTGTCTCAAAAAATAAGTAAAATAAAATAAAATAAAATAAAACTTTCTGCACACCACTTTCCTTCCAGCTGCGGAAATACGGAACCACAAATGCAGTTTCTTGCTATTTCTTTGTTTTTCTCCCCTGCATTTACTGGGATTGTTGTAAGCTTTTCCTCCATGTCATTTTTTTTCCAGCCTTGTCTATACTGTGTTCTGCTGTTCCCCATTTAAAATGCTTTATTTTGTGTATTAAGAGCCCAAAATCATATTAGGTCAGTATAAAAGTAATTGCAGTTCTTGCCATTAGAAGTAATGTGGCAAAAACTGCAATTACTTTTGTACCAACCTAATATTGCAATGAGTCTGAATACAGCACATTATTTTGAAAATCCATGTGCCCTCAACACTTCATTCTGAAAAACTTCAAATAAAGCTCACAGAAAAACTGAACAAATAGTAAACATTGAATACTCATTTCTCCTTCAGTGTCATTTACCCATTGTTATCATTTTGCCACATTCCCTTTATCTCTCAGGACACTTCATCGCTTCAGTAAGTATCTCCTTCATACTTCAGGATCTCCTAAAGATAAGTAAATTCTGCTCCATGACCACAATATCATTATTATACCCCCCAAATTTAATGCTAACAATAGTTTTATCAAATACACTATCCAATACTCAATTTTCTTCAATTGTCCACGAATGTACTTTCTAGAATTTATTTTGCTTTGTTTTTGCTTTTGTTTTTGACCCAGTATGCAATCAAAGATCATGTATTACATTTGGCTATCATAACTCTTTAGTCTTCTTTAATCTATAATTCCCTTACTTTTTATTTTGCCTTCATTTGAAATTTTGGAAAGCTTATTTTATTGTAAGCTGTCCCATAATCTGGATTTATCTTATTGTTTTCTCCTGGTAGATTCAAATTAAACATTCTGGCAAGAGGGTAGGCCAGGCAAGGTTGTCTCCTTCTCAGTGCATCACAATGAAAGACAACTAATATCGTCTACTCCATTGCTGATGAGGCAAAATTTGATCACATAGCTATGATGTTGTCCACCAGATCTCTCCATTGTAAAAGCACATCTTTTTTCTGCTTTGTAATGTATAATTAATTTGTGGAATGACATTTAGAAACTGTGCAAATATCCTGTTGCATGTTCCCCAATAACTTTTTTTTTTTTTTTGACAAGGAGTCTCGCTCTGTCCCCCAGGCTGGAGTGCAGTGGCGCGGTCTCGGCTCACGGCAAGCTCCGCCTCCCGGGTTCACGCCATTCTCCTGCCTCAGCCTCCCGAGTAGCTGGGACTACAGGCGCCCGCCACCATGCCCGGCTAATTTTTTGTATTTTTAGTAGAGACGGGGTGTAACGGTGTTAGCCAGGATGGTCTCGATCTCCTGACCTCGTGATCCGCCCGTCTCCGCCTCCCAAAGTGCTGGGATTACAGGCGTGAGCCACCGCGCCCGGCCTCCCCAATAACTTTTTACTCATTGGTTTTAGCATCTATTAATGATTCTTACCTATATCAACTGGTGGTTACAAAATGGTAATGTTCCTGTATATCATGTCTACTGCATCCATTAGCTGGATTCTTTTGTAGATAAACATTTTCCCTTTCTCCCCTCACCCCTATTTTTAACAAAAGAACGCTATGGACTTATACTTATCTTTTTAATGAATGTGATATGATTTATTAACATTACTTATTTTGTTGCTTAAATAGTCCCAAGTTTGGTTGGTGGGAACTCCTTCAAGCTGGCTCTTGTGACCTTTTGAGCACTTTCTTGTTTCTTTGGTATAAAAATATGTTCCAGCTGCACCTTGTACTTTCTCTGTTCCAGACCTAGAATCAACCATTTGTCCAAAGAGCCTTCTTCCTTTTATGGAGATTAGTATTTTAAAAATCAAGATTTGGTAACTAGATGTGCTCTTTGCTACTAGAGTATAATTGCTTTTAGGTCACTTCAGGAACTAGAGATAGGAAATAAGCATATTTTCGTATCATGACTTCATACTGATACTTGTGCCTATTGTACCAGTACTTAAGTAGACAATGAAAAAGGCTGGCGGACATCTACTGGCCAAGTAATTTTGTCTACTTGGTTATCTTCCATAGCGGATGCTCTCTGGTGGACACGAAGTTGTGATACAAAAATCTTCACACATTTTGTGTACTTCCATATGTCCATCCACATGCCTCTATCCCAGACCTCCTTGTCACTGAGGCCTCTGCCCATTAAGCTAATTTTCCTTCCTCCCTGCTGAAGCCACCTCTAAATGATACTATAGTCAGCTGCCCTTTATCTCAGCTTCCACACATGGAACTGACCCATCCAGAAACCAAGATCAGCCTTTTTCTACCTCCTTCATCTGAGAGAGGGGCACTGGTGCAACCATGGTGGGTGCCATGGGAGTCTGGGTTAGCATGCAGCTCTGGTTCTGATCATGCCCAATCCTGAGGTTCCATTTCCATCTTGTGAGGGATTGCTGCTGGCATGCCCCATCTTATGAATTTGTGCATTTGCCTGTTCACTGCTCATGAGAGGCAATTCCAGATGTGTGATCACTTGGTTTCCCATGGTCAAGCTTTCCATCTTTATAGGGCCCAAGTGACACGCCAGGTACATAATTTTCTGCTGCAGATGGCATGGCCTTGCTCTGGAACCTCGGGGGTCATGCTTTGTGATTTTCTTCCATAAGGTTTCTACAAACTCCACACAGCATCCTTTCTCACCACTAATAACCCCACCCCACTGGGTCTGCGGTTCATGTGACCCCAGTGGCAGAGCTGCTTACCTAGCAACTTGGACCTGTTGCAGAGCCCTTTCTTACTCTGGGGTGTATTCAAAGCTGGCAACCATTCATCACTCAGTATATGAGTCAGAGAAACACCACTAGATATGGAATGTGTTGCCTCTAGGACCCAAAGCCTACTAGATCATATACTTCCTGTTTTGTGGAAGAAGGTACCAGATTCAATAACTTATCTTTTAAGGAAATGTCCCAACACAGCTCTGATCACTGAAACTTTAAATGTTTTATAGATGTGGTAGGCCCCTGAAACTCTGTAGGGTTTATCTTCCACCCTTCCAAACACACGTGTTTTACTAACACCTCCAGCATGCTGGCCAATTCTTGCTTACGTAGCGTGTCAACATAATGCTATTAATATAGTGGATTAAGTGATGTTCTATAGAATGTCCAGATGGTCTAGATCTCTTTGGCAGTATTTAATGACAGAGAATGGGAAAGCCAACAGAGATATTGGGGCAAAACTGTTCCAGGTAATCCTGATTGAGACTCAAGAAAAAAATATATATATCCGCTAAATCAGTGGTTACATACCATACAATATGACATCATATTAATCTTCTCTAGGAAAGATACTGTGTCTGGCATGGTGGCTGTGAGCAGGGGTACTAGCTGGTTAAGCTTATGGTAGTTTAGTTGTTCTCCAGGATTTATCCAGTTTCTGCAGGGGTCAGACTAGTGAATTAAATAGATGGAACCACCACTGCTGTATCCTTCAGATTCTTAAGGGCAACACTAATTTCTGCTGCTCTTGGGAAACAATACTGTGTTTTGTATCTATTATCTTGGCAAGGGGTGGTAGTTGTCGAGGCTTCCCTTTGGCCTTCTCCACTCTTACTCCACAGGCTAAGAAGCCAATGTGAGGGTTATGCTAATTACCAAATATATCAATTCTAATTCTAAGACTGCAGAAATGGCAAATGGGTGTGAATACAGACTCAAAGATCGCAGTGTAAGCATGATGTTCACCAGGACTCTATTACTTGGCCTTAACATATTTCCACTCTAACAGGGAACAATAATGATACTTCAGCGCTCTAGATATCAATGTCAGCCTAGACACCGGGTTCACTAGTCCTTTAAATGTCTGGATATTTCCTTTCCCTAGTGTATAGTTACCCAAATACATGACCATATGTCTCTTTAGGGAAAGACTGGAGAAATCACCATGTTTACTTGCCATGGTGTTGCAGAGACCTTCCTCTCTATGTATCTATCTCTCTATATATATATTAGGTTGATGCAAAAGTAAACCACAATTACTTTTACACTCTTAATATATAGGTACAGATGTTTCCATCCCAGAGTCAGTTGCCTGGATTTTCCCCATCAGCACTCTAACCTTGGTATAACAGGCCTGTCATTATTGAACATTAACTTTCTTTAAAATTCACTGCTTAGACTATTAAGTCTTTAACTTTATCCTCAACTTTCTCTGCCCTCCTGGCTATAGGAGATAAGCTAATTTGTATGTAAACAAAGAGCACTTCTGGCTATCAGAGACCTTTTAAATTGTCTGTTAGGGGCCCTCAGCTATTCACTATCTTTCTTTAAGACATCAATGGCACTTGGAGATAGCTACCCAATATTGTTATCCTTAGAGCTACTACTTCCTCCATACTTCTCAGACAGGCGATACAAAGCACTCTCTAGTGCATTTCCTTTTGCTGGTGAACCTTTCCAACAAATCATAACCATTGAACAATTGGACCACCATCTGTGTCAAGGGCTGTGTATCTTCTCCCTAACCATCAGTGAAGAGGTCCTTATTGCTAGCCAGTGATTGGAAATCCTGTTCTTGGCTGCAAATGTTGCAGACTAGATTATTCAGAAGCAGATGCTGCAACAGAGCTTGGGGTGCAAGATTAAAGATCAACACTTGTGAAAAGAAGACAGAGGATATAGGATTTAGGAAAAGAGAGATGACAACTGCGATGCAGGCAATACAAAGCCTTGGCCAACCTGGTGGAGAGCTCTGGAATACTGTCCAACAGAGTTGTCCTGCATTGGGCCTTATGCCTCTGCTTCTCTTAGTCATAGGATGTGGTTGTCTCCAGGAAGGGTGTGACTTTTCATGAGACAGTTCTGCAGCCCAGGGCACCCTGAAATTACTGACAGCTGGAGATTGTCTGCTGTCTGCACTCCCCACATCTGGGCAGCTGGTGCTTCCTTGAAGAGAATCCAGGAGTACATTTCTGTATCTACCACATTGTTTTTTTTTTAGATTACTTGAAATATTTATGTAGTCTAAAGTCAAAATCATGTAAAAAGTTATCCTCAAGGAAGTCTCATTTCTATCCCCTTCCCTTCCACTCCGTAGGAAACCATTTTCTTAGTTCCTGCTTTTTTTTTTTTTTTTTGGTCTGAATTTTTGTTTTTGCAAAAATAAACACACACACTCTCTCTCTCTCCTCTCTCTCTCTCTCTCTCATTTCTCTTTCCTTCTTATGTTGAAGTTAGCATTCTCTTTATATTCATTTGCCCCTTGCTTTTTACTTAACAAATATCCTAGGCGGCACTCCATATTAGTACATAAGAATTTTTTTTTTTTTCAACAGCTGCATGGAACTCTACAGTATGCATATACTACATTTCACTAACCAATTGCCTATGGATGGACATTTAGGTCATTTCCAATATTGTGCTAGTACAAACAATGCTGCAAAGAATAACCTTTTGTGGTTTTCCTACTTCCACATCTTCAACGTAAATTCCTTGAATTGGGAATGCTTGGTCAACTGATAAATGCATGTGGGGTTTTGTTAGATATTGCCAAATTCCCCTCCATAAGGATTATGCGTTTTTATCCTCCCACCAGAGATTTTTGAGAGTGCTTGTTTTCATATAGCCTCACCAACAAAGTGGGTTGTCAATCTTTGGAATATTTGTTAATCTGATAGGTAAGAAACCTAATCCAATTTTCAGATCTGTAAAAGTTTGATATTTTTCTTCATTTAACCTGTTACTTGTTATCTGATCTGTGGATTCTTGTTTTGTGGAATTACAAGGCCTAAGATAGCCTGGCCATTCCCTACCTCTTTGCCCTCATTGCACATCACCCTCCCACCAGTCTATCCTTCCTCACTCTGCTTCCATTGTTCTCCAGTAATTCTGGCCTTCTTTCTGTTCCTCAAGCACTCCACATCAGTTACGGTTCCCCAGAGAAACAGAATTCATATGGTATATATTTTGTAGCAACTATTGCAGGCTGGAACTTCAGAAGCAAATGCTGCAATGAGACTTGAAATGAGATGCTGAGCTGGGTGCAGTGGTTCATGCCTGTAGTTTCAGCTATTAGAGGGGCTAAGGTGGAAGATCGCTTGAGCCCAGCAGTTTGAGGTTATAGTGGGCTATGAATGTACCACTACACCCCAGCCTGGGTGATAGAGCAAGACCCTGTCTTAAAAAAAAACAGAGAGAAAAAAGGAAATGAGATATCAAAATAGTGCTGAAAGAGATCTTTCTCACTCTCTCTTTGTCTAGACAGATCTCTATATAAATATAAATTTGTATACATTTTAAATTTATATAAAGTCCTTTATATTTAAATGAATATAAAATTTATGTATTTATATTAGCAAATCGTAATAAATAAATATAAGAATCTTTATATTTCTGTATATCTATTTCTAGATATATATCTAGATATCCAGGTATTTTTCTATATAGATATCTTTCTGTATATCTCTCTCTGTTGATTGATCAACAGAAAGAGAGAAAGAGGGGAGAGAGAGAGATTTATTTTAAGGAATTAGTTTATGCAATTGTGGAGCTGACAAGTTCAAAAGCCGTAGGGCAGACTGGCAAGGTGGAAACAAGCAATAGTTGTTAATGCTGCGGTCATGAGGCAGCATATCTTCTCTGGGAAACCCGTTTTTGCTCTTTTTTTTTTCTTTTATTATTATACTTCAAGTTTTAGGGTACATGTGCACATTGTGCAGGTTAGTTACATATGTATACATGTGCCATGCTGGTGCGCTGCACCCACCAACTCGTCATCTAGCATTAGGTATATCTCCCAATGCTATCCCTCCCCCCTCTCCCCACCCCACAACAGTCCCCAGAGTGTGATATTCCCCTTCCTGTGTCCATGTGATCTCATTGTTTAATTCCCACCTATGAGTGAGAATATGCGGTGTTTGGTTTTTTGTTCTTGCGATAGTTTACTGAGAATGATGATTTCCAATTTCATCCATGTCCCTACAAAGCACATGAACTCATCATTTTTTATGGCTGCATATTATTCCATGGTGTATATGTGCCACATTTTCTTAATCCAGTCTATCATTGTTGGACATTTGGGTTGGTTCCAAGTCTTTGCTATTGTGAATAGTGATGCAATAAACATACGTGTGCATGTGTCTTTATAGCAGCATGATTTATAGTCCTTTGGGTATATAGCCAGTAATGGGATGGCTAGGTCAAATGGTATTTCTAGTTCTAGATCCCTGAGGAATCGCCACACTGACTTCCACAATGGTTGAACTAGTTTACAGTCCCACCAACAGTGTCAAAGTGTTCCTATTTCTCCACATCCTCTCCAGCACCTGTTGTTTCCTGACTTTTTAATGATTGCCATTCTAACTGGTGTGAGATGGTATCTCATTGTGGTTTTGATTTGCATTTCTCTGATGGCCAGTGATGGTGAGCATTTTTTCATGTGTTTTTTGGCTGCATAAATGTCTTCTTTTGAGAAGTGTCTGTTCATGTCCTTTGCCCACTTTTTGATGGGGTTGTTTGTGTTTTTCTTGTAAATTTGTTTGAGTTCATTGTAGATTCTGGATATTAGCCCTTTGTCAGATGAGTAGGTTTAAAAATTTTCTCCCATTTTGTAGGTTGCCTATTCACTCTGATGGTAGTTTCTTTTGCTGTACAGAAGCTCTTTAGTTTAATTAGATCCCATTTGTCAATTTTGGCTTTTGTTGCCATTGCTTTTGGTGTTTTAGATGTGAAGTCCTTGCCCATGCCTATGTCCTGAATGGTATTGCCTAGGTTTTCTTCTAGAGTTTTTATGGTTTTAGGTCTAACGTTTAAGTCTTTAATCCATCTTGAATTGATTTTTGTATAAGATGTAAGGAAGGGATCCAGTTTCAGCTTTCTACATATGGCTAGCCAGTTTTCCCAGCACCATTTATTAAATAGGGAATCCTTTCCCCATTGCTTGTTTTTCTCAGGTTTGTCAAAGATCAGATAGTTGTAGATATGCGGCATTATTTCTGAGGGCTCTGTTCTGTTCCATTGATCTATCTCTCTGTTTTGGTACCAGTACCATGCTGTTTTGGTTACTGTAGCCTTGTAGTATAGTTTGAAGTCAGGTAGGGTGATACCTCCAGCTTTGTTCTTTTGGCTTAGGATTGACTTGGCGATGCGGGCTCTTTTTTGCTTCCATAGGAACTTTAAAGTAGTTTTTTCCAATTCTGTGAAGAAAGGCATTGGTAGCTTGATGGGGATGGCATTGAATCTATAAATTACCTTGGGCAGTATGGCCATTTTTACGATATTGATTCTTCCTACCCATGAGCATGGAATGTTCTTCCATTTGTTTGTATCCTCTTTTATTTCCTTGAGCAGCGGTTTGTAGTTCTCCTTGAAGAGGTCCTTCACATCCCTTGTAAGTTGGATTCCTAAGTATTTTATTCTCTTTGAAGCAATTGTGAATGGGAGTTCACTCATGATTTGGCTCTCTTTGTCTGTTGTTGGTGTATAAGAATGCTTGTGATTTTTGTACATTGATTTTGTATCCTGAGACTTTGCTGAAGTTGCTTATCAGCTTAAGGAGATTTTGGGCTGAGTCAATGGGGTTTTCTAGATACACAATCATGTCGTCTGCAAACAGGGACAATTTGACTTCCTCTTTTCCTAATTGAATACCCTTTATTTCCTTCTCCTGCCTAATTGCCCTGGCCAGAACTTCCAACACTATGTTGAATAGGAGTGGTGAGAGAGGGCATCCCTGTCTTGTGCCAGTTTTCAAAGGGAATGCTTCCAGTTTTTGCCCATTCAGTATGATATTGGCTGTGGGTTTGTCATAGATAGCTCTTATTATTTTGAGATATGTCCCATCAATACCTAATTTATTGAGAGTTTTTAGCATGAAGGGTTGTTGAATTTTGTCAACGGCCTTTTCTGCATCTATTGAGATAATCACGTGGTTTTTGTCTTTGGCTCTGTTTATATGCTGGATTACATTTATTGATTTGTGTATATTGAACCAGCCTTGCATCCCAGGGATGAAGCCCACTTGATCATGGTGGATAAGCTTTTCGATGTGTTGCTGGATTCGTTTTGCCAGTATTTTATTGAGGATTTTTGCATCAATATTCATCAAGGATATTGGTCTAAAATTCTCTTTTTTGGTTGTGTCTCTGCCAGGCTTTGGTATCAGAATGATGCTGGCCTCATAAAATGAGTTAGGGAGGATTCCCTCTTTTTCTATTGATTGGAATAGTTTCAGAAGGAATGGTACCAGTTCCTCCTTGTACCTCTGGTAGAATTCGGCTGTGAATCCATCTGGTCCTGGACTCTTTTTGGTTGGTAAGCTACTGATTATTGCCACAATTTCAGATCCTGTTATTGGTCTATTCAGAGATTCAACTTCTTCCTGGTTTAGTCTTGGGAGAGTGTATGTGTCGAGAAATTTATCCATTTCTTCTAGATTTTCTAGTTTATTTGCGTAGAGGTGTTTGTAGTATTCTCTGATGGTAGTTTGTATTTCTGTGGGATCGGTGGTGATATCCCCTTTATCATTTTTTATTGCATCTATTTGATTCTTCTCTCTTTTTTTCTTTATTAGTCTTGCTAGTGGTCTATCAATTTTGTTGATCCTTTCAAAAAACCAGCTCCTGGATTCATTAATTTTTTGAAGGGTTTTTTGTGTCTCTATTTCCTTCAGTTCTGCTCTGATTTTAGTTATTTCTTGCCTTCTGCTAGCTTTTGAATGTGTTTGCTCTTGCTTTTCTAGTTCTTTTAATTGTGATGTTAGGGTGTCAATTTTGGATCTTTCCTGCTTTCTCTTGTGGGCATTTAGTGCCATAAATTTCCCTCTACACACTGCTTTGAATGTGTCCCAGAGATTCTGGTATGTTGTGTCTTTGTTCTCGTTGGTTTCAAAGAACATCTTTATTTCTGCCTTCATTTCGTTATGTACCCAGTAGTCATTCAGGAGCAGGTTGTTCAGTTTCCATGTAATTGAGTGGTTTTGAGTGAGATTCTTAATCCTGAGTTCTAGTTTGATTGCACTGTGGTCTGAGAGATAGTTTGTTACAATTTCTCTTCTTTTACATTTGCTGAGGAGTGCTTTACTTCCAACTATGTGGTCAATTTTGGAATAGGTGTGGTGTGGTGCTGAAAAAAATGTATATTCTGTTGATTTGGGGTGGAGAGTTCTGTAGATGTCTATTAGGTCCACTTGGTGCAGAGCTGAGTTCAATTCCTGGGTATCCTTCTTGACTTTCTGTCTCGTTGATCTGTCTAATGTTGACAGTGGGGTGTTAAAGTCTCCCATTATTAATGTGTGGGAGTCTAAGTCTCTTTGTAAGTCACTTAGGACTTGCTTTATGAATCTGGGTGTTCCTGTACTGGGTGCATATGTATTTAGGATAGTTAGCTCTTCTTGTTGAATTGATCCCTTTACCATTATGTAATGGCCTTCTTTGTCTCTTTTGATCTTTGTTGGTTTAAAGTCTGTTTTATCAGAGACTAGGATTCCAACCCCTGCCTTTTTTTGTTTTCCATTTGCTTGGTAGACCTTCCTCCATCCTTTTATTTTGAACCTATGTGTGTCTCTGCACGTGAGATGGGTTTCCTGAATACAGCACACTGATGGGTCTTGACTCTTTATCCAACTTGCCAGTCTGTGTCTTTTAATTGGAGCATTTAGTCCATTTACATTTAAAGTTAATATTGTTTGTGTGAATTTGATCCTGTCATTATGATGTTAGCTGGTTATTTTGCTCGTTAGTTGATGCAGTTTCTTCCTAGTCTCGATGGTCTTTACATTTTGGCATGATTTTGCAGCGGCTAGTACCGGTTGTTCCTTTCCATGTTTAGCGCTTCCTTCAGGAGCTCTTGTGGGGCAGGCCTGGTGGTGACAAAATCTCTTAGCATTTGCTTGTCTGTAAAGTATTTTATTTCTCCTTCACTTATGAAGCTTAGTTTGGCTGGATATGAAATTCTGGGTTGAAAATTCTTTTCTTTAAGAATGTTGAATATTGGCCCCCACTCTCTTCTGGCTTGTAGGGTTTCTGCCGAGAGATCCGCTGTTAGTCTGATGGGCTTCCCTTTGAGGGTAACCCGACCTTTCTCTCTGGCTGCCCTTAACATTTTTTCCTTCATTTCAACTTTGGTGAATCTGACTATTATGTGTCTTGGAGTTGCTCTTCTCGAGGAGTATCTTTGTGGCGTTCTCTGTATTTCCTGAATCTGAATGTTGGCCTGCCTTGCTAGATTGGGGAAGTTCTCTTGGATAATATCCTGCAGAGTGTTTTCCAACTTGGTTCCATTCTCCCCGTCACTTTCAGGTACACCAATCAGACGTAGATTTGGTCTTTTCACATAGTCCCATATTTCTTGGAGGCTTTGCTCATTTCTTTTTATTCTTTTTTCTCTAAACTTCCCTTCTGGCTTCATTTCATTCATTTCATCTTCCATTGCTGATACCCTTTCTTCCAGTTGATCGCATCGGCTCCTGAGGCTTCTGCATTCTTCACGTAGTTCTCAAGCCTTGGTTTTCAGCTCCATCAGCTCCTTTAAGCACTTCTCTGTATTGGTTATTCTAGTTATACATTTGTCTAAATTTTTTTCAAAGTTTTCAACTTCTTTGCCTTTGGTATGAATGTCCTCCCGTAGCTCAGAGTAATTTGATCGTCTGAAGCCTTCTTCTCTCAGCTCGTCAAAGTCGTTCTCCGTCCAGCTTTGTTCCGTTGCTGGTGAGGAACTGCGTTCCTTTGGAGGAGGAGAGGTGCTCTGCTTTTTAGAGTTTCCAGTTTTTCTGTTCTGTTTTTTCCCCATCTTTGTGGTTTTATCTACTTTTGGTCTTTGATGATGGTGATGTACAGATGGGTTTTTGGTGTGGATGTCCTTTCTGTTTGTTAGTTTTCCTTCTAACGGACAGGACCCTCAGCTGCAGGTCTGTTGGAGTACCCTGCCGTGTGAGGTGTCAGTGTGCCCCTGCTGGGGGGTGCCTCCCAGTTAGGCTGCTTGGGGGTCAGGGGTCAGGGACCCACTTGAGGAGGCAGTCTGCCCGTTCTCAGATCTCCAGCTGCGTACTGGGAGAACCAGTGCTCTCTTCAAAGCTGTCAGACAGGGACATTTAAGTCTGCAGAGGTTACTGCTGTCTTTTTGTCTGTGCCCTGCCCCCAGAGGTGGAGCCTGCAGAGGCAGGCAGGCCTCCTTGAGCTGTGGTGGGCTCCACCCAGTTCCAGCTTCCAGACTGCTTTGTTTACCTAAGCAAGCCTGGGCAATGGCGGGCGCCCCTCCCCCAGCCTCGCTGCCACCTTGCAGTTTGATCTCAGACTGCTGTGCTAGCAATCAGCGAGACTCCGTGGGCGTTAGGACCCTCTGAGCCAGGTGTGGGATATAATCTCATGGTGCGCCGTTTTTTAAGTTGGTCGGAACAGCGCAGTATTCGGGTGGGAGTGACCCGATTTTCCAGGTGCCGTTCGTCACCCCTTTCTTTGACTAGGAAAGGGAACTCCCTGATCCCTTGTGCTTCCGGAGTGAGGCAATGCCTCACCCTGCTTCCACTTGCGCACGGTGCGTGCACCCACTGACCTGCGCCCACTGTCTGGCACTCCCTAGTGAGATGAACCTGGTACCTCAGATGGAAATGCAGAAATCACCCGTCTTCTGCGTCGCTCACGCTGGGAGCTGTAGACCCGAGCTGTTCCTATTCGGCCATCTTGGCTCCTCCTCCGCCCGTTTTTGCTCTTAAGGACTTTAAACTGACTGAATGAGGCTCACTCACATTATAGAAAGTAATCTCTTTAATGAAAGTCAACTGATTGTAGATGTTAATCACATACATCTGTTTAAAAAAATCAAAATACAGCAACACCTATATTAAATTTTTGATTTATCTGTTTGATTAAATAACTGAGTAATACAGTCTAGCCAAGCTGACATGTCAAACTGACCATCACACCCTCCAAATTTGTTCCTGTTTTTTCAGCCTAAAACCTCTGCTCTCCAATCCTGGAATAAATGGCTTCTTATCATTCGGGTCTATATTTTAAAAATATTGGTCAAATAATGAAGCAGTGAATCTCCTACTTGGGCATTTTTTGTGCCCTGGAAAATGGCAAAAATCGTGTGCCAGTTCTAGCCTCTGCAGAGGTCCTATGGTGACTGATAATTGTTTTGTTTGAGGAGGCTGAAGATAGGGCCCTAATCCCTTCTAGCTTATAGGGTTTCTGCTCAGAAATCTGCTGTTAATCTGATAGGTTTTCCTTTATAGGTTACCTGGTGCTTCTGTCTCACTGCTCTTAAGATTCTTTCCCTTGTATTAACTTTGGATAACCTGATGACAATGTGCCCAGGTGAAGATCTTTTTGCAATGAATTTCCCAGGTATTCTTTGTGCTTCTTCTGTTTGCATGTCTAGGTCTCTAGCAAGGCCAGGAAAGTTTTCTTTGATTTTTCCCCCAAATATGTTTTCCAAGCTTTTAGAATTGTCTTCCTCAGGAACAGCAATTATTTTTAGGTTTGGTCATTTAACATAATCCCAGACTTCTTGGAGGATTTTTCATATTTTCTTATTCTTCTTTCTTTGTCTTTGTTGGATTGGGTTAATTTGAAGACCTTGTCTTTGAGCTCTGAATTTCTTTCTCCTACTTGTTCAGTTCTATTGCTGAGACTTTCCAGAGCATTTCACATTTCTAAAAGTGTGTCCAAAGTTTCTTGAATTTTTAAGTGTTTTTTCCTTAAGCTATCTATTTCCTTGAATATTTCTCCATTCACTTCTTGTATCATTTTTTTGGGTTTCCTTGCATTGGGCTTCACCTTTCTCTGGTCCCTACCTAATTAGCTTAATAACTAACCTCCTGAATTCTTTTTCAGGTAAATCAGGGACCCACACTCTGGGTTTGGATCCACTGCTGGTAAACTAGTGTGATTTTTGGGGGGTGTCGAAGAGCCCTGTTTTGTCATATTGCCAGGGTTGGTTTTCTGGTTCCTTCTCATTTGGGTAGCCTCTGTCAGAGGGAAGTCTAGGGCTGAAGGCTGTTGTTCAGATTTTTTTTTTTTGTCCCACAGGGTGTTCCCTTGATGTAGTACTCTCCCCCTTTTCCTGTGGATGTGGCTTCCTGTGAGCTGAGCTTCAGTGATTGTTGTCTCTCTTCTGGATCTAGCCACCCAGTGAGTCTACCTGGCTCCAGGCTGGTACAGGGGGTTGTCTGCAGAGTCCTGTGATATGAACTGTCTATGGGTCTCTCAGCTGGATCCCAGTGCCTGTTCCATTGGAGGTGGCGGAGAAGGCAATGGACTCCATGAGGGTTGTTAGCTTTTGTAATGGTCTATTATTATGCTTTCCAGAAAGCATCAGCTGTAATAGCATGGAGAGGGACCAGCGGTGGGCTGGGCCCTAGAACTCCCAAGATTAAATGCCCTTTGTCTTCTGCTACCAGGGTGGATAGGGGAGGACCATCAGGAGGGGGTGGGACTAGGTGTGTCTGAGCTCAGACTCTCCTTGGGTGGGTCTTTATGTGGCTGCTGTTGGGGAGGGGGGTGAGATTCCCAGTTCACTGGAGTTGTGTACCTAGGAGGATTATGAATGCCTCTGTGGAGTCAGGCAGGTTGTCAGGGAAGTGGGGGAAAGCCGGCAGTCACAGGGCCCACCCAGCTCCCATGCAAACCAAAGGACTGGTCTCACTGCATGTGTATTTAATGTGACAGTTACATCCCTGCTTTTCCTGGAATTTAGAATCCAAGATATTTGGATGTGGACATAGAGCAGAATAAAAGCATTAAACCAATACATGACTCAACAAGTTTTAAATCCAAGGACAGGTGCATTTGAAGAGGGCAGAGTAAGAGAAATGCATGGTTAGGTTGTAAGGGAGGGTTCTCATTCAAATTGGACAGGTTTTGAGGAAGCAGTTAGGGGTAAGGATAAGGCGGTCATGCTTACCTAAGAGCAAAGCAATTTCCTTTTCCTGTTAAAGTGAACTGGCCTGTTGGCAGATAGAACTGAGAAGAATGTAAAAGCATTAAACACCCACTGCCCTTTTCTTAACATACTTGGCTGTCTAAGATTCTCTTTGACTTGCACAGTCTTGCCATTTGAGAAATGAATGGGACCCTTTGGTGCTGTCCTCTAGCACCGTTTCCATACATGAATTACCCTCTCTCAGAATATAATCAGAGTTCCAGTGATCTCTTTCAGATCTTCTTTCATATCTTTTCTCTGTGCATGGTGCCTTTCCTCTTTTCTAGAAGCCATCAATTCATTTATTGATGGCGTCTACATGCCTGGCACTATTGAGTGCCTCTATGTGCCTGGCACCATTCTAAGCAATGGGGATACAGCAGTGAACAAACTAAGACAGCTGGATAATGGACATTAGATGAAAAGTAAGCATTAAGGAGATAGCAGGATGGAGGAAAATGTCAAACTAGTAAAAACTAAAAAGATATTGTGCCACTCAGCTACCTAATAAACATCAATGATAGGTTGATAAACAGAGTTCATTATCCCTTTCTCCCAAGGCTACGTCCTAGTAACAGTGCTAAAATCCTTGATGGTGCCCTTAAGCAGATCCAAACTTCAGACCTGCGCAAAATATAATCATTCCCATCTCAGCCCAGCTGCTAAATGATGGAAATCCTGAAATAGGACTAGTATTCAGCTGATTTGTACTACTATAGATAAGGTTTGCTAAAAATATTGAAATATGTTGGTAAGAGTTGGTAAGGAGCTAATGTCCCAAGCCTCATGAATGCCCCCTAACACTGCCATAGCCCATGGGACCCTCAGGATCTCCCTACAGTCTGGCAACTAAAGGATTAATGCCTGGTCTGGCAGGTAGCCTAGAGACTCTATTTCTGCATCAGACTGGGGTCCCTTCTAATTGATCAAGGCATATGCTGTATCAACTATTAAACATATTTGATAACACCTCAAGCTAAAATATCTGCAGAGGCCACAAGGAAAAGGACAGACTAGAGCCCAAAGATGTGTTGCAAGAATGGCAGCTTCAGTGTCAGCTTCCTTCTTCTAGGCAGCAGAAAATCATTGAGAGGGCCCTCAGGAGTATTTAGCAGTGCTCATCTCAAAGCTAGAAATTCAGCTTATGAGTAGCTAGACAGTTTGTGATTTTGTGTAATTGGCATTCCAGAAGCATATTTGTGATTACCTAATCATCTTGTTGTTAACTTTAATGTACGCTTTAGGTAGCAGTTGGGAAACTGCTTGTGGGCTGAGTCTAGCTCATGTCTGATTTCAATCTTGCCCCCTGCTCCCTCCAGGTGCTCTGGCTATTCAGCCTAGAGAGGTGGTACACAGCAAGGTGTATCTTTTTCAGACTAGTTTCTTTGCTTTATTTATTTCTTCTTCTTCTTCTTTTTTTTTTTTTTTTTTCCTGAGACACGGTCTCACTCTCTTTCCCAGGTCTGAGTGCAATGGCGTGAGTATGGCTCACTGCAGCCTCGCCCTCGCAGGCTCAAGTGAGCCTCCCACCTCAGCCTCCTGAGTATCTGGGACTACAGGTATGCGCCACCATGCCCTACTAATTTTTGTAGTTTTTATAGAAAAAATATGGGTTTTGCCATGTTGCCTGAGCTGGCTTTAACTCCTGGGCTCGAGTGATCCACCTGCCTCGGCTTCCCAAAGTGCTGGGGTTACAAGCATGAATCATTGCTCCCAGCCACTACACATTTCTCTTTCTTTCATTTAAGAAGTTATTTTATTTGAATGTTAATGACTTAATTTTTATTTTGAAAGACGTGCAGACACATAGCTTTAAAAGCCAAGTTGTTCTATGGGGTCGACAATGGAAAACAGCAGGCTCACTCTCCTCATTTTTGGTTCCTTCTCCCCAGAGTGCCTGATTTTATCTCTTTTATCTCTCTGGTTTTATTTTATAAAAACCATCTGGTTTTTATATCCATATTTCTAACTCACATGTGTACTGAGCTACTACCTGAATTTTTAGTTTCAGACACTATCTGTGGATTTCCTACTGTGGAAAATGAAGATTAACTCTATCACACTCATACCCCTGCTCCTTTTCTTCCCATGTCTTCCAATATGGTTATATTGTCATTTTAAAATTTAAAAACTTAAATTTTAAAATGCAGAGACCCCAGCCATGATGCAGAAATCGAGTAAAACAAAACTGAAAATTTTAAAATTCCCCATTTTATTATGAGGAATTTTGAGCATACTCGTAGAAGGATATTATATAATGAACCCTCATGTACTTATCACACAGCCCCAATAGCCATTAACCTGTGGATAATCCTGCCCCATCCACACCCCACCCACTTTCCACACCATCTCATGCCAATTCAAAGCAAATCCAAGACATCTGGTTTTTATCATATTTTCTTATTAGATTAATATTCAATGTTGGTATTATTATCCCTGTGTATTGTTTACAGCTGAGCTATCTAGTAGATTATGATTATATTTTCTTTCTTTTATAATTTTATATCTCCCCTGGAGTTAATAATTAACTCATTTTCTACTTGCTTTGTATTTTATGTATCTATCACCAGTCTATCCCTCAAATATCTGCATACATTTATCCATATGTATCTATTTCCCCCACTCTTTGGAGCCCTCAGTCCTGCAGTCCTCCATCCTTCTCCTCACTAGGAGTTGGTAGCTGGCTAGGCCTGTTGCAGAGCTGTGACCTGGGGTCTTCTTTCCCTCATCCTAAGAGTTCTTCACAGTGCTCTCCTACACTGGGCACCTTAATTCTTGATTCTCATGCCTTTCTCTTTCTTGGTTTATTTCCTTGTTTGAGTGTCATACATGCCCTAGCAGTTCCCTATAAAGGATATAAAAATGAACATATTTTGAGATCTTGCATGTCTGAAAATTTTCATTTTAATCTACTACTTAACCTTTTCTATTGGTGAGTGGCCCTCAATTTCAATTCTTTCCCACCCCACTTTAACATTCCTGTGATGTCCAAATGTAAAGATGTAAAGATTCCATGAGAATGTTATTATGTTTGCACTATTCATTTAACTGAATGTTTGTTTCCAATATTGAAAGATAAAATATTTAAATCATTTGAGCTGATTCACATCCCCCCCCATGGAATTCTGATAATCAGCATATATTCGAATACACATAAAATTAATTTCATTTTCCCCATGTTAGCTCACTGTGTCTCCACTCCATCATCCCAATGTCCTGCACAGCTGAGTGAAGCTATCCTGCCCTCTCTAGCACCCACCCGTGGCCTCTGTAGTGGGTATTGTTTGGGCTGACTGGCTTCCAAACATTATTCTTATTTGTGGAAAATCTAAAGTCAGGTGGGAAGAACCAGCTTAAATTCTTTTTATAAAAACTGAAGGAGAGAGAGATATTTCTCTCTTCATTGCCCTGGCAACCAGAGCATGGCATCTGACCTAAAAGTGGCCAATCAGGTGCTTCTGCCTGGAACTCTGGATCTTAAACAACTGAGTTGGAGGAGCAGGCTGAGTCACAGGGTTTTCAGGTGGCTGCTGTGAAGTCTAGAAGCCAGTGCTGTGGTGGAGAGTGTCCAGAGGCACTAGCCCAGAGGCCAACTCCTAAGCAGACATAACTGAAGCTGATCTCAGCTTTGCCTTATCACCTTTGAGTCCTGCCCAGTCCTTGTTCTCCAGCCTTCTCACCAATTCTCTGAACATGTCTTATCCCTTTCAAGAAATTCCTTTACTGTGTAACCGAACTTGATTTCTGATGCAATGGAAAATTGTGACAAGTACATCCTCTAATTTCAGAGCTTCTCTCTATCCCACAAAGATATATGTGGATCAATAATCTAGATGAATGAGAGAGTGCAGGAACAAATTCTCAGTGTGATTCTTGAGAAATTGTATCATCCTGGCTTAGAAGTAATGTAACAACACTCTTCTCCAGGGTGGCTACAAGTGGTGTTTGGGAGATTCATCAATTCATCCAGGTGCAAGCTGAGCTGGGAGCAGAGTGGAAAGGGATTCTTTATCCTTCCTAGTTTAGCTCAGAGCAGTTTTCACCTCTATAGAGAAAGAAAAATGGCAGTCATAAAATTAATGTGGATTTTCTTTTCTAATCATGGTGGTAGTTTGTTAAAAAGAAAAACATTTTATTCAAGGGGTTTTGTTTTTATAAATTGAAAACATTTATGGGAAAGTGTATCAGAGACTGCTGGTTGGGCTACCTATATCTAACCCCCTTCCCCTTCCTTGCTTGACATACTTTGGGTGTTGTGGCAGATTGATAGATTTCCTGCAATAATGCTTATCCTCTTCCTTTGTATCAATAGGATTTTCTTTTCAACACCCTTGGACACTCAGAATGAAGACTGCTTTTCCCACACTCCCATATGTGGCCATGTGACTAAGTTCTGGCCAATGGGATGTAAACTAAAGAGTGACTTTGTAGCCTCTAAGAATGTTGTTTAAAACGCAGCCGGTATGCCATTCACTCCTTTTCTTTATTCGTTTTCTCAATCTGCAGCCTGGATTGTGGATGCAATGGCTGCTATCTTGGACCAAAAGGTCCAAGATATGTTGGACCTCGACATAGCAGGGTGGTGAGCTGAGAGGAGCAGAGCTGCTGCTGTGGTAGATGGGTTTGCAAAAATGACCCCAGTTATTTCCCTCCCCGAATCCATGATCCCTGCAACTTGACTTTGCTGCTATGCTCATCAAGATGTGAAGTCTATTTCCTCACACCTTGCATCTGGCCAAGAGAATGCAGCAGAAGCGGCCATGTGCCAGTTTCATGCCTTGATCTCAAGCACCCCTGCGTGCTTCCACTTTCTCTCTTGGACCCCTACTCCCACCATTAGCACAAGCTTTGGCTAGCTTGCAGGTGAACGAGAGACCATGTGAATGAGAGCTGAGGAGTCCCAGCTGACAGCCAGCCGGGCCTGACTGCACAACTACCTTGTCATAACATAGCTGCACATAAACAGGTAGAGGAGCCCAGAAGAGACCAACATAAGTTATCAACTTGCAAACTTACATGCTAAGTAAATGGTTGTCGTTTTAGACCATACGTTTTGGGGAGATTTGTTATGTCATAACAGAAAGCTTTGCATATTTCTGGTTGTTCTCCTGGACACTTGCCTCTGCCATAGGAATAAGCCTGAACTAATCTACTTCAGGTTTAGAGACAAAGTGGAATATAGTGGAGTCAGCCTACTTCTCTCAGCTGACATATGAGGAAAACCATCCACCAAAAATAGGTTTAACCTGTGGCTGTCTCAGCCACTGATTGCGATACACAGAGGAAATCCAGCCAAGATCAGAAGAACCACTTGGTCGACCCTCAGCTTCATAAGCTAAATTTAGGTTTATTATGTTAAGACATTGGGTGGTGATAGATAACTTACATTTTCTTCCTTTCTTTTCTTTTTTTCTTTTTTTTGAGACAGAGTCTTGTTCTGTCACCCAGGCTGGAGGGCAGTGGCGTGATCTCAGCTCACTGCAATCTCCGCCTCCCGGGTTTAAGGGATTCTTCTGCCTCAGCCTCCTGAGTAACTGGGATTAGAGGCATGTGCCACCACACCCAGCTAATTTTTGTATTTTTAGTAGAGACAGGGTTTCACCATGTTGGCCAGGCTGGTCTTGAACTCCTGACCTCAAGTGATCCACCTGCCTTGTTGAATTACAGGTGTGAGCCACCATGCCCAGCCTATAACTTATATTTCCATATAGGTAATATTCTTTCTTATTTAAGCCTGAATTATTTTGGATCTCTGTTACATACAACCAAACTTATTCTTACCTGATATCATTGTCCATCTTTCCCTCATGAACCTCAGAATTAAATTTTTATTATTCTATGTTAATCATTTGGTTTTATTTGTCTTACCAGTGATGGTTTAATAGTAGTCATGTGACCCAGTTCCTAAAGAAAGGAATGTAGGGGGCTCTGGAAAATGTTTCTTTTTTTTTGAAAGAGATACATGGGAAGAGATGGCCACTTTATCCATCAAGCTTTGACATTTCTGCCTGTAATGCCAGGAACTGAAGGCCATGTCACAATCATGAGGGGAGCTGGCCTCTAAGCGAAAGTTGACATTCTCAGGTAGGATAATGGAAAGATGTAAAGAACTTGGGTCTTTGACAATGTGACTGAGCCTCTTGATAACTTCCCCTAACTCAAGACTACTTGTTATGTAAAATAATATATATCTCAAATGCTTGAGACGTGTATTTCTGTTAATTCCAGCTGAAACTATCCTAAGTGATACAAAATTTTCTTGCTTATTTAATACTATACCAGCTGAGAAAGGTCTTTAAATCACTGAACAAAATGTGCAGTCATTGCCTTTTGGACTTTACAATCTAGAGATAATGATTATAAAAAGAGATTGAGTGTAATAAAGTTCCCATTAGTTACCCAATAAGGAAAAGCTATTCTTTCAATATTGAAGAGGATTTCTGGGTCACCATCAGATATATCTCTCTATCTGTTAAGTATGATTTTCTAAAAATTCTTTTCTTTTTATTTTTCCAGAGGAATACCATCCTTATGTTAAAATAATTTCTTTGGTCATACATAATATTACATGATGATTTTAGGGGCTTATACTTTTAATTTTACTCTTTGTTCAATTCAGAGTAATTTTGCCTTGAGATGCTAGGGTAGGTTGATATTTAAAAATAATATGGTGATGATTTAATTTGATTTAGTAATCACATATATGCATAACAAGTCATAAGCCACTTTGAGCTGTGTTAAAACACTCGTTTAGAAATAAACACCTTGTAGATTGAGGACTGAATCTGGATCAATCTTCTTCCTCATATAGTTTTATATAATTAAGTGATTTTTGGAATGGACATGGTAACCTTGTTCATCTTGCTTGTAAACGTAGCTCCTGGGGGCTGATAGAAGCAGGAGGACCTTTGGTTGCACTGAGAGGATATTTGTAGGCACCATGAAATAGATGAGACCTGGTAAAGACTTTGGGATTCAAACTCTAAACTTAGCCTAGAGATTTACCCTCTTGGCCCCAGAGACTTTTCTGTGGTAGTTAAACTCTGCACATGAGGAATTTGAGCTCTCTGTAGGTTTTTTTTTTTAAGTTGTTTTTCATAGACACACTTTTTCTTCCAGTGTTTTTTTATAGCTTCCCACATGCTGTGTCCATTGTGTACCTCACAACAGGAACTGTTGCTGCAATTCCTCACAGTTTGAAGCATTTCTATGTTGTTAGCTCCCTGCAGTGATTTGTTTCTAATTCTCATGAATATCCTTTTTCAGTCGCATCTTTTGAAGCTATCGTTGTGTTTCACCAAAGATAGAGTGGGACATGTTCACATGGGGGCAAGTGAGGACTTGGAAAATGTGTACATCACCCAGGAATGGCACTGCCAGCCAATATAGGTGGCTTTCACCAAGATTCATGGAATGTCAGTGTTAGAGGGGGCCTTCCAGGCTGAGTTTGGTTCCATGCCTGCCACAGACTAAGTGGGACCTAACATCCAATGGAATCACAGAAAAAAATGAGTCCTTATTTTTTCCTACCACCCATTCCTACATAGGCAGAGTATTTAGAGCAAGTCAGAATGAAGATGTAGAAGTTCCATTAGCAAAGTAATACAACAAAGTTATGTTATGAGAGCGTATTGGTATTAGGAAGAGGAAGGCTTATTTGTCTTGATAATGCTTCATGCAGAAGAATTAGAAGGACCTAAATGTTTCTGCAGCGACTCATATTTGGAATTTCCTTGGCTTCACAGGGAATGGACCCACAAATGACTCCAAGATGAAATTAGATCCCCAGTGGGAGGGTGAAAAAAATAAGATATACTACTATTTAATAGGAAAATTGACTCTGGTACTCTAATGTCATCTGCCTGTCAGATGGTCACATGAGTTCTGATACAGGATATACCCTGAGGAGAGGGTAGGATTCATTGGGAGTGGTTAACATGACAGTCTCACATACTTGCTTGCTTTAGCACATGCAAAGTTCAGTTTACATGTGTCCCAATGAACGTCTTTATAGATTGTATCATCTAGCTTTAACAAAACTGGTTTTCAGAAAATAAACAAGTGACCTCAAAAGTATTCCTGCAAAGATATCTCAGATCAAAGATAGAAATCATATAACAAGCACAGGTTAACGAAAGGATATGGCAGAGACAAATCTTTTACTTGAACTACAAGGCTTTTGGGTCACTTGAAGAGGTTAAAGCTATTATGTCTAATCATACCTGACAAGCATTTATTTTTCAAAATCTTTTAAAAAGTTCATTTATGCCATTAAAGCAAGGATGATGTTTGAAAAAATGAATGAGAAAAAAATCTCCTTTTTGAAAGAGAAAGGATTTTGATAACAGATATAAAGAGATGCTGCCATTGTTATATTATTTTTACAACCAAAAATGATGTAACTGTTACCCCCATTAAAAAATATTGTAACTGTCTACTTAAAAAACTTGGAAACAGAATTTTCTAAATGAAGATTAGATATTTTCCAAATGAAGAGTTTCTGTTTTTTTCTTTTTAATCATATTTACTCAAGCTGACAAATGAGTTTTGAATGAGTTTTGTACCCACTTGTTGAAAATAAAAATTTAATATCTGGGGAGTGATCAGAGGAGGCACTGATAGGGGAGCATTTCTTTGAACATGACCCTGTACAGAGTGTGGTCAAGGCTGGTAGCAATTTTATGGGTTCTGCTTGTTTGCTGCTCAAAAGTTGGGCACATACAAATTGCACAACAGAACAACTGAGTTCAGAGCAATGCTTTGTAAAGTCCAACACTGAGTTAGAAAAACAACTGACTTTATTCTAAAATGACATAACCCATTAGTTAAAATTGGAAGTCTTCTGGCTCTGCCTCCTTGCTCATATCTTGGAAGATGACGATACATCACCAGAGCTGAGATTGTTCTGACCTAGGAGGCTGCAGTCTGCCACTGAACTCTTTGCATCTTTTAGATGCATTATGGACACTTTGTATTAAAATGGGAGTAGTCTCTTTTTAACAGTCTTGCCTTTATTAATGTTCTTATTTAGGCAACCTCGTAATTCTGAAAACGTGGAAATTAACGAAGTCTGATTTTTATTTCTGTCTACATTGAAGCCACCCAGGAGGAAGTTATCTTCATAGGAATAGTTTAAGGAAGTGTCACTTATTTAATTATTTTATTCACAGAACTTAATTTTCTTATATTTGCAATTAGCAACTTTCAAAGTAGAGACATCTGTTATCTGTAATAGGTAATAACAGCAACAGGACATGTGGAGGTAACAAAGATATGTAATAGAGGTGATACATTAATGAAAACGACCTGATGCTTTCTTTAGTTGGAATATTCAGGAAAAAAAATAAAAAGATTTTCATTTCTTCGTTTTCTTGTTTGTCCTCCAAAATGACCTTTGATATCTCATGAAATCTCAGTGGACATATTTTCATTTATGCAACAAATACTTATGGAGTGCCTAGTATGTTCCAGGCAATGTTCTACACAGTAGTATGCATCTTGGCCATAATTGTTCAGGAGCATGTAAATAATAAAATAATTTTGTTTAGGTTAACCCTAAGTTAAGGATTAGCAAGGGCTTTCTGGAAGAATGAAAGGAGGAGTGATGGATGGAGGCTATGACCAACATCCTAGGTTACCTCCTCCCTGCTTCTTCTACATAGCCTCTGCTAATCCTTAGCTTTCTGACAATGTTCCTATATTTATGTTATCTGGTACTATTAAAAATACAATTTATCCAACCCTATCTAGGCCCTGAATGTTCTAGTCAATCTTTTTATTCACCTATCAGGAAATGGCTTCTCTTATTAATGTAGAGCACAAAATGATCCAATATTTGATCAAGAAAAATTAAAAAATGAGGAAGAATTTTTAAAATGATGTACAGCACAGAGGATTTTTAGGGCAGTGAAACTACTCTGCATGAAGCCATAATGGCAGATACATGTCATTATACATTTTTTCAAACCCATAGAATGTACAACACCAAGAGTAAACCCTAATGTAAACTGTGGTCTTTGGGTGATAATGTTTTGTCAATAGGTTCATCAACAACAAAGGTACCACTCTGGTGGAGGATGTTGATAATGGGGTAGTCCATGCATGTATAAGAGCAGTGGGTATATGGGAAATCTCTGTACCTTCCTCTCAATTTTGCTGTGAACCTAAAACTGCTCTAAAAAACAAAGTCTATTGAGAGAGAGAGAGAGAGAGAGATCCTTGTTTCTTCCCCCAAATGCTTGCACCCCCAGTGGTGTTATCTCTTTTTAATGCCTTTTGCCACCACATGAGATAGATGGTCCAGCATCAAAAACAGAAAAAAATGTTTACAAAATTGAAACAGGGTTGGCACAAGGGTGAGGCACTCACCTTAGGCGTAATATATAAGGGGGCACCAAAACCTCAGTAATCTAGATAAACATTTTTATGCAATACTAAAAAAAAAAAGTTGCAAAATCTGTGATGCACAAAGTATTAAAATCTTAAAGACAGGATCCAGCCCTTCATTCTGACAACTCTGCCTTACTCACTGAACCCTAATTTCAGCAGTTGGAAATGCTAGAAATGCCTTTACAAATGACAGATTTTTTTAATGTTAAACTTTCCAGGGAAGCAGCAAAGACCTTTACTGAAACCCAATTTATTCATCGCAGTGTAACAGCACTCTTATTCCTGTTTAATGAGTACAATGTTCAGGCACCTTTGCTTACTTTCTTCCCGACACCCTGCCTGCCTATTCAAGTTTGGCTAAATAAGGTCCTCAGAGCCTCTGTAAGTCAATGTACCAGATGTTGTCTAGGTTACACTTCTCCACTTTGATCCAGCGTTTCAAACCTTCCACAACCCCCTGAGTTCATCTATGCACTTGGATGGTCGAATTTTTAGCCCTATGTCACAACTGACTAGACATTAACACGTCCTCCCAGGCTAAGGTTTTCAGCTTGGCCCATCTTTGGAGCTTCCATTGGACACTCTATCAGGTAATTTTCTTTCTTCCAGAAAGACATATCTATTTCTTGCAAAATATATATTTATTACATGCCCACTGTACAGCCATGGAAATGTGGCACTCAAATCCTCTGCTGCAGAGCAAAATTGTGCTGCTTCCCCTTGGATCAAGCCCTAGGCTCACTCCATGCTTCCCACAGGCTGCTTCCAGCCAGTGACTATCCATGGCAGAAATAGTAAAGCTGGTCCTTTCTTGCAAGACAGAAGCCTCCATTAACAGATGACTTTGGCTCAAAGATTCCCCTATGGCTTGGTCAAACTTTCTAGAGTGACACTGTAGACTGAGGCTCTTCCTACCTAATCCTGCTTCCAGAATTCACCTTCTCCTTCACAGGGGTCAGATCCACATCACCATCCTGCCTGTGACTCCCACCCTTTTATCTTTCACAGGCTGATATAGTTTGGCTGTGTCCCCACCCAAATCTCATCTTGAATTGTAGATCCCATAATTCCCACATGTTGAGGAAGGGACCTGATGGGAGATAATTGAATCATGTGGGCCATTTCCCCCATACTGTTCTTGTGATAGTAAATAAGTCTCATGAGAACTGATGGTTTTATAAGGGGAAACCCCTTTTGCTTGGTTCCCATTCTCTCTCTTGCCTGCTGCCATGTAAGGCGTGCCTTTCGCCTTCTGCCATGATTGTGAGGCCTCTCCAGCCACATGTAACTGTGAGTCCATTAAACCTCTTTTTTCTTTTTTTTTTTTAAATAAATTACTCACACTCGGGTATGTTTTTATCAGCAGTGTGAAAATGGACTAATACGCAGGCATTACCCCCAATGCCTCCACCACGATAAATCTCTTGTAACTTTAATCCTGAATTGACATCAGCTTCTGAAGTAGCCTAACACATTCATGATATTCATATTCTCTAATCTGTAGAGGATTTGAGGTGTTCATGTGTACAGCCATCACTGACATGGTGTTATATATGATTGGGTCTTTATAAAAAAGGAGAATGCTGCCATATTATTCTTAGGTATATTTCCCTCCTCATGGCTGCTCCAAAATCATTTTCACTCTTCAAAAATCTCTGAACTTATTATTTTCCTTTTGCTCTGACTACACTGAGAAAATCAGGGTTACTTAGCCTGAACATCATCTTCCCTCAAAAGCTTTTCCCTTCACTTCAAGACTCCTCTATGCTTTCACTAATTCTTCTCTCTACAGTCCAGGTAAGGTAAGACTTTTTGCTTTGCAATAGTAACCCTTGCATTCTTGATGTTGTCACTTGTTACATCCCTTAGCATAAAACAATGGTAGGCCCGCCAATCAAAGAAAGATCCTCTTGTTCCTGCCTCATCCAAAGGCACTCTCTATCTTCCTCACACTGCCAAACTTTCCCAAAGTGTGGATCATATTCACTATTATCACTTCCTCGCCTCACCATACTAACCTATATATTGGTTTCTGTTCACACTGTTCTATGAAGATAGTTCTCTCAAAGATAACACTGGCTTCCTAATTGTCAAGTTCATGGCCTCATCTGATCCTTCATTTCTGGAATTTTCTATTTAATATTTTTGGGCTGTGGTTGACCATGGGTGACTGAAACTGTGCAAAATGAAACCACAAATAAGGTGGGACTACTGTAATAGTAAACAAGTGAATTTGGGCCTGGGCACGGTGGCTCACGCCTGTAATCCCAGCACTTTGGGAAGCCGAGGCAGGTGGATCACAAGGTCAGGAGATCGAGACCATCCTGGCTAAAAAGGTGAAACCCCGTCTCTACTAAAAATACAAAAAAGTAGCCATGTGCGGTGGCGGGTGCCTGTAGTCCCAGTTACTCGGGAGGCTGCGGGAGGAGAATGGCATGAACCTGGGAGGCAGAGTTTGCAGTGAGCCGAGATCGCACCACTGCATTCCAGCCTGGGTGATAGAGCGAGACTCCGTCTCAAAAAAAAAGAAAAAGAAGAAGTGAATTTGGGAATTGCCCAACACTAAGGTTTTGGAAGTAAATGAGCTCCTTTATCAGGATCGTAAAGGAAAAATACAAGAAAAGAGGGTTAGTCTTAGGGAATGCCTACAATTAAAATGCCAGTGGTGGAGTAAGGGAAAGACGCTATAGAAAGTAAGAATATCAAAAAATCTTTTTGATATATTATCAAAATCTAGATAAAAGACAATTTCAAAAGGGAAGGAGTAGTAACTGGAGTCAAATTTGAATAGAACAAAGGTCCTCTTTTCTTCTATTTTGGCCTCACACTCCTGCTAAGTGAGCCTCTTCCAAAGCCTCAGTTTTTGACAATTCCTAAATCAACCTACTTCTTTACCATTAAAGTAGTCTCTCCTTATCTGGGGTTTCACTTTGTGCAGTTTCAGTCATCCATGGTCAACCATGGTCCAAAAATGTCGAATGAAAAATTCCAGAAATAAACAATTCATAGGTTTTAAATTGCACACTCTTTTGAGTAGCATGAAGAAACCTCATGCCATCTAGCTCCATTCTTTTCCAGACGTGAATCATCCCTTCCAACATATCTACACTCAGTACACTACCTACCTGCTAGTCACTTCATAGTCAGCTTGGTAATCAGATAAAAAAAATCATAGTGTATATAGAATTTCAGGCATCCACTAGGGGATCTTTGAACATCTCCCCTGTGGATAAAGGGGGAACTACTGTATTTCTTTTCTGAGCTCCAGGCCTCTACTTGTGCTGGGCATTTCCACATGGATGTATACTTGGAGGCTTTAACTCACAAGCCTAAAACAAAACTCCTTGTCTTCATTTGCACCCTTGCCTCTGCTTCTTTATCCTCTGCTTCTACCTGTGGCATTACTAACTCCCAGGTACTCAGGCCAAAAACCCTTTCTCCTTTACGTCTACATGTAGATTCCAAATCTTATTGATTCTGCTTCCCCAGATCACTAAAATCCATTTTGTCCTTTCTGTACCTAGTGCTCTCCTCATTGCTAATGGTTTTCTCCACCTCTTATCTCTTGTGTTTCTAAAGCACCCTTTACAGTGCTGCCAGCAGTAACACCATAAGACATAGTTCAGATTACCTTACTGCCCACCTCAGAGATTTGCAGCAGGGCTTCCACTAGTCAAAACTGGAACCATTTGTGCATCAAAATAAACAAGGATAGTACTAGTTTAAAATTTATTGAATCAAATAAGAATTAATGAATCTATTCTGACATAAATGAGCACATAAATAAATAGGCAAGAAGGAAAAAGCCCATCCATATAGTAATCAGTGTAGAAAAAATGTTTAAATTTTAAAAATCACTTTTGGTAACCTCCATAGTAATAATTCATAGTAATAATTATTTCATGCAAGAACCACCAGTGTATGATACAATTACTGGCTGAAAGTTTGGTGAGAAAGAGGATATTATGTAGTCTCAATGTAACCTCACACAAGATATTTATTAATGACAAAGGAGAAATATAATAACTTACAATGAAGAAACCCAGCAGATACTACCTTAACCAAGGTACAAGGTTAATATCACCTGTAACTGGACAGCTGGATATCATGTACCTTGGATATGATGTGCCGAGAAAGAGCCAAACATCTCTCTGTATTCCTGCTCAAAACATATATTGTGAGTCTAACCATGAGGAAATATCAGAATCTACAAGTTGAGAGATATTTTTTAAAATAAATGGTCTGGATTCTTCAAAAGCATCAAGGTCATCAAACTGGAGATTCTAGATTAAAGGAGACTAAAGAAAGAAGAAAACTAAATGCAATTTGTTCTCCTAGATGAACTCCTGGAACAGAATATTTTTCTTTTTCTATAAAGGATATTTGTGAGACAATTAGCAAAATTTGAAAGAGATCTGTAGATGAAAGTTAGTCTTCTGATTTAATTGTATTAAATTTAATTTCCTGATTTTGATAACTGTATTGTGATTACATAAGAGAATGTTCTTGGTTTCAGGAAATGCACACTGAAGTATTTAGTGGGAAAGGAGCATTGTGTGTCTAACTTACTCTCAAGTGATGCAAAATCATCATTGTGTCTATCCATCTGTCTATCTCTATACTATACAACAATGATAAATCAAATGTAAAATATTAACTTTGGGGGAATCTGGGTGAAGGGTATATGAAAATTTTTGGAACTTTCCTGTATTTCAAAATAAAAACTTAAGAAACAAAACCTGCAGTGGAAGGATACATTGCAAACTGTTTTGTATAGCATTAGGAGGGCTCCATGACCTGATGCACATTTTAACTAAGGCAGGTAAAGCACTTTATGCCGTACCCATTCTCTCTACTCTAGATTACCACATTGCTAGAGGTTTCCCTGACAGCTCAGTAGAAAGTCAAGCCCAGTATAATTCCTATTGGCTTTTATTTTTTATTTTTCAATCCTCAACCAGTGGAAGACCAATAGGCTTTTATTAGCAACAATGATGATGATGATGAAGTAAACTGCCTTACAACTGTATCTCATAGAGATTTTCTTATTGTAGTATATATGTGTTTTGCCTTCTTTCTTGACAAGTTCATTAATAACTGTAATCAACATGAGCTAATAGCACACGAAGGCCTAATGGATCATTTGTCTTAGAATTCCATGTAATATTTGGGAAAGAAATTACATAGAGTGAAATGCATATATTTTCTGACATTTAAGAAACCATTTGTTCAGTTCTGGGCTATGAGCCCTCAACCAGGAAAGGGAGAATGGGCCTTATTCCAAAACTTAGAGTGTTTCAAAAATTAGCTGGGTTTTGAAATATGTGTGTGTATTTAATTTTAGAAATGGATGTGATTAATTTTCTGGGAATTTATATAGAAAAAGAAAATAATAGATACCATGAACCAACACAGTAATAATTGGGAAACTGCCCAAATTGGCCATCTTGCTCCTATTCAAATCCTTTGAGCAACTTACTTCCTATTGAGAACAGATGACTATCTACCAAGTTATTGTAAGCTTGCCATCTGACAAAGCTGTTTTGAAGTAAAAGAGGTAAATATTTGAGCTTCAAATGCATTCCTTGTATACACAGTATGCAGAGCAGATATTGTCAGTAAATGTTAAAAAAATTTTTTGAGAAGCCACTAATAAGGTATAATGTGAGGGTGATACTTCTTTTCTTCATCAGATCATATATTATATTGATTTTCCTTAGTCATAAGAGCACCAAGGGGTATAATACTCTTGACAAGTATTTTGGCTGGGGTCAGGCTGAGAATACATCCCATCATGGCACTGTTGGGAGAGATAAGTATCCTGCAGGTGACACACTTCAGCTTGAGTGTAGCTTGGGACAGAAGAGTGGAGCTGTTTGATTAGTTGTGAGAAGGAGGTGCTCACGTCAGCTGCACTCAAGAGGCTGCATCTGTGGGTTTTGCATTTACCATGCCTCCATAATTAAAGCTTTTTACAATTGAAGTTGAAGTTAAGAATCTTGGCTGTCCCCAAAATGATTCAAAAGCATAAAAACATTGCATATACATATATATATGTATATAAAAAGCAAAGAGACTTCTAATTAGTAAGCCTGTTCATTGAGATAATCAACGGATCTGGATTCAAGTTGCAGAACTTTGTCCTACAAGCTGTATAATTTTGGAAAAGTCATTTAGTCTCTTAGAGCAGAGGTCAGTAAACTTTTTCTGTAAAGGGCCAGTTGATAAACACTTTCAGCTTTATAGGACATAGAGTCTCTGTTGCAACTACTCAACTATGCTGGTATAGTGTGAAAGCAGCAAGTAAACCAGGAATGGTAAAACAAACATTGTATGTTCTCACTCATAAGTGGGAGCTAAGTTATGAGAATGCAAAGCATAAGAATGACACAATGGACTTTGGGAACTCAGGGTGGAAGGGTAGGAAGGGGGTGAGGGATAAAAGACTACAAATTGGGTGCAGTATACACTGCTCAGGTGATGGGTGCACCAAAATCTCACAAGTCATCACTAAAGAACTTACTCCTGTAACCAGACACCACCTATTCTCCAATAACCTATGGAAATACACAATTTTTTTTTTTTTTTTTTAAAACATACTTTCTCAGTTTGACAGTGTGGCAGAAAGAGAAAACGTTCATTTAAGGCTTGACGTATTTTTGACTGAAAGTAATAACGTGATTTAAGTTTTAAAAGAAAATATTTTATCTTTTAAAAGTGCCCGGCCGGGCGCGGTGGCTCACGCCTGTAATCCCAGCACTTTGGGAGGCCGAGGCGGGCGGATCACGAGGTCAGGAGATCGAGACCGTCCTGGCTAACACAGTGAAACCCCGTCTCTACTAAAAATAGAAAAAATTAGCCGGGCGTGGTTGCAGGCGCCTGTAGTCCTAGCTACTCGAGAGGCTGAGGCAGGAGAATGGCCTGAACCCGGGAGGCGGAGCTTGCAGTGACCCGAGATCGCGCCACTGCACTCCAGCCTGGGGGACAGAGCGAGATTCCGTCTCAAAAAAATAAAAATAAAAAAGTGCCCAACTTTTCCCCTATTTAAAAATTGAGATAAAATTTACATAGAGTGAAATGCACATATCTTGAATGTGCAATTCAATGAATGTAGAGAAATATATATACCCAAATAAAATCAACCAAATCGGGATATTAATTATTCCCCTCTTCCCCAAAAGTGTTATTGTTCCCCCATACAGTCAATCTATATCCCCCATAGGCAAATGCTGTTCTGATTTTGATCATCATAGAATAGACTTACCAGTTTGGAAACTTCATATAAGTGGAATCTAAATATATAAATAAATCTATGATGTTGTATGTACTAGTAGTTTTTTATATTGCTGAATAATATACTATTGTATGACTATGCCACAATTTGCATATTTTGTAATTATAAAAAAATACCAGGCACATTAGTCTAGCTGAAGGGTAAGAAGCATGGAAACCTGTAATCAGGAAAAGGATTGTGAAGGATCTTAAATGCCAAATTGAGAAATCTACAGCTTGTACATGACATATTTTACAGTGATAGCTGCACATATGCTCCCTTCTGAAGGAACTTGACTGATGAACAGCTCTTGTTAGGGGAGCAAAAGATAGGGTGACTACATGACTTATTGACCTTACTAGCACACTATTTTGAGAGAAAGAAGGCTATAATAATAAGTATGTAGGGTCATGAGTTGTAAACTGGGGTTGTCCCTGGCAAATCAGGAGGTGGAGTTACCCCAGCAATAAGACAACATGACCCAGACTCCTGGCTACACCTGACTCCTGGCCATCCCAACTATAAGCTGGTCTGTGGTCTGTGTTGGATTCCAAAGGGAGAAATATCATACTCTTTCTTTGCTCTGTATTCTAACAAATTAAGAATAGATATAATGGAGATCAAGTTTTATTGCATAGGTTCAGTCATTCTCAAAGTACAGGCTTCCTGGTAAAGCTGGATTAGGGAACTTGGGTCTGAAACCAAAATGAAGCCTTCCAGAATATCAGCTCCTAAGAAAGGGGAGACCTAATAGACTCAGGTGTAGGCAGAAAAGTGGAACCAAAAAGTGGAGCTCTAGCTAGGTGGGTTGGTGTACCTGCTTCATGGAGAGTGGATATACAAGGTGAGTCTACCTCCCGAAGTGCTCCTGAGGGGAAGAAGGAGAAGAGAGGGAGAAAGAAAGAGGGGAGAGAGTGAGAGGAAAAGGGGGAGGGAAGAAGAGAATGAAGGGGGAGGGAAGAGAAAAGAGAAGAAAAGGCAGTTGTATGAGGGGGAAGGAGAAGGAAAGGGAATGAAAGAATCAGAGTGCTGGTGGTTTGGGGGACACAGCACCCTCTTATTAATCAGATAGCCCAAGGAAGCCAGGTCCTTTATAATCTCACCAATGAGATAAGACATTGGACCTCCCATGACAAGGGACATTTAAAGGATAGTAAAAAGCTGGAAATATTCACTCCTGTACTCTTCCACCTCAGAGCGACACACAGCAAACTATTCTAAAGCAACATAAGAAAAAATACAGGTTTTCTCCTAAAAGCTGGGTGAGAAATGATGAACAGGTGAGTCAGCTTGCTTTTCAGGGACTTTCAAATTGTGGGACTGAAACACTGTTCCAGGTGGTGGTGACCCCTGAACCTGGGAGGTCATGTAGAGGTGGTCCTGGCATTACATAGGCTCAAATTATGAATAAGCAAAGAGAACCAGTTTTTGGAGGGCAGGGGGATGAGGCGGCTGATGCATGGAGAGAAGCAGAGAAGCCAGGGAGAAAGAAGCATGGAAGAGACCAGCTGGGTCTCACAGCCGCTTTGACCTCGGTTTCTAATAGGCTTTGCTTGTGAAGTATTTTCTGGATTCTTTTGCACACATTTATGTTCAGACTTTATTAATTTCTACTGTAGGGCAAAGGGAAAACTTGCCCTTCACCCTCTGGAGGTTTCGTACTCTGGCAAGTTATTTAAGCTCTATGGAAGGTACTAGGAACACTGCCTGGCATGGTTAAGTTTAAGTGTTCAGTGAGATGTTAACTATTGCCACTGTTAGAATTTGCTAATCCATGAAGGAAAAACAAAGAGAATCCAGGACTAAATCTTAAATATTTCCTAAAAAGAGGTTGACAAGCAGACAGGGAGGCCCATGAGAAGTGGTAAGGACGAGGGCCAGGACCAGTGTAGGATGGAGCAGTGGATGAGCAGACACACTGCTATCTTGAGTCTGCGTGGTGGTAGGACATCCAAAAAGCTCATACTGAATGCCTTGTGTTAGAGAGGAGAAACTTTACCCTCGTGGGTTTTGTGTCTGCGGGCGTGTGAGTTAAACTGACAGGTTAGCAAGAGAAGAGACAAAATTTGATTTCAATACATACAGGAATTCACAGAAAAGTGTAACTCAAGGAGGCCTATAGACTTAAAGGCTTTTTAATAGCTGAAGGGGAGGGGCAGAAAGGATACCTATGGGGAAACAAATGGCTCTTAGGAATAGTAATGACCTTTAAATTGAGTTCTAGGGCTATTGCAATGTTATGAGCTGCTAAGAGAACAAGACTTGCCATGATTTTGCCTTTGTTCTTTGAAATTTTTTATGGTGAAAAAGCCAGTAGCAGGCAGAGAGTACCTGATCAAGAAGACAGGGAGATATGAGATGAAGTGTGAAATGTCCAATAGAAAGAGCCTTGCTGGGTAAGGTGGCACACACCTGTAGTTCCAGCCATTCTGGAGGCTGAGAGAGAGGACCATCTGAACCCAGGCATTCCGGGCTGTAGTACACTATGCCGATGGGATGTCTGCACTAAGTTCAGCATCAATATGGTGACCTCCCGGGACTGCCAGTTTGCCTAAGGAGGAGTGAACTGGCCCAGGTCAGACTGGCCCAGGTCAGAAATAGTGAGTCAAAACTCCCATGCTGATCAGCAGTGGGATCTAGTTAGTGAATAGCCACTGCACTTTGGCCTGGGCAACATAGCAAGATCCCATGCTCCCAAAAAATTTAAAAGAAAAGAAAGATCCTAGACCCCAGAAAGCAAATGCAATCCTAGCTAGGTGAAAAGCTCCAAATAAGCCAAACTCAGAAAGCAGTGTCATGAGGAACAAGGAAACTAATAAAGGAGCTAGCACAGCTTTCTCAAAAGAAGGAAGAAGATTCTAGAGCTTTCTTTTTCAAGAAAGCATTGTAAGTATTCATTTTAACTCTATAATCACTAGTTTTTTAATTCAAAGTTTATAGCATCTATACTAAGATATAATGCAAACAACTCATCTGAATTTTTCACTATCCTCTATAGATTCTGCCTTCTCAGCCAGTTAACTTCTCAGCCAGTTTCCTGATCTTTTGGCCATGGGAGCTATTTTTAGAAAGTAATCAAACTCAATACCCTGTCTCTTCTGCTGCACCTTGCAAAAGATCCATATCCTGACTGTTTTGCTTGTTGATTCCCCTAACCCATCTTGGGTTTTTCATGTGTTCGTGCTCCTCATGACACCTTTGTCCCTGAGTCTTCCCTTTCCTTTCTCCTCCTCCTGTTTCTCTCCACCATTATTTTCTGGCTCTGCCTACTACTCCCTATTCTCATGATGGCAGTTGTCCAAAAAAATCCTTTATGGTCTGCCACTTTATTTATAAATTTGACTGACTGCAAGCAAGCTAAACAAAGAATTAACTCTATGAGAGCTGAGGCCACAACTGTAAACAAAGGCAGCTGGGGGAGTAGGAGAAAGATATTAATGTGAATTTTTTATTAGGTTGAAGGCATCAAGTAAATTATACTTCAAATATCAAATTCATGCCTTGCAAAGGAGCTGACATAGGTAGAAGGCTGGGTGCAATATTTCTGCTACTGTCAACATCCTTGGACATTGAGAAAATCTATTAAGCTTAGTCCTTTTTCCCAACTCTGTTGACCTTGGACGAGAGGCTGTTTCTTATGGGCTGCAAGCTTCCTAATCCAGCGATCAGAAGTGGACTCTTGAGAAAAGTAACCAAACACGTTTGCAACATCAATGATCTCAGCATGAGCCTTTTCCCTTGGGTGAAACTTTCCAAGTGGTCCACATTTTTCTCATGGCTTTAGGAAACAAACAGACTCAATCATGTTTATTTCCTGGGTAATATTCCAGCATCATGGGAAATGGAAAGTAGGAAATGTATTATTTCACTCAACTTGGCCAAAACTTTCAGGACAGGAAAAAAAAAAGAAAGGATAAATTCTTCCCAAGACTTTTATTTTGGCAAGACAATTAAGTGATCTTACACTAATCTAATAGGTACTTTCAAATACTATATGTTGTTAGGCACATTCCATGAATAACTTATTCTATTTAAGAACTATTTCACCTAATTATTTAAAATTTCTTAGTACTTTGGGAAAAAATACGCTAGTAGTTATTATCTGGAAACCAGTTCTCTGTATTCTTCTCTTATTGTTATTTCTGATACTCCCTCAGGTGAATCTCTGCTGTAATATTAGTTTTAGATGGTGGGGGAATATACATTGAAAGATTAACTCATTCTTGCTTCAGAAAATTGGTCAATCTATTTTAGATAGCCAATCCCAATTCATTCAAACATAAGACCACTGGGAGAAACTCATGACACATGAGTTGATATCAGAACTTGGGTAATTGTACAAATAGAAAATTAAGTGGAAGATGAGTTGAAGAGTAAAGAGAGAAAAATGCAAGGATGACACGTGCAGATCATTTCAGTCAGTTTTTCATGTTTTTACAACTCAGTCTAAGTCAGAAACTCACTTTTATCAGGTTGACATTTTAAAATCTTTATTATTCCTTAGGAATGTTAATGGATTTTAGTTGTTAGATGCTGAAGGAATTCTTTCTACTTCATCTCATTAGTGTGAGAATTTTTGTCAGAGCGACATTTTCAGTTTTTCCAAAAAGACAGCTTTATCTTCTCTATATGATAGTACAAACATGGATGGAGTAATGCAAATCAGGTATGTATTGGGCATCAGCAGCCACTGTATTTTCCCACTTCCCGGCTGTATAGAGAGTAGAATAAATAAATACAAGCAGTCAAAAGCTGGCATATAAATCCACTCACTCATTTATTCATTCATTCTTCAATAAGTATAGTAGCTGAAACATTGTGGATTCTTCAGAAGCAGAATCACATGAGGGGCAGCTAGAGACTAGTGCTCTACCGTAGGAAGATATCTCACCCTTGCACACATCACACTATCCCATCCTGTTGAGCTTCACCTTGACACACAACCTTAGTTTCTCCCTTAGCAGTTATTGTTCTTCCAGTCATTTCATATTCAGAAAACCAGGCAGACTATAGTAACTTCCTTGGTTATACTTTTTTCAATGTTTTATTATACAAATTTCCTAATTTTATAGTAAACACCCATATACTGACCACCTAAATTCTTCTTGGTTGTAATTTAGCCCCATGTTTGAGGAATTATGAATCAAGTTCAGGTGTTTTCTCATATGGAAAATATAGGCCTTTCAAACAATGAAATGGTGTAGAATATCCAAAATCCTCACTCTTTAACCAACATACAGATTTACATTTTTGAGGCTTTTTAAAACCTGAAGTGATGAATATAATTGAGTCTACACATGTTTTAGATAACCTTATCTCATTGATAGAATTAAGGTATAAAAGGAAAACTCTTTCTACTTACACTTCTGACACCCACCAAATGTGTAGGTTTTCCACAGTGAAGAATTCTCCATTTCTCTTTGGACACCAACTGGCTGTCCTAGAATTTAACTTAATTTGGATACTGACTACCCCAAGTTTGTGCAGACCCCACAGGTTATTCGGGGCTCCCTCCCACAGACTCCTTCCCATTTCAGATGCCAATTACAAGTAGTGCACTCCTAGGTTACCTACACTCCTGACTGACTTGGCTATGAATTTTGGGTTCCCACAACCCCACATGTTCAATAACTTGATATAACAGCTCACAGAACTCAGGGAGACACTTTCTTTACATTTACCAGTCATAAACGATATTATAATTGATACAAATGAACACAGCCAGATGAATAGGTACATGGTATAAGGTATGGGGAAGGGACATGAAGCTTCTGTTCCCTCTCCAGGCATGCCATCCTCCCAGCACCTTGATGTGTTCACCAACGTGGAAACTGATCAAATCCTCTTGTTGAAGAGTTTTTATACAGCTTGATCTCCAGTGCTTTTCCTGGAGGTTGGTGGATAGGGCTGAAAATTCCAGCCCTCTGATCATTTGGTCTTTCTGGTGACCATTTCCATGTTGAGGCTAACTAGAGGCCTCACCCTGAGTCATCTCATTAGCATAAATTCACATGTGATCCAAAGGAACTTATTATGAATAACAAAAGACCCTCCTATCACTCAGGAGCTTCTAAAGGCTTTAGGGGCTTTGTGCTAGGAACCAGGGACAAAGACCAAATATAGTTCTTATTATACCACCTGGCACTTCAGAGAGAGAACTGGTTTTTCTCTTGAAATGATGTGACCTAAATGTCTTATTTATAAATTAAGAAGTCAGTGCTCAGACTTCACCTCCATAACCCAGCTCTACTTTCCTCCAGAATTCTCTCTTGTAGGGGAAGATTCACGACCAGAGAGATTGAGAGAAGAACCTGCCCTGTATGACTACAGGAAACCTGCCTGCGCCCCCTCCCTCTTAGCAGTGTTCAAAATAGATGAGTTTCTAAAGTAGGTCTTAGAAAGCAGAGATTCTGGCTTTTCTACTCTGTCTCACAGAAACCAACTCTATTAGTTTCCTATTGCCTATAATGAATTACCACAAACTTAGTGACTTAAGACAACACAAATTTATTATCTTACAGTTCTGAAGGTCGGAATTCTGAAATGGGTCTCATTTGGTTGAAAACCAAGGTGTTGGCAAGACTGCATTCCTTCTGCAGGTTTTAGGGGTAAATCCATTTCCTAACCTTTTCCAGCTTTTAGAGGCTACCCACTGTCCTTGGCTCATGGCCCTTTCCCACCTTCAAAGCCAGCAGCCTCAGGCTGAGTTTTCCTGCTGCCATCTCACTGGCTGTCACTCTTCTGCCCTCCCACAACTTCCCCTTTAAGAACCCTTGTGATTACATTGGGGCTACCTGGATAATCTATGATACTCTCCCCATTTTAAAGTCTCCATATTAACAACCATCATACCTCTCTTTGGGTGACCTAACATATTCATAGGTTCTGAGTATCTGGATGTGGCCATCTTCCCAGGAGCATTAATTCTGCTTACCACACCTACTATCATCATGTTTGTGTTCAGAATAATTTTTATTAATACAAAATTGGAATTTTCATTTTGGAACGTGTTTACTTTCCCTAGATCTTCTAATTCCACATGGCATGCTTCCTGGGAAATTTTACTGCTGTATTGGAGGAAAGAAACTGAAATGAGTACCTTGATTATCATTTAAGCACAGTATAATGATATACTGTGCCTTTTAGTAGAACTTTAGTATAATGATATACTTTGCCTTTTAGTAGAACTTAGAGATTTTAGACATCCCTGTGAGGCGATTTGGTGTTTTTCCTACATTTTTGTAAATGACAGAATTGCAATGTAAACATTTCCAGGGTGTGCTAGCTCTTTGAGGACATAAAACACTTAATTCAACTAGTTTCTATAAACTTCAGTGTGTTGAAATACTGTTGTTTATGATGTGCCATTTGTACTAAATTCAAAAGCAATGTTAAAAAGTTAGAGTTCTGGCTCTCTGCATTTCTGCATGTTTTTTTTCCTTCTCAGCATCCACTGTTGAGGCAAAATAATAAGGGATCCTTGAGCAAGGTAAATGTGACTCAAGCATCAGGCACTGATGTCTTAATACAGCAACCTCTTCAGACTGGGCCATTAGTACTAATGTCTTGGCAGGGAGCTCTAGGTCAGCACATTAAACCTCCAGGAGCTTTAAGAACTTTCAGGGATGAAAGAAGGTGTACATAAGAGAATAACAACATAAGAGAAACTCAAAATATGAGAAAAACATCTGGGTTAATTCAGGCCAAATCTGAAGACTTGGAGGTTTTGTGAAATATAATTCATGGTTATGATTGTTGGAAAACTTATTCTGTGCATTTAAAACTATATACTATGTTTTATACAGTTGAAATTATGTTAAATATTAGCTGTCTTCTCGTTGCTTAAGTCTGAAATAGACAAGTAAAGGGGCACCTTGGTAACAGGAAGAAGTGTTGTCTAAAGGCATCAGTTTGCCTTACTCTTGGCTGGTCTGACCCTCCAATTGCTGCGAAGCCCCTTTACCCTCCCCTGCAGTTTTGCCTTTGGTTTACCCTGGGTGGGAAGGGAAGGAGGGAGAAAGAGAATGAAGGGAGTCCCATGAGTAGGAAGTGAAAGAGGGAGAAAGGAAAGGGAGTTCTGTGGCCCAAGCATTTTAGCGCCAAGTCAGCCTTGCTATGCTGTTAGTCCAGTGCTGAAATGAGACCCTGCTTGGTAACACCAGCATGTCCTTTGCTAACAAGGTCCTTGCCTTAATATCCTGTACTCGAGACTTTGTCGCAGTTATCCTGCCCAGCACCATTCCTTTTAGACAACAGTCATGGCTTTCACTGATTTGTTCTAACCCAGCCCTTGCCCACCCCATCTCTCACTCTGCAGGGCACCAAGGACCTATTTCTGAAACTCTGCTGATGGCCAGGCCAATTGAACCCCTCTCCATAGCTGCCCTCCACCGACTCCCCTTGTCAGGACTCTCACATTACTACTGTGATTGTTTTTTTTAAGAAACATATAGAAAAGTAGAGAGAATGAATACTCTATTACATTGGTTCTTGAACTTTAGTGTGTACCATAATCACCTGGAAGGCTTGTTAAAACACAAGTTGTTGGGTTTTATCCCCAGAACTTCTGATTCAGTAGGTCTAGAGTGAGGCCTGAGATTTGCGTTTCTAACAAGTTTCCAGGTGATGCTGATGCTGCTGATCTGGGGACCACATCTTGAGGACCACCAGTTTATTACATATATATATGCACCCACTACCCAGATTTAATAAATCTTCATATTTTGCTGTATTTGCACTAGATCTTTTTGCTTTTGCAAGAAATGAAATGATATGACACAAATGATTGCCCTACTCTCCTTTTCCTATTTCTTCTTTTTTTCTGATGATAACCAGAGCCTTCTAGAACTATTCTCTCTGGATACAGTGCACCATCACTTGGCTGAATTTCCTGCCATTTGGAGTTGGATCTGAGTCCCTAGTTGCAGCTTGACTCCTTGATTTCCATCTTGCAGTATTTCACATTCTATCTCATCCTGCTACTTTTAATTTTTCTGTCCTTGCTAGGTCACAGGATGTAACAGAATATACATTAAACTTTCATTAAGAGTAGAATTAGATTTTACTGTGAGAAGGACTGTTCTTACTAAGCAGAAGGTGTTCACTCTATTAATTAAAGTGTAGGTGGAGAGAGCAAAAATCAGTAACAAGGCACCTATAGGAATCTCCCCCAATAGACTAAGTCAATAGAGCCCAGTCATAATAATTTAGAAGATTGAAAGCCCTAATACTTAAAGGCAGATCCATCCCAGGCTCTGGTAGTCTAGCTTCAAAGCCAGGATCAATAGGTAAAAGTGACACACTCCACTGAGGGAACCAAATATTCAAGCTTACTAATTAAGGGCTGAGCTGAGCCAGCACCATAAATATCAGGCTTTTAAATGGGTGAAACACGGAGCATTCCAATTTGGTTCTTCTGAAACTATAACTATTTGTCTAAGGGATAGTCTTGAATCATATAAAAGTAAAATTATCTAAATTACAAAGTAGTCATCACTGGCCAGAATTTTTCTTTCATTCTTTGATCACTTTTATCTTATTTATAGAATTAACATTAATCAATACATATCTAATTTGACTTGCATTGGCTCAGTTAATGCATGCCCCTTAAACATGCATGAAAATAACGCCTTTCTCTTGGTCCTCTTCTCATTGACCCCCATCCCTTTTCTCTTAAAATCTTTGCTGAACTTTCCTCTAAGCATTGCCCTCCCTCCTCTTTCTTCTTTCCCCTTTACAAAGGCAATTTTACTGGCCTCTCTTAGTTGGTGTGACCCCTGTCAGCTGCTATGGCTGAGCGAAAATTTCTATTTACAATTTCTTCTTTTTTTTCATTAGGAAACATTAACCTAGGTTGCATCAAACTCCCAACCCAGCTTAGCGTCTCTGGGTTGAGTAGCTGTTGAGTGGGGCTTCCCACATTTCCTTTGCCTTTACAAATTACTGGAAAATGAGGCAGTCTGTAATATAAACTGGATGGGCACTGTATTAGTCCATTCTCACACTGCTATAAAGAACTACCTGAGACTGGGTAACTTATAAAGAAAAGAGGTTTAATTGACTCACATTTTCTCAGGCTTAACAGGAAGCATGACTGGGAGGCCTCAGGGAAGTTACAATCATGGCAGAAGGTTAAGGGAAAGCATGCACATCTCTTCACAATGGTGGAGCAGGAGAAAGAGAGAGTGAAGGAGGAAGTGCCACACACTTTTAAACAACCAGATCTCGTGAGAACTCTGTCACAAGACAGCACTAGGGGAATGGCGCCAAACCATTAGAAACCACCCCCATGATCCAGTCCCTTCCCACCAAGCCCCACCTTCACCACGTGGGGATTACACTTACACATGAGATTTGGGTGGGGACATAGAGCCAAACCATAACAGACACTCAAGTGTCACAGGAATTTACTTAAGGGGAAAGTTAATTCTGATGGGGATATCTGACACTAAGACATTTTAATTCATGTAAAATCCAATACAAGCACCATGTGTACTTAGTTGTGCATGTTATTTACATGTAACTACTCTTATGAGATTAGCATAACATTTATGGTCCAGTATCTCTATCATAGTCATCTAACATTTCTATCATTATCACATCAGATAACAAGGAAAAGCATCTAGGCTGCCGATTAAACACCACCACCACCACCACCAAAAACTCAAAAAATCAATTTAAACACACACACATACACTCACATGATACCTCACAAGGACAAAAAAAAAATCCTTATAAGAATAACAACCTAGGCTGGGTGTGGTGGCTCACACCAGAAATCCCAGCACTTTGGGAGGCTGAGGCAGGTGGAGTGGATAACTTGAGTCAGGAGATCTAGACCAGCCTGGGCAACATGGCAAAACCCCATCTCTACAAAAGCAAAACAAAACAAAACAGAAAACAACCTAAAGAAGGTAGATTTTGTTATTTGCAATGGAATATTTTAGGTTCTTTCCTTATTCCATAACTGATGTTATCATTGTTTTTCCACAAAACATGGCATTTTGTCAATTAGTTAATTTAAGGAATTGAAATTCCTTAAATTAACTTTTTCTCGGTGGCCTCATTAGCTCTAGGGGTCCCTTTGGGCTCTTGATACTCCCTGAAGAAAGGATCCATTACTCTCCTGCTCTTCCTGTACCCACATCTGGGGGAAGCTGAGGAGGGAGGAACAGTCAGCCACAGCTCTACTCCAGGACCTGTCCTCTCTGCCCCAATCTTTGAGGAAGAGCATCCCCTTCTTCCTTTCCCTGGCCACCCCTAACATCCTCTCTGGGCCTGGGACCCTCTCCATAGAGGGGATGTGGCCCGTGGTCATGACATAACCTGGCAGCAGTAGGAAAAACTCTCTTCTGTGAAGAAGAAGCAGACTGGGCCATAAAGAAACAGTGGGACTGGCTCAAGTGCCCAAGGTTTGCTTAGGGTCTGGGAATTGGCTATGTGTTATTTAATTTATTGAGAGGAGTGGAGTAGGTGGCTTTTATTTCCCCTCCCTCTTCCACCAACAAGAATAAAGTTTATTAAATTTAAAAATTTCTTTGCCTTCTTCTTTTTCTGGAAGAAATATCTGAAGACTGGTGGCAGCCAGATTGACTGGACCTTTAGGGATGGGGACAGGAAGGATGGGCGATGAGTCTGCCCAGACACAGTGGGGCCAGACCACAGAAGTCTGAGCAAGTGAGACTTTTCTTCCTGGAAAGAAAAAGAAGAAGGTAAAGAAAGGAACTTTTTACTTAATTAGGGATGTAGAGCTTCCTAAAAGTGATGAGAATATTTTGGACTAGTTTTAAGAGAGAAATGCTTGAAATTCACAGTTTTTAGAACAACTGTCATATGTGAGCGCTTTCTCCTCTTTTTTTTTTTTTTTTTTTTTTAAATACCTTTTATCATCCCCCTCTATGGAAGGAGCAGCACTGGGCAACAGGACCCCAGGGAGAAGACCCCTCCTCGTCCTCAAGGACAGAGGCCAGAGCCGGAGAATAGAGGGGTGAGGAACATTCTAGGAGAAGCTTCTACAAATGAGCTGATGGCTTTAGACGTTTCCTTCTTAGCCTTACAATTTTTCTCCTTGATTATAAAAGTAAAGGAAAACTTGTAAAATACAGAAAGGAAAAGAGGGGGAAAAAAGTCACTTATAACCACACCAATCCAGAGGGATTTCAAGGATTTGGATTTGGAGATGGTGGCTTCCAGATGTCTTTTGGAATTGGGGCATTTCCCTTTGGGATATTTGCCACAGCATTTAATATAAATGATGGGCGGCCTCCTCCAGCTGTCCCTGGGACACCCCAGTATGTGGACGAGCAGTTCCTGTCACGCCTCTTCCTATTTGTGGCCCTGGTGATCATGTTCTGGCTCCTGATTGCCTAATGCTGGGCTCCTGCCTACATCCGTGGCAGGGCTCTGGACTGGTGACATGCCACCCCAACTCCTGGTGTTTGGCTTCCTGGCTAATCTTGACTCCTGGAATCAGTGGGATCAGTAACACATCAAGGAGTCTTGTTTCTTCATCAGAGCTTTGGAACTCGAGACCAGTTGGCGATGACCCCTGAGTATCGCCACTGCTGTAAACACCCTATAACCTCAGGCCTTGGCATTGAGTCCTCTCTTATGGGTGACACCATGAAATCTTGTTTCAGCCAGTTCTGCAGGTCCTGACTCTGCAGAGGGAAGAGGCAGAAAGAGAGAAACTGTCAGAGTATAATTTCACCTGAGTTTAATATTACAGAAACAAAGGGATGCACCAAATGGTATTTCTGGAAATTTTCATGTCTTTAAATACCCCTTGGTAAGTTGCCTCTGAAGCCAGTGGGGGCTCCTCAGATAGAGATGTTCCCCTTTCAAATCCCAGTGCCGCTCTGTTCTCTTTCCTTCCCCTCCCACTCCCCCTCTTCTTCCTCTGTAGAGATGCAAGAAATTGCTGTCCCATAAAAATCATAATTGCAGTAGCTAAAGCTGGGGTCACTTCGTAAATTCATCAGAGACTCAAAGATCTTTTATTGGCTCTGGGCTGTGCTCAGTGTCTTTGGCCTCAGAGAACAACTTGAATGACTTCCTGGTTTCCTGGCATAAATTATTCCTGGTGAGACATGTGGCTTAACTCACAGATTTCCCATCAGCTTTCTCCCTAAAACTATGTGCATCTGCCTCTCTCTGCCTGAGAACATACAGCCGAGAATACTGCTGAAGCTGAGACTGACTACTGTGCATTAGGAAAGACCTGGAGTCAGGACTTTGGTGGGATTTGGAGCTCCGAGGCAGTAATAACTGAACAAGCAGCCCTGTCCCCTAGGCTGCAGAAGCTTGAATGCATCCTCTCCCAGAACCTGCCACAGGAAACTGGGGGCTTTGTCAGGTCAGCCCAACTGCATGCAGAAGACCACCATCCTCAGAAGCCAAGTTGTCTTTTATGAAGAGGCAAGGAAAGGGGAAACCCACATGTGACCCTGATTTTGGTATGGCTTGATAGAGTTCCCTGAAAACTCCTTTTATGTGTGCTAAAACCAGGGAAGCATGTGACTGCCAAGCAGGCAACCCCTGATGATTTGTAAAGCCAGGTGGCAGGGCCTGGGGAGCCCCAGCACAATGATATTGTGTGGTCTTCCCTCCTGTGGAATCGAGGGGAAATTATTCTTCCCAATACCTTGATTTGATTTTCAGTTTCACAAGCTTCTTCCTCTGAATCTTATTGAGGGAGTATGGTACCAAGCAGGTAGGACTGTTCACCTGGTGGAACAGTTCTTGCTCTGCCTTCTAGGCTTCATCCCACAAATCCAGCCTCTTTCTGGAGACCGCAAAGCTGGGGGGAGATGGGCTTCCTCTGGGCCTCTTTCTTACTTTGCCATCCACACTGCTCCTGGCTAACCCCAGCAATAACCAACAAATGGTAGGAAGCCCCACCTATTGCTTTTTCTCAATTATGACTGCATAGTTTGTGGAAACAAAGATCTTGAGGAAGATGAGGGAAGCCCTCCCCTCTTCATAGTCCCCATCTCTTCTCCTTTGTACCTGTCAACACCAGAGTTCAGTGTTTAAACAGACAGAATATAAAGTATTGAGTAGGTGGTTCATATGCCGAATCCACTTGGTAGGAAGAAACCACCAGCTTTATAGTGTGCCTGATAGATTTTAAACATTCCTGGGCACCCACTCAAGAGTGTTCTTTTTATCACCTTCTGGAAATCCCCAAAGTTGCAGGGGCCTCTGGAGTGTCTCTGCTCTAGAGAGAATTGGTGGGACCCCCCTCAGTGCAGTGGCCCCAACTAGTGGAGGGAGAGAGGACTTAAGTCAGATGGACTCAACAGAAATGGGTTTCCAGAAGAATAATGAAAAGTTGTGGGTAGGAAAATGAATCATTTGGACTCTTCAATGAAATGGAGTGAACCCAGGAGAGCTCAACCAACAGAGGCACTCTGGGAACCTGTTAGTAAAGCCAGGCCAAATGCCATTTGATTTTGAACCTTGTAGGTCCCCACTCACCCTCTGCCAGGAGCTAAGTAAGTCAGGAGAGCTGACTTGGGACTCCTGGCTTGGCCCCAACAGGGAGCCCCCTTCCCACCATCCCTCGGCAAGCTCACCACCTCATCCTTCTGCCAAGGCAGCTTTCCTTTCTTTTGTGTGTTTTCTGTGTTCTTAGCCTCCACCCTCCTCCTGCCACCCTTGTGGACTAAGACCAGGTCCTGACCCCAGTCAGAAAATGATGATATGTACAGTGGCACACCTTAACCAGTCACTAATTTTCACTGTTGTGAAAGTGATTTGATTTAGAATTAAACAAATGGTTTTACATTAAAAAAAAAAAGACCTTTTAAAATCTAAGGTCTGAGCCATACATAGAGTTAGGAATTCCAAACTTGAGATGAAAGGAATGCTGATTTATCTTATGATGGCATTATTTTCCCCTACATCAAATCAGGTTATTAATATCAGTGTTTTTTCCAATGTGATGATTTTACCAAGTGACCATCCATCCTGAGGGAGTTATCGTAAATGAAACATAAACATAAATGACCACAGTAACACAGAGATCTATAAAACTTCCAACGCTGGGGAAATGCAAAATGTTCCAGGGATTGTATGTGTTTTGGTGTAGGGATCCTCAGCTGCAGGCCAATGGAATTTAATATATGTACTGCCATGCAGAATTAGGCATATATTAGTACAATCAATAAATCCAATCACTTTGCCTACAGGACAGATTTGAAATTCTATCTCCAGTTTTGCCACTATTTACTAATGAAATATGGCTTCCTTGCCCTCACTACAAAGGTCTCCATCTTTCTTTCTTGTTTGTTTGTTTGTTTTTGTTTTTGTTTGTTTGTTTTTACTTCCTAGAGTGAAATAAGAGTACTTTCTCTAATTTTAATCGAATGTTTCTCAAAGTTTGAGGAATATATTCATACTTTTAATCATGGTTTTTAAAGGGGTAAATTTCCAATTCAGTTCATCATTGGCACTAAATCATTTATTCTTCTCTCTATCAGGAAGCCTCATATTGTTTTGCCTCTCTTCATCCCTTCCCAACTGTCTCCTTTTGTCCTCCTCACTCTCAATTCCTAATTTTAACTAATTTACAAATACATATGATTCTCACTTGTTGGATATATTAAAAATGTATAGCCTAAAATAACATGTTTTGTGCTTTTGGTTTTCTTAAATTGTTGCTGATTTTCTGTACTATAAACAAAAACACACTTCATCAAAGTCAGTATCTGGAATTAACCAGCACACATGACAGCATAACACTGGTCTTGTTGGATACCCAACAAGAAGAGTGAATATGCATGTCAAACTGGAAACTTGTGAACATTAATTAGGCGTATTCTTAATCTTTTCCCTGCTTCTTAATCAGAACTTTATGTTATCCAAGACTGATAGGAAACCATTCTGTCTTATTTTCTAAAAGGATCAATGGAATAACCACTCCCTTGTTTATAGCTCGCTAAGCTGTACTAAGATACTGTGAGGGATATGTTAAGGATACCAGAGATGATCAATGAATGTGTACACATAATGAAGCCACAAGGCAGGATATAAGTGCTAGATAAATAATAAAATAAATTGACACTTTGGCAATCTGCCACCAGATTAATCTTAAGTACCACTTTGATTGTGTCATTGGCCTTTGCCAAACCCCCATGGCTTTTTGTTGCTACGAACTCAAGTCTCACTTGCTCAGATTTCTGTGGTCTGGCCCCACTTTGCCTGGAGTTATCTAGGCATTACTAGGTGCTATGGTTTAAATGTTTGTCTCCTCTGAAACTCATATTGAAACTTAACACCCAATGCAGCAGTATTGAAAGGTGGGACCTTTAAGAGATTATTAGTTCATGAGGGCTCTACATGCATAAATGGGTTAATCCATTCATGGATTAAGGGGTTAATGGATTTATGGGTTATCACGTGACTTTAGGCATGGGGACAGGGAGGGTGGGCGATGAGTCTGCCCAGACACAGTGGGGCCAGACCACAGAAATCTGAGCAAGTGAGACTTGAGTTGGTAGCAACAAAAAGCCATGGGGGTTTGGCAAAGGCCAATGACACAATCAAAGTGGTACTTAAGATTAATTTGGTGGCAGATTGTTCTCAGGACCTCATTCTGGGATTTAATAACAAGCAATAAATTCTGTTAGAATTAACCTATCTTTTTCCTCACATCCGGTACTTATTGGAGGTGATGAACAGTTGCTTAATACCTTCTGAATAATAACCCCTTCCCAGGCTTAAAGAGGAAGTCTCATTTAAAATCAGAGAATTTTAATTGGGGTGTAAAGCTGCCTTTGGCACAATTTGGCCAACTCCTCTGGAGATGAAATGAATACTTGCCCATTAAGTTAGTAGGGCCTCAGATCTTCCAATGCCTAACCATTTATTCTTTTTCTTGTTTTGTGACTCCTTGGCTCAACCTCCTCTTTCTCTCAGAGCCTTTCACAGATCAATTTTCTCCCCTATGTCTGTAAATCAATAGACTTGGATTCTAGCTGGAGGCTTCTTGAATTCTCCAAGTAGGAGAGCCACACGATCTCTAAGATTCCTGACAAGATCCTACAGGTGCCTGCCCTTTCTGTCTGTCTTCTGGGAAATCTTTCTTGTGGATTAAACCTTAACTATTTCTGAAGACTTTCTCCAAATTAGCCCAGTTAAATCTCATTTTTCCTGCACTTTGTGTCCCCTCAGTTCTTAATAATGAAAGTGTAATGCTTCATTTTTCAGGTTTTTTTGAAGGAATAATCTATTCTACAGAAAGGAAAATTTTAAAGGCTTAAGTTTATTTCTTAATTGTTAATCGTTAGTCACCTATTTTTAAAGGTAAATTTTCTGTAATGATATGTCACCTATTTGTTCTACGTTTTATAACCAAGTCTATTGAATATATTTTTTTCTTGATGCTCAAACTGTCCAAACTGCTCCTCCTATAGTCTTTCCCATTTCATTTATCAGCAATACCATACTTATCATTGCCCAGCAAAAAATTTGGAGTCATCCTTCTCTCCTCCGTATCTCTCAATCCCCAAATCTATTCCAAGAGTAAATCCTGTTGGATCTACCTCTATCATATACCCAGAATCTGACCAGTTTTTACAGACTACACTCTTTGCATTCAGGGGAGTCCTCTGTCATCTCCTGCCTGGATTGTTGCAATAACCTCCCAACTGGTCTCCCTGCTTCTACCATTGCCCCCGACCTCCCTGACCAGTCTGTTCACAACATGGTAGAGAAAATGATCCCGGCCAAAAGGAGTTAGTTCATGCTACTCCTCTGCTCAAAACCCTGCAATGCCTTCTTTCCTTTCTCAAGAATAGAAGCCAGAGTCCTTAGAATATTCAATATTGGTATTAAATTACATGTTTCTGGTAAATTGCATACATTTTCTAACTTGTATTTTTATTGTTCAGGAGCTGTTTTGCATATTCAGGATTTAAGGCTGTGTTCCAGAGTTGAGATGGTTAGATAAGTGGTGGCTTGATAAGGTGTAACCGTGTATTAATTTGCACTTGATATATTGCTTTGTAGGAATGCTTGTCATTTTGTTTTTCACTTTCTGCCTCTGCAACCAGACTGTTCTTCAAGTAACCCTTTACCTCCCCACCATATGGCTCTCACACCATCAGTGATGGCTTATTGCTTCTGCTTATCTCACACTTTGGAAAAGTAAAAATGAACAACAGAATCAATGATATGATGCCTGTAATGATCAATTTTTTTTATCCACTTGAAAAGCTGTTTACCCTTCAGTTTTTAATTCACATTAAATCAGCTAGGCCTAAATTTGAGGAACCTTTCCATTTCTTTGATGCTTACCATTCTTCCATGAAAAGAAACTTAATTGTCAAGTGATCATGCTCTGCATAAAAGAATCTCCCCTGTGCAAATGCCATTTTTTGCAACTTAAATACCATAAATAAATCCCTACCTTAATTCATATTGTGGATAAATTTTACAGATGTAAAATCCATATGCATTATGAGGGTAGAGTTTTCCTCCAGAAAGAGAGGGCTAAATTGTGTTACAATTAACTAAGAGAAAAAACGAGAGTACATCTCTGTGTGTGTGTGTGTGTGTGTGTGTATGTGTGAGCAAGTGAACGAGTGACCAAGTTAGAAAGTGTGCTATGAGAGAGTGTGTTAAAGAGAGAGTGTGTATGCTGTGGCATAATAGAAAAAGCATGACACTGTTAGAAATTCTAATTTATAACCTTGACTTTGATATTAATTTGCTGTATCATCTATAGAATATTACAATCTATTTGCCCTCATTTCCTTAACTACAAAAACAATGGATTCAACCAAATCACTGATAGGAAATATGTATGTAAAATTCATATTCATGTCTGTAGTAGATATAACTTGTCAATCTCTTACTGCTAAACAAAAATTTGTCATTTGAATCATTATTAACATAGCACCCTGGAAGTTACTACCAAGTAATTAAAAATGGAATATGAGATAAAAACATTTTGCCTTTAATGATCTTTAAGGTCTCTGGTGCTTATTCTCTATAATTATAGGTATGATAGTTTTCCATGTTAGCAAGGCTTATTTATTAAAATACAATAGAAATTTATTACCTACTAAATACATAATAATATTAATTCTAAAATACCACATATTGAATATTTATTATGTGCCAAGTCATAGATTTTTATATATCCACAAATCTATATGTTTCAGATTTGGTCATCTGAACAATTAAGATGGGCATTTTTATCTTAACTGGAAAGCTAAGGCTCAGACAGACTCAGTAACTTGCCTGTGATTACTCTTGTAAATTTAAAATAGTTTTAAATTTATCATTTCTTATCTATAAGCTTGGCAACTTGACCACGTGCTCCAATGGCCAGGTGCTAGGGAGAAAGAAATTTCCATCCACTGCTGGTGGGAATGCAAAATGTTATAACCCCTGTGAAGGAGAATTTGTCAATATCTAACAAAACTGTATAGGTATTTGCTTTATTATTCAGACATTCCAACCCTAAGAATTTACCCTTAATATACAGCTCCACAAATTCAAAACAATATATGCACAAGTTTATTTATTATGGCACTATGTGTAATGGCAAAATATTGTAACAACCTAAATGCCCTTACCTAAAGGATTGACTGGTTGAATAAACAACGGATCTACAGCTTCCTGTGAATTGATATGGTGTCATATCTAGACTATATTGTTAAGTAAAAAAACAAAACAAAAGAATATATATATAGTATGCTACCTTTTGTGCAAGAAAGAAGGTAAACTAGGATATATATCAATAGATAGTCATAAATAGATAAGGATGTATATCAACAGATAGACACATAATCTTATCTATGGTGGGAACAAAGTAGAGGGGTTTGAATAAGACTTCACTGAGTATACCTTTTTATATAGTTTCGACTTGTGAAATATATCAATGTTTTATATATATATAGAAAAAATAAAAGTAAATAAAAAGTATGACAAATCAAGCACTAAAATGGAATTTAAACACAAATAAATGATTTTCACAGTATGTGAAATTAATAACCTATCCACACAGAAAATAATTAATTCAAGTGGCTTTTAAGCATGCTCTGTAGACTGTATACTTTGGTACGAAATATAAGGATGTTTCAGGTAATTTTACAGTTTTACTTACTAGATTTGCCATTGGTGGTAGTATTACTGTTGTAATTCTGGGACTATTTTTTGTTTATTAGGATAAAATTAGTGAGTAAATATTTTAATGTTGTTGGAAATCTCAGTTGATTTCACTTCACTGAAGAGATGATGAGAAAGAATCCTGTAGTGTTGGATTCCAATTGTGCCTATTCATATTAACTCATGATTTTAAGATACATATATATATGAGAGAGAGAGAGAGAGAGAGAAGATATTACATCCTGTAGTAATTGTATTTGGAATCCAGATCTTAATATCCAAAAATTATTTCCCATTAAAAGGAACCAGGAATTCTTGGAGAAATGGAGGATTCTAGGTCTGAGGCCAGGAAAGTACAAGTACAAAGTGAGCTTGGAACATCTTGTGCCATAAGCAACAATGTACTGAAAGATTAATGAGGCGTGTCAAAAGGTCCCAGGAGCCAGCATGAAGTGCTACCCGCTGACCAAATTTGGGACAATTTCAGCATCAAAAAGAAAAATGATGGTAATGAATTATAACACATTGAATTTTTAAAAATGAATCACAAACTTATGTGATATCAGAAGAGAGAGGGAGGAGAGAGAAAGAAGGCTCTTCTTTATAGTATAATGACAGCTAATAAATGTACAAAGAAATGATAAGATTAGAAAATCCTCATTTTGTAACATGCAATATAATAACTGACACAGGCATAAATTATTAATGAGTGGTTAAGCCATGAGGTGAGGATGTATTGAGGCACAGAATGTTTACATGACCTCAAATGATCACTCCACAAATTACTCAGTAATTACCAAAGGGAAAGTATGTCTCTATAATGAGAAGTGCCAGTAGTGGAACAGCGTGACATCATAGCATTCTATGCCTCCTGATGTGATGTCGTGGGAGATGTAAGACATTGCCATGGTGCTGCTCATGCTAGAAAATTTTCATAAAGAAAGAATCAGAAGAATCCAGAATGTGGTACCATCTCCCAAGACAATTGGCCTAGACTCTTCAATGAACTCAGTGTTGCGAAAAAAAAGGAAGGTGGAGAACGGTTCTGGATAGAGGGAGCATAATGAGACACCCCCCAAAAAAGGGCCAAATGTAATGCATGATTCTTGGTTGATATTGGATGGGGCTGGGATAGGGAGCTGTAATGGACATTTTTTTAGATAATTAGAGAAATTCAAGTATGATTCATACGTTGAATGACATCATTGAATTCATGTTAATTTTCTTAGGTGCAATAATATTATTGTGATTGGTTATAAGAATGTTCTCGTTCTCGGGAGATGCATACCGTGGTACCTAGAGATGAAATATCACTATATCTGTGGTCTACAAGAAAGTGATTTGGCAAAAGGGCAGTGTGTGTATGTATGTGTGCATGTGTCAAGATGATGATACTTTGTGAATCTGGAGGACGAGTATATGAGCTTTTTCTTTCAACTTTTCTATGAATTTAAAACATTTCAAAATAAAAAATGTGTATGATACATATTTAAAAATCATACTGCTAGTAAATATTGTAATTTAATTTTTAATGTAGTGAAAACAGTTTCACTCAAATCTCACAGTATATATTTGCAGAACTAGTTCATATACCGTAAAAACACTTATTTTCAAATCAGTGTTATTAAAATGTCTAAATATGAGCCCCAGGAAACTGAAGCCTTTAAAATCTGATGATTAGGACATAAACATTTTGTACTACCCAAGTGCACATTTTCTAATTTTATATTCAATGGGTATCATGAAAAGTAGTATGTCTTGCTCTTTGGGACCCTGTTTTTGGTGTACATAAATGCTTCCGCTGCAATTCTTTTTAGTAAGGAATGCCTCTAGAAAACACCCATTTGTCTACTTGTTCTAGCTAAACATTTACAGATTTGTATTTTTTTGGCTGGTAGATAGGAATCAAATAAAGTTTAATTATACAATATTCATATGTAAGAACTTATATCCATATATAAGACTGCTAAAAAGCAGATATCTCAGATTCACTGTGTAAATGGAACTTACAGCTGACACAAGGCAGGAAAACTTTGTGCTGAAAAATCTTCAGTCTAGTGGCTAGCCACGCCTTCAGAGAAACACAGTGCAAAATTTAAAACCTAGGATCAGCCTTAGGGCTACCAGGTAAAATAATTCAGTTTGCCCAGTTTAATTGGAATTCCTGTTAATTAATACTTTTTTAGTATAAGTATGTCCTAAATATTCCATGTCCTAAAAAAATTACTCACTGCGTATCTGAAATACAAATTTAGGGAAACAGAGAGGTGTTGGTCACAGGGAACAAAGTTTCAGTTATGCAGGATGGATTAGTACCGGAGATCTAATGTACAGCATAAGGACTCTAGTTAATAATACTGCATGTATACTTAAAATTTGCTAACACGTAGATCTTAAGTGTTCTTACCAAACATAAAACAAGGTAACTATGTAAAAAGTTGAGTGTATTAGTTTAACTGCACTGAGCAGTTCGCTATGTATATGTGTATCAAAACACCACACGATACGTCTTAAATATATACAATTTCAATTTTAATTTTTTAAATATAAAAGTAAATTAGCCGGGCATGGTGGCGAGCGCTTGTAATCCCAGCTACTCGGGAAACTGAGGCACAAGAATCACTTGAGCCTGGGAGCTTGGGAGGCGGATATTGCAGGAATAGCTTGAACCTGGGAGCCTGGGAACCGAGATTGCGCCGCTGCACTCCAGCCTGGGCAACAGAGTGAGACTCTGTTGCAAAAAAAAAAAAAAAAAAAAAAAGTAAAAGCCAGCGTGGCAGTGTGGCAGGGACCCAGCTTGGCAGCCCACCCTCTACCATACTGCCTTTCTGCTCTAAGGGAACAGCCTCTTTAGCAGACGCGATGTTCATGGGGTTTGAAGTGGGGATGGGGTGAGCAGTGTGCCTGAGGGCAGGTGTGCTGCTCATCGAGAGACAGTGAAGGTGGCAGGTGCAGCCGATCACACCTTTGGATTGCACAACAGAAGAGCACATCCCACCACTGAGCACCTGCAATGTGTCAGGTGCCGCTTCACCTTTCCCATCACTCGGAATCTGCACAGCTGGTAGGCTCCGGAGCAGAAGAGTTAAGACTTAAGATTGTGGGATTGAAGTTTGGCCCCACCATTATTAGCTGTGGTCTTTGGCAAATGATTCAACCTCTGAGATTCCATTTTTTTTCCTGTGTAAAATGGAGATACTCACAATAATATCTACCTCATAGGTGTTGCTAGAATTCAATGTGAAATAATGTCTGCAGAGTACTCAGCAAAGTACCTGGTTATTATAAAGTCTTAATAAATGCTTAATAAAAGCTATTATTGTTTTAAATTTTTAAATTGAGTATTCATTCTATATTTTTACTTGTTAAGTCTGGAAACCCTAATCAGCTCATCAACCACTGATGACTGAATTAGGAGCTGGGATGTAGGGAGAGGGTAGGGGAAGTTGTGGGTTTATTAGTATGAGGAATGAAACACAAAATCCCTAAAAATATTAATTTGGAAGATTGCCTTTCTATTGCTGCTTCCTTTACCTGAATAGACAAAAGTCCTCAGAAATATCAGAAACATCCAAAAAGAAGTAGGAGTTATATATATTATCATCCAAACTATAGTCCCACAAAATAAAGAGATTAATAACTCAGGATTCTGTTTATTTTTAAAACATAGATTGGGACTATGTGTGAATTGATTACAAATATAGGTATACCTTTGTCTATAAATGTGTAAAGTCCTTTTTATCCCTCAACAAATGTATAGCTTGCCATTTTATATATTTTTAAAAATTGATTATTTATGTACCTATTTTAGTGAAAAAGCATCTGGTGTTTTACTTGTTACTTTGTTTTATGTTGTATTCTCTAGCACAGGGGTCCCCAACCGTCTGTGGCCTGTTAGGAACCAGGCCACACAGCAGGAGGCAAGCAAGCGAAGCTTCATCTGTGTTTACAGCTGCTCCCCATCACTCACATTACCGCCTGCTCTCTGCCTTCTGTCAGGTCAGTGGGAGGATTAGATTCTCATAACAAACCCCATGATGAACTGCAAATTCGAAACCTAAGTTGTGTGCTCCTGAGAATCTAATGCCTGATGATCTGACACTGTTCCCCGTCACCCCCAGATAGGACCGTCTAGTTGCAGGAAAACAAGCTCAGGGCTCCCACTAATTCTACATTATGGTGAGTTGTATAATTATTTCATTATGTATTACAATGTAATAATAATAGAAATAAAGTGCACAATAAATGTAATGGGTTTCAATCATTCTGAAACCACCCCACTCGTCCGTGGAAAAATTGTCTTCCACAAAATGGGCTCCTGGTGCCAAAAAGGTTGGGGACCACTGCCCTAATATATTAAGAAAATTTCTAATTCACCATGAGTTTCTTTGTTTGTTAATTAGAAACTGAATTTTATCAAGTGCCTTTTCAGCCTTTATAGATATGATAATACAGTTATTCTACTTTATTTTGTTTATGTAATGAGTAGAATTAGCACATTTCCTAATTCTGAACCAAGTCTCTATGCCTGGGTTGATATTCCAGCTTTGCCATTAACTACCTGCCACTAACTTGCAGTGTAATTTTGGGCAAGTCCCATAACCTTCTGTGTGTTTCTCTTTTATAAGATGAAAACAGCATTGTTTTGAAGAATAAATGAGTTAATACATTAAGCTGGTTAGAATATCCTGGCACTATGTAAGAATAGCCTGGCACTTAGTAAGCACTATGTACGGCTTAGCTGTTATTTCTATTTTTAGATGAGAATGAGCCAAAATTGTGTTTGTGTGTGTGTGTGTGTGTGTGTGTGTGTATGTGTGTGTTACCTCTGTCAAGTTTGGTGTTAAGGTCATGCTAGCTTCATAAAATAAGAGCTTTAATATGAAGCTATTAATATCGAGGCTCGGAAATATTTAAAATAACGTAAGAATTACCTAGCTAATTACTAATTAGCCATTTAACCCTGGAGCTTTAACAGACATTATGTATTTGATTAACTTTCCAATTTCTTCCATGTCTATTGGTCTGTTTGGATTTTCTACCTTTTCTTTAACTGATTTCAGTAGTTGTGTTTTCTGAAAAAAATCTACATTTTTATATTTGTTAGCATAGGCTTCTTTCTCACATACAAGAGGCTGTACACTGTAGTGTGGACTCTGAAGCCAGGCTGCTAGATTTGAATCCCAGCCTTCTCACTTACTAGATAGGTGATCTTGGGCTAATTACTTAACCTCTTCCTGTTTCCATTTCCTTATCTGTCGTATTGAGCTAATAAAATACCTCATAAGATTGTTGTGAGATTTCACACACAAACACTTATTGGTTTATTTGCTTATTGTTTGTGAGTATATGAACCCCGCCCCCAACCCAGCAACTCAATTTCTTCACTATTGTATTTCTAGCAGGCAGAAGAGTGCTTGGCACATAGTACGCACATGTATGGGTAATAGTTTATGATTTTAATTTTGATTTCTTTTCTCTAATCCAGGAGTCATTTAGGAGAGTACAATATTGGTAAATTTCCAGTCCTGTGTGCATTTTTTATTGTAAATTTCTCATTTTATTATATCTTTATAAGAGAATGTGGCCTGTTGGTCTGAGAATTTATTTAACTTTTCTTTGGGGCTGTTTATTGTACGTGTCTTATGGACATTTGAGTAGAATATTCTCTGTAGAGTTTAAATATATTAATCAAATCAAGTGTCTTAATGGTATTATTTGATAATTATACATTTAACAATTTTTTGGTTTACTTGATCAAACTGTGGAAAAAATGTGTGAAAGTCTCCCACTTTAATTATGATTTATGTAAAATTTTATTTTGTCCTTTTGAAAATGTTTTTGCTTATGTTTCACTGTTATTACTTTGTTTCGCTGCTACTATAGTTTCCATTTAGACTTTATACTTTTGTCCCATTTAATGTGTTTTTCTTTGAATTCTACTTTTTTTATATTAATATTGCCATCCTGCTCCCTTTTTTGTATTCGTTTATCTAATATTCCTTGTTATTTAATTGACAAGGTTTCAGGGTCTTTTAGTTATAAGCGTATCTCTTGCAAACAGTACGTACAGAATGTCTTTTTCACTCTATCTGATAATCTTTGTTAATTGAGAAATCTATCATTTTACATTTACTATGTAATCAATATGTTTGATCTGATTCTTGTTATCTTATTTGATGGTTTTTTTTTTGGTATTTTCCTTTTTTCTACCTTTTCTGACTTTATTATAATGATTTTTATTTTTCCTTGGACATTTTTTTCTTCTATTAATTTAGAAATTCTGTATCCTATTTTTTTGCCCTATTAGTGGTTATTTAATACAGTCACTCGGTCAGGAGAAATTGTGAAACATGGCTATGTTCTCAACTGAGAAGCCAAGAAAGAGTTTGAAAATATTACTGATGAGTTGGAGTTCATTTAAAGCCAGGAAAGTAAAAATGTAATAAATTCTGATTGGGATATAAATAAAAGTTTAAACTTAAAATAATGTGGTTTTTAATATACCTATGTTTCATTTTCAATATTTTTTCAGCTACTTTAATGTTCTGGAAAAAAGTAACCATTAAAAATAAAACCACTCAAGACTATGTATATGGCTCCCATAGGGCTCCGCATGGCATGGGTTTTCATTCAAAATTTTGGTACTTTAAAGTCTTCATCTTGTGTATTAACACTAATTTTAAAAAAATACTGCATTAAAATATTATTTATCTGATTACCTAGGTTTGTGGTGCTCCCCCTTAAATTCTGCACCTGAGGCGAGTGCCTTACTTGCTTGACTCTAATCTTAGCCTAGTTTCAGAATTAAATATGGTGTTTACTCTTGGGTTTTGGCAGCTAGCCTTTATCAAGTTAAAGGTGTTTCCTAGTTTTATATGAGTTTATTTCATAAATGGGTGTCAAATTTAATAAAAACTTTTTTGGGCTTGTCTTGAGAAGTTTACATGATTCTCCTTTAATCTTTTCTGACAGGGTCCCATTGGTTCATATCTTCTCAACCACTGAACCTGATTTGCATTCTTGGGACAAACACTACTTGCCCTATTTTAAGAGGCACTAATCCCATTTTTAATACTTTACAGAATTCAATTAATATTTTTACATGTATACCCATATATGATATTGCTTATTATTTCTTTGAGAATTGTTTTTATCAGGATTATATCCCATAAAATGAGTTATATGGCTTCCCAAATATATCTATGCTCTAAAACAGTTGTAAAAGAAATAACTATCTGTTCCTTAAAGGTTTGGTAGAAATGACCTATAAAATTGCCTGGGCACGGTGCCATTGGGAGGGTGGTGGGGAGGGAGGCTATAATTTCAATTCTATTACTCAGGTTATCCATATCTTCTCGAGCTAATTTTAAAAATTTGAATTTTCCTACAAAATTGTCATTTTCTATTTAGGCTTTCAAATGTATTGGTATAAAGGTGAATCTATTTTTCTCTTACAATGTAAATTTTCCCTGTCTCTCTAGTCACTTAGCATTTTTTATTCTGGGTGTTACTTTTCCCTTTTAGTTTATTGATTAACTTTTAGTTTTCTTTCATTAATTCCTTCCTATTTTTGGCATTTACAGTTGACTCCTGAACAATGGGAGGGTTAGGGGCACCGATCCCCTGTTCAGTCGGAAATCTTTGTGTAACTTTTGACTTCCCCAAAACTGAGTTACTAATGGCCTACTGTTGACAGGAAGCCTTATTTATAATATAAATAGTTGAATAACACATATTTTATATGCTATATGTATTATATACTCTATTCTTAAAGAAATAGAGAAAATAAAATGTTATTAAGAAAATCATAGGCCGGGCGCGGTGGCTCACGGTCTGTAATCCCAGCACATTGGGAGGCCAAGGTGGGCGGATCAAGAGGTCAGGAGATCGAGACCATCCTGGCTAACACGGTGAAACCCCAGCTCTACTAAAAATACAAAAAATTAGCCGGGCACGGTGGCGGGCGCCTGTAGTCCCAGCTACTTGGGAGGCTGACAGGAGAATGGCGTGAACCCGGGAAGCAGAGCTTGTAGTGAGCCGAGATTGTGCCACTGCACTCCAGCCTGGGCTACAGGACGAGACTCTGTCCCCCGCCCCCCCCCCAAAAAAAAAATCATAAGGAAGATAAAATATATTTACTATTCATTAAGTGGAAGTGGATCATCATAAAGGTCTTCATCCTCATCATCTTCACATTGATTAGGCTGAGAAGGAGAAAGAAGAGGGGTTGGTCTTGTCTCAGGACTGGCAGAGGCAGAAAAAAATCTATGTAAGTGGACTCATGCATTTCACATTTGTGTTGTCCAAGGGTCAACTGTATTATCTTCTGGAATCAAAAGGTTAGTTCATTTATTTTATTTTATTTTTATTTTTTATTTTACTTTAAGTTCCAGGATACAAGTCCATAGCGTGTAAGTTTGTTATATAGCTATATGTGTGCCATGGTGGTTTGCTGCACCTACTTCATTTATTTTAAATTTTTCTTTTGGTATTTAGAACTTTGGAGTTACTTCTGTCCTGAATCATTCGAACTTTTTATTTAGATTACTTTTTTCAGCTAATACTTGTTTAGAAGTGTTTTTATTTTTTGAATTTACAGATGTAGATTTTCTAACTTTCTGGATTAATTTTGTCACCAATTTCTAATTGTATCACATTGTGCTCAGTAAATGTGGCCTATATAGTATAAATCTTTGGGATTTCCTGAGATTTCCTTTGTTAATACATGGGCAATTTTGAAAAATCCTTCAAGTATGTTTGGAAAGAATGTGTATCCTCTGTTGGGTACAATGTTTTCTCCATACTTACCTACTAGAGCATGCTTGAAACCAGGTCATCCAAATTCTCTGTATTCTTATTTATATTTTGTTTCCATCATATGTTCTTTTCTGAGAGACTTATGTTAAAGCCTCATAGTAGAACTGCGGATTCATCTATTATTCCTTGTAGCGTTGTCAATTTTTACTTAACATATTTTAAAGCCATGTTGTTAGAGAGGCATAAAAGTTTGTGGCCATTTCGTTTTTTTGGTTAATTATTTATTTTACCAGTATGAAAATTTTTGTGCCTTCTAAGGCTTTTTTACATTGAATTCTACTATATCTGATAGGAATATTCTGCAGCTGCTTCAGTCAGTATTTGTGTTTGTCATGGAAAATTGAGATTCTGGATTGTATTTTAAACTTGGCATATTAAAGTACAGAAGAGTGTGTATGTTACGTTTTATGTTAGAAAGAGAAAAAATAAGAATATATACTAGAATTTGCTTGTATTTGCATTAAAAAATACTAGAAGGTACACAAAAAACTAATTTTGTACTTAACTACATATTTTAGCCCAATGCTGATGGTTGAATGTTAAAAATTAATAAATAGCTAAGCTCAAGTCTGAAGCAAAAAATCAACATCATAAAGCAATCCTCTGGGATTCAAGAAAATATATATAAACATACATAACAATGTTTAGTTATAATTACAATTTTATTATTAAAATTTATTAGTCACATTTTAAAAGTATGACACTATAGTCCAGAGACAATAATTCTTTTTTTTTTTTTAACACTGTCAGCTGTTATGGGAACATATACTGGACATGTTAAATAACAAATAGTTTTATTCTTCCAACCAAAGTTAATATAGGAACAAGAGGCTTTTTAAACCAGGTCTGGCAGTGTAAGCTCCTGCTGTTAGTGCTATTGCCAGTGTACTATTAATTTTGTTGTCTTCTCTAAGAGAAAAAAAAAAAAAGAGACTTAACTCCTGGATTTGAAGATTTGGTGCACTTTAAATGACGTGATCCCACGGAATGTATATGCAGACTTCAGGTTATTATCTTCAGTTGTATTTTGTATTCTTAAAACATTCACTTGAGAAATATTTGTTGTTAAACATTGGACTTAAAACGTAGCATTAGAACAACAAAATTGGCTTTTAAGACAATAAATTGCCTGTGAATTTCCATTTTATTTCAGCTTTTGCTTTATGCACAATTTCAGAAACTTTTCTAGGGGAAAATAATAAATGACATTGAAGTAGGTATTTGGTTTCTCAGCCTCCACAATACTGAAGGCCATGTGAAAACTAAAACACATATGTTAGCTAAATTCTGAGGCCCAAGACAAACCTTGGTGCATCATTATATAAAACTAATAAAAGTGGAACCTTCTGTATGTATTATTTATTAATAATTTTTAAAATACTAAAATATTTTTAAAGTTAACTTGCTTCACTTATTTACTTATAAAAATATGCTTTTACTTGTTTAAAGCACAGTTAGTTATTTACTTGTAAGAAAAAAAGGACCGCCTTAATCTATATCCTCAGTCCTAAGAAAATCAGTACAATCTTTATCATAATGGGCATAATGGTTGTGTTAGTCCTAATAATGAGATACTAGTAGATTATTTATCACAGGATTGGTGAATAAAATTTATTTCTACACCAAAATTTAGAGTATCATGATGAGCAAGCATGGTTTTCTATGGCAAACATTCTAAAAAATCTGTTCCTATAGCAAACTACATTAGGTCTCATGGTCTCAAGGTCAAGGTCACAGGTCAACCATCTTTGGGATAATTAAACTGTTCAACATTGTCAGAAAGCTCATTTCCCTTTGTTGTAAATAGACTCAGAAACTCAATTTTATGTTGGCAATATATATAATTAAGCATAAACCTGACAAGAAAGAAGCTTCAACTTACCTTGACTAATGTTTATTTTCTTAGCGTCCTTAAGTTAGACGTTTTGTAAATATTTTCGGTTTTTGCATTTATTCATATTATAGGAGGTAATGGCTAGTTCATCACTTTGCATTCATTTTCATAGCATCTATATTAATAGTCTCCCTTATTTTCAAGGTTCTTCACTAAATTGCCATTTGAGACTTGTGGCCTCTGGTGTCAGCTTATTCATCAAGGATAAAATAGCAATAAATGGTAATTATGATTTTCTGTTTCCACAGCTTGTGATATGTGTTTTATACTTTGATTTTAAAACTTTCTGAGCTATTTTTAACAAATATATCCCCTGTAAATAGCTTGTGGCTGGATTTATTTTATACAGCCTTAGAGTCTCTTTCTTTTCATGAGCTGGTTACATTTATATTGTACATTTACTGATTACATTGAGGATCCTTCCTCCAATTTTATCCTGTTTGCTTTCTACTTATCGCAGTTTCTAGCTGGTTCTTTTACTCCTTCTCTTCCATTCAATTTCTTGCATCTTATTGCATTATTTTAGTTTTCTTTAATCCAACTTTTTGTTCCATGAGTTTGAAATTGCCAGAAAGAACTGAGATTACATCACATTTATAAAAATAATTAATTAGACATCACATATTTTTAAAAGCATGATTATTAAAATACAAATACAAAATAACAATAGGTGGCTTGAATAGCAGAATAGACAAAGCTGGAGGACAAATGAATGAGCTTAAGATCAAGACCAAAAAATATCCCAGAGTGCAGCAAAGGGATAAAAAGATGTTAAATCTGAAGAAAAAGAAAAAAGTTAAGAACCGTTTCTAATATCATTTTTTGTACAGGGAAAGGGTGCCTCCTGTATTCTGGTCAAGCTCCAAACATCCCAACTTTGGTCTAGTTGGAATTCCAGAAGAAGGGAGGCAATAGTCACAGAAACAGTAGAAGAAAAATTCTAGAATGAAAGAAGACTTTTTTTCCCTGGCTAAAGGAACCTACTGAGTGCCAAAAATGACACAAAATACCACAACCAAGAACAAAATCTTTATATCTAGATACACTATAACAAAATTTTAGAGCAACAAGAAATAAGAGAAAATCCCGGCCGGGCGCGGTGGCTCACGCCTGTAATCCCAGCACTTTGGGAGGCCAAGGCGGTTGGATCACGAGGTCAGGAGATCGGGATCATCCTGGCTAACATGATGAAACCCCGTCTCTACTAAAAACACAAAAAATTAGCTGGGTGTGGTGGCGGGCACCTGTAGTCCCAGCTACTCAGGAGGCTGAGGCAGGAGAATAGCGTGAACCTGGGAGGCGGAGCTTGCAGTGAGCCGAGATTGTGCCACTGCACTCCAGCCTGGGCAACAGAGCGAGTCTCCGTCTCAAAAAAAAAAAAAAAAAAAAGAGAAAATCCGAACAACCTTCAGGAAGGAAATTTTAAAGACAGACTAGAAGACCGATAGATTTCTCATCAGCAACATTAGATGGAAGATGACAAGGAAACATTTTATAAAACTACTATAATCTTTATACAAAAACCAGACAAGGACAGCATGAAAAAGGAAAAAATATAGGCCAGTTACATTAATTAACACAGATGCAAAAAAAAAAAAAAAAACAGTAAGCAAATGCCATCAAACCAAAATGAGAATTTATACCATAAGAGATGTATTTTATATCTCACAGACCGAGAGAAATTAAGTAGTCTGATAATACCAAGGTTGGAGGAAATGTGGCATTGTGGAAATTTTGTACATTGCTGTAGGATTTTAAATTGTCATAAGGTAAAATAAAACAGTAACTACAGAAAACTATTTATGGCATGGCCCCATTTTTATAAAGTCCAGAAACAAATAAAATTACATATGATGTTTAGAGATGTATACATCTATGGTAAAACTGTGGGGAAAATGCAAGGGAACAGTAAACGCAAATTCCCAGACTATTTTTGGGAGTAGTGACAGTGGGAGGAGAAACAGATCAGGGGTGAGGCCTGGGCAGGAACACATGAACCGTTTCAGTATTATTGGTTATATTTCCATTTTTTAAGTTGGATCTTGCTTTACGAATATTGCTTTATTAATAATTTAGTATTTATTATTTATGGATTTCATTATTTTACATTTTACTCCAAATTCAATATCACACATACTGCCTTTGTATGTACATATACACACATATATGTACAAAAGAAAAATATATACGAAGTAGCACATAAATAAAAATATTTTTAAGTGGTTCTGAAGGAAAATGACATTGACCACAGAATGCCATACCCAAACAAAGTGGGAATAGTGATATTTTCCGACATGTAATGACTCAGAAAATGTATCATCCACAGAACCTTTCTGAGAGAATTACTGGGATATGTTCTCCAGGAAGAAGAAAAACAAGAAGAGAAGGAAGAATGTTGAAATTTAAGAAGCAATGTGAGCAAACGCATTAGTAGACGGCTATTATGAAGTGCAAATAAGCAGATATTTGGAAAATTAATTACCTGGAATGACATGTAGTCATCCCTCAGTGCCCCCAGTGGGACTGGTTCCAGGAACTCCCACAAATACCAAAATCCACAGATGCTCAAATTCTGATATAAAATGGTGTAGTACTGTATTAGCATATAACCTACACCATCCTCCTGTATACTTTAAATCATCTCTATTTTACTCATAATACCTAATACACTGTAAATGGTATGTAAATCATTGTTATACTATATTTTTATTTGTATTTTTTTATTGTTGTGTTATTTTATTTTTATTTTTCTCAAATATTTTAGATCAATGATTGATTGAATCTTTGGGTGTGGAACCTGCAGATACAGAGGGCAAACTCTTCAGATGAGATCAATATAATGGATGGAAGGGAGAGGGAACAAAATGAAGTAAAAGTATGTTAAATTATTTTTAATGAGACATGATATAAATGTTGATGTTAATTCTGTGTGTGCCTCAGGTTTTGGTTAGAGATGCCAAAGTCCCTTCAGAAGTACTTACCTACCAGTGAGGGGATTAGTCACATAGGTGCTAATGGAGGGAAAGCAACTGAAAACCTTTCTGTGGACACATGCCCCACCTCCCCTCCACAGCGTTTCATGTGATTAAACAGATACCTGGAGCCTGCTGTGAGGTATTGTGCATGGAGTGTCCTGTCAGGATGACCCCAGGTCAAGCTGGAGGATCACTGGACTCACATCAGCAGGATCGATCCCAGACCCACGGGCTACCTCCTAAAACCAAGGGGTCTGTCCCGGAGACACATTAGACACAGATTCTGCTCTAACCCTGGAGAACTGGAGGAGAAAGCTTCAGTCCATTTTAAAAGAGCCATTTTGTCCTAGCTTCCATTTACCAAGAGGTCAGAATTGCAAGGAGCAGAACTTTAAAATCATTAGGAATTTCTTAGTGATTACAAATGTATACTTATCTCTCATCCCGAATTTTTCATTTCACTGAACAAAAAGCTAAAATGTCCAGTCGGAAGCCTGGCATCTGTGGTGGTCAGGGTTCACTTAGTCTCAGGAAACCCCTGGGTCTGTGCACCACCACACTTACCATTTCATGGGGGCACTGTTCCCCCTTTGGCCCTCCTGCTTCATAACGTTCTCCTAGTGCAGCTATAGTAATACTGCTTTGTTCATTCTCTGCTTATTAAATGTGGCTCTGTACAGAATGTGCAGTTACTTGCATTTTGCTGGATTGGAGTGGATTGATGCTGACAGGGTGAACTCGGAGGAATATAAAAGGCAGTGACTGAGACCTCGGAGTCCAAGATAAAGTAGATCAGATTCTGATTTTACACACAGTATTCGAGAGGCCTCTGAGAGCTACCAGTGACCCGGGAGTCTAGTCTTGCGGTCCTCAGCCCAGCATTGGCCAGGATCACAGTCTATTATAGCAATACGGCTGGAGAGCTTAAAAAGAATCTGCTGTACCTTTTTTTTTCTGGGATTGAAACCATTTTTAGAAAGGTTTTGCTTCTGGGTTTTGAATATATTTAGAATCACATAAAGGCCTTAGATAGACCCTGCAGTTGCATGAAAAAAAATCCCTGGTGGCAGCCCATGGGAAGAGGTGGCACTGATAACTCCCACTCACAAAGAAGGGCATTTTGAAAGAGTTTTGTCTTCTGGCTTGTTGTTTTGGTTTGTTTTGTTTTTGTCTTTTGTTTTTGCTATTTACATTTTTTAACTTTGCTTTCTGATTTTTGTTTAAGATTCATATTTGGGAAGAAGGTATTTTTCATTCTGATCTCTTGCTTTTTTTGAGATGTACTTTATCCTAGTTCTTCAGGAATGTTTGTAGTTCTTCATGATAAAGTTTTCTGAATATTATTTTAAAGTAAAGGAGAAGTGAAGAAGAGTTACAGAGATGTTTATTTATTACACATTTCTTTTTATGTTTCAGGTTATACAACTCACTTTTTGAGGTCATAGAAACATTTTGCTTCACAAAAATTTGATCATAGGACTTATATGTATATAGACAATATATATGAGACAGTTTTGTAATATTAGTTGAATATTTCCCTTCAAGATATTCTCTTCATTTCAGGTAGATCCTATTTTCATTGCCAAGTGTGTAAATGTGTGCGTGTTTGGGAGATGAAGAGGAGGAAGAGAAGTACCACAGAATAGAAACCTGGCCAAAAAGAAAAAATATACATAATATATCTTTCTTTCTCCTTCTGGGCAGAGTCCCAGGGTGGAAGTAGAAAGGCCAAGATAGGAAAAGAGTGCATGGGCTTTTAGGTAGAAGGGCCATAGACAGCTTTACAGAAATATCTGTGCCTCATGTGGCAAGACAGCGGTAGAAATATTTCTGCATCCTCAACCTGATCTATCATGATCTGGCTTCTGGTGGTTCCGAAAGGGCCATTCAGATACAAAGAAAGCATCTCAGTAGTGACTGCATGGACTAGATTGTACTTTCTCCCATGCCCGGGCATTCTGAAGACTCCCACTCTGAGGCACAATGCTGAGATGTTTAGGGAGGGATGGGGAGCAAAGAATTGACAAGGGTAAGGTGCTGCTATCCAAGTGGAATTAGAGGTAAAGCTGAATAATCAAAGCAAAATATAAATTCTCACACAGTTGAATTTGTGGCCTGTGGTTTATACCCACTGTTTATGCCTTGATTTTTTTCCAATAAATATATTCTTGAAATAATTTCCCTTTAAATGAGCTCTATTTTAAATATACATAAAGGTTAGACAGTTTGTTCCATACACAAAAAAGGCAAGAAACTTTTATTCTCATTCTACACTTTTTCTAGCATAAGAATAGTGTCTGACACATAACAGTGCTCAATAGTTTTAAATTAATGAATAAGCTAGATATTTAAGAATCAGTTTTATTTGTTGAATACATTTTGTGAAGAAAATAATCACTGCCAAATTTGTTTGATTTTGATTTTCTGCATTGGGTTTTCTTGAAGAGGTGCATGCCTAAATAAAAGTGCTTCATTTTTAAATATACCAATGAGTAATTTACAGCAATACCACAAACTGGGAGAAGATACATGAAAAACAGTCACAAAGATACATTATTGCTATTATGACTACAATGTAAATATAACATTACAACAATAGAAGTAGCACAAAAACTTCTAATACATGCATTTTTGGAGTTTTAAAATTTATACTTTGGAATGTTTTTGACTTGATTATGTTGGGGAAAGCCTCAGAGTTAGAGTAGGGTAGATTTTTTGGGGGAATATTTCCAAGAAAGGACTCTAGAACAGAGAAAGAAAAGAATGTGGGGACAGCAGAGCCTAGAGCTGTCAACGTTTTCAAGATGAATTTTGTAAACTAATCTCACATTGAGAATGATTCTCAATATAAGATGATATAGTCACATATTGGTTCTCCTACAACTACCAATCACTTCCTTGTGTATTGTGCTAAGCCTGTTATGGTCATTAGAGTAAGTACTGTTATTAGCGTCAATGAGAGGATGAGTGACTGACTTGCTCACCAGAGCAGACTGTGAATCTCTCTTTCCAAAGGCATGTTCAGTAAGGTCATAGCGGTGGCCTGCAGTCAGCCGTGCTGGGAGTACTTATCACAGAAAAATCAGCAAGTGCTAAAAATTGGGGCTTCTCAAGAAACATTTTTTTCAGAGAGCTGGTTGTTAAACATTTACCAGCATACCACCAGACCTATATTTACTTTTGTCCCGATTTAATATGTATTCTTCTTTTATCAAAATTATCCTGAAATTACAAGTGATGAACAGTGACAAAATATTGGTGCCAGATTATAGATACCGGCTTTTTTTGTTTGCTTGTTTTTGCTTCAGGAATACTTTTAACTTACAAAGATTTTAAATAAATTAAGGAGATAACACTGACTAGTTTGTTCACAAATAACTTAGAAAACTTCTGCAGGATCCCATTCACCTTCACCTCCTCCACCCTTACTATATTTAGTGCTAGCTGCTGGCAAGTGCTGACACTTCTGGCAGCTTTGTCTTTAGCAGCCTCTTGATTCAGCGTCTCCTATTCATTCATCATGTACACGGGGGCATTTCCTAACAAGGTCCAAAGGAAGTGTCAGTAATGCCACTTCATTTGGCGAGATGATAGAAGAGTTGCCTGAGAGTTTCTATGCTTTGATATCTCAGGATAGAGGAAGTTGATATTGTGGGACATACACAGCTTTTAAATATTACTGATTTAGTTTAAATAATGGAGTAGAATTATTCATAAGAAAATCTGTACCAGGAGAACAGCTGACCCAAGGAATAGAAAGAAGACCTAAGTGAATAGGAAATGTTGGTAGGGTCCCTAAAAGTTAACATATGCCTTAATTGGCTCTTACAAGAATTGGTTCACAGTTTGCTGAACAGATAAGATATCATTAGCCATTTTAAGTCCATTACTATTTTATAATCCCAATCACTTTTAATCAACTAACAGCAAAATGAGGGCTTTATCCTTAGCCTGTGAGGTTTTATAAATTTTAGCCATTTTTGAAAGAACATCTAGATACACAAATTTGAGGATCATGTATTCTAAACAGGGCTAGCCTTCACAACAGACAGAACTGGTGGCCACTGCTCAGTGGTCCCGAGACCTGGTCATCAGGACCAGGTCTCAATGCATGAGCCAGGTGTTGTGGTACAGGCCTGTAATCTCAGCTACTTGGGAGGCTGAGGCAGGAAGATCTCTTGAAGCCAGGAGTTTGTGGCTGTAGTGAGTTATTATCACAGCTGTGAATAGCCACTGCACTCCAGCCTGGGCAACACAGTGAGACCGCCATCTCTAAAAAAATTTTAAATTAAAATTTTAAAAAAGAAAAGCAACATGACTTCAAGTAGCTCTCTTATCCCTCAAGAATTTCACTGTCAAGAAGGCAGTAAATTTGTGTTTAACTTAGTTGGACAAGAAAACGTTTGCTGCACTTTTCATAATTTGGCTCAGAGAAAATTGAATTTCATCTGAATGCCGTCTGTCATCCCCTGAAAAACAGATGATGATACAGGTTGAGGTTCTAAAGTCAGTCTGAAAATGGGTACTCCACATAGAAGTGGTTGAACAAGCCAAGCACAGTAGCTCACGCCTGTAATCCCAACACTTTGAGAGGCCAATGGGGGCGGATCATCTGAGGTCAGGAGTTCAAGACCAGCCTGGCCAACATGGCGAAACTCTGTCTCTACTAAAAGTACAAAAATTACCCGGGTGTGGTGGTGGGCGGCCATAATCCCAGCTACTCTGGAGGCTGAGGCAAGAGAATTGCTTGAACCTGGGAGGCAGAGGTTGCAGTGAGCCGAGATCACACCATTGCAGTCCAGCCTGGGGGACAGAGTGAGACTCTGTCTCCACAAAAAAAGAAAAAAAAAGTGGTTGAACAAATTACTTCCTTGTCTTTGAGACTATAGTCATACATTCTGATAATTAGTCTTATGTAGCATTACTATGTACCCAGCATTGCTCTTTGGCTTCATATTGATTAACTAAATCAATCTTCAGACCACCTGAGATGCGTACATTCAGTATCCACCTTGAGCAAAGTTACCTTACCTCTCTGTACTTCAGTTTCCTCAAGTGAAGCACAGAGAGGTAAAGTAACTTTGCTCAAGGTCACCCAATTATTAAGATGGCAGAAGGCTTGTGGAAGTTGAGCCTACATAGTCTGTCTCCAGAGTCTGTGCTAACCTCTACGCTTACTAGCTAAGTCGGGCAGTCATAAATACAAATAAGCATTAATAATAATTGTATTTCTTAGGGTTAGAATGGACTTTAGAAGTATCTAGTCCCTAGATGCCCTGTGTTTATTATCCTAACTTGTGGTTAAACATTCCCTGCTTATTCTGTTATAGTGACAGGGAATTTCCACTACAGGAAGTAGTTAATTATATACCCGGAAATTTGTAATTGTTAGAAACTACTTCATTTAAGACAAAAGTCTTCTACCTCCATATAGCCTCAAGTGACCATTGTTCTGCTCCCAAAGCAAAACTGGATTGATTCCTCCCTTCCCACAAGTCAACCTGGAAGGGCCTACTATTGGGGTTAGTTGTCACATCTCTCTGTGGTCACCTACTTTATAGGATAAACATCCTCAGTTTCTTGATAGTTCTTTTTACATTATATTAAGACCTTTTGCCATTGTTCAGTCTCCCTCTTAAAATGAGAATTCTTGAACAGGATGTGAATTTGGCCAGGAGGACGATGATCTCTGTTTAGCTGGGTGCTGTTTTTCTATTTATGCAGCCTAATGTATAGATTTTAATCAATATTATATTTCTTGGTCACACTGGGATTTAAGTCCACTAATATCTTCAGGGCTTTCTCATGTGAATCATGATGAAAATTGATCTCTATTCTGTGTGTAGTCAGGTTTTTCATTTTAGCACCAAATGCAGGATGTTACCTTTATCCTTGTTAAAGTCTATTTTCATAGTTTTGGCTGGCATTAGGCTCTGTCGGAAGTTTTTTGAATCTTAGAATTTCATGACACTGCAGCATTGGGCATTTAACATTTATCCATGGCCTTTTGAAACAGAAATGAATTGGGGAGGGGTGCAGCACAGGTGAAGAAGCGCCTCCAGAGACTGAGTCAATCCCAGAGGGGTATTTTCTTACATACTGGTGCATTGCTAGGACTCTTGGGAAGAGTCAAAATTGAAACCAGGAATAACGTGAGAGCATTCATTATTTCCAAAAGCCCTAATTGGAGCTGGCAAAATGGTGACTTGGAGAATGGAAAGGCACTTCAGAGGCTAGTGTTTTTTTTTTTTTTTCCAAACATCCTGGTAAGTGCGATGAGGAAGCATTTGGCTGTTAAAAGAAGCTATCCCAGAATACACAATTGCAACTTGCAATTTACCGTATTTCTTAATTCCTCCTGATTTTGGACTCACAATCTTAGAGATGCTTGTTTCTATGTCTTCTATATTCTAGATCTTAGCAATAAGAACTACAAGGACGCCCTCCTAGGTAATCTTTTCATCTTCAGGGTTGCCTAACAGAAGGAAATAATCTCTGTATTTATATTGCTAGATAGTTACAATAATGTAATGGCACTTCCTGAGACAGGTTTCTTTTTCTTTTTGAGAAACATGGATTTCTTGAAGTAGAAGGAAAAGGATCTGTTCAATGTTTCCAGGATCCCTCACTAATTATACCACTATACATGCACACAGACAATCAGAACACTGGTCCCAAGACTCCAAAAGCAATGCTCTCCCAAACCTGTTTCTTCTCCTTGCTGGCACCTTCTGAATCAGTCTTGGGACTACCCACAGAGTTCACTGACACTCATAGCCAAAGGGTAATGAGGTTCAGGAAAGAAAAAAATTGTCTCTTACTCGTCTTAAATGTGCCGTGACTTTAATCTTTTACATATATTAAAATTCATCATGCAGCAGAGTTAAATCAGTAATCCTGCTCTCTCAACAGCAACTCAATAATTAATTTTCTACTTCTGAGGGTACATGTTTAAGAATCAATTCTTATTTACATTTAACTTTTCCAATAGCAGACTAGCCTTATGATGTCAAAAACTTTATGGGAATAATATAGTAATGGAAGGAGCAGATTCATAGAATCACAAAATATCGGAGTTGGAAGAGACCTTAGAGATTTTCTGGGACAATATTCTCACCATCAAATTAAAAAACAGGCCAGGTGTGGTGGCTTATGTCTATAATCCCAACACTTTGGGAGGCTGAGGCGAAAGGATTGTTTGAGCCCAGGAGTTTGAGACCAGCCTGGGCAACATAGTGAGACCCCATCTCTACAAAAAATAGAAAAAAGTAGCCAAGCATGGTGGCACACACCTGTGGTCCTAGTTACTTGGGAGGCTGAGGTGGGAGGACTGCTTAATCTCAGGAAGTTGAGGCTGCAGTGAGCTGTGATTGCACCACTGCACTCCAGACTGGATGACAGGACAAGGCCCTGTCTCAAAACAAAACAAACACACACCAAAAAATGAAAAAACAAACAAACAAAAAAGCCAGGAAAGGTGCAATGATTTGCAAAAAGTCACAAAGAACGTCTGTGTTAATCTTCCAAAAAAGTCAATAGAAGTAAAATGTCAATGCTTCTAGACCAGAGTTTCTCAACATGGGCAATACTGATATTTTAAACCTGGCAGTTCTTTTTTGAGGGGTGAGAGAGCTGGTCCTGTGCATGGTAGAATGTTTAGCAGCATCTCTGGCCTCTGTTCACTAGATGCCTGTAGCCTCCCAGCAAAGTCACCACAATCAAAAATGTCTCCAGACGTTGTCAAATGCCCCTCAGAGAGGGGAGCAAAATTGCCATCTGCTGACAGCCACTGGACTTGACATTATCTAAAAAGCAAAGCTCTGGGCCTTATTCCAAGATAACTTAAGAGGCTAAGGATGGTATTAATATCAATCATATGAGATTCACAGAAGTCTTTGCTACTGGAAATTGTTCACATTAGCTTTTATGCAACTGTAGCCCACACCATGATAGGCATGAAATAGTTAAATAGTAACACCCTTGTACTGCAACTTATTAAGACATAACCATTGTTCTGGTGCTTTCAAGAAAGGAAAAGCCATCTCTTCTTGGATCCCATGAGAAAGCGAACTTTCTAGCCAGAAGGGATTAAAAACCCTACCCCTATACACCTGCACATCCCTATACACCTGCATAGTCCAGGGCATGGACTGTGCTGGTTGCAGCATTAAAAGAAATGCAGCTGACACACTGTCAAAGGATGTTCTCAGATGAGAGAGATAGATATGGAGTCCTGTGCATTATTTAGCCATTACTGATGTACAAAATTACCATTTCACAGAGCATTTTGAAAGAAGCTAAAGACTTCTGTGGACATCAGTTAACAGGAAGTCAGAAGAGGCCCAAAGCCTTCATTTTGTGCAAGGGCACAAGCAGAGGTTGAGATCAGAGGCCTGAAGTACTGTGGGCTGTCCAAAAAAAAAGGAGCACACACCAGATGCGGCAGAGCTAGGCTCCACCCTCCATCACGCATTGCTTAGTAAGGAGGTGCACCAATGGCTGGCAGGACCCCTGCAGCCGACCTTCTTGGTGCCCTCGGCCTGCCTCTGATGTTGAGCTGCAGCAGTGGACAGATCACTCTCAAGTGGGCAGATCTTGTAAAGACAAGATCTTTACACAGGATCTTGTCTGTAGGAGGTGGCTTCCTTTATCCTCATGCAAGCATAAGCCCCAGAGAGTGGGGGCATTATGACCTTGAGTTAACTCTGAAACAATAGATGACACAGCTCATGAATAAATGATCCAGTCCCCTGTTTTCAAGTGGACAGTTCTGGAAGACATTATGCAGATTTCCCAGTGGAATCAAGTATCTTACTGCTCATAGCAGTGATCCCTATAACATGCCATAGATAGGGCTTTTTTCCTTTTCCTGTCTCATTCTCTTGCTCCTTACTCTTGATCATCTCCTAAATAAACAATCTGACCTGAGTTCTTGTCTCAGGCTCTGCTTTCAGAGGAACCCAACCTATAGAACCCCAGTGTATGGCATTCATAGTCGTAAACATTTGAATCCAAATTAACTATATGGTAAAATGCATCTGGTTCACATCCCAGAGTCTGAACTCATTCATTCTCATTGGCCATTTTGTTATCAGACATTGGTCTGAGTTAAAGAACCCCTTCTGATATTGTCATGAATCAGTGACATAGCCTCTGGATGGCTGCCTCCTGTATTAGTCAAGATTGTGGCTAACAAAATGTATTTCTGTCTGGGTGTGCTATACATTAAAATAGATGTATTTGTATTAAATAGGCTTCCAAACCATAAACTAACTGTATTCCTAAATCCTTTAGCCAAGAGAACTTAAGATTTTTAACATTTTATATCAAGACAGGTGACTGGAAATTGCTTCTCAGATTATTAACTCAGTCATTCTGGAAAAACTATGATCTAATGAGGAATGTGATTCCATGCTATCCGTTGAGAATTAAAAGTATATGTGAAAATCAGGCTGTCTTTGAGGTGCTGCCTAACAAATTTAAATATTCCTCCCTAACAGTTATATTTACATCATTCAATATTGTACAAAAAACTAAACACTATACAAGACAAAAATATTTTTATCTTTCCAAAGTCTCATGATTAACAATTTTGTGGAGGAGTGTGTGTGTGTGTGTGTGTGTGTGTGTGTGTGTGTTGCAAGAAAGATGGGTTGAACACGTTGTTGAAGAGGAGGATGGGAATAGTTGTGCACCCCATGATCTCCTCTCTCTTGGGGAAGACTCTGAACTTTCAGAGTGGGGGATGACAGGGAGAAAATGGATAGATGTCAAGCTCAATGCTTTGGGGACTCCTATAGTAGACTGTATGATCAGAAAAGTTACAGAATTGCCTTCCGTAGAGCCCTTAGATTTAAATCTCTGAGAGCTTAGGCCTATGTCTTTGTCCTCTGTCTATATCCCACAGTATTTAGCCCAACACTTTACATTTAGTGAGAGCTAGTAAGACTAATGTCTAATCTTATCTGGGTCCTTTTATGTGCCAGACATTGTTCTAAGAGCTTTATATCTGGTAACTGTTTTAATAAGAGTCTCTTAATAAATATTTTAGGATATCAAATCTAAGCACATAATTGTTACCTAAAATGTTTAGGTAAATCTGAAGCAAGTTAGACAAATCAATTCACTGGATTTTTCGAAGGCTGTTCAACTCTATGACTTTAATAAGCAATAAATGATACATCACTTTCTTATTTCTTTTTATCAGTACACTTTTAAATTTCTGATATATTTTGATTCTCATTTCTACTCCTTCTGCCCTTTCTCTGGAAGGCTACAACTTTCTTGGACAGGTAAAGTCATCTAAGCTTTAAGCTGTTTCAATTGCATTAAACCCAAATAAAATTACAGTGGTCACCAGGAGGCTGAGCTTCCCCACTTTTCTGTTAGAAGTTTATTCTACTCAGCCATGTCAATGGCTACAAAGGAGAATACAAATAGGCAATTGTATCCTTTATTATCTATCCACACTGGTTTCAACCAGTTATTGGGAGCAATAACAGATAAACACTTTCCCCAAGTTCTCTGGAGAGTGCATCCATAATTTAACTGTCTCATCTCCTTCCCAATCTTCCCAAATCTTTCTCCAAAGCAGATTATGTATGGCTCCACCTCTAAATAGTATTTACTTTATTTGCATGCACTTTTTCTCATTATAATGTCATCACTGTGGGGAGTCAGTCCTACTGGCAGGGTGCCCAGAAATGATGCATGCCCTGTTAAGCTTTAGTGGAAACCTCTTCTCTTTTGGCCAAATTCCAGATGGGCACTTGGGTACTTCAAGAATTGCAAGAATGTAAACTTTGTGTAAACTTTGTGCAGTTTCTCTATAATCATCTGTTTTTTCACATCATATTGGTGACCTGTGAACATTCTTTTGAATTCATTAATTTGACATTCTTTTTTACAAACTAACTTTAATCCATTTCCATCCTCAAATGCATTATACTAGATTGTCTCTCTGAACTTCTCTGATAAAAACTGCCTTCTCAGTGATAATCTTAGGATCTCTCTGTTTGAAGAAGAGATACATGCTCATACTAAAAACAAAAATGTAATCAATAACTTACCCTGTTAATACAAAATATCTACTGACTCTTAGCTAAAAAGTAAAATTTTGTGTGCTTTTCATAGGACATTTAGATATGCTGGCTTTTTATTGTGATGGGAACAGATTAAGTGGATGGTGACCAGCTGTTTCTTATGGTGACTATGAGACTAGAATAATAAGAAACAAGTTAAACTGAAGCTTTGAAAGGTCTAGTTTCAATATGAGGAAAAACTTCCTATAAATACAAGATGTAAAAATTTGAAATGGGTGTCTAAAGAAGATAACTCAGCATTTTCTAATGTCTTCCAAAATGAAATAAAATTGCTCTTGGATAGTTAAAATAATATCCTTTTATTGTGATATACTGGCTCAAAATCCCTTTCATTGCTGGAGAGTCATTTTTTTGAGAAAACAAAGCATAAAGAAAAATGGATATAAACTATTGCAAAGATGACAGAAGGGCATTTTAAAATAAAAATCATCACCAAATCATTCCGAACTAACTTAAAACTGTGATTTAATTCTAGATCAATGCAATTTAACAACTTTTAGGCTTCTGGTAATAAGATAAAGATAATTGAAATAAATTCCTCATTCTCCAGGAGCTCCTTATCTCCTCAATTCACAGGCAGGTTGTGAAATATGTTTTCATCAGAGCTTTGAAAGGGAGCTATAGGAGAAGAGACTCATTCCTACTGCAGTGAGATCTGAGAAGGCTCCACACAAAGAGTGGCTTTTGAGCTGGTCCTTGAAAGATGGACAGGATTTTGATGAGCAGAGTTGGAGTAGAGAGACACATTTCCTTCAAAGGAATTGGAATTAATAAAGATCTGAAATTAATAAACACTTGAACTGAGTGGAGAATGGAAGTACAGGCAAGGGAAGGTGGCAATAATAACAAAAAGAAGATTCAAGTAAGAACAAGACACCTTAATTCTTTCATGGAGGCATCAAAACCAGAGATATTGATCCATTAAGGCCAAGATAAGGATGCAGCAATGAAAGTGCAGTGTACATGATGGGAGTGCCATATTCAGAGCTAATTCATCTGGGAAAATCCATCTGAGATGAAATATAAAAGAGATCCTCATAAATAGTCTCATTATAAAGTAATGTTCCAGCCAGATGGCCATGCTGTATGTAGTACTTTTGCACCCTCTCTACTCCAGTAGTTTATCAAATACCCTAGGCTAGTAGTCTCCAAACTTCAGGCATCCCTGGGCCACTTCATAATTTTTGTCATATCTTTGCCCCAGCTACACTAATATTTACTTAACATTTTTTTTATTTTTAGTTTTTTGAGATGGTGTTTCACTCTTTTTGCCCAGGTTGGAGTGCAATAGCACGATCTTGGCTCAATGCAACCTCCAACTCCTGGGTTCAAGCGATTCTCCTGCCTCAGCTTCCCAAGTAGCTGGGATTACAGGTATGGACCACCATGCCTGGCTAATTAATTTTGTATTTTCAGTAGAGACGGGGTTTCACTCTCCTAGTCAGGGTGTTCTTGAACTCCTGACCTCAGGTGATATACCCACCTCAGCCTCCCAAAGTTCTGGGATTATAGGTATGAGCCAATGCACCCAGCCAACACTTATCTTTAAATTAAATACTTCTTACTTTAAAGATAGATGCTTTATATTATTACGATAAACAGAAAAACAATATAATTTGCCATTAATAGATTAACCATAAAAGTAAGTAAGTTCAACTAAAGCAAAATGATATTACTAATTTCTAGCTAAATACCATTTCTACCTGGAGATTTGAGCTTGAGGCCTGTTCTCTTTTTGCTAAAAATTTAGGCTAGAAAATATTAGAGGTTAAAGACAATCTAGCATTAGACCGAGAATTTTTTCTAGACCATACAGAAAGATTGAAAGAAATTGAAAAGGAGTATGATCCAACACTATTTGGTGTGGTTGACAGGGACTATCTTTTTCAAAAAAATAATACCTTCTTTGGAATGAATCTCTCATGCGTTAGTTTGCTCCTGTTACTCAGTATTGTAAAGTTATCCTCATTCTAGACACTTGTTTGTTTCTTTTAGTTTCTTAATTGTTCTTTATGCAAATGTTTAGTTAAGCAACAACACATGAATTAGTTAAGGTGATGTTTTTGGCTGTAAGTAAAAGGAAAGAAAACATAACAAAGGAAAGAAAACATAACCACGACTCTTCAGATTGAAAGAGTGAAGAACATTTATTTCACATAGTTGTTTCATAAGTAGGGTGGCTTCAAGCACGGTTAATTCAAGCAGCTCATAACGTAAGAGACTCAGGTTCCTTCTGTCTTTACGTGCTGCCAACCTCAGCTTTAGTTTTGGTCTATTTCCATCATGGTTTTATGATGGCTGTCCTAGTTGCAGGCATCCTCTGCAGATGTGGCAACATCCAGCAGAATAATATCAACAAAAAGATGATTTTCCTGTGTATCACTTTTAGAGTGAGTACACTTCCTAAAAGATTTTTCCTCACTTCACTGTTTTCCCTTATATCTCCTTGGCTTGAAATCTATCACACGTTCACATTAACCAATCTGTCTGTAAGAGTGGCAGTCTCACAGCCCACTGTGATCCCAGTTGACAGCCAGCACTAATCATTGGAGTCTTAGGAGTGGGTGTTTCAGCCCCAGGTGAGCCACTCGGCTGCCATATGGAGCAGAGACACCATCAGGTCCTATCCCAAATTGCAAAATCATGAACAAATAAATGATTATTGTTCAAGGACTCTACTATCTGGGGTTGTTTGTCATATAGCAATAAATAACCAAAACACAAACATATACTTTTTAAATATGAAAATTATATAGGGTTATGAACTTTAAATTTCATCAAGACCACTAACATGCTATTAGCAACTAGCATCATCATCTCATAAAAGAAGAAAAATGTTAACATTAAAAAAGACACACAAAAAAATAAAAAGATAGTCTCAGACCAGAGATTAGTTATTTAAATTTAATAAATTTAACTTAAACTCATAAGCTGGGCACGGTAGCTCGTGCCTGTAATCCTAGCACTTTGGGAGGCCGAGGTGGGCAGATTACCTGAGCTCAGGAGTTCAAGACCAGCCTGGGCAACATGATGAAACCTCATCTCTATTAAAATACAAAAGCTGGGCAAAGTGGCATGCACCTATAGTCCCAGCTACTAGAGAGGCTGAGGCATGAGAATTGCTTAAACCCTGGAGATAGAGGTTGTAGTGAGCCAGGATCGCACCACTGCACTCCAGCCTGGGCGACAGAGTGAGCTGTCTCAAAACAAAACAAAACAAAACAAAACAACACAGAAAAACAACTCACAATATTGCTCTTATTTTTCTCATTTTGGTGGAGGTGGAGTGGGGGAACTTAAGAAGATATCAGGAACTCATGCTTGGAAATGATTGCTCTGCCATCTCACAGGACAATAACACAGCAAGCTTTCCTTATTTAAGAGCACTTTAAAACTTAAATGAGTTTTCTTGAGGAAATACTTATTTTGCACAAATTAACAGGAAATTCTTCATTTTCTGAATTATAACCAGTACTGTTAGTACATTATCATAAGTAGATAACAGATCTCACTAGCTAAATCCACAATTTGGATAGTCATGTTAGTGTGATTTGCAAACTTTGGTTACATACGTCGTTGGAGGATCCAAAACTATTGACACAATTGGTGGGTCAGTGATGAAGAATTAGTTACTGGGGTTGAAAAACTTTCCTTGCATAGCGTGTTCCCAGGCTTGCCTTGATCCAGTGTTACATACCAGTGACTGGCATGCTGCAGTGAAGTGGAGAGCAAAATGTGTTCTGGATTCCTCTCCAAAATAAGCTATCCACATTCTCATGTTGTGAGGCCACTAAGAAGAGCCTGTTGGGTGACACATTCAGTTTCTCCCCGACCAATCCTGGCTGGCAAGGTGCAGACACAGTGTGTCCCACAGATCCGAGGCACCAGCTAGCAACTGGGCGTCTTCGACAAGTTCTCAGAGAGGCTGTCTGAATGTTCTCAATAGCTCCTTTCTATAGCTGCCAATGAAATTACTAGGATCTACACAAGACATATTGAGTGAATCAAGTTATTTTCATAATCAATGTTTTGGACTAAAATGTATCAGAGTGATACGGAATATTCAAGGCATTTTACCCTTGACATTTGTTTCTACACATGTGTCATAACTTTTGAGATAGTGAGAAGGCTTTTCTACTTGTTTAGCAGTGGAAAACATTTCCACCCCTCTTTGGCTTCTTACAATAGTTTTGTGGAAATTAAAACAAAGAGAGCAAAAACATTTTGAATTAAATGCTAGGAAATGTTGGATACAGGCAACTCAATGCCTGAAAAATAAGGAGGTGAATTTATTTCTTTGGCCACATTTTATGTACAATTGAAAGTCGTATATGCATTGTTAAAATTTATAAAGATATCCATCGATATGGTTTGGCTCTGTGTCTCCACCTAAATCTCATGTTGAATTGTAATCCCTAATGTTAGGGGAGGGACCTGGTGGGAGGTGATTGGATCATGGGGGCAGATTTTCCCCTTGCAATACTCGTGATAGTGAGTGAGTTCTCATCAGATCTGATGGTTTAAAAGTGTGTGACACTTCCCCCTTCGCTCTCTCCTTCTCTCCTGCTCTGCCATGGTAAGACATGCTTGCTTCCCCTTCACCTTCTGTCATGATTGTAAGTTTCCTGAGGCCTCCCAGCCATGCTTCCTGTACAGCCTGCAGAACTGTAAGTCAATTAAACCTCTTTTCTTTGTAAATTACCCAGTCTTAGGTAGCTCTTTATAGCAGTGTGAAAACGGATTAATACACCCATGAATACATTTAACTTAAAGTCAGACTTGTGATATTTAAGAGTAAGTGCATTTCCTGGTTCAAATAAACCAACTCTAAAGGGCTTCTTTAGGACAGTAGAGGAACGTTAAATATTATCTAAAAATTAAATGCTAATAAGGAATAATTGTTACTTTCATAAGGTATGATAATAAAATTGTGGGTTATAGTAAAATACCCTGGTTTTTCAGGGATGCATTTTGAAATATTTGGGGGTGAAATATCATGGTTTCCATAATGTTTTAAAATACTTTAGATTTATGAAACAAATATGCCACAATAATAATTTTTTATGAGACAGGGTCTCACTCTGTTGCCCAGATTGCAGTACAGTGGGGCAAACATGGTTCGCTGCAGCCTCAACCTCCCAGGCTCAAGTGATCCTCCCACTTCAGCCTCACAAGTAGCTCAGGTATGTGCCACCACACCTGGATAATTTTTAAATTTTTCGTAGAGACACAGTCTTGCCATGGTGCTCAGGTTGGTCTTAAATTCCTGGGCTCAAGCAATCCTCCCACCTTGGCCTCCCAAAGTGCTGGGATTATAGGTATGAGTCACTACACTTGACCAACAATTATTTTTTAAAGGTGATATGTATGTATTTATTATGCTAGTCCCTCTTCTTTTCTATATGTTTAACATTTTTCATAATAAAAGTGAAAACAAAAGAAGGATACATATATTGTATGCTTGTGTTTTCCTTTCGGGGAATATAATAGAGGGAAGTTAACAGATCTTGAATTATACTTTACAAAATTGATGCTAATCTTGAAAGAAACATCTACTTTGGTTTCCTATAAGCCTTCCTTCCCTTCTGAAAGGCTCTCTTTCTAATTTTGATTCAATCCTACTTATGTCCTTAACTACTGTCCATAGACACCCTTATAGCAATCAGAATAATTTTGATATTGCTGTGATCTGAACCCAAACAAGCACAAGATTCAAATTTTGTTTTATTTAATTTGATGAGTTTCAAATGTGTGCGCTTTCATTAAGCAGGTGATTTAGAGATCAGATAATGAGGCTGACACAGCCTTCTGAATGAGGAAAAGCACAGCATAATTGAAGTCAGCTAACAGGATTTCCAGCAGGGAATGATTTCCCTGAGTGTGTGATCTGATTTCCTTTGATGTTTGTATTACAGTAATAACATTAATAGCATCCCAAACAACACTTAATGAAATTTTAGACTTGCTATATGTGAGGACTCCCCTGTTATCAAACTTGGCTGTTTCTACACAGTTTCTCTCAGATGTACAATTCAACACGTGGGAAAGCCAGGACAGTAAAGGACACATTTTAGCTTTGGATTCTGGGCCAAATATTCCTGCTTTCTTTATAATTCTGTGTACTACCCCTGCTTAAACTTAGGCAGATGTTGAGGTGAGAAAGTAGATGGCTCAACATTAATTCGGCAGGAGTACAGGACTAATGACTAAGCAAGTCCTATTGATGGTTGGCAGTGACAGTACCTTAATGTACAAGGAATAGTGCATTTTCACACTTTCAGAAAATTGTTTATATCACTTTTAAATGATTTAGAAATACAGTAGTGCTAACATAAGGAATCAAGGACTGCAATTACTACCTGCAATTTTATTAACAGTGAGTCAGTAAAAAAATATTGAACTGTGTCTTTAAAAAGCTTTTCAATGAGTGATTAACACCCAGAGAAAGGTGGGGTGGGAGAGAGAGAGAGATCATCCTGATTCACTGTCATATAAATTTGGAATATGAAAATTCATCTCTCCCCAGAAATGTTTGAAAAATAGGAGAACAGGTTCTCGCTCTCTGTTAACTCATGCCTGACTGTGACGGCTAATTCCTAGGAGTGAATTGTAAGTATCGAGGTTAAAAGATTTTCCAGATCTGATGGAAATGATTTTATACTTTGTGTATATTTGGACAAAAGGCTTGGTTCTCAGGTCAGAATGAAAAATGGGGTTGGGAGTTAGTGGGAATCTATGGCTAGTTGATGAGTTAAGAATATTTTTCAATGATTCCTTAAAGTCACACTAAAACTAAGCAATTAATTATAAGACAAGAAATTAGTAAAAGTAGGAAATTATTGACAATTGCAAGGAAAAACAGTTGTAAGTCCTACCAGTGGAGATAGAATCTACATTAATATGGGCCTAAGTTGCCAAATTTCAAGATCAAGCATATGAACATGCTGTATTCTGATACTTGTGTGATTTCTACAATTTTTATTAAAAGCACTTCAAATAGTTCACTGAATAAAAATCAGAGAAATACTGTCGCTGTAATGTGGCTGCTTGATTTTGAAGTTCAGCAAGTAAGGGATAATGTAGTCTAGGTTTCAAAAGGCATAACGTATTTCCATTCACTACAACAGGTCTTTTTAGGGCCCTGATTTCAAACTCAATTATGTTATAGTGGCTAATCTTAAATTCAATTTGAAGTTCTAAAAATTATTTTTGTTTTTCTCCTGTTGAAGTCATTTTCCTTCTCATTTTTAAAATTTGTCTCCCACCTGAACCTGCTAGCTAAATCAGAAAGCATGAATATAGTACAGATGGTGGCTTATTTTTGGCTCCAACTGGAAGAGAGAGAGATTATAAAATCACCTCACAATTTCTTTGTGTAAGTTCACTCATTTTGGTCAATAATGATTGAACCCCTCCAGAAGTCAAGGAATGTATTTGGTTGACCCTGTGTGTACAAATGTAAGAGCAAGGAAGGCAGTCCCACCCTCCAGATGATCTTAAGAGATCAGTTCACTGATGACTTGCAAATATTCAAAAGTATACTAACTTTGCTGTTTATTATTTTTTTTGCTAAGTCAATAGAGAATTAAATCTTTTACAGAAATTCATTGTCTCTAAGAATTGAAAATAGATTTTTAACATTGGGTATAAGAAAATAAAAGTGACCCATAAGAACAAATGCACCTTGGTACCTGAAAAGAGCTGAAAACTGGGGACTTGAATTTTGCTCCAGTTTTCTGGCAGCTAAGATGAAAAATGAAAACAGGTTATTTCTTGTTATTTTTACTGTTGTTGCTTTTCCTGAGAAAAATGAGACACTTTTGTTCATCTGCAGTAGCAACATTTTTCCTGAAAGGAAATGCACCTAATCATCAGTAACCTAATGGCCAACATTAATTCAACAAAGACTGGTTTCACCTTCACCAACATAAGATGAATTTGTTTGTGCAATATCAAGCATTTCGGCAAGATATTATGGTCAGCCATCATTATACATAATAGAGGTAGTGATTTTTATTCTGTTTTATAGACTAAGTAGCTAGGTCATTTACAGATCCTAAAGATTTGAAATGACATCTTTTTATTATTAGTTCACAATATCTTACTTTTCATTATTCTGGTAGTTTAAAAATCTTTAAAGAAAAGTGTTTCACTTTTCTGAGAATAGCTAACCATAAAACATAAAGAAAACCACTAGGAAATGTTTTAAAACTATTAATTGTAATGCATTCAAAAGGTTACCTAGTTTTGGTGTTATTAAAATATTTTATCAGATGATTTCCTAACAGGGCATAATGATTCTATCGGGGTAGTCATATAACATCTCTGATATTTCTTTTTACTAAAAGAGTGTGCTATGTATTTTTAAGAACATATTTCAATTTTTATCAAATAAGCCCCATATGAGATTATATTGGCAAAGACAAACCTCACTGTATTATAGTAGAAATAGATGTTTTATTTAACAAATCAAGTTCTATAAATGATTAATAATATAACAATAATGCGATTTTATGAATTCTATAGCTGATTTTTATAAATTTTTAATGTTCTTGAGACCTATAGAAAAATTGTATAGCTAAATGACTTGCTTGGTTTTGGTGGAAAAAAAATGTTAATGAGAGATTTGCATAGGTGTAAGGTGTTTGAAAACTGAAATTCCTCACTAATCAATTTGAATTCAAGTAAGAAAATGATACAGATATATTGATTGGGATACCATACTATAGTAATGTAGGAGCAAGGTTATTACTTATTACTGAGCATTCATTCAAGTGGCAAATATTTGAGTCTTATCCTAAGCCCAGCATTGTGTAAAGTGCTGAGGTCACAACAGTGAGTAAAACAGACATAGTTTTAACCTCATGGTGCTTAACATCTAATGGGAAGGTAGAGAGTCAAAATATCCCACAAATATATATAATTAGAAATTGCGTAAAGTGGTATAAAGGCACTTCTACTGCATAGGAGATGTCATAGGCAGACCCGATGCTAACGGGAAGATCAGTGAAAGCTTTCCTGAGGAAGTGGCAGTTTTGATTCTATCTGAAGGATCAGGAGGTATTAACTTACTCTGAAGAACCAGGTGAGAGGAACATTCTAGGCAGAAGGAGAAGAGTGTATAGGCCCTAAGGCAGGAGAGGCCATGAAGGAGAAAAAAAAAAAAAATGTGTGGGTTTGGATTTGGATCACAGAAAGTGTGGGGAAAGTGGCATGAAATAGGTTCAGAGAAAGAGGCAGGGCCAGATGTTAACATGGAATAAACATGAGTTTATTCTAAAAGTATTAGGAAGCCTTTTAAGTATTTTAAACAGGTGAGTGATATGGTCAAATTTGTGGGTTTTTGTTCTTTGGATTTTAAAATATTATTTATTTTACATTTTAAAACCCTAAAAATATTTACATACAATAAAATGTATTTAAGTATATAGTTTAATGAAATTTGTGCTCATAACCACCATGAAAATCAAGATATAAATATCTCTATTATCCCAGAAAGTGTTCTCATGCCTTTTTCCAGTCCCAGTGAAACCTCCCCAGCCTCACGAAGCCACTGAGCTGCTTCCTCTCATTGCATATATTATTTTTCTTTATTCTACAATTTCATGTAAATGGAGTATTGCAGTATGTACTCTTATATTTGGCTCCTTTCATTCAGCATGTATTCAAGATTCATACATGTTGTTGCATGCATCAGTCATGCTTATTTTGCTGGGTAGTATCCCATTTTTTTTGATATATCTCAATTTACTTATCCAATAACCTATTGATGGACATTGGTATTGTTTCCACTTTTTGGGTATCATGAATAAAGCTTTATGTTTGAATAAACCTACTATGAACATTTGTTTTTATGGATATATGTTTTCTTTCATAAACATAAATTGAATGGTAAGTGTACGTTTAACTTTGAAAGAAACTGCCAAACAGGTCTCCAAAGTGGTTTTTTTATTCCAAAGTGCATTCTATGTTTCCATAATCAGTGTGTGACAGTCCCAGTTCCTCCAATCCTCACTCAGTCTTGGTCTGGCCAGTCTTTTTAATTTTAGGCATTCTAACAGGTTTGAAGTGATATCTCATGTTTCAGATTTTCATTTTGAATAAATCACTTTGGCTTCAGTGTGGAAAAGAATTGGAGGGACGCAAAAGTGGAAGCAGGGGGATCAAAACTTAAGGCGACTAACTCATCTTGGTTTGGCAGGGACTGTCCCAGTTTAAAACTGAAAAGTCCCACGTTCTGGGAATCCTGTAGTTGTGGGGAAACCTGGAGATTTAGTCACCCTATGAATGAGAAGACATAATGGTGGTTTTGGCCTTAGTGGATGACAGTGAGATGGAAAGAAGTGGACAGATTCAGAAGTTATTTAGGAAATACAAATCAACAGAATTGAGTAATGTGTGACATAGCTATGGGGAGAAGTGAGACGATGCCAGGAACAACTCCTGACTCTGGCCTGCACAACTGAGTATATGGTGGTGCTGTCCACTAAGATGGAGAACACTGGAGGAGGACCAGTTCTGGGAGGATTCCCTTGAGATCAGCTTTGAATGTGTAGAATGTGAGGCTTCTTTGAGACATGTAAATGATGCTGTCAAATATACATATAGCCTGGGGCCTAAAGAACAGTTCTGGGTTAGAAATACACATCAGGGAACACAGGCAAATACTTATGAAGGTTATTAAGAACATGGATCTGGATAAGATTCTTGTAATGGCACTAACTGTAATGGAATTTTCTTAATTGGCTTTTCCAAGTGATTTTTCTCTGTAATTTTCATAATGTATGTCATACTACTTTAATATAAGAACAAAAATCAAATTTTATCATTAAAATACAGTTTATATGGCAATTTTAAACTTACTTTTGATTCCTTAATATCCTAAAATGATTTTTGATTCCAAAAATGTACCATCTCAAACTTCTTCTAGAATTTCCAATGTGGCACATTAATTCAATAATTAGATGGATTAATGAATGATTACCACCTACCTTATGTAAAAATATATTTATGTCAGCACCATTTAGAGAAAACATATCTTTAAAAACTGAGTGTTAAACATGTCAGATGTCTAAGGAGCCTGAAATTGAAAGCATCTAGATATCTCAAAACTCAGGTAGCACACCCTTGTTTGAAAGATGTATATATCAAGAAACAAAGACACAAAGACATGGAAAACATTGTCCTAGGATGAAATCCCAACATCTACATCTTAATTTAGGTATGCTATTTTCACTTAAATGCATGTAATTTCTAGATTGTCTCCTATCCAAATCTCAGAGAATGCACCAAAATCTGGATCTTAGCAATGTCAAGATTAGTTAAACATCTGACTAAATCTTAACAACTATAGATCTGTAAAGAAAAGGTTGGAGCTGTTAGAAGGAAAACTAACAAACAGAAATGAATAGCATCAACATCAACAAAAAGGACGTCCACAGAAAAGCTCCATCTGAAGGTCACCAGCATCAAAGACCAAAGGTTAATAAATCCAGGAAGATGAGGAAAAGCCAGCACAAAATGGCTGAAAATTCCGAAACCAGAATGCCTCTTCTCCTCCAAAGGATCACAACTCCTCGCCAGCAAGGGAAAAAAACTGGACAGAGAATGAGTTTCATGAACTGACAGAAGTAAGCTTCAGATGGTGGGTAATAACAAACTCCTCTGCGCTAAAGGAGCATGTTCTAACCAAATGCAAGGAAGCTAAGAACTTGAAAAAAGGTTAGACAAATTGCTAACTAGAATAACCAGTTTAGAGAAGAACATAAATGACCTGACAGAGCTGAAAAACACAGCACAAGAACTTCATGAAGCATACGCAAGTATCAATAGTCAAATCGATCAAGCAGAAGAAAGGATATCAGAGATTGAAGATCAACCTAATGAAATAAAGCGTGAAGACAAGACTAGAGGAAAAGAATGAAAAGGAATGAACAAAGCCTCCAAGAAATATGGGACTGTGTGAGAAGACCAAACCTACGTTTGATTGGTGTACCTGAAAGTGATGGGGAGAATGGAACCAACTTGGAAAACACTCTTCAAGATGTTATCCAGGAGAACTTCCCCAACCTAGCAAGACAGGCCAACATTCAAATTCAGGAAATACAGAGAACACCACAAAGATACTCCTCAAGAAGAGCAACCCCAAGACACATAATCATCAGATTCACCAAGGCTGAAATGAAGGAAAAAATGTTAAGGGCAGTCAGAGAGAAAGGTCGAGTTACCCACAAAGGGAAGCCCATCAGACTAACAGTGGATCTCTCTGCAGAAACCCTACAAGCCAGAAGAGAGTGGGGACCAATATTCAACATTCTTAAAGAAAAGAATTTTCAACCCAGAATTTCACATCCAGCCAAACTAAGCTTCATAAGTGAAGGAGAAATAAAATCCTTTACAGACAAGCAAATGCTGAGAGATTTTGTCAGCACTAGGCCTGCCTTACAAGAGCTCCTGAAAGAAGCACTAAATATGGAAAGGAAAAACTGGAATCAGCCACTGGAAAAACACACCAAAATATAAAGACCAATGACACTATGAAGAAACTGCATCAACTAACAGGCAATAGCACCATAATGACAGGATCAAAGCCACACATAACAATATTAACCTTAAATGTAAATGAGATAAATGCCCCAATTAAAGGACACAGACTGGAAAATTGGATATAGAATCAAGACCCATCACTGTGCTGTACTCAGGAGACCCATCTCATGTGCAAAGACACACATAGGCTTAGAATAAAGGGATGGATGAAAACTTACTAAGCAAATGGAAAGCAAAAAAGAAGCAGGGGTTGCAATCCTACTCTGTGATAAAACAGACTTTAAACTAACAAAGATCAAAAAAGACAAAGAAGGGCATTAAATAATGGTAAAGGAATCAACGCAACAAGAAAAGCTGACTATCCTAAATATATGTGCACCCAATACAGGAGTACCCAGATTCATAAAGCAAGTTCTTAGAGACCTACAAAGAGACTTAGACTCCCACGCAATAATAGTGGGAGATTTTAACACCCCACTGTCAATATTAGACAGATTAATGAGACAGAAAATCAATAAGGATATTCAGGACTTGAACTCAGCTCTGGACCAAGCGGACCTAATAGACATCTATGGAACTCTCCACCCCAAATCAACAGAATATACATTCTTCTCAGCACCACATCATACTTATTCTAAAATCAACCACATAATTGGAAGTAAACACTCCTTAACAATGGAAAAGAATGGAAATCATAACAAACAGTCTCTCAGAGCATAGTGCAAACAAATTAGAACTCAGGATTAAGAAACTCACTCAAAACTGCACAACTACATGGAAACTGAACAACCTGCTCCTGAAGAACTACTGGGTAAATAATGAAATGAAGTCAGAAATAAATAAGTTCTTTGAAACCAATGAGAACAAAGACACAACATATCAGAATCTCTGGGACACAGCTGAAGCAGTGTTTAGAGGTAAATTTATAGCACTAAATCCCCACAGGAGAAAACTGGAAAGATCTAAAATTGACACCCTAACATCACAATTAAAAGAATTAGAGAAGCAAGAGCAAACAAATTCAAAAGCTAGCAGAAGACAAGAAATAACTAAGATGAGAGCAGAACTGAAGGAGATAGAGACACAAAACACTCTTTAAAAAATCAATGAATCCAAGAGCTGGTTTTTTGAAAAGATTAACCAAATAGGTAGACTGTTAACCGGGCTAATAAAAAAGAAAAAAGAGAAGAATCAAATAAACACGGTAAAAAATGATAAAGGGGAGATCATCGCCAATTCCACAGAAATACAAACTACCATGAGAGAATACTATAAACACCTCTATGCAAATAAACTAGAAAATCTAGAAGAAATGGATAAGTTCCTGGACACGTACACCCTCCCAAGACTAAACCAGGAAGAAGTCAAATCCCTGAATAGACCAATAACAAGTTCTGAAATTGAGGCAGTAATTAATAGCCTACCAACCAAAAAACAAACAAACAAACAAAAACAAAACCCAAGACCAGACGGATTCACAGCTGAATTCTACCAGAGGTACGAAAAGGAGCTGGTACCATTCCTTCTGAAAATATTCCAATCAATAGAAAAAGAGGGACTCCTCCCTAACTCATTTTATGAGGCCAGCATCATCCTGTTACCAAAACCTGGCAGAGACACAACAAAAAAAGAAAATTTCAGGCCAATATCCCTGATGAACACCAATGCAAAAACTCTAAGTAAAATATGGGCAAACTGAATCCAGCAACACATCAAAAAGCTTATCCACCATGATCAAGTTGGCTTCATTCCTGGAATGCAAGGCTGGTTCAACATACACAAATCAATAAATGTAATCCATCACATAAATAGAACCAATGACAAAAACCACGATTATCTCAATAGATGAAGAAAAGGCCTTAGATAAAATTCAACAGCCCTTCATGCTAAGTATTGATGGAATGTATCTCAAAATAATAAGAGCTACTTATGACAAACCCACAGCCAATATCATACTGAATGGGCAAAATCTGGAAGCATTCCCTTTGAAAACCAGCACAAGACAAAGATGCCCTCTCTCACCACTCCTATTCAACATAGTATTGGAAATTTTGGCCAAGGCAATCAGGCAAGAGAAAGAAATAAAGGGTATTCAAATAGGAAGAGAGGAAGTCAAATTATCTCTGTTTGCAGATGACATGATTGTGTATTTAGAAAACCCCATCGTCTCAGCCCAAAATCTCCTTAAGCTGATAAGCAACTTCAGCAAAGTCTCAGGATACAAAATCCATCTGCAAAAATCACAAGCATTCCTTTACACCAATAATAGACAAATAGAGAGCCAAATCAGGAGTGAACTCCCATTCACAATGCTACCAAGAGAATAAAATACCTAGGAATACAACTTAAAAGGAATGTGAAGGACCTCTTCAAGGAGAACTACAAACCACTTCTCAAGGAAATAAGAGAGGACAGAAACAAATGGAAAAACGTTCCATCCTCATGGATAGGAAGAATTAATATAATGAAAATGGCCATACTGCCCAAAGTAATTTACAGATTCAGTGCTATCCTGATCAAGCTACCATTGACCTTCTTCACAGAATTAGAAAAAACTACTTTAAATTTCATATGGAATCAAAAAAGAGCCTGCATAGCCAAGACAATCCTAAGCAAAAAGAATGAAACTGGAGGCATCACGCTACCTGATTTCAAAGTATACTACAAGGCTGCAGTAACCAAAACAGTATGGTACTGGTACCAAAACAGATATACAGACCAATGGAACAGAACAGATGACTCAGAAATAACACCACACATCTACAACCATCTGATCTTTGACAAACCTGACAAAAACAAGCAATGGGGAAAGGATTCCCTATTTAATAAATGGTGTTGGGAAAATTGGCTAGCCATATGCAGAAAACTGAAACTGGACCTTTTCCTTAGACCTTATACAAAAATTAACTCGAGACGGATTAAAGACTTAAATGTAAGACCTAAAACCATAAAAATCCTAGAAGAAAACCTAGGCAATACCATTCAGGACATAGGCATGGGCAAAGATTTCATGACTAAAACACCGAAAACAATGGCAACAAACGCCAAAATTGACAAACAGGATCTAATTAAACTAAAGAGCTTCTGTACAGCAAAAGAAACTATCCTCAAAGTGAACAGGCAACCTACAGAATGGGAGAAAATTTTTGCAATCTATCCATCTGACAAAGGACTAATATCCAGAATCTATAAGAATTTAAACAAATTTACAAGAATAAAACAACCCCATCAAAAAGTGGGCAAAGTATATGAACAGACACTTCTCAAAAGAAGACATTTATGCAGCCAACAAATATATGAAAAAAAAGCTCATCATCACTGGTCATTAGAGTAAAGCAAATCAAATCCACAATGAGATACCATCTCATGCCAGTTAGAATGGTGATCGTTAAAAAGTCAGGAAACATCAAATGCTAGAGAGAACGTGGAGAAATAGGAATGCTTTTACACTGTTGATGGGAGTATAAATTAGTTCAACCATTGTGGAAGACAGTGTGGCAATTCCTCAAGGATCTACAACTAGAAATACCATTTGACCCAGCAATCCCATTACTGGGTATATACCCAAAGGATTGTAAATCATTCTACTATAAAGACACATGCACATGTATGTTTATTGCGGCACTATTCACAATAGCAAAGACTTGGAACCAACCCAAATGCCTGTCAATGATAGACTGGATAAAGAAAATGTGGCGCATCTACACCATGGAATACTCTGCAACCATAAAGAAGGATTAGTTCATGTCCTTTGCAGGGACATGGATGAAGCTGGAAACCATCATTCTCAGCAAAGGAACAGAAAACCAAACACCGCATGTTCTCACTCATAGGTGGAAATTGAACAATGAGAACACATGGATACAGGGAGGGGAACATCACACACCAGGGCCTGTCAGGGGTCGGGGGCTAGGGGAGGGATAGCATTAGAAGAAATGCCTAATGTAGATGACAGGTTAATGGGTGCAGCAAACCACCATGGCTCTTTTATACCTATGTAACAAACCTGCGTGTTTTGCACATGTATCCCAGAACTTAAAGTATAATAAAAAAAATTCATGAAAAAAAAGAAAAGCAAAGGTTGGGGGAGGGTTTAGAAACCTAATAAATAAATATTAAGAAAATAGGCATAAATACTAAAAAAGCATAAGCAAAAGCCAAACATTGAATATGTAGATTATATGTTCAAAGACTTATTTAAAATAAGGATACACAGTCATAGAACGGATTGAAGAGAGCCTGAGATTGAAGGAGAGATAATAAGGAAAATCTGGGTAACCTGCTCCCCTGAGTGGACAACATCCATTTTAGCAATCAGGAAAACACTCATGTAATGTAATATGACCTAGTAGACTACATCTGGAATACTGCATCTAAATCTATATATCTGAAAGCTACATTTAAACATGTAGTCCAAAGTTGTTGCTAAAAACATGTTCTATTATTTTTCTATCATAGTACTAAAAACAAGTGCCAGAAAGTTGAAGAGAAAGGGAAAAGTTTAGCAAAAAACACAGGAATAGTTTAATGAATGTCAGGTTTAAATAGTATAATGAAAGGAAAGGAACTAAACACATTAGCTAGGAGAAACTTATTAGGGACTATTCACATGTCACTCTGAAGGTTATAAATACAAGGAAGAAGGAAAATAAATGGTGCCTGGAAAACATCAGAACTTGGTAAGCAAAGTAGAATAGAATAAGAAAAGATTCTCCTTTTAAAATTTTGATTATTTAATTTTGGATAGGAGGAAGATTATCTGAATGGAGAAATTCCGTGATAACTGGCGGAAGTTTTATTCCTTGAGATATTCTAAAAACTTCATAAAGGTAAACTCAGAAAGCCTAATGGTTGGGGAAATGACTGTATATGAAGATACGGTGAGAGAGAGTGTTTACGAGGTTCAGCTCTGACTTAGGTGTCTATGAGGAAAATTCAGGGGAATGGTACAGTGTTTCCCAAATCACTATTAACACAGTAAAATGTGTACCAGATGCATACCAATTGTGTGACATTGGGTACACTTTTTAAATAAATCCCCCCTTTTGAAAACTTTTTGAGGATAGGTTTGTGACCCCATTTGCTCAATAGACAGCCATCACTGTAGCTTCTATTTTAACATAGGTTCTAATACAGCTAATCTATCCAAGCTTTATACAATAAAGGCTTGAAAGAATAAAGTAATCCCCATCCTCAGTTGCAAAAATCTTGTGTTTCAGGCAAGCATTTGTTGTTGTTTTCCTATTACTGTGATTTAATGGCATGCCTGTGGGGTGCTGAATGCATTACGTAGAGTGCATTGATGATACAGTGAATGTTTTTGAGAGCTTTTGTGCTCTGGGTTATTTTCTAAGGTGTTATTTATGATTATAAGATGCTAATACAGTAATGAGAAATGTACAAAGCAGAGTGGAGAGTGCCTTTCTCTATATTCTTTCCAGTGCCTTGAATGCCGGCTTGCTGTGATTATAACATTTTGTCCTGTTTCCTTTTATCAACAATAGACTTTCAACACTGTGTAAATTTACATTTCATTTATTCTTTGTTTAATTCAATGAATGGAACACAACTATAAAATCCAAGGGACCCTCTGCCATTCCATACACTTGTCCAACTGGACGCTATTTTAGGCTGCTTCACAATATGTATAACTTTAGGGGAGGGAATGGGGGCTGGATAACTGGAGTGTATTGAATATAGAGGCAGCTACATTAATAAACACTTCTTAATACCATTGATTTTTTTCACAATAGCAAATGTTTTTATTTAGGCTGTCCATTTCCCTATGAAATAAGATTAAATGTTTCTCTCCCCCACCTAATTCTAACTTAATGGATGTGAACAATTTTTCTCCACAAATACAGAAATTCAAAATTCTAAGGAGGAAGAATAGAATAAGTTCTTTGGCACCACTTAAGAAGTTTGAAAGGCAGCAGTTAACTGACATGTGATTCCCATTCATCCACATCCTTGCACTAGGCTGGGCGCGGTGGCTCACTCCTGTAATCCCAGCACTTTGGGAGGCCGAGGTGGGCAGATCACGAGGTCAGGAGATCGAGACCATCCTGGCTAACATGGTGAAACCCTGTCTCTACTAAAAATACAAAAATATTAGCTGGGCGTGGTGGCGGGGTCCTGTAGTCCCAGCTACTTGGGAGGCTGAGGCAGGAGAATGGCATGAAACCGGGAGGCAAAGCTTGCAGTGAGCCGAGATCACGCCACTGCACTCCAGCCTGGGCGACAGAGCAAGACTCCGTCTCAAAAAAAAAAAAAATCTACATCCTTGCACCCAACCTCATTTTTTGCTGTTCACTGTCACACTCCCTTTGGTGAGATCAAATCAGATCAAAGCTACCAGATTGCATTCATTTCTACTTCTGCATCTTTGTTTGCATAATTCCCTTTTCCTCTCAGTTCTTAAAAAACTTAAATAATTTTTATTATGACATATTTCCAATGTACAGAAGAAAGCAGAAAATAAAATACATAATAACTGTATGTATGCATCTATCACCAACTTTAATAGACTTTAACATTTGGTCACACAGTCATGTGTCACATAATGAAAATTTGGTCAATGACAGACCACATATATGATGGTGGTCCGGTAAGACTATAACATCATATATCTTTCCTGTCACCTTTTCTATGTTTAGATACACACACACCATTGTGTTATAATTGCTTACAGTATTTAGTAGGCAATTCCTTGCAGATGCTGTATAGGTTTGTACCCTAGGAGCAATAGGCTATCCCATATAGCCTGGGTGTGTAGTAGGCTGTATCATCTAGGTTTGTATTAGTCCACTCTAAGACGTTTGCACAATGATGCAATTGCCTAACAATGTATTTATCAGAACGTGTCCCTGTTAAGTGACCAATGACTATACTTTGATCTCTCCACCTTTGTTTTTGTTTCGGTTTTTGGTTTTTGGTTTTTTTCTGAGACTGAGTCTCACTCTGTCACCCAGGCTGGAGTGCAATGGTACAATGTCAGCTCACTGCAACCTCCACTTCCCAGGTTCAAGAAATTCTTGTGTCTCAGCCTCCCAAGTAGCTGGAACTACAGGCATGAGCCACCATGCCCAGCTAATTTTTTGTACTTTTAGTAGAGACAGGGTTTTGCCATGTTTACCAGGCTGGTCTCAAACTCCTGACCTTAGGTGATCCACCTGCCTTGGCCTCCCAAAGTGCTGGGATTATAGGCGTGACCCACTGAGCCTGGCCTGTTTTTGTTTTTTTTTTTTTAAAGTTTTGTTGTTTTTTTAACAGAAGAATATTAATTTCTTTTTTATAAGAATCATATTTATTTTGCATATTTTTTCTTAAAACATATATTTTTTATTTCAATAGCTTCTGGTTACATGGATGATTTGCATAGTGGTGAAGTCTGAGATTTTAGTGCACCCGTCACCCAAGTAGTGTACATTGTACACAACATGTAGTTTTTTAACCCTCACCTCCCTGCCTAACCTCCCCCTTCTGAGTCTCCATAGTCTATTATATCACTCTGCATTTGCATTCCCATAGCTGAACTCCCACTTATAAGTGAGAACATGCAATATTTGGTTTTCCATTCCTGAATTACTTCACTTATAATAATGACCTCCAGCTCCATCCAAGTTGCTGCAAAAGACATTATTTCTTTCTTTTTTATGGCTAAGTAGTTTTCCATCATGTGTATATATCACATTTTCTTTACTCACTAATTGATCAATGGGCATTTAGGTTGGTTCCATATCTTTGCAATTGTGAATTTTGCTACAATAATGACTTCTTTTCCTTTGGGTAGATACCCAGTAGTAAGATTGCTGGGTTGAATTGTAGATCTGCTTTTAGTTTTTTAAGGAATCTCCATACTGTTTTCATAGAGGTTGTGCTAATTTACATTCCTTCCAGTAATGTATAAGCGTTCTGTTTTCACCACATCCATGCCAACATCTATTGTTCTCTGACTTTTTAATTATGACCATTCTTGCAGTACTAAGGTGGCATCTAATTATGGTTTCAATTTGCATTTCCCTGATGATTAGTGATGCACATTTTTTCATATGTTTCTTGGCCATTTGCTGTTCCCTGACACACTCAGTTTGATGAGATCAAGTCAGATCAAAGCCATCCGATTGCATTTATTTCTACTTCTACACCTTTGTTTGCATAATTCCCTTTTCCTCACAGCTTTTAAAAAATTTAAATAATTTTTATTATTATATATTTCCAATGTACAGAAGAAAGTAGAAAATTACATAACCATATGTATGCATCGATCTTCTTTTGAGAAATGTTTGTTCATGTTGTTTGCCCATTTTTGATGGGATTATTTGTATGTACGCATATTATTTATTTGTTTATTTATTTATTTTTTGAGAGAGGGTCTCACTCTGTCACCCAGGCTGGAGTGCAGTGGCACCATCATGGCTTACTGCAACCTCCATCTCCCGCACTCAAGCAATCCTCCCACCTCAGCCTCCTGAGTGCCTGGGACTACTGGTGCGCACCACCACACCTGACTAATTTTTGCAGTTTTTGTAGAAACGGGGTTTTGCCATGTTGCTCAGGCTAGCCTCAAACTCCTGGGCTCAAGCGATCCACCCACCTCAGCCTCCCAAAATGCTGTGGTTATAGGTGTGAGCTACTGCACCTGGCCTAAATCTATCTTCTTTTGAGAAATATCTATTCATGTCTTTTGCCTATTTTTTGATGGGATTATTTGTTCTTTTCTCGCTGATTTGTTTGAGTTCCTTGTAGATGCTGGACATAAATCCTTTGTTGGATGCATAGTTTACAAATATTTTCTTGTACTCTGGGGGTTGCCTTTTACTTTGATTATTTCTTTTGTTATGCAGAAGCCTTTTAGTTTAATTAAGTCCCATTTATCTATGTTTTAGTTGCATTTGCTTTTGGGGTGTTAGTCATAAATTCTTTGCCTAGACCAATGTCTAGAAAAGTTTTTCCTAGATTATCTAATCTAGGAAATTCTATCTAATTCTAGGTTTTCCTAGAATCTTTATGGTTTCAGGTCTTAGATTTAAGTCTTTGATGTATCTCAAGTGGACTTTTGTATAAGGTGAGAGATAGGGATCTAGTTTCATTTTTCTACATGTGGCTAGCCAGTTTTCCCAGCACCATTTATTAACTAGGATGTCCTTTTCCCAATTTATGTTTTAGTATGCTTTGTGAAAGATCAGTTTGTTGTATTTGGCTTTATTTCTGGGTGCTCTATTCTGTTCCATTGGCCTATGTATCTACTTTTACACCAGTACCGTGCTGTTTTAGTAACTATAGCCTTGTGGTATAATTTGAAGTCTGGTAAAGGAATGCCTCCAGATTTCTTCTTTTTGTTTAGGATTGCTTTGGCTATTCGGGCACATTTTTAGTTCCAAATTAATTTTAGGATTTATTTTTCTAATTCTGTGAAAAATTATGCTGGTATTTTGATAGAAATTGCATTGAATCTGTAGATTGCTTCAGGCAATATGGTCGTTTTCATGATATTGATTCTTTCAATCCATGAGCATGGGATGTGTTTCCATATGTTTGTGTCATCTATGATTTCTTTCAGCAGTGTTTTGTAGTTCTCTTTGTAGAGATCTTTCACCTCATTGGTTAAGTATATTCCTAAGTTTTTTATTATTTTTGTAGCTGTTGTGAAAGGGATTGACTTTTTAATTTGATTCTCAGCTTGGTTCGTGTTGGTGTATAGCAGTGCTACTGATTTGTGTACATTGATTTTGTAACCTGAGATTTTACTGAATTTGCTTATCAAATCTAGGAGTCTTCTGCAGGAGGCTTTAGGGTTTTCTAGGTATACAATCATATCATCAGTGAACAGCGATAGTTTAACTTCTTTTTTTCCAATTTGGATGCCCTTTATTTCTTTCTCTTGCCTGACTGCTCTGGTTAGGACTTCCAGTACTATGTTAAGTAGAAGTGGTGAAAGTTTACATCCTTGTCTTGTTCCAGTTTTCAGGGGAAATGCTTTCAACGTTTCCCCATTCAGTATGATGTTGACTGGGTTTGTCATGTATGCCTTTTATTATTTTGAAGTTGTTTTGTTGTTGTTGTTGTTTGTTTTTTGAGAGAGAGTCTCGCTCTGTCGCCCAGGCTGGAGTGCAGTGACGCGATCTCGTCTCACTGCAAGCTCCGCCTCCCGAGTCATGCCATTCTCCTGCCTCAGCCTCCAGAATAGCTGGGACTACAGGCGCCCACCACCACGCCTGGCTAATTTTTTTGTATTTTTAGTAGAGACGGGGTTTCACCGTGTTAGCCAGGATGGTCTCCATCTCCTGACCTTGTGATCCGCCCGCCTCGGCCTCCGGAACTGCTGGGATTACAGGCGTGAGCGACCGTACCCAGCCTATTTTGAAGTTTTATCCAAAAAATGCAGGGATGATTTAACATACGCAAGTCAATAAATGTGATATATCACATAAACAGAATTAAAAACAAAAACCATATGATCATTTCCATAGATGCAGAAAAAGCCTTCTATAAAATCTAGCATCCCTTTATGATAAAAAAAAAAAAAAAAAACACTCACCAAACTAGGCACAGAAGGTACTTAACTCAAAGAAAAAAGTGTTGCTGAGAAAAACCTTCCCATTCCTTTCAGCCTAACCATTATTTTTGTAACTCAAAAAAAAATTTCTTCTGCGTGTGTGAATAGATCCACTTTTAATAAGTCAAGTGATATAAAAAGCATGAGGAGAACTTGTTAATTGAATTCATCCTAATGTTCTGGTCAGCTGTTTCTTTTAACAGACACAGTGGTCACAACTATGCTTTGATTTATCTCTTTTTATAAGCTGGATTTTTGAATATTTTTGTTTGGTTGGCTTTTTAAAAATTTTTAGATTCAGATGATGCATGTGCTTGTTTGTTACCTGGGTATATTGCATAATGGTGGGGATTGGACTTCTAGGGTACCCATCACCCAAATGTTGAACACTGTACCCAATAGGTAATTTTTCAACCCTCACCTTCCTTTCATCCTTCCCCCTTTTAGAGTCCCTAGTGTCTTTTGTTTCCATTTTTATGGAATGTGTACCCATTGTTTAGCTCCCACTTATAAGAAGAACATGAAATATTTGATTTTCTGCTTCTAAATTAATTCATTCAGGATAATGGCCTCAAGCTCCAACGATGTTGTGCAAAGGACATGATTTCATTCTTTTTTATGGCTGCGTAATATTTTATGGTGTATATATATGACATTTTCTTTATCCAATCAATCATTGGTGGACACTTAGGTTGGTTCCATTACTTTGCTATTGTGAATAGTGCTGCGATAAACATGAGTGCTGATATCTTCTTTTTTTTGTTGTTTGTTTGTTTGTTTGTTTTTTGAGACGGAGTCTCGCTCTGTCCCCCAGGCTGGAGTGCAGTGGTGCGATCTTGGCTCACTGCAAGCTCCGCCTCCCGGGTTCATGCCATTCTCCTGCCTCAGCCTCCCGAGTGGCTGGGACTACAGGTGCCCTCCACCACGCCCAGCTAATTTTTTTGCATTTTTAGTAGAGATGGGGTTTCACCATGTTAGCCAGGATGAGTCTCAATCTCCTGACCTTGTGATCCGCCCCCCTTGGCCTCCCAAAGTGCTGGGATTACAGGCGTGAGCCACCACGCCGGGCCCCCGAGTGCCGGTATCTTTTTTATGCAATGATTTCTTTCCCTTTAGGTAAATACCCAGGAGTGGGATTGCTGAACTGAATGATATTTCTATTTTTAGTTGTTTGATATATCTCCATACTGTTTTCCATGGAGGTTGAACTAATTTACACTCCTATCAACAATTTACAAGCATTTCCTTTTCTCCACATGCATGCCGACATCTGTTGTTTTTTGATTTTTTAGTAATAGCCATTCTGGCTGGTGTAAAATGATATATCAGTGTCGTTTTAATTTGCATTTCTGTAATGATTAGTGGTGTTGAGGATTTTTTTCATGTGTTTTTTAGCCACTTGTATATCTTCTTTTGTGAAATTTCTGTTCGTATCCGTTGCCCAGTTTTTAATAAGGTTGTTTGTTTTTTTCTTATTGAGTTATTTGAATTTCTTATAGATTCTGGATATTAGTCCTTTGTCAGAGGCATAATTTACAAATATTTTATCCCATTCTATAGGTTGTTTATTCTGTTAATTATTTATTTGGCTGTATGGAAGCTTTTTAGCTTAATTAAGGTTCATTTTTCTATTTTTGTTTTTGTTGCAATTGCTTTTGGGGTCTTTATTATAAACTCTTTGCATAGACTGATGTCCAGAAGAGGTTTTCCTAGGTTTTCTTCTAGGATTTTTATAGTTTCAGGTCTTATATCTTGAATTAATTTTTGTATATAGTGAGAGATAGGTTCTAGTTTTATTCTGTTGTATGTGTCTAGCCAGTTTTCCCAGCATCATTTATTGAACAGAGTGTCCTTTCCTCATTGTTTATTTCTGTTGACCTTATAAAAAAATCAGTTGGTTTTAGGTATGTGGCTTTATTTCTTGATTCTTTATTCTGTTCCATTGGTCTATGTGTATATTTATGTATTAGTACTATGTTGTTTTAGTTACTATAGTGTTGTAGTATAATTTCAAGTCAGACAGTGTGACTGTGACACCTCAGTATTTGCTCTTACTTAGGAGTGTTTTGGATATTCAGTCCATTTTTTGGTTCCATATGAGCTTTTGGAATGTTTTTTCTAATTCTATGAAGAATGACACTAATAATTTGAATTAGGAATTAGAAATTGCATTGAATCTGTAGATTGTTTTGGGCAGTATGGTCATTTTAATGACATTGATTCTTCCAATCCATGAGTATGGGATGTTTTTCCATTTGTTTGTATTGTCTACAGTTTCTTTCAGCCACGTTTTGTAGTTCTCTTTGTAGAGATCTTTTACCTCCTTGATTAAATATATTCCTAGGTATTTTATTTTTTGTGGCAATTGTAAACGAAATGGAGTTCTTGATTTTGTTCTTAGCTTGAATGTTATTGGTATATACAAATGCTACTGATTTTTGTACATTGATTTTGTATCCTGAAATTTTACTGAAGTCACCTGTCAAGTCTAGTAGTCTTCTGGAGGAGTCTTTAGGGTTTTCTAGGTAAACAATCATGTCATCAGCATACAGAGATAATATGACTTCCTCTTTTCCAATTTGGATATCATTTATTTCTTTCTCTTGCCCAATTGCTCTGGCTAGTACTTCCAGTAGCATGTTGAATAGGAGTGGTGAGAGTAGATATCCTTGTCTTGTTCCAGTTCTTAGGGAAAATGCTTTCAATGTTTCCCCATTCAGTATGATATTGGCTGTGGGTTTGTCATATATGGCTCTTATTATTTTGAGGTATGTTTCTTCAATGCCTAGTTTCCAACAAACTTCTTTACTGAGTATCTACTGTATTCACAGACTGTATTGGGATGTAGAGGGGTGGGAGTGGAGAACAAAGCAAGCAGCCTTATTTTTTCAGAGTTCACCACACAATGATCTTCCCCTTCTTAAATCCTGCCTTCCCTCATTTAAGCCTTCCTAATAGTAGTCTGACTGGCTGGCCTCCCTTCCCCAGACGTCTAGGACAGCTATAACCTCTGAGCTGAAGCTGCCTTGTACTGGCTTGTGACATCAACCCTGCACATCTTTTCTCAACTCTGCATTCAATCATGGTGAAAGTATTTACACTGCAGAAATTGGCAAACACTACAAATCAAGGTTGGTTTTTTTGTTTTTGTAGGAGAGCTGATGTACCAGCACACCGCTGCATATAAACGTACTCATTCATAAACAGCTATTATGTATACTTAAAATGCTTTTATAGATAAGTCTTAAGTATAAATCCTATAATCTCCATTAGCAATGGAACCAGGTTTTATGTGATTTTCTCAGTTTCCAAAGTGTTGGGCATATAGTAGGTATTTCATAAATACTTTCTAAGCACTTTAAAAGAGAGTGTTGATTTCTCTTCTTGCCATAGTGATTCTTTAATGGAATCCACTTTACCCCTGTGTTTTTGTTATCCTGAATTTTAAAATGCTGTTTTTTGAAATTACTTTGATAGATAATTGCTTTCCCTCTCCCTGTGAGGTAATTTCATAAACATCAAAATATGAAGTACTTGCAGCCTAGAAAGATACATCCTGGTAAATGATAGTCTCTCTGGTCTTATGCATACCCTGGCAATGCCAAGCTCTATGACACAAGCCACCTGCTCAGTGTATTTCTCAGTTGCACTATCTCTGCACACTCCCCATCACCCAGTAGGTCCCCTTTGGAGGCCGAGCTTGATGCTATTTAGTTACTTGAGAAAGGAGGGAGGCATGAACTTCTCGATCAGCAAAGGTTCCATATAGCAGGGACTACAAGGTCTATCAGAGTGGAATGGAGCCTGATGCTATCAATAACTATCCTGTACAAGTTTCTCCAGAGTCCTGGCCTTTTTATGTCATCACTTTCTCATTCCTCTAATTGGACAGCAAAGCTCATTGGAGAGACTGATGCTCTGCAAATCTTGTATTTGCAGACCTTGATCAGTATACTCCTTACAATTTTTATGCAAGGACAGAGATTCTCACAGATCTGGAATATATCTGCAGAGAGGCTGTTGTGTCTTAGGATTCCTTTAGGAGACCAAACATAAGTGAATTTTTCTCCTGTTTGGCTTCTTTCTTCAGTAAACCATTCTAGTGTTCAATCAGTTTGTCCATTTTTAAATTTAAAGAAAGTTTTTTTATCTCATTTATGCTAGCAAAATAAAAATAGAGAATAGATCATGATCATATCTTGTATCCAGCGGTTTTTTTAAAGAAAATTATTCATGGGCTTTCATTTCCATTAACCATATTGGAGGAGGTAGGGAGTAGAGGGTGCTTTCTGCTTTGTGATATAACTATTTACTTTGGTTTATGCTACATTAGTAAGTGAAACAGCTTCAACTTCCTTCCTCTATCTTGCCAGAATTCCCAACATTCAGACCATTTGGGCCACTTTCAGAACTCTGAAGACATTCTATCAAGTACAATCTCCTGCTCTCTGCTTCTTTCCAGTGGATTTTAATAAACTCTAAATCCTAGGGGAGGAAGTAAAGGCAATAAACTCATTTTTCCCTTTTCAAGTGGTTTCAAAATCCTCACTTTGAAAAGAAAAGGCTTTGCAGAAGTGAATTCTTTCTCATTGTGTTAGTGACAGATAAGGAAAATGTGCCCCTCCAATCACCTTGCCTAAGTGGTCCCTGGGGTGCTTCACCGGCCTGTAAGCCATGCATCATTTTCTGTCCCAGCCTTTGTGAAGACAGCCAATAGCTCACATCAGACTTTACTAGGATCATGTTTCTTTGCTGGTCTCCTGACTCTTCATGAATCAAATCCTTAGCAGGCCTTAAACGTGCCTTATCAGTTATTATTAATAGTAACTGAATGTTGTCACCACCCAACTGGTCCATCTGCAGCAAGTTTTCTTGCTTTGGCTGACACAGAAGAAGCAGGCAACATCCATCTTTTTGAACCATTGATTCACACAGGGACTGAAGAAAAAACACTGAACAGGAAAAAAACACCAAATGCTCTCTATGGTTTGCGTTCAGACTTATATGACAGATGAAAGGCAAGGGAAACCAAAATAATAGCTCTGAGAATGATGAGGGCTCCTGAGAGAAAACTCCCAGTGAGAGAGAAAGATTTGTGAAATAAGCCCGACCCATCAACAGCATTCAAGCAACATTTATTTCAATAAATGTTCACTGGATGCCCTACTATATGCCAGACCCTGCACTAAGTATCAACCTTAATTCTACATGTTTTGTCATCTGTGCATACAAAAAATAAGAATACTGACACATTCAGAAACAGGACAATTTTACAGTTATGGTTTTAATAGCCTTAGCACCTTTAGAGAAATGGTTAATTTTGGCAATTATTGATGTTCAATTTGGGTTACTCTTTAAATATTAACTAATACTACCTGGGATATTGTAATAAGAATCCTAAAAACATTTAAAAATTTTCAAAAGAGAAATTATCAGTGTAACGTAATAATTTTCATATAAGATGCTATTGTTTTAAAAAATTTTTGGCAATCCATTTGACATGGTTCCTGACAGTGCTAAGGATTGTGATTTATGAAGAGTCAGGATACCAGTATAGAAATATAATATTAGGAAAGCCTGAAGTGAGCTGTTCGCTGCTTCACAAAGGCTGGGTCAGAAAGTGATAGGTGGCCTACAGGCTGCTGAAGCACCTGGGGGCCACACCAGGTGAGGTGGTTGGAGGGGCACATTTTCCTTACCTGTCATTGAAACAGTGAGAAAGAAGTCACCTCTGCAAAGCCTTTTCTTTTCAAAGTGAGGATTTTGAAAGCATTTGACAAGCAAAATGGAAAAGCAAGTTGATTGCCTTTACTCCCCTTTTCTTCTGGTGAGATATTTGCATAGATGTGACTGAATTCCAGAATGCATTAACCAAATCATAATGTTCTATGTAATTCCACATTCATGTGGTGTGTATAATCATGCTGGCACTTTGATCTTATCTTTCTATTCCCCAAAGAGGCTCTGACCATACTGACCACCCAGAACATGTAATGAAAACACTGGAGGGTGTGAAGGTAAGGGGAAACACACAAGTCTTCAGCTTTTACCTGACTCAAAATTTGACCATCCTACTTTGATTCTCAGGTAAATCCTGAAATGATGTGATAGTTACTGGGCTGCTGGTGATATTGTAATTGTAATGTCACTGGAATTTGTCTACATCAACTTCTGCTCACGGAGCATTTTACCTTAGAAACAAGTATGGGATGGAAAAGAGGTACAGGAGAGTTTAGATACACTCCACTTGACATCAACAGACACATGTGGTTCCAGAAGGCAAAGTTGTAAGAGCAGTCGTAAGCAAAAACCACTCAAGCCATACTACTCATATTAAGTGAAGAAATGTAATGGAACTTATTAAGAATCTAGATAACCTTTCCTAGATAGCTTGACATTCCACTATGTGGCATTGGGAGCACATCTATCTGATACTGAAAATTTTCTGGCATGACAAATATGCAACCACATAAGGAATTCAACATAAAGATCTCGCATATAGTGAACCTCATTCATTGCTGTAATGTCATAATCCTTGACGAAACAAACAAACTGGCAGAAGAGAGGAATTTTTCTTTACAAGATTCTGGGTATAAAAAATGAAAATATCTCCATAGTCATAATTCAGGGTATCAAAGAAACTTAGATTCTGGGACACCAATGTGAAAACAGAAACTTAAAACCACTCACCACTTCTCACTGCCCTCCATCTGAAAATGTCTGTAGCCCTATGTCCTCAGGCTGCCATCCACGCTTCTAGTCTTGGAGTTTGTCCCAGTTGCTTAGATAGAGTCAACTTTCACTGCTTTCTAGGACAATCATATCATACTAAGGGAAGCACAATTTGCCCTGAACTATTTCTAGGGTAAGTGGATTGGGCTTCCAGATTGCTGCCAAGGAGTTTCCACCATTGTCGGCCTAACACATGAGAAACTTCTACCAACAATATTATATAACGATAATAAATGTTACTAATAAAAACTAAGAAAAGTGGCATTGGCAATTCTGGTAGCTGATATCATCAAATCATCCAGGCCTTTGGTAATTTATTGACAGCACCAAGAAGCCAGAATTGGACAATGAGGTTGTGGGACAGCCACCACTGCAGAGGAGTACCCACACTGGAATGCAAGTATCAGTTCCATTATTCACTGAGTATGGCAGCTCACAACATAGATGCCAAAGGATGAAATGTCTTTGTGATTGAGTTACACTAATACTGTAGGAATATTCAGGAAAACAAAACACAAACAACTGTATAGTTTACAACACAGAGCAAAACTCTTCAAATTGGGAAAATTAATAAGGTAACTAGAAATCTCATTTAATGCTATTTACATTTTCCCAATTATACAGCATTTTAAAGATGTGTTTCCAGTTTCTCAGGTAGCATATCAACCTTCAACTCATTTTTAACCACTGGTAGCCAATGATGGAGTTGGTGTGGTTTCTCCAATCATGTTCTAGCTGATTTATTTCTCTCTTCACACTAATCACATGGCCCATTTATAGAGCCTTCTCTGAGTTCCCTTTTGGCTCTCCTGATGCTTTAGTAACATTTTCATAGCAAGTCTTTTAACAAATTACCACCAAATCTACACATTACCATTGCCCCTTGTTTGAAACCAAACCTTTAGCATTCCATATGTGCTAGGATTGTTTTGACCACTTCTTGGGTGATGTTTTTTATTTATTCAAACTTGAAGCATTTTCAGTTTTTTTTTTGGCAAATTCTTCAAATGGCATATCAGCATTAATTTTGTATGTTTTATCATCGGTAACTAAAATTCCTGTTCAAATATTAAAACCATTTTTACTAAATCACTAAACTTCGGTAAGTTGGCAATTCAATAAATTGAATTTTAACTTTCAAAAGACAAAATGATCTTTGGTGCATTGATCTATGATGGCTGCAGGCTGTAAATATGTCCATGCTTACACTGAATAACTTCTATAAAATATAAATATACATTGATATTTTTGAAACATTTTGGCTATAATAGTGCCCTCAATAGAATGAATACACATTAGAACACATCATCTATGATGTCAATGACTAATAAAGGGACAAGCCCTTGAGGAATTTAGACTCAAGCAGCGGAGAACTATCTTCAACAAGAATTCCATACAGTGTTTATAAATAACCAAAAAGGCCCAGGATTCTGTTTCTAGATATTATGTTGTGTCTTTCATCTAGGAACATTGTTGTATGCTGCCGGGCCTTTCATGTGCTTACTTACCTATGATGCCCTATAAGAACTTTGGTGGGCCAGGGGCAGCGACTCACACCTGTAATCCCAGCATTTTGGGAGGCCAAGGTAGGCAGATTGCTTGAGTTCAAGAGTTCAACACCAGCCTGGGCAACATGGCAAAACCCTGTCTCTACAAAAAATACAAAAATTAGCCAGGCATGGTGGCACATGCCAGTAGTCCCAGCTGCTTGGGGGGCTGAGGTGGAAGAATCACTTGAACCCAGGAGGTCAAGGCTGTGGTAAGCCAAGATCACATCACTACACTCCAGCCTGGGTGACAGAGTGAAACCCTGTCTCAAAAAAAAAAAAAAAAAGATCTTTCATCTTACTGTTTCAGCCATAGGGTTCCCACTTGTTAAGGGTTATAATAATTATCATTCTTTATATGGTAATATATTGCTTATAAAAACATTGTGAACCATTATCTCTCTTAATAAAGCAATGAACTAGTTACACTACAGTGGATTTTTTTATAAGGAGATATAATTTTATACAGTAGTATAGAAGAATACTTCAATTCTTCACCTAAAATTTCAACTTATTACACATTCACATGCAGAAACTTCAGTTGAGTCAAAAATCCGTGAAAAATAAATATAATACTCAGAAAGCCAAGTTTCCTTTCCCCAAAGCTGGTTCAGCAGGTACCTATGCCTCTATCATCACTATGCTCCAACTCAAATGTGGCCTCGCCTAAGACAGACAGCAGCAAATTCAGGAAGAATTTACCTAGCTGAGACTAAAACCAGAATGAAGATTATTGGAATGACATTTTGATAAAGTCAGGGATCAAACTGACACCACCAATAAACACTGGAACATCTTTGGCTTCATTGACAAGACAAGAAACCATAAAAAGAGAGTAATGTTTGGCTACAAAGCCAAGTAATAGCAAATGTGCATATACCAAATTTTTCTTCTAGTATTCATGAAGTAAAGCTACTCCCCCCAGGATGGCTCAGCCAGCCCTGCCCCCACTAGGCTCTATTCTCATCTATTCCTGGAAACAGTGTAAGAATTGAGCAATCGTGAGCTATATTCACATTGGTGACTGGCAGAGATTAATATCCTCTCTGAATTACAGTAACTTCCTCCAAATCAAACCATGCACAAAAACCCCACTCTGATTATAATATATAACTATGATATAAAACGAAGTAGCAAAATCTCTGGACACTGAAAACCAAAAGAGATTCTTAACTCTTTTCCCTAAAATAGGTTATATGAAATCTCTTTTTACAAAGAGATAATTAGCTACCATAAATAGTATAATAAAAATAGTCTCTTGTTTCTGCTGTAAAAATTAAAATGTGTTCATGACAAAAGAGAAGACCACTGAGTTCTAACCTTTGATTCTTAATGTTGAAGTCATTTTACAAAAATATAAATGTCTTATTATACATAGCAGTTAAACTAGCCATGAGTTTACTACCAAATGATTACTTACTTTGGGAACTATTAAATGACTTAATTTTCATTATACTTCTTCACTTAGTAATGGAGCTATTAGTCACACTTTAGCCCATATAATTTATAAATGATTGATGTTATTAAAACTTAGCTTGTTATCTAACTATGGGAATATGCTTGTGTGAAGCAGAGGCTGCAGTGTTAGGACATACTTTTTAAGGCTGCAAAATATCAGCTTGACCATCTGAATCCCAAATTTTAGAATTTTTGTAAATTAAGGTTAATAGTGCTATGAAAATAACAAATGCTCTCAAAAGGGAAAATGTTATCAAAACACCCTTTCTGCCTTGTGTTTTGGTATTTTCTCCACCTTGTCATTGGAAAGCCAGTTTAGAATTCATTTCTGTTTCATACCAGAAGTTCAGAGCTCTTGTTAAATGTGCAATGGCCAAAGACACGATAATGACAGTTGGAAAAATGTGGGGAGCTGGTTCTACAAAGGCAGGTATAGTTATGACACTAAGTAAGGAGAAATAAGATTGGAGAGAATTGAGGTGGATCTGGTTGGCAATTGGAAGTCTCTCATTTCGTGAGCGAGTGATGAAAACTATTCTGTATGTGAAGGACAAATTGAAATAGAGGAGATAGGAAGACCAGCTAAGAGGCTGTTATGAACATAAGTGTGAGGTGAGTAGGACATTGATTGATGTAGTAACTATGGAATTAGTAAGAAAAACATTAAAGGGGAAGTACTGAATGAGGTGAGGCAGCAGATTAAGTAAGAAGGAACGATAAGAACAGGTCACAGAAGCAGTAACTAAGATGAACTCCAAGGTTGGAAGCCTAGAGTCCCAGGAGAATGTGGAGGCCTTGGCATTCATAGAGCATTTTGAAAGAGCTGCAGATTTGGAGAGCAGACAGAATGGGAGCAAAAGATGTAAATCATAGATTCAGAAAATAAAACAATATTTCATAGTAAAGAAAACTTGAGTCATGTCTAAATATCAAAGGGAGAAATAAGGGGAAAAATATGTAAAATATTAGAGAATAGGGAAGAATTCCCAATATGCACAAAGGCCCTGGTCAGGAGAATCAATGTTAGTGATAATGCACTAAAAAGAAAATGTGATCTGCAGAGACACCTATTCCTAAAATGAGAGGACTCTGAAGGAAGGCAGGTGGAAGCCAGGAGATAACAACATCAGATGATGCCAGTGTGCCAGACTCTTGAAGGTGAACTGACTATCATCAGACCCTATTCCATCCTCCAATCCTGATTCATGGTGTCTCTATGCTACCCATTTATTCATTCACCCATTCATTCACTAAACAAACTGATTAGGGTCCTACTATGTAGCAGGCACATGCTAGGATGTGAAGAGACATAAAGCAGAATCTTTGCCCCAGAAAGCTCACACTCACAGAGGTGTTAGCAGGTAGGGAGGAGACAGACGTCGATAACTCAAGCTTGACGCTCCAGTAAGTGCTCACTTTGAGAACAACAAGTAGGACACACATAATTCTGACTAGGGAATGAGCAAAACTTCCTAGAGAATGTTTGTCAAAAAGTCATAAACACTTTTCACCAAACGGTATGTACAAGCATGTTCACAGCAACGTAATTCATCAGATCCCCCAACTGGAATCTATCCAAGAACCTGTAACAGTAGAAAGGTAAATAAATTGTGGTATACACACATAATGGAATGAGAATGAGTGTCCTACAGCTATACACAATAGCATAGATGACTCATAGAAACATAACGTTGTGGGAAGAGACAGACACAAATGTGTGCATATGTAAAATTCCTCTAATGTGAAGTTGAAAGGCAGGCAACATGAATCTGTGGTGTTAGAAGCTGCAGTGATGGTTGTCTGTTGGGGATGGAGGGATAGAAACTGGAGGGGAGTAGGAGGGGGCTTCTGTAGTGTTAATACTGTGTCTTGATCCAGATGCTGTTTACATGGGTATGTTGAGTTTTGAGAAATTCCTCAAGCTATGCACTTATTGTTTGTGTACTTCTGTATATACCTTATACTTCAATAAAAAATGAAATAAAGCTTAAGAAGAGAGGTCAAAGTTTGGGACACTGTGGAGTGTGAACCAAGGAGGACATGATGAAAGGAGAGTACACTAATTCTCTGCTTGTTCCTCTCCATTCACTATTTTTCACCCTCTCCATCTGCCTGTGCTCTGGAAGGATGACTGTTATGGGCTCAATTGTGTTTCTTCAAAAGAGATATATGTTCAAGTCCCTAATGTCCAGGACCTCAGAATGTGACCTTATTTGGAAATAGGGTCATTGCAGATGTAACTAGTTAAGATGAGGTTGTACTGGAGTAGGGTGGGCCCTGAATCCAGCATGACTGGTGTCCTCATAAGAAGACAGCCATGTGAAGACAGAGACAGGGAGAGTAAACAGCTTGGGAAGATGAAGGATTGGAGTGATACTTCTACAAGGCAAAGAATGCCAAAGATTTCCAGCAAACCATTAGAATCTAGGAAGAGGTAGGGAAGGATTATGCTACAGTTTTAAGAGGGACAGTGGCCTTAATGACACCTTGATTTTGAACTTCCATCCTCCAGAATTGTGAGACAATACGTTATTGTTGTTTTGAGTCACCCAATTTGTGGTACAGCAGCCTAAGAAATGAATCCACTGACCTTTATAGATGGAATCAGTGGGCCAGGAGGTAGCTGTAGGAGGTACCATAGATCAGAGAGGATAAAAGAGCCTGACTATGCAGGCAGCTGCTGCATTTTTCTACCGAAGGCCAGCTCTCTCTCCAGGCCCTTTAACTGCCCCCTCCTCCTGCCTCTTAGTCCTAGGGGTGGTAATGGGTCCTGCTATTGCCAGCTCCAGGGTAATTCTTCATTCCCTGTACCTCCCCCTTTATCCAGCTTATGCTTTTGTAAATAGTCGTTTCACAAGCCCTCTTCAATTGTCTTATCTGAGGACTCTTAATTATATAAAGAGAGAAATTAGCACTTCCTAAATTTTACATTCATATGTATATGCACATTATTATTTTCAGAACAAGCATGTGAGAATTGTAATGAGAGGCCCTCGGGAAAATCTCCTACAAAGGAACTAAGACCCTCTGATACTGACACGTAAAGTTTTTTTTCTTTTAGTGGTAATTGATGGGATTCAAACATCACAGGTATTGCCTGTTGTCCTTAAGCAAGATGTGTGTGCTGTTTCCAGAGACAGACTGCAACAAGAGAGAATTTCTACATTCAGCAGAGCCCCTCTTTAAAACTCCTTTGTTTAGAAACCATTCTCGTTTGCTTTTATTTCCACAAAAAATAGAGGGGAGGGGAATTTATGTTTCAATGTACAGCAATGTAAGGTGAAAGAATTTTGTGGTTGGCTGGACCATGGCCCATAATTTCTGTTCTGGGAAAAGTTACCAAATTGCCTCCATAGGCTTGGCTACAAGCTATAGGCCATAAGAAAAAGCCTTTGGCCATTTGCCCATAAATGAAACATCCACATTCAGAGCTCAGAACCAATAATCAATTGAGAAGACCTATCTTCATGGCCAAAAAGGGTGCTTCAAACAATACAAGCAATAGCTAGATATAGCTTTGCACTGAATTTAATAAAGAAAAAAGAGTGAAGGAAATTGTGACTTATAATTTGTCTCATTATGATAAAAAAAATAAATAAATGATTATTCTGGTCCAGTGAGAGAAGCATCAAGCTTGAGATAGGGTAAGAAAGAGAGGCAGTAACAATAATTACAATAATATTATATGTGACGGACTAAGCATTTTGCACATTTATCTCTTCAACCCTACAACACAGGTAATATTATTACACCATTTCATAGATAAAAAAGCTAAACCTTAAAGAGGCCAAGTAAATTACCCAAAGTCATATGGCTAGTAAATGTTAAAGTTTAGGATTCACACCAAAGTCTATAATATAGACATCAAAGTGCCATTGTCTTCCCCTTGCAAATGGGAGGGGAAAACTTTTGCATCTCCTCTCACAGGCTGAAAAACCTAGGTGTAAGGAAAAACTGAGTTGCATTTAAAACAAATGGAATTTCTCCCCAGGTTCTGAATTCTGGCCCTGAGTCCATGGCAGAAGCAATGCCCCTATGTGGCAGATGAGGAAACCAAGGCTCTTGGAGGTTACGTAATTTGCTCAAAATCACACAGCTATTAGGTAGCATAACCCAAAGTCTTGCCATCCAAAGATGAATATATGTTTGTAATGAGTAAAAGCTGGTCCTCTACGTTTGGGAAGCTTATGAGTATTAACCTTGAAAATTAAAGTGCTAATCAAAACAGAAAGTGTTTTTTCCAGAAATGTACTGCTACTAACTGATTTCACAAACAAGATCCAATGCCTCAGGGAGGGTACTGTTTCCTCAGGGTAAACAAGCATAGCCTCTTACAAAATTTTATGGAATAAGGAATTGGCAGTGTGAAAGAAATATTTAGCAGGATAGACCCTGTAAGGCCAGGATTACTCAAAGACTAAGAGACAAAATTGAATTTACTGTGTAGGAACAGCCCAGTGGGGTCATTACAGAAAAGTGATGAGTCCCAGTGGAACTGAACCAGGGTTCAAACATAGTCTGTAGGCCAGTGTGGTGGCTCACACCTGTAATCCCATTACTTAGGGAGGCCGAGGCGGGCAGATCACTTGAGCTCAGAAATTCAAGACCAGCCTGGCCAACATGGTGAAACTCCGTCTCTACTAAAAACACAAAAATGAGCCAGGCGTGGTGGCACATGTCTGTAATACTAGCTACTTGGAAGGCTGAGGTGAGAGGATCGCTTGAACCTGAAAGGCAGAGGTTGTAGTGAGCCGAGATCATGCCATTCCACTGCACTCCAGCCTGAGCAAGAGCGAGACTCTGTCTCAAAAAACAAAAACAAAAAGTTTTTTATCACAAGTATCTTGTGATTTATGTTTATTCATTTCATATTATGTATTGATGCTAATTTATAGATTAAGGTTTAATATATCTTTAAAATATATGAAGGACATTAATAATATATGTCCAAGGTAGCAATAAGAAAATTGAAAAGGTAATGGAGTGTTACAACAGAGCTAATTGTTATTCTGTAGTTACGGCTGTGCCTTACTGGCCCCATGTAAAGTTTCTTCCATTCCAATAACAGATATTCTCAGTGGTGTCCCTTCCAGAGCCATGCTGAGTAGCTTAAGACTGAAAAAATACCATAATAAGACAATAATCTAACTAAGTAGTTATTAAACGTTAGAGCACAGCAAAAGCATCTGGAGAGCTTGTTCAAACACAGATTTAGGGTTCCCAGTTTGAGAGTTTCTGACTCACCAGGTCTTAAGAGGGGCCAGAGAATTTGCATCTCTAACATATTTTCAGTTGATGCTGATGCTATTGCTCCAGGGAAAACATTTTGGGTACTTCTGATCTAACTTCTTAGGTAGATCTGTTGCCCATCTGTTGTGAGAATCCCCCAGGAAAGTCTTTTTCTCCATTTGTGTTTTCAGCAAGTACCAGTTTTACATGCATGACAAGGTTACAGGTTTAAAAATTAAAAAAAAAAATCTCGGCATCTCCATTCTCAACACAAACATAGACGTCAACAAAATGCTATAAGAAGAACATAAAATCAAAGCTAAAAACAAAAACACATCCAAAAACCAATTCAATCTAACTTTCCATAGATTTTGGTGTGCTACCTGGACCTGCTGTTTTGAGACTTACTTGATGGAGACAGAAGTTGTAAATCACAATAAAATTGTGTGAGAACAGCACTATTTTCTTCATTTAGCAACTGATAAAAATAAGGACTTGAATGGTGTAAATAAGTATTGAAAGGTAGCAGACTAAGGGAATGGTAAAAGAAAGAAATGAAGATAGAGAAAGGAGAAGAGAAAAAAAGAAAAAAAATTCAACTTTTCTGTTTTCCTCTGCTGCTAAATGTGTACATCACACTTGGAGGAAAAAAAATTCCTGATGGCCCTGTTTGCTTATCATCGGATCATACAGCATGAGAGCTAAAAAGGATTTTATTTTACAGAAAAGTAAACTGAGGCTCAGAGCCAATAAGCAACCATTGATACTTCCCCTGGTTGGAAGGAATGACTTACAGGAAATCTTGGAGCTCAGATCCAGTGCCCCCTCCACACACCTAGTTACAACAGTTCTAAAGGCAAAAGATATTCTGGTTAAAATGGAAAGAACACTAGCCTGTAATTTGAGTTCTGGATCTCCTCTGTGGACCTGTCACAGAATCAGTTTGGTTTCACTTTCCTCAGTTCTAAAATGAAAATAACAAGTTCTACCTCACAAGGTTTTTCTGGGAATCTATGAGGGAAGGGATGTGATGTTATATTTTGTAAACTGAAAAGCCCTGCACAGATGACAAATACTCCAGTGGAGATCTGGTGTGACTGACGGGCATTTTAGAGCTAAATGGCAGGTTATAAACAGGAAGAGACAAAGGTCTTAAAGAAATAATTTATTCAAAATGAAAGAGCCAATAACAAGTAGCTCTAACAGACTTCTATTTCTTGTGCTGAATGGCATACTCCGACATTAAAATTGCATACAAGACCAAATTTGTATTGAAGTTTGAAAAAAAAAAGTTAAAACAAAAACGAACAAGCAGAAAGCAAGAGAAGATGTGATCAAGTCACATCTGGACCGTAGGTATTATGAACCTGTAATACCCAGGTTATCCCATAGGTTGGCATTGCCTGGGAAGACTGAACAATCACACTTTAAGTTTTTGTACTAATCACATATTCTGCAGAGCTCTTGCCATAGCTCTAGCTATTCATGCCAAATTGTCAGTCTTCCTGCGTCATCTGGGGAAGTTGTAGGTCGGTAATATCTAGATCTCAACTTTCGAATGGCTTATGGCTCTTGCAATTACCAAGAGACTCCCAAAGCTCTGGTTTGGGGACTAGAATTTCTGTGAGACTATTTAGCAACACTGTGGTTCTTCCAGTTAATGGGAATTGCAGCTGTGGCTCCAGAAGCCTGTGACTGCAAATGCTGCTAGTCGGGGTATTAACTACGAGACACTAGAAGCAATCCAGTGACCTTTGTGCAAAGGCCCAAAATAACCAAGGCCAAACTGAGATGGAATAAGGAAAACTTAGCCTGAATTAGCACCCATGATATACAGCAAGAAAAACAGGGATTACTTGTCTCCATAGTCTATGTTTAGCAGAATGTGCTCCTTCGAAAGCTGGAATGTGTAGCTGATATTTATAGAAAGCACCATATGCGTGTCCAGAACATTTCTGTGGTATAAAAAAGCAAACTATGGTGAACCATGGAAAGGAATTCATTGTCAATGTTGGTAAACTGAAACCCCAGTGATGGGGATGTAATTCTGTTTGACTCACTGGAGCTATTTCCCCACCAGTCTTGGGTGCTATGAGGCAGTTCAGGGCACTATGAGGATCGAGATGGAGGAGGGAAACTGGTAGTAAATAAGAAACTTTTTAAAAATTAAAAGAAGTTTCTTGCTCTTCTTTTGTCCTTATTTAAAAAGAGAAAAGATGCAATAAAGATGTCATCGATTCTAATGCTGTTGGGTGGAGTGGACAAAAAGCAATGATCGGAAAGAAATAAGCCATGCATGGAAATAGGAGCATTTGCTAACACTTTCCTTCGGGCAGATTATCAAGAAAATCATTACCTTTCTTATTCTACAGTGTATTCATTTAGTTCAGTAAGTACTTATTAGGCACTTATGTGTTTAATTTTTCTAGGGAAAATGTTACTTCTGTTGTTTTTCTATTTTGTGTTTCAGAAGAAAGCCTTTTTCCTTCTAAAGAGTTTTAGGTAGCAGGCAGGTCTGCTTTACCTGTGGTAGGGCCACCACTGACCTAGATGGTGTCCATGTGTGGGTGGAGGCAGGCTCCTGGGCGTGTGGCTTAGGGTGTGAAGTGAGGACTGGATTTCAGCTCCCACTTGTGCCCCAATCAAGGTATCATTGAACAGTGAGCAGACTGCCCACCTGTCCTTAGTAGCCTGGCTTCATATAATAACATGTGTCTGAATACATTGTGAGTTAATTAAATATATGTGGACTCACTATGACCTTTGGCTTCTCCATAAGGGGAGGTTTTATAAATTGTCAGGGCAGTATCTTATACTCTGAAACCAAATACTTGCAGCAATTCCATGACTTTTTTTTTTTTTTTTTTGTGGGAGTGGTGTGCTGTAAGGTGAAGAATTATCTCCTAGTTGATCTGTCCCATAAATTAATAGTTAACATCATAGTAATTATTGAATTATTCTAGAATAGTTTCATGAATTAAGTTAAACTCAGTTTAGTTCATGTCCAGGGTAGCAAAGAATCTCTGTCTACGTGCTCCTGAGTTCTTCAGGATAAAAACTTTATTATCAACTATTCTGAAGGAATATGTGGTACCATAACAAATTTATTTCTTGCTACCTAATGGTCCGGGAAGACTCCTCCAACATAAGTATTGAAAGTTGGCAAAGGAGACAAGAAAACAGGACTGCCATTGAGAAATTATTCTTAAAATTGGTTTCCCTGCTCTGTCAATTCTCACCACTACCCTCCCTTCTAGGGCTGCACAGTCTAAGTTTAGAGGTGAAGTGCATGCCGTGTGCGGATAGAAGACCAAGTATTTTCTCCATTCTCTCAGGGTAAACATAGACCTAACGTGTTAATGCGAGTTTTTAAAAATTCATGGTCTCAGTCAGAACTATTTTGGTTGGAAGTGACTAAACCCAACTAGGATTGGTTAAGGTGATGCGAGGGCAAGTGTGGAGCTGGGACTTGAGAAGAAATTCATACCAGGTCTCAAAACCTGTCGCTCTCACTTTCTCCTAATCTCTCCTTCTGGTTTCCATCTTTCAACCTCTCAGTTTCTGTCTTTAGGTCAGTTGTATATTTTCAGACGCACTTCCTCATGGAAATATGACCACCAGCCGCTATTATGCCAAGTACCTCCAAGTTTCACCACCAGAGGGAGAGTGAGACTAGCCTCTGATCACAGTTTAAACATCAGAGGGGAGGCTTCCTCTGATTGGCCTCGCTTGTGTTCATCCCAGCTGGGCCCGAACCTGTTCCAATCAGCTCTAAGTGGGACATGGTTTACTATCACCACCCGGGCCAATCAGAGCAGGCCTGTGAGTGGGATCTGTAAATGAACAGCAGCTTCTATTTGCTTGTGGGTATACGGGGGAAGGAGCATTTCCCGAAAGAAGGCCGTACGGTTGTGGACAATGACCACTATGCCCATTCTTACACCAGGTGAGAGTTAACAGCCTCCTTTGTACTTGTTTATTCAGCACCAGTTTATTGAACTAGGTAAGAAGGTTGGGATTGGAAGACATGGTGTCTGTACATTCCAGAGCAGAGTCCAATTGAATGGCATTTAGGGGCAAAATGCTGAGTGATTAAGAACTTGTGCTCTGACTTGGCAGACCTAAGTTCAAATCTCAACTTTACCATTTAGTTGGTGAGTGATCTTGAATGAGTTGTTTAACCTCCCTCAGACTCAGTTCTCCTTATATTCAAAGCACTTTGCCAAAGAGCCTGACATGCAGTAAGCACTCCATAAATGACAGCTACTATTATTATTCAAAAATATATCAAGTAGGTCTTATTGTCACTGTTGTGTTAATAAGACAGTGGCTTGTCTTGTGAAGACCAAATAGAATTTGGGTAAAAGTCCATATTGTTTTATTTGGATGGGGGTGGGGGCCATCAGCACCCTCACCAGAGCAGTTGCTGCTGTGAAAGAAGCCCCTGTACAAACCAGAGCTTACCTCAGAATAATTTTCTCATTATAGTGGCACCCTGTCCTAAATTTCTGTATATCTAATTTTGTGCCCCTTCCTGCCCGTTCTCTAATACTTGCTTGTCTCTCAGTCTGGGTCTTGACACACTACTACTACATTCCCGATATTCTTATTGTTCCTAACCTTCTCTGCCTGCATTTTTCTGGCGGGAGTTCCTGACTCTCAAGACAAGTGAAGCCTACATGTTTCACACCGTCGCTGGGGTAACTTACTGTGCAGGAAGGCAGGAATGCATTGGATATCAGCACTGACACAGGACAGCAGAACCAAAACAGGGAGAAGTGAGTGCAGGTACTGAAGTAGAAAGGGATGGAGAGTAAGTGAGCCACCAACGCCCTTAGAAGAAGAAAAGCATGCATCCCAAGGGACAGTGGACAGTGAGTAGCTAAACTCTTGTGGGAGGCTGCCATAAGGCAGTCTGCAGTCTACAGTCTGGTCCACGAAGGAGAAAGGAAGAGCAAGGCAAGAAAAATGAAGACACACAGTGCAAAAAAGCATGTGCAGGTGGAAGGATTAGTAGCGACTCACTTAATTGCTGAAAGGCTTGAGATTCAGACTTGAAAATGGGCAGGCACCAATGCAGCTCTGGAAGATGGGAAAGGAGGAACCTTAGCATGGTCTCCTGACAGGGCAGGGTACCACTGATAAAATCTCGAAAATCCAGGTGTTCCTTTTGTTGTGTCACTCACTCCAGATTCAGAGACCCAAGAGAGGGCATCTGACTGATGGAGCACAGGTTAGTGATTCACACCTTTGTTGTCCTGGGGCTTTGAGAGGAAAGAGCAAGTCACTTCAGCTCCTTTGAAGGGAGGTCCCCAGATCTACCATCCACCAGCATCACACACAGTGGGAGAGAGGTAGTTCCCCAAAAGGAAATTAGGGTGCTGCTAGGAAAGGGTATAGACCCCAGGCAGCCAACAAAACAGCAAATGTCCTCTGTACAGTTCCCACAACATGACATTTTTGTTATTTTAATACAGAAAAATGAGTTGCACCAATTGGAGGAAGATAAACATCTCCATAGATGGATTACATCATGCAGGGATTTTTTATTTTTTTAACAGAATCCATTTTGTAATTGTAAATTTTATATAGAAATCCAAATGTAAACAGATAAAAAGCAAAACGCTGGGTTGGAAGGGGAGAAAAGACCCCACACTCAGCCTACTTTTGGCAGCCCTGAGGTCCCACCACACAGAACCTCAGACTTTGAGAAACACAGTTTGAAAACCTCAGCTGAAAGTCCTTAATGGTGACTATTTTTTATAAACTTCAAGCACATATTGAAAGGCAATTCTCACATTAGAGTTTGTAGGGGAAAATATATGAACCAGTGTATTTAAATCGTAGTTCTTGGTCTTCCTTGCTGTCAACCAGAGGTTAAATTATGGCTGTGAAAAAATAAAAATGCAAGAATAATAGACTGTCCATAAAATGTTTCTTTGCTTTTCAGATATTTGTCCCATGTTGCTTTATCATTTCAAGTTAGTCCTGAAAGACTAGAAAATTTACTCTTTATCGTCAATATGTTGTTCTTGGAACTTGTAAAGGATGAGACTGAATGCTCTATGATTGTTAGAACCACTGTTAAAACCAGCAGAGACTGATCTCTATACAAGTAGCTTCAACGGAGTTGAAACTAAAGACTAGAGGGCATGAGCTCTACAATTACAGAGGTATTTTCTCCAGCTTAAAACGAAAGTGCATTGACTGGACAGAAAAGCAAATTGCTAGCACTAAGCCTTCCTGAATGAATAGAAGAGTTCAACGGTATCTGCACTATTCAAGCTAGCACACAGCAACTGCAACAAAAGTTACAGTCAAATTTTTTTTTCAGTTTAAAGTGATTTCCAGCATCTTCAAACAGCAACTTATATAAAAATATTAGAATATGAACTTTTTTCAAGACCTTTTTTCATCTTTAATTTAAAACAGTTCTTCCCATTCCCTTTTGCTTAATTGCCAAATAAATCATAGTTACCTAGAGATTCTCTAAATATAAACATTGGCAACTTGTTCTTTCGTCACAGTTAGAGAAAGAAAATAAATAGGTGGATATTAGTTTGTAACACTTAGGGTCAGAAAGAGGAGATTCAGGAATGTAAAGAATTATTTATTATTATTATTTTAATTGTTATTATTATCAAAAAAGTAGACTCATAAAGTCCAGCAAAGATTGTGCTAAACCTGCTGACTTTCATTCCAAATGAGGAGTTAAATACAGGTGAGAGAAAATCAGTGGTATGGGGAGTTTCAAAAAGATCTCACATTCTAAGCCTGCCTTTCACAATTTGGGATATTGTTTAATATTCATTTAGAAGAGAGGAAGAGTAAATGCTAACATTAATTAGCCCTTGAGGAAAAAAGCAAACTGAATGTGTTTCTGAACTGCTCATTTATATATAGGCATTAATTTTATCCTCAGAGAATTTACTGTTGTACCTGTGAGCCAGCATTACTGGGTTTGAATTCTTATATTTAGCTGATGCTAAAATCATGCTATGATATTTATAGGACATTTAGAGGCCTTCTGTGACTTCTAACTTTTCATTCCTGGTGTGCCATCTACACAGATGGGTGATAATTGCTTTGGGAGTTTAATAATAATATTAGTAATAGTCTTTTCCAGTTGGGAATTTATAATCTAGTGGACAAGTAAACACATACACATTTTAAAATGTGAAGTAGCAAACCAAAGCCGCACACATTTAAGGTCTGATTAGGACATACAGCAAGTACTATAAGAGTTGGGAAAAGAGAGGGGTCACCATGAGCTGTAGAGATCATTGAAAAGTTTGTGGGTCAGATATGACTTTAGCTGGGCCTTTGAAAGTTGGTGCGATTTTGATTAGAAAAAAAATAAGGGACGAGAATATCCATTTGGGGCAAGAGGATTTCCATGCACAATACTGAGAGGTATATTAGGGTAAATAAAACTAGCTGCTGAAACAATCTCCAAATCTCAATAGCTTAACACAATAAATCTTTAAAACTTTAACTAATAATTTAAAGGCACTGGAATTCTTTCTTTAGAGAGTTTCACATACTGAAATATTCCATTTCCCATGCTCTTTTTACTCCTGCTGGTTTTCACAGTTACACACTTTTGACATTGTAGATACACTAATAGCAACAGACAATAATGTCATAATTAATAGAGCTATTCACATCCCAATTCGATATGGTAGGGGTGAGCATCAGGAGAAAATAAGGGGTTCATCTCCACCCAGCTCTACCCAGTTATTCAGGGCCCTAGGCTCATTTCATGTTTTGACATGGTCATCTTCTGCATATGGCTTCCAAGTTTACCACAGAAGAAAATGACTGAACGGAGAATTGTGAATGGGAGGTTCTTATGGGCCAGCCCCAACAATGGTGTAAATTGCTTCTGCTGTCCACTGTCCAGAATGCAGTCAGCCAGCCCCAACCTAACGGCAAGGAACCTGAGAAATATATTTTATCTGTGTGCCTGACAGCAAACTTACTTGCTGAACCAAGCATTGTTTTTGTTGCAGGGGGTCATATGAGGGACAGTAAGAAGAGGCAAACTTTAATGGCAATTGCTGGTCACCTCCCCTGTTCCCATTTTTCCCTCCTAACATTACTGTAATTTTCGTACCCCATGTACCTCCTTCGCTTCAAAGGATATTGACACTGCCTTTAAGTACAACTGGAAGCAGAGAAGTTCTGTGCAGGCTAGCTATCATAGGTTATTAGAAGCCATTGTCGGTTCCTTAGTAGATAACTGACATGGTAACGCTGGCACTAGTCAATAATAGTAGAAGACTGATTGGGAAAAGGGGAGAGACTTGAAGAGGAATAATAATAATATCTTTGTATTATTTTTAGCCATATTTGTCTTTTTGTGTAATTTTTTCCCTACAACCTCTTATTATTAGTAGACAAAGAGAGTCTGGATTATTGCCCTAGTGAACAAGAAAGCAAATAACACTGAAGGGAGAGAAAGATGCCAGAATGATATTAAGTATCTGAGAATTTACATGGTCTCTAGAGAGAAGTGTAGGAGAAGGGGAGAGAGAGAATCCAGAATAGTGAAGCTTAAATGCTGAAGGAATGGACACTATCATAATCTAAAGAGACTCCTTTAACCAAAAGAATCTGAGTCACTTGAATGAACTAAATAATTACTTCCTTCCACCCCGCATTACAAAATAGGAGTGAAAATTTGAGCTTTATTATTACAAATAAAAAAAATACTTCTACCCATTGCATTTAGTAATGAAGAATGTGTGTCTGTTACAGACCAGCTTGAAGGCTAGCTTAGCTTTGGTGTCCCCAAAGGCAGAGGTCTGGGACAAGGTTTGCATACAGGTGGTTCATTTGGAGAAGTGGTCTCAATGAACAAGACTGGAGAACTTGGTAGAGCGTGAAACAAGAGGGGAGGACAGAAAATACAATGGTGTGCTATCCAGTTGGTAACTGGGGCTTCATGCCAATGGCACCATCTGCAGGTCATGTAGAAAGAGCCTCAGATCCACCTCTGGGATGGAAAAGGGGAGCATTTTTTTACCCCGCCCCCTTGCATACACACTCTGAGGCTGTAAGTGCGAGGCTCACAGTTGGAGCACCATGTGCCAGGTGCTGCAAGGTTAACCTGTGCAGAGCTGGGTGACCCAGCAAAGACTGGAGCAGCAGGCTGAGCTGATGGGAGGTGCCTGAGGCAGTTGCAACGATCCAGTCATAGGATGGTGAGGGCACAAGCTAGGGAACTCAAAGAGTCAATGAAAAGGAAAAGATATCATGCTGCCCTGACCTTTCATCTGCAGGTCTCCTCTGTCCTTTAGAAAGAGCAATAATCCCAGCCTTTACAAGAAAGCAAAATTTTACTCTTGGATTTTAAGGAGATATGCTACTTAAGGAAGCCTCTAAAAAAAAAATAGGAGAAAAAGGGAAAGGTTACCAATTTCCTTTTTTAAAAAGTCCCACTGATACAGAAAGTCAGACTAATTTTGATGTAATGGCCCCTCCATGTTATCACTTAGTCTAGTGTAAATTGTGGTTTCCCAGAGAGTGAGTCTCTGATTAATGCACTTCAATTACTTTTTCTATAGAACATGGTGATATTTGCCATTACACAGAAAAAAAGCAGCTAAAATAGCTATGTCCCACACTGACGTCTCTACACTGCCCACTATAAATGAAATGTTTTTTACTTATACCCACAGTCAGGGAACTATTTTGACCAGATAGTGGTCTCTGGGCGCTGGAATTCTTCCTTTAGAGAGTTTCTCATACTGAAACATTCCATTTTTCATGCTCCATTTATTCCTACTGGTTTTCACAGTTATATATTTTTGACAGTGTCAATATGCTGATAGCCACAGCCAGTAATGCCATAATTAATAAAGTCACAACTTGACTGCCAGTTCCAAGAGAAGGGAATTTGACCTGAAAATGAGGATAAAGAAATATCTTCATGGAATTTTTCTGTTCTTCACTGCACTCTTACATTTTTCTAAGCACGAGAATCCATTTAGCTAGTGATACCTCTTTTAAATGATTACAACTTCAGTTATTCTGATTGAAAAAATTTCCATGCTGAGTACATAAGACAGAAAATTACAAGCAAGCTGTGCTACTATAATACATTGCTAATGTAGTCATTTTAAAAACTAGTATGGGGAAGTTTTAAGTCAGTGTTAATACATCTATTCTTTCAACATTTATTAAGGAGCTATTATATACTAGGTGCCAGAGATTCAAATTCGAGTAAGTCACCATCCTCAAGACTTTATAGTCTAGTGGACAGAAAAATAAGTAATGATACCAACTGTGGAAGATACTGTAAGAGGAGCATTCCTTATGTGTTAATGGATCAAAGAGAACCCCTAACTCTACTTCTAGGTGTGGGATGGGAGCAGATGGGGAAGAAGGCTGTGAAGAGGAGGTTGATCCAGGACTGAGTCTTGAAGGATGGAAGACAAATCATCAGTAGAACAAGGCAGGGAAGGGCAAGTCCAAAATTGTGGCAGTGTAGTTGATCATACCTTATTCAAACTCACCAAAACCTTTCACAATCAAGTTTTACCTATCTAAAGTGATTATGAAAGGTTTTGGTGAGTTTAAACTTTATTCAGGCATTGGAAAGATAGTCTGAGGATTTTTAATTTGGAGAGCAATGTGATTACATTTGCATTTTAGAAAGAAACCCTTGGTGGTGGCATGGGAAATGGATTGATAGGCTGTTGCAACGCCCAGTCAAGAGGAAACCAGGACCTGAAGTCAGGCAGTGCTGATACAGAGAAGAAAAAGGTGTACTTGAGAAAAAGCCAGGGTATAAAACTGACTGTTTCCATAACCAACAGAGGAGGGGATAGTGCATGGGAGAGGATAGGATTTTGGTTGACTATGGTTGTTCTTTTTTGCCTTGTCAGCACCAATACTCCTCACTGCAATTGTTGCCTGCTCTCCTGCTAATCATTCTCTTAACATGAGCAGATAAGCAATAGGTGAAAGTAGTGCTTCGGTACAACAGATGCTTTGTTCAGACATACTCATTATAGTCTTACCTTATGGTATTTTCCCATTGAGGTAGGATGGGCCATTAACAAATATCTGGAAGACAGTCATGTTTACAGGAGAATTCTAGAATAAATAACTGAAGTTCATATAAGTCTTTACAGTTTACAAAGCAATTTTTCCATTTGTCACCTCGCTTAAGACTCACAGCAATGCTATGATGGGTAAGGCAGGGGATCTCCCCATCTCATATTGCCAGTGAGGCAGCTATGACTGAGAGGTCAAGTCACTTGCTCAAACCCACACAGCTTCTGAGAAATTGACCTAGGAATCCCATAGTATATTTCTCACTCCATACTTTACATTACCCCACATTAGCTGAGCCTTTGGTTTTTGGCTTGGAATGTCTACAAGGCTTTTTATTTCTATGTTAATACTTACCATATCTGCCCAACTTAATTATACATCTCAAAAGGTTAGGAATTGGGTATTATGCCTCTTTTTTCTTTCATACATACTAACTAGATAATCAATAACTATTATTAATAGTACAGATTTCTTTTAAAACTGAACATAACTGGAAATTTGGGGCAGCATTTAAAGTCAGCACTTAATTATTTATACCAAGGGAAAAGAGTGTGGATCAAAGAATGTCAACCAGTACTGCAAAGTCCATGAGGGTCCTGGACAGGGAGTATGTATAAACTAACACAGACGTGGGCTTTTGTGTCATGCAGATCTCTGTGCTCCATTTATAATAGCACCAGCATTTATGACCTTTGGCAAGTTACTTAATGTCTCTATGCCTCAATTTCTTTATGTCAAGGGGGAAAAGTAACAAAACCACATGGAATTGTTGAGAGGAATGAACAAGAGAGTACATGTAAATACCTAGTCCAGAGCCTAGTACACAGTAGACCTTTCAATATATATGAGTAATCCAGATATCAACTGAAGTCCCCATCCTATTTCCTTCCCAGAATTTCTGTGTCGACTTTGGCTATGTTTGTGACTGTATTCCTGCTCTACAGAACTCTTGCTCACCAATGTCTTATCTCCATTTCTCTGATTAATACTACCTTCTATGTGGAACTCAAGCTGCTTGCCTTGAATTTCAACCATACCCTGCCCCTCAAAAAAAATTACACAATGCATTACAATGTATAGCAAATTTTTACTAATAATTCAGAGGAATGGCAAAAAGGTTGCATCACAGACTTCTAGGGCAGACAACTTGAAATACAATGCTTAACTTTCTTCTTCTGGAGTCCCTTGGCTATTTCACCAGCTGTCACTTCCCACCAAGTTGCTTAGCTCTTGCTTTGCCTGCCTCCTTTATTGCCACAACATCTAAAACAACAATAACTACGATTCTTCCTACTGTTGACGGGGTTGGAGAGAACACTGCCGCTCTAACTTCTATCTCCCAACTAAGTATCAAGCTGCCTCTTGAATGATGGAAGACTGTGAATGACAGGCCCCTGCTCCAGGTCTCACTCCTCTCTCCTCTCCTTTATAGTCTCTGTGAGAAGAAAGGAGCAGTATAAAGATTTATTTCCCCACTGAAAAGAATTATGACACCTCTTCCTTCTAAGGAAAAACTGTCCACAGTCAATTTTAGTTTCAGATACCTTTTTTCTCTTAGTAACATATTATTATTGTATATTGTGATGATGGGTGCTGCTTGCTTAATAAGATATAAAAAGATGATATTGAGTGAGCTGGGGTTTTTTTCTTTTTTTTTTTTTTTTAGATATCTCTTCATTTGGTCAAGACCTTCACTCCCATCCCATGGCTTCCCATCAGCACTGACTAACAGCACACAATTCATCAGGTGATAACTTAAAAAGGAGTTTGGTTTGTATAAGATGCAAGAAAACTCCTTGCAAAGCAATGCCATAATTTTGATTCAGATAAACTACTTCTTAAATAGCTAATTTTTCTTCAGCCTTTGGTATAACATGTTGTCTTACAATTACATGGTATCTATAAATTACTGCAATGTTTTCTAGTTACCTCTATTTGAAATAAAGGATGTCTTGTTATTTTGGGAAAAGAAACAAATGTCTTTGTCCTCGTGCCAATGAAAATGAGGCAATCTCAAATTCAGGCAGATTGAAGAGCTGGTTCTTAAAAAGGTGACTCCCTAAAACTATATTAAATAAAAAGCAGGCCAGGTGCGGTGGCTCACACCTGTAATCTCAACATTTTAGGAGGCCGAGGTGGGTGGATCACCTGAAGTCAGGAGTTCGAGACCAGCCTGGCCAACATGGTGAAACTCCATCTCTACTAAAAATACATTAAAAAATTAGCTGGGCCTGGCTGCGTGTGCCTGTAATCACAGCTACTCAGGAGGCTGAAGCAGGAGAATCGCTTGAACCCAGGAGGCGGAGGTTAAAGTGAGCCGAGATTGCACCACTGCACTCCAGCCTGGGCGACAAAGCGAGACTCCATCTCAAAAAAAAAAGGTGCAGTTAGAAATTGGAAGCATGCCTTCCATTTCACCACAACTCCTTTTTGGAATTTTGCCAGTAACTTAGAATGTTCAGTATCTGGTGACTAGAAGATTTTAATACAAACTGTTTAAGAGAAAGAATGAAACATTGCTGTTGCTTTCTAATATATGACGTCAACTCCCTAATTAAATTTTCTTTTCCGAAGAGCAGTCAGACATGTTGGTATGAACCCAATCAAAGTTATGTGACTTTACATCTGGGCTTTTTAATTGCCACTTTGATGGAGTGTAATAGATAGTTTCACTCAGAGATCTTGCTTTGTTATCTCTAATCTGTCACTTTGATTTGGTAATATACATGATGTCTCTAGCTTCAATTTCATTCCCTTTTCAATTTACATTTGAGGTTTAGACATGTGTGAATTTGAAATAAATTCATGTTGGATTTAGTATTCTTTGACTTTTGACTAGCATTAGCCTTTCCCTGAAACATTTGCCATTAATAAGCTACAATTTCAACACTAGTTCGTTGTGCAATAATTGTAAGATAATGTACCTTTTTCGTAAGGTAATGTACAATTATTGTTGATTGTACCTGCCCAGGATCCTTTTCCCCTTCTTGAGACAAAACTCACATTCTCTTCCATCTTAGTCTAGGTGGCTAGGGTAGGTGAGCCCCTCCTCCTGATGCCAGGACAGGGCATGTGAGGAGTATTGGATCAGTGTATTGTATCTCTCAAGGATGGGCAGAGTCAAGAGATGAGAAAAAGAAAGAACCTTAATTACTTTGAGCCTGGATCCAGCTGGCCCAGAATCCAGTCTACCTTGGAGTCCCTGATTATGTAAGCTTACGTCAGTTTCAGTTAGTTTTCCTATTACTTACAATAGACAGCATTCTCACCATAACAAATAGCTTTAGAATATATTTGTTTGGCAGTACGTCAAGAAAGATTTCCCTTTAGTTTATCTCTATTTTGCTAAGTTCTTGAAAGTAGGTATAAGTCACTTACTACAGAAATTTCAAAGATGACCCAAAAAAGCACATTCAAGGGCTAGTTGTTTCTACTTCTGGGTTGGTAACGCTTACTCACACATTACCGTCAAGAAATCTTATTTGTAAGCCAAAGTTTCTATTAACAGAAGTGTTTCTGAAATCTGGGTTTGCATTTCATTTTATGTTTTGTTACTTTGTATTCTTTTTCTAAACTTTCCATGCATCTGCTTTAACATCTCACAAGAGGGAGAAGGAAGGTGGACTGTTTGAGATGAACCTCTTCAGTAGGAAAAAATACTTTCACTAAGCCTGGTCCTCCTGTATTGCACCACAGTTTACATTACTGCCCTTCTCCTTCCTGTTCCTGTTTTTATGTAAGAATTTACTTTTATGTAATAATTTCTTTGATTACTAAGATACGTTAATTAAACTGCCCTTGGCTATAAGCAGAAAACCCCAACTCCATTGACTTAAGCAATAAGAAAAAATCTATTTCACATACCAAGACATCTAAGTGGGAAGGACTTCATGGCTAGTTAATTCAACAACTAATTGATGGATGTCTTCTCTTTCTACTTTGCTGTCTTTGGGAAAGTGTTTCTTATTTAGCAAGATGCCTGAAGCAGTGCTAGGCATTATTGCACAATGTCTAGGGAAAAAAGAACTGCTTCTTCCCATGTGTCTGTTTTCATCAAAGAAGAAATGAAGTCCCATTGACCAGAGCTGTATCATGTGTTCATGAATAAGCCAGTTGCAGACAAAGGGAATGGGAACATATTATTGGCACTAGGGATGGGACCAGCCTCCTCTAAAAAGAGGCCATATGGAGGAGAGGGAATATCTAAGGAGAGCAGGTGGGAAGGTAACCAAGAACTCTGTCCAGGATCAGCTTCATGGGTGTGCATCTTGTGCAGTTGCACAGACCCCAGTCCCAGAAAATCCCTGTTCTTAGTTTAATGCTCTGATATCATGATATTCTTTTTTCTTTCTTTTTTTTTTTTTGATATGGAGTCTCGCTGTGTCACCCAGGCTGGAGTGAGGGGGCACAATCTCAGCTCATTGCAGCCTCCACCTCTCAGGTTCAAGCGATTCTCCTATCTCAGGCTCCCGAGTAGCTGGGACTACAGGCATGCACCACCACACCTGGCTAATTTTTTGCATTTTTAGTAGAGATGGGGTTTCACCACGTTGGCCAGGCTGGTCTCCAACTCCTGAGTTCAAGTGATCTGCCCACCTCAGCCTCCCAAGGTGCTGGGATTACAGGTGTGAGCCACTGCACCCGGCCTATCATAGTATTCTTAATAAGTTTTGAATAACAGGCCCTAAAAATTATGTGGTCTGTCTTAGTTCTGGCACATCAAATAACTATGCCAGGAGCTTGGTAGAGTGTCATCTTCATCTTTTTCATTTCCATCTTACCTTGGAGAATTGGGAAGTAAAATTTTGCTGTGCAGAAGTCAAGCAAAAGAAGCCAAGAGAAGGTGGAAGGTAGTAGCTACTTATGTGAAGAAAAAGCAGTCAGTACAGATGTGAGCAGTTAAAAAGAGAACAGAAGGGATGGAAGACAGAGAGCAGGAAAAGACAAGAGAGACACACACCTTGGGGATGAGCCAGAACAGGCCAATATTTCCTTCCCAGGGTGCTTACATCAAAGAAAATTGCTTTCTCTTGGAATTGGTCTAGGCAAATGCTGTGATTAGCTTTATAGCTGTTTAATGATCCTTATGTTTGCTTACAGTTTCTGTTTATTTTTAATCTTTTTGTCTTTCTCTCTGTGCCTCTTTTTAACTCTTTGTTTCCCTTCTCATGGTATTCTTTGGCTTTTTTTTTTTCTACTCTCTTCAGTTTTTCTGTTAGAGGGCTGCTTTCCTCACATCAGTTATAGCCTCTCTCCTCTTTTTAAGAATAGATTCTACTGTTAGGTAAAACGGGACCTACCTTCCCTGAATGTGAAAGGCCTGGTGAGAACATGGAACTTGAGCTGAACCCTAATGAAATCCTCTGACCTACTACAGGAATGCAGCACACTTCTCGTTGCTGTTTCCGTGGTTGACCCCAGAGTCACCCCCAATTCCAGAAGTGGGTATGCAAGATAAGCCTGGTCTATCAGTCCAGTCCAGTCCTTGGACTTAGTGGTTATCTGAGGCGTGGACACCCTCCTCAACCATCTCGTAGGTGAAATTTAGCTCCGATATATCTTCCAGAACCACTGGTAAAGAGGTGCTCCCTATATTCTGGAGTTCAAAAACTGATAGGCTATAAGCCTGGAGCTGCTGGCTGACACTTTTCTCATGACTTGGTTAGAGCCTAAGAATGAAGGCAGCACAGAAGACAGCAGAGCTGAGAGGCGGAGAGAGAAAGATTAAAAAAAAAAATCAGCTTTTGTTTTAGATTCAGGGGGTACATGTGTAGGTTTGTTACATGAGTATATTTTATGATGCTGAGGTTTGGCATACAAATGATTCTGTCACCCAGGTAGTGAGCAGAGTACTCAATAGATAGTTTTTCAACTCTTGCCCCTGCTTCTTCGCTCCCCTATCTAGTAGTCCCCAGTGGAGAGACAGATTTGTAATGACAGCATTTGAGCACTCAAGTTCACGTGAGCCTGAACTCTCACCCAGACTTTCAGTTATGAGAACCAACTAATTCCCTTTTTTATTTAAATCTATTTAATCAGGTCACTTTTAATTTAAAGAGCTCTTACTGATACATGTCGTTGCCACCACTAGACAACATACCTGTGCAAGTATTTTCAGCCACTTTTTAGAAAAAGATGTGTTTTCAAGGAAACTTTATTTGTTATCTTTCCAGTTGTTTAAGACTTAGAACAATAACGAACAATAAACATAGCTCACGCTTGGGAACGTGCCTTCTGACTCATCTGGACTAATCAGACCCAGGGGATTCAACCAATCAGAACTGAGCGCGGTCTGGTCATCCGCTGCCTGCCAGGCGGAGAGGATTGTTTGTCCTCACAAGTTAGCAGAACTCCGGGAGGCAGCACAGTTGAAATTGATGTGAGACTTGGTAAACAACACAGATCAATTGAAAAGGTGACTACACCAAAAATCGTTAGCTCATATACATGGCAGAAATGACTTCAGGCAGGGGAGAAGGTGAAAAGGACGGAGACTTTTAATCAAGTTATGAAAAAACAATCTACATAAAGAGGCAACATTAGAAAACAAACTTTATTCCCTTAGAACTTGCACATAGCCTTCCATTTCACCTGCTCTCAAGTTCCATTAGCTTTCTTCCCTGTAGAAATAAAAATGAAAATAAGACAGACAAAAAATTATTGTTGCTAATCATCATTTAGACTAAAGTCTATTTTCTGACAATCAGCCCCATTAACTACAGATACTTGTTGAAGAATAAATATATTTCTAAATTATATCCATTATCTTAATATCACCACTATCCCAGATTCCAGCATTTCAAATGTGTAATGAGCCCTAAATTTAGGAAGCAAATTATCGTTGTACATGCCTTATTTTACAAAAGTCCAATGTATAAAAACCCTCACTTTTTCCTTTCTTTCACAGATAAACTTCTCAAAAGTTGTTTTACATTTACAGTCACCTCTTCTTCACTTTACTGCCCTGCTTCTGGACAGCCAGACTCACCTATCAGACCTTGAAGGCAAATTGGGAAAACCCCAGTGGAGCTCTCTGAAATTCCCCAACTTCTCTTCCTGTGTTGTAACTTGCTTTCCTTGAAACCCTCTGTTCCCACCTGGTACCCTTAATCTGCAGCTCCACCTTAGACCCCTTGAGACTTGACTTCCCCAGGGCTTGAAATCTTGCTTTACTTAAGTGACTATAATCTGATTCCCTTCTCTCTTTCCTACACACACAGCTCTTTTTCTACTTTGAGGAGGAAATTCTGCCCTGAACTTTAGTGCTAAGGAACCCACCCCAGACAACACAAAAGGCAGGGTGGGGTGAGTCAGAGAGTGTCTGGAGGCCCAGGCAGGTGAGGATAAGGGCTGGCAAGGGGGAGAAAATTTGAATCCCACTTTCAATTCACTTCTCTAGTACTCTTGCAGAATCAACAATGATCTTGTATTTGTCCAATCCTGTGAAAACCTTTCAGAAACCAATTATGCTAGACTTCCCTGGACTCTCTGATCTTATTGGCTTTTCTCTTTCCTGAAGTACTCTTCTCCTTTGGCATTTTTCCTCCTTATGCCTCTAAAAACACACTTTCTCCTGCTTATCTTTCCTTCCCTCCAACCTTTCCTTCCTTTTCAGGCTCTCCTGGTTCTACATTTACTCTTCTTCTCTTTTCACTTCACTGATCTTCCCAAGTCATTTCAGCCATCTCATCCATGTCTTTGACCTATACCTACATGCCCAATGTAGGTGTAGGTCAGACCTTTAATTCTGTCCTGTTCTTTCTTCTGAGTCCCAGACCTGTGTATCCAATATGTACACTGAACAACTCCACATGGATACTCACAGATTCCTCCTCCAAGATTCTCTAGATGAACTCAGTATCTTACTCGTTAAATCCATTCCTCTTCATCTGCCACCAAATTACCCTTCATCCTACATTCCCTATTTTAGTAACTTGCATAACAGTCCCTCAAGAGTGCAATTCAGAAACCTGTGAGTGCCACTAAAATGCAAGTCCTGCCAACTCAACCTCCCAAATAACTCTGCATCTTCTCCAATATATTAGGCTCTTGTTGTTTTCCTTGCCTTAACTACTGCAATGACTCCATCATGAGATTTTGTGTCTCTAGTCACTTTTCTTTCTAATTTACCCCCCAAGTGGCTCTTGGAGTTATTGTAATAAAACAAAATCTTATCACATTACTCCTTTACTGCAAGCCAGTTGATGACACTCTATAACCAATGAGAAAAACATGCTTTAATATGTCTCTTAGTTCATATTCTGTTGCTTATAATGAATGCCTGAAACTGAGTAACTTATAAAGAAAAGGAATTTATTTGTTACAGTTTGGCCCCAAGGTCAAGGAGCCACATCTGGTGAGGGACTTCTTGCTAAAAAAGAGTCCCCAGGTGACACAGGGCATCACATTATGAGGAGACCAAGCATGGTCATGTGCTAGCTTGGGTCTTTCTTTTTTCCTTTTATGAAACTACCAGCTCCCCTCTTATGATAACCCATTAATCCATTCAACCATTCATGAGGGCAGACTCCCATGATCCAATCACCTCTTCAAGGCCCCACCTCTCAATACTGCCACACTGGGGATTAAGTTTCAACATGAGTTTTGGAGTGGACATTTAAACCATGACAATAGGAAAGTCCAGCATTATCCGTACTTTGCTCTCCTTTATCTTCTTTTTTTAACGCTTTTTTATTTGAGACAGAGTCTCACTCTGTTGTCTAGAGGTTGAGTGAAGTGGTGCAATCATACCTCACTGCATGCTCAAACTCTTGGACTCAAGCAATCCTCACACCTTAGCCTCTCAAGTAGCTAGGACTAAAGGTGTGTGCCACTATGCCCGGCAATGTATAATATATATATATATATAAATGTTATATAAATATATATATATATTTTATATGTAGAGATAAGGCATCTTGCTATGTTGCCCAGGCTGGTCTCAAACTCCTGGCCTCAAGCAATCCTCCCTCATTGGCCTCCCAAACTGCTGGGATTACTGGTGTGAACCACCATGCCTGGCGCCATATCTTCTTCATAACCTTCTTACTTAGACACAGCTAGTCTTAGAGAATATTTTTTTCTAGTTCCATTCTTTCACTCAAGACTTCAAGACTACATTGCCCTAAAAGAAATTGAGATTTGTGTTTCATTTCTCAATGTTACAATTTCATTTACTTTTTATGGACGAATGCATACATTATCATACATTGATGGCATGAGGGATGAAAAGATAACTCACAAAGTACCCCCAGCAGGACCCTGCATTAAAACAGTGCTGGCCAGACAATAGTCAGTATGTAACTTATTATTTCATACAACTATCTTCACAATTTGGCCCTCTCTACCTGTGGAACTTTATCTCCTCCTGCTCCTCCTCTTCACTCTGATTTCTAAAAATAATTAATCTCAGGCTTATTTTTAAATACAAAGACCCCTTAGTATACTTGATTAGAATTTAATTTATAAAGATCTAATAGCCGTAAAACTTTTGGGGTGAAATATATCACATAAAGCTGGACATACTATCAAATATGTATTAATATTTAGATTTATCTTTGCAAAGGCTTATATGTTCTGTGACCAGAAAGAATATAAAAATTGTACTAAGATTGACTCACTATACTACCTGAAAAAACCTTTGAAGGCAATAAAGTGAAAGCACCTGAAGAGAGCTTCAGGTAACCTAACTGGAGAAGGAGTTTCCTGGGCTCTCCTTGCAGAGGAAATCACTAATCTCCTTATGCAGAACCAAAGAGAGATGTCAAGTCTGAGTCAGCGAGTGAGAGCATTTCTTTTGTTTTTTTTGAGACGGAGTCTTACTCTGTCGCCCAGGCTGGAGTGCAGTGGCGCAGTGGCACGATCTCTGCTCACTGTAAGCTCTGTCTCCCGGGTTCATGCCATTCTCCTGCCTCAGCCTCCCGAGTAGCTGGGACTACAGGCGCCTGCCACCACGCCTGGCTAATTTTTTGTATGTTTAGTAGAGACAGGGTTTCACCGTGTTAGCCAGGATGGTCTCGATCTCCTGACCTCATGATCTGCCCGCCTCGGCCTCCCAGAGTGCTGGGATTACAGACGTGAGCCACTGCGCCCGGCCGAGAGCATTTCTTAAGACGAACTCAACAGCCTGTCTAATATGATCTATAATCTTCTGAGATTCTGAGTTGGGAGAAGACAGAGGTAATAGGGAAGTTTTAGCTACCAAATGATAAACCAAATGGTATCTCTATCCACGATGAGGCATTAACAATCAACATGTTTACAGTTCATTCCTTTCACTGGCACTGAATAGAATGCATAATGCAGCAGTTTCATCAAAAGGTCATAATGTGAGAAATTACGTGCAGAACATCCCTGAACCCCTGTAAATGGAGGAATGACTCCATGGAAGAAAGAGTCTCTAGAATTATGATAAATGATGAAAGATTGAGATATTTGGCAAAGGAGTGCATATGCAAATTTTAAAAATACTTGAACTAAGGTATCTTGTTATTTAAAATTTGAAAAGGGGCATATTTGTTCGAACACAGAAATAATGTGCCGTATATCCAAGTGATTTTGGAAATTAAATTGTAAAATATGGTCTAATTATTATTTCACTTTTCTTGGATTAAGGTGGGTTTTTAGTTCACTCTTTTAAAAAAGAACATGCTATAGAATAGACTTTAGATTGTTTGCTTTTTCACATAAACTGGCCTATTTTCAATTTGTGCTATTGGGATTGAGCCAAAGCTGATTTATTTATTTATTTATTTAATTTTTTTTTATTTTTTATTTTTATTTTTATTTTTTTTTTTGAGACAGAGTCTTGCTTTGTCACCCAGGCTGGAGTGCAGTGGCACGATCTCCGCTCACTGCAAGCTCCGCCTCCTGGGTTCAAGCGATTCTCCTGCCTCAGCCTCCCGAGTAGCTGGTACTACATGCCATCACGCCTGACTAATTTTTGTATTTTTAGTAGAGACAGGGTTTCACCATATTGGCCAGGCTGGTTTCAAACTCCTGACCTTGTGATCTGCCCGCCTCGGCCTCCCAAAGTGTTGGAATTACAGGCATAAGCCACCGTGCCTGGCCCAAAGCCGATGTTTTTATAGTGAAAACTTGAATATGCTTATTAATTCATTTAAAATAATAGTATTCAATTTTATAGTGGTAAATATGAAAATATGAAGCTTATATTCTACTAGAAGAGAAAACAACAACAATAAAAATAATATGACAATTTTTGAAAGTGGTAAGTGGCCTAAAGGAAATAAATAAGGTGGTATGACAATAGTAATAATAGTTAACATTTATCAAATACTTTTTATACCCTGGCACTATTCTTTACATGTAATCTTGTAATGTAGGTAGTAGTATTAGCCCCATTTTACGCATGAAAAAACTGAGTTACATGGAGGTTAAATAACTTGTCCAAAGCCATGCAGCTACAAAATAACAGAGTGAGAATTTGAAGTGAAGTTGTTTCCTGTGTATTGAATCAATCATCTTGATGAAAACAACTGAAATACTTAAAAGAAACATTTTAAAATTATCAAAGAGATAACAAGATAGTTCTTTAAAAGGCCTAAGGTCAAGGGAAAATGAGAACTCTGGAAGGTAAATGGGTTGAAGAGAAATGGGTACAGAAACTGCTTTTGCCCTGAAGTCATTTGTCAATCTGGATAAATTAGAAGCTTTGTTTTGAAGGGCTTGCTGGGCAAGGGAGATGGCACAATGTGGAGAATTCGTAGAAGATCGTCTCCTAAATAAACTGGAAGCTCCCCTCCACAGAGCTGCACACTCAAGACAGGCATGAACCAGAAGTGAGCCAGCCCAGGAAGAAAATTTAAACCCCTGATTCAATTGCTAGCTCAAGACTTCAACTTAGTTTAAGGTGAAAGTGCCCCCTGAGAAGCCTAGAAGAAGCAAACAAAAATTCTTTCTGGAGATTAGTGGGCCTTCACCTGTGGGACTCAAATTGTTTACACAAATAATTTTTCAAATACAATGTCCTACACACAAAGGAAACCGCAACATAAAGAAACTAGACTTGAGTAAGAATCAGCAAAAACAATAAAAACACAGACCCCCAACCCCAATAAAGACTTCAAAGGCAAACAGTAAAAGAACTATGCTTACCATGTAATGTAAATGAAGATAAGCTTGAAGACATCTGTAAGAAACAGAAAACTATAAAATGTTGCAAAGTGGAATTTTTAAAAAACTGATCTTCTAGAAATACAATATATGATAACTAAAACTGTAAAAATGTCAATGAATGAGTTTGATGCCAGATTAACCTAAAAAGCTGAAGAGAGAATTAATGTTCTGGAATACAGGTTGGGAAAATTATCCAGAGAACTGTATGGGGAGACATAGGGCTGGAAAATACAGAGGAAAATGAAAGAGAATTAGAGGATATTAGGAAAAGGTCTAGGCTAACATAAATTTAACTTAAGCTTGTCCAATGTGTGGCCCCGGGCCACATGCAGCCCAGGATGGCTTTGAATGCAGCCCAACACAAATTTGTAAACTTTCTTAAAACATTATGAGATTTTTTTGTGATTTTTTTTTTTTTTAGTTCATCAACTGTTGTTAGTGTTAGTATTTTTTGTGTGTCCCAAGACCATTCTTCTTCTTCCAATGTGGCCCAGGGAAGCCAAAAGATTGGACACCCCTGGTTTAACTGCTATTCTAAAAGGAGGCACAGAGGCAATATTTGAAGACATAAAGGCTAAGAATTTTCTAGAACTAATGAGAGACCCCAACCTATAGAGTCAGGAAACCCAGTGAATCTCAAGCAATATTAATACAGAACTCCCCACTTATCCACAGTTTCACTTTGCATGGTTTCAATTAACCACAGTCAACTGCGGTCCAAAAATATTAATGGAAAATTTCAGAAATAAGCAATTCAAAAGTTTTAAATCGCATGCTATTCTGAGTAGTGTAATGAAATCTTATGTCATTTCCATTCCATCTCACCCACCTGGGACGTGAATTATCCCTTCATCTGTGTATCCATACTATATACTACCCACCTGTTAGTCACTTAGCAGCTGTCTCAGTTATCAAATAGACTGTCATGGTATTGCAGTGCTTGTGTTCAAGTAACACTAGTTTTACTTAATAATGGCCCCAAAGTGCAAGAATGGTGATGCTGGTGATTTGTATTTGCCAAAGAGAAACCATAAAGTGCTTCCTTTAAGTGAAAAGATAAACATTCTCTACTTAATAAGGAAAGAAAATAAATCACATGCTGAAGTTACTAAGATCAGCTCAGTTATTGTTGTTAATCTTTTAATGCGCCTCATTTATAAATTAAAGTTTATTGTAGGTATGTATGTAAGTATAGGAAAAACCATAGTATATATAGGGTTCTGTACTATCCACTATCCATACAGGGGACTTCTCTACCAAGAGATCTACCCTTAGACAAATCAGAGTGAAACATCAGAAAACCAAAAACAAAGAGAAATCTTAGAAAGCTTCCCAAGAAGAAAAGACAGATTGCCTTTGAAAGAACAGTAACCCGTTAGCCGACTTCACAGCCATCAGTGAAATGACTGTCTTCAGTGTGCTGAGAGGTGTGCAGAGGTCTGATGGTGTGGGGGCCTATAGACCATGGCAAGAAATTTGCATTCTAATAAAGCCAAAGCCATTAAAAGTTTTGAGCAAGACATAATCTGATTTAAGTTTTACAAAAGTCACTATGGCTATTTTGTAAAGGAGGAATTTAAGGGAGGAAATGATAGAGACAACGTAAGGGCCATTGCCATAGTCTGCACAAGAGAAACACTTAAAGAATATTAATATATAAATAGATATCAACCAGAAAAATGGATTCATCTTGGCCATATCTGAACACTGTTATTCTCGGTGTAGATAAAATTATGAAAATAAGCCTATCAAATCTGTAGATCATGTGCAGTTTTGAACAAGGGAGTCTACTTTAGGTGACAAAGTCAGTACCCAAGAAGGCTTCAACTTCTTGGTGTAGTGGAATAAATGAAACAAGCTGAAATTAAACAGAGTAAATGTGATATAGGAGTGACAGAACTTAGTACAGCTCATAGAAGAAAACAAGAAAGGTTTTCTTTGACAAGATGAATGAACAGTAATTTCAATCTTGGGCTCATTAATCATTCTACATAATACTACCACATTTCTTTGTGCTACTTAGACCAAACGTTGTCCCCAAACGGGACAAGAATGATGATGAAGGGCACAAAAGCATGCTACGTCAGGTATTTTTGGAAGAACTGGGGATATTTAACATTGGTAACTAAATGTTATTTCATTAACATTTACTGAACATCTCCTTTATGCCAGACTGTCATAAGCACAGGAGATTCAAAATACATAGGACTGGTTCCTTTTCTCACAGTATTCATGGTTTCATTACACTGAAAACAAGAGTAGAACATTGAGGATAAACAACTGTCTTCAAATAATTTCAGATTTATTTATTTATCTTGAGATAGGGTGATGCTCTGTCACCTGGAGTGCACTGGAGTGCACAGGCTGGAGTGCACTGTGATCACCGCTCACTGCAGTCTTGACCTCCCAGGCTCAAGCGATCCTCCCACCTCAGCCTCCCAAGTAGCTGGGACTACAGGTGCCCACCACTATACTCAGCTAATTTTATTTCATTATTTGTAGAGACGGGATCTCCCTGTGTTGCCCAGGCTGGTATCTAACTTCTGAGCTTAAGCAATCTTCCCACCTTGGCCTCCCAAAGTGCTGAGATAACAGCCGTGAGTCATCTCACCTGGCTAATTTCAGATTTATTATATGGAATAAGAAATGGGTATGACACCTAGGTAAGCATCCTAGCTTCTTTGAAGGCTAAGGCAGGAAGATCCCTAGAGCCCAGAAGTTTGAGGCTGCAGTGAGCAATGCTCATGTCACTGCACTCCAGCCTGGGTGACAGTATGATCCTGTCTCAAAAAAACAAACAGCAACAACAACTTAAAAAATCAAGTGAAAAAAAATACTTCTTTAATAAATGTTTTAAAATGTTAGAAGAGTTTTTAGTATAGTAGATTGATCATTTGATCGTTCCAATTAACAACCTCCCTGTATCCATGATTTTAAAATGTGACCATGCAACTCCTCCCATCAAGATATAGAGTCTATTTCCCATGTCTTGAATCTGAGCTGGCCTTGTTAGGTGCTTTGGCTAATAGAATGCAGCAGAAGTGTACTTGTGCCAGTTATAAGCCTGGGCCTCAAGAACTCTTGCATGCTTCCACTTTCTCTCTTGGACCCCTGTTCCACCATAAGCACCAGCTCTGGCTAGCTGCTGAAGGATGAGAAATCACATGGAGGAGAGCCAACGGGTCCCAGCTGACAACCAGATGAGCTCTGGAATCACAGTGAACTAGACATCACATAGCTGCACGCAGACACATGAGCACAGCTTAGCCCAGCCTAAATTGCCAATCTGACTTGCAATATCATGAGCTAAATAAATCGTTGTTTTAAACCATCAAGTTTTGAGGTTGTTTGTTATGCAACAATAGTTCATTGATACAGGCAGCAAGTCCATGAATATCTTCCGTCAATTTTCTTGGATTGAGAAATAATAATTCCTGGTTCAGGTTACTTCCAATTCACTATTAAATTTCTGAATGGTAACAAAAGGAAGCAAGTAATGAAATGATTATTCTATATAGATAAGAGCTTTTATTATTAATTTTTAGGTCATACTTAGGATAGTGATACTTTGCTGTTTTTCTGGCAATTAAGTTAGTTTTAAGAATGCCTTGATGTATTTTAAAGACAATTGGCCTGAATAAGAATTTTAGCTAGTTTATGCCTTTTTTCCTTACTCGTATCTTGAAATGTAGATTCATAATTACTTAGGCTTCTTATTCATTCTTTTCTTTTGCTTTTGCCAAGATGCTTACTGTGGGCTATGACACTTTAAATCACAATGAAGACACTGAATTTCCAGAGGCATAATATCACTTTCATCTTTTGGTTCAAAATCCATATGCTTCCAACATATTCTTGCGGTAGTTGAGCATTTCCTTTCCTTGTTATGCAATAAAAATAGAATCCTTGTATTTCCATTTTCTTTTGGAAAATTTCCAGCATTCCCTGTACTATCAAATCATGGTATTGGAAGGATGATTTGGGGGCACAATATCTCATTGCTACTAAATGCTTTTCATTTTTATTATATATTACTACTTGCTCTGTATTAAATGCCCCCTTTCCTTTAGTGGGGCTGTGCAGGATTTGCTATGCAGTAAAATATAATGCAAATATTCCAGATTATCCTTCGAGGATTAACTAGTCATTCTAATTACTATGTGCCACAAAAACTGGACCTCTAGGTTGGATTACACAAAGCAATGTAAATCTGGGAAAATAAATGATCACTGTGGTTCACGTCTGTGATCCCAGCACTTTGGGAGGATGGGATGGGAGGATTGCTTGAGCCCAGGAGTTTGAGACCAGCCTGAGCAACATGGCAAAACCCTGTTTCCACCAAAAGTACAAAAAAATAGCCAAGCATGGTGGCACCTGCCTGTAGTCCCAGCTACTCAGGAGACTGAGGTGGGAGAATTGCTTGAACCTGGGAGGTGGGGGTTACAGTGAACTGAGATTGCACCACTGCACTCCAGCCTGGGTGACAGAGAGAAACCCTGTCTCAAACAAACAAACAACAACAAAAGATCTGTTAAACAGCCAAGGTCAAAATTAAGAAGTCATTGCTAGCCTTTCCCTGAGAAAGAAGTTGTGGACCTTGAGGATCCCTCCATAGTCGTCAGTGATATTCTCAAAGCCAACAACATGGAAGGGGATGAGTAATTTAAAATCTGCTTAGAATCTCTGGAACTGAGATTTCCCTCTAATTTTATGCCCAACTCTTGAGTCAAATATTAAATGAGTGAACCAAACAGCCCTCAGGAGTAGACACCCTTCCCTCTACTTTTTTCTCTGAAGATCTGTTTATTTTCCAACTAACCAAGAATAAGACAGTTCTCCTACAACAACAGCTTTAATATTATATCACTGCTTGGGAGTTTTCCCATCTAAGGTCTTTTACTTAGAATCTGTTCCTGATACTTACCTCACAGGTATTTATGGAGTAAATATATGATCATGACACTAGGCCCTATGATAAAGCTTCTACGGTCTTCCCTCTGGAAGAGAAGATAATGAAGTTATTCATTTAAAAACACTACTTTAAGGGGTATTGTTACCTTTTTATCATCAAGAAAGCTTTTGGCATCCATTCCTTAAGGAACACATTCACAATTCCATCTCTTTACTAATAAAGGGAATTATGTTTTGGAGTCAAGTTCCAGGCACAGTTTTCTTGCTTAGAAAATGAATGCACTCCAGTCAAAAAAACAAATTCTGAAAAACTGTAAAAAATATTTCTTCAGTTCTTGGCTCTGACTCACTTCTGGTAGGTTCTGATAGTGAGTTGAGAGGGCCATGAAGGTGCAAGGGGCCCCCAAAATTCTTCTCTTTCTATTACCATCACTGGGATGCACAATGCACTTCATCAAAAGCAGTACTACTGTTAACCCCATGAGAGAAAGGAGTCTGTTCCAGGCAAATTCTTTTTACATGTAACACTTATCACTTTTTTGTGTGTGTGTTTCATTTTGCTACAATGTACTCCCAAAATAGTCTGCAAGTTGGGAATCATTTCACCAGAAAGATGGTTAAGTGGAAAATGTAACATGATGTGAAAAAATTATCAACCTCTGGGACTAGATTTTGTGACAATGATGCAGTTTCTGTTAATCATGCCATATTCACATCCGATCAGTTATCAACTCTTGTCAAGTTCACCTCCAGAAATTCTCTATAGTCTATCACCACAACCCTAATTCAGGCCCCCACTTCCTTTCCTGTGTTCTATTGCTGTGGGCTCTAACTTGGTCTCCCCACTCGCTATCTTTCTCTATTCTAGTCCATCCTGATTTTAATCATCTTGAGGCCAATTTAAATCATATCATTGACATGGTAAAATCCTTTAATTGTTCACCTTTACCTATAGTGTAAGATTCGAACCTCTTCAGAGGCATTCACAACTCTTTTCCACCTAGACATGTCTCTTTCCAAATGTCCTCACCCCTCTCATTCTCACATACCCTGAATAGCCACTCTGCACTTCCTGCCCCTCTGCCTTTGCACTTTCAGTTCCCTTTAATGAAAACATCCTCCCCACTGCAAGTATAAATTCTATCTTTCTCTCACAATTCAAATCAGATGCCACCTTCATCCACAGTCTCTCTCATATCCTGTGTGCCAACAGAACTGGTCTATCCCACTTCCCCAGCTTGGGTGGCAGAAAGAACTATTTTCTCTGTAAATTCAGCTTGAATCACTCTGAGCTCTACATCACATAAATGCAGAACGGCCTTCTCACTGGAGAGTCCTCTCTCCATGGTAACTCCAGCGCCCTCAGGCATGCTTTCTCAGTCCTAGTGGACAATATAATTACTCTTATCTCCAGGAGGAGAGAGAGAGAGAGAGAGAGAGAGATTGAGAGAGGGAGAGAGAGAGAGAAGGAGAGAGAGAGAGAGAAGCTAGCTCCATCCACCGAGGGGCCCTTTCCTACCACTTTTATCACTCTCATTTTCACACTATAGTGTTGGGAAAACACTGGGGATCTGACATGCCTGTGCTTCGCCTCGTGTCCAGCACTTGAGAACCTTGTCTTCCTGCACGTCTACTACCAAAATCTGGCAACTTGCCATCCAGGGCACTCCTTGTGCTCTGAAGAAACACCCTTGGGCCATGTAGGGTTACCACTGCTGTTGCACTGGCCGTCCTTTCCTCCATGGGAGGGGGAAAGGAGAAGCTTCTCTACCTGCTGGCACAGGCAGCTGCCCTCATCCCCACCACTCACAATGTTGCCGTTCTTCACTTAAAAGGTTCCTCAAGTCTGTAGCATACCCATGGAGCCTTGACAACCCAAGGCATTGTGAGCAGTGTGCAAATAGCTCACTCCTGAGGGATTTCTTCTCAGCCTGTGTTGTAGGTGGAGCCCTCCATGCCATGTCACTCCATCCCTCACTGTCTGACTCGCATCCCCTTCCCAAGATCAAAGCTTCACATCACCATCAATTCCATTAAATGTGCCTTCCAAGTAATCATCTGAGTCCTTGGGACACATACCAGTTAAAGTGCCTTTAGTTGTATTTAAAAAAAAAACTCAAACTACATTAAGCAATAATGAAATTTGCTGGATGACATGATGTAACTAGAAACTTAGAGGTAGCACAGGCTCGAGGATGGCTTAATGCAGTAGCAAGCCCTATTTCTTTGTGATTCTTGGCTCTGTCTTCCTCTTTGTATCAACTTCATCCTCAAGGACAAAGGCGACCAGAGTAGCCTTAGTGTCTGAACCTACTGCCCACACATGACACATCCAGGAGAAGAGTGACAGGGTTGCTTCTGCATGCATTCCTGGAGTAGGAGGCAAAAAGATACCTCGAACCCCAGCAACATTTCCTCAGTGGCTGAAATGGAGACTCCCATTCCTGAGCCAATCCCTGACAAGGGGGAGAAAGCTTACCAACCAGACCCGTCCACTGGGAGTCACTTGGGCTTTCCATAGAGGGGTGTACACCTGAACAAAATTGGGTTGATAGAAATCACAAAAAAGAATGCTGAGCAGGCTATCACCACAACCACTAGAGAGGGATTTCATCTGTGCCTCAAAATAGCTGCCTTCTTTCTGAAGTGGTGATATAGAAAACCTCTCATATACATTGATTAAAATCTTAGATACAGCAATATTACCCATTTTTTTAAAAAGCTTTTAGAATCCTACAGTCATAATATTGAGCAAAAGAAGGCAGACACAAAAGAAGATATGTACTGTATGATTTCATTTATATAAAGTTCAAAAACACTGTATTGTATTAGAAATAAGAGGAGTAATGACTGAAAAAGGGCATGGAGAGGGATTCTGGACTAATGTTCTGTTCCTTGATTGATGCTAGTTATGGCAGAAGTTTTATTTGTTAAAATTCATTAAGCTGTACATACATGATTTATGAACTTTTGGAATGTATGGTCTACTTCAACTAAAAAGCTAAAAATAAATAATAGAATTATAGTGCAAAGTATTGTGCAAGCTGTGACAGATATTAAGATTAATAACACACAGTCTCTTCAAGATTCAAGGATGTTGTAGCTGAGCAGAGCAGTCACATAAGTCAATCATCCATTACTACACAGTGTTAGGATATGTTCTATGATGAGGAGCATGAGATCCAAGGTCGAGTAAGACTTCCCAGAAAGGATCACATGTTAAGTTGGAACAAACAAAATGTGTCGGTATGAATTTGCTTAGTGAGGAGTGAGGGGATTGTGCAAATGCATGGAGGTAACAGAGTACTTGAGAATAGTTCAGTGTGGCTGGGTCTGAGTGTCTAAGGAGAAGAGGAAACACAGAGGGTAGAGAGGTCAACAGGGGCCTTTTAGGTTATGTTAAGGAGGTGGACTTTATCCTGAAGGCAAAGGAAAGTCATAGAAGGGGAAGAAGGGGACTGCCATGATCCATCATCAGCCAAGAACACAGTTGGCATTCATAGTGAAGGGGCATCTGTGTGTCTAAGGACCGGAAATAATCTCCATGAAGAGGGTGAAAGGCATCAGGGCTTGGTTAAAAGAAATTCATGGGAAGCTAACTGGCCTGTAAGTCAGATGATTTAGACTCTTGCCCCCCTTTTCCTACAACTTAGATCTGTACCCTTAGACAAGGTGGAATGGGGAAGGGAAAAAACACTGTGGACTCTTTTCTCTAATTTGGTATAAGGACAGGGCAGGCACATCTACTTCATGTAATTTACTAATCTCATTGACTACATCCCCATGCCATAGCTATTCTCACCACAGTTTAAGAAGAGAACTCAGGCTTAGAATGACAGAGCTGAGATCCAAACCCAGGACTTCTGGGATCCTGGTGCTCTTCCTGCAGTATTCTGGGGAGGATCAAAATTCCCTCGTTTTTCGGCAAAGAAAAGAATTTGCCCTTGGTTACTTACAAGGTCTTTTCAGTTCCTTCCAAGATTCTATGCTTGGAATTGGGATGCAAACCCTTCATCCAGAGATTAAATAAGTGTGTTCTTAACACACTTCATTTGAAAATTCTTGGTCATAAATTATGTTCCCCTTTTTTATTTTTTATAAATAAAAGGATCATAGGCTTTCAGAGGCTTTTTTCTAAATTATACAGGAAACAAAATGTTACTTTAAGAGTAATTAGGGATCTAGAAGCTTTTTAAAGCCAGGTCTCTATATGCTAAAAAGCAATATATAACTAATTTCCATAAGTTGGGAAAAAATGGAAAAAAATTACCCCCACTGGACAGAATAATGGCTTTATATAACTACTTAAGCATGATGTATTGTGATTTTGTCATTAGAGTTGCTTTTAATTACCCCTTTTTTTCCTGATTCTTATGAACCTCACAAACTCATTCCATCATAAGCTGTCCAATGCAAGATAAAAATGTCATTGCTAGTGTCCTAGCATCCAATGTGATTGGTATTGAGCTTGATATATATTTGTTTATTTTTCTATTGCTGACATCAAATGAATACTCAATGACAGAAAAATCAATGTAATTTGACCTTTTGCTCTCTAGTAAAGGAAATAGCACTGTAACTTAATGGCTATATTCTATATCAATATCTATATCAATGTTTGAAAGATATACACTAAATTGTTAGTAGTAGTACCCATGAGGTAGAAGTGGTACTGTGGGAAAAGGGACTTACACTTTTAATCAAAATACTTTGATATTATTAGAATAATTTTTTAACAATTAAAATGTCTTCATATACTATAAATATAATTTTTAAAAGTAAAGAATACCACTTTCCCAGCTTTCAAAATTCTTAAGAAGTAAATCATTCTGAAAATTTGTGCAGGCCAATAATGACCGTATCTAATGAAATATTGTAATTAAGTAAACATAGCTATATGTTTTACCACCATTTTTAGCAGTAATAATAATGTTTTATGCTGGCAATCCTATTTTTAAGAAAGAATTTAAACTCTGTTGACAGAAGGGAGTATGATTAAAAAAAACCTATCAGAATATTCTCGGAGTGTGAAGGACAAATGATATACACAAAACTCCCACATCTGAAGCCAAGAAAATCTTCCTGAGTAATAATAGCAACGTCCAAGAGCAGTGAATGCCTAAGGGGAGTAAACTGGGAGTTGTGCAACCAAAACTGCAATCGCGAATCCCACAATTAGGTTAAATTGTCAGATTTATTGAATGGCCACATTATGCATTAGGGAAACACAGATGACTAAGATATGGTTCTTTAATACCAAATTGGCAGGCTGATCTCTACCCAAGTAATCTCAATTCTCTACCCTAGTATCAAGGGTAATGATATTAGTTTATAAAGGAGGAAGTAATTCTGCCTTGGAGAGGTGAGGCATGGTGGTTAGGGGAAGTTTTCAGAACAGCTGACCTTCTAGTAGGCTTAAAAGGCAGATAGAATTTCTCTGGGCAGCAAAGAAAAGTGTGGAAGTTCATTTATTGGGAGTAGGGGAAGATAGATATGAAGGCTATTGCACAAACAAAGGCATGTAAATACTAGGTGTGGTAATATGAGGTACCAGATTGAACTGGGAGTGCAGTGAGGAAAGGATGCTGAATTAGTGAGAAGCTGCAGGATAGGAATAGGAAAGGTAACTTAGTGTTGAGTTCAGTTCTAGCAGCATGGCAGACTAGATACCCTGAATGGTTCTCCACTATAATACCCCCAATTCGTTAATAACTATTTTTAAAATGATGCTTTTTAAAGAATTGCTGAGCTCAAAAAGAAGAGAAATAGCTTAGGGCTAGCTCTTGCCTCCAAACCAAAACAAAAACATTGAGTTGAAATGGAAATGGTAAGAAGCCTTCACTAATCTGAGGAGCAACACCTGTACCAGCACTGGGACCAGAATACTACACCTAAATCTCACGCCAATCCCAATCCCTAGGTAAGAATTTAACCTGAGATTTCAACATTTACAACTGGATTCTCAGAAGGGCTAATGTCATTCCAGATCAGCACAGCCTCCTGGCTCCCAGCAAAAGAAAATCCAAATCTTCTCTGAAGTAATTTCACTTTAGGCCCTTAGAATTTTCACAGACTACATTCAATCTGAAACAAACTCATAATAAAAATAATTTTAAAATAAACTATCAAACACACAAAGGAAAATCTACCTTTGTGAGTAAATAGAAATAAGCAATAAATACAGAGATCTTCAAAACTTTTATTATTGTAATTAGTAATTATATAAAATTACTATTCCTTGGATAATCTTAGCAGTAAAATGTGAAACTTTTTAAATGAGCAGAAACCATAGACTTTCAAAAGTGACCAGACAGGTTTGAAAAATAATCAAGTAGAACATTTAGAAATAAAAAAATAATTGTTTAAAATAAAAACTTAATTGAATGTTAAATGACCAATAAAAACAGAGAGGGAATTATCTTGTTCTCCTTTTTCATGGCATTTACTTGCCTTTTTTCGTGGCATTTATCACCTTCTACATTCTACATAATTTGCTTACTATATTTATCATTTATTGTCTGTTTCTTAATTTCATCTCTTCAAATGTAAGCGCCTCCTGGGTAGGGATGCATTTATTTTGTTCCCTGAGGTACTCAACTGCCCAAAATAGTGTTTACCACTAGTAACTGCTAAATAAATATTTGCTGAATAAATGAATGGAACTGTCCAGAATGTAGCAAGGAAGTATTAGGAGAAGAAAAATATTAAGGAGGTATTAAGGGGCACAGAGAATAAAATGAGAAAGTTAAACAAACACCTAATTGAAATTCCAGATAAAGAGAAATGAAAGAATGGACAGAATCTTCTCCAAGAGAAATGGCTAATAATTTTGCATCACTGATGAAAGACATGAAGACACAAAAATAAGGATATTTACTTGCTTTGCTCTCACAAGATTGTCCTCAGGAGCAAAGTACTCTTTGAAGATTGTCAGAGAACAAAGAAGCCAGGGTTATTAAAAGGAACTTGTCTTCATTCCCTGTCACCTTACTTTGATGAGTTTAGGACATTCAAATTGGGCCAAATGCTTTGATCTTACAAGAAATAGTATAAGATGGGAAAAGACATGAAGCCCACTGATGATTTACCCTGTCTTGATTAAAGGCCAGATTGAATTACATCACTGGGTTTTCCAGGTCTCCAGTTTGTAAAAAGCAAATAGTGGGATTCTCAGCCCCCGTAATCATATTAGCCAATTTCTCATAATAAATCTCTTCATGGCTGGGCACTGTGGCTCATGCCTGTAATCCCAGCACTTGGCAAGGCCAAGGCAGGTGGATCATCTGAGGTCAGGAGTTCAAGACCAGCCTGGCCAATATGGTAAAACCCTGTGTCTATTAAATATACAAAAAAATTAGCCGGGCATGGCGGCAGGTGCCTGTAATCCCAGCTACTCAGGAGGCTGAGGCAGGAGAATTGCTTGAACCTGGGAGACAGAGGTTGCAGTGAGCTGAGATTGTGCTACTGCACTGCAGCCTGGGTGACAGAACAAGACTCTATCTCAAAAATAAATAAATAAATCTATCTCTTCGTAATAGATCTCCTTTATACATGTGGGTATATATGTGTGTGTGTGTGCGTGTATGCATGCACATGTGTGTGTGTGTGTGTATGTGTATATATATTTACATAAAGAAGAATTTCTCGCTTAGGTAGAGAAAGGTGTGGGCACTCAATAAATATTATTTAATGTAAACAGTAAATTCACTTAAAGGATAAATTTGTATGTTTAAACAGGCTTATAATTAGGTAAGAGTGAGTATAATGTTATGAAGTCATGTATCTTTTACTGGTTCTGTTTCTCTGGAGAACCCTAATACAAGTGGGTACATAAGGGTTTATTTTTCTTTGATGCTCCATAATTTACATATGCATTATATATATATCTACTTTTTATGTCAAATATTACATAAAAGAAAAAAGTCCCTTAAATTTTGCAAATATTGGATATACAGAATCATATATAAAGCTCGTTAGATGATACACGTGAAATCATTTCAAGTATCATAAAGATTATTATTCTTTTTTAATATATGGATTTTTTCCTAATAAAGCTCTAAGCTCTTGAGAAAAGAGACTGTTTATATTATTATGTATCTATGATACATACTGAATCACATCCTTCTTTGAATTGAAATGTTAAAAATAAAAGAGAAAAGAAAAATAACTTTTTTATATTCAGGGGTCAGGAAGTCATTCAGGGATTATAGAAGAAGGACAGCATCTGGTCTGGATGTAAAAGATGACTCTAGTAGCAGAAAATGCAATGAAGTGAAAGCTGGGGAGAAGAAGAAACCTGGACACTGGACATCAGGAGAACAGTGGCAAACTGCTGCAAGAACATGGGCTGGGGATCATGAGTATCTGAACTGGGAAGGAGGCAGTGGGAATACAAAGAAGAGGTGGTTCAGAGGTGCAACTGATGGGAGCTGGGGAGAGATTGAAGAGGAAGGGAGCAGTTTCTCATTCAGCAACTGGGAGAATACTGAAGCAGAGAGATGGGCAGATTTGTGAGGGAATTAGCCAACCATGTGACATGGGGGAAGTCAGTTAGCTTCTTCATGGCTCATTATTCTTCTCACATGTAATATGAGGGTGTTGGGCAAGGTATTCTCTTAGGATTCCAACTCTAATATTCTGACTCTAGACAGCAGAATGCTTTTCCCCCCAAGCCATTCAATAAACGCTATTATGTTTATTCCTCATATCACTAGGAGGAAGGGAGGAGCATTGGAAAGATCATAAAGTTTCCTTTATCTCTTCTTGTTATCCTCTGGGAATTTAGAGTGTGAGAAATTATTCAGAATTTTTAAATTTTCAGGTAAAAATATAACATCAAGAATATTCATTTGACACAATGGGCATGTGAAAAAAAAAAGAAAAAAAGAGAATATTCAGTTGGCCAAATGTAGTAAAGAAAAAAACAATTGCCATATCTTTTTTAAAAAATCCTAAATTTACTTCAGAATTTACTGACTAATTAATAATATAAACAGTGACCAGTGACTCCTGGAAAGGTCGGGGGTATTACCTATTCTGTCAGTAATTTGATTAGCAGAATTTCTAGCTTCAGGTAGAGAAAGGTACAGGTGCTCGATAAATATTATTTAATGTAAATGGTAAATTCACTTAAATGAGAAATTTGTATGTTTTAACAGGCTTATAACTATGTAAAAGTGAGTATGATGTTATGAACTTATCTGTTTTGTTTTGTTTTGTTTTGTTTTTGAGTCTAGCTCTGTCACCCAGGCTGGAGTGCAATGGCGCTATCTCAGCTCACTGCAACCTCCACCTCCCGGGTTCAAGCGATTCTCCTGCCTCAGCCTCCTGAGTAGCTGGGCTTACAGGCACGTGCCACCATGCCCAGCTAATTTTTGTATTTTTAGAGGGATGGGGTTTCACTATGTTGGTCAGGCTGGTCTTGAACTCCTGACCTTGTGATCCACCCACCTCAGCCTCCCAAAGTGCTGGGATTACATGAGCCACTGCGCCCCGCCAAGAAGTTATCCTTTAATGAAGGTTTTTATTTCAGAGAAATAATTTTCTAATATTATGGAAAAATAGTGATGTAAATTTTTTACACCAAATGTATTACTTGAATAAAGTATTCATTTGTTAGAATATACTTATTTTATTTTAAATAAATTATTTTTTAGTTTTTAAAGGAGCTGTTGAAGAGGTCTGTTTCAATAAGGAGGCTACTGTTGTTTTTTTCGAGCAACCATATTTGTTTTGTCCCAGAGAACACAGCTTATAAACCTTTTTATTTGTTAAATTGATAAGAAAAGACCCCCCTCACTCTCCAGCAGTAGCTGTAGAAATCTAATTTCAAACATATCTATGCAAATTATTAAAGGAAGGGAGGGAGGGAGGGAGGGAGGGAAAGAAGGAGGGAGGGAAAGAGGGAGGGAAAAAGATAGGGGAGAGAAAAAAGACAATTTTTTACAGTGGAAGAAAAGGAAGGAGGGAAGGAAGAGAGAGAGGAAAGGAGGGAAGGATCAATAATAGGGAGAAAAAAAAATTTTCATTAGATAAATATAATTCACAAGTGCTATGGAGAAATAATTATCCCTGCATCATTCTCACTTATCAGGCATGAAGAAATGTCATTAAGACCCTGTTATCACTTTTATTGTACCACTTTTAAAATTTATCCTGTGCTTACGTCCCCTCTGGGGGAAAATACATATTCTCACACATGGTTTTGAAAATTACTCTGGAAGGAGATCTGGGAAAATCTATATGGTGTGACAGAAGAATATGATTCAACAATTATTTGTGTTACCTACCCATAGATAACATTCAGGGAAACTTAAACCATCAGTTTCTGTTATTATAGGTTTAAAAAATACTATTTTTCTTAATGGTGCTAAGTAGCATATTGCTTTACAGTAGAATTAGCCTCATTGAATGACAATAATTCATTCCCAGTGTTTCCCATGGGAGGAATGAACAAAGATGGTTAAATACTGAGGGTGAAAAATAAAGTTAGGATCCTTATTTGAAATTATTTAAATACCTTCAGTTCCATCCTCTTTATTTTGCCACTTCACTGACTGGCATGCAGCACTGTGCTTTGGTGCTAGTATATTTCTATGTATCTCTCAAAAAATAGCCATTGACTAAATGACTGATTAGCTTACTATACTCTCCCTTCTATCACTTAGAAAAGATATTAAGAGCTCCACAGCAAAAAGATGTGTCTTTTTCCCCTCCTCTATCTTTCAATCCACATCAGGAATTAGGGAAGGAAGAAAACTTTATAGCCTGTATCTAAATAAAAATCTCAGACAAAGGATTTGTCTGAAATGATAAGTGTATACTCCTGCACTCAAGGAACTAGGAGGTTCCAAACCTGTGCTTCCTTTACTAAATGCCACTGAAATTAAACTCAAGAAAAGGATTATTCACTAATGATGAGGTCACCAGTGAAATACAACCAGGTTTTTGCACAAATAGGAAAGAAAAAAGCATGGATTGTTTAGATTCGTATTTTATCAGATTTAACACAAGAATGTTAAACAGAGAGTAAGTGATCCTCTAGCAATAAGTGCCCCTATAATCAATCATATGTCACTTATCACCTTTCCATGCCTGGATTTACTTCTTTAAACTTTATTGATTTTTTTAACATTTTATAATTTTTACACCTAATTCTTCTAAAACTGGAATCTGGAAGCTCTTTGAATGCAGGGAAAATTGTTTTAAAAATGTCTTCCTACAGTGTCTTACACTAGGCTGGCATTCAATAAATATTGGCTGATTTGGATAATGAAATTAAATAAAACCATTTAAATTTGAGCAATTAGGTTAAAAAGGTTTTTTTCTACTTACTGAGCTAACAGATGGTCAGTGCAGAAACTTTGAAAAACATAGAAAAAACTAAAGAAAAATTTAAGAATCATAAAACATCCTCAATGCCTTCTCCCGCTTCCTGCCCCCAGGAATAAGTGTAAGTTTTTGTAGCATTTTTGCTATGTTGGTTTGATGAAAAAATACAGCGTGCAGCTATACATAAAACTTCCATAGCTCACAATTTTTGTGTAATGGATATCATGAACTTTTCCCCACATCTATAAATATTCTTCTCTAACATGACTTTTGTGTCAGTTCGGTATTCCATTGCATGAAAACACCATAAATCCCACTGAACACCAAGATCTTATTGTTTGTAATTTTGTCTATTATAAATTATTCTACTGTGAATATCATATCAAAAAATAGCGATTTATAATTAATCAAATAATTGAGCTCTTATCAGGGAGGATGTTTGATTGACAAAAGACAGAGAATGGAATTAAATGGGTTTGTACAATTTTGTATTGCATATTTCACATATTGACATAGAAAAAATTACTAATCTCTTCAGTTTTAAAGTGTGACTAAGAAATAAGATACTGAGATTTTATAGGAAAAAATTCTTGTCTTTTTTCTTAGAGTATAAAATAGTTATAGAAAATCAAAGCCTTAAACCATTTAACAATGGCAAAAATGAAAGGCTTAACATTTATTTTCTTCATCATTTATCATATATCAGTGAGTTACTAAAAAGAAATATAGGGAAGAATTTTTGCTAATTCAGGAAAGTTTGAAGGCAGTACATGCTAGATAAATGACATAAATACATGCTTAATACACTGATAATTATCATCAATCAGTCTCAATCTTGACTTGTGTCACATGCAAAAACCTATGTGGCTTTTTAAAAAGCTCTAAAATTCTACATTATAATAACGTATTTACTTAATTATAAAACATGAGGCTGCCAAAATCTGTCCCTTACCCGAATCATTTTTTTTAATAATTCTATTACCAAGACAAATTATGACAAAAACTAAAAACAAAAATCTCAGAATATGCCATTTAAAGGAATCAGTTCATGGACTACTTATTTGCACTCTTTTTCATTGGTTAGGCATCCTAGTAACCTTTTTTTTAAATCCAAAACTTTTATAGGAGGTAATACATCAGATTATTAATTTTTTTTTTTTGAGACAGAGTTTCACTCTCATCACCCAGGCTGGAGTGCAATGGCACCATCTTGGCTCACTGCAACCTCCACCACCTGGGTTCAAGTGATTCTCTTGTCTCAGCCTCCTGAGTAGCTGGGATTACAGGCACCCACCACCACACCCAACTAATTTTTTTTCATATTTTTAGTAGAGACGGGGCTTCACCATGTTGACCAGGCTGGTCTCAAACTCCTGACCTCACATGATCTGCCCCCCTCGGCCTCCCAAAGTACTAGGATTACAGGCCAGATTATTCATTTAAAAAAGGTTTTAAGGAAAGGATTATTACTAAGATTATCTACCTCTTATCCAATTTAATCCCTTGCTCCCAAAGTAGGTTTATACCTTAAATATGGGCCAAAAATATCAGTAATAAAAAAAATAGCAATGGGAAAAGAAACAAAATGGATTTGGGCCATGGGATGGAGATTCACAAAGAATATATGACTTCTGCTCTGAAGAAGCCATAATGTTCTCGGATCTAAAAACTTCAGTCTAGCCCTGTAAGCACATTCAGTTATTGCTTACCAAGAACATAAAGACTATCAAGGTTAAGGAGAATGGCATATAGATAAAATACATTTAGGAAATACCTAGGTCCATGCCATCAGCATCACTCCCACCCCTACTACCATCTTTATCAGTTTACATCATTACCTATAACAAAAAAATTCTAGTCAAAATTAAATTCTCTAAGAATCTATTGAGTGGTAGTCCCTATCCCCAAGAGTAACATCCTGAAGGGAAAATAATTTATAAAAACAATAGTAGTTGTTGATAAATAACATATATTTCAGTGTATATTTTTCTGTCACCTCATAGAGTTAATCCATATTGTTATCCTTTCTTGAAACAAGGTATAACTCTTCACATATTTCTACTCACCCCCATCCCCTACTGCCTTCTGTGTTATGATGGCCAGGCAGTGTAAGAACCCACTTGACATTCTTGGTCCTGATTTAATGTGGGGCAAGACAGTGCCACTGTGTGTTTTCCTCCAGGCTCATCCAGCTGCACAAGTAGAAGCATGGCTGAGTACAGTTGGTTTTGCCAAGTGAATATAAAGAAGGGAGAGGGAGCAAGGGGGTTGAGCACATTATGCAGGGAATCGTTATGATGATGGTTGTGGGTTTCAAGCTGGGTAAGGGGCCACTGGAATAAACAAAAAAGGGTAGATCAATGGATTAGAGGTTCTGAAAAGATTGAAGGATTGCTAGAGTTGTGCTAATACAGGGAGTGACCTGCAACTACAGGAGGTGGTAAGGTCAGAGAGTAAGGTGCATGAAATTAAGATTATGGAAGGGTTTTAGTTAGTTGTTGCAATAACTTCTAGAGTGTGATCATGCATAATGGCTGGGGTAGGGTGTAGGACAAGATAGAAAGGAATTCAAGAAACTGAGAGGCCAGGGTGTTAGAAAGATCATCTACGTATATGCTGACTTTTCAAAAATTAATACAGAAAATGTGTGGAAGAGAGTGATAATGAGTCAGGAGCTAAAGTCATAGAGAAATTGGGAGGGGCTCAGGGACAGAGAGAAATTGCAACAACAAGATTAGCTGGTAATATCATTTGATGACATTACATTCAAAGCTGGGGAGAAAGGAGGGAGAATGGTCTGAAGCAGAAAAAAAGAAAAAAGATCAAAGAGACCTAAAGTCATTCCAGGCCCATAAATATAGAAGGATGTAGTAGAAAAATCAGCCCTGACTTGAGAAGACTGTAAGGGAAGAAGCATCCTCAGACAACCAGGTTTTCTGCAGAGCAAGAAGGTAAAGGAAACTCCTTCACAAAAGGGGATGAATATGTAGCAGATTTTGCTGAGGAAGGATCTTGAGTTCCGGAAGAAACAAAGGAAAGGGGTTCAAGAGTTTGGTAAAGAATATGTGGGCCAGGTGTGGTGGCTCATACCTGTAATCCAAGCACTTTGGGAGGCCGAGGCGGGCAGATCATGAGGTCAGGAATTTGAGACCAGCCTGGCCAATATGGTGAAACCCCATCTCTACCAAAAATACAAAAATTAGCCAGGCATGGTGGCATGCACCTGTAGTCCCAGCTACTCAGGAGGCTGAGGCAGAAGAATCCCTTGAACCCGGGAGGCGGAGGTTGCATTGAGCCAAGATTGCGACACTGCACTCCAGCCTTGTTGACAAAGTGAGACTCCATCTAAAAAAAAAAAAAAAAAAAAGAATATGTGGGAGATGGAGCTAGAAGTAGAAATGGGCAGATATGATGGGAGAGGAGAGGTGGCTTGGAGTCTGGAGATTTTACGGTGAGTCTTATAAACATGTAGGTAAAGGGCCTCATATGGTTTGGCTGTGCCCCCACACAATCTCATCTTGAATTGTAGCTCCCATAATTCCCACGTGTTGTGTGAAGGAGCAGGTGGGAGATAATTGAATCATGAGGGTAGTTTCCCCCATACTGTTCTCATGGTAGTGAATAAGTCTCATGAGATCTGATGGCTTTATAAGGGGAAACCCCTTTCACTTGGCTCTCATTCTCTCTCGTCTGCCACCATGTAAGATGTGCCTTTTGCCTTCTTCCATGATTGTGAGGCCTCCCCAGCCACGTGGAACTGTGAGTCCATTAAGCCTCTTTTTCTTTATAAATTGCCCAGTCTTGGGTATGTCTTTATCAGCAGTGTGAAAATGAACCAATACAGGGCCTAACAAAGACAGTCCTGGTAGACTCAAGGCAGACAATGGGGTCATGGGAAGGCTGGAACTGCTGAGTGTAGGGAAAGGAGATATTAAGGATATTCATGTTCCTTCATGACCCCGGCAGCTAGAAACAAGAAGGAGGCTGTGAGAAAAGGTAACTGCAAGGTTGCCTTTTTTTTTTTTAAGAGATGGAGTCTCACTGTGTCACCCAGGCTGGAGTGCAGTGGCGCGATCTCAGCTCACTACAACCTCCGCCTCTCAGGTTCTAGCAATTCTCCTGCCTCAGCCTCCCGAGTAGCTGGGATTACAGGCGCACACTGCCATGCCTGGCTAATTTGTTGTATTTTTAGTAGAGACGAGGTTTCATCGTGTTGCCCAGGCTGATCTCTAACTCCTGAGCACAGGCAATCCACTGCCTCGGCCTCCCAAAGTGCCAGGATTACAGGCATGAGCCACCGAGCCTGGACCTCCAAGGTTTCTTGACACTTGTTCATGAGGTTATGTGACCAGGGAGATGTGTCTTGCCCAGTGTGTACTTGATTCACTCTTGATTCCTGCTGGTTAGGGCTGTTGATGGGAATTTAAAAACATCCTCCTCATACAGCAATTTGTTAGTGCACAAATAAACAAAGTGTGTATATACTATGACTCAAAAATTTTAGGGATTTTCTGGAAAATATTCTCGTGGCAATCAATTTACAAACAAATTAAATAATGAATGGTTAAATACAGCATAGTATATCCATATTATAAAATGAGGTAGATATATTGTTAAGCGAAAATAAAAACAAGTTGCAGAACAGTAAGTACAGTATAATTTCACTTATGTATTTTTAAAAGCAACATAAAATCCTATACTTGCATAGCATATCTAACAAACACTTCTTAAAAACATACTACATGTTAGGCACTGTACTTGCTTTATGTATTAATTCACTTAATCAGCTAGGTACTATTATTATTGCCGTTGTATAGATAAGGAAACAGACCCAGCAAGGATAAATAATTCACCTCAAACCCCAAAAATATTAAAAAGGCAGACTCAAATTCTGTTCTAGGCAGCCTGGCTCCAGGAGCTCTGCTTTTAAACATGTAAAACTGGCTATTATAGACAAGTATTGAAAAAAGCCTGAAAAAAATATGCCCCAAACTCTTAACTACAATTATTTCTGAGGGGGGAGTAGGACTGAAGGAGGTAAAAGGTAAAGAATATTGTTAGTTTTTACTTTCACTACTTCATGCTCGTTTAAACTTTTGATAATTAGAATATATTCACTTGTATAGTTTTGGTTTTACTCCCTTAAAAAAACATTCACTGTGGTTCCAGTCTGTACCAGGTTTGTGTTCAAGGCACAATGGCGGCATTATTTAAAAAGTAAAAAGGGTAGGGATCAACTTTCCTTGAGGAAGGAAACTTCAAGGAGGAGATTTTGAGTCTTGAAGGATGAAGAGTTTTCCAGGTAGACATTCATGGAAGGGCACATGGTTGGTGTTCTTTATTGTTGTTGTTGTTATTATTATTATTATTATTTTGACAGAGTCTTGCTCTGTTGCCCAGGCTGGAGTGCAGTGGTACGATCTTGGCTGACTACAACCTCTGATTCCAGGTTCAAGAGATTCTCCTGCCTCAGCCTCCCCAGAAGCTGGGACTACAGGTGTGTGCCACCACACCCAGCTAATTTTTGTATTTTCAGTAGATGCGGGGTTTCACCATGTTGGCCAGGCTGGTCTTGAACTCCCGACCTAAGGTGATCTACTGGTCTCAGCCTCCCAAAGTGCTGGGATTACAGGCTTGAGCCATGGCGCCCGACTTACAGGTGGTATACAACAAGTTTTTTGAATGAATGGATTCTAGACAGAAGGAACACATATACAAAGTCTCAAAGGAAAGGTAGCAGGAGTCAAAGCTGGAGAGATAGGCAAGGGCCAGATCACCAAAAGCCTTATGTGTTAAGTAAAGGACATTATCTGGAAGCAATGAGGAGACATCAAAAGATCATATATATTTGGGTTTATTTTAGGTTTCCAGGGCATTATCTTACAGATGCTTACTGCACATTAAGTGGTAAGGGATAGTAGAAGAGAATAACCACTGCTGCTGCTAATGAAGATGATGATGATTTGAGATTCTGGGAGATAAAGTATGTGGACTGTAATTGTGACTGTCGCAAATCATCTACTATCTTACATTTTCTGTATTTAAGATCATTTCATTCTTGGCCACATTACTATCTTGAGGTTTTTTTTTTTTTTTTTTTTTTTGAGAAAAGGTTTTGCTCTGTTGCCCAGGCTGGTCTCGAACTCCTGGCCTCAAGCAATCCTCTCTTCTGCCTCCCAGAGTGCTGAGATTACAGGTGTGAGCCACCATGCCCAGCCCTATCTTGAGATTTTTTTATATCCTTAGGTACCGGTAATTCTTTTCCTGCTTTTGACTGAATTGTATATTTTGCATTTATATAAAAGTATATTCTGAAAGATCTAAAGTCATGAATAAAATCTTCTTATATGTGTTCCCAAAAAGTCATTCTAGCTAAGCAATTCTATTTTTCCCCCATAACAGTTCCAACCCATAAATCCTTACTGCACCCTTGCTGCCTGTTATGAGCTTTTACTATTCCTCCTAAATCAATTTATTTCTGGATATTGGGTTTTTGCTGAACTATCTCCAGAGGTGTCCTTGTTTTATTTATATTTTAATATATTTGGCTACAGTATGCATAATATTTCTAGCCAAGGATGAGCTGATCATTTTTAAATAAGGTATTATTGGTGGCAGAGGCCCTTCAGTGCATTTTTGGTAAAAATCCACCTGTGATTCACTCAGCTGACTTTACATGAAAATTGGAGCCATTTACGGTTTGGTAGCCTGCCATCTTCTTTCTGATGTGTGAGAAGCCTCTCTTTCCTTTGGGATTTCAGAATTTTAAGCTGCTAGGTAAACAGCTGAGTGAGAGGAAAGTCCTCATAAAGCAAACAAAACATCCTAAAGCAATGACTTCTTTTTGTTGTTCAGTAGCCAAGATTAATGTATAATTTTTAGAAGAAATACTTTAGTGTGCAGGAATTGTTTGATGTAGATACTAAGTCTTTTATTATTTTTCCTGGGCTCTACAGAAAGTGTCAGCCTTCAGAGGGTGCCAGAAAAGTCCATTGGGCAGAGCTCCTTTTGCAGAATAAATCACCTTTAAGCCAAGATTCAAAGCTTTCACTTTCCATTGTATTTTAGAGCATTCTCCTGTTTGGTAGTCAAGCCTAAATCTATTGAACGCAAAGAGGTATAACCTGTCTCCTTCTTGGCTCACAACAATATAGATCTTTATTATGCCTTCTATCCCCATCCCCAACTCATAATTATAACAGAGGTTCTGACTGGTTATATCCAAGACTTGAACTTAAAAGGCACACATTTTCAATAGGAACTCTATTGTTTACTGAATTTTTATATTTTACACATTGAGATAGTTTGAATGCATGTCCCTGCTCTAATCTCATGTTGAAATGTAATCCAATCTCAGAAGTAGGCCCAGTGGGAGGTGTTTGGATCATGGGTCCCTCATGAATGGCTTGGACCATCCTCTTGGTGTTAAGTGAGCTCCTGCTCTGAGTTCACACAAGATCTGGCTGTTTAAAGGTGTGTGGCACCTCCCACCAACCTTCCCTTCACCTTCTCTCCCTCTTTGTTGCTCCTGCTTTCGCCGTGTGACTTGCCAGTTCCCCCTTCACTTTCCACCATGATTGTGAGCTTCCTGAGGCCTCCCTAAAAGTTGAGCAGAAACCAGCACCATGCTTCCTGTAAAACCTGCAGAACTGTGAGCCAATTAAACCTCTCTTTTTTTATATATACACTACCTAGTCTCAGGTATTTCTTTATAACAATGCAAGAATAGCCTAATACACATGTCCAGTTGGACTTTTCCACTTCTCGCAGATATACATGGTGTTGGACATCAATGCCTTCTAGGAACCCTCAAAGACATCACTTAAAGTCCCCCTCTGAGTGCTTATCTCATCACTAAGATATACAACAATCTTCTTTCTAAGGGCATTTACTCACAGACTTGACTCATTGATTAAGATGTAAGCCACACTATGAAATTTTTTTCCTGGCATCCAAATCTCTTTTAAGAATTTACTTACAGAAAAGAAAAAAAAGTAAATAAAAACAAAAAAAAAGAATTTATTACATTAAAAAATAATCTATAGAGGTAAATGAATCATGTTCTTAAAAACTGTTTAGTGATGAAAATATTAATGTATATTATGAACATTTAGTCAGGATTGTGCAAAGGGATTCAAACATTATAAGTTGATCAGACTAGATGTCCTTTAAAATGTTTCAACCCCACATAGTTCATGATTACCTGGACAGTACAATCTCCTCCCTTTCCTTTATCCCTAAAATCCTTAAAGACATTATAATAATCATAATGTCATATCAAAAGGATTAACAGTTGAATTACATATTTCTATGTTGCCATGTGAATATCTTGTAATTTTAATTATTTAACCAAAATTTGCATTAAAATGAGGCCATTGAGCATCTTGTATGGGTATTTCATACATTTTCAAGATAATTTACTCCAGGTGAATATAGGGGAATCTTGCATGATACCAGTACATCAGCGACGCTCCAGGTGAATATTGGGAGAAAAGATAACATTTTAATTTTTTTGTCTTTTCTATTTCTCTTTCCTTTTGCTTTATCTTAACACTTTTGCCTAAAGTTAAGAGTTATAGGATAAAAGAGTTACATTTGAAGATTAGAGCTGGCTAATGGGAGGTAGGAAGGGCATAGTTTATGTCAATGGGGAAACAGTGTCCTTTATATATACAGAGTGTTTAAGTGAGTTTCACCCTCACTTCTCGAAATTCATATCTGGTCAGACATCAGTAAGTCAGGTCTTTCTCCAATCAATGGTGGTGGTAGATATTTCTGCTTTTAAACAAAACAACGTTAAAGTGGTTAACCACTAACCTGGTAATATGGAGACTAACAACCTTATCCTAAGTCCATTATTAGTAATTCAGAACTTAGCATGGGGTTGCATTTGGAACCTGTAAGAGGTGTGCATGTAGCACAGAATAAATTTGACATAAAAGAAAAGGGAAAGTAAAGAGAATTGCATTTACATTTTTAATTAACATTTTAAATATGTCTTAAGAATTCAGCCTGGGTAGAATTAATATAAATAAGAAATTATCGTATCTCATTTGATTGAAGGTAAAAGTACCATGACTGGAAAGACTGACCTACTCTATTTTCCCAATTTCTGACAGATGACTTATGTGACCCATTTCTGCTAGTTTCCATATTATAAGTGATTGGTATTCTTTTTCTCCCTGAAGGAAAGACAAATATAACTTTGAAGAACATGTCTTTAAATAGTTTTTGGAAGAGGGTCGGCAGGAATCATTGGGATTAGGATGAAGTGGAATTGTTCTTAACCTTGCCAAAAAGAGAGGCTAGACAGATTTGATTCCTGTATGTTCACACAGAGAGAGGTTGAGGAAATGAACACTAAGTCTTCACGCCCACTTTCCTCAAATCTCCAAACACAATAGCATTCTAAGCCTTGAGCTGCAATTTAGAGTCAAGTCATTCTTCAGATTGTCAATAAAAAACTGCAAGCACTCATCAAGTCTGTATCTTACATTGATTCCCTCTAGGACTGATTTCATATCAAAAATTGTATTAGCAGGTATGTAAAGGAGTACTTGATCATAGAAAAATTGATTAATAATGCACTTAGTCACATAGGAAAGTTATTACAACCCCTTTAAGACACTAATTTACTCTTGGAGATTTCTGATCTGGAGAGAGCTGTGAATTTTCCATCTATAAAACCTAATCTTTTTTTTTTTTTTTTTTTTTTTTGAGACAGGGTCTGACTCTGTTACCCAGGCAGGAGTGCAATGGCACAATCTCGGCTCACCAAAGCCTTGACAGCCCAGGCTCAGGTGATCCTCCCACCTCAGCTTCCTGAGGGGCTGAGATTACAGGCACGAGCCATGCCATATCACTGTGCCTGGCTATTTTTTTTTTTTAATTTTTTGTAGAGACAGGGTCTCACTATGTTGCTCAGTCTGGTCTTGAACTCTTGAACGTAAGAGATCCACCCACCTTGGCCTCCCAAAGTGGGTGTAATCCCATGTCTGGGATTACAGACGTGAGCCACTGTGCCTGGCCTATAAAATGTAATAATTGTTAAGAACTATGAAGGATCTGAAATTTTACCCTACTGGCAAGCTAACAAGGTAGTTAGCCACAGTTTCATGAATGCTGGCAGAAGGCACAAAACTCCCCTGCCAGACGCAAAGGACGGTTTATTACTCATAGCAATAGCGGTATCCAGAGTGCCAGTATTTGTGCCAGTTCCCTGAGTCTCAGTTCCCACAGAGTGACATGGAGAGGGGCAGATGACACCTGCACATGCAGCAGGTTGCATTACAAGAGAAGAACCTGGAGCTTAGGTAACCTGAATCTTTTATAACAGTCAGTAGGCATGCCTGACCTTTGCCCCAAGGAGAGAGTTATCTTTATTACACAGAACAGTACACATACTAGTTCTTTGCTGTTTGCCATATAAACATCCTTGAAAAGATATTCCAGAACAAAGGTAACCATTGCCTCTGCTTTCAAGGTGTACAGAAACATGAGGCACTCATGGAGAATTGTCTCCCCAAAATAATAAATTTCTGTCTCTATTTGCTCAATATTGAAGCTATACATAAATCCCCTAGCTTTGCCCCTTAACCCATTTTCCACTCCCTCCTCAAATTGGGAGCCCATCTTGACAATGCTATTGGTAGATGTTAATGGGGTGGGGGGTGGGGCAAATTCAAAATGGTAGAAAATTATAACTTTTAGTAATGGGTAGGATGAAAGTTGGCTGGCTGCGGTGGCTCATGCCTGTAATTCCAGCACTTTGGGAGGCCGAGTGGATCATGAGGTGAGGAGATTGAGACCATCCTGGCTAACATGGTGAAACCCCATCTCTACTAAAAATACAAAAAATTAGCTGGGTGTGGTGGCGGGCGCCTGTAGTCCCAGCTACTGGGGAAGCTAAGGCGGGAGAATTGCTTGAACCCAGGAGGCGGAGGTTGCAGTGAGCCGAGATTGCGCCACTGCAGTCCAGCCTGGGTGACAGAGCGAGACTCCATCTCAAAAAAAAGAATAAAAGAAAAAAGTCAGAAACCCTACAGGGGAGTTGTAGGCAGCTCCTAGTATCTTCCCTTCCCCTAAAAGCATCTTCCTTTCACTTGACTTTAATACACAGCTGGTAGTTCCATTAAATGGACAGTTACTGTTGTTTTTGAAAAATGTAAATCCCTTGGAGCATTAAGGACTTTTAGGGGCTCACACACATTAGTACAAACTTGTATAAAATACTTTCCCTTTAACAGCTAACTGAGACTGACTGCCCTGAAGGAATAGCAGTTTTTGACTGGCAGGGAATAGAAAGGTCATTGAGAAGCATGGAGCCCTTTTGGGGTAATGGCAGGCCAGAGATAAGATCCTGGAAGGATGAAAACAATACGATGTCACTGAGCTCATAGGTGCTAGGAAACAAGGCATTATAAGGTAGACAAAGATGTAGAGAAAGAGTAGAGAGATGCCAAAGAAAGGTTTTGCCCATTCTCAAATTTTACTTGAGGTTGGCACTGTACCCAAAGCAGAAGAAGAAAAGTCGCTCCCTCCCCCTCCTCACTATGGGATCTCTTCATTTCACAAATAGTTATTGAATGGCTGCTGTTCCAACTACCACGGCTGTTTCAATTGCCACTACTGTTATTACTACTTACCATTTATTGAACACTCACTATGTTGCCAGCTTTATGATTACACTGGTGTGACAATGTCAAATAAGACTCTGTCCCTGCCCCTAGAAGAACTGACAGCCCAGTGTTACAACTTAGCAAATACTATTATAGAATGGCATCTAAATCAGATAGGGTAGATCCTTGCTTTAGGAAACAGACTTCTGATTTCTATTGTTAGTTCTATAATTCACATACTGAACTAATAGTAGCTAATACTTACTAGTGCCTACTATATGCCAGGTACAGTTTTAAGTGCCATTAACACAGAATCCTTATAACACCCCTATGAAGTAGGTACAACGACTATATCTTCATTTTACTGAGGGAAAAACTGAGGCTCGGAGAGGTTAAGTAGCTTTCTCAAAGTCACACAACCTGTGAGCAGCAGAGGTGGGATTTGATTCCAGGCCTCTGGCCTTATGTTCTTAAATACCTCCCTACACTGTTATTGAAACAAGTTCAAGCTAACTTTCCAGGAAATATAACCATAATTTATAACTTATTTCTATGTTAAAGTAAGTTTTGAGTCCTGATATGGTTTGGCTGTGTCCCCAACCAAATCTCACCTTGAATTGTAATGATCCCCAGGTGTCAAGGATGGGGCCAGGTGGAGATAATTGAATCATGAGGGCAGATCCCCCATACTGTTCTCATGGTGGTGAATAAGTCTCATGAGATCTGATGGTTTTATAAATGGAAGTTCCATTTATAAATGGAACTGCACAAGCTCTCTTGCCTGCTGCCATGTAAGCCGTGCCTTTGCTTCTACTTTGCCTTCTGCCTTGATTGTGAGGCCTCCCTAGCCATAGGGAACTGTGAGTCCATGAAACCTCTTTCCTGTATAAATCACCCAGTCTTGGGTATGTCTTTATTTGCAGCATGAGAACAGACCAATACAAGTTCCAAACTTCTGACTAGAGGAAATTTTCAAAACACATTGAGTGAGGAAACTGCCTGGGAACTCCTTGGACTGTAAGAGAACAGCAAGCATTAGTGAAAGACAGTTTATGGGACATTATAAGTTCTGTGTAAAAGGCACTAGAATGTTAATGACCACATCATAAGTTTGGGAATCCTAATTTGGGGGGGTTGATTGTTCTGATATGCAGCTTTTATCTTCTTAATTTATACTGGTAACAAAATCAATCAGTTAAGTTTACTTTAAAAAGCAAGCAAATGCATTTATAGGAGAACTTCTACTCTTTTTTATTTTCTTTTTGAGACAGAGTCTCGCTCTTGCGCTCTTGTCGCCCAAGCTGGAGTGCAGTGGCGTGATCTTGGCTCATCGCAACCTCCGCCTCCCGGGTTCAAGCAATTCTCCTGCCTCAGCCTCTACACTGGGATTACAGGCGCCTGCCACCACGCCCAGCTAATTTTTGTACTGTTTTTTTAGTAGAGACAGAGTCTCGCCATGTTGGCCAGGCTGGTTTCGAACTCCTGACCTCACGTGATCTGCCCACCTTGGCCTCCCAAAGTGCTGGGACTACTGGTGTGAGCCACTGCGCCCGGCCAAGAACTTCTGCTCTTAAGGAGGGGAAAGAAATGTACACTGTTAGGAACACTTTACCTGTTTCTGTGCTCTTGCTACCTTCAGAAAATTGCTAAGTCTAACTTCTATGCTGTGTCTAATAAGAAGACACTGTTGAGCAGTAATTCTTACAGATAACCTTATTTATATTTTAAAATTTTTGTGATACATTGAAGTGTTTAATCTTTGCTTTTCATGTCTATTTTTTTCTTTGTGGTTTCTTCTATTCCTTTTGAGATCAGAAACTTCTCCTCTGTTATGGGCTGAATTGTGTACTGCCAGAATTCACATGTTGAAGTCCTAACCCCCAGTACCTCAGAATGTGCCAGTATTTGGAGATGGAGTCTTTAAAGAGGTAATTAAGTAAAATGAGGTGATCAGGGTGGGCCCTAATTCTATATGAGTGGTGTCCTTATAAGAAGAGGAGATCAAGACACAGGCACAGAAGGAAGACCATGTGAAGACAGGGAGAAGATAGCCATCTATAAACCACAAAGAGAGGCCTCAAAAGAAACCAACCCTGTGAACACTTTGAACTCAGACTTCTAGTCTCCAGAATTGTGAGCAATTAAGTATCTGTTGTTTAAGCCACCCAAGCCACCCAGTCTTTGGTACTTTGTTGTGGCAGCCTCAGGAGACTAAGACATTGTGTAAGAGTAAATCCTGGTGACTCCAGCATTGCTATAGAGCTTCTATCCATGGTCCTATAAGGGCAGTTTATAAACATACTAAAGTAATTATAAAGAAACTATAAACTTCATAAATTCATCCAACAAACATTTATTTAGCTTGTCCTGCACATCAGGTACTGATCTAAATAGCAAGGACAAAAAGATGAGCCCCTAATAGCTCAAAATAAATAAGATCCCACATCACCCTCAAGGGATTCATAGTTTAGAGGAAACAGGCACATACAGAGTGAATTTCAGTATGATGTGATCACTGGTAAGACTGTGGTATACACAGTGTGGGTAAGGACCAGAGCCTGTGGAAAATCCACTGGGACCCAAGAGGGCTGTCAGACTGGAGGCCACAGCTAACCTAGTTCTTTAAGGAAAAGTCAGTGTAGCAGATGAATGAAGAGAGACATTTCAGTGACAGGAATGCCATAGACAAAGGCAGAGAAATGGGAAAGTATCTAGCATGTCAGTTGATGACTGAGCGTTCAGGGTAACTGCAGTTAGAATGTGTATGAAAAAGGATGGGAGGAGAGATTGAAAACTTGGATTTTAACCTGAAAGTAGTGGGAAGCCACCAGAGATTTTTATAGAGAAAAGTCGTGATCAGACTTTGCTTTAAGCATGGTCTTTCCAGTAGTACAAAGAATGAAACAGTATGGGGAGAGGTGGGCTGCAGAAAGGCTGGATAGCAGGGAGAAGCAGGGGAGCCTGAATTGAGGCGGTGGTACCGGGTGGAGAAGGGCAGTCCTGCTTTAGAGATATTCCAGAGGTGAAACTGAATAGGTCTGCTAACCTACATTGTGAAACCGTTAACACTTGCATATGTACTAACAACTGAAAAGCACTTCCAAACATAAAGCACTATACAATATTTACTTGTTTTTGTTTTTCCTATATTAGATGTATAAATGCTATTGCTTCTTTCAACATATAGACTTGCCAATTTAATACACAATATTTTATTTACTTTTTAAGAATTAAATTCAAAGGAGCTACATTTTCTTGTGTTTTGCTTAAATTTGGGAAGAATTGTTCCTCTAAAAAGTACAGTATAATTGGATACAGTTAAATAAATTTTATCTCATCAGAGCGTGTCCAGTATTTTTGTGATTTTTCCTAGTTGGACTTGCTAGAAAGCCGTCTATTTGAAGCAAGGGAAAGTCTGGAAGAACACACTCTTCTGGATCTAATCTAAGTTTTCTCACTACCCACCTATCATGAGTACCTTTTTCAGTCTCTCTAGGCCAAGGGTTTCTTATTTAAAAGGACCAAGAGACTCCTTGATCCCTAAGATTCCTGCTAAGATTCTGTACCTCTTTCCTCCCAAAAGAATGACTGGTCTTGAATTCTAAAATGCAATTTTTGTGAGTGTGTTTTAAAAAGAAGACTGCATTTCGCTGAAAAATCTTCCTTGGAAAGTATATAAATCTTATTAGACGCCTTTGAGAGTCATTAAAAGAACTGAAGCATCATGCACGTTTAAAACATTACCAGGCTGGATGGAGTACGAAGGCACTCAGGGGAAGGTACTTAAACCTCCGTAGGTTCAACCAAGTCTTACCGGGAGTAACCCAACGAACAAGTGATGCTTTTTGAGACAAATTTGGAGAGTTGGCTGCAGGAAAATTAACAAGCCAGTGGATTTCCTTTTCCCTTCCTTAGGAAACTTGTTTCTGTAGATGCAAAAAGGGCCCTAGATCCTCTGGAAGAGAAAGAGAGTGGGGAGGGGAAGTTTCTCTTTCTTTACTCCCCACCTGCGGTCTGTCTGATTTCCTCTCCAGCTCTGTCTGATAAGGAATTGATTCTCCCCCTCCTCTTCCCCCTCCCGCCCTCCCTCTCCTTCTCCCTGAGTAACGATGCTGTCCTAGCAAGTGATGCTGTCGGAGACAGGAGACGGGCGCCGAGGAGGCATCGCCGCCGCCGCGGGGCTGGAGAGCCTCTCCCAGCACCAGAGCCCCGCTCGGCCCCGGGCTTCCTCGTCGCAGCCACGGCCGCGGCAGCTGCTCCCACGGTTTGATGGTGGGCGGCGGCAGCTCGGCTTCGGCGCTAGCCTCTAACTGCTGGATCGCGGGCCGCGACGCTCTCCGCTCCTGCCTTCCCGCCCTGGGCCGCCCGGGGCCCCGGAAGCCGCGGGAGGTGGTGAAGGGGCGCCGCGGGAAGACTGCACTGCCGCGAAGGCGGAGGAGGCCGGCAGCCGGCACCCCCACACTCGGACCGCAGCCGGCGCGATGTCCACCAAGGTCAGGAAGTGCAAAGAACAAGCAAGGGTGACCTTCCCGGCGCCGGAGGAGGAGGAAGACGAGGGCGAGGACGAGGGCGCGGAGCCGCAGCGCCGCCGCCGGGGCTGGAGGGGCGTCAACGGGGGGCTGGAGCCGCGCTCGGCGCCCTCGCAGCGGGAGCCGCACGGCTACTGCCCGCCGCCCTTCTCCCACGGGCCGGACCTGTGAGTACCGGGCCCGGCCGCGGCCCGCGCCTCGGAGGGCGGTGCCGGGCGGGGGGCGGGAAGGCGCGCGCCGGGCGGCTCCACGTCGAGCCCGGGACCTCCGAGACCCACATGGTACGGCCAGGCAGTTCGATTTGGAGTGATTTGGAGGGGACAGACCTCGGCCGGAGGCTCGCCCCCTCGGTCCCGCGCGGTGGAGGGACACAGGGGCTGCCGAGTGCGTGGCAGGGGCTCTGTCCAGGCTCAAGCACACGGAACAGCCCGCAGGCGGGCACACTGACTTCAGACAAGCATCCTGGCGAGCAGCCACTCCCTGTATTAGAGCCGAGGAGCTCGCACGACTGCTGCCAGGGCTGGGCACCCCTTGGAAGACGGACCCCGGGGTCCCGAGCTTACCCAGGGAGGCCGAGGAAGGGGAAGATGTGCACAGACCCAGGCGCGCACTTGAACCCTGAACTCCTCCCGGGCGTCCCAGCGTGGACTTGGGTCCCCTCCGACGCTCTGGGACGTCGGGGGCGGGGGCAGAGAAGTGGGGAGTAGGGAGGGGACAGTGCGATACAGGGTGTGGGTTGAAGGTTTGCCCAGGCGCCTCGTCTCTCTGTGGTTCAGTCACATTTGGGGTAAAACTGGAACCGAAGCCCTATAGGGTCCCCTGAGGGAGAGAGTGGGCATCGGGCAGCCGGGGAACCGCTTTAGTGATAACTTTGACTGCGGTTCCCAGGCGGTGCAGGGTCAGCGGCTCGCGCCCCGGCGCGCGGGCTCTCTTTTTCTCTTTCTTTCTTTCCCTCTCTCTCTTTCTAAACGAAGGAGCGGTCGGCGCGCTAATGCATGAGAAAGAGCAACTTTTCTTAATTTCCAATCTTGGAGACAGCTTTTAATCAGTGCGAGACGCAGAGAAGATAAAAAGAGGGTGATCGGTTTCACAGGGTGAGATGCTCTGTATTTTTTCTGTCACGTAACACTGGGAGTGCCGCAGGGTTTACTGTCTTTTTTAGGAAGAACGCTCAGAACTAGGTAGAGAACTTGGGGTCGGATGGTGGCGGGCGGCGCAGACCGGCTGAGCCGGGGAGGTGGTTCTCCAGGATGGGGACCGAGGTTCTGCAGCGCCCCCTGCTGCCGGCGAGAGGCCCACCGCCCGAGGCCGAGACCTCCGGGATGACCCCTGCATCCCCAGGATCGCGCGCTGCTCCGCGCGCGCAGAGTCTGCGCCTGGTCAGGCTGGACCTGCCGGTAGAACACAGGAACACAATCAGTGGCTGGGAGTAGATCCCATAGGGAAGAGTTCTGATTTTAAATGAGCGACGCATCCCGATGTGGTTCAGTTATTGCTGAAGATAAGCGTGGAATGGAAACGGCCCAGGAAATGGAGGGAAGGTATATCCTTTGGGATGAAAGCGCCACCAGCTCACTTCCCCGTCTCCCTAAGGTTTTAAAACATTGTCCATTTTTCCTTTTGCCAAATTGGTTTTTATAACGTAGCTGTTTTTTTATTCCTTTTAAAATTCTTCTTTTTTAAAAACCTTAAATCCTGACTACATGAAACACCGGAACTCTTATCTGAGAAAGTAGGGCGGAGCAGAGATTATTCACTTTGCCTTCCGAAATTTGAGGTCAATTACACAAAACCCTAGGGCAAATTCTATTGTAGGCTTGCTGTCTCACTGCTAATAGAACATCTTTTGTATATGTTTGCTAACTTTACGTAATTCAGCAAGTAAATGTTGTGGTATACTTATTTTGTAGAGGTCGAGAAGAAGACCCAGTCATTTTTAAGGAGATATACATTAAAAACGTTTCTTCTAGAGGCAGGGCAGCAAGCTCTTCATGTTTATTTCAGGCCTGTCACTTGGTAACATCGGAGACTAGCTTGATCTCTGTAACAGAGATTAGCTGTTTATTCCACCTTTGAGGAGAATCCGGCCACTGTTTCATAAACAGTGTTTATTTATTGTTGTTTAAAAGTGAACACGACAGCCCTAGGATGGACTCCGAGAAGGATACCCAGGGTCATTTCAGGAGACGGAACAGCATAGCTGAATTTAAAATTGAGCAGGATGCTGAGGGTACAATCCCACCTTTACCAGGATAATTCCTCGGGGTACTTCTGTTGCTGGTTTCACTGCTCCATGCTGCCCTATTCCATGTGGAAATTTTAAATAGACTGACTTGGGAGGAAAAGTGTCACCTGCTGTATCACTAACAAGATTATTTTTACCTGTTGATAGAACTCTTGATTGAACCACTGATTCAAACCAAGACTTCCTTCATCCCAATTGGTTGCAAACCTAGGACCAAGTAATATGTCATTGTAGTGACGGCCTCATTTTTTAAAAATGTTTCAGTTATTCAGTATATGTGATGAATTCCAAAAAAGATATTGGAAGGCAGTTTTCATGAGTCTCAATTCAAGCGTTTCTCAAGCGTGCATATTTGCAAAGTGTAGGCTAGGTACTGCAAGCCACAAAGATAAGCATGACAACTTTCCTGTACTCAAGAAGTTTACAATCTCATGAGGGAGAGGTGGGAATGAGACTGGGCATGAGCAGTTATGCTGTAAATTAGAGTAAAATCAGTTCCGTTTTAAAAAAAAACAACAACAACAAAAACAAAAAAACAAAAAAAAAACCGCAAAGAGTTATAAAGGGTCAAGTGCGAAGAAGAGAAGGACAACATTAAGTTGTGGGGAAATCAAGGAAACCTTTATGGGCCTTGAAGGATAGATAGGACAAGAAGCAGAGACAAGGTAAATACTTAATTCAAGCCCTCTCTTTCCCCAAAATGCCAGGCATGTTTAAGGAATATTAGTTGAGTTTGGTTGGAACATAGATATGTATAGGGGAGCAGTGAGATTTAGCTGGACATGTTGGTTTGAGGCATTAGTGCGGAGGATCCTATATGCCAGGATGAGGCACTAGGGAGCCACTGATTATTTTAAAGTAGCAGTAATTTGAGCAAACCCACTCTGGATTGAAGTGGCAATTAATAGAAAGTGAAGAGACAAATTAGGAGATGACTGTAACTGTCCAGGCTGAGATTAGACTCTGTAATAGTGTAGTGTTGGTGGAATGGAAAGGGGAGAAATTGAGGGAAAAAAAAAAAAACCAGCTAGAATCTATGGAATTTTGCAACTCACTATCCATGATGGCTTTAAAGAGAAAGCAGGATCAGAGACAATTTAGTGATTTTTGACCCAGATAACCAACATGGTTGATGCCATTGTTGACAAGAAAAAAGCAAAGGTGAGGATCTGATTTTTCAGATAGTTCTCTTTTTGTTTTTTTTTTTTTTCTTTTTAAAGGAATAGTGAATGATCAAATATTTCTGATAGAGATGTTAAGCAGGGAAAAGGAAATACAAGTTTAAAGCTGTCTGATGGGAATTGTTACACAGTTGTGTGACTACATGAGATTACTCAAAGGAGTGTGAAGAGAGAAACAAAGGGAGTCCAAGCTAGATTTTGAGGGAAAAAGCTTTTGTTTAGAGGGCAGGGAGAAAAAGCAGCAAGAAATAACATCGATGCACACTCTTCAAAAACTGAAAGATCAAGAGAAAAACTTATGACTCTACTGTTAGAAGAATCAGTCCTTGCACGTATTAGCATACATGCACAAAATCATTAGATTTTTCAGCAATGTTATCTTTAACAGAGAAAGATTTCTAGAAAAAAAATCCTGTTTAGTTTTTCTTTAGAGGAAGTGCTGCCAAAAAATTGTCTTAATAAAAGTAGTTAATTTGTGTTTATATACTACTTCATGCTGTCGTTTATACTCATTCACTTAAATCGCTCCTCTTTAAAGCAGTTTTTTAAATCATTGTCATCACTTACCAAATGAGGAAATTAGTACACAGAGATGTAAAGTAATGTTCTAACGCTTCCCTGGCAAATCAATAATAGATCTTCTGATACTCACCTTTATATGATCAAGGAACCAAAAATGAGTCCACAATGCCTTGTAACTCAGATTACCTAAAACACTTTGTATGTTAGTTTCTGTGGCACTGGTCTTGTATAAATGTTCCAGTCTTGGCTTAGCGTGTGTGTTGGCTCAGGCATTAGACTGGAAGCAGGACTTCCCTCCCTCCCAACCCTGGAGGGAATCAGATTCTCCAAGTGATTGTTGAATCTTAGGGACATGAGTCTGGACTTTGAGTCCAGACTGACTAGTGTTATTAAGAAAGAGGCGGCTTTCTTTACAGTTATAGTTTAATTTTTAAGAACAGCACAGCATGGCATTAGACTTAAGGACTTTATTTTTTTAATTCTTTTTTTTTTTTTTTTTTTGAGACAGAGTCTCACTCTATCACCTAGGCTGGAGTGCAGTTGGTGCAATCATAGCTCATTGCAGACTCAAACTCCTAGGCTCAAGTGATCCTCAAATCTTAGCCTCCCAAGTAACTGGGACTACAGGCACACACTACCATAACTGACTACTTGTAAAATTTTTTGTATCGATGAGGTCTCACTATGTTGCCCAGGCTGGTCTCTAACTCCTGAGCTCAAGCAATCCTCCTACCTCTACCTCCCAAGTTGCTGTGATTATAGGCATGAACCACTGCACCACCCAGCCTTGAGGCCTTTAATACTCTGAAACTTTTCTTTATATTATCAGTTGTATATAGCAATTTCACTGTGTACAATGAGTCATCATTTTTGTTGGTTTAAGTTATTTTTATGTAATATCAAATAGTTTTAAAAGTTAGATAGTGCTAAAAGACGTCTACGAACAACAGCAAGCCCCCAGCAATTCCCTGGTCCCTTCTCCTTTTCTGTCTACTCCACTTTCAACTCTTTCATATACTGCTATCTTTTTATTCATATTTTAGATGTTATCAGTAGTCTCAGGTGAGAATTTATGTTCACATGTATCTATTATTCTCCCCCTATCTTCCACAAGATGGTTTATCACAATTTCTGGTTAATATCTTATTTAAGTTCTTCATTAATATGACCATGTAATCATTGTTCACCGCTAAGTCAAGTAGTATAGTATGACTACATTTATTTTCTTTGATAATTGATTGTTTTTCTTGGAGTAAATATTTGTCACATCGTGTCCTTGTTTCTTAGCTAAATCTTCTACGGTGTCTAACTGTGTGTGTTTTCCTGAAGTTATCCTTTCTAGAGCCCTCTAACTTTCTTTGTATGAGGTCTTTTTTTCCCCCCGCTTCAGGAAGCTCTTAGAATTGTCTGTTCATTAGCTCTCTTCTGAAGATGTGCCTTGGTATGGATGCTTTCATCATCACCTGAGCTGGACACTTGGGTAACACTTTCCATCTGGACATTATGTCCTTTAGTTCTGGGAAGTTTTCCTAACCACTATTTTTATTCTTTGCTTTTTCTGGAATTTCTATGGTCTGGATGTTGGACCTCCTGACTGATCCCCTAGTTTTTATATCTCTTCTCTTCTGTTTTCCAGTGCTTGCTTTTTGTGTTTTTTCTATTTCCTTGTCTCTATCTCCCAACTCTTTCACTGAATTTATTTCCATTTTAGTGATTATATTTTTAATTTCTAAGAGCTCTTTCTTGTCTTATGAGTATTCTTTTTTATAGCATTCTTTATTTCAGAGATCCAGGGGTTTTTTTCCTAATATTTCTCAGGGGAGAAGAGATTAGGAAATAATAAACCTGGCTGTTAGTATTGACGAACTGGGCAAGAGTCCCCCTGTTCCTAGTTCCTGCCCCCCTGGTATCCCCACGTCTAGAGCATTTCTGTTTCTGTATCTCCAGAGATTCCATATCCTATCTCCCATAGGGGTGCAGGAGGGTTGTCACTTAACCATATCAATTAGCAGGTGGGGATGTAGGGGGAGGGTTTCTATGCACTTTTTATATAGCCAATTCCCTCATTTTAGGTTCCAGCCTTATCTCTACTTTCTGGAATTTTTTTTGCTTTCAATTTCTGGGCGTTCTCTAGCATTGAGCTGGGTGGATCAGCTTGTTTTCTGTAACAGCCACTGTAGTTGGAACTTCTTTCTCTCCACTAAATGATTTACTATTTTAACAACTCATCTCCTTTCCACCGTTATATATTGTAGCTTGGAGTTACAAATGTCTCTTGGTTTCATGGAAGATGAAATTTGTGTTGCAATTCCTTGTTCTCCTTGTTTAGGGAGGTAATTTTGAAAAGGAGAAGGGATGAGAAAGGCCTTTATTCCACCATCTTGAGACTGAACATCCCTATGATACACTCCTATGATTGTGTGTTGTGTTTATTTAAGCCCTAACATTGGCAATATTATTTAACGTAACCAAGAATGGCAGAAGGAAGAACATTCTTACTCGTAACTGATCTTATTAAGCACATGGAGTAGATAGTAACTTACACTGTGTGATAAGAAGGTCATCTGAATTCCCCACCTAAAATCATCTTAGTACCACACTTCTGAAATTTAACAATATAGAATATTTTGAAGAATAATAGAATGTTTGAATTTGAAAGGATTTCATCTAGTCCAGTCTCTTATTTTACAAATTAAGAAACTGAAGCTGCAGATTGACATCTAATTCACAGCAGCCCCAGGCCATCTGAAATCCCCAGCTTTCTGGGACTGTGCTGTTCGCACTGTGGCCTCCTGTGGTTAAGCATTTCTCTCTTCCTCAAAGAAATTTTAAAATGCATTTACTCTTGGGAGGAGCAATACAGGAAACTATTAATTAGTATTAATTTATTTATGAAATCCAATTAATTCATTTAAATTTGGCTGCTGATGGCAAATCAACTTGAGAAAGTTGGTAAGCTAAATAGGAGGTCTAAGAGTAAGGGGAAAGAGGAAAAAAGGTTATCGCAAAGCACAGTTGACCCCCTGCCAAATATTATTTATGATTATCCCTTTTATTAATATTAAAGAGGTGAGAGGATCCCAGTCCAGCACTAGACCATCTTCTGAGGACTGAGTTAGAATTTTAAGGATTTTTCATTATTGTGCTGGGATAGAAAATGTGTCTGTGCTTTTCTGTCCCTCTCTCTTTCTCTTAAAGTTGTTATTAAACATTGAGCTTTTCCTCTGCCTACAATATCCCATAAACCTTTACTCCCCCACCCTCCCCCCACCCCCCAGTTTATAATAGGCAGTCAAACGCCATGGGAAATGTAATGGGAGGAAGAAAACTTTACGGAGTTGCTGTGCCCTTGGTAGGAAGGAATCCTTTAAATTTCCTAGCTCAGGATTGAGATTTCCTGTTTCAGGGAGGATGCTAAGGAATGATGAATGGCTGCTGGGCATTCTTCTAAGGAGGGGAGGCTCTTTGCTTGTCCAGAAGTCTTGCTTCTCAACCCTCTCCCCTCTACTGCCCTCAGTGTTGCATAACATCCGTCCAGAAGGGGCGCTGTGTTAGTGGGCTGTGCTGGGTGAACACATAGGAGTCTGGCCCCATACAGAGGGTCTGCAGATGTAGACTGTGGGATGGCTGACTTCACGCTTATGCACGAGGGGCTCAGCAGTGACTTTATGAGAATAATTAGGATTGTTAATAGCATTTTGTGTTTAATTTAGCATTTAGGTCAGGTATATTTGTCTTCAATTATCTAGTTAAAAAAAAACCTATTAAAAATACTATTTTCTTTGCACTGTTCAAATAATAGGTGATAATGTGGATTTGGTCCTAGGTCTTTTTAAAAAATGAGACTTAAATGTCCACAAATGTGTGACTTGTTAAGGAAAATGTGTGACTTGTTTTGACTTTAGATATGGATGATAATGATAGAAAACCAGATTCCTTTATTCTAATAACTATATATATATAATTGATAGTGACTAATGTATTTAAATATGAACTTCTCTTGGGTCAGTAGAAGTTCCTTAATTTTATTATCTATGGTCATTTTGTCTGAATTCTTGTTCAAGTATAGACTGAATTTATATAACTTTTAATTTCATTGTCACTAGTCTTCCTGAAATAATAAAAATTAGTTTTAAAAAGCATTGTGAAGATGAGTTTGAGATTTGTTTAATTACTAATTAATTATTAAAGGTTATTAATTTTAAGATTTATCTCCTGTTTGCCTCTAGATTATCCTGATAAAATATAACTATGTAAAATCAAAATCAAGAGATAGAGAATGCACCAAATACTTTTGTGGTGTAACTAAGAATTAAATGTTATTAAGCAGAAATTTGCTTTGAAAGAATGATTGTTGACATTACTTTTATTTCTTTTTATTAATTTATATTATATGTGACATTCTTTTTTATAGACGAATCACTTCAATTCCCCTCCACCACTGCTTCTTCCACACATAACCATATGTGACTAGGGGTATTCTGTAATCTAGGGGGGGAAAATTATCTGTTCCTTAGGTCTTCAGTGATGTGGTTTAACTATGCGTGCATCTGGGCACCCATCCCTCCAATAGATATTCATCACCATATACTAAAAGCCAAGCATATGGAGATGAAAAGAGGCAGCCTTTGCCTTTAAGGACATTTTAATATCATTGGGGAGATAGGCATGAAGACAGACAATTGCAAAGCAATACAGTAGTTGGTTTAATGGAGTTATACACAGAACACAGTTCCTAGAAGCATAAACATCTAAGTTCTAGAAGGCATTTGCTTGAATACTTTCTTGGGCACATACGTTCGTTTAAGAAGTATTACCAAGAAGTCATGCAGGCAATGGCTAAGGGTCCTCACTTCTGCTCCAGTGTACTTTTAGAGGGAACAATGCACTGTTAGGTAGCTGTTTGCTTTTCTGGTTTTAGCTGCTGAGGAATCTGGCAAAGAGCTACTCATGCTTTTATGAAAAGAATGAGAGATAAAGCAGTGGAGATAGACCAGGGTTCCTCTCCTTAAATACACAACAGCTTCTTGCTTCTGACAGTCATTAGGGCAAATGCCAAAATTAGCATATATCTAATAGATTGTTTTTAAGTTTTTTGTTTGTTTGTTTGTTTTTTGAGACAGGGTCTCGTTCTGTCACCCAGGCTGGAGTGCAGCAGCGCAATCTTGGCTCACTGCAACTTCCAACTCCCAGATTCAAGCCATTCTTGATTCTTGTGCCTCAGCCTCCCGAGTAGCTGGGATTATAGGCATGCACCACCATGCCCAGCTAATTTTTGTATTTTTAGTAGAGATGGGGTTTCACTTTGTTGCCCCAGTTGGTCTAGAACTTCTGGCTTCAAGTGAGTCATCTGCCTCTGCCTCCCAAAGTACTGGGATTATAGGCATGAGCCACCATGCCTGGCCAAGCTTTATTAAAATTATGCATGAAGAATTCTGAATATAATGCAGACCAACAGAAACTATCAGGGAATTCATTACTGTGGAGACCTAAATATCTCTCTGGGCTTATAAGTGCTGGAATGCTTATATTTTAAATTTTTATGTGTGTGTGTCAGGGCGGCGGTGGGAATGATGAGAATCTTTAGAAATGAAATCTGCGCTTTCCTCTTTCTTCAGTGAAGCACCTTATCTTGCTGGTTTGGTTGTTACTGTGACAATGTATTATTGAGCTCTATGATGTGTAGGTAGATGCAGGCTGAGAAGTAGGTATGAGATACTTGTGGACTACCTGTGGCCATGTACTCTCTAACTAGACAGTTGAAGTGATGGGCTAGCTTTCCCTAGCCTTGCATGCTGGTGTACTTAATGGCTACTGGGGTTCAGAGTGTCCCCACTCCACTTCTTCCCCTCCAAAAAATATATATTAAGAGATGTTCAAAATGTGTGTTTTTGATGATATTATTAAGACTGTCAGATTCTGTCTCCTCCTTCCAACCACATACACATAAGCCTATTGTGTAAATGTCAGATGTCTCCAGAGGTAGCCACATTGACTGACAGGTGCCTGCTTGCCAGGGAGATTATGGGATTTTTCTATTTTTTGACTTTTCTTCTCTGACTTTCTTGTCTTTTCTTCTCTGACTTTCTTGTCTTTTGTCAGTACCTGCTGCTTCCCACCCTCATTACCATTTCCAATTATCACCATCTCCATAGTGTAACTAACATGGTGGCTGTTGTCTAACACTTTCCCCCACTTCTGTGCTTTTCTCACTACTTATCTTCTGTGGCTCCATCTGCCCTTCTTGCCCTTCAAAACTGACGCACAGGATCCTGGCTGGTTAGCACAGTCACTTTCTTCAATGTGGTGAACTGCTCCATCCAAACATTTTGGATGTCATTCTCATTAACTCAACTCACATTGATGGTGTTCTTACTTTGCTTGCTTGCTACATGGGTTGAATAGTTGGTTAATCTTTACCTCATTCAATAAAGGATTTGAGGTGACTTCCGTAATAATGCTCATGTATTGCAGTGTGCTAAGGAGCTTGTGATTCAACCCAAACACCCATGTTAGAAGCTGTTCTTTGTAGAACCAAAATGTTCTGACACATAAGCTCAGCATGCATTTTAATAGTGATACTTGGATTTATAACCCATTGTTCATTTTCTTATTCCCTAGCAGCATCATGATAAAGTAGCCAGGAAGACCTCTGAGCTCTAATCTTCTAGTTCTGTACTCCTCAGTGACCGTAAGGGAGGTAGCATTCTGATGAAGTCTTTAAATCTGCAGAATTAGTATCAATTGCCAAGTATTTTTGAACATATACTACATTGTATTAGGTACAGTAGAGATAATATGTCAAGAATAAAACATAAGATAAGGCACATAAAACATTTATCCTCAATTGAACTGAGGACATGATTGTCACAGGAGACAATAATCAAGGAGACAAAAATCAAGGAGATGAGGTAAAATTAAGTGTCTATATTTATGAGTAGACTACCTATATTACAAAAGCTTGGGCTGAAGTGGTCAGGAATGGCTTCAGAAAGGATCAAAAGACCCAACATTTCATACTGAACAGAATCTTGTGGGTCATATCGGCATTGCCCTGTGAAACGTGACCCTCTGTATACAGAAGTGTAATGTAAACTGGACCACTGATGGTAAGAAGGATTTGAATTGGCAAAGAGCAGAAATAACAGTGTGTTCAGAGAGGGAAACATAAGAGGAACATCCTGGAGGTAGGTGTAAAAGGGTCAAGAAATCACTCACAACTTGGATGGGCAGCAACGTGTAGCTCCTGTAATCTGCCTGCAACAAAAGTCTGTCTCCTGAGCCTCCCACTTACTGAGTAGGAGAGAAAACATTAAATGCCCAATCTGTGGTTCACATTAGTGTTTTAAATTTTGTTTTGTTTTTGCTTACTACACAGACACTCAACAAGTGAATAGTGCAATCAATAAATTAGGCAATTAAGTCAATTAAGCAATTAAGCAGTTACGTGAATTGACAAGGAGGGAAGGCTTGCTCTACATTTGGCAGGGATTTGGTCAGTTAGGACAGTGTCTCCCCACGTCTTGAGCCGGTGTGGAAGGGGCTTTTGCTTTCTGATTCTTGTCCCCCAATCTTCTAAAGGGCTCAGAGTCTCAGTGGCCTGTCTGTCTACCAGCATTCAGCACACTGCAGAAAGAGGCCGGGAGGCTGACCTCTTTTATCTTAGTTCGATACTATAAAGTAAATGTTTATTTGGATAAACTTGCTCAGGCTCTCGGGAACTACCCTTTCCCCTGCTCTTCTCTGTCACATCTGGCCCTTGGGGGAGGGGAGCTTATGTGTCCCTGGAGGGGGAAAGAGTTAGTGTCCTCTAACTCTTCTGGTCTCTGGGCACTGTTCTATGTCTACTTGAGTGCTGCTTGTCAGCAGAAGTAACTGGATCTTGGCTGACTTTCTTTTGTTAGAAACCCAGATATGCTCCCTCAAGTACTTGGTTTCAGCTCAGCTCCCACTGCTACAAATCCCAGCACCTGCAACATCTTCCATCCAGCTTACAGCACCAGCAATCTGTCCCAAGCCTTAGTGCAGGCTACCTGGCTCTCATAGCAGTGTCCACACCACAGAGGAGCTGAGGGTGGCTTGAGAAAGCTCTTTGCTTTTCCCATATCATTCCATTACTTAACCAGTACTTAAGGTACTTCCTCACCTTATTGAATCCACATCTTGACTTTTACTTCCCTTCTGTTATTTATTTGTCCTCCCAGGACAGTAAGCATCACGGCTTTGCTGTCAGAAGTGGGAGAGCTATCTTGTCTGCATAATGAGAGCACTTTATGATCAGGGTCCTTCAGGATGAATTAGAGGAATAAAGGAATTGAGAAAATCTTTTCATTAGACAGTTTCCCTTTTCTCAAATTCTGCTTGCAAAATCCTCAAAATCATTCATAAAAATACAAAAATCCCATAATTTTTTGCTTGTAAGAATCTGAACTTCTCCATGATCCTTTTCTTTTCACTCCTGTAAAATGTATCTTCTCGAACTCCCCTTGAACACACCCACCCAACTCTATACTGCACCACCCACCCTCCAGGCAGAGATGTCCTGAGTCAACCAGGGCAAAGATCCTGTATTTGAAAAGGCAAAAAAGAAGAGCACCTTAATATATTTTCAACAAATGTCCTTAATAGTACGGGAGTACCCCTTGACAGTACAGAAATGGCAGAATAATATGTTTACAGGATAGTGAAGAATGAATCTGGGGAACAAGGGAAGGAAGGTTGGCTAGGCAGGGTGGGGTGGGCTGTCACCATCCCTGAAAGTCATACAGACGAGTCTCGACTGATGAAAAGAGCAGTAGGGGTGTTACTGATGGTTTCCTGTTTTGGTTTTTTTTTTTAAAGAGAAGTGTGATATGGTGAAAACAGAGTTTATGAACAGCAAGATGCTGGGCATAGTTGTCATGTGTAAAGAGGAGAATCAGGTACAGCCTGAGGCAATGGAAAATAAGAGTCAGACAGATTCCAGGTTGAATCCCAGTTCTTCGTTATTTTACCATTTGTGTTATCTTTGGCAATTTCATTTGAGCTCAGTTTTGTTATCTATGAAACAGAGAAAATTATACCTGCTTCGTGGTATTGTTATGAGAGTTAAATATGATAGTGCATTGAAAACATTACATACATATGAGGTGCTCAGAAAAGTTTAGTTGCCTTCCTTCATGCCATCTCTGCTGGGAAGCTGTTACAACAACCCAGCTATGACTTGATAAAGATCTGGAGGCTGGTGCTGGCAATGAGAATTGGAAGGAAGCATTCAGTACAAGAAACATTCCAAAGCAGAAGCTTTAGAACTTTGTGACTGACATGATCAAAACAGTGAGTCATAGATGACCTTGAAATTTCTAAACCTGAATAATCAGCCTGAGATACAAATGTTAGGAGTGGGAGCTGCTTTAAGGAAGAAGGTGAGTTGGGGCATTTTAGAGTAACCAGGTGATAGACCACAGTATATGTGGGACCTGAGGTCAGGTGAGAGGATGGGATCTAGGAAGAGATTTAGAAACTCAACTAAACAGATATTTATTGATATTTATTTTCTATGGGGCACTGGGTAGAACTCTGTGGATAATGATAAATAAAACATGACTGTACTATCTATGAACGTGTACAGTAGAGGCATATATGAGAGGGTATTTCTTAATACTCTGGGTTGTTTTTTTTTTTTTAAATAAATTCAGACACTTGAGCCCGGGAGGCAGAAGTTGCAGCGAGCCGAGATCCTCCCACTACACTCCAGCCTGGGTGACAGAGTAAGACTCTGTCTCAAATAACTTAAAACAGGTTTAAAACACATGGAATATAGGATATTTGGTTTTAAATCTGTGTGAGAAATAATTTAAAAAAGGAGAAAGACTGTGCCAGAAATGTGAAATAAGATAGTAATAACAATTGAGCAGTCCCCCTAAGAGAGGGGCAGGGGAGTGAGGGTTATACAGTTTTTATTTTTAGATTAAAGGACAAAAACTTATCTGAAGAGAGAGGCTTCTTGATTTGCAATTCTAGGTTGACTTTGGCACTTTAATCCTCATAAAAGGTACAAAGAATACTATGGTGAACAATCTCTTTAACTCTTTAATTGTTTTTGAAAAGATACAATAACCTTTTAAAAATATCACTCCTTCATAAAAGCAAGGTCTTGACATTAAACAGTCACTGCTGAAGGCATTTCTGTAGGCTGCCTACTTGCTGTGCTGTGGTTTAGGTAAATAGCTTCCTGGAGACCAAATTTTAAATAGTTAATAAAGTTTAGAGAAACTAAATGAATGTGAGGCTACTTGTCCCTTAGCCTGTGCTGCTCAAACATATTATTTCAACTTCATTTTTGGCAGGACCAGAGTGACAACTGCTTGAAGGCCTCATAGCCAGGGGTCCTTGATCCAGGATGCTCCATTATTTTTATATTGGAGGTTCCCAGTAATTGTAAAGAACTTTCATTTAAAGGGCATATTTCAGGGTCCAACCGTGAGAGATTCTGATTTAGTTCATCTGAATGGGGCCCAGAAATCTGATTTCAACAAGCAGTCCAAGTGACCTTGAGGCAGGTGGTACTCAGGTCACACTTAGAGAAACCCTGTTGGAGGTCAGATGAGTTGATAGCAAAGTTAGGAAAAGTGAGGAGTGTTACTTGTATTTTAGCTTCTGAATAGAGCAGAGCAGAGGGTTCCCTATGGCTCCACCACAATATTTCTCAGAAGAGCCTTTCATCTGCTTAAGTGTTTGGACAAATTCTAGGGTCCCACAAAGCATGAAAAAAATGTTTTGCCTTAAAATGTATTGTCAGTGTCTTCATTCAGGCTGCCATGACAAAATATCATAGAATGGGTGGCTTAAAAAAAAGACACACACAGAAATTTATTTTCTTCCAGTTCTGGAGACTGGAAGTCTGAAATCGGTGCCAGCATGTTCGGTTTCTGGAGAGGTACCTTGTAGGTGGCCACCTTCTCAATGTTTCCTTACATAGGAGGTAGCAGGGTGAGGGGAGCAAGCCCTCTTGTCCTATAAAGGCACTAATCCCATCATCAGAGCCCCATCTTTATGATCCTATGATTTCAAAATAATCTCCCAAAGGCTCTGTCTCCAAATACTATCACATTAAGGGTTAGGGCTTCAACATATGAATTTTGTGGGGACACAATTTGGTCCATAGCAGTTGGATATTACCAGCTATCTGTATTAGTCATGAGGAGCTTAAACATGGCCCTCATAGATCTGCGGGTCAGTGGTACTCCAATGCTTTTACCAGAAAGAAGTCCCTGCAGAATGCACTCTCGCGGTGTTGAATGACCCATTGGATGAAGATCTGAGGGTAGGAAATTCCTGGCAAAATAATTTTAGTGTTAACATTACTAGAGCTAAACATTCTCCCCCATTCACCCACATTCCTTCCTTATTTTTCATGCTAGAAGAGATACATTGTCAAGGCCAGCTGAGATTATGTTTATGCATTGTGGATGATGTGAATATTGACTCGTTCCATCAGTTCAGATTAATGAAATTTATCTTAGTACTATAAGGAAAGTTAACAAAAAGACACTTCCATTTGTGAATTTATCATAAGATGAGTGATATTAAGTCAGCTCTTTTATTTTGAAACAACAGTATAATTTGTTCTAATTGAGATATCTCACTTCTCAGTGTCAGAAGTTTTTAAAGACAAAATAAAAATGACATGTGACTTGTTCTAAAATCAGACATTTCAGTTCAAATATATAGTATGGAGGTATAGCTTTTGAAGGAATAAGAAGTATTAAGGAAAACCGTAAAATACTAAGAAATACAAAGGAAATATTGATGAAAGAATGATGTCCTAATGTTCTCAACCTGGTGTCTTTTGGGAGAAATAGTAAGATTTTTATAAGTGATTTTTCCCTGTAGATAGCAATCATTAAATTAAAAGCCTTTCCACCAAGATGTGACACTTTAATAAGAGTTTATTTTCCCAAAGGTAACCCCTCTGAGTATTGAAATTCTGACATATATACTCCACATATATTTCCTCTCATCAATATATAATATTTTATACAACATGGAATTTCTAGCCATTTGAAGAATATCAGTTCATAGATTAATAATAAAAATATTAACCCAATGAAGTCAGTACCACTAATAGTCATAAAACATACTTATTACTATAATATTTACAAGATTTGTTTAAAATCCTTGTCATAGAGTTTGGTCTTGAAACAAAGTTCTCTTCTATGCAGTTCTTGTCCACCTAAAAGTCATTATTATACCAACACACACACACACACACACACACACACACCCCACACATGTCCCCCAACTCAGACTTGCACCCTTCCCTTGTCTCCCACACATACCACACATACACTCTACTCCACACTCTCCCCTACACATCATACCCTACTCATAACAGCCAAACACAGCACATTTATTTCACTTCAGAAAGATTATAATGTAATGGTTTCTAATAAATACATTTTAACATTTTTGTCAACCAAGGAATTAAAAATAAAATTTTTAATAAATAAAAATTTAAAACATTAATTTTATGTTCAATAAAGAGATTCACACTGTGGTTAAAACTATTCAAAATATGCAAAAGGGTATAAGTGAAAAGTAAAAAGTGAAAGTCCCCCTTCCTGTATGACTTCTTAGTCCCAGTCCAGATATAACTTCAAAATCTTCATGTGTTGATTTCTAGAAATTGCTACAAACACATATGTGTATATAAAACAAATATGTTTATTTAATTTTTAAAAGTTGATCACTTGACACTAGTTGAGCCATTAGAATTGGGTGCCAGTCACAGCACTGTGTCCTTGCATAAGTCAACAAGCCTCTCTGGGGACCCCTTTAGTTGCCATACCTCTATAGAGTCAGGCTTGCCCGGCCACATTTGCCTTAGTCCCTATCTGGGAGAAGCCAGTGGCTTCTGTGCTCCTCTCTCTGTTTGGGGCCCTCAGAGCTGAAAACAGAATGGACACTGGTAGGTGCCTCTGATTCCTCTTGCCAGGGAAGCTTCCCAATTTAGTCATCCACCCCAGGCACCCAGGGAGGCCAGTGTCCTCTCTAGTTAATTTTCAACTCCTGACTCCACGAATACAGTTTTTTCAATGGTAGGAGGTATTTCTGGAATATATATTCTAGAAATAAAGCATTTTCTTTTCTAGCCGTTCACTTTTAACTTTGACTTATTTGCTTCAAAAGTCAGTAATGTGGAAGCTTTATCTGGTACTTTTTGGTACAATTCATCCCACCAAAAATCACAGATTTTTAAAAGGAAGTTATCTTGAACATTGGAAGTGGGTAAGGTAAGATACAGATTTATACAATATTTGTGCAACATTTTAATAGCCACCAAAATATTGTACAGATTATTGAAAGATTATAGATAGTCACGATGTTAAAAGTGTTTATTTAGCATTGTTTTTCAGAGACTCTGAATTTCCGAAAAAGCTTTTTATTCATGAGGAAAATCTGAGAACTTCATAAAATTCGATTTTCTACCTGGCGTAAGGATGCACAAGGAAATGAAATTATTTACCTAACATCACAGAAATTAAGATGTGAACTCAAATCACTGTACACATCAATTGACATAACTTTGATAATGCAGCTAAATAAATCTCAACTAATGTGGTTGTGTTAGGATTTCAGTGCGCATTGATCTGGATGTACAATTAGTGCCCAGTTGCTTTACTCACAAAGTAATTCTAGTGATTTTTAAACCATAATCAAACCTTGTCGTTTCAGTTCCAAGAGGCAAATATATAATACTAGTAATTAAATAATTCTTATTACAAAGGCACGGTTGTTTTCAATAAAATCAATCTAGGTTGATGCTCAAATTTTATAATTGCTAAATCTTGTCTGCATCTTTGAAAAGATAAATCCTATAACTTGGGGATGGGTGAATCCCCTTAAGAGAAACGCATAAGGTGGAGGGTGTGGGGGCAAGTGGCATGTGCCTGTAGTCCTAGCTACTTGGGAGGCTGAGGTGGAGGATTGCTTGAGCCTAAGGGTTCAGGGCTGCACCTGTGATCTTGCCACTGCACTCTAGCTTGGGCCACAGAGACCCTGTCTCTAAAAAAGTATTTAAATAAACAAAAATTTTAAAATAAAGAGAAAAAGATGAAACTAAGATCCTGCAACATGATACTTGGCCTAAATCCTGTGCTTTTGTAGGGGGCTGAGGGTCAATGATTTTATTTAGTTAAAAGGATGCAATGACTTGGCAGGAGTGTTTTGGCCTCATTCTTTAAAAAATTAACTTCTCTTAGTCTTCAAGCCTAGTACTTGAATGTCAAGTACCTGCAAGCCTCAATGTCCAAGACTTTTAAGAGCGGAAGGTACGATGAGTTCCATCTTTACTAGGGTCACAAGGAAGGCATGGGTATATGGAAATTTTTATTATTATTCCATCTGAATATCATTTTCTAGAGAATAGGAGCTTTTGTTCTGAAGGGCTGCCGGCTTCCTTCTGGGATCTAGCAGCCAGGGTTAGATCACAGGTGTCACTTTCAGGCGAGTAGTTAGCAACGGTATCGCTAGCAACTGAGCCGACCCCTGCAGCCAGAGGTTTGCAGTGGGTAGTGTGTATTCCAGAAAGGGCCCTGACATGTGAAAGGAAGGAATGTGCCCTAATATTCTACAGTTGTTTTATCGTTGCTACTGATTAGGTCCATGGAGGGAAGCCCATCCCTGAGACGCATGACAGTGATGCGGGAGAAGGGCCGGCGCCAGGCTGTCAGGGGCCCGGCCTTCATGTTCAATGACCGCGGCACCAGCCTCACCGCCGAGGAGGAGCGCTTCCTCGACGCCGCCGAGTACGGCAACATCCCAGTGGTGCGCAAGATGCTGGAGGAGTCCAAGACGCTGAACGTCAACTGCGTGGACTACATGGGCCAGAACGCGCTGCAGCTGGCTGTGGGCAACGAGCACCTGGAGGTGACCGAGCTGCTGCTCAAGAAGGAGAACCTGGCGCGCATTGGCGACGCCCTGCTGCTCGCCATCAGCAAGGGCTACGTGCGCATCGTAGAGGCCATCCTCAACCACCCTGGCTTCGCGGCCAGCAAGCGTCTCACTCTGAGCCCCTGTGAGCAGGAGCTGCAGGACGACGACTTCTACGCTTACGACGAGGACGGCACGCGCTTCTCGCCGGACATCACCCCCATCATCCTGGCGGCGCACTGCCAGAAATACGAAGTGGTGCACATGCTGCTGATGAAGGGTGCCAGGATCGAGCGGCCGCACGACTATTTCTGCAAGTGCGGGGACTGCATGGAGAAGCAGAGGCACGACTCCTTCAGCCACTCACGCTCGAGGATCAATGCCTACAAGGGGCTGGCCAGCCCGGCTTACCTCTCATTGTCCAGCGAGGACCCGGTGCTTACGGCCCTAGAGCTCAGCAACGAGCTGGCCAAGCTGGCCAACATAGAGAAGGAGTTCAAGGTAAGCTTTGCGCTCTACCCCGGCTGCTCTGTGTGCTCACCCAACTTCCCCGCTGCTGCCTGGCCTGCTCTGCCACCGTTCGCTCCACATTCGGTTTTGCCCAGTGAATGTGAAATCACGAGGGACTGAGAACGTCATTCAGACCTCATCTAATGTTTTCTTTCTCCCTCTCAATGATGGTGCTGTGACAAATTCGCTTTGGGGATCCAGTATTCTGGATCAGAGAGCTATAATTATGGTGCCGCTCTGTGTTGGGTAAGCATTAAATAAAACTCAAGATTTCTCCCCTTTTTGCTAAAAGGAGGGTTTGGGTGTGACTTTTTGTCTTCCAAATCCTTCCTCCTGTTTTGTAGTTAGTTGCATGGTAGCACATAAGTAATATGTTTGCTTTATTTCCCCTGAGGGAGTATACCGTGTCTGGATGTCCTGCAATACTAGGTGTGTGGTGGACTGGACAGAGCAAGCTCCTATTCCATCTCCACGATAGTGTTAGTTTTGGATGCACTGTTCATTGGCCCAAGCATTTGTGTATCCCTTTAGAATCAAAAGTCAAAAGACCAATAAAAAATACTATTAAAGTCACTTCACTGATATGACAAAATGCCTCTCCCTGAATTCCACAAATGTATATTCAGAGTGGTGAGCCGTAGATGTCAGTTCAATCTAGAAATATGAGGACAGCAAAGTGATTTGCTTTAAGAGATTTTTTTTAATAAGTGAACTTTTTTTCTGGATATTATTTTCAATCAAGCAGTATTATTTATTTGTATAAAAATTATATATTAATGACAGATCATTTTATTTTTTAATCAGTTGCTACCTCCTCCTATGCGTTTTGATTGGTTCTAGCTACTAAATCTGGGTATTTCATAGTTCCGATCAATATTATTTAGACTGTTTTTGGCAGCTTCTTGTCTCCCATTTCCCATCTAAAAAGACGATTGTAGACATCAATTCCTTGAATTATTTTCTAGATGCTAAGTTAATCTTTTTAGTTTAGTGTTATGGTGTCAGATCACAGAAAAAGTGATTATTCTTTCACATCTGAATATGGTTTTTATAGTTAGTGAGATTTACACAAATGCAACTAGCAATATAATTCAGGATACAGAAAATATACTTTGCCCCGGTGTTGCAAGAAAATGGTGGGAAAGTGGTCCCATCCCTTTTCCATACACACAAAATTCCCTGGATATCCATCAATGCTCATTTTGTCCCAGTGGAGATCTGGACTTACTGTAATTTTGTTAACCCATTAAAATATTTTTCTGATGTAAAAGCTACACACATTTATTGTAAGCATTTTCCAAAAAAGGGAAAATACAAAGAAGAAAGTAAGTCTTACCTTATATCTAACCCCTTTGAAGAGATTCATTATGTGGTATTTGAAAAGATTTATTTACTTGGACCCAAAATGTTTTTTTTTTTTTTTTTTTTTTTAGATCTCAGAGCAAGTTGAAAACTCCAAATTCCGTTTAGAGACAGTAGAAAAGCATTTAGGTAAAGCACTTGTAAATATCACTTTGTTGTTTTGAAACAGTAATTAAAACATAATTCTAAACATATTTATTTGCCACTATTTCAAATGCCACACAAATCTTGTTTTTACACATTTTTCTTGATATATACTGAAAGTCTGCAAGAGATTCTATAAAAGGGAATATTTTCTAAGGTCGTGTTTTAATAATTTACTAAAGATGGTGATGTTTGCAATTCCACCCAGAGTCGTCAGCTCAGTGCAACCATGGTAAGAGAATTTGTTATTCATAGTTTTACCCTGAAGCTGACTAAGTCCATATTGGTAATGCTTAGAATCTCCCTTATTCTGACTTAAAGGGTCACCTCTGATAACCTTTCAGGGGTGGGGAAATATCACAAATAAAGAGGCAAAAAGAGAGAAAACACAGTTGAATTCTAGAGAACATCCATAAAGCTGCCAAATATCTATAAGGTTAAGCAAAAATCATCTAAATCTCCCAGTTCTTTTTTCTAGATTATATGGAAAGTGCTTGTGTAGCAAGATAGCCCTCTCTGAGCCAAAATTAGGACAGTTCTTTAGAAATTATAGTCTCCAAGGACTTCATGTCTCTCTCCCCTAACTCAATGTGCCTTTTCTTTCTCATTTTTACCTGTCCTTGTTATTCCTTTCTTATCTGCCTTTCTTTCACCTTTCTCCCCTCTTATCCCATGTTCATGTCCGTCTGTCAGGGCTTTAGACAGACAGAGAAAATAGTGCTTTCATAGCACTGACCCTGAGACTCTGAGCTCTGAAAGGGCAGCAAAAGTGAAGCTCATTTCTGAGACAAGCAGGTAACCTAATTTGCCCTATTCCATGGTGTTCGCTATATTCTTCCCATGGGGACTTTGAGCTCAAAGTATTAGCCTTGAAATTAAAAAAAAAAATTTTTTCCTAGTGAAAAAGAGGTGATTTTTTTTCCTTTTAAGACACCTATATTTATTTTATCTTATCAATGGCCTATAATATCTAGTATCTCACCCCCGAAATTGCCATTATTTAGATGCTTCAGAGAAGATTCTCAGCCACTCTGCAGTTTTCACATTTCTTTGAGGAATACAGTAGGTATGGTGTTTAAAACATGTGAAGGTCAATACCCTAAGAGGTCAAATATTCTAGGATACAGATTTAGATAAATTAATGGAGGATAGCTCGGTGACAGGTTATTAAAGAAATATTTTGGATGTGCAAATGCTGTTTGAAGCTATTCTGAGAAACAGAATATTGGAAAGATAGACTCTTGGTCTAATCCTCCAAAATGTCAGTGGCAAGGAAGCCAGTCATTTATTAAGCTGTGAGGACGCAAACTGAAATTTTCTAGTTCTGACTGAGTCAATGACGCACCTTTTTTGTAAAAATAAAGAAGTAGGGAGAGGCGTTTGCTTCCCTGTGCCTCAGTTTTCCTCTCCTTAAAGTAAAAAAACAATTTCACCTTATATCACACTACAGCTGTAAGGAAGAAAAAAAATGAATATAATCCAAAAGCAAGGTGACATTTTATAGCAGGAAAATACTCTAGGAATCATCTTTCACTTTGTAAAAGAGAAAACAAAGGCTGTAGGCAACATTTCATATGTTAAGCCTAGATTTGAGTGTCTTGAGTCCCAGTCGTAGGTATTATATCTAATATAATGTACCTGGTAATATTGAAGCACTTCTTAGCACCTAATTTGTACCAAACACATTCTAAGCATTTAATCCTCATAGTACCAATATTGGGTAGGATTATTCATGTCAGAGAGGTAAAGTGAATTCCACAATATCACACAGCTAGTAGGTGGTAAAGCAGTATTTGAACCCAGGAAGTCTGGCTTCAGACTCTATGCTTTTAATCAGTATGATAACTTGCCTCTTTTGTTATTAGGGAAAGAGCCTGACAGAACCAAGCCTGTTAAGAGTTGAATTTCAGTTTTCCACTTCAGGATAAAAAAGGATTAGAATGGTAATTAAACATATACATTAAAAGGAGTGTGCAGAACCTGTAGATAGATTGTGATGAAGACTGAACTTCATTGTTCTTCCTCTGGCTTGAGCAGATCCTTAGGGTTTTAAGTTCTGCTCTATAAGGTGTGCAGTAGGTCCACCAGCTAACTGTGGAGGGCTGTGGTAATAGATGAGCAGTATATTAAAGACCATTATGCAAAACTAACTTAAGATAAACTTATTAGAAAATGTAGACCAGACAAATGGTCTGATCTGTGAAGTAACGTGGTGGAATTAACAGTCAATGCGGCCTCAAGGTGGAACTAACAGTCAATGTGAACTTTACATAGATGGTTGCTTTTGCAGCTGAAGAGAGGCTGTTCTTAGCTGGAGTTCTCCATCTTTCCCACGGAACTCTGCATAGGTTTAAAAAATGGTATCCAATGACTATAACAAAAGAAATCACCATTATCTCCAGCTCTGATTATTTTCTGCACTCTGGCAACAGACTTCTTCAAGTGGGAAATGTTTAAATTGTTATAAAAACAAGTAGTGCTGTCCTTGCAACATGTTTGATTATCAGTTTTTTTATCTTTATTGATCTTTCAGTGGATGTGAAAAAAGCTTTCCTTAAAACTAAACAGTTTATAGACTATAATTTTATAGGTAATGAGTCATTATTTAGGTATTACTACAGATGTGGGTACTAAGTGTTCTTCAAAGCACGGAAGGTAGCCTCTTTTTATTTCTGATCAGTGGAGAAATAACCACCCTATGTTGTACCAAATCTTACAGAACAGTCTGAACTGAAGAATAACATGAGGAAATTTCATCTAAAAAAATTATATTAAAAGGGAAGCTTTATATGGAAACAGGCATGGATTTAATACTTCTTCTGGATGCTATAATAAAATGTTTCATTAGTCTTTCAGGAATGGAAAGCAGATGGATATTTAACTGACACTCTGCACAGAAACCAGAGACTGAACATTTTATTAATTTTATCAGTTGCATGGTACCAACTTGAATGGAAACTAAAGATTGAAGTTTTATTCATTTTATCTGTTCCCTTACGAAGGGAAAAGGATTAACTGTAACTGTTCTTTATCTGAATTTCTCATATCTGAAATGGAAACTATTCTAATCTGTGTAGCCTTTAAACAGTCTCTCTTCTTCTTGTTTATTTTAGCTGATGACGTGGTTTTGCTCATCAAATCACGTTAATTATTTAAAGGAAAAAAATTGAAATTTTTCACATGTCTTTTTTAAAGTATGATTTTTGGAAGCCCAGTAATTCTGCTGAGCCAAATATTACTTAGTAATATGGACACATACAATGTCTCAGGACATGTTACAATGGGAAATTCTGTTTTCCTCAAGCATTTCACATTAGATTATTATCTGGTTACCTTTCCTAATAGGCTAGAATTTTAGTGAAAGTCATAAAAGTAGAACTGGAGTCTCCAAAAATGAGATACTTTCTCAGGAGATGGTCATTGACACCTTCATTAGAACAAATGGACTAGAAATAAAGCTCCATTCAGAAGGCAACAAGGAATGCTACCAGCTGACTTCCTTATGGCAGTCCATGGCAGTGTATAAATATGCAAATGAAATTAAAGATTCACGGATTATTTTTAGCAATGTGTTAGTTCCAGTGGCCTGGAAATTTTTCTCTCAGGTACTGAATTCTGTAACCCTTGAGAATTCAGTTACATACAGTGATATATTTCTCTTCTTCTAGTTCTGCAGGGCACAGTAATATGCCCTTCAGACAAACAAACAAACAAAAAACCCTCTGTATACAGGTGGGTATCCATCTACCTCTCTACATTCGCTATAAACCAGTTATTCTCAAACTTAACATGTATCAGAATCATCTGAAGGGTGTGTGAAAACACACAGAGATTGCTGGGCCCTTCCTCAGTTTCTAAATCAGGACATGTGGGCTGGGGTCTGAGAATTTGCATTTCTAACACATGCCCAGGTGCTGCTGATGCTGCTGGTCTGAGGACTACACTTTGAGAAGCAATGTCTCCAGTAAGGCAAGGGATAATGAACTGGACAAGTTATTTTTCACTGTCAACCTAAATAACAGAGAGAGAGGTTCTCTAAAAGAAAATGAGGCCGGGTGCGGTGACTCATGCCTGTAATCCCAGCACTTTGGGAGGCCCAGGTGGGTGGATCATTTGAGGTCAGGAGTTCAAGACCAGTCTGGCCAATATGGTGAAACCCCATCTCTACTGAAAATACAAAAGATAGCCGGGTGTGGTGGCACATGCCTATAATCCCAGCTACTCGGGAGGCTGAGGTAGGAGAATTGCTTGAACCCAGGAGGCGGAGGTTGCAGTGAGCCAAGATCGTGCCACTGTACTCCAGCCTGGATGACAGAGCAAGACTCCATCTAAAAAAAAAAAAAAGAAAACAAAAAAATAGAAAATCATATTTATTTGGGAATATAACATTGCAGTGGAAATACAAGTGACATGGTAAACTATGTGTGTATTCAGGGAGGTAAAGAAAGACAAGGTTTTTAAAGGAAAAGTGAGGAGGGTTACACTCCCGGAACAATAACAAAGGCGGAGCCAGTCCAAAGTTGTACAGGCAGTTGCTGGGCAGATGTCCTCACGGAGGTATTTTTTGTGTAAGGTTGCCATGGCCTTTATGCAAGGTTATGGTTTTTGCAGTCTTTTGTGATAGTTTTATGTGTGAGAACCCTCCCTTCGTGGCCTTCTCTGACTCTATTAGTCAGGGTTTTTTTGTTTTGTGGTGTTTTTAACACAGTTGACTTAGTTTTGACAACTTTCATATCACATATAGTTGATCTTCTACATCAAATTGCCATTTTAGAAAAATTGCCATTATAGAAAAATTTCCAATGTAGAAATGGTCTTGTTTTGGCTTTACAAGAACTATTGTTTGTACAAAAGAGAGAAAACTCTTTGATCCTTTGGTCTTTTGGCATATACTTTTTTGAGTAAATGCTTTTTAAAGTTTTTAATTGACAAATAATTATTGTATATATTTATGGGGTACCATGGGTACCATGGGATGCTTCGATGTATGTATACAATGTGAAATGATTAAATCAAGCTAATTAACATATCTGTCACCTCACGTTACTTTTTGTGGTAGTGAGACATTTGAAATTTACTCATCAATTTTGAAGTATATAGTACAGTATTAAAGCTATAGTCACTGTGCCGTGCAGATAGATCTCAAAAACTTATTTCTTCTGTCTAAATGAAACTTTGTTCACTTTGACCAATATCTCCTCATTCCATCTCTACTTCACCCTACCTCCTACTCCCGCCCCCTGCCTCTGGTAGCCACTTTTCTATTCTCTGAGTATGACTTTTTTAGATTCCACATATAAGTGAGATTATAATCATGCCATTTTCAGAAATATCTCGGATGGTTGGGCTGGTTGCAGCAGAAGGAAACCTGGCTAAAGGGTTGGGTGGGTGCAAATCCAGCCTGTATTCAGCTCAACAAGCCTTGCATCCAGGTGGGCTGCAGCTTTCTACCCCCAAAAGAAGGGATACCTTTTTCTAATTCACCCAAATACTTTCCACTGAATAAAAGCAAATTATTTGTGTTAAAACACTAAACCTCTTGTTCTTAGAATGACTATCGGAAGCTCTCCATGCAATGCAAAGACTTTGTAGTGGGTGTGCTGGATCTCTGCCGAGACTCAGAAGAGGTAGAAGCCATTCTGAATGGAGATCTGGAATCAGCAGAGCCTCTGGAGGTACACAGGCACAAAGCTTCATTAAGTCGTGTCAAACTTGCCATTAAGTATGAAGTCAAAAAGGTGAGTGGGCCTACTTTCATCTAGTGCCATATTAGAATAAACATGTGATACAAACTATGCCATAATCCTAGGAAAATTATTAAAATAATAAGACTAGACGCTAGTAGGCTGGGCAACATAATGAGACTGTGTCTGTACAAAAAAGAAACAAAATTAGCTGGGCATGATGGCATGTGCCTGTAATCCCAGCACTTTGGGGCCTGTAATCCCAGCGCTTTGGGAGGCTGAAGCAGGAGGATCACTTGAGGCCAGGCGTTCAAGACCAGCTGGGCAACATAGCGAGACCCTGTCTCTACTAAAAATTTAAAAATTAGCCAGGCATGGTGGCACGTGCCTGTAGTTCCAGCTACTCAGGAGGCTGAGGCAGGAAGATCACTTGAGCCCAGGAGATTTGAAGCTGCAGTGAGCAATGATAGCACCACTGCATTCCAGCCTGGGCAACAGAGCAAGCAAGACCTTGTCTCAAAAAATAAAATAAAAAAATAGATGCTATTGATAAAAGAGTTTTTTGTGGGGGGTAAAGTTGCAAGTTAAATGTGTAGCTTCTGATCCTTTCTACTTTTTACCCATGGTGGGACCTTGAATAAGTCATAAATTTTTAAATTTCAGTTCCCTCATGTACAAGGAGGATAATATCTCTTATCTATCTCAGGGTTTTGGTGGAATTTAAATGAGTTAAGATATGCAAAAGCACTCTGTAAACTGTTAATTACAATACAATTAATAATGCTGTTACTTGTATACATTTTTGTAAGGCATTTTTACATTGTTATGTGAATCCTTGCAGCAAGTCTATGTTATTATTCATTTTATCTATAAAATACATCAGATAGATGATGGGGTTTCTATTCTACAAGGAAACTGAGGATTGCCAAGCTTCAATGACATGTCTAAGGTCACATAACTAAGGAGTTGGTCATGCAGGTGCCAGAAATAAAAATTATGATTTTTTTACTCTGATTATTGCAGAAAAACTGTTATGTGTATCTATTTGCTAACTTGTATGGGGCTTTTAAATAATTCACAAAAATTGTAGTTATGTTTCACAATAATAAATATCTCAGTTATCCAGAATCCAATACTTTATACATGTTATATAACAGACTTTCTTGTACTTTAAGAGAAACTGATAAATCACAAAGAAATAAACTGTTATCAGCTCTGGTTTTATGAAGTTGGTCAATTTACAAAGAGCCAAGTGTTCTGTCTTTTCTGCAGTGTGACATGGTGCTTAAGAGGACAGGCACTAGAGCCAACCTGTAAGGATTCATGTCCTGACATCACCATGTGCTCCTGTGTGACCATGAGCAAGTCACCTAACCATCCAAGCCTCCATCTGCTCACTAGTAAAGTGAAGACAATAGTTGTACCTACTTATTCATTTGTTTAAGGATTGCATGAGATAATGCATGTGATTAGCACACAGTAGTACATGGTGATTTCTCAATAAGTATTTCTCAATAAGTATTAGCTATTAATAATAACATTTCTACATTATGAAAATTCATACCCAGAGTGATGACTCTTAAGCTAGTTAATCCTCACTCGTCAAAGACAGATTTCATGCCCCTTGTACTGAATCAAGTCCTTAGTAAGAGGAGTTGATTTAGGCAGGAAGGAATTTAGTAAGTGATATTGAGGAAGCTCACAGAATCCTAAGAGGAGGTAGAGGAACAAGCTTATCTAAGCTGTGCTTCCAAAAACCTCACCCAGAACCAGGCACAGTGCTGACCTGTTAAGGGAGTTTCTGTGGCCCAAACAGAACAATTCTGCCTCTGCTGCTCCCATATCAGCATAGAAAGGATGCTCTGCATCCTGCCTGTTTTCATATGGCCCCTTCCACTGATCAGTGGAACCTAAGCCAATGTTTGCACCCTAGCAGCAAGTGAGGATGGGGAAATCTCTCTCTCTCTCTCTGTGTCTCTTTCTCCTCTTTCTCTCTCCCCTCCTCTCTGTCTCTCTCTCTTCTGACACACATAATTCTACTACCACAATGTAGAAAACTTCTACACATAGTATTTGCAAGATTTTGGTCAACCATTAATGGCAGATCTCTTCTCTACTTCATAAGATAGTCAAATGTGAAGATTCTCAGTAAAGATTGAAATAAAACAACTTTTCAAGGAAAGTATGTTACAAGATAATTAAATTGGCTAGATTGCCCTCTCAGAGCATTCTTGCTAGTTGAGGTTTTGTTATTAATATATTGAGGGAAAAGGATAGTTTTGAGCAAGATTGATAGTAAACTGTTTTTTAGAAAATTGTCTAGACATATATTCACACATCCTGCAATATGTATCTCTTTTCTTTGGCACCTGAGAGAATTGATTTCAATTGTCACTGGTTTTTTATCATTGCTTTGGAAGTGTTATATGAGCAGAGACACCTCATCTACACTTGTGCTTCAGTCAACTAAACTGCCTTGCAGAGTTTATGTCTTCCTGCATGTCAATTTTAAATAAATTGGCATGTAGGTTACAAAGTATGAGGTGTCGTTAGTAATAAATTGGTATCAGTCAACCATCAGGCAACAACAAAAAAGTTAGAACTGTAAGGAGATTTAGGACTTTTGCAAACTTCTGGTTTTGTTTGTTTTATGCTATAAAAGGAGTATTAATTAGAGTCTTTGATTTGGAATCTTCACTCAATAACTGTATGTAAGAATTCTATTCTAGAATAATAAATGTATGTAAGAATTCTGTTCTAGAATAATAAATGTGTGTAAGAATTCTATTCTAGAATACTTGCAAAGCCCCAATTTCTCCTTTCTTTCTTCCTTTCAAAGGCTTCCTTCATGGCCGGGCACGGTGGCTCACACCTGTAATCCCAGCACTTTGGGGGGCCGAGGCAGGTGGATCACGAGGTCAGGAGATCGAGACCATCCTGGCTAACATGGTGAAACCCTGTCTCTACTAAAAAACATACAAAAAAATTAGACGGGCGTGGTGGCAGGCACCTGTAGTTGCAGCTACTAGGGAGGCTGAGGCAGGAGAATGTCATGAACCCGGAAGGCGGAGCTTGTAGTGAGCCAAGATCACGCCACTGCACTGCAGCCTGGGCGACAGAGCGAGACTCCGACTCGAAAAAAAAAAAAAAAACAAAAAAAAACCCAAAAAACAAAGGCTTCCTTCGTTTTCAGTCAACACTCACCCATCTTCATTCTCACAGGAGGAAAAATATCACCCCACCCACTCCTGCTGCTTCCTTTTCCCACCATCTCATTTCTAGTCTCCAAGCAAAACCACGTCTTGGGTTATAATGATGCACAAACCCTGCCCACTCTGGCACAGAGGTAGTCCACAGCCATATGCAAGCCATTGGGATTTCAAAGTAACTTTATATGTTATGGACTCCCCCACCCCCTGATAACATAATAAACTCATATTTATTCAAATCAACCCATAATTCCACCAAGGAAACCATTCTTATCTAATTGTAAGCCAATATTGGCCGCATATGAGACTCAGGAAGTCTTTTTTTTTTTTTTTTTTTTTTTGAGACGGAGTCTCGCTCTGTCGCCCAGGCTGGAGTGCAGTGGCGCGATCTCGGCTCACTGCAAGCTCCGCCTCCCGGGTTCACGCCATTCTCCTGCCTCAGCCTCCCAAGTAGCTGGGACTACAGGCGCCCGCCACTACGCCCGGCTAATTTTTTGTATTTTTAGTAGAGACGGGGTTTCACCGTTTTAGCCGGGATGGTCTCGATCTCCTGACCTCGTGATCCGCCCGCCTCGGCCTCCCAAAGTGCTGGGATTACAGGCGTGAGCCACCGCGCCCGGCCAGGAAGTCTTTTTTCTACCCTCTGCCCAAGACCTACTCCCAGCTCTGGTTCTGAGTCTATTGTCTTCTAACTGGGCTCAGGATTCCCAGAGATCTGGTCTTTCCTAGAAATCAAGGCATGAGTTCAACACAGGCCTTACAGAACTCAAGGACAGTTAATCCAGAAAATGAATATATAAAACACCAGAATAGGAGATACATGACCGTGAATTTAATGTTTATGTTGGAAAGGACTTTCTCATATAAAAGCGAAGAAATCTCCAAGCAAAAATGCAAATAATCTGGCCACATATAATTTAAAACCTCTGTATGACATCAGAAAGATTATAAACAAAAAAGTGAAGGGCATACTAGGAAAAATGTTTTTTCGATTGTATCTCACAAAAGATTGATCTTCTTAATATCCCAAGAACTCAAACAAATTTGTAAGGAAAACATCCAGGGCCCTGTAGAAAAATCAGCAAAAGATTTGAATAGGCATGTCACAGAAGAGAAAATTCAAATGGCTAACATGCATATTTAAAATTTTCAGACCTTTTAGTGATAAACGTATACTAATGTACAAATACCATTTTCCTTCTCTTAAACTAACAAAGAATAAAAATTTACAATTCTCAATGCTGATAGTAAAAGAGCAACCATCTGCCTGCATCTTTACTAACAGGGAATGGATTTTGAAGATTATTCATCCTAAAATCTGTTTTTTTTTCTTTTTTTTGAAATGGAGTCTCACTCTGTCTCCCAGGCTTGAGTGCAGTGGCGAGATCTTGGCTCACTGCAACCTCCACCTCCCAGGTTCAAGCAATTTTCCTGCCTCAGCCTCCCGAGTAGCTGGGATTACAGGCACCCATCATCCATGCCTGGCTAATTTTTTGTTTTTTTAGTAGAGACGGGGTTTTACCATGTTGGCCAGGCTGGTCTTGAACTCCTGACCTCAAGTGATCCGCCCACCTCAGCCTCTCAGAGTGCTAGGATTATAGGTGTGAGCCACTGCGTCCAGCCTAAAATCATTTTTAAGGGGTCTGTAAGGTAAATTTTAAAACTGGAAGGATAGTGAACACTATTACTATTTATAGAAATACCTATATTATTCTTTGAAAAGAGAATGGAATACACTGGAAGATGAAATTTGATTTTCTGAAAATGGGTACAAGAAAATTAAATTTTAGGCAAAAACACTAATTTTGTTTAATTAGAATAATGGACTATTTGCCCCCCACCAAAAGTCTTGAGTTCTAATTCTGACTCTACCTCTATCCTGCTCTGTGATGTGCAGCTGAACATTAATCCACTCCCCACCATAGAAATAACCAAAGTTCTACCTACTTCACCGTGAGCTATGTCTATTTTGAGAAAGTTTTTGACAAAAGATACTAGAGCTTGGTAGACCACTGAATCTGGAAAACTGGGCTCTCAGAAAGAGAAGGAGAACATTTCCTGAGTTCTTCGTTTCTGCTCTCCTATTAATATTTCCTCCATAGTAGGATTAGATTTAAATGTAGAAAAGCCATCCTAAAAAGAAACATGCAGCAGTATAAACAGGATAAAAGCATCCATTGTGTATCCACTTTCTGTGCAAAAAGTGTGCAGGGGAAGCCCAGAATTAAAGAAATGCAATGAGAGAGTGGTAAATACACCACTGAGACGTTGGAACGGGTGTGCTGGCCGGCACAGTCCTGTGTCCTGCACTGTGTGGCCTCTTGTCCTGGTCTTCCCCAGGCACCAAGAGATAACAGAGCATTTTGCACTCAGCAAGTTTGAAAATCCAGAAAACCTGTGCAATATAAGTTTTAGGTTTATATTTCACAAGTCATTGAGTTTTTAAAAGAAGTTGAATTGCCTAGTTTTTATTTACAAGAATATGTTCCTTTAAATTGTATGAATTGTGGCTCTAACAGTATCATTAAAAACAAATCCAGAGTTCCTACCATGATTTTACACAACAGTATTCCCATGAAGACAGTTCTTGTGAAGGCTGATTTGATGAAAAACAGTGTAACATGAATTAATTTTTAAGTTTAAAATTTGATTGTTTTCCCTAGCCTGCCCTGATCAGTGGTTCAGTTTATAATCTATTAGTTATTTGGCAAGAAAAAACATTTCAGTTGTTCTCAATGCTGATTGTCCAATTGAAAGATTGAGATTTTCTTGTGTCAAGCATTCTCTCTTTGAATCAGAAAACTCAAAATAAGGGTATTATTTTTGTTATGACTTCAATTTGCTGGTCCACTGAAGTTAGGAAACAGCATACAAATGTTATCCAGTTGGGCATAACTGGTGTAGTGACATAAGGAGATTTTTCAGGAGGTAAAACACTTTTCAGGTATAAAGGTCACTGCCCTATTTCGAAGTCATTGAAAAGACCAAAACTCATCTCCTAAAGGGATTAGCTTTTTTGCCTTCACTTGCTATTATTGTACTGGCTTTACTTTCTTTTTTGAAATGCTCCTTGTGTACTTGCATTAGGATTTTACATCATTGGAGGAAAATCTGTTTGTGTGGATTAAATGGAATCGACAGAATCCATGAAGTCGTGTATAATTATCTCAAAAAAAAGAGTAGAATTAGAAGCATAGGAAATAGACCTGTTAAGCTGAATTTTAAAGTGTAACAGGCAAAATGCAAACACCCACAATTTTGGTTACTACTTAATGTAGAGTAAGTGTTTGCACTGTAGTACAGGTTACATCAAGTCAAAGATTGACCATCACATATATGCCATATGGGAAGGATTGAGTCCATCAAGTCTTTGAAGCTGTGCAATCTTTATAAATATGTAATTAATGACATAAAGCACATCTTCAAATTTAAAAATTAGTCCAAGGAGGAGGAGTAGGAAAGGGAGATATGCTATAACATTAATATTTCTGTCCTCAAGAGTTTAAAACCTAAGAACGACTAGTGCCTTAGTCCGTTTGTGTTGTTACAATAGAATGCCTGAGATGGAGAGACTTATAAGAACAAAACTTTCTTGTCTCATAGTTCTGGAGGCTGGGAAGTCCAAGATCAAGGCACCAGCAGGTTTGGTAGTCTGGTGAGGGCTGCATCCTCTAGAGGGGAGGAACACTACGTCCTCACATGGCAGAAGAGTAGAAGAGCAAGCTAGCTGAATGCTGCATGAAGTCTTTTTTATAGGCGTCTTAATACCATTAACAAGGGAGCAGCCCTCATGGCCTAATCACCTCTTGAAGGCCCCACCTGTTAACTCTACCACATTGACAGCACCTGAATGTTGGAGGAGACACATTCAAACGATAGCTACCAGACACTCACAAAAGGGAAATTTGTCCATCAATTCCATATAGACACATGCCCACCTGTCTCTTAACTTCATGGGAATTTTGTTTCCTACAGAAACTGTTGGTCTAAAAACTACATTGTTGATTTCCTAAGTGGTAATCTGATTTAATGACATTATATGCTCCACCTGTAGTTTACCCTGAATGCACCATTATCTGTCCTAAGCTTAGCCTGGCTGCAGCCACCAGGGATGCCTTTTATTTATATCTGTCTAACTTCCCACAAATGCAGATCCTCCAAATATCAAGATACTTGTACCAACATTCAAATTAAGACTCTTTTAAATTCTGATTAGGCATCTTGACAAGCCTATGAGTTGAAGTCTCAGTTATAATAGCTTATTTTGTGTCTATTCAAAGCTTACTGTGTACCCTAGAACAATGACCTCTTATCACTTAATTCAACTCTGATGCTTCCATTTTTATCTTCTTGTACCAATACACTTGCCCAATATACTGCCTGGATCATAGGAGGGGCTTAAGACATTTTGATGAGTGAATAAATGAATGAATGAATGAAGGACATTTAGGGACCATAGAGGGAGAGGTGAAGCAGGAAGGAAATGATCTAAATATAGTACAGGAGCAGAAGTGGAAGTTTGGAGAAGTTCTCAACAAGAATCCTAGAAAGTTGTCACATATACCCAGGAAGCCTTCAACTTTGATATTCGTGAGTTCAAATAATGATTGCATTGGTCTATGAAATGCTGTTTTCAAAACTTAGAACCTTGGAAAAGTGACAAAATCCTGGGTTTGGAGAGAAGATCTAATACATCCTTAGCAACTAGCAGCTACTGAAAATCAGGACCTGGGATTTTGAAAACTGAATGGAAAGGAACTCGCATGATAAAATATGCTTCTTAGTTCAGGCTGCTGTAACTAAGTACCATAGGCTGGGTGGTTTATAAACAACAGAAATTTATTTCTCGGCCAGGCGTGGTGGCTCATGCCTGTAATCCCAGCACTTTCAGAGGCTGAGGCGGGCGGATCACCTGAGGTTGAGAGTTTGAGACCAGCCTGACCGCCATGGAGAAACCCCGTCTCTACTAAAAATACAAAAAATTAGCCAGGCATGGTGGCACATGCCTGTAATCTTAGCTACTTGGGAGGCTGAGGTAGGAGAATCACTTGAACCCGGGAGGTGGAGGTTGTGGTGAGACGAGATTGTGCCATTGCACTCCAGCCTGGGCAACAAAAGAGAAACTCCATCTCAAAAAAAAAAAATTATTTCTTACAGTTCTGGAGGCTGGAAATCCAAAATGAGGATGCCAGCATAGTGAAGATCTGATGAGGGCTCTCCTCTGGGTTGCAGACTGCTGACTTCTCATTGTATCCTCACATGGTGGAAAGAGCGAGCTCTCCTGCCTCTTCCTATCAGGGCTCCAGTCTCATTCATGAAGGCTCCTCCCTCATGATCTAATTACCTCCCAAAAGCCTAGCTTTCTAATACCCATCACATTGAGGCTTAGAATCTCAACATAATAACTCAGTTAATTATTTCAAATCTAATATTCATAAATTTATTCTCACCACCTCTGTCTGTGGGTCGTTAAGTACGCATGTATGGTGATGCGGAGGCAGCTGCCAGTGCAGCCATCAGTGGACTTTACACTGGGTGCACTCTGGGGGCAAAGGCAGGGATTTGGGGGAAATTGAACCTACATCGCCTGTCCTGGGAGATGAGACTTTCTTTTTTAATTAAAATTGTTGATGGGAAACTATGCACCAGTCAGTGGAAACCTGTGCATTTCCTTGTAGGTGGGCTTTGATAAAGAGCCAAATATTAATAACTCTAGGAATTGCCTGGAGTTACTAAGAATCATCAGGATTATTAACTAGAACTTGATCAAAGAGGAACCTTTTGACAAGTAGGAACTGCAGCTACTCTGTTTCTCAGTTCCCAAAAACATTTCATGGGTGTTTCTTAACAGGTTCATTGTTATTGCTTATTCTGTTTTTTAGAAGACAGTGACACCTTGATTTTTGTGTTGCTAAGAACTCCTTTAAAAAATATGTTGTCACTCATAGTTGATTTTTGAATTCCTGAGCTTGGACAAAGAGCATATGACCATTCAAAAAAAGGTGTGTCTAGCTACAAATGGGCAGATTTTGGCATAGGGACCTTTACAAGGGCCTGAGTACAAATGCATTCTGCTTCTTGAATAAGAACAGGGCTTTAAAGAAATCCCAGTCCTTCTAAATGATGCAGGCAGATAACTTAACAAAATCAAACGGGAAAAAAAAAATCAAATGGCTGGGCTGAAATAAGTATAATTTGCTCATTTTTCCTGATTAGAATTGTATTTATTAAAGAACTGCTGAAGATAAATAGTCATGTTCTTTTGACCTTTTGATACAGGAAGCAATAAAAAAGAGGACGGGAGGGAAGTGGCATTTGGTGCCAGTTCCTGGAAGAAGTGCATGTGTAGACCCAGCATAATACTTGCAAGTTCAATTGATTATTTTTCAGGCCTTTTACAGATTTGCAGTAATAGTACATAATTACACAAAGGGTGCATTATGCATTTTTTTGTATGTAGCATTTTAGGGGTTGCTCGCGAAACTTCACACATTTCTCTTTTAGCTATAGCCTACAATAAACCAAGTAACTTTTCTTCTTTTCCATTTTGAACTGAATGCAAGTAAGCTGGCCAACAGCAAGATGGGACACATTTTTACAAAAGAAGCCAGATGTCACCCAGATTCCACAGAGAAATCTGTGAATCATGGAGGGTTTCTATCAAAAAGAACTGTGATTAAGGACACCACCAATTTTACCTTCTCATTTCCATTCTAATTCTTCTATTAGTTCTGAAACAATTTTGAAAAATGGAGGGAAAGCTAAGAAGAATATTACCAGAACCTTCCAGTACCAATATGCTAGAAAAAATATGCTTTAATATCTTTAGGATGCATGTGTATTTAATAGTTGAGCTATTGACAATGGTATGGTAACTTACCTTTCTCTCCCCTTCTCAAACTCTCTCTCTCCCAATAGTTTGTGGCTCATCCCAACTGCCAGCAGCAGCTCTTGACGATCTGGTATGAGAACCTCTCAGGCCTAAGGGAGCAGACCATAGCTATCAAGTGTCTCGTTGTGCTGGTCGTGGCCCTGGGCCTTCCATTCCTGGCCATTGGCTACTGGATCGCACCTTGCAGCAGGGTACTTGCTTTCTACATCTATTTCCTCTGTGGTGGTGTACTGTGTCTCTTTGGGATAAAAAAATAAAAAGCTTCATGCTTAAGAATCTTATCAGTTTTACCCTGAATGTTAATTGATTCAAGAACACAGATTCTCCTTTTTAATTACTGGATCAATTCAAATAAGGGATGAAAAAGGATTTGGTACCAGTGGGATATACCACATTTGCAGGCATAAAGTACTTAGGCTTTTAAGATAAAATCCTCATGGTAGACAGAGAAGGAAAAGCTGCTTGAGTGAAGTAGCCCTTGTACTGATTTTATTGACGGCTTAATAAGTAGAGTGTCGACTGGGCTGGCCTGTGAACAGACCGGGGAATGGAGAGCACTGCTGCAGTAGTACCAAGAAACAGTTACGCTGGGAACTAGAAGGGCAACCCATTTGGACCTGTCAGAAGAAATCCAAGGTTAAGTGTGCGAAGCACAGTTGAGAACAGCAGTGGTATCCAAAGTCTTCAAGAAAATGCATGTCAGGTTCCCCTAGCCCTTTGTTAATTCAGACAGTTCTTAAAAATGTAGGATTTAGGTTCAGGGGTTTTAGATTTTTTTAGATTGTTTATTTGGTTTTGCTTGGATCATTTTGGTTAGTACCTTTATTCTCCTCTCAACTTTCCAATGTAAAATCAATTTAGTTGTGCCCAAGAGATCCCCTAGCAAGATGTGGAAAGGAATACTATTCATGCCAGTTATTACAGGCACTGCCAGAGAGAAGGAGCTGTGCTGAGATCCTTTAATCCTGTTTTTATATTCTGAAATTTGGTTTTGTTTAAGTCAGAGGTAGTTTCAAGGCAAAATGAGTCAAGGGCACTTACAAGTGATCCTGGAAATCTATCATCTCTCTGGCTCAGCAGTCTCCACCGGCAGAGTTCTGCTCTGCAAACACCATATATGTGTGAGAATATTCATCCATCTCATTTCATCATTGAGTTGCCCATGCAAATTAAGGCAGAAAGTTTGTCATTTTGATCATGTTTGATGACTCAGCCAAGTTCTTTTGTTATGTATCATGGAAAATTACTTTAAGATTCTTCAAATACGTAAACACTAAAGATGAAAAACTATAAATAATATGAGAGAGCATGCAATAAAAAAAATCATATCCTACCCAAATAATTTTCTTTTCTGAAGGAAATGAGTTGGAAAGTTCAGGTTTAGAAATGTTTGTCTCTTAGGGGAACTTAATCAGTTAAAACATTCCATCAGGTTTGAAGTAGCCATCTTGGAGTCCACTTCTTTTTTCCCTGCACTTTTACAAGTACAACTAACAGTGTGGCATGCTCTGCAGAGAAGGGAAACATGGAAGTTGAGCCATTCCCAGAGCCCATGTTTAGAGCTGCCGTATACCACCTATCTTATGGAAAAAGGCAACATAGCAAGAATTTTCCATGTATGTCCCATTTTTGAGATTGGCATTCTGCTTTCTTTTCATGTTATTTAAAGTTTTAAAAGATTGACCTTTAGGAGAAACAGACTTGGTAATTCCCAAGAAATTTCTATGTGCTACGGATAAGCTACCCCCAAACGTGCCCTTTTTGCAGCTGTGTAACAACAAGGTGATGTGTAAATGTGTTGTTTATTCTTCTGTGTCTAACATGGAAAATGTGACATTCGTCTGTGTGCATTCATGTTCAATCCCAAAAATCCCTGACATCTCTTTCATCATTTATTGACATCCCATTAAGGTTCTAGACCTACAAAAACATTTGTTTGGAGTTAACAGTCCCTTAAATGTGAACCTCAGTACTTTATAAGGTCACAGACAGAGTTAAAAAGCAGGGTCTGAGAGTGTAGAAAAGAGAACATACTTGATAAATCTACCAAATGTACCTAATTCTTGGACTGTGGGGGCCCTTGGGACAGGAGGAATGGTTTTTCATTTTCACGGGAACGTGGGACTTTTAAGGACATTATATCATAGGGGATTTTAAAGGAGTCACCTTAAAATAATTATATACTGAACTTTGGAAGTCCCTTTGTACCATTTACATGATTATCCAACTGGGAGATCACTTTCAAATAAGTTAACCTACTTAGAGGTTTTAATTATTGTGTATCTCCTTATTAGGGGCAGTAACAGATACAATATTCATCTTGGTTCTAATATTTTCTGCCTTTTTTATAGCATACCAGGTATAACTTGATTTTGGAATATTTAGAAATGAGAACTAAAATTTACTTCTGTAGTAGTAATTTTTTTAATCTTCAAAGGGTTTTTAAGGTCTTATATGAGTCTATAAGATCCTCATAACATCTCAATTACAATTACAAAGCAATGAAGAATTACACAATACAAAGTTGAAATTTCTTTTTCCAGACCCTAAAATCCAGACTTTGCATATTCTTTTGTGTAAAAATAAGAGCAAGAACCAGTATAGGCCCTGTGATTTCCAGAAGTGCATCTGTGAATGCAGTCTACCCTAAGACAAATTGGACATTTAGAAACAATGAATTTTGAATACTTATTAAATTATTTTTGGAGGAAGCATTCCCCTAAAAAAGAATATTTTTCATAATATAAAGCTTTTTGGAAACAGAAGCAGAATTTTGAGTGTTCTCCTTTCATCTATTTTTTTTAATCCTATGTTGTAATCTCCACAAGTGAAAGCCAGATTTTCTGAAGCAAACTTTTCCTCTTTGGTTTGTTACAGCTGGGGAAAATTCTGCGAAGCCCTTTTATGAAGTTTGTAGCACATGCAGCTTCTTTCATCATCTTCCTGGGTCTGCTTGTGTTCAATGCCTCAGACAGGTTCGAAGGCATCACCACGCTGCCCAATATCACAGTTACTGACTATCCCAAACAGATCTTCAGGGTGAAAACCACCCAGTTTACATGGACTGAAATGCTAATTATGGTCTGGGTTCTTGGTAAGTCTTTTATTTTAAATATCCTAATTTCTACCAAAAGGTAATTATAGAAATAATTGTCATTTTCTATTGAAAAAAAATGTTATTATATCTTATATGGTGACAACATCACTGTTGCAAGATAAGCTAAATAGCAAAATAACCAAATAATTTTCTAGCTAGATAATGCCAAAAGGTGTCCCTTAACACTACATAAAATTTTTTATGAGTAACGTGACCCTAATTACAAATATACTATGTTTCAGAAATCTAACTTCAATTATTGAACAAGATGTAAGTTTTAAAATGTAACTCACTGTGATTATTTAATTGAAATACTTATGAAATAACCCAATGGCTATCAACTGATGACAAATACTTTCTTTGTTGTTTTAGTTCCAGAGATTTTAGGAGAGTTTTCATTTTCAGAATGTTTGTTATTAGGTTGGGTACAAAAATAACTGTGGTTTTTACTATTTTTAAAATGGCAAAAACTGCAATTACTTTTGCACCAACCTATTTCGTCTTACAATAACCCATTTTGAATAGCTGTGTTAAAATAAGAATTTGAAGTAATGTGAGGAAAAGAATTTATTGTGTTCTCTGCTAAGAAATGGAGATTGGAACCAGGTTGTTTATTTCTGATTAATCCGAAGTCATTTTTGTATTTGTTTTATCCAATGTGAGTCTTGGTGTCTTCTCATTTTCGGAGTTAGTAGGTTAGTTCTTCCTCCCATTCACTCCTGTGGCCTCAGCCTAGGTCAAGTAATTATTTTATACATTTTCTTTTAAGCCATTACATTTTTTAAAAATTCTACAGTATTTTCCCTTTATGTAGTCAGGACAATTTGTTAAGTTGGACAATTTGTTAAGTTGTTAAGTTGTACTATTTTGTCCTCTTGTCCCAGAATGGCATTTTCTGCTTTCAGTTTCTTCAGAATGTCCTAGGACCTCTCACTTAAGGGTTTCATCTTTTTCAAACGATATTGCTCACTTTTTAGCATGACATGGAAATGAGAAGAGAGGATAAGAGTGTGATATGAGTATCATTGGGAAACTGTTCTTCTTGTTAAAAATCTTGTGGACTTATTTCTCCAATAATCACTATGGTTTGATAACTAACCATTGTGATTGTATAGAACATATTTTCTTCTCCAAAAGTCTTATGGGATAACTTGAAGAGCCTTCTCTCCTTATTTCCTTTCCTTCTTTCTTCTCCTCACCCCCCTCCACCACCTCCTCTCATGAATAGAGACATCTCTGGTGCCACATGTGGACCGCTTCTCCAAATTCTAGTGTGGTGGGGTGAATTATTTTCTTAGCAGGAGCTTCTTCCATTTAACTCTGCACAGGGCCTCAGTGACCATACAGTCAGTCAGTCAATGCTTTGTGATGCCTAGTACTGTGCTTGACGTGTAGGGTAGAGATGTGACCTGATGGTGGACACAATAATGGCTTCTCAGTCTGGCCTGTAAAATCTGACCTGCACCCTCTGTATTTGTTGTGACAGGAATGATGTGGTCTGAATGTAAAGAGCTCTGGCTGGAAGGACCTAGGGAATACATTTTGCAGTTGTGGAATGTGCTTGACTTTGGGATGCTGTCCATCTTCATTGCTGCTTTCACAGCCAGATTCCTAGCTTTCCTTCAGGCAACGAAGGCACAACAGTATGTGGACAGTTACGTCCAAGAGAGTGACCTCAGTGAAGTGACACTCCCACCAGAGATACAGTATTTCACTTATGGTAAGTTGTTAGCTTCAGGGTCCCCTTGTGTTTTGGGAAAGGTATTGGAACCACATTTTGGAAGGAAATGCCAATTGGAGTATGTTTAGTATGAGAGGTGTATTGAATATTTATGGACAGTGGAGAAAGCATGAACTTTGGAACCTACAAAACTGGATTCATTTCAAGGCTCTGACCCCCTTTGCTGTGTAAACTTGTTCAAGTCAATTTGCTTCACTGTGCCTCAGTTTTCATAGCTATAAAAAGACAATATTGCAAGGTGGAAGAAAATTACCTTTAAGCCTATAAGATAATTACTATTGGGAGACTGTCTTAATTAGGGAAAAAATAGTTTGATAAACTGCTTGATGTGGAAGGTAAGTCCCTGAGAGCATGGGTTCAAGGAGATAAGATAATAAAAGTTGCCAAACTGCTCTGCAGGCAAAGTGAACGGTAATTCAACAGAGGCAGGAAGTAGGTTCTAAAGTGACCGTGAGAATGTAAGCTCTGGAGAACCAGCAGAAATATTTTGGGAGGATGTTGTCCTGTTCACATGGCATGGAATGGGGTTCATGTCAAATATCTCTATATTATGAAGAGCAGTGAGACCTCAGCTGACATCCGGTGTGAAAGAACATTGATGCCTTCCTTGCCCCGTACAAACCAATGGTAAGTAATGTTAGCCTCCCTTCCCTTGAGGCCAAATTGAGGAGCCACAGTTAGCAAATTTGGATATAGTTGTAAAATCTGAAATCTGGAAAATACTTTAGAAAGTGTTGTCTAATCTTCATCTTACAGGTAAGGGAACTCAGGCACAGAGTTTAACTGTGATCTGGTTGTGAAGAATACTTTTTTATAGGTGTAATTAGGGCACATTGTGATGAGTACAAGGAGCATGTTAATGTTATTGAAGGCTGGACTTCCGCTCCAAAATATAAGATGTAATTAAGCACCTCTGTTATTCTCAGCAAGCAAAGACTTTTATATACCAAGGAGACTTGTTCAAATGAGCAAATGATCACCATTTGTAATTAAAGAATTAATTTTAGATTGTATTTTAGGTATCTTGACCATTTCATAACCTATTTATTGAAATTTATTTATGTATATTTGATGACTGTTGTCTGGAAGGGATGGATTCAGGCTTCCCTATCTCCTATATGTATTGTTTTGATCAATTTTTAATCTTTCTAAGTCTGGTTTCTGCATCTCTAAAGAGAGGATAATAATATCAAATCCATAGGATCATTGAAAGCAGTGTCTGACACATATTAAATAGTCAAGAAATGTTAATTTTTTAAACTTTTTTTTAGATTCAGAGGGCACATGTGCAGGTTTGTTACCTGAGCATATTGCATGATTCTGAGGTTTAGGGCTAGGAATGACCTCATTACCTGGGTACTGAGCATATACCCAATAGATGTTTTTCAACCCTTTCCTCCTCCCTCTAGTAGTTTTCCAGTTTCATTGTTGCTATGTTTATGTCCATGAATACCCACTATTTAGCTTCCACTTATAAGTGAAAACCTGCTGTATTTGGTTTTCTATTCCTGCATTAATTCACTTAGGATAATGGCCTCCAGCTGCATTCATGTTGCTGCAAAGGACATGATTTTTGTTCTTTTTTGTGGCTGCATAGTATTCCATGGAGTATATGTACCACATTTTCTGTATCCAGTCCACTGTTGATGAGCACCTAGGTTGATTCCGTATCTTAGCTATTGTGAATAGTGCTGCAATGAAGATGCAAGTGCATGTGTCTTTTGGTAAAACAATATGTTTTCATTTGGATATATACCCACTAATGGAATTGCTGGGTTGAATGGTAGTTCTGTTTTAAGTTCTTTGAGAAATCTTCAAAGTGCTTTCCACAGTGGCTGAACTGATCAACAAATGTTAAGTTTTGTTGTTATTGCAGATGTCTGCAAGTTTGCACAATTAACCACATAATATTTCATTGACCTGACAGGTCTGCTGCAGACTTAATAAGTGACCTTGAAAGGGTTGTTAGGGGTCCTCATTCTGAATCTATATCCAAAATTCTTTTACTTCAGTGGCATTTTACATTTTTCGGGGACAAGTTATATTGCTGAGATAACACATCGTCAGCACCATTGTGATTCAGTGACATTCTCACTCCTCGAAATATTTTATTTGCATGAATTGTTGGATGAACTAATTTTCCCACAAGATATGGAAAAGAAGTTACACTCCGGCTGTGCCTATAGGATGACAAAATAACTGGTCAGTAAATCTAATGACTGAAGGGACAAATCAGTCAAGTCAGTTGTTTTGTCATCCTGGATACAGTCTGTGTCTAACGAAGTGTTTTAACCTCTCCATGTTTTGTATTTTATTCTGTTTCTGCTGAATGTGGAGTCAGCTTAGTATCTTTATAATAGTGTACCCTCCATCTAAAGTAATATAGAATTTACGTTTCTGGTTTAAGATGAAAATAGTCCCTGGACAGTTAATTAAATCTAGATTAGTTTCAACTGAGATGGTAACCACCTACCTACAAGATAGATCCTATTTAAGGTATTTGCTTTGCGTAGTTGGCAATGAATAGAAAGCTCCATTTTTAATCTCTTTCTCTCTTTTTTCTAGCTAGAGATAAATGGCTCCCTTCTGACCCTCAGATTATATCTGAAGGCCTTTATGCCATAGCTGTTGTGCTCAGCTTCTCTCGGATTGCGTACATCCTCCCTGCAAATGAGAGCTTTGGCCCCCTGCAGATCTCTCTTGGAAGGACTGTAAAGGACATATTCAAGTTCATGGTCCTCTTTATTATGGTGTTTTTTGCCTTTATGATTGGCATGTTCATACTTTATTCTTACTACCTTGGGGCTAAAGTTAATGCTGCTTTTACCACGTAAGTAAAATATCTTATTATACAGGTATGATAAAGAGAAATTCTAACCAATCTAGAGGAAGCAAAGGAAAAATTTCTCTGATTGTAATAAAGATGTTTTTAAGCACAGAAAATAATCCATCAAAAACAGTTAGTGCTTGTGTTGATTATATTGCTCTGAAGGCTCATCTCTGAGCTTAGTGAGAGTTTGACCACAGAATGGGTCAGAATTTGGAAAAACCCTAGACAAAACTGGCTATTTTAAGAAAACAGGATAACAGATTTCTAATACTGGATGTCTCTTACATTATGTATAACATTAAAATTAGTTTCATCATTTTGTAGCCAGTACTCTTCTTTCAAAAAGGAAGCATCAGCTTTTATTTTAATATATTCATTGATCGGTACAGGAAGTCGAGTAAGAGGAAGTTATAGCTAAACATTTTATAGCCCACTATCATGGTAATACCAGTTTCTTCCTTTGGCCATACTGGTTTCTACACTGGAGACTCACCTCTTCCATGAAGTCTTCCTTGATCAAGTTTCCTTAGTCATTTTCCCTTCAAGTTCCTGCAGCATGGAGACACCCAGATTGTGAGATCTGTTCTCACCCAGTGGTGTTTGGTTGTCATGAATATAGGGCCCCCCTTCTACTGCAGTTCTTCCAGGTGGGAAGGTCATAAACCCTCCCTGCTCTCCCTTTGTTCCCAATAATGCCACTGCTGGAAACAAACTATACACTCAGTAAGTACTCTATAGACTAAAGTAGCATATCAAGCCCTTGTAGACATCTCAATTGTTCTAAAATGAATTTTTTAATAGTTAATATAGAACAGGTCTTAGAGGTGAAAGAGACTTGAAACTTGCTTTATTGTAATGAAGAAAAAAACCTGTTTGAACCCAGCAGGGAAATTACAAAGAGATCTTGTACACAATGTGATCCCTGCCCCCATTTTCCTTTTAACTCTATGGTAACTCATTTTATACATTCTATTTTCTTCACTGTTTTGTCTAGGGATGTGACCATTCAATGTAGTAGAAAGGACATAGGCTGAAAATCATGCAGACGTGGATTTGAATGCAATCTCTGCTGTTTCTAGCTGTGGCTTTTGGTTAAGTTCCTGAACATTTCTCAGTGTCAGTTTCCTTATTTTTAAAATAAGCACAATAAAGTTTAAATAAGGTCGTTGTGACAATTATGTAAGGTGAGTTATATAAAGCCTCTTGCCCACAGTAGGAGCTCAGAACTGCCAGTGTCCTTTCCTTTTTTACTATCCCCCTCTTCCCACACATGCACTCCATATAGATTCGAGGAGAAGCTAGGGGCAGCAAGGTTTGCAAAGGAGCAAGAGGAAGGAGCGGGAGAATTTTGTGATACGGTTAAATAAATGGTAGGAACAAAAAGATTATAGTTTTTCTTACTCTTCTGTCAGCATCTACGCCATGATATCACACAGCCAAATGTTTTGTAATAGAGAGTAACTCTATAGGAATAGAGTTCTATTCAACCCTCCATCCTCAGGGTGTAGCAAAATTTCTGGAACATAATAGGTGCTCTGTCAATATTTGTTTTATGAGTGAATGAATAAACTAGTCCTAAAACCTACAAATCTATAAAATTCATTGTTATTTAGGATGTGTTATAAGAAACTTAAAACGTACTTTTTCACAAATCTTTCTCTGAGAAAAGAAAAGACTTACTTTTGAAGGTGTAATGGAATTTTATGTGTGTAAATCTTTAATTTAATGATTACTAATTTAGTTCACTAGTGATTACAATTTGGTTCTGTGACAAAACCACCCAAAGATGATTTAAGGGACGAACTTAGGTAATTAGTCTGGTGAGGACCTAAGTGCTAATTGTTGTGGTGGAAGAATCGGGAAGTACATTATATAAATTAAGGGAAAAGAACAGGAATCTTTCATTCTGCTGCCTCCTCTTCATTTCCAGTTAAGTATTTCTAGGTAGGTAATGTGTTCCTATGATAAAAAATTTAAATAGAGAGGCGTCTACAGGGAAATGCCTGTCCTTCTCCCTACCCTTGGCCCAGTCTCTTACTTATCCTTAGTTCCCAGAGACAATGGTGTCTTTTGGATATTTTCAGAGATTTTTTTATATAAAAAAGAATATAAGTATTTGTATGCCCTTCTTTTTTATTTAAATGATAGAATATTTCACACTTGCTATATCTTATTTTTTCATTTACTGTATCTTTGATATAATTTTATATAAACACACAAAGCTCGATCTGTCTCATTTTCCTACAGTGACTGCATAGCATTCCATCATCTGGATATACCAGAATTATTTAGCCTGTCCCCTACTGATGGATATTTAGATTACTTTCATTCTTCCCTACTGCAAATGATGCTGCAAGGAATATGTTTTTACATACTTCTTAAAAATTGGGTATATAATTTTAATCCCAACCCTGTTCTACTACAGAAAACCTGATTTAAATTTCTAAATCACATACAAAATCAAACAGCAAATTCCCATTTTTGTAGGAGAAAGGAATGGTTATTGTGACTTGACTTCAGCTTTCTCCTGTGGAGTTCAGAGAATTTTCACTTGATGATAACTTCAGAAAAGCTAGGCATTGGCACCATTTAATCATCAGTTCCTGAAAACCTGAAAGAATAATTTTTCTATGAAATGTCATAACAAAGTAATCCTGCTCTTGGAGTATATTATGGTGGCATTTTACATCTGTACAGTAGTTAAACCCTAACTTGTTTTTTACTTTTCACTCTTAGATATTGAAAACTGTTAACTTACTTACTTTGTATCTTATTTTTTCAACAGTGTAGAAGAAAGTTTCAAGACTTTATTTTGGTCAATATTTGGGTTGTCTGAAGTGACTTCCGTTGTGCTCAAATATGATCACAAATTCATAGAAAATATTGGATACGTTCTTTATGGAATATACAATGTAACTATGGTGGTCGTTTTACTCAACATGCTAATTGCTATGATTAATAGCTCATATCAAGAAATTGAGGTAAATCGGTTTTCTATCCATAGTATCTATCCTTGTCATCCTATTCTGATAGTACACATCTGCTTCTGTACCCTGTGGCTGAGCTCCAGCTCATGTAACAAAGAGGCTTATATCCACACAGAGCCTGAGCCTTTCCCTGTGTTTTCTACCTGGATAGATAGCTCTACACATTCTGCTGTCTTCTAGGTGCACAGCAGGGGTCCCCATGAATTTACTGCTGCTCCGCCTTCTCTCAGGGTATATTTCAGAAGTTTTGAAATTAGTGGCTAGAAGAAGTATTGGCCCTAAGGAAATTACTCTCTCTTCAATTAGCCAGCCCACAATTCTACCTGGTAGAATGACCAGATGTTTGGCAAACACTAATGGTATTCTTTATCCAGTCAAAATTTTGAGTATTCTAGAAATCACTTGATTCTTGGTTTTGGATTGGGCTGGGTTTGGTACCTCTCTTCACTGTTGTATATATGTTTTCTTATGTCCTTCAGTTCAGTTTTCAGTATCTTTTTAGTGCTTTGCAGTTTGTTAACTCCACCAAATCTCTATGTATGTTTTAGAAACTCATAATATAGTGTTCTCAAAGTAGAAGTTTTGGTCCTAATGGCCTTCTAGGCTGTGTGAACTGAGAGAGCCAGCTTCCTCCTCATAAGGACCCCTTCCCTTCATTTCTCCTATCAGTTAGGGTGGTTATCTCCATCACCGTGGGCAGCACAGAGAATGGAAGGAGATGTAAAACAAGTTCAGGCACTCAGGGGCTTATGTGACATTTGGGGACATATGGTAAACACAGAAATGCCGAAAAGCAATTCATCTGAGAATCATTTTTCCCCTTGCCCTTGAAATATAATATGCTGTGTCTACAGCCTGGCTTGGATAGGTATAGGTGAGGAAGGAGGATGGGAAATAGGCAACTATTGTCAAACATGCAGAATTGACTGGGTGGGGGACAGAGGGAGGAATTAATCATTTTATCCTTCCTTGGCACTCTATTTTTCTTGTCTTTTTTGCCTTGTTTTTGGATGTTAGACAGGAAGTTCTGGTTAAATTTCAGTGGGTACAGGTAGAGGCATATGAAAAAGAATGAGTATCTTATATTTGAAAAATGAGAATATTGTGTAGGTCTATAGAATATATGTAGATAAATGTGTATAAGTTACCTATTTCAAAAACGTAACTTAGATTCATTGTAAAAAACCTATTAGCAACAGTCACTAGAATATTTAGCATTTAAAATTAGTTTTTTTTTCTATTTTTGTGACACAGGATGACAGTGATGTAGAATGGAAGTTTGCTCGTTCAAAACTTTGGTTATCCTATTTTGATGATGGAAAAACATTACCTCCACCTTTCAGTCTAGTTCCTAGTCCAAAATCATTTGTTTATTTCATCATGCGAATTGTTAACTTTCCCAAATGCAGAAGGAGAAGGCTTCAGAAGGATATAGAAATGGGAATGGGTAACTCAAAGTCCAGGGTAGGTATCGAAAACTTACCAAGACCTTAAAATAAATGTTCTGTCTTTTTTTTCTTGTCTTCTGATGTTTGTTCAATAATTTTTATGTGTGAACTTAGAAGATGTTAAAAGTAACTGTCTAGTCCACAGTCTTTCACAGACTAATACTAAATATTTTCATGATGTTTCAAGAAGTCACTGAGTCGAGGCCCTGCTTTTGATCAGAACATCATATAAACTGCCAGATTAAAAACAAACAAAAAAGCCTTTAACTTGTTAAAAGTAACCAGAAAAGTCACTGTTAGAAAACACTTTGTTTTTGTATGTTCCATGCTTCTCAACTGTTATTCTGAAGTTAAATAGTTTAAACTTCTAGCCTTCTTGGTTTATGTATAGTTCACCACCACCATATTCTCCTTTTTTGTAGAAACTTTTTATTTGACTAAATAATCTTTTTTCCATTAGTGTCATAAAATAGATACAGGCCCAAGAGCATCCTCAAATAACCATAAATACTCATTTTATAAATAAGCAAGAAACCCTTGAGTTATCTCAGTTGAGTCATAGTTTAACAAAGAAGATAATTTTCATGATCATACTTTGTTATCATGAACTAACTTTCAGAGATAGAATGGTATAGATAGAAGGATGTGAGTGAACCTAAATAATAGGGAATGAGGCAGACAGGAACAAATGTGTAGAGTTAAAATATAACTTTTTCTAAAATTATGAAAATGGTCTGTAGCTATAACATCCTAAAAGCCCACGAGATATCAATGTTATCCCCATAAAGCATAGGCCTTCCTGAGTGAAGGTAGATATTTTTTCTCGTTGAAACTAGGCGAAAAAGTTAAGATTAGTGCAATTTAATTTATTGCTTTTTAAAATTGTTGTGAATCTTCAAGAATTGTATTCTTTAAGAAAGTGACCTTTTAAATCTTTTTTTGTTTGACCTGGATATGGGCTCTTAAGGCTATTGAATTACAAGTCAGCGATTGGTTGTGACAGCCCATGATTTAAAATAATACCTCATGTATGTAGTGAGAAGCAGTATAAGACAAAGAAGAGAGCTTCGACATTAGACCTGGATTTGAATTGTGGCACTTAGGGCTTATTAACAAGGAACATGGATAAATCACTTCACTACTCTGAGCCTTAATTGTCCACGAATTGTAGACAATTGTCTAACTTTGTAGAGTTGTTGTGAGGATTACATGAGATCTACAAAATTCCAGCCTCAACAAATATCAGTGCCCTTCCTCATTCACAGTTTACAAAGTGCTTTCCTGTACATTTGAACCTCATGCAACGCTGTGAGGTAGGTATTATCATTATTCCCATTTTATAGATAAGACAATTGAAGCTATTCAGATAATTTGCTTATGCAAGGTCACATTAACTGACCAGTGTGGGGTAGGTGCAGAATTCAAGTATTTTAGCATCAGATGCCTAGCTCTCTCTGCGGCACCTGGATGCCTCATGTTCAGCACCTGAGTCCACCCTTGGTTACTGGCCCACTTCCTCTCAGCGAGGTGTACCTTCAGCTGTGCGGTAGCTGGTCTCTTAAAGGAGCCAGGCTCTAGTTGTCATCCTGGGCAGCTCCTGCTGCTACTGAAATTGACTTTGCTTTGAGGGACTTTTGTTTTTCTGGGGATTTATTAACTGAAGCTTTATTGCAAAAAAGAAAGTCTCTCAAGTGTGGGAGCTCACAACTCTTGCACTTCACAGAACACACCTTGAGTTTTCTTTCTGTAGGCAACAGGTCTCACTGACTTCATTCCTGATATTATCATAATGTAGAAGGGAAAATACTAAACGTCAGGTTGAGAAGAGCACACGCAGTAGGCTTGTGGCTACCTAGACCACTGTAAAGAAAATACAGCCTGTTCACAGGAACAAGAAGGAAGCATTACATTTAGGCTGTCCTCTCCTGCCTGTATCGTACCATTGACAGGAAAGAATAGCTTTTCTCAGAGAAGATGCTGGAAATAGAAAGTTGGACACTGATCTCTCAGGAGGCTTGTTCCTCGACTTCCCACTCTTCCCATATCTGGTTAAAAACTGCCACAATAAATAATAAAATTTTGATTTCATTTTTAAAAATTTTGCATATAGCTGTTTACATCTCTTTAATATTACTCATATTCATAGATACTCTTCATGTATTGAATGCAGCAGAAATTTGGAGAAATTATACTTTTCTATTTCTCTTTTTTAGAAGAGAGGAAGGAACCTCAAGAAATCTTTCCAGCTAACCTAGACAGCTAACCTCAGTCAGCAATCAGATACTGGCCTCCAGTGGCCGATTGGAGAATTAACTTTGTTAGCTAAGGTTTTCTCCAGGCACAATTGTAAGAGAACAAATGAAGGTCCTTGCCTATCAGTGGCACTTCCTTATCTCTTAGCATCCCACACCTTCCTGAGTTATAATGGTGGGAAGTTAGGTGGTGAGGTAAATCATCTCTTTGGCTAGAGGGCCATGTGTTTGAATCACACCTTACAGTGGCAGAGCTTGGCCACAGATAAGAGGCCCTGCTCGTATACATGAAGACTAGGTATTACCTGTGTGTTCCTCTTGCTTCCTGTTCCTACCCACTCAAAAGCTAAACCTTAAAAAGAAAAAGAGAGAAAAGAAAAGGAAACCAAAATTCTTTAGCCCAATTCTCTCCAAAATTGTGAACCTGGCTTAGCATAAGGCCAAGATGCTTTGGAAGATGTGTTATTTTGGCTAATATTTTAGGGCTGCAAAATACCAAATGGTGCCATCTGAACCTGCAATATGTTTCTATTCAAATCTAGAAGAGGAACTTAGGCTCAGGAACAGATCAAACTTCTATGGAATTTGGCCTTCTAGATGCCTTGAGTACATTTTGATAAAGTATACAAGGTCCCCAGGGAAAATTATGTTTATTATGAGCCAATTTTTAACATATATTTTCCATTAAATAGTTCTATTACAGTAGTACATCCTGCCAACATTTTGATAAATGTGAGCATATTGCTCACAGTAATTTTAACCTTTGGGAATATATTACATCACTTACAAAGCTCAACTTCCACAAAATGTTTCTTGGGAATGTTGACTCCAGAAATGTTATCAAGGAGAATAAATGGATTATATTTTTTATTCCAAATGAATGTATTCTAATTTACTAGGTTAATTGTATTTTTTCCTAGTTAAACCTCTTCACTCAGTCTAACTCAAGAGTTTTTGAATCACACAGTTTTAACAGCATTCTCAATCAGCCAACACGTTATCAGGTAAGCATTCATTAGACGTATCTCTTGATCTCTATGTGATTCCATATATGTCTGCGTGTGTGTTTGTGTGTGTGTCATGAGTTGAGTTATATTCTTGAGATATACCATTATACCATGAGGATAGTTCAGAACAAAGAAAATGATTCAACACCTGTGAAATTTTTTAAAAAAAAATTAAAAATAAAAGAAAATAGTATGTTAGTTGGAGGAGACTTTAGAAATCAGAGTCCAAGTCCTTCATTTTTTTAACTAAGAGTTCCTCTCACAATATTGAAAGCAAAGTGTTGCTACAATTGCCAAATAATGTATAACTTAAACTGGAGAAAGCAGTAGAAGACAGAGTATGTTAGAATGAATAATGCTCCCATGGCAGGAAAACTTGTTTTTTCTCTAGGTTTTTCTTTCAGGTGATCCATTTTTTAAATGGATTGTTTGGCTATACTGTTTCATGAGTGCTACTTTAAAATATCTTTTGCATTTTGATACTGGATGTGACATTTGAACACTATTCTCCAACTCAGGGGAAGTTATAGCCCTTTGTTTTTCATCTCGTTGATCATTTCGATCATCAAGTCTTTGACTTTCTAATGTGTATAAGTTCACAAAAGTGACGATCAAGGAATTTATAATATATTGGTGATGTCCGTTACTGCGTATTGTTCTATTTTTTATCCAATTTTTTTAGAAGCAGGAAACCACAAAATGGCTCAGCCCACTGATTGTCAAAGTCTTTTTTTTAAGAAAATTTTTGTAAATTTTACATATTTGTTTATTTTTGTTTTATTGGTTTTGTCTAACTTTATTTTTAATTGATAAATAATTATACTTACTCATTGTCTACATAGTGATGTTTTGATACATATGTAGGAATCAGATCAGGGTAATTAGCATATCCATCATCTCAGACATCTATCATTTCTTTGTGTTGGTAACATTCAGTATCCTCCTTCTAGCTATATGAAACTATATAATATTAATATATCATTGTTAACTATGGTCATGCTATAGTGGTATAGAACAGTGGTCCCCAACCTTTTTGGCACCAGGGACCGGTTTTGTGGAAGACAATTTTTTCACAGATGGGGTGGAATGATGGTTTCAGGGTGAAAGTGTTCCACCTCAGATCTTCAGGCTCTTCAGGCATTAGATTCTCATAAGGAGTGCACACCCTAGATCTGTCACATGTGCAGTTCACAATAGGGTTCACAATAATAGGAGAATCTAATGCCGCTGCTAATCTGACAGGAGGTGGAGCTCAAGCGGTAATGCTCGCTTGCCAGCCTGTCACTTCCTGCTGTGCAGCCTGGTTCCTGACAGGCCACGGACAGATGCCAGTCCTTCATCTGCGGGTTGGGGACTCCTGGTGTAGAACACTAGAAGTTATTCCTCCTATCTAGCGGTAATTTTGTATCCTTTAACAAATCTCTCCATATCCCTCCCTACCCCTTACCCTTCCCAGTCTCTAGTATCCTTCGTCCTACATTTTACCTCTGTGAGATCAACTTTTTTTAGCTTCCACATATGAGTTTATGAGTTAGAACATGCGGTGCTTAACTTTATGTTCCTGGCTTATTTCACTTGACATAATGTCCTCCAGTTCCATCCATGTTGCTGCAAATGATGGGATTTCAATCTTTTTTATAGCTGAATTGCATTCCGTTGTGTATATATACTACATTTTTTATACATTCATCTGCTGTTAGACACCTAGGTTGATTTCATATTTTGAATATTGTGAATAGTGCTGCAATAAAACATGTGGGTGCAGTTGTCTCTTTGATATAATGATTTCTTTTCCTTTAGATAAATTCCCGTAGTGGGGTTGCTGGATCATATGGTAGCTCTATTTGTAGTTCTTGGAAAATCCTCCATACTGTTCTACATAATGGTTGTACTAGTTTACATTCCCATCAACAACATATTAGAGTTCCCTTTCTCTGCATTCTTACCAGCATTTTTTTTTTGTCTTTTTGATAGTAGACATTCTAACTGGAGTGAGATGATAACCTCATTGTGGTTTGGTTAGTGATGTCGAGCATTTTTTCATATATCATTGACCATTTGTATGTATTCTTTTGAGAAATGTCTGTTCAGATTATTTGCCCATTTTTAATTGGAATTTTTTTTTTTTTTTTTTTTTTTTTTTTTTTTTTTTTTTGCTGTTGAGATGATTGAGTTCCCTGTATATTCTGGATATTAATCCCCTATTGGATGAGCAATTTGCAAATATTTTCTCCAATTTTGTAGGCTGTCTTTTCACTGTTGTTTTTTCCTTTGTTGGTATGAACCAAACCAAGAAGCCTTTGGTTTGGTATGATCCCATATGTTTATTTTTGCTTTTGTTACTTCTGCTTTTGAGGTCTTGTTCATAAAATATTTTCCCAGACCAGTGTCCTGAAGCATTTCTCCTATGTTTTTTTCTACTAGTTTTATCATTTCAGGTCTTACATTTAGGTCTTTGGTCCATTTTGCCCTGATTTTTATACAAGGTGAGAAGTGGGAGTCTAGTCTTATTCTTCTGCATATGGATATCCAGTTTTCCCAGCACCAGTTATTGAAGAGACTGTCCTTTTCCCAATGAGTGTTTTTGGCATCTTTGTAAAAACTCAGTTGGTTATAGACACATGGATTAATTTCTGAGTTCTTAATTCTGTTCCATAGGTTTATGTGTCTTTTTATGCCAGTACCGTGTAGTTTTGGTTTCTACAGCCTGGTAATATATTTTAAGGTCCGATTGTGTGATACTTCCAGATTTGTTCTTTTTGCTCAGGATTGCTTTGGCTATTTGGGGTCTTTTATGATTCCCTACAAATTTTAGGATATTATTTCTATTTCTGTGAATAATGTCATTGGTATTTTGATAGGAGTTGCATTGAATCTGTAGATTGCTTTGAGTACCGTTGTCATTTTAACAGTAGTAATTCTTCTGATCCATGAGCATGTGGTACATTTCCCTTTGTTTGTATCCTCTTCAGTTTCTTTCATCAGTGTTTTGTAGTTTTCCTTGAAGAGGTCTTTCATCTCCTTGGTTAATTTATACCTGAGTATTGTAAATGGCATTGCCTTTTTTATTTTCTTTTTCAAGTAGTTTGTTGTTCGTGTATAGAAATGCAACTGATTTTTGTATGTTAATTTTGTATTCTGCTACTTTACTGAATTTGTTTATCAGTTCTAAAAGTTTTTTGGTAGAGTCTGTAGGTTTTTCAATGTATACGATCATGTTGTCTGCAAACAGGGACAATTTGACTTCCTCCTTTCCAATTTGGATACCCTTCTTTCTTTCTCTTGCCTAATTGTTCTGGCCAGAGCATCCAATACTATGTTGAATAAGAGTGGTGATAGTGAGCATCCTTGTCTTGTTACACTTCTAAAAAACCTTTCAGCTTTTCCCAGTTCAGTAAGATGTTAGCTGTGGGTTTGTTGTATGCCTTTATTACATTGAGATTCTTTCTTTCTATACCTAATTTATTAAGATTTTTTATCATAAAGGAATATTGAATTTTATGAAAAGCTTTTATCATCTGTTGAGATAATCATACAGTTTTTATCCTTCATTCTGTTGATGTGATGTATGATGTTTATTGATTTTTGTATGTTGAAACATCCTTGCATTCCTGGGATAAGTCCCACTATCAAGTGGGATTTTGATGTGATTTTGGATTTGGTTTATTAATATTTTATTGAGGATTTTTACATCTATGTTCATCAGGGATATTGGCCTGTAGTTTTATTGTGTCCTTATTTTGGTATTGGGGTTATACTGGTCTCATAAAGTGAGTTAAGAAGAATTCCTTCTGCTTTAATTTTTTCGATTAGTTTGAGAATAATTAGTATTAATTCTTCTTTAAAGGTTCAGTAGAATTCAGCAGTGAAACCATTTGGTCCTGGACTTTATTTTATTTTTTTGGGAGATGTTTTATGCACTCATTTAATCTTGTTACCTGTTTTTGGTCTGTTTAGATTTTCTATTTCTTCTTGGTTCAATCTTGGTAGATTGAATGTGTCTGTGATTTTATCTATTTTCCCAGGTTTTCTAATTTATTGGCATATGGTTATTCATAGTAGTCTCTAGTGATCTTTCATATTTCTCTATTATCCATTGTGATGTCTCCTTTTTCATTTTCTGATTTTATTTATTTGAGTCATATCTCTCTGTTTTTAAGTTACTCTAGCTAATGATTTGTCAATTTTGTTTATCTTTTTAAAAAAAACTTTGTTTTGTTGATTTTTTGTATTTATTTTAGTCTCAATTTTGTTTATTTCTGCTCTAATCTTTATTATTTCTTCTACCAATTTGGGGTTTGATTTGTTCATGCTTTTCTTGCATGCTTTTTTCAAGCATTTTTTATGCTTTTTTCCCTTTATGTGCATCATTAGATTGTTTGAAATCTTTCTAGTTTTTTGATGGATGTAGGCATTTATTGCTATAAACTTGCCCCTTAATCCTGCTTTTGCTGTGTTGCATGGGTGTTGGTATGTTGTATTTCTATTTTCACTCATTTCAAGGAATATTAAAATTTCATTCTTAATTTTTTCCTTGACTCATTGGTCATTCAGGAATATGTTGTTTAATTTTCATGTATTTGCATAGTTTCAAATGTGCCTTTTGTTATGATGTCTAATTTTATTCCATTGTGGTCAGATAAAATACTTGATATAATTTTGATTTTATTAAGTTCCTGAGACTTGTTTTATGTCCTAACATATGGTCAATCATAGAGAATGTACCACGTGCTGATTAAAAGAATATATGTTTTGGGGTTGGGTCTGGTAGCTCACACCTGCCTTGGAAGGCCAAGGCAGAAGGATTGCTTAAGCTCAGGAGTTTGAGACCAGCCTGGGCAACATGGTGAGACCTTGTCTCTGCAAAAGTGAAAAAAATTAGCCAGGCATAGTGGCACATGCCTGTAATCCTACATACTTGGGAAGATGGGGTAGGAGGATCACCTGAGCCCAAGAAGTTGAGACTGCAGTGAGCCATGATTGTACAACTGCACTCCAGCCTAGGGTACAGAGTGAGACACTGTCTCAAAAAAAAAAAAAAAAAAAAAAAAAACAGAATGTGTACTTTCCAGCTGTTGGGTAAAATGTTCTGTAAATATATTTTTGGTCCATTGGTCTTGGTGTAGTTTAAATCTGATGGTTTTTTGTTGATTTTCTGTCTGAATGATCTGTCTAATGCTGAGAGTGAGGTTGAAGTTCCCAACTATTATTATATTAGGATATATTTCTCCCTTTAGACTTAATAATATTTGCTTTATATATCTGAGTGCTCTAGTATTGGGTGCATGTATATTTATAACTGGTATATTCTCTTGCTGAGCTGATCCCCTTATTATTATATAATGCCTTTCTTTGTCTCTTTTTAAAGTTAAAGTTTTACTTTTGGTAGTTACATTGTATTCCATCATATGGTTATACTTATTTAATCATTCTTTTATTGATGAAAATAGAGGATATTGCTAATATTTAGCTATTATAAGCAACACTGTAGTAAGTCATTTTGTATATATAACATCTCAATCATGAACAAATACATGGAATTGTCTGGTTAAAGTATATTTGAATTTTAATTTTTTAGCTATTATCAAACTGATGGAGCTTGTACTAACTTACATTCTTACAATAAATATATGAGAGCACCTATTTCCTCCCTAATTTACAAACAGTGTGTTACCAAAGGTTTTTATCTTCACCAGATAGGTTAAAATGTGCTGCTTTGCATTTCTTTATCATGAATGAGTTTTACCTTCCTTTTTATGTTTAATGTTATATATCCTTATGTCTCCATATATATTTGCTTTACTTGAAGGGCTTTTTGTTATCAATGAAGAGGAATTCTTCATATTTTAACAATATTAGCCTTTGTGTTATGACTTAAGAATGTTTTTTACCAGGTTATTGTGTGTCTTTTTAATATTTAAAGTATTTTTTCCCATTCACAACTTTTTTTATTTTTGTATAGTCAACGTTACAAATTGTTTATGGCGTCAGGTTTTGTGTCCTACTTGGAAAGATTTTTCCCCCATAGGAGATTATTTAATATTTTTAACTCATATTTCTTTAGTTCTTTCACTTCTTTGGACTCTGAAAATATTTGATTCATATAGAATATATTTTCATTTAACCTGTAGGATGGGAATCCAAATATGTTGTCTTTCCAGATTATTATACAGTTGGGTGTGTTGAATAATCTATCTTTTCTATTGATTTGAAATACCACTTTAATAATTTACTAAATTCCTGTATAAATTTATTTCTAGGCTTTTCATTCTGTTCCACTGATCTATTCATGCTGTAGAACCACATTATCATAATTATTATAGTTTAAGACAAAAATCAAACAAACAAAACACACATACATGTGCATTCTTGCACGTGTGTACATACACACGCACACACGCACACACACATACACATCCTTACTTCAGGGTTTTTATTTTACAGAATTTCCTATTATTTTTCCTTTCATTCTTTTTTTTTTTTTTTTTGTGACAGAGTCTGCCTCTCTTGCCCAGGCTGGAGTGCAGTGGTGCAATCTCGGCTCACTGCAACCTCCACCTCCTGGATTCAAGCAATTCTCCTGCCTCAGCCTCCCGAGTAGCTGGGACTACTGGTGCCTGCCACCACACCCAGCTAACTTTTGTATTTTTAGTAGAGATTGGGTTTTACCATGTTGACCAGGCTGGTCTTGAACTCCTGACCTCAAGTGATCCACTTGCCTCAGCCTCCCAAAATGCTGGGATTAAAGGTATGAGCCACCAGCACCCAACCTCTTCCTTATTTCTCTATTTGAATTTTAAGGTGGGCTTGTCTGCTGGTATCTTTATTTTGATCACGTTAAGGCAAATTGATGCTTTATAATGTTGTGTTTTCTTTTCTAAGGATATACTTTTCGATTTATTAGGTCTTTTGTGTATTCAGTGACATTTTAAAGTAGTCCCCTTATTATTTATATTAATTATGATTAATTTGGTGCAGTTCTCACAAAACCACCACATACAAACCTTTAAATGGCTAAAAGAAAATAGAAATTTATTTCTCTCTCATGTTCCTAATGTGGTACCTAACAATGTCAGGGACCCAGGCTTTTTCCATCGTATTACTGCATCATGAATGGCTTTCAGTCTAACATTATCTCATGTTCCAAGAAAGCTCCTGGAGCTCTGCCTATTATTTCTACATTCCAAAATACAGTTAGAAAGTGATAGAGAAGAAAGTTCCTTCCTATAAGAAATTTCTGTAAAGTTGCACAAACCACCTATCTGCAATGGAGCCTGGAAAATAAAGTCCTAATTTCAAGTGGCCATGTGCCAAACTAAAAAGCTGTGGAAGAGAAGTGGCAGTGTCTGCTGAAGTGGATTATACTATATGTCTTGGTGTTTATCTTAATATTTTTAAACATACTTAGATCTCTGTTAATTGATTGATATGTTTCAAGTTTTATCTTTTGATCCTTCAGCTCTAAACTATGAAGAAAATCAATATCCGTGTTTTATTTACACCATTTTCCCCCTTCCTCTCCCAGCTCCTGCTTGTTAAATTATTAGAACTGTGTTTGTTGGGGGAAGAAGAATAATTTTCTTAATCCCTTTAGGTTCAGTACCTGGGGGCTATGAATTAAACTGACAACTGACTGATAAACAGGAGGGGAAAAAAGGATTATTTATGCATGCAGTGCACATACCTGTAGAAAAACTCAGTGATGAGTGGCTCAAAGGAGTAGTTGGCATTTGGGGCTTATATACCAACTTAACAAGGGACAAGAAGTTTGTGGAGAAGGGATATGACAAAGGAAAAAGTGTTTGGGTTGCTAAAGGTAGTAAATTGTTGGAAGGTAAATATGTGGGAGAAACTGATAGAAGATACAGGTTATTTTAGTAAGGTTTGCTTGTGCAGAACCACCTTGGTGCTGACTTTCTGTCCCCAGTGGTAATGATTGTTTTTCCTCCTGCTAATCTGGGAGGGGGAGAGGAAGAAGATCTTCACAAAGGGAAATGTATGTCCTGTTTTTAGGCAGATGGGTTAGGGCAGAGAACTCTTTCTGTGTTTGCTACTTTTTAATTGCCTTTAGCTCAAAATAATCCTTATGCCAAAATGGCATATTTTGGGGTGACATATTCTGATCCACTTCACTACCTTGTCAGGACTATAGCCTACATTTGGTTTAGTTTTAGTCCCACAGTTAAACATAGTCAGTATTCACCACCAGTCTTTTTTGCCATAATTTTCTGTTTATCTCTTTCTTAGCTTAACTTTGTCTTTTGGTAGTTCCTTCAAGAAGAGTTTATGAGAACTATGTTCTCTGAGTTATTTTATGTTCTAAATTAGTTTCTATTTCTATATATTTATATTGACTACCTGTAATATACTTAGGTTATAATTTATTTTTAATGTATGTGTAGATGTTGCTCCAGAGCCTCCTGAAATGGAATGTTGATGTGGAAGAGTTTGAGGCCAGCCTGATTGTTTTCCTCATATAGTTGACCGGAGGTTTTAGTTTGAATGCCCCAAATATCTTTATCTTTTAAATCCTACAACTTGGTATTGATTGTTCTATAGATGGATCTGTATCAATTTTTCCTGGCATACACTATGGCCTTTCTATTTTTTTGTTTTTTAAGATGGAGTCTTGCTGTGTCACCCAGGCTGGAGTGCAGTGGCGTGATCTCGGCTCACTGCAATCTCCACCTCCCAGGTTCAAGTGATTGTCCTGCCTCAGCCTCCCAAGTAGCTGGGACTACAGGTGCCGCCACCACACCTGGTCAATTTTTGTATTTTTTTAGTAGAGATGGGGTTTCATTGTGTTAGCCAGGATAGTCTCGATCTCCTGACCTCATGATCCACCCATCTCGGCCTCCCAAAGTGCTGGCATTACAGGCATGAGCCACTGCACCTGGCCACACTATGGCCTTTCAATATGTACGTTTAGTCTTCTTTTAATTTTTGAATAATTTTATTGAAATATCTCAAGACATTTTTCTGCTCCATTATTTTGAATTTCTTCTTCAAAGACACCAATTTAAAGCCTGCTGAATTCTTCTTGACTGTCTTCCATATCTACCATTTTTTCCCTATTCATTTTGAATTTTTCATCCATTTCTATTTTTGGCTCCTTTTTCCTCAAACTTTATTTTTTAATTTTATTTTTAATTGACACATTATAATTATGCATACTTATGGCATACAGTGTGATATTTCAATACATGTATACGTTGTGTAAGGATCAAAGCAGTGTATTTGGCATGTTCATCACCTTGTTCATTTATCATTTCTTTGTTGTAAGACCATTCAAAATCCTCTCTTCTAGCTATTTTAAAACATACAATACAATGTTGTTAACTATAGTCCCCCTACTGTGCCCTGTAACACCTTAAATTACTTCTTCTATCTAACTATAACTTTGTACCTGGTGACCAACTTCTCCCTACTTCCCATTCCCCCTGCCCTCTCCAACTTCTGGTAGCCACTATTCTACTCTCTACTTCTATGAGATAAACTTTTTAAGATGTCACATATGAGTGAGATCATATGATATTTGCCTTTCTGTACCTGGCTTATTTCATTTAACATTATGTCCTCCAGGTCCATCTGAGTTGCCACAAAGACAAAAAGTCATTGTGGCTGAATAGAATTCCACTGTGTGTATATATACAACCATACTTTCTTTATCTGTTCATCTGCTGATGGACAGTTAGGTTGATTCCATATTTTGGCTGTTGTGAATAGTGCTGCAGTAAACATGGGAGTACAGATGTCTCTTCAACATACTGATTTCATTTCCTTTGGGTATATACCAGTAGTGGGATTGCTGGATCATATGGTAGTTCTATTTTTAATTTTTTAAGTATCTATTCAATATACTGATTTCATTTCCTTTGGATATATACCCAGTAGTAGGATTTTTGAATCATATGGTGGTTCTATTTTTAATTTTTTAAGGAACTTCCATACTGTTTTCTGTAATGGCTGTACTAATTTTACATTCCTATCAATAGTATATGAGTTCTCTTTCTCCACATCCATACCAGCATTTGTTATTTTTTGTCTGTTTGATAATAGCCATCCTAACTAGGGTGAGGTGAAATCTTATTGTGGTTTTGATTTGCATTTCTCTGTTGATTAGTGATGTTGAACATTTTTTCATATGCCTGTTGTCCATTTGTATGTCTTCTTTTGACAAATGTCTCTTCAGGTCTTTTGCCCATTTTTAAATTGGATTACTTGTTTTTTGCTGTTGAGTTGTTTAAGTTTCTTATATATTCTGGATATTAACCCCTTGTCAGATGTGTAGTTTGAAAATATGCTTGATGTAATCCCATTTGCCTATTTTTGCTTTTGTTGCCTGTGTTTTTGAGGTCTTATCCAAAAACTCCTTGCCCAGACCAGTGTCCTGAAGTATTTCCCCTGTTTTCTTCTAGTAGTTTTATCATTTTGAGTCTTACACCTGAGACTTTATTTTGAAATGATTTTTGTATATGGTGAGAGGTAGAGGTCTAGTTTTATCCTTCTGCATGTGGATGTCCAGTTTTCCCAGCACCATTCATTGAAGAGACTGTCCTTTCCCCAATGTATGTTCTTGGTGCATTTGTTGAAAATCAGGTAGCTGTAAGTGCTTCCTGGTTCATAGACAACTGTCTTCTCACTCTGTCTCATATGGCAGAAAAGGGACAAGGAAGTTCTGTGGGGTCTCTTTTATAAGAGCACTAATCCCATTTGTAAGGGTGGAACCTAATCACCTCCTAATACTATCACATTGGAGGGGTAGGATTTGAACACATGAGCCTGGGGTGGACAAAACATTCAGTTCATAACAATGAGTAATAATAACAATTGTTTAGTTGTTAGAGATTTTTTTTCATGCAGCCTGATTATAATAGGTAAGACTTACCTTTAAAACTATTACAGAACTTGGAGGTGGGCGTGGTGGCTCACGCCTGTAATCCCAGCACTTTGGGAGGCCAAGGTGGGTGGATCACCTGAGGTCAAGAGTTTGAGACCAGCCTGGTTAACATGGTGAAACCCTGTCTCTACTAAAAAAAAAAAAAACAGAACTTGGTCTGCTAAATAGGGATTTTTCTTTCAAAGTGATAACTCTTAGAATATACTAATTCTAATGAGGCTATCACAACTCAGAATATTTTTAGAACATCTTTAAAGAATTACTTTTATAATTAGTCCATAAGACTCAAAAAATGTTTCATTTTTTTCTAGTTACTGAACTTAGCTAATTATTCCTATTAATAAGACTTAGTGCCATGACTTTGCATTTTTTTAAAAAATGATCACATCCAACTTCAACAAACATGTAGCCATCACCAATAGGGTCATCACCTTATGTGTTTTATATCCAAATGAGGGTTTTTTTCTCCAAAACAATTTCTTCAAAGACAGAGATTCAAATATGCCCCAAGGGGCCACAGCGGAAGAGTTTCAAAAATGTTTTGATCAGGGCCAGACATGGTGGCTCACTTCTACAATTCCAGTGCTTTGGGAGGCTGATGTGGGAGGGCAGTTTGAGTCCAGGAGTTTGAGGCTGCAATGAGCTATGATCATGTCACTGAACTCCAGCCCTGGTGACACAGCAAGACGCTTTCTCTCAAAAAAAAAAATACCAAAAATGTTTTGATCAATAGTGGTATTTATATTAAAATTAATTATTAATAGCATGTTGAAGTAATTCTTTTATGTGTGTAAAGAATTTTTTTTAACTGGGCGTGATTTTTTTCTCAAGAACATACTCAGGAGGATGGCCATGATTAAATTCTGCTAATTTTAACAATATTTTATTTATTATTTATTATAACGATATTTGTGTTTGGTTATTTCAAGTTAAAAGCACGCAGATATGCTATGATATGTTAAGAAATAGGAATTTATTGTGAGACTCCACTGAAGCTGGACTATGAGTTCTTGAGTTTTATTCTCTCTGTTGTCTCTTGCTGGCAGATCTGCTTTCACAGATGACTTCGCTTTGGTAACACCCTTGGTCCAAACAAATACAGTATTGGACAGTCTTTGGCCCAGGTGGTGGACTCTGGTCCAATCCATGAAGGATATCATTGATGGCTTGGTTTTACTGGAAGCACATGAGAGTTTTTCTCTAAATGGGGCAAAATGAGATGTTCCTGAACTCCACTCACAGTGAGCTTCAGGCACATTCAGGGACAACCCCTGTTATATACATGATGTTAGGTTATACAGATACAAAGATATAAGTCATGCCTTCAAGAATCTCTCCATTGAAGTAGAATGGCAGTGTTGAGGTTAGGAGGAAGGAAAGGAAAGTATAAGTAGACAAATATTCACATAACGCTACATGCTATGTAGTATAGTTATGCCTATATATGAAATAGAAATAAATATAAATGCAATGAAATATAAATAAAATGGTTTGGGAATAGAGAAAACAAAAATAGCTCAGAGCAGTCTGAACTATGTGAGGTATGCAGGCCCAGAGAACATGAGTATGGGACTTTCAGTCACAGTCCCCTACCTCTACCCACGCCTGAGGGCAGTTGTTTAAATTCATTTGTTCCTGACTTGCAGCCTCACCTGTTATCTTCATGTACCTAGAATTTGTGATACAAAGAACAATGTATAACCAGTCAAAAGCTTATGTTATTTCAATGTAAGTCCTTGATAAACAACTTAGGAACTGCCTCTTCTTTTCCTTTAAAAACCCACTAGTAATTGCTGCGAATTGGAGCACATATTCAGGGCAACTTGAATCTGTGCTCCCCAGGTTGCAGTCCTTAAACTTGGCCCAGATAAACTCTCTACTTATATATTTAGTTTGCCTCAGATTTTTTCTTTAGGTCAACAGAACTGGGAAACCTACAAGAGAAGATATTTTAAAGTCAATCAATAGGTTTGCAGGTCCCTCTTCAAAAAAAACAAAAAACAAAAAAATGCAGAAAAAAGTAACAGGTAAAAGTCAATCAAGTAGAATAAAAAACAAATTTATTCTCTGTTACCCCAAAGAACAGAATTTGGACCGATAGTTATTTTGGCTTCAAAACAAAGGAGTTGTTTTCTAACAGCTATAGTTGTCCAAAAATAGATTAAACCAGCTGTCTGGAAAAATAGCAGGCCCTCAATCACAGAAGTTTATACAGAAGCTGTGTAATGGTAATCTTTCACAAAGTTTCGTGAGTGGTATAAAAACATGAAAAACAATGATTCCCAAGGTCCTTTTCCTTTCTAAAATTTTACTCTGTACTTCTGAGTTTTTTTTCTATTTGTCTACATCAGTCTTATTACCCTTCATTCACACTTTTTAGATTGTTAAAATTCATAGTACAAAATCTACTAATAAGAGTCAAATTTGGCTTCTCTGTAGAATTAAGTGAGAGAATGAATGTAAAAGTACCTGATAGAGTGCTTAACAATTATTAGTTGAATTTGAATCAGTAAAAATACCAAGTGAGAAGAAAAACTTTCACTCCTTTCAGGAAGGAAGATATCTAACCACCCCGCAGCTACCCAACCACCCACATCTTATTTCTTCTCCCAGTCTTAACGGAGGGTTGAAAAATGAACTTGGGTTTGTTTGCAGGAAGGACTGTTTGAAGTAAGTACCGCCTGGAATCTTTACCTGGTTACCACTCAATTTCAGTTTTGGAACCTCTCTCTAGGATTTCCATACCCTGGACAGAGAAAATCAATAGTCTTTATAGAGTTAGAATGTCTTCCTTAAAGAGTGACTCACAGGCTTGTACCAAGAAAGCTATATAATTTCTGGAGGTTTGTGGAATGTGGAAGTTAATCTATAGACTTCTTTTGTGTTAGTTAGTTAGCAATTTGAGCAAGAGGGAAAAAAGATGAATCTGTTATTGGTCAGTTTAATTTTTTGTACTAGCTTTAATTAAAGAATCAGTTGGAAATTTAGTTAAAGGTAGTATTTAAAATGGTACTTTTACTTGTTACATATGAGTTTCATGGTCCTTGCTTGTGGTACCATCATTAAGATGGATTTATCAAGATTTGCTTTACAGAAGCATAGATAATAATGAAAGAATAATAGTTATATTATTTGAGCACCTACTATGTAATTTACATGTATTGTCTCTTTTACAAGACACTGTCTAGCATTTCCATTACACAGATTAAGATACCAAGGTTCCAGAGCTTGTGAATGATGGAGTCACAACTCAAAACTACATGATTTGTTCTTGCAACTCACAGTCTCAACTGTGTTAAAGAAAACCAGAGCCAGACAGCAGCTAAAGTGGTAAAAACAGATTTTATTCAGGAACTATTGCGATAGGGGGAGAGAGACCTCAAGAGTCTTTGTTGCCTATTACACAATACTGTCTTGGGTTTACTAGACAAGCTTCCTAATAGAATGGGGATGGCCAATCTTTGTCTCCTTCTCTGAGCTGCAGATCATTTTAGAATTCTCATGAACTATCTTTCCAACATGAACAAAGGGATGGACTATTACCAGGTAGTGTCATGTGTGGCGAAACTGATTTCTGTCTAATCTCAGGTACCTTCTTGCCTTGTGCAGAGGCTCAACTTGTCTCAGCACTACTTTTTAAATAGTCATTTCTTTTCCACCAATTTGTATTACTGCCTTTCAAGCTGCTTTCAACTGATACACATAATTTTGTATTTTCATTTTATAGGAATCTGTCTTCACTGTCCCCTAAATTTAACCAGATCCCTGATATGTTCACCCATTATTGTGAATGGTTCCATATCAATATGAAGTTTCACTGGACTGGGGACTGTGTTCACTGTTGTATTCCTAGCACCTGGTACAGTACCTGCCACAGAATTGGCTCTCAATAAATATTTGCTGAATGAATGAATCAGTCCAGTTTAAGATCCATCCAGCTGTGAGTCTGTCCTGGGATCTAGATTCTACAAAATTCAACAGGTTTTATGTCTTACAGTGACTGGAAAAATGAGCTTTTCCTTTTCAGTAGCGTGGGCCCTCTCAGTCTGTTGTTATTCTCTGCATAACATTTTGAATCTTCCTGGATTCTTCTCTTTTACTTGACCTTGGCATAATTTCTACTTTCTTAAAATTGAAGTATATATTTTCTACTCTCGCTATGTCTGCATTTTAGTTCAGGTCTTTTTCCCTTTCCTTTGTTATCTTTTATATACAACATTTGTTACATGCTTAAGAATATGTGTAATGCAAAATAAATTATGAAGCATAATTACATTCACACCTATGAAACCACCACCGACCTGACAATGATAACATTATCCGTCCATTGCCTCTACTTATATGCACCTTGCTACCTACTCCTCTGCCTCCACCTAAGAGTTAATCCCTATCTTGAAGTTGGGTTTCTCCTCTTCTTGCTTTGATTTTCTTTTCAAATATAATTTCTTATATGTGTCAGTATTCCTAAAAATATATTCTACAGATTTACTTGTTATTGAGCTTCATAAGAATAGCTTCATACTCTGTGGTCTTCTGCAACTGGAATTTTTCATTCAACATTATGCTTCTAAGATTCATCCACACTGTTGTGTGTGGCTATGGTGCATTAATTTCATTAATGAACACAATAACATTACATTGAAAATACTGCAATTTGTCTATTCTTGTTAATATTTGTTTAGATTGTTTCCAGTGTTTTGCAATTTCAGACAGGGTTGCTACAAACATTGTTGTATGTCTCTTGGTTCATACCTACAAAGTTTCTCTAGGCCTTTTACTGAGAAGTGGACTTCTAGCTGAAAGGGTATGTAAATGTTCAACTTTAAAAGATAATACCACCTGGATGCAGTGGGTCATGTCTATAGCTCCAGCTGCTTGAGAGGCTGAGGCAGGAGGACAGCGTTGAGCCCAGGAGTTTGAGGCAAGCCTGTGCAATATAGTGAGACTCCACCTCTAAAATTTTGTTAATAGAAATCAATTTAAAAACTAAAAAGATAGTACTAAATTGTCTTCAAAGTTGTCTGCAGTCTTGCCAGTAAAATATAAAAGTCCCCATTGATCCATATCCTTTCTAACACTTGGCATAACCAGATTTATTAATCGTTCTCTTTATTAGATGTAAAATTGTGTCTCCTTTTAGTCATAATTTGTATTTCCCTGCAACAGAGTTTGAAATTGTTTCTTAAGCTTGTTGACCCTTCACGTTTCCATTTCTGTGAAACATTTGTTTGTCTTTTGCCCATTTTAAAATCGGGTTATTTGAGTTTTTCTTATTGAATTAAAGTTCTTTATATATTTGGATATAAATTATTTTTAATTACAAGCATTACCAATATTTTCTCCCAGTTTATGGCTTGCCTTTTCACTTTCTTTATAGTATCTCTTTAAACAGAAATTTTAAATTGTAATGAAGTTGAATTTATCAGTCTTTTCTATTGTAATCAGAAGTTTTAATCTTGTTTTTTTAAAAATACAGGTCTACCCCAAATTTATAAATATACTCTCTTATATAATACGTTCTTTTAAGGGTTCAGAAGCTTTGTCTTTCACATTTAAGATGCAAATGGAATTAATTTTTGTGTTCATGGTATGAAATAGGGCTCCAATTTAATTTTTTCCATATGGGTAAACAGTTATCCTAGAAGAGCATTTATTTAGACTGAAAATAGTCACATATATTGCTATTAGAGAAACGTATGCAATATAACAAAATATATGGCATTTAGAAAACATAAAATATAATACTTACAGTAATTAGTATATATACAAATTTTAAAGAAAAGATATTGGAAGGGCATACACCAAAATGAAAACAGTGATTATCTTTGGCTGGTGAGGTTGCCAATGATTTCATTTGTTTATTTTGTTCTTCTGTATATTTTCCAAATTCTCTATATAGAGTATACATTGATGTATTTTTCTAAATACTGGGAAATAAGGTAGTGTCTATGGGTGATAATGTGGTGTCAATGTAATTTAAAAAGAAACTATTAGTTGAAAGAGGAGCCATGAATTCAAATCTTCAAGCTTAACTTCTTTTTAAAAGCTTCTTCCGTTTCTGAGGCAAAAAAAAAGTATTGGTGGATTATGCAGTAAGTCTCAGTAGAAGGCATTAAGAGAGTTAAGTTCTGAAACCTGCGTAATTTTTCTATACATAGTTATAAAATTTTTTTCTCCCCTGAGTTGTTTGCTTTACAGGTATGTAAGCCTCTTTGGAAAATAGGATTGGGGCACTTATGTATATCATTGGAGATCTAATCATTTACTTTTGCCCAACAGCAGATAATGAAAAGACTTATAAAGCGGTATGTTTTGAAAGCACAAGTAGACAAAGAAAATGATGAAGTTAATGAAGGTAAGCATCTCCAACTTAAAAAATATCCTTTTATAGCTAACTTAATGAACCTGGAAAACTTAATGTTGAGGCATATTTTAAAAATCCAATCCCAGGTTATAGTTTGGATGCCTCTAAGATGGGAGGAGGATCTTATGTTACGTTTCTAAAACTTCATCTTTTAAAATAAACAGTTATTTACAATATTGATCAGAGGCAATTTATCTCTACTCATAGTGCCCTAACTGATTCTTAGAATGTAAAGACTGACATCTTTCTAGGAGTTTTTTAATCCTTCTGACATAAGGTAGTCAGTAAGTATTGGTTACATTTTCAATGAGTTCACATTAGTGTTAACATTTTTCCAGTTAAGCAGATAAAAGAACAGTGACTCAAACAGAATTCATGTCTTCAGGAAAACCTCTGTTTTATTGTTCAGAAACACATTTTTAACCTGTTTTTCTTGTCTGGTGCGTCTCTTTTGAATTTCACTTTCCCCCCTGCCTCCTTACTTTAAGCAAGCTTATTTTTTTAAGGCATATTTGAGGCAGGGCATCTCTCTGGACTATAAAAATTTTTTACCAAAGTCTAGGATGTAGAGCTAAACACAGGCCCAGAGTTGGAAAGAAATCAACCAGGGAGAAATAAGTTGCCCTAAAAATGGAAACTGTACCTTCCAACACCAATGAGATGCCACTAAATCTATCTACACTGATAAAAGAGGAAAGGACTAAACTTAATAAAATTGTTCATAGGCTTTGAAGCCATTACTTGATTAATACAAGGAATGCATTTTAAATGTAAATCAATCCAATAGTGTATGTATGTAGAAGAGAAACCTGTGAATTTATAATCGATAACTAGCAAAAATCTAATCATGGTGACCTAATCAATCTGTCTCAGGAGAAAGGATTGGAATGAGGTTGTAGTTTAGAAAGCAGAAGTCTGATGAGTTGTACCGTAATCTCCATGGGGGGTGGAGAGGGAGGAACAAAGTGGGAAGAACTGTATGGCTAAAACGGCATAAAAAACAAGAAGCATTTCCCAAGCCCTTGCACAAAAGGGGAAAATCAATGAGAATTTGGAGTTTTGAACAAAGTTCTTACTAAGAAAATGTGTCATATAATCTCCTCATTTAATTAATGAGGAAACTAAAATCTGAAGAGTTTGAGTAACTTGTGTTTCCTGAATTGGCAGATTAAATATTTAATACAACACATAGGTTGTAGTCTCCCCATGAGTCGGGGACAAGGAAGAAAGGATAGTAGAAGGTGAAGTAGGGCAGGGGGTCTCCTGCGGTACTGAATGGTGTGAGAATCCACTCCTTCCACTGAAGTCTGCCTCATGATTTCAAATAAGATCAGTTTATTCCTTTTATATTGCCATATGCCAAAGGAAGCACTTTTTTTTTTTTTTGCCACAAAAGGGCTCCTCAAATGTTTTGTGTGTATTCCTGAGTTAGAATTCTTTTCAAATAAAAATGCTCTGACTTTTATATAATAGAAGAATATTGAAATTATACTTTAAAGCATATTAAAGATACCAGGAAATATCATCAAAGGTGTGTTTTAAATGCCATTTTATTATAAAAACCTAAGTCAATGGTTTGAAGAATCATTTCTTAGATTCAAGGTAAATTCTTGCTCCAACATTCACTTTTGAAGGTCAGTGGTTTATCTACATTACGGTCACTTGCAAGAGAATCCAGTGTTTCTTTTCTTTTCTTTTTTAACCAAATACTGCCTCTCCTTGAAGAGAATCCAGTTTTTAATTGCAATATACGTATGCTCAAAATACTGCCAAACTGAATTATGGGAGCAATTTATTTTTATAGCCCAAACTCTCCTATTCTCTTCAGGAATATATTGTCAGTGGTATCATATCTAAACTCCTCAATTGCACTGTTGCTTGTTACTTCCTTACGCATTAGTCCTTTGTGCTGGACAAACTAATGTCTTCATGTCCATTGCCATTGCCTTCCCTAATAAACACTCCTTACTCTTTTTTCTTTCTTTCCCTTACTTCATATTTGCCTTGAAATTATTTGCCTGTCAGATAGATTGATTCATTTTTAGTAAAATTTAGTTTTTCTAGGATTCCCTTTGATCCTAGCAATGGGAGATATTTGATGCAGGTGTCAACCTTTACACTTGAAAGAAACAAAGGGACTCCCTTGTAGTCAGAAAGGAGATATCTTGGCTATAGATCAGTTAACAGAGAATCACCTTATGTTAAAATGTAGGTCAACAAAAGGACAATACTTTAAGCTGAGTGTTACTTTAAAAAATATAGCTGGACTATTTTTATAGCTTTTTTCAAAGGTCAGTGTACCTTTAAAGACAGATGTTTCTTAAATATTTTAAAGAAAAAACTTTGAAGTAGCTACCTTGGAGACCTTATGAAGCAAATACATTGATATTGTAAGAATTTCACTCTTTGTTCATTTCTAAATCCAAAGAGCAACTTACCAATAATTTTTTAATATCAATACTATAGGTGAATTAAAAGAAATCAAGCAAGATATCTCCAGCCTTCGTTATGAACTTTTGGAAGACAAGAGCCAAGCAACTGAGGAATTAGCCATTCTAATTCATAAACTTAGTGAGAAACTGAATCCCAGCATGCTGAGATGTGAATGATGCAGCAACCTGGATTTGGCTTTGACTATAGCACAAATGTGGGCAATAATATTTCTAAGTATGAAATACTTGAAAAACTATGATGTAAATTTTTAGTATTAACTACCTTTATCATGTGAACCTTTAAAAGTTAGCTCTTAATGGTTTTATTGTTTTATCACATGAAAATGCATTTTATTTGTCTGCTTTGACATTACAGTGGCATACCATTGTGTTGAAAAGCCCAATATTACTATATTATTGAAACTTTTATTCATTTTAGAGTAAACTCCACATCTTTGCACTACCTGTTTGCCTCCAAGAGACTATCAGTTCCTTGGGGACAGGGACCATGTCTTATTCATCTTTGTGTCTCCAGCATCTAGTACAGTGCCTGGTATATAGTAGGTGCTCAATAAATGTTGAAACCAACTGAACTGCCAACAAAATAAAAATAAAAAGTCTTCACTATGTAGCATACCTTCCCTTGTCCAAGTTCTGAAGAGGTTTTTTTTTTTTTTTTTTAATAGAAACTGAAGACATTTTACAACCAGCTATGACTTGGTAAGACATTCTTAGAATTTTAGGTGTCACTGATAATCCTAGAACCACTGAGCCCCAAGTGAAGAATTTAACAACAAAATGGGTTAATGAAAAATATAATTACATTGTATATTTAAGTTTCATAGAATTATTTAAAACAACACATTAAAGATTTTTCTAAAATATAGACTGCTTGCTTTCTGTCTTAGACTTACGTTTGTTGTTTTTCAGTAATGTGATTTTCTTTTAAGTTGGGGGTTATGCAGGGTTGTCATTTTGTTATAACCATCTAATTTCTGCCTCTGCTGCTTTAATGCTAAATGAGATATCAACAGCTGACTTCATATCTCACCTGTGAGCTCCCTGCTGAGTTTTGGAGGGTCTGCTCATGGGAAGAAATAGGAAAGAGCAGTGACTATGGGCGTACTTGGAAAGACATGGCCAAGCATCCCCAGGTGTGTTTCAGTTCCTTTTGGGGCATTTATTGCCATCGTTGCTTACAATGATTGACATCTTTGTTTCTTATCAAAGGATTCCAGTTCCACTTTCTATATAAAATATATTGTGATATATCTACATATGCCTTATTACATAATTGTGCTGAATGCTGGTAATATCCGCAATGCCTCTTGACTTTAATGGGAAAAGGCATGCAGACCAGTAAGTTCCCCAGTCACTTCAGAGACTATAAAACACTCAAAGCATTTTTTAACCAGCTAGGTTTAAATCTCTCATAGAGTTATGTTTAACATCCTGAGTCTGCAGTCAGTTGCTGTCAAGTCGTATAGGAATACGAATTGTGATCATAGATCAAAGATTTTCAGAGGTCCTTAAAACCAACTAAATACATGCTACTTTAAAATCATTGCTATCATGCAGAAAAGCTCTTTAGACATGAAGACAGAAATAAGTGTTAAATGGAACTACATAAAGCTCTTTAAAGATTATTTCTTAATTTCTACTTTTTGGGAGTTAAATTAAGAAAGGAACTTTATAAATGTTTTGCTACCATTGTAGAACACTTCATTAACTTTTGTGCCATGCTAAGAGTATTCGTCTTAAACATTTTTCAAACTTTATGTACTTTATGTTGTGTCTCAGAACTGAATAAAATATTGAATTTTTCCATTGTTATATGTTACCATATGTTAAGATAGTAAAGATACAAAGTTTCTATAATAGATGTTTCTGATAGTTTTATAGTATGGTCCAGGATTCCAAGTGTGAAAAGTTTTTGCTTATAGCTATGGAACTGAATATTTTGTAATTTTCTTCTTTGCGGTTGGAAAAAATGTTGAATGAAAAAGTGGCAGATTCAGCTGGGGACATTCAGCCTAAGATTCTTGGAATCTGAAGATCAGAGAAGTATGAAGATAAGCCTCATGGTATCCACACCATGTGGATAAAAAGCTGACTTTTTTTTTTTTTTTTTTTTGTCCATGCCCCTCACAACTGTAGAGCTCTTAACAGGCATTTTTTCTTTATTTACTATGTACAAACTGGTATAGTTTTAATATTTCATCTTTTTCCTTATTCATCATTTCAAGGTGTTGTTTCAGAAGAAGGTGTGATGACAAGGTGTAGTGAGTGTGGTTGATGTTTTTGATGCCCTGCCCAGATGCCCTCTACTGGACCAGTGCACCTGTCTCCCAGATTCTCCTGTGCAGTTCCTAGCCAATCACTTCCCCTGGAGAATTGCCCTCAGCTAAAAAGAAGAAGCCTTGCTCGGGATGTGATGCCTCCGCCTCCCCATGGCCAGTGACTGATGGGTGGGGGCACAAAGGGCTGGCCCCTTGTCTCAAGATGGGGCCAACTATTCAGTGCAGTTCATGCTCCAGAGCTCCTGAAAGGATTAGGGTGATGCCAGACTCAAGCTGAGATGAAATCCTGGTTTAGATTCTTCCTCTGCCTTTTCCAGTTTCCTTCCTTCCCTTTCTCCAGAGAGCATCCCCTTAATGAGTCACCACATCCAAATCTTATTAGGTTTTGCTTTTAGGGAACTCACACTAAGCCATAAGGTATTAATGTGGTAGCATACGGTTGAGATGAGGATTAGTCGAGGGGATTGCTGTCAGAATTAGTCCTTCACTTGAGGATAAAGATAGCTCTGGGTCAGCAAGTCTTTTCCCTAGTCACTTTTAACAGGTACCTTTGGGAAAACAAACCTCAAAGAAGTTGTTGGGGCAACTCAGAGAAGGGAGCATTTAAACAGGACCAAAAACAACTTTATAGAAAAAAACATTAATTAAAGGATTGTCAAAGCCCCAGGACTCTTTTTTCCTTAGGACATCTCTCATTTTTTACCTCTTTGCTATTCTTATTTTTTTCTCATTTACAGATAAAGAAAAGAAAGCAACACTCAAAGTGCTTCTTAGACTTATTGTTCGAAAAGTTGGGTACTTTGTAAGTGCCTGCTGTATTGAATTTACAGAGCACCCATGACTTTATGGAAGTCACAATCTGTTGAAAAGTTTGGGTTCTTAGACTTGAAATAATGAGAAAACTTTGAAAAATGGTACAGAGTATCTTTACAGAGTTTATGCACAATAAAAACAAAAATGATATGTTGTGATTATTAAAAGCAAATTTGGTACAATTTAGGATAACTATCTTACCCAATATGTCAATATATTTATATTTCAAATGTGCAAGCCAAGTGAAAGCAGCTTTTGTAAATGGGAAGATAAATTGTCTGATGGACAATGTCTAAAGAGAACTGAAGCCACACTAATGACTGTGGTATGGGACAAACCATTTAACTTCTCTGGTCTTCATAAATGGTTCAGGCAAACAGGGTTATGCTACATCAGGGGTTCCTAGTCCCTGGAGCTCATAGAGGTGTTTTAGGAGGTTAATGTCATCATCCAAGGTGGTAATCTTTCTTTCCATGTCTTTTTAAATTTTTTAAATAAAGTTTTTAAAATACATTTTTAGAGGCGGGTCTCACTATGTTGTCCAGGCTAGTCTTTAACTTTTGGCCTCAAGCGATCCTCCTGCCTCAGCCTCCCAAAATCAGGCTGGGCACAGTGGTGCACACCTGTAATCGCAGCACTTTGGGACGTTGAAGCAGGTCGATGGCTTCAGTTCAGGAGTTCGAGACCAGCAGGGCAACATGGTGAAACTGTCTCTACAAAAAATACAAAAAAAATTAGCCGGGCATGGTGGCATGTGTCTGTGGTTCCAGTTACTCAGGAGGCTGGGGTGAGAGGATAACTTGAGCCCAGGAAGTTGAGGCTGCAGTGAGCTGGTTCACGCCACTGCACTCCAGCCTGGGTGACAAAGTGAACCACCCCCCACAAAAAAAAAAAAAAAAAAAAAAAAAAATCTAAAATGGGTATTTATAACTTTGTTCAGTTTAAAAAAGAGTTTGAGAATTTCTAAATTTATACCATGTGTTAGGGGAAACTAATGTTTTTACTCATGACTCAGTCACTCAGCTGACCACCACTAGCGTGTTGATGGTTTTAACTTTAATGCAGTTTAAATTGCTTTTATTTTTAGCCATAAGTTGTTTAACTTATACTCATAATGGTTGCTTTAGCACCATAACATAAGGTTATAAATTACTGAGGTGCATGGTAATTCTGCAAATTTGTCTCTAAAGTGGTCTTTGTCACATCTGAGAGGCAGCCATCTTCTGTTGAGTTTTATAAAGACCACCAAGATGTCTCTGATACCCTAAAACATCTTTAAAAAGAGGACACACAGTGGTAATTTAACTTGACATTTTCTTTATTGTGAATAAAAATTCCTTACCCTGCTAATTAATTATTTGAGGAATACTTAAAATTAGTAGGTTGAAATCTTTACTAATCATTTAGAAACAAAACATAGTATGTACTTTAAAAATAATAAATTGCATTTTTAGATGCAAAATCAAAGAATTCCAAATATCATATTATGCAAACTTTTTGTATTGTTTTGATGCTATATCATAGCCTCATTTCACTGTTTTAAAATAAATTTGAGCTTCAAAATAAACTTTTACTTTCCTTCTACACAATTAATTGAACAGTGGACATCACTTGCTAAATGGAAAGTAAGCACTGCCAGCATTGTCTGTCTTTGGTGTTTTTTTTTTTACCTATTTATTAGAACCATAGTATTTCTTCATTATTAATTTGTATGAACTATTTTTTAAGATATTAACTCTTTTCTCCTATATTTTTGTTTTCATTTAAACATTGTTGTGACATATTGAAATGTTTATCTTTACTTTTCATTTTTTTTAAGTTAGTTTTTTGTTTGTTTTTTAGAGATGGGGCCTTGCTATTTTGCCCAGGCTGGATTGTTGGGCTCAAGCAATCTTGAGCCTCAGCCTTCAAATAGCTGAGACTACAGGCATGTAACACCATATCTGCTTTTTTCCTTTGTGGTTTCTTCTATTCCTTTTGAGATCAGTTTCCTTCTGTTATGGGCTGAATTGTGTCCCCTCAAAACTCATGTTAAAGTCCTCGCCTTCAGTATCTCAGACTATAACTATAGTTGGAGATAGGGTCTTTAAAGAGGTAATTAATTTAAAATGAGATAATATGACTGGTGTGCTTATAAAAAGACAAGATGAGACACAGACAGACATAGAGGGAGGACCACGTGAAGACACGGAGAAGATGACGATCTATAAGCCAAGAAGAGAGGCCTCTGAAGATCGGTTTTATTCCCTGCTGACACCTTGATCTATGACTTCTAGACTCCAAGACTGTGAGAAAATAAATTTCTGTTGTTGAAAAGCCTCCCAGTGTGTACTACTTTGCTATGGCAGCCCTAGCAAACTAATACTATATCCTCCAACCTCCAAAATTCTGTAAAATGCTATACAATTCTATTTTCTTCTGTCTTTTCTATGGCTTTATTTTTCAGTTGACTTCTAAAATTTATTTGTATTTTTTTCTTGAATCTAAATTGATATATATTTCCCCCAAATTGCTGAACAGCTAACCCATCTACATGTATTGTCTATTTTAATGTGGGATTATTTTAGCCTCAGAGATATAATTGTCTGGAACACAGGGAAAACTTTTTCAGATATTGCTGCAGTAAATAACTTCTCTTCTTAAGAAGCACCTCTTCTCAGGGATTTAATTCTTTTTGTTTCACAATTATTTGTGAACTCTTTCCTGGAAAACCACAGTGGCTCATGTCTGTAATCCCAGAACTTTGGGAGGCTGAGGTGGGCGGACCACTCGAGCCCAGGAGTTCAATACCAGCCTGGGCAACATGGCAAAACTCCATCTCTACAAAAAAAAAAAAAAAGAAAGAAAGAAAAAGAAAAACCACAAGAATCAGGAAAGTAGCTGTATCTGAACTTATCTGTATTTCCCCAGGCAGAGCTCTATGCACATTAAGGAAGGACCGATGAAAGTGAGTCAAAGAATGTCAGCTCTTAAATCCTGGGTCACTATGGGTCAGTAGTAGTCTGTGGGGCCCCGAGGGGCAGGGGTGGTTCCTGAGGCCTTTTCACAGCTGTCTGCAATTTTGAAACTATTTTCATAACACTAAGTTGTGATTTGCCATTTCACTCTGCTGACATTTGCACTGATGGTACCGAAACAATGGTGGTTAATACTGCTAGTGCTTAAGCATAAATCAAAATAGTGGCTCCAAACTGTACTAGTAGACACCATATTCTATATAACATGCACTGATAGGAAACAAAAACCATTTCATATAAAAATGTTCTTAACGAAGCAGCAACATTGTTAATATTATCTTTTTTTCTTTTTTCTTTCTTCTGATTCAGCCCTCATTTATTACATCTTAACTCTTGAATATGTCTTTTTAAATGTTCTATGTGAGGACATAAGAAGTATGTATAAAATCCTTCTACTGAATACTGAAATACATTAGTTGTCTCAAGGAAAAGCACTTGTGGGATTGAGCTGCTAGCTGAACTTCCTGCTTTTTTCATGGGACACTTTTTATTTGAAGGAATTACTCACAAATTATGATTATTCAGACTTAGATATCTGGCATTTACTTTCTTGTGAATTCAAGAAGGGAACCTATCAGTTCAAGGAAAACAATCGACATTTCTTGCCAATGTGTAAATTTCAAACTTTCAAGCACAAATTTGAATTTTGGAAAATATGTATTCACCATCTAAGTTTGACAGATCTCCCATACTCGGGACTTTACTGATGAGATCCATGGTGATACTAACAGATGGAATTTTTTGATGTTGTGTAACAAAGTCACATTTCACATTGCAACTAACCTTTCAAAAAACTACTACTTGTTGAGTTTGGACCAAATTTTCTTCATATACATGAACAAAAACAACATATAACAATAGATTGAATGCAGTAGCAGATTTGAAGCTCCTCCTGTCTACTATTAAAATGGACAGAAAATAGATTTGCGCACAGTACCAGTTATTTTATTTTTTTATTTTGGAAAATATTTTTTTCATTAAGATATTTGTCATAGGTTTTTAAAAAACACTAATTGTTTTCAGTTCTAATGTCTAATATGGTAAAAATCAATAGGTAACTCATATAAACAAATGGTCTTTATACTTTCCAAAGCAATCTACAGATTCAGTGCAATTCCCATCAAAATATCATTACTACTTTTCACAGAACTAAAAAAAAAATTCTAAAATTCATATGGAACCAAAAGACAGCCTGAATAGCCAAAGCAATAATAAGCAAAAAGAACAAATCTGGAGGCATCACGTTACCACACTTCAAATTATACTGCAAGGCAAGTTACCAAAACAGCATGGTACAGGTAAAATAAATAAATAAATAAATAAAGACACATAGACCAATGGAACAGAATAGAGAACCCAGAAATAAAGCCAAGTACTTACAGTCAACTGATCTTCAACAAAGCATACAAAAACATAAATTGGGAAAAGGGCGCCCTATTCAATAAATGGTGCTGGGAAAACTAGTTTAGCCACAGGTAGAAGAATGAAACTGGATTCCCATCTCTCACCTTATACAAAAATCAACTCAAGATGAATCAAAGACTTAAATCTAAGACCTGAAACCACAAAAATTTTAGAAGATAACATTGGAAAAACTCTTTTGGACATTAGCCAAATGCAACAAAAACAAAAATAAATAAATGGGACCTAAATAAACTAAAAAGCTTCTGCACAGCAAAAGAAATAATCAGTAAACAGCCCATAGAGTAAAAGAAAATATTTTCAAACTGTGCATCTGATAAAGGACTTGTACCTAGAATCTACAAGGAACTCAAACAAATCAGCTAGAAAAAAACAATCCCATCAAAAAGTGGGCAAAGGACATTTTTCAAAAGAAGATATACAAATAGCCAACAAACATGAAAAGATGCTCAACATCACTAAATCACCAGGGAAATGCAAATTAAAACCACAGTGAGATACCACCTTACTCCTGCAATAATGGCCATGAGGCAGGCGGATCACGAGGTCAGGAGTTCGAGACCAGCCTGGCCAACATGGCAAAACCCTGTTTCTACTAAAAATACAAAAATCAGCCAGGCGTGGTGGCGGGCACCTGTAATCCCAGCTACTCGGGAGGCTGAGGCAGGAGAATCACTTGAACCCGGGAGCCGGAGGTTGCAGTGAGCCGAGATAGTGCCATTGCACTCCAGACTGGGGGACAAGAGCAAGACTCTGTCTCAAAAAAAAAAAAATAAACATAAAAAATAAAATTTAGAAAATATACGTTGGTGTCGATATGGTGAAAAGGGAACACTTTTGCACTGCTTGGGGGATGTAAATTAATACCACCACTATGGAAAACAGTATAAAGTTTCCTTAAATAAATAAATAAAGGTGGAGCTACCATTCAATCCAGCAATCCCACTACTGGGTATCTACCCAAAGGAAAAAGACACATATACACGCATGTTTATAGCAGCATAAGTCGCAATTGCAAAGATATGGGGCCAACCTAAGTGCCCATTGACTAACGAGTGGATAAAGAAAATGTAGTATATATACACCATTGAATACTACTCAGCCATAAAAAGGAACGAAATAATATCTTTTGGCAGCAACTTGGATGGAACTGGAGGCCATTATTCTAAGTGAAGTAACTTAGGAATAGAAAACCAAATACTGCATGTTCAGTTATGAGGATGCAAAGACATACAGAGCGATATAATGGATTCTGGGAACTCCAGGTAGGGAGGAGATTGGGAGCGGGGTGAGGGATAAAATACTACATATTGGGTACAGTGTACACTGGTGGGTGACGGGTACACTAAAATCTCGGAATTCGCCACTCAAGAGCTCATCCATGTAACCAAAACCCGCCTGTACACCCAAAACTATTGAAATAAAAAAAACATTAAAAATGAGAGAAAACCCACAAAAAGCAAATGGTCTTTGTGCTCCTCAACGGTTTTTAAGAGTCTTGTAAATAAGTCCTAAGGCCAAAAGTCTAAGAACCGCTGCTGTAAGCTAGCACCTATAACGGTGGAACCTAATTCTTTGTAGGACCCTTTCCAATGTCAGAGTGAAATCGGTCAGAATCTAGCAGGCTTATCTAGTTTTTTCTACAGCGATAAGGAAAGAAGTCCAGTATTAGCCCTGGGCCGCGGTGAGGGTGGAGCCAAGACTGCGTCTGGGGTCTCTGTGGAAACCGCCCTGTATGGGTCTCCCGGACCTCGCCTCTTTTGTTCCTCTCCGCCTCTGATTGGAACACGCTGTCAGTGGGCGGTGCTTCGGGAAAGGGGCGGGCCTTCATCTTCTTCCAGGAGCCCCTCGCAGCAGCGTACTGACGTCACGCAGGACGCCACTGCCCTGTCGCCCCGCCTGTGCAGCCCAGGACCTAGGCGCGGTAGCTGGGGCTGGCTTTTGAGGGGCGCGGGCAGCCTTCTGACTGGGTCGGAGGCCTGCGGGCCCGAAGCCTCTGTCCCTCCTGTTCTTGTCCGGCGCTGCTTAGCCCCTCCGCGTAGTCATCATGGATCTGATTTTAAACCGAATGGATTATCTGCAGGTAAACCCAAGGGATAGGGCGGGCGCCGCGCTGGGCAAGCCCAGCACCCGGAGAGGATTCCTTCCTTCCACTGACGAAAGTCTCGGTCGCCAGGAGCTGGTGCGGAGGCGAAGGAGCCGGGCTGGGTGCCGACCTCTCAGCACCCCGCCTTTGGGCAGCTCCCTTTCGTCTGTGACGGTCCGAGGGGACCGGGGAAAAGCGGCACAAGCCCCCACGGTACTGGCTTCTGCCGGGTCCTGAGGATGCTCTGAAAATGTGACACTGTCTCATCCCGGATTCCCCCCAGGGCCCTTCTCCTCCTCCCTAGCCGTGGCTGCCTGAGGGCCTCTAATCCTCAATCTCCATCTCTACCCGGACCCTTTTGCGGAGCACCAGGCACTTGTTTCTTACTGTGAGCTGTACCGCACCAGGCAGATCATGGTAAAAGCAATGAAAACCGGGCCGGGGGCAGTGGCTCACGCCTGTTATCCCAGCACTTTGGGAGGCCGAGGCGGGCGGATCACCTAAGGTCAGCAGTTCGAGACCAGCCTAGCCTACATGGTTAAACCTCTTCTCTACAAAAAGTACAAAAATTAGCCCGGTGTGGTGGCGGGCGCCTGTAATCCCAGGTACTCGGGAGGTTAAGGCAGGAGAATCGCTTGAACTCGGGAGGCGGAGGCTGCAGTGAGCTGACATCATGCCACTGCACTCCAGCTGGGGCGACAGAGCGAGACTGTCTCGAAAGGGGGAAAAAAAGCAATGACAACAGTTTAATGTGCATCTAGCTTATTCTAAGAATTTAGCATACCTACCAACATATTTAATCCTCATAAGAATTTGCAAAGTAGACAATATTATAAATGAGGATCTAAGGGGTTAGAGAAGGCAAGTAATTTGCTTAATAGCTAAAAATTAGGGAGTGGCTATTTGAATCAAAGTCTCGGACTCCAGAACTGGTGTATTTTTGTTACACTACACTGCCTTTCAGAATTTCTTTCAGACCTAAAATTCTCTCTACCCCAATTCCTCATCATATTTTTAGGCCACCTCATTTTAGTTAATGGTACAAATGTTTGCCCAGTCAATTTTCTAGGGGTTTATGCTATGTACTTCCATATCCAACTGGTCACCACATCTTACTGCTTTTAACTCCCAAATATCTCTTGAATCTGTCCCATATCTTCCATCTCTATTACCCTCATTTGGGTTCTCATCTTCTCTTGCTTGAATAATTGAAATAACCTCCAAATTGGGCTCCTGAACTCCAGCTTCATCTCCCTCCAAGCCATCCTTCACATCACTTGCTAGATTGATGTTTCAGAAATACAAATCTAAGCAGATGACTTTAATACAATTTTCTGGAATGCAGAATAAAGTCATTTATACTATATGAACGTTTTATCATGATGTGTTGTTTTCACCAATTCCTCTCCCATTGGTCCCATCCTCTTCTCCTAACTATACACCAGCAGTGACAGTTCCCTGCTGCTTTCATCCTCTGTATTTTTTTGTAAAATAATCTTCACCTGTTAGATTGGATGTTATGGCCATTATCATATTTGGTATTTTAGCATAAATCTTCTTTTTTTTTTTTTTTTTTTTTTTTTTTTTTTTGAAACAGGGTCTTGTTCTGTCACGCAGCCAGTCTGGAGTACAGTGGCATGATCATGACTCACCACAGCCTCAAATTCCTGGACTCAAGTTATCCTCCTGCCTCAGCCTTCCAAGTAGTTGGGCCTGCAGGCATGCACCACCATGCCTAGCTAATTTTTTATTTTTTGTAGAGACAGAGTCTCCCTGTGTTGCCTAGATGGTGTTGAACACCTGGGCTCAAGTGATCCTCCCACTTCAGCCTCCCAAAGTGCTGAGATTACAGGCATGAGCCACTGCATGTGGTCTTCCGTTGCATTTTTAATAACTATAATCTATTTTCAAAGTTCTTGAATCACTTTGCTGAACAACTGTATGCAGTTGGAAAAGAAGGCTTCTAGAGATATTTTTTAGTAAAGCATCTTGCCAGTCATCTTACACAACTATTTTTGGCTTGACAACTTTATAGGATAAATTTTACTATTTTGGTTGTTTCCTATATGTATTCTGACTAATATGACATATCTCATTAGAAAATAAATTAATTACTGATAATAGTTATATCACTAATTTCAGTTTAACAAAAAGGTTCACTATAACTTATTTTAATCTCTGTAATAACTTCAAATTAAATTCACTAGGCATCTGGTGTTTTTCTTTAGGTGGGAGTAACATCTCAGAAGACTATGAAGCTAATTCCTGCCTCAAGACACAGAGCTACACAAAAGGTACTGTATAGATTCTGATTTCTCCACTATTCCCTAGCAGTGACAGAGGAGAGGCTCCTATTTCCTTCTTTATTATTAAGTTATTCTCTTAAAAATGCTAATGTTAAAATGGAAATGAATTTTTTAATTTGAACAGAAACTGGAATACCAAGGGACATTTATAGACAATAATTTTCTTGGACATTAAAATTATTATATACCATTAGTAAACAGTGTAGGCAAACTTAAAAACCATACTCCATTTTTTCTGTGTGTCAGATGTGTATATGAAAAAAGAAATATAAAGCAGAATAAGGTATCAAGAAAATGTTCTCTTTAAACTTTCTCATATTTTAAAGTCATTAAATATTTTGATGTTAAACTGTACTTAACTAACAATATTGATTATGTTTAAAGAAATGTTGATCCTATGATTTCCACAAAACAATTATAGTTTCTTAGTAGACTAGCCAAATATTTTAATAGCTGCAAAAAAATACTTTATCCTGATATATAAACATTTTAGCAAGATGAATCAACAATTACACATAGTACTAGAAGTCCTAGCCAGAGCAATTATACAAGAAAAAGAAATAAAGTGCATCCAGATTGGAAAGGAGAGTCAAATTATCTCTGTTTGCCGATGACATGATCCTATATATAGAAAAACCTAAAGACTCTACCAAAAAACTCTTAGAACTGACAAATGAATTCAGTAAAGTTGCAGGATACAAAATTAATATACTGAAATTAGTAGTGTTTCTATACACAACAAACTAGCTGAAAAAGAAATCAAGAACACAATCCCAATTATAATAGATAAAAGATAAAATACTTAGGAATAAATTAACCAAGGAAATGAAAGACCTCTATAAAAAAAACTATAAAACACTGATGAAAGAAATTAAAGAGGATACCAACAAATGGAAAAACATCCCATGTTCATGGATTGGAAGAATTAATTTTGTTAAAATAACAATACAACCCAAAGCAATCTACAGATTCAATGCAATCTCTATCGAAATACCAATGTCATTTTTCACAGGAAGAGAAAAAAAATCTTAAAATTTGTATGGAACCACAAAGACCCCAAATAGCCAAAACAATCCTGAGTAAAAGGAACAAAGCTGGGGCATTACACTACCAGATCTCAAAATATACTACAAAGCTGTAGTAACCAAAACAGCATAATACTGGCATAAAAACACAGAGACACAGAGAACATAAAATGGAATAGAGAACTCAGAAATTAATCCACATATCTACAACCAACTGATTTTTGACAAAAGAGCCAAGAACAGCCCCTGGGGAAAGGACAGCCTCTTCAATAAATGGTGCTGGGAAAACTGAATATTCATATGCAGAAGGATGAAACCAAGACCCCCACCTCTCACCCCATATAAAAATGAACACAAAATGGATCAGAGACCTAAATGTGGCCAGGTGTGGTGGCTCACACTTGTAATCCCTGCAGTTTGGGAGGCCAAGGCGAGTGGATCACTTGAGGTCAGGAGTTCAAGACCAGCCTGGCCAACATGGTGAAACCCTATCTCTACTAGAAATACAAAAAAATTAGCTTGTCATTGTGGCAGGCACCTGTAATCCCAGCTACTCAGGAGAGGAAGACTCCATCTCAAAAAAACAAAACAAAACAAAACAAAAAACAAAAAAAGACCTAAATGTTAATGCTTTAGGACATTGGTCTGGGAAAATAGTTAATGAATAAGACCTCAAAAACACAAACAACAAAAGCAAAAATAAACAAGTGGGATCATATCAAACCAAAAAGCTTCTACACAGGAAAGGAAACAATCAACAAGAGTGAAAAGACAATCTATAGAATGGGATTTAAAATATTTGCAAACTACTCATCCAACAAGGAATTAATATCCAGAATATACAAGGAACTCAAACATACCAATAGCAAACAAACAAGCAATCTGATTAAAAAGTGGGCAAATGATCTAAACATTTCTCAGAAGAATACATACAAATGACCAAAAAAACATGAAAAAATACTTAACATCATTAATCATCAGGAAAATGGCAAATCAAACCACAATGAAGTATCATCTTACCCCAGTTAGAATGGCTGTTATCAAAAAGACAAGAAAACAAAAAACCAAAAAACAACAAATACTGGCAAGAATGTGGAGAAAGGAAACTCTTCTGTGCCATTGGTGGGATAGTACATCCACTATAGTGAACAGTATGTAGGATTTTTCAAAAACTACAAATAGGGCGACCATATGATTTAGCAACCCCACTGCTGGGAATTTACCCAAAGGAAAGGAAATCATCATATCAAAGAGACAACTGCAGCCTCATGTTTTATTGCAGCACTGTTCACAATAGCCAAGATATGGAATCAGCCTGGGTGTTTAACAACAGATGAATGTATAAAAAAAAGTGGTATATATACACAATGGAATACTATTCAGCAATAAAAAATAATGAAATCCTGGCCAGGCATGGTGACTCACGCCTGTAATCCCAGCACTTTGGGAGGCTGAGGCGGGCGGATCACCTGAGGTCAGCAGTTGGAGACCAGCCTGGCCAACATGGTGAAACCCCATCTGTACTAAAAATACAAAAATTAGCCAGGCACGATGGCAGGCATCTGTAATTCCAGCTACTTGGGGGGCTGACATGGGAGAATCGCTTGAACCCAGGAGGCAGAGGTTGCAGTGAGCTGAGATGGCACCTTTGCACTCCAGCCTGGCCGACAAGGGCAAAACTCTGTCTCAAAAAAAAAAAAAAGAGAGAGAAGAATGAAATCCTATCATTTGCAGTAACATGGATGGAACTGGAGGACATTATGTTTAGTGAAATAAGCCAGGAACAGAAAGTTGAACACCACATGTTCTCATTAATATGTGGAAGCTAAAAAAAGTTGGTCACGTTAAAGTAAAAAGTAGGACAGAGAATACTAGAGGCTGCAAAGGGTAGAGGGAAGGGAGGGATAGGGAGATATTTATTAAAGGATATAAAATTATAGCTAGATAGGAAGAAAAAACTCAAGTAGTCTATACCACTATAGGATGACTATAGTTAACAATATATAGTTTCAAATAGCTAAAAAGAAGGTATTGACTGATCCTAACCCAGAGAAATGATCAGTATTTTAGATGATGGATATGCTAATTATCCCAGTGTGATCAGTATATGTTATATGTATTGAAACATTGCTATGTACCCCACGAATATGTACAATTGTTGTCAATTAAAAAATAAATGAATAAAATAAAAAAGATAAACCAACAGATTTCTGATTGTCATTTACTGTATTAAGTCTACTAGATTAGCACTTCTCAAAATTTTTGGTCTCAGCACCCCTTTACACAATTAAATGATTGAGGATCCCAAAGAACATTTGTTTATGTAAGTTGTATGTATCAATACTTACTATATTAAAATGAAAACTAAGAAATGCTTAAACTATTTTATTTTAAAAAAATTATTACATGTTTACATAACATGTCTTTATGAAAAATAACTATTTTTCAAAACAAAGAATTTAGTGAGTATAGTGTCATTATGTTATACTTTTTGCAACTTGTTTAATGTCCTGGCATAAGCATACACACATAGATTTTCATATTTGTTTACTGCATTCAATCTGCTGTGCTATGTTGTTTTGGCTGAAATATTTGAAGAAAATCCAGCTTACACAGATACATAGCTGGAAATAAGGAGGGGTATTTAAATAGCTTTTTCAGATGATTGTGACTCTCTGTTTGATACTATGCCTAAACTTGATAAGTAGTAGTTTCTTAAATCAGAGCTCCCAGAGTTTTTTAGCACCAGGAACCAGTTTCGTGGAAGACAGTTTTTCCACCAATGGGGCTGGGATTGTTTTGGGATGAAACTGTGTTCTACCTCAGATCATCAGGCATTAGTTAGATTCTCATAAGGAGCATACAACCATGCGCAGTTCACAATAGGGTTTGTGCTTCTATGAGAATCTAATGACGCTGCTGATCTGACGGGAGGCGGAGCTCAGTCTGTAAATGATCACTTTCCCGCTGCTCACCTCCTGCTGTGTGGCCTGGTACCCAGCAGGCCACGTACTGGAACTGGTCTAAGGTTGTTTGATATCTACTTTTGAGGAAGAAGTGTTAAAATGTCCCTCTATATTTATTTCAAAACAATTCATTGTCTACATGTTGGTAATTGTTGAAACTAGGTGATAGGCACATGATAATTCATTATAATATTTTGTGTACATTTTCATACATTAAAATTTTTCTTTTAAAAAAGGTGTTTAAAATTATTAAATATGTCAGTCACAACTTTATTTGATAATCTGTTTTAAAAGTTAATCTTAAAATGTTCTTATGCTCCAGTTATGAAAAAAAAATTACTTTGTAGGCATTTCTGTCCATAACTGTTGTCTGGCAGTATACCTTCGTAACAACCTGCATGTGGACTCCCAGAACCTACAATAAAAGTTGAAAAAAAGCAAAACAAAATATATTGTGTTGTCCTATTAACATTATAGGAACAAAATCTATGGCCAATTACTTTTCTAATGACTCTCCATATCCTTCTCTTTTGGCTCTTGTTCTTTTGAGGATTATTTTTTGTGGGGGTGTCTTTCCTAGATTTTCTGATCTCTATTAAGTCAGTATTTATAAATTAAGAATCTTGCTTTCCCTGTATATAATTATTAGGTCATAATATTAATAATAGTAATTTTAGATTATCTTCCATCTATTACAGGTGGTTATTGGAGATCATGATGGGGTAGTTATGTGCTTTGGCATGAAGAAAGGAGAAGCAGCAGTAAGTATAGCTTTGTGAAGGGGAAAAATGGTTTTCTAAAAGAGAATGCACTATTTATTGAATAATACTAGGTTAAAAATTTCCTAAAATACAGGTAATGGAAAATGGGTTCTGAGGTAAGTAGTTATGTGAGATATGAGTCTGCGGGTAGCACAAAAGTAATTTGCTAGCTAGTTGTAAGGCACCTTTGGCATCCTGTGGTCGTGGGTTACTTTTCTATGCTGTGTAATATATTACCCCAAATTTAGGGCCTTAACACAACACACATTTATTATCTAACAGTTTCTGTAGCACAGGAGTTTGTGCTCAAGGTTTCACACAGCTGCAATTTAGATGTCAGCTGAGCTGTGTTCCTTTCTAGAGTGTGGGGTCTTATTCCAAGCTCATGTGGTTGTTTGCAGAATTCAGTTCCTTGCTATTATAGGACTGAGGTCCCCACTTTATTAACATCTGTAAACCAGGGGCTGCTCTCAATTCCTTGAGGTCTCTGCAATTTCTTGCTCTGTGGTTCTCTTACAGTCCTTCTCACAACATGGTAATCTAATTCATCAAAGCCAGCAGGAAATTTCTGTAGTCTGCTAAGAAAGAATCTTATGTAGCATAATGTAATCATGGAAGCAACTAACCCACAACCTTTTCCACTTAATTTAACCTAATCAAGGAAGTTATTACTATTACATTATCATATTTACAGATCATAATTAGAAACTTAGAATGATGAGTCTGAGATGTGAATTCTAGTATTCATTATATATTATATGGAATTTCCAGAAAGATGAAGAGAATAAAAACTACCAGAAACTCAGTGTTTCCATTATTCATATTCTCCCAGATATCTTATTCTCTGTATATAAAGTCATGGGGAGGAAGTGGAGGAGAAGAAGCTGGTGCAAATAATAAAATGGAAAATAACCACAAAAAAATTAATGAAATGAATATTGTTTTCAGTTAAATAGATATATGATTATAGGTATTAAGTCATACATTCACATTTTCAGTAAATTCTATAGTCCTTTAACTATTAAAATTTATAAAAATTGTAAAGAAGCCAGGAAAGATTAGTTTTAAAAGATGATTGAAGTGTAAAAACATGTTCATTGGACCTCATTAAAGAATTTGCCAAATGGACTTCCCTGTTCGTAGGAGTATTGTTAATCCAATGCCTCTAAAACTTCAGTAGGCATAGGAACCAGCTGGGGAATCTTGTTAAAATACAGATTCTCATTCAGTTGATCTGCTGCATTTTAAATAAATTTAGTGATGCTAACATTGCTGCTTAGTGAACTGTACTTTGAATTACAAGGATTTAGATTTCAATGACATCATTCAAATATGTGTGGGAATATATATTTAAAAGTTAAGTATAGCAAAAAACCTGAAGACCTGCTGAAGTATATAGATTATTATCTAAAATTATTTCTATATAGTGGAACTATAATATTTTGCAAATTTAACATCATAACATTTTCTATTGTAAAGGAAAAAATGCTCACAATAAAGTAATTTGTGTACTTTTTTCCTGAATGATTTTTTTCAGGCAGTGTTCAAGACTTTACCCGGGCCGAAGATTGCAAGGCTGGAACTGGGAGGGGTTATCAACACACCTCAGGAGAAAATTTTTATTGCTGCAGCATCTGAGATTAGAGGCTTCACAAAAAGAGGAAAACAGTTCCTCTCCTTTGAAACAAACCTCACTGAAAGCATTAAAGCTATGTATGTCTTTTGTTCTCTTTTGTATTTTTACATACTTATTTATAATATTTTGGATAGATGTGAGGCAACTAAGTATCATATCTTAATAGGCTTTCTGGAAAATAAAATTAACTAAAGGTATTTTATTAGTCAGAAACTAAATTTGACCTACAATCAATATTAAATTGGTTGTTGAAATTTTTTTAAAGAACTTTATAGTATTTATACAATCATTTTTGACAACTTGGTTCAGTTTGATTCATGATCAAGGTATCAAAAAAATTGAAAATAAATCTAGATATTTAGCTTTATGTTCCTTGGCTATTTTTGATAGTTCTGGTTTTCAGGTAGCATCATTATGTTAAAAGGCTGGCTGTCAAAGTTAGTGATTACCAATAGGGTATAATTTCAGGTATATCAGGTAAGACTCTAAGTGAAATATAGCTCCCTAAATGGCTGCCTGATATGTGAGATTTTGCAATTCAGATTTGAGTTTTTGAATCACAGGGAGCTGAAAAGGGCTTTAAAATTCATCTAATTCATTATTTCTTATATTTGCTACTTAGAAGAATCCCTTGGGCCACTTAAACAATTCCTTGTCCTACCTCATACCTGCCGAATCAAAATAACCAGGAGTAGGTTTTATTTTTATTTTTTAAGTTCTTCCTTTGAATCTAGTGCAGCCAAGTTATATAATCAGCCAGACTCTTAGGCTAGAAACAACTGATTCAGCCCAAAGTTTTGTATAATGCACAGCACATCTCCTGATGTTTGGGATGTAAAACATTGGCTTGGTGAAATTAGATTAAAATTAAACCATGATAAGTGGAAATATGTAATTTCAAATGGTTTAACAAGAATAGTAACACTTTTGAAATACACTTGTATATAGACATGGCCAATGATAATTATGGAATACTGAAAGTAATGTGTTAATAGCATAACTCTACATTCGGACAGTTATATGGATAGTAGTGTGAGAAAGATAGAGAGTTTCTCAGTAACAGTCTCTTCAAGTGGTTTCTTAAATGTTTTTACTAGAGTGGCAAAGATGGGATAGAAAAGTTCTTTACTCAATTTTTGAAAATTGATTGTCTGAATCCCCACATTTGTAAGGTTTTATAGGAAAACAAAAGTTATAACTTGAAGATATTCAGTAAGGAAACTGACCACTTAACATTAGTCACCACATATCCTTTCCTGCTTAATGTTGCCATGTATCCCCACTCATGTCAACAATAGAGATTGCTAAATAGTACTTTGGCCAATATAATGCAAATATAATACAGATTGGTTTCAAAATGGAATTTAAAATTTTGAAAAACATAGAGAATTTCATGAAATTGATAAAAATAGTAAGAGGACTATTCAATCATATGCAGAGCCACAAAGTGAGGCCACTTAATAACTGAAGAATAGAAAATCAGGGAGGATTATTATAGGATAAGCTCTTCAGAGAATAATTTTAATATAAAATTTTTTAATAGAACTTGGAGGTAGAGGAATACATGAAACATTCAAATAAAATTACCCTCTTTATGATAAATATGGTAATAACAACCTAGAAGTGAAAAATATATCACACTTAAATATAATTTTTGTCAAGACATTTTAGCTCACCCAAGTGAAAACTCAGTTCAGTCTAAGAATTAGAATATAGTTATGACTATTGACTAAATTTTGTTAAATGTAATATGAAATAAACTTGTTTTCATTTCTTTTTTCAAGATAAAGTTCTAATGAAATCTTTTTTTTTCTGCTGTTTATCATTTAGTTTGAGGTAGAATCACTTAAAATAGACTTTTTCAGGCAATTTAGTGTGGTAGTAAGAAAGCTAACTCGAGCAAAAAACTGAGTTGCAGTCTAATCTACTACTTAATACTTAGGTGCCATTAGGCAAGTTATTTTACATTTTATTATTCACCTGTAAAAGGAATAATAATGGTCCTTATTTTATAGAGTTATGATGATTAATTGATCTAATACATAAAAATCACTTAAGATAGTGCTTGGCACATAGTACACAAAGAAGTCATTTTTTGATGTATTAATTGTCTTTGGATATAGACAGTTAAATTATCATTATCTTGTCTTTGTTTTCCATTTTTCTGAGCTCAGTTTTTATTGAGAAGCCCGAGGCCTTAACATCCTCATTTTCAGCTTTCAAAATCAAAAACAGTGTTATACCAAAAATACTAGGAATTAACTAGGAGAAAGTTTTAAAAACTGTGTTCTCTAAGTCTATAATAAAATGTTAGTAAACTGTATACATTTTTCTGTTTTTATCTCTGAAAAAAATTCAGTACCTGTGCTTATTTTTAAAAATTACTATTTTAATGTTCTCAGGCACATATCTGGCTCAGACCTCTTTCTCAGTGCAAGTTACATCTATAACCATTATTGTGACTGCAAAGACCAACATTATTACCTTTCTGGGGATAAAATCAATGATGTGATCTGCCTTCCAGTGGAAAGATTATCTCGTATCACACCTGTATTGGCCTGCCAGGACAGAGTGCTCAGAGTTTTACAGGTTGCTGTTATTTGTATTTTTCTAATTTTTTATATTATGTGAAAGAATATCAATGAACATTATGTACTTGAGATAAATTAGTGGTTACTGTTTTAAGGGCTTTTATAAACATGTGGAAACAATTTTTAAATAATTTGACATATTAATTTTTTTAACTTGAGTCAAATGTGTTGTTTTGTAAGTTTTTAAGAGAAGCATATTTGGAAGAAAAAGGATTTTTTTTGCCTCACCATACACAATTTCTGAGCTATTATCAGAATGGAGTACTTTGACTACAGAGAACCTTTACCTGCCTTTTTGTTTTGTTTTCTTCTTCCATCACCTTTATCTTCCCCAAAAATCAAATTAAAGGAAGAAATTGGGTTGGAGGGAGGATGTTATATAACTTGAGTTTATCCAGTGTTTATGGAAGTATATGGAATAAGCACTCAGTAAATATATGTTGGATAAGTAAATGAGTGATAGAGGGAAAATTCATTTTGATGTCCTTATATTTCTGGTAAAAACCACGATTGGCTAAAACAACTGCTTCAGGTCATTGTTATGAGTAATAATAGTTACCACTATATCTTCTTGAGAGTGACTTTCAATAAAATATATGCACACACACACACACACACACTCTATAGGATGCTTAAAATAATGTTTAAAGGTAAATAGCATGTAACAGTTAGATGAACTGTATCAGAAACAGGCTGATATAGTTGGTGCAGTTGATGAAAAAGTTGAGCTGTGAAGTCCATGCCACCACAGGCTATCTCACTCTTTGGAATTCCATAGTCAGATGGCCATTTCTTGGCATCAGCCCTTTTGTAAAAGGAAAAATCCAGTGAGTCTATGAGGTTTTTACCCCCCAGGGACAAAGTAATGTTAAAGGTTCATTTTAGGCCAGGCATGGTGGCTCACACCTGTAATTCCAGCACTTTTGGAGGCTGAGACGGGAAGATCATTTGAGGCCAGGAGTTTGAGACCAGCCTGGCCAACATGGTGAAACCCTGTCTCTACTAAAAATACAAAATTAGCTGGGTGCAGTAGCACACACCTGTAATCCCAGTTACTCAGGAGGCTGAAGCACAAGAATCACTCGAACCCAGGAGGCGGAGGTTGCGGTGAGCTGAAATTGCATCACTGCACTCCAGCCTGGGCAACAGAGGGAGACTCCATCTCAAAAAAAAAAAAAAAAGAAAAGAAAAAAGGTTCATTTTAGAGTTATGAATGATTAATTTCCCCCATAGCCTATGCTTTTAAATATGAATTGTTTTGAACAAGGCTTTTAACAGGAGCTGTTTAGCATTCAATTAGAAATTGACTGAATTCTAGGATTCTGCTTTGACAAGAGATCCATATGCTTATTATTTTTAAAATAATTACTAAAGATCTGTAGAAAATAAAGTTGAAGTCTTTCCCTCTGCACCGCATGCTTTTTTCTCACTCCCCGTCTATCTCTGTGAATAATCCATTACTCCAGAGGTTGCCTCTTTTTAACAGTTTTGTGTATATTCTTTTGTGTTTATATAGTTACGTGTAGATATCTGTAAATTTTAATATGATATTTTAAATAAAAGATAAAACAGGCTGGGCACAGCGGCTCAGGCCTATTACCCCAGCACTTTGGGAGGCCGAGGTTGGAGGATCACTTGACTCCAGGAATTCAAGACCAGCCTGGGCAACATAGCGAGACCCCCATCTCTTAAAAAAAATTTAGCTGGGCATGGTGGTGCATGCCAGTAGTCCCAGCTACTCAGGAAGCTGAGGTGGGAACATCATTTGAGCCCAGAAGGTCGAGGCTGCGGTAAGCTATGATCACACCACTGCACTGCACTCCAGCCTGGATGACAGAGTCAGATCCTGGCTCAAAAAAAAAAAAAAAGATAAAGCATATGGCTTTCTTACGTTTTCTAAATAAACATTAAACTTTTTTTAGTCCTGATGTGGTGGCTCACGCCTGTAATCCCAGCACTGTGGGAGGCTGAGGCAGATGGATCACCTGAGGTCAGGAGTTCAAGACCAGTCTGGCCAACATGGTGAAACTTTGTCTCTACTAAAAATACAAAACTTAGCCAGGCATGGTGGCCTGCACCTGTAATCCAGCTACTCGGGCAGCTGAGACAGGAGAATCACTTAAACCCGGAAGGTGGAGGTTGCAGCGAGCTGAGGTCACAGCATTGCATTTCAGCCTGGGCAACAAAGCAAGATTCCATCTCAAAAAAAAAAAAACATTAAAACAAAAATGTCATACCATATTAACTATAATTTTGCAAATTGTGTTTTCTTTTTTTTTTGAGATGGAGTCTTGCTCTGTCGCCCAGGCTGGAGTAGTGGTGCAATCTTGGCTCACTGCGACCTCTGCTTCCCGGGTTCAAGCAATTCTCCTCCTTTAGCCTCCTGAGTAGCTGGGATTACAGGCATGCACCACCACACCTGGCTAATTTTGTATTTTTAGTAGAGACGGTTTCACCATGTTGGTCAGGCTGGTCTTGAACTCCTGACCTGATGATCCACCCGTCTTGGCCTCCGGAAGTGCTGGGATTACAGGCATAAGCCACCACACCCCATTTTGCAAATTTTGTATTCATTGAATTATAGATCATGGATATTTTTTCCATGTGAGTATAAGTACTTCTAACTCATTCTTTAACAGCATCACAAATACTGTGCCCAAAATGACAAGCATTACAAGTAGCAAAATTGAAAAACTGATAAATATATAAGGACCTAACTTGTTTTTTTATCTAAGTAGCAGGTCATTCAGCCTCTGACTGGAGCAGATTTTGGGAATACCCAAAGGCAAGGCCAAAATTTTCCTTAGGAAGTAACTTTGTGTCTGTTAAAATATTTGGATGTATTCCAAGTTAAAGACTTCCAGTTAACCTAGAGAGGGCAGAGGGAATAATTTGTTCCTAGAGACTTGATAGGAAAATCTGCCAGTGTCAAGTTTTCAGGCAAACAATGTATTTAAAATGTATTAAAGGTAGAGAATATTTTAAATGTTTTCTTCTTGGTCTTTACATTTTATATATATATATATACACACATATATATGTACATATACATATACACATGTACATGTACACATATATACATATATACACATACATGTATGTACATATATGTACATATACATATATACACATACATGTGCATATATGTATACATATGTGTATATATGTATACATGTGTGTACATATCTGTATATATACGTATATATGTATACATTTATACGTATATATGTGTATATATGTTGTTTTCAAATCAGTTGATATATGCAAAATTGCTAACAAATGCAAGTTGTATTCGTAACCTAATTTTTAAAGCAATTTTATTCTAGGTGTTACTAAGAGTACTGTATTTGAATATTGATGTTATTCATGAATGCCTCTATTATTTTCAGTTTGTATTCTGTTTCAGTTTTTAAATACTTCTCCTTCAGGGATCTGATGTGATGTATGCAGTTGAAGTTCCTGGACCCCCTACTGTCTTAGCACTACACAATGGAAATGGCGGTAATCAGGATTTTATTTTTCACAAATCAACTATGTGTTTTAATAGTAAGTGAAAATGGGAAATTGTAGAAAGGACATAAACTAGAATTGAGACAGTTGTCTTTCTGGTAACTTGCCAGTAACTAACAGCACGAGTTATTGAACTTTTAATTCTCCGTTTTTTTCTTTTTTGGGGGGCTGGGGGGCAGGGTCTCACTCTGTCTCCCAGGCTGGCGTGCAGTGGTACAATCTCAGCTCACCACGGCCTCGACCTCCCAGGCTCAAGGGATCCTCCCACCTCAGCCTCCCTAGTACTACAGGCGCACACCACCATGCCCGGCTAGGTTTTTGGTATTTTTTATAGAGACAGGGTTTCGCCATGTTGCCCAGGTTAGTCTGGAACTCCTGGGCTCAAGGGATCCTCTCACCTCAGTCTCCCAAAGTGCTGGGATTACAGGCATGAGCCACGGCACCCAACCTAGTTTCTTCATCTTAAAATTATATAATGGGGAAATGTCTTATCTCTTATAGCTATAAAATTGTGTGAATATATAACCATTCTCAACAATTAAGTTTTATATCTTTTTATAGTACTTTTTAAAATGATATTTTTACATAACAACATTTTAATTTTAAAGAGATTACTAATTGTAGGATAAATATAATATGTTGACTTTAATTATAAGTAGGTGACTCTGGAGAAGACCTTTTGTTTGGGACATCAGACGGAAAACTTGCGCTTATACAGATTACTACATCCAAACCAGTACGCAAGTGGGAAATTCAAAATGAGAAAAAGAGAGGAGGTATGCTTTTCATGTAGTTCAGATTCTGAGGTGTCAATGATTATTAAGTATCTTAAATTATATAATTTATTCTATTTTATCTATTTATACTACATAGCAGACTTAGCAATTCACACCTTGATTTATCTACTATTTGTTTATTTGTCAGGTCTATTATACTATTGGCATAATTTTTTAAAAGTAAGAAATGCTGATAGTAATTTGGTATTGATACGTTTTTATAGGCTAATATCATTTTATGCTAAAATCCAATTTTAATTGGATTTTAATTGTCTGAGGTAATTTAGTTGTTTGAGGTACAGAATTAATTGGAATCTGGGAGTCTTTGTTATGAGGCAAAGAAGAAGTGCAGTGGGTCAGAGAATATTCCTGTTTTCTAAGGAATTTATACCTTTCTAAGGAGAATTTATAACTGATTAGGTAGATAGTGAGATGCCTATGTATATGTTCAGGATGTTCATATATTCATTTATTCCTTCAACAAATACTTATTAGGAGAGACAGAGTAAAAACAAATAAATACATAAGACAGCTTTACCTAGTCACCTGAAGAAAATAAAACAGGGCTGTGTATTAGAGAGTGATGGTAGAAGGAGGAGGGTCACTTTTAGACCACGTAGTCAAAGATAGCCTCTTAGAAGAGGTGAAATTTGAACTGAGATCTGATTGATAAGAAAAAGAGTTAGCAATATGAAGATTTGGGGAAAAAAATGTTTCAGGAAGAGGAAAAAGTAAGTGTGAAAGATTTGAGGTGGAGGTAGATTTGATTCATTTGAGGAACAGTAGGAAGGTCAGTCAGTTTGGCTAAATGCGTTAACATGGCAGGAGATGGAGTCAGAGAGGTAGAGTAGAGCCAAATTGTGTAAGCCTTGGAAAACAGTTTGAATTTTAATCTAGGTGCTGTAGGAAGTCATTAGAAAATTGTCAGTGGGAGTGTGACACTTAATTTACTAAGCCTAAACAAAACAAAGGACACTGGAGAATGGATTGGAGGGGGCGGGGGGCAACAGGTCAAAACTGGAAGCATGGAGACCAGTTAGAAGAGTTATTATAATTTATTCTAGTCTAGGCTAGCTTAGTCTAGGCTATCAGTAGCTGGAAACATAGACAATTTCAGTATATATTGTGGAGGTAGAGAAGATGGAATTTGCTAGCAGTTTTGATATGAGGGGTGGTGAGAAAAAGAAAGAAATCAGATGTGGCCCAGAATTTTTGTCTGAGCAGCTAGGTAGAATAATTTATGGAGATGGGGGAAGACAGAGGGAGGAGCAGTATTGAGGGGGTATGGTAAAGAGGGGAATAAAGAGTTTTGTTTGGGGTATGGAAAGTTTTAGATGCAGATGTCTGTGAGAAGATACCAAATTGAATATATAAGTCTGGAGCTTTGGCCAGAGCTGGAGGGAGATATAAATGTAGGGGCCGTTCTCACACAGATTATATTTAAAGACCTGGAAATAGATGAATGTGGATGGACAAGAGAAGAGCACTTGATTTTGGTCAAAGTTTTTTTGCTCACCATTCTGAGTCGGTATGTGTGTTTTTTTCATTCTTACTTGGCATATACTTGACCATAACTATTAGTCTTCTTAATAACTTATCACATATCTCTTTTTAAAGGTATTTTGTGTATTGACAGCTTTGACATTGTGGGTGATGGGGTTAAAGATTTACTTGTTGGGAGAGATGACGGAATGGTGGAAGTGTATAGTTTTGATAATGCAAATGAACCTGTTCTACGATTTGATCAGGTAAGTTCATTAAAAAAGACTATATGCTTATTATTTGTCAAATTATTATAGAGATGACAGATGGTTTGAATTTTATTAAGTGAAAATATATTAAAATCTTGTGTTTGGTTTAAAATATTGCTATTTTGATGTTATCAGAATCTTCTCTAGACTTCTCTTGTGTTTGAATAATAGACTCTTGCCTTTAAGCAGGATAACAAATTACTTTTTCATTATACTTTAAAATATTATTATAAGTCTCTAAAGTATTAAATATTTTGCCTTAGTTTATAACATATAATGACACTTTATGGGAGTAATATTTATATGTTTGGTTAATATAAGTAAGTCTGTTGTTTTAAAATAATAAGATTTTAGGAATAAACTTCATATTGTTAGGACAGTATCAGAAATAACCTTAAGCAAAATGAAAAAAGTAGCAGTTTCACTCCTACCCACTCAAGGGCTGCCTGTATTAGAAGAAATACTAGATAAAAGTAATTTTAATTCACAAATTTTAAATGTAATTAAACTCATTTATGCCAAGCTATAAAGTTACATAGAGAAGCATTCTGGCATAAATTGAATCTTTAATTTTCATGAACTAGTGTTCACCAATCCAGGGCTTCCCTATCCTGCCTAATATAGGACACACTGAGGCTATTAAACTTAAAGAAAAAAAAGAGTTCACAACTCAGTGTCAACTGAGTCTAATTTTTGGTCTAATTTATCTACTAGTGGTACCTCTCAATCCTAACTTTAACTGCAGTTCAGAAAATACAAGTGGTTTGAAGCACAGGTAAAGTATATCATTTAGAAAATATAGGGATAAAAATGTTACACAGTTGAGTTTATTTTATAGATTGGTTTCAAATTTGTTCATCTTGTTTTGGTGTAAAAAGTCATCCTGCTAATGATGCAGGTAATAGTTTAGGCTTAGAAATAATAATCCATTGTTGATGATCTCCTGCTTTTTCTCATCAGCCCTTTGAGAAACTTTCCTATTCAGACCCCAAGTCTCCTCTTTGACTTTTATTCCAAACCCCAGAAATGTCATAGCATTTACCTGTTCTGCCAGGTCTGGCACTAAGAAATCCTATCCTCTTCCTATTTCTTCTGTCTAATGACAGAGGTCCTGCTTTCAGGTTATGCTTAGGTTGGGAATACTCTGCCTCATCTTGGATTCACATCGTCACTTTCTATGTTGCTTTTCTAATCAGGAGAAGACGTACTGTCTGACACAGTCTGGACTGGTAGATGGTTGATTAATCAAAAAAGGTAGTTAAGGGGTGAATCATAAAAAGAGAAAATATGTATACTTTAAACATTGCATTTTAACTTAAACTTGTATATTCATTTGCCAATATTTTGAGGAAGGACCAAGTTCTTTTTTTTGTAAGTTTAGTTCCATGTTTTCTTACATAAAACTTATCCATACTATATTGCCCAGGATCTCTAATTTCATGGTTATAGGATCATTTCTTTCTTTCTTTCTTCCTTTCTCCCTTTCTTCCCTTTCTTTTCCCCTCCCTCCCTCCCTTCCCTCCTTCCCTCCTTCCCTCCTTCCTTCCTTTTTTCCTTTCTTTTTTTTTTTTTTCCTGCTCCTTGCAGAACAGGGCTACCCCATAGGCAGTGTGCAGAGTAGCCCCGATTTTTTTATATAAGTACATAAGATAAATGAATTTCATTAAAATGTTCTATTAGCAAAAAAGGGTATAGAAATGAACAGTTAGGAAATGAACAGTTTGTAAAAAATTTTTGTAATGTTTTCCAAGTATATTGCATTAAATATACTCTTTAAAGTTGTAATTAATAGTTCCCTGATAAACCACTCAGAAAGTGAGAATGTGCGTGTTTCTATTGGATAAGTAAAACATTCTTCTGCAAGTCAGGTGATTTCCAGTGTTTTGTGTTCAGTAAATTAAAGGAAGATCTAATCAATCTCTCAGATCAATAATAAACAATTTTTTGAAGACTTTATTATACACAACAACTGGACACTTGTTAAAAATGCGGATATTTGACCCCACCTGTAAATCTAACTTTATGTGATTTATTATAATCAAACCTTTGTTACTTGAATTTTCAGGTAATTAGCCTCAGGAACAACTATCATAGCCTAATTTGCAGGATAGCTCAGAGGTTTGCCCCCATAGGGTAGGTGAAGAGTACTAGAATTTTGTTGATTGTCCGGTTTAATGCTAGTGTCCCTTCCTTCCACTCCCTCCTTTAAAACAAAAGTTCTCAGCCTTGCCTGCTAAGAACTACCTACCAGAGTTTTTCAAACTGCTAGTCAAAACCAATTAGTGTGTTGCCAGTGCCGTTTTTAAAAAACAAAATAGAATAGATTAGAACATATCAGAGTATGACACAAATCTTTTAAGTTAGATACATTGCTGTATATGTTTATGTGTGAATGTATACCAGATTGTAATATAAAATTTATATTGCTTGCTTTCCAAATAGCTTGAAAGCCGCTTACCTAGAGTGTTAGTTAAAAACACAGTTTCTGGCCTGGCACAGTGGCTCACACCTGTAATCCCAGCACTTTGGGAGGCCAAGGCAGGAGGTTTGCTTGAGCCCAGGAGTTCAACACCAGCCTGGGCAACAGAGGGAGACCCCATCTCTGCAAAAAATTTAAAAAATTAGCTAGGCATGGTGGTGTACACCTGTAGTCCCAGCTACTTGGAAGGCCAAGGTGGGAGGGTCACTTGAACCTGTGAGGTCCAGGCTGCAGTGAGCCATGATCATGCACTGCATTCCAGCCTGGGCAACAGATCAATGTCCTGTCTAAAAAAAAAACCAAACAAAAACAAAAAACCAGCTCCCTACAATTATTTTAAAAGAAATAAATAAATAAAAAAAAATACAGATTCCTAGTTGAGTTACCTAAGTGGTTGTCAGACAAGTTTGGAAAGTACTGCTTAAAAGATGGTTATTATAAACCCTGAGTCATCTGAAAAAACTTGGTTTCTCTCCACAATAGCAGATTTCCTAAAGATTCCATATAGGTTACCATATTCTTTCTTTATCTAAAAAACTATTTTGAGAATACACATAAGAGATGGTGTATGGAATTCAGATAATAGACTAAACTTAACGGGGTATTTTGCTTTTTGCTTTATGTAATTTTTTTTTATTTTTATTTTTTAGACAGTCTCGCTCTGTCGCCAGACTGGAGTACAGTGGGACGATCTCAGCTCACTGCAACCTCCGCCTTCCGGGTCGAAGTGATTCTCTTGCCTCAGTCTCCCGAGTAGCTGGGAGTACAGGCACGCGCCACCACGCCCGGCTAATTTTTTTTGTATTTTTAGTAGAGATGGGGTTTCACCATGTTGGACAGGACGGTCTCAATCTCTTCACCTCGTGATCCGCCCACCTCGGCTTCCCAAAGTGCTGGGATTACAGGTGTGAGCCACCGCGCCCAGCCTTGCTTATGTAAGTTTTTAAAAAACCTTTCTTTATAAAAATAAACTGGCGGGGCGCTGTGGTTCACGCCTATAATCCTAGCAGTTTGGGAGGCCAAGGTGGCAGATTGCTTGAGCCCACGATTTGAAGACCAGCCTGGAAAACATGGCAACACCCCATGTCTACAAAAAAATACAAAAATTAGCCCAGCGTTGTGGCGCGCACCTCTGGTCCCAGCTACTCTGGGGCCTAAGGAGGGAGGATCGTTTGAGCCCAGGAGGTCAAGGCTGCAGTGAGCTGTGATTGCACCACTGCTCTCCAGCCTGGGTGACGGAGGGAGACTTTGTCTCTAAATAAATAAATAAACTATTTTTGCTCATTAGGTGAGTATATCGTTAGCTGAGTGGTACCCACAAATATACTAGGGTCGTTTTGAATCTTCTTTCCCAAATTTAAAAACACTGAAGTTTCCTGCCATTTGTTCAAGATATTTTGTCTTTCTAATCTGAGTGTCTGCACATAAACATTCAGTAAATATATGTTGAATGTCTGGAGCCAGGGAAAACGTTGTGTGGCTTATTTTAATATATCTGTGGATTTTTTAGTTACTAATGAAGTGCTTGGTCTTAAACTTTTTTAGATGTTGTCTGAAAGCGTCACATCTATCCAGGGTGGTTGTGTAGGAAAAGACAGCTATGATGAAATCGTGGTGTCCACATATTCAGGTAAAGTAAATGATAATAGGTAATTGAAGAAAGAGTCAACAACAAAAAAAATTAAATTTAATAAACTGCTTTTGATGACTCTTTTTAAAAAACAGTTATAGTAGTCCCCCCTTATTCATGGGGAATCCATTCCAAGACCCCCAGTGGAAGCCTCAAACCTCAAATAGTGCTGAACTCTATATATATTATATTTTTTCCTATACCTACATGCCTATGATAAAATTTAACTTATAAATTAGGCATAGTAAAAGATTAACAATAACGAATAATAAAATAGAGCAATTATAACAATATGCTTACATCACTACTCTTGTGCTTTCGGGTCCTTATTAAATAAAGTGAGGTTACTTGAACATAAGCACTGTGATACTACAACAGTTGATCTGATAACTGATTTGGCTTCTAAGTGAACAGTAGATAGGCTGGTAGCAGGTATCATATACAGCAGGTGATATGTTGGACAAAGGGATGATTCACATCATGGGCAGAATGGAGCAGGATGGCATGAGATTTTATCACCCTATTCAGAATGTTGTACAATTTAAAACTTAGGACTTATTTCTGGAATTTTCCATTTAATATGTTCAGCCTACCATTGACTATGGGTTACTAAAATGTAGAAAGTGGAATCGTGGATAAGGGGAGGCTGCTGTATTAGTCAATCACTCTTACTTACAGCATTAAAAACTTTATGGTTAAAAAATAAGGAGAAAATGTAGGCTTCTTGATTTATAAAATAGTTGATATTTGAATAATACTTTTTAAGAGTGTTTAGCATGTCACTCTTACCTTTAAGTATTAAATTATATTCTTTGATTTAAAGAGAAGTACTTATTGAGATTTATTTTATGTTTTGGACTATGTACATGTCTTATAAAAACTTTTTTTTTGAGACAGGGTCTCAAAAACTTGCCAAAACTTGCTTTTGAGTTGGTAATTTTTGCATTCTCATAGTAGTCATGTGAGAGTTTAAATTTCCATGAAAGTAATTTTTAAAAGGCAATTCTTATTTTTCAGCTATTTTTGAAATTGCTAGACTATGTTGACTTATTCCATACTTTAAATCTGTTAAGTAAAAGATTCCCTTCATTATAGTATTACAGTATTTCAGGCAAAAAAAAAATGATATCGTGAAATGCTTAAGTAATTTCTCTGTAGTCTGAATATTTTCCAGCTTGATTTTATGTTTTGTTTTTGAATGAAGTCCTAGGGTTAAGTTAGGCTGATATTGGTGGACAAAGGGGCATGTACATTGGAGTTTCTGCTATACAATGCATAATTTATCTTTTTAACACTAGCAGTACTAAGTGGTGCGTGATTGTAATTCATCTCTACAGGCTGGGTTACAGGTCTGACAACAGAGCCCATTCATAAGGAAAGTGGACCAGGAGAAGAACTAAAAATTAATCAGGAGATGCAGAATAAAATTTCTTCCTTACGGTAACTTTGAGTTTTTTATTTGCTTTTTTAAAAATCTCATGAAGTGTGTGGTTGTTGCTTTTTATTACTTATAGATGCAGTATATTTTATTGGAAGGAATTATGTAATTAATTAGTTTATCACCTTTTAAAATGGAAGTTTACAGTTTCGAGAAAATTAGCGTAAGTGCTGATTAATATTTTGGAGATAGAAATATACTTTTTTGTGTGCCTTATTCTATATTGACATTTTCTTAGGTCAAGGGTTGTGTTTTTCTTTTTTGTGTGTGTGTGTCATAGACACTTGTGTTTTATTTTTTATTTTTCACAGACATTAGAAATCAACACAGATGGCTGTATTATTTCTCATTAACTCTAACGTTTGCTGTTCCTGTGGACCCTTCTGAATCTGTAATGTTGGCTTGTAAATTTTCTTAACCGGAACTGAGTAATTTTGACTCCCCTAGACACAGGAATTGCTTTTATGGTCTGCTCAATTTGACGTGTGCTGTGAAAAGGGGGACCTCAAACTCCAATAAAGGTGCTTCATACAACGAAGACGTGGGAGTTGCTGAAACTTTTAATGACTGCTCTCCCCATTTCAACCCATGCTGACCTTTTGTGGAGTGAAGGATGATTTTTTTCTGGTGGTAGTTGAAGGCTACAGAAACTTTTAAGGCAGCAAATGCCACAAGTACTAGTAGCACAAGCCGTTTCACCAAAGCCACCAGAGAGCAAACTGTAATGTTCATGCAAACAAGTATACCAGATTCATTCAGGATATCCTACTTCATGCAACAAGGATACAAGTATAGTTAATGACTACTCTCTCACATCCTCAATACATTACCTTTTTTTTATAACCAAGTCTACCATTTCTTGATTCCACTGGAATGTAAGCTTTATGAGAAACTTATATCTGATTTGTTCATTTGATACCCAAACACTGCTAGGTACATAGGAGTAAATATGTAATATTTAGCAGTAAATATTTCTTTGATGAATGAATCTTTTCCTTTGTTCATTACACAGATCCCTTCTAAGCTCCTCCCTAGACTTTTCCTCCTAAACTGTGGCTAGTTAAGCCTCATGTTGTTCTATCCCAATGACTGTTTACTCCATTTGCATGTGGCCCTTCCCCTTAACTGGAGCTCTAAGCAATGCTGTAGTTCAGTCTCAGCAGAATCCTCTCTAACTCTTGGTAGTTAAGCCATACCACTGGCTCATGATCATCCTTGTGGTCCCCAAAATGCTAATGCTCTGCAGCTTCCTTTTTATTTTTTATGTCTCCCCTAATGTCTTACTGAAAGTTACGTGTTTACTGGCTTCACACATTTTGTCTCTTTTCATTAAGACTAATATGTTCTGCAATATTAGTTTCTCTTCTCATTAGTATAAGAAGTTTCTCTTCTGATTAGTACTTTATGTAACTGTAACAAGATTCCTGTGTTAAGATTATTTTGTAGCCTACCATGATATTTAAAACTCTCTATTAATATTGCTAGTATGGGAATGAGTAGATATTTTAATTTTGGGGTTAAGGATAAATAATGTGGAATCATTTAGTCAGTCATAGAAGCAAAAATTTTGCTCCCTTTGTTTTTATTTTATTAACTCAACCAATAAAAACCCATTTTGTAAAAGCAAATGTCTCAAATTTTTGTAAACATCCTAACGACCTCAAATGTTTATACTTATATTTGACAAATTTGTATGTGTTTTTCTCCAGGAATGAGTTGGAACATTTGCAGTATAAGGTATTGCAGGAAAGAGAGAATTATCAACAGTCTTCTCAATCAAGCAAAGCAAAATCAGCAGTACCTTCCTTTGGTATAAATGATAAATTTACACTAAATAAAGATGATGCCAGTTACAGCCTTATCTTAGAGGTACAGACTGCAATAGATAATGTCTTAATACAGGTAAGCAAAATGTCTAATTTCTTAGTTTTATGACTGGATCTATTTTGCAAACCAGTCATATGTACTAATTATTATTGAACATTTTTAGTTTTAGACAGTAATTTTATTTTATTTTTATTTTTATTTTTATTTTTTTGAGACAGAGTTTTACTCTGTCACCTAGACTGGAGTGCAGTGGTGCGATCTCAGCTCACTGTAACCTCCGACTCCCAGGTTCAAGTGATTCTCCTGCCTCAGCCTCCCGAGTAGCTGGGACTACAGGTATGTGCCACCACACCTGGCTAATTTTGTATTTTTAGTAGAGACGGGGTTTCACCATGTTGGCCAGGCTGGTCTTGAACTCCTGACCTCTGGTGATCCACCCGCCTCGGCCTCACAAAGTGCTGGGATTGCAAGCGTGAACCACCCCACCCAGTCATAGACAGTAATTTTAAATGTTTATGGCCTTTTATTCTTCCTTTAGATAATTGGTTTGCTCACAGATTATTTGAATTATATTTTTACTTTTTATTTATGTACTTAACAAACAAAAGATGGGCTTCAGTTTTAAGAAGAGTTAGAAAAGACAGTAAGGTTTTTCTTCTTTGGCTACCCTCTGGGAGAATCTTAACAGAGATGTGACTTAGAAAACTACCATATTTAATGCCCTTGCTAGAACATTTTTTTTTAAAGCCCCAAACATTAAAGTACAGCTTGCTCATTAACCCAACAGTTTCTGGTAGGTCAACAGGCAAAGTAGAGAATACTAAAGGGTGAAATTTAGGGATAATAATATATGACTCCATTCATCAATGTATATATTTACTGACTTATTTAAATTAGAAGGTATTCAGGAAGTAGAAAAGAATAATAGGATGAATAGAAAACAAACAAAAGGTAGTAAACCAATCACAAAATGAGAACATAACAAATTGGAGGAAGAAAAGGTTTAAAAAGATGTAATGGAGAGATCAGATTATTAAAAAAAAAACCTAAAGGCAGAAAACTCTCTTAAGTAATGCTAGCTCACGGGCTGTTGCATTGAACAACTCTAGGAATGCCATTCACATAGGACAGTGCAACAGCTTTGTCCTACAAACTGCCTCTCCAGAGGAGACCAAAAATTATCTTCTTTCTGTGTTACAGGTAAAATTAAAACTGATAAAAATGAACTGATACAATCAGAATGGCCATGTGATTATTTATAGCTCATGGTAACATTTTTAGCACTTTATAAAAATAAGTGGGATGATTGGACTTTTAAGGGGGTGGTGAGAGATGTTATTCTGTGATTTTTATAATCCAAGTTAGAAAAAAGCAGGTGATTGTAAAATAACATTTATTCTTTATTATATTTATTTTCTGGAAGTATATACTATCAAGTATAAGTTAAGAGAATTCATACTCTCAAATTTAAAGATGAATATAAACTAGAACTAAGGAGAACTCTTAGAGAAAACATAATTTATGAACATTTTTAGGTTTTCCATCTCAACCTTCTTTTTTTTTAATATTGACTATAGAGTGATGTTCCAATAGATTTACTTGATGTGGATAAAAATTCTGCTGTTGTTAGCTTTAGCAGCTGTGATTCTGAGGTGAGTAAAAATATAAAAGAATTCTTCACATGCTTTCATTTCTATTATGCCATTTTGATTAAAGTCTATAGATGCTGCTAGGTTTTGATGTTTCTTTTTCAATTATTTCTTATGTAACCTTTCCTTCAAAATCTGTGTCGGTTCTCTTTCCCTGTCCTCAGTCGAGAAACCTGATGTCCTAGATTCCTTCTTTTCTGTGATCTGTTACAGGTTGATATCCCTTATGTGAAATGCTTGGGACCAAGAAGTATTTTGGATTTTGGATTTTTTTCAGGTTTTGGAATATTTGTTTTGTATTTACTGGTTCAGCACCCCAAATTTGAAAATCTGAAATCTGAAATGCTCCAATGAGCGTTTCCTTAAAGTATTATCTTGGCACTCAAAAAGTTTAGAGTTTTGGAACATTTTAGATACTCAGTTTGGGAATGTTCAGCCTATATATCCAATTAGTCACTAGTTTCTGTCAGTTCTACCTCCATGGCTTTCATACTTCCACTTGGCTTCATTCCTACCCCTGTTAACTTAGTCCAGGCCCTTATCATGTCTTGCTTGAACTACTTTATAAGTTTCTCTGCCTCTAGTCTTGCCTCTGACTTCTAGGATATGCTGTATGTACACTACCACCAGAGACGTCTTCCTTCCTAAAACACGAACATCACTGTATCTTTCTTTTCTCAAAACCTTTTCAATATTCCTGATTTCCTGCTAGATATAAATATAGATTCCTTATTGTGGCATAGAAAACTTTCCATGATTCAGCTCTTGATTACATCTCTAACTTCTCTCTCACCGGCTGCTACCACCCCTCCCATGCACATTATTTCTGCCAAACTGAAGTTCTTAAAATTCCTGAAAATGCTATATAGTTTCACACATCCCTGCATTGGAACATGATCTGTTGCTTCCCCCGCTCTTCCTGCCCTGCCCCACTTTTTCTAGGCTTGTTGAATGCATACTAAACTTCATTCAACAGACTTTTATTGAGCACTTAACGTGCACAGTACCTGAGATGATCACGTCAGTGCTTTTGGACATGCTTACTGTATCACTTCTTTCTGCTTAGTACTAGCCGATAAGCAGTCTCAGAGCTAGGTGTGACTCCTGAAGAGAAGTCAAGGTATAGATAAGGTTTGGATTAATTGCATTGTAGAAGGCAAGCCAGAGCAGGAGGAGATGGTAACTGGAGTTGGTGGTTAGTTATATTAATATATATTTTATTTTATTTATATGCATTGGCACTGTTGCAGAATATATTTTATTTATTTGGTTTTTGTTATTTATTTACTTTTTTAAGACATGGTCTCGCTCTGTTGCCCAGGCTGGAGTGCAGTGGCGTGATCATGGCTCGCTGCAGCCTCGACCTCCTTGGCTCAAGCAGATCCTCCCACCTCAGCCTTCCAAGTAGCTGGGACTACAGGCACAAGCCACCATGCCTGGCTGATTTTTAAATTTTTTGTAGAGACAGGGTCTTCCTATGTTGCCCAGGCTGGTCTCAAACTCCTGGGCCTAAGTGATCCTCCCACCTCAGCCTCCCAAAGTGCTGGGATTATAAGCATGAGCCACCACGTCTGGCCTTATATATATATTTTTAAAAAGGAGGAATAAAAGAGTAGATAAAGTAAAATATTGATAGATAAAAGAATAATTTTCTTTTTCTTTTTTTTTTTTTTTTTTTGAGATGGAGTCTCACTCCTCACCCAGGCTGGAGTGCAGTGGCACAATCTCAGCTCACTGCAACCTCCGCCTCCCAGGTTCAAGCAATTCTCCTGTCTCAAGACTCCCAAGTAGCTGGGACTACACGCACACGCCACCACACCCGGCTAATTTTTGTATTTTTAGTAGAGATGGGTTTTTGCCATGTTGGTCAGGCTAGTCTTGAACTCCTGACCTCAGGTGATCCACTGGCCTTGGCCTCCCAAAGTGCTGGGATTACAGGTGTGAGCCACTGTGCCCAGCCTGTTTTTCAATATAACTTCATAGTAAAAATTTTATTTTTAATAAGCGATTTTATAACAGTTGTATTATATTATCAATATGTGGTTTGTCGTTCCTGTTTGAGAACAAAACACAAAAGATATGGCCTACATTTTTATGATTATTTAGAAAATCAGTAAACTTAAAACAAACTTAAAATCTTTGATTCTTAAGTTACTATGAAAGATTAATCTGTTTTAATTACATCACTGAAGGATTCTTTGAAATGACTATTTGATACTAATTTAAAATATATTTTCTAGGACAATGGCTTTAAAAAAACGTATGGAGGTTTCAAGTATACACAAAAGTAGAAAGACTAGTATAATAACTTGCATGTACCCATCACTAATTTTCAACATATGGTTAGTCTTTTTTTTTTTTAAAAGATGGGGGTCTTACTGTGTCACCCAGGCTGGAGTGCAGTGGCGTGATCATAGCTTATTGCAGCCTGAAACTTCTGGGCTTAAGCTTATCTTCTTGTCTCAGTCTCCTGAGTACGTAGGACCATAGGCATATGCCATGATGCCCAGCTAATTTTTTTTATTTTTTATTTTTTGTAGAAATGGGGCCTCACTTTGTTGCCCAGGCTGGTCTTGAACTCCTAGCTTCAAGCTGTCCTTCCACCTTCCAGCCTCCCAAAGTGCTGGGATTACAGGTGTGAGCCACCATGCCCAGCCCAGTCATTTTTTCATGCTCTTCACCCTCTCCTTCCCACTCCCAAACCTCATCCCAAACATGTTATCTGTATCATTTATTGATAAACACTGTAGTATATAACGTTTGCTTTTAATCATACAAGAACACATTTACGGCTTGGCACCGTGGCTCATACGTGTAATCCCAGCACTTTGGGAGCCCAAGGCAGGTGGATCACTTGAGGCCAGGAATTCAAGACCAGCCTGGCCAACATGGTAAAACACCCTCTTTACTAAAAATACATAACAAGTAGCTGGGTGTGGTGGCATGCACCTGTAGTCCCAGCTATTTGGGAGGCTGAGGTATGAGAGTCAGTTGAGCCCAGGAGGCAGAGGTTACATTGAGCTGAGATCACACCACTGCACTCTAGCCTGGGCAACACAGCAAGACTCTGTCTCAAAAAAAAAAAAAAAGAATATATTTACTTTTAAATTGATCAGTCCTCTCTGTTGAGTTTAAATGATTTGAAATTGAAATGTTTGAGTTTTATATTTTATATTACCATCCTTTTTATTTCTTTGATTATTTAATAAAAATAGAGAAATAGCAGTCTCAAAAATTACATATAAATTATCTTATGTTGCTGTGTCTCTTTTTGTAATCCATGAACCTAGCTACATTTCTCTATTTCTAGTAGTTTAATATTCAATTTCAAGAAGTTATAATATTTGAAAAAACTCCTCTAGGTTAGTTCAACAAACATGTATTAAGCACTTACAGTATGCCAGGCACTGTGCCATTTGCTGGGAATACAGAGAAGAGATATTTCTCTTTCCTGTATAAGTATTTGTGAAAAATCTAAGAGATTCAATATTAAACTCTGGTGTATGTGCCTTTACAGTATAAACATTTTGTATTAGTCCATTTTCACACTGCTGATAAAGACATATCCAAGATGGGACAATTTACAAAAGAAAGAGGTTTATTGGACTCACAGTTCCACCTGGCTGGGGAGGCCTCACAATCATGGCGGAAGGTGAAAGGCACATCTCACATGGCGGCAGACAAGAGAAAATGAGAGCCAAGAGAAAGGGGTTTCCCCTTATAAAACCATCAGATCTTATTCACTACCATGAGAGCAGTATGGGAGAAAATGGCCCCATGATTCAATTATCTCCCACTGAGTCCCTCCCACAACACATGGGAATTATGGCAGTACAATTCAAGATGAGATTTGAATGGGGACAGAGCCAAACCATATCACATTTGGTGTTTGCATTGTCAGATTTTTAGAAGAATTCTTAATGTTTAAAAATGTTATTGTAAAAACTCAAGATGGAAAGAGCATGAGCTTTCGATAGGAATTTGAATTCCAGTTTCATCACTTAATGGCTTTTATTTAACTCCTCATAACCTCAGTTTCTTCATCTGTTAAAATTTAATTAGTAAAACTTAGTGCATAGAGTTTTTGTAAGTGTAAGTTAGAACATGTTTGAAAAGCGCTGAGCACCAATGACAGGTGCTTAAGCAAATGGTAACCATTATTATTATTGATGTCTTTTTTTTGTTGCTAAAAACATGGATTCATTCTTTTCCTCCACTTTGTATTCTTCCCAGTCAAACGACAACTTCCTTCTTGCCACTTATCGGTGCCAGGCAGATACTACAAGGCTGGAACTCAAGGTAAAAATATTAGAAATTACCTTTACTTGAATGTTTGAATTTCCTTTTTCCTGCTGGTATGTCTTACAACATATGATATTATTTGTTTGCATTTAATTTCTCCCTGAAATGAATTGTTTGGAGTAATGAATTTTGAATGACCAGTTAGGATGTAATTTAGCCCACACCACAATCTCTGCTATTACTTCTTAATCACCTTCTCTAAAATTATTGATTTTATTTTTTAAATAGAAACTGGATTTTGCCATGTTGCCCAGGTTGGTCTCAAACTCCTGAGCTGAAGCAATCCACATGCCTCAGCCTCCCAAAGTGCTGGGATTACAGGGGTGAGCCACCATGCCCGGCCTAAAATTATTGGTCTTAAAGTTTCCTCTAACTGAAAAATTTTTTTCAAATTTTCTATTATAGAAAGTTTCAAACATTTATAAAAGTAATTAATCCCCATGTATTAATCACACAGCTTCAGCAATGATCAACTCATGGCCACTTTATTTATGCTATTCATTTACTACCCTAAAATATTTTGAAGCAAATACAAGATATTCATAATTTCATTTAATGTGTCTAAGATAGGTACTCTCTTTTTTTAAAACATAACTACAACACTATTATCACACCTAAGAAAAATCAACAATAATTTTTTAATATTATAAAATATTTAATGTTCAGATTTTACTGATTTTTGTTTTACAGCTTGTTTAATCCAGTCATCTTTTTTTTTTTTTTTGAGATGGAGTCTCGCTCTTGTGCTCTTGTCACCCAGGCTGGAGTGCAGTGGCATGATCTGGGTTCACCGCATCCTCCACTTCCCAGGTTCAAGTGATTCTCCTGCCTCAGCCTCCTGAGTAGCTGGGATTACAGGTGCCCACCACCACACCTGGCTAATTTTTGTACTTTTTTTTTTTTTAGGGACGGGGTTTTGCCACGTTGGCCAGGCTGGTCCTGACAGTCATCTTCTAAATTAACTTAGTTATTAAAGTATCTGGGCATTCACCATATATTTTCCTACCATCTGAATTTTGCTGATTGCATTCCAGTGATATCATTTATTACCATACATTCTAGAGAAAACCTTTTAAAGTTTTCTCTAGCAATTTAATGACATAGTCATTTTCATAATTAAATACTTACCATAGCACACAAATCTGTTTTAGTTATTTATAGTGGGATTAGTTTTGATAGACCTATTATCTAAAAATTAAGCACTATAACTTTTTTCCTGGTGTTGCTGATGTTTTGAAACTCAAAGGTTTTTTTTTTTTTTTTCAAGAGAGATGCTGTTACACAATATTTGTTTCACATCTGGTTAAGGAAGTTCCAGTTAAATATGATTTTTCCCCTAAACAATTCATTTTGGTCTGCATACATTCCCTTTTATGTACTTTGAAAGAAAAATGGAAAACTAGGATAAATTTATTTCTAAAAGAAAAAACACATTTAAACATTTTACATTGAGCAAGTTTCTGCTAATAAATTCAAAAGTCAAGTAAAAATTGATTAAAAGCAATGTTTCTCTTTTTTTTTTTTTAGATGGAGTCTTGCTCTGTCGCCCAGACTGGAATGCAGTGGCACAATCTTGACTCACTGCAACCTCCACCTCCCTGGTACAAGTGATTTTCGTGCCTCAGCCTCCCTAGTAGCTGGGATTACAGGCATGTACCACCATGCCTGGCTAATTTTTGTATTTTAGTAGAGACAGGGTTTCACCATGTTGGACAGGTTGGTCTCGAACTCCTGACCTCAGTTGATCCACCTGCCTTGGCCTCCCAAAGTGCTGGGATTATAGGTGTGAGCCACCACGCCCAACCGTCTTCCTCTTTTTTTAATTGGATATACTAATTTTAATGTATAGAAGAAAGACAAAATGCCTGAAAAGAGCCAAGAAAATTATGAAAAAGAAGAAAAGTAAGGTGGAACTTGCTTTGCCATATGATAAAACATACCATAAAACTACCATAATAAAAATAATGGAGGATATTTCCAAGCCTAAATAAATAGGCCATGCAACAGAATAATCTGGAAATAGAACCCAGAATATATTTCACATTTATGGGAATTTAGTGCATGACATTTCTATTTTAATAGAAGAGAACACTTCTATTAAATCACTATTTCTATTTAAAAATTGCTGTTGGCACAACTGGCATCCATCTAGAAGAAAATTAAATGAATTATTATCTTAAGCCATATATAAAAAATAAATTCAGATGAATTAAGTACCTACTTATTTAAAGAAAGAAGACTTCATTGTCTAACCGATAATAGGTAATTGTCAATAACATATAAACAGCCTACTGTTACAATAAAAACCACCGAGTAAGGAAAATAGGCAAAGGATATGGATAGGCAAGTCACAGAAGAGAAGATTGGGCACAGTGGCTCACGCCTGCAATCTTAGCACTTTGGGAGGCCAAGGCAGGCGGATCACTTGAGGTCAGGAGTTCAAGAACAGCCTGGCCAACATGGTGAAACCCTATCTCTACTAAAAGAAACAATAAAAAAAATTAGCTGGGCAGGGTGGCACACATCTGTAATCCCAGCTACTTGGGAGGCCGAGGCATGATAATCGCTTGAACCCAGGAGACGGAGGTTGCAGTGAGCTGAGATTGTGCCACTGTACTTCAGCTTGGGCAATGGAGTGAGACTCTATCTCAAAAAAAAACAAAAAAAACCCAAAACACAGAAGAGGGAATCAAAATAGCTAACAAACAAAAAAGTTCTACCTCATCTTTAGCCAGAGAAATTCAAATTCAAATAACAAAAAGCAGTTTCTTCTTATCCAACAGATTGGCAAAAAATGTTAAAGAACAACATCACTAGGGGGCAAGGATGAAGAAAATGACACTGTCAGTCATAGCTGGTGGAAATATAAGTTGTTACAGCCACTTAGGAAAATAGATATTAGCTCCTTTGGGGGAATCTATTAATGGCAATAAAATAGCAGTAATATACATAACAGACATGAATATAATTAATTGCAGCATTGCTTGTAGAAGCAGAAAAGTAGAACTAAGGTGAATACTCATTAATGATTGAAGGGTTGAATAAATAGCTATTTATCCATATCTTGGAATATTATACAGCTACTATAAAGAATGAGTTGATTTATACATGTTAACATGGAGGGAATTCCATAAAACACACAAAATGCTGATAAAACCTCTATGTATAATTTGAATATATTTTTATCTATAATGATATAAATATGAAGAAATGTATGAAAAGAAACACACCTGTCTGATATAGCCAGTTATACAATATGAGGAGGCATAAGTGGGATGGGAGGAGCAGGGAGGTGATGGTAATAGGAGAGGCAGAGATAAGGGGGAAAATGTGAATATTGGAAATGAAAGCAAAGATGTCTGATATCCAGTAGAACTTAGTCATGTGAAATGATATATTAAACTAGGTCCTTCTCTTAAATTAGATCTTCCTAGCTTAGTGAATTACTATTTCCTGTTAAGTATGTTGAATTCTCAGGATATCCGGCCAGTCATATTCAAAATAGCCCAAAAGAATTTCCAGTCCAAATATGCCATAGATTATAGGTATGCATCTCTATTTTCACAGAATGTCAACAATTAAGTTATTTGAAACAATTTTTCTGTCAATAGATTTTTATAATAACAGCTATATGCTAAATACTCTCTTTTTTTGTACATGTACGTAGAGAGACGTATGGAAGCATAACTACCAAAGTAGTAATAGTGATCATCTGGGGTGGGAGGATTGCAGGTGACTTACATGTTTCTCCAGATTTTTCTTTATTGTTTGAATTTGTGAATAAGGAATATTAATTGTTATACTGATTATTACAAAATAATTTTTCATATAAAATTGTTATGTCCTATATTAAAGCTTTTTTTCTTATGGAAAAAAATCTCTGCCAATATGAGCTTATTACTGTTTAAAAATCAACACCAAAATATAAGTTTATCAGATCTATTTTTTGTTTTCTTTCTGTACTTATTATCTTTTCTTATCCTCTTCCTTGTCAGCAATATTCACAGTGCAACATTTGCAAAAAATCTTGCTTAAACTTTTAAAATATTTCCCACTTAGGTCAAATGTTGATATTTTCCCCCTCATGCCATGAAAAGTATGAGTTAAAGTATTAATTAGATTAGAGAAGTTACCTTTGTGTAGTACAAGATGTACTACAGTCTGTCCCATGAATTGGAACAGAGTGGGACAGGAGAAAGAAGCTGGACAGCTTTCCAACTCCTCTTAAATTAGGTCTTCACATATTAGTGAATTTTAAGTACTTGATAACTTATGTTGAACATTCTAAAGATATGTTTTGTTGCTAAATATTCTTATTTTATTTCCTCTTTTGTGTTGAATCAGATTCGCTCAATTGAAGGCCAGTATGGCACACTACAAGCATATGTGACTCCAAGAATTCAACCCAAAACCTGTCAGGTCCGCCAGTACCACATCAAACCTCTTTCACTCCATCAAAGAACTCACTTTATTGATCATGACAGGTAGGACAAAGGAAAGAGCAAATTCTTTTTAGGATATTACACAATTCAAATAGACCTGTTTTTTATTTTTATAGTGTAAATTCTGTTAGCAATTTCTACTTTTAAAAATTAAATAAACAGTTTAAATATTATAGATTTAATATTTCCAATAAATATAAGATTCTTTGTCTTATTTTAGAGGCTGGTTTGAGTTGGACTTTCCCATCTTTCTCATATATTACTATTCTGGGATTATTAGAATAGCAGTTCTCTTTCTCAGATACTTAATGTGAGAGCAAATACTGTTTAACCTTTAGATAGTATAATAGTTCTCTGTGAATAGGACCTCATTGTATCAGCCTCAAATATTATATTTCCTTTATATTTCTTCTCAGGATAAAGAAAAATCAGATAAAGCAATTGGTTGTGATAGTGCCTTTTATTTCCATGCCAACTTAGGCATCCACTTCTTTGTAGTTTTTCAGAACATGAGCTTAAAGAGAAGGGAAAGAGATGAACAATTACTGATTACTTTCTTTGTGCCATGTATTATGCTAGGAGCTTATGTAGTATTTAATTCTTACAGCAAGACAGGTAATAATGTCTCCATTTTACAAATGAGAAATGGAGGCTTAGAAAAGTTAAGTAACTTGCTGATAAAAGGACTAAAGCTATGAATTGAAGCCAAAACCCATATTCTTTATATTGCTGCCTATAATTTAAAATATATAATTTCAATAAGATGTAAGACAGACTATTCCTAAAGAAGATTTTTTGGAAACATTTAAGAGAACAGACTCTTTCTGTCTTGCTTAAAAGTCAAGGTTGTACTAATGGAGGCAGCATGGTATGCTAGAAAGAACAGCAAATTGGGAATCAAGAGACTTGGATTACAATCTGTTCCTGTCTGACTTTGGGGGGATAATTTAATTTAGCCTCTAGGTTTTAGTTTTTTCATCTGCAAATGACAGGATTGGTCCGAACTTTTCATTTCATAAACTGCATTTTCTTAACTCTTTATAATTATCCATCTGATTTATTTTAAATTAGATTTATTTTACAGTTTTTTTAATGTTACTTTAGGGTGTGCTTTTGCAAGATAGAAAGTATGATCCCATATTTCAGGAAGATAGAAGGTATTATTCTATAAGTTGTCCAATGGCACAGAGCTAGTAAATAATGGAACAACCCATGCCTGTCTTACTCAAAAGCCCAATTCTTTGCCTTCACACTATACTGATTATTTCCCTAATGAGATCCTTGTATAAGTATGTTTTGTAGTTTATGTAGTAGAAATACTAGATAAGCTTTTTTAAAATGAGGGCTGGACGTGGTGGCTCACACCTGTAATCCCAGCACTTTGGGAAGCTGAAAGAAAAATTGCTTGAGCCCTGGAGTTTGAGACCAGCCTGGGCAACATAGTAAGACCTTGTCTCTATAAAAATAAAAAAATAAAAAAATAAACTTTTTAAAAATGAAATATACCCAAATAAATGAAATTTTATTTGAAAAGCATGTTATAATGAATAAAACCTGTTTACATATATCACTTAACTGATACTTAGCACAGGTGCAGGTATAGGTAAGTGTTCGATTTTTTTTCATGAAATTGAAATGTTCATTTATTTGACGTATAAGATTAATCTGAGAAAATTGAATGTTTTCATTTATATTTAACAACTATTACAAAATTCTGCTTATTAACGTGTACATATAATACTTTCATGTATTCCCACACATAAATGTGCGCCTCTACTATTATATTACAGACCCATGAATACACTGACCCTAACAGGCCAGTTCAGTTTTGCTGAAGTTCACTCCTGGGTGGTTTTTTGTCTGCCTGAAGTTCCAGAAAAACCTCCAGCAGGAGAATGTGTGACATTTTACTTTCAGAACACCTTTCTAGATACACAACTTGAAAGTACCTACAGGTAAATCTAACTTATTACTGGTTCACAAGTGTTGTTTTATATAAATGTAGCTTCTAAGTTTTCCTTTAAGTTAGGAGTTATTTGTGAGTAATCTGATTGAAAATCTATACTGTTCAAGATAATCTATTGAAAAATCAAATTAGTAAGTTTAGAAAAGTGATTGAGTAAAGATGTATATGCAAAGATCAATATATTTCCTAAGTTCCCAACAATAACAATAACAATAACTAGTGAGAAAATAAATTATTTAAAAAGAGCCCTTCAGAGTAGCAATAACAATAACAAAATAGCCAGATAAAATCTGTAGGAATATTCTTAATTAGAAATATGTAGAAGTTACATGAAGAAAACTGTAAGATTTTATTGACATAAACGACTTGATTAAATGGAGTAATATATTCTATAGTCATCAATATGAAGACATTGTAAAAGATGACAGTCCTACCCAAATTGATTTGAATATTTATCCTAATTCCAATAAAAACTCCAGTTGAATTTCTTTATGCACAAATATAACATGGCTTAGAACTTCAGGGCTTAGAAAATGCAGGCTTTTTGTAGCTATCCTGATATGGTGCGGAGGTCATTATATTGTTCTATACGCTTCTCAAGCTTCTAGTTGCACCCCTCGCTCCTCCACCATCACTTCTAACTCATCTTCTATAAGCTCCAATAATTCCTCTCAACTTCTCAATATAGTAGAAACTAAACTTTTCCTTCCTTTTTTTAACCTGTCTCTGAATGTGAAATGGCCTACTTCTTGGGCAAGGCCAATATCTCTACCTCTACCCATTAAGCTTGGATCCTCCTGCTTCTTCAAAGTCTTTGCATTCTCATTCTCACATCTGTAGGTTGTTTTTTGTTTTTGTTTTTTTGTTGTTGTTGCTGTTTGTTTTGTTTGTTTGTTTTGAGACAGGATCTCACTCTGTCACCCAGGTTAGAGTGCAGTGGCATGATCTCGGCTTACTGCAGCCTTGACCTCCCACCTCAGCCTCCTGAGTAGCTGGGACCACAGGCATGCACCACCATGCCCAGCTAATTTTTTTATTTTCTGTAGACAGGGTTTCACCATGTTGGTCAAGCTGGTCTCAAACTCCTGAGCTCAAGCAATCCTCCTGCGTTGGCCTCCTAAAGTGCTGGGATTATAGGCGTGAGCCACCACACCTGGCCTGTAGGTTGTTTGTTTTGTGTGTGTGTGTGTGTGTGTGTGTGTGTGTGTGTTTTTGTTTTTTTTGCTTTGTGTTATTTGTCTGGGAGAGAGCTCATTATTCTTTCTCTGCCTCTGCCTCTTAAGGTTCTTTCCCTAAGCAGATTATTGTGGTTTTCTCCTAAGTTCTAAAAACTTAGCATGGTAAAGTCTCAACTAGAGAGCAAGAAGTAGAATACCTCTTGCTTCTCTTGTTATTTTAGGATAATAACAGTATTATTCTAAAAACATAATTTTACCTCAGAATTCAGCCTTTTAGAACCAAGAACTCTTCAGAAATCTAATTGGTTTTTAACATCCATTCTGTGGAGGTTTTTCACTGTACCGTCCAAGGAAGCTTATCTGTGTCTAAACCTGTAATAATTACTCCCATTTTGAAGTACCACAATGAACCTCACACATTAATCATAGCAGACAATTCAACATGCCCCTAGCATATTATATACTTTTATAATAGCAGACCTTTGCTCTTTTATCATTCTGTGTCTTTGAGTATTTTTTCTTAAGATTCAAAACTGTTTATCCTTTAAGGTCCAACTTAATAGCTACTTTTTTTTTTTTAAGAGAGTCTCACTGTGTTGCCCAAGCTGGTCTCAAACTCCTGGCTTCAAGCAATCCTCCTGCCTCAGCCTCCCCAGTAGCTGGGATTATAGGTGCAAGCTACTGCATCCTGCAGTAGCTACATTTTTGAAGCCTTCTTTGATTCTCCCTTGATTCTCTTCTCTGTTTCCATAGCATTTTTTCTTACTTGTCTGTGATATTTATTGTTATCTGCTTAAAGTATATAATAATTTTTTATTTTTTATTTTATTCTTTTTTTGAGACAGAGTCTTGCTTTGTTGCCATTCTGGAGTGCAGTGGCACGATCTTGGCTCACTGCAACCGCCACCTCCTGGGTTCAAGTGATTCTCCTGCCTCAACCTCCCGAGTAGTTGGGACTACAGGCATGTGCCACCACGCCCAGCTAATTTTTGTATTTTTAGTAGAGACTAGTTTCACCGTGTTGGCCAGGATGGTCTTGATCTCTTGACCTCGTGATCTGCCTGCCTCAGCCTCCCAAAGTACTGGTATTACAGGCATGAGCCACCAAGCCCGGCCTCTAATAATTTTTATACAAACTTATTTCTCTAAGTTAAACTTTATTTTCATGGACAGTCTAATTTTAAATATCTTTGTATGTAGCCTGCAAGGACCTAAAACATAGTTTTGCACATAATAGGTACTCAACAGATGTTTTTCGGATGCCTGAATAAAATATATGTGTATGGAGGTAGTGTAGAAGTATGTGCTTTGGAGGCAGATGTACTAATGTTTCAATCCTGGCTCTGTGACTTACCAGCTGTGTGACCCTAGCTGGTTGCTTAACTCTCTGAACTTCAGTTTTCTTTTCTGAGGAATGAAAATAATAGCACTTACTTTATTGAATTGTTATGATGATTAAAAGAAGATAACCATTTGAGTCATTCTATAGTACCTGGCACTATGTGTTTACTAAATATCATCTGTTAAGATTAAAGACTAATAGAAATGTCATGATTTCTAAAACATAATTGAGATCAAAGTAGTAAGGGTGTATTATTTATCTTTCTAGAAAAAAAAATTATCTTTTTTTTTATTTGTTTTGAGACAGGGTCTCACTCATCAGCCCAGGCTGGAGTGCAGTGTCTCAATCTCAGCTCACTGCAACCTCCTCCTCCCAGGCCCAAGTGATTCTAATGCCTTAGCCTCCTGAGTAGCTGGAATTTTAGGAGTGTGCTACCACGCCTGGCTAATTTTTGTATTTTCAGTAGAGACGGGTCTCACCATGTTGGCCAGGTTAGTCTCGAACTCCTGACCTCAAGTGATCTGCCCGCCTTGGCCTCCCAAAGTGCTGGGATTACAGGCGTGAGCCACCACAACGGACCAAAGCAATTATCATTTGCATATAGCTAGTTGGTATACATCATTTGTGTGTGTGTGAAAACCAAATGAAAAGGTAACATTAACTATATGAAAGATGATATATATTAATTAGGAAACTTGGTCATCGTAAAAAGGAACCAAATGCAAGCAGCTTAACCAAATAAAATAAATTTATCGGCTCACATAACTTAAAAGTCTAGCAGTAATCTGCCTCACGCACAACTGGATCAGTGGCTTAATTGATGTCATCAAGATTTTATCCCTTGTTCAGTTCTGCTTTTATCTTTTCTTGGCTTTACCATGCAGTGTTATGGCCACCAGCAGTTCCTAGAATCCAGTCTTACATATTTTCAGCTGCTATAGAGCTTCTCTTGCCCACTGGCTCCAATAAAAGTCCCAGGATTGAGTATCATTGTTAAGCCATGAACCACTGTGGTCAGGGGTATGGAATGTACTGCTCAATGCTTCCTCCTGAAGTCCCAGAAATAGACTGAGACCATTGCCACTGAAACTGAAGAGGGCAAGAGAAAGAGGAGTGGTACCCTAAAGAAAAATAACGATCCTGGCCGGGCGTGGTGGCTCACGCCTGTAATCTCAGTAGCTCATGCCTGTAATCCCAGCACTTTGGGAGGCCAAGGTGGGCGGATCACAAGGTCAGGAGATCGAGACCATCCTGGCCAACATGGTGAGACCCCCATCTCTACTCAAAATACGAAAACATTAGCTGGGTGTAGTGGCATGTGCCTGTAATCCCAGCTACTTGGGAGGCTGAGGCAGGAGAATCGCTTGAACCCAGAAAGTGGAGGTTGTAGTGAGTGGAGATCACGCCACTGCACTCCAGCCTGGCAACAGAATGAGACTCCGTCTCAAAAAAAAAAAAAAAAGAAAAATAATGGTCCTCTGACCATAAGCAGTGGCATTGGATGCTGAGCATGAAAAACAGCAGATGTCACTCTTTCATATTTGATATCAGATTTCTTTTAAGGATAAAGCATATAGTCACACTGTAATTTGTGTGATTACATGAAAGAAAAACATACTTATGTAAGTAAGCAATTCTAAGTGCATTTTATATATGTCTATATATGAGACTAGCTGTTGGAAATATTAGTGAAAAATGAAGATAAAAGTTGTTTAAATGAAGTTTTTATATAAATTGTCACATCTTTAGGAGGCATATATCTTGTTTAGTTTTACGAGTATATTCAGAAGCTGAATTAATATAACAGTAAAGGATTACATGTTTAAATTTGCTTTATATTAATGATATATGTATACAGAAGAAATCTACAGTCAAATGAAATCTATACTCTAAGTACTAATCATAAAATATATATGTACTGGACAATTTCCTTCTACAGCTATTCTTTTAAAAAATATATTAATTTTATAGAAAAGGAGAGGGAGTTTTTAAATCTGACAACATTTCTACTATCTCCATCCTAAAAGATGTGCTTTCTAAAGAAGCTACAAAAAGGAAAATTAACCTCAACATATCATACGGTAAACAAACAAAATTAATAATTCTTTCTGATGTTTATTTTGTGTTGTTGTTACATTATTAATGTTTCTGATCAAAGTGATTTATCTAACTGCATCTGGTCAACTCCTTCTAGAGATAAATGAAGTATCAGTCAAACACACTTTAAAGCTAATCCACCCAAAGCTGGAGTACCAGTTGCTTTTGGCTAAGAAAGTGCAGTTAATTGATGCTTTAAAAGTAAGTACATGTGTCGTCGTGGACTGGTGATTATTATTTGAAGTCATAGGATTTCTAAAATTATCAATACTTTAACATTACATTGGATTGAATTTTGAATATTAAGGTGCTTCTGTTTTTCATTTTAAATAGGAATTACAGATTCATGAGGGAAATACGAACTTTCTGATACCAGAATATCACTGTATTCTAGAAGAGGCAGATCACCTACAGGAAGAATACAAAAAGCAACCTGCACATCTTGAAAGACTCTATGGTTAGTGGACCATTCTAGAATACCTTGCCATATTTCTTTTCAACTGGCTATTTCCCAAGGATCATGTAAGAGAAGCTGGGCAGAAAGATAAAAAGATTACATCAGTCATGATTCATGAACCAGTCATGAATCAGTTGACAACAAATTTATTGCACAGAATATTTCTGTATTTTGTCAAGCTACTTTTAATATTTAATTCTTTTACTTGATAAAATGCAAGTATATTAAGAAATAAGTATACTGTGATGAATTAATCTATATATATGAACAAACCTGGTATAAAATGAATGTAATCTATGAACCTTTAGAGCTTAGACTGTATTTCACACAAATAATTGTCATGTTTTGTTGCTATTGTGAATTATAAAAATGCAGCATTTAAAATTTTTAAGGCAAAATTTAATAAAGGATATACAGTATTTGTGTTGTGTCAATTTATAGTTCAAAACTTTGGTGGTGAGAAGCTGAATGTTTCACAAATTGTATTGAAACAGAGTAAGGGAGGTGAGGAGAGGGAAAGAAGGAGTGAGGAAGGAAGAAACAGCTTAAGAAAAACAATTTTGTTAGCAATCTTTACATAAGACCTGTTGTATATAGCACACTATTTACACTGTCTTCATAATCAGGTGAGATATTTAATCCTTACAATAGCTCTGCAAGGTAGGTGGTATTATCTTCATTTTTCATATGCTTTAACTGAAATCTGAGTCTAAGGAATTTGTTGTCACCTAGCAAGTTAGTGATCATGCCTGCATTAGAATCTTCTCACCCCAAAATGCATGCCTTTTACACTATGCCAAGCCTTCCATAGTCACTGTAGAGCCAATTGGTATCACTAGTACACATGGATCCTTAAGCCTGCCTACTGAATTTTTTATTACATATCCAGAGACTTTCTCACAAACTGTAGCTATATTTAATGTCTTAACCTTTATTACATGACAAGCACATGATCTCTTTTATCCTTATAATAACTTATGAGATTGGCTGTACATAATATCACTGATTGCAAAATCCAGACAGCTTTGTAAACCAAAGTTTTTTTCATAAATAATTTGACAGCAAAATCTTGACTTAATCTGAATTAATTTAATAACAAAATCTGACTTAAACTGACATGAGGTTTTATATATATTTTTTGTTTGTTTGTTTGTTTGTTTTTTGAGACAGAGTCTCGCTTGGTCTCCCAGGCTGGAGTCAGTGGCGCGATCTCGGCTTACTGCAGCCTCTGCCCCCTGGGTTCAAGCAATTCTCCTGCCTCAGCCTCCTGAGTAGCTGCGATTACAGGTGTGCGCCACCATGCCCAGCTAATTTTTTTGTACTTTTAGTAGAGACAGGGTTTCACCATATTGGCCAGGCTGGTCTCCAACCCCTGACTTCGTGATCTGCCCACCTCAGCCTCCCAAAGTGCTGGGATTACAGGCATGAGCCACCGTGCCCAGCCCAAGGTTATATCTTTTTTATTCCACTTAGTGCAAATATTCATCCGTATATTTTGTGCCAGAAATAGTACTATGTTTTGCTATTGGATGCTGCTACTCAGTCCCCTTGGGGTTAATACCATAGTATATTCCTTTCATTATCTTCCTAAAATAGGAAAAATTCTGAAATACATCTTGCATCAAGCTTTTTGGATAAAGGATTGACAGCTTGAATTATTCCTGTTTTACATATGAGAAAACTCAAGGTGAAATGATTTGCCCAGATCTTTGAACCTAGGACTATTTGCCTTCAAGTCAAATCCCAAGAATGGTCAACATATAGGTGGAATATTTTAATTCAGATAAGCTGTTAAAAATAGAATCTGCCTAGACTATGTCAAAATGGTCAGCTTGGTGGAAAAAATATACCACTTGTTGTGATGTTATATATACTGATAGCAGTTCAAAAATGGCCAGTAGTTGATTGTCTGAATTAATAGCTTGTAATCAATTGTTAAGAGGGTTATTAGGCAGATGATTTATATCTTGAAACTTGTTTTAAAATCCCCCCAAAATGACTATTTTTAAAAACATGGCTTTTAGGTTTGTGTATGTTAAATCATGGAATTACAGGTGCTTAAAAATAGATTATCAAGCAATTACTTTAGTGAAATACTGTGTCATTAAATATAACTAATCACTGACAGGAAATTTATGTTTTTTCTTTAAAGGCATGATCACTGATCTTTTCATAGATAAATTTAAGTTTAAAGGCACCAATGTAAAAACTAAAGTACCCCTTCTATTGGAAATTCTGGACAGTTATGACCAAAATGCATTGATTTCATTCTTCGATGCAGCATGACATACAAATAAGGTAAAGTCCCAAAGAAGTGGTCTGTTTAAATGAAAAATGTTAAAAGAGAATTAGAAGTTAACTGTGTATGTACTTTAATTTCAAATGCTTTTTTATATCTAAAAATATTTGAGATATAATGGCTTTTTAAAGTAATGCTTCTATTTCTTTTGACAAATTGAACTTTCTAAAACTAAAAGAGTCTTTTTATTTTTAAAACACAAGTAGAATGATTTAAATAGGATTTTAATGAATTTTTGGCAAGTGGCTGTTTTAATTTTTAAATTGAGAAGTAATATGTGGAAAATTAAAATATATTCAAATGTATTACAAGGTACATAAACACATAAACATGTAGACCGCTTTATAGGCTTCAAAATGTATTTTTATATATTACCTTATTTGATCTTCACAACTGTTGTAAAATTTGTCAAATCATATAAGAAAACTGATTCTCAGTGAAATTTTGTGATTAAGAGGACATGCTAATATTTTGTAAAGCTGGGACCAGAACCCAAGTACTGGTACTTGCTTTGTGTCCTGGTTACTATGTATGTTGCCAGCTAGTGGAAATAACCTACCAATTGTTTTTTCTAGGAGATAGGATTGATTTGCAACTGATATTCCTTTTGCTTGGTAGTGTTTTATGACTCTGCTGCAGTTTGTGGAAATGCTGGACTTGGCTCAGTGCTATAAATTGTAGCCAGGAAATAAGAAGAGCTTACACAGAGTCGGGGGATCTTAATTAGACATGCTGTAACCAGTGGAGCTATTCAGCGTGCTTCAAGTGAAGAGTGCAGAAATAGTGATGCCATCTTAGATTTTCCTACACTAGTATCTTCTAGATCTCTTTTTATCATATATGACATTAAGGCTACAGAAGTTTTGTGCATTAATCTTAATTCATATTTATTAATTTCAAGGGAATATTGAAAGGTTTTAAAATGGCATACAGATAATGGAAAATAAGCTTTATGTTTCAAGAAGGGCAGACTCACGAATTTTTTAGAAAACAGTGCTTCTTAATGATATGCTATTATACTTATTAGTTATGTGCAAGCTTTGTATATTCTTATATTTATATATAAATATAAAAATTTGTTAAAGGCACGTATAGTTAAGAGAGTTTTATTTTAATAAGGTCATATTGTTTTTACTATGTTTAAAAAACTTTACTTCTGAAAGGAACATAATTATATCTAGGTCACTAGAACGTCATTGTGTTTTTTGTTGGTTGCCACAGCTTGGGGAAAAATAGAAAAAAATTAATGACTGTATTTGAATATTTTGTAATGCACTGCTATTTATTATATATATCAACAGTAGTTCAAGGTGCCATCTTAAATTAATTGCATCTTCATTAGGAAAAATAAAAAGCATAAAACACAATTTCTGGTTACTATGAATAAACGCCTAAATGTTAAGATGACATTACAGTCTTGACACTTGAGTACTGTATTACTATGTGAGCTCCGTGTTAAATAATTTATGCACATTATTTAATCCTAACAACCATATGACTGTAGTTATTAGTCCCTATTAACACATAAGAAAACGGAGAATCGGAGATACTGAAAAACGTGCCCCAGATTTTAGACCTTTGGAAAAAGTCACTTAAGCTAACTAGACGTCCCAGAGCTAAAGGCTGGGCAACCCAAATGATAGTCGCCAAAGTTTAATTCCGTTTAATTCCCTAAAAGGCTTAGAGTCAGCCTTCGGACAGCCTCGCTCACTAGGTGGCTCAGCTTAAAATAATCGGAAGCGTCGGGCCCTAAATCCTACCTCTCCCCGCCCCGCGCAGGCGTTTTCTCCCGCCCCAGCCAGTTTGTTTCTCCCTCCTGCCCCGCCCCTGCTCAGTTTCCTTTGGTTTACCCTTCACTCGCCTGCGACCCTGTCGCCTTGAATGACGTCAAGGCCGCGAGCGCTTTCATTGGTCCATTTCAATAGTCGCGGGATACTTGAACTGCAAGAACAGCCGCCGCTCCGGCGGGCTGCTCGCTGCATCTCTGGGCGTCTTTGGCTCGCCACGCTGGGCAGTGCCTGCCTGCGCCTTTCGCAACCTCCTCGGCCCTGCGTGGTCTCGAGCTGGGTGAGCGAGCGGGCGGGCTGGTAGGCTGGCCTGGGCTGCGACCGGCGGCTACGACTATTCTTTGGCCGGGTCGGTGCGAGTGGTCGGCTGGGCAGAGTGCACGCTGCTTGGCGCCGCAGGCTGATCCCGCCGTCCACTCCCGGGAGCAGTGATGTTGGGCAACTCTGCGCCGGGGCCTGCGACCCGCGAGGCGGGCTCGGCGCTGCTAGCATTGCAGCAGACGGCGCTCCAAGAGGACCAGGAGAATATCAACCCGGAAAAGGCAGCGCCCGTCCAACAACCGCGGACCCGGGCCGCGCTGGCGGTACTGAAGTCCGGGAACCCGCGGGGTCTAGCGCAGCAGCAGAGGCCGAAGACGAGACGGGTAAAGGGATGCGGGATATCTGCAGGAGGGTGGGTCGAGCAGGGTTTGGCATTGGCTTAGCAGGCAGAGAAGAGTGGCGAGAAGGCATGTCCTGGGCTTTTGGAAGGGGGCCAGGGTCTGGAGTGCAGTTGGTGCTGGTGTGTGGTTTGCCACAGTAGGAGTTCTCCCATATTAGCATCAGGACCCCGCCAACACTGTGTGTATGCTGCCGGTCTGCTCTCTATAGGGGGCATCTGCCTGTACATAATGGGGTCAAACCAAGCTCTAAAACGTGTAGTCTTCGCTCAGCTCCGCGCCTTTCTCTCCACTTTTAAACCCCAGGCACTGCTGTAGGACTCTGACCCCTATCCTCCTCACGCTTAAGAGATGACCTCTACTTTAGAAAAGCGTGTACAAAATACTTTGCTTTTGGCAAATTCCGCCATTTTAGCCGGATTTGCTCTGTTGCTCCACCCTCGGGCGACAGTGGTGAACCAACAATTTTTTTGCTGTCTTTCCTAAACTTGTCACGTATTGGCCTGTCACCCGACCCTTCTTGTGGCCCTGATAAGTTTTGCATAATTCCACCTAGTGTTATCTATTGATAGCCTTTGTGGGAATGCCTGTGACAAATGGGAACATCCCTTCTCTTTTGAATACTGAAACTCTTCTTTGTCCCAGAAAGTTTAATTCCTGATAGAGTATTTGGGAGAAAAAGCAAAGGCCAACACCCATAAGAGAAAGAATGCAAGACTAGTAGGCTCAAAGCCAGTTATTAATTTTTTTTTAGGTTGCACCCCTTAAGGATCTTCCTGTAAATGATGAGCATGTCACCGTTCCTCCTTGGAAAGCAAACAGTAAACAGCCTGCGTTCACCATTCATGTGGATGAAGCAGAAAAAGAAGCTCAGAAGAAGCCAGCTGAATCTCAAAAAATAGAGCGTGAAGATGCCCTGGCTTTTAATTCAGCCATTAGTTTACCTGGACCCAGAAAACCATTGGTCCCTCTTGATTATCCAATGGATGGTAGTTTTGGTAAGTTTTAAGGAAAATCTGTGTGGAATTACGGTAATTATAATTATTAGATGATATTAATGATTTGCATTTTAAGATGTCTTATGTAGTCATTTTGACTATAGTGAGTTAGGTTTAATGTAACAAGGCTTAGAAAGGATGTGACTTATCTCAGATCTCACAGCTAACACTTGACTTGGTGACATACAAAAAGATCCTTATCCAGTGCTCTTTCAGGTTCACTGCCAGTCACATCAATCTAATTATAATTAGATCTTAAATGCTTATTTTAATCTGATCCCATAAATGTGTTCTTGGTTGGGAGAATAGATTTCAGTTTTATTTAACTCACTTATATATCACTTAGTGCTATTTGAAGATGCAGTCTTAAATATTGTGATTACATAACGTCTCTTCCAGTTTTATAATTTTGTTTCTATAAAACCAGTCTGGATTAGCATCTGATACCAGAAAGTGACACTTTTCCTCCTACAAGTAAATAGTTGTACCATGGCTGTTTACTCTTACCCATGTATTAAAGTAGCTTCTGTAAACAGCTCTTTGCAGTTTGTACTATTTCTTTGCCCTAGGGATATTGAGTCACTGGACAGCTCACTAAATCCAATCTCATTTTAGTTTTAGTTGTATTGATTGTGAGGAAGGAGGGGTGAGCAGGAAAAGTCCTTTGGAAATAATAATTTGTGTGTTTTTATCAAAATTTTGCAGAAAATGTTTAATCTCAAGGTGATCTTTGAAGTGAAAGGAATAATGGATGATACTCTTTGCTTCAAAATAATTTATACTACAAAAAATAAATTATTTATAGTGTTAATCCATTTGCCCATAACAAACCTAATTTCTTAATAACACTTGTTAATAGAGGCCATTTAACTGATGCTAGCTATTGCCTACTTGTGCTTTATATATGTCAGACTCTGGGATCTGCAGTTTCTCTTGGGACAAATCTTAGATATTATCTCAAAACTTGGATTTTAAAAGTGTTCTGTCCTAACAGAACCACCATGCCATTTGCTCCTTTCTGTTGTGGAAGATGGATACTTTAAGATAATACCTGATTCTCATTTTCCTGTTAGGGGCCTACCAATATGTTTTTTTTTTTTTCCCTCATTAACTAAAATCATTCCAAAGTTCTATGTACAGAGATACTGAGACTAGGGTAAAATATTCTACATATTTTGTCATGAGAAGCTCTTTTTAGTTTGAAGAAATAAGTGCTTTGTTAATATGAGATTCCTTCCATGGCAGTCATTTTTAGCTATTAAACTAAATAGGCAAACAATTAATTTAATCATATCTTTTGAATTGTCCCAGAGTCACCACATACTATGGACATGTCAATTATATTAGAAGATGAAAAGCCAGTGAGTGTTAATGAAGTACCAGACTACCATGAGGATATTCACACATACCTTAGGGAAATGGAGGTAAAGGTTCTCTGAATCCAGTTTGTATAATGTATTTGTTAAATGTGGCTAAATGAAATTGAGAGGATAATGTTTAAATTTTTAAACTAATGAATTATTCTAATGCTACAGTTAAGTTTATAGCATGTAGCCTCTCGTAATTAATGGTAAAATAATCTAATTGCAGTTTTTACACTAGAATAATTTTAACACTATAAATAATTTTCTCAATAGGTTAAATGTAAACCTAAAGTGGGTTACATGAAGAAACAGCCAGACATCACTAACAGTATGAGAGCTATCCTCGTGGACTGGTTAGTTGAAGTAGGAGAAGAATATAAACTACAGAATGAGACCCTGCATTTGGCTGTGAACTACATTGATAGGTTCCTGTCTTCCATGTCAGTGCTGAGAGGAAAACTTCAGCTTGTGGGCACTGCTGCTATGCTGTTAGCCTCGTAAGTCTACCTTGGTTTGTTTAAAAGTGATCACGACCTTTTGTCTAGGGAAGAAATTGATTTTTTTAATGGTGACCTTTTAACATACACCAGGCAGAGTCAGTGACTACTTTAGGGATGGCAATGTGCTGGGGCTTAGGGCAGTGGAGGAGGATGAAACTGTTCTAATCTAGAACACTAATTTTCCCCCAACTGGATTCCTTGAACATGATATAGTACACTAGGTTACAAATTTTAAAACATTTTCCTTCCAATATTACTTTCTGGCATATAAGCAGTGTCTCTTTTATTAAGAAGTAAAGGCTGGGTGCGGTGGCTCGCGCCTGTAATCCCAGCACTTTGGGAGGCCGAGGTGGGCGGATCACTTGAGGTCAGGAGTTTGAGACCAGCCTGGCCATCATGGCGAAACCCTGTCTCTACTAAAAATACAAAAATTAGCTGGGCATGGTGATGCATGCCTGTAATCTCAGCTACTAGGGAGGCTGAGGCAAGAGAATCGCTTGAACCCAGGAGGTGGAAGTTGCAGCGAGCTAAGATTGCACCACTGCACTCTGGCCTGGGCGACAGAGCAAGACTCTTGTCTCAAAAAAAAAAAAAAAAAAGAAAGAAAAACTAAATTTAAAAATGAAAACATGAAACATGTTTTCCTAAGACTTGTATTTCCTAAATTTTCAGCTACTTGGTGAACTCTGGCATTGTTCCCATCTCGAGAAGTCTCATGCCTTTCATTTACTTCCTTTGACTGAACTGGGGAAAATATCTCAAAAGTCCTTTATTGATTTGGGCCTTTTAATTAGCAATTAGCTATCCAGTCTCTACTAGAAATGATGATCAAGTGTCTGGAAATGCAGTTGGTGTGGATTTTGGATTCATTCCATATTCTGCTAATGGGATTTCAGAACTGGGATAAGGAAGCTTGCTTCTCTTTTAGGACTGATTACTTAAAACTTTTTTCATTGTAGAAAGTTTGAAGAAATATACCCCCCAGAAGTAGCAGAGTTTGTGTACATTACAGATGATACCTACACCAAGAAACAAGTTCTGAGAATGGAGCATCTAGTTTTGAAAGTCCTTACTTTTGACTTAGCTGCTCCAACAGTAAATCAGTTTCTTACCCAATACTTTCTGCATCAGCAGCCTGCAAACTGCAAAGTTGAAAGTTTAGCAATGGTGAGTTAACTTTCATTTTGTTGAATGGTGATTCTTTGGTAATAATTAGGGGTAAGCCCTAATTCCTTTGTAAAGGAACCTAGTTCCTTTGTACAGCAGTGGTGAAGAGATTTAGTATTCAGAGGGAGATTAATGCTGCAGTATGGAAGAAAGCCTACTGCTGGCAAAAGATAATCTATATCAGGAAAGCACTAGAAGCAGAGGTCTAAGGATGACATCTTGGGGATGGGTAGTCAGAAGAGTTGTTTTTTAAAAGTTAATAAAGGAGGGAAAATACAGGATGAGGATGGAACAAAACACTAAAATGATTGATATGTTTAAAGATGAGGCTGTGAGATATTTTTTCTAGAGTTGCTACAGAGCCGTTATCAAAGGCAGGAAAAAATTAGGTTAGAAGGCAGAGGTTTGACATTTGAATTCTAAACGCTCTTGTGATCATAAAGTATTTTTTATTCCAGTTTTTGGGAGAATTAAGTTTGATAGATGCTGACCCATACCTCAAGTATTTGCCATCAGTTATTGCTGGAGCTGCCTTTCATTTAGCACTCTACACAGTCACGGGACAAAGCTGGGTATGTATTACGGTCTTCACACACCTATCTTGTGACTGAAATGCCTGTGCCAGATTAAATAATAATTGTCCTACAAAACTGAGGGTTGCCTAGATGTTCTTACTTGGAAAAACTTCAAATATATATAGTTGACCTTTGAAAAACACAGGTTTGAACTGTGTGAGTCCACTTACACATGGATTTTTTTCCAATCAAATGTGGACTGAAACTACAGTATTCAGGGGATTCACAACCCATATATATGGAAGGGTGACTGCAGGACTTGAATATGTACAGATTTGGGTATATTTGGGAAGGGTCCTGGAACCAATCCCTCATGTACACTGAGGGATGATTATATACTGTTTAAGGCATGTTACCTGTTGAACAGTGTTTGTTAGGTAGTAAGCTTAGTTGTAACTTGGATTGAAAGGTGAGCTTTTTTAAAAGCATCTGACCTGTTGCTGGCAGGGAAAGTAGTAGAAAATGGATCGAGGGATGGAATAATGGCCTGAGAAAACTAGTAGTTGGAAAAGTTAAAGATTAGTACTGGAATTTAACATAAGCTTAATGCCAACTATTTACTGTGTTTGGTGTGTTACTAAAAGCAAAACTCAGGGGTTCTCTATTCCCTTCTCTGTAGCCTGAATCATTAATACGAAAGACTGGATATACCCTGGAAAGTCTTAAGCCTTGTCTCATGGACCTTCACCAGACCTACCTCAAAGCACCACAGCATGCACAACAGTCAATAAGAGAAAAGTACAAAAATTCAAAGTAAGAATTAACTTGGATATTGAAGCTTACTTTTCTAGATTATGGTTCAGAGATCTTTGACATTTTAACCTTATTCATGAATCTGCCATAGCCTCCTTGAGAAGCTGTTCTCTAAATTGGTTATGTGTTTGAAGAAGGTTGTAGTTCATGCTTTCTGCCCTGGGTCTGGGGGAGAAGAGAGAAGGAAGGGGGCATGCATGTGTGTTTCAGGGACCAGACAGTGTTTCTAAAACCATCAAGTCGGTCAGACAGAAATAGCATTTTTTAGTTCCCAATACATGAGTACAAACATTATTCCATGATCTCCTTTACCCAGTGAGTGTTTACTAAAAATGCTTTTTTTTTCCCTACTTACAGGTATCATGGTGTTTCTCTCCTCAACCCACCAGAGACACTAAATCTGTAACAATGAAAGACTGCCTTTGTTTTCTAAGATGTAAATCACTCAAAGTATATGGTGTACAGTTTTTAACTTAGGTTTTAATTTTACAATCATTTCTGAATACAGAAGTTGTGGCCAAGTACAAATTATGGTATCTATTACTTTTTAAATGGTTTTAATTTGTATATCTTTTGTATATGTATCTGTCTTAGATATTTGGCTAATTTTAAGTGGTTTTGTTAAAGTATTAATGATGCCAGCTGTCAGGATAATAAATTGATTTGGAAAACTTTGCAAGTCAAATTTAACTTCTTCAGGATTTTGCTTAGTAAAGAAGTTTACTTGGTTTACTATATAATGGGAAGTGAAAAGCCTTCCTCTAAAATTAAAGTAGGTTTAGGAAAACAGACCCTCAAATTCTGACATTCATTTTCCTAAGCAACTGGATCAATTTGCTGACTTGGGCATAATCTAATCTAAGCATATCTGAATACAGTATTCAGAGATAGATACAGTAGAGATTCCCCAGACTTTTTCGCTCTTTGTAAAACCTGTTTGTTTAGGTTTTGCGAGGTAAACTCAACAGAGGTTGGGAGTGGAAGAGGGTGGGAAGCTTATATGCAAATTAACAGACGAGAAATGCTCCAGAAGGTTTATTATTTTAAAGCACATTAAAAACAAAAAACTATTTTTAAAATCCTGCTAGATTTTATAATGGATTTGTGAATAAAAAATACCCAGGGTTCTCAGAATGGAATAAATATCCCTTTTAATAGTTATATATACAGATATACAACTGTTAGCTTTAATTGGCAGCTCTCTTCTTTTTTCTTCTTTTCACTGGCTTTTTACTTGGTGCTTTTTCTTGTTTTGCACTGGTGGTCTGTGTTCTGTGAATAAAGCAAAGTAAGAATTTACTAAGAGTATGTTAAGTTTTGGATTATTGAAATAAGAGGCATTTCTTAGTTTTCCAGTAGGATCTAAAATGTGTCAGCTATGAGTAAGACTGGCATCCAAGAAGTTTATATTATAGATTTAGGTCCTAATTTTTATAAATCACAAGGTAAAAAAATCACAGAACAGATGGATCTCTAATGAAAAAGGGATGTCTTTTTGTTTATAGTCATGTGGCAAGATGAGAGTAAAACCAGAGAGCAAACCTCTATAAGTGTTGAGTATATGTATACATTTGAAATAAACCAGAAATTTGTTACCTTATTTTCTTTGGATTCTTGTCTGGTTCCAAAATGATCATTTCTTCTTCTTCACTATCTGAGAGTATTATGGGAGCATCTTTGTTTTTTTATTAATTTAAAAAAAAAAAAAAAAGTTAAGCAATCTCTTGCAAAATTTATTTCTACATGAATTTATTTCTATCAGACGTTCTAAACTCTTATTTCTGGGGCTGGGCGTGGTGGCTCACACTTTTAATACCCACATTTTGGTAGGCTGAGGCAGGTGGATTACCTGAGGTCAGGAACTCGAGTCCAGTCTGGCCAACATGGTGAAACCCCAGCTCTATTAAAAATAATAGAAAAATTAGCCAGGCGTGGTGGCATGTGCTTGTAGGCCCAGCTACTCGAGGCTGAGGCATGAGAATCGCTTGAACCCATGGAGGTGGAGGTTGCAGTGCCACTGCACTCCAGTCTGGGTGACAGAGCAAGACTCCATCCCAAAAAATAAAAATAAAACTCTAGGTGGAGGCTTAATCTTTTCTTTAAATCAGCTTCTTAGAGCACTCTAGAACTCATCTGTAACATTTGTTTCTTTAAACTCTTATTTCCTACAGGTGCTTGAATGGTGTGACAATTTGGTACATGTCATAATAGAAAAGCTAGGGGGAAATGTATATAGCATCTTTTGTAGAGACAACTGAATTGTTTGTGCTACTCTATTCCTCCAGAAATAGTTCCAGTTTACATTCCAAGAAATAAAAGAACCCATTTCCCATATACCTTTGGCATTGCTGGTGTTTTTAATACTGCCCAAAATACAGTAACAAAAAATGCCATGTCATTTTTCTTTGGATTTTATTTGTATTACTGTCAGGGCTGACCATGAAAAATATTACTGGCCATTGTATACTTTGAGAACTGCTCCATGTATTTTGCCCATTTTTCTCCTGCTTATTAGTTAATGATATACATAAAATGTGAATTAACCCATATCAATTATTTGTATTTTTAGTTTTCAATTAGTTTCTCCCTTTGTTCACATGCTTTAGGAAGGCTGTACCTGCTCCATTTTTCCAATGCTTAGGTCCACCTTCATTATATTCAGTTGAAAATATTATTCACTGTTAGAAGAATACACTAAACAAACATATAAGAGGTATATGCAAGTGCAAGGATATTAACAGTGAGAAAATGGAAACAACTTACATCTTCAACAATAAGAGAATTGTTAAACCAACTAGTTATATTCAATGCTATACAAGTATATGCAGCATTAGCTTACATCACTGCACAGAGAGTAAATAAATACCTGGAACAAGTTCTGGAAGAATAATACCAAATAGAAGTAACCACTGGGAAATTTGAGTAAGGGTCCCAATCAATGGGAAATTTTTTCCTTACCTATTTACTTAAGTAAAAAAACAAAAAGCCCAGGCTCCAGTAATGTTCATAAGCAATAATTTCTCTCTTTGAAAACAGAAGTATTTGCATTACATTCCTATTAAACACATCACCTTCAATTTTCCCTGCCAGCCTAGCTCCCAGTTCCTTGTAGGATTTCTGTTCTTACCACGTAAGAAAATAAGTCATTCTATTATATAGACCAGCAAGAATTTGCTTTTTTTAAAAAGTAGAAATAACCATACATAACAACTTCAGTTCTATGGCTTTCAGAATGCAAGAAACGTCTAGGACTACCAGTATTCTAGTTACTTATAGAATTTTTTTATGTTCTAATACTGCGATGTCTAGCATGGTAGCCACTAGCCACATGTGGCTGCTTAATTTTGTATTAAGTAAAATTTAAAATTCAGTTCTCAGTAACACAAGCCACATTTCAAGTGTTCACTAGCCATGTGGGGCTAGTGGCTGCTATACCAGTGTAGATACTTAATGTTTCTATCATCATAGAAAGTTTTATTTAGGCAGTATTATATGTTATGATATGGGATGGGCTTTTTGTTTCAGTCTAGAAACTACAAAAAAAAAGACAGCAGGGAGGAATAAGATCTTCAAGAAACTCATTCCCTTAAAACCCACCCACATACATACACACACACAAAATTTTTTTAATTAAAAATATCACTATCATTTATGCCAGTGTTCCACTACTCTACAAAGATATGCATATTCTTTTAGAAAGTAGCATTAGTATTGCAGCTAGCCACAATAATTTAGTTGAAATTTAAATCACAATATTTAGCCCCTCTAAAAATGCAATACTTACATCCCTATATATAACTACATATCTATATTCTCTCTATATAGTATCCTGTATGTTATTTATCCACTATACATCTCTATATAGCTAATATGCTATATATTACTATATACAGTGATAATATAAATATACACACATTTTATGCATTATATATATAACTATACGGTAATACTATATGTATGTAATATATAGTAAGTGTGCCATAAAGTGTCACCTACCTTGGCTTCCAATATCAGAGACTTCTACTCCAGTGTCCATTTTTATACCATCAAGAATGATAGCTTGATCACCACCGCCTTCATCATCTTCCTTCTCAGAGTCTTCAAGATCACCCCAGGAGTTTTCTACTCCCTCTCCAATTTGGGCAGTTCCAGGAGTCCATAGCACAGGTGTAGAAACACTTAACAAGTTAAGAAAACTGAGTAACAAAAATATTGCTATTTGATGAACTGTTGAAGATGAGAATGAAAGTTTTCTTCTTGTAAGATTGATTCAAGTGTGCCCCAAGTTCCTAGGGGAAAAAAAACTTAATATAGCTACACTATGGATGGCTGAACAATGAAGAAGAAAAAAAACTCAGGCAAGATTTTATGGATGCAATTAATAAGAAATGTGAAGAGACAGATTCTCTCAACATTTTAGTTATAGTACTAAATTAAATTGGTCCTTAAAATCTGTTTTTTCCAGGATAACTGAATAGAAGCTGAATGTTATACCATCAACAGAATATGACTCACATCTCTATCTTGTATTTTAAGTGTTTTCTCTAACAAAGTACAGTGTTTACAAAAACTAATTTCAGTATACACATCCTTCATATAGCCTAATATTATAATGCCAAGTGTTATGAATCTTGTTACTGCAAAAACCACCAAATAAAGATACACTTCTGAAGGAGGTTCTGCTTCAGCAATGATTTCTTCTGCTTTTTCTTCTACATCCGAGGTATCAATAGGGGCCTTTTCCATTTTAAATGCTGTGATCCTTTGATTTGCTATAGACTCTGCAAAACCAAACTTTCCACCTTCTTTCCTGTATGTGGGGGTTTTTTTGGTGGGAAGGAAGGGGGAGGAAGGTAACAGATTGGATAGAAGACAGGAAGGGAAAAAAACTATTATTTTATCCTTTGGTGGATGAAAAATATTGGAAGAGAGTTAGTTTATCTAACTTAACCTCACCAATTTATTATGCCTAACAAGAGTAAATAGTTAGCATAATCATTTATTAAACCACGTGCCAGACCATGTGCTAGGTGCTTAAAATATACTATTCTCTAACCCTCAAATCAGCCCTACCAGGTAGTGTTAATATCCCATATTATAGAAGAGGACACTGAAATGCTGGGTTATGTATCTTGCTTAAGATAGCACAGTAAGAGGTAGAGATGGAAATCAACCTGTTTCCTTCCATTAATTTGAGTTACTAGATTATTTTTATCCTAAGAAAATGTTAACTGCTAAAGAAAAATCTTATGTCTCCAGGCACGGTGGCTCACACCTGTAATCCTAATATTTTGGGAGGCCCAGGCGGGTGGATCACCTGAGGTCAGGAGTTTGAGACCGGCCTGGCCAAAACGGCGAAACCCCATCCCTACTAAAAATATAAAAATTAGCCGGGCATGGTGGTATGCATCTGTAATCTCAGCTATTTGGGAGGCTGAGGCAGGAGAATCACTTGAAGCCATGAGGCGGAGGCTGCAGTGAGCTGAGATTGCACAAATGCACTATAGCCTAGGTGACAGAGTGAGAAGTGAGACTTCATCTCAAAAAACAAACAAAAATCTTATATGATTTTTCAATATAGGTTACATTTAAATTGCAGAAAATATAACAAGTCCAATTTTCTAAAAACACATTAAATAGTATACTCAATTCAGATTAACAAATAAGGAAAGATCAAGTGTGAAATTTATATGGTTGCCCTCGTTCAAGGAAGATCCTTAAGAAAAAAAATATATTAAAAGACCATTTAGGGCCATTTCCTGTTCCCTGTGTTGTATCTTGGAGTCTGGATTAATGAAGACCTCTTGCTCTTAGGAGGGTCTTTCCTCTTTATTGTTTTAGAATTCTGGACTTGACCCAGACTTAAATTCCCATCTGTGATGCATTTTGCAATAAGTGGGTTTGATGCCAGCACTTTGAAAGATATCCCTCATAAAACAAAAGGACAAGAATCACCAGCTCCCACACAAAGTAAAAAACGTGAACCTAATTTTAGCAGTGTTAATAAGGAGCAACTATCCACAAGTCACTGCATCAATAATGCTTGTGTTATAACATCCTCTCCTCCCTAAGGCACAGGAGCAAGTGACACATACTTGTCTGGGAACCAGTTTCATTAATACTTTTATTGTATCCGTCCAAAGATGAGTAGCAATATCTGTTACCAGTTTCACTACCTTTCGGAGTTTTGGGTAACATAACTATACCATGGTATTTACACTTTTTAATGAGTCAATTTTAATTGAAATTGCCATTCTAACTTTGTATGTGAAATCAAGTTCATGCATAATAAAGCTTGCTTATACTAAAAAAAATAATAAAAATTTAAAAAATGAAAATAAAAGACCACTTAGTTCTGGAAAAGTTACTTACCTTACTTTTTGGTCATTCTCCAAAGCTTTCAATATTAGCTCTGTAATTTCTGCTACTTTCACACCAGCGATTTTACTGCATCTCAGAACCTATTTATAAAAGTGAATTCTGTTGTTTAAAGACAATAAACCAAATAGTTTTCTCTAATGAAACTAAAACCATGAAATTTTTCTACCTTTATAATTTAAGCCTGACTTTTCCAAACATGAATACAATGTAAACACAGATTAAGGCAAGATGTGAAAGTTGTTTTAAGATATGTGAAGGACTGTCACATCAAGGGAACAGACATAAAAACTTTCTTATACAACAGTATAAAAGATACCACAGAAGAGGCCACAGACACATATATGCTCCAGGATGCACTAACTTCCTTTTTCTGTGGGTAATCTGGGTAGTACTTGTGATGCTGGTAAAGATGATGATGATGATACCAGAAACTAACATTTATTGCACACTTAATAAATGTGTGCTAGACACTGTGCAATATATTTATATCCTTATAACAACAAGGTGTTGGCAATAACATCATTCCCTATTTTACAGATAAAGAAAGTGAGACCCAAAGATATAAAATCATTTGCCCAAGATCAGCTAGTATGGGGGCAGAACTAGAATTCAAACTAAAGAAGCTTTTAATCATCTACACTGTATGCTATATGGAGATCTATTTTCTAAAAGCTCCCATGTGAATATGATATATAGCTGGGTTTCAGAACTACTGCCAATTGTAGTTCTAAAAGTGCAAGTAAAACTATCTTTTTACATAATGTCTACTATTGGATGTTTAAAAATTTTTATTTGCTTTTGAGACAGGGTCTCATTCCGTAGCCCAGGCTGGAATGCAGTGACACGATCTCAGCTCACTCAACCTCCACCTCCTAGGCTCAAGCAATCCTCCCACCTCAGCCTCCCAAGTGGCCAGGACCACACGCATGCACCACCAAGCTCGGCTAATATTTATTTATTTATTTTATTTTTTATTTTTTCAGATGGAATTTTGCTGTTGTTGCCCAGACTGGAGAACAATGGCACGATCTCAGCTCACTGCAACCTCTGCCTCCCGGATTCAAGCAATTCTCCTGCCTCAGCCTCCCAAGTAGCTGGGATTACAGGCGTGCGCCAGCCACCACACCCAGCTAATTTTGTATTTTTAGTAGAGATGGGTTTCACCATGTTGGCCAGGCTGGTCTTGAACTCCTGACCTCAAGTGATCCACCAGCCACGGCCTCCCAAAGTGCTGGGATTACAGGCGTAAGCCAACATGCCCGGCCACTTTTTTTTTTTTTTTAATAGGGATATAAATCTTTTTCTTCACTAGACCCTGCTTCTAGGTGGAAGGGTCAGACTCCAGCAGGCCAGACACGGGAGCACCAAGGTAGGAAGGAGGAGGATACCTCATAGCCACCAGTCAACAGAATGTATTTAATAGTGACAGTACTGAAACCAGATTCTAACACATCCTAGAATAAATCACTGGAAGTATCCCCATTGGATTTTTGTTAAAAGACAAGAAAAAGCATCTAAAGAGAAGCAACCTATTATTAATGGGACATTAATCAAAGCACTAACTTGATCTTTTAGTAGCATTATCCCACCACTGGACTGGATAGTACAAATCTCTCGATGTTTGTTCATGGCAATCACCAGCAAGCCATCCATCACACGTTCTTCTCGTTCATTGGGATCCACCAATAAATATGTTCTGAAATGAATGTTAAATGGACCTGAACAAATCTGAGACCGAATGCTTACCATTTCTTGGGTAATGAATTTTTAAAAGATGGCATCAATAAAGTCAACAGAGAATAAAGGTCTGAGCCTACGGATTTGGGTCACTGAAATGGGGAAAGAGACAAGAAAATTATTGTGTTTATGAACACAAATGAATGCTAAGTGGGTATCTCTAGTTATTACAATGAAATCACATTAAGTTCAGATTGGATTTACTTAAATGATATATAATCTAAACCTAATGCTATCTCTTTGATTAAATGACTTCTGGCTCATTAATAAAAACTTAGATAATGTTAAATTGGTTAACCCTAAAGTTGCCCTAATGTCCTGTACTCCAAAGTTCTACTGCGTTCTGCTAATGGCTCATGAAAAAAATACTGTCTATTTCTGCACTGTCCGGTACATTTGCCAATAGTCACCTGTGGTTACTGAGCCCTTGAAATGTAATCAGAGTATGTAAAATATTGGATTTCAGAGACTTAGTGGAAACAAAAGAATGTAGACTATCTCATGAGTAATTATTAAAATACTGATTATTTCATTAATCATTTTATTTCATTAACGTGAAAATATATTAATTAAAAATATATAAAAATTAATTTTACCTTTTTAATGTGACTACTGGAAAATATTAAATTACACATATGAGGCCAGGCATGGTGGCTCATGCTTGTAATCCCAGCACTTTGGGAGGTCAGGACTGCAAGATCACTTGAGCTCATGAGTTTGGGACCAGCCTGGGCAACAAAGTGAGACCCTGTCTCTACAAAAAAAATTTTTTTAAATTAGCTGGGTATGCCACACACCTATAGTCCCAGCTACTTGGAAGGCTGAGGTGGGAGGATCACTTGAGCTCAGAAGTAGGCTGCAGTGAGCTATGATCACACCACTGCACTCCAGCCTGGGTGAGAGTGAGACCCTGTCACAAAAAAATAAAAAAAAAATTTAAAAAGTAACAAATGCTGCGCATGGTGGCTCAAGCCTATAATCCTAGCACTTTGGGAGGTGGAGATAGGCGGATCACTTGAGCCCAGGAGCTTCAGACCATCCTGGGCAACGTAGTGAAATCCCATCTCTACAAAAAATAAAGAAATTAGCTGGGCATGGTGTGCACCTGTGGTCCCAGCTACTCAGGAGGCTGAGGCAGGAGAATCACTTGAGCCTGAGAGGTTGAGGCTGCAATAAAACATGATCACGCCACTGCACTCAAGCCTGGGTGACAGAGGGAGACCTTGTCTTAAAAAAAAAAAAGAAAAGAAAAGAAAAAGAAACAGCCAGGCATGGTGGCTCATCCCCGTAATCCAGCATTTTGGGAGGCTGAGGTAGCTAGATCACTTTTGAACTCAGGAGTTCCAGACCAGCCTGGGCAATATGGCAAAACCTCTTTTTTACAAAAAAAATACAAAAATTAGCTAGGCATGGTGGTGCATGCCTGTAGTCTCAACTACTCGGAAGGCTGAGGCTGAAGAATTCATTGAGCCCAGAAAGCAGAGGTTGTAATGAGCAAAAATCACGCTGCTGAAATCCAAATTGGGCAACAAAGCCAGACCTCATCTCAAAAAAAAGAAGAAAATAAGAAAATTATATATATGGTTCACATTTTATTTCTACTGGACAATGCTGGCCCATTTTCCTCTGATAAAACTCTACACTTACAATCACTAAAACTTGTAAGTGTTTCTCTAGTCCTTGTGCACAACACTGTGTGAAATATTTTTATCTTCCCTTGTTTCTAAAGGAATTTAAGGCTCAAGTTTTCATTTGAAAGCACCATTAAATGGACCTGAAAAACTCCAAGTTTTCTGCCACAGGAGGATTTAGCAGTTAAGTAATGAAAACGCTGGAAAACTTAAGAACATTAGATTTTTTTCCTCCAGTCTGTGAACCATCCCCCCTTGTAACCGACTCCTAGAACTACTCCATCTAATATGTTCCAAAGTCCCCTATCTTCCAATAACCCACAGTAATTCTCACCCCACTGTCCCAAATTAGAGCCTAGCATATAATTCTCTTAACCACTGTACAGCCTTAGGAAACATAAAACACTACCATGCCATAGTAAATTCCTAAGTTTATAAGTATCCCATGAAAAGAAAAATGTTGGGAAGTATCTTCATCAAAGTATAAGAGTTTTGTTACTTCTACTGAGAAAGTTCTTTGCCAACTAATGCCCTTACAAAGAAAGAAAGGAAATACAAGGTGCTTTACTATTAAGGGAAGTGTTTGTTTAATATTAACATGACATACTTGAGTAGAGCAATAAAATTCCTAGCTGCATTTGTAATTTTGGCCCATAATAAGGCGAGGCTTACCCTTGCTGGAAAAAGGCAAAACTGACACAAATGGGCATGTGGTGGATACTTAATGGTACAGGATCACGCTCTTCAGGTGTATACTGTTTCAAAAGAAAATGTTTAATAATTATAGTCACTAAGTTATGAACATCCAAAAAAATCATCTTGCACATCAAATACTAAAAAATGAAGTTCCTTTATTCTTTTGAGTACCTAAATAACTTCTTTTAATTAATTACCAGTTTGATTTTGCCACTCACGTTCCTCAAACTGTACAACTTTTTCAAAAAGCTTTTTCAAAAATTTACTGACACATAATTTACATCCCATAAAATCCACTTTTTTTTTTGGAGATGAAGTTTCACTCTTGTTGCCCAGGCTGGAGTGCAATGGCAAGATGTCAGCTCCCGGCAACCTCCGCCTCCTGGGCTCATGCGATTCTCCTATGTCAGCCTCCCAAGTAGGTGGGATTACAGGCATGTGCCACCACGCCCGGCTAATTTTGTATTTTTAGTAGACGGGGTTTCTCCATGTTGGTCAGGCTGGTCTCGAACTCCCAACCTGAGGTGATCCACCTGCCTTGGCCTCCCAAAGTGCTGGAATTACAGGTGTGAGCCACCACGCCCAGCCAAAATCCACTCATTTTAAGTATATGATTCAATTTTTAGTAAATGTATAGTTATGGATACATTTACGGACCCATCACCACAATCTAGTTTTTTAACATTTCCATTACTCCCCAAAATTCCTTTGAATCTGTCTGTAGTCCGTAGGAGTCTGGTGTACTCCCACCCTAGCCCCAAGGAATCACTGATCTATCTTATTTCTGTCTCTATAAATCTGACTTTCTGAGCATTCTATATAAATGGAAAAAAAAAAAGTTGTAATGTTTTGTGCCTGGCTTCTTTCAACTTAGCATGTTTCATGCACCTTGCAGCATTTATCAGTAGTTCAGTTCTTTTCATTACTGAACAGCATTCCATTATTTGTATATATGACATTTTATCTATTCACCAGCTGGACATTTGGATTGTTTCCAGTTTCTGGCTAACAAATGATGCTATGAACACTTGCATTGAAGTCTCTGAACGTAGTAAGCTCTTATTCCTCCCGTAGATTCTTAGGCATGGAATTGCTAGAATTTTTTTTTTTTTTTCTAATTTTAAGCCATTGCAGTTTGTTTTAACATTATAAGGTCGGCTGGGGGCAGTGGCTCACGTCTGTAATCCCAGCACTTTGGAAGGCCGATGTGGACGAGGTTGGGAGTTCAAGACCAGCCTGACCAACATGGAGAAACCCTGTCTCTACTAAAAATACAAAATTAGCCAGGCGTGGTTGCACATGCCTGCAATCCCAGCTACTTGGGAGGCTGAGGCAGGAGAATCGCTTGAATCCGGGAGGCGGAGGCTGCAGTGAGCCGAGATCACGCCATTGTACTCTAGCCTAGGCAACAACAGTGAAACTTTGTCTCAAAAGAAAAAAAAAAAATTACAAGGTCAAACCTGCTGAAAGATGTACATATAAGAGAGTGTTTTCAGCTGGGCATGGTGGCTCATGCCTGTAATCCCAACAGTTTGGGAGGCCAAGGTGGGAGGATCACTTGAGCCCAGGAGTTCGAGACCAGCCTGGGCAATTTGGTGAAACCATATCTCTACAAAAAATACAAAAATTAGTCAAGTGGGTGGCACATACCTGTAGTCCCCACTACTCAGGAGACTGAGGTGGGAGGATTGCTTAAGTCCAGGAGGCAGAGGTTACAGTGAGCCGAGATCACGCCACTGCACCCCAGCCTGGACAACGGAGTGAGATCCTGTCTCAAAAAAAAAAAAAAGAAAAAAAAAAAAGAATATTTTCTTCTACTGTTATTTTTCTGAATATAGAATGCTGTCTACACTTAAAACTTAAGCTACCAAACTTTTCCAACATGGCTGTACCATTTTACATTCCCACTAGCAATAACACCACAGTATTCTTTAATTGATTTTTCAAGTGTAGTAATCGCTTTCTACTTTTTTTCACTTCCTTATATAAACTCCCTCCTCTAAAAGAATATTACCTCTACTGTTAATAAACCTTTGTCCCTATTTCTCACTTTTTAATGGTTCTGCTTCAGTCTACTGCCCAAAATCAAAATTATGAATCATTGCTTAGAAAATCTGGGCATCTGATGTGTCCTTTTGCAACTTCAGGATTCAAACTACAACTACAGTGCACTTTCACTATTCTAGCATGTAATTTATATAAATCAAAACTGACATACTCAGAACAAAAGATAAAGACAACGTAGGTCAATGGTTTTCAAAATGTGCTCCCTGGACCAGCAACATCAGTATTACCTAAGAACTCAAAGTTAGAAGTACAAAATCTTAAGTCCTAGCCCTGTTTTACTTTGGGAGTAGTCTGGCTATACGTTTTAACAAGCCCTCCAGGTATTTCTGATGGACTTTCGTCATCTCTTTGCCTAATGAACAAAAGTCCTGGAGACAAATATGAACCTGCTGATTCCTCAGTGCTTTTCAGCTATTGCATGCCTCTTGCAGGGTAAGCATCTCACTGTGCTGAGATTCATGTATTTTTCACACATATGGCCCCTAAACATAAGTCAACCACTTCATCTAATGTTCAATCCAAAATAGTCATCTAATTCTATTCTGGAAAACCAGGCTAGGGTATGTTCTTACTGACAAATGTTTCAACAGAGGAACGGTTAAGAGATTTCCAGGGCAATTTTGACCATATGCAGTTTCAGTCTTACAAACAAATTTTTAGAAACGACCCAATTGCCATCTACAACATAACTTCACTAAAAACAAGTTGCCTGCACATTTAAGACCCTCCTCATTCATTCATATCAAGGATCCTGGTTCACATAGGAGCTTACCAGTGTTACTTCATCTCCTTGGACAGAGACATCAGGTCTTCGGAAATGACATAAGGCCACGATTGCAGCAATGCTGGCAGCATCAATAATATTTCCATCATGATTTAATAAATGTAGGTCTACACGTATTTGCCAAACCTGATAGTGAATTTAAAATAAAAATAAATCCTAACTGATTACAACCAGTGGCTATTTATCAGGAAAAGTAACATTGTGTACAAATTATTTTTTCTTGCTGTTAAAACACGCAGTTACTCCTTGTACTTTGTCAACAAAAAATATATTTTAGAAAATTTAAGCCAAACATCTGAAATACTATGTGGGTCGTTTAACAACAGAACACATACTTTAAATAAACAGAACCACTCTAACATTTAATACTACGATTTTCCTAACCTCAAATCTAATTACATTTTTATCATGTCTGTTAAAAACCACAAACTCTAGGCCAGGCACAGTGGCTTACACCTGTAATCCCAGCACTTTGGGAGGTCAAGGTGGCAGAACTGCTTTAGCCTAGGAGTTCGAGACCAGCCTGAGCAACACAGCAAGACCCTATCTCTACAAAAAAAAAAAAAAAAAAGTTTTTTAGTTAGCTGGGTGGAGTGGCACGCGCCTATAGTCCTAGCTATTCGGGAGGCTAAGGAGAGAGGATCTCTTGAGCCCAGGAGTTTAAGATTACAGTGAGCTATAATGACACCACTGTACTCCGGCCTGGACGAGAGTGTCACCCTGTCCCTCAGAGAAAATAATGAAAGTTTTCAAAAATTAAAAAAAATTAAACTTTTAGGTTTTGTGATATTTTTAATAACCTTACAAGTAATGCAAATAGGAAGTATTATGCTTAGGTATGGAATATGGGAAGCTAAATGACTTCTCTGGGATGAAAATGCTTGTCAAAATACCCTAATCAAGAATCAAATTCTGGCCAGGCACAGTAGCTCACGCCTGTAATCCCAGCACTTTGGGAGGCCAAGGCAGGTGAATCACTTGAGGTCTGGAGTTCAAGACTAGCCTGCTGGTGAAACCCCATCTCTACTAAAAATACAAAAATTAGCCGGGCGTGGTGGCAGGCGCCGGTAGTTCCAGCTGCTCGGAAAGCTGAGTGGGAGAATCGCTTGAACAGGGGAGGCAGAGGTTGCAGTGAGCTGAGATTGCACCACTGCACTCCAGCCTGGGCAACAGAGTGAGACTCTATCTCAAAAAAATAAAACAAAATAAAATAAAATAAAATTCTAATATCCTAATGCAGCACAATTTATTGGGACTAAGATTTTCAAAGTTATCCCTGCCACTGACATGGTGTGGCCCTGTGTAAATCGATAAACCTATCCAAATGAAGGATTTCATCTGTTCTTGAGTTCTGCATGAAAAAGGAAAACTACCTGCTTCTATGAACTCATGTAGAAAATGAGAGATTATATGAAAAAGCCACAAGTTCTTTGAATAAAATATTTTTACACAAAAATCTAAGTTGCTATTTTCACCCTTTTAAGATAAAGGGTGAAAACCTTTTAGAAACCTTTAAGAAAAAGGGTGTCCTCTGAAGGGACACCCTTTTTGTCCCTTCAGAGAGAGAGAGGTAGCACAAAGTTCTAAGGGTATCACTCAAGAACATCTGAAGTGAAGCAAACCAGTACAATACTGAGTTAACTAAAGTTCTGAGAATAAAAGGATAGATACCGGGATCCATGATCAACAGTATTCATCCTAAGATTAAGAATTATGGGCATATTCCCCACCTTTTCACCAGCAACAACACAGAGAGACTCAGTGTCTATACACTTCGAATTTCTTAGACATCTTTCCATGAGTCGATTCAACTTCACCAAGAGATCTGACTGCCTATAAGGAGAAAATAGGAATGGGCTAATGTCATGAAATATAACACCAGGTATTAAAACAAAAGCTCACTGCTGTTAGGTTCTCCTATGACTAAAGCAACTTAAGAAAAAGATTTAAATACCTGCCAGGTTCGAAAGCTGGAGCGGCCATCTGAGAGAGTTCAAGGTTAAAAAAAAGAATACCTTCTGTTGCCCGATTGAGTTTTGGAGACACAAGTTCACAGGAAACCTGTCCAAGAACTCTGCAAAGATAAAGTTACAAAGTATTAACCAAATAGACTCTCCTTCCAAAACAAAAAACTGAAACAGATAACAAGTTTCAATCTTAATGTGAGTAATATCATACTCAGCCAAATAAATCATAGGAGATAAAAATTATATGTAAAGTATAATATACACAGAAATAAAACATAAATTGGTACAACTAAAAACACGACAGAAAAAACACCTCTCTTCTTATTACAATGTTTACTATTCCACAGATTGTTTTAAAAATCAGTGACCTTTACCTCTAAAGCAAGTATTTATTGATACAAGATGGCATGAAAACCTGAGATTTCTTAAAGGTTTTCACATGGCATAGTTCACCACCATTATGTGACCAAATAGCCTCACAACTTTCAAATGAATATCTGAAAACCTAATTTTCATGTCACTCAGGAAAAAGAAAGCAGGATGTACACTTAATGACAAGATGCTCAAGATCTCTATATTAGTGTGAGAAACAAATTCCATATGATCACTACTAGTTGTCTATACGATTTATAGAAGTCAGAAAAGAACTATGTGATACGTGACAGAAAATACGTTTATGATTAAAAAGTTCAAGTGTGACCACAAAAGCAAAAAATCTCGCATAAAAAAATACTTATTTTTGTCAGCTAAACAAAGAATACTGTCCAGACTTCTTAGCTGCTTTATAAACAACCAAGTCAATAAGGTCTTTTTTCAAACTTCTCCCTTCCGAATGTGTATCTCATTTAAATCCTGTTACCTTGTTTTTCCAAGTTCCACAATGCAGCATCCGTAATCTGTTCCAAATGAGATCCTGATGTTCCTATAATCATAGGTTTGTCTGCCATCCAGCCGCTGTAAGCACAAATTCATTCATTAATTTATTCCTTCAACAAGTATTTCTTAAGCAACTACTTTTTGTCTGGCCCTGGGCTAAGCACTTGGGGGAAAGTGGAATCCTAACCAGCCCGCCCATACAGGAAAGTGGAAACTACAGCATGGACAACTGCTGCGGTGACTGGAGCCTTGAAAAGAACCTGTCGAAAAAAAATAAATAAAGCCTGAGGGATGGGGTGAACGTGCCGGTCGTTCCCCTAGTAGCTCCCCGGGCCCAGGCGGGCCAGGTATCAGTCCACACCTTGAGACCCGAGCGCCCACGCAGCGCGCAATTCTGCGGGCACCAAACCATACCTTCTTCTCTTCGATGGCACGGAGTAGGAAGCGGCGTTCGCAGTTTGAGAGTGGCGTTTCCTTCATGGTGTTGGGTCACCGGCCCCACAGGCACCAGAATCCGCGGGAAAAACGGAACCCGATCTTTCCTTGCGCGCCGCTGCTCGCCCCGAGGCGCAGGAAAATTACGTCATCAAGGCGCGGCGGCGGAAAAATGGGAAATGGCTTGGGCTGCAGCTACTGCGCAGACTCAAAGCGTGATTGGGGAAGGCCAGCGAGCTGCGAGAAGCCATTGCGGCTTTGGGAGGCCGTTTCTGAACGTGAAGTTCCGTTTCTTTTCTCATAAAGTGCAGAGGAGAAAAGGATACTTAAAATAACCATGAGAGTGATAGAAATTATTATCAGTAGACCGCTCGCACACTTCACCCTTTGCTCAGTCCTCTCACGGGGTGGAGACTAGACATGTACTTCTGCAATTTCACAGATGAGTTGACATTGGTCCCTGGAAAGCCGCAGATGCAGGATTTGGAGCAGATTAAATGAACAAACACTGGAATGAGGCGGCATAAGGGTTGGGGGAGAAAGATAAATTGGTGAAATGGGATGTTTTTGTGGCCAAAGGTGAAATCTTGTGGGATCTGAGAAGTTGATGAGAATGGAGAATGTTCGCACGTAGTAACTAACGATGTTACTACTACTGTGGACTGAAAGTAAATGCACCGTTTATTTCTTATCCCCTCTCCAGTTATTTTAAGTCGATAGACTTTTTTTTACGGTCACAGAGAAGCCTTAGCGGGGCCATGCTGCCAACCACTCAGCTTTTTTGGAGAGGCAGTATCAAATAGTAGTTTTAAAAAGTGTTCACTGCCAGGGTTCAAATTTTAAGGCTATCATTAACTACTATAACCCTGGGCAAGTTAACCTGTGTGCTTCACATTACTCACCGGCAAAAAAAAAACAAAAACAAAAACAAAGCAGGGGAAGTGAGAAACCTATTTATTCTGAGGAATAAAAATGAGTTAATATATACATAAAATGTTTAGAACAGTGCCTGGCATGGAATAAGCACTATTTAAGTGTTTGCATATTATTATTTTGTTTCCTTTTGCTTTAGAGGTGGTAGGCACTGTAACTCCTACGCAGTCTTTCTCTGGCTTCTTTGGTAGCTTCTCACAAGTTTTTTCTACCAGTGATACATTTTAGTCTCACTTTGTACCACTTGCAATCCATGTACTCAATAAATACTTGAAGAGGGCCTACTCTGTCCAAGAATAATTTAAGTGCTGGAGAAACAGGGTAGACAAGATCCTTTCAAGGAATTTATATTCTTTTTGGAAAAGGCAAAAAACCCTAAACAAATAGAACAATTTCATACAGTGTTAAGTGCTCTCTGAGAATAGGAATGCTATCTTAATAGGGGTAGTTGCAGGAACAGGTGACTTTGTAGCGGTGACATTAAAGTAAAGTAAATCTTTGGTGTTGAGCAGGAGCACCCTTGATGCCATCTGGAGAGGAAAAGTGTTTCAAGCAGAAAGAGTAACATATGCAAAAACTGAGATGAGATGAGCTCCACATGGTCTGGAGAGAGAAATTGTGAAGAAGGAGGAAAGTGGACAGAAATGATTAATTTTCAAAATCGGCAAGGGGATTACAGGGTACTAACCACTTAAGTTCTTTAGCAACATGAATTCATTTTTATAGTACAGTTTCATACCAGAACTCCTGGTTGATAAGTTCTTCATTTAAATCCTTGAGTTCTTTCAGTGGCCATTTGGTAATTTTTCCCTTCAGCGATGAAATAGACCTTTGTTGAAATAGCCTGTTATTTACTGCAAGGCAGCTTGGTAATGGAAAGAGAATGGACTTTGGCTTCAGATAAAGTTCAGCTCAAATGAACTTGGAGTGAGCTAAATATTCTTTCTGATTTGGGGGTTCTGTATCTTCAGATTGGAAATAACAATTATTCTGTGTTAAGTGGTCTGAATGAAAGCATCTGATGAAACATTTTGGACATGATAGCTATTCAAATGTTAGTTTCCTCCTTTCTTGTTGGGTTGGCAAAGGCTTCCCATGAAACTGCCCAAACTCAGCATGACAGATTGCTTTTCTGAAACTGCTGCTTGATTACTTTGCTTTCCTTCCACTTTTGTTGAATTTCCACTGTTCTTTTCTACTTTCACTTTTATATTCTAATTTAAACACTCTTGCTTTTGTCTTTTTATTTTCGAGTTAATCCAAAGGTGTATGACCCATCTCCACTTACATCTACATACCATCCTAAAATATATGTACTTTACAACCTTGTGTTTATAAGAAATTTTTGAATGCCAAAGGAAAATTTGTTTCATGATTTCAGGGAAAAATAAGTTTGGAAGGTTAAGAAGAGGTTCAGATAATGTGTCAGGTAATGTGATACATTCTATTATTTTTTTTTTCTTTTTTGAGAGAGTCTCACTCTGTCACCCAGGCTGGAGTGCAGTGGCATGATCTTGGCTCACTGCAACCTCCACCTCCCAGGTTAAAGTAATTCTCCTGCCTCAGCCTCCCAAGTAGCTGGGACTACAGGCATGCACCACAACGCCTGGCTAATTTTTGTATTTTTAGTAGAGATGGGGTTTCACCATGTTGGTCCGGCTGGTTTCAAACTCCTGATTTCAGGTGATTCGCCCACCTTGGCCTCCCAAAGTGCTGGGATTACAGGAGTGAGCCACCGCACCTGGCCTCACCTTCTGTTCTTAAAAGAAGAATCAGTTGGAATCAGCATATTAATCTGGATGATCTGTCTAAAAATAACCTAGTTCTCAACAAACTATTTGAGTGTGCATTCTCTTTATTGAACATCAGTTGCTTTGTCTGACCAGCAGCCTTCTATTTCTTGGAGAAATGCCCTTTCCTGACCCCATGCGATTCTAGTGAGCCAATACATTTGAGTTGGTCTTTGTAAAAGTGTGTCCGAAGGAATTCTAGTACATTTCTACTAGAGTATAAAGTCTATGTCTTCTTCACCTTTGTAGCACCCACTGAGACTGGTAGTGTACCTTGTGAATCAAAGGATGAATGGCCTACTTAGCACATCTGGTGAAAGAATTAATGGGTGGAGGCCAGGTGCGGTGGCTCACGCCTGTAATCCCAGCACTTTAGGAGGCCAAAGCAGCCAGATCACTTGAGGTCAGGAGTTTGAGACCAGCCTGGCCAACATGGTGAAACCCCCGTCTCCACTAAAAATACAAAAATTAGCTGGGCATGGTGGCACACACCTGTAATCGCAGCTACTCAGGAGGCTGAGGCTGGAGAATCGCTTGAACCCAAAAGATGGAGGTTGCAGTGAACTGAGATTGTACCACTGCACTCCAGCCTGAACAATAGAGCAAGAATCCATCTCAAAAATAAAAAAAGGCTGGGCACAGTGGCTCATGCCTGTAATCTCAGTACTTTGGGAGGTCAAGGTGGGCAGATCACTTGAGTTCAGGAGTTCGAGACCAGCCTGACCAACATGGTGAAACCCTGTCTCTACTAAAAATACAAAAATTAGCCAGGCATGGTGGCCCACACCTGTAATCCCAGCTACTCGGGAGGCTGAGGCTGGAGAATCACTTGAACCTGGGAGGCAGAGGTTGCAGTGAGCTGAGATTGTGCCACTGCACTCCAGCCTGGATGACAGAGTGAGACTCCATCTCAAAAAAAAGAAAAAAATGGGTGGATGAGTGAACAAATGAAAGCTTACCATTTTATTTACCATATATCTGCTGTACAATTTGTCTGTATAGAATTTGGTGTACCAAAAGTTATCCTGGAAGGGTATAATATGAAATATTAAAAATGGTTATCTCTGAGTGATAGGATTTTGGGAAAAGGTTTTTATTTCATTTTGCTATTTTTTCTTTATGAACTTTCCAAATCTTCTGTAAGGCATGTGAATAGCTTTTATTATCAGAAAAAGTAAAAAGTAAAAAGGTGTTATGTTTTCTTTTTATTGTTTGGCCATACTTAGCTAATTTTTTTATTTAAGGGAATTTTGACTTTCAACTACATTTTAACAAAGACATTTGTTTTGTTTTTTTTCAAGATTCAAACGGGAAACCACTTATCAGTTAATATGTTGAAAAGATTTTATGTATTGACAACTGAATATGTCAAATATAGTGCAGGCCTGGCGCGGTGGCTCACGCCTGTAATCCTAGCACTTTGGGAGGCTGAGGCGAGTGGATCACAAGGTCAGGAGATTGAGACCATCCTGGCTAACATGGTGAAATCCCATCTCTACTAAAAATACGAAAAAAATTAGCCGGGCGTAGTGGCAGGTGCCTGTAGTCCCAGCTACTCAGGATGCTGAGGCAGGAGAATGGCGTGAACCCGGGAGGCGGAGCTTGCAGTGAGCCGAGATCGCGCCACTGCACTCCAGCCTCGGCTACAGAGTGAGACTTCGTCTCAAAAAAAAAAAATGTAGTGCAAATTTCCCTCGCATATGTTTTATGGGAATTATAGATTTTTAAGTCCATTAGATTATCCAGTCCATCTCTAGCTTCCTTGGATATTGAAAAGAGCTTTTCCTTTGACTCTGATTATATCATTTGTTATGTCCAGGAAGCTATATTATTATTATTAAGGCTTTACAATGTATTTAGAGGAATAAAAAATTATCCATTTTCAGCTTATCAAAAATACAACAAATTAGAAGATAATTCAGGGAAGGGACATTTTCATTTCACTTAGATTATGCATATGGCTCTATCTTGGACACATCACTGATGCCCTTGGATTTGTTCTCATCTATTAAAAGAAGATTCATGCTCATCGATAGAAATCTGTAGGAAATTATATTGTTTAATGTCTAAGCAATAAATATGATCTAGAAAAGTTGTCACTTAGTTTTCTACAAATAAAATAAGTGGAATTTGCTATTGTGAATTAAACTAATTGTCATGTAAATAACTTATAGTGTTGTATAGTAAGCAAAACAATGGCCTCTTTTAAAGATTTCCACATTCCAATCTCTGGAAACTGTGAATATGTTGCCTTATATGGCAAAAGTTATTTTGCAGCAGTGATTAAGTTATGGGTTTTCAAATGGGGAGGTTATCCTGGATTAGCTGGGTGAGCCCAAGAAGGAGGCAGGAGAGAGAGACCTGGAAATTTGCATTTTTAACTGGCTCTCTGGTGATGCTGATGCTGCTGGGCAGTGGATCACATTTAAAAGTGGCAAGAGTTTGGATAAAGATGATTTCTGTTCAGTAGACCTTTTGGAATTTATAAATAGGAAGAGTTTAGGATCAGTAATCTGGCCGAAAGGGACTGAAGAACTCAGAAGGCTGCATTTGCTTGGTAATCACACTGCGTTTACTTAGAATGAGAGTTTATTTGGATGGATTGAGGGTGATAGAGGTTATGAGAGAGGAACTAAACAGGCTAGCAAGCTGTGTTTTGTTTTTCTCTCAAAGAGTTTTAACAATATTTGAATCCTTTTGGCAGGGCATATGTTGAAGGCCAAAAGAATGAGGGTCATGATCAACTCAGCATACAACTGAAGGCTATATGAGTAAACAGCAAACTGTTTCTCATGAAAGCAGGATGTTGGCAAACTGACAAACTGCATCTGCCGCCCAGAAGGAATGCTGAGGGGAGTCACAACCCAGGCACAGGTGTTTCTTGTGGTTAGGCACATGTGAAGCCTGTTAGCAATAACGTGAACCTGTGATCAATCAAGCAGCTGACCAATTGTTACCTCCTTCTCCCTGCTCTTTCTACCCGATAAATACGAAGGGCTGCAGAAGCTCAGGGGCTGCTGCCTTTGCTCACTAGAAGCAAGGAGCCCTCTTCTTTTTCCCCTGGTCCCTTCCTTTAAAACAGTTTCTTTTGTTTTAAGTTTTCATTTCTGCATGCGTCCGTTTTCGTTCAGTCTCGTAATGACAGTCTCAAGTAGTGACAGTAGTAAGTCTTGTAATGACAGTCTCAAGTAGTAACAGTAGTAACTGTTGTAGTGACAGTCTCAAATAGTAATGTTTTGTTTTTTGTTTTTTGTTTTTTGTTTTAAGATGGGAGTCTCACTCTGTCACCCAGGCTGGAGTGCAGTGGTGTGATCTCGGCTCACTGCAACCTCCACCTCCTGGCTCAAGCAATTCTCCTGCCTCAGCCTCCCAGGTAGCTGGGACTACAGGCATGTGTCACCAAGCCCAGCTAATTTATTGTATTTTTGGTAGAGATGGGGTTTTGCCATGTTGGCCAGGCTGGTCTCCAACTTCTGACTTCAAATGATCCGCCCACCTCGGCCTCCCAAAGTGTTGGGATTACAGGCATGAGCCACTGTGCCCAGCCCCCTCCAGGTGATTCTTATAAACGTTAAAGTTGGAGAAGCCCTGATCTAAATTTCTAGGAGAGAGATATATATCCAATCTTATCTAGCTCTAGGATTCCCTGTCTGTTTTGTGCAAAATGTGAGGGGAGGTGTCCTCCACTCCCCTGTTCCCATAAGGCAGTGCTAACTGCCTGCTTACAGATTTCCAGAGTTAGGTGGAATTCCTGCTATGTGCTAGGCAGTGTGATTGGTGCCAGCAAAGTTCAATAGGAGGTACTTCCCTACAATGTTTGCTAACTTGCTGTTCACTCACTTTGTGGAAGGAGTGCTTTCAGTGACAATCTAATCTTGAGGCATATTTTAACATCATGATTTTATAAACTCATAGACAATTTTAAGAACAATTTCAGGTTAAGAGAAAAATTGAGCGGAAAGTACACGAAGTCTCCATACACTTTTCCCCCACATACACAACCTCGTCCACCCATCAACAGCCCTCATCAGTGTGGTCCATCTGTTACAGTGAACCAGTATTCGTTATCTGTCTTTTACAGATGCCTATGTTACAAGGTACAGACAGATTGAGTAATCTGTCCAAGTTTGCACAGCTAGTAAGCCACAGAACTAGGATTCATACCCAGACAGCCTGACTCCAGAGACTGTACTCTGTGCTGCTTCTTGTAAATGGGAATTCATTTCTATGGCAAGTGTATTCTCTTCACTCTTAACACCAAACCAGGTTATTGCCTTTCTCTCTGTGAGGATCTTAACTTTCCTCATTTAATTACTTTGCCATCTGATATCCATATAGAGAATAAAGCTGCTATTATTAGATTATCCAAACTCAATTTCTCATGCTTTAACTTGACACACAATTAGAAGTATAATGATGAAGTAGGGCTCATTAATGCAAAGAGACATATGAAGTCTGACTACAATTCCAAAGCTAGCATACAGGCAAGAGTGAGGTTGATATTGAGCTTTTATCACAAGCAATAGGAGGAGTTCTACATGCAAAAGTGGCCCTGGTTCTTGATGGATAGGCTCTTACAGAATACGTTATTTGTACTATGTTGGCCGCTCTCCATTAGCCCAACTCCCAGGGATGCTGTACCCATACCATTGATCAACTCCTTATTCAAATAAATGACTTAAGAGGAAAAGTTTCTATTTTGTATCTCTTCGCTCTTACCCTGCTTGCTTCTTCCTAAAGTTGTCTAACAAGGAAGGCTTAGGCTGTTTCAGAGGCAGCAGCTTCAGCAGAAATGGGAGAACACCAGACGATGCTGACTCTCCCATGAGGTGACCATGGACAGCCTAGGCTGGACTGTGGTATCATGTAGGCACGTTTCTTTTCTTTATCTTTTTTTTTTTAGACATGGGTCTCACTATGTTGCCCAGGTTAGTTTAACTCCTGGCCTCAAGTGATCATCTCAGCTCGGCCTCCTGAGTTACTGGGATTACAGGTGTGAGCTACTGTGCCTGGCTGAAGCGTACATTTCTCTAGCAAGCAATATAATATTATTTTGAGATAGTATTTCAGTGGTAACAGGCCCCTAAGATGGCCCCCAGTGATTCATACCTCCTGATATTTAGGGCCTTATGTGATCCCCTCCCCTTGAATGACTTACTTGTAATCAACAGAATACCTCAACATTAAGGGGATGACACTTCTGTTATTGGATTATAAGAAAATATAACTTCGATCATGCTAGCGGACTCCCTCTCTTGCTGGATTTGATAAAGCAAGTTTCCATGTCAGGGGGCCCACATGACAAGGAACTGAGGGTGTTCTGCAGCCAGTTGCCAGGTAAATATTTGGGACCTAAATCTATATCTCAAAGGGAATTGAAGCCTGACAACAGTCACAGAAGTGAGCTTGTTGAGCTTCCTATGCTGAGCTTTTAGATGAGACTTTAGCCCTCGCTGACATCTTGATTGTAGCTTTAAGAGGGACCCTTAAGCAAACCCTGTTAATGTATGCCTGGGTTCCTGACTCACAGAAACCATGAGATAATAAGTGTATGCTGCTTTAGGCTGCTAAGAAGCAAAAGATGACTAATGCAACTTTGAGCACAAACTCTTCTCAGGTGAGCATTACTTATGAATCTCGTAATTCACTAGACTACTCTCACCTTGATGATAGTATAAATAAAATCCCCATTTGCCTTTTTTTTTTTTCAACATTTGAGGTTATCAAGATGTTGCTAACACCAAGTATGGTGGTGTGCACTTATAATCCCAGCTACTCATGAGGCTGAGGCAAGAGGATTGCTTGAGCCCAGGAGTTCAAGACCAGCTTGGGCAACATGGCAAAACCCTGTCCCCACAAAAAATACAAAAATTGGCCGGGTGTGGTGGCACACACCTATAGTCCCAGTTACTTGGGAGATTGAGGTGGGAGGATCACCTGAGCCTGGGAGGTTGAAGCTGCAGTGAGCCGTGACCATGCCGCTGCATTCCAGCCTGGGTGACGGAGTGAGACCCTTTCTCAAAAAAAAAAAAGTTTGATAATGGGAGTTTCCCTTAATTTTTGTTTCTAGTATTACTAATAAAAATTAGGTTTGTAAGAAGTAAAAATTTATAAGAATTCAGTCATTTATATAAGTATTCTTTGCGAACCTACTATGTGCCAGGCTCTATTTTAAGCACTGGGATAATGTAAACAAAATAGAACAGGTCACTTGGAGCCTATATTATAGAGACAGGTAGACAAAAAAGTAATAAACAAACTATCAGTAGTGCCTGGTAATGAGAGGTGATACAAAGAAAAGTAAAGCCCGGTGAGAGAGAGTGGCCAAGAAGTTACTGTGAAGTAATGTAATCAGGAGAGAGGCCTCTTTGATGAGGGGGCATTTGAGGAAACCTGAAAATGTGAGGAGTCAATAATTAAGTAAATGGCCCGGGCACAGTGGCTCATGCCTATAATTACAGAACTCTGGGAGGTTCAAGCTATTCTCCTGCTCAGCCTCCCGAATAGCTGGGATTACAGGCATGCACCACCATGCCCAGCTAATTTTGTATTTTTACTAGAGATGGGGTTTCTCCATATTGGTCAGGCTGGTCTCTAACTCCCGACCTCAGGTGATCTGCCTGCCTTGGCCTCCCAAAGTGCTGGGATTACAGGTGAGAGCCACTGCACCTGGCCATGATGTACCTTTTAAAATAGGAGAGGTATAGCCTTCAAAGTTGCAAGCCCAATGTTCTAAGTAACTTTCCTGGCCTCTAGGAAAGTTTCGGCATATAGACCCAGAAATAGCTTCCCAGACACATTAGGTCTTTTGCATATCTGGATACATTATTAAAGTAAAAGTAGAAAGAAGTGGATGTCAAATGTTTTTTTGAAAGCCAAAAATGTCACACTTTTTAAATGCCATTTCTGATGTGGTTCAGGGCATGGGCTTTGGCATCAGACAGCCTTGGGCTTAGATCTTTGCTGGGGAAACTGTGATGTCTTCGACACATGATCTTACTTACCTCTTGTCTTAAGCAGCTCGTGCTGCTATATAATAAAATACCACAAAGTGGGTGGCTTATGCAACAAAAATTTATTTCTCATAGTTGTGGTAGCTGGAAAGTCCAAGATCAAGGCACTGGTTTGCGGAGGGCAACTTTCTTGCTATATTCTCAGACGGTGAAGAGACAGCCTCGCTCTTGTGTCTCTTTTTAGAAGGGTACCCCTAAGACCTAATTACTTCCTAAATGCACCACCTCCAAATACCATCATATTGGGGATTATTAGGGGATTATTTTGAGAGAAACACAAACATTGGGATTATTAGGGGATTATTTTGAGAGAAACACAAACATTGTCAATAGCACCTCCTGAAAATGGAATTGTTACAGCTGATGCTCATAGAACAATTATTACATGCCAGACACTGTACTAAGATGTTTGCATTTATTAATTTAATCTTCACAATTCCCTTACACTCCACTTTACAGATGAGCAAAATGAGGCAGAGATTAAATTACTTTCTCAAGGTCACATGGCCATTTAAGTGACAAGGTCAGGATCTGAATGCAGGCTATCTGGTTCCAAGTCTGTGTGCTTAAGTCACATGCTGCTGCCTCTTGATGATAACAATTTCTACCTCATAGATAAGCACTCAGCACAGTGTGAGACATGAGGCAAGCCCTCAATAAATATATGTTGAATGAGTGACTTTGCAAAGTCATAGTAAATTATAACATAGCCAATAGAATATTTGTATACTCTGTTATGGCTAAATAACTCAAGTTTTCATCTTTTTAGGCTCTCTGGTGTGTATGATAGCAGCTTGGCAAATCTATTTTCCAAAAATAACCCTATTTTGATAGGACCATTATATTCTCTAGTAAAATTCGATTGTGCTGAGCCCATGCTGATGCCTAATCGTCACCTCTTACATTTCTAAATGATTACAGACTATCTGATCACCTGTTTTAGAATTTTGTCTGCAATCAGTATAAAGCTCTTCATTCTTTTTCTTTCTGTCTTTCTTTCTTTCTTTAACAGCCTCACTTGACTATTTTTTGTTTTTGTTTGCAAAGAAAGAGGTTTAATCATTGGGCTGGCCCAACTAGGAGATAGGAGGAAACCTCACATCCATCCCCTTAGTGAGTTTGGGCTTGGGTTTTTAAAGGTTTGAGAGTGGGCGGAAGTGAAGAGATCATTGATTGGTTGAAGAGTTCATGGTGGAGACATGGGGCAGGGAGATGAAGAAGCTTAGTCTCATGTTGATTCTGTTACTCTGTGCAGGTCTTTAATCTGATTGGCATCAGCTGTTTTGCTGAATGCAGGATCTCTCTTCATTCTATTTAGTGTACAGTATTTGCCTTCTTTGCATTTTTTGGAATTTAGGGGAACTTCTGGTTCTCTTCAGGATCAAAATTGGGTATACTTCGTTAGTGATGAAGACCATCAGAAATTTCCCACATAATGTTAATTTTTTATTAAAGCAATGAGATAACTATATTGTACTTGGAGAGCATTTGAATTCTACAGCTAGCAACTGGCTCCTATTTCAGGCCATAACTCCGTATCAAATTGTGGGTCTGATCCAACATAAAATGAGATTACTCATCTGTCAGAGGAAAAGCTCCAACAGGAAAATTTAGGTAGGATGTGAGTCATATAATGTGACATTCTTCTGCCCTGCAAATAAATCCTATTTAACTAAACCATATGTTTTAAAGGAGTTTAAAAAATGAAAATGTAAAAATGTTCATATATCTAACCCCTTGAAATTATGTCTTTCATACATTTGAATTTCTCAGAGTTATACTTGGACTTTGAGAATAAGTCAGTCATTTTCTTTGTGGCAAGCTTTTCCTACTGCATTTTTTCTTTAATAAATAATTTGTGATCATTTAAACATAGCAAAGAAATTGAGCTATGTGTACTTTTGTTGTTGTTATTGTTTTATCTAGATGGTATTGCCTGAGTCAAAAGTTGGTAGTAAAAGTTCTGAAATGTTGAAATGTATAGTCCATGATCTCCCTTCTTAAAATTTCTAGGAGTCAATTGAATTCTTAGGAGATGAGAATTAAACTTCATGACTTCAGTGGTCAAGTTAGCATTTTATCTCTGCAGTTTACTTTTAAAATAATGATAACTTGCTTCTATTGGGAAGTTTCAGTTCAACAGCTAGAATTTGCCAGATGCAGTGGCTCACACATGTAATCTCAGCACTGTGGGAGGCTGACGGGGGAGGATGGCCTGAGCCCAGGAATTGGAGACCACCCTGGACAACATAGCAAGACCTTGTCTTTACCAAAAAAAAACTGAAAGGAGGGAAGGAAGGAAGGAAGGAAGGAAGAAAAGAAGGAAGGAAGACAGGCCTGGTGTGGTGGCATGCACCTGTGGTCCTACCTATTTTGGAGGCTGAGGTGGGGGGGATCCCTTGAGCCCAGGAGTTTGAGGCTGCAGGAAGCCATGATTGCATCAAAACCAACAACAATAATAAGAAAAACCAAAACAAACAAACAAACAAACAACCCCCCCCCCCCAAACCCAAAACAAAAAGCCCCAGCTAGAATCAGGGTACTACTGAGATGGATTCAGTTTTGGTCACAGAACTTTCGAGTTGTACCCTACCCCTTGTTTCTTTTCTCTTTTTGCTTTTGGTATGCTGAGGGCTACAGATGAGTCACAAAGAAACTGCAAAAGATGGAGGTGGTAGGAGAAAAAAACAAGCGAGACCAGACCTTGTTGTCTCTTAGGGGAACATTAGCCTCTTATCTGAGGGTTTAAAGTGTGTGAGTATGTGTATGTATGTGTAAGTGTCTCTGTGTGTGTTTGTGGAATCTAGATAGACCTACATCTCCTTGTTAAAACTAATAAATATTGAGTCTCTTAATTTTCTGTATCATTTAATATCATCTGTCTTCTTGAAATACTGTTTTTTCTTGACTTTAGTGTTCTTCTCAAAGTACCTTTTCCTCTTGACTTCAGTGACTTGTTATACTTCTGTTTTTTCTACCTCTTTGGATATTCCTTTTCAGTTCCTTTTGGGGATTCCTCTTTTTCAGTTCATCTCTTAAGTGCCAGTGTTTCATGGGATTCTGTCCTAGAAAATGTCTCCTTTTATACACTCTCTTTAGTTTTCCACTTCCATGGTTTCAATTACCAGCAATATGCTGATGACATCTAAATCTATTGTACCAGCCCAGACCTCTTCTCTGGGCTCTCAGTGTCTCCAGATGTTCCAGGGACATTTCAAATTCACTGTGTCCACAGCCGAACTCTATCTTTCTTCTAAACTTGTTCTTCCTTGTGTTCCCTTGAGTGAATGGCAATACCCCAGTAGCCAGTAAACCAGAGTATCATTCTTGATTCCTCCGTCACCACACCCACTCCTTCTCATAAATCACCAAGTCCAGCTGAGTCCACCTACTAAACACTTAACCCATATGTTTTATCCAATTTCATTGTCACTACCATAACTCAGGTCACTATCATCTTTTTCCTAAATTATTGTATCAGCCTCCGACTTAACTGCCTAGCCTCCAGTGTTGCCCTCGAACAGTTCATTTTCCACATCTTGTATGATGCTTCTAAAACACAAGGTATGGTAGCTTGTGTCTGCAGTCCCATCCACTGGGGAGACAGGTGGGAGAATCACTTGAGCCTGGAGTCTGAGGCTGCAGTGAGCTGTGATTGCACCACTGCACTCCAGCCTCGGCAACAGAGTGAGACTTCATACCCCAAAAAGAAAACAAAACACAAATCTAACAATGCTGCTTTACATATAGCCCTCCCATGGCTTCCCATTGCTTTTAAGATACATTCCAAACCCTGTGCCATGGTTTACAATGCCTTTTCTCATCTAGTTCCTGTCTGTTTCCTCAGACCCATCTTTAAAAACTTTCCTGTTCATCTAATCTTAAACTTTACTGAATTATTTTAAATTACTCAGAAGTACCAAGTTCTCTCTTAACTTCAGCCATTTGCGTTGGGGTTACCTGCCTGAAAGACTTTCCCTGACATTTTATGCTGGCAAACTCCTAAGCATTCTTCAGGTTGCATCTCAGAGAAAGCAAAAAGCCTTTCCTGAAACCACAGACCCGGTTAAACCCCCGCTCTGTGCTCCTGAAGATTTGATACTTCCTCCATCTTTGCATTTATGGCATGGATTAAAGTGGTCTGTTTGCCTGGCTGTGTCTCCCATTAAGTTCTGTTGTAGTCACTTTTTAATCCACACTGCCTGGGCCTCAAATATGGAAGGAGCTTAGTAAATATTGAATGAGTGAATGAATGAATGAATGAATGAGAGAAGAGTGGGAAAAGGATGAAGATGGAAACATGTTTACCTGGAGCCACAAGCCTAAATGGTACTGCCTAGCAAGAGTAATCTTCATAGCCACCTTTGCATTCTTTCCATGTTCCAGGCACTGTTCAAAGCAACTCCCATACATTTAATTTTCCCAACAACCAGAACTAGATGAGGATTCTGATGCTTAGATAAATAAGGTAACTTGCCAAAGTCAGGCATTTATTAGTTTGATGCTTTCTCTTCTTTAGTGGGGAAGCTATGCATGTTTAGGACATCTAACAAGATAGACTACTAGTCATATGTCGCATATAGGTAAGACCAACGTGATTATAACAGACTTCCAGTGTAAGCCTTCAGGTTCTCTGAAACTAACAAATAAATACATTAAATCATTAAATTAGAAAATATTGTATTTAAAATAAATATACATCTTTGTTATGGGAAAATTGTTTTCAATTTTTTTTTTTCCAGATAGGGTCTCACTCTACCCAGGCTGGAGTGCAGTGGTGCAATCACGACTCACTGCATGCAGCCTTGACCTCCTGGGCTCCAGCGATCCTCCCACTTCAGCCTCTTGAGTAGCTTGGACTACAGGGGTGCACCACCATGCCCCACTAATTTTTAAAATTTTCTGTACAGACAAGGTGTTCCTATGTTGTCCAGGCTGGTCTCCTGAGCTCAAGCAATCTTCCTGCCTGGGCCTCCCAAAGTGCTGGGATTACTCAGGTGTGAGCCATGGCACCTGGCTAGAGAAAACTGTTAAACAGGATTAATTACTCTACAGAACCTTTAGTTGACATTATATAAATGAAATGTGGAACATTTCAATGAAACTACCTTCTTTTCTTTAAAATAGTTTCAAAGCCTCGAGAAGGATAGATGGTGTTTCAGTCATCTGCAATAATGTGAAGGACACCAAAGTCAGCTGAGGTGAGGCAAAGAACCAACTACGATTGAGCCAGGCTAGTGATTTAAGATGCATAAAGACATTTGTTCAGAATTGGAAAATTTTACAGAATCCAAAAAAACCTCACAACATATCTAGCCATCCAAAATATATTTCACAAGCTTCTCAGTGCACTCAATTTTTCTTTAGGAGATTAGTCAATGTTTTGGTAATCAGGCTTTGGGAAGCCAATTTAAAACTCTGCTTTTCATAGAGAAGGTGATCAGTGCATATTTGTTGATGGAGTGGCTTTAGATGGCAACACTTTGAGCTTTACCCTGAAGGAAATACATGCTGGTTGATTAACATTGTGTAAAAATAAATTCATAGCAGTTAGAACTCAAAGTAATTACATGAAATTTAAACCAGTGAAGATATTAGAGTGGTAGGACTTTTCTCCCTTAATTTTATGGAGATGCTTTATGTTTCATAGCTAAAAGTTGGGAAGAAATACAAGGTTTGCCTAGCACCATGTACAAGGGGGGAGGCTCAAGCATCTGGCTCATGTCCAGGTGAACTCTGCAAAAGCAACCCTGTGGACTGGAGTAGGTAGCTTCACCCTGTGGCCATACCCCTCAGGCTTTGATGTCTATTTTGTCTTGTTGTGACACCAGTTAACAAGATTTCATTCTGTCCCAAGCCACAAAGCAAACTGATCATTTGATTAGCCCACACTCTGCAAAAGCCCTGTGCTCAGTGCACAGTCATGTGTACATATTTTGTTGTGCATGTCCAATATTGAAGAGCCTCCAGCAGAGCCCAGGGGCAGAAATAGAGATGCTCTGTCAGGCTGAGCTCTACCCCACCCTTCTCTGTGGGTGTCACACTGCTCGGAAAGAAGTAGGCAGAACAGCTGGAGTGAGGCAGGGCTGTTGGCAACAGAACATGATGTCAGAACCCACTTGGCGAAGAGCACCCATTGGTAGTTACATTCAGAGTGCCAGGGCTTTTCAAGCTGCCAAGAGAGAATGCTTGTGGGTGGGTGGTAGAACAAAAAGGCAAAGGGAACAACGCAAGCCCATTTCCAAGGAGGGGCGAGAAATAAGCAACAAAGAAGATGCCTTCAGATATGTGACATGTCAGTGGCTGTTCTGGGGTGACACCATCTGTATTCAGTGAGCTACCTAGAGATAAGGTAAGTTGACAGCTTGCTTGAGGAGCTGTGTATGAGACACAGTTCTTAAAACACCAAGATGGGCTTTGTGGGCCTGCTCTGATTCCACAAAGGGTCAGAGAGGGATGTAGGGCTGCTAGCATCTCTGCAACAGCACAGTCTTAGAACAAGGAAATAACTTGCTAGAACCACAAGGCTCTCCTGTGACGTCTGGACCAGAAAACGGCTCCATGAATATCAGGAAGGCATGTTTGTGGCATCCCAGGAATGCACCAGGCTTGCCAAAGCAGATGAATAGTCCAATTTACCAGACATGATCCCATGAAAATAAGAATCTAAATATGAATGAGTGACCTCCTGGAGACAGAAAATATTAATATTTAGTCTATTGCCTCCATATATGTGGGCATTGTTTGTTCCTTTTGCCTTTTTGTTCTACCCATCCACCCACCCATTGTCCTTTTCTAGCAGCCTAAAAAGAAGCAATGGGCCCCCCAAAAAACAGTTTCCTAGCTAGAAAAATACCCAATAAATGTTAATCTCAGTCCTTCCTATGAATCCCACCTCCTTCTGCTTATTTGTATCACTTTGATACATATGATATCAAATTCTGTAGCTCTTTTCCATATTCTGTTCTGTAATTGTTATCTGTTTTATTAAATTTAATCTCCTCCTAATAAGAAAATAAAAATTCCTTGAGGATTCCTTAAAGATGAGGATGTGCATTATGCATTAGTTAGCTGGGGCGGCAATAATAAAATACCATAGACTGGGTGGCTTCAATGACAGATGTTTATTTCTCACAGTTCTGGAGGCTGGGAGTCTGAGATCAGGGTGCCAGCATGGTTGAGTTCTGGTGAGGACTTGCCTCCTGGCTTGCAGATGGCTGCCTTCTCAATGTGTCCTCACATGGCAGAGAGGGAAAGAGCTCTGTACTCTTCCTCTTCTTATAAGGACACTAATCTCATGATGGGGGCCCCACCCTCATGACCTTATCTAAACCTAATTACTTTCCCAAAGGTCCCACCTGCAAATACCATCACATTAGAGTTTAGGGTTTTAACATACGAGTTTTGGGGGAACATATATTCAGTTTATAACAGGATTCATATTTCATTAATTAGTATTCTATCTAATGCATAAAGGGTGAACTGTGGAAAATACAGTTAATGTTAAGTGGGTTTTTTTATTTCTTTAGTACCTAACACAGTACAGTTGCAATCAGACATTAGAAACCTTTTGTCGATTTGTTAGATAACTCTGTATGTTCATGATAAAGTTTGTGTTTTTGATTTTGAATCTATTTGGTGAAATGAAGTGGGGAGTTCCACAACTATTTGGTGAATCTTGATTAAGTCAATCTACTCTTCACACCCACTAGGTTGGCTATAATATAAAAGACAGACATAACAAGTGTTGGTGAGGATGTGGAGAAATTGGGACCCCTGCATATTGCTGGTGGGAAGGTAAAATTGTACAACCACTTTGGAAAACAGTTTGGCAGTTCCTCATAATGTTAAACATAGAGTTACATAAGTTAACAGAGTTAAATATATGACCCAGCAACTCCACTCCTACATATCCACCCAAGAGAAATGAAAACATGCTCACATAAACACTTGTACACAAATGTTCAAAGAAACATTATTCACAATAGCCAAAAAGTAGAAATGATGTAAATGTCCATCAGTTAGAGAATAAATAGACAAAATGTACTATAGCCATTAGTTAAATGGAATGTTATTTAGCAATAAAGAGGAATTTTTTATTGATACATGTTACATGCCACAATAGGGATGAACCTCAGAAACATTATGCTAAGTGAAAGAAGCCAGTCAAGAAAGACCACATAGTGTATGTTCTCATTGATATAAAATATTCGAAAAAAGAAGAATTTAGAGACAGAAAGTAGATTACTGGTATTGTGGGAGTGAGGAAGGAAGGAGGTGGTAAGGAGAAAGGGGAATGGAGAGTGACTGACAGTGGGTCCAAGGTTTCTTTGGGGGATGATGTAATGTTCTAAAATTGGGTTATGATTATGGTTTCACAAGTCTGTAATATATCAAAAACCACTGAACTGTATACTGTAAAGTAGTGTACTTAAATTATATATTAATATATAATGATATATAATTATGTAATTAAAGGAGTGTATGTAAATTATATTTCAATAAACATGTTTTTAAAAAGAGAAAGTGTCCATCCATGTGTCCGAGCTAAGATAAAATCTTTCTTAAATGATTGATTTTTGAGCAGAGAATCAGAGTTTCCAGTTTCCAACTTGTGTTCTGCCACTACCTTTGACAAGTGATTTGATTTTTCTTGACATAGTTTTATTAACATGCTTTCCAGATCTAAATTTTTAATGATATAACAATAAAACCAACCCCCCCATCACTCTTATATTTTAAAAAACTTTCTGTAACATAAGAACAAAATATATTTGAATGAAGAATACTGACATTATTAAATTGGAAAATAATGCCAAATAACTCTTTAGGTTTAGACTATGCTCATCTTTGGGAACAATTTAGGAAATTCTACCCATGTCTCTTCACATAGTTGGAATTGAATTTGTGCACTTTGCAGAAAGCACTTCATTCTTAATTGAAGATTGCAGTTGGGATCAAATTAGATAATGTATGTAAAAGTGCCCTGTTAATTGGTCTACAAATATATGTTATCATTATTATTTATTTATTTTTAGAAACAGGATCGCATTTTGTTGCCCAGCTTGGAGTGCAGTGGTGTGAGCATAGCTCAATGCAGCCTCAAACCCCTGGGCTTAAGTGATCCTCTCACTTTAGCCTCCTGAGTAGCTGAGACAATAGGCACTCTACACACTTGGCTAAGTTTTTTTTTTTTTTTTTTTTTTTCTCAGTAGACATGAGATCTCATTATGTTGCCTAGGTTGGTCTCTAACTCCTGACCTCAAGCAATCCTCTTCCCTTGGCCTCCCAAAGTGCTGGGATTACAGGCATTAGCTGGGAATATAAGAAATAATGCAGCCTAGGATATATTTTAGGATTATTTAAAAATCAGTCCCTCTAAAAGCTTCCTGAAAAGTGATGTACCCTCTCAAATATTTTAAAATTGACATCTTAAATATTTCATCATAAATTTAAACAGCAGCAAAGGATATTGTTTATGGCACATTGTAAATATTTATATTTTAAAGTGAAGCTTTTCTATCACTCTCCAGTGGAAATACAGATACCACAGTAATTTGGAATCCATCACCAGCGTCCATTTAAAACATTAATAAACAAGCTCCTCTCCAATAGTTAGAAATTTCACATCATCCTTTTTCTCTTTCAACTTCCATTTCTATTCTACGTCTCCAATAGATGTTTATCCTAATGTAATATATTTATATTGAATGTCTTCAATTGGTAATTCAATTGGTAGTCATTCTTCATATAAAATATATGTCCTTTGACCCCATGTATAAAACAATTTCTTTTGGATTTACTTGTTATTCTAAATACTGGTGATATACATTTGATTAAAACAGCATACATTATAAATTTTGATAAACCATTCTTATATGACTATTAGTTGGCACAATCCCCATGGATGATACACAGAGGGGCAGTAAGAAGGTTTATTGGAAGTCTTATATCAAAGAGACACCAGCAAAGCACACAGAATCTCTCAAATCATCATCCCGCAGAGAGGGGTGTGTAGGTTCAGGACCTTACTTGTGGAAACCTGGGGCACTAAGAGGAGACAGGGAGCACTTATTTGACTATGTGACAGTGGGGCTTCCTAGAGGTGGGATGACCGTCTTAGAAAAAGGAAATATTTGGAGCTCAGTGAGGCTGTCATTGGCTAGAAGCTGGTGGAGTAGGGAGAGAGCCACTGAAGCTGTGCAGCAGGAAAAAGCTTGTTTCTTGTCACCTAAGAAGTACAATTTATTGGAAACCTATCTCTTAATGAGGGGATAGGAGAGGATGTATTATGGTGCCTTGATCAAAGGATTGCTGGATTTCTTCTTGATTTGGCAATGTGTGATAGGAGTTAGGATAAGTTAGGAGTCAGTAAGATATTGTTAAGGTGGGGAAAAAAATCTGGAAAGCAGACTATGAAAATAGACCCAGTCGGGCACGGTGGCTCATGCCTTTAATCCTAGCAGTTTGGGAGGCCGAGGCGGACTGATCATGAGGTCAAGATATCGAGACCATCCTGGTCAACATGGTGAAACCCCATCTCTACTAAAAATACAAAAATTAACTGGGTGTGGTGGCACACACCTGTAGTCCCAGCTACTTGGGAGGCTGAGGCAGGAGAATCGCTTGAACCGGGGAGACGAAGGTTGCAATGAGCCGAGATCACGCCACTGCACCCCAGCCTGGTGACAGAGTGAGTCTCAAAAAAAAAAAAAAAAAGGAAAGAAAGAAAACAGACCCTTGACCTATTGCTAAGTGAAAGAAACCAATCTAAAAAGACTGCATACTGTATGATTCCAATTATATGACACCCTGGAAAAGCCAAAACTATTGAAACAGTGAAAAGATCACTGGTTGTCAGATGTTAGGAGAGAGGCAGGAATGAATAGGTGGAACACAGAGGATTTTTAGAGCAGTGAAACTATTCTGTGTGATCCTGTAATGGTGGATACCTGTTATTACACACTTGTCCAAACCCATAGAGCATATAACACCAAGAGAGAACCCTGATGTGAACTATGAACTCTGGGTAATGACATACCCATGCAGGTTCATTGATGGTGACAAATGTACAGCTCTGGTGGGGGACAGTGACAGTGATCTGTTGATAGGATGGCTGTGTGTGCAGAGAAGGGGACGTATATGAGAAAACTCTGTACTTTCTGCTCAGTTTTGTTGTGAACCTAAAACTGCTCTAAGAAATAAAGGTGAGAGTGAGGAAAAAAGAGAGGCAAGGGTACCCTTGATGACAGACATCTTCTTAGACAAACAATTTTAGGAAAAAGTATGTAGATGTTGAGTATTTGGACATAGTCATAAAATTAACCATGTTCATCTGCCTTTATTTATTCATTTATTTTTATTTGTTTGTAGAGAAGGGGGTCTCACTGTTTTGCTCAGGCTGCTCTGCTCTTGAATTCCTGGGCTCAAGAGGTCCTCCCACCTCAGCCTCCCAAAGTGCTGGGATTACAGGCATGAGCCATTGTGTCTGACCTTCATGTGCCCTTTAGAAAGTCTTCATATACCCTTAGGTGTATCTGAAACCTAGTTTGAAGACTTTTGGTCGAAGGTTGTGGAGAGTGAATGAACAAGGAAAATGTAATAGAAAAGATGGATTATTCACTGAATGAATGATTCTTGGAGAACTGGGTAGTCAAATGGAAAAAAAAGGACGGATCTCTACGCCATATCAAAAATTAAATTCTGGATGTATCAAAAATGTAAACATAAAAAACAACCAGGGACCCTGGTGCATGCCTATAGTCCTGGCTATTCAGGAGGCCAAGACAGGAAAATCGCTTGAACTCAGGAGTTAGAGGCCAGCCTGGGCAATGTAAAGAGACCCTGTCTCTAAAAATATATGTCCGTATTTCCCTATATATAGATGTATATATAAAAGTTTAGGCTGGGCGTGGTGGCTCATGCCTATAATCTTAGCACTTTGGGAGGCCAAGGTGGGCAGATCATCTGAGGTCAAGAGTTTGAGACTAGCCTCTACTAAAAATATAAAAATTAGCCAGGCGTGGTGGCAGGCACCAGCTACTCGGGAGGTTGAGGCAGGTGAATCGCCTTAACCCAGGAGGCAGAGGTTGCAGTAAGCCAAGATCATGCCATTGCACTCCAGCCTGGGCGACAAGAGTGAAACTTCGTCTCAAAAAAAAAAAAAAGTTAAAAAAAACCCATAAACATACCGAATACCAGCAGAAACAATAGCTGGAGAATGGTACGTGTGATTAGTGTGGTGAGCAATGAAGCATACAGCTGGTTTCTGTCATCACAAGAGTGCTTACAGATTGGCGCTGACATCGGTATGTTAATACCCTGACTTGTGACATGTTAACAATAAGAATGATAGTTAACCATTATTGAGCGCTTATTATGTTCTTGACAATGTTCTAAGCATTTTACATGTATTAAACCACTTAATCTTCACAACAACCCAATGATGAGAGTAATATTATTACCTCCATTTTATAGATGAGGCAACTGACTCACCAGGAGTTGAAGTTACATGGTAGTTAGGAGTAAAGCCAAGATTTATTAATTTAGGCAGCTGGCTCCAGACCTCAGGGACTAAGTCACCACACTTTACGATGAAACAATGTTTTCCACAATATGCCTTTAAAAAATACTAGACATACCAGATTAATAACTGTTAAATTTTGACAAAGTTGAATCTGCAGTGATAAGTTTAAACAATTTGTATATTTCCTTTAGAAAAAGACTGTCTTTATTTAACAGTTCAGCGAAAGGACATAGTACTATTTTATCCCTTATATATTTCACTAGGATAGTATAATTTTGACATCTCTACAAGGCTTATTTCATAATTTAATTTCATAGTATTAAAAAAATACAGCTCATAGAGTAGAAACACATTGCCATTATGTATCAATTATTTTACAATTATGATTATCAATAGTTTATCACAGGATGGTAGACAAAATAGTCATTCTTCACATTAGTATTCTGCTTGTGTTGAAGCTGGGAGCAAATATCACATTATTTCTTTGGCAGACTAAATCTGTAAATCTCATTAGAAATGCGTAAATACCAAATAGCATACCAAATGTAATAGCTTTATAAGACTGTTGTGAAATAATTATTGTGATGTTAAAGAAGATATAAAATAATGGATTGTCAGATGCTTGATAACAAAAAATGCTCTATTAATGCTCTTTAGTATTTAAAAAGGAATTTGTAAGATAAGACCACTTTTTGTTCAAAATTAAAGATGAAGAGAAGCCTTTTTCTCAGGGAGGTAGAGATGGGGAAAGTTTCATTCTTAAGCCTGTACAAATGAATTTTTATTTATTTGAATAAATAACCTGAAAGAGACTAAAAACTGCATGCCATCACACAGTGCATGAAGCCCTGTCCTCAGAAGCATAGGTGGGAGGTCTTATCAACATAGCTTTCTTTCTTTCACATCCTTTTCTACTTGGAAATGGTTTGGGCTGGATCAGAGAAGTTGAAGAGGTATGTGTAATACTCGGGAAAAATATCTTCTTCTCAGCTAGTAGGAGAATTCCTTGGGGGCAGAGGCAATTTTATTTAAAAGGCAATTTGATAAACCTACAGGTAGAAATTAGCTCAGGTTGGCACCTAGGTTTCCTGCATAACAAAGAAAGGAAAGGAGGGAGAAGTGACAACTTTGCTGGGGAAGAAAGGTTATAAAAAGGAGACAACTCCACGTGCTGTCTACATTGTTCAGTCGTGCTTTGTGGAGTGATTTTTCTCCATGAGGGAAACAACATGTTGTGCTGAGTCCTGTTTGTGGTTTGCACACAGTGAAAATGTGGCTGATATGTAGGTGACACATGAATAACCCCACTTACTTAATGTATTAATAAAAGGAATAAAGTCGTGGCTGGAATGAGCAGTGAGCCGTGAAGGAACCTCTTCAGCAAATGTGTCAGAGGCCCTTCCAGGAGCCAATGACTCCCCTGAAAGAAAGCAGTCTGGGTTCCCCACCTACTCTGTCATCCTGGCAGCTGGCAGCAACTCATTCTGATAATCTCTCTCTTCCACCATCCCTTGTTTTGGCAGTAAAAAATGATAAGCTATTTGAATTTTGGAACTAGAAGGGATTTGGAGATAATTATGCTTAATCCCCCAGTTTGAGGAACAGAACCACAATGAAGTTTAAGACATGTGCGATGTTGTATGGCTTATGCTGGCAGGGGATGGTGAGAATCCAGGTTCTGAAGTTTTCAACCAATACTCTTTCCACAACACCAGAAAATCTGAAGAAATTTGGAGAAGGAGGAAAAGTCTTACAGGTAAATATAACCAAGGCATCAGCAAAACGATGAAACTGATATATAGCTGTTTTCCTCTTGCAAAATACTTTTTCATCTGACAAGATACACAGGATAGATGAAAACATTAAATGTGAAAAATATGTAAGTAGCAGGTGCTGAGCTTTATATAATGAGTTGTGTGTTCATTTCTTCTTAAAGGTGAGAAACGGTTCAACCACAGCTGGGGTGGGTGGAGAAACATAATTCTTGGTGATGCATAGTGAAAATCATAGCCCCCCAGCTCAGCCATACAGCATTTGAAGAGGCCATGATTATGAGGGGCCACACACAAGAGCCAGATGTGTACAAGTGACAAGGAATACGCATTTTCTTCAGATGTCACAAGTCCTCTTTTTCATTATTGAGTAATGACTATAATAGCATCACTTAGTTCAACCAACAGTATCTGTGATGGAGCAAAAGAAAACCTCAAGACGGTATTAGTGTTCAAATAACACAAGTTTCGCAAACACCCAGAACATTTTCTTTTTACAATGATTCACAGGTTATTAAAAAAAAAAACAACAACAACTGTAAGACAATTTCCTGTTGGTGAATTTATAACCATAGCTTTTGAATTCTTGAAAAAAATGCTTTCAGGTTGGCCATCTCTATAATGCTGATCATCTTGGTGTTTAGGTGTTCAGAGCCACTAAGCTACAACAAAGCACTTAAGTATAAAGTGATAAAAAGAGTCCTTGCTTCTCTCTCCAAGCCAGCAGCTTCTAATCGGGAATAATGATTTCAGAGGGGAGAGTTAGAAGATTCCTTGGATAGATTCACAGTGGCTTCCAGATGGCTGATACGAAAGCCAGAGGGAGGCTTGGGTAGGCAGTCATTTGATAGCTGGTTTATGAAGGGGATAGCAAAATTAATTTCCAGATATATTTCCAACTAGAGGCCTTAGAATCTCTCACCAAGGGTTTCTGTTGTAAACCACAATTGGTATTCATGACAATGGGCCTTCTAATATGACGTATTACGGAGGCAATCATACCAAGCCTATACCTTAGCGACTGTGGAACTGGCCTCTCCAAATATAGAAAACTAAGTAGAAATATTATTCATAACTGCAAAACAGCATTGTGGCTTTCTATGTTAACATACTTAAACTCTAAGGAAATAGTCCAGGAGGGATATGTGTATGCTTTCCTAGAACTTACGACTAAAATAGATTACTTTAATGTTTCAGATCATATGGTGAAACCGTAGTTTTAATCAAAATAAAATATATCTACAGGAGTGGCATATGCAAATAATGGAATATGTATTAGTCAGGGTTCTCCAGAGAAACAGAACCACGAGGAGAATGTTAATGTCCTCCAGAAACACCCTCACAGGCACACCTGGAATAATGTTTGACTAAATGTCTGGGCACCCCAGGGCCCAGTCCAACTGACACATAAAATTAACCATCACAGAATATTATTCAGCCTTAAAAAGGAAGGAGATTCAGACATATGCTACAACATGAATGAAACTTGAGGACATTATGCTAAGTGAAATAAGCCAGTCACAGAAAAGAAAGTTACTGAATCCACTTATATGAGGTACCTAGAGTAGTAAAATTCATAAAGACAGAAATTAGAATGGCTGTTGCCACGGGCTGGAGGAAGGAGGAAATGGGCAGTTGTTTAATGGGCATAGAGTTTCAGTTTTGCAAGATGGAAAAATTCTGGACATGGATGGTGGTAATGTTGCACGAGAAAGGGAGTATATGTAATATCACTGGACTATACACTTAAAAGTAAGTAGGATGGTAAATTTTATGTTAAGTGTATTTTACCATGTTCAGAAAGAAAAAGAAAAGAAAAAATGCTGTCTATAAGAAACATTTACCTAGATGCAAATCAAATGGATTATAATGTTTCCAAGTATTTTAGGAGACCACCTGGATGATGTAAACACCCCCTCTATCAAGGTCATCACACAAGCAGATTCATAATTTCCACAGAAAAAGCTGTGAAATTGTTTTACCAGACAGTAGGGATTGAGTCAATATTAGTTCCTCAGTTTACCGCATAGGCATATCATCATTTGTACATAAAATAGCTTCTCTTTCAGTCCCCTAATATACTGAATTTTTTTGAAATAGACAAAGTTTCAACAATGTATTTCTATATATAAAAATTAATAAAATTGAAAACAAACATCGATCATTGGTTTTACCTCTAATGTAGTAGATTATCATTATAAAATGCTTTAACATAAATATGTCATTTGATTCTTAAAACAATCCTGCAATGTTTTATTTTTACTGTTGATGAACTTTAGTGTCAGAAAGGTTAAACAATTTTCCTGAAGACACACAGCTAATTCACAGTGGAGCCATCTAGAATGCCATCCCCGAAGCGATGCAGAGGCAGAAGAGAAATGCCTGAGTGGAGTATCACTCAGGGGCCTGCCAAGAGCCAGGCATCCTCTAAAGGGGTGATCAAAGAGTTGGTGTCTTACTCTGTTTGGGTTGCTGTACCAACAATACCATAGACTAGGTGGCTTAAACAACTTACTTCTCACAGTCTTGGAGGCTGGGAAGTACAAGGTCAAGGTGCCCTCAGATTATGTGTCTGGTGAGGGCCCACTTCCTGGTTCATAGATGGCTGTCATCTCACTGTGTCCTCACATATTAGAAGGGGTGAGGGAGCGCTCTGTGGTCTCTTTTAAGGGCACTCATCCCATTCGTGAGAGTGCTGCCCTCATGACCTAATAGTCTATCTAAGGTCCACCTCCTAAGCTTCCAGGATTAGGATTTAACATATGAATTGGGGCAGGGGGACACAAATATTATCTTAGTTTGTTTTGTGCTGCTGGAACAGCATATCTGAGACTGGGTAATTTATAAAGAAGATAAATGTATTTCTCACCATTCTGGAGGCTGAAAAGTCCAAGATCAAGTTGCTGCAGTTTGGTTGTCTGGTGAGGGCTGCATCCTCCTGAGAGGAGGAATGCTGTGCCCCAGCAAGGCAGAAGGTGGAAGGGCAAGCTTGCCAAATGAATGCTGCAAGAAGCCTCTTTTGTAAGAGTTTTAATTCCACTCATGGGGGAGGAGCCCTCATGACCTAATAACTTCTTAAACCCTCACCTCTTATTACTCTCACATTGACAACACCTGAATTTTTGAGGGGGGGCATATTCAGACTATAGCAAACAATTAGTTCATAGCAGATGGTAATGAAGGGGTGACAGCAACAGCGGGAAACTGTTACCATCCATAATCTCAAAGAGGCAAAGGGAGAAGGTGGGTACTGGAACCTGATGAGATCAGCAGCTACTAGACACTGAGGACTCTAGAGGAGGGAGTTGGCTATGATTAACTTCCAGCCTAGCAGGGAGGGGCCAGGGAATAAATACCACAACCCCTCTCTGCTTCCATCCTTCAGTGGTGCCTCCCTTGGAAAAAGCCTAGCAGAAAGTGTAGGGCAAGAGGTGGCTAATCAATGTGAGCTAATGGGACACACAGCAGGGTGGAGGGTAGACCTGAAAGGCATATGGAGAAGATCTAACACAGACAGGAGAAGGTTAGCTTTATTCAAAATCTTTCAAGTGAGTGATTCACTTGCAGAACTTCCAGGTACTGTGGTAATTAAGAAACATTATTTTCATTAAACTTTAAAAAATTATTAATATTATTTTTGATTGAAAAATTATAATTGTCTTATTTTTTGAAGAATTCATTTCTTTGAGTTCTCTTAGATAAAACACTGCAGTCTATTATATTGTGAATTAATAATTTTTTAAAAGTTCAATGTGCGTTTTAATTAATTCTAATTCAGAGGCAAAATTACCATTTTGAAAACAATTCTAACTATAGGAAAATGGCTACATAGTTTAAAAAGAAAAGAAAGGAATTCTCAATTGGTGGAAAGGACATAACTACCAGACACTCAACCTGAATTGCAGTTTTCACTTTTGTACTTCCTCTGTGTCTGACTTTGGGTAAGTCACTTATTCTCATTAGGTTTCAAGGTCTTTATCTGCAGTATAAAGAAGTTGAACTAGAATAGTGATTCCCACATCTAGTTAATCATCAGAGTCATTTGGGAACTAACTACCTTCCTTCCTTCGTGGTTTTTTTTTTTTTTTTTTTTTAACACAGAGCCTCACTCTGTCACCCAAGCTGGACTGCAGTGGCGGGATTTCAGCTCACTGCAGCCTCTGCCTCCCAGGCTCAAGCGATTCTCGTGCCTCAGCCTCCTGAGTAGCTGGGATTACAGGCACACGCCACCACGCCCGGTTACTGTTTTGTATTTTTAATAGAGATGGAGTTTCACCATGTTGGCCAGGCTGGGCTCAAACTCCTGACCTCAAGTGATCCACCTGCCTCAGCCTCCCAACATGCTGGGATTACAGGCATGAGCTAACACTCTTGGTTGAAAGAGGTTTAATCATTGGCCTGGTCCAAGGAGGAGAGACAGGAGGAAACCTCAAATCCATCCCCTCAAGGAGTCTGGGGCTAGGGTTTCATTCCTTCCTTTTTTTTTCCAGTAGCAACTTACTTCATTGAAATGAATGATACAAATATTGAAGGGAAAAACAGGTAGATAGATTGGTACGGTCTATGGGAAGAGTGAAGATAATCCAAAGATGTGTGTAGTATATTGGTGACCATGGAAAGTCAACCCCACGGCCATGAGTTCCCAGCCTCAAGCCTAGGCTTGTCAAAGAGATGCTCCACATGCCAGATTCTATGGCCACTTCATGCAAGCTGCTTACACCTGCTCATTCACATAATGAGTCTCAAGAAAGTCACACAACCCAGGGTTGTTTCATAATTTGGGTAATTTCAGTGGGCTATTTAGATAATTTCAGTAAAGACACAATACTTTAAAAAATGTAAACGTACTCCTTTGTACTGGGCTTACACTCCTAGTTTCATGGTCTGGTTTCCTGATGATCTGAGGATTAGGTCACCTTATTGGTTCTGCTCTTTTACCAGTTTCTCAGCATGGTTCCTCTCCACATCATCCTACTGCTTCCATAGTGAGGTATGGAAAGTAGACCCGTGGGAGATGAAGAGCTCCAGATTGATCCAGTCTCCAGGTCCTGGTGGTGGCTCCAGTGTTCTTACGAGGAGGAAAAAAGGGAGGTGGAAACTGTGTGGTGGATGGTGGTATGAAGCCCTCAGCATGGAAAGCTGTATATGGCAGGGATGGAGGGCTGGCCTGGAGTGGCTGACCACATTTATTATTAAACAATATTTGCATGGCAAAACAGTTAGAAATATTGTTACCTCCATTAAAAATGATAGTAATAATAATAACACAAACTGTCATTTGTTAGGTGCTTACTAAATGCCAGGTGCTTTACACGTATTATTCCATTTAACAGTTACAACAGCCTTATTCAAGTAGATGTCATTAACATGCTATTACCCCATTTGACAGATAAGAAAACTGAGGCTTTTGAATATATCTTAGGGTGCCTCCAGCAGTTCAAAATAATCAAACTCAAACCAGCTTAAACAATAATGAAATGCATTTTTGTACAAAATAGAATGCCCAGCAGTAGGCAAGCCTTCAAGATTGATGGATTTACTGGCCCAATAGTGCCATCAGGGAATCAGGTTCTCTCTGATGTGCCATTTATCAATTCAGCTGTGGCTGGTTCTCCCCATGGACATAAGGTGGCTGCCACCAGAAACTGGGCTGCCATTCTTATTTACTTATATTTGACATGCATGGGAGAGAACCTTCTCCCCAGTGCGTGGATCATGTGTACTTCCTGTGCTGGGTAATGCCTGTTGTATTTCAGCTTCATTCCTGCCCTTCTCTCCTCTCGACCATCTTGCTGAGAGCCTAGACTCCCCCGCCACCCAGCTTCCCATCAGGTAATGTCATAATGGGAGGCACTGCCAGGATGTTGGAAGATGAGCGAAAGGGAGAAGACTTCTTTGTTTTCTGGCTTCTGGTGGTGTCTTGGGAGGTGGCTGGTGAGCCCAGTCCTCGGATCCAGTTGGGAGATTAGACTTCTCCACTGGCAGCAGCAGCCATAGACACTGTGGGGGCTTTCCTGACACAGTGATCATGGGCTCTGTGTAATCCCATTTTCCCCTTTGCTTCTCTAGTCCAGGAGAGCTACAATCTTGTGGTAAACTTACTGTCTCCTTTTTACTCCTTCTACCATTCAACAGCCTTGTAACTAATTTTACTAGCTTAAACAGTATTAAATTCCCCTACTTTAGATACTTATAGTGGTTTTATTTTCTTTTTTAGACACTGTAAGACTTCAGTTAGATTAGATCAATTTACATCAGATGTGCCCTCCTGGACCAAAAAAAAAACAACAAAACTTCATATTCCCTGAATGCATTTTAGACCATTCTGGACCCACTTCCCTGGAACGGTTTCCTCTAAGTCACATGGGATGCATGGAGAAGAGGTAGATATCGAAATAAAGTCTTGTTGCCACTTGCAGCACTACAGTATATGGTGTAGTAAAAGGCCGAGTATCTAGGGCTGGGACTGGAACCCAAGTGTGTTTGCTGCCAGTCTGTGCCACAGTGTCTACCTGCACATGTCTGGAAGGCAGATTGGGTCATGAGGTCTGGGAGTGCAAGCCCTAGATGTTGAGGTGGTTAGATCTCACAAGCTGGTGTTTCAGTAAGGATGTAGGAGTTACAGACAAAATCTACTTTTATTATTCCTTTCCCCCCTCTGGACTGCCCAATTTTTGTCTTGTGTGTGTGTGCAAGCTCAACGCTCTTCATCGTCAACTCGTGCAGGAGCTTGCAGACCTGTCATCAGCAGCAACAGTTTCTCCACTGCCATTAAAGTTATGCTGAACAAAAGATACATTGCTCGATAATGCTCAGATTCTTTATTTTGCTACATGACATAGTATTGATCAAGTCCAGGGTTGGCCACAGTCACACTGACTTTTTTCAATGTTCCTGTTAATTTACTGCAGAATCCAAACTGAAGATATAGCATTTGGCTGCAATTACAATCTGTCACTTAATATTTTTCTTTTCCAATATTGAACAGACTTAGTGTATCTTCTGCTGTGTTTAAAGACATTCTAAATCAAGGACAGAATCCAGAGTATTTTTCACAAAACTATTCTTAGTGGTGAATTCCGGATTTCAAGGGCTACCCACATAGGACTATCTCCCACATACCCCTCCAGTAAATTTCTTTATTAGATTTCTTTTCTTTGTCTTCCCTCCCTCCCTTTCTCCCTTTCTCCCTCTCTCCCTTCCTCCCACCCGTCCTTACTTCCTTCTCACTGGAATTCCTAAATGGTTACATGAAATTTAAATAGCTTATCACATAAATTTTACTTATTTCCTGAAGAGCGTCTCATTTTATATGCCCTGTATAACTGCTGAAGTCATTCATTTGAGGATGGGATCTGGGAAGAGGTGAAGGTGTAAAGAGCAAATCCTGTCATGGGGTGTTACAGTAACAGCTGATGAACTTTATACAACTCCCTCAGGCAGAACAATTCACTTTTCTGTTCTCCTATAGCAGCAAACATTCTCTTAGCCTTTCTAATTCTGATCTAGAGGGTTGTAGGGGTGATAAAGAGTATAAACAAGGAGCAATTTCAAAGAGGTCCAGTTTGTATCTCCTCCACAGAAATGAACATGGTGGTGTTTTTGTGTACGGGGCAGAAGCAAGGGAGATGAGGTGCCACAGAGGCGTGAATAGTATGGCTGGGATATTTCTGGGCCATTGGAGTCACCAAGATCATTGGGGCTGATTCAGGTCCTAACTAGCGAGGACAGTGTCCTAGGGCCTGGAAGCTTCCAAGGGGTATGGACCTCATCTCCAGCACATGCATGGGTGCTTTAAGGTGATCCCATCTAAGCAGTTCTTATGGCCTGCAGTACCTGGGAAGGTGTGCTGTTACTTAAGAACCTGTCTTACCAGCCAGGTTAACAACACATCTCAAGTCCAGAGCATGTTGCAAAACATTTGTTTTTTGGAGGGGTTCATGTCAGGCCAAGTTGAGTCAGCCTCAGACAGGTGCCCGGAAATCTCTTTTTCTCTTGTCTCCCAATCTTATCCTGCCCTTCTCCTGGGGAAGCTGCTTCCATCCTCCAGTTTCCCACAACAGGTAAGTCCAGGTAGGATTGTGACAGTAGATTTTTACAGCCCTTTCTAGGTGTCTTCTTAGGTGTTTAGACACTTTATAGAAGCACATTTACAAGACACATAAACCTTTCTGTTCCTGGCATTAATCATTTCTCATAAATATCTATGATGCTTGTTATGATCAAATACCTGCTTCCTATAAGAGGTGAGAGTGGGGAGGAATAAGGTGGGAAAGGGAAGGGGAACCCTCATCTTGCCCATGCCACAGAGGTCCATAGGCTAAGACCTTGGGCAGCTCCGGGGCAATATCTAGTTGTTTTGAGACCCACAGGGAGGAGACTGAGAAGATGAAAGATGCATGAAGTCTAACTCTGAGTGGGGGACGAGGCACGCTGTTAGTGGGAGTGTATGTGTGGTCCACACTGTGGGCAGCCGGATGAGATTGTAGTGACACAGCTCCCTCCACCTACCCATTTGTGCATCTTTTAGTTGCTGGAAGCAGCAATGCTCTTATCTATAGTGAGTATCCTTTCTGCTTTTTAAAATGCTTGGGTTTTCTTTCTATGAATTTCCATTAATGAGCATCTTTAGGAAGAGAAAGATTCTGCTTTATTCATATGGAGTCATTTATACAATATAAACTGAAGTTCAGAGCCTTTTATGAGATACATAAATATGACCAGAGGCTGAAAAACATTGGGAGCATCCACTAAATGTAATATGTTATTTTTCGTGGCAGCAATATTATTTTAAATACAAATTCTACGGAGAGTGAATATAAGAATTTATTAGTTAACACCTATAACCTATAAATCCATTTAAGCTGCTCAGATAAATGGATAATCTAAATAGTTATGGTTAGAAAGGCTGACATGGGTTGAGCTTGGCAACATAAAACCTTCATCCGTTGGCCTTTTCCCACAGCATTCTGCAGGCAAACACTGGCTCATTTGAAGTTCTGACCTTCAAGATTTCAAAAGTAGGAGCTGAGATGCAGAAGGCATATGTCTCTTGAAATGTGTTTCTTTTTAGTCTGACGCTCAAAAGAAAAAAATATGGTGATTAATTTGATGGTCATGCACACAAAAGTATACTTTTCCCTGAGAGGCAGTACAATCATGAGGGTTGGGAGTGCAGGCTCTGGAGCCAGACTTCCTGGGTTCACATCCCTCTCCTGCCACTTGCCAGCGGTGTGGTCTTCAGCAAGTCACTTAACCTCTCCATGCTTCAGTTTTCATCCTTAGATACCTTGGATATCTGGATGGCAATGTGCCAAATCACATGCCTTTCCGACCAAACACCTCGTTAATTAAGAGTGCTTAACATGTGCAAAGTACTTAAGCAATGCTTTCTTAATTGGTTAGCATTCTCCTTTGAAAACTGGCGCTAACCACTCTGCCTCGCAGCAAGATTTCCTGGAAAGCCAGTGGAAGGTTACGGAATGGAAAGAAAGCAGGAGGGCCCAGTCTGGGCCAGGAGTTGAGGATGCTGTCGAAGCAGGTAGCAGTAGCCATGGCTAGGTCACTCTTGGGACTGTTCTGGCACTCAGATTGCCTGTGCAACGGGGATGCATCTGACTTCCGAACATTCCTCCTGTTCTGTCAACTCCCAAGATTCAGAGTACTGGAGACAAGGATATTTAGCTAAATTTCTGGCATAGCTCTTCCTGCCCTCCTCCCCACACTGTATCAGGAGTGGGTAAAAGATATATCTGATCCCCTTGGTTTCCATAACAGGAGGTGGCAAGGGAAAGTAGGCACTGGGATCTGTCTTCTTGCCAAGATTACATAAAATGGAGAATTCCACCCGTAGGAACATGTGGTGCTTAGAGTGGAGGTGTGTGGATTCTGGGCAGTCAAAAAAAAAAAATCACAAATCTTTGCTAAACTTGTATAAGACTTCAAATTTCTCTCAATAGTCCCACGAGCAGTGTTGTGCTGGTTAATTTAACAACTGCCTCCCTGGTCCTGATTTGTAGCATTTGTCCATTTTCTCAAGGCAAACCCACTCATCATGGCTAATTTCAAGCTACCAACATGACAGCACTGAACACAGCTGGGAAGAGATGCGCAGTAACATACCACTATGCAGCATCTTCACCACACAGCTACAACAGATGTAAATAACCTCAAGTGCATAGACAGCAGTGAAATGTAGTACTGAGGTTGGTGCAAAAGCAATCACGGTTTTTGCTTTTAATGACAAAAACCGTGATTGCCTTTTTACCAACCTAATAAAATAATTAGAAAGTGATGAGTTTGGAGTATTAATTACCTTTGTTGTTAACATAATTGTAGGTTTATATAATTTAACTTTTAATAATAGCTGGAATTTAAAAATTGGTTTACAAAATTTAACAATCAGCTCCTGTGAGTCATTACGAGCCAGCTCCAGCATACCACTGCCTATGAAGTGGATCAATATAATGTTATTGAGAGAGAGACAAAGAGAAAATGAAAGAAAGATTCTTCTCACTTATGCACTAAGATGCTTGATGGAGAGGCCTAGGGCCTGGAAATTTTGTACAATAGCTTGTAGCATTGGGGGCCCTTCGTAATAGAATAATAACAGTATCTGACATTTATATAGCAAAACACATTTTTATTTAACATTTTCTCATTTTTGAGCCTCACAACAAATCCAAGGGAAAGATAAGCAAGGCATGTTACAGATGAGGGGACTGAGAGTCACTGAGCAAAAGTGACCACTGACAGAGCTGACACTAGAATCGGGTCCATGAGACTTGCAGTTCACAGACTGTTTTCATACCACCCTGTCTCTTTGAACCCCTGTCATCCCTGGAGCAGCCACTTATTACAATCTGGGATGTTGTCAGCCCTCATCCCCAGAATTCAGTCCAGGAGGCAATTCTGCATCTTCACAAATAAAGAATAAAATAAAGTTAGGCCTACAAATGGGCAATGATAGCTGGCTGTATTAACAGCTGTCATAGCCGACTCTAAGATGAGCCCCAGTGATCCTTACTCCTTGGCGTTCGTGTCCTTGGACTCCTACCCTGAATAGGGCTGACCTGTGTGACCAGTAGGATATTACAGATCTGATGGCACGTGACTTCTGAAGCTGGCGGTAAAGAGCACTGCAGCCTCTGCTTTGTTTTCTTTCATCACTTGTTCTGGGGGAATCCCGCAGCTGTATTGGAAGCACCCATGGAAGGGAACTGAGGCCTCCCACCAACAACCAGCCCTACCTGGCAAGCAGTGAGTGAGCCACCCTGGAAGTGGATCCTCCACCTCTACACAAGCATTCAGCTGAAGGCAGACCTGGCTGACATCTGAACGGAGCCTCATGAGTAACCCGACACCAGAATCACCCAGCCAGTGCTCCCACATTTCGGACCCACAGAAACTGTGAGAGATGATCAATGTTTATGCTGTTTGAAGCCACTAAATTTGGGGGTAATTTGTTCTGCAGTAATAGATACACTGAACAGCTTTTAAAGCTGCGCGATATGGGCTTTGGGTCACGTCAACCAGATACAGAAAGGCTTTAGGGACTCAAGAAACACTTTGAGTAAACTTGTTTTCCTCTTTTCACCAAATAAACTGAATTTGAGGCCAATATTTGAAATCTTTGTGCTATATAACTTCTGAAATACATTGTATTCTTAATGCGTTTCCAAGTGACCTGTTGTCCATAGAAAAGTACACTCAACACTGAATGTATCTGCTACTCTGAAGAGCAAGACAGCTCGAACTGGAATTCACTCAGACACCTCATAGCACGAAATCATCTCATAGCCTTTCAGACCCCATCTTCACTGCCACCTTTCATTCTTTTGGGTCTCTGGGCCATGACATCCCCTGTCCTTTCGGAAAGCAGGAACGGAGGGATATAACGAAATAAATTAATTGGGAACGCAGCGGAGCTAGGGACCCTACTGGATGTTGGGGGTGGAACTTTTAAATCATTTACAAAACACCAGTCCCGACCTCCCCTGGAAGACTGAGCTGTTACCTCTTCTGGCGTCCGTGCCCGCGGAAGTTCGCTCCTAGGGAAGTCGCTCGCGTCCTCAAGAGCACCTGAGAGGATCTCGGCGAAGCGGAAGGCTTTGGTGCCAGCTGGGAGAGTCTGCGCCGGATTTCCTCAGCTCCTTGGCGCGTTTCCTCGGAGCCGGGGGAGGCAAAGCACGGACCCCGGAGTCGGCGCCCATAGCGGGACGCCCTCGCGAGGGGCGGGAGTGCGGGAGGTGGGTGTGCGGGCGGCGCGCTCGCCCTCCAGCTGCAGCCCGCGCCGAGCGCGCAGGGCCAGCGAGCGCCGGCGCCTCCAGCATGGAGTGGGAACTCAACTTGCTGCTCTACCTGGCGCTCTTCTTCTTCCTGCTCTTCTTACTTTTCCTCCTGCTCTTCGTGGTCATCAAGCAGCTGAAGAACTCCGTGGCCAACACGGCCGGGGCGCTCCAGCCCGGGCGCCTCTCGGTGCACCGCGAGCCTTGGGGCTTCTCCCGAGAGCAAGCGGTGTGACCCGAGTGCGGGCACTGGCGGGAGGGCACCGAGCTGCGCGGGCGCTGGGCTGGGTCTCCGCCTCGATTCTCCGTCCTCGCGGCCTCCCAGCTTCCAGGTGCGGGGCTCGGCGGCTCTGACGGGTCCGTTCCGGCGTGAGGCGCAGGGACCCGCGTCTCCGCTCCTGTGGGAGGCCCGGGGCTCGCAGCGCGTTCGGGTGCCAGGGACGGTGGGTGTATGGGGTCTGGGCTGGCGCTGTGCTCTTCGAGAGGGACCCTAAGCTGTTCCAGGGCTGGGAGAGATGGCGAAAAGAGAATTCGCCCTTTGGAGCCGGAATGACTTTGGACAACTGCAAGCTCTTTTCTGTCCAACTGCATTTTAGTTATACCCAAGGAGTGGAAAAGTAAATTATTCGGATAATGCAGTTTAGCCACTTTCGAACAAAATCGCAGGTTAACCTGAATATCCACATTTTTGAGAAAGACTGTGTGGGCTTTGGGACGGGTGGCAGGAGGAAACGGGGCGCACTTAAAGTATTTTAAATATTGCTTTAAATATTTTTGCGCTTTGAGAGATGGTAAATGGGGTTCGTCTGGTGGTGCTGGGGTGGGGCGTGGGGGAGAGAAGATTCAGTCGTCCATTTGGAGGGAGGAATCCCTTCCTCCCGGTGATCCTTACTCATATTCTAGCCACCAACCACGGTTAGTGCTTGCGGATTGCCGTGCAGGGTAGGTTTCGAATCTGGGACAGCGGATGGTGAACGTTACAGTGAGAGTCATTTGGAAGATGCCTTAGGGTTGGCCGGTACGTGACCTTTTGGGTGATGGCATGGAGGGCCAGCTAAAAGAGGTACTGTTTGCATAGTGTAGGGAAACAGGAAAAAGGACGGAGAGGCGGGTCTGTGGTTTCAGGTTAAATTACTAGAGCTTTTGCAGAAGATGGGCGGGCAGGAGCAAACTCGAGTACCAGTATGCCCTAAGTACCCTCTCGCTAATGTTAGTTTGGGAAATATCTTCATCCTTCAGTAGCTTTTCCCTAGATTTATGTCATCTCTCTTTCTAGAGCCGAGCTGCTGCCCTTGACTGGTGCTCAGGGGACCACAGCTGCAATGACAGTTTGGGCCTGCAAAAAGAAGGCTGGAACAACGGGAGATGGAAGCTTTCTGCAAATGGTAAGTTGGGATGACGCATGGTTTCACGTTGGCCTTAGTTATGACTAAACTTCTAAAGATCCAGGGCCTAAAAACATGTTGGTTCAGGATGGGGGAAATGGGTACAAGGAAGGAAAGGGCACTCTCCCACTCAAATCTGGTGAGCTTCTACCAGATCCACAAAGCCAAACTGACTCCTAACTCATTGCAAGAATCAGTGTCTTAGTAGAGGATTGTGGAAATTTGAATGAGATGTCAGGAGTGTTTGCACTTTTAATAATCATTCGGCCCTTTTGAAAAACAGTGCGGGGGTTCATGGGGTGAAATATGTGATGCAGATATACTCAATCTTCAGTAAGGGAAGATTTGGGTTTAGTCATGTCAGTGTGGGATAAGCTAAGTCATAACTATAGTATTGAAAATACTAATTTTAGACACAAAGACCATATAGAGAGGCTAAAAACAATGAAATACTAAAGTTTGCCTAAGTTGATAATATAAAAGTGAAGTGTAAGACAATTATTTTAATGCTTCAAAGGAAAAATAGTCTCAGGTGAATAATTTTGGCCCAAGACATTAGATAATTTCCCACTTTCTATTTCACTCTCCCCAAATAGGCCTGTTCTTAATGAAGTAAGAGGTTTACTTTAATTATTATGGTATGAGCAAATCCTCACCTCTTTATCAGAGTTATGGTAAGACTTGATTTGAATTCCCAGTTTGAACTCCCTGAATCAACTGCAGTGATTCTGTATTGTGCTTTGAACAATAGTTCTCTAATTGGTTGATATCTCTGCAGTGGCATTTAGTTAAAAGGTTGTATGGTTAATATGGACATTGAAGATGAGTGTGGGAGTAATTAATTAGCAATTATAGTTGTTTGTAAGGATTGAAAACAATCATTTCACACTTTAGAATAACCAGAATGGAAATTATTTTAACCACATGCTTGCCTTCTTGAGTTTACAATCCTTTAATCTTCCTAGCAGCACCACTGGTATCCATGAATTTAACCTGCCCATCATTCTTCCTAAACAAGAGACTATTGAAAAGTCAGGGTGAGTAGTTTATTACCATCTCAGTATTAATCCAATCTCTCAGCTGGTTCTACTGACTCAGGTTCCTAAGAAAGCAGGGGTGCCTTTCTATCTTGTATCCAGGGCCATTTTATTAACTCCTTGTAATCAAATTCATTAATGACCAAGTTCCCATTTATCCAGGCCACAATGAATATTTATTCCTATTACTCAACCTCTGCTTGGAACTTGACTCTAAGCTCTGGGAATTAAGGTAACTCACATTTGCTCTTAGATCTTGCTGCTGTTGATCTCCTGCCCTGCACTTGCTTTGTTAGAGACTCTGCTTTTGAAACTTTGACAGCTGTAGATGAGCTGTCTTTTGCTGTTTATTTATTTATTCAATCATCATTTTTCCAAGACCTGACATAGACTGATCTCTCAAATTAGAACTACTTTCAAACTCACAATTTTGGCCACCTTTATGCATTTTTGGCTTAGATCAAATACTCTGACACCCACAATGGTCTAGGTTGCAGGCTTCTACATGTTGGCTACTCCATCCCCTGACGATCCCCTGTTCTGACAATCACTATGTGCCAAATCTATTTTTAAAGACTGTATATATATGAGCTAGACATTAAAGCACTTGAAAAGTCAAGAACATTTAACATAACTGCTTATTATATAAATGTAACTTGATTATAGAAGATTCCTGTGTTTTATTTTCAATAAAAAGGTTTTTAGTGATTCTTCAGCAATGTTAGAAGGTGACTTGAATTTCTTACATTATAAGGAAATGAGCCATAATTCTATTATGTAATATTTGTATTTTATTTCAAATGTTATTATTTCATCATTGTTTCTAAATTTCAGGTGTTCAAAATGGCTTCAGATCTTATCAGGACAATCTTGGCTGTTGCACTAATTTCCAAACTTGTAAGTGCAATGGATCTGCAGTTCTACTTGGCAAGATAACCATTTTAAGTTGAATGAGAATGACATCACACTCACACCTGCAAAATCTAAAATGTCTAATAAAGTAGATTCCTATGTCTGAACTTCAATTTTAGGGCACAGCTGTAGATGCAGAACTGATGCCATCTGGTGCGATTCTACAGAATAAGAGAGAAAATTTACCCAGAGTGTGCCATGCACTGGCTTTTCTGGGAATGGCAAGGTGCCAGGATTTGTTTTTGGTTCGCTTGCAGGGGTGGAAACTTGGAACTAGGTGAGTAAAAAATATGAAATACTCTATTTTTAGTTTGACATTCTATATTTCCAATTTTGTCTATAGTTTCAAAATCAGTGCAATAGAGTTAAATTTTAAATGACCAAAATTTTAAAGTTTGTAAATGGTTAAACCATTTAGAATAGTGGGAAATGTTTGTTGTTTTCTAAGTCACACTTACTAATCTAGAGACTGTTAGAACACTAAAGATACTAATGTAATGCATAAGGTATCTACACAGTGCTGTACTTTGTTTTTAATTTTTACAGCTACTCTGAGATATTCGTGCATATTTAAGCTAAATCCACAATTAAAACTCTAGGATCATTAGAATGTCACTGTCAGATGTCTGTGTCACATACAAGAGAAGGTTAAGAATTGAGTTGTAAATCTTTGATGTAGTTTTTTTTTTTTGTTTGAATCAGTGAAATAAATTTCTCAGTCCTCCACTTTTTATTTTGTCTACACAAAATAAATAATGTTATGGGTTAATAATGATCTGATTAAGTATCTGAGTCATGAGCATCTTCCCATACCGGAAGGTGGATTATCAGAAGGGCGTTCAGACCCAGTAATCAGAACTTAATAAGCATGCAGAAAAAGCTTTCTGATGGATTAAGGTTAAAAAAACCTTGTTTTTTTCCTTAATAGTAGCTTTTTATATAATAAGCCCAAACATTTCTGCCATTCTTGGTCTGTATAGACAGATCCTGAAGGACATGGGTGGGTTTGAGCTAAAACCATTATCTGCGACTTTTGTTTTATTAGTATGACTCTGAAGTTACTTGAATTTATTGAATAGGTACAGATTCTTCAAGCAAGATGTCTTTTCCTTTCAGATGAAAAATCACACTTTCCTATTGGGAATCAAGATGAATTTTTATCTTGGTAATGGAATAGGAAGTTCTGGACTGAAGAGCGGCTTAAATAAATTAGAGGGTTTGTTCTTTTCTCACAGAACAAGGAGGTTAGAGGCAGGCAGCTGCTGGTGCTGGTTCAGCAGCTCACGGGTGTCAGGCTTAATTAAGGTGGCTGCTGAGGTTCCCTTGGCTTTTTCCTCCAGGTTCCAAGATGGTCCCCGCAGCACCCCACAAGAAGAAGGAGGAAGCCCACAGAGAAAACGGGGCATGCCAGTTCAAATCCACTTCCTTTTAAAGAGCTTCCTCAGCAGCCCAATAACTTTTGCCTTCATCTCATTGGCCAGAACTGTGTCATTGGCTACTGCTATCTGCAAGATTGTCTGAGAAATGTAGTTTTTGTAGCTGGATATATAACTGCCTTTGACAAAAATCCAGTTTCTCTTGATGAAGAAGAAGATGATGGTGGATCTTGGGAGGACAACTAACATTTTATGCCCTGGCTACAGAATACAGTTGCAGAGGAGCATAAAGTTCAAAAAGATCAAAACTCTAGTTCCTTCACAACTGTCAAAGCTCCAAGCAGCACTGCTCCCCTCTGACAGAGTGAGCAGAGTGAAGGCATGTCAGGTGTTCTCACAAAACTCTTGACAGGGCTGACCTCTCTCAGTCAATATCCTTGTCCCACATCAGGATTTTCTAGAGGGCCCTGGGTACCTGTGCACTTCCTTGGTGGCCGTAACCTCTTTGTGGAGGGTTGGTGTAGGATAAAGAATGTTCTATTACGCTGCTCCCTCATCTGTATCATTTCTCTCCTCTCTAATTTTCCTGTCAGTTATATTTTGGTGGAGTCTGGGTTTGTGTATTTGATTCCTATAGAAAGACCATCGCTTTCATGCATGGAGGAGGGGAATCTACGCAAAGAAAGGCTACCTTACTCCTTTCTGTGACTCCACCACCAGTCTAGGAATATCCTGGGAGAAGAATTGCCTCTCAAAGCTGCTTCTATAAGCAGCCTACATCCTAGCTAAGCAAAGAAGAAACACTTCCCACATCTAGGGCTGTCTAAAAGAACTTTCTGTGATGACAGAAATGTTCTATATCTGCAGTGTCCAATATGGTAACCATATAGGCACATGTGGCTAGTGAACACTTGAAATGTGGCTAGTGTGACTGAGGAAGGAAAATTTAAATTTTGTTTAATTGTAATTAATTTAAATTCAGATAGCCAAATGGGGCTACTAGCTATTGTGTTAGATAGCACGGTATACTTTATTCTCTTTCTTGTGTTGTAGAACCAGCTGGGAGAGGTGTGGGTCAGTCATGGGCTTGGTATCCCCTGGTCTTCACTATTCTAGCTTGCCATTGAATTTGTCTCCCAGAGGAAAAGAAAGAATGGTATTTGGAATTAAATTCAAGATGTTAACTTGACATCTATATATTGCACATATTCCTGTATAGTGAATGGATGACCTCCTGGGAATAGTTCCTGTGACTGATTTTAGTGATAATTGATCATGAAGAAATGGCAGTACTGCTCCACTTCACCTTCCTAGTGACTATTATGTGTTCCTAGTCAGAGTGACTCAGCAGAGATTATTTTGTTCTCTTGTGCAATTTATTCTGTGTCATTTTATTTTTGTAATATTGTGGCAGCTAAATGATTATTCTGTGTATGTTTTTCAAAATATTAGGTGGCTTATATTTTTTAAAAGGCTATGAAATAAAAATAAACTATACGTAACACAGTTTTTAATGTGGCTTTTTATTGGTGAGTTATTATTACCAAACTTTGTTAACGGTCATTTAGAATGAGATTCATAGATAGAAATATTTAGTTTTATGTTAAATTTACTTTTTAATGGGCAAATTTATATGCCAATTAATGTTATCTTCTTGAAATATTAAATGATTCTTCCATTATATTCAGAGTTTGGATAAAGTATGAGGGTTGTATAGTATTACTGGATTAATTCTTTTCTCATGTATCTGGTTGTTTCATCACACTAAGCATCACTTGGACCTTATTTCTCTACAAGTGCCCTGTTTTGGGTTGTTTGTCTTTTGTTATTGAGTTATAGGAATTCTTGATATCTTCTGGACACTAGTCCTTTATCAAATATATATGCTTTGCAAATATGTTCTCCCACTTTGTGGCTAGCCTATTCATTTTCTTAACAGTGTCTTCAAAAGATGTATTTTAAATTTTAAAGTTTAATTTATCTAGTTTTTCTTTTATGTTGATTGCTTTCTCTGTCCTAAGAGACTTTTGCCTATACCCTGTCACCAAAAATATTCTCCTGTGTTTTCTTCTAAGCTAGAAACTTTATAGTTTTAACTTTTACTAGGTCTATTTTCCATACTAAATTAATTTTTGGCCAGGCACTGTGGCTCACGCCTGTAATCCCAGCATTTTGGGAGGCTGAAGCGGGTGGATCACCTGAGGTCAGGAGTTCAAGACCAGCCTGGCCAACATGGTGAAACCCTGTCTCTACTAAAAAGACAAAAATTAGCCAGGTATGGTGGTGGGTGCCTGTAATCCCAGCTACTTGGGAGGCTGAGGTGCGAGAATCACTTGAACCCAAGAAGTTGAGGCTACAGTGAGCCAAGATCATGCCACTGCACTTCAGTCTGGGCAACAAAGTGAGACTCCATCTCAAAAAAAATAATAATAATTTTTGTGTATGGTATGAGGTGAAGATTGAGGTTCTTTTTCCTCCTATATATAAACAATGTTTCTGTTTTTGTTTTTTTATTTGTTGAAGAGACTTTACCCATTGGATTACTTTGGCATCTTTGTCAAAAATCAAATAACCATGTAAGTGTGGATGTCTTTCTGGTTTCTCTGTTCTGTTCCATAGGGCCATCCTTATGTCATTCCCACAGTGTCTTGATTACTGTAAGTTTTATTGTAAGTCTTGGTATTCACCATAAAATATTATGCATTTGAACTTTTATAATCGCCCACTCTGAGTCTACACACTAAGAGGCTTGAGTAATTTTGTTGAAAATGGTTCAGATTCATTTAAAAAAACCCCACCCAACACCATGCTTCCTTTATTCCTGCTCCCAGCTCCATGGAAAATCAGAGTCTACATCTGGGGTAGCTCTTGGTCAAGAGGAATGCCCTCATGTTTCATGATAAGCAAACCATATGCACATTGTTTTTACTTTCCTTTAAGAAATTTAACCATTATTCTCTATTCATTTATTCAACAGATACTTATTGAGGATCTAGCAGGTGCCAGACACAATTCTGGTTATTTAGGCTGTATTAGTGAACAATAATAAAGCAAAGATACCTTCCCTATCATGGAGCTTACTTACATTCTACACATATAGTTGTCCCGTTTTTTTTTTGTTTTGTTTTTGAGATGGAGTTTCGCTCTTGTTGCCCAGGCTGGAGCGCAACGGTACGCTCTCGGCTCACCACAACCTCCGCCTCCTGAGTTCAAGTGATTCTCCTGCCTCAGCCTCCTGAGTAGCTGGGATTACATGCATGTGCCACCACTCCCAGCTAATTTTGTGTTTTTAGTAGAGATGGGGTTTCACCATGTTGGTCAGGCTGGTCTTGAACTCCCAACCTCAGGTGATCTGCCCACCTTGGCCTCCCAAAGTTCTGGGATTACAGGCATGAGCCACTGCGCCCAGCCAGTTGTCCCTTTTTAACTGCTCTGTAGTATTTCATGTGTAAAAAAAGCATAATTTATTTAACCAATTATTTGTTAATGGATATTTAGTTGTTTCCTGGCTTTTGCTATTACTGACAATAGTACATAATCCTTTGATGTAAATCTTTGATCAATATATGCATACAGCTATAGGATAAACTCCTAGCTGTGGACTATCTAGGTATGTACATTTTGTAAAAATTTGTTATAGAAACTTGAAACATATATAGAAATAGAGGGAATATTGCTTCAAAATTTATTCTCATTGATTATTTTAAATTTTTATTTTATTGATTTGTTCTTTAATAGATTTCATAACTGAGGGGCAGTTTTCAGGTTATAGAATAATTGAGTTTAAAGTAGAGAGTTCTCACATACCAACCCCACACTCCCCAACCCCACACTCCATTTCTATTCTTATTAAAATCTTTTATTAGCATGTTACATTTGTTACAATCGATTACCAATATTAATACATTATTAACTAAAGTTTACAGAGTTTACTCTGTAACTGTAAAGTTTACAGTTTACATTAACATTCACTCTTGATGTATGTTCTATGGGTTTTAGCAAACGTACCATGACATGCCGCCGCCATTGCTGTATCACACAAAATCATTTCACTGCCCTAAAAATCACCTGTACTCCACCTATTTGTCTCTCCCTGCCTCCAAACTCCAGGCAACCACTGATTTTTTTTTACTGTGTCCACAGTTTTGCCATTTTCAGAATGTCATATAATTGGAATCATACAGTAAGGCAGCCATTCAGATTGGCTTCTCTCAATTAGCAATATGCATTTAAGTTTCCTCCATGTGTTTTTGTGGCTTGATAGCTCATTTCTTTTTATCTCTAAGTAATAGTCCGTTGTACAGATGTACCAAAATTTGTTTATCCATTCATCTATTAAAGGATATCTTGGTTGCTTTCAAGTTTTGGCAATTACAAATAAAGTTGCTATAAACTCTCTCATGCAGTTTTTTGTGCGGATGTTAAGTTTTCAACTCATTTGAGTAAATACCAAGGAATATGATTGCTGGATTGTATGGTAAGACTATGCTTAGTTTGTAAGAAACTGCCAAACTGTCTTCTAAAGTGGCTTACCATTTTGCATTTCCACTAGCAATGAATGAGCTCTGGTTGCTCTACATCCTCATCAGCATCTGATGTTATCAGTGTTTTGGATTTTAGTCATTCTAATAAGTGTCTAGTGGTTTCTTGTTGTTTTAATTTGCATTTCTCTAATGATGTATGATGTTGAACATCTTTTCATATACTTATTTGTCATCTGTATATCTTTTTTGTTGAGATGTCTCTTTAGACCTTTTGCCCATTGTATAGTTGGGTTGTTGTTTTTTTCTTATCGTGAGTTTTAAGAGTTCTTTGTATACATTGGATATCAGTTCTTTATGAGATAGGTATTTTGCAAATATTATCTCTGTCTGTGATTTGTCTTTTTATTCTCTTAACAGGGGCTTTTGCAGAGAAAAAGTTTTTAATTTTAAGGAAGTTCAACTTAACAATTTATTCTCTCATGAATCATGATTTTGATGTTGTATCTAAAAACATCACCAAACCCAAGGTCACCTAGATTTTTTCCCTAAGTTATCTTCCAGGGGTTGTATAACTGTATAGTTTTGCATTGTACATTTGCATTGCTGTGGCCCATTTTAAATTAATTTTTGTGTATTTTTGCATGTAGATGTGCAGTTGTTCCAGTACCATTTGTTGAAAAGACTCACTGATTTTTTTTTTCTTTTTTAAAATTTTACTTTAAGTTCTGGGATACAAGTTCAGAACATGTAGATTTCTATATTTAGAAAAACCCATTGTCTCAGCCCAAAAGCACATGTTACATAGGTATACATGTGCTATGGTGGTTTGCTGCACCTATCAACCCATCACCTAGGTTTGAAGCCCCCCATGCATTAGCTATTTGTTCTTATGCTCTCCCTCCCCTCATCCCCCACCTCCAACTGGACCCAGTGTGTGTTGTTCCCCTCCCTGTGTCCATGTGTTCTCATTGTTCAACTCCCACTTATGAGTGAGAACATGTGATGTTTGGTTTTTTGTTGCTGTGTTAGTTTGCTGAGGATGATGGCTTCCAGCTTCATCCATATTCCTGCAAAGGACATGATCTCATTCCTTTTTATGGCTGCATGGTATTCCATGGTGTATATGTACCATATTTTGTTTATCCAGTCTATCACTGATGGGCATTTGGGTTGGTTCCATGTCTTTGCTATTGTATATAGTGCTGCAATAAACATATGTATGTATGTGTCTTTACAGTAGAATGATTTATGTTCGTTTGTGTATATACCCAGTAATGGGGTTACCGGGTCAAATGGTACTTCTTGTTCTAGATCCTTGAGGAATTGCCACACTGTGTTCCACAATGGTTGAACTAATTTATGTTCCCACTGACAGTGTAAAAACGCTCCTATTTGTTCACAGCCTCACCAGGATCAATTGTTTCTTGACTTTTTAATAATTGCCATTCTGATTGGTGTCAGATGGTACATCATTGTGGTTTTGATTTGCATTTCTCTAATGATCAGTGATGTTGAGCTTTTTTTCATATGTTTATTGGCCACATAAATGTCTTCTTTTGAGAAGTGTCTGTTCATATCCTTTGCCCACTTTTTGATGGAGTTGTTTGTTTTTTTCTAGTGAATTTGTTTAAGTTCCTTGCAGATCCTGGATATTAGACCTTTGTCAGATGGGTAGATTGCAAAAATTTTCTCCTATTCTGTAGGTTGCATGTTCACTCTGATGTTAGTTTCTTTTGCTGTGCAGAAGCCCTTTAGTTTAATTAGATCCCAGTTGTCAATTTTGTTTTTTGTTGCAATTGTCTTCGGTGTGTTTGTCATGAAGTCTTTGCCCATGCCTATGTCCTGAATGGTATTGCCTAGGTTTTCTTCTAGGGTTTTTGTGGTTTTGGGTTTTACACTTAAGTCTTTAATCATCTTGAGTTAATTTTTGTATAAGGTGTAAGGAAGGGGTTCAGTTTCAGTTTTCTGCATATGGCTAGCTAGTTTTCCCAGCACCATTTATTAGATAGGGAATCCTTTCCCCATGGCTTGTTTTTGTCAGGTTTGTTAAAGATCAGATGGTTGTAGATGTGTGGTATTATTTCTGAGGCCTGTTCCCTTCCATTGGTCTATACATCTGTTTTGGTACTAGTACCATGCTGTTTTGGTCACGTAGCCTTGTAGTATAGTTTGAAGTCAGGTAGCGTGATGCCTCCAGTTTTGTTCTTTTGCTTAGGATGGTCTTGGCTATGTGGGCTCTTTTTCGGTTCCATATGAAACTTAAAGTAGTTTTTTCTAATTCTGTGAAGAATGTCAATGGTAGTTTAATGGGAATAGTATTGAATCTATAAATTACTTTGAGCAGTATGGCCATTTTCACAATATTGATTCTTCCTATCCAAGAGGATGGACTGTTTTTCCATTTGTTTGTGCCCTCTCTTATTCCTTGAGCAGTAATTTGTAGTTCTCCTTGAAGAGGTCCTTCACATCCCTTGTTAGCTGTATTTCTAGGTATTTTATTATCTTTGTAGCAATTGTGAATGGGAGTTCATTCATGATTTGGTTCTCTGCTTGTCTACTGTTTGTGTATAGAATGCTTGTGATTTTTGCACATGGATTTTGTATCCTGAGACTTTGCTGGACTTGATTACCAGCTTAAGGAGCTTTTGGGCTGAGACAGTGGGGTTTTCTAAATATAGCATCATGTTGTCTGCAAACAGAGACAATTTGACTTCCATTCTTCCTATTTGAATACGCTTTGTTTCTTTCTCTTGCCTGATTGACCTGGCCAGAACTTCCAATACTATGTTGAATAGGAGTGGTGAGAGAGGGTATCCTTGCCTTGTGCTGGTTTTCAAAGGGAATGCTTCCAGCTTTTGCCCATTCAGTATGATATTGGCTGTGGGTTTGTCATAAATAGCTTTTATTATTTTGAGATATGTTCCATCAATACCTAGTTTATTGAGAGTTTTTAAATGTGAAGTGATATTGAATTTTATCAAAGGCCTTTTCTAAATCTATTGAGATAATCATGTGGTTTTTGTCATTGGTTCTGCTTATGTAATGGATTGTGTTTATTGATTTGCATATGTGGAACCAGCCTTGCATCCCAGGGATGAAGCTGCCTTCATCATGGTGGATAAGCTGTTTGATGTGCTGCTGGATTTGGTCTGCCAGCATTTTATTGAGGATTTTCGCATCAATGTTCATCAGGGATATTGGCCTGAAGTTTTCTTTTTTTGCTGTGCCTCTGCCAGGTTTTGGTATCAGAATGATGCTGCCTCATAAAATGAATTAAGGAGGAGTCCCTCCTTTTCAATTGGTTGGAATAGTTTCAGAAGGAATTGTATCATCTCCTGTTTATACCTCTGGTAGAATTCGGCTGTGAATCCATCTGGTCCTGAGATCTTCTAGGTCGGTAGGCTATTAATTACTGCCTCAATTTCAGAACTTGTTATTGGTGTATTCAGGGATTCGACTTCTTCCTGGTTTAGTCTTGGGAGGGTATATGTGTCCAGGAATTTATCCATTTCTTCTAGATTTTTTAGTTTATTTGTGTAGAGGTGTTTATAGTATTCTCTGATGGTAGTTTGTATTTCTGTGGGGTGACTCATTGATTGTTAGATACAAAATAAGATGTGTCATCAGAGGGGACTCCTCATCTCTTCACATTTCAAAATCCTACTTATTAAATCATCCTGTATGTTGTGAGTTCTTTTGCTCAATAGAAATGATTAATATTTCTATTGAGCAAAAAATTTAATATTCTGAATATTTAATATTCTGAGCCTAATAAAATGTTAAGCCTTTACTGGCTTAGTCTACTGGTCCTGCCTACTTCCCTATTACCTTTTGGGTGCAGGTAAGGGAAATTCAAACTCAAGATGCTGTAAGCAAATAAAGAAAATTTATGGACTTAGTAACTGAAAGAACCAAGGGTAGACTTAATTGAGGTACATAGAGACAGAAATTCAAACAATGTTATCAAAATCTAGTTTTTCTCTAATCTCTAGCTCCATTTTCAGATATTTAACATCCAATCATATTTATTAAGCATGTACTTTATTCCAGACAGTTTTAGATGTGAGGAAGCAGTGGAAATGAGAAAGGTAAGGTCCTTATTTTTGTTGAGTTTACATTCCAGTAAAAGTCTTGAGACGCATTCTGATTGAATAGGCTTAGGTCATATGCTTACCCTTGAACTAATTACTTGGCCAACAGGATACATGCTAATGAGGTTTAGGCTGGGATCATTTGACTTATCCCTAGGGTTAAAGATGGGCCTGCACCTGGACCATATAGACTGAGAGTAGGGCAGGGCTCGATGCTCACATCAAAATCTGGGATGTTGTTGAGAACAGGCAGAATGGATGCCGGGAGAAAAGACAAATATGTCCTTCAGTTAATTTCTTTGGGATGGCCTACTCAAGAAAATTCTCCAGGAAACTGTTTCTTTTGCAGTGGTTCTCAAGGGGTTAGGAAGTATTAATATTAGGATCCCTCAGTAAGCTCTTACAACACACATATTCCCTAGGTCTTTATGGAACCAAACTAATTTTATTCAGAATAGTGTGTCTGAGACATTACTTTTCCTAGACTCCCTTGCTGATGAATTAAAAGCTGAAGCTACCAGACAGGATCTCCAAGAAGACTCCTGAAGAGGCAGATGTGCTAGAGCATCCCCTATTGCCATTTCTGCCTTCCTCTTTCCTGCTGCCTGCATGGTCTCAATGGCCCCAGCTCCAGAAGCCCCCTTGGACATTAGTCCATAGTGACGACGGAAGCTTGTGCTGAGAAAGGCAGCCAGAGAGAAGGAAAGAGCAGGATCTCTGATGACCATGGAGCAACCATACCTACTCTAGACTACTTTTCTCCGAACTTCTTCTGTGTAAAGTCCCCCTTATTTTCACTTGTATGTTGTATACAGTTGAATTTAATCCTACCTGCTTCACTTCTTCATTCACATATTCTGATATGTTTGAGGCTGAAAACATAAAAAATGCTTCCTAGATAGTTTGATGTGAACTTGTCCTAGTTGTTTGAAGACCACCATCCTAATGTCTAATTTTGGCTTTTGAGGATTAGTGGTGACAACAGACATGATCATGAATGGAAGAGGAGAGTCATTCAGTCACCCTGCTTTTGTTTCTGTTTTTCTTTGTTCTTATTATGCACCGGGAGGTGCATACAGCTTTGCAAGAGGGTACCAGACTTGCTGGCAAAGGGGCCCTTTCACTGCTGCTTAGGATGGAAAGCATCTTTTTATGGACCAAACTGCCTTTGTCTGGCTGAGTTGGTGGAGAATATGGTTTAAAAAGCTAGATGTCTTCTAATTTCATTTTTCTTTTTTGTTCTTTTTTTAAATGAGGCAACCCAACTCTGCAAAGGTAATAGTTACTTGCTTCGCTGTTATGAAATATAGAAATAAGAATATCATATGGGCTAAACTGTATTTCTCCAAAATTCATATGTTGAAGTCCTAACTTATTCTTTTTCTCATCGTTTGAGACAAGGTCTGGCTCTATTGCCCAGGCTGGAGTGCAGTGGCGTTATCTCCGCTCCCAGCAAGCTCTGCCTCCCAGGCTCAAGCCACCCTCCCACCTCAGCCTCCCGAGTAGCTGGGACTACAGGCATGTTCCACCATGCCTCGCTAATTTTTGTATTTTTTGTAGAGGTGGAGTTTCAGATATTTAACATTTAATCATATTTATTAAGCATATACTTTGCTCCAGACAGTTTTAGATGCTGAGACGGCAGTGAAAACAAGACAGATAAGGTCCTTATTTGCCCAGGCTGGTCTCGAACTCCTGAGCTCAAGTGATCCTCCTGCCTCAGCCTCGCAAATTGCTGGGTTTACAGGTGTGAACCATTGTGCCCAGCCTGAAGTCCTGAAGTCCTAACTTCCAGTATCTCAAAATGTATTTGGAGATAGGTCCTTTAAAGAGGTAACTAAGGTTAAATGAAGTCATTAGGCTGGATCCTAATTCAATATGACTTTTATCCAAAAAAAGAGGCGATTAAAACACAGACATGCCGTGTAAAGATAGAGGAAGATGATGGCTGTTTTAGCATTCTCCAAAGAAAACTATGCATGTGTATATATAAATATATATAGATGTATGTGTGTACTGTATATGTGTATGTATATATACATATAAATATATACATATGTGCATTACAATACATAACATATATTCACACATCCACATATCCTTTTTATATATATAAATATATATGAAGGAGGTTTATTATGAGGAATTGATTTACATGATTATGGAGGCTGAGTCCCATGATCTGCTGTCTACAAGCTGGAGACACATGGAAGCCAGGGGTATAATTTAGTTCAAGCCCCAAGGCTTGAAAACCAGGGCACAGATGGTACAAATCCTAGTCTGAGAGCAGGAGATGAGATAAAATATCCCAGTTCAGAAACAAATGGGTCGAATTCCTCCCTCCTCTACCTTTTGTTCTATTCAGGCCCTCAGTGAACGAGACAGGACCCACCCTCATCAGGAGGGCCATCTGCATCGCTCAGTCCACCAATTCAACTGCTAATCTTTTCTGAAAGCACTCTCAGGCACACCCAGAAATAACGATTATCTGGGCATCCTGTGACCCAGTCAAGTTGACACACAGTAATAACCATCACAATGGCCATCTGCAAGCCAAGGAGAGAGACCTCAGAAGAAATTAACCCTGCTGACACTTTGATCTCAGACTTCTGGCTTCCAGAACTGTGAGGAAATAAATTTCTGTTCTTTAAGCCACCCAGTCTTTAGTACTTTGTTATGTCAGCCCAAACAAACTCATACAGAATCCAATCACTTCCTAGACTCAATTTGGTTAGCTATTCTGGCATGCAGAAGATTGCTTTAGAATAGTCAGAAAGCAGGATTTCTGTTATCCAGCATCTGAAGGCATGTGCATACAGAGCACATATAAGATTAATATAAGACGAGTACTTCTCATGTCCACCTTTGTATGTATCATTTAATGTGGATGCAGTTTGTTCACTTCTAATTTCTCAGATGACAAATGCCCAAATTACTCAATGTAGTTATTTCTCCTGCATGCTATTATGAATTGATGTTTCTGAGTGCTTTAATTCAAGATTTGAAAAAGATGAATTTATAATCCAATCAACATGGATGCCAATTAGATATGAATCTGTGCTAATATTAAATGATCACAGTGCTAGTTTTTACATAGGGCATAAAGGAAATATAAGGTTTTAAAAAATGGTTCACTCATAATTATCTGTAATAATTACAAAAGCCATAAAAATGGATGAGAATTGTCTAAAATCAGATTATAATATCCTAAAATGGTTTTCTTAGAATATTTACTGTGTTCCAAATATTGCAAGGTAAACTTAATTAGAACATGAGGCAACTTGTGGGGGTCTCCACGTCCCTAAGTGTTTGGGAAATGTATCAGTCCCTCAAGGGAGGAAACCCTTTTGACATCATCTAGGTAAACAAAGAATTAAACAATGAGTGAAATTATTTAGGATTAGACAATAACTGGAAGAGGTTTCTGCGAATGCAATATAATGAAATCTTCTTTTAAAAATGTTTTTCCTTTGATGTTTCAGTATGAGCTCTTAAAAACTATACGGTTTGGTTATGTGGCCATTTCAGTTTTGGTTGTTCTTATAGATCATTTTAATTGCTCTTATTTTTGTTCCTGAGTCTTGTACTACAGATGTAAAAGTACTTAAAAGGTTAGAATTGTCTTCACAAATATGAATTATTGATTTCATGACCATGTTGTTATCCTGCCAGTTTTTTGTCTGGGGCAATATCATAACAGGCATAATCTTCAAAGCAGAACAAATACAAATATAAATTTTGCATATCTCATTGTAAATATATTTGGTTAATTTAATACTCCCAGTAATCACCTATCTACTGCTACGAACAGCATTATCTCCCAAATTTATTAATTTTGTGCAGATTATAGATTTACTTCAGCTGCTTCCCAGTGTCCTAACAGGTGTCCCCTCTCTTTGGTTAAAATGCTAACAAAGGGGACGCAAACTCAGATGCCTTCAAAGGCCAGGTAGATAGCCTAAAGGTACTATAACACTGTGTGTATTTGTGTGTATGTTTGTGTCTGTGTGCGTATGTGGTTGAGTGTCTATAAGTGTGTGTTTGTATGATGTGCATGTGTGCTTGTGTGTGTGTTGTGTGGTTGTGTTTCTGTGTATTTGTGTGTGTTCATATGTGTGTGCATGTGTACATGCACACATGTGCATGAGGTGAGGGGTAAGGACTGTGGCAAGCTGCATGGTATGTGCTTTACTGTTAGATGCTCTTGTTCACAAATTTATAAAATACCATACTGGCCAAACAGAACATCAAAGTCTTTATGCTTAGATTCTAAAATGTCTCAGTACTACAGGGTTACATTATCCTTTATTTCTAATAAAAAGTGATTTGAAAAGTACATTTTAGAAAGACAGCTCGTCCTAAGATTTTGATGTCAGATTTGGGTTGATATTTAACTACTTAAATATTGCCTATATACTTCCTTTGCCTTCCTTACTGTATTTTATTTTATTCTCATAATAGAGATTGTTAGCCTGATGCTGCAGGGTTAGTTTAAGGATAAGATGAAAGAAAATATGCGAAAATATCTAGTCCAGTGCTGGAAATATGTTTTAAAGACACTTGCATTTAAAAAAATTAAAGGAGATGGTCATTATAAAGTCTTTGTGTACTCTCTGTACTTATCTATGTAAGTGTAGATAGAGATATAATCTATAGGTTGTAGGCCTTGTAGAAATAGTCAATAAATATTTAAGAAATTCATTCCAGTAACTGAGGAATGATGAACTAAATCAGGATATTTACTTAATGCAATAATATACAGCCATTTAAAAATAAAATATATGAAGTCTATGTAGCAAAAAGAACAATGTAGTAATATTATGTAAAAAAAAAAAGCCTGATCATAAAATTTTATATTTACCATGGTGGTAACCATGCAAAATACACATACAAAAATGCTGTAAGGGAATATATAAAATGACAATACTTGTGTTAAATAGTGGGATTTGGAATTCCTGCATCTATTTTCCAGACTTTTAAAATGTTGCTTTACTGCTTTGATAATGGAAAAGTAAATTTATTAAAATTTAGGTATCTCATTGTGGTTTTGATTTGCATTTCTCTGATGGCCAGTGATGATGAGCATTTTTTCATGTGTCTGTTGGCTGCATAGATGTCTTCTTTTGAGAAGTGTCTGCTCATATCCTTTGCCCACTTTTTGATGGGGTTGTTTGTTTTTTTCTTGTAAATTTGTTTGAGTTCTTTGTAGATTCTGGATATTAGCCCTTTGTCAGATGGGTAGATTGCAAAAATTTTCTCCCATTCTGTAGATTGCCTGTTCACTCTGATGGTAGTTTCTTTTGCTGTACAGAAGCTCTTTAGTTTAATTAGATCCCATTTGTCAATTTTGGCTTTTGTTGCCATTGCTTTTGGTGTTTTAGACATGAAGTCCTTGCCCATGCCTATGTCCTGAATGGTATTGCCTAGGTTTTCTTCTAGGGTTTTTATGGTTTTAGGTCTAACATTTAAATCTTTAATCCATCTTGAATTAATCTCACACCAGTGAGAATGGCGATCATTAAAAAGTCAGGAAACAACAGGTGCTGGAGAGAATGTGGAGAAATAGGAACACTTTTACACTGCTGGTAAACTAGTTCAACCATTGTGGAAGACAGTGTGGTGATTCCTTAAGGATCTAGAACTAGAAATACCATTTGACCCAGCCATCCCATTACTGGGTATATACCCAAAGGATTATAAATCATGCTGCTATAAAGGCACATGCACACGTATGTTTATTGCGGCACTATTTACAATAGCAAAGACTTGGAACCAACCCAAATGTCCATCAATGATAGACTGGATTAAGAAAATGTGGCACATATATACCATGGAATACTATGCAGCCATAAAAAAGGATGAGTTCATGTCCTTTGTGGGACATGGATGAAGCTGGAAACCATCATTCTCAGCAAACTATTCCAAGAACGAAAAACCAAACACTGCATGTTCTCACTCACAGGTGAGAATTGAACAATGAGAACACTTGAACACAGGAAGGGGAACATCACACACTCGGGCCTGTTGTGGGTCAGGGGAAGGGGGGAGGGAAAGCATTAGGAGATATACCCAATGTAAATGATGAGTTACTGGGTGCAGCACACCAACATGGCACATGTATACATATGTAACAAATCTGCACGTTGTGCACATGTATCCTAGAACTTAAAGTATAATTAAAAAAAAAAAAGAAAATGTGGCACATATATACCATTGAATACTATGCAGCCATAAAAAAGGATGAGTACATGTCCTTTGCAGGGACACGGATGAAGCTGGAAACCATCATTTTCAGCAAACTATCACAAGGACAGAAAACCAAACATCACATGTTCTCACTCATAAGTGGGAGTTGAACAATGAGAACACATGGACACAGGGTGGGGAACATCACACACTGGGGCCTTGGGGAAGGATAGCATTAGGAAAAATACCTAATGTAAATGACGAGTTGATGGGTGCAGCAAACCAACATAGTACATGTATACCTATGTAACAAATCTGCACGTTGTGCACATGTACCCTAGAACTTAAAGTATAATAATAATAATAATGATAATGATAATAAAATATTTGTGGGACATTTAAAAAAATAAATAAATAAAATAAAATTTAGGAAAACCACTTGTGAATTTTTTTTCTTTTTTTTTTTAATGCCAGAGTCTCACTCTGTCACCCAGGCCGGAGTGCAGCGGTGGGATCTCGGCTCACTGCAACCTCCACCTCCTGGGTTCCAGCGATTCTCCTGCCTCAGCCTCCCAAGAAGCTGGGACTACATGCGCGTGCCACCACACCCGGCTAATTTCTGTATTTTTTGTAGAGACAGGGTTTCACCATGTTGGCCAGGCTGGTCTCAAACTCCTGACCTCAAGTGATCCTCCCGCCTTGGCCCTGCAAAGCGCTGGAATTACAGGCATGAGCCACAGGGCCTGGCCTGTGAAATTGTTTTTGAACCTAATATTTGGATATCTGACATGCCTTCAGGGGAAGAGGCCTCACCACCCTGGTCCAGTTGTAATGCTCAAAGGCAGGATTTGCTTGACTCTGGAAAACCTGGGTCCCAAGAATTCTTGAGATGGAGAGCTTTCCACGTGACTTTTTGCTTTCTTTTTTGAAGAATATTGCAAATATATCCTTATTTCTTTTTCTGAATATAAAAGTAATGTGTACTCAGTATAAGTATTCAGACACTTATTAAAGATATTCCATAATCCTATGCCCTTAATTGATTTTCCTATCTTTTTCATATATATAACATATTTTTATTATTTTTCGAGTCATAATTTGGAACCTATTCTAGTGCTGTTTTTTGTAATTGCTTTTCTCAATAATGTGTGACAGTTTTTATCTGCCTTACTTTTTAATTTGAATCATGTTGTCTGCAATCACACCAGATATTTATTTAAAGTAATTTAATGAACAGCCTCTCTTGGAGAAATATCAGAAAAGGTAAGTTACCAGTTGTGCAATACAGTTATTCCCCTACCATTCCCACTGAGATTCAGAAGTTATAGCTAAGGCCATTATAGCCATGACAGTTAAATACCATAGCTTTTATCAGTCTAAAGATTCCTTTTAGGATAATAACATTAAAATGTTCTCTACCCTAACACATTTGCTATAAATTTGTTCTGTTTTGATCTTCACCTTTACTTCTGTCTGCTGCTTTTATTAGTTGTACTGTAACCTTGGCTGAAAGCAGTGAAATTGTTAGAGGTTAGCACAGACTAGAACAGAGGCTTTCAAAAGGTTTTGACCAAGACCCAGTAAGAAATGCATTTTGCCTTGTGACCCAGTGCACATGAAAATAAATGAAATACAAGTTTCATTATACGGTACACTTAAGTGAAAGGCACTCTGATACTTTCTGTTTTATTCTAATTCTATTCTAGTCATTTTATGTCATTAAAAAATACTACTTGCCCCCTCTCACTCTATCCACTAAATTGATTTCAGGACCCACTCATTGGCTTTGATCTGCATTTTATAAAACAGATTTGGAAGATAACTTCTGCCTTGTAGCTGGAGGAAACTCCTATTACCTGTGAAAATAAATCCCAATGCTGCTTGCAGATTGTTCTTATCCCATCTATAATCTAAATAATTAATGTTTAAAAGTTAACCTTGATAATATGATACATTATCATATTTAGAAAATTTGTATTGAAACATAATGTATAATAAATGTGTTAATATTGAAAAAAGTGCTATTCTTATTATTTAAAAGTCTTCCTGAAGTTTTAAAATTAGGGCTGATTACCATATATATTTTATTTTTTAAGTCTATTAGAGAAAGTAATCATGTGATTGATTAGGTAGCTGGTATTTCTTCTCTCAATGGGATTTTTACTGCTTAATTTAAGTCCATGGTTGTCTGTGGGTCTTTACTATCACTCTAACACTTCAGGACACTTTCCTATTTGGTTATAATAGTGTTTTGTAATGGATTACTCTTTATTCTTTGCTTCTTAGCTTGATCTGCTTTCTTTTTAAATAACATTCTCAAAGCAAGATACAATAGCTAATACAGAAAACTTCAACTTTCTGTGCATTTTAAATGTTGTGTATAACTAATTTTTTTGTGTCCCTTACACAATCTATGTTTTGATGTACAATTTTGTACATCAAAATAGGATGAAAATGCAGAACCAAAAATGTGGTATGTTTCTCCTCTCCATTTGTTGAACTTTCAATACTGGATGGCAGAAATTAAAGCTGCATTATAGGACTGTGGACAGGGTTTAGGGAACCAGCAGAGACTGGGCAAGCACCTCAGGGACAGCCACAGTGGGGAGCTGGAGCTATTACCAGCCCTGGGTCTAGAGAGGTGAAAGGAGGGGCAGTTGCCAGGACCCAGGAGAGTAGTGGTGGGAAATATCCGCTTGACAGGAACCAGGGTCTTTGGAAAACACAGCCAGCGCTTGGTGACTCAACAGGGAGGGAAGAAAGGGAAGGAATACTCAGACCCCTCATTCCTTCCAACGATTCATTTTCTACCATTGCTTCCCAGTGGTCAAACCCAGACAAAACCAGAGGATGAGGGAGCCCATTGATACCCCTCCTAGGACACAAGGTAGGGTGGAAAAGGGTGAAAGATAGATCTGGAGGGTCAGTGGGGAAATACCCAGCACACAGACCTACTTCAAAATTTTAATGGCTGCATGTATTCCATTAAACTTAGTAACATAATTTGCATAACAAACCTTGTATAGATGGATATTTTATTTAAATTTTTTCATTAGTATAAATGAATGAATTTGGAAGCCCTTATTAGCTAAGTCCTTGTCCACGTCCATAATTCTTTCCTTAGGATAACTCCTAAAAATAGAATTTTTGACTTAAAGCATGTGCACATTTTATATTTCTGTCATTGTTAGATTGATTTCCAGAGTTGTAATCATTTATACTCTACGTAACAGTACATGACCTTTTTTATATTTTCCAATCTGATAGATTAAAAAATTTTATTCTTGTAGTTTAAAGTTATTGATGAGATTGAACAAGCTAATTGGCAATTAGAACATTTTTATCTAGTATATGTCATCTTAATATTGGGATTCAAACAACAAAAAGTGAGACGAAATTGTTACATTGTTACAACAACTACTTTATGATATGAAGTCAGCTCCTTAGCAAACATGATATCAAAAAAGACAGAGAATTTATCTGGTATTTTGCCCCTTGGTCAATACACAAATAATTGAATTCATTAGCATCGTTAGGAACAGGGAAGGTCATGGAATTCAGAAACAAGTACGAGTCAAGTTGCCCTGTGGGTAGGTCTGGGAAGGCAGGATTTTACAGCACTAGGATGTCAAAGAATAATTAGAATTCTTCTTTCACGAGAGCTCTTCAGAATTTTCTCTTCTCTAGGTTAAACAGACGAAGTTTCTTTTAGAGAGTGCCAGACTCTACCGTTCTGTTTGCTCCCTCTGGCAGCCCTCCAGTTAGATTATATTCCACTTAAAAAGTGATGCTGTTGGCTCGGGTAAACAAGTCCTCACACACTATGGTAGGAATGTGAATCTGAATGGATACATTGAAGGGCAATTTGGCAGTATCTATTGACATTTAAACTGCACGTAATCAGTAATTCCACCTTTTCCTATCTTTATAGAGAAACATACATACACACTAGAGACATGTATAAGGATATCGATGTTAAAAGCAAAGGAATAGAAGCAACCTAAAGGGACGTCTCTTTAGCTAATTAATGACTAATTAATTAACAGCTAAACCATTAATTTATTCAGCAAATATTGTAGGTACATTGAGTACCTACAAAGTGTCAGGTACTGTTCTGGGTTATCGGGTACATGGCTGAAAAAAATAGATGATTCCTGCCTTTAGGAACTTACAGTCTAGAGCAGGGAGACAGAAAAGAAACATAAAACATAATTAGCAAATTATCTTGTGCCATTAGAAGGAGACACTGCTATGAAAAAGGAGAAAGTCGAGCAGCGTAAGGGGCCCTTGAAAAGCTGTAGTCAAATAGGTGGTCAGGGTAGGCCGCCGTGAGATGAGAGTTGAGTGAGGGATTGAAGGAGGCACAGGAGCCGGCACTGTGGGCATCTGGGGGAAGCCCTTCTAGGCAGAGGGAATAGGGAATGCGAAGGCTCTAAGGCAGGAGCTTGCCTGACATAATGGAGGTGCAGCAGGCCGGCCACTGTGGAGGGAGCCAGCAGGGGCTGGCGCCTGAAGGGGTGCTGAGGGAGAAAGCAGCAGCAAGTGGAGGGCCTTGTGGACCATGGTACAAACGTTGGGCTTTATTCTGAGTGTGATGGGGAGCCATTGGACAGTTTCAAGAGGAGGAATGATGGGTTAGTGCTTTCAAGTGAAGGAATAATGGGTTAGGTCACTCTGCTATGTTGAGAAGTGACTTGAAAGGGCAAGAATAGAGCCAGGGAAACCGGTTTAGGAGGCCCCACCCACAATCCAGGAGAAAGATGATGGTTGTTTGGAGGCCCCAGCCACAATCCAGGGGAAAGATGATGGTTGTTTGTATGCGGGCGGTGAGCTCTTTGGGGTTGGCTCCTGCATTTCTTTTATGTATTCCACCCTTTCTTTTTGTGAGCACTCTTTACTTTCTTACAAGATGCTCTGGGCCCAGCTTGTATTTTCCTTTTTTCTTTTCTTTTTTTTTTTTTTTATAGTCAGGGTGTTTTTATTTTTGTTGTTGGTTGGTTGATTTTAATTAAACCTCAACTTTCCAACTTGTAAAGAGATGTTAAAATCTTAGATTTCTAACCTTACTTATTATTTTTTTGCTTTATTGACATATAGTTGACAAATAAGGAAATGATAAAAATTTCTTCATACAGTTATCCCACATATTAACTCTCTTAGGCTGTTGTCGTAGGAAACTTGGCTAACTTTTTTGCCTTTTATGTCTTTATCTGGTTTCTGGCAAAATCATTGTTTAAGTTTGGGTCAGATATAGGCTTAGAACATGCCCATACTTCCTTCTAGGCTGTTTGACGTGGATTCATTTCTCAAGACACTTCGAGTTTAGTTTTCAGCTAGATATCAATCCACCTAACTGTTCTATCATCCACACCACATCTCCCCATCTTGTCAATAGAAAATCACGAAGTTTTGTCAGATACCAGGGGAAAACTACTTTTTACTATGCTTATGGCATTTCTTATTACGGCCCAAGAGAATCAGTTTATATTGCAGGAAGGCAATGGATGATGCCTTGCAGGGAGACAGAGAAAGCTGTGAACCCTTATGAAGATGGGGCCCTGGAAGTCTGAGTCGGACTGCCTCCACCATATGCAGTGTTCAAAGACAGGTGTTGAATTAGTGTACATTTTAGGCAGACTTATGTGGTGAAGCCTGAGAGTAGGTATCCAGGCAGTGGGTAGCATTGTACATCTGGATAATCAGTCCATTTACATTGGGTCAGAGGCCAGGACTAAAGGAAGCTGAACCTAGTGGACTAGAGCAAAGGATAAGCCTCTAGGACAAACTGGAATTAGAGAGCTAGGCAAAAAAAGTGAGTTAGAAGCCTTGTCATACGGTCTAGGCCAACATGGTGATGAATAGAAATAGGCTGTAAATCAGAATTTTACTCTGGGCTCACTGGGTGTCTGGTCAGTGACAGCAAGTCACTGATTCCAGATTCCTTATTGCCAACACAAACAGCCATGCTGAGATAGCTGGTGTACTTTCTAACCTGGTGGGCACAGTAGATTTTAGCCAGTCTTATCTACTGTGAAGAAACTGGAAATGATTGGCCTACATTTGGAATTTGATCTCCACTCCTACAAAATACAAAGTACGACTTAGTGGTTTTCAGATGGCTGCACTTCTAAATGCTCACAGACTCTATTTTTAAACATAGAATTTTGATATGGATTGACATTAAACTTGTTCTTTCATAATTTCCAGACTCCTCTCCTCACCCCAGCCCACTCTGTCTGCTTTTTGAAAAGAGGACCATTTGCCAGCCAGCCCCTAAACTTGTGGTTCTCACCCTGTTCTCCATGATTCCTCCACATTCCTTGCAGCTTTGACGCAAAACTGCCTTCACCAGCTGTGGCTTCTCAGAACCCACACAGAGGAAGGGAGGACATTTGGACAACAGATTTTCTAACAGCTGAAATAATCAATCAGTACTACATTTTGTCTCTGTGCCAGCTATTTCTCTGAATTAAACTGCATTATTTTATCTAATGCCTGCCCAGGATGCCTGTCTTACATGAATTTCACTTTTTTTCTCTCATTTTATTTGCAACTGAAATGATCTCACAATGATTGATTCCATTCTCTAGTATATGAATTTCTCTCACTCTCTGTTGGCTAGCTCTACTCTATTAGAGAGGCAGTGCTTAGATACTGGAGCCAGGCTGTTGCATTTAAATCCTAGATTGATCACGTGACTGCCTCTCTGTGCCTCAGTTTCCCCATCTGAAAAGGCAGATAATAATACTTGAGAAACACCTTGAACATATGTGACCATATGTGATGTATAGTTACTGATCATGTTACCTAGTGTTTCTGCTAGGTAAAGTAGTCTTCATCACTGCATTCTTACTTTTTTGTCCCATTTCACAATATCTTCTTTTGTTTGACACAGTATTCCTCTCCTTTTGCTAAAATTTTAAATTCATTAGATGTATTATGAATTAACCTTTACTTTGATAATCTATATAGATATCTGAAGTCATGGTATTGTTCCTAATCCACTTCCTTGTTTCTGCCAAGACTTATTAGTCTGCTCCTATGCTATTGTTCTTCCCATGTGATTCCTGGTATTCTTCATATGTGTACAGTTGTATCTGGGCATTTTTTCCTTCCCTGCAAATGTCAGGTTGGCACTTTTCTGCCGAATGTATTCTTTCCAGCTTATGCAAAAATAGTCCAGCCTCCACAAGAGTCCACTGTTCCAGAAATCCAAATTCACCCCTATCCATAAAGAAAGCCGGCTGGTTACTTCTCACATCCTCTTTAATCTTGCAAAGTCACAGACTTCTCTTGGAATGAAAGATGAAAACACACCCCATGCCCTGAGGTCCTTCAGCCTCCTGCTCAGAATTTCAGAATGCACACAGAGACATTTTGGAGAGTTCTGACTATATTCAGTAGGCTCAGATGAACCATTAAAAGTTAGTAGTAGTAGTAGGATTTGATCAATGTCAGCAGACTTTTTGACCTAACTAAAACATAATCAAGAGCCAAAAATCTATGAACACAGAGATAACGAGCATCTGAGTAGTTGAGAGGAGAGAGAAGCAATGCCAGGATCTAAATATTTCCAGCGCGAGCCCTCTGATGTTCATGGGGCCTGGAGGGTTCCACATTCATTATGTGTGTGAGGTTTCTGCCCAGCAAGGCTGCTGACATGAGGCAAAGCAGAGCCCTGGCGAGGATGTTTCTGGGGTCACCGCACATCTGCCTTCTCCAGCGTGTGTTCTGTGATGGACAGTAAAGGGTGAGACGGAATTGAAATGTTTTTCACATTCATTATACTTACACGTTTTCTTCTGTGTAGAGAGTCTCTGAATTATGATACATTTTTTTCAAAGCTATAATCCAAACTGGATTCTTTCTCTTGTAGGAATTTTATGACGTATAACAAGATCTGAGCTGCTCTCCATATTTGTTAAATTGCATTAACTTCATAGCCTCACTGATTTTTTTTTTCCTTTTTTTTTTTTTTTTTTTTGAGACGAGTCTCGCTCTGTTGCCCAGGTTGGAGTGCAGTGGCGCGATCTCGGCTCACTGCAGCCTCCACCTCCCGGGTTCAAGCGATTCTCCTGCCTCAGCCTCCCAAGTAGCTGGGACTACTACAGATGTGTGCCACCACATCTAGCTAATTTTTTGTATTTTTAGTAGAGATGGGGTTTCACCATGTAAGCCAGCATGGTCTTGATCTCCTGACCTCATGATCCACCTGCCTCAGCCTCCCAAAGTGCTGGGATTATAGGCGTGCACCACCACACCCAGCCTGTTTATTTTCTTACGTGAAACATCTGTACTAGAAGAGGGAATCTGCCTTTGGATATTCATCTCACCTCTCAGATCTGTGCTCAAACATCACAATTCTCCTTAAAAACAGGTTCTTGGGTAGTCTTTTGATTGTGTCCACTGGCACGCCCATTCATCTTGGATTAATGATAATAAAAGTGTGTAATTATATTAGATGTCTACCACATGGCAGGCCCTATGTTGATGTGAATTTAGCTCACTGAAGCCTGACCACAGCTCTGAGGAAGGTGCTATTATGCCGGCATCATTTTCCCTACAACTCCCTTTCTTTTCACACTTTGCACCCACAGCCCATGGTGTTGCCTATTAGCCCCCAGCCTTGGGCCCTTGAATCCAAGGTTAAGGGCTTGTGACCAGAGGACTCTGCAGCCTGAATTTGGGGAACACACTATCAGCCTGATCTGAACTCTTTATTCAGCATCTAAGCTTTTATGGCCACCAGGTGGGAGTATTGGGATTGGAAAGAACTGTCCAGAGACAATATCCAATGTGATTATGAACAAATCCACCTCCATACAGGTCACTTGTGATTTTAACGGGTGAAAATGCTTCGCAAAATCAAATCTAAACTTCTTTTGTAAAAGCACGTCTTAGCTATTTAATGACATCACAGTATCATGGGCATATCCACAAATTCTGCAAGTGGATCACTGGGAATGAGCATAAACAGGGTCATTTCTCCTTCCACCCCTTGATTCCAGGACCTGTGTATTCTGCCTACTGGGGACACAGCACCATATCAAATTCATTAGGTGGAGAGTGTTTACTGCATTCTGGAGGATGATGCTGTATCTTCCCACTGCTTTAGGTAGTGAAATGTGCTAATGAGAACATATAAAGCAGGGAAGAGCATAGGAAGTACAGGGGAGAATGACTAAAATTTTAGATAGGGTGGCCAGGGCTGGCCTCATTCAGAAGGTGACATTAGAATAAAGACCTAACAAAGAGAGAGAAATCTGGGGTAAGATCATTCCAGGCAACGTGAACAGAAACTGCAAAGACCCTGCGGTTCCTGGCATGTTTGATGAATAGCGAAGTGTTCAGTACGCCAAGGATGGAGTGAGGGAAGGGCAGAGTACTCGTAGAAGATGAGATCAGGTTGGTGACAGACAACCATATCAAGTAGGGTCTTAGAGGTCACTGTAAAATGTTTGCTTTTACTCTGAATTGAGAATCCATTGGGAAGTTTTGAGGAGAGAAGTGATATGATAGGACTTGTGCTTTAACAGAATCTTGATGGCATTATGTTGAGGATACACTGAATAGGGAAGGAGGAAGTTAATATACAAGTTGTGAGGCTGTTGCACAATGAGGCAAGAGATGATGATGGTTGAACTAAGATGGTGATAGTGGAGGTGGTGAGACTCACAAATCCAGAGCTTCCAGAGGTATCACTTACTATATGTTTAATGTCAGAGGGGCCTCTTGGAATTGTATAATGTGGCAGTACTGGGTAAGTCAAATTCTGGTTAGATTTTTTTTCTTTTAATATGGAGTCTTGCTCTGTTACCCAGGCTGGAGTGCAGTGCATGATCTCAGCTGACTACAACCTCTGCCTTCTGGGTTCAAGTGACTCTCCTGCCTCAGCCTTGCAAGTAGCTGAAACCACAAGTGCCCACCTCCATGCCCGGCTAATTTTTGTATTTGTAGTAGAGATAGAGTTTCACCATGTTGGCCAGGCTTGTCTCAAACTCCTAACCTCAAGTGATCTGCCCGCCTCGGCCTCCCAAAGTGCTGGGATTACAGGCGTGAGCCACCATACCCTACCCTCAGCTACATTTTGAGGCAGAGACAATCACATTTGCTGATGCAGAATGTGAAAGGAAGAGAGGTGTCAAAGATGACTCCAAGGTTTCTGGCCTGAGCCACTGGGAAGTTGAGGTTGCCATCAATTGAGATGGAGAAGACAATAAAAGGAGCAGACTGGGGGTGGAAGCAATAATAGAAACTCAGTTGTGGAAGCATTAAGCTTGAGTTCAGAATTCTACATTTGGGAGTCATTAACATATAGATGGCATTTGAAGCCATGAGAATGAATGAGACTGCTTAGCAAGTGAGGGTGGTGAGAATAAATGAGATAACCTAAAAAGTGAGTATGGGAAGGGGAAAAAAGATGCCAAGGACTAACCCTAATGCACTGCAACGTTCAGAGTGTGAGCAAATGGAGAGGACCCAGCAAAAGAGGTGAGGCAGGAGGTCAGAGAGGTGGGAATAAAGCAGGCCAGAGAGCTATCCTGGAAGCCAAGTGAAAGAAGTGCTTAAAGAAGAGACACAGAAGGAATGAGGTAGCCCGGCATAAGGTCTTAGAAATTTTTACAAGAGTTGCTTCCCTGGGCTGTTTGAATCAGATCCACATTCATCAACATTTAAGCTGATGCCAGTGGAGTATTAGAGAACACTCACCCTTGCAGCCCCCTGAATTTGGACAATAAAGTTCCAGCTTATCATTTGCAAGGACAGTCTGGTATTCTAGAGGAGGGACTACTGGGATAGAATACATTTCAAAGCATTCTATCATGGTTATAGTTCTTTCATTTCTAACTTTCTTAAAACACCTATTTTAACAAGTTGTTTTGGGCTCTTGCCTGGAAAGCTAAAAAAAGCGAGAAGCTGTCTGTTGCCTTAAGCTCCACAGCCTAGCACAGTACATGAGAAGAATGTGTGAATATACATTGCTATACATTGCTGGATTCATGATGTGGCACTGCTGAAGCCATGCTCAGAGGCAGCAGCAAAGAAAAAAACCCTGCAAATTCCATTTATTACCAATTGACTTTGAGAACCTGAATACTTTTCAGTTTTCTTAAATGAGACTTGAAGAGAGGGAAGTGTCACTAGGAATTATAAAACATAATTATTTTTGAAAGACAAAAACATTGAAATATGTTGCTATTAGTCACTTCAAGTAGAAATGTGAAAATCATTGCACTAGTCTGTTTCCTGTTGCTTAGAATACTTGAAGCTGGGTAATTTATAAAGAAGGAAATTTATTTCTTGAAGTTGGGTAATTTATAAAGAAGGAAATTTATTTCTTGAAGTTCTGGAGGCTGAGAAGTCCAAGGTTGAGGGGCTGCATCTGGTGAGGGCCTTCTTGCTGGTGGGGACTCTCTGCAGAGTCTTGAGGCAGCACGGGGCATCACATGGTGAGGGGGCTGAGCATGCTAACATGCTAACTCAGGTCTTTCCTCTTCTTATAAAGCCACTAGTTCCCCATCCCTGATAATCCATTAACCTATCAATGGATTAATAATTCATTCATGAGGGCAGAGCCCTTATGATTCAATCACCTCTTAATGGCCCCAACTTTCAATACTGCCACTTTGGGGATTAAGTTTCAACATGAGTTTTGGAGGGGACACTCAAATCATAGCAATCATTTTTTTAAAATGTAGCAAAAAACTACCCTTCTTGGTTTTAAAAAAAAGTAAGAATAAAATATTTGAAGAGAATATGGGTCAGTCCTCTTTTCAAATACTTCCTCCTGAATTGCAGTATCTTTAACAAATTCTATGTGATTTTGCTCATCTCAAACATATTTTAAGATCGGAGAAATATGGAAAAGGATTTAAGTAAATGAATATCCAAAGCAGTTTAAAGTAATTAAAATTTTCCTTTTCTATAAGAAAAATGTTTTTAAAATGTTTAATCTGTTCATTTCAAATTTAAATGTTATTCACGGAAAAGCTACTAAAAATTTTGTACCTCTGAGCAAATTTCTTTTTAAAGAAAACAAAAATTTTTGTTTTTTTACTTTTGAAAATCTCACTATGAATAAGCAACATTGTTAAGTAACTATCATTTATTTCTAGCATATTTTGGTTACACAGATTTATTTTATTTTCTTGAGACAGAGTCTCGCTGTGTGGCCCAGACTGGAGTGCAGCGGCACAATCTTGGCTCACTGCAACCTCCAGCTCCCGGGTTCAAGTGATCCTCCTGCCTCAGCCTCTTGAGTAGCTGCAAACATAGGCATGTGCCACCATGCCTGGCTAATTTTTGTATTTTTAGTAGAGACGGAGTTTCACCATTTTGGCCAGGCTGGTCTTGAACTTGTGACCACAAGTGATCAGCCCACTTCAGCTCACCAAAGTGCTGGGATTACAGGTGTGAGCTATCTCGGCTGGCCTGGTCACACAGATATTTATGAAAATTAATTGTAATTAATTTCTTTAAACCGTGAGTTTAAACATTGTCAGAAATAATTCGATGTTCCTAGGTTACTGCTGTAACCTGCATACTGCAGTATAGGAATCCCAAATTCCTTAGCAAGCTCCACGCGTCTCGGTGAGTCAATGGATTGAAACATAGATCCTTCTCTTTCACGTCTGTGGTCTATGGGAGAAAAGGGACCCTGCTCCATGACCCCCTGAGAAACCACTTGGGGGTGACATCTCACAGCTGCCTGAGTACCCTGACAAAGGCACAGACTGTGATTCAGAAAATGTGAATCCCTCACAGCGCTGTTTCTTTGGCCCTGAGGCAGCTCTACAGGGTCCTGGGCCTCTTCCCTCCTTGTGAAAACAGTTTTTTCACCTGCTGCTTGAAGCTTCTTTTTCCACAGCAGGATTTTTCCAAACCTGAGCAATGCATTATGAAATCAATTTAACAGCTGAAAGGGAGAGTCATTAATAATTGTAGGGGATAACAGCATCAACTAGGACTGTGCTGGGCAAACCAGCACATACGGTCACCCACTAATTCAACACTAGCATTAGAGAAAATTTAATGGAATAAAATAGAATCAGAACAGAAAATACGAGTGGGTCACACAGAGAAAGTGTAAATAGTGTTTTGTGAAACTTTTCCTGGGGGCAAGAAAAACAAGTCTTATTGGAGTCAAGGACAAAAGCACTGGAAAATCACTTGCAAAGCGGAGCTTGAGAACAGGCATCATGCAGTCCTCAGTAGTTCTTCCCACTCTGGTCTCTTTCCATCCAAATCTAAGTTCTTAAACAAGGCAGCTCCCACAAGTAGACTCCCACCTGGCCCTCTAGTTAATTGGCCTGAACCCTGGCACTGAGACCAGGTTAAGCCAAGTTCTGAAACATAGTAGCTTTGTTTAAAGGATAATACTTTTCTTGTCTGGAATATAATATACAATCAGTAAGGGAGACAGGGGATCTAAAGCTATCCATATATGGGTATCTATGTTAGTAAAAAATAGAAGCTAAGTTTTATTTTTTATTTTTTATTACAAAATAATATTATTATTATCCTTCTTGAGGGTAAGACCTTCTTAGAAAATAGCACCAAACCTGACAGATGGAGGACCTTAGTGCTTAGTGAAATCTGCTTGTTTGATGGCTACATTTTCTCTGGTTTTGATAACCATGCGTTGTTTCGTAAGTGGTGTAACTGCTTCTTTTGTGGAACCGCTTCAGTGTTTTCTCTCATAATAAGGATGAGTCTCCAGCAGGGGAAAATATACGCCCTGGAAATAATATCATAATGGGGAAGGTTCCATGATATAATTCACGGAAAGCAGTTAGCATGGTGCTTGATATCTAGTGAGTGCTCAGCAATGGCAATGGTTGTTGTTATTGCTATTAAGTAAACAGAATAAAGACAGAAGCACACAGAAAAATATATTAACTGTTTGCCCTTGTTTCACTCTGCAGAAGCAGGAAGGGCCTTTAAAACTTAGCCTGGTGGTTCTGTTTATTAGGTAAACTATTAGTGAATTGATTTTTAATGGATACCATCCGTTCTTAGGCCCCTGAGCCGCCTGCTTTTTATGTAATCTCTGTGGTGTCTCTTTACCTAGATAACACAGAGCAGGCTTCTGTCAGGTTGTGAAGCAAGAACAAGGTCGTCAGCCTCAGTGCTAATTCCTCTGAAATTGAAATGCCTGTGCCTTTGGTTTGGTTCCGGCACCCTTTCTCTGGGCTTTGGTGATAGTTTGATGGAGGAGCCTGGCTTCCTAAGCAGATAAGCAGGGTTTCTCAGCCTCAGCATAATTGACTATTTGGACTGGATAATTTTTTTCTTGCCGGAGCTGTCCTGTGCATTGTAGGATGCCGGTAACACCTTTCCCCATCCCGTCCCCAGTTGTGACAACCAAAAATGTTCAGAGACATTTAAAAATTGGCCCTAATCAAGAAACACTGAGATAGATTAAAGAGAAAAGCCAAGATAATAGTCCTAAAATTTGTCAGTCTTAAGACATCTCAATGAAATGCCATATATATACTACGTGTGTATATATACATATATTCATATATATATACTGTGTATATACTAATATATACAGATATATACTGTGGGTATACATATATCCACATATAACAAGAATAAAGGGGCCACTCCCCCCATGTTTCCTACACACTTCATGCAAATGTATGTTGACATACACACACATTGTATATGTAAACTTATAAAGTTTAAAGGGTCCTCTTGCCATATAGACCAATGGAACAGAACAGAGACCTCAGAAATAACACCACACATCTACAACCATCTGATCTTCAACAAACCTGACAAAAACAAGGAATGGGGAAAGGATTCCCTATCTAATAAATGGTTCTGAGAAAACTGGCTAGCCATATGCAGAAAACTGGAACTGGACCCCTTCCTTACACCTTATAAAAAAATTAACTCAAGATGAATTAAAGATTTATGTGTAAAACCCAAAACGATAAAAACCCTAGAAGAAAACCTAGGCAATATCATTCAGGACATAGGCATGGGCAACAACTTCATGACAAAAACACCAAAAGCAATTGCAACAAAAGCTAAAATTGACAAATGGGGTATAATTAAACTAAAGAGCTTCTGCACTGCAAAAGAAACCATTATCAGAGTGAACAGGCAACCTACAGAATGGGAGAAAATTTTTGCAATCTACCTGTCTGACAAAGGTCTAATATCCAGAATCTGCAAGGAACTTAAACAAATTCACAAGAAAAAAACAAACAAACCCATCAAAAAGTGGGCAAAGTATATGAACAGACACTTCTCAAAAGAAGACATTTATGCGGCCAACAAACATATGAAAAAAAGGTCTACATTACTGATAATTAGAGAAATGCAAATCAAAACCACACTAAGATACCATCTCATGCCAGTCAAAATGGGGATTATTAAAAAGTCAAGAAACAATAGATGCTGGTGAGGCTGTGGAGAAATAGGAACATTTTTACACTGTTGGTGGGAATGTAAATTAGTTCAACCATTGTGGAAGACAGTGTGGTGATTCCTCAAGGATCTAGAACCAGAAATACCATTTGACTCAGCAATCCCATTACTCGGTATATACCCAAAGGAATATAAATCATTCTACTATAAAGATACATGCACATGTATGTTTATTGCAGCACTATTTACAATAGCAAAGACATGGAACCAACCCAAATGCCCATCAATGATAGACTGGATAATGAAAATGTGGCACATATGCACCATGGAATACTATGCAGCCATTAAAAAGGAATGAGATCATGTCCTTTGCAGGAACATGGATGGAGCTGGAAGCCATCATCCTCAGCAAACTAACACAGGAACTGAAAACCAAACACTGCATGTTCTCACTGGTAAGTGGGAGCTGAACAATGAGAATACATGGACACAGGTTGGGCGTGGTGGCTCACACCTGTAATCTCAGCACTTTGGGAGGCCAAGTCGGGCAGATCACAAGGTCAGATCGAGACCATCCTGGCTAACAGAGCGAAACCCTGTCTCTACTAAAAATAAAAAAAAAAAAAAATGCAAAAAATTAGCCGGGTGTGGTGGTGGGCACCTGTAGTTCCAGCTACTCGGGAGGCTGAAGCAGGAGAATGGTGTGAATCCGGGAGGTGGAGCTTGCAGTGAGCCGAGATCGCACCACTGCACTCCAGCCTGGGCGACAGAGCGAGACTCTGTCTCAAAAAAAAAAAAAAAAAAAAAAGAGAATACATGGACATAGGGAGAGGAACAACCCATGCCAGGGCCTGTCAGGGAGTGGGGGCCAAGGGGAGGGAGAGCATTAGGGCAAATGCCTAATGCATGTGTGACTTAAAACCTAGATGATGAGTTGATAGGTACAAGTAACCACCACAGCACATGTATACCTATGTAACAAACCTGTACGTTCTGTACATGTATCCTGGAACTCAAAGTTTAAAAAAAAAAAAAGGTACTCTTGTCTGGTTTATTACTGTTGTATCATAAATCAGACTATTTAAAAGGTCTCGCCTTTCAAAATGCAGCAAGAATCAAGGGGCCACTCCCGCATGTTTCCTGCATACTCCATGCACAAGAATCGCCTTCTGCTTAGACTGCACTTCCCCTCCTGGGCAAACTCTTACTCACTCTCCAACACCCAGTTCAATTGTTACATGCTTTTTAAAGAATTTCATGTGCCCCAGTGGCATTTTATAGATATGGTCTATCACCATGTTTACATTTTATTGTGTTAGTTATGAGTGTATCTCCCCACAAGATTGGGAACTATGTCTTACTCACTTTTCCATTTCTGGCCCTTAGTGCAGTGCTTGTCACAAAGCTTTTCCACAGTAAATGGCTCAGGGTTTGACTGCCAGAGTGGCAGTGTAGAAGCTGAAAATCTGGATTCCAACCCTTCTCTGCTCCTCATTAGCTGTATGACCTTAGCCAAGTCTTTTAAATCCTTAAAAATTCAGTTTCCTCACCCACAAAATGAAGATGATAATACTTACAACTTGACAGCAGTGCCATGATTTAAAACCCCCCAGAGATATTAGTGCCTCTTTGGGAAATGAGCTGGGTTAGAATATATGAAATTTATCATTAGAATTTTGTAGCTGGGCATAGCATGGTTTTGACAGAGGTCTCCCGAGGGGAAATTTGAGGTATTATGAATTATTTAATTATGACTATAATATTTAATAACTACTTGCCTTAAAATATTTTTTAAAGAAATTATATCCTTCAATTCCCAGAAATGCATCCAGGGGACTTTATTCAGGGCTGGAGGGAGACCTCAGAACCAGCATTCTTTGGGGATTACTGTACTTGGGACCAAAGGCTGAGGACGCCTGGCTTCATCCTCATTCATTGGGCAATGCCACAGGGAACATTTAACAACATTCCCGTGATGCTTCTGCTCTCTGTTTGTTGCATTGGAGGCAACTTGGAACAGAAAGATGATGGGCTCTGGGGCCAGATGATTCACCTACCTGTGTATCATGTTCAGGAAATTGTTTAACATTTCTGAGCCTCATTTTCCTCATCTTTTAAAAAATGAGAAAAATGGTCAGGCGCGGTGGCTCATGCCTGTAATCTCAGCACTTTGGGAGGCAGAGGCAGTTGAATCATCTGAGGTCAGGAGTTCAAGACCAGCCTGGCCAACATGGCGAAACCCCTTCTCTACTAAAAATACAAAAATTAGCTGGGACATTCCCACACTTGTAGTTCCAGCTACTCAGGAGGCTGAAGCAGGAGAATCACTTGTACCCGGTGGGTAGAGGCTTCAGTGAGCCAAGATCGCACCATTGTACTCTAGCCTGGGCAGCAGAGTAAAACTCAAAAAGGGAAAAATAACAAAAGTTCTTTCTCCCATACTTGCTTTGAAACGGAAATAAGGTCATATGAATAAAAGATCTAACAGACGTGGGGCCCATAGTGAATACTTGCCCAGTATTAGCTGAATTTTATTCATGGAGGACAAAGCACTTTCGTTTGTTTGTTTGTCTTTTTGAGACAGAGTCTCACTTTGTCGCCCATGCTGGAGTGCAGTGGTGCGATCTCAGTTGGTTCAAGTGATTCTTGTGGTTCAGCCTCCAGAGTAGCTGGGATTACAAGCGCCCACGACCACACCCGGCTACCTTTTTGTATTTTTAGTAGAGATGGGGTTTCGCCATGTTGGCCAGGCTGGTCTTGAATGCCCGGCCTCAAGTGATCCGCCTGCCTCAGCCTCCCAAAGTGTTAGGATTACGGGCATAAGCCACTACATAGCCAGGACAAAGCACATTTTAAACATCTTTCTCCACTGTGTGGTAGTATCTGGCTTGCCTTTTCACTATCAGAGGCTCTGGTGCAAAGAGCCGTGAACTCACGTATTAAATTCTTCTAGTGTTCTTAATAGGGGTATTATTTTTGCCTAGTAATAATGATCATATTCATAACAATAGCAACCACAGTGAACATATACTAAACATTAGTGTGCTTGCATTTTTCTACATGCTTCGTATATACTAACTCAACAGTACTGTGAAAAAAGTTCTAATATTAACCCCCCTTAACAGGCTGAGGTGCAAATGGATTAAGAAATTGTTCAGTGTCACTCACACAGTTGGAAACTGGGGAACCAGGATTTTAAAACAGATGTTTGCCACCAGAGCACATCTTCTTAACCACTAGGCCTCACTGTCTGATGGCTGCGTGTTGGTTTGTTCATTCATCCAGTAAATGCATATTGAGCAGTTATTTATACCAATCATTGAAACCGAGTGGATGAATAAGACACACTTTCAATTCTCAGAGAGTTCACAACTTAGTAGTCAAGACAGATAGGTAAATAAATGGCTTCCATGTAATGTGGTTAAAACAACAGCAGAGGTCAGTATTAGGTACAGTGGAAGCACTAATGTGGCAGGACTTGATTCTATGGCTAATTTCCTCCTGACAGATAAAGGGGCCCCTTGAATGAACTAAACAGTGAACAGGTAAATGGCCCTGCTACAGAAATGAGTACCCAGCAGCTGCTGTGGCTGGTCAGATGCAGGTAACTGCTGATCAGTCTAGTGTGAAACCTACTTAGAGATCATTTAGGTAGTCATTCAGCCCAATATTTTACTACTTGAGTTATCTTCTTTGTCTGAGAAAAGAAAGATAATAAAATACTATGTGACTTAGAAGCCAGGCAGTTGCTATATGTGTTCTCATGATCAATAAAACTGATAAACTACGAAACAGATACTCAACTTGTCCTATAAAAACAAAAAAGTGCTGTGGTTTTGACGTTCACGTTCTACAAGACTGTGTTTTCGTCAGTGTTAGATTGCGAGATGGTGATCTCAAAGTTTGTTCTGAGCAGGGGGAAGTAAGAAAAAAAAAGTTTTAGATATGTCCTTCCTTCTTGAAGCCACTTTCTATGTTGACTGCTTTTTTTTTTTTTTTTTTTTTTTATGAGATGGAGTCTCATTCTGTTGCCCAGGCTGGAGTGCAGTGGCGTGATCTCGGCTCATTGCAACCTCTCCCTCCTGGGTTCAAGCGATTCTCCTGCCTCAGCCTCCAGAGTAGCTGGGATTATAGGTGCCACCACTATGCTCAGCTAATTTTTCTGTATTTTTAGTAGAGAAGGGGTTTCACCATGTTGGCCAGGCTGGTCACAAACTCTGGACTTCAAGTGATCCTCCCGCCTCGGCTTCCAAAAGTGCTAGGATTACAGGTGTGAGCCACCGGGCCTGGCTGACTGCTTATTTTCTGAGTTATTAGGAAAAATGGGAAATGGCAGGGCTTCTCAGGCAGCCTGCTCACCAGGCATGTGTCTATGCTCTTTTCATTTCCTCTGATGATCTGGAAGAGAACTATGGTCTCAGAGAAAAAGCCATTGTTCCAGGAATGTCTGTCAGTAATGCATTGTGGGTTTCAACGAAGACATCACTTAAGGGATGGAACATTGGTGTATCTGCTTAGTGCCTGTGGCTTTCCCACTGAAGGAAGAAATGAGCTCCTCTAGATTCCAATATTGCACTGTGGCAAAGCATGCCTTCCCCCACCGAAAAATGTTGTAGATTTAAGGGAGACTTCTTACATAGATCTCCTATGTACCTGGGTTAAAATGTGTAGGAAGAGTCTTAAGCATTTAAAAGAGTTGTCCCAGAAACCAAGAAGGGCTTATTCCAAGCCTGGTGAAACTACCTTTGTTATGAAGCAATGTTTTGTTGGTTTTTGCTGTTGCTGTTGTTGTTGTTTTTGAGATGTGGTCTTGCTATGTTGCCCAGACCCACCTCAAACTCCTGGGCCCAAGCAATCCTCCTGCATAAGCTTCCTGAGTAGCTGGGATTACAGGCATGATCCACCACACCCAGCTCCATAGCTTGTGCTCTGAAAGGAGATATTACACAGGGATATGAAGATGAGACCGCAAAGAGAGAGGCTGTCAGGGGACATGAGGACTGTGAAGGATGGGGTTACACAGAGCTGACGCTTTCTGTTGTAGTCACTCTTAGCATTGCACAGGGCTTTTAAGTGAACTAGATTAGTGCTTCTTATCTTTTTTCCTCTGCCCCAAACACCTGAGAGACAAAATATTTGTACTAAAAACACCTGCAGGGCTGGGTATCAGAAACTCGGAGTGAATGGGGGTTACTGGAAGAAGGGAAGAGCTGAAGGAAAGAGATGAAAGAAGGAAGAACTTACGCATTTTAAAAACAGAAAAAACAGGTGAGTGGGAGTCTGCTTCCCCTGCTATGAAAAGTCACCACAATCCAGTGAACCACTCTCCTGTAGGGTGTCTTTGACTGAGTTATGTCCCTGTCCCTGAAAGATGAGTTATGCTGGTTCATATGTGGGTCATTCCTACCTATGGGTTGGCCCTAAGCTTGTTCTCTGGAATGTCCCAGAACATGTCTGTTAACTCTTCCCATATGACCATCCTCCAAATACTTGGAGTCAGGCCTCTTCTAAGACTTCTCTTTCCTTGATTAAACTTCAGCCCTTCTCTTCCTACCCATCCTACACCCTCTCACCTCAGGACTCTACTTTGTGCCAGGTGAGACCAGCTAATCTGAAAAACAAATTCATATTATATCAGCTGGTGGTAATGTTACCCTCATGTCTGCAATCACAAAACAGGAAGAAGCCTTAGAAGTCAGCTCAATCCAATTCCATATTTGTTCACAAAAAAAGTGGAGACTCATTGTTACATATTTGTTGATATTTGTTGGTGGGTCAATTAGGACCAGAATGCAAGTTTCTAAACACCACATGTAGCAGAATATGTACCAGGTCACATTCCCGGAGAGAATTTCAATAGGCGGTAAGTTCAGGTGTAACCTAGCAGAAACGAACAATTCAATAAAGGCTCCAGCCTGCTAGGGCCTTTTGTCTATTTCAACACACTGTATATAATTTAATTTTATAGAGTAAGATAATCTCCAAACCAGGGAGGCTTCTAAGTGTGTCTGTTTCTTATTATTAAGACGGTGGTTTGTTGGGGTTTTTTTTGTTGTTGTTTCCGTTTGTTTGTTTGTTTTTGTTTTTTGAGATGGAGTCTCACTCTGTCACCCAGACTGGAGTGCAGTGGCACAATCTCAGCTCACTGCAACCTCTACCTCCCGGGTTCAAGCGATTCTCCTGCCTCAGCCTCCACAGTAGCTGGGATTACAGGTGTCTGCCACTACACCTGGCTAATTTTTTTGTATTTTCAGTAGAGACAGGGTTTCACCATGTTGGCCAGGCTGGTCTCAAACTCCTGACCTCAAGTGATCTGCCCGCCTCGGCCTCCCAAAGTGTTGAGATTACAGGCGTGAGCCACCGCGCATGGCCTTTTACTGTTTTTTTGGATGAAATGCTCGCACACAAAAAGTGAGCTGCTTTATTCGTTAGTGTCGGTTGGTGGTATTTTACCTTTAAATATGTAATTTTATGGAGGTGACTTATTTTCAAAATCAAAGGATCCTTGGAGAACCAAATAAAGGGTGGGATTATATCACCTAGCAACAGCTATATCATTAACTATGAAAAAGGAAAGAAAAAAATTCAAAACAAAGGTATTGGTGTGAACATTTTACCTGGACATACATAAAAATTCTGATATTTAAAAAATAAACTTTATTTTTAGAAGAATTTCAGCTTTACAGAAACATTGCAGTGATAGTACAGAGAGTTCTGTGTACCTCACACCCAGTTCCCCCATCCTTAACATTTTACATTATTATGGTATATATGACACAATTAATGAACTAATATTGACACACTATTAACCAAAGTCCTTTTTTGTTCACATTTCCTTAGTTTTTATCAAATGTCCTTTTTCTTTCCAGGACTTTATTCAGGATGTAACATTTTATGTTGTCATTGTGTTTCCTTAGGTTCCTTTTGGCTACGACAGTTTCTTAGACTTCCTTTGTTTTTGATAACCTTGAAAATTTTGAGAAACATTGGTCAGGTATTTTGTAGAATGTCTCAGTTGTGACTGGTTTGATTTTTTTTTCTCCTGATTAGACTGGATTCTGGGGTTCTATAGAGGAAGACCACAGAGGTAAAGCACAATCTGCATCAAATTGTATCAGGTGTGTATCATATCAACACAACATCACTGTTGTGATGATCTTGATTACCTGGCTGAGGTAGTACTTGTCAGGTTTTTCTACCATGAGGTGACCAATTTTTCCTGCCTTTCCATACTGTACTATGTGTCACTATGTGTAGCCCACACTTAAGGAGTGGCAAGTTCTGTTTCACTTCCTATGATCAATTTTCAATTAATTTTTGTGAAATGAATACAGTTTATGTCTAGTTTCATTTCTTTCTGCACATTACAATCATTGTAGCACTATTTGTTGAAAAGAATATCCTTTCTCCATTGAATTGCTCTTGTACTTTTGCTTTTGTCAAAAATCAGTTGGCTATATTTATTTGTAGGGTCATTCCATTTCACTTCTTTTTGTTTTGTTTTGTTTTGTTTTTTTTGAGACAGAGTCTCGCTCTGTACCCAGGCTGGAGCGCAATGGCGTGATCTTGGCTGACTGCTGGGTTCAAGTGATTCTCCTGCCTCAGCCTCCCGAGTAGCTGGGATTACAGGTGTGTGCCACCACACTCGGCTAATTTTTGTATTTTTAGTAGAGACAGGGTTTCACCATGTTGGCCAGGCTGGTCTTGAACTTCTGACCTCAAGTAATCCACCCACCTCAGCCTCCCAAAGTGCTGTGATTACAGGCATGAGGCACCACGCCCGGCCTGTTCATTTCAGCTTAAAGGTACACTTCAGTGTGACTCTTGAGAAATTAGTTGATTTTAATTTTGTTTCCACTAGTCTGTGTAATCTAAATTTATTAAAATTTTTTCCTCTAAATATGTAGTTATCATCTTAGCCTTTGAAAATGGTGCCTCTTAATAACAAACAAAAGATCTTCAAATTCATTTTCATCTTTCAGAGGTAAGAGTAAAACAGTATTAGGGTGAGAAGGGGAATTTAAAGACCCCTCACTTTAACAATATTGTTTATCCTGTGAGAAAAGCTGAGATGCTAGTGAATGACTTGCTCAAGGTTACACAGCTGGTAAGTGACAGGGCCACTAACCAGCAATCAGAAGCTCATGGACGACTCTAGCCAGTCCTCCACCCCACGTGGCATCCTGGTTCAAATAGGCTTCTGCCTTTTCAGTTCTCTCTCCAAGCACACTAATCCATAGATAACATACTTCTCAGGTAACAGTAAAAGTTGATATCATACACAAGGCTAACTGGAAAACTAGCCCAGGGGAATCATTTTGAGAAGCTAGGTTGGCTGAAACACAGTGCTAATGAGGCAAACTCCCAAGTTCTTGCATCCCATGAGACAATTAGCTTATTTTTTATTGGTAGCCAAACTGCAGCTATAAAACTTTTTAACAAGCTGGCAAAGGTTTACTCCTGGTCACAAAGGGAACTCAGTGAGAAAATGCTAGTTATATGTACACTCCACGTTGTTATTGGGAAAATAGCTCAATGGACACATCCTGCTGATACTGAGTCAACAAGATAATTTTCATATCAGAAAAGCAATAGTGTACCTAACCCTGTGTGAGTGGGCATTATGTTAGGTGATAATTCCTGCTGCTCTAACAAAATACCTTAGACTGGATAATTTATAGACAACAGACATTTATTTCTCACAGTTCTGGAGGCTGAAAAGACCAAGATCAGGGTGCTGGCAGGTTCAGTGTCTAGTAGAGGCCTTCTCTCTGCTTCCAAGATGGGGCCTCATTGCTCTGTCTTCCAGAGGGGACAAATGCTGTGTCCTCGCATGGTAGAAGAGCAAAAAAGGCCTTGCTGTCTCCCTACAGCCCTTTTATAAGGTTGCTAATCCCATTTATGAGGGTCTGCCCTCATGATTTAATCACTTCCTAAAGGCCCCACCTCTTAATACTGTTGCATTGAGGATTAAATTTCAACATGAATTCTAGAGTGAACACAAACATTCAAACCATAGCAATAAGATTATTTAATAAACAGAGATATGAAGAGATTACAAATCATTTAATAAATGGAGAGAGAGACAATCTTAACTATAAACCTGATATTCTGATTCCACAAGATATGTGTGCTAAACAATTTGATCACAAGATGTTTCTAAGTCTTTTGCACATCATTCAAAGCAGCAAAAAGTGATGTTCGAAAACAAAAACTAACTCTGTGAGTTGGACTAATTTTTTCTTTCATTACATTTTATTCAGAACTACTACCACAATCACCTTGCCAGTTCTTTTAAAGTATATTTGGTTCCTTAAAATTTTTTAAATCATTTTCAAAGTCATTATAATTAATTATGAAAGTTATCATTGGCCAGGCGAGGTGGCTCACCCCTGTAATCCCAGCACTTTGGGAGGCCAAGATGGGTGGATCACTTGTGGCCAGGAGTTTGAGACCAGCCTGAAAAATGTGGCAAAACCCCATCTCTACTAAAACATACAAAAACTAGCTGGGTGTGGTGAAGTGCACCTGCAGTCCCAGCCACTTGAGAGGTTGAGATGGGAGGATTGCTTGAGCCCAGGAGGTCGAGGCTGCAGTGAGCCATGATTGCGCCACTGTACTCCAGTCTGGATGACAGAGACAAACCCTATCTCAAAAAAAAGTTATACTTTATTGAGCACCTACTGGGTGTCTAAAACTATCTTAAGCATTTTTATGCTCATTATTCTCATGCAATCCTCACAGCAATCCTAAGAGGGAGGTTACATTCTTATCTTCATAACATCGCAACTAAGTAGTTTATGTTCAAAAACTCATGGCTGTGCTTACTGCATCCCAAACTCAAACTTCATCATGTCCCTGACCACAGCTAGTTGCCTATGAGATTGAGTCAATTCATTGATTCATACTAAGGCAAGTATGATGACAAATGCTTGATTTATCTGTATAGAAGAGACTTGGGGAAATCAAATTTAATGGTAGATTTTTCTGGCAGCAAAAAGATGTTGGGGAAGGGAGTTGGGGCAGGAAGGCGATTCCTGCCTTTGAGTCCACTGTCATTTCAAATACATTCCTTAAATGTTTATCTGGTAAAGTGGTGAACCAGGTATGTGTGTCTGTCAACAAGAACCATGTGTGTCAGAGAAGGAAGACTTTCTTTATTCAGGGAGTCCTGCTGAGAAGAGTAGAGATCTACAGTGGGGTGGAATTCTCTGTCAAAGTTCCCTACCCACAGGTTAGATAAATGAATTAACTGTGTAGGTCTGCAGCTAAAAATCCACAGGTGGCAATTATAATAATTAGAGACTGTCCAGGCAGAAGTTTATAAAAGCCGCTTAGGTGGTGGTTAATATTGAACACTGTTTTTGGTCAAATTTTACAAGCATGTTTTTATTTTCTATTTTTAGTCTACTTAAAATTAGATACATTTCTTCTCAATCTTTCATATGTACAAGCAAACATTATTGGGCAATTAATAGCCTAAATTACATAAAAATATATTTCTACACAATTTAGGCTAAATTGGAACTATTTCACATTCACATAGTTTGGGGCCATGAGAAAAACAGAACAAAATTTAGTGACCAAAATAATTTTAAGGCTGGGCACAGTTCATGCCTATAATCCCGCATTTTGGAGGCCAAGGTGGGAGGATCGCTTGAGCCTAGGAGTTCTACTAGCTGAGGCAATATAGTGAGATCCTGTCTCTACAAAAAAATAGAAAAATGAGCCAGGCATGGTGGTGTGTACCTGTATTCCCAGCTACTTGGGAGGTCTCAGGCGGGAGGATTGCTTGAGCCGGGGAGGTTGAGGCTGCTGTGAGCCGTGATCATGCCATTGCACTCCAGCCTGGGTGGCAGAGTGAAATCCTGTCTCAAAAATAATAATAATAACAATTTTAATTGTCAAACTTTTTACATCTCTTTAATCAAAACATTATCGACCTATGGCTCTTGTAGTTGTGTAAGATACATGCACCATATAATATCATGATTAACAGTGAGAACTCTGGGATTGGACTGTCCGAGTTCAAATTCTAGCTCTACCATCTATTAGTCATTTAACTATAAGCATTTATTTAACCATCTTGTACCTCGGTTTCCTCATTTGTAAAGTGGGCACCACAATAGTGTTTATTTTACAGGACTGTTGTGGGAAATCAGAGTCACTTAGAGCAATGTCTGGCATAAAATGAGCCTTCAACAAATGTGAAATATTGTTATTATTACCTTTTTGATATATGTTATGCTCCACAATTCATGCCTATATTTAGTTTTAAGTAATGATAGACACTCATTTTATCTATTTTTTTCTGAATATATTAATCATACTTAAAGTTTTTTTGATAACTGAAATATCTGAATCAGATCATCCCCTTGGTTTTTAGATATTTCCTCTTGGTTTTTAGAAATTGTTTCTAACTCCTGGAATGCCTGCTAATTTTGATTCAATGCCAGACATTGTATTATTTAAATTATAAAAGCTTTGGGGTAATAGATTCCTCCAGAGATGCCCTACCTCATCCTCTGCTAGGGAGCTGATCACCTGAACCCAGTGAGACAGAACCAATTCCAGACTGTGATATAGATTTTTTAAAACTAGACTTTTTTTTTTAGAGCAGTTTTAGGTTCACAGCAAAATTGGGTAGAACTTATAGAGTTCCCATATATTCCCTGTCAACCCCCCGCAACCTCCCTTACTATCAATATCCCACCCCAGGGAAGTGTATTTTTTACAATTGATCAATCTACATCAACACACCATTATCATCCAAAGTTCATAGTTTACAGTAGGGTTCACTCTTGGTACTGTGCATTTTATGGGTTTTGACAAATGAAAAGAGATATGTGTCCACCATCATAGTATCATAAAGAGTATTTTCACTGCCCTAAAAATTTTCTGTGCTCCTCCTACTCATCCCTCCCTACCTCAAGCCCCTGGCAGCTACTGATCTATTTACTGTCTCCATAGTTTTGCCTTTTCCAGAATGTCATACTGTACATTACTGTTTTTGAGAGTCTCTTTTCCATCTCAGATTCATCCCTGTTCCTAGAGAGTAGCTCTCCTAGAGTTCCCCCTGAGAACCTGGGGTGTTCACTGAGGCCCTTTCCTCTTGGCGAGCCTTTTAAGATTGCAAAACCTCTGCTGTATTCAGACACTTTTTGCTTAGTTGCTTAATGTCCTGCTCCATGCAGCCTCAGAATTTGGCAAATATTTTGATAGGAAAACAGTGTCAAGTGTCCATTAACCTTTCTCATTGGGTTTCCAGCCTCATGAGATTTGGATTTTTCCAGTCCCCAAAACTGGAACCAAAAATTCGGCTGTCTTTACTGCCTCTTAGAGGCCTTCTGCCCAAGTCTGTTGCCTGGATTCTTTCCCTCTTGCCAAGTACTCTGAACTAGCAAATGCCCCAAAGGAAAAATCAGTTATAAAATGTCGACATTCCTCTCTAAGTTTTCTCATTCTCCAGGACTTGTTGCCCAAGTCTGAGTTTCCTCATCGCTTCTTCAATGACTTCAAATAGATGCTATTTTGTGTATATTATCCAGCTTTTCTAGTTGTCTCAGTGAGAGCAATGACCTTCATCTCAGCTGAAAGGGGAGGTCCCAATATACATTCCTGACAGATGTTTCTGTATTTCCTTATTACTTTGTTAAGATTACAAATATTATTTTAAAAATCCCCCAAATCTACTTGTTCTACTAACCATGTCTTTGGTGTTTTTTGGTATGTCATTCACAAGTATAAATCTCTACTTTAATATGGCATGTTCCTATATAAAAAATATTTGGTCATTTGTTGTGTAAATACTTGTTGTATAAGTTTTTTTAAATGAATTTTAAAATAAGTCTCTGGGAGTCAGAATTACCATATTGTATAGTGTATACAAATTTCAACTAACCAATAGAAATGTTGGGGAAATATAATTTTATATTAATATTTTAATAACTATATTTTGTTTCAATATTGAGCTTTCATTTTACTTGGGTGACGGAAAATAAATCTCAGTCAATTTTGGGATTTCCCAAGGATTTCATTTAAGAACCAAGGGGCTTACATAGTGCCAAGGCATCAGACTGGGGAAGGATCTTATGCTCAGTGTCACCTGTCATGTTTGCTATAATTTGAATGTGTCCCCCAAAGTTTATATGCTGGAAATGTAATCCCCAATGCAACAGTGATGAGAGGCGGAACCATTAAAAAGTGAGTAGGTCATGAGGGCTCTGCCCTCATGTGTGGATTAGTGTCATTATTGCAGTAGTGGGTTAGTTGTAAAAGTGAGCTTGGCCTTCTCTTGATCTCTCTCTCACCACCATGATGTCTTCTGCAGCAAGAAGGCTCTCACCAGATGTGGCTCCTTAATCTTGGACTTCCCAGCCTTCAGTTGTGAGCCAATAAATAAGTTTCTGTTCATGAATTACCCAGTCTCAGGTATCCTGTTGAAGTAGCACTAAATGGACTAGGATAGTGTTGCATCCATTGACATGGGCAATGCAATGTTTCCTCACTGAGCAGTCCATTCGGGCATTTCTTGACATTAATTCCTATCTAGGAGGCTCCTTTAGATCCTCTGGAATTCTCTGTTTACCTTGTTTTTATTCTTAAATTCGAAGGAAACTTTCTGCTGCACCTGTGCCATTCTAGAGGGAGAAACTGGTCTCAATCGCCTAGGCACACTAACCATTTTTTCAGCAGGACTTTGCTGCTCCCCTGGTGCTAAGCTCTGATTCTATTTCAGGTCAGTCTTCTAGTTCTAGGGGCATGGTACAGGTATGCTTCACAATGTTATCATAATGCTTTGCCTCAGTATTTCCTCTATGCCATGAATCCTTTCAATTTTCCTAAAGACTTAAGCTTTTGAAACTCAGGATAGAAGAATAATTTGCTTTTTATTGTTCTATGTGTTCTCTGAAACAACGATAATAGATTAGCTGAAAAGGGGAAAATAAAATGCTGGAGAGAAAAACAAAGCCAGACACTGGTTAATATTAAAAAAATATCATTGTGCTATATGTGTATTCATTCAATAAAACCTTACTTATTGAGGTCCTAACATATGCCAGGCATTATGCTGGATGCTAGACTGCAATAATGATCTAGTTATGGTCTTCACCTCACCTCAGTTAGCTTCAAATCTAACAAGAAATACATACTGACAAAAAAAGAGGTGATTTCACGACTTCTGGCTAAACATGGCTGAGTGAACATATGTCCACTGACCCTCCTTCCCAGAATTACAGAAAAGGAACAATGAAGTACACAAAGCTATAAAGACAAAACTGAAATACTTACACAAAATACCTCTATGTAGACAAGATAGAAGCAGTAGAATTTTGGAAACTAGAAAGCAAATGGAGTAGTGGTAAAACTGACTCAACACACCAGAGAAAGCTGAGGTGAAGGCTGCTTTGAACTATGGAATCTCAGAACTACTTAGAAATATTAACATAAGGGGTACAGGTAGTCCTGAAAATGGGAAGATTAGTTGCAAGTCAGTAAAAGAAATGAATTGGCAGCCAAACTTACTTCTCAGGTGGGAGTCGTAGTTGAGTTCTCTGTGGGAAGCTAGCTGAAAACAAAAACTAAAACAAATAAACAAACAACAAACAATAAAACAACCTTGCCAAATCACCTTACAAGAATAAGTGTCAGTCTGTTCCTGTCACTTTTTTATTGCCTTGTTTTAAATATAAGCAGACAGCCAAGGATCACCAGACAATTAAGGAAGGCCTATGTCATAACAGAACTGAATCTTCAAGAAAATAGCAGCTACGTGTGGACCAGAAGAAAACATAAAAACAAACAAATGAACAAATGAACCAAAATTTCAGAAGAAAGTCTGGAAGGGAAATTGGGAAAAATCCAGAAAGTCAATCAAAAATAGAGAAATGAAAAATAGAAGAGAAAAGGAAAATAGTAGAGTTCAAGAAGCTCAACACCTAAATAAGCAGGAGTTCCAGAAAGAGAGATTATAAAAAGATAGGGTAGGATATTTTCACAGAAATAAGCAAAAACATTTTTCCTGAACAGAAGTCATGAGTTTATAGATGGAGAGAGCTCACTTTGTGCCCTGCATAATGCATAAAAAACAAAAACACACAAAGGCATGCCATGAGAAATTTCAGAACCTTGGAGATAAAGAAAAGAGCCTACAAGTACCCAGATATTCAAAAGACCCAGAAGTGGAAAGATACCAGACTTCTCACCTGCCACACGGGAAAGCTAGAAGCCAGTGCAGCCATATCTTTGAAATTCAGATGGAAAATGACTTCAAATCTTGATTCCTATTCCTTGCCAAATTTTCTAACACATATGAAGGCATATTAAAAATATTTCTGACATGCATGTTTTTTAAAAAAATTATGTCCTTTTTATTATTTTTCAGGAAAATATTAGAGCATGGATTCCACAAACTGAGGCAATAAACCAGGAAGAATACAACATAGGATCTAGGAAACAGGGAACTGTCCAGATACATTGACCGATTGTTGCAGTTTGCCTTAACCTTAGGGACTGCCAGATCTGGGTTATGAAATTGGCACAGTTCCTGGCAAATGGGAATAGCTTTGTCATCCTATGTCCACAATAACAATGATGGGAAGTCCCAACTGGAAAGCTGGTGGCCGATAATAGAACAACTCGACCAGAGAGGTTAAGAGAGTGCTTTTTTTAAATTTATTTTTTATTTTTTATTTTTCTTTAGATAGGGTCTTGTTTTGTTGCCCAGGCAGAAGTGCCATGATCACGGCTCACTGAAACCTCAACCTACCAGGCTCAAGTGATCTTCCCACATCAGCCTCTTGAGTAGCTGGGACTGTCAGTGCATGCCACCACACCCAGATCATTTTTTAATTTTTTTTGTAGAGACGGGGTCTTGCTATGTTGCCAAGGCTGGTCTTAAACTCCTGGGCTCAAGCAATTCTCCCCACTCTGCTTCCCAAAGTGCTGGGATAACAGGTGTGAGACACTGCACCAGGCCAGAGAATGCTTTAGAAGGGATGTCTCTAGAGGAAAATGCATACACACATATGTGTGTGCGCACGTATGTGTGTGTATTGCCTGTTGAATTTGAAGGCATTAAAGAAATTCTTCTTTTAAGGTTGTATTTAGAGGTAAGTAAGTTGTAGGTCTCCAGCACATGAAACCAATGAGAGTAGTGGAAATAAGGAAAAAAGTTATAGATGAAAGAGAGTGAAATCAGAGGACATTAACATGGATCTTCTGTGAATTATATTTATGTAATCATGGTGATGTAAGCACTGAATATTGCTCCAACCAGAAACTATAACTATTGAAATGATGGAGAGAGAGAAAGAGACAGACAGAGGAAAGCTAAATCATTATCTTTAATGGTATGGAGTCGATAGATAATATTCTAAAAAAGTCAACATAATCATGTTATTTAAAAATATAGAGGTCAAGTCCAGAAAAAATGGTTAAAAGAATTAAAAAATTTTTGCTTCTGGAGAATGGAAGTTAGTGGGGGTAAGACAAGAGACTTTTTTTTTTATTGCTAACATGGTAAAAAAAATTTTGACTTTTAAAATTATGAAATGAATATCTTTAATAGAGTAATATATTTTAAAAAGAAGTAATTACATTCTGCAACTCTTAACTTCATTTATGTAACATATTGATGTTCAGAGTTTTACATTTTAGTGTAGTCAAATTTATTAGTTTTTCTTTTACTTTTACAATTTGTTCTTGTAGTCTAAATTTCTTCATTAATGTGTCAAAACACAATGTAGAGTGACAAAAATAGCTAAAGAGCATGTATAGTGCATGCCATGTCTAATTGTATTAAATTTGAAATCAAGCAATACTATATTTGTATATGATTAGATATATAAGTAACAAATATATGTACAGGAATACCAATGCTAACATTCTGTGTCTTTAATATTTTATTCCTCTATTTTTAAAATTGGTTTCATTAACAAGGTATTTAATTGTAACAAGGTTTAATTGGTAGCAAAATACCTTTACATTTCTATAGTTTTAAATATTTCATAGTTAAAAAATTAATAGGCAACCATAATATCCTATGGCAAAGCTTAGAGGAAGGTACCATAGAAGGTATGTGGTGCTAGATAATCCATAGAAAAGTACCTAATCCAAATTAGGGGGGCTGGTAAGGAAAGGCTTCTGAACAAGGCAAAGACCTATAAGCTACAACCTGAGAGAAACATACTGGGACTGGGGGTGGGCCAGGATGTGGTGGAGATGAAATTCTCTAAGAAGGTAAGGGGAATTGATGTGTTAAAGTCGTCAGAATCAAAATGGAGTCACTTGTGCCAAACTCTAACAAATATGGCCAAGAGGCTGAGAAGGGAAGGTTCTCAGGCACACATGCTTATGATAAGAACGATTACAAAGACTTTCTGAAGGGGGTCTTATGCACGTATTCCTATAAAAAGGACTTTTTTTTAACTTTTTTTTTTAAGTTCAGGAGTGCATGTGAAGATCTGTTATATAGGTAAACTCATTCATGGCGGTTTGTTATACAGATTATCTCGTCACCCAGGTAGTAAGCCTAATACCCAATAGTTATTTTTTCTGATCCTCTTCCTCTTCCCGTCCTTTATCCTCAAGTAGGCTCCAGTGTCTGTTCCCTTCTTTGTGTCTGAGTTCTCATCATTTAGCTCCCAAACTTATAAGCGAGAACATGCAGTATTTGGTTTTCTGTTCCTGCATTAGTTTGCTAAGGATAATGGCCTCCATTTCCATCCGTGTTCCTGAAAAGGACATGATCTCATTCTGTTTTATTTTCCAAGGACTTCTCAAACTAGCTAGCCAGATGCACAAGAACACTTGCTGGACACTGTCTCCACTAATGAACTGGAATCAACTCCTGCCATAAGCCCCTGTAAGCAGTGTTCTCTTTGCCTCAAAACAAATTACGTCTACTTTTCTCTTTTGGTTTTATAAGCTTTCCCTCATTGTCTTTGGATGTACTTTTGGGCCCCACAGCTCGCATATCCCAGATTTGCAAATCCCCTGCACATTTCCAAACAAACTCAGTATCTCTGAAGGGACTCTCTCTGTGATGTAGGAGAAATGATAAAGGAGTCATAAACCATGATCCTGATGATGGACTTCATCCTGAGAAGAAGGTGAATCATAAAGATTGTTCAGCTGCAGGGCAAGAGCGATCCTAGAGACCAGGTGAGGAATCTGGTGTCTGTATTTCATTGGTAGATGCTCAAATTCTTTACAAAATGATTTCCTCCCCACATGATGCCTTCTGCCTCAGTGGCCCCACCGTTTTCACTTTTTCTGTTCTCCCCACATCGGGCCAGATAGCGATTCCTTCGTTCCCAGTTGCTGCCCTGTATTGTCATGCAGAGGCCCCTGGCCTTCCCCAGTCTTGTCTAAGGCTGCCAGTCGCTCCCCTTCTGTCCCAGCAGCAGCTTACATCTGTCCCTCCGGCAGCTGTGAGGCCTTGTCAATGTGGTTTTTTTTCCTCTGGCCTCCTTTCTTTGCCAAAATCTTCTTTCTGGCCCCCTGGGATTCCTGGACGCTGAGTCACCCGCGGACCGCTGTGACTCCCGCCCACTGCCGCTTACTCATCTCCTGGGCTCTGCCTTGCCGGCCGCCTCGCAGCCGGGAGGCCCAGACCCCGCACTGTGAGTGCGCTCCGTTCAGAGCAAAGGCTCAGGAGTGAGGCAAGCTGGATCGTGATTTTCCTACCAAATCCAGCTGGAGAGAGGACAGGGCTTGTGCTCAGAATCAGTGGGTATTTATCATGGCTCCAATAGCTGAGGTTTACTCTTCCCAAAGGTAGTTTCTGAAAAATATTTGGAAATACTGATTTTGTTTCACTTGTGTGATGGTGGAAGCTCTTTCTATTTGATGTTCTGAATGCCCTGTTTATGTCTTCTCAAAGAGTGTTTGCCTTTCAATAGGGAAACATGATTTGATTTTAGTATTACATACTATTTTTTCATGTTGTCTTTTTTAGATTAAGGTAAAATTTCCATGAGGTAAAATAAACATAAGTATTTATAATAAATATTTATTGAAATAATATATTTTACTTATACATACATAAATTTATTTATATTATACATACATAAATTTATTTATATTATACATACATAAATTTATTTATATTATACGTACATAAATTTATTGTTTATAAACAATAAATAATAAACATAATTTAATCAATAAGTTTAATTTAATTAATAAGCATGAATTAATGTTTAATTTAATTAATAAACATAAATTATAACAAACTGTAATTGATGAAATTTGACAAATACATACACTCATGTAACCATCATCCATATCAAGATATAGAACCTTTCCATTATCTCAGGAAGTTTTGTTGCTCCCCCTTTTAGTCAACCTCACCCTCAAAACTCCCCAAAGCCTTCCATCCCCCCAAAACAGCTAATTCTGATTTCTATTATCATAGCTTAGTTTTCCTGTTCTTGAAATTCGTGTAGATGGAATCAGACAGAATGGTTTTTCTTCTGTCCTGCTTCTTTTGCTGAACACGTTTTTGAGATTATTCCATGCTGTTGTGTTCTTTTTTTGCTGCTGGACATCATTCCATTATATAAATAAACCACAATGTATTTATTCTTCTTCGATGAACGTTTCAGTTGTTTCTACAAACAAATTTTTAAAATGAGTAAACTGTATAGAAAAGTTTAGAAGATTTTTACATAGTGGAGAGTTTTCTTCCTGAAATCAAAAATACATTCCTAGCAGATTATCTAAAAAATTGGAGTTAGATTCTCTGTTTACATCCTATAGACTCAAGATAAAAATCTGAAGGTCAAAGGAGACTATGTTTTAATGCTCTTTCAATCCCTATCCTGAGACTTTAAATAATAAGTAAAAATATTTTCTTCAGAACTCTTCCTTTGCATATTACTTTGCGAATATTGATTAGATAATTCACTCAAAACATTCCTTACTGTAATTATTTTTACTGTGTTTCAAAATGAAACAGAAATAAAAATAGGTCATGGGTTTTATTCAAAACCCAAGTGAAGCTTGAGTTAGGAACACTGAGCACCCTAAACTTGAAACTTGGGTCTAGAATATCAGTCATGTTGACCCCTGTAAGCAAACTTTGGATTAGTCATCTATTGTTCTGTAACAAATCATCTCAAATTTGGTGGTTTAAAACAGTAAACTTTTTTTTTTTTTTTTTTAATCTCACAATTTCTGTAGGACAGGAATTCAAGAGCAAACTAGCAGGTGGCTGTGGTCCTGGTTTTTCAGCTTGCCGTTAAGATATTGGGACACTTGGTCAAGGAGGAGCCTTATGAGAAAGAAAAAAATTAAGAGAAGATGGTTGCAGTAGGTTTTGAAGCAGGAGTAGGAGTTCACCAGGTGAACTAAGAGAATGTAGGAGTTGGGGAGAGGGTGTTGGAGCAGGCAGGGGAGATAGCAAATGCAACACCAGGAATTTTTTTTTTTTTTTAAGACAGAGTCTTGCCCTGTTGCCCAGGCTGGAGTGTAATGGCGTGATCTCGGCTCACTGCAACCTCTGCCTCCTGGGTTCAAGTGATTCTCCTGACCCAGTCTGTCAAGTAGGTGGGATTATAGGCACGCGCCCCCACGGCCAGCTAATTTTTTGTATCTTTAATAGAGATGGGGTTTCACCATGTTGGCCAGGCTGGTCTCGAACTCCTGACCTCGTAATCCACTCACCTCAGCCTCCCAAAGTGCTGGGATTACAGGCATGAGCCACTGTGACCGGCCAAAACCAGGGATTTTTATGTAGTTTCTCAGCAAGAAAGCAGAGGTAAAGTAAGTTTGGAGAGAGGGACATGGAAAAGTTCAGGAAGGTCATTGTATACCTTGCTAAAGAGTCTCGACTATTTTTCACAAGCAATCTGGATCTGCTAAAAATCTGTTAATTTGAAGTATGGAATGACATGTTCATATTTGCATTTAGAAAAAAGTAAATCTTAAAGCAATTTGGAAAGTAAATTAGAGAGAGAGGAGAAATTAAGAGCCCAGCAGAAAACTTGCAGGAAACTTACAATTGGGTAGGAGGAGGCTAATACAAGCTAAGAAAGGTGTTGTTAGAATCTACTTCTTTAGATGTGGTGATGGGAGAGGGAGAGGTGAAGAAAGATGAAGGATCCAGAATACTGCCAAGATTCTGGTACGGATGACTGATCAACAGTGATATCTTTAACCAGGACAGGAACTGCGGGGAAAAAGCTAGTCTTGGAGGAAAAATGATGAGTTAGATTTGGGCATGTTTGAGTTAGCTATGGGATATCTTGGTTGAGACATGAGTAGCAAGCAGGTAGATATATCAGCCTAGAGCTCAGGAGAGAGGTCTGAGCTGGAGATGCGGGTTTGGAAGTGTGGTTTGTTATGGTCAGGCCACTGCAGGCTGGGTGACATGGTTCTCAGATGCAGGTGATTTTGCTTAGCAGAGTACATTGGGCAATGTTGGGAGACACTGTTGTTTGTCACAACTGGAGAGGGAGGGTACTAATGGTGAATAGTGAGTAGAGGCTGAAGATGCTGCTAAACATCCTGCAATGGACAGGAAAGCTACCCTTACCCTACCCCCATTCCCCAACAAAGAATTATCCAGGTCAATATGTCAATAGTGCCATGGTTGAGAAACCCTGATTTACAGAGGCAGGAAATGCTTCATTTTACTTCATACTTCAAGTTAACAGATTTTTAGCAGATCCAGATTGCTGATGAAAAATTTTTCCAGGAGATGTTCCACTAGATCATGTGGGTGGGGGCTGCCACTGGGGTCTGTGACCTTGCTGCTTCAATCTGATTTTTTGAAGTTGAGCTTTGGAAAGGTGGCTTTTGTGGAGCTAGTGGAATGAAAGACTGAGCTAACTATGGCTGTATTCTTGCCACAAGCAGAAAGCTGGTCACTGGCCTATGAGAAAGGAACATGAGACAGAGAGCTCTGAGCAGGTCATCACAATTCCCTTCACAATTTTTCTTTATTTCTGTTGTTGGTTTTCAAAATTTCTGTGAACTTAATGTGGGGATGCCCCATCAGTGGTGCCAGTCATGGTGGCCTCTTCACTGGAGAGGTTGGCAGTGTGATTTGGGCATTGTCCAGCCTACATGGCCACCAAGCCAGATTTTCTGATCCTTTCAGAAATTGTATGAGCTACCTATAGTCCTTTAATAATTTTTTTGCTGAAATAGTTAGAATGGGTTCTGCTGCTTATCGTTAAGGATCTTGCTAGACACACTTTTTACCCAAGCTAGCTTGATTTGGGTTTCTTTCACTTGTGGCTAAAAGGGTCCTGGCTTAAACAGGTTTGCTAATTTGGGCGGAAAGGAAGAAGCTAGTGGACAGAAAAGTTTTAAATACGTGTGAGATCAAGATCATAATCCTGGGCTAGGCATGGTGGCTCACACCTGTAATCTGAGCACTTTGGGAGGCCGAGGTGGGTGGATTGCTTTAGTTCAGGAGCTCAAGACCAGGCTGGGCAATGTGGCAAAACTCTGTTTCTACAAAAAATACAAAAAAATCAGCCAGGTGTAGTGGTACACGCTTGTAGTCTCAGCTACTCGGGAGACTGAGAAGGGAGGCCCACTTGAACCTGGGAGGTAGAGGTTGCAGTGAGCCAAAATGGTGCCACTGCACTCCAGCCTGTCTCAAAAGAAAAACAAAAATCATAACCTTGGAGGATAAACCTTAAACCTTAGGCAGGAAGAGGGGCCTCTCACCCTTTGAGCAAGAAAGAAGGAGGTAAGAATGAGTGTGGGCAAAGATGAGTTTGTAGGTGTAAGATGAAAAACCAGGGCAAGTATGTTGAGTCAGAGTTAAGGCCACCTGCTGGGGGAAAAGGTGAGGGCTGGGATCTGAAGGATAACAGTGAAAGGTTAAAACTAATGTCATGAGGCATGGGGAAAGAGCTGAGCAGGGACATATTGAATCAAGACTGGATAAGAAATGCTGATGACTGACAAAGATTCTTTGCTTGGCCAAACTTTAGTTAGGCTTTCGAACGTTCTCCTAGGCCCACGTGTGCACTTCTTTGTAAAGTCCAGTTTTAGTAAGTAACACTGCCAAAGCAGTTTAGTAAGAATCCCCCACCCTCAATACTTAATCATCCTTGATATCTAATCAAAACTCTTCCCTCACCATTGTTGGTCTCTAATCACCTCGGCCTGCCTTCAGCAGGAATCCTGTTAGATTGGTTCAGCCAGAATTCCCCCAGCCTTGATGTCTCCTCATAGCAATTTTCTATCCACCAATGCCCTGCTCCCTGACTATACATCCGCACTTATCACTGATGCATTCAGAATGGAGCCCAGTTCTACACTGAGGTCCCGCTTTCCCTATTGCAACAGTCCTGAATAAAATTTGTTTTCATCACTTTAACTTCTGCCTGGCTCTGGTTTTCTTGATCATGACCTCAAATCTGTCATAAAGCCAGTCTGTGGTATGATGTGGTTGCACTCAGTAGCCGGCACTTATGGGTGGGTGATGGTGGGGTATGAGTCAGCAGGGGTGTGAAGAGAGCTGACTGGAGTGAGGAGGGTGAGGACAATGACAAGATGGTAAATTAAAGCATTCAGTGTTGAAGCCATACGTTGGATAGAGAAGAAACTGAAAGCAGGAGAAAGAGTGGTAGGCTGGGTGGAAAAAGAGGGGCTGCTGGTTTGGATGACGTCAAGGAGTAATTATTGCTGATGTGGTTGGATAGTGAGAAAACATGGAGGACAGGAGGAATCAAAGTGGGAATGGCAGTGTCCAGGGTGCGAGAGAGTGACTATTACCCAATTCCCTTCACCATCCTTTAGAAGCGGAGTCTTCATCTCCTTTCTCAGACAAGATGCCTTCTCTCTGTTTCCCTCTTCCCTGAGCCCGCATTTCACCTCACTCAAATAAGTTTGCATGAAGGGGAAAAACTTGCACTGTGGTTAATGTTAATGCAGAGAAAATATATATGAATGGTGGCTGGGCGCGGTGGCTCACGCCTGCAATCCCAGCACTTTGGGAGGCCGAGGTGGGCAGGTCACGAGGTCAGGAGATCAAGACCATCCTGGCTAACATGGTGAAACCCCGTCTCTACTAAAAATACAAAAAAATTAGCCAGGCGTGGTGGCGGGTGCCTGTAGTTCCAGCTACTTGGGAGGCTGAGGCACAAGGATGGCATGAACCCAGGAGGCAGAGGTTGCCGTGAGCTGAGATAGCACCACTGCATTCCAGCCTGGGTGACAGAGTGAGACTCTGTCTCAAAAAAAAAAAAAAAAAAAAAAAAAAAAAATATATATATATATATGAATGGTGATGCTAGGCTATCCCAGAATCTCTGACACTTTAGAATTGAAAAAATCTTGGGGTCATAGTTGAACCTGTTCAGCTACGAATATGAAAACAGGTCAGGAGAGGTTAGTGTGTTGTATCCAAGCTCACGGTGCAAATTCTTGGCAGTTCCGAGACTAGAATGCAGACTTCCTGACTCTCAAGGCTAAGTTCTTCCCATCACATGCGTTGATGCCTGTGAGGCCGACTTCTAGGATGGACACTCACACAACCCCACACATACGTACCCATCTGTTCAGGCCTTTCTTTTATACTTGTGTTTGTGGCTTCTAATATATACATCAGCATATTTGTGATATTGTGATAGAATAAGAAATGTATATTTGGTTTTTGTTCCTGGCTCCTGGCACAGACCTCCTAAAACCTTTGGGATTTTCTGGGTGGTAGGTAGGGGTGAGAGGAGCATCTTTTGTTATTCATAAGCCCCTTCCAACCATACCTGAGTTTATGCTAAGGCGGTAGCTCTTAGAGGATGGGGGATGGTTGCCATAGGAACCAACTATGTGATTAAAGGTTTGGAACTTTGAGCCCCTCACTCCTCCTATGAGGAGGAGAGAGGGGCTAGAGATTGAGTTCAATAACCAATTGCCCATGATTCAATCAATCATGCCTATATAATGAAGCCTCCATAACAATCATAAACAACAGGCTGTGAAGAGCTCCTGGGTTGCTGAACAAATGGAGTTGCTGCAAGGATGCCATGCCTGGAGAGGGCCTGGAAGCCCTGTGCCACACCCCCATGCCTTGCCCTATGTACATTTTCATCTGCATCATTGGCAACATCCTTTATAATAAACCAGTAAAAGTAAGTAAATGTTTTCCAGAGTCTTGTGAGCCATTATAGCGAATTATCAAACCTGAAGAGTAGCTTGTGGGAAGTCCCAATTTATACTACAGGTGACAACTTGGTACTTTTGACAGGCATCTGAAGGTGGGGCAGCAGTCTTGTGGGGTATGCATTAACTCCGGATAGTTAGTGTCATAGTTTACTTGTAGGTCATCCAGTTTGTGTCTGGAGAGTTGGAGAATTGCTAAATGTGAGGATAAACTCCATACATTTGGTGTCATAAGTGTTGCATGAGTAGAAAAAAGTTTTTCTCTAGAATACTAAAGTCGGGGTTCTCCAGAATAACAGAAGCAATAGGATATGGAGATACATACATAATTAGGTATATTATAAGGAATTGCTCTCATGATTATAGAGACTAAGAATTCCCACTATCTACCATCTGTGAGCTGAAGACCCAGGGAGCTGATGGTAAAATTCTGAGTCCTGAGCCCTGAGAGCCTGAGAGCTGATGATGTGTGGATTCCTGTTCAAGTCTGAAGGCCTGAGAAACAGGAGTGCTGAGGGTGGGCATGAGCCACTGCGCCCAGCCCATAGTTTTTTTTTTTTTTTTTTTTTTTTGAGGTGGGATCTTGCTCTGTCACCTAGGCTGAAGTGCAGTGGCAATCACAGCTCACTGCAGCCTTGAACGCTTGGGCTCAGGAGATCTTCCTGCCTCAGCCTCCGAGATAGCTAGGGCTACAGGCATCTACCACCACGCCTGCCTGATTTTTAAAATTTTTATTTTATTTTTTATGAACAGGGTCTCCCTATGTTGCCCAGGCTGGCCTCGACTTCTTGGGCTCAAGTGACCCTCCTAGCCTCAGCCTCCCGAGTTTCTGGGATTACAGGCACAAGCCACTGATCCTGGCTAATTTTAGATTTTGAGTGGGATGGATGGGGACTGAATCATCAGCATGGAAAATGAAGGTGGGATTCAGTGGTGAGAGCTTCTGGAAGAAAAAAAAGGGGTGAGAAATTTAAACTCATCTTCTTGTTATTTTTACGCATTAAACAAGTCAACACATTTAATCTTTACCAACATTCCAAATAAGGAAAAATCAAATCATTGTCCAAGGTCATACACTAGTTAAAATCATAAAATAAAACTTAACCTAACCATGGATGAGTTCTTTTTGGAATTCAGAATGCTGTCTAGAATACATTTATTCCCCTGGCAAAGTTCTCCCTTATAAAATTGCCTTTTAACTCTTTTTCATATCTCATTTCATAGCCTTCTTAATATAAGTAGTTTGCAGTTAATAGCAACCTTTGTTTAAGAAAACCAATACCCCTATACTATAATGCATTCAATGCATTCATACATACATTCACTCATCCATTCAAAACATTTCATGAGCAGTTACTTAGTGCTCATGAGTTTTTTTGTCTTGTTTTGTTTTGTTTTTGAGATGGAGTCTTGCTCTATCTCCCAGGCTGGAGTGCAGTGGTGGCACAATCTCGGCTCACTACAACCTCCGCCTCCTAGATTCAAGTGATTCTCCTGCCTCAGCCCCCGAGTAGCTGGGATTACAGGCGTGCACCACCACACCTGGCTAATCTTTGTATTTTTAGTAGAGACGGGGTTTTATCATGTTGGCCAGGCTGGTCTCGAACTCCTGACCTCAGATGATCTGCCTGCCTCAGCCTCCCAAAGTGCTGGGATTACAGGTGTGAGCCACCCTGCCCGGCCTGGTGCTCATGAAATGTTTTGAATGGATGAGTTAATGTATTAATATGTGCACTGTGCTAGGTGTTGGGGATTCAGCAATAAACAAGAGATGCAGGATGCTTGTCCTTTTATATGCATGCTTAGTATTTTTATTGCTGCTGCTTCTCTCTTTCTCTTTTATTTTTTTTTTTTTGAGACAGGGTCTCACTCTATCTCCCATGCTTGAATGCAGTGGCGTGAACTCAGCTCACTGTAGCCTTGACCTCCTGGGTTCAAATGATCCTCCTACCTCAGCCTCCCAAGTAGCTAGCTGGGACTTCAGGTGTGTGCCACTACACCCCCCTCATTTTTGTATTTTTTTGTAGGGATGGGGTTTTGCCATGTTGCCCAGGATGGTCTCGAATTGCTGGGCTCAAGTGATCCACCTGCCTCGGCCTCCTAAAGTGCTGGGATTACAGATGTGAGCCACCGTGCCCAGCCTTTACTGCTTCTTTTACTAATAGTGTTGAGAATCTCAATCACACCTAAAAATTCTGCATGAAAGATTCCTATGAGATATTCTAATTATTTACCCAAGATCTACATTCCAGTGTCCTACTAGGAAAGTTGATTTACATTTTACTGGATAAATACAAATGTTTTGCATAAAAATAATGGAAAGACATCTAAAACTGAAAATCTCCTGAGGAGTCTCTGCTTTTAATTTCTTGGTGAGCACATGGATCTCAATAAGGGGATAGTTAGCACTGTTAGCTCAGGATGAGTTTCTGAAAGATACCTGGACCTGTTGCTATGTCTGAATGTGTCCCTCTCAAATGGATATGTTGAAATCTTCACCTCTAAGGTGATGGCATTAGGGGTAGGGCCTTTGGGAGATGATTAGGTCATGGGAACTCCACTTCATGATTAAGATTAGTGCCTGCTATGGTTTGAACATGCCCTCCAAAGTCCATGTGTTAGAAACTTAATCCTCAATGCAACAGTGTTGAGAGGTGGGCCTTTAAGAGGTGAGTAGGTCATGAACGGGAGTGAGTTAGTTATCTCGGGAGTCAGTTCCTGATAAAAAGGATGAATTTGGTCACCTTTCTCTTGGTCTCAAGTGCTTGGTTTCCCTTCTACCTTCTGCCTTCCTCCGCAGGATGATATAGCATGAAGGCCCTCACCAGACGCTGGTGCCATGCTCTTGGACTTCCCAGTCTCCAGAACTGTGAGCCAAATAAACTTCTGTTCTTTATAAATTACCCAGTGTGTGGTATTTTTATTGCAACAGAAAAGGGACTAAGAGTGCCTTTAAAAAAGAGACCCCAGAGAGCTAGCTAGTCTCTTCTGCCATGTGAGGTTACAGTAAAGATGGCTGTCTATGAGGAAGCAAGCCCTCACCTGACCCCAAATCTGTGGAACCTTGTTCTTGCACTTTCCAGGCTTCAGACTGTGATAAACACATTTCTGTTGTTTATAAGCTACTCACTTCATGCAATTTTGTTATGGCAGCCTGAACACACTGAGAGACCTATTTTCTCCAGAGACACTACAACCACTTTAAACCTAAAGAGCAAGAATGGGGAGCCACTAGAATAAAGCTACATTCCAGTATCACTGCTGGGATGTAGAGATGATGGTGGAAAAAGACTTGACAGAGCCCACTGAGGAAGGCAGCCCCACCTCTAATCTCACCCTGGGACTTTAAGACATGAATGAGTTGAGGGCAGATAGGTGACTTGAATTAAATTCCAGGTGACGGTTTTACAGTTGTTGGCACCAGCAGATGGGGATCAGAGGGCCCACGTGTGGAGAGAAGGGTAGAGGGTGGGGGTCTAGGCTAGTTGTATGTTGATAGGGGCCATCGATGGTAGACTCTGGATGAGGCAGAATAGGCGGGAAGAAGGGGGAATGGCACCAGGAAGCATCAGGTTGGCCCCCAAGAGTTGGACCTGCCGTCTCTGAGAGACTGGCTGGCAATAGGTCCTGCTGCAGTGGAGCAGTGGGTCCAGAGGAGGTTATTTTTGCTTTTAATATGAAGGTGGGTCCTTAATCATCAGAACAGGAACTGAGAATGATGGTTAGTGTTTCTGAAAGAAAAAAGAGCCATGGGGGAATGGAATCAACCCTTTTTCACAATTTGTTAGGCAGTTTCACAAATTAACTTATTTGAAACTAGCCTCCACTCTAGATAAGGAAGCCAAGGATCAGAGAAATCACATAATTTGTCCAAGTCACATCCCTGGTATGCAGGCAGAGTAGGGATTTGAACTCAACTGTCTCTGTCTTCAGAGAGTGTGCTTTTTCCAGATCTTGCCTGGAAGACATGATGTTCCTCCTTTCCCTTTGTATCTAGCCCCTACTTTACTCCTCAGCCACTCTCTCGTTTCTTCTGCTTCATGCAATTCATTCTCCTGCCATCTTTTCTTCTTCTTTAACTTGCCATAATTTGCAATAGATATATTTATTAAACAAAATCAATTTTTAAAGTAGACTGGTTGAAAATGTTATAATTTTCTAAAAAACAAGATTCCAATTCCTCTAAAACTAAAGAAGAGTTGTTTTGTACTTATTTATAAAAAGCCTGTAACTCATTTTCTTTTCTTTATGTGTCATTATAATCAAGGGAAACAGTAGGGCCATGAATATATGATCAAAATATTAGAGTTGAGAGATGTAGAAACTGAAACACAAAGAAGCTCAGCGACTTATTTAGAATAAATTGGCTAGTTCCTGAATGATCCAAATAATTGAGAGAAATAGGGAAAATCCTGAGTTAACAAATAAATACAGTTTCAAAAGTGTGTTTGTAAATTAGTTCTCTGGCATTTGGTATATTTCTCTAATAAAAAGAAAATTGATGTGACCTGAGTGTCTCATAGAAAACAGCTGAAACTCATTATTTATATCTAAGAATAGTATAAAAAACTCCCCACAATTATTATGTAGTACTTATAATGAACACAACACAAAGACAATACACTGAGAAAGAAGGACTTTAATTTTTAAATGTGTAAGAAGAGAAAATTTAATTAGAAAGATGAAAGACTTAACTGGCGAATCCGGCAGAGATTCTAAAGATGACATTTGGACACTGATAAAGGCCATTGGGGGATGAATGACAGACACTTGTTTTTAAGAGTGTGAAAGCTGTCCTTATCAAAATGGAGTCAATTGTGTTAAAAAACGAGACAAATCCCTGACAAATGGCTGGGGAAGGCCATGAAGGGAGGGTTCTAATACATAAATGCCTGATAACAAGAACTATTGAAAAATACTGCAAAAACCACAACTTTGGACAAAGGCCATTGCAACCACACACACACACACACACACACACACACACACACACAGAGAGAGAGAGAGAGAGAGAGAGAGAGAGAGAGAAAATGAGAACTTCTGCGGAGACATCTGCCCAGCAACTGCCTGTACAACATTAGACTGGTGCCACTCTAGTTATTGATTACTGTAGCCAAGGATAATTATCTCAAAAACAATGATGTAATCTTCCTTCTTCCTTGAAAAACCTTTGCCTTCCTTTACCTCCCTGAATACGCAAAATAGTTTAATATGGCACACATATTCCCATTGCAATGCCCATTCCCAAATAAACATCATTTTCTTTTAGAAAGTCTCCCTCTCTGTTTGTTATTAGGCTGACAAGAGGTAGTGAAAGAGATTTCCTGAGTGCCTATCATTTATATCACTCAGTAGTTAAGAACATCAGTTGTTCAAAATCCATCAATTAAATACACAATTCAAAGCAGAATCTTTATGTGGCAATCTCTCTTTATTCTAAATAAGTCGCTGAGCTTCTTTGTGTTTTAGTTTCTACATCTCTCAACTCTAATATTGTACCTTCCACTCCAGCCATTTTAGACAGTTCAAATCACACAGACACAAAGAGATACTTTCCTTCTCTTGGTTTTGCAGTTCACTTAACCAGACCACCCTTTCTCCCCTTCATAGTTTGATAAAATATCCTCTCTCAAAAGCCTAATCCAAATGCTATGTCAACCATCTGACAAAATATTAGCTCCTTCCTCTGAAACTAATTGCATTTTGATTGCATTCTAGGCATTTCTTTCCTGATTTATAGTCTCTCATTGTAGTGTTCATATACATGCTTTATCTATAATATTAAGGTGCAAACTCTTAGGTATGGCCTTTCCACAGGTGCTCAGTGTATAGTTGTCAAATACAATTAAATTGTATCAATTTAGGTTTCTGTTCAAGGCTTCTCAGAAATGGCTTCATATCACCTTTGCAAAATAAGTGTTCCCTTCATTTCCATTCCCTAGCCTTTATTTTCTTTATACCACGCATCACACAGGACATATTAGATACTTGTTTATTGTTTGTTTCCTCCACCAGAATGTATGACCTATGAGGGCAAGGCCTTTGTTTCACTTGCCGTGTTTACCCCAGCACCTAGATCTGTGCCTGGTCCAGAGTAGGAGTTGAATAAACTGATATTACTGGAAGTGAAAGAAATGCTACCTGGAGTATTTCAAGACTCTGAGTCCAATAACTCATCGATTTTGTCAGTATTTAGCTGCAGGACATAGAGCAAGTCACTAACCCATGATGAGTCTCATGTCCCTGTAAAATCAATGATTGTTAAATACAGGATCTCTGAGGTCCTGTTTAACTCCATTAATGTGAGAGTAGAAAGTGAGAGAAGCAAACTGAGTTCAAGTGGATATGGGTGAGAAAAAAGAATGCTCTAGGCAAGACTACAGGTCCTGCTTTTGGTGCAGGGCAGAGAGAAAGTAGAAAAGCTGGAGCAACGGAGACAGATGCTCAGAAAAGGGCTGCCTTCAGATATATTAATACCTGTAAAGAAAACCCGGGGGAGGTGCTGACTTGGGGAGAGCCTGAGGCTGAGTAGACAGCTGGGCTGGTGGAGAGGAGGCTCCCAGAGGAAAGGCAACCCGCCAGTGGGGTGGGGGTGATGGGGTTGGCAAGCTCCACAAATTTTGCAATTTTGCCTCCTTTCCCAGAGAACAACCACTCTGTTGTGACTTTGTCAGGGCTGGAATAGGCATGTGGTTCACACGTGAAAGCGAATGAGAAGTTCTATACAAAGAACCACATTTGCTGTCCATTTAATTTATTCTTCCTCATTCTCAAAGAAGACTAGATCCTCATCTCTTACCCTTAACCTCCACGTTGAGAAGCACTTTGCCCTTCCCATTCTAGCATATGTCTAGAACACTGCATCTAGTGTCGCAAACTTGTCCTCTTGCCCCCTCTGCCCTGGCACCTTCCCTCCCCACACCAGTAAGTCTGAGAAGGTCCCTGTGTCTTCTACTTTTCCTTTTCCAGCATATGGAGACAAAAGTGATTATATCCCGGATGCTAATCCGCCATGTTGACCTTTAATAACCCCAGTCCCATGAATACCTCCTGATTCCTAGGATTTTTTTTTTAAACTGTCCTTAGCATAAGAACATGTCAACCTTGATGCTATTGCCCACATTGTAGGCTATGAAGCATACGGCATTCTCACCTGTTCCGGAGGGCTGCCTTTAATTGTCTTGCACAGAGCAGTATACTCTTTCCTTACGGTATATAAGGCCAGGGTCTGGGGAGTAACAGTGCAGAAATTTATCTGCTTGCCGCCGCCCAAGGCCACGCTTCTGTCTACCACATCCTCCAATAGCACCCCTATTACCTACAGACTGGATTTGTCTGTCTCGTTCTTTGGTTTCTTGACTCCTTCGCGTTTGGGGGCTGCTTTGCATATAAAGCCCTTTCACAGAACACAGCACCATGCTAGTACAATACGCTGTAGATTCTCCCTCCCTCCCCCTCTCTCTCATATACTCATATATTTTATGTTGAACCAATATGAGGCATTGCTCAAATTTAAGTCATATTAAAGTTCTAGGCTAGTTTTGAAAACAGAAACTGATTGGAAGCAGAGGTTTTCAAATAGCCCACATACGCTACTAGAAGGCTGTACATTTAAGAGAGGGCCATCTAGGAAGCAATAATAGGCATTAAAACAACAACAAAACAACAAAACAAAACAGAAACAAAAACAACTTGGGAAACGGCCCTCCTTTCACGTTTTTTCTATCCCATCGACAAAGGCGCGCTGTCCTTAGCTGCGATGATTTTGTCTCGCCTCCAAAAAGACGCCCACGCACTATGTTGAGCACCCAAGTGAGGCTACGGTTCCTGCGGTCACAGAGGGCAGGGAGGCTCAAGCACCTCCAAAACCCCGAGCCCTGGACAGCTCCCCAGGCCCTTCCCGCGGCGCGAGGACAAGAGGTCTCCGGGGCCCTCGGGGGAGCGGCGCCTCCTCCTGGTTCCAGCAGCTCTGCGGCCGCTCCCCACCCAGGCCCGCGAGACCAGCGGGACAGTCCGCGCCGCGGGAGACCAACTGGGACGAGCCGCGACCCACGCAGGCGCGCTGAGGCCGGGGCAGGGGCGGGCCCGGCTGGCGCGGCCGGCCTGCGGTTGGGGCCCTGGCGGGGGTGGGACGGGCCAAGCCGGGCAGGGCCGGGGTGGGGCCGCTGGCGTTTCCGTTGCTTGGATCAGTCTAGGTGCAGCTGCCGGATCCTTCAGCGTCTGCATCTCGGCGTCGCCCCGCGTACCGTCGCCCGGCTCTCCGCCGCTCTCCCGGGGTTTCGGGGCACTTGGGTCCCACAGTCTGGGTGAGTGGTCGCAGCCCGGGGAGGGGGCTCCTTCTGGAGAGGAGAGCGTGGTCGCGGGGCACTGGATTCGCGCGGACGCTCGGCCGAGAGCTGTCCCGGTAGCTGCGAGAGGGCGGGTCGGCCCCGTGGCGGGGCCCTCCGGGCTGTCTGAGCGCCGCCGGGTCCCCGCGGACCTGCGCTTGGGGAGGGCACGAGTTGCAAATGGCGCGCTAAGCCCGAGGTTTCTTCTCTTTTGCAGTCCTGCTTCACCTTCCCCTGACCTGAGTAGTCGCCATGGCACAGGTAAGGCCGTGCGCCCCCCACTGCGCTGGATTTACCCACAACTTTGTATGCTGCGACGAGGGACTTTTAGGATTTGTCTGAGAGCCAAAAAGTTTAGGAGGAAAGGGAACCTGCTTTGGGGACATCGCTTCCACTTTTCTTGTTCCCCCTTTGCTTCCCTGCCCCCGTTTCTGTGTCCCGGTTCTTCCCGCTGAGCGCCCTCCGGAACCAGCACCGACGCCGCCAAGCTGCCTTCGCGCGCAACAGCTGGTGACGTGGCCGGATTTGTGTGCGCTCCCTTTTCATGAGTGAATGTGTAAAAGTGGGCCTTCCCCAAAATCCAGAGAGTAGCTCAAATTAGAACCGGAGCAAGAACAGCTCATCGTGGTCATGTGAGGCGAACGCATTCCCCCCCCACCCCGCCCCCCGACTTCCTTTATTTTTTTTCCGCAAAGTTTTCTGTATTTTAATACTGTGATTGAGCATTGGCTTTTTCCAGTTGCTCAGCCCAGTTTTACTAAAACTGTAGGACGTAGGCTCTGATTTTTTTTTTAATCCAAAAGATTAAACACAAGCGCTGTTTTTCTTAAGCAATGAACTCGTGGAACGAGTTCTCAATTGAATTTGCCTTGGGACTGTTTCAGAAATTGATAATCTACTACAGGCTTTCTTTACTGTTTTTTTTTTTTCCTTTTTTTTTGAGACGGAGTCTCACTCTGTCGCCCAGGCTGGAGTCCAGTGACGTAGTGATCTCGCTCACTACAACCTCTGCCTCCCGGGTTCAAGCAATTCTCGTGTCTCAGCTTTCCAAGTAGCTGGGATTACAGGCGCCCCACCATGCCCAGCTAATTTTGTATTTTTAGTAGAGGCGGGGTTTCACCATGTTGGCCAGGCTGGTCTCAAACTCCTTGCCTCAAGTGATCCTCCCGCCTCGGCCTCAGGACTGTAATCCCACTGCGCCTGGTTTCTTTACTGTTATTAATGTTTATCAAAAATGTAGGAAAGAGAAGATAGTTTAAGGTCTTTAAATATTGACCATGTTATACAGTCTTTTGTGAATAAGATACCAGGGCTTAAAAACTCTAAAACTGATTTCACAGATCTTGTCAATCTAACCGGCTTGTCAGAGTCCAGATAGTTTTTTTTAAACAAGTGTTTTAACTGCTAAAACAATGCTGTCTCTTATTTATAGTTCACTTTTTATCAGATTGACTTATCAAAATTGAAAAAGGTTTCTTGGTCCTTTCCAAGTGAAAATGGGAGGATTAAGATTAGTTGATTACTTTATGAAACTTACACAGTGATCCCATTCTTACCTCCTCTTTTGCACTTAAATGTTACAGTAAACCAATTCTCATATTACTTCAAGTGGAAAGTTTGGTTTAAGTTCTTCTCCATAGAAAGGATACTTTTATGTGGAATTAACTTTCCTGAGTAATATTTTTCCTATCTTGATATGCTGGTGTGGTGATGTACATGAAGATTTAACAAGCATCGAATAATAATTCCCTCTATCTTTGCTCATTTAGCAGTTTCTTGAATCTCTTGTAAGTTCCCCAGTGATGTCTGAGGGTCCATCAATTCCTTTTCATTATGTAGACTGTTTACCCAAATAGTATAAGCGAACATATTTTCCAGTTGTGGACATTAATTTTAATAATTTCAAAGAATGATTAGTATCATAAAGGCCATGTGTATAGAAAACCTAGGAGAATGGTGGTTTGCATATAAAATTATGTACCTGAGCCCTATGACAATATAACACCAAGACTGTTTTCTATCAAAACTACAGTTTTTACTAATCATAAAAGTTACAAGTAATGTTTTAAAAAAGATACAGAGTGTTAAATTTTGTTCTAGTTTTGTTACTATTTTTGGAAATCATGAAAGTAAAACATTTTGTTAAAATATTTAGTATTGGCCAGGCATGGTGGCTCATGCCTGTAATCCTAGCACTTTGGGAGGCTGAGGCACGTGGATCACGAGGTCAGGAGTTCGAGACCAGCCTAACCAACATGGTGAGACCTCGTCTCTTCTAAAAATACAAAAATTAGCTGGGCATGGTGGTGCACAACTGTAATCCCAGCTACTCGGGAGGCTGAGGCAGGAGAATCACTTGAACCCGGGAGGCGGAGGTTGCAGTGAGCTGAGATCGCGCTGCTGCACTCCAGCCTGGGCAACAGTGAGACTACGTCTCAAAAAAAAAGTTTAGTATTAAAGTTGGGTGCGGCGTCTGAGCAGTAAGAATGTCATGAAGGCAAAACTAGGCTACGTAATTGTTCATTAGAAGCTTCATGAACATCAGAATTTTTTTGTTTATTTTTTATTTATTTTTTATTATATATATATTTTTATTATACTTTAAGTTCTAGGGTATGTGTGCACAACATGCAGGTTTGTTACATATGTATACATGGTGCCATGTTGGTGTGCTGCACCCATTAACTCAATATTTACATTAGCTGTATCTCCTAATGCTATCCCTCCCCCCTCCCCCCCGCCCACAATAGGCCCCGGTGTGGGTGTGTGATGTTCCCCTTTCTGTGTCCAAGTGTTCTCATGAACATCAGAATTATCTCTATGGTATATGTTTAAGTTACAAGGTTTGATCAGAAATATTTTCGGTTGGTTTAAAATTATTATAATAATTTAAAAAAGCCCTGTGCCGAGCAAGCAGGATAAATGTAAATAAATAAATTTGAGATGAAACTCCTTCCAGAGGAGCTGACTGGATATTGATTGCATCTTTTCATGCCATTCATTTTTTAAAGTCAAGTCTCTCTGGAGCTAATGTTCACTTTTGGGATCTTAGATCAGGGTTACCTGTTTACCCGTGGCCTGTGCTGCTCCTGGTGATTTCTCTTGGTTCCTTATCTGTTTAACTCTTAAGTTCATTTTGGCTGCTGAGAAAGAACTAGATCAAAAACTACTTGGCTGCTTTGCAAGCCACTGAGCAATTCATTGGCATTCAGCAAACCCTGATTTCCTTATCTAATATCCAGTTCTCCTTGGAAGGCCTACATAGGTGATCAGGCTAGTTACAGGCAGGCAGTCCGGCTTTCTTCTTTTAATGACTTAGAAGTTCAAAATGGTAAAAATATAACAGTGCTTTTACAGCATAGATTCATTCCTGAAATACATTTTATTCATATAACCTTCATACTATTCTAAAATTTCACAAATGCATCTGTTTTTTAAAAATTAGGGCTCCTAAGACCTTTGCTTTAAGTGCTTCTTAGACGCAGTCTTTCAGTTTAGTTAGTTTACATAATATGTAAACATATCATCAATTGATTAATTGCAAGGAATTATACTCCTGGCTTCATTTCTTTGGACACTAGTTTTTTGGGTTTTTTTTTTTCTCCCCCGAGATGGAGTCTCGCTTTGTTGTCCAGGCTGGAGTGCCGTGGCGTGATCTCAGCTCACTGCAACCTCTGCTTCCTGGGTTCAACTGATTCTCTTCCCTCAGCCTCCGGAGTAGCTGGGATTAGAGGCATGTGCCACCACGCCTGGCTAATTTTTGTATTTTTAGTAGAGACGGAGTTTCGCCATGTTGGCCAGGCTAGTCTCGAACTCCTAACCTCAAGTGATCCGTGTGCCTCGGCCTCCCAAAGTGCTGGGATTACAGGCATGAGCCACTGCGCCTGGTGGGACACTAGTTCTTAACTGTTCTCTTTTTCATCCATGCATGCATTCATGAATGCATGAGGCTTTTGCATTTTCACTATGTGCCAAGTATTGTTAAACATGAGCGCAATGGGAAATGGATCTAAGATTTATTGATATAATAGATGCATTGCCAAGTCTTTTGTGTGCATTATTTAGTCCTCATAACACAGTTTTGGAAATAGGTATTACTATTTTTGTTTCACAGAAGGGGAAATTGAGGTTACTTAGCTGGCATTCTTTGTATGGGACAAAGGAGGGAAGCCATCATACAGAGAGGTAACAACAGCAAATAAATACTTAGGGGTGTAAAAGAGTTTGGCATGATGGAGTGAAACTGCAGTGAGGTGGGGAAATCAAGCCTTGTCTTGGAAGGGATAGAACTTTTCAAGTGTTATTCATGGAATGCCCAATGGAACAATTTGGTAAAAGAGCATACTCTCCTCTGACCTTCAATGTGAACTCATGGGAGGCCAATGCCACCTGCTCACTTTAACTCACTCAAGACATCACTGGAGTTATTCTTGGGCAACTTGAGCACACAATTTAACTTTCCATTTTATTGGTGTTTGTCAAGGGAAGTCATTCTTACACTGGTAAAGAGACACAACATTAAACACAGAGCATTAAAGAAATACACAACAAAAATTTAAATCATTTTACAAATCTTCACTTTGTTATCAAAACCTTCTTTTCTACCACGATGCAAACAACTTAGTCTGTTCTCCAGTGATGTTTTTTTTCCCTTGCATTTGATTTTAAGAAACAGGTCAAAGGTGGTAGGATGGATAGACAAATGGAAAGAAGCAAAAACAAGTAAGATGGAGCATGAAAAGGAAAGGAAATTACACAAAAGTAAGCAATAGGCCAGTTCGAGTTTAACGCTTTGAACTATATCATTCACTTTTTCTGAGTTGGGATTAGAGCAAGGGTTAGGATTGGGGGTTGAGAGCATGTCTCTGACCTCTGATGTGTTTGTACTCCTCAGTCTTCTTGGAGGTCCTAATTTTTTCCCTGATAATTATTTTGCTTTACAGCTCAAAGCATAATCAGGTCACACTGACATTTCCCTCTTTTATGCCCTTCTTATTTTTTTCTTAGTACAGTGATAAATAATTTATTTTCTCATTAGCGGGAACCATTATTGCAGGAAATATTAACGGGCCTCTAATACGTACATAAGGTAGGGCCCTAGTGTATGTACATGGAGTGGGGAGGCAATTGTCTTCCCAGCTTACTGTTTTTTGGAGTGGCTCCAAGGTCTTTGGAAACCTGCCTCAGAAGAACCACCCTTAAAAATCACTGCATAGCGGCTTAGCAGTTGCTCAGCTTGTGGTTTGCTTCATGATTTCCAGCTCCTAGTTAATATTACGTGGAATGCTGGAGGTGGGGGGAGGGTGCGGTATTTGAGTAAATATTGATTATATGGAACTGGAGAACAAAGAGAGTTTAGTCCTTTTCTGTGTCTTCAGGAAGGCTTTATTTAAAATGTTCCAGACAGGTGAATACTTTCTCATCTTTAAACTTGAAATTGTTATTTATGTCTAAGTTCTGTGTCTAGAAAAGCTACCCTTCCCTTGTTGTTTGGTTGGTCTTATTCATTTTTTTTTTGGCATACCTAGTCCTTGCGGGTAAAGAACTTTTTCATTTAGAGAAAAAAAAAGCCAACAAAATTATAGACCTAAAGAATGGATATTTTTGAAGGTGAGAATTAAAAGAGTGAATTGTATATTTTGGCCAAGTATTATCTAAGAATATATTATAATTATCTTCGTAAGGCATTGGTGGTAGCAGATAAAGGGAATTGAGGATGAACTGAGGATGGGTGAATGGGTGAGGGAACAGTACCTACTTAAGAGTTGGCATTAATCTGGGTAAAGTGTGGGGACTCCAGGAAACAGGGGAAGCCCTCTTGAATGAGTCATTTAAAGTCACATTTGCAGACAGTTTTGGGTGGGCAGTGATGGGGTTTGCACAGGATGTCCAAACAAGGGTTCTGCCCTTCTTACTCATTTCTCTGATTCACATCTGGTCTCTTAATACCGCTACGTGGCTTTGCTATCCTTAGTGGATGACTCTGACTGTATGGAATGTAGCAAAAGTGTTTCACAATTTCTAGAAAGCTCTCAAAAAGAGGACTAGCAGTTGTTTCTTCATGCTTAGTAGGTGAGATTTTTAAGATGCTTTTCTTCCATTCATCTTTCACCTAATTTCCTTCAGTCTCTGGTGTCAGATATCTTTTTTCTTTAGGCAAATCCCTCATGTCTCTTCTGTTTCTAACCTCTCCCTGTTTTTCACCTCTCTGTCTCTCCAGAAGTTTCTTCATAGCCTACAAACCTTATCAAGCCTTTTTTTTTCTCTTAACTGTGTTTTTAAAAGCCTGCTTTGCAAACTGTTGTTTCATTGAGACCGTCTTTCCCTCAATTCATTCCTGAGTGTCCTATAGCCAGACTGTTAAACACCACCAAAGATCTCCTAGTTACCAAATCCAGTGGACCCTTTCACTCTTAGCTCTTCCTTGACTTCCTGTGGTATTGGACACTGCCTCCTCTTTCTTTCCTCTTGGAACATTTGCCTCCTTCAGCTTCCATGCCATCACCCTCCTTGGATTTTCTTCTTGCCTTTAGGAGTACAGTGTAGCTTCATGGGTAAGAGCCCAGGAGCCAAGGTCCTGTGGCTTCAAGTCCCATCTCTGCTACTTGCTTGTTTGATGGTCATTTGGGTGACTCACTTGCTAAAACCTTTCTGAGCCAGTATGTTTCTTTGTCTGTAAGATGGGATTTCCCTGAGATGATCTATGTGAAGCTCTGTGCACGGTGCCTGGTGCATTGCTGCACTCAGCAGATACTAGCTGCCACTCTGATTGTAGGTCACCTTCCCTTTCCTTCTCCTCTGGCTCTTTCCACCCCATTAATATTGTCTTGCGTGGTGGCCCCCTCCAGCTACTACCGGCGTATGCTGACAACTCACCAAGCCTACTATGGAGAAATGCAAAGTCAGCCATCCTCTTTCTCATCCAAAAAACAGAATCACCCTAAGTAGTTCCTGTCTACCTGGGGCCTGTTTCTGTCCCTGCCTTTGTTTAGGTCTTCCTTTCCTTCTTTGTGTTGTTAGTTTCTAAGCAGTCTTCTTGTCACTCTTGCACAGTCGGTTCCATCTTGCTGTGCAGAGTTGACATTGTTCTTCCCTGCCTGAGTGTCCTCCAGTGGCTTCCTGTTGCCTACAGGATGAGGTCTGCACATTTTAGCATGGCTTTTGTGCCCTTCCCCTCCCTTCACTGTGACCTTTCCCTTGTTTTTGTTTCAACCTTACTGCTTGTTCCAGTCTGCTGAAATACTTAACTCTTTAGCCAAAGTACCAAGATTGGCCTGGCAAATTCACAGGCAACTTTCAAGACTGTTTGGAATTTTTTTCCGAATTTTTTCTCTTTTCACACTTCCCAATATAGTCCTCTCAAATGTGCTCACATTGCCCTAATCCAGCCTCTGTGTGTACATATTCTACTGCACTTGATTAGTTATATGCCTGTCATTTCACACTTAACTTGAGGGATCCTGACTTTTAACTAGTAGTTAGTATAATACTTTGGACGGGGGAGACATTCAAAAGATGGTGAGTCAATGAGTAAAAAGACAGATGGACTGCAAGGGGCATTCAGTCCTAAGTTCTCACATTAAGAAAACTTGTAGAGTTTATTCATTTTTACAATGATACTGATCAATTTGAAGTGGTCTCATTAAAGAGAAGCTGTAACTTGATCTGAGAGAAAGAACTTTCCTAACACAGGCTAATTTTGAGCATCATCTTCTCAAATCTTATCAATTTCTCTTCTAAACTATAACTCCTTTTATGAAGTTGTCAGTATTCAACCATTCAGTTTCATATGGATTAAGGTATCGAATGAATGGCAGGGAATCTATTGGTCTTTATGTATCTGTGCTCCTTAGATGGGGTGGAAATGGAGACTAGCCTGGCTGTGGGTGGATTTCCCTCTTGGTGGAATGAACAGCTCTGGCTTAGTTTCATAACCTCTCCACGAGACAAGTGGGAGAGAGGCTCCCCTTCCCCTTTTCCTAGTTGGCCACAGTCCCTTGTTTAGCTGAGGCACAGAGGGAGTGAAAGCTGCTGCCAGTGGTGCTTTCAACAACCTGGGGCTGGGACATCAACCTGGAAACACCTCTTTTTCTCTTGAATTATATTCTTTTGGCCTCATGATCATACCACTTGACTTAGGAGTTAAGGTCGTGTGGGGCTTCATGAGGTCAGGTTTTCTGATAAGTTCTCTCATAGCTGACCCTGTTCCGAGGAAAGAACAGTGTGTCTTCTCTTCTTGAACAAGGGTAAGGACTACAGTTGAAGAAAAAGTTATTCTGGTGGTAAGGAAGACCTCAGTCAAGAATACTACAATGTAAGTCATGACTGTTATCACAGGGGAGAGAGATTAGGTTCAACTCTGAATACAGTGAAGACAATTGGGGATTTATAGCTAACAAGCAGAGTGAGGTCAGTGCATGGAAAGTTACTAACAGGAAACATCAAGTTAGGGGGACTCGTGCTAAACTGACTTAATAGGATTCTTGCTGAAGGCAGGCCAGGATGATCAGATGTTGGGGGAGGGGATGAGGAAATTGATCAGATATAGAGGGTGCCTTAGTTCATTGGGCTGCTGTAACAGAATACTATAGACTGGGTGGCTTATAAAGAAGGAAATTCATTTCTCAAAGTTTTGGTGACTGGAAGTCTCAGGGTGCCAGCATGGTTGGGTGTGGTGAGGGCTCTCTTCTAGACATTATTGTAGCCTAACGTGACAGAGCAGAGAGAGGCAAGCTGTCTCTGGATTCTTACAAGGATGCTGATCTCATTTTGGGGGCCCTGCTTTCATGACTTCATCTAATTCTAATTATCTCGCAAAGGCTCTACCTCCTATTTACCGTCATGTGGTGGGGTAGGGTTTCAACATATGAATTTTGAGGGGACACAGATATTCGGTTCATAACAGAGGGTGATCAGATACCAAAAGTAGGGGTATCCTCCTTAAACTGACTTAGCAAGCTTCTTGCTAGGCAGGCAAAGGAGGCCCAATGACAAGGACTAGTTGAGAAGAGGGCTCAGGGGAGCCTCTTCAAAGTGTGGTCAAAGGGAGAGTCTTTGTCACTATCTCCTGGATCCATGAGTGCCACTTTTTCAGGAAGCCTAATTTAGTGCCACTAAAGAGAGAAGGCCACTGAACTGACCTTTGACACTATGCCCTGGGGAAGTTCTTCACCATGGCTATCTCTCTCTGTTGTCATCTTTTAAAATTTGATTAGTATTATGTTATTGTTGGCATAGCAACAATTGGAGGCTAAGATGGAAAAGAAACTTTCCTCCTTTTTGGTGACTGTGCTTTTGTGCATTTATAATAAGACATGTAAGATTGTAAACGAGGCTAGCTTTACAGTCCTTTTAGCTGTTTGTTTCTCAGTTTAGATGGTACCTAAGCAGGAGTTTTGAGGGAATGTAAAAACATTTATTGGTAAAGTAAATTCTGGGAGCCTCCATTTAGCGTAAGATAAACATTTATGGCTCAGTATTAATAAAGCCTTATGACTCTCAGGATCTAATGATATCACTAACTTTTTTTTTTTTTTTTTTGTGAGACAGAGTCTCGCTCTGTCACCTTGGCTGGAGTGCAGTGGCGCGATCTTGGCTCACTGCAAGCTCCGCCTCCCAGGTTCACACCATTCTCCTGCCTCAGCCTCCCAAGCAGCTGGGACTACAGGCGCCTGCCACCACACCCGGTTAATTTTTTTAGTAGAGATGGGGTTTCAACGTGTTAGCCAGGATGGTCTCGGATCTCCTGACCTTGTGATCCGCCTGCCTCAGCCTCCCAAAGTGTTGGGATTACAGGCGTGAGCCACTGCGCCCAGCCGATATCACTAATTTTTTTTGAAATACGAAGATATTTTGGTTATTAAAAGCAGTGTATATATATGATAAAGTAATGTGTAACAGGAAGCTTTATGAAGAATGTCTTCCAATACACCTTTATAAAGTTCTAAATTCAAAGATTTGTATTCCTCTGGCACGTGAACGATCATTTCAGGCTTTGCTGGGTTATCGTAAAGTCCCTAAGTATGTATACAGAAACAGGACTTAGATCAAAAGGCACGTAACAAGAGCACTGCTTAAAATTGAGTACTCAGGATAGGGTATTAAGATTTAGTGCGGGCTCAGTATGCTTGTAGATCAAAATGGTGTGAGACTTAATGGGAAGGGAACCTGCAAAGATGTGCCCTCTGTGAACCAGGAGGTGTTGGTGGGGTTTCGTCACAGAGAAGAGGGAGCCAGCCTTCCCACTGATGGTATTACAGGTGATCAGGATAGCTTCTGTGCTGAATCGGCCATGCCAATTCCCATTGTAAATGGTTCCCTTCCCAGTTCAAAAGGGGTCACAAATCTTATCAAATGGTAAATTTATTTAATGACTGAATATGATATATAGCAAGCGGCTTCCTGTTTGTGTTATTTACTTTGTCATATTAGTCATGATATGAATAATACCACTGTGTTTCGTGAATTAGGTTCTCAGAGGCACTGTGACTGACTTCCCTGGATTTGATGAGCGGGCTGATGCAGAAACTCTTCGGAAGGCTATGAAAGGCTTGGGTAAATTTAGCTTCCTCTTTCTAAAGCAAATGTGATATTTGTTTTTCCAAACAAGTCATTAATTACAGTAAGAATAATTTTAGAATATTTTGATCTGAAATCTGTAGGAGAAGAGATATGTTAAGATAACAAAATAATACTATAAACCAGAGTGTCCAGTCTTTTGGCTTCTCTGGGCCACATTGGAAGAATTATCTTGGGCCACACATAAAATACACTAACAATAATGATAGCTGATGAGCTAAAAAAAAAAAAAAAGCAAAAAAATTTCATAATGTTTTCAGAAAGTTTATGAGTTTGTGTTAGGCTGCATTCAGAGCTGTCCTGGGCCACATGTGGCTTGCAGGCCATGGGTTGGACAAGCTTGCTATAAACCATCCCTAATATTCAGTCTCTAGAACTGAACAGGCAGTTAAATTCAGCCTCTGTGCTTTTGAGCTTGTCACCCTCACCTGTGTGGTAGAGGCCCGAGTCGATAAGGCAGCCATCCCTGCAGGTGGGCAGCTGTGCAGCTCTGTTCCCAATCAGATATCCCATTCTCATTCTGCTAGACTCTTCTCTTTCCCCAGCCTCTTTTCTAGTCATTTAAAAACCTCTCATCTCAAGGATTTCCATGTGTCACTGATCTCCTGTGCTCAGGCTCCTTTTGTACTACTGTTCATGTGCTTTCTGGCCCTGTAAGTCCTTCCATTGTATCCAGCCCACCTTTTCAGACTCATCTCCCATTACTGTTTAATGTGTTCTCAGACCCAACCATCCTGGCTTATCTGCTGTTTATGAAAGCCCTGTATTTCCCCACTGCTGAGCTTTTCTCTCATTCTAAACGCTGTCCTTCCTTTCGTCACTGCCTTTCACAATCCTTCCATCCTTCAATACTTGTGGGTGTCACCTTCTCCATGAATCATTCTCCAAGATTCCCTTCCACCTCCTATCAGCTAGGAGACCCTTCTTTGAGCCCCATTTAACACCTAGATCTCTCCTGAGGCACTTGTCACATTTTGCCTTAGCTCATACTTATTTGTGTGTTTTTAAAAAACTAGGTGCCCTAAGTTTTTTAAAAGGCAGAAGTATTTTTCCATCTACTTCACAATAGGTTGGGAATGGGGGGTAGAATATATTGGAAACGTAACATTTTATATATTGTAAATTTTTAATAAACTGTTTAATAAAACATTTATATATATGTGTGTATTTGCGTCTGTGTGTGTGTGTGTGTATATATATATGTGTGTGTGTATATATATATATATATACATATTTTTTTTTTTTCTAAGAGATGGGGGTCTCACTATGTTGACCAGGCAGGTCTTGAACTCCTGGCCTCAAGCAATCCTCCCATCTTGGCCTCCCAAAGAGCTAGGATTACAGATGTGAGCCACTGCGCCGGCCATAAAATATATTTTATATTCGCATAGGGAGAGGCAAGGAAATAAGGTGACTGGGAAGCGAGTTGCCAAGATCGTTGGGAGAGTATGCATGTAGGAGCCAAAATGTAATTGTTAACCATAAATTGCAGGCACAGATGAGGAGAGCATCCTGACTCTGTTGACATCCCGAAGTAATGCTCAGCGCCAGGAAATCTCTGCAGCTTTTAAGACTCTGTTTGGCAGGGTAAGACCACACTTCATCCCAAGAGAGAATGGGAGAACAGCTATCAGTTATAAGACTAGTTTGGAATATACTGATATTCTTTTGTAAGCATCATTTATTTTGTGATTCCGACTTCCCTACTTCTGTTTCTTTTCCACTCTCCTCTAAATTATCAGCTCTTAGGATACAGTGCTCACCCAGCTTATCCTCACATAATTGTTTTTCCTTGCCTAATGCTGTAGAGGTGCCAAAAGATCCTGTAGTGAGAACTGTCTCTCTTCTTTTCCTCTGTGTTTCCCACTCAGCATTCACATGGATGTCTTACTATCCATTTTCTAGGTGTAAGCCTGTATTAAAATATGTTTTGTTTTAACACAGTCACAGTCTTGGTTCCTTTTGTCATGATTTTAACTAATGGGTTTTTAATTAGTTGATTTAAATGCTTTTATTTGATTAATAATTCAAAAAAATTTATTTGAATTATTTAAATGAATTATTTGAATTATTTAAATTTAAATGAATTAGTGCATGCATGGAAAACTTAAATGTAGTCTTGTTATTCTGAAAACGTATGTCACTTAACTAAGGAAACAAGTGCAAAGCAAAAAAGAAAGTATTCTAAACACCATTTTTAGTTGTGTGGTATGCTGAAACTTATAGGTAGGAAATACTGTGTTTTTTTTTTCACAATTACATAATTTTTTCATAATTACATACACAATTTCCCCATAGGAACAGATATCTCCCAGTGGTCAGGAGTCATAACAATGACTATAATCTATTATGTGTTTGAATGTTATTACATATTGAGAGAAAAGAAAAAATTATTACGTTTGGGTATGAGAGACTAAATGTTGTCCTTTGTAAATTTCATTATATGATTATTTTTTGAAATTACAAAGAAGATATGTTTCTCAGAATAGTATTTTTATAAAATAGTTTTAGACTACTTTTAAAGGTATTCTTTTTTTTCAAGTTAAGAAAAACATCTTTTAGAAACAAATATCTTGACGTATAAGTGGGTTTGCTTTAGTTTAAGATTTTGGTCACAGGTTAAAAGTATGTTATTCAAGGTTATAGGGTTTTGTTTAGCTCATGGGCCTTCTACTTGGAGACAGCAACATAAAGAATTCATTAGAGCAAAGGACTGTCATTCATATTTAAGAAGAATCTTATTACAATTTCTGCTGGTTAACAAATTTGTATTTTCTGTGGGTTAGGATCTTCTGGATGACCTGAAATCAGAACTAACTGGAAAATTTGAAAAATTAATTGTGGCTCTGATGAAACCCTCTCGGCTTTATGATGCTTATGAACTGAAACATGCCTTGAAGGTAAAAAGGATGAGTGAAAGGAACATTCTTGCATAGATAGTATTATTTTGTTTTGGTAATTACTTCCTCTTATTTGTTATATTTAAAAAATTTTATCTGATTATTTCAGTGAGAGTTGCTTGGCAGACAAAACTGGGAGGCAATAAGCAGTAAAGGAGGGAGAAAATTACACGTGTGTCATTTCATCTTTTTGTAGATTTAAACTCAATAATACTGGGCTGTTTAAAATTTTCATATTTTTATAGCTTTTTGTATTTTATTTTCATGCCTGTCTTCTGATTTTGAGGATGTTTAAAAAATATTACAGATGAGCTATTTTATCTTTTTCAGTAGAAAATTGCCTGATTAGGGAACCATAATATTGCTCATCATTTTAGGTTAAAAGGTAAAGCTTCAGAGAGAATTTTCAAGATAAATATTTTCTCATACTCTTTCCTTCTTTCCTGCCCCTCTAAACACTAAAATGAAGTAGCTGGTAAACTTGCTATAATTTCAGTTGCAGCAAAAATTAAATATGTATTCCCTTGACTGGTGTTTGGAATGTTGTATAAATATGAAGGCATTGACACATTTGTTTAGGCTCATGGGACAGGAAGTAGTTCAGTTGTTAGCTGTTAGATTTTGAATGGGCACATTGAGATTTAACAAGGAAATAATGTTTCTCAGGGATTCTTACTGATGGAGTGGAGAGAGGAGAAGGGTCATCCTGATAGGAGCTGGTTTGTGCTCAGTCTCTTCATTTTCCTATGGTGATTCTTTTGGAATAAACAAAAATCTGAGGTTATTGAGAAAAGCACTTTTTTTGCTAAGTACTTCTGAAATGTCAGCAGTAGTTGAAATTCTGCCAGAGAATGAACTCTAGGTTTTTCAGTGCTTGATTTTTGGCAAAAAATAGAAATATAAAGAAAATAAGGCTTCAATATACTATCTTTTAAAAAAAATTAAGTCCAGCTATATCGTTGCATCTCTTAGTTTAATCATATAGATGTGATTTTTAAAAGCAGAAAAAGGAAAGCCAACTAAAATGATTTTTCAAAAATCCAGAAAGCAAGTCCCAATTCCTTTATACTGTTCTAATTCCTAATAATTAAGTATTGCTATATTTATTGTTACCTTTGATGTAGAATTTTCCTGTGACTGCACAGCACTTAACTTGGGGGTCAGGGGTTTATCTTTTGAGGTGCTTATTAAGTATCAGTGCTCTTCCATGTACATTTACGTGAAGTTTTCATTTTTACTCTTTCGGTTTTTAAAAAATTACTTCATGTTTCATGAAAATGTTTTACTTTTAAGCTAGAATTAACTGATCAAATTAAAAGTTACAAATTTATGTAACTGGTTATGTATACGTACACATATATACACACATACACATGATAAACATTGTTTTCCATTAGGCAAAAAGAATAAAATGGTCTTTGGAGAGAAAATCATTTAAAACTTGTTATTTCTATAACTAATAGAACTCATATACAAAGAAATCCATGTTATACTGGATAATATTTATATAACTATGCAATTTGGGTAACATCTATAACTTTCTTTTAATAACTTTCTTTTTAATCTTATTGACATGTTTTCTCTATTAAAATCTCCAAACAGGGAGCTGGAACAAATGAAAAAGTACTGACAGAAATTATTGCTTCAAGGACACCTGAAGAACTGAGAGCCATCAAACAAGTTTATGAAGAAGGTAAATGTTTGTGAGTTATATTTTGACTTCACCTCCACTATCACTTCCTTCATTTCTGTGATTTGAATGCAGTCCTTTGTAGGTATGGGAGGCACGCAGTAAATGATGGATGAATGAATGAATGAATGAATGACCTGCAATTCAAGCTATTTTTCTCCTTCAGTAAGGAAAAGACTGCCTTGTTATCCTCTACTATTTTCATATTTTATAAGAAGCTACTGCTGAAGATGGAGTTTACTTTTGCATAGGATTTGCAATTAGTGTAGGGATATACAGGTTGTCTTTATGTTAACATTAAGGTAAAAATGGTTTTTCCTCCTTTAAAAATATTTAGCTTTATGCTAGCAAAATTTAGGAGTTATATAAAAAGTACTTTTGGAACTTTGGAAGAGAAACCTAAACCCTTTCCCACATCAGAGTTGATAAAGTACATTTGAGTAAATGTATGTTGTCTTAGCTAATGGCAGTGCTTGAATAAAATATTCTGCATTTTGATTTTTCTTTTTAGTGTGTCTTTTATATGAACAGAAATCTGCATTTCGGCCTAAAATATGTCTCATGAATAGAATCAAGAAAATGAAGTAAAAAGTAGAGGTAGAGAGTCCTTTTCTTACCAGATTTCTTGTAGCCAACTCTTTCTCCTGCCTGACTGAGGAGGGTCAGACTATCCAGTTTCTCAGCTCAGTCAACAGACTCCAAGCCTAGTGTCTTTTGCTAGGGGCTGTATCTTGCCATTAGTTTGTTAATCTTAGAAATGGCTTTGTTAACCCAGCAAGTCAAAACAGCAAAAAATTGTTTAGAGCAACTGTATAATTACCTTTCTAAAGGGCTGAATCTCTCTTTCCTGCTTCTCTTTTTATAGGCAGTAAGTTCCCAACCGCTAAGGCAGAAGTGATACATGTATCTCAACTTTGAACTTTATTTGATGTACTATTCAAAGATCTCTTTCTGGGGATGTTGACGTTGATGAGAGCCTTTGTGCTACTGGATTACAAATGGTGTGCTCAAAGGGGGTAATAACTGTGTGGTCTGTCCTACTCAGCCGTGTAATTGAGCACTGGCTATGTGTCTGGCAGTGTGTTAACAGGCTGTCATGAGTGACAAAAGGTGTGCATAACACAGCTCCTGTCCTCAAGCAGTTTGTGTGCAGTCTCCTCAGTGGGTGACATGACAGAATGACTGCAATATTTAAAGGATAATGAAATTCAAACTAAAGTAAAATACCAATGATGTTAAATGCAATAATGCATTCAGAAGAGAGAGGTCATCATAGCTTTGGATGTTAGGGAGGCTTCATGGTACAAATCACACATGCAGCAGAGTTTCAAGACTAGGTGGGTTTACAAAGTGTCCATTGACAGATGAATAGATAAAGAATACGTACACACACACACACAAACACAGACACACACACACAGGAGTACTGTTCAGTCTTAAAGAGGGGAAATCCTGTCATTTCAACATCATGGATAAACGTGGAGGACATAATGCAAAGTGAAATAAGCTAGGCACAAGGCATAAGCTATGCATGATCTCACTTCTTATGTTGAATCTAAAAAAATTGAACTCATAGAAACAGATAGTAAAACAGTGTTTGCTAGGGTGTAGGGGTGGGGTGAATGGGAGAAGGGACTGGTGAAATATTGGTCAAAGCATACACGATTTTAGTTAGGCAGGATGAATAAGTTCTGGGGATCTCATGAACAGCGTGGTGACTATAGTGAAAGTATAACTATTATATGCTTGAAATTTGTGAATACAGTATATTTTAAATGTCCTCACCACACACAAAAATATAGACTATATGAAGTGATGGATATGCTGATTAACTTGATTGTGGTAATCATTTCACAACGTACACATATATGAAAACATCATGGTGTATACCTTAAATATATACAATTTTTATTTGTCCATCATAACTCAATAAAGCTGGGAAAAAAAGACTAGGTGCATTTTGAGTAGGTAGAAAAGATATTTTTGGGTGAGGTACTGCCTGTCTTTAATGGCATGGAGACTGGACTGTGGAGAGTGTATTGAGGGACGGAGAGGGCCTGGCTGCTGTGGAGGATGTGTGCATGTCCATTGTGGGAGGTAAATGGAACAAGCGAGGTTAGGCTCAGATATAGATGGTTTTGCATGACTGGATTAGGAATTTGGACTTAATTCACAGGCACTGTAAATTCCTGAATGAGCAGTGGAGTGCTGAAGGAACAATTGAGGGAGGAAGGAGATTTGAATTGAGAGGCTAATTGGATAGTTATGTGTGTGGGAGGTAAGCTAGGTATTTAGGAATTGTGGCCCAACCTAGGTGAGTGAGAGGTGTGAGGAGGATAAATCAGGGACAGGAGAAACGTGATAGGATTTAATGGTTAATATTTACAGGTGTTGGTGTAGAAGAAAGAATTAAAGATTCCTACAAGGTTTTGTATTTGGGTAACTTGTTGAAATAAACATGTAACTCTTCTGGGCCTTTTAAAATAGAAGTTTCAGGCTTTTAAAGTTCGTTTGCTTTTGCATAATAATTAAATATTTAAATACCTTAGAGTAAGGCCTCCTTTCCTTTAATAGCATCTGTTTGAGAGTAGTGAGAAAGACTTGTAGACTCTTGTAGATCCCAGTTCTCCCCTTTTATATGGGCTTACATTGAGCAGCTGGAAATAGAGGTGGGAGGGGGGCCTACTTTAAAATATCATTGCTGTCTCTCAAGAGTTAACTTTATTTCTGCAGAGGAAAAATACCTTATTAGGAGTGATGGCCATGCCCAAAGAAATAAATCTCAGAATATTAGAGATAGAAGACATTTGGAAGCTAACCATATAAAAGATTTGAAAGAAAGCAAAACAGAGTTTAAGCTTATGATTGATTGTGTTTTGGAGACTTTCCAGTACCATCATGTATCTATAGATTAATGACTACATTGGTCGAGAGAATTTCTAAATGGCTGAGTCTTGATTTAAGTTTGAATTGAGTGCCTTTGGGAGACTTTAATTCATTTTTGTCCAACCACTCACTGAAAGCATTTGCTTAGAGCATTCAGAGATGGAATAGAGGGAATTTATGTTAACCAAATATAATTATTTCTTCTTTTACATCGCTTTCATTTGATTAATGGGGCAAGATTACTTTTCTAGTTGAAAGAAGATGTAAATAAGTATGAAATTATTTTGTTGCAGAATATGGCTCAAGCCTGGAAGATGACGTGGTGGGGGACACTTCAGGGTACTACCAGCGGATGTTGGTGGTTCTCCTTCAGGTATTGCGTGGAGATTAATTACAGTTTGATTAAAAAGCCTGAAGTTGGACTGGGCTGAATCTAGTTAAGTAAGGTCACTTAAAATTCTTTTAATAATTTGTGGTACTTGCTGATTCTTACTGCGATGATTCTGACTGTATGTTGCCTGTGCTTGTTTGTGTTTCAGAATATCTGGTCTAAATTCTTAACAGCTAACTCATACATGTTTTAGATAGTAGTATCTTGTTCCTTTCATAGAATGATAGCGGTATCTTGTTCTTTCATAGAATTTAAAATCAGTAGGGTCATTATTGGTTTTGGACAGTGCTGGGTGATGATAACGTGAAATAGTGCAGGATTGATCTTAATAAAAGCATATTATTCCTAGAGAAAGAGTGTTATTGAATAACCATCAGGTGGAACCATTTTTCCTTTTGAATGAGAATGCTCTATAGTTCAGTAATGTGACATATTACCTCTCATAGGCTAACAGAGACCCTGATGCTGGAATTGATGAAGCTCAAGTTGAACAAGATGCTCAGGTGAGTGACACCAGGATATGATGACTTTATTATGCTGTAGAAATGAAGAAATAATTCATGGTAATGAAAAATCACAATGTATGTTGTAATAGCTTCTAGTGATAATCTTGTTAATGGGTTATTTACATAGCATAAGACCTACATAAGTAGCTTTTTCTTATTCTGACCTGGTCAGCAAAATATTTTACCTTAAAGCTGAAACGAAATAAAATAAATTATATAGTGAGTTCCAACTAGACATGTTTTTTTTTGTGATTATTGAACATTCACAAAATAGAGAATTTTACCAAAAAACAGTGTTATTACTTCCACTGCCAATTATGCAGTGGGTCTCTTAGCAGGAGAAGATAAAGAAGAAAGAATAAAGTATTTAACAGTAAGTGGTGTTTAATTACATAAGAGATGACAAGTTATTTTGGTATTAGGAAATTTCTCTGCATTTCCTTCGACAGAATTTTAAGTAGGATTGGTCTTCTGTCAGCAGCTTTTTAGTGACTCCAAATGAAAATTTCCTCTTAAGTGACTTATAAACCCCTATAAAGTCTCAGTCTGGTTAATAAAACAGTTATTAAAATATAGGAAAGGAAATTTGAAACATGAGAGCTGAAAACTGGAAATTGGTAATAAAGGAATTACTTGGGTTCCTAGAACCACCAATCATAGACCTCTTTCTGGTCACATGTTTCAATTAAGAGAATATACAATTCTTGGTTGTTTGTCATGTATCATTGAAAAAGGAAGAGCCATATTCATTCCTCCAGTGGAACAACCCATGGATATGCGATCTCACTTTGCTAACAGGAAAGAGGAGAGCGGTTATTCTTTTGGGTAGGTTGATTTTATAATGGTTTCAGAATGCTGTCATCTCTGTCTAGCTGGAGAGAAAAAAAGAACTGAATGTTTACCGAGGGCTCTCTGTGCAGTATTTGACTCTTGCTTCACTCTGTCTTAGAAAATGCAAGCCAATTGTGTCCAGCCCCTTCAGACTCTGGTGGTTCCATTGCCCTCAGGATAAAGTCCGGGTTCCTGAATGGGTTACAAGCCCCTTTGTTATCTGTGTGTTGTTTACTTATGCCTCCAGCCTCTCTCACATGCTCTCTCTGCCCTCTTGCCCCTCCCACCCCGCTTCACCTGAGTCCTCTTCAAGAGTCAGTCTTCAGCTTAGATACTTTAGAGTTAGGTGCCCCTCACAGGGAAAACCATACCCCCCCCCGCCCCCAGGCTTCCTGTCACAGTTCTTGCCACGTTCTCTGGAAGCCATCTATTTACTTCACTGCCTTCCTGGGCCCCCTGAGCTGTCAGTTCAATTGTATCCTCAGCTTCTGGCATAGAGTAGGTGCTCAGTAAATAACTGATGAATGAATGAGCACATAACTCTACCAGAAAGGGGCAATTTCCCTTTTATGGATAAAGAAACAAACCCATGGCTTCCACTGAATAGCAGTGGAGTTGGAATTCCTAACGAGGCCTGTCTGACTCCAAAGCTCTTTCTCTTTCACTAGAAGATAGTCAGTGTTATTGAATATTAATATTTCACTATAAGAATATTTCACTGTAAGATATTCAGTGTTCTTGAGTATTAGTGCCTTCCCTGATTTTCTCTATCATTAAAGGGCTTATTAAATATCAACTCAAGCATAGATCTAGCTTAATTCCACCTTCTTTCGGGAAGAGGGCTAGAGCAACCCTACAGAGTTGTACTCCTGTTAGGGGCTTTGTTCAGTACTGAGGTGATCTTACTGCTTTCCAAGCATTGGTTGTGGCTTTGCTAGGAGATAGTGCTGATTCTCTCATTCCTACTGTCAAGAGTAGGATAGGAGTTCTGGGAGCTTTTCAGGGTCACAGTGTAAGAAACCAACTCTAGTCCTCTCAGATGTCTGCAGTGAGGCCTGCATTCACAGGCAGAGGGCAGATTTCCCAGCATAGTTGGTGATGTAATGAGAGCATTGCTGCAGCACGAGGCTCCTGAGGGGAAAACAGTACATTTTAACCTTGTTTTCATTGATTTCTGTCCTTGGAGCACTTACTGGATAGCACTGCTGCTCAAACTTTCATGGGCATGTGGCGCACCTGGGACCTTTAATTGCAGATTCTGATTCTATGGGTCTGGGCAGGGGCTGGGAGTCTGGATTTTGAACATGCTCTCAGGTAATGCCTGCATTCTTGGTCCTTTGATTACTGAGGCTGTATAGGTGACACTTACGTGTCATGCAGTGGATATAACCATTCAGAACCCTGAGAGTACATGTGAGACTGTACATGTGAAAACTGCTTTATGGAGTTACTTTAAAGTATCCCTTGAATGGAATCCAAGCTTTTCTTAGCCTTCCAGTGACTAGGAGCAATACAGAACATGTTACACTGGCTATTATTTTTGATTCTTTCAAATGTATTATTATTAATTAATAAACCTGTTGAAAACAAATAATCTTTTGGCATTATAAAAAGGAACACACCAACTTGTACCTCGTAGCAAGGGCAGCTGGACTGTTATCACTAGTGAGAATTTGAGATTTCTTAATTGAGAGTAAGCTGAGACAGCTAAAGGGCTCTTTTATAAGCTTTTGCATTTTTGTCTCTACTGATACCTGGCACTAAGAAGATTTCTATTATTTGAGAGGTTTGATAAGCCATAGTGAGTCATTCACTTGGGAACTGAACGTTTTGTAGATAATCCACTTTTTAACATTTTTAATGTGTTAAATTGATTTAATACTTTTAATGCATTAAAACAGATTTACCTTCTTCCCCAGTAAATCCTTGTTTTATTCTTTCTCTGGAGGGAGAGTTGAACTCTTAGAGGAAAGAGGGAGAAGGAGAAGTAATCAGGCACTTTTTACTTTTACTGGGCATTTGCTACTGATTACCTGACACTGTTCAGTGCATTATCTTAGTTATATAATCTCCGTTAATGACTATATACACTGAGGCTGAAGAGGAGATTAAGTAGTTCATCTGAGATCTTGCAGATAGACCACATCTGTTTTGACTCCAAAGACTCATCCTTTGCACTGAACCAGGGCTTATGAAACTGTACTCAGGCTGAACCGTAAAGCTTAGGGAAGGGGTGTAAGGGTCCCTCATCCAGATGGATCCATGAATATTGGGCATCCTCATTTAGGAGAAAGGATACTTAGATTAAAACAAAACTGTTAAATATCATTGTTTTACATGAAGAAGCCATCATTATTATTGCATATGATTACTTAATAATAGTTTTACAGTAGATATTGATCCCAAACATAATTCTCCCAAGAAAATTAAAACATTGTGGTAAAAATAACTGACATCTCACCAATTATTCCCATATAACAGGCTTAACTCCTGTACCTACTAGAGAACATTTCTAGACATTTAAAACAGTTGATAAGAAGTGTGTGCATCAATGTCTGTGATATTGTACAAGATGAGTCCTTTACCCATTTAGGTGTTAATGTATTTGTATATTTTATCTACATGTAGAAACATACCAGAAGTAGTAACTAGCACCCTCAGGAAATTGATATTAAATAGCAACTTTTCTTTTCTTTCCTTTCTCTTTCCCCTTTCTCCTTTTTCCTTTTCTTTCCTTCACCTTTCCTTCCCCTCCCATTTCCTTACCCTCCCCTTTCCTTCCCCTCCCTTCTCCTTCCTATCCCCTCTCCCTCCCCTCCCCTCTCCCTCCCCTCCCTTCTCCTTTCCGCCCCTCTCCCTCCCCTCCCCTCCCCTCCCTCTTCCCCTTTCCTTTCCTTCGTGCCCAGGCTGGAGTGCAGTGCCATGATCTAGGCTCACTGCAACCTCTGCCTCCTGGGTTCAAACAATTCTCTTGCCACAGCCTCCCGGGTAGCTGGGATTACAGGCATCTGCCACCGTGCCTGGATAAGTTTTGTATTTTTAGTAGAGACAGGTTTTGACAGGTTGCCCAGGCTGGTCTTGAACTCCTGGGCTCAAGCGATCCACCTGCCTCAGCGTCCCAAAATGCTGGGATTACAGGCATGAGCCACTATGCCTAGCCTGCAACTTCTATTTTCTTATTTTTGTTCTTTCTTAGTTTTATAAAATTTCTCAATGAACTTGCGTTGTTTTTGTAATTAAATTTTAAAAGTTATTTTAAGAAAGGTCTGTGTCATCATGATATAGTTCTAAAGTTTAGATGCATGCATGACTTTCAGAGTTACTGTCTTTTCAGGTTTTAAGAGCATGTTCACATGGCCAGAATTGATATTATTCATTTTTATCTTTAAAATAATTAATTTTAAAATTGAGCATAAAGATACATGAGTCTCATTTTTTTCTTATTCTCCAGAAATATAATAAAAAATAGATCTTTACCACCATAATCTACATTTTTAAATATACTGTGATCAAAACTTCTATATTCAAGCCTGTTATTATCACTTCCTGTCTTTATTTGGATTGCTGCTTGTGGGTATAAGGCCAACTGCAAGTAGCAGCCTCAGCAAATTGCATTCATCTTGCTTTAATATGTAGACTTAGTTTGAAATGAATAAAAGGATAGTACAGTCATTGTAAAGGTTGATTCTTTGGGTTTTAATAAATTATTCTCACGTCAATAAGTGGATTCAGAGTTAACGTTGATGTTTGTATATAAGCTTATTTTTTTAGGCAGCTATACGTGCACAAGAAAGCATATTTTTTCCCCATGTCAAAAAGGAAGTATGGGCACTCAAACTATTCAACCACTACTTATTGAGTGCTTCTATATGCCAGGCACTGTGCTATACCCACAATCTTTTAAAAATTTATTGTGATCTTTGGAAATATGAAAACATTTTATAGCTAGCCTTGGTTAAATCTCAGTTGTAAAGAGAAAATATGAAGTGTACTTTTACTCATGTGCTATTGAACAGCTATAGAACAAGCAAAACAGAAAAGGCAGACAACTTAGCTTCCAGTTAAATCCTTTCCCAGTCTATACATGGATGTATCAACAGTGAGGTAGTCATAACTTTCTCCTGACCCATACTGTTGCTTCTGAAAGATTGGAGGTTATGGCAGACATTTTGGGAACATGTAACCTTGCACCATTGCCGTGCTTTGTTGCTTGGACCCATGAATCTTCTGTGGCACAGTTCAGTGGCAAGCTCCAAAGGTGCTCCAAACTCAGTGAGCTGAGTTTCAGAGTAGGACACATTAGAAATGAAAACTATTAATACAAGATGATGAATCAAGTGAGTTAAAATTCAGGGAGTAAAAAACAAGTGTGTTTAAGAACCTGGAAATGAGATGGAGGAACAATTTATTAATTGAGTTTGAAATTTTTGCAGGCTTTATTTCAGGCTGGAGAACTTAAATGGGGGACAGATGAAGAAAAGTTTATCACCATCTTTGGAACACGAAGTGTGTCTCATTTGAGAAAGGGTGAGTGAAAAAAATCTGTATGGGGCAGATACATTGGTAAATTTGGAAAGTGCATGAGCCAGTGTGACAGAATACCTGCTACATAGCAGGGACTTAGAGAATGAATCAGTTTTTGTATTTCTTCCTTTTGGTGACCTGGAGAAATCTCAACATTGTTTTTGCTGCTGTTGTAGCTTTTACAAACTAGAGATCCTGAGTCCACCCTTCACTATTGGAGGATGGCAAGGGAGGTCAGTTCTCTAGATTGTTCCTCTCATAGTCACACATCACTGAATAGTGGCTCACTACACGTATTTCCTCCTAGAGGTTGGTACCCAGGACCTTATCTCTGGATAGTCATCAGCACTTGTGGTATCAGTTGGGAATGAATTTAGTGCAAGTGACAGAGAACCCTAATAGTGGCTTTAAAAATTGGGCTTTTTTTCCAGAGGTGGGATTCCATGGTTGATTTGGCAGGACCTGAGATCTTTCTGGTTTTTCTTTTTGCTCCATTATCCCTAGTGTTTTGGTTTTCTTTCTTCATTATCATAAGATGTCTGCTCTAGCTCCAAACTTAACCATTTCACAGCAGGAAGGAAAGAAAAGGGTAAACTAGTCCTATCTGTGTATCACTTTTTGTAAGTGAGGAGATTTCTCAGCATCCCCTCCAGTAGATTTACCTTTAGGTCTCATTGGCTATAACTCGTAAGGGGGCTGGCAATCAGTGAACAAAGTATATTTACAATCCATTGCTTAGGGCTTGGCACATTGAGGCTTTGAGCACAAGGTTCTGTCAGCAAGGAAGAAGGGGAGATTTGTGTTCAGTAAGACACTACCTAATCAAAGTAAATACCATCTTTCTGGAAAGAGTGATCCCTACATGATTAGGGAATCATTTTTATTTTTTCTAGTGTTTGACAAGTACATGACTATATCAGGATTTCAAATTGAGGAAACCATTGACCGCGAGACTTCTGGCAATTTAGAGCAACTACTCCTTGCTGTTGGTAGGTGATTTACAATGTATTGATATTTTTGGTGGTAAGAGCTAAAGCATTTTATTCAATTGAGGCTGCATCTGAAAATAACCACCTAGGTGTGAAGGAAGAGCTTGATATGATATTTAGGGGAAGCAAACTCCCAAATTTCCAATTCAGAAATTTATTTTGATGTTGGAAATACAGGATTGTCTGGTTAGTTCATCTAAATCCTATGGAAATACTAAGATAATTGTTTAAAAATCATTTTGAAGCTGCATTAAAAATATTATTTATTGATAAACCTGAAATGTCGTGGACATTATCTCAGAGGCTTGTAAACATTATTTCTGATACCTGTGGAATTTTAGAATTTTTTTGAATACTGTTCTCTCAGCTTTGAGGCAGACTAAGAAATTGTCATCTGGTTTAGAAAAGAAGAATATCTTTGATGTAATAGAAGATGTGATGATGGTTGTTTTCAAATTAAATAATTTAGTTTTATTTTAATTAAATATTCAGAATAATCTGGAAAAATTGGAGAACTGAATCTGTGCAGTTGATTGCAGTATTATGTACTCCAAAGCTAGGGAGAATCTAGTTTGTGAGTCTCCTGTGGTCCTTTTGTTCATATGGGTCTGCAGTGAGCCTCTGTCTGCTGTTTGTTCCAAGTATTTGGCCTTGAGCTCACACTTTTGTGCTCTCTGTCTTCAGGAGACTAAGCTAAAGATCTGCATGAACCAACTCTAAAAGTAGCCTTTCACTTGAGTACACAGTTAATGTACTTTTACCAGAAAACTTTTAGACAGGTCCTTCATAATTAGAATACGCATACAAATTAAGACATTTTCAGTTACTGGTGGCTGTTTTTCTTAAGACTTAGAAAAGGGAGAATTAAGAAATCTCCACATGCAAGGATTATTTTTGTATATTAAGGAATTTTCATGATAGATTTTCTGAAGCTAAGCAGACTGAGGTCTGAGCAGCCCCAACCTACATTCAACATGTACATGTTCAGAGAAGAGATCCTTTCTGATATTGATTTATCTGTTTTTGTACTGAAATGGATAAATCTCATGCTGCTCTGTGTGAATCATTGATATTAAAGAATATGTAGAGAGTATAGGAAGATCACCCAAGAGTTTAAAAAAATTAGGTAGTAATCTTGTATTATTTGCTTTAATGTCTTGGAATGAAAACTTCCAAGGGATTTGTGTAATTTATTGGTGATGAAGAATGTTGTGGTATTATGATAACAATCCAGGCTGCCCAAACTGCAGTATCCAAAAAGTCTTCACAGAACCAAGGCGCATAGAAAAACCTGTGCCCTTATTCTCCATGCCTTTCTATGCAGACCTCAGAACTCCAAGGAAAACCTAAGCCAGTGTCTAAGAAAATACTTGGTGAGTGAGGAAATCAGATTAGCTTACAGCTCTTTAGCCTCTGGTACTTTTGTGTTTTTATAGAAGTAGAGCTATAAGCAGGAAGCAGCACTTGATTTTTAATTACTTAATCCTTTACATATCAAAATAGCATTTGACCATTGTATTGTTTATTTTCTTAGTGAAATCTATTCGAAGTATACCTGCCTACCTTGCAGAGACCCTCTATTATGCTATGAAGGTAAGTGGAGACCATGAACCTTCTATCTAATACATTTCTCTTTCTAATTATTATTCTTCACTTTTGTTTATGTTTTAGATGATAGACCTTGGGAATTTTTCCCTTATAACATTCAACCCAGTTCTACTAAATTGTTATACCTTATTGATTCACCCGCACCCGGGAGCATTTGATCCTATGTTTGAAGTTTTTAAGCATTTTGCTTCTCTCTTTTTTTTTTTTTTTAAAGGGAGCTGGGACAGATGATCATACCCTCATCAGAGTCATGGTTTCCAGGAGTGAGATTGATCTGTTTAACATCAGGAAGGAGTTTAGGAAGAATTTTGCCACCTCTCTTTATTCCATGATTAAGGTAGTAGAACCTTTCTTTAAATTACGTTTGGGAATCCAAAGCAGACTGGTATGTTGCATGAAAGACAAGGATAAGAGAACCTGATTCTTGTGTTAAGTTTAAAATTTTAGTGACACGATTAGAGCAATGAGTTAAAAAGCTTAGCATAATGTTTCCTGAAGTAGAGATGATGGCTCCCAAGTGAAAGCATGGGTATTGATGTGGCTGAGGCTCTTGGTGAACTCAGAAGCATTATTTAGTAGTGGTAACAGATGACTCAACAAACCAAACCCCTTGCCTATGATAATAATGTGTTCTTTCTGTCTTTTATCAATTCCAGCTGTCTTTATTAGTCCTTCTTTTATTTCATATCAGCTTTTCCTTTCTTTATCGTCTGTTATCACCTTATCTCTGATGCTGGTTTCTAATTCAGGAAAGAGCCAACCAGGTCATATTGGGAGTAAAGAGCCCCTAGGTATTAGTATCATTTTTGTTCTTTTTAAAACAAGGTGCTCTGTGGCCTATAATTACATTTAGCTTAAAGTCTTTTGACTTTTTTTTTTTTTTTCCAGTAAAGGTTAATGTGGACCATGTGCAAAGCAAGATTTCAATTGAGCAGAAGCTTTTAGTTTAGCATGTTTGTGGTTTGGCTGGCCCAAAGGACACTAGAGAGTTTACCCATGCACTTTTAGCTTGAAACATTAATTTATCATGCATGTCTGCATGTGAGACAAGCAGATGCAAAGCATGTTCTGCCCTTCTGTCTCGGAGGGAGAGCCATGACAGCCCTGCAGCCCCAGCACTGCCCGTGTTAGCTGATATATACCAAGTGATAGAAACTATTCTGTCTAGAAGGCTTGATTTGACTATAGTTGTTAAAGTTGCCTGATTCTTTGTGTTACCAGAGGGAATACTGAGTGTCTGAGGTTACATTGGTAGGAAACTCCCTGCATAACATTCCTGATGTGAAAGTCACAGAGATTACCCACTTGGGAGAAGAGTCTTATGAATAAAATTTGTTGCCAGTTATTTAGTTTTAAAATTTTCTATGGCTTCTGTGAGTCATGGAGGTTAATGGAATACATTTGGTTTCAGGGAGATACATCTGGGGACTATAAGAAAGCTCTTCTGCTGCTCTGTGGAGAAGATGACTAACGTGTCACGGGGAAGAGCTCCCTGCTGTGTGCCTGCACCACCCCACTGCCTTCCTTCAGCACCTTTAGCTGCATTTGTATGCCAGTGCTTAACACATTGCCTTATTCATACTAGCATGCTCATGACCAACACATACACGTCATAGAAGAAAATAGTGGTGCTTCTTTCTGATCTCTAGTGGAGATCTCTTTGACTGCTGTAGTACTAAAGTGTACTTAATGTTACTAAGTTTAATGCCTGGCCATTTTCCATTTATATATATTTTTTAAGAGGCTAGAGTGCTTTTAGCCTTTTTTAAAAACTCCATTTATATTACATTTGTAACCATGATACTTTAATCAGAAGCTTAGCCTTGAAATTGTGAACTCTTGGAAATGTTATTAGTGAAGTTCGCAACTAAACTAAACCTGTAAAATTATGATGATTGTATTCAAAAGATTAATGAAAAATAAACATTTCTGTCCCCCTGAATTATGTGTACATGTGTGTTTAGATTTATTATTAAATTTATTTAACAATGTTCTCTCTTTTTAAGCTAATAATTGACAGTGGTGTTAGTTGAGAACTGAATTTACAGTTGGTCTTTTGGGCAGTAAGAAATGCAAACCATAGACTGAATTTCCTTCATAGTACATGATTTTTCCTAAATATAGGAAAGATCGAAGGGGTCTCTGGTTTATTTGCACCATGTTTATTTAGGCATCTATTAAAGCAATGCTTGTGGTGCTACTTGCTTAGTAGAAAAGCTAATTATAAAACTTAATGCAAAAATTCAGAGTACTACCTTTCTCTTTCCTCTTTCCTATTGTGAACTTGCCTCCCATTTACTGTCTGTCACTTTCTTTGAGATAAATAAAAAAGACAATAATTTTTTCTAGAAAGAAGCAGTTTATCGATCTCTTCTAATATTTGCCTTTCAGTTTTCTGTTTTCAAACTGCCATTTCAGTTGGTGTCATTTTTCTTTTTGTACTTATGCCCTTCTGGTTGCATTTTTTTTTTTAAAGCCAAGTAATTGCCATTAATAAGCTTTTTTAAATAAAATGAACTAATCTTCCTTTGAAAACTTTAAAATAGTGATAATATTCTTTTCACCACCGTTGATGCTCATCAGAATAACCAGGGGAATCTTAAAAACTGTATGTGTACACATGATATTGGATTTTTGTTTTTTTGAGAGGCCTCATAGGCAATTTTAATGCAGAGGCAAGTTGAGAATCAGTTGGTTATACTTTTCACATAGAAGATGATATGTTTCAAAGAGCTCTGTTCTGTTATTGAAAATAGGCCACTGGCTTTAAATATAAGCCCTGGATTATTTATTAGTAACACTTTAAGAGAAATCCACCTGTGAGCTTTAACATTTGCTATATTTTCTGTAGGTCTGGATCTGAAAATTTATTAATAAAAGAATTAAAAAAATAAAAATCCACAAAAAACATTTGCTATATTTATTTACTTAGTGACCTTCTTCCCAGCTCTCTGTGAGTTTATTGGGAGACAAATTTTTGTGGAACTAGATAAGCTGATTGTAAACATCATGCAAAAAAGGAAGGATTGTTAGTAAAACTTGAGAGTAGTGAGGGAGCACTATTCTTCTATTCTTTACACAGATTAGACTACATATCCTGAATAGCTGAAACAGTATAATACTGTGGCATGAATAGACAGACAAAACAGCAAGTTCAGATATGGAAACAAATCATTTGGAAATTTAGTATATGTTAAAGGTAGGTCTTAATTTGCTGGGTAAAGATAGCATTTTTTTCTAACAAATGGTGTGAAGACAGTTGGGGAGCCATCTAGGAAAATATAAGGCTTTTTCTATACCTCATGTATCAGGTAACTCTCAAAATGAAACATTTAAACTTAAAAATAAAATCATAAACATATGAGAAAGAAGCATGGAGGGATTTCATCATACCTGCACCTTCTAGATTCTCTGGGAAGCAGATGCTGAGATGGAGTTAGGGATGCAACAGGTTTATTGAATGGAACAGGTAGAAGGCAGGATTGGGCAAGGGGTGTCATCAGATTGCACTGCAGACCTGACCAAATCTTTGCCAGTATCATGTGGAACTCTGAGGCAAAGAGTTCCTGCAAAGAGCCCTTTGTGAGACAGAAGTGCCTGGGCCCTGTGCCACCACCTTCCTTACTCAATTATTGGCTAAGTGTCTTCTGGAGAAGAGCTTGGCTTGGCTGGAAAGCTGAGGCAAAACCTGAAGGAGATTAAGAGTTGGAAGGCTGTCAGCAACCCACATTTTCACAGCTTGGAACTGAGTATTTTCTTGAAAGGGGATCTAAGTGGTGCAGTTCCATGTCTGCCATAATGATCTTGAAGTGTGAGGCCTTTCTATCACCCAAAATCCAGAAGCCATAGGAGAAAAGATGATTATTTTTGATTTCCTAAAAATCAAAAACTACATGGAAGGCAGGCCAGGCACAGTGGCTCATGCCTGTAATTCCAGCACTTTGGGAGGCCAAGGTGGGTGGATTGCTTGAGCACAGGAGTTTGAGACCAGCATGGACAACATGGCAAAACCCCATTTTTATTTTTTAAAAAACCAAACAAAAAATTAGCTGGATGTGGTGGCACACGTCTCTGGTCTCAGCTATTTGGGAGACTGAGGTGAGAGAATTGTTTGAGCACAGGAGCACAAGGCTGCAGAGAGCCTGAAGGAGGGAAGGAGGAAAGGAAGGAAGGAAGGGAGGGAGGGAGGAAGGGAGGAAGGGAAGACGGGAGGGAGGGAGGAAAGGAAGGAAGGGAGGGAGGAAGGGAGGAAGGGAAGACGGGAGGGAGGGAGGGAGGGAGGGAAAATCACCACCAAGACAATTTAAATGACAAACGGGAAAACATTTACAGTTCATACAACAAAGATCTAATCTCCTTTGTACATGCTGACACACCTTGTTTTATTGTACTTTGCAAACAATTAAAAAAAAATTTTTTTAAACAAATCATAAGTTTGTGGCAACCCTGCATTGAGTCAGTGTATCAGCACCATTTTTCCAATAGCATGTGCTCACTCTTTATCTGTTTGTCACATTTTGGTAATCCTTGCAATATTTTAAGTTTTCATTATTATGTATCTTATGGTGATCTGTGATCAGTGATCTTCAATGTTACTGTCATAATTAAGGTGCTATGAACCATGCCCATTTAAGACAGTGGGCTTAATTGATAAATATGTGAGTTCTGACTGCTCCACCGACTGGCTGTTCCCTCATCTCTCTCTCTCTTTCTCTCTCTCTCTCTGATCCTTTCTATTCCCTGAGACAAAACAATATTGAAATTAGGCCAATTAATAACCCTGCAATGGCCTCTGAGTGTTCAAATGAAAGGAAGAGACTCACACATCTCTTATTTTAAATGAAAAGTTCAAAGTGATTCAGCTTAGTGAGTAAGGCAGGTCAAAAGCCAAGGCAGGCTGAAAGCTAGGCTACTGGTGCCAAACAGCCAAATTGAGAATAAATGTAAATTTTAATTTTCTTTCTTGAAGAAAATTAAAAGTGCTACTCCATTGAACACATGAATGATTAAGACAGTGAAATAGCCGTATTGCTGATATAGAGAAAGTTTGAGTAGTCTGGTTAGAAGATCAAACCAGCCACAACATTCCCTTAAGTCAAAGCCCAATCCAGAGCAAGATCCTAATTTTCAATTCCATGAAGGCTGAGAGGTGAGGAAGCTGCAGAAGAAAAGTAAGTGAGCAGTTTTGGTTCATGCGGCTTAAGGAAAGAAGCCGTCTCTGTAATAGAAAAGTGCAAATTGAAACAGCAAGTGCTGATGCAGAAGTTGCAGCTAGTTCTCCAGATGACCTAGCTAAGATAATTGATAAAGGAGGCTACACTAAACCACAGATTTTTAGTGTAAACAAACAGCCTTCTATTAGAAGATGCAATTTATAGCTAGAGAGGATACATCAATGCCTGGCTAAAGCTTCAAAGAACAGGCTGACTCTTTAGGGGCCAATGCAGCTGGTGATGTTAAGCTGAAGCCAGTGCTCATTTACCATTCCCTGGATCCTAGGGCCCTTAAAAATCATGCTAAATCTACTCTGCCTGCATTCTATAAATGGTACAACAATGGATGATAGCACATCTGTTTATAGCATGGTTTGCTGTTATTTTAAGCCCACTTTTGAGACCTGCTCAGAAAAAAAATCCTTTTCAAAATATTACTGTACATTGACAATACACCTCATCACTTAAGAGCTCTGATGGAGATTTAGGAGGAGCTGAATGTTGTTTTCATGCCTGCTAACACAACATATATTCTGCACTCCATAGATCAAGGAGTAATTTCAACCTTTAAGTCTTATTAAAAAATGTACTTTATAAGGGCATAGCTGCCATAGATAGTGATTCTTTTGATGGATCTGGGCAAAGTAAATAGAAAACATTCTGGAAAAGATTCACCATTTTAGATGCCATTGATATGGTTTGGCTTTGTGTTCCCACCCAAATCTCATGTTGAATTATGATTCTGAGTGCTGAGTGGTGTGAAGTAACTGGATCACTGGGGTGGTTTCTAATGGTTTAGTATCATCCCCTAGTGTTGTCTCATAATAGAGTTCTCACAAGATCTGGTTGTTTGCAAGTGTGTAGCACCTCTCCCGTCACTCTCTCTTCCTCCTGCTCCACCATGGTAAGATGTACTTGCTTCTCCTTTGCCTTCTGCCATGATTGTAAGTTTCCTGAGGCCTCCCAGCCATGCTTCATGTACAGCCTGTAGAACTGTGGAATCAATTCAATTTCTTTTCATAAATTACCCAGTCTTAGGCATTTCTTTATAGCAGTGTGGGAACAGATTAATACAGCCATTAAGAATATTCATGATTCATGGGCAGAGGTAAAAATATCAGCATTACCAGGAGTTTGGAAGGAATTCATTCTAAACCTCATGGATGACTTTCAGGGGCCTAGGACTTCAGTGGACGAAGTAATTGCAGACATGGTGGAAATGGCAACAGAAGTAGAAGTAGAAGTGAAGCCTGAAGATGTGACTGAATTGCTGCAATGTCATGATAAAACTTGAATGGACAAAGAGTTGCTCTTATAGATGAGCAAAGAAATTAGTTTCTTAAGATGGAAACTATTCCTGGTGAAGATGCTGTGAACATTGTTGAAACAACAACAAAGGATTTAGAATGTTCCATAAACTTAGTTGATAAAGCAGCCATAGGGTTTGAGAAGATTGACTCCAATTTTGAAAGAAGCTCTACTACTAGACACTGTGGCTTATGCTTAGCTACTCAGGAGGCTGAGGCAGGAGGACTGCTTGAGGCCAGGAGTTCAAGACCAGCCCAGGCAACATAGGGAGATCCTGTCTCTCAAAAAAGAAATGAAAAAATAATGAGCTTGGTGTGGTGGTGCATGCCTGTAGTTCCAGCTGCATGGGAGGCTGAGGCCTAAGAGTTTGAGGCTGCAGTAAGCTATGATCATGCTGCTGCCCTCCAGCCTGGGTGACAGAGCGAGAGCTTGTCTCTTAGAAAAAAAAGTCTGTTTCAGAGAAATCATTTGTTAAAAAAAGAGTCAATCAATGCGGCAAACTTCATTATTGTCTTATTCTAAGAAATTGCTGCAGTATCCCAAGCAGCAGCCATTAACGTCGAGGCAAGATCCTCCACTAGCAAAAAGACTATGGCTCGCTGAAGGCTCAGATGTTTGTTAGCATTTTTTAGCAATAAAGTAGTTTTAAATTAAGGTATATACATTTTTTAAAGGGAAAAAAACCCCAAACCAGTACTATAGTAAGAAAAAAAAAGGGCAAAAGAGATGAATAGGCAGTTCATAGAATAAGAAATATGGCCCTTAAGCATGAAAAGATGCTTGATTTAACTCATAATAAGGGAAGCGCAAATTCAGATTACACTGAGATTCCTTTTTCCACCTATCAGATTGTCAAAAATCCAAAAGTTGGAGAACATCGTTGTTGTGACGGCAAGCTACAGTGAACTAGGAATTCTCACAGATGGTCAGTAGGAATAAAAAGTGGTATAACCCCTCTGGAGGGTAGTTTGGCAATATTTACCCAATCTATAAATGTATTTACCTTCTGACCCAGCAATAGCGCTCTGTGCATTTTTCTACCCATCACCTGCATTTATGAAATGCTGTGCGTGTAAGTTTATTATTGTGACATTGTCAATTCTCCTTAAATTCAACTATACATTTAATGTGATCTCATTAAAATACCCAGAGAAAATTTTTGGAAGTTTATGTGAAAAAACAGACAAGTAAGAGTGCCAGGAGAATTCTTTCTAAAGAATTGGACTGTGATCAGGTAGCCTGATGCCTCCAGCTTTGTTCTTTTTGCTTAGGATTGTCTTGGCTATGTGGGCTCTTTTTTGGTTCCACATGAACTTTAAAGTAGTTTTTTCCAATTTTGTGAAGAAAGTCAGTGGTAGCTTGATAGGGATAGCATTGAGTCCATAAATTACCTTGGACAGTATGGCCATTTTCACGATATTGATTCTTCCTATCCATGAGCATGGAATGTTATTCCATTTGTTTGTGATCTCTTTTATTTCCTTGAGCACTGGTTTGTAGTTCTCCTTGAAGAGGTCCTTCACATCCCTTGTTAGTTGGATCAGTTGGATTCCTAGGCATTTTATTCTCTTTGTAGCAATTGTGAATGGGAGTTCACTCATGATTTGGCTCTCTGTCTGTTATTGGTGTATAAGAATGCTTGTGATTTTTGCACCTTGATTTTTTATCCTGAGACTTTGCTTAAGTTGCTTATCAGCTTAAGGAGATTTGGGGCTGATACAATGGGGTTTTCTAAATATACAATCATGTCACCTGCAAACAGAGACAAGTTGACTTCCTCTTTTCCTAATTGAATACCCTTTATTTCTTTCTCTTGCCTGATTGCCCTGGCCAGAACTTCCAACACTATGTTGAACAGGAGTGGTGAGAGAGGGCATCCTGGTCTTGTGCCAGTTTTCAAAGGGAAGGCTTCCAGTTTTGCCCATTCAGTATGATATTGGCTATGGGTTTGTCATAAATAGCTCTTATTATTTTGAGATACGTTCCATCAATACTACAAGGCTACAGTAACCAAAACAGCATGGTATTGGTACCAAAACAGAGATATAGACCAATAGACCAATGGAACAGAACAGAGGCCTCAGAAATAACACCACACATCTACAATCATCTGATCTTTGACAAGCCTGACAAGAACAAGCAATGGGGAAGGATTCTTTATTTAATATTTAATAAATGGTGCTGGGAAAACTGGCTAGCCATATGTAGAAAGCTGAAACTGTATCCCTTCCTTACACCTTATGCAAAAATTAACTCAAGATGGATTAAAGACTTAAATGTAAGACCTAAAACCATAAAAACCCTAGAAGAAAACCTAGGCAATACCATTCAGGACATAGGCATGGGCAAAGACTTCATGACTAAAACAGCAAAAGCAATGGCAACAAAAGCCAAAATAGACAAATGGGATCTAATTAAACTAAAGAGCTTCTGCACAGCAAAAGAAACTATCATCAGAGTGAACAGGCAGCCTATGGAATGGGAGAAAATTTTTGCAATCTACCCATCTGACAAAGGGCTAATATCCAGAATCTAGAAAGAACTTAAACAAATATAGAAGAAAAAAACAACCCCATCAAAAAGCGAGCAAAGGATATGAACAAACACTTCTCAGAAGAAGACATTTATGCAGCCAACAGACCTATGAAAAAAAGCTCATCATCACTGGTCATCAGAGAAATGCAAATCAAAACCACAATGAGATACCATCTGACGCAGGAAACGACACATGCTGGAGAGGATGTGGAGAAATAGGAATGCTTTTACACTGTTGGTGGGAGTGTAAATTAGTTCAACCATTGTGGAAGACAGTGTGGCGTTTCCTCAAGGATCTAGAACTAGAAATACCATTTGACCCAGCCATCCCATTACTGGGTATATACCCAAAGTATTATAAATCATGCTACTATAAAGACACATGCACACGTATGTTTATTGTGGCACTATTCACAATAGCAAAGTCTTAGAACCAACCCAAATGTTCACCAATGATAGACTGGATTAAGAAAACGTGGCACACATACACCATGGAATACTATGCAGCCATAGAAAAGGACGAGTTCATGTCCTTTGCAGGGACATGGATGAAGCTGGAAACCATCATTCTCAGCAAACTATCACAAGGACAGAAAACCAAACACCACATGTTCTTACTCATAGGTGGGAGTTGAACGATGAGAACACATGGACACAGGGCAGAGAACATCACACACCAGGGCCTGTCGTGGGGTGGGGAAGCGGGGAGGGATAGCATTAGGAGAAATACCTAATGTAAATGACGAGTTGACGGATGCAGCAAACCAACATGGCACATGTATACCCATGTAACAAACCTGCACGTTGTGCACATGTACCCTAGAACTTAAAGTATAATTAAATAAAAAATTAAAAAAAAAGAATTGGACTGTGATAAGGGGCTAGAATGACCAGATACTAAAACAAAAATTACAACTGTTGTAACATTTTTTAGAGGCCCCCCAAATGTTTTAAAAACGTAAATCCATTATTGCTACCATTATCTTCTCATACGCAAATGATTCAAAGTACATTCATTATATTTCCCACAGACAAATATGTCTTCCTGATTTTTCTATTTTTGGTAGTGGCTCTAAAATGAAGTGTAGTACTCATACAGTAGGCAGACAGACCAATTAAATAGAATAAAAATGACAGAAATAGGCCTCAATACAGATAGAAACGTAGTATAAAGCATCATTTTAAGTCAAAAGAGAAAATATAACTATTAAATAAATAGTGCCAGGACCCACTCTTTTGGATAGACATCTCAAAAAACTAAAACTGGATCCATAACTCCCAGCTCAGGATGATCAATGATTTAAATATAAAAAGAAGAAATCATACAAATATTAAAATTAACTCTATTATCTGACTTTGGAACAAGTGTTAATATGTTATAAAATCTAGTAGCCATAAATGACAAAAAGACTGATTAAATTCAACTAATAAACCTTAAACTTTTAGAATTGAAAGTTAAAGATTTATGAATGGTCAAAGGCACAATAGGCAAGTTTAAAAGAAAAACAATCACCTACAGAAAAATATTTGCAACTCATAGGTGTAGTTTCCCTAATACATATTGAGGTCCTTCATATTGAAAGGAAAGGATCAATAACTCATGAGAAATGAAGGCCAATGACATGAAAAGGTCATTTACAGAGCAGGCAATACAAGTTATCAGTCAACAATTGGAAAGATGTTTAATCTCGTTCATAATAAAAATAATGCAAGATAAAACTATGGTGAGGTACAATGTTTCAATGAGCAGATTAGCCAAGACAAAAATAATTGTTGATAAAGGCCTTCTCAATCAGCTGCTCTTATAACTGGATGGTGCCATTGTGAATTGTTCTATCCTCTTTGGAGGGCATCTGGCATTATAGATCACATTTATAAATATATATATACTCTTTGATTCAACAGTTGTATTTCTAGAAGTTGTCTTATGATACCACTGATGTGCAGTAACATGGGCATAAGGCTATGCATTGTAGCATTTCTTCTAATAACAAAATATGGAAACATTTTAAAAGCCTGTTAATAGGGGGCTGGGTAAAGTAATGATGGTACATTTGTACAATGGATACAGCACAGCCACAAAGAGTAAGAAAGCTTCCTCTGTTCTGATGTGGAAAAATACTGAGAATTAAGGAATATTGTTAAATGAAGATATTGAGATGTAGAATAATGGTCACAATATGGTTACCCTTTGTGTAAAAAAAGGAAAAATAAGAATTCATGTATGCATTTGCTGTGCAAGAATAGAATACTTTTGAAGGATACATGAGAAACTAGTAATAATGATTGTGTGTGCAGAAGAAAACTGGGTAGATGAGGGACAGGGAAAAGAGGGAGATATTTCACTGTATACCTTTTAAATCTTTTGATTGTTGAATCAGGTGAATATGTATTTTAAAACATTACCCTAAAATAAATACATAAAATCTTTGATAATTCATAATGGAAAAACATGAAGAGGAACATAATGAAAGTTTCTAAAACACTTTCCTTGTAAACCACATGAGTGTGGGGGAACATGATGGCTATTGCTCAGCTCAGTCTCTGCTTGATTTGAGATTGCGCAATTCTGCAAAGCTCAGGTATTACCAATTCAGGATAATCTTGAAGTTAGCAAATGGCCAGCCCAGTTTCAAGTTAAGTCCAGTTTCAACTTACTTGCTTTTTTATTTTTTTAGAGTTAGGTATATTGAAGCTGAGTTTACATTCAGTAAAATTCATCTTTTTTAGGTGTACAGTGTCTTGAATGTTGTCAAATGCATGCAATTATGAAACCATCACAACAATTAAGTTATAGGATATTATCATTACCCCCATCTTCTCCCCCAAAAGTCTTCTAAAACCCTCTCATAGTCAATCCTTTTTGCCTACTCCCAAACTCAGGTAATTACTAACCTGGTTTCAGTTTCTATTGTTTTTTTTTTTCTCCCAGGATGTCATATAAATGGAATCACACAGTATAGCATTTTGAGTATGAATTCTTTCTTTTTTTTTTATTTTTTACTTTTTGAGACGGAGTCTTGCTCTGTCACCCAGGCTGGAGTACAGTGGCGTGATCTTGGCTCACTGTAACCTCCGCTTCCTGAATTCAACTGATTCTCCTGCCTTAGCCTCCTGAGTAGCTAGGATTACAGACACCCCCCACACCTGGCTAATTTTTGTATTTTCAGTAGAGACGGGGTTTCGTCATGTTGGCCAGGCTGGTCTCAAACTCCTAACTTCAGGTGATCCACTGGCCTTGGCCTCCCAAAGTGATGGGATTACAGGCATGAGCCACTGCGTCCAGCTGAGTCTGAATTCTTTCAAAGAGCATAATGCATTTGAGATACAACCTTCTTATAGTGTGTATCAGTAATTAGTTTGTCCTTGTTTTCTGAATAATATTCTGTTTTATGGATATAACACAGTACATTTATTCATTCATCAGGTGGTAGACATCAGTGTTGTTTCTAGTTCTGAGTGATCATGAATAAAATCACTATAAAGATTCATGTACAATATTTATGTGGATATATGCTATTTCTCTTGGATAAATAAGAATGGGATCGCTGGGTTATATGGTAAGTCTATGTGTAACTGTATAAAAACTGTTTCTCACAATAATGGAACCATTTTTCTTCCTACAGCAATGTGTGTGTGTGTGTGCATTTATACATATACATAAATTTTCATATATGAATATCAAATATATATACCTACCACAAACACAGTGGCTTAAAATATCACAAATGATTATCTTATAGTTCTGGAAGTCAGAAGTCCAAAATTAGTATCACTGGACTAAAGTAAAGGTGTGGGCAGGGCCGTGTCCCTTTCTGTGGGCTCTCAGGACCATCTATTTTCCTGCCTATTTCAGCTTCCAGAGGCTGCGCACATTCCTTAGCTGGTGGCCTTCCTTTATCTTCAAAGCCAGCAATTGCTTAACCCTGACATTTGCTTTCTATCACCACATCTCCTCTGATGGACTCTCCTTCCTCCCTATTTCTCTTTTGAGGACACTTGTGATTAAATTCAGCCCACTTGGGTAATCCAGAATAATTTTCCCACCTCAAGATCACATCTGCAAAATCCCTTTTGCCACGTAAGATAGCACATTCACAAGTTTTGGGAATTAAGACATGAACATCTTTGCGGGTGAGGAAGGTTTTTTCTGCTTAGCAAAGATGATTTCAAGAATCATGATTTTGTAGCATACATACCATTTTATTTTTGTTAGGGTAAAATTGATGCTCTTTCCAGCTTTCTACGTCTTAGGCGGAAGTACAACATCCAAATAATATGCCTTCAGTTAATTTAGCTGATATGAATGAGGCAAAACAGTTTATTACTTGATTTAGAACTTACACCTAATTTTAGTTATCAAAAACTTCTGTGGATATGTTTTTCCTTTCGTGTGTGTGTGTGTGTGTGTGTGTGTGTGTGTGCGTGTGTGCGTGCATGTGTGTGTGTGTGTGTGTGTGTATGTGTGTGTACATCCCAAGTCTGGGCAGTCTATTTTGTGCCCAGAGGGTGGTGCTGTTGACATAGGTTTACTTCCATCACCTTCAAACTACACTTCTATTTATACTGATTTTTTTTCTTTTTTCAGCATCACAGGGTATTCTTTTATTTTATTTTAAGTTCCGGGATACACGTGCTGGACATGCGGGTTTGTTACATAGGTAAATGTGTGCCATGGTGGTTTGCTGCACCTGTCAACCCATCACCTAGGTATTAAACCCAGCATGCATTAGCTCTTTTCCCTAATGCTCTCCCCTCATCCCCCGTCCTCCCTCAACAGGCCCCAGTGAGTGTTGTTCCCCTCCCTGTGTCCATGTGTTCTCATTGTTCAGCTCCCATTTATAAGTGAGAACATGCGGTGTTTGGTTTTCCATTCCCGTGTTATCACAGGATATTCTTATAAAATCTTCCTCACCCCAACACTTGGACAAAAAGTGAATCTAGATTTTAATCTTCTTCTTGGTTAGTCACTTGCTGCTTGGTGGTTTAGAATCACTTTAAATTTTCATTTTAGGACATTCAGTTTTGTTTTCAAAAGCACTGGTCTGTATTCCTTGGTCTGATTCCCATCCTCTCTCCTGCTCCCAGTCCTTCAATGGAGCATGGAACATGTCTCTCTTTCGTAAAGTTTTTAAATGTTTTCTAGGAATGTTGCACATTTCTCTCCATTGTTGTTACCTGGCAATAATGAGATATATAGCCACAGGCACACATAAGAAAAAAGATTCCCTTCTGCAGAATCTATTTGCCAGCTAGGTTTTGATATTTGAAATAAATAAATGTTTTAAAAATGTAAATTCACTTATTGCTATCATTATCTTCTCATGTGTGAATGACTCAAAGTACATTCATCATATTTCCCTCAGACAGATATGCCCTCCCAATTTTTCTATTTTTAGTAGTGGCTCTAAGAGCCTTCTGAATAAAAGGCTTCAGATTCAAATCTTTGGGAATATTTTTATATCATCTCTTTGTTTGTCTTTTGTGTTAAATTAATGATCAAGCCTGGATACTTCTTTCTTCATTCTGTCTTTTCCACCTACCCCTTCTTTCCATTTCTGCTGCTATCCTATTTTTGGAACCAATTACTGCATTTGGATTATACAAATGACTTATTTTTATTAAAGAGAAAATTTATTATTTTTATTGAAGTCATAAATACAAATGTTTAAAAAGTTAAATAGTGTGGAAGTCTTCCTGGGAAAAAGAAAAGTCCTTATTCTCTCAATTTTCCACTCCCATTCCATTTCCCATGGTGCGAAACTCTTTTAACATTTTTATCATTTTCCATTTTTATTTGTTCTAGGTAGTTCTATCCACACTTATAAATAATATGCATAAACTATGATTTCTTCATTCCTTCTTTTCAGGTTTTTCTATTGGATTCCTGCCATGATAGATGGTGGTTAAGCTCATCTACCCCATTCACCGTTCATTTTCTCTTCTACTGACTGTTCTCAGTTCCTCTTTTCAATACCTATGCAACTTTAAATAATATATTTGCATTTTAATTTCTTGTTCCAACAACTATAGAAAGGATCTCCCCATTTTGAAAGGTTAGAGCACTAGAGATGTCCTTCATCTCTTCTCTTTCCTTTTCATCTTCCAACACGTCACCTGTAATTTTGCTTTGAAATTGTTAGGGTTGATTCTATTTATATTCTCTGATCCCAATTAAGTCTTGTGTGCTCTGTCAGTATATTGATTCTGTAACTGGGAAGAAAAACGTTTAGGTAAATTGGCTAATATCTAACCCAGCTGTGCTCTCTGATTTCATTCCCCTTCTTGTATACTTGTCCCTCCCACCCTCATGACACCTGCCTTTATTGTTTCTTAAGTGTTTGTAATATTCAAGCATTATGGAATGTTGATGGCACCTTATACATTTTTTTCTTCCTGAAAATTTTTTCCTGGAGCCTCCATCCTTTGATTGCATTGATTTCTCTCTAGGCTTGTTGCACAGCCATCATCCTGGGGGCCTCTAAATGTCAGCATGTGAGGGTGGCTGTCTTAGTCCGTTTGGGTCATAAAGGAATACCTGAGGCTGCGTAATTGATAAGGAAGAGAGGTTTATTTAGCTCAAGATTCTGTGGATTGTACAGGAAGCATGGTGCTAGCATCTGTATTTGGGGAAGGCCTCAGACTGCTTCCACTCATGGCAGAAGTAGGTGGAAAGTTGGCTTGTGCAGAGGTCACGTGACGAAAGAACAGACAAGAGAGAGAGGAGGAGCTGCTAGGCTATTCAAACAACCAGCTCTCATGGGAACTAATAGAGCAAGAACTCACCATCCCCCTTTGGTTGGGGGCAAAATAGGAAGAGCTTTAAACTATAGAATGAGGAATTGAGGCTTTACACGGTTGACCATGGGAGCTACTGAAGGTTCCTGGGCAAGCGGAGGCATGACAAAAATGATATCTGGAAAGTAAACTGGCAAATGTTAGAGCAGTATTTTTCAGACTTTTTTTCATTATTGTCCCCCACCCCAGAACATTCATAGACATTTTTTCCCTAATTGCCACTCCTCATGAAATTTTAAGAGCACAGATAAACTGTATGTCTGTTTTTGGAGACAGCCTTTCTCTTCATCTGCAGCCTCTTTTCTGTGTATTTCTGGTTAGGGCTTCATAGTCACCACTTCTTCAGCTTTCCATTTCTCAAAAATTTGATGACATCTCTCTTGCACTAATGGCTTTCCTTCTGTTCTCTTACAAGTGAGTTTTTTACTCCCATTATTCTCATTTAATTGAGTCCATGGCTCAGACTTCCATCTTGAACTGAATGTTCTGAAATGACTTCTTAAGTGCCCATGCTGTTTACAGCTTCTTCTGCCATTCTGCCAACACCGCCTAGATTCCTCTGTGTGACCAGTATATCTCATTTCTTGAAGACTCAGCCTTACTTCTATTACTAGGCCAAGTCAGCCTGTCATAAAGAAGGTCATGGTTAACCACCTCTGTACCTCTGTACCTCCTTCACCAAGTATCACTAGTTGTCCTCCTGGGTTGTGGGCCAGGTCTGAGTGCTCATCTCTGGGTCCCAGATTAGTCTGCAAATCAGAGCTTCTCTTCTATGTCCTGGGCTCCTAGGACTTAATTTCTGCTTTGCTTCTGTTTCTAGCAGGTTTTTCTGTTGTCAACCTCTCCTCTTGCCAGTTGGCAATCTTGTGAATCTGCCACAGCTCCAAGATGACTATGGCTCTCAGGCCCCAGTCGCCAGCTCAGATTCCCAGTTAGTGGGTGCTGTCTGCCTTCTTGGGACCTCATAGTCTTCTCCTGGAAACCCAGGTGCAAACTGCTGCCTGCACCTACCCTGAGGTGGCTGCCTCTTTAGAACACTTCCTTGTCCCTTCTCCTGGTTGACTGCCCTGCTGTTAGCTCAGTCCACCTCCAAACTGTGCTCTGATCTAACTTATTTTCTTTCATTAGGCCCTGTCTTCTTTATCCCCTGTGCTGGTTTGGGCTTTTACGTGGAATACAAAAATACTTCCTACTCCCATCTGTTGATATATCACCCTCTGCTATGGTCTGAATGTTTGTGTCTCTCCAAATTTATGTTAAAATCCTAACCCCCAAAGTGGTGATATTAGGAAGTGAGACCTTGTGGGAGGTGGAGCCTCACGCATGAGATTAGTGCCCTTATTCACAGGCCCCAGGGAGCTTGTTTGTCCCTTCCACTATCTGAAGACATGGTTGGAAAGTACCATTTATGAACCAGGGAAGAGGCCCACACTAGCAACCATGTTTGCTGGCACTTTGATTTTGGACATCCCAGTCTCTAGCACTGTAAGAAATAAATTTCTGTTGTTTATAACCTACTTAGTCTATGGTATTCTGTTATAGCAACCCAAATGGACTAAGACATCCTCCAATTTTACACATTGTGCAATCTACACATTCTCAGTGGGGGCAATGTCACTCATAAGAGGGTGAAAACTGGTTATTGGGAGCTGAAAAAATCATACTCTTTTCATGTTTGTATATCAAAAGTACAGATATATACACACAGTCCATAAACAGACATACAGTTTATCTGTGCTATTAATATTTTACAGGGGATGGCAATTAGGGGAAAAATATCTATGAAGGTTCTGGGGTGGGGGGACAATAATAAAAACAAATCTTTTTTTTTTTTTTTTTTTGAGACAGAGTCTTATTCTGTTGCCCAGGCTGGAGTGCAGTGGCACAATCTCGGCACACTGAAACCTCTGCCTCCCAGGTTCAAGCCACTCTCCTGCCTCAGCCTCCTGAGTAGCTGGGATTAGAGGTGCTGGACAACTCGCCCAGCTAATTTTTGTATTTTTAGTAGATATGGGGTTTCACCATGTTGGTCAGGCTGGTCTTGAACTCCTGACCTTGTGATCCACCATCCTCAGCCTCCTAAAGTGCTGGGATTACAGGCAGGAGCCACCGTGCCCAGCCATGAAAACAAATCTTGACAATACTGCTATCATGTTTGTCCGTTTACTTTCCAGACACCACTTTCGTCATATCTTCACTAACCCAAACACCTTTGGTAGCTCCCATGGTCAACTGTCTAAAGTCCCAATTCCTCATTCTGCAAAGAATGTCCCTAACCATCTTTCTAGTCCTAGCTCTCACTTCTCTCCTGACATAGATCATCCACTCTAGTTAAGTTGCTATTCATACTCTTAACCACAGTTTCTGCTTTTCTACTTTGCTCTCACCGGTATGTTACCTGAATATCTTCCCCTCATCTTTTTCCCTACGAAAATCCATTCAGTTTTAATGTCCTGTCCAAACCTGAATATCATATTTAAAACTTGCCTAATCACTTCAGCCAAGAGATCTCTCATTTTTCTATATTTCAGTGGTATATCTTATCTGTATTCTGCAGTTGATGGAAATTTATTACTAAGTGCTTTTAACTATCCTATTCAGCTCTTTCCTCCAAGAGAATATAAGTCCTTGAAGAGCATTTCTGAGCCTTATGCTCCTCTCTGCCTAAAGCATCCTTTGTGCAGTTGACACTGATACTTTTTGGTAATTTTTTTAATTATTTCTAATTTTAATTAACATAAAGTTCAAGCATATGTATTGGAGAGAGAGGTAATAGGAGGAATTTTGTTGATGAGGTAAAGAAATAGATTCATGTAACTTTAAAAATATATTTCTTTATCTTTCTAACTAAGATAATGGGTACATTTATCATCAAGCAGAGCACAATGTTTTGCAGACATAAACCAAAAACTCCACAGAAGACTAAGGCCATGGTATTTTCATTTCTCCTTCTTTAAAACAAAAAACCTAAGCAAACAATGATTATAACAGCTAGAGCCACGTAGAATTTTAGAGTTCATAAGAACTTCAAGAAATTACAGATAATCACTGCTACTGAGGATCATCTCTTTTTGTGGAGAAGAGTAATCTCTGCTTAAGAGCTTAAAGTAATTTCAGTCTAATGGAGCAGCCTCCCCTGTGGGCCTCCTAAATACCTTGCCAGACTGGGCTGGACTGGATTACCTACATTAAGTGTAAACTTATGTCAGGAAGACAAAAGGGAAAAAAGGGGGAGAAAACGAAGAGATGTTGATTCAGCTTCAATAAACTTTCATATAAATTTATATCTAAAAATTTAGAACAAAATTATTTCCTTTTTTTTGAGACAGGGTCTTACTTTGTTACCCAGACTGGAGTGCAGGGGTCCAATCACGGCTCACCACAGCCTTGACCTCCCAGGCTCAAGTGATCCTCTTGCCTCAGCCTCCCGAGTAGCTTGGACTACAGGTGTGTACCATCACGCTCAGCTAATTTTTGTATTTTTTGTAGAGACGAGGTTGCCCAGGCTGGCCTCGAATTCCTAGGCTCAAGTGATCCCCCAGTCTTGACCTCCCAAAGTGCTAGGATCACAGGCATGAGCCACCACGGCTGGCCTGAATGAAATGGTTTTTCTTACTGTGTAGTTAAGCTTGTATCATTTCAAAATATTAAATTGTGTTTTTCAGTACATATTGGCTGGGAATGCCCACCAAAATCTTTTTAGTGTTTAGGGTGTTAAAGGTCTATATCTACCCTGGGGAAGTGCAGATCAGGGTTTTGGTTGGAGGATCCTGGATGGCGGGATGCATCTGAGTTAGGTGGGTCTTAGGGAAAGGGATGCTGGAATGGGAAACCCCAGGGTTCAGTAGGGGGATGTGGATGGGGTGTTCTGGCAATCATTATGCTAATATGGGTGCTATACAGAAATACCTAATATATCTCACTAGAGTACTGATAAAGAGTATGGCTCTCAAGCCAGACCAACTGAGTTAGAATCCCTTCTCTACCAATTACCAGCTCTATGACTGAGCAGTTTACTTGATTTCTCTGATGTTTTCCTCATGTATAAAATGAAGATAATATTGTTGCACTTCATTGAGAACTAACATGAGTTAATAATTGTGAAGGCACACCTGGACAGAGGAAATGCTCAAGCATGGACATTTTTATATCCCCAGCTTCCAGTGCTATGGCTGGCATGTAGAAAGCATGTGACAAACATTTGCTGAATAATAAATGTGGGACTGCCTGTGAGATGAATGAAGCAGACCATTCCTGAGTAGTTAATGAATGATGCTGAGAAGATCCTGATTCTAGTGGCTCTTTATTAAAATATAATCTTAAGTAAAATGACTAGTTTTATGTTATCAATGTGTATTGCTAGGTTCTGTTTTTATATATGTGAAAGCATCATTATTATTACTTTCTTGTTTTTTCTTTTGTTGTTGCTGCTGCTGAATCCTCACCAGGAAGGAATTAAGATCTCGTTTCCTCACTGAAATCCAGAAAGAAAAGGTTGGTGTTGTGTTCCCTTAGGTTTGAGCCGTGAGAAGCGTCTCTGGTTCATGAGTTTTGGGTGGTAGGAGTGGAAGTAGGATGAGGGGATTATGTAGTATTACCCCTGAGCAGGAAGGCAGGCTTTGAGTAGAGAAGGTGAGGTAGAGCCCTAAGGTTGAGATGGCAGGGAGAGTACAGAGGGGCCCTTTCTGTGGGATTGGTTTGTATTCCAGTCCCAGTTCCCATGAAGTACCCTGGAAGATGGCAAGGTCTTTGATGTGGTCACTGATTTGGGCAGTAGGGACTGAGGAATGGGAGTGTTCTGGAGCTGCTCCTTCAAGTGAATCATCTAAACTTGTATCTTTTCAGAGAGCAAAGATGAACTGGTTACCTTAGAAGCCCTTTATATATATATATAACGAGATTGTGTAAGCTCCACCAATTTCTTTTGTGATATCGAGGAAGGGGGGGTGACTCACAAAGCATGATAAAGTTTGGGGAAATATTTTATTAATATGAAAGATGAGGAATTTAGATTCTGACATGATGTGATTTTTAAAAAGAGATAATAGCATGAAATGTCTTCATCTTAGTGTTGTGGGGCAAATTTGAAGCATCTGTAGTGTACAGTTTAGCAGCTAATTAGCTGAAGCTAATTAAAAGGAAGATACCTAAAATTAATTTTTGATGATAGACATTGCTCTGTAAATTTGGAGCTTTAAGGTGTGTATTCACAGATTATTTTCTCTTTAGGAACAGGATTGCTAAATTTGTGTAGGTTATTATTGAGGCACAGGCAGCCTAAAACATGCCATAGTGATTTGAACAGTCCACTGTAGTGACTTGCTGTGTGGTTCACTTAAGAGGCAGCTCTACAACATTCCCCATCCCCTATTGCTTTCCATCAGCCACTGCGTCAAAGGCCTTGCCACATTCCAGGCACCTCATGGGACTTGGAAACGGGATGCAGGCCCAAAATCATCGAGAAGGAATCTCTCTACTGCCCTTCTATGGCCCCACCTCACTTTCCTCTACTCAAAACATGTAAATACATGGCCTTGATATTTAAAATATGAAAAAATTTATTATGACATTAGCTAAATATAAATGACTAAGTTTCAATTTCTATATTTATAAGAGATATAAGTTAGAGATGAGAAGATGTAGGCCCCATTACATATGTAAAAAAAAAAAGATCCTGTGTGCATTCAATGATTGATTGTTGAATGAATGCACCATAGTCCCTATGTGTTTTATACAGCCTCTGTATATAAAACACTTACAGCAAGCATGAGATAGTGTGATGAGCATGGCCTTTGCCATCAGAGGAACTCAGATTTAAATTCTGACTCTTCCCTCTTGGGCAAATCACTTGTCTTTAATTGGGAAAATCACTTATTTTCAAGATGGTACTAATAAGAACTTCTGCATAAAATTGCTATAATGATTAAACAGGGAAACATAAGTAACACATCTAACAAAGCACCTAGAATATAGTAATTATTCAATAAATATTTTGTGATAGTTAAGATAAACAATTCCAGCTGCTGTTAATATCTAAATCCAGAATTCTCAGACACTTAACCTTATCAAATCTATTCCTCACTCATTTCAGTGTGAGTATTTCTGGATGGGAGGAATTTTATGTGATCATTTAGGGAATTTCATGTAATCATTTAGGGACTAAGTCTCCTTTCTTTTTATGGCTCTGTCCTCTATGTCCTTAGAATTTTCTCCATTTAGCCTATAGATGGAGAAAGTAGGGTGATGTATGGGAAGTTTTGTTGGCATGCACCACTTCTCCCCATTTTCCATTAGCTAGAACTCTGTTATAGACACAAATGTAAGGGAGACTAGTTAATGTAATTTTGTTGTGTGCTTAGAAGAGAACGTGTGTTTGGTGAGCGTCTAGTTAGTTTCGGCCACAGTTTTATTCTCCTTCCTCTTCTATTTTTCTCTTTAAAAATCCAGGGATATTTTTATTTATTATTGTTGAATGCTTTTTCTTTTTGAAGGTCTAATTCATCTAGAATTTCTTATACATAAAAAGTCCTTTTTTGGTACCTGACCAAGTAGTGATCAAGGTTTGTATCAAAACCCTTGAAGGAGATGAGAGAGGGGAGGAGAGAGAGGGAACAACATGCAAGCATATTTAGTGCTTGTAAGGATGAGGTGAAATAGGCACTCTCATTTCTTCCTCATGAAAGAATAAATGAGTCCAACCCTTCTGCAGGGAAATTTGATTTAAAATATTTATACTGCTTGACATGGTAATTCTAGTTTTTGGAAATGACCTAAGGAAATGCTTTGAAATGCAGATATAAATCTGTGTAAAAAATGTTCACTATAACATTATTCATAGTAACAAATAATTGAAGACAATCTAAATGAAAACCCTAGGGAAATGGTTAAATAAATTATAGTATGTACACATAATGAAGTGTTATACAGCTGTTAGAGATAATCTTTAGGAATAGAATTTAACAACACAAAAACGCTTATGCTAAAATGTTAAGTGATGAAAATAGAATATACAGTTTTAAAGACAGTGTAATTCTACCATGGACAGAAAATATTCAAGAAAAATATTGGATATAACCCATGTCTATATCTAGAGTAGAATGGATAAATTAAATTATTACATATCATTTAATGGAATATTCAGCAATGAAATAAACTCCAGCTCCACCAAATAATGTGAATAAATCTTGCATATACATTGTTGAGTGAAAAAAGAATCAAGATATAAAATACATATATTATGATTTAATTTATATAAACTTTAAAGAAGAGACAAAATTAAAATAATAATTTTAGTAACACATGCTTATTTGATAAAATTATAATGAAAAACAAACAAGTAACTAGTAAATCTTTAGCAAGTCTAAGAATTTCCATGAGATTTTTGAAAACCTTTAAGGAGAAACATATAAATAAAACATGGAATTTTCTGCTACTCAAGCAGGTGTGGGGTGAGAGCATCAGTGTTTGGAGTACTAATGTAAAGGTGACCTCATTTGTTCATGCAGCCTGGTAAAACCTGGAACACACAGTTCCACAATCTACTGGTTTATAGTCTTTGGTAGCAAGTAGCAGAAATAAACTCAGGTACTTTGTATAAAAAAGAAATTGATCGTGAGTATATTGGATATATCACTTGGTTTTATTTAACCCCAAAGTAAACAAAAACACAATTACATCTGGCTTAAATAATATGGACCTTCATTATCTCAAGTAACAAGAAGCCCAGAGGTCCCAGAGTTGGCTAATTCAGTAGCTCAATCAGAGACTCAGGTACCTTTTGTCTAGCTGTTCTCTCTAACCACAGCCTGTTGGCGAGTCTCTCCTTGTGGCTTTAAGATGCCTCTAGGTGTTCCAGGAATCATGTGCAGATATGACGATATCCAGATAAGGGGGGAAGGGGATGATAAAAAGCTTGGGTGATACAAAGTTGACTTTATCCCAAGCTCTGTAGCGTACCTGTGCATAAACCAATCAGTGGTAAGGAGAATGAGACTCTTCATACCTGGCTTTAACTTCACTGCCTTGGGTCTGGGAAGGGGCCCAGTGACTCCTAGACAAATGACCAATTAGGGCTTCTGTTATCAAGGAAGAGGTAGGGAAGAAAATGACTGTTGGATGAACAACCAACACTGATTCATCTCAAAGAATTAGGGGAAATAACAACTAAATCTTGAGTATGATGGAAAACAGCTGAGTATATTTTGGGAACTTAGCAGCAGGAATACATGAATTTTTCATCCCTTATGTGTTGCCATTACTATAACTCCATTCCAACAATTCCCTGTCTCTGTCTTTCAGTTCAAAATTTCAAATATTGGAAATGACAGTATTTGAGTGGTCCAGCTTGTGTTAGCTGACCATTCCTGCATCAATAAGCTATAGCTGTGCAGTAAAGTTACTAAGAACAGTCATGGCTGTTGGATACCCACCTCCATAGGTAGCCATCAAAGAGGTGTTTACTGTATTCACCTTCCTGATTATCTGGTGAAGAGGAAGGTGAGAAGGGTATCCATTTCATGTTTTAATAATTATCTTATTTTTGTTTAGACTTCATTATCCCCATATTCTGGTAATTTCATCTTTGACACTGTATTTGACACAAAGAAAGTGTCCTTGACACAAAGAAAGAAACTTGTTTAAGGTAGGTAAACTAGTTTAACTATCTTAAAAGAAACTAATAGTAACCATGAGTTCTGACCAATACACATCTTGTGTTTCATTCTGTCAATGCATAAGAAAATAAAGTATGAAATAGTTGTGATACCAAACATATGGATGAAAGTCCTAGTAAGAAGCACCACCATACCTGGATAATTTTGGTATTTTTAGTAGATACAGGGTTTCACCATGTTGCCCAGGCTGGTCTCAAACTCCTGGCCTTAAGTGATCTGCCGGCTTCGGCCTCCCAAAGTGCTGGGATTACAGGCATGAGCCACTGCACCCCGCCTAAGAAAGCAGTTTAATTCTTCCACTGCTAACTCTATTAAGGAAATAGCACCATACACTTTAGCCAATGCAAATGTAATTGGGGCGGGGGGAGAGAATAGAAGAGAGATGAAGAGACAGAGATAGAGAGAAAGCGAGAGAAATATTGGAGAGAGAAAATTTGGGTAGTTAGTATAACATTGCACTTCAGATTTCTTTACCTGTAGTGAGAGAGGGTGGAGACATCCATTCCCTCTTGCTTCTCATAGCCTGAGCATCCCACCACAAAGTGTCGGATTCTAATAATGTTTAATGATAATACACTTTTCATGAAACATGGTGTCATGTGAATAAATAGCAATTTGTTGCAAAGCTCAGAAAAATAGGCATCTTGAAAGAGAGAACTTTATCAAATCTTGACATTAAGAACTCTAATAAATACTAAGCTGAATAAAAAAGCATTAGGTAAGAGGTTGGAAAGGCTTTTGGTTGTAAAATTGAACCAAAAAGGTGACCCAATTACAAAAGTTTTTACTTTCAGATTTTCTGCTGAAGAGAGGTACAAAGGAATTGAAAGCCAACTAAGGTGGGCATAAACATCGAAAAATCTGCTTCAACTTCAAATGTGCAAACTGCTGGAGAAGCTACAACATTATATTTTGCATGCTTATTCTTTAAAATATACTCGACATTGCTGTATAGATTATACATTTATCCATAACATTGTATAATTCAGAGTTACCCATCTAGAGCAAATATATCCTTTATCTTATGCAATCATGATTTAAGAGATTTTCACTGTGATTCTTGTGACTTTTCCACAGTTGTTGATTCTGCAAAGCCCTCAGATAAATCACAACTTAACCGTGTGTATGTATAAAGGTAGTTCTCCCCATGACTTCGTTATGTAAGAATCAGCTATAGCTCCTTTCTGACTTTAAAGACAGCAAGAACTTTTGAGCATATAATTTTCAGTTGGCTATAAAAATAATTTTTAAAAATTGTGAAAGTAATAGGATAATATTTTAGAAAATTGAGGATATAGAGAAAGAAAAAAATACCACTCTAATAAGTAATGTTTTACCATTTTCAAAATAGTTCTTCCTGTTGTTTGTTGGAGCCTCTGAAGGGACTCCATGTACAGAAACACCCCTCCCCACTTGGTTCTGATCAAGTTAATAAACTAAAACAAAAAATAAGGCAGAGGAGGTCCAAAAATTATCTTTACTGTTGGGATAAGGGCTCTTGGTCTGCCATATGGGTTGCTAATATTGAATATTGATTGAACATTGAATATTGCTAACATTGAGTGTGCCAGCAATACTAGCACAGTAGGCCTCTCTTTGAAGGGTCAGACTCCTGGAATATCAGAGGAACATGAGTTCCCTGAAGCCAGGACAATCCTAAGGGTGAATTGAGTCAAACACCCTCAGTTATTCTTTCCAAATTTAGCAATCAGTTAACCCAACTGACTCCACCTTTCTAGGGCCAGTGTAAATAAAGGGAAGAGGGGAGGTTAAGAGGAGAGCTTAGAAGAAAATCCTTTCCACAGAAAATGGAAATGGGAAAAGGTGTTTTGTTTTTATGAGTTTTTAAAAAACAAACAGAAGAACATATTTCTACACTCATATAAAGAGAACAAAGCAAGAGTTTCAATGGAGTCACGATTGTTGTCATATGAAGACAAGTGTGTAAAAAAAAGAGTTCACACAGCAGGTTTGGGACTGCTAGTCTTAGAAATGCCTGCTTGAAAGATTGGCCTTTGGATGGCATCTGGAAATTCGGGTTTCGAGAGGGTTTTCATCATGACCAGAACTGATAAGAGAAGCTCACTGTGCGTAAATTGTTCAAACAATATGAATTATGTGGAACTCTTGCTTTCCTTCTGGGAGTTCGGAATTTTGATATATGTTAAGCAGAGAGTGCCTACACAACCGGCCCCCAATAAAAATCTTGAGAAGTGAATCTCTAACGATCTTCCTTTAACTTATTGCTGGGATAATAAGTGTGTCCCATAGGAATCCACTGGAAGAGGGCTCTTGGAAGCTTGTGTGTGGCCTCCTCTGGACTTTGCCCCATGGGACTTTTCCTCTGCTGATTTTGCTTTAGGCCCTTTTGCTGTAATAGCTCTTCACTGTGACTTTATACGAGGACCTTTGAGGCTTCCTAGAGTATCACTGAACTGGGAGGTGTTCTTTGAGCCCTCCAAAACAACATGGATAGTGTGGTTTCTATTGTTCCTTCAGTTCCCAGTGTTAAATCAAGTTTAGCCTAAAGCTGCCTCCTTACGTATGTTAAGTTCGGCCTAAAGGTTTTTCTGTACACTGTGAACTATAACCTAAATGGAACTGTAAACAGACCAGGCTCACCTGGTCAGTATTGTACCATAGTTGGACCTGCATCTACTGCAGCTCCTGCTTTATTCTCCTTCAGCCTCCCCAACTCCTGGACCAGACGTGTATTTCACTTTATGATGAAAAAACACTGGTCTTCCCTGCAGGACACACCCATCATCAAAGTTGGAGACTTGGAAGTGGTGAGAAATAAGGGAAGGTTCCAATCCATCTTTCATGAGTTTCAGCTCAGCCTCAGAGGTATTGGAAGAGGCAATCCACCATGCGCTGTGAGCATGCCTTTGTGTTCTTGTTGAATGTGCCAAGAATTTAAGCCTCCTTTTATTTGGTCATTTCTCAAGGTTGTGTTTATAGCAAGAATGCTGAAGATGACGTATCTCCCACTGTGACAAAGAACAAACTACTTACTGCTTATTACAGAAGTAATGGATTCTCCAAACTCAGTGTTTCTCAGCTGTGATACAGATATGCTGCATGTGCAGTATCCATCTGAGATTTTCTGTAAAGCCCCTGTGGGACTTGGGGAGCAAAGGGGACTATGACAAGCATGATGTTCATGCCATTTGCTGTATTGTGAGTAACAAAGTACTTCATCTGTGATCCAGGTGTCTTATGTCTTCTGCCAACATTCATAAAACAATAGAAGGTGAATCTTTCAGCTTGCAAGTAGGGGAATATCCTAGCCTGACAGCAGGTTCCTGTTTGCCCTTGCTCTTTCCTCTTTGTGTCCATCTTTCTTTCCCAACTGCCCCACCCTGTGGACTTAAGGCACTAGATACAGAGACAAAGGAGTCACATAGATTGTTTAACTAGATCCTACAACTGGGTAGGGAAAAATTCCCATAGTAAATGCATTTTATGTATATTTCCTAGTGGATTTGCTTCTCTGACCAAACCGTGACTATTATAGCTCCCCTCACAACCAACCTAATCCATTTTCTGAGATTCCATATTGTTGCAAGTTCTGTATAAACATCATCTTTAATGGCAGAAGAATATTTCATATTGAGTAGATTAGACATACTTTATTTATTTAAACTTTTGACACAAAAATATTTGTTCAGTCTAATTAATCCAAGAGGAAAAGAGATTTGTGAAATAGAATTAAACTTTGAAAATAATCTTCCCTTTATGCAGTACTGATTTTATGTTAAGTATTGGAGGAGGCCGGGCACGGTGGCTCACGCCTCTAATTCCAGCGCTTTAGGAGGCCGAGGCAGGTGGATCACCTGAGGTCAAGAGTTCAAGACCAGCCTGGCGAACATGGTGAAACCCCGTCTCTACTAAAAACATAAAAAAATTAGCTGGGCGTGGTAGTGGGCGCCTGTAATCCCAGCTACTCAGGAAGCTGAGGCAGAATTGCTTGAACCCAGGAGATGGAGGCTGCAGTGAGCCAACCTGATCCCACTACACTCCAGCCTGGGTGACAGAGTGAGACTCCGTCTCAAAAACAAAAACAAAAACAAACAAACAAAAGTATTGGAACACTCTGTAATGTACTATTCTGGTATTTCAATTTCACTTACTTAGGTCTGAAGTACTGGCAAAGCAAGCTTGGGAGAGAGAAAGAATATTGAGTTAAAATATCCAAGGCCTTAGAACCAACATCTTTTTGAAAGGAGAAAGGACCCTAAAATGAAGGGGCAATGAAGCCAAGTTCAGTTAAGTCCTTTAATAACATCCATTACCATTTTCATGTGTTTACTTGCTATAAGGGCTTACTTTAAAGTATAGTCAACACAGAAACAACCCAAGTCCTAAATGTGAGGCAATGTGAAAATGGGCATGGAGACAAATAATATCTGCATTTTTTCCACTTACAGAGCCCAAGGGATTCTGTTCATTAAGTGTGATTTTTTTTTTTTTTTTGAGACAGAGTTTCACTCTTGTTGTCCAGGCTAGAGTGCAATGGTGTGATCTCAGCTCACTGCAACCTCCACCTCCCGGGTTCAAGCAATTCTCCTGCCTCAGCCTCCCAAGTAGCTGGGATTATGGGTATTCGCCACTACACCTGGCTAATTTTTGTATTTTTAGTACAGATGGTTTCACCATGTTGGCCAGGCTGGTCTCAAACTCCTGACCTCAGGTGATCTGGCCACCTCGGCCTCTCAAAGTGTTGGGATTACCGGCATGAGCCACAGCACCTGGCAATTAAACGTGATGTTTAAAGTGGGAAAAAATCATTATTTAAATTTCTTGGCAATAAAAATGGCTATTATGTTGCTCTGCGCAATTCTGCTTTTGTGGAGGGGAAACAAAAGACCTTTTGTAAAATAATTCTTCTGGCACAGTGTCCCAACTATAAAATAATTTAATTGTTGTTCTTAAAATGCTGGACTATAACACTTGTTATTATTCTAAGAAGACCTCATATTTGAGAAGAAATTCTTGCTAAATTGGGGGTGAAGAATGTGGCTCAATAATTATTTCTGCTAGAAAAGGGACAGAACTGAAAAAATTAGACTGCAGAATGACTTAAAGAAGAGGTTACAACTATCTTATTTACTGTATTATCACTGTATCTCTAGGGGCCAACAGGGCCTGGCACAAAGGAGGTGCTTCATACTTGTTCAATGAATGAATAAAAGAGAAACTCAGGGAAAGCAGGACCATAATTTATCCACAGAAGGCAGAATCTGTTTCAGCACATATTATCCGATTAAGTTCCTGAATTTGGAGTTCAATTTCAGCAACGACTCGCCAGTCTTTTAATATATAATTTTCTAATATTAATGTTTATTACTTTGATTTATCTCATTTTTGGCCAGTGTATATTCAATGAGTATTTTTAACACAGATATTTGTGAAATGTTTTCTGAGTTCATGCATATTTGTGTCTTTTTAGTGTTTTTCTTCAGGAAAACAACTTGGTTGGTTATAAAATTTGTTTTTGTTCAAAAGCTGTAGATTTTTTTTTTTAAATTTAACATTATAAAAGTGAGGCTAATCTGTAATTTTCCCTTCTCCCTCTACCCCATTATCCTGAAAGTTTATGATTGTTTTCTTTATTATTTTAATGTTAAAAATTTACCCAGGAGTGTCTAATTATGGATTTATTTTCCCAGGAATGAAGTGAACTGTTTCATCTGTGACCCCGAAGAATCTTCAAAATTTAGATACTTCTTTATTTATAAGTTTGAATTTTGTCAGTTGTTTTGGTCTCTTCCTGAGAGAAAAATAGAATTCTTAGTTTGATTCTCTCTTCTCTGTCCTTATTGGTTTTTATTTCTTTATCATTATTCTCTGTGCTTTAAAATATGTCTCAGTTTTGTCCTCTCTCTCATGTTCTCAGGGTTTTCTAATGTTAATTCAGATCTTTTCTTTTTTCAACATGAATTACAAGTGTTATCAAGTATTTGTTTTTTCTGTAATCCTCTTATTTTGCTTCTTTCCTTTCTTGACATTTTATTTCAGGATGTTATTTCCTTAAACCCATTGTACCTCTTTCATGGAGTACATGAAGTCTGACCTCTTAGAAAAGATGCCAAGAAGATTCATCACGTTTCTTTTGCTTATACGGTTACTATTTTCAGAAGACTTCCAAGTCTTATTCCTGCTAACATAGGAAGTTCCCTCAAGGAGAAATTAAGAAAACAAATGGCAGTGCTATAAAAATTATTTCTTGATGGCACTAATCCTGCTAGCACTAAAACATGTTGGATAAATATTTGCAAAATGTTGTTTTGTGGGGGCACCATATTATTAGTCTATCTGGATGACATATACATTTAATTATAACCTGATTCTAAAAATATTTATGGTAGGAAGGAAGAACAGGGCATCTGTGGTGTTTATGTAATCATTTCTATCTATACATTGTTGAGGTCAAGTTCCAGAACTTGGGAAGAGGTCTATCTTTTGGAAAAGCTTATGTGGTCTCCCTGAGTAGGGTAGACCACAGTCATATATCAAGAATAGAGAGCTGAGCCCTCTCTGATAGCCAGAAAATTGGTGGGGGTGGGGGAAAACTGGCGGGGGCGGGGGTGGGGAAACTCTGGATATGTTTGAGACAAAGACAGATTGATGTGGAACTAGGAACTGGGCAAGCAGCAGGAGGCTGGATGTCTCTTTATTTAAGTAAGGATGATCGAAGGCTGCGAGGTCAAACACTATGAATGTAGTGATTTTTGTTAAAGTTGGATCCAGATGACTGTCAATCCCCTATAACTTCTAAGTGTCTTACGATCTTTATTATTTCTTTTTTTCTACCATGGTCCTTTTTTTTATTTGTGCAAATTATGGGGTACATGAGAAAATTTTCATATGAATATAATTCATAATGTTCAAGTCAGGGTATTTAAAGGTTCCATTGCCCTAGCACAATACATTTTTTAAGTATAGTCATCCTACTCTGCTATCAAATATTGAATTTATTCCTTATATTTTTCTGTTTGTTGGTACCCTTTAACTCACTTCTCTTCATCATCTTCCCTCCCACCTATGATCATTATTTCTTTTGACAAATATACTGTGCCCCTACTTTATGCAATGCACTCGGCAAGCACAAATTGTTTAAGACATGGTCCCTGCAATCAAGTGGTTAACGATGTAGCTGCATTTTTAGTAAAGTCTTACACTCTGAGCCATTAGTGGTATGTGGTTGAGTACCCCTGCACTAATAGGGCAGTCTGCAGAGCTTGTTATACTGGGTTACTCTGTTCCAGCATTCCCAGACTCTGATGGAATAATAAGAGATGATGATATCAATAACTTTTCATCATCTTCCCCTTTAAAACCACATTTTAAGGGTAGCATGTTTTGAAAAGTAAGAAAAAAAAAGGAAAGCAAAGCAAAATAAAAAAAAAACTCACTCAACATCATATTAATCAGAACTAACCACTATTAAAAATTTAGTGTATGACTTTTTTTGAAAAAGCCATTTACAATATTTTTCAGTGTAAATGGTTCATAAAATGTTATAGATTCAATCTGCCTCTTGTTTTTCTAAACATATGAGCCCTCAATTCTGAAGTCAATGCAATTATAACTAAGGATGAGACCAAAATTAAGGACATCAACTATTACTATCCATAGAGCACATGTACATGCGATCATTTTACGGTTCACAAATTCAGGGAATAGTTAAAAATATTATTACAAGGTTGGCTGCGGGGGGCTAATGCCTGTAATCCCAGCACTTTTTGCTTGAGGCTAGAAGTTTGAGACCAGCCTAGGCAACAAAGTAAGACCCTGGTCCCCACTGACCAAAAAAAAGAAATTTCACTGGGCGTGGAGGCACATGCCTGTAGTGCAACCTATTTAAGAGACTGAGGGCAAGAGGATTGATTGAGCCCAGGAGCTCGAGGCTGCAGTGAACTATGACCTTGCCACCGCACTCCAACCTGGGCAGCAGAGTGAGACCCTGTCTTTAAAATAAATAAATACAATTATTACATAACTAATACATGTTCATAGTAGAAAAAGTAGAAAATACGATATGAAAGAAGAGAAAAAAAGTAATCAGTGATCCCATAGATAACAGCTATTAACATTTGGTATTATATTCAATGAGTATGACCTTTTTGAATTTTTTTATCCACATGCACATGCGATTTTTATCAAAATGGAGTCCTATTTTACAAAATGTTTTATCACTTTTCTTTTTCACTATTTTATTTCCTTCCATGTCAATAAATATATTTCAACTATACATCACTTTCAACAACTGTATGTTATTTCATCATCTGGCTATATCATTTTATTATGTGCGATGTTTAAATAATTTGCAATATCTAGTTAAGAATGCTGAAAAGAATATTCTCCACATTTGCCTCTCATCTTTATTTCCTTAATAATCCAATAGGCTTTTAAAGTGATGGGATAGTCTTGTTGGACCCAGGAAGAATCTGCTTCTTTGATGGTTATATGTGAAAGTGTTATCATCCACCATGTTTTGAAAATTAGAAGCTCTTTATCAAGTGTTGTAAGAAAAGGTGACAGAATCTATACACAAGGCCAAGATACATAATTTGGCATGTGACACAATGTGGGAAGGCTTTTCCCAGACAATCATTTAATGAGTCCTTATAGAACATTAGTCAACTGAATATCTGACCTTCAGCTTGAGTCTAATTACTGTTTGGTTATCACAGTTGGATTGGCCAAATGTTATTTAGGGTTTGCAGTATTTAGGCCAGCTTCCAGATTCTGGCATAAGAGGGAAAGAAAAAGGAGCTCAGAAATTTAGTAGAGTGCAGTTCTGACTGAAGTAAGTGCATGATATATACTTTGTTCAAGAGAAGAATAAACAGCCCAACTTGGGAATAAATATCTGATTAGTTTGATAGAGCATTATTTTTCTGAGGCAGTAAATGAAAAGTACAGAAGCAGTAGCAAACAGTGTCAGATCTTAGTACTTTACCAGACAAGATCCAGTAACTCAGGTAGAAATTAGCAGACTCGAGGAAGCAGAAGCTGGATCTGGACCTCTGATGCTTGAGGTGGGGCACAGTGTGAAGCTTTGCAGTGTATGATCCATGACACATGTGACGCGACTAAGTTCACCCTAGAAGGACAAGTGTGTCTACACAGGGTTGGGTAAGAGACATAGTAAACAGGTGGTGTCACATAAAGAGAAGATGGTGTATTCCAGTAGGTGTGTGCAAGACATGGATAAGGAATCTAGAAACAAGTGGTTATTAGAAGTCAAGTAAGGTGAGTGGCAGAGCCTTCTGTTCATAATCTTGAATTGAGGGGAGAACCCTGGCACCTGGAAAGGAGAACTCACTGGAAGTAGCAAGATGAACCATCTGTCTTAGAGATATTAAGTTACTAGGGGGCTTCCTAAAAATGACAAACAAGAGAGAGTAATCAGTGATTGGAACTGGTGCTAGAAGGTACTAGGCTACATGATAAGGCTGGCTTGGTACTGAATGCGAGTCCAGCTTGCCCCAGAATGCCAAGGTCTGTCTTACACCTATGGATGGAAAGGGCAGAGCCTGCAAGTAGGAGCCAAGTGGTTCCAGCGAGGGGGAAAGGAAGTCTTCAGATTAGAGGCAGGGAGTCCAGTCTGAAAACGTGATGCACCTGCCATTAGTGATGGTACCTGTGACAGCATATGTGCCCTTGGTCTTGTCACCTGGCATTGAATGCCTGCCCTGCCCTCTTAGCAGCACGTGGCTCCTTTTCCATCCAGTGCTTCTCACTGACTGTCAGGGAAAGACATAATTTCACTTTTTTCCCCTATCATAGCAGGGGAAGAGAATGAGAAGAGGGTGGTGGGCATGCTCAGAAAGTACCATACCGCCCTCTCCTTGAAGAGACAGAGTATAATTCCCCTCTCTTTAGCTATGATCTGCACGCAGTTACTTCCTTTCAAAGAATACAGTATGGAAAGGAGGAAAGAAGCAATTTTACATTGAAGAAACCTGACAAATACTACCTCAGCCAGGTGATCAAGGTCAACAGCAATAGTGATAAATCATGTTGATAGTATGTACCCTTGATAGGATGTGAAGAAAATGGGCCAGGAGCAGTGGCTTAAGCCTGTAATCCCAGCACTTTGGGAGGCCAAGATGGGTGGATCATTTCAGGTCAGGAGTTCGAGACCAACCTGGCCAACATGGTGAAAGCCCGCCTCTACTAGAAATACAAAAAAAAAAAAAAAAAATTAGTAGCTGGGTGTGGTGGTGGGAGCCTGTAGTCCCAGCTCCTCGGGAGGCTGAGGCAGGAGAATCACTTGAACCCGGGAGGCTGAGATTGCAGTGAGCCAAGATCACACCACTGCACTCCAGCCTGGGCGACAGAGCGAGACTCTGTCTCAAAAAAAAAAAAAAAAAAAAAAAAGAAAAAGAAAATGGCACTTTACCTCTGTGGTCTTCCTTCCCCAAACCTATAACTCCTGTCATGAGAAAAACATCAGGTAGATTCCATTGAAGGGGCATCCTACAAAATGTCTGACTAGTATTGTCCAAATTTGTCAAGGTCATCAAAGACAAGGAAGGTCTCAGAAACTGTTATAGCCAAGAGGGGCCTAGGGAGATGCGACAACTAACATAACGTTGCATCCTGCATTCCTTAGTTTAATTAAATAAAAAATAATAAAGAAATTTGAATAAACAATTGGCACTAGTTAGTAACAATGTTTCAATATTGGTTCATTAATTGTATCCTATGTACCAAACTAATGTAAAATATTAGCAAAAAGACATCTGGGTGCAGGATATATGGAACTTCTTTTACTGTCTTGGCAATTGTTCTGTAATTCTAGAACTATTATAAAATTTGAAACAGTTATCACAAATATATAGAGTAAAAAAATTAAAAAGTACCATAATTGTGGCAGATTTGCTCAAGTATGTGAATTGGTTAAGAAGCTTATTTGGCTGGTGATAGCAATGGGTGTCAAAAACAGTGGCTGTTTGAATATAACAGCATTAGTGATAATGTGCAAAATAGTTCTGAAACCATTTATAAGATTGATATTTTATATTTTGTTAAGTGCTCATTTTCAGGAAAGAGTGGCTAGAAACTTTTGGTACATAAAGCTATTACTTTAAAAGCAGATAAATGGCCAAGAAAAGTTTTCAAGACTCAAGATGATTCAAGTGTATTCACTAAAAGCTAAGTATCTGTTTAGTCTTCAACAGTATCTACTTCTCTTTCTACCAAAAAGCCACAGAATATCCCAGACTGAAAAATGGGTTAAAAAACTGTGTATAGAAGGAAAGGGTTAGTGAATTCATTAACCTTTACCTAGTAATTTAGCGATGACTTGGTAGTAGCTTTGTTTCCTAAGTATATTTTAGACGAGAGACCTGGAATTTTATAGTTCCTTCCTTCCATTTTTCCTTCCGCTCTCCTTTGTTTCTTTGTCATGGTGACCATCTATACAAACCTCAGACACCAAATCAGAACAAGAAAAGAACCGCATAGAATTTCAAATGCATACTTGTGAAGAGAAAGGTCCTGGGCCTCTGCCTCTCCTAGGTTGTCTCATGCAGCCAGTTTTGCGTTAAACACCAGCCAGATGCTGGTTATGCCTCTAGCTCTACCTCTCCACTGAAGTTGAAAGCACAGATCCAACTGCCAACTTGTCGTTTCCACTAGGCTGCTTCCCTCTAAACCTGCACTTTCTCATTGTTTTCCAGCTCAGTTAAATGGCATTCATATCCATCTGTACTCATTCTGTACACACCAAAGTGATGATTTCCTCCTTAGAACTTAGGAATGGTTCGTCTTTATTAATCTGATCATTTACTAATGCAACAAATTTTCCTTTAGTGACTTTTGTATGTAGATTCTGTAAGTGAAGTGTCAGGTTTATTCTTTATGGATGTGCTTTATATGCCAGTGACTCTCCAACTGGGCCACTTCTTTGTTCTCGCTCCCTTTTCTCTGCACATTTACAGGAAAATGGGGGTTCTCTTTCTCTTCTTATTGTGTATCACATTCTTTCTCTGAGTGTTTTCTTGTAATGGTTTGGAGTCTTTCCCCTGCCCCTCAGCTTTATTAAGGTAGAATTGACAAACAAAGATTGTATATAGTTATGGTGCACAGCTCAATGTTTTGATATATGTATACATTGTGAAATGATTAAATCAAGTCACTTAGCGTCTTTCACCTCATACACTTATTTTGTGGTGAGAACATTTAAGATCTATTCTGCTAGCAATTTTGAAGTACATATTATTATTGTTAACTATCCAAATGGTCTTTTAAAACAAAAATTATATCATGCTACTTTGTTATTTAAAACTTTCAGATAGTACCTTCTACAATTAGAATAAAATAGTCAGTTCTGCTATAATGCTTGCTTTTGAAAAGCGATTGTTAAGGAAAAATTTGAGCATGATGAAAATTTCATGTTTGCGTACGTGTGAAAAATTCTCAGTAAATGCAGAAACTGCACCTGATGAGTGGCTCAGCGCAGGGACACACAGAATGCACACAGGCACCTCAAACATCCACCAGTGACCTCAGTTAACTGTGTTACGAGCCACACCCCACATAGCAGGCATTACAACTTTCCATTGGATTGCAGGTGACCCTTCTGCAACCACATCGCAATAACTCACAGCTGCATCATTTCTGACGTCTGTTTCTACAAACTTCGGGTATTTTTTAAGGTAAAGTGTCATATGTATTGTAGTATTTATGAACTTAATCATCAAAAATGTGGGCTGGGCACAGTGGCTCACGCTTGTAATCCCAGCACTTTGGGAGGCCGAGGCAGGCAGATCACAAGGTCAGGAGATCGAGACCATCCCGGCTAACACGGTGAAAGCCCGTCTCTACTAAAAAAATGCAAAAAATTAGCCGGGCGTGGTGGCGGGCGCCTGTAGTCCCAGCTACTCGGGAGGCTGAGGCAGGAGAATGGCGTGAACCCGGGAGGCGGAGCTTTCAGTGAGCCGAGATCGCGCCACTGCACTGCAGCCTGGGCGACAGAGCGAGACTCCGTCTCAAAAAAAAAAAAAAAAAAAGTTCAAAAGTGTGCTGTTTTTATCAGGTTTTTACTATTTTTAAGTGCCGCTTACAAAGATTAGTGTTAAATCAAGTCACTTAGGTGTTTGACTGCTTCCGCATGGGTGCCGTAGTTTTTAAATTGCATGAAGTACGTATGTCATATTATAGCCGATCTTACAGTGCAAATTCCTTACTTGCAATGACCTGCACATTGGCCTCATCTCACATCAACTCAACACAGCGCTGCAGCCACACCACACATTTTCACCTCAGGGTCTTTTTCTGCACGACCTGTTCTTTCTGCCTGTTACTTATTTATTCTTTGAGTTCTTCTAAGGGCTGGCTCCACTGCTTCCTTCAGTTTTCAACCTCAATTTTACATTCTCAGTCAGCCTTTTAAAACTACTTTATCTGAAGCAGCACCTTGAAAATCTCCCCTCAATATCTCCATCATATCATCTTATTTATTTTTTGTTGAGCTTATCATAATCTAAAATTATTTGAAATATTTAATTAATTTCCTTCTCTGTTTTCTAAAATGTAGGATCTTTAAAGATACTACTGTATATCTATCAACTTGAACAACTCTGGTATACAGTGGGCCTGCAATCAAATATTTTTTGAATGAAGGAATGGACAGGCATGAGTGTGTCATCATCTTTTTGCTCTACCATTAGTGCTTTTTACAAAAAAACACATATTTTGCACTATAATGTTATGTCAGAAAAATATTCAGACTATAAGTCTTCCTCCAAGCTTTCCTCAAGGTATCTCTAGCATTTTACAAGAGTAAATGAACACTGGAAAAAAGAAAATAGCAATAATTTTGAAGGATTACTAGACACCAGCCCTGAATTGATGCTAAATTCAGGGGAACAGAAAGCCACTGTTGTTTACTTTTCAAAGTAAGGTTTCTGGAAATCAAGTACTAAATGAGGTTTTGGCCTAAATTTGAATCACCATGGGCCCAGTAGATCCGCAGGCCCCTGTGGTTGTTTCCTAGGTTACTGGATGTATAATCTGAATAGACATACTTGAGAGTTGGAAGGATCATCACATTGATTCTCCGACTCATGAGGTAAAGATATTATGGGAGGAAGGACCAAGTGTATGCCCCTCGAGCTTCCTCTTTCTGCCAGGATGGTAAACCAAAAGCAATACCACATTGCTGGAGGAACTTCAGAGGCTATTGCCATTCCCAAAGATTTGTAAGATGCAAGTGTAGTGATACCAATCCCATCCCTATCTAATTTGCTTATTTGGGCTCTATAGAAGTGGGATGGATCTTGGAGAACGACTGTGGAATGTCATACATTTATTCAGGTATTGGCTTCAGTTTCAGCTTTTGCTCAAGAATGGTGCCTTAATGAAGCAAATCAACGTTGACCCTGGCATCTGGTATGCAGCTACCAACCTGGAAAATGCTTGTTTTCTATATTGATTTGCAAGAACCACAAAAGTGGATGGTTTGTATGTTAGGACCAAGAATACGCTTTCATGATCCTACTTGAGGGCTATGTCAATATGTAAGAAAAAATTGTGCTTTTTCTTACAATATCTTCCACAGGGATCTCAGTCACCTTGACTTTTTATTTACTTATTTATTTATTTTTGAGATGGAATTTCACTCTTTTTGCCCAGGCTGGAGTGCAATGGCATGGTGTGTTCTCTGAAGAACTCTAACGCAGTTAGTGACCAAGATTAGTGGTAACCTGACCTAAAAAATGCCTCAGAAAGGTTGAACTTGGGCAAATGGGCACTGGTGATCCTCAGCCCTCAGTTGAAGACTGGATTCTTCTAGAACTTGACTACATAGTCTTCTCTTTCTAGTTGAAGACTGGATTCTTCTTGAAATTGACTGCATAGTCTTCTCTTTCTATTCTTTGAATTCTTATTTGGATTTCCTTAGCACTGTGTTCAGGAAATGCTATCATTCCTTACAAGCACCATCAGCATAATAATTTACTTGAATGACCATATGTGGTTTTAATTCTGTATTTTCAGAGGCTTTCAGAAGGATGTTTTCTTGCAGTTTTACTGCTTTCATGCCTAACATCTTAGTCCAATCTGGATGCTATAACAAAAATACCACAGACTAGGTAGCTTAAACACAGAAATTTATTTTTCATAGTTCTGCAGTCTGGGAAGTCCAAGATCAAGGTGCTGGCACTTCTATTGTCACAAGGGTCTGCTTGCGTCCTGGTTTGCAGATAGCAGTCTTCTCGTTGTATCCTCACATGGCAGAAAGCAGAGAGAAAGGAAGCAAACTCTCTCCTTTCTCTTCTTACAAGGGCACACCTTCATGACCTACACACCCCCTAAAGGCCCCATCTCCTGTTATCATCACATTGGAGGTTAAAATTTCAACATATACATTTTAGGGGGTCACAACATTCAGTCCATAGCATTCCATAGTTCTTAACCCCAGGAAGCAAGGCTCCAAAGAATGGATAGACAATGATGAATATCTGAGGAACCATGCTCTTGTATTTTATGTTCAAGGATAAGAGACAAACTTTCTGCATTTTTTTTTTTTGCCAATTTGTTAAGACACTTAGCTGTTTAGTTCTGATTATCTTAAATTTATGATTTCTATAAATCTACATCATTCAGTGAAACTCTATTCAAATAGCAGAAAACAAAATGTCCCAAGGACTCTAATTTATATCCTTCTCTACTGAGCGCTATGTATGTGGTTTCTATGTTATTTAATGTCTTTATTTTATGAATAATCCAATCAATTGAATGACAGTCAAGGGAATCTCACCACGTGCTGGAAGTCTAACTGAAATTTGATAATACTTAATGCAGTGAAATTTACTGTAAGGTACAATTTAACAGTACTATTTAAACTGTGCATCCTTCACTATAAACCAAACCAGTTAATTGAATATATCAATTAATTGAATTTATCAATGAGGATCCTAGGGAGAAACATGGGGCTATTAACTTGATTTCAGATTACAAATAATAAAGTAAAGACAAGCCACTGTGAGGGCAGACACATTGCTATGGTGTTCAGTTATCCTACCAGAAACATGAGAACTTGAAGAGAATAATTTGTGTTGAATGAAGCCATTTCTTCTAATTATTTTTTGTAGTTAAGTGAGTGAAGTTGGGGGATAGGCAACCATCAGACACATAGCCAAGAATCTGAAGTAGTCACAGCTAAATTTTATATCTTGTTCAGTTGAGAACCTCTCTCATAGCTTGTTACACGTCCACAGCCCAGATATAATTAGAGGCAGAAAGTATTTTATAGTCTAGAGGAAAGTTATTGATAACAAGAAAAGGTAAATATTAAGCCAGTCAGGACAAGAAAGTTGTGGAATACAGGAAAGAGAGCTGGAAACCAACTCTAAGAGGGGAAATAAAACAGTGAATATGCTATATTATGGGAACATGGAGAACTATGTTCTAAAAGCAAATGTCATGCTTGTAGCCAATTAACTATAAGCTTCAGCAGTGTGGACCATCAGGACCCTGCAGGTCTTTGGACATGCCAGATCCCATCGGAACCTCTGGGATGTCCCTGAATAGGCTTCAGATGATGATTCTGGTGTCATGCTAGGGTAAATGGGGACATGTTTTTCTTATGCTCTCTGTAATCCCCATGGAGACGTTAACTACGTGTCCACAATATTGAATACCAGACTGAATCCAAGGAAAGTTCTTACAGAAAATAGTGTCATCAAAATTGACAAGAAAAAAGACAAAAAAGAGCTTGAGTTAAACAATAAGTGTTAAGTAAATTGAAATTATAATCAAAGTACTTCAAGCCACGATATTTCTACAGACGAGTTCTCATTTTTCAAGGAAGAAAAATTCTTTTCTTATTTGAATTATTCTGAAAAAATAAATAGGAGTAATCTGATCACCTTATTTTATGAGGCTAAATTATGACTCTAAAACCAGGTAAGAGTAATGCAAGGAAATCATGGCCTAGTTGTCCTTATGGCAATAGAGGTAAAAATCTTAAATAAAATATCAGCAACCAAATCCAATTGTGTGAACCAGAGTATATTACGATAAAATAGGCTTTATATTAGTAATACAAGGATGATTTTACATTAGAAAACTCTGTCAATGTAATTCCCACATTAAAATATTAATGGAGAAAATAATTATCTCAGATGATACAGAAAATTACTTGATACCACACTTATTTAAAATAATTATTTTCTAGTAAGTGAAAATAGAAGAGAATTTCCTTACTGTGGTGAAGGTATGTATCAAAGTCCTGTAGCAAATATTACAGTTAATGAAGAAACTCAGATGCAGTCCCTTTAGGATCAGGGATAAGAAAAAGTTGCCTGTTCTCATTGTTACAGTTTAATATACAGTGACAGGTTTTGGCTAACTCTACAAGGAAAAAAAAGCAACTAAGATATGTAAATATTGCAGAGATAAAACACCTTATTTGGAGATAATAATGTTATATAGAAAAGGCATCAGGATCAACACCAACTTGTAAATAATAACAGAATTCAACAAGTTTGCCAGAATTAAGATCAACTTAAAAAGCCAATAGATAATTGCACATTTATTGGAAAAAAAATGAACCTCAACCTAAATTTTACACTTTAAACAACAATTAACTCAAAATGGATCATAGATTTAAAATACAAAAATGAACTATAAAACTTCTAGAAAAGAATATAGGTGAAAAACGTCAGGACTTAGAACTAGGCAAAGAGTTTTTAGACTTGACAACAAAACCATGATTAATAAGAGGAAAAATTGATAAATTTTACTTACATTAAAAGCTTTTCCTCTGTGAATAATGCGTTATAAGAATGCAAAGATAAATTATGAACTGGGATAAATGCGCCAAGTCACGTAACTGGCAAAGGCCTTTTATCTACAATGTGTTAAATTCTCAAAACCAAACAGAAGAATACAAACAATTGAATTAGAAAATGTACAAAAGATATAAACAGTCAGTTCATCAAAGAGGATATACAGATGGCAAATAAATAAAAATATGTTCATAATTATTAGCCATTAGAGAAATGAAAATGAAAACTATAATAAGGTATTACTACATATCTATCAGAACAGCTAAAAAAATAGTTATAGCACCAAATACTGGCAAAGATGTGGAGAAAACAATACGCACCACTGATGGGAATATAAAACGGTACAGTCGTTCTGGAAAATAGTTCAGCAATTGTTTTCAAAACTGAAAACAGACTTAACATAAAGCCCAGCAATTGCTCCCCTGGAAATTTATTTCAGGGAGTTCAAGACCAGCCTGGCCAACGTGGTGAAACCCCATCTCTACTAAAAATACAAAAATTAGTCAGGCATGGTGGCAGGCGCCTGTAATCCCAACTACTCAGGAAGCTGAGGCAGAAGAATCGCTTGAACCCAGGAGGGGAGTTTGCACTGAGCCGAGATCATGCCATTGCACTCCAGCCTGGGATAAAAGAACAAAACTCTGTCAAAAAAAAAAAAAAAAGGAAACTTATTTTCATTCAGGAACTTGTACACATTCATAGTAGTTTTATTCATAAGAGTCAATAAATGGAAACTACACAAATGTCCTTCAAAGTGTGAATAGTGATAAAACAGTGGTACATTCATACCATATTACTGATTAATATAAAGGAGTAAACTATTAATACATGTAACAACTTGGATGGCCTAAAGGGCAAGATGCTGTGTGAAAAAATAATTTCAAAAGGTCATGTATGTACTATAGTATATGTCACCTTTTATTTTGAAATAATTTTAGATTGACAGGAGATTGCAGCCAGTGTCATGCAGTCTTTTCTTAGCCTCTCCCAACGTTAACATCTTACACAACTGTAGTATACTATTAAGAAACTGACACTGATACAATCCACAGGCTTATACATATTTTGCAGGTTATACATGTACTCATATTGGGGAGAAGGCAGTAAGGTGTAACTCTACCGAATTTTATCAGTTGAGTGTTTTGATTGTGGTTGTTCATGTAAAGCTACATGTGATAAAATTCAACAGAGGTATTCCTTCCTGCCCCCTCTCCAACATGAGTACATGTATAACTGGCAAAATATGCATAAGTCATATGGATTGTATCAATGTCAATTTCTTAATATTGTACTATACTTGTGAGATGTTAACGTTGTGAGAGGCTGATAAAAGAAAAGTTAGTCTTGCTATGTAGTATCAAAGTACATTTCAGAGCCAAACTATTACCACAGACAAACAGGTCCTTTTCTTAAAGATAAAAGTGTGAGTTAATCAATAGAACATAACAATCCTAAATGTTTAGGTATCTAATAACAGAATTTCAAAATACATAAGGTGAAAAACTTTACGTATTTTCTTTTAGAAATGCAAGAAAAATTTAAAAAATTATAGTTGCATATTTCAATGTTTTCTCTCAATAATTGACAGAATAAATAGAAAAGCAGTAAGTAAATAGAAGACTTAAACTACACTGTTAACTAACTTGACCTAATTAACATTTGTACAGCACTCAAACTAACAAAAGTAGAAAACATATTCAAGTGTGTATGAAACATTTATCAATATAGCTGATACATTGGACCATAATAAAAGTCTCAATAAACTTAAAAAATTTGTTATACAAAGTATGCTCTTTAATCAGCATGGAATTAAACTAATAATCACAAGAAGATATCTGGAAAATCCCCAAGTATTTGGAGACTAATACTTTTTTTTTTTTTTGAGATGGAGTTATGCTCTTGTTGCCCAAGCTGGAGTGCAATGGTGCAATCTTGGCTCACTGAAACCTCTGCCTCCCCAGTTCAAGTAATTCTCCTGTCCCAGCCTCCCGAGTAGCTAAGATTACAGGTGCACACCACCACGCCCAGGTAATTTTTTGTACTTTTAGTAGAAATGGGGTTTCACCATGTTAGCCAGGCTGGTCTTGAACTCCTGACCTCAGGTGATCCGCCGGCCTGGGCCTCCCAAAGGGAAACTAACACATTTTAATAATAAAAGTACAATGTATAAAATTTTGTGGACTATATCTAAAGCAGTACTTAGGGGATATTTAATGCTGTAAATGCCTATATTAGAGAAAAATGTTTCTTAAATTGGTCTCAGCTTCCAGTTAAAGAAACCATAAGAAGAGTGAATGAAACTCAAAGTAATAAGAAAAACAAAGATCAATGCAGAAATCAATGAAATGGAAAACAGAAAGACAAGAATAAGTTATGAGGATACTTTTGAAAGTGATGAATATTCTTGTTATCTTGATTGTCATAATAGTTTCATGCTTATACAAATTTTAAAACTTATTAACTTGTGCATTTCAAATACACACAGTTTATTGTATATCAGCTCTGCTGGGAGGTGCTGGAGCATTGCTGGTGATGCGGGAATATAGAATCTTCATGGATTGATGGTGACAGCATAGTACAGGTGTTCTGGAAAGCGATATGGCCATAGTTGGTCATATTAAATATAAACAAACCATGTAACCCAGCAATTTTGCTCCTGGGTATAAACCTCAAAGAAACATCTAAGCGTATTTCATAGGGGACACATATGAGGATGTTTTTCATGGCACTATTTGTGACGTTGGGGAATAAGTGGAAACTGGGTAATAATGGCTGGGAAAGTGGGTAGGTAAAATGTGAGAGACGCATCTACAGAGTGCTTTACAGCAGTTAGACATAGCAACCTGGAGGGAGCTTAAAGCATCATGTTGAGTGAAAATAGAAATGTGTGTGTGTGTATGTGTGTGTGTGCGTGTGTGTGTGAGAGAGATTGTCTATAGGCAAGTGTGTAAATGTATATGTGTATACATGTATGCATCTGAAATTATAATTTACATTTAATAAAAACACATGCATACAAGACAAACTTATACACTTGGCAAGATCACACAGTTATACCTTAAACTTAGAAGAACGTTTGTCTATGGGTTGGGGGTGAAGAATTTGGATTGGGAAATGAGCTTAAAAGAGAAAAAAAAATTAGATGGTTTTTGTTGTTGACTACATCCCAGGACTGTTTGGGGGATTCAGTGGTGTTTTGTGTTCTATGTGCTTCAAATATCTTGAGCTATGATGTGGAAGTCACTTATAGAATTGTTTGCTTGTGAGGAGTCAATGCCCTTTTCCCTACTCAACATCTTTAACTGATGGGTGTGGGTTAGAAAGAACTCATCGGCCGGGCACGGTGGCTCACACCTGTAATCCCAGCACTTTGGGAGGCCAAGGTGGGCAGATCACCTGAGGTCAGGAGTTTGAGACCAGCCTGACCAACATGAAGAAATCCCATCTCTACTAAAAATACAAAATTAGCCAGGCGTGGTGGCGCATCCCTGTAATCCCAGCTACTTGGGAGGCTGAGGAAGGAGCAACGCTTGGACCCGGGAGGTGGAGGTTGCAGTGAGCTGAGATCGGCCATTGCACTCCAGCCTGGGTAACAATAATATAATAATAATAATAATAATAATAATAATAATAATAATAATAAAATAGAAAGAACTGATCAACATGCTTAACTCTAGAGTGAGGTATTCAAAACTCAGTCTTTTTACTTTCGAAACTTTACTCTAAATCCTATTAAATTTATGTAGTTAGGTATAGTAGGTTTCATTTGAGCAGAAGGTTAGATTTTCAGTTGAATAGCCTTCAGATAATTGGCTCAATGATTCAAGAAATATTTACTGATACTCACTGATTCAAAAAATATTTACCGAGAACTGTGCCTATCTGAGATGTACTAGGTGACATGGATACTGTGCTAAGTAATATTGACACGAATACGAATCAGAGGAGGCCTGCCATCTATTGTCCTCGGGACAGGCAAATATGAAAGAAGTCATGTGATGCGAATTAAAGGGGTTGGGGCAATAATGTGCATAGAGAGTGGGCATAAAAGAAAGGGTTAGTGATTTTTAACTGAGTAAGAGGGAAAACATGGGGGTTAAAAAAGCTTCAGAAAGCTGATTATATGTGAGTGGGATCTTAAAATTAAATCAGTTGTTCGTGGGAGCTGAATGATGAGAACACATGGACACATTTAGGGGAACAACACACACTGGGGCCTGTTATCAGGGGCAGGGGGAGGGAGAGCATCAGGAAGAATAGCTAATGGATGCTGGGCTTAATGCTTGGGTGATGGATTGATCTGTGAAGCAAACCACATGGCACACATTTACCTATGTAACAAACCTGCACATCCTGCACATGTACCCCAGAACTTAAAATAAAAGTTGAAGAGAAGAAAATCAGGTGTTTGTCAGGTAGCTAGGGGAGGGAGATGCATACAGTGTAGAGGGACCATTTAAACAATGTGTTAGGGGAGATGAAAGTACTTGGGTAGATATGAAATGTAAAATGCACATTGTGGTACAAGACATGGCAAGAGATGAAGCTGGGAACCATGGGCTCTCCTGTTGCTAGGGTTAGTCTAACAGGTCCCAATACCTGTTCCAGTATCATCTCTTTCTCATTCTGTCTCCTTGGACCTAACAGTGTTCTGATCTTAGCTGTAAAAGTTGATTAAATTCTTTTAACAATGTTGCATATACTCCAAAGATATTACAACTTGATTGCATACGAAAAACATAATTCTTTAAATTTATTTTTAGTGTTAGAGTTAATAGGTGATGCATAATAGACAATCTGAGCCAGATTGTGAATGTTATTATGACACATATAGCTACTATAATTGTTAATCTGTGGGTTTTTGAATTAGTTGTCAAATATAAATATGCAGCAAAAATTGCCTCTTCTTTTCCATTAATTTTTATGACATCCAACTTTTCTATTTTCTTGACTGTTACTATAAAGACTTTTGGTAGATGAATTATTTTACAGTCACCGATTTTTAGTCACTAGCTAAAGTTTAAATTCACTGCTGCAGATGTCCCAAATCATCTGGGTGGTGTCATGGGAAATATTTTAAGCTATCATCTATTGTTTGTCATGGATGAGTGATCATTCTATCACCTTAGATTTTAAAATTTGCTTAGGTTATTTAATGATAGTTTTATTTTTATTTTTGATAATTTTTATTGAAGTATAAAATGCATATAGAAAAATACACAAGTTTTACTTTTTTAAAATATAATTTAAGTTTCAGGGTACATGTGCACAAAGTGCAGGTTTGATACATAGGTATACTTGTGCCATGTTGGTTTGCTGCACCCATCAACTCGTCATTGACATTAGATATTTCTCCTAATCCTATCCCTCCCCCCAGTTCCCCACCCCACGACAGGCCCTGGGGTGTGATGTTCCCTGTGCTGTGTCCAAGTGTTCTCATTGCTCAATTCCCACCTATGAGTGAGAACATGCAATGTTTGGTTTTCTGTCCTTGTGATAATTTGCTCAGAATGATGGTTTGCAGCTGCATCCATGTCCCTGCAAAGGACATGAACTCATCCTTTTTTATGGCTGCATAGTATTCCATGGTGTATATGTGCCACATTTTCTTAATCCAGTCTATCATTGATGGATATTTGGGTTGGTTCCAAGTCTTTGCTATTGTGAATAGTGCCGCAATAAACATACGTGTGCATGTGTCTTTATAGTAGCATGATTTATAATCCTTTGGGTATATACCTGGTAATGGGATGGCTAGGTCAAATGGTATTTCTAATTCTAGATCCTTGAGGAATCGCCACACTGTCTTCCACAATGGTTGAACTAGTGTACACTCCCACCAACAGTGTAAAAGCATTCCTATTTCTCCACATCCGCTCCAGCATCTGTTGTTTCCTGACTTTTTAAGGATCGCCATTCTAACTGGTGTGAGATGGTAGCCCATTGTGGTTTTGATTTGAATTTCTCTGATGACCAGTGATGATGAGCTTTTTTCATGTGTCTGTTGGCTGCATAAATATCTTCTTTAGAGAAGTGTCTGTTCATATCCTTCACCCACTTTTTGATGGGTTTTTTAAAATTGTAAATTTGTTTGAGTTCTTTGTAGATCCTGGATATTAGCCCTTTGTTAGATGGGTAGATTGCAAAAATTTTCTCCCATTTTGTAGGTTGCCTGTTCACTCTGATGGTAGTTTCTTTTGCTGTGCAGAAGCTCTTTAGTTTAATTAGATCCCATTTGTCTATTTTGGCTTTTGTTGCCATTGCTTTTGGTGTTTTAGTCATGAAGTCCTTGCCCATGCCTATGTCCTGAATGGTATTGCCTAGGTTTTCTTCTAGGGTTTTTACGGTGTTAGGTCTAATATGTAAGTCTTTAATCCATCTTGAATTAATTTTTGTATAAGGTGCAAGGAAGGGATCCAGTTTCAACTTTCTACATGTGGCTAGCCAGTTTTCCCAGCACCATTTATTAAATAGGGAATCCTTTCCCCAGTTGCTTTTTTTTGTCAGGTTTGTCAAAGATCAGATGGTTGTAGATGTGTGGTGTTATTTCTGAGTCCTCTGTTCTGTTCCATTGGTCTACATCTCTGTTTTGGTACCAGTATCATGCTGTTTTGATTACTGTAGCCTTGTAGTATAGTTTGAAGTCAGGTAGCATGATGCCTCCAGCTTTGTTCTTTTTGCTTAGGATTGTCTTGGCAATGTGGGCTCTTTTTTGGTCCCATATGAACTTTAAAGTAGTTTTTTTCCCATTCTGTGAAGAAAGTCATTGGTAGCTTGATGGGCATGGCATTGAATCTACAAATTACTTTGGGCAGTATGGCCATTTTCATGATACTGATTCTTCCTATCCATGAGCATGGAATGTTCTTCCATTTGTTTTTGTCCTCTTTTATTTTGTTGAGCAGTGGTTTGTAGTTCTCCTTGAAGATGTCCTTCACATCCCTTGTAAGTTGGATTCCTAAGTATTTTATTCTCTTTGTAGCTATTGTGAATGGGAGTTCCTCATGATTTGGCTCTCTGTTTGTCTGTTATTGGTGTATAGGAATGCTTGTGATTTGTGCACATTAATTTTGTATCCTGAGACTTTGCTGAAGTTGCTTATCAGCTTAAGGAGATTTGGGGCTGATACGATGGGGTTTTCTAAATATACAATCATGTCATCAGCAAACAGAGACAAGTTGACTTCCTCTTTTCCTAATTGAGTGCCCTTTATTTCTTTCTCTTGACTGGCTGCCCTGGCCAGAACTTCCAACACTATGTTGAATAGGAGTGTTGAGAGAGGGCATCCTTGTCTTGTGCCAGTTTTCAAAGGGATTTCTTCCAGTTTTTGCCCATTCAGTATGATATTGGCTGTGGATTTGTCATAAATAGCTCATATTATTTTGACATACATTCCATTAATACCTAGTTTACTGAGAGTTTTTGGCATGAAGCACTGTTTAATTTTGTCAAAGGCCTTTTCTGCGTCTATTGAGATAATCATGTGGTTTTTGTCGTTGGTTTTGTTTATGTTTATTGATTTGTGTATGTTGAACCAGGCTTGCATCCTAGGGATGAAGCTGACTTGATAGTGGTGGATAAGCTTTTTGATGTGCTGCTAGATTTGGTTTGTCAGTATTTTATTGAGGATTTTTGGATTTTTGCATCAATGTTCATCAGGGATATTGGTCTAAAACTCTTTTTCTGTTGTGTCTCTGCCAGGCTTTGGTATCAGGATGATGCTGGCCTCATAAAATGAGTTAGGGAGGAGTCCCTCTTTTTCTATTAATTGGAATAGTCTCAGAAGGAATGGTACCAGCTCCTCTTTGTACCTCTGGTAGAATTCGGCTGTGAATCAATCCATCTGGTCCTGGGCTTTTTTTCATTGGTAGGCTATTAATATTGCCTCAATATTACAGCCTGTTATTGATCCATTCAGAGATTCAACTTCTTCCTGGATTAGTCTTGGGAGGGTGTATGTGTCAAGGGATTTATGCATTTCTTCTAGATTTTCTAGTTTATTTGCATAGAGATTTTTATAGTATTCTCTGATGGTAGTTTGTATTTCTGTGGGATTGGTGGTGCTATCCCCTTTATCATTTTTTATTGCGTCTATTTGATTCTTCTCTATTTTCTTCTTAATTAGTCTTGCTAGTGGTCTATCAATTTTGTTGATCTTTTCAAAAAACCAGCTCCTGGATCCATTGATTTTTTGAATGGATTTTGTGTCTCTGTCTCTTTAAGTTCTGCTCTGATCTTGGTTATTTCCTGCCTTCTGCTAGCTTTTGAATTTGTTTGCTCTTGCTTCTCTAGTTCTTTTAATTGTGATGTTAGGGTGTCGATTTTAGATCTTTCCTGCTTTCCTTGTGGGCATTTAGTGCTATAACTCCTTCTATGAACTGCTTTGGCTGAGTCCCAGAGATTCTGGTACATTGTGTCTTTGTTCTCATTGGTTTCAAAGAACATCTTTATTTCTGCCTTCATTTGGTTATGTACCCAGTAGGCATTCAGGAGCAGGTTGTTCAGTTTCCATGTAGTTGTGTGGTTTTGAGTGAGTTTCTTAATCCTGAGTTCTAATTTGATTGCACTGTGGTCTGAGACACAGTTTGTTGTGATTTCTGTTCTTTTACATTTGCTGAGGAGTGCTTTAGTTGCAATTACGTGGTCAATTTGAGAATAAGTGCGATGTGGTGCTGAAAGAATGTATATTCTGTTGATTTGGGGTGGAAAGTTCTGTAGATATCTATTAGGTCTGCTTGGTGCAGAGCTGGGTTCAAGTCCTGGATATCCTTGTTAACCTTCTGTCTCATTGATCGGTCTAATATTGACTGTGGGGTGTTAAAATCTCCCATTACTATTGTGTGGGAGTCTAAGTCTCTTTGTAGTTCTCTAAGGACTTGCTTTATGAATCTGGGTGCTCCCATATTGGGTGCATATATATTTAGGATAGTTAGCTCTTCCTGTTGAATTGATCCCTTTACCATTATGTAATGGCCTTCTTTGTCTCTTTTGATCTTTGTTGGTTTAAAATCTGTTTTATCAGAGACTAGGATTGCAACCCCTGCTTTTTTTTTTTTTTTTTGCTTTCCATTTGCTTGGTAGATCTTCCTCCATCCCTTTATTTTGAGCCTATGTGTGTCTCTTCATGTGAGATGGGTCTTCTGAACACAGCACACCTATGAGTTTTGACTCTTTATCCAATTTGCCAGTCTGTATCTTTTAATTGGGGCATTTAGCCCATTTACTTTTAAGGTTAATATTCTTATGTGTGAATTTGATCCTTTGTGTCATTATGATGCTAGCTGGTTATTTTGTACATTAGTTGATGCAGTTTCTTCATAGCATCAATGGTCTTTACAATTTGGCATGTTTTTATGGTGGCTGGTACCAGTTATTCCTTTCCATGTTTAGTGCTTCCTTCAGGAGCTCTTGTAAGGCAGGCCTGGTGATGACAAAATCTCTCAGCATTTGCTCATCTATAAAGGATTTTATTTCTCCTTCACTTACGAAGCTTAGTTTGGCTGGAAATGAAATTCTGGGTTGAAAATTCTTTTCTTTAAGAATGTTGAATGTTGGCCCCTACTCTCTTCTGGCTTGTAGTGCTTCTGCTGAGTGATCCGCTGTTAGTCTGATGGGCTTCCCTTTGTGGGTAACCCGACCTTTCTGTCTGGCTGCCGTTAACATTTTTTCCTTTATTTCAACCTTGGCAAATCTGATAATTACGTATCTTGGGGTTGCTCTTCTCGAGGAGTATCTTTGTGGTGTTCTCTGTATTTCCTGAGTTTGAATGTTGGCCTGCTTTGCTAGGTTGGGGAAGTTCTCCTGTATAATATCTTGCAGAGTGTTTTCCAACTTGGTTCCATTCTCATCACTTTCAGGTACACCAATCAAATGTAGATTTAGTCTTTTCACATAGTCCCATGTTTCTTGAAGCCTTTGTTCATTTCTTTTTACTCTTTTTTCTCTAACCTTGTGTTCTCACCATATTTCATTAATTTGATCTTCCATCACTGATACCCTTTTTTCCACTTGATTGTATCAGCTATTGAAGCTTGTGCATGCATCATGAAGTTCTCATGCCATGGTTTTCAGCTCCATCAGGTCATTTATGTTCTTTTCTACACTGTTTATTCAAGTTAGTAATTCAGCTAACCTTTTTTCAAGGTTTTTTAGCTTCCTTGTGATGGGTTAGAACATGCTCATTTAGCTCAGAGAAGTTTGTTATTACCGACCCTCCGAGCCTACTTCTGTCAACTCATCAAAGGCATTCTCCAACCAGCTTTGTTCCATTGCTGGTGAGGAGCTGTGATCCTTTGGAGGAGTAGAGGTGCTCTGATTTTCAGAATTTTCAGCTTTTCTGCTCTGGTCTCTCCTTCATCTTTGTGGTTTTATCTAACTGTGATCTTCGATGTTGGTGACCTACAGATGGGGTTTTTGTGTAGATGTCCTTTTTGTTGATGTTGATGCTATTCCTTTCTGTTTGTCAGTTTTCCTTCTAGCAGTCAGGTCCCTCAGCTGCAGGTCTGCTGGAGTTTGCTGGAGGTCCACTCCAGACCCTGTTTGCCTGGGCATCACCAGCAGAGGCTGCAGAACAGCAAATATTGCTGCCTGATCCTTTTCCTCTGGAAGCTTCATCCCAGAGGGGCACGTGCCTATATGAGGTGTCTGTCTGCCCTTACTGGGAGATGTCTCCCAGTTAGGATACACGGGGTTCAGGGACCCACTTGAGAAGGCAGTCTGTCCATTCTCAGAGCTCAAACACCGTGCTGGAAGAACCACTGCTCTCTTAAGAGCTGTCAGACAGGGACATTTAAGTCTGCAGAAGTTGTCTGCTGCCTTTTGTTCAGCTATGCCCTGCCCACAGAAGTCTAGCCTATAGAGGCAGTAGGCCTTGCTGAGCTGTGGTGGACTCCGCTCAGTGCGAGCTTCCAGGCCACTTTGTTTACCTACTCAAGCCTCAGCAATGGTGGACGCCCCTCCCCCAACCAGGCTGCCACCTCACAGTTTAATCTCAGACTGCTGGGCTAGCAGTGAGCAAGGCTCTGTGAGCATGGGACCTGCCGAGCCAGGCACGGGAGAGAATCTCCTCGTCTGCTGGTTGTTAAGACCTTGGGAAAATTGCAGTATTTGGGCAGGAGTGTCCTGTTTTTACAGGTGCAGTCTGTCATGGCTTCCCTTGACTAGGAAAGGGAATTCCCCTGACCCCTTGCACTTCCTGGGTGAGGCGACAACCTGCCCTGCTTTGGCTCGCCCTCTGTGGGCTGCACCCACTGTTCAACCAGTCCCAGTGAGATGAGCCAGTTTCCTCAGTTGAAATGCAGAAATCACCCATCTTCTGCATCAGTCATGCTGGGAGCTGCAGACCAGAGCTGTTCCTATTCGGCCATCTTGGCCACAAGTTTTAAGTTTACAAATAAATGATATTCAGAAAAAGAATACATCTGTGTAACCAGTCCTCATGTCAAAAAACATAATCAGCACCCATGAAGCTCCAATTATACCCTTACAGTGACTGCCTCCTCATGGGTAACTGTTAGTCTAACTTCTAATGCTATAGTTTAGCTCTGTACATATTTGAACTTTTTATAAATGGAATCATCATGGTAGGTATTATTTTGGGTGTGGCTTTTCTTGCTTAACATTATGTTTGTGACATCTGACCATATCATGGAATTGTAATTTGTTCATTTTCATTGCTGTGCAGTTTTCCACTGGATAAACCCACAATTTACTTATGCATTATACCATAGATAGTTCAGCTGTTTTCATTTATTTGTCAATTAAAAATGGTACCAAACTATTGGTAGATTGATTAAAAAAATTATTTTGTAGTGATGGGGCCTCACTATATTGCCCAGTCTGGTCTCGAACTGGCCTCAAGTGATCCTCTTGCCTCAGCTTTCCAAAGTGCTGGGCTTATAGGTGTGAGCCACTGTGCTCAGCCTGGTAGTTTAATTTTTAAAATAATTTTTTAATAGAGACAAGATCTTACTATATTATCCAGGCTGGTAGTTTGATTTTAACAGTATTCCAGTTTCTGTCTGGTTGCCTTTCATGTGAAAGTGCTAATTGCAATGTTCTATGTCACAATAACAAATGAGAGGAACAGTGAGTTTGTAGTATTTGGCAGTACTAGGTGGCAAAAATCTCCCTTCCTCTACCCCAAATTTGTATACTAATTTAAGCATTGCCAACCTTAGCCTATATTTATAAAGAGAGAAATGATCAAATCATGGGGGTTACTTCCACTTTGTAAATTAGGGTAAAGACTGTGTTATCCATGTAATGCTATTTGATAATCTACCCCAGGAATATCCACTAAGACCTCCTTGTAAACTACCATCCTTAGGGGGTCCTAAGGATAGTTGGCTTAGAATGGTTGAAGAGAAACACCTTTTGAGATGGATGTGTACTGGGAGAGTGTTGTGGCATCATACATAATTTTGCTCAATGAGCGAATTATTTTCTGCATAGATTGAAAACTTCCACACTACTGTTAAGAAATGTTTAAAACAAGTCTCTTTTTCTTTTTCTTTTTTATTTTTTTGAGATGGAGTCTCGCTCTGTTGCCCAGGCTGAAGTGCAGTGGCACGATCTCTGCTCACTGCAAGCTCTGCCTCCTGGGTTCACGCCATTCTCCTGCCTCGGCCTCCTGAGTAGCTGGGACTACAGGCGCCCACCACCACGCCCGGCTAATTTTTTGTATTTTTTTTAGTAGAGACAGGGTTTCACCGTGTTAGCCAGGATGGTCTCGATCTCCTGACCTCGTGATCCGCCCACCTCGGCCTCCCAAAGTGCTGGGATTACAGGCGTGAGCCACTGCGCCCGACCAACAAGTCTTTTCTTAGTGACAGGGATTATGCAGGAGAATTATGGATTTCCCAGGATCATGCTGGGAGAAGGAGTGCAGATGCAGGACAGGTTTAGAGAAGATTCTGAAAGCAGTAGTAATGTGGGAAGCAAGAAGCGTTTATTTTTCAGAATGTGTGGATGAAAGAGAGTCTGTTTTGTTTACTGGTTTATTCCCATTGCCTAAACCAGGGCCAGGCATATACGTAGGTATTAAATACCTCTGAATGTGGACATAGAAGCAGAGGCCTCTGCAGAAAATCAACTAATAAATGCTGGCTACCTGAATACTTTGCATATGGGCATAAGCAAAGACTAAAACTGTAATTATAGAGGCCCTGGAGCAAGAAATAGCTGAACTTAGTGGAGACCACAGGGTCCACAGAGTGAAGATAAGTATTCCCCTAGTCTTGCTGATTAAGGATCCTTATCAGTCTAGAGTGAAGAGAAACAGACCTTCACACAGTTCTCCTTTCTGGCTTACTACTGTTCACTGATAGAACTGGTGCCATTACATCTGTTAGCAACATAACTGAGTCTGGAATCACAAAACAGCACAGTCTTCATATTTTGTCTTGTGTTTGAGGTGACAGGGACTGCAAAGTCTGTAGCAGCTCAGGAAATCTCTGTGCTCATAAACAAGTGATATAGCCCTTTATATGCAAATTTGGCATTTTCTTATAATTAAAACTTGCAATATAACTTTGCAGAAGGGATGCTCTTATGGCATTTCAGATGTTCATCTGAAACAATAAAGGAAATTAGGAGAGTTTTAAAGAAATAGGTATCTATAAATTGGCACAGTATGAAGAGTAAAATAACCAAGAGGTTGGCTGGTTGTGTGTTGGGAAGGCTTGTTTTTATGTATTTGGGGCAGGTGATGGAATTAAGGGTGAGTGGTTCTTGAATGTGTCAATGAATGAGGCAGAAAGTGGGAGAATCAGGCTTCAAGATATGCATATAACTCCAGAGAATTAGAGGAGGGAACTGAAAATATTATTTTTTGGTATGTGATTCTGCAAATATATTGCTCATAATAGACTGCAGGCACAGGAGACAGAATGTCAGAATATTCTGCAATAGGAACCTTGTACTTGTTTTTCTTCCCTTGAGAAGTGCTACCTCACTTGAATTGGCAGGACTTTAATGAAATGGCAGAGTGTAACTCTTCAGATTCGAATTTGGCCTGCACTGTGTAGACAGTGTGCTAGAGCTCACATGCACATGAAACACTTTGTATGGAGAGGTTGAGAATTAATGTTTTCTTAGGGGTTGAGTTTTCAGGGATTACTATCCCTTTGAAAATACTCCACAATGAAGGCTGGGCATGGTGGCTCATGCCTGTAAATAATCCTAGCACTTTGGGAGGCCAAGGCGGGTGGATCATGAGGTCAGGAGTTCAAGACCAGCCTGACCTGACCAAGATGGTGAAACCTGTCTCTACTAAAAATACAAAAAAATTAGCTGGGTGTGGTGGCAGGCACCTGTAATCCCAGCTACTCGGAAGGCTAAGGCAGATAATTGCTTGAACCTGGGAGGTGGGGGCTGCAGTGAGCCGAGATCACGGCACTGCACTCCAGCCTGGGCGACACAGCGAGACTCCGTCTCAAAAAAAAAAAAAAAAAGAAAAACTTCACAATGATTGGTAAGCTATAATTTAGGGGCCACAGAAATGATCGATCCAATAGTGCTCCAAGGTATATGAAACTGTAACTTTATTTTAAAGGAAGGGAGGACTTGGAGGCTTAAAATAGGTATCAGCTGAAATTCCAGCAGCACAAATGTGCCAGGACAAATCAATTATTGGAAATGATTTATTCAGTCAACTTTTACTGGACAGAATTATTCTCATTTCAATAGTCTATTTTCTGCTCCCTTCAAAGAACTCTCCCCCGCACCTTCTTTCCCACCCCTCATCTTCTCTGACTTCTGATGAGGTGCTGTCAGAGGGGCCTGGCAGTGGGAGTAAGCTAATTACACCACCCAGTGCCATACTCCGATTATGAATTTTCAGGTTAGAGATTCATCTGCAAACTGAAGCTTTTTCCTTCAGCCCTCTGATATTAAATTAGGGCAAGGCTTTTTAAACAAAATTAATTATTTAACCAATTTTTAACATATGGAGTCTTAATATGTTGCCCCAGCTGGTCTCAAACTCCTGGGCTCAAGCAATCCTCCCACTTCAGCCCCCTGAGCTGGAACTACAGGTGTGCACCAATGAGCCTGGCTAAGGTGGGTTTTTAAAGAACAATTAGTTTGGAGAATGAAGGTACAATTTGTGGATTTCTCATGCCCATATTTTTCATCCATTATTTCATTATTTCATCCATTTTGTGATTTCCTTTTGGCCTTTTCTCCTCGTATTTAACACTTCTTACAGAGGTAATCTGGGGAGGGAAAAGGAGGTGAAACTTGTATCATTTCATTACTCACACATGTTAAGTATTCGGGGATGTGATTAGGGTTGGAAGAAGGCAGTTTGTTTACTACTTAAATGATTTTATATTTTATAAATGATACTACATTTTGATTATTTACAGGCTATGGTATTCATACTATCTTTGTTCTTATGATATCACATAATAACAAATGTACTGATTTGTCCAGTGTTCCATGAGAACTGGGGCAAGACGCAGCCGGCTTGGAAGCTGTAATGGAATCTGACTTTGAAAGTCATTTTATCTGAGATTCTTATTATTATTCTTATGGCTCCTCAGCATATGGTCTATTCTTTTTCAAAAAGTGAATGGATTTTATAACTTAGAGCAGCTTCGGGTCATAGAAAAATTTAAGAGAAAATACAGATAGTTCCCAAATACTTCCTTTATTTCCTCCCAGTTTCCCCAATTATTAACATTTTGCATTAGTGTGGTACATTTGTTACAATTGATGAACCAATATTGAAATATTATTAACTAAAGTCCAGAGTTTATATCACGGTCTACTCCTTATGTTGTACAGTTGGGTTGTGACAAATGTATAGTGTTATGTATCCACCATTACAGCATTGTACAGGATAGTTTCACCACCCCTCAAAATTCTCCGTGCTTCATCTATTCATCCCTTCCCTATTCTCCCTCACTCCCCCAAACCTCTGTCAACCATGGATCTTTTCAGTGTCTAATTTTCCCTTTTCCAGAATGTCACATAATTGGAATCATATGGGATGTAGCCTTTTCAGACTGGCTGTGTCGCTTAATAATGTGTGTTTAAGGGTCCTCCATGTTTTTTCATGGCTTGATGGCCCATTTCTTTTTACTACTGCATAATATTCTGTTGTATCAATGTACCATTCTGTTGAATGAATGTTCATCCATTCACCTATTGAAGGGCATTTTGATTGCTTCAAATTTTTGGCTATCCTGTTCTTTTGATGCCAGTACCTACACTCTGCCTGTGCCAGTGATAGGCTGAAAAATGTTCCCCCAAAAGTAGCAAGGTCCTAATCCCTAGAACCTGTGACTGTTCCTTGGTATAGCAAAAAAAGTTTGCAGATGGGACTAAATTAAAGATGTTGAGATGGCAGATTATCTTGGATTATCCTAGATGAAACCATATCTATCCTTCTAAGAGGGAGGCCTAGTCCCTGCCTATACTTTGATTTCAGCCCAGTGAAACTGATGTTGAACTCTGGCCTCTAGAACTGTGAAAGAATACATTTTTGTTGCTTTAAGCCACCTGATTTGCAGTGATTTGTTATAGCAGCCATAGGAAACTAATACTCTGCCTCTGTCCCATTGGAATCAGTGTGGCGGATGTCACTCAGAGTACCCAGTGGAGTCGTTGGATGCCCCCTTTCCATCCCTGCTGTTGAAAAGGAATTTTGTGAGCAGGGGAAAGGGTGTAAGGGCACTGGAGTTCATTCTAGCAGAAGAGACTGTCAGTTCTTTCCTGCTACTGTGTTGAACTGCCTACTTTCTATTTCTTTCTGAGACTGATTCTTTAACTTTTGCCTTAATCCTGAGCATATCCATATCCTCATAATAAATTCACTTATTACTTAATGTAGTCAGAGTTTTTGTTTGTTTATACCCTGGTTATTCTATATAGTTACATAGAAATATTGTTCTTTATTTCCTTGTTGGGGTGAGTTACTGTCTAATGTTACTCTTGGTTCAACTTTCAAATTTCAAAATGAGGTTTTAGCTGTTGCAACTGAGTTGCTTTCATAAGGCAGGTGAGAAGCCCTAGAGCAATCTTTTCACATAAGGATATGTAAGGGCTTCTGGAATGAAAGATCTTGGTAAAATGAATTTTTGTTTGTTTGCAATGTAAGAAATATGTGTAGGATTTTTGTCTTTAAAAATAACACAGGCTTTATTAAAAAATAGAGCTGCAAAAGGGAAAAGATGAAATGTGGAATACACATTACAAAATCATAGATTATTTATCAACTTTAGATCATAAGAGTATCTCTATTGAGAAGCAATAATAGCACACAGAACTAAGTTTGCCTTATTTTTTCTAAGGTTCATTTTAATAAATAGCAGTCTATGACAGTTTCCTGAGCATTGATGGAACAGAGACTTAGGACACAGCCTCGGCACAATGCATTCAATGGATGCTGTTATCTATTTAATTAATGGTTGAATGAACACACATGAATCGAATGAGTAGGCACAAAGGTGAAAGCTTCGCTTATTTAGAATGGAATCATTCCTAAGAGCTCTTCTGACAAACTCTTGTAGGAAAGTTGTGAGTCACTGTTATCATATTTTATTGATCTGAAAGGTGGTAGAAAAGATCAAGGAGAGAAAATAAGTAGAAAATCATTTTCAGCCTCATCTCATAAAAGGCAAAGCAGTAGGATGAAAATTTTCCCCTTTGTACCGCCGTAAAGCAATGATGACCTGCTTATGTAATCTACAAAGGAAATGCTTATTTATGTAACCTCTTAGCGATGCTGTTAATGTTTAGAAGGGCAAAAAGTACTGTCTATTATAAAAAAAACTCACTATTAAACATTGAGGCACATCTGAGAAAAGTAGGGAGTGGTGAAGTCATTTTTTCTTTTCTACAGTTGCACAGCCGTCTCGACATCAACTGCAGATGTCTTCTCTACCCTGCCTCCACCACTGGCCGTGAGTGTTTTCATCCACCTGCCCCTGCCCCTGCCCCTGCAAACACACACTCACACAGTCCTACTTTATTCTCTCAGGCTTTGGCTTGAGCCATCAGTTGTTAAATTTGGTTTTTGTTTTTTTTTTTCCCTGGAAGCACCTGGGATGAGGGTGGTTCAGATGTAGCAGGTAGGAAGAGAGACTAATGAAAAAGACGGTATCCTGATCTAACTTCTAGGTGACATATAATAAGAGCAGGCTGCTCCCTTGCTAAGGCTGGGCACCTCTTAGGGTATAATCCCAGTGTCTTATTATGTTGATAGTCTTGATCTTTCTTTGATTTTGAAAGGTCTCCTAAGCTTGCTCAATTTTTCTTATAGTGCATTATTATATTAAAAATAATGTCAGCTTTAAATCTTTGAGGTATTATGCTAAATAGAGTCTCTGCTGTTTTCTTTTGTCTTACACCCATTTATTGTTCTAGCAAAACAAGTTTTGTTAGAGAGTAGAGGTACAGATGTGGTATGATTTGGGACATGGCAAAAGGCCTGTTTACTTACAATATTTCTTGGCTTCAATACTTCCTGTTATTTTTCCATTAATCTTTTCTCTTAATGTTGTTTTAAATGAGATATGCATTTTAGGCTCTCAAGAACTGATTTACATGATTATTCCACTGCCAGAGAGGAAGGTCTTCTGGATATGAGACACAGGAGCGTTGTTTTAATAGAGAGAATGAAAATAGGGAAAGTTCAAGAACCTCAGAGTAGTGCACAGGAAAGCCATGTCCACGTGGGATTCCATAATTAGTTCTGGGGCAACCAAGGTACCACATGAGGCAGGGGCAAAAGGCGGCCAAAAGGAGATGGAGGGCCAGCTCTGCTTAAAAGTGGAGAGGCTGACAAGTTCCAGGGATCTGACAATTGCTCACAAACAAAGCTCTTCTTTACTAAAGTTGACTATTATTTTAACCTTTTTATTTGGAAATAATTTCAAACTTACAAATTGATACTATTTGAAGAAAGAATATATTTTGGCAAATTAGTGAAAGACTTAGGGAGTAGCAGGTTGTGGAAGCATAAAAATGAGTTGCTGTTGCTTATGTGGTTCCAGCACTGTGGAGGTGGTGGAAGGGGGTGCAGTATGGAGAGGGATCTACTTCCCATCATGCTTCTCTCTCTGTTTCCCTGGACTTCTCTCTTCTTCCTGTAATCTGTGCTCCTTCTCTCCCTTTCTTGCCTTCCTGCCTTCCCTCATCTTTTCCACACACCTCTCTATCTTCCCTCATATTCTTTTTCCCTCTGTCTCCCTTCTGTGTTCAGATTCTGGTTAAAATTTGCTTAACCATGTGAGCCTCAGTTTCCTAAACTATTAAATGAGGATAAAAATCTTCCTGCCAAAGCATCATACACCATAACCAAGTGGGATTTATCCCTTGCATGCAAGGATGTTTCAACATATGCAAACCAATTAACGTGATACACCATGTGAACAGAATGAAGGATTAAAAACCACTGTCATGTTAATAGATGTGGAAAAAGCATTTGACAAAGTTCTACATTTTTTTCATGATAAAATGCAACAAATTAAATATAGAAGGAATGTACCTCAACACAAAAAAGTCCGTATATGACAAACCCATAGCTTACATCATACTCAATGGTGAAAGGTTGAAAACCTTTCCTTTAAGACCAAGAACAAGACAAGTGTGTCCACTCTTGCTACTTCTATTCCCTACAGTAGTGGAAGTCCTAGCCAGAGCAATTAGGAAAGGAAAAGAAATAAGAGGCATTTAAATCAGAAAGAAGTAAAATTATCTCTGTTTGCAGATGACATGATCTTATATGTAGAAAATCCTAGAGTCTCCACAAAAACTGATAGAACTGCTAAACAAGTTCAGTAAACTGACAGGATTCAAAATCAACATACAAAAATCAGGATTGTTTTTATATATGAACATCAAGCTGTTGGAAATTAAGGAAACTAGGAAAATAATCCTATTTATAGTAACATCAAAAAAGATGAAATAGGAATAAACTTAACAGGAGGTGAAAGACTTGTACACTGAAAACTATAAAACATTGATTAAAGAAATTAAAGAAGGCACAAATAAATGGAAAGATATTTCATGCTCACAGATTGGAAGATTTAATATTATAAAATGTCTATACCACCCAAAATGATCCATAGTTTTAATGCAATCCTTATCGAAATCCTGGAAGCATTTTTTTTATAGAAATAGAGACAAAAATCTTATAATACATGTGGAATCACAAAGGTCCTGATGGCTAAAACAATCTGGAGAAAAAAGAACAAAGCTGGAGGCATTGCACTTCCTTATTTCAATATATATTATGAAGCTACAGTAATTAAAATAGTTTGGTAACTGGCATAAAGATAGATTTGTAGACCAGGCATGGTGGCTCATGCCTGTAATCCCAGCAATTTGGGAGTCCAAGGTGGGCAGATCACCTGAGGTCAGGAGTTCGAGACCAGCCTGGCCAACATGGTGAAACCCCACCTCTACTAAAAATACAAAAATTAGCCAGGCATGGTGGCATGTGCCTGTAATCTCAGCTACTCTGGAGGCTGAGACAGGAGAATTGCTTGAACCCAGGAGGCAGAAGTTGCAGTGAGCCAAGATAGCGCCATTGCACTCCAGCCTGGGTGACAAGAATGAGACTCCATCTCAACAACAACAACAAAGATAGACTTGTAGACCAGTGGAACATTGTCTACATCTTGTAGACCAGTTGACCATATATGGTCAACCGATTTTCCACAAGGATACAAAGGATATACAAAGGGGAAAGGTGTTGAGAAAACTGGATATCCACATGCAAGAGAATGAAGTTGGACCCTTATCTTAACACCATAACAAAAGTCAACTCAAAATGGATTAAAAACTTAAACATAAGACCTGAAACTATAAAAACCTTAGAAGAAAAAATGGGGGAAAAGCTTCATGGCATTGATCTTGGTGATGATTTCTTAGATATGACATCAAAAGCACAGGCAACAACAACAAAAAATAGACAAGTGAGACCACATCAAACTAAAATTCTTCTACACAGCAAAGGAAATGATAAACAGAGTGAAAAGATAACTTACAGAATGGGAGAAAATATTTGCAAACCATATATCTGACGGGGGGTTAATTTTCAAAATATATACAAAACTCAGACAACTCAGTAGCAAAAACTTAAATAACTCACTTTAAAATGGGCAAATGACTTGAATAGAAAATCCTACAAAGAAGACATACAAATGGCCATCAGGTATATGAAAACATGCTCAATATGAATAGTTTTCAGGGAAATGAAAATCAAAAACACAATGAGGTATCACCTCACACCTGTTAGGATAGCCTTTATCAAAAACTCAAGAGCTGAGAAGTGTTGGTATGTTGAGAAATTGTACCCCTTCTGCAATCTTTGGTGCAAATATAAAATAGTGCAGCCACTATATAAACAGGGTGGAGGTTCCTTAAATAATTAAAAATAAAACCACCATACCATGCAGCAATCCAACTTCTGGGTATTTATCAAAAAAAATTGGAATTATGGTCTTGAAGAAATATTTGTACTCCCATGTTCACTGCACCATTGGTCATAATGGACAAAGTGTGAAAACAACCTAAATGTGCACTGATGGATGAATGATAAAAATGTGGTATATACATACAATGGAATATTTTTCAGCTTTAAAAAAGGAAGAAATTCCACTATGTACAGTAGCAAGAATGAACTTTAAGGACCTTATGCTAAGTGAAATAAGCCAGTTACAAAAAGCAAAGTATACATGATACTACTTATATAAGGAATACAAAATAGTCAAACACACATAAGCAGAGAGTGGAGGGGAGGGGCAAATGGAAAGTTATTTTCAACAGTATAAAGTTTTAGTTATGCAAGATGATTAAGATCTTAGAGATATGCTACACAAACAGTGCCTATAGGTAACAATACTGTTGTATATTTAAACATTTGTTAAGAGGGTAGATCTCATGGTAATTGTTCTCTCACACACATACACAAACAAAGCCTTCTCTTCACACTGAGATTAATATATTTAAAGTGAGAAAAAGTGAGATAGTGGAGTTCTTAGTTCAATACCTAGAACAGAACAATGACTTAACAATCCCTTTCCTTTCTGATTCTAATTTTTATACATATAATGTCAATTAATAATAAGTGTTTCTTTGTGTTGTGGTGATATGCTTAATTGAAACACACCAGATACTACAAATACAAAGTGTAGCATGATACTAGCAAAGAGCAGTTAGAAATGCAAAGGAAGTAATATGTCATTACAATAGCAACTAAAATACATTGGAATAAATCTAATGTAAAATGTGCTTGGCTTCTATCCAGAAAGTTCTAAACATTTATTGAGAGGTAAGACTCTAAAAGAACTCAAATAAATAGAGACATACCACATTTGTAGTTAAGAAAACTCAGACAGTGTGACGATTCCTCAAGGATCTAGAACTAGAAATACCATTTGACCCAGCCATCCCATTACTGGGTATATACTCAAAGGATTATAAATCATTCTGCTATAAACGCACATGCACACGTATGTTTATTGCGGCACTATTCACAATAGCAAAGACTTGGAACCAACCCAAATGTCCATCAATGATAGACTGGATTAAGAAAATGTGGCACATATACACCATGGAATACTATGCAGCCATAAGAAAGGATGAGTTCATGTCCTTTGTAGGTACATGGATGAAGCTGGAAACCATCATTCTCAGCAAACTATTGCAGGGACAAAAAACCAAACACTGCATGTTCTCACTCATAGGTGGGAATTGAACAATGAGAACATTTGGACACAGGAAGGGGAACATCACACACCAGGGCCTGTTGTGGGGTGGGGGAGAGGGGAGGGATAGCATTAGGAGATATACCTAATGTAAATGACGAGTTAATGGGTGCAGCACACCAACATGGCACATGTATACATATGTAACAAACCTGCATGTTGTGCACATGTACCCTAGAACTTAAAGTATAATAATAATAATAATAATAATAATAATAATAATAATAAAAGAAAACTCAGTATTTTACAATTTTAAGGTTGGATATTGGCTTAAGTAATCTTTTTAAAGACTAAAGAACAATACAGTAATTTCTTTCCATCAAAAATACTCAACTACAGCACAAATTAAAAAAAAAATGCCAGAGACATGTATAGACATTTCATAGAGAAGGAAACACAAAAGAAAAATGAACTTGTGAAAAGATATTTAGCTTCATTAATAACCAAGAATATACAAAATAACAAAATTATCACATACCATTTCATGTTTATGAAATTGATTGAAGAGTCTAACAATTCCAACTGTGATTGATGACTAGAAGGAACTGAAATGCTTACACTCTGCTGTGGCACTCTGTACTAGTATTTCAGAAAAAATTAGCATTACCTAATAAAGTGAAATATATGCATGCACAGTGACTCAGTTATTTACTTCCAGGTATGTACTCTATATGAGCATACATGCCAGGAAACATACACAATAGTATCCATGGTAGCATTGTTAAAATTAAAAACTGAAAAGAACTCATATGCCCATCAACAGAACGAATATATTATGGTATAGCACACAATAGAATACTATAAAGTAGTGAAAATGAATGAGCTACAGCTACATATAACAACATGGATAAATCTCAGAGATAATATTGATTGAAGTAGGCAAAAATTATACAGTATTTTATTTATTAACAGATACACATGCAGAGTATACAGAAAAGCAATTATATGATTAACACATAACTATTATTTCTGGCCAGAGGGCATGGGATAAGATCAGGGGGGCATTTAGGAGGCTCTGGGATGCTTGTAATGTTTCCTTTCTTATTTCAGGTGGTGTGCTTATAGCTATTATTTCATTATTATTCTTTATTCTGTGTATATATTCTACATGCTTACATATATATAGTACGTATATGTACAAACACATGTATATACACACATATTTCACCTAAACAATGGCTGGCACAGTGCTTAGTGCATAAGTTACTTAATAAATGTTAGTTTTCCTTTATCTTCCTCTACCTTCTGTTACACGACTATGTCCTAATTAAATCCTGGGAGATTAGGCAGATTATTGTAAAATAACAAGGCTAGAACTATCTAAGCATTTGAAATGCTCTACATCATATGTCATCAGGAAAATGCAAATTAAAACAATGAGATACCACTACACATCTATTGGAATGGTCAAAATCCAGAATACTGGCAACATCAAGTACTGGCAAGAATGTGGAGTAACAGGAACTCTCATTGACTGCTGGTGGGAATGCAAAATGGTATAGCCACTTTGGAAGACAGCTTGGCAGTCTCTCTTAAAACTAAATTTACCATATGATATAGTTTGGATTTGTGTTCCTGCCCAAATCTCATGTCAAACTGTAATCCCCAGTGTTGGAGGAGGGGCCTGGTGGGAGGTGATTGGATCATGGGGGGCTGATTTCCCCTTCGCTGTTCTCATGGTAGTGAGTGAGCTGTCATGAGATCTGGTTGCTTAAAAGTGTGTAGCAACCCCATCCCCTTCATTCTCTTCCTCCTGCTCCGGCCATGTAAGATGTGCTTGCTTCCCCTTCTGCCATGATTGTAAGTTTCCTGAAGCCTCCCCAGCCATGCTTCCTGTACAGCCTGCAGAACCGTGAGCCAATTACATCTCTTTTCTTTATAAATTACCCAGTTTCAGGTATTTCTTTAACAGTGTTAAAATAGACTAATACACCATACAATTCAGCCGTTACACTCCTTGGTATTTACCCAAAGGAACTGAAAAACTTACGTTCACACAAAACTTGCACACAAATGTTTATCTTAGCTTTATTCGTAATTGCCAAAACTTGGAAGCAACCAAAGTATCCTTCAGCAGGCGAATGGATAAATGGTAGTACGTCGAGACAATGGAATATTATTCAGCATGAAAAAGAAAAGAGCTATCAAGCCATGAGAAAACATAAAATAATCTTAAATGTATATTACTAAGTAAAAGCAGGCAATCTGAAAAGGTTACATACTGTATAATTCTAACTATATGACTTTCTGGAAATAGCAAAACTATGGAGACAGCGAAAAATCAGTGGTTGCCAGGAGCTGAGGGAAGTAAGGAATGAATAGGTGGAGCACAGAGGATTTTAGGGCAGTGAAAATTCTCTGTGAAACTACAATGGTGGATACATGTCACTGTACATTTGTTAAAATTATAAAATATTCAAACCCAAAGAGTGAACCTCAATTGTAAACTATGGGTTTTGGGTTGTTAATGATGTGTCAACACAGACTCATCTTTTGTAACAAATATACCACTTTGGTGCAGAGTGTTAATGAGGGAAGGCTGTATGCAGTGGTGGGGAGTGGGGGAAGTTAGAGGTTATGTGGGAGCTCTATTTCTGCTTAATTTTTCTGTGAACCTAAAACCGCTCTAAAAATAAAGTCTATTAAAGTGGAATCATATAATTTCTACTTGCTTTTTTACTCAACATGTTTTGAAGATTTACCTATGTTAATGCTTGTAAGTTTAGTTTATTCACATTCACTGCTATATAATATTCAATTGTGTGATATACCATTATGTAATTCTGTTGATGGACAAATTTTTGTTAGTATATACAATGATGCTGCAGACAATCTTGTATATATTTCTGTATAAACATGTACAAGAGCTTCCCTAAAGTATGTATCATTATCCTTACAGTATAAAAATGATCATTTGGGTCATTAGGCTAAGTAAACTGTTCAGTTTTACACAATTATGTGATATTGTTTTCCAAATGGTTATTCCCAGATGGCTGCATTCATCACGTGCATAAGAGAATTACTGTTGCTCTACACTGTACCTAACCTTTGATATTTTTGCTCCTCTGGTAAATGTAATTTGCACTTTCCTAATCACTTATGAAGCTGAGTGTGCTTTTATACGCTTATGGGCCATTCGTATTTCCTGTCTGTGAAATGCTTATTTATTTTATCCAGTATTATTATGCTTTTTGATAATACCCCTTTATAGATATTTGCTTCAAAATTGTCTGCTGTGGCTTGATTTTAACATACTTTTATACTGTCTTTTGATACAAATTATCTTGATTTAATGTAGTAATGTTTCTTTTTGGTAGGCATTTTTGTGTCTTGTTTAAGAAGTTATTTCCCACTAAGGTTGAAAAATATTCACCAATGTTTTTTTCTAAAAGCTTTAAGTTTTGCTTTTATAAACAATGCCATCTATAATTGATTATTGTGTTTTATATGTATAGAATTCAATTTTATCATTTTTCCAAATGGATAATCAATTATCCCAGTACTCTTTATTGAATTGTCCATCCTTTTCCAATGATATGCAATGTCAACTCTATCATAGCTTGAGTTTCCATGTATATGTAAATCTGTTGCTGGACTTTTAATTCTAGTCAATTAGTCTTTTTATCCATATCACATACCTAAATTGTCTTAGTTACCATAACTTAAAATAAGTTTTGGTATCTGGGAGGAAAAGTTTCCCCCACCTCCAACTTAGACTTCTTTTGGAGTGTCTTATCTAGTTCTGACATTTTATACTAGCTCAGTACAAATTTAAATAGTATACATTTATACTAACTCAGTATAAATTTTGTAATCAATTTGTTATGTTCCATGAGAAACCCTTGTGCAATGTTGATTGAAATTTTATTTAATTTATATATAAATTTGGGGAGAATTCACATTTTGCAATAGTGAGTCTGTGTTAATGAACATGATTTTCCATTTATTTAGTCTGCTTTAATGTTTTTTAGTAAAGGTTTATAATTTTTTCATAATTTTTGTATATATTTATTCTATTGCTACTCTAAATGGTATTTGTGAGCTACGTGAGCTACCTTTTGTTGTTAATGTATAGAAATGCAGTTGATTTTTGAATATGATCCCATTACTAAGCTCTTTTCCTATTCTGATAACTTGTCTATATGTTTTTAAATCTCAGGTGGTTGAATTAATCACATCTCTCAATCTATGGCACTTTCAGTCCTCTGTTGCTTTATTATTTATTTACTACTTTTAAATCTTCAAATCCTCTTTACATTCTTCAGTTATTCTCTAATGACAACCATGAATTTTCTATGTAGACAATTATAGCTTTGCAAATAATAAGTGGTTTACTTTTTTTCCAATTATAATACCTTTTGTTTCTGTTTCTTGTTATATCTTACTGCCTAGGATCTTGATAGTAATATCGAATAGAAGAGTTGATGGAGTGTTTCTTAGGTTTGTTCCCAAATTTTTGGTAATAATTTTGATGTTTTTGCCACCAAGTGTGAAGTTTGTCATAAGTTTTTGTCAGATATGCTTATTAAGTTAAAGAAATTCTTTTTTGGGGGCTTTTCTGGGTGCTAAGAGTTTTATCAGGAAGATAATGTTGGATTTCATTGAGTGCTTTTTTGTGTGTTTTCAGAGATAATTATATGATTTATCTCCTTAATTTGCTAATATGGTGAATAGATTTTCCATTGTTAAGCTTCCATTACCCTAGAGTAATCCTGACTTGATCATATTTTACTATAGACTATTGATTGGATTTTGTTTTCTAATGTTTTGTTTAGGATTTTTACACCTACATACATGAGTTTGAGGATACTTGATTTCCTCTATTGTCGTTGTTTTTGGCATAAAGTTTGTATCAGTGTGATAGAAATCAAGAGTTTGTATCAGATTAGAATGATCTGTTTATGACTGTCTATGAAGTCCTCTGGGCCTATTATCTCTTCTGTGGGAAGATTTTATTGATTTAATTTCTTTAATGACTCTGTCTATTTACATGTTTCTCTGAGTCCTAGAAATTATAAATTTCATCTGAGTTTTCAGACTTATTGATGACATTTTACAGGGTTTCTTATTAAAAAGCAAAATACTGAGTTGAACCGATGTTGTGTATAATAAACAGTAAATTTCTCTCAGACCACAATTTAAAGTGTGACATTTTACTAGAATTAAAGCGCAATATATATAAAATATTTAAAAATTATTTGTCTTTCCATTTGGAGGCTTATAAAATTATTTCTCAGGAAAAGGCATATTGAGTGATAGCCTTTACCAGGCTTGAGAGTTTTTTCTCATTCTGAAACAAATTACTTATTCACTTTCTAGCTTAGGGCAGATATTGTGTTATTCCAAGAAATAGATTTAATCATGACAATACCTTATATTTCCTTTCTCATACATTATCTCATTTGATACTTTAACAACTTTATTTTGTTCTTCTGCTTAAAATCTACAAAAGTTTAGTTGTTAAATCTAAAGTCATTTTGAGAAGGGGCTCTGGAGAGTTCCCTAAGAATAGTTTGCTTGAAGTACATAAGTTCACTCTTAATAGAACAAAACTGCCAAGTCATTGCCAGATCTTTAGAGTTTAATTCTTTAGATTCTGGACAAGACGAGGCCTTGTGATACTGAACCGTTTCAATAGTCCAGGGTCATTCAAGTACGAAGGCAGGAATTAAACACTTGTTCCCTGCTCAGATTTTATCTGTGTGATCTTGAGAAAATAACTCTATGTTCCTTGATCTCCTCTTCTGTAAAACAAAGAGATTGAACAGCTTCTTCCTTCTTGTGTTATGAAAGCACTGTGTTCTTTAACTTTGCATTTCTAGGCAAGCATTCAGAAACTCCTTCCTTTAGTTCTGGACCACAATGATATTTTTATTCAATTACACTCATTCATGTTCTATTTATTTTTTCTTAAACAAATTTTACTTTTTAAAATTTTGTATAAATTTATTGTATACAAGTGTGATTTTGTTACATGGATATATTGTGTAGTGGTGAAGTCAGGGCTTTTAGAGGATTCATCATCTGAATAATGTACATTGTACCCCTTAAGTAGTTTCTCATCATTCTCCCCCTCCTACTTCCCACCCTTCCAAGTCTCCATTGTCTATCACTCCACACACTTTACTTCCATGTGTCCCATTATAGACTTTAATTTTTAGAGCATTTTTAGATTAGCAGCAAACTTGAGCAGAAAATGCAGCGTTCCCATATACCTCCTGCCCCACACATCAGAGTAGTTAACCTATCAAAACCAATGAACCTGCACTGATACATCATTGTCACCCAAAATTCATAGTTTACATTAGTGTTCTTTCTTGGTGTTGTACATTCTATGGGTTTTGACAAATGCATAATGACATGTTTCCTACATTATAGTATCATGTAGAATAGTATCACTGCCCTAAAAATCCCCTGTGCTCTGCCTATTCATCCTCTCCCCCAAGTCCATTTATTTACAAAGAATTTTTTTGTGTTTGTTAGGCATTATGGAAAGTACTGGGGTTATAGAGGTAGATAATAAGCCTTACCTTAGTTATGGTCTAATGTGGAAGACTGAAAAATAAATCAGGCTAATGACGGTTCCATGAAATGAGTGCTACAAATCAATATGTGTAGAATATTATATGAGGCTAGATGGGTAGACATCCCATCATATTACAGGGATTGGGCATCTTTGGGAACAAGTGATAATAGCAAAGCTAATTGAAGTACTAGTAGGAATTAGTTAGGGAAAGAAGACAGAGAAAGATGTTCCAGGCAAAGAGAACAGAATATGCAAATATTGGGAGGTCTGAAACCACATACTGACTTTGTAAATACATATATGAGGGAAGGAGATGAGGCTACAGACCTGGATAAGGGTTGCATCATCAAAGTTTTATAATGCATATTGAAGAGTTCCCATGTTGAATGACTTTAGAATTCCCTGAAGGATTTTATGTCAGGAGTAGCAACATTATGGTTTCATTTTAAAGACCATTCTGGCCTCAGTAGAAATATAAGAAAGTTATGAGTTATACTATTAGATTGGGCTTGATCAACTCTCATTTCAACTCCCTTCTATCATATCTTTTTGTGCTGTAGAGACTAGAACACCCAAACCTGTGTTTCCCAGACTCCTCTGCAACTAGGACATTGCATATGCACTAGGGTCCATCCTGTGTACAGCTGCACTTACACAAAACTGATATGGAACTGAGTTACAAGGGAGAGAGGCAGACGTGGGGCTACATTTTGTTGGAAAAGGGTGGAAGAGATGATGTAATTCTGGAGCTAGAACCATCGTCATAGGAACAGCACTAATACCAGCCCACTGATTCAGCCACAAATCCACAGGGGCAGAGGCAGGGTAAAGGTAGAAACTCCTTGAGAGGCCTAATTCTGTGTTGTGGTTAATGAAGTCATCATAGTCTGTTTTCTCAGCTCTCTTAACAATTCTGTGAACTAGTCATATCACTTAGTAATTCCTCTTGCATCAATCAGGTAAAGAAGATTCTACTGTCTCCAACTATGAATCCTGACCAAACTGGTAAAAATGTAAATTAAGGGAATGGTCATGGAATTTGATAGGTGGATAAAGATATAAACCAAATTATGGGGTTTATGTTTATTATTTACATGGAATTGTTTTTTACAGGTGTAATGCCTGTATATAGTCTTTTATGCTAAATAAAATTGTCAAAGAAAAATGATCCCTATTTTGTCTTTGCCTTGGCTTAGAAATATGAACTATATAGAAATGGGTGAGCTTTGTTTACACAAAATTATGAGTTTGATACCACATAAATCTTCTAAATATTTGTGTGGCCCAAAGATGCTAACAAAAGCAAAAGAAAAATAATAAAGTGGCTATTGGTGTTTTGGAAGTGTACAAAAAGACTCACAAAATGGTTAACAGGAAATAAGCTCTAGTTTTATGTTTATTTTATACAAATAAAAATATGATGCTAAGTCCTGTAAAAAGTTATTCTCTAATTAGCCAGGCATGATGGCAGGTGCCTGTAATCCCAGCTACTCGGGAGGCTGAGTTGGGAGAATCTATTGAACCCGGGAGACAGTGGTTGCAGTGAGCTGAGATCACGCCACTGCACTCCAACCTGGGCGGCTGAGGAGACTCCATCTCAAAAAAAAAAAAAAAAATGTTATTCTCTATAAGGTTGATGTGGTGCAAAAGTTATTGAATAAGATTTATTAAACTGTGCTGGCACAATATATCACACAAACACATAATATTGTTTGTATGGTTCAATTCAGACTAAACAATGGTACTAGTTCTCTTCCTTGCAGATGAATGTGAACAGCATCCTGTGAGATTCAGTGTTTTTAAAGCTCCCTGCAATCTGAGAGATGGTTATTTATCACCATAATAAATAATATTTATTTGTGGTTTTGAGGTATTTTATGTAGGCAGGACTATTAATAATGAGTATACTTTATACACCAGGATTTGAAAGGGTATTTATTTCATATCGAGGTAGGTTTCTTTGTGTTATAGGAAAGAAAATAAAATAAATTCCTTGGGTAAGCATTTTCTCCACTATCAATCAGGGTTATCCATTGTCAAAAGGACCTTCTTTTACTAGTTATAGCAGAATATAAATGTATTAGCATGAGTCGTGTGGTTTGCAGAAATCTCTGGCAGGTTTGGACCACCAGAAGATGGCTCAAACCATGCTCTGCTGCTGGGACTCAGATATGGCAGTTCACTATTACCCAGGGCTGGCTTTGGGTATTGCCATTGGGCCTCCTCAAAACAAATGAATGTCTGTCACATCATATTCCCTTGCAGGAGTGAATTTTACACAGCTTCTTCATCTTCCTGTTACTTTTGCCTTGACCAGGTGATGGGCAAGATGCTCATTCCCTGTCTGAGTCCTGTCTGCTAGGGACCAGGGAAAGGTCCTGCTGGCTTTTACCTTGGGGAGGTGAGGCTTTTTATGGCAACAAGTTCCCATACACTGTAAAGATGTGCACAGTTGCTATGCAGCCTCAACGTATAACAAATATCCATTCTACTATATCCTTTGATGAAGGAAGCACAGTCACAGAGATGGGAATATAATTCTTTCTGAATTTCCAGCCTGTTTCATTTGGTCCTCTTTATCTAAATCATTTCTTGAAAGCAGCTCAGGAGTGAGAAACTAATGCGAAAGTGTTGATGGCTTTTGGATGTTGTGATATTGATTGATTTTACCTTCACAATTATGAATTTGTAAAATCAAGTATAGATATACCTAATACACAATAGTCATGAAATAGAATACTTGACTATTGATAAAACAGTGGAATGTAGAGAAGGATCTTTAAAAATTCTTTCCAGATACCAACATGCTTACCCATTTCACCTTTTACAAAGTCCCAAAGGAGTTTGGAAAAAAGTAGGCTGACTTTTTCTCTTTAAACAGATTTTTTTTTTTTTTTTTTGTAAAGAGAGTAAAGGCTTCCAAGGGGAAAGGATCAACTAAACAGGTCCAGTTTATGTGGAATGCTCTCGGAGTGATGGAAATCCCAGAGAAGCGGAAGGTGATGTGGAGAGATGGGAATGAATGGAATTTTCTTCCTTCAGTAAAGTAGGTTTATAGAGAGGTAGTGTTAGTTTTCTCCAGGTTCCAACTGGACAGAAATAAATAAAAAGGTAGTAGGAGGGGATCAGGGTTCCTAGTTGCATGCAACAGAAACCACATCTGGATAGCTTGGGAGAAAAGATATTTGTTGGAAAAATGTTGAATAGCTTATGAATCAAGTTTAGGAAATAGTCAAGAGCTAAGGAAGTCTGTGTAGCTGAGAATATGACCAGATTCATGTCTCAGGAAAGTCTGGTAGAATGTCACTGCTGTTGCTACTGGATACTTGCCACCATTTCCATGGACACTCAATTTCGCAATCCTCTTATGAATGAATAACAGGATACTCCTGTATGTTAACATCATCCCCTCAGGATTCCAAGTATTGTGTGGAAGTTCCTACTGGGAGAGTTGAGGCCACATGCTATTCCAATAGCTGCCAGGGACCTTTCTGGCTTTCCTGGTGAAAGGGGACAACCTATCATCCATCAAGATCTTCAAATAAAGATTCCTTCCCTCCAATAGGAAGCCTGATCGAATACCATGTAACCAAAAGTAATAGCATCAGCCTTGACAAATATCTACCACTTGGGAGTCAACAACCCTCGGTTGTGAGAAAAACGTCATGTACTCAGGCTGCCCACAGTCTTCCTGGGTTCAGGTTGGCTAGAGGTGGAAAAGGGACATCTATATTGAAACCTACCTGAGAGGCATCCTGTCCAGATCAATGTGGGTGGCCAAAATCAGCTGGAATCACAGCTGCTGGAAAGGTGACTGGGAGAAGTGTGAGGAGGTATAGTAGACGAAGAGCAGCCAAAGGTATGGGATACTGAAGCGGCATCTCGCCTGCAGTGAGTTACAGAACATCTCAGTGATGCCCTCAGCCATTAGCAGCACTGCAGCTGGTGAACAGAAAGGGAGAAAGAGGATGCAGGCGTTTCAGAATGATCATGGCTATGGATTTAATTACAATTATTGAATTATACAAACCCACTCAATTATCCTTGACAGGGATAGTGGTCAGACATGTTACCCAGATAGCTTTATTTATTCATTTTTCTTGAAGAAAAATGGCCCTATAATTTTTATAAAAATGACATATGCCATCATTAATAATTCAAACAATATAGAAAAGTCCATGTCAAAAGTCAACTATTGCCCTCTGGAAAAAATAATTAATGTTTGGTGAATAATTTGTGAATATTACTTAGACATCTCTATCCATATATATTGCTAAAACAATAGCTAAAAATATTATTTTTTGAATGAAACCCAACAAATAATATTTGAAAGAGTTACTAAACTTCAGGTATATCTTTCTTCACTCATAAAAATTTGGAGGATAAATTTTAAAATTGATGAGTCATGCAATATGTAAAGTTTAATAAAATTTTACAAGTAAATATGCTTTTTATTGACACTAGACATTATAATAAAGCTTGATGCATTTTTATAAACAAATATACCCATATAACTACAATCCAGATCAAAATTTAGAACATCTCCAGCCTCCCAGTCAGTATTGTGCTCCCACAGGTAACCCACCATTCTGACTTCTAGCACCAAAAATTAGTTTTGCTTGTTTTTGAACTTCAAATAAATGAAATCGTACAGTGCATATTCTTTTGTGTCAGTCTTCTTTTGCGTACCATTAGCATCTCTGAGACCCGTTCACATTGTTGAATATAGCAATAATTCAGTCTTTTTCATTACTGTACACATTCTATTGCATAACATACTACAATTAATTTATTCATCCTACTGCTGATAGACATTTGGATTGTTTCTAGTTTTTGCTTCTTATAGATAAAACTGCTTCTAACATTATTTTATGTTGTTTGGTGCACATATGCACTCATTTTGTTGGGGATATATCTAAGAGTGGAATTGCTGGATTGTAAGGCCTATATACATCCAACTTTAGCAGATACTGCCAAAGAGTTTTAAAAAGTGGCTGCACTGCTGTACATTTCCATTAGCAGTGTGAGTTTTGGCTGTTCCACAACTTTACTAACATATGGTAATTTTGAAAAGGCATCCTGATAAATTTTAGTGTTATCACATTTTGGCTTCATTTCTGTAACCAAAGTTGTTGGACATCTTTTCATATGCTTATTTGTTATTTGGATGCTGTATTTTTTAAAAGTCCCTTTTTGAGCCTTTGGCCCAGTTTTTAAAAATTGGATTGTTTTTCTTCATTTCTTTTTTAAGATTTATGTATTCTGAGTGTAAGTTCTTTGACAGAGTTGAATTCAAATGTCTTTTTCATATAACGTTTTGAAATTTCATCTTCATACAATTTTATAGAAACCTGAGATTTAACTAACCCATTTACGGTTAAAAAAGATAGAGCTAGCAAGGTAAAATGATTTGTCCAGGGTGCTAAAGTAGGTTACAGATAAGAGCCAGGGTTATTTTGTCTCAAAGTTTTTCTTAAATTTTAACACTTTGCTTTTCCTAAGCAACTAAAAGTAAATAATTTAATCAAAATACAAAATTTTCACAATAAAAATCAGCCTCAGGTTTACAGAGCTTTTTCTTTTTTTTTTTTTTTAATTATACTTTAAGTTCTAGGGTACATGTGCACAATGTGCAGGTTTGTTACAGATGTATACATGTGCCATGTTGGTTTGCTGCACCGATTAACTCATCATTTACATTAAGTATTTCTCCTAATGCTATCCCTCCCTCTGCCTCCCACCCCACGACAGGCCCTGGGGTGTGATGTTCTCCTCCCTGTGTCCAAGTATTCTCATTGTTCAGTTCCCACCTATGAGTGAGAACATGTGGTGTTTGGTTTTCTGTCCTTGTGATAGTTTGCTGAGAATGATGGTTTCCAGCTTCATCCATGTTACTGCAAAGGACATGAACTCATCATTTTTCATGGCTGCATAGTATTCCATGGTATATATGTGCCACATTTTCTTAATCCAGTCTATCATCGATGGATATTTGGGTTGGTTCCAAGTCTTTGCTATTGTGAATAGTGCTGCAATAAACATACGTGTGCATGTGTCTTTATAGTAGCATGATTTATAATCCTTTGGGTGTATACCCAGTAATGGGATGGCTGGGTCAAATGGTATTTCTAATTCTAGATCCTTGAGGAATCACTACACTGTCTTCCACAATGGTTGAACTAGTTTACACTCCCGCCAACAGTATAAAATTGTTCCTATTTCTCCACATCCTCTCCAGCATCTGTTGTTTCCTGACTTTTTAATGATTGCCATTCTAACTGGTGTGAGATGGTATCTCATTGTGGTTTTGATTTGCATTTCTCTGATGACCAGTGATGAGGAGCATTTTTTCACGTGTCTGTTGGCTACATAAATGTCTTCTTTTGAGAAGTGTCTGTTCATATCCTTTGCCCACTTTTTGATGGGGTTATTTGATTTTTTCTTGTAAATTTGTTTGAGTTCTTTGTAGATTCTGGATATTAGCCCTTTGTCAGATGGGTAGATTGCAAAAATTCACAGTGGGCCAAATCTGAACTGTTTGCTCCATCTTGAATTTGCAGCCAGAGGAACTGAAGTCATTAAAACAGCTTTAAATAGCTAGTGTTTGAGGAAAGAATCTATCTGCATGTTACAGATCTGCTGATCCAGGTCTAAGCACGGCCCTGGTTATTCTGGCATCTGAAGCATGATCACAAGCCTGTCTTATGAGTGGATAGACCATAGGAGCCCATGTTTTGGTGGTTGGTGGTTTTATTGGTGTTTGGGGGTCACTGCTCTTGCAAAACCATCTGGGCAGGGTGCTGAATTTCATTCTAGAAGTTTACTAGTTGCCCAGTCAAGAGCATGGATGTGCTGCTCGGCAGCAAAAGAATATAGGGCTGAGCTAACTGAGCATCAGCATTCTGTGTGACACTGGTGCTACTTCTGTGTTCTCAGTGCCCAGTTGAAGACTGACTTATTTACCATCTATACCCAAAGAGAAGGTAAGGTTGCTTACAGATTTGTTTTAAAAAAGAGGCAATGACACTCATAGATTTAATAGTTATTCCTGGGGTCCAATCTCACAGTTTAAAGGTTGGATATTGCCTTAACAAGCCTTTCAAAGAACACTTTTTAAAAAAGCAATAGAGTAAATTTTTTCATCAAAAGTATTCAGCATACATTTAAAAAACAAACCCAGCATCCAAAAGTTTATGGGAATGACTAATTCTGTTTTGAACAAAATTTCTGGAGATAGCATCCTACAGAGATTTTCAAAAATGCAATATCTCAAATGATTTAGAAGGAAATAAAGATAATATGCTCTAGAAATGGTTAGATGACTTGAAAATGGTTCAGGTGATGATAAGGATGATAAAGATATTGAAATTATGTGTGAAGAGCTTAAATAAATGGTTTCATGCAATTTAAGGGCAGAAAAGTAGGCAACGTTTGAAAATTATGATGTTATTTTTCATTTATGTGATTTTATATAAGATGTACTTTAAAATATGTATATAAAGTGAACAAATTCCATGCTTATGAAGTTGTTTAACTATTTCATCTATGTCCCTAGAAAACTAACTAATCAAGGTAGCCAAAAATCTTTTCTTTTGGAGGCTATTCTCATAGGGAAAATGGAGATCATTTTATATTTGGCATCATCTTCTACTCAAGCATATTTGCTTCTTTTGTGCGTTTTGTGTTTTCCAGAGCCCAGTCAGGGAAGAGAATTCTACCAGTGACAGTGTTTATAATTGCTGCCCTCCTCAAGCCTTGTGCAGGCAAAGAAGGGCATGCATTGTCTTTGAACTGAAAAACAATAATAAAGCCAGCCAAAATGTGGTCCTGCTTTCATGATTACCATATGCTGACAACTCTAATGATATCAGTTGTAAATATTTCTCCATTGGGGCTGACCTCTTTTGCTGACTCTCCCTACCCCACCTTATGCCACTGATCCCTTTTTAGTTTTTGAAGAAACAGCATAATACCTTTCTGAGAAGAAAAAGATGACAATAATCATAGTTTTTCATGCACTTAAGTTTGGCCAATCTGCTCCTAGAGTAAGAAAGGATTCAATTGCAATTTCCCAGAAATTGAATGGGAAATTAACACGGGAATCAGGAGACCCAAGACACCTGTTTCTAACACTAATCAGCAGTGAGACTTTGTGTATGACATTGCACCTTTTTGTACCTTACTGATTTCTTTCCTTTTTTTTTTTTAAAGAGGGAATGAAGAGGGTTGGCCTTGTTGATTTCTAAATTACTCCCAATTCTCAGCTTCTGGACCCTGATGTAAGATTTATATCACACAAACACTGGACTTGATATAAGAAGACCTAGATTGTAGTGTTGCTCTGTTCCTAACTAACGTGATCTTAGAGAATTAACATACCTAGCCCTAGTTTTATACATTACAGTCCATGCCACCTCACGTATCTCAGCACTTTCTGCCTCTTCTCCCATGCCACATATTTTGTACTTGATATTCCAGTAAAATCTTATTTTAAAAATAGTTTCTACAATTCTATTTCTTTATATTAGCTCTGTCCATTTATATTCTTTTGGGTATGAAGGGAAAAATACATTGATTTTGTGCAGAGAATTTTAAAGCATATATATTTTTTATGTAAAGACATTTGATGACACCATTGAAGTAGGTACATTTGGATGAATGTTTGTATAAGTTTTAAAAAATATCCCTTTCCACATTTTACCATTTTGCAGTTCCCTCAAAATTCAGCCTCTTTCGTCACAATAACAACCCATAATTCATGACAAATATTATTAGGAGAGATGGGAGGAGCAAGCCTGCCAATCTTTGCGTACATTTTTTTAAATTAGATTATATTTATTTAGATCATTCAGCATATGTTGGATACAGAGCCTCCTCATGAACCACTAACATTTCTAATTAGGGCCTAGGATTTTTTGATATCTTGGCACAAAGGCTATCTCTGGGATCTTTTTTATCTTTTCATGCTAATTTGGTGAACAAGCACCACAATTACACAAATCCTACAAAGGTAAGAGTGAAAGTAAAATAGTTTAAAACAAAGGAGAGGCAATATGGTATAGTGATTAGGAGCATGGACTCTTGACTAGAGAGCTTGGGTTCACATCTTAGCTCTGCTGTCTGTTAACTGTGTCTTAGGTGAGATATACACCACTCTGGGCCACTTTATAGTGAGTTTCCTCACTATAAAATGATTATAATACTTCCTACCCCACAGGGTTGTCTTGAGAATTAAATAAGCTAAAAGAAGGGAAGCACTTAGAGCTGTGCTTGTACTAATGCTGAGTACATATTAGCTATTTTTATTATTACAGGTTTTCTATAGATAGTCTTGTTTGCTAGCTATAGACTGTGTGATGTTAGGAGGCTGTAAAGGATGTTAGGTTCTCCACCAGAAAATAACCGGGCAAGACACATTAGATATGGCAGGTTTGATTCCAAATCTGGTCTCTTTGGCAAGATTCCTGTACAGCTCACCTATTTGGGCTGCAGTCATATTCACACACCATACTACATACCAACCATTTGGATATCCAACTAGTACCTCTCCTTCAAGACTCAAATCAGAGACTAGATCTTCTAGGAAAACTCCCATGACTGTTCTCCTCAACACTGCTTCCCTACATTCACTATCACCATCACCACACTAAGCAATAAGCTTCCCCTATGTGCTCTGATAGCCATAATGACACACCTCCATCATTACCATCTTCATCTTACATCAAAGTTGTATGTTTATGTTTTGGCCTACCCGGACAGACTATAATATCCTTGGAAAGCAGGCAGGCACCATATCATCTCCATATTTACATCTCTAGTGCCTATTACAGTACCAGGTTTATAGTTTGTACAAATGTGAGAGATGGGAAAAGGGAGCCCAGTGCCTGGGTAATTGGAGATACTAGGAGTGGAAGTAAGGAACACAAGAAAGACAGTAGGCATGGGTAGGGGAAATAGTGACTTTAGGTGAGGGTATTTAACTGAAGGCTTCTACAGAGCATCCATTGTGGGAGACAAAGGTTGGAATTAAGGAAAAGTCAGGCTTACAAAGGCTAAATATGGGAGTCACCAAACATGTGAGATTTGAAATCTTGGGAATGATGATTTTGTAGTTAGAGAATATGGATGACAAAAAAAAAAAAAAAAAGCCAAGGAAAGAATCCTAGGGAATATCTACATTCAACAGGTAGGAATCAGATATGAAGAATGAGAAGGACTAGAAACAGAGAAAAGAGAAAAACCAGAGGTATATAATGTCCCAGAAGCCAGAAGAGTGGTGAGATTTAAAGGAGTGTTTAACAGTATCAAAGGGTTAGTTATTAATTAATCAAAAATTAATTGAACATCAACTCTTGCTAGGTATTTACTAAGTGCTGAGATAAAATGGTCACAAGATCTCTGTTCTTACAAGAAGTTAAGTAGTATGAGCAGTGGGATGAGGAGTGGTTAACAGCTGCAATAAATTTGTAGTTAAGAGATGCAATAAATTTGTGGAAATCAGGTTGCAATACTAAGGAGAAAACAGGAGGTGAGAAATTATCAAGAACAAAGGAAGTCTGCTATGTTAAACAGTCTGGAAATTATGGGAAAGAGAGAAAATGGTTGCTTGAAGAAAAGCTTAAAGATTTTTGTTTTGTACTTATTGAATTGTTTGCTCTTTTAGAATGGAGAGACATGAGCTTATTTCTAGGCTGAAGAGAAATAGGCAGGGGGTAGGCAGAGAGAGAACAAATGGGGAGGATGAGATCAGGAGTCATTAGCCTTGGGACAGAGGTCCCTTCTGAGGCAGAAATGACATAAACAGTGCAAGAATGTTAAATTGTGAGACAGGGAAAGAGAAATCCAGAGAGCTCATACTGGATAAATGCATCTAGCTACTCTGAAAAGCAGGGAACTAGGCTGCCTGCAGAGAGTGAGGGCCAGGTCCAGGTTCAGGTTCAGAAAGAAATAATGAGCTTTGGAATAACAACTTTTGGTGGGGACCTTCCCCTAGGGACAATCACTGAGCAGTACTGAGATGGGACAGGCCAGATTGTGAAGTGAACCAAGTGGGCACTGTTAGTCACAGAAATGATGGTTTAAAAGTGAAAAAAAAAAAAGAAGTGGTAAGAAGCCAAAAGTATATTAAGAAATGTGCATTTTATAGATACACTTGAAATAGTTTCGTTCTAGATCCTAACATTATGAAATGCAGAGCTGTCAGTTTACTTTTAGAAGTGGAAATGCCGTTCCTGAGGCTAATGAACAATATCAAAATAAGATCCAATGGTGGGTTGTGGCTGCAGGCAGTGAACACAGAGTGCTGACTCTAAGGACAAATTATTCCTTTTGAAGTTTGAGTTATAATGAAGTGGAAAGTGAACCATGCCCGGATCTAGCCATAGGAAAAACATGCTTCCCTTGGTGCTGAGATTTGTGGAAGGCACCCCTTTTAGCATGAATGGTTCAAAATTGTATTCTGCAGGTAGAGAATTCCCTCTGCTCCTTTTCTTACTGTGTGGCCTCAAGCAGTTCAAACAAGGATATCTTATTTCTGTGTCAAAATCATGCTGAGTCCTAGAAGAGGGGCATCAATGTTGCGGGGGGCATTCTTCCATGTTCTTTTCTTATGCCTGATCAGCTCGGTTACCTCCTCTCCCAAGGTGCCAATGTGATTGATCCTTGGGCCATACAGATGGTTCCCAATTTACAATGGTTTGACTTAATGATTTTTCAACTTTGTGATGGTATGAAAGCATTGCCAACTCAGTAGAAACCATACTTCGAGTACCCATACAACCATCCCATTTTTCACTTTCAGTACAGTATTCAGTAAATTACCCGAGATATTTAAAGCTTTATTATAAAATAGATGTGTTAGATGATTTTGCCCAACTGTAGACGAATATAAGTGTTCTGAGGATGTTTAAGTTAGGCTAGGCTAAGCTATGATGTTTGGTAGGTGAAGTGAATTAATTGTATTTTCCACTTACGATATTCTCAACTTACAATCCACTTACGATATTCTCAACTTATAATGGGTTTACTGGGATGTAACTCCATCGTAAGTTGAGGAGAAACTGTATTTGGTAATGGGCTGAATCACTGTGTACAGTACTTTCTTGTTCAAAGTAAATCCAAGTTTTCTGTTCTCCCTCTTCTGTCTCTGGAAATGATCAGATCAATAAGCCAGGGTTAATTCTTCAGTACCCACCATCTAAGTTGGAGGGGAGAGAAAGCCAAAAACCTTATTAAGGCTTCCAGGACTAAGAAGTGTCCTCTAACCACAGTTTTACAGGTTTTTGTTTAGTTTAGTTTTGTTTTTATTGGGGGAAAGAAAGACATTGGCATTTTGCTTCTCATTTGGCTATTGTTTCTTGCATATATCTCTCTTCGTTGGGAATTGTGTGGAGAGGAGAAGAGTAAAGGATATCTGTTATTTGGTTTGATGAGAACATTGGGAAGAGAGAAGTGGTCTTTTTCTTCTGAGGCCAGGAGCTGTAAGAAAAACACTTTCTGAAGATTGACATTAACACCAGGAAAAGGAGAACAAGGGAAAGAAAGGACAGGAGAGATCTTTTAGGACATTGTTTTGAACATCTGCTCCTGTTGTGTCTGAATGCAGACCAAATCCTGAACGTTTCATTACATAAGCCAACATATTCCTATTTTTTCCCTCAGAGTAATTTGAGTTGGCTCCTTGTCACTTACCTTGAAAGAATCCTGAATAAAACAAGAAGTGATTGGCAAGGCTGAATCTGTGCATGTTTAGGTCTCCTGCTGTAATATCACTTTTCTGAAATCATTGAAACCTCACTCCTACTTTACAAGCCTATAAGCCATTTTCTTTATGTAAATACAGACATTAACTTAAAAAATATCTTTTGAACAGGAGGGCTGCAGTGCATGGGAAGGGGCCTGGAGAAGTGGATAGTATCTTTCCCCCTGGTGAGCTCTAAGAATAAGACACAGACAATCTTGGGTGGTTTAAATGCTACCCTGTCTAGAAGCAGGAGGGAGAAGGGAGCAATCATCACAGCCCGGCAGTGTCAGAAGTTTCCCACTGTGTTGTCAGACATGAGTAGAGCCAGTTTAGCCCACGTTGAGGGAAACTTGCTACTGACCACCTCCTACGTGCCCATCTTTTTTTGTTTGTTTGTTTGCTTCCTGGCTCTTTGATCAGGAATTCAGGCATTCTCCTGAAGCAGCTTATAACCATTTTGATAATGTATCTAGAATTTTTCTTTCACTTAGATTCAGATAAAATAAAAACCCAAACCAAAATACTTACTGTGTATTTATTACACGTCAGATACATTTACATGCATGACTGCACTCAATCCTTCTCATTATGTCTATTTTAAACAAGAAGAAACAGAGGTTTTCAGATGTTAAGAAACTTGCTCAAGGTCACTTGGCAGAGTTGAAATTCAAACTTAAATCTGTCTCTACAACCTCTGTTCTGAATTGTTAAGCCTTCCTGTGTTTTCAATACTCATTATGTGCCAAGGCACAGACAATATCAAGGTAGTTCTTAGCCTTACTAAGTTTTCCCCTGTCTTTTCAGGGTTATCCTTTGATTAATGTCCAGTAAAATAGTTTAACTTGTATCCCATGCTTCTGCAGTAAACCAAGTGTTTCCGCCAGCTCTTGGGGGTGTGCTGAGGTTTGCTTGATTGTCACTTGCCACTTCTTACTTTGAATAGCAATTTGTTCTCCTCTTGCCATCTCTTCATAGCCACAATGTTCTAGGGGACAACTTGGGACCCATCTCCATTCTCAGAAGCACACTGACATTGGTTTCTAGAATTTAAAATTCTGTAAGGATATCAGCAGGAAAGTAGAAGTTTTAAGCTCGGTGTCAGCTATTGCTGTACTTGAGACCCATCATTAGTCTCATCCCTGGAACCTACTCTGACCACCTCTCTCCCTGAGTCTTCACTGCCCTTGGGACTCTCATTTTCCCATTTGTCTGCAGCATGGTGTCTGCCCTAAATCACATCTCCCAGCTCACCAGAGAAAACCTGAAATCCCTTAAATTAGTTGGAGTAGTGCCACATTCTGCCCACGGGACAACCTTTCACACTATTAATGTTTTAGTCTGAAGTATCTGCATTTGGACTACTTCAAGGATTTTTTTTTTTATTTTCACATGTCCTTTCTCAAAGTACTGTTGGAATAAGTTAGATAAAGTGAAATGGGAGCGTATTTCTCTCTTCACTACCAATCCTAAGTGCCCTTGCCAATGTTCTCCTTGCAACTAAGTTTGGTACTCAAAACACTTAGAAAAAACTTAAACACATTACTGTATAAGCATGCCTCATGGAAATTGGGCATTGTGAGTTTTTAAATAGAAAAGACAGGACATGTTTTAAAAATTAAATCACTGTTTTGATTTGCTGAGAAACAAAGCCTTTTATACATCAACCCTATTTAATATTGCCATATAATAGAAAAGCTTATGTTCTGCCTTTATTCTGATCCAGGTTTGCTTTCATATGAGAATCACTGTAAGACATGAGATAGAAGGACTTAAGACAGAAAATTCAATATTCAGATATTTTAAGATGCAGCCAGGTGTGTAATTTAGCTATCTAAAATAGAGCAAGGAGCAAGGAGCTCTTAATCATCAAGTGAAATTACCAAGATTCTTAATTTTTTTTTTGTACGTACCTGTGTAAATCAGGTTTCTCTGACCCTTAAAGGGTAAGAGCTGCTAAACTATGCTATGGCAATTCACCAGGGAGGTGTGTGTGTGTTGGAGCAGGGAGAGGTTCTTAGGAAGTGGGCGTGGTGACATATTGTTCACTTATATTTCATTATTCTCAAACAGTCTCATGTAAATAGTTTCTCCTGAAATGTTCAATAGCCTTGAAATGCAGGTAAAGCAGGATTAGTAGAAAACATGAGATTCGGGGTTAATGGATCATCCAATAAGCCCTAATTTGAATATATTTTTGATGCTGCAACTGTAACCATGAACACAATTTAAATAAATTTTGCTTCCAACAGAATCAGGGAAAGGAAATCGGGACTTGAACTAACTTCCTTCCTTCGTTCCTTCCTTCGTTCCTTCCTTCCTTCTTTCCTTCCTTCCTTCCTTCCTTCCTTCCTTCCTTCCTTCCTTCCTTCCTTCCTTCCTTTCCTCCTCCTCCTCCTCCTCCTCCTCCTTCTTCTTCTTCTTCTTTTTTTTTTTTTTAACAGTCTGGTTCTATTACCCAGGCTGGAGTGCAGTGTCATGATCTCGGCTCACTGCAACCTCCATCTCCTGGGCTCAAGCTATCCTCCCACCTCAGTCTCCCAAGTAGCTGGGACTACAGGTGTGCACCACCACGCCTGGCTAATTTTTGTATTTTTGTTGGTAGTGGCTGGGTTTTGCCATGTTGCCCAGGCTGGTCTCAAACTCCTGGGCTCAAGCAATCCGCCCGCCTCATCCTCCTAAAGTGCTGAGATTACAGGGACTCTAATTGTTATCACATATTTCCAGTTAGTTACAGGGAGAATGATTAGAGATCCTATGGTAAGATAAAGAACAATGTAGGCACATTTTAGGATGGAAGCAGCAGCAGTCCACCCAAAATCAAAGGTAATTCTCATCATCTCCTTGCACCATCATCATCTTCAAATATTTTGTAAAGACCATATCTTAGGTAAGCATACTAATGAAAGCAAAATCAATGCATGAGAAAAACTAATGCAGGGGTTCCCTCTGGCATAGGGGTTTAACAGGATTGATCAAAGAAGTCCAGGACATATCAGAATGTGAGAGGCAGGCTGACTGTTGGGGAACTATTGCAGTAATCTAGCTGTGAGATGCCAAGGATGTGGCTCAGAGAAAAAGGTGGGAGCAGCAACCATTGGCAGGGAGATTCTCTGGATAGAGTAAGGCACAATACTCTTAATTTGCTGTGAGTCATATGTACACACACTGTACACACTGTCTCTTTAATATTACCACATAATAAAAGAGAAATTAATTCTTAGAAAGTGACTACTGGGAATAAAACTGAAAGATGATTTCAAAAGTCCTACAGACATGTCTTATAACATACATTCTAAATAGTAGCCTGGCAACAGCATACTTCATAATAATGTTTGGCTAATACATGGGGAATAAAAAGAGATCAGGTGATTTGAGTCACTTTATCAAAACTGGGCTATTGTACTTGCTAATGAAACACAGTACAGGATTCAGTCTTCTTGCTCATTGAATTGAACAGAGCCAACCAATTCTGAGCACAAGAACACAGGGCTGCCTTTTTATACTCATTAATCAATTCTCTATTGAACTTATGTTTTGTTGTAGCTCAGGTTAAGGGAAGGGGGCTGTATCTTGGTAACTGAAAGGTGAGAATTGTATTTTGAGATTAAAATTGATCATTCTTCTTATACTCATACATTTTAGGTAGGAAGACTGCTTAGGTAGCATCTGGTACCCCTCTCATTTTTCAGACACAAAGATTTGAGGTCAAGAAAGGCTGTTCTTTCCCAAAGCCACAGCATCTGTTGGATGACAGGGACATTAGCTATGGGTGGCTCTGAGGTCCTTTGAATCCCAGGCATATCTTCTAGTCATTTCTCAGGAGCCCGTGCTAACTTTGTTCTGAAGCAGTAGTTGAGTGGCTTCCATTCTTACTCTCCTTGATTTTTGCTCTTCAAAGACTTCGAGCACATGGGACAATTCCTTGTCTCAGATTCTGGTCTTCTGTGAAAGAAGAAATATTCACTTATTCATGAATATTGTATTTATTCTATGACAGGAATAAATACCTGTTCCAGGCACTGAGCTAGCTATTGTCTAAGCCATGATGAATAAGTCAGGCATAGTCCTGCCTTCATGTAGCTTGTTATCCAGTATGGGGCACAGATGTTAAACAAACACATATTTCATTGTGTCCTATGGAAAAAAAAAGTATAAGGTGTTTTTTTGTTTGTTTGTTTTGTTTTTTTGAGGTGGAGTCTTGCTCTGTCACCCAGGCTGGAGTGAAGTGGCACGATCTAGGCTCACTGCAACCTCTGCCTCCCAGGTTCAAGAGATTCCCCTGACTCAGCCTTCCAAGTAGCTGGGATTACAGGAACTTGCCATCACGCCTGGCTAATTTTTGTATTTTTAGTAGAGACGGGGTTTCCCCACGTCGGCCAGCCTGGTCTCAAATTCCTAACTTCGGGTGATGCACCCGCCTTGGCCTCCCAAAGTGTTAGGATTACAGGTGTGAGTCACCATACCCGGCCAAAAAAGTATAGGGTATTTTCAGGGAAAAGATAGGGAAACCTAAATTAACTGGGGAGGAAGGAAGGTCTTGGAGAAATTATTCAATAGGAAAATTGTAAGTTACGTAGGAGTTGGTTAAAAAAACCAATAGAGTGAAGAGTGCTTTAGTCAGAGGGAGCAGTATGTGTGTAAGAAGCTCATGAGGCAGGGGAAGAGTCTGAAGTGTTGAAAAAGTGGCAGTGAAGCCATTTTTTTTTCTTTTCCCCAGGGCTTCACTTGGAGCTGAAAAAACAAATAAACAAACAAACAAACAAACAAAAAACTTTGAAGTAGAATAAAAGAGATGAGTGTAATTCAAAACAGTGGGTGTTTTTTGTTCTGTTTTGTTTTGTTTTTTAAAGATGAACCATTTATCAACTCAACTTCTTTGGTTAGCTTTATTCTTTTATTTAAACTCAGCCTTGTTCTCAGAAAGAGATAAGTTAAGGTCTCGTTATTAATAGAAAGACTTCACTGGATTGCAATTTTTCTGTGGTGATTGTTACCTGAAACAGAGATAAGGCTGCTTATTGACTTTGTGCCATGTGGCCTACACTGTGGATTAGTCTGACTTCTGATTTATTTTACTTCATTTTGCCTTCAATCCAAATTCTACTCAATTGCTATGAATGTTTGGATCTATATGAAAGTTGCAGTATGGAAAATGAAGTCAGAAAGCGTAGAAATTTAGGTGAAAGAAGAAAGAAACTATTATTTGATTTTTATGACAGCTTGCTTCAGAATTCTCTAAGCAACATTTATTTTCAATTTGATCTGATATTAACTAACTAGAACAGGGAAAATCGATTATGTATTTTTCTATTTATTGTTATAACTTTATTTTTCTTGGGCTGTGCTTTCCATTTCATAGAATATCCACTACATGGGAAAAACAGAGAGGTGTCCTCAAAAGAAACCTTGTCCTGGGAGCCAGAGCATAGGTCTAGCCCGAGATTCCCTTTGTCTTCTCTGAGCACAGAATCTCCAGTGATAGTCCTACTGGCTGGGGAGGGTTTCATAAAAAATGGAGGTAGGAGATTAGCCTCATTTCTTAAATTGTGTAGAATTCAGACAGAATAGAAATGGCTGGAGAAAAGTATACAACTAAGCTGACAGGTCTGTCTTAAATCAGTAATTTCGAGAGTGGCTTTTAGAGGATTCAGAAATCCTATTACATTCCCACATGAATTCACTCTCTATCTGCAAGACAAAAATTTCACACTGATTTTTCTTCCCTCGAGCCTTTACTATTTCCTATCCCCTTTATTCTTATTTAAAGCCAGGTCTTTAAATTTTTTATAAACATTTAAAACTTGTAAAACTTTAAATGAGAATTAAAAAATTGTATTATTTATTATGCAGTAGCAGCAATCAAGAGAGAACTTGTTTTTCCACCAACAACCTACCAGCCCCCACATCCATGTATTCTATATTGCAGTTAAAATGAATGAACTATTGGTGCTTCTGTCTAAAACCAATCCTCCACTTGTGCACTAGATTCCATCCACTTTGGCTACTTTGGCCTGCACAGGATGTGACTCCCATAAATATCTCCTCGTCTGTCAATATCTCTTCGGCACCATTTCTATCCTCATACGAACAGGCTGTAATTTTTCCCACTTTAAAATATCTACTCTTGACCTTAAATGTTTTCTCTACCTACTACCCACAACCTTTGCAGTTCCTCAGAGCAGTAAGGCAGTCATCATTTTGCATATTTTTAATATGCACAAATTACAGCTACCACAGTTTAGTTCAATAACACCAGTTCCTCCAAAACACAATTCAATTTTCAGTTGCTGTAGTACATTAATTGAATAATTGCATAAAATACAAACTTGGCTGTTAGCCCTTCAGTTTAGAAATCATTACATAAATAACAAATGCACATCATGGCCAGTGACCAAATATGTCACTTCTTTCAAAGTCTGTTGGTGATTGGGCACTGGGCATCTGTGTTGACATACAGACAGCAAAGCATGTAGTTGTGTTGCCTTCTTGCTTTCGTGCTTCTCTGACATCATCTCCTACCATTTCTTCATTTGATAACTGAACTATGGTCATGCTGACCTGTCTGCTCTGTGAATGTGCCAAGTACCTGCTGTCTCAGCGTCTGCATAGGCAGAATACGTTAACAAACAGCTCTAAAATGTCAATGTCAATGGCATTTAAACACAATGAAAGTTTATTTCTCATGAAGTTCATAGTCTATTGAGGTTTGATAGTGGTGGGAAGTGGGGAGCACTGGCATTGTTCCTGTCATTTTGACAGAGGCTCCTACCTTCCTTTTGCTCCTTTCTTCACTCCTTGTCCCCAGATCCTTTGAAACTTCTCCAGTCAGCTCATGGACAGAGAAAAAGGAAGGGCATTGAATATTGTGAAAGAAGTTTATGTATGACATTTCATACATCAGAAACTGATCTGATAGCCCCACTAACTGCAGGGGAGGCTGGAAATGTAAATCAAATGTGTGCCAAGAGGAAATGTCTAGTTAAAGCACTACTGTATTTTTAGTTCTTCACATAGTGCTAGGCACATAGTAGACCCCAAATAAATATTTGCAGGATGAGTAAGTGAATGAATGAATTCATTTGGAAACAGTGGCAAGGGTGAACCTTTAGTTAGATACTGCAATGAGCCCTGATGCTGTCAATTGAATTGGAGCAAGATATTGGTAATATCTTGCTTTATTATATTTAAACATGAAATGGATTCTCTTAATTTAAAGGACCTTCTGTTACCATAAAATAAAAAGCTCATATTGCCAAGCATTTTTCAATCTCCTACACCGAGTGGATTCTTTTTAAAGTTGAGAAGTTGGCCATGAAGAAAGGCAGAAGACCTTATATTGCTCCTTCATTCTGATCTTTCTACTCCCCTAACTTCCATGTATTTTGTTGCATCAGATACAATAACAAAAACTAATGTAATTTTTATTTATGCAAAATCTTAGAGGGAGGTGTGGTCACAGTGTCATTGGATACATATTGTTCAACCAACGTTTTACACATGTACATCATCGTACACTAATACACAAATACCATGTCACACACACCTAATTCAGGCTGCTATAATCCATCCTGAGCAATTAGCTTTGTTAACAGAGCAAATTTGGTGCAAGTAAATGAGGAGTACATCCAATTATTTTTCAGGGCTTTTTAGTAAATTCCAAGATGTTTTCAAAAGTTTCTTTTCCTAGTTATCACTGAATACTCCATTTTATTAATTGGCTTCCTGCAAGGTCCACAGTGTTTTATGTTGGTAGGGCTACCCTATTGGACATCATATGTTCTTTCTTCAGTGTGATTTTAAAACTTAGGCTTTCAGAAGTCTCATATAAATTTTTGTTCCTTGTATGCTCCTCCATATCCTCTCCTTTTTATCTCTACTATTACTAGCTTGGTTTAGGGCTTTATCTTCTCTCTCTTGGATTTCTGTAGTTCCCTTGTAACTTATTGGTCTCTGTGCCCCCAGTGTGTTCCACTTCCAATTCATTCTTCTTCCAGCTACCAGAGTTGTGTTTTTTAAATGCAAATAAAGATTAAGTGCAGTCAAATAATGAAATTTTTGACATTTTAAATAGAAATAAAAATGCTGGATAAGAAATCAAAAGACACAGGACTATTTCTGTTTTATTTTTTGTACCTAGTAACAGAACCCCAAGTTTTAGGTGGGCACTTTTTTATTTATCTGGAATAAAAATATATCTCATCCTTCTTTGTAGCTAGGAGTGGCCATTGGTTAAATCTGGGCCAAAACATTGTAAATGGAAAAGCTCTGTGGTGCATCAGGAAAGGTCATTTAAAGGAATTTCACTCCTTTCTCCTCCTGCTGCTAATCCAGCATGTGTCCATCCATCTTGGGCCATAAGGTGACTTTTAGGGTAGAAGCTAAGTGCTAAGGATAGTAGAAGAGAAAAATAGGAGCCTGGTTCCCTGAAGTCACTGTAAAATCACCACACCACCTTTGGAGTTATTTATATAATGGAGAATTGACATTGTTTTGTTGTTTGTTGATTTTTTCCCCTGCTATATGCAGACAAACCTAATATTAACCAGTTCAGCATGGAATGAATAACATGAGTTTTAAGTTGTTTGAGTCTAAGGCGATGGCTGAAAGTCCTGCCAGAGTTGTCTTATAAGTAGTTGGAATGATGGGACTGGCAGTCAGGTAAGAAATGTACAGAATCATCTATTTGGCAAATGTCTCTTGAGCTTCTCCTATGTGTCAGGCACTGTGTTGGGTCCTAAAAGTAAAAATATTAATACTACTAAATTACCTATTTCCTACCCACTAGTAGCTTCTAGTTTAGGAGAAATATAGCTATCTAAAGATACTTGCATTGCATTACGATAGGTGATTAAATAAGGGACAAGGAAGATAAAATTGATTTTATTTAGGAAGTTAGTGAAGACTCATAATGTCATCATCCACCTCATGTTGTAAAATCATTTGGACATTTAAAAGTCTACATCTCAATTGACCTCTCAATAGCATTTAACATAGTTGATGGGGGAAGATTACATTTTTCAAAAATGGCTACAATGGTATGACCCCTACCACATGCTCTCCTACAATTTTGCCACTTCCCTGTGAGTGGTAGAATCTAGATCTTTTCTTCTTGAATCTGAGTACACTTAGAACTTGCCTATAACAGAATATATTAGAAGTGATGCTGCCTGACTTTTCATGCTAGGTCACAAAAGGCAATACAGCTTCTGTCTTGTTAGTTGAGACATTTGGTGTAGAGTCCTAATATTCCATTAAGAAAACAAACTAACTGAGGGCTGTAGGCTGTGAGGAAGCTGAGCCCCATGGAGGGGACACATACAGATGTTTTGTCATCAAGTCTTGTCTTTGAGTCCTCTCAGCCCAGGCATGGGACATGTTAGAGGATGAACTTCAGATGATTCCAACTAGCCAGCGCTTAGACATCTCGTTACCCTAGTCTTGAAGTCTTTCCAGCAGAGGCCCAGATAGTGTGCAGATAAGCCAGTTTAGCTGGGCTCTTTCTGAATTCCTGACCTACAGACTCCATGCTTATAATAAAATAGCTATTGTTTAAGGCCACTAAGTTTATGGTGGTGTGTGACATGTAATAGTTGACTATTCTTGACTTTACTCCTATCTTTTTAGTACCTGGTTTTTGGTCTCCTTTGCTGAATCCTTTTCTAAGCCTCTAATTGAGGAGTACCCCAGACCTCAACCTTTGGTGCTCTTCTCTATCTCACTTACTCCTTAGGTGATTTTTCCTGTTCCCTTTGCTACGAATCCTATTTATATTCTGAGAAACCCAAATCTATGTCTTCAGGTCAGATGTCCCCTTTTAGCTACTGGCTGTTTTTAGTCTCTTTTCTTTTCTTTTTACTTTTCTTTTCTTTTTTCTTTTCTTTTCTTTCTGCCTTGCCTTGCCTTGCCTTGCCCTGCCTTGCCCTGCCCTGCCCTGCCCTGCCTTCCTTTCCTTTCCTTTCCTTTCCTTTCCTTTCCTTTCCTTTCCTTTCCTTTCCTTTCCTTTCCTTTCCTTTCCTTTCTTTTCCTTTTTCTTTTCTTTTCTTTCTTTCTTTTTTGACTTAGTTTCACTCTTGTTACCCAGGCTGGAGTGTAGTGGCGCCATCTCAGCTGACTGCAACCTCCGCCTCCTGGATTCAAGCGATTCTCCTTCCTCAGCTTCCCCAGTAGCTGAGATTACAGGTGCCTGCCATCATGCCCAGCTAATTTTTGTATTTTTAGTAGAGACGGGGTTTCACCATGTTGCCCAGGCTAGTCTCAAACTCCTGACCTCAGGTGAGCTACCCGCCTCAGCCTCCCAAAGTGCAGGGATTACAGGCGTGAGCCACCATGCCCAGCCTGTTTTTGGTTTCAACTGCTTACTTGATATCTTGGTATAACTTGGATGTATATCATTATGTATTATATATTGTGGGGATGAACACATGTTGGACATCTCGAACATGATGTGCCCAAAACTTACATATTGAATTTTTGCCTTAAAATTATCCCAATTTCCCACTATCTTAGTAAATGTTACTTTCACCTATCTGCTTGTTCAATCTAGAGACAAAATTATTCTAGAGTCTTCCTTCTTTTTCATTCTTCACATCTGATGCAATCCAAAATTTTATCAATTCTATTCATAAGTCTGTCTACTGCTCCACTAATACCATCATCATCCTGGTTCAAGCCAACAAAAGTTCATTGATTTGGTATTGGTGCTTTGAGCTCTACTCTATTTCCTTTAACTCCATATTTGTGGCAAATCACACACACATCTCTCTGACCCCCACCTCCATCCCCTGCTTCCTCATTTGCAGACTGCCAGTATTTAAGCCAGGGTAAGACTTCCCTATTCTGCTGGATGGCAGAAGAATTCTCTGCTCAAGAATCTGACCCAGTAGTGAATGCAGGCAAACAATTTGTCACCTTAATAGCTTTTAATTTTAGGGAGGGAACTCTTTATCAAAAAATATCTTGATAAGCTGCTTGGGGTTAGAAGTGAGACCTAAAAAAACCAGATGTTGCATGTGCCAGGACAATTAAAGGAGTTGGGTAAACTGCTCTGTCTAAAGCATAGAGAGAAGTTTACTTTGCTGCTGGGGAAGAAAGTGAAAGAGAGAAGAAAGCAGAGAAGATAGGTGAGGATGGAGGAGCCAGGAGACGGTTTGGGGCTGGGCCTATTTGTATAGAACATTTGGAAGATCTCTAAAACAATTCTTAGAAGAGTAAAAGTATGTGAGAGTGGTTAAAAACTCAATGCACAGATACCTGTGAACTAATCAGAGGAACAGAGAGATTCCAGAGTCAGAGGAGCCACCCTCCATGTCTGCATATGTTCTGAGGGACTAACACTCCCTTCCCTGGTGTTGAGAACACTGTGCACTAAGTTCCTTGGCCAACCCAGGCTAGGGGTTGGGGGTGATTATTGAGATGGGAGTTTTGTGATCATCTTAGATGCCTGCAATGACATGCCTTTAGGTGACTTCTCTGGAAAAATAACTATGAAGTTCCAGCAACAAGCAACGAATTCAATATTAGCTTGAGAAGATTCATTTGATCATCTTCACTGTTTTTTTTTTCTTTTTTTTGAGACAGTCTCACTCTGTCACCCAGGCTGGAGTGCAGTGCTACAATCTTGGCTCACTGCAACCTCCACCTCCCAGGCTCAAGCAATTCTCTTGCCTCAGCCTCCCGAGTAGCTGCGATCACAGGTGCGTACCACCATGCCCAGCTAATTTTTGTATTTTTAGTAGAGACAGGGTTTCACTATGTTCACCAGGCTGGTCTCAAACTCCTGACCTCAAATGATCCATCTGCCCCGGCCTCCCAAAGTGCTGGGGTTACAGGCATGACCCACTGTGCCCAGCCTATCTTCACTGTTTTTATGTCAAGTGACTCTCAAGAGTAGGTAGCCACATCTCTCTTAAGTCCCAATCCCAGGGGCCCAAGTATTGGGTGGAAGGGAAAAGAATGGCTAAAGTGTATTGCCATTTTGAATGTTGCTCTGATAAATGGTTTCTTCTAAGAGTGTTGGTATAAGGAGTGCTTAATTTTGTCAGCCAAGTACAGAGTGGAAGGAAATTTGAAATGCTGGTGAGTATTGACAGCTGTCATATTTTATTGGGCCATTGAACTGAGCTTGCTATTACAGCATGAAATTGGCAATTTTTTTGTGTGTGTGTTATATTTTAAGTTCTGAGATACATGTGCAGAATGTGCAGGTTTGTTACATAGGTATACATGTGTCATGGTGTTTTGTTGCACCCATCAACCCATCATCTACATTAGATATTTCTCCTAATGTTATTCCTCCCCTAGCCCCCCACCCCCTGACAGGCCCAGTGTGTGATGTTTCCCTCCCTGTGTCCATGTGTTCTCATTTTTCAACTCCCACTTATGAGTGAGAACATGCGGTGTTTGGTTTTCTGCTCTTGTGTTAGTTTGCTGAGAATGATGGTTTCCAGCATCATCCATGTCCCTGCTAAGAACATGAACTCATCCTTCTTTATGGCTGCATAGTATTCCATGGTGTATATGTGCCACATTTTCTTTATACAGTCTATCATTAATGGGCATTTGGGTTGGTTACAAGTCTTTGCTATTGTGAACAGTGCTGCAATAAACATATGCATGCACATGTATTTATAGTAGAATGATTTATAACCCTTTGGGTATATACCCAGTAATGGGATTGCTGGGTCAAATGGTATTTCAAGTTCTAGATCCTTGAGGAATCGCCACACTGTCTTCCACAATGGTTGAAGTAATTTACAGTCCTACAAACAGTCTAAAAGCATTCCTATTTCTCCACAACCTCTCCAGCATCTGTTGTTTCCTGACTTTTTAATGATCGCCATTCTAACTGGAGTGAGATGGTATCTCTTTGTGGTTTTGATTTGCATTTCTCTAATGACCAGTGGTGAGCTTTTTTTCATATGTTTGTTGGCTGCAGAAATGTCTTCTTTTGAGAAGTGTCTGTTCATATCCTTTGCTCATTTTTTGATGGGGTTGTTTGTTTTGTTCTTGTAAATTTGTTTAAGTTCTTTGTAGATTCTGGATATTAGCCCTTTGTCAGATGGATAGATTGCAAAATGTTCTCCCATTCTGTAGGTTGCCTGTTCACTCTGATGATAGTTTCTTTTGCTGTGCAGAAGCTCTTTAGTTTAATTAGGTCCCATTTGTCAATTTTGGCTTTTGTTGCCATTGCTTTTGGATTTTTTTAGTCATGAAGCCTTTGCCCATGCCTATGTCCTGAATGGTATTGCCTAGGTTTTCTTCTAGGATTTTTATGGTTTTGGGTTTTACACTTAAGTCTTTAATCCATCTTGAGTTGATTTTTGTACAAGGTGTAGGGAAGGGATCCAGTTTCAGTTTTCTGCATATGGCTAGCCACTTTTCCCAACACCATTTATTAAACAGGGAATCTTTTCCCCATGTCTTGTTTTTGTCAGGTTTTTCAAAGCTCAGATGGTTGTAGATGTGTTGTGTTATTTCTGAGGCCTCTGTTCTGTTCCATTGGTCGATATATTTGTTTTGGTACCAGTACCATGCTCTTTTGGTTACTGTAGCCTTGTAGTGTAGTTTGAAGTCTGGTAGCGTGATGCCTCCAGCTTTGTTCTTTTGGCTTAGGATTGTCTTGGCTATACAGGCTCTTTTTTGGCTCCATATTAAATATACAGTAGTTTTTTCTAATTCTGTGAAGAAAGTCAATGGTGGCCTGATGGGGATAGCATTGAATCTATAAATTATTTTGGGCAGTATTGTCATTTTCATGATATTGATTCTTCTATCCATGAGCATGAAATGTTCTTCCATTTGTTTGTGTCCTCTCTTATTTCCTTGAGCAGTGGTTTGTAGTTCTCCTTGAAGAGGTCCCTCACATCCCTTGTAACTTGTATTCCTAGGTATTTTATTCCTTTTGTAGCAATTGTGAATGGGAGTTCACTCATGATTTGGCTCTCTGTTTGTCTATTATTGGTGTTCAGGAATGCTTGTGATTTTTGCGTATTGATTTTGTATCCTGAAACTTTGCTGAAGTTGCTTATCAGCTTAAGGGGATTTTGGGCTGAGACAATGGGGCTTTCTAAATACACAATCATGGCATCTGCAAACAGAGACAATTTGACTTCCTGTCTTCCTATTTGAATACCCTTTATTTCTTTCTCTTGCCTGATTGCCCTGGCCAGAACTTCCAATACTACATTGAATAGGAGTGGTGAGAGAGGGCCTCCTTGTCTTGTGCTGGTTTTCGATGGGAATGCTTCCAGCTTTTGCCCATTCCGTGTAATATTGGCTGTGGGTTTGTCATAAATAGCTCCTATTATTTTGAGATACGTTCCATCAGTACCTAGTTTTTTGAGAGTTTTTAGTAAGAAGGGGTGTTGAATTTTATCAAAGGCCTTTACTGCATCTATTGAGATAATCATGTGGTTTTTGGCATTGGTTCTGTTTATGTGATGGATTACATTTATTGATTTGCATATGTTGAACCAGGCTTGCAGCTCAGGGATGAAGTCGACTTGATAGTGGTGGATAAGCTTTCTGATGTGCTGCTGGATTCGGTTTGCCAGTATTTTAATGAGGATTTTCGCATTGATGTTCATCAGGGATATTGGCCTGAAATTTTCTTTTTTTGTTGTGTCTCTGCCAGGTTTTGGTATCAGGATGATGCTGGCCTCATGAAATGAGTTAGCGAGGAGTACCTCTTTTTCTATTGATTGAATTAGTTTCAGAATGAATGGCACCAGCTCCTCTTTGTACCTCTGGTAGAATTCAGCTGTGAATCCGTCTGGTCCTAGGCTTTTTTTTTTTTTTTTGGTTGGTAGGCTTTTAATTACTGCCTCAATTCAAAGCTTGTTATTGATCTATTCAGGGATTCAACTTCTTCCTGATTTAGTCTTGGGAGGGTATATGTGTCCAAGAATTTATCCATTTCTTCTAGATTGTCTAGTTTATTTGCACAGAGGTGTTTATAGTATTCTCTGATGGTAGTTTGTATTTCTGTGGGATCAGTGGTGATATCCCCATTATCATTTTTTATTGCATCTACTTGATTCTTTAGTTTTCTTCTCTATTAGTCTGGCTAGCAGCCTATCTATTTTGTTGATCTTTTAAAAAACCAGCTCCTGTGTTCATTGATTTTTTTTGAAGGGTCTTTCATGTCTCTATCTCCTTCAGTTCTGCTCTGATCTTAGTTATTTCTTGTCTTCTGCTAGCTTTTCAATTTGTTTGCTCTGCCTTCTCTAGTTCTTTTAATTGTGATGTTAGGGTGTCAATTTTAGATCTTTCCTGCTTTGTCCTGTGGGGATTTAGTGCTATAAATTTCCCTCTACATACTGCTTTAAATGTGTCCCAGAGATTCTGGTACGTTGTGTCTTTGTTCTCATCGGTTTCAAAGAACTTCTTTATTTCTGCCTTAATTTTGTTATTTACCCAGCAGTCATTCAGGAGCAGGTTGTTCAGATTCCAGGTAGTCATGCGGTTTTGAGTGAGTTTCTTAATCCTGAGTTCTAATTTGATTGCACTGTGGTCTGAGAGAGTGTTTGTTACGATTTCTGTTCTTTTGCATTTGTTGAGGAGTGTTTTACTTCCAATGATGTGGTCAATTTTAGAATAAGTGCTATGTGGTATTGAAAAGCATGTATATTCTATCGATTTGGGGTGGATAGTTCTGTAGATGTCTACTAGGTCTGCTTGGTCCAGAGCTGAGCTCAAGTCCTGAATATCCTTGTTAATTTTCTGTCTCGTTGATCTGTCTAATACTGACAGTGGGGTGTTAAAGTCTCCCATTATTATTGTGTGGGAGTCTAAGTCTCTTTGTAGGTCTCTAAGAATTTGCTTTATGAATCTGGGTGCTCCTGTATTGGGTGCATATATTTTTAGGATAGTTAGCTCTTCTTGTTGCATTGATCCCTTTACCATCATGTAATGCCATTCTTTTCTGTTCTGATATTTGTTGGTTTAAACTCTGTTTTATCAGAGACTAGGATTGCAATCCCTGCTTTTTTTTGCTTTCCATTTGCTTGGTAAATCTTCCTCCATCCCTTTATTTTGAGCCTATGTGTGTCTTTGCATGTGAGATGGGTCTCCTGAATACAGCGCACTGATGGGTCTTGACTCTATCCAATTTGCCAGTCTGTATCTTTTAATTGGGGCATTTAGCCCATTTACTTTTAAGGTTAATATTCTTATGTGTGAATTTGATCCTTTGTGTCATTATGATGCTAGCTGGTTATTTTGTACATTAGTTGATGCAGTTTCTTCATAGTGTCAATGGTCTTCACAATTTGGTATGTTTTTGCAGTGGTTGGTACAGATTTTTCCTTTCGATGTTTAGTGCTTCCTTCAGGAGCTCTTGTAAGGCAGGCCTGGTGGTAATAAAATCTCTCAGCATTTACTTGTCTGTAAAATATTTCATTTCTCTTTCACTTACGAAGCTTAGTTTGGCTGGAAATGAAATTCTGGGTTGAAAATTCTTTTCTTTAAGAATGTTGAGTATTGGCCCCCACTATCTTCTGTCTTGTAGGGTTTCTGCAGAGAGATCTGCTGTTAGTCTGATGGGCTTCCCTTTGTGGGTAACCTGACCTTTCTCTCTGGCTGCCCTTAACAGTTTTTCCTTCATTTCAACCTTGATGAATCTGACAATTATGTGTCTTTGGGTTGCTCTTTTCGAGGGATATCTTTGTGGTGTTGTCTGTGTTTCTTAAATTTGAATGTTGGCCTGCCTTGCTAGGTTGGGGAAGTTCTCCTGGATAATATCCTAAAGAGTGTTTTCCAACTTGGTTCCATTCTCCCTGTTATCTTCTGGTACACCAATCAAACATAGATTTGGTCTTTTCACATAGTTCCATATTTCTTGGAGGCTTTGGTCATTTCCTTTCACTCTTTTTTCTCTAATCTTGTCTTCTCACTTTATTTCATTGAGTTGATCTTCAATCTCTGATATCCTTTCTTCCACTTGATTGATTCAGCTATTGATACTTGTGTATGCTTCATGAAGTTCTTGTGCTGTGTTTTTCAGCTCTATCAGGTCATTTATGTTCTTCTCTAAACTGGTTATTCTAGTTAGCAGTTTGTCTAATCTTTTTTCAAGGTTCTTAGCTTCCTTGCATTGGGTTAGAACATGCTCCTTTAGCTTGGAGGAGTTTGTTATTACCCACCTTCTGAAGCCTACTTCTGTCAATTTGTCAAACTCATTCTCCATCCAGTTTTGCTCCCTTGCTAGTGAGGAGTTGTGATCCTTTGGAAGAGAAGAAGCGTTCTGGTTTTCGGAGTTTTCAGCCTTTTTGTGCTGGTTTCTCCCCATCTTCGTGGATTTATCTACCTTTGGTCTTTGATATTGGTTACCTTCGGATGGGCTCTCTGAGTGGACATTCTTTTTATTGATGTTGCTGCTATTCCTTTCTGTTTGTTAGTTTTCCTTCTAACAGTCAGGACCCTCAGCTGCAGGTCTGCTGGAGTTTGCTGGAGGTCCACTCCAGACCCTGTTTGCCTGGGTATCACCAGTGGAGGCTGCAGAACAGCAAAAATTGCTGTCTGTTCCTTCCTCTGGAAACTTCGTCCCAGAGGGGTACCCACCAGATGCCAGTGGGAGCTTTCCTGTATGAGGTGTGTGTCGGCCCCTACTGGGAGGTATCTCCCAGTCAGGATACATGGGGGTGAGGGACCGACTTGAGGAGGCAGCCTGTCCCTTATCAGAGCTCAAACACTGTGCTGGGAGATCTGCTGCACTCTTAAGAGCTGTCAGACAGGGACACTTAAGTCTGCTGAAGCTGGGCCCACAGCCGCCCCTTCCCCAGGTGCTCTGTCTCAGGGAGATGGGGGTTTTAACTATAAGTCCCTGACTGTGGCTGCTGCCTTTTTTTCAGAGATGCCCTGACTAGAGAGGCAGTCTGGCCACAGTGGCCTTGCTGAGTGCAGTGGATTCTGTCCCGTTCAAACTTCCTGGTGGCTTTGTTTATCCGTGAGGGTAAAACCGCCTACTGAAGCCTCAGCAATGGTGGACGCCCCTCCCCCCACCAAGCTCAAGCATCCCACGTCGACCTTAGACTGCTGTGCTAGCAGCGAGAATTTCAAGCCAGGGATCTTAGCTTGCTGGGCTCCATGGGGGTGGGACACACCGAGCCAGGCACCAGAGAGAATCTCCTGGTTTGCTGGTTGTGAAGACCATGGGAAAAGTGCAGTATCTGGGCCAGAGTGCACTGTTCCTCCCAGTACAGTCTCTCACAGCTTCCCCTGGCTAGGAACAGGAAGTTCCCCGACAACTTGCGCATCCCCAGTCGCCCTCCATGGGCTGCACCCACTGTCCAACCAGTCTCAATGAGACGGACCGGGTGTCTCAGTTGGAAATGCAGAAATCACCCGCCTTCTGCATCAATCTCGCTGGGAGCTGCAGACCAGAGCTGTTCCTATTCAGCCATCTTGCCAGCAATTCCTAAATTTCTCTTTTTATAAAGATACAAGTTGTACTAGATTAGGGCCTACCCTAATGAACTTATCTTAACTTGATTACCTCTGTGAATATCCTATCTCCAAGTATGGCCCAAATAACTCTCCAAACTCTCCAAATAATTCAACTCATAATGATGGGTGACCTTACTAGCAAAGAAACCAGATGGAGTTCTCCCTGTAGTTGAAGAACCAATTTCATTTTCAGCTAAACAAATAGGTTATCACTGAAGAGAGGAGAACCTGCATTAGCATCAGTTTACCTAAGGGAATGATGTTTTCAAGATTCAGAGAGGAGATGAAGTAAAGAATAAATGCAGAACTTTTTCTTCCTGTGGTAATGTTGGGGTTTCCTCAGAATAAGTACAGAGAATTGGTCAAATGACTTGAAAAGAGGAAATTAAAGGGAAATAGGGGAAAGAGAGGGCTTAGGAAGAGAGAGAACAGCCACATGAGATACCTCCTCTTAAGTCCTGCATGCTATAAAGGAGGAAGTTAGGTAAAGTTTTACCCTCCTTTACCCTAGCTCTGTGTGATTTTGCTTTTCAGAGATGCAGTGGTCCTTTGTTAAATTATTTTGTGCACCTTCTTCATAGTACTGTGTGTGCTAGCCTGGGAAAGACAAAAAGCAGACCTGCAGGGCCTTGCAGTCATCTTACAGAGACTTCACAGGACACAGGCTCCCTTCCTCCACCTTTCTCTTTTTACTTGGAATCACCATGGGGCTATCAGCATAGTGGGGAGAACCACATGCCACCAGTGCAAAGCAGAGACAATAAGACTGAGCCCCATTGTGGAGATCACAAACCACCTTGGATGACAGAAAAGGAGGTGTCCTTCCCAATGTGATAAGTCTTCAAAACTATCCTCAGGTGAATGTTCAAATATTCTGTGGATTCCACTGAAGAATGATTAATAACCTTTCTCCAAGGTGAGACAATTTCTAAACCTTGATTTTTCAACTTCAGATGAAACTTGAACCTTTTGAAGGTTGTCATGCTTTCTCTAGGGACAGGAAATGAGGTGAGGAAGTTTTTAAAACATCCATTACAAAAAATTCTAGAGATCAGAAAGCTTTCATGAAACAATATTTTGATGACTTAAATGCAAGTGAATTAGAAGCTTTTAGTTTGAAAAAAATTTTCAATTTCAAAAACTAAATAGAAAAGATAATTTGGAATGTGAGAGAAAAGATAATATAGGTTAGAGTAGATGTAAATGATTCAGATATAACTTGCATTTGTATATTTTGTATTTCTCCATATGTTTCCCTTGTGTTTTTCAGGAATCATCATTTGCTTTATTATTTTTTTCCTCAATTTAAAATAAAATACTTTGTGGCCGAGTGCAGTGGCTCATGCCTATAATCCCAGCAGTTTGGGAGGCTGAGGCAGGTGGATCACCTGAGGTCAGAAGTTCGAGATCAGCCTGACCAACATGGTGAAACCCCGTCTGTACTAAAAATACAAAAATTAGCTGGGCGTGGTGGCACGTGCCTGTAATCCCAGCTACTCGGGAGGCTGAGGCAGGAGAATCATTTGAACCTGGGAGATGGAGTGAGCTGAGATTATGCCACTGCACTCCAGCCTGGGTGACAAAGCAAGATTTCATTTCAAAAAATAAAAAAATAAAAAATTATAAAATAAAATATTTTGTGCTTGGTGTGTGTATTGTATGTATGTATGCATGCATGTATTTATGTGTATTTTTAAGATGAAATTCATCAAGGACTTTGAAAAACTTTAATTATTTTGTTTCTGCATCTGGCCACTGTACAAATACTACAGAGTGAATTCACAATCAGCATCTTTGCTTTCAAGAGTCAAAAGACTGAAAACATGCAAAACAAACAGAATCAAAATACAACATAGAAAAAGTAAAAAAGGAATTCTAAACATATTCCATCCGCTTCTCTGGCCTGCACATAAAAGACTACTCAGCAGAGGAATTTCTTGAGAGGAAGAAGTATGTTTACTCATTTTTTTTTGCATCGTTGGCCCCTAGCAGAGTGCTTGGAATGAGTGCAGAAAGTATTTCTTAAGTGAGTCAAAACCCTTGATAGCACGGGACACCATTAGACGCCACTCCAAAATAGACCCTTTTGGCATAAGGATTGTTTTGAGCTGAAGGTAATAAAGAAGCAGATGCAGGAAAGCTCTCTGCTCTCCGTCTATTTGCCTAACAGGGCATAAATTTACAAAGGCAAAAGGTATCCCTCTACTCCTGCCTACTACCAGGTATAGTTTATTTGCCTTTGCACAAGTTGCTGCCCCTGAAGACTCAAAGTTATTTTCCTTTGTCTTGTGATCTCTTTAAAAATTTGTAGTTTTTTTACTGAAGATGTTGTATAAGCTGAAATTCAAGGCTACTTTTTTGAGAAGTATTCATTCCCTGGGCCTCTCCATGTATGTATTAAATAAATGTGTTAGTAAATTTCTGTTTGTTTTTCTCTTGATAATCTGTCTTTTGTTACAGGGGTCTGTTACAACTAAGGACTCATGAAGGTGGAGGAAAAAAAATGTTTTTTCTCCCTTATAGTTCTTCTGCACAAGATGGACCTCAGAGACAGTTTGTGTTTGACTGTGCTTTCCCCTTCAGAAGTTGAGCTGGGACACTGGCTCAATTAGTGTTGGTTTCAGAATTGGAATGAAGAATGAAAAGTCTCTTCTCTTCTTAGGAAATAATTTTTCCTTTGTGCAGAAATGTAGAAATGAGCACATTCATACCAAGATTAAAAGTGCAACCCCAAGGCAAGGGACAATGGTGATGAGTGAATAACGGGAAGAGATGCAGTAAGGGAAGAGTGCTTTCAAAAAGAATGGTGCCAAGAACAGTGGAAGAGGGAACTTTTGTACTTTTATGAAAGTAATTACCATTCATCAAACTCCTCACAGTGGCAGACAAATGAATTTAATAATGAATTTAATAGTTATAAACTCACTTTTATGAATCTATCAAATACATTATATCACATAACCTTTCTACTCTATCTTATAATAATACAGTGCCTTTTTCTGTGTTTAAAAAGTTTGTATCTTAGCAAGATTCATGAAGAAGCAATTCTATATCTGTTTTAAAATTTATGTTGTTCTGTTGAACACTGTTATAAAATAAAACTTGTGTTATACCTGTAAATTATTGTATTAAAGCAGTACAGGAGAGTGATCAAGGCCAATAGCTTTGGAGACAGTTCTTGGTCCCAGCTCTAACATTAACTAGCTGTGTGATCCTGAGCAATTGTCTTACACCTCTGCTGCTCAGTTTTCTCACTTATTAAATGCAAATAATAACGTTACTTTATAAATTTATAGATTGAGAGTTTTAAATGTGTGCAAGCATATTAATGATATCAATAAATTGCCTTTGATTATTATTATGAAAATAAATAATAAATGGTCAATAAATTGCCATTGATTATTATTGTGAAAATAAATATTAATAAATGATCAATAAATTGCCATTGATTATTATTATGAAAACAAATTAAGGTTGAAAAGTTTGGTACAGCATTTAAATTTTCACTATTAAACAAAGAGAAGTGAAAACAAGTGAATAAAATTAAGATATTAGCCCATTATTACTTGTTGCACTCTGTTAAGTACTATGAGGGATAAAAGAATGCAAAAGAGGCATAAGGAATGATCTTCAATAATAACTGTAATGATTGTGAATATAACTTATTGAGAACATATTATGCTTTAAATGGCCAAGAAAACAAAATGAAAACGTGAAATAATTTGAAAAAAATAATATATTTGTTCTGTGGTTCAATGAGAATTGGAATTAATAAAAGTCCATGTGGGCTACAGTGACTTAGGAATGCTCAAGAAGAAAGTGGCCTTGAAGAATAAAGAGTCTTTTTAGCCGGGCACGGTGGCTCACACCTGTAATCCCAGCACTTTGGGAGGCTGAGGTGGGTGGATCAACTGAGGTCAGGAATTTGAGACCAGCCTCCCCAACATGGCAAAACCCCATCTCTACTAGAAATACAAAACTAGCCAGGTGTGGTGGCACACGCCTGGATAAGCCTGTGATCCCAGCTACTCAGGATGCTGAAGCAGGGGAATTGCTTGAACCTGGGAGGTGGAGGTTGCAGTGAACTGAGATCATGCCATTGCACTCCAGCCTGAGTGATAAGAGTGAAACTCCATCTCAAAAAAAAAAAAAAAATTCTTCAAGTGTGTGTTCAAAAAAGGCAAGAGACTCTTGGCAGCTGGTGATGGTCAGCAGCCAGTAGAGAAGGATTAAATAAGCAAAGCCATGGAAACTGTAATGTGAGGGATCGGTGACAGGAAAAGTAGGATTTTTTTTTTTTTTTTTAAGAAATGGACAACTTTCAAAAGAAGACATACATGTGGCCAGCAATCATTTAAGAAAGCTCAATATCACTGATCATTAGAGAAATGCAAATCAAAACCACAATGAAACACCATCTCACACCAGTCAGAATGGCTATTAGTAAAAAGTCAAAACATCACAGATGCTTGCTAGGTTATGAGAAAAAGGAACACTTATACACTGTTGGTGTGAGCGTAAATTAGTTTAGCCATTGTGGAAGACAGTGTGGTGATTCCTCAAAGACCTAAAGACAGAATAAATACCATTCGACCCAGCAATCTCATTATTGTGTATATACCCAAAGGAATAGAAATCATTCTATTATAAAGACACATGCACATGTCTATTCATTGCAGCACTATTCACAATAGCAAAAACATGGAATCAACCCAAGTGCGCATCAGTGATGGACTGGATAAAGAAAATGTGGTACAAGTACACCATGGAACACTATGCAGCCATAAAAAGGAAAAACATCATGTCCTTTGCAGCAACAGGGATGGAGCTGGAGGCCGTTATTCTTAGCAAACTAACACAGGAAGAGAAAACTAAATACTGCATGTCCTCACTTACAAGTGGGAGCTAAATGATGAGAATACATGGACACATAGAGGGGAACAATACACACTGGGACCTTTTGAAGGGTGGAGGGTAGGAGGAGGGAAAGAATCAGGAAAAATAACTAATGGGTACTATGCTTGCTTAATATCTAGGTGAGGAAATAATCTGTATAACAAATCCCCATGACACAAGTTTACCTACGTAACAAACCTGCACTTAAACTAAAAGTTAAAAAAGAAGCATTTAATGAAGGAGTCTTCTTGCAAGGTGCTTCATTACCCCACGCAAACCTGTAAGGCAGGTATTATTTGCATATTTTATATAGACTGCAGAAGGCCTTATAGGTAAAGGAGTTTGGGATTGATATTAGAGAAAGCAGAGACCTATTGTAGACCTTGAGCAGGAGAGCAGCAGGTTGAAAGTGATGTTTTAAGTAGGAGGAGAGACAGCCCGGTCCCCACTGAGGTATCCATTAGACTCATAACCTTGAGAGGATAAAGGGAATGAAAAATCTGAGAGGCATGTACAATGAATAAAGTCCAGGCATTATGTGAGGCTGGACAGAGTAGATGAAGAATGAGGAATTGACTATAATAGTAATGGATCTGGAGTAGGAGAAAAAACGAAATGATGTCAACAACAAACATAACGAAGATAGTTGGTAAAGGAAATCTATAATGAATGTGTTTGGTTTGGGAAAGTGATGGGACACCCACGTATCAATATCTTAAAACTTCTGGAAATATGAGTCTATGGCATAAGTGAAAGATCAGGACTGCAGGTAAAGGTTAAGAGAATATTCACCAGGGTAATGGAGGGACTCACAACAGTAAGTCTAGAATATGCCTAAAATTCACCTGATTAAGGAGTAACAAAAGAGAGAGAGAAACAGACTAGATAGAAAGCATAGACTCACTAAAACGTAAAGAGGGAGAATTTCAATGAGTTAGGGCTGTAGTAAGAGGTACAGTTATTAAGACAAGGGGATTTTCATTATCCATAGAGAGTAAAATAATCTATGTAGAAAACCCAAGAGACTCCACTGAAAAATCTCACAGGACTAATAGAGGCATCCATAAGCCACTTACATATAAAATGAAAATATAAAAATCAATTGTATTCATTTAAATCTGCTAAAACCAAATAGAAAGCAAAATGAAAAAATTCATCCTCTTCAACAAGTAATATAAATATAAATACTTAGGAATAACTTTCAAAAGAACTGTTAAAAATAAAAGACAGTAAATATGCTCATTTCTTCCAAATTAATTGATAGGTGGAATGCCATTCCAAGCAAAATTCTAGTGGAATTTTTTTGGGAGGGAAACATGAAAACATGATTTTAAATATCGCTGAATGAAGGAACAGCCAGCAGAGTAAACAGACAACCCACAGAGTGAAAGAAAATCTTCACAATCTATACATCTGACAAAGGACAAATATCCAGATTCTACAACGAACTCAAACAAATTGGCAAGAAAAAAACAAACAATCCCATCAAAAAGTGGGCTAAGGACATGAACAGATAATACTCAAAAGAAGACATACAAATGGTCAACAAACGTATGAAAAAGTGCTCGACATCACTGATGATTAGGGAAATGCAAATCAAAACCACAATGCACCTGTAATCCCAGCACTTTGGGAGGCCAAGGCGGGCAGATCACGAGGTCAGGAGATCGAGACCATCCTGGCTAACATGGTGAAACCCCGTCTGTACTAAAAATACAACAAAATTAGCCAAGCATGGTAGCGGGCACCTGTAGTCCCAGCTACTCGGGATGCTGAGGCAGGAGAATGGCGTGAACCAGAAGGCGGAGGTTGCAGTGAGCTGAGATCACGCCACTGCACTCCAGCGTGGGCGACAGAGCAAGACTCCGTCTCAAAAAACAAAACAAAACAACAACAACTAAAAAACACAATGCAATGATCTTGTGGCCCATCTTCTGAGTATACCAGTTGGGTTTTTGTAGACTTGCTTTAATTGCTGTCTTTCCAGATATTTGTTCTATGACTTGAAATTCAATTATTCTGTGGCTACAGGAAGCTTTTAACTAATTTAGGTTGAGATTTTCTGTATTTTTCTGTTTCTCTTTTCTTTTCATCATTGAGAGTAAATTCTTGATTTAACCTTTATTAAGTGTCTCAGTTTGGGAATCTTGATAGAGACTGTTTCTAACACAGTGCCATTTCTAATGGGAGAGGATACTTAGAAAAGACAAGAACTCAGTACATTAGGAAATACTTAGGTCAAGAATGGCGCAAAACATCTGGAAAACAAACTTTAAAAAATCGATATTTGCTCCTTGTTATGATTCAACTTTTTCCTAATCACTCTTTTTCTCTGAAGAAATGAAAATCTCAAAAATGCCCACAATGTAATATAATAATTCAGTGCAAGCCAGGTGGAAGTCCTTGGCAACCATTTCAGTGAAAATCATTTCCAAGGAACTCAAGTAATACTGTCCATCAGCCATACCTCCTATGAAAGGATTTTGAAATCTGACTCTCAAGGTTATTCCCTCAGGAGCGGAGTAGTCACAGGATGAGTTTTCAGATCTTTTCCTCCCACAAAAGCTCATTTTAAAAAGGATAAATGAAGAGGAAACCTCATACATCAAGGGTACATGTTAATGGAGATTAGTGTCTCAACAGAGAAAATCTTAAATTGGCAAGGCCAATGCTGTTTAATTTCAGAAAAATCTTATGCCTTTCAGGAACTAAAAGTAGAGGCATTCATTTTTTTTTCTATCTAAAGATTTCTCTTTCCTATAGTTTTCAGCGTGAACCTAGTTTTGTGCTTTCTGTTTCTCCAGGGGAAAATGGAATGATGAGGAGAAGGGCAAATCTAGCAAAGTAGATGTCAATTGTAAGTGAAATTCTATTTTTTTGTGGGTGCCTGTGAGCTGATGCTGTGATATAAAGGGCATTTTAGAGTTATGAATTTTTCTTACTGAACTAAACGATAAAGTAAATACCACAGGGGCATTTATTCAAACCCAGGTTTGAAGTCATTTGGGTTATCAAAATAGCAAAGGTAATATCTGTGCCCTTTCCTTTGCCTCACAATGTTTGTTAGCTGTTATGCAGAGTGAAAAAATAAGGGTAAGGGTTACATCTTCTGGGTGATAGTTTCACTAATGAAAATATCAAAGTCTGGATCTCCTGGACAAAAACATGAAGAATTTGCTTATCTTCGCGTACAGACTCGTGCTTGCATTTCCTTCATAATTACTATTTGAAATTATGAATAACATTTTAGAATAAAAACTTCCTTGAAAATGTTTGGGGCACATTTACCATCCTTATCCCTGTGGCAGTTTATGGGCTCAGACTCCAGGCAGATAAATATATGTAAATGAAATCACCTAGAAGAGGGGACAGTGTGCTGGGGCTTGCGGAAACAGGAGAGAGTGAGCATCACCTGACCGGCTCCACCTCTTGGAGTCTGGCCGCTCTTGCCACATGGGAATGAGGTCTCTTGTTTGCCAGTGACCTTTTGCTAGAGAATCCCCCACTTTGGATTTTATGTAAAATTTATTGATTTTAAAAGATTAGCAATGAGTGAAAACTTTAAATTAACATTTGGTGGGCCAAATACTCTGAAGGCTAAAGAAATCATGACTGCAGGCAGAATCTCAAACATGAGCTATCAATTTTCATCAAAAATATAGACATTCCACACTTGTCCTCTGTAAGCGGAGGCTTTAAAAATAGAACATTTTCTAGAGAAAAATGGCTAACAATGACAAGATCAGAAAGTGTTTGATGGAGCAAATGTAATTTATGTGCCTTGTTTAGATTCTAATTTAAACAAACTATCTGCAAAGAAAAAAAAGTGAATTTAGAAAAGACATTGGTTGGATATGAAGGAATTATTAATGTTGATAGCTCTGATAATAAGATGGTAGTTACAAAAGAACATTTTCATATTTTTAGAGATACATGCTATGGTTTATAGGAATAAAATGAAATGATGTCTCAGATTTACTTTAAACTTCTTCAGCAAGAAATAAAAAGAGGATACACATGGAAAAAAGAAAGCATTTGATAGCATGGTAAGATATGCCATTTCTGTCAATGTGTCTACCATAATAATGATGTCTTATCTCAGCCTTTCCTCCTAATCTTCCTTTATCTTCTCTTTTATTCTGTGATTATTGGTACCTTGAGCACATACATCTTCTCAAAAAGACTCTGAATCTTCTCAACCAAGGCCAATGGCTCGTCAAAATCACTGATCCTGCAGATTGTCAAGGAAGTTAACAGAAACTGTGAACTAGAAGAAGTATTGGAAACAGGAGTGAGGTACAAAGACAAACAAGGTATAAGCCTTGTTGTGCAGGATTTTGTTGTCTAGGTGGAAGATGATGTAAAGCAAAGAACTGTGATAGAGTATAAGATAACTTTATTACTTTGCTGTATTAGTTTGATTGGTGCATTATTTTGCTAGGGCTGCTGTAACAAAATATCACAGCTGGTAGCTGGAAACAACAGAAACTTATTCTCTCACAATTCTGGAGACCAGAAGCCCAAAGTCAAGGTGTCAGCCAGGTTGGTTCCTTCTGGAAGCTCTGAGGGAGTATCTGTTTTATGCCCCTCTCCTAGCTTCTGGTTGTTGCCAGCAATTTTTGGTATTCCTTGACTGGGAGATGCAGCACCCCAATTTATGTCTCTGTCTCATATGGCATTTCGCCCATGTGGGTCTGTGTTCAAATTTCCTTCTTATGACACTAGTTATGGGATTAGAGCTCAACCTAATCCTTATCTCAACTCTTTACATTGCAAAGACCCTAGTTCCAAATAAGGTCACATTTGCAGGTATGAGATGTTTGGACTTTGAATTAATCCATTCTCATGCTGCTAATAAAAACATACCCTAGACTGGGCAATTTATAAAGGAAAGAAGTTAATTGACTCACAGTTCAACATGGCTGAGGAGGCCTCAGGAAACTTACAATCATGGCGGAAGGGGACACAAACATGTCCTTCCTCACATGGAGGCAGCAAGAAGTGCCAAGAGCAAAAGGGGGAAAAGCCCCTTAAAAAACCATCAGATCTCACGAGAACTCATTAAATTACCACCCACCAGGTCCCTCCCATGACACGTGGGGATTATGGGAACTATAATTCAAGATGAGATTTGGCTGGGGACACAGCCAAACATATTAGACTTGACCATATATTTTTGGGGACGCAATTCAACCCAGGAGAGGCAGGCAGAGAGAATGATGATAGTAGAGAGAAAGGAGCAACTAGTAGCTTAGGGGAGGAAGGAAGATTTTTTAGGGAAAGTGATACAAGAGCCAGATCTTGCAAAAGATAAGTAGGTATTTGTCACATAAAGAACAAGAGAAGATCGTTTCAGATATATATCACAACACTTGGAAAAACATAGATACATTAGAAGAATAAAACAAAGTTTTGTGCAGTGAAACATAAGGCATGTAGCACTGGCACTATAGGGAAAGAGGCTGGAAATGCAGGTTGATATCAACTTGTAAAGGACTCTAGAGACATGCTTAGGAACTGGTCTTCATCATGAAGTAAATAAGAACCTACCAAGGTTTTGCGGCCAGAAAGGTGTGCAATCTGATTTATGTTTTAGAAAGATGCCTTTGAGCAACTGTGAGAGGGATTGAAGAAAGCAGAGAACAGTCTGGGGAGATCACTTGGTTCCATGGCTGTTGCAGTAGTTCAGATGAGAGAGAATAAGAGCAAAGGCTAAGGATGTTGAAGGCAGAGTTGATCAGACTTAAAAGAGGAAGGAGTGAAGATTTGCTGAATTTCCTATATTAGAAAACTAGTAGATGACAAGGTTACTATTTATAGCAGAGACAGAGAATGTAGAGGTTTTGGTGAGAAGGTAATGGATCAGTTATGATCCCACTGAATTTGAAGTGCTGGTGGACATCCATGAGGAGTATACAGGTATGAAGCTGTAAAAGGATCTGGAGCCTTAGTTTGGTAATGATTGTGAATTGTCCTGAGGGCATTAAATTGATGATGAAGACCTTGGACTTGTCTGTTAGAGTCTAATGGACTCTAGGATTCCTTTTGGCTTTCCCCTTTCCTACCTACTATAAAGCAGTGTACAGCAGCAACAGAGGCATTGCTCGTTGTGGACCAGGGCTATTGCATAGGCAGTGTGCCCAGAGTAGCAGCTCAGGGGCAGTTCTGCAGTCTTATTTATACCTGCTTTTAATTACATGCAAATTAAGGGGCGGATTATGCAGAAATGTTTAGAAAAAGGGTGGTTACTTCTAGATCGCTAAGTTGTTGCTATGGAAAGGGGTGGGTAATTTCCAGGTATTGCCATGCCAATGGTAAACTGACATAGCATTGGTGGGTGTGTCTTATGGAGAGGTGCTTTTGACTCTGCCCTGTTTCAGTTAGTTTTCAATGTGGTCTGAGTCCAACCCTGGCCTCTGGAGTTGAGACCCAACTCCTACCTCAGGGTCACTAAAAGCCCTAGGTTATTTGGTGAAGGACCTTACATTGGCCTCTGTGGCTTGAGAACAGAATGTCTTGTTTTTTAAAAAAATAGTTTTGAATCTGTGTTACACTCCCTGGCACATACAAGCTTCTCTGCAGTGCTGTGAGAGTGGTAAGGCAAGGGACCAGCATAAAATTATTTCCTCAATGACATACAGTAACACAACAATACTTTTCACATGAGATTTAATCTGCACACTTTTCTAACATTATCATCCTAATGAAATTTCAACATGTAACAAAACGTCATAGGTTTGGAATGGAAAGGATTGTTCTCTGCTCTTGAAATCACACATGTGGAAGAGCCCTTGAGAGCTCAGCTAAGTCCAAAGTTTTCAAACTGTGCTCTGGAAAAGCTAATGTTCTTCAGGGGAATACGTGATGAATGATCCCAAGTTTCAGAAAATCTGCTTGATTTCTTTTCTATCCTGGGTTAATTATCCTCTCTTCTTTCTCTAAATACTTTCCTATATTTATAGAAAATCTTTTTTATTTATAGCTCCATATGTTTGTTTATTTCCTTCCTCCTATCCCATAGGTGGAGTTCTGCCCTTCTCTATGCCTCTAGCTGGTTGTTTCTGCAATTGCCTATAGTTTGCTCTTGGCCTAAGGCATAACATTCTCATTAAAAAAGAGATTATCAAATGTTAAGATAGCTGTTAAAGGGAATTAATAGATGCTTAAAGCTTTCTCCCTGATGTAATGAAGAGGAATCAAGAATAGCTTTGATAAAGGTAGAGCTTTGAAGGGAAAGTGAGCAGTGGAGTACTCCCATGTCAGCTAGAAGATAGAAATCCAACACATATATATGTTGAGTGAGTCATGATTATCAGAAATATTGGTGGGCTTGTCTATTTCTAGAAATTTTTAGATTGAGTAATTTCTAGAATGTAAACTATAAGTTTTCCTTATAATCTAAAGTTGGAGTTTTGATAAAAACAGCTATCTAGACAACATGCTCATGCTCCTGAGTGTGACAATATGAGACGCAGGTGACATAAATGAAAGAACACTAATCCATGTTTTTGTATTAAACCCTTTTCTTTTCAAATTAAATATATTATCTTCCTTTGACTGGTACTACATTTTTCTAAGTTACTTTTTCTGTCTGGTGTCTATGTTTCAGGGAAATTGCTTCCAGATGGAAACATTTGGCAATTGAACTGCTATTACTCCGGCTGTTTCCTCCTGCAGGAGGAGATTGTTGAGCTTCAGAAAACGTCATTCTCTTAAGATTGGTCTTGGGTGTGATTGGTTTTCACTCTTTCCTTCAGATGGAATAGGTCACTACTTGCTCTTGGGTGTTTTCACATATTCTGCCCTATTTCTAGGCTCTCAGCTAGGAAGTAAGGTTGACGTTGTAGTGTAAAAAACATGAGCTCTGGAGCCCGCTGTGCTTGTAGTGAATCCTGGCTCTGCTCCCTTCTGTTTATTGAGCAGCAAATTTTCAGAGTCTCTATTTCTCTCTATAACATGGAGTATAATAACCCCAAGCCCCATAAGGTCATAGTTACTTTCCAGCACCGCTACATCACAGGTAGATCCCTCCTCCTCTCCGCAAGTATTGGTATTGGCTATGACATGTCAGTGCAGTCCTGAAAGGTTATTGTTTAGGTAATGCCTTAAAACTCCTAAAACATTCTTCTGTCTATACCCAAAGATTGCAAAGCCAAGATTTTAAATTCAAGACATTATCAGAATCCTAGAAAACCTCTGTTGTTGCACTGAAAGGATCTCTTATCTCTTCGAACTCCGGAGCTGATAGATTCTTTCTCAGATGTAAAATTAAATCTTGCAGTTTGCTGAACTACTGTGTAGGTTTAATTCATAATTTGCCAGATCTTTTATGTGAAAGTTATGACATCAAATGGAAAAGAGTAAAATCCTAGGAATTGAAAGATGGACGTTTTGGAAAATCAGATGAACACGAGTGCCTCAACTTCCCAACACTACTGAGTTTCTCTCCTCCCTCTCTGCTAAGTTGTTCTTTCATTTCCTAAATAGCTTAAATGACCTTACCTATGCTGTCTGCCTTACAATTGAGATGTCAGTTTCATGTCATAGCCCATCCATAACACTCCTCATTGCCAACTGACCTGTAGCTGGAGTTCAAGTCCATGCCTCAGAGAATTTGTGCAAAGTCTACCCCATGAGAAGATGACTTAGTCTAAAGGAGTTATAGCTGCTGTTGTTTTTTTAGTAATGTATGCCAAGGATACACACATACCTGGAGAGTATGTGTGAGAATATATTGTAAAAGCACTAGACTCACTTTGGTAAAATCAGTCTGCCTTGACTCACCAGCATATAAAAGCCATAGCCTTTACTGAGTGATTCACATGCTCAGGACCTTTGAATAAGGGGAAGGGGGATAAAAAGGCCTCTGTGATAATACCCCAGGCATGTAATGCAAATCTTCCTCTTGGTCTTTCAGAAAGAGGCCTGAGGCCATTGATTAATGTAATCATACCCTGAGGGCAGAGAAATAACTAGAACTTTGGGGGCTTATTGGCTCTGAGCTGCTGATAGCTTTTAGGGATTATGAGAATTCCCACTGAATACCTTGGGGATTATTTTTATCCAGAATACCACTGTGGTTCATCAGTGGTGGGAACTTGTATGGGTCAGGTGATTAAAACTTTTGGCTTATTTTTCGTAGATACCCAGAATGTCTGTCATACTATTGTAGATTGTATGTCCATTTCCAGGATATATGGCTGGATTATACATATGTCCAACCACCAGAATTCCTCCATTTGCTTCCTGACCCATGGAGTTAGAATTATTTTGACAAGGAGAAGCAGTGAAAGCCTCTGAAATTACCCTTACCTACCAAAATAATAAATCAAAACAATTCCTCAACCTGGGAAAATTCACAGAACTTAGTATCACCATCAAAAATGTCAATAAATAAAGGAAAGATGCAGAGGTAGTTATTCTTGTACATCCACATTTAGTTTACCTTGTGAAGAATACATATGGATTCTCGAAAAGTATAGTGGATTAGTATCAACTTAGTCATGTGGTGACTACAATTGCATCGGCTGTTTCAGGTGAGGTTTCCTACCACAAGAGATCAATATTACTCCCAGCACTTGCAGGTAACTATCAATCTAGCACAATTTTTTTTCTTTTTCCTCTGCTGTAAAAATTAAAGAACACCAGAAGCATTTTGCTTTTTCTTTTGCAAGGATAGGAGCATATCTTTACATTTTCCTCAGGGTTTTGTCAATTCTCAGTACTCAGTCATTTGATCTGCAAGATACCATTTATCTCAGTATTCCAAATAACGTTATTATGATCCAGTATACTGATAATATTATGCTGATTAGACTCGGTGAATGGGAAGTAGGAGGTATCCTATATGTCTTAGTAAAACACTTGCCAGAGTAAGAATAAACTCATGAAAAATTTAGCAGCCTTTCACATCAGGCAATTTTCTGGATATCCAGTATTCTGGGGTAAGTTGTAATATCCTTCTCAAAATGAAAGACAAATTGCTGCATCTTGAGTTCGCCATCACTAAGTCTAAAGCTTTTTGGTTTTCTTTGGATTTTGTTGGCAATGTTTACCATATTTGAGTGTATTGCTCAAGTAGTTATGGCATAACCTGTGAGGTTCCTAGCTTTGATGGCACTTGAAACAAAGAAGCCTCTTCAGTTTGTTTATGTTGCTGTGGAGGAAGCTCTGCCAATTGACCTTGATGATCTAATGTTTCCTGTGGTCCTTGAAATGTCTGTAGAAGATCACAATGCTTTATTAGGTCTGGGCTTGACCTAATGGAAAAATTGCAGTGAAAGTCCCTAGGGTTTTGGAACAAAGATATGCTTTATTTGCCAAAGAACTATTTTCTTTTTGAGGAATGGCTTCTGATTTGCTATAAGCCAGAACCTTTTATCCTGAGTCCTCAAGTAACCATCTGAACTGAACTGCCCTGCACAAAATGGGAACTATTTTATTCATAAAGCCTTACATTTGGTTATACCCAGCAGGGCTTTATCATCAAGTGGAAGCATCAAGATGGGACCTGAGCTGGACTTAAGACTTAATTTAGTTACATAATCATGTAACTCATACTTGCAGTGCACCAACTTCTGCTGTATTTCCATCTTGTCATCAGCTGATACCTGTAGGCAAATGTGGAGCTCCATGTGACCAACTGGAGAACAATTTGAACATGGCTTTTGGGTGCTCTCACCTACCATCCCAAAGCAAACTCCTGTAGCATTTCAGTTCCATTCACCGGGTGGCTCTGAAAGATACTGAAGCAAAGAAAATTATCCCTTGCCCTGGGCAGAACTTCCAGGAGTACATCTGATTCATTGCTATGTCTGGAAGGAGAACTGTCAGAGGCTTGAGTCACACTGATTGAGAAGCTGTGGATAATGCTTTGGTAGAAAGAATAAGATTGGAAGATTCATGACAAGGAGATTTGGGAAGAGTATAATGTGTATAAACTTCTCAAAATGGGATCAGACTGGGGGAACATTTGTGTCCCATGTAAATGTTCACCAAATGTCCCTCCATGCAGAAGGCAAAAATCAGTAAAGGCACATAGGCTCTGACAACACTATCAGCCACCTTGACCTTAATAACATTTGTAAGACACTGTACTCAATGGTTGCAAAATACATATTCTTTTTAAGTGCACATGGTACATTATCCAAGAAAACCGTATTCAAGAAGATACAGTTAAAAAATTGAAATTCTACATGTTTTCTGACCATTTTGGACTTAGAAAAAATATTAATAACATTAAAATGTATGGAGAAAAATCCAAATATTTGGAAAGTAAACAACATATTTCTAAATAATCTATGAATCAATGGGGAAATCATAAAGGAAATTGGAAAATACTTTAAACTGAAAGATAATAAGAATATAATAACTCAAATTTACGTGACGTAACTATAGCAGGGCTTAGAGGATAATTTATACATTTAAATGCTTATATTAAGATGAAGAAAGGGTGACAGGTTTGAAGATGGCCAAATAGGAACAGCTCCGGTCTGCAGCTCCCAGAGGGATCGACACAGAAGATGGGTGATTTCTGCATTTCCAACTGAGGTACCTGGTTCATCTCACTGGGACTGGTTGGACAGTGAGTGCAGCCCACAGAGGGCGAGCTGAAGCAGAGCAGGCATCACCTCACCCAGGAAGTGCAAAGGGTCGGGGATTTCCCTTTCCTAGCCAAGGGAAACTATGACAGACTGTACCTGGGAAGAGCGGGACACTCCCCCATAAATACTGTGCTTTTCCAACGGTCTTAGCAAACAGCAGACCAGGAGATACTATCCCACACCTAGCTTGGTGGGTCCCACACCCACAGAGCCTTGCTTACTGCTAGCGCAGCAGTCTGAGATTGAACTGCAAGGCACCAGCCTGGCAGGGAGAGGGGTGTCCACCATTGCTGAGGCTGGAGTAGGTAAACAAAGCAGCCTGGAAGCTCGAACTGGGGGAGACCACCACAGCTCAGCTAGGCCTGCTGCCTCTGTAGACCCCACCTCTGGGGGCAGGGCATAGCTGAACAAAAGGCAGAAGAAACTTCACAGACTTAAACATCCCTGTCTGACAGCTCTGAGGAGAGCAGTGGTTCTCCCAGCATAGTGTTTGAGCTCTGAGAACGGACAGACTGCCTCTTCGAGTGGGTCCCTGACCCCATGTAGCCTAACTGGGAGACACCTCCCAGTAGGGGACGACTTACACCTCATACAGGCAGGTGCCCCTCTGGGACAAAGCTTCCAGAGGAAGGATCAGGCAGCAATATTTGCTGTTCTGCAGCCTCCACTGGTGATACGCAGGCAAACAGCGTCTGGAGTGGACCTTCAGCAAACTCCAACAGACCAGCAGCTGAAGGATCTGACTGTTAGAAGGAAAACTAACAAACAGAAAGGAATAGCATCAACATCAACAAAAAAGACATCTACACCAAAACTCCATCTGTAGGTCACCAACATCAAAGACCAAAGGTAGATAAAACCACAAAGATGGGGAGAAACCAGAGCAGAAAAGCTGAACATTCTACAAATCAGGGCACCTCTTCTCCTCCAAAGGAACGCGGCTCCTTGCCAGCAATGGAACAAAGCTGGATGGAGAATGACTTTGACGAGTTGACAGAAGTAGGCTTCAGAAGGTCGGTAATAACAAACTTCTCCGAGCTAAAGGAGAATGTTTGAACCCATAGCAAGGAAGCTAAAAACCTTGAAAAAAGATTAGATGAATGGCTAACTAGAATAAACAGTGTAGAGAAGACCTTAAATGACCTGATGGAGCAAAAAACCATGGCACAAGAACTTTGCGACACATGCAGAAGCTTCAATAGCCGATGTGATCAAGTGGAAGAAAGGGTATCAGTGATTGAAGATCAAATGAATGAAATAAAGCGAGAGGAGAAGTTTAGAGAAAAAAGAGTAAAAAGAAATGAACAAAGCCTGCAAGAAATATGGGACTATGTGAAAAGACCAAATCTATGTTTGATTGGCATACCTGAAAGTGACGGGGAAAATGGAACCAAGTTGGAACACACTCTTCAGGATATTATATAGGAGAACTTCCCCAATCTAGCAAGGCAGGCCAACATTCAAATTCAGGAAATAGAGAGAACACCACAAAGATACTCCTCTAGAAGAGCAACCCCAAGACACATAATTGTTAGATTCACCAAGATTGAAATGAAGGAAAAAATGTTAAGGGCAGCCAGAGAGAAAAGTCGGGTCACCCACAAAGGGAAGCCCATCAGACTAACAGCAGATCTCTCTGCAGTAACCCTACAAGCCAGAAGAGAGTGGGGGCCAATATTCAACATTCTTAAAGAAAAGAATTTTCAACCCAGAATTTCATATCCAGCCAAACTAAGCTTCATAAGTGAAGGAGAAATAAAATCCTTTACAGACAAGCAAATCCCAAGAGATTTTGTTACCACTAGGCCTGCCTCACAAGAGCTCCTGCAGGAAGCACTAAACATGGAAAGGAACAACTGGTACCAGCCACTGCAAAAACATGCCAAATTGTAAAGACCTTTGATGCTAGGAAGAAACTGTATCAATTAACGGGCAAAATAACCAGTGAACATCATAATGACAGGATCAAATTCACACATAACAGTATTAACCTTAAATGTAAATGGGCTAAATGCTACAATTAAAAGACACAGACTGGCAAATTGGATAAAGAGTGAAAACCCATCAGTGTGCAGTATTCAGGAGACTCGTTTCATGTGCAGAGACACACATAGGCTCTAAATAAAGGAATGGAGCAAGATCTACCAAGCAAATGCAAAGCAAAGCAAAGCAAAGCAGGGGTTGCAATCCTGGTCTCTGATAAAACAGACTTTAAATGAACAAAGATCAAAAGAGACAAAGAAGGCCATTACTTAATGGTAAAGGGATCAATTCAACAAGAAGAGCTAACTATCCTAAATATATATGCACCCAATAGAGGAGCACCCAGATTCATAAAGCAAGTCCTTAGAGACCTATGAAGAGACATAGACTCCCACACAATAATAATGGGAGACTTTAACACCCCACTGTCAACATTAGACAGATGAAACAGACAGAAGGTTAACAAGGATATTAGAACTTGAACTCAGCTCTACACCAAACATCTACAGAACTCTCCACCCCAAATCAACAGAATATACATTCTTCATAGCACCACATCACACGTATTCTCAAATTGACCACATAATTGCAACTAAAGCACTCCTCAGCAAATGTAAAAGGACAGAAATCACAACAAACTCTCAGACCACAGTGCAATCAAATTAGTACTCAGGATTAAGAAACTCACTCAAAAGAGCACAACTACATGGAAACTGAACAACCTACTCCTGAATGACTACTGGGTAAGTAATGAAATGAAGGCAGAAATTAAAATGTTCTTTAAACTAATCAGAACAAAGACACAACAAACCAGAATCTCTGGGACACATTTAAAGCACTGTGTAGAGGGAAATTTATAGCACTAAATGCCCACAAGAGAAAGCAGGAAAGATCTAAAATTGACACCTTAACATCACAATTAGAAGAACTAGAGAAGCAAGAGCAAACACATTCAAATGCTAGCAGAAGGCAAGAAATAACTAAGTTCAGAGCAGAACTGAAGGAGATAGAGACACAAAAAACCCTTCAAAAAAATCAATGAATCCAGGAGCTGTTTTTTTGACAGGATCAACAAATTGATAGACCACTAGCAAGACTAATAAAGAAGAAAAGAGAGAGGAATCAAATAGATGCAATAAAAAATGATAAAGGGGATATCGCCATTGATCCCACGGAAATACAAACTAGCATCAAAGAATATTATAAACACCTCTATGCAAATAAACTAGAAAATATAGAAGAAATGGATAAATTCGTGGACACATACACACTCTGAAGACTAAACCAGGAAGAAGTTAAATCTCTGAATAAACCAGTAACAGGCTCTGAAATTGAGGCAATAATTAATAGCCAACCAGCCAAAAAAAGTTCAGGACCAGACAGATTTACAGTTGAATTCTACCAAAGGTACAAAGAGGAGCTGGTACCATTCCTTCTGAAACTATTCCTATTAATAGAAAAAGAGGGACTCCTCTTTAACTCATTTTATGAGGCCAATATCATCCTGATGCCAAAACTTGGGAGAGACACAACAAAAAAAGAGAATTTTAGACCAATATCCCTGATGAACATAGATGCAAAAATCCTCAATAAAATACTGGCAAACCGAATCCAGCAGCACATCAAAAAGCTTATCCACCACGAGCAAGTCGGCTTCATCCCTGGGATGCAAGGCTTGTTCAACATATGGAAATCAATAAATGCAATCCATCACACAAACAGAAACAAAGACAAAAACCACATGATTATCTCAATAGATGCAGAAAGGCCTTTGACAAAATTCAACAGCCCTTCATGCTAAAAACTCAATAAACTAGGTATTGATGGAACGTATCTCAAAATCATAAGAGCTATTTACAACAAACCCACAGCCAATATCATACTGAATGGGCAAAAATTGGAAGCATTCCCTTTGAAAACTAGCACAAGACAGGGATTCCCTCTCTCACCACTCCTATTCTACATAGTGTTGAAGTTCTGGCCCGGGCAATCAGGCAAGAGAAGAAATAAAGGGTATTCAGTTTCGAAAAGAGGAAGTCAAATTGTCTCTGTTTGCAGATGAAATGATTGTATATTTAGAAAACCCCGTCATATCAGCCCAAAATCTCCTTAAGCTGATAAGCAACTTCAGCAAGTCTCAGGATACAAAGTCATTGTGCAAAAATCACAAGCATTGCTATACACCAATAACAGACAAACAGCCAAATCATGAGTGAACTCCCATTCACAATTGCTACAAAGAGAATAAAATACCTAGGGATCCAACTTACAAGGGATGTGAAGGACCTCTTCATGGAGAACTACAAGCCACTGCTCAACGAAATAAAAGAGGTCACAAACAAATGGAAGAACATTCCATGCTCATGGATAGGAAGAATCAATATTGTGAAAATGGCCACACTGCCCAAGGTAATTTATAGATTCAATGCCATTCCCATCAAGCTACCAATATCTTTCTTCACAGAATTGGAAAAACTACTTTAAAGTTCATATGGAACCAAAAAAGAGCCCACATTGCCAAGGCAGTCCTAAGCCAAAAGAACAAAGCTGGAGGCATCACGCTACCTGACTTCAAACTATACTACAAGGCTGCAGTAACCAAAACAGCATGGTACTGGTACCAAAACAGAGATATAGACCAACGGATCAGAACAGAGCCCTCAGAAATAACACCACACATCTACAACCATCTGTGCTTTGACAATCCTGACAAAAACAAGCAATGGGGAAAGGATTCCCTATTTAATAAATGGTGCTGGGAAAACTGACTATCCATATGTAGAAAACTGAAACTGGATCCATTCCTTACACCTTATACAAAAATTAATTCAAGATGGATTAAAGACTTATATGTTAGACCTAACACCATAAAAACCCTAGAAGAAAACCTAGGCAATACCATTCAGGACATAGGCACGGGCAAGGACTTCATGACTAAAACACCAAGAGCAATGGCAACAAAAGCCAAAATTGACAAATGGCATCTAATTAAACTAAAGAGCTTCTGCACAGCAAAAGAAACCACCATCAGAATGAACAGGCAACCTACACAATGGGAGAAAATTTTTGCAATCTACACATCTGACAAAGGGCTAATATCCAGTAGCTACAAAGAACTTAAACCAATTTACAATAAAAAAGCAAACAACCCCATCAAAAATTGGGCAAAGGATATGAACAGACACTTCTCAAAAGAAGACATTTATGCAGCCAACAGACACATGAAAAAATGCTCATCATCATTGGTCATCAGAGAAATGCAAATCAAAACCACAATGAGATACCATCTCACGCCAGTTAGAATGGCAATCATTAAAAAGTCAGGAAACAACAGAGGCTGGAGAGGATGTGGAGAAATAGGAATGCTTTTACACTGTTGGCTGGAGTGTAAACTAGTTCAACCATTGTGGAAGACAGCGTGGCGATTCCTCAAGGATCTAGAGCTAGAAATACCATTTGACCCAGGGATGCCATTATTGGGTATATACCCAAAGGTTTATAAATCATGCTACTATAAAGATACATGCACATGTATATTTATTGCGGCACTATTCACAATTGCAAAGACTTGGAACCAACCCAAATGTCCATGAATGATAGATTGGATTAAGAAAATATGGCACATATACACCATGGAATACTATGCAGCCATAAAAAAGGATGAGTTCATGTCCTTTGCAGGGACATGGATAAAACTGAAAACCATCATTCTGAGCAAACTATCACAAGGGCAGAAAACCAAACACCGCATGTTCTTGCTCATTGGTGGGAACTGAACACTGAGAACACTTGGACACAGGGCAGGGAACATCACACATTGTGGCCTGTCGTGGGGTGGGGAACTGGGGGAGGGATAGCATTAGGAGAAATACCTAATGTAAATGACGAGTTGATGGGTGCAGCAAAGCAACATGGCACATGTATATCTATGTAACAAACCTGCACATTGTGCACATGTACCCATGAACTTAAAGTATATTAATTTAAAAAAGATAAAAATGGGCTTAAAAAAAGTGAGATAGGGTTCTATCCTAAGAAGCTGGGCACAAAAGAGCAAATTAAAACCAAAGTAAGAAAAAAGGAAATAAATAATGAATGCAGAAATCATTGAAATAGGAAATAAATAATAAAGAAAAATTTAAAAGCTAAATTTGGTGCTTGAAAAGTTCAACAAAATTGATAAGTTCCTAGTAGGATGATTAATTGAGAGACAGAACTCAATACTAGGAATAAAAGAGGGTTTTATTTATTACTGCACTTAATTTATAAATCAACTATGAATAATTCACATCAGAATAAATTGTATTCTTTCTATCCATGAATATAGCATATTTTTCCATTTTACTTAGTTCTTCTTTAATATACTCCAATAAAGATTCAAGATTTTCCCTAGATAGATTTTATTATGCTTATTTGTAAATACCTTTAAAAATATTTTTGGTTTGTTGCTGGTATCTATAAATGTAATTGATTTTTGTGATATGATCTTAAACACAGCCACTTTGCTAAATTATCTTACTAATTTTAAGAATTCGACACGAATTTTTTGGTGGTGGGGTTTTCTGTGTAGATCAATGTTACTCATTGTGTGTTCCATGAACCAGTGCTAGTTCCCAAACCAGTGAGTTCCTGTGATAAGATAAACTGTGAGCAAAAGTTTAGAAACTTTTTAAGCAAGTTGATGGAGCAAATATATATCTGCTGAATCTAAAAATAAAAATTGTAGTTTGTATGTTGTATGTCTTTTTAAGATTTTCCTTCTCTATTAACTCATTTCTAGTGTATTTTTCAAAAGTATTAGTCTGTGACAAATTGGAAAGAAAACTGGCCCTTCATGAATAGTCTGAGAAACACTAATGAGTAGACAATATCATCTGCAAATAATAAAAGTTTTCTTTCCTTTCAATGCATGTATATGTAATATATACATGAAATATATCAAACATAATATATTACATATACTTTTTTCTTTTATTACTGAATAGCCTGTGGTCAGCAGTACAATGTTGAATAAAAGCAGTGAAGATGGCTTAATCATTACTTTTCAACATTAAGAATATTGTATATTTTTGTTTCATTTGTAATAAGGTTAATTACATTTCTTTCTATTCCTAGTTTTCTAAGACGGTTTATTGTGTATTTTAAAAGTTGTTAAATTTTTCAAATGCTTTAATGCTTCTATACAGACGATTATATAATTTCTCATCTTTTAAAAAAAATTAGTGTTGTCAATTATGTTTATATATTTTCTAAGGACAACCCCTCCACCCTACATTGCAGAGATAAACCCAATTTTTGTACAGTACTGAATTTTCTTTATTAAAGTTTTATTTATAATGTTTCTATTTTTGTTTAGGAGAGATACTGGTCTATACTTTTGTGTGCTTTCTTTTTTCATGCTTTCTTCACTAATTATTTAGCATTATCCATGATGGGCAGTGTTCTAGAAGCTATGGATACAGCAATAAGCAAAGCAGACAAAAAGCTCATGAACTCTTGCCTTCATGAGACATACCATCTAGTAATAGGAGAAAAACAATAAATAAGCGATAAATATATAATGTTAGATGCTATTAAGTGCTGGAGATAAAAGAAAATAGTTAAATCATTTACTAACTTTGTGATCTTGGGCATTTTGCTTAATCTCTCAAAACTTCTGTTTCCTTGTGTATGAAATAAAGACAATAGTAACGTTGTTGTAAGTTTGATGTGAGAAGTAAATTAAGTGTGTAAAACACATAGCACATCATAGACATCCAATAATTGCTAGTTATGGGTTATACTATTTGATTACAAGTTTTTTAAATGAACATTAAATACAAAATTATTATAGAGATTAGGTTATGACTTTTCATATAGAAATAAATTCTGCAGCTCCATGAGTTGCATGCTAAGAAAGTTGTTTATATTCAGAGAATGTAGTGTTAGTGTCTTAGTGTTTTAAGGACTTTTTTTGTGGGAAGCATTTTAAGCAATTTAAACTGATTTTAAATCTCTAATTACTGAGAAAAAATTCAGGTAATTATCTTACAACATCTATTCTCGTCTTAAGGGATAGAATTTTCTAACTCACTTTTGCTACTATTTAAAAATGTATGTGTGTGTGTGACGGCAGAGAAGGCAAACATAAAGACAAAATAGAAAATGAAAGAGAAAGTTTGTTTCTATTTTCATAAAAGTTTATGATCTTATCCCATTTATTTCTGGTGCTCTGACCTGGAGGCTTCATACAATTTTCAACTCATTATGAGTAAAATATATTCTTAGTGTGTATGTGTTTACTTGCCCTCCAGCATTTTTGAGGTATGATTGACAAATAAAAATTACATATATTTAGGTACACAAAGTGAGGTTTTGACATACATACATACTGTGAAATGATTACCACAATCAAGCTAATTATCACATTCATCACTGCGCATATTTATATTTTTTGTGTGGTGAGAACATTTAAGACATGATTTTAGCAAATTTCAAGCATGTATTATTATTAACTATAGTCAGCATACTGAACATTAGATCTCCAGCAGATATTTATCCTGCCTAACTAAAACCTTGTGCTTTTTGACCAACATCTCCTCCTTTTTCCTACTCCCAGGCCCTGGCAACCACCATTCTACTCTCTGCTTCTATGAGCTGGAGTTTTTTTAGATTCCACATATATGTGAGATCATGCAATATTTGTCTTTCTGTGCCTGGCTTATTTTACTTAGCATCACATACTTGAGGTTCACCCATATTGTCAAAAATGACAGGTTTAGGGCTGAACATGTCGTTGCAAATATATATTTCACAATTTCTTTATTCATTCAGCTATTGATGGCCACTTGGGTTGATTTCATATCTTGGCTATTGTGACTAATGTAATAAACATGGGAGTGCAGATATCTCTTTAAGACACTGATTTCCTTTCTTTTCCTTTCCTTTCCTGTATATCTAGTCGTGGGATTGCTGGATCAAATGGTAGCTCCATTTTGAATTTTCAATTTTTTTTTTTTTTTTTTTGAGTTTTGCTCTATTGCTAGGCTGGAGTGCAGTGGTGTGATCTTGGCTCACTGCAACTTCCGCCTCCTGGGTTCAAGCGATTCTCATGCCTTAGCCTCCCGAGTAGCTGGGACTACAGGCATGTGCCACCATGCCCAGCTAATTTTTGTATTGTCAGTAGAGACCAGGTTTCACCATGTTGGCCAGGATGGTGTCGATCTCTTGACCTCGTGATCCACCTGCCTTGGCCTCCCAAAGTGTTGGGATTACACGCGTAAGCCACCGTGCCCGGCCTATTTTTAATTTTTAAAGGACCCTCCATACAGTTTCCACATGGCTGTACTTATTTCCATTCCCACCAACAGTGTACAAGGATCCCCTTTTTTCCATACCCCTACCAACAATTTTATCTTTTGTCTTTTTTATAGTAGTCATTCTAATATCAGTGAGGTGATAGCTCATTGTGGCTTTAATTTGCATTTCCCTAACGATTAGTATGGTTGAACATTTAAAAATATACCTGCTGGCCATTTGTATGTCTTCTTTCAAAATATATTTGTATAGGTCCTTAGTCCATTTTAAAAATCAGATTTTTGTTGTTGTTGTTATTGAGTTCTTACATATTTTGCATATTAACCCTTTATCACATGTATGGTTTGCAAATAGCTTCTCCCATTGCATAAGTTGTCTCTTCAGTATGTTGAGTGTTTCCTTTGCTGTAGAGAAGCTTTTAAATTTGAAGCAATACCATGTGTCTTATTTTGCCTTTGTTGCCTCTGCTTTTGGAATCATATCAATCCTAAGGACTCCTCCAGAAAGCTCCTAGAACTGATAAAAGCATTCAGCAGATTCCAGATACAAGATTAATGTACACAAACCAGTAGCTCTTCTATACACCAACAGCGACCAAGCAGAGAATCACATCAAGAACTCCACCCCTTTTACAATACCTCCAAAAAAAAAAAATACTTAGGAATATACCTAACAAAGGAGTTGAAAGACTTCTATAAGGAAAACTACAAAACACTGCGGAAAGAAATCACAGATGACACAAAGAAATGGAAACACATCCCATACTCATGGATGGGTAGTATCAATATTGTGAAAATCACCATTCCACCACAAGCAATCTACAAATTCAACGCAATCCCCATCAAAATACCACCATTATTCCTCACAGAGTTAGAAAAAACAATTTGAGAATTCATATGAAACCAAAAAAGAGCCCACATAGCCAAAGCAAGACTAAGCAAAAAGAACAAATCTGGAGGCATCACACTACATGATTTCACATATAATATAAGGCCATAGTCACCAAAACAGTGTGGTACTGGTATAAAAATAGGCACATAGACCAGTGGAACAGAATAGAGAACCCAGAAATTAACCCAAATACTTATAGCCAACTGATCTTCAACAAAGTAAGCAAAAACAAAGTGGGGAAAGGACACCTTTCAACAACAAATGGTGCTGGGATAATTGGCTAGCCACATGTAGGAGAATGAAACTGGATCCTCATCTCTCACCTTATATAAAAATCAACTAAGATGGATTAAGGACTTAAACCTAGGACCTGAAACTATAAAAATTCTGGAAGATAACATTGGAAAAACTCTTCTAGACCTTGGCTTAGGCAAGGATTTCATGACCAAGAACCCAAAAGCAAATGCAATAAAAACAAAGATAAATAGCTGGGACTTAATTAAACTAAAGAGCTTTTGCACGGCAAAGGAACAGTCAGCAGAGTAAACAGACAACATGTAGAGTGGGAGAAAATCTTCACAATCTATACATCTGACAAAGGACTAATATCCGGAATCTGCAACAAACTCAAATAAATCAACAATCCCATCGAAAAGTGGGCTAAGGACATGAATAGACAATTCTCAAAAGAAGGTATACAAATGACCAACAAACATATGAAAAAATGCTCAACATCAGTAATGATCAGGGAAATGCAAATCAAAACCACAGTGTGATACTACTTTACTCCTGCAAGAATGGCCATAATAAAAAAATCAAAAAACAGTACATGTTGGTGTGGATGCAGCGATCAGGGAACACTTGTACACTGCTGGTGGGAATGTAAACTAGTACAGCCGCTATGGAAAACAGTGTGGAGATTCCTTAAAGAATGGAAAATAGAACTACCATTTGATCCAGCAATCCCACTACTGGGTATCTACCCAGAGGAAAAGAAGTCATTATTCGAAAAAGATACTTGCACATGCATGTTTATGGCAGCACAATTCTCAATGGCAAAATTGTGGAACCAACCCAAATGCCCATCAATCAACGAGTGGATAAAGAAACTGTGATATATATATATATGTGATAGAATAGTACTCAGCTATAAAAAGGAGTGAATTAACAGGATTTGAAATGACCTGGATAAGATTGAAGACTATTATTCTAAGTGAATTAACTCAGCAATGGAAAATCAAACATCATATGTTCTCACTAATCTGTGGGAGCTAATCTATGAGGACCCAAAGGCATAAGAATGATACAATGGCCTTTAGGGACTTGTGCGGAAGAGTGAGGGGGGCAAGGGATAGAAGACAACATATATGGTGCAGTGTATACTGCTCAGGTGATGGGTGCACTAGGATCTCACAAATTATCACTTAAAAATTACTCATGTAACCAAACACCACCTGTACCCCAACAACTTATGGGAAAATAAAATAAAATAAAATCAAAATTAAAAAAATAAAATAAAAAAAGAAAAATAATTAGATCTATCAGATTTTGTTTACACCACCTCAATCTCTTTTTCTGGGTTTCTGTTGGAAAAACAGGGCTACAGTGCAAACACAATATACTCAAAAACTCTCCAGTCAATGGCCACCAACAGACACATTGACAGTGTCTAAAAGTAAGCAACTCTACCAGTAAAGGAGAAGGAGGCACTGGAAGTCATTTCAAAAGGAAGGGAAAATTTAAGCAAAAACCTGGTCAGAAAGAAAGAGCTGGCATTACATACTCTAGTTTATGCGCCTCCAAAGTCCATGGTCTTTCCATACCATGTTGTCTCCCGAAAAATAATTAATATTTTAAATGACTTGAATAAGATTTTCTTTGCTCTAGGGGAGATAATGTGAAACAAAAATTTAAAGGTAGCATATCCAAAATAAATACTTTATTTAAAGAAAAGGTATCCTGTGTGGAAGAAGTAACAAAAGTGTTTGGGTGGCTCAGGATGAGTGCAAGAAATGCTACATATTGAGGATGAGGTCGGGATCAGAAGAAATAGGATCCTGGGTGAAAGCACTAGATGAGTGTTGCCTGGGGGTGAGCAGAAAACACAGACAATGTGAGATTCTGGTGGCTTTCTACCTTATTTACTTACTTTTGTATCTCTCAGCATCTATAATGTATTAGATTTTCAGTAAATGCTGGTTGACAAGTGGATAAAGAAAATGTGGTATATATACACCATGGAATACTACTCAGCCATACTAAGGAATGAAATAATGGCTTTTGGCAGCAACTTGGATGGAGCTGGAGGCCATTATTCTAAGTGAAGTAACTCAGGAATAGAAAAACAAATATTACATATTCCCACTTATAAGTGAGAGCTAAGCTATGAGGATGCAAAGGCATAAATATGATATGATGGATTTGGAGACTCACGGGGAAAGGTGGGAGGGGTTGGGGGATAAAAGACTACATACTGGGTACGGTGTATTCTGCTTGTGTGACAGGTGCACCAAAAATTCAGAATTCACCACTAAAGAACTTATCCATGTAACCAAAAACCACCTGTACCCCCAAAACTATTGAAATAAAATAAAATAAATAAATTACGTCAAGATTAGAGATTGGCTCCAGTTTTAGATCCTTACATCCCATATGCTCATGGAAGATGTCTTAGTCTTCTCAGGCTTCCATAATAAAATAGCACAGTCTGGCTGGCTTAGACAACAGAAATTTATTTTCTCACAGTTCTGGAGGCTGGGAAGTTTAAATCAAGGTGCTGACTAATTCATTTCCTAGCAAGGGCTCTCTCCTTGGCTTGCAGATGACCAAACTTCTTGCTGTGTCCTCACATGGCAGAGAGAGAGAGAGAGAACTTTCTGGTGCCTGTTCTTATAAGGAAACTACTCCCTTTGGATTGGGTCCGACCCTTATGACCTCATTTAACCTTAATTACTTCCTTATTCCAAACACAACCACATTGGGGAATACGGCTTCAACATATGAATTTTGAGAAGACATGCATTCAGTCTGTAACAGAGGACTTGGAGGAAACTTTGACTTGTTTATTCTCCATATCAGGCATATCTGAACAGTCTGGTCATTCATCTCTGAAAGATATTGGCCGTGTCTGTTCTAGCTGCTTGATGTAATGAGAACAGAGCACCCTGGAGTGCAGAAACCCAAGGCAAATCCTTGGCTGCTTCCAGGACCCTCTAGAATGGCAGCCCACATACGTCACTGAAGATGAGGTTTTTACAGAAAATACTCAGTATAGGGTGCTATAAAAGTTTTTATTATCTTATTTGTTTGGTATTTAGGTTATATATTTCTTATAGTGATATTTAACACATTGTTTTGACAATGCTATGGATAAAAAGAGAATAAAACACTTTTCTATTGTAATGAACCCGTCTTTTATCTTAAGTAATTTTATTTAGTCTTTCTTCTCAGACAAAAGTTTAACATTCTTAGATTACCCTCTAATAATCAGGGTCTTGGAAAGAAAAGTAGATGAGTATAATAAATTACTACTTTGCATTCCCACCATGTTTAATAATTTTTACCCTAGAGAGAGCTAGCTATTTCTTATAACAGGCTTTTGCTGGGTAATACTTTTAGTGGAAAGGGGCTTGTAAGCAAAGATGAGATTAGAGAGGCATTTGTAGGATCCTTTCGTGTAATGGGTGGGCAGCTCTGCACTTCCTTAAATAATAACCCAATGACTATATAGATACAATAATTATTGACATTGGTACTTGTCAGAGAAGCTCCTTTCATAGGATCAATTACTCCTTAATGGACAGGTTGTTGGTCAGAAAATCTGGTGTGTAGTCAGCCGCAACTAAGCCAATAACTTATTGTATGATTATGAACAGGGTAATTGCCTTTTTGTGTCTCTTCAGTTTCCTAATCTGTAAATTGAGGGGCTGAACTGGAATGTATGGAACTCTCTGGGCTTATGATTCTATGACTAGGGGCTAGGAGGGTTTAAAAATAAAATAAGACAACAAAACTTACAAAAGAAACAAACTTTCCTGATGTAACAGCTCCCTGGCTTCCTCCTGTTGCATTTCTCTGCTCCCCCGCATGGTGAAGTTTTGAGGGAGAGTGGTTTATAGGGCGGTCTTCACTCCACCACAGATGCTCATGGTTCCAATGGCTGCCATGTTGACAGGTCCAGTAGTCTCTCTGCTGCATCCCAGCAGCATTTGATCACGTCCATTTTCTTCAAACACCCTCTTCGCTTGGCTTGCACAGAGCCATACTCTCTTTCCTGGATTTTCTCTTACTCACTGGAAATGTTTCTTCTCTGCCTTGTCATTGTTCCTGTAGATTCTTCTTTTTTTGGCATTCAAAACATTCATGGCTCAGTCTCTGTCTTTGTTGCTGTTCTTGTTAGTTCTTCCTTTTCTAACCAAACTTCAAAAGTTGGAGCACCCCAGGCTCAGTCCTAGTTCTACCCTTCACTACCCGCATTCTGTTCTTAAAGATCTCATCTAGTCCCATGGCTTTACATGCTATTTATATGTTAATGGCTTTCAAAATTATATCCCCATTATTGACATCTCTTAATTCTAAATGCATGACTAGCAGACATTTTCAAACTAGCCAAAACAGAACTTGTGATTTTTTACCTCAACCTTTCCTTTCTCAGTATGCTCCATCTCAGTAAATGGCACTATTTTTGACTCAACTGTTGAAGCTAAGATTATAAGACCTATCCTTAATTCCTCTATACCCCTCACATTCCAGATACAATTTGTTTCAGCTGTCTATCTACTGCTACTTAACAAACTAAAACAAAATGTAGTAGCTTTTTTAAAAAAGTAATGTATTATTTCTCACAATTCTGTGGGTTGGCTGGGAGGTTCTGCTGGGCTCACTCATGGGGCTAATTTAGCTGATAGGTTAGCTAGGCTGGAAGACCAAGAAGGCTTCATTCACAAGTTCACCAGCAGGTGCCAGCTGTCAGCTGGAGTGCCTTGGTTTCTTCTCTTTTCTTTTAGATGACTCCTCATCCTGTAGTAAGCTAGATTGGCTTTCTTACATGGTGGTCTCATGGCAACATTTTAAGAGAGCAAAACCAGAGGCTGCAATATCTAAGCCCACTTCTCACTTTCTTTACTCAGTCTGTCCAAGCTGGTATTATCTAGGCTCTTACCACAGCTCTTAGCTCACCCTGCTTCCACTCTTACTATCTACCCCCTCCACACCTCTCCATTCCTGGTGTTCATGCACACACACACACACACACACTCATGTAACAGCCAGAGTGATCAGATCACATAGATCCTCCTGTGAAAACCCTTCCAGTGGTTTTTTCAGTGTCACTAGAACAAGATCTAAAGTCTGTATAACAACCCAAGAGGCCCATGACAATTCATTTCCTGTTTATCTCTCCTTCATCCCTATCACTCTCCTTGATCATAATGCTCCTGGCCAATGAAGCTGAGATAGTGAAAAAGGCACACTGGTCTTCCTTCTGTTCTTTTGAATTTCTGCAAGTGTCAAAATCTTTTTAGCCTGTGGGTCCTTGTCTTGGATGCTCTGCATCCAGACATCTCCTCCATGGACTCTACACTTCATTCAGATCTTACCCAGCTAAAATATCAGCTCTGCAGAGAGAATTTCTTTGCTGTATCTAATGTTTATTTTCTCCAGCCAGCCACTCTTTTATGGTCTTATGTTTTGTTTTCTTCGAAGCTCTTTTCATCATCTGTAATTAACCTGTGCATGTATTAATGTGCTTGATTATTTCCATCTCTCTTCACTAACAAGTTATAAGTTCTATAAGAACAGGGACCTTTTCTTTCTTTTTGGCCCTTATATCTCAAGCATCTTGAACTTCGGTACATAGTAAGGCTTCAATAAATATTTATTCAGTAAAATGAATGAATGATGTAGTGTTAGGTAATAATTGCATATCTGCATTCCAGAATCAAAGTCACTTTCTCTGCTCTCAGTGGAGACAGCCCGGTCTTATGAATGGAGTGGTGGTGGGTGTCAAGTTCTGCCCATTATTTTTCAAGCACAGTCAAAGCCAGTTAGCCTCTCCATGACTTGTGATTTGTTTTGTACAAGATTAAGTTTGAAGTCCTCCCTTAACATTTCAAAGGAATGATGTAAGGGTGAAATAAAATAATTTTTGAAAGCTTCTTAGACAAAACTCCCTGCAAACCAGACACTACATAAGCGCTTTCCATCTGCTCAGTCATTATTAGTTTGAAAAATGTTTTTAGAGCTTGACAAATTGAACTAGGGAGCATGGGTTATAGCTACTGTTCTACCCTGGAGGAAACAAATGTAGTCAGTAGGCACAAATATTATGATACGTTAGGTGCCTCAATATTTCTCCTGAACTTCTCTAGATCATTATCAAAATGTTTTAGGCAAAATAGCCCTTTTACCATATGATCAGTAAAATAGAAACGAAAGATGAGACATTGTATTTAGACATTACTTGAATTTTATATAATTTTTAAAGGTTTATCATTATTTTAAAAAGACAATATACTGTTTCTGTTCATGATCGAACTAAGAATGTAATACCTATAATAATACTAGGGGTCTATGTTCTAGTCACTGTGCAAAGGGCTTTATATATTTTCTTATTTTTACCCTCAATAACTCTTTAAAGTAGGTGTTGCTTTTATTCTCCTTTTAAGAGAAGAAAACTGAGGTTTAGAATGGTAAATTAACTTGCTCAGAGTCACACAGTGAATGGCAGAATTGGGGTTTAAAACCAGATTGGTCTGACGAAGCCTAACGCCTACAGAGTTTAGGCAGAAAACATAAATATCTGAAGCCTTTTTTGTTGAGATGGAGTCTCGCTCTGTCACCAGGCTGGAGTGCAGTGGCGTGATCTTGGCTCACTGCAACCTCCACTTCCCGGGTTCAAGAGATTCTCTTGCCTCAGCCTCCCAAGTAGCTGGGACTACAGGTACGTGCTACCACACCCAGCTAATTTTTGTAATTTTAGTAGAGACAGGATTTCACCATGTTGGCCATGATGGTCTTGATCTCTTGACCTCGTGATCCACCCGCCTTTGCCTCCCAAAGTGCTGGGATTACAGGCATGTACCACTGCGCCCGGCCTGTCTGAAGCTTTTATGTATGATATAAAGGGAGTTGCAGGTACTGTGGCCAAACTACAGAGTACAAGGCACTGCCAGGCATTTCAATTTAAATCAAACAACAATAACAACAAAAACACAACAGAACAGAACACAGTCCACCGTTTCAACACCTTGGGGACTAGAAACTCTGTGAGATCATTGTCCATCTTTGCTCACCATTATATCCTTAGTGACAACCACAGTGCCAGCAGACACATTGTAGGTGCTTAATATATATTTGTTGAATGAATAACTTCAGAGCCTGTGACTGCACTCTTGAACACTACTCTAATACTTATTCAATTTAGGAATAAGTTAAATATTCCATTTCCTCAGTCTAAGAGAAATGCCTTTGCTACTGGGTGATAAATTCCCTATCATTGTGTCTTTGTATAAATTCTAGCTTTTGTGAGAGACTAAAAATAATTACAAAACCTAATTTTGGGCTCTAAAAAGGACAATACTCAACTGCACTGTAATTTGACTAGGTACAGAAGCAAGACATCCTTCAAACAGAGATGAAAGACTGTATTTGTTGTCAGGGAAACATTTCAGTTTTTTCTCTTCATTCCATTTTTAAAAGAAAAAGTCACAAAAATAACAGCAATCTATTGATTTATGAAAAGAAGCCAGCTATCAGCTATTGAGGGTAGGCACAATTAAAATTAAATTATTTATGCCACTTGCCAAGAGGATCAAATTTCATAATTTCTGACAAAAAATGTGGTGTTGTTCTTTACAGAATTGAATATTTTTTACAACTTACTATTGTGTGTTTCATTTTTAGAAGGTACATTCAAGTTAAAACAATGTTTGTTTAGATTTTTTAAATAAACTTTGCTGCAGCAGCAATGAGTTAGGTGCTATAAGTACCTATAATATGACTACCATCCGAGGCAGGTCAACATACAAAATTTAAAATATCAGTTATGGAGCCAATGTACCTCGGTTTCTCTTCATATTCATTAGTAGAGTCAGAAGAAAATACAAATTTTCTCAATATTTAAAGTCTACAATTAATTTTCAAGTTAAAACGAATCACTCCAAAGTGAGAAAAATTTGCTCACGTGAAAGCAAAAGAATGGATTGTTGACTGCTGTAGTTTTTTGTTTTGGGTTGACTTAAATGAGTTCAGGTACTTATGTGACTTTCACAAGAGTACTTTAAAACTTACCCAGTATATTTATCAACCTTGAATCACATCCTTAACCCTGAAGTGTATTCAATATAATATTATATAGGATGACAATGTCATGATTAAGCATTTTTCTTTGGCTCTAGGAATTTACCCTGGCACTGACTGCTAAGAATACAGAGAACACTAAGAATATGAAATATACTAAGAATAGTACAAATACTAGCTAGTTATGCAACTAATGTTGCCTAATTATGAAGTTCAACATTTTATCCACAGCACTGACTTAGAACTTGCATCTTAAATAAAAATATGTGCCTTTTAATTCAAAACACTTAGAAGAAAGTTACAATTGCAATTTAAAGTTTAAAATTTTGATTATGATTCAAGGTGGCAGATTAAGCTCATGGTTAATCCTCCACCCCACCCCATTCCATAAATCCACATTTGAAATACACAAGCAAAGAACAAAAAGGGCTTCAGGTTAAGATGGAAGATTAAACACATGCATTTAATTTTAACTTCACCCTTGCTAAAACCCCATTAAGGCTATTGAATGTATTTTTTTAAGAGATGTAAACTGATAATGGGACAACAGGAAAGGAGAAAATTATAATAATTTTTAGGATCCTGCATAGCAGATATACAAATAATTACTGATATACCAGACCCAGGAAACCCAAAACCATATTAACTTCAGGGATAATGGAACCAGACAAAGGTTAAAAAAAATCCTCAAAAAGTATAGGACAGTAGTGTCAGGTACTTCTGAAACTGGAGATTGGTTTGGAGTCTGAAATAAAGAGGGCTGAGTGAAAGCTGTTTACAAGGCATTTAGATCCCTAGAGTCCTTCACCCACCACATGCTGCTGGCAACTGCCCTTCTCCCACCTGGCAGAAATTTGGAATTGTGTTCTGTGCAAAAGGTATAAAGGAGGGACTCTAAATGGAGATGATGAGATCTTATACAACAAAGAGGGATTAAATGACCTTATGCAAAATAGATGCTGAATATACAGATACTCCCCTCCTGGAAAGTTGGCAGCCAGATTCCTACCCTCTGGGAAGGAGATGGAAGACACTTCTCTGGGGAACTTGACCAATGCAAGAGAAAAGATTTAATAATATTGACTTTGGAGTTTTTCTCCAAGAAGGCTCCTATATTAGTCCTTTCTCACGCTTCCATGAAGGACTGCCTGAGACTGGGTTATTTATAAAGGAAAGAGGTTTAATTGACTCACAGTTCTGCATGGCTGGGGAGGCCTCAGAAAACTTATAATAATGACAGAAGCGGAAGAAAACATGTCCTTCTCCACATGATGGCAGCAAGGAGAAGTGCCAAGCAAAAGGGGGAAAAGCCCCCTGTAAAACCATCAGATCTCATGAGAACTCACTCACTATCACAAGAACAGCAGCATGGGGGTTAATGCCCCCATGATTCAATTACCACCCACTGGGTCCCTCCCACGACACGCGGGAATTATGGGAACTACAATTGAAGATGAGATTTGGGTGCTGACACAGCCAAACATATCAACTCCCAAAGGTTACTTCACAATAATACCCCACATCTACAGACCCTACCCATGTGCTCTGAAATTCCAATCAGCATTTTAGTCCTGCACTCTTTATCACAAACTGATTGCCAAATAGTAATAGATACCCGGGGAAGGCTTTAACGTAGACGATTAAAAAAAAAACAAAAAACCAACCAACAGATAAATGAAAATGTAAATAAGAAAAGAATGGAATAAAAAAGAAAAATTCAGAGAACTTAAAGAGCTCTTAGAAATTAAAAATATTATGGGAAAGTGAAAACACAATAAAAGGTTGGAGGACAATGTTGAGGACATCTCCAAGAAATTAGAAGAAAAAGACTACCAGATAGTAAATTGGGCATACAAGAAAACAGAAGCAGAAACCAATCTAGAAAGTCTAAAATATGAATAGTAGAGGATTCAGAAAGAGAGAACAGAAAAAACAATGGGTGAAATCCTTAAAATAATTATAGAAGAATCTTCCCAGGACTGAAAGATGTGAATTGCCAGAATGAAAGGATCCACTAAAAACCCAGAATATTGGATGAAAATATATCCACACCAAGGCTCATGATTCTGAAATATCAGAACAGTGAGAACAAAAATATTCTACTGACTTTCAGAGAGAGAAACAAATCACATACAAAAGATCAGGCATCACAATGATTTGGATATCTCAACAGAAACACTGGAGCAAGCAGAAAAAAATTCTGAAAAGATATTATTTCCAACGTAGGATTGTATAATGAATCAAACTGCCAAATCAACAGAAGGATAAAATAAAGACATTTTTATATATGTAAAGTCTCAAAAAATGTGCCTTCCCCACACCATTTATTAAGAAGCTATAGGAGGATGTGCTGTATCCAAATAAGAAAGTAAGCCAAGAAAGGGAATACGGGAAATAGGTGTTTCAGCTTTGGCAAGAGACAAAAAGAATCTCCAGGAGGATCCTGAAGGGAGATCTCATGTGTACAGCTATGGACCAGACAGAGAGCGACCGACCAATCCACATTGGAGCAGAGGGATTAAAAAGATGAGTATGTTCATTTGTTTATTTACTGATTATATTCTGAGTTTCTACTAGGTGCCAGATGCTCTTCTAGGCACTTAGCATGCATATGCGAACAAAGAGGACAAAGACAAAAATATCTGCCCTCATGTGACTATGTTCTATTGTGGGGGGTGGAAAACAAACCATACACAATAAGCAAGTAAATTATATAATGTGTTAGAAAGTGTTTGGTGCTCCAGAACTTTTTTTAAATACTAGAGATGTGTAAGATGATTGAGTGTGTCAGGGGTAGTGGGTAGGGGCAGTTTGTAATATTAAGTAGGATAGTCTGGGTAGGACTTATTGAGAAGGAAAGATTTGAGCAATGAGTTGAAGGAGCTGAGTATTTGGCCAAGTAGATATTTGGGATAAGAGTGATCTTGGCTGAAGGAATAGCTAGAGCAACTCCTTAAGGTGGGAGCTCATCTGCCATCCTGGTATGATCAAGAGACTGCAAAAGAGCCACTGAGGCTAGCATAAAGTTAGCCGAAATTTGAGAATGTCAGAGAAGCAGAGGAAGGAGTCTTTATGGGTTACCATGGTGACTTTAGCTTTTATTCTATGTGAAATAGGAAGACGTTTTGAAAGCTTATGAAGAGAGAAGTCACATGATCTGACTTAAATTTTAGAAGGACCACTCTGTTTAGGTAGTTTGCCATGGCACAAGAGTTTGGATTTTCTAATGAATTGTTTTTGGCATGTGAGAGTGAAGAGTTAGGGAGGAGACCAGAGTTTTGGCATGAGCCCCTGGAAGGATGGGTTATTATCAACTGAAATGGGGAAAGCTAAATTTGGAGCTGATATTTGGGTATGGGGGGAGTTTAGATGTTCATCTTGGACATTTGAGTTTCATATATCTATTAGAAATCTCAATGGAAATGTCAGGAAGTCTGAGTCAGGAGTCTGTGAAAGAGATCTGACTTGGTGATGCATTTTTTGAGGGCTGTCATCAGAGGGCTGTCATCAATGATATATCTACTGTCATTGAGTTATCTTTTAAAGGTGAGGACAAAGGTCATATGATCTTGATCCCATTTTTCATCTGTACTAGGCATGTCCTTACTGGTGCTGGTGACATTTCTACTCTCCCCTTCATGTCCCACTGCTTGGATCAGCTAAGGACCTTTCCACATATCACCACACAGAAGTGTTTTGTCCTAAACTTCCCCTGGGAAACAAAATTTGGCATTACGAACATAGAAGAAAAAAATTGAGAAATCTACTATTTCTGACTATCTTTATGCCAGTGTCTCATGCCTAGTTCATAATATAGTTCTATCAGACAACCCAACTGCAGAAGCCCAGTGGTTCCCAGGACCCTCTCGTACACTGCCCATTTAATTCCCCAGAAAGGATGGATAAACTCTCAGTGAAGGTGAAATTTCACTGTGACCCAAGGCTGTCCAGTTTATCTTTCTCCTGGGAGCTTTCATCTGATGGTGGCAATATTGCCATTTCCTCATACAGCTCAGTTTATACTTTCTATTCATTTTTTTAAAAAACTAAAGATTAGAGATTCTTACATGGCTAGTAAAACTACAAGTAAAAGCAAAGAAATAATTAAGATAAAGTCTTGTCAGTGGTCATTTCCTGGGAGTGCTGGGGAATACATTTGAGAAGAGGCACATGGGGAACTTCTAAGGCATTGGGTAATCCTTTTCACTTGGGTGACAGCTTCATGAGTATTAATTTTGCCATTATTCTGTAACTGTACATAAATATTTTATACCCTTTTCTCCATGCATGATATATTTCACTATAATGATTAAATTAAAAATGACCAGAAAAAAGAGACACATAAAAGAGTGAATTTCTAGCAGAGTTGAGACACTAATTAAAGGCAGAAGAAAATCTCTACTGTGAATGCACATACCCAAGGGCTGCAGTGAATAGAGGATTCTAAGGGCAGCTTGGGTATAGCCTTGGCTGCTGTTTTCCGTATGTGGTTCTAGTAATGGTTGTCAAATTGCGTCAGCAGGTAGTAAGAATAGGGGTTAAGCATGGGGCAGAAAAATGAGGTGACAAATTGAGAAAGTTCATCCCCTTCTCCTCCCTGGAATATACAGAGTAATTGGCAATATGGCAAGGAAACTGATTTCCAAAAAGATTGAAAGATACGTCTTCTGGATTCTAGGGCTTCTGGCATGAGCATTAGCACACCAGAATAATAACATTTTCTTTATTTGGTATTTAGGTGTGGATAGGAAGAATGTATCAATCAGAAAATGTTAGGTGGCAAACTACCCCAAAATTTTGTGGCTTAAACTAGCAACCATTTGGCCGGGCGCGGTGGCTCACGCCTGTAATCCCAGCACTTTGGGAGGCCGAGGCGGGCGGATCACGAGGTCAGGAGATCGAGACCATCCCGGCTAAAACGGTGAAACCCCGTCTCTACTAAAAATACAAAAAATTAGCCGGGCGTAGTGGCCGGCGCCTGTAGTCCCAGCTACTTGGGAGGCTGAGGCAGGAGAATGGCGTGAACCCGGGAGGCGGAGCTTGCAGTGAGCCGAGATCCCGCCACTGCACTCCAGCCTGGGCGACAGAGCGAGACTCCGTCTCAAAAAAAAAAAAAAAAAAAAAATACAAAAAATTAGCCGGACATGGTGGCGGGCACCTGTAGTCCCAGCTACTTGGGAGGCTGAGGCAGGAGAATGGCGTGAACCCGGGAGGCGGAGCTTGCAGTGAGCCGAGATCGCGCCACTGCACTCCAGCCTGGGCGACAGAGCGAGACTCCGTCTCAAAAAAAAAAAAAAAAAAAAAAAAAAACTAGTAACCATTTATTTTAGCTGGCAATTTGAGGTAGGCTCAGCTGAGTGGTCTGGTCTTGGTTGGGCTCATTTATACATTTAAAGTACATTGCTGGGTCAGCTGAGGGGTGGATAAACTAGAATGGCCTAGGCTGGATGCCTCATCTCTGCTCCTTATGGTAACTTGTCCTGTCAGGCTATTCTAGGATTGTTCACATGGCAGCTGGCTAGGCTTCCAAGAGAGCGAGCGAGAGCTTGCCAGGCTTCTTGAGGCCTAGGTTGGAACTGGCACATCAGCACATTTATTGAACTTTATTGGCAAAAGCAAATTACAAGGTCTTCCTTGCGACTCCTCCTCTTTGTGGAAGAAATTGCAATGTCATATGGCAAGGGATATACACACAGGGAAAGGAATAGTTGCAGTGATTTTTGCAAATAATCTTTTATGGAAGGGTCTCCATCTCCTCTGATTTTTTCCCCACCTACACATCCTAAAGAAAGACCCTACCCACGTGCTCAGAGCACGCAGTCCCACTCCCATGCAAGGAAGCATACTGTAGGGGAGAATGAGTTTAAACAATGACAGACGAAACCCACATCATCTATGTATCTTAATTAACATAGTTCTCATTTGTATCTGTGAACAGACTATCAAGGGATATCAAATGTTTGAGGAAAATCAGCAGCCCAAGAGAGAGAAAAACAAAAATGAACAAATAAATGCCTGACCACAGCACCAAAAGATAAGATCAAAGGACAAAATAATTAATCTGAATTTTTATATTTTCAGAGAGATATTTATTGGCAAACTTTTAAAAATTAAGTAATGTACAAATGTATGTGTATAGTAAAAAAATCAAATTATATAGTAGTTCCTATTGTATATCGTGGCCCCAGTTCTCCTTCTCAGAGAGGATCACTACTACCTGTATCTTACTTATTCTTCCAGAATTTTACCTCCGAGACATTTGAGAAATAGCGAAACAGCCTGCTGTGAGGAAAGATCAATCAGAAAATAAGAATGTGTTTTTGGAAACTGGAAAAATAAGGTACTCTGAATTAAAATATATTCTATAGGAATATAAATAGATACTGGTATATGTAGGTATAGAAGGACCTAAAATAAAATTTGAAGAAGTCATTTTTTAATATGGAACAAAAGACTAACAGATGAAAAATATGAGAAAAATTACTGAGAGAGCCATAGATGATCAGTCTAGGAGGTCTATCTTTTAAATCAATGATAGAAAATTAGTTGGAAGAACTAATAAGAGAAATAGAAGAAAATTCATGTAATTAAAAAAAATGATTTGAAGTTTCTCTGCTGAAAAGTCCACCAAGTGCTGAACAGGATAAATAATAAAAAAAAAACAACTGCAATTCTTGGACACAACCTTATAAATTTCAGAAAATCAGGGGAAAGAATAAGAATCTGAGTATGGCGGGTGGCGGAGTAATGAGCAGAGCTTTTGTTTTGTTTTGTTTTGCTTTTAATAAAATGTCACATCAGCAACCCAGGATACTAAAAAATAATGAACCAATGCTTTCAAAGTTTCAAGGAAAACTGCTTTTGAATCTATAATTCTATACTAAACTCTAAAGGTTTTTCCTGGGAACATTTATTTACCTAGTTGCAGCGTGGAAATAGAGTCCTGCCAGGAATCTTCACACCCACGGGGTATGAAGGACAAGGTTGAAATTCGTAGGTACCAAAGTACAATGACTTGAGGAGCAAAATCCTAAAGAGGAGAGAACCACAGGTGAGCTCCAAATATTTGCGTGATCTCCTCTCAAGGCATCTGGCAACTCCTAACTTGTGCAGGACAAAGCAGTAGCTAGGAGGCTAAGGACCTGAGCAAAGATTTCAGCAGCCATATGGTGCTGGGAAGGGGGACAGATAGGTAGATTGGCCTTGGTGGAAACTTCAGGCTTTTATTTGATCCACAGAAGGCTGCCTCCTAGGAGTTAGGGCAAGTATAAGTTTCCTATGGCTGCCATAACAGATTGCTATTGAGTGCGTGGTTTAAAGCAACAGAAATTTATTCTTCCACAGTTCTGGAGGCCAGAAATCTGAAATCAAAGTGTCAACAAGGCCATGCTCTCTCTGAAGACTCTAGGAGAGGATGATCCTTCCTTACCTCTTCCTGGGTTGGGTGGCAGCTGGTGATCCTTGGTGTTCCTTGACTTGTACTGTCATTACTCCAGGCTCTGTATCTGTTGTTATGTCGTATTCCTGTGTCTTCACACCGCCCCCGAAATAACACAAGTCAGTGTGTTTAGAGTTCACTCCAATCCAGTATGACCTCAACTATACATAATTCTTCATTTCCAGTACTATTATTAGTGCTCACTCCTCCCCATCCTTCTTTCCTACCCCAGATTTAGACTTTGACATTTAATATCATTTAATCAAATGACACCAATATTAGGAAAGAAGAGACTTCTCATTATGGCTCTTTCCCAATCCTCTGTTGACAAACACCATTACCAGGAATAGCAATGCTGTCAAGATTCTGCCCATATTCCTTAGACGCTCTCACTTCAATGTGGTCCAGATAAATTTTATCTGCCAGTACCATCATCTCTGTGCCCATGTGTGAGATAGACTAAAAGTGCTAGGAAATTAATACCCTCACCCTAGCAGCTCTCAATCACTGACTGATAGGAGTGGTGTATGTATCCCAGCCCTCTTGCCTCTCTTATTGGGTAGTTTTGTGGTGTGTTTCTGAGAGTTTCTACATGGGATACCCACTGCAGTGGTTGGCTTAGTTATACATCATTTATTGGCTGCCTTCTTCATCCTGTGTCACTTCTCACTCCATGGACATTGTCCTATGCACTTCCTAAATTCACCTGAATTTTTGTCTTAGGGTATACTTCAGGGAGAACCCAAGTAAAGACACTGAGACATATGTTATTATTGTAAGTTGTCCTGAGTTGAAAAGGATAGTTTTTGGTTATTTTAACTCTACTTCACTGAAGATGAAAGAAAGGTAGATGCTGGAAATTTTGGGGTGCTGTCTTAAAGAACCTTGAATACCTTCATCTGATATACACATAGATATCTTAGATTTCTCATCAAAGCAATTAAACTAAAGTACATGACATCTTGAATAGGACATTTTCACAGTTCCGGGCTTTCTGAAGGGTAGTGTTGGTATCACAAATGGATAAAGAGCAAGCATTTTGCTCCTTAAGCATCAGAGCAAGAAGGATGAAGTAAATGCAATTTATTGATTGAATGTCTCTCTGCTATATTGTTCCTGTAGGAAAAGTGCTAACTTTGATAACTACCTGGAATTAATGGCCTGTAGACTCCAGGGTCACTGTGTATTTTTCTTTTTAAGTACAAAAGGAAGCAAAATAATTGACAGATGAAAAAGTAGACTACTGCTTCAGACATGATGCTTCTCCACACACAGCCTCAAAATAACGACTACAACAAAAAAGTTCCATACCCAAAACAAGATTTCTGGCAGAAGGAGTTGAGGAAGATAAATTTTCTGAGGAAACATATGTAAGGATTTGGTGTTTGAATTCCTTTAGTAATCATGCTTTCTCTACGAGGCCATCAAGGCTAATACCATCAGGTCTCACAGCCATGTTTCTTAGTTTTCTCTGCAAATCCAGGGCTTTGGGTCAATCATCATAGCCTAGCTCTTGTCCCACTTTGCTGTATATATCCTGTGATTGTGACCCACTTCTTTCAATGTGCCTCCTTCATCCTTCCATTTTCTGTGGAATTTAAACAAACTTCCTTATTTTCTGAACTTTTTCTCTAAATGTTTATTTCTCTATTGTCAATAAATCTTTGCTCTCACTCGAGGACAAAGCTTGTAAGAAGAGCTGTTATTTTTATAGAGTCGTTGCCATATAATTGATGTATAACAAATTACACATGCTTAAATTGTCTGCTTTTGTCAGTTTATGTATATGTCTACACCCACGAAACCATCAACACAAGATAATGAGCATATCTATCACCCCTGAAAGTTTCCTCACATCTATTTATACTCCTATATTTGCACTCTAAAAAAAAAAATGAAATAGTTTAATATCAGACAGTGATGAGTGCTTTGTAGAAGATAAAGTAAAGGGGAAAGGTAGTGAATGCTCAGAGGTGGGGGGCTATGGGGGATGTGGGAAAAGTGTCACCTGAGAAGGTAATTATATTTCAGAAAAGAATTTAATGAAAAGAAAGAAACCTGTCAGGTATTGACCTAGGAGAAGCAAGATCTAGGCAGAGGTAATGGCAAGGGCAGAGGCCCTCAGGAGTAAGCACGCTTGATCAGTGTGGCTGGATACAAGATGAATTTGGAAATGCAGGCAGATCCCAGATTGTGTATGAATTTATAGACCATTGTAGTGAATTTTGACATTATTCTGAATACAATGGAAAACCATATTGGAGACTTTATGCAAGAAATGACATGACGTGATTTGTGTGTTTTTGTTGTTATTTTGATGTTAATCTCCCTGTCTGCTCTTTAAAGAATAAGGAGCAAGAAATTTAGGATAGGAAAAAAAGACTAGCCCCTAACTTATGCTGACTGGTTGGATTTCAAGTCAGTCAGGTAAACTAGTATGAACAGGGAGTGGGAGAAAATGTTGGAGAATTATATGAACTTTAAAGTAGTTTTTTCCAATTCTGTGAAGAAAGTCATTGGTAACTTGATGGGGATGGCATTGAATCTATAAATTACCTTGGGCAGTATGGCCATTTTCACGACATTGATTCTTCCTACCCATGAGCATGGAATATTCTTCCATTTGTTTGTATCCTCTTTTATTTCATTGAGCAGTGGTTTGTAGTTCTCCTTGAAGAGGTCCTTCACATCCCTTGAAAGTTGGATTCCTAGGTATTTTATTCTCTTTGAAGGAATTGTGAATGGGAGTTCACTCATGATTTGGCTCTATGTTTGTCTGTTATTGTTGTATAAGAATGCTTGTGATTTTTGTACATTGATTTTGTATCCTGAGACTTCGCTGAAGTTACTTATCAGCTTGAGGAAATTTTGGGCGAGACAATGGGGTTTTCTAGATATACAATCATGTCATCTGCAAACAGGGACAATTTGACTTCCTCTTTTCCTAATTGAATGCCCTTTATTTCCTTCTCCTGCCTGATTGCCCTGGCCAGAACTTCCAACACGATGTTGAATAGGAGTGGTGAGAGAGGGCATCCCTGTCTTCTGCCTGTTTTCAAAGGGAATGCTTCCAGTTTTTGCCCATTCAGTATGATATTGGCTGTGGGTTTGTCATAGATAGCTCTTATTATTTTGAGATACATCCCATCAATACCTAATTTATTGAGAGTTTTTAGCATGAACAGTTGTTGAATTTTGTAAAAGGCCTTTTCTGCATCTATTGAGATAATCATGTGGTTTTTGTCTTTGGTTCTGTTTATATGTTGGGTTACATTTATTGATTTGTGTATGTTGAACCAGCCTTGCATCCCAGGGATAAAGCCCACTTGATCATGGTGGATAAGCTTTTTGATGTGCTGCTGGATTTGGTTTGCCAGTATTTTATTGAGGATTTTTGCGTCAATGTTCATCCTAAGCCAAAAGAACAAAGCTGGAGGCATCATGCTACCTGACTTCAAACTATACTGCAAGGCTACAGTAACCAAAACAGCATGGTACTGCTACCAAAACAGAGATATAGACCAATGGAACAGAACAGAGCCCTCAGAAATAATGCCACATATCTACAACTATCTGATCTTTGACAAACCTGAGAAAAACAAGCAATGGGGAAAGGATTCCCTATTTAATAAATGGTGCTGGGAAAACTGGCTAGCCATATGTAGAAAGCTGAAACTGGATCCCTTCCTTACACCTTATACAAAAATTAATTCAAGATGGATTAAAGACTATAATGTTAGACCTAAAACCATAAAAACCCTAGAAGAAAACCTAGGCAATACCATTCAGGACATAGGCATGGGCAACGACTTCATGTCTAAAACACCAAAAGCAATGGCAACAAAAGCCAAAATTGACAAATGGGATCTAATTAAACTCAAGAGCTTCTGCACAGCAAAAGAAACTACCATCAGACTGAACAGGCAACCTACAGAATGGGAGAAAATTTTTGCAACCTACTCATCTGACAAAGGGCTAATATCCAGAATCTACAATGAACTCAAACAAATTGACAAGAAAAAAACAAACAACCCCATCAAAAAGTGGGCGAAGGATATGAACAGACACTTCTCAAAAGAAGATATTTATGCAGCCAAAAAACACATGAAAAAATGCTCATCATCACTGGCCATCAGAGAAATGCAAATCAAAACCACAATGAGATACCATCTCACACCAGTTAGAATGGCGATCATTAAAAAGTCAGGAAACAACAGGTGCTGGAGAGGATGTGGAAAAATAGGAAGACTTTTACACTGTTGGTGGGACTGTAAACTAGTTCAACCATTGTGGAAGTCAGTGTGGCAATTCCTCAGGGATCTAGAACTAGAAATACCTTTGACCCAGCCATCCCATTACTGGGTATATACACAAAGGACTATAAATCATGCTGCTATAAAGACACATGCACACGTATGTTTATTGCGGCACTATTCACAATAGCAAAGACTTGGAACCAACCCAAATGTCCCACAACGACAGACTGGATTAAGAAAATGTGGCACATATACACCATGGAATACTATGCAGCCATAAAAAATGATGAGTTCATGTGCTTTGTAGGGACATGGATGAAACTGGTAACCATCATTCTCAGCAAACTATTGCAAGGACAAAAAACCAAACACCACGTGTTCTCATTTATAGGTGGGAATTGAACAATGAGAACACATGGACACAGGAAGGGGAACATCACACAGCGGGGACTGTTGTGGGGTGGGGAGAGGGGGGAGGGATAGCATTAGGAGATATACCTAATGCTAAATGATGAGTTAATGGGTGCAGCACACCAACATGGCACATGTATACATATGTAACAAACCTGCACGTTGTGCACATGTACCCTAAAACTTAAAGTATAATAATAATAAAACTAAAAAAAAAGAAAATGTTAGAGAATTAGAAACACCAAGAGTAGGTTGGCATGAATTTATATGAGTGAGAGATTGGAGACAGAAGGAGAGCCCACAGGGATGTTAGTATGGAGAGAGAGAGAGAGACAGCGAGAGAGAGTGAGCATGGAGAAAATAATACAATCGTGGTCTCACAGAAAGGTTTCCAGATCCAGCCTTTTTAATTTGGTCTGAATCCAGGACAGAGTAGGGAGGGGCAGGGGACTTAGGAACATTCTGTGAAACACTGGGACATAAACATTGATGCCCAGGGAACAAAATGTGACATTGGGAAGTGACAATTCTCTTTGCTTTCTGAGAGACTTGAGTTCAGTGCTTTGAGTTCAATGCTTTGAGTTCTTGGGTGGAAGGGTTGAGTTCAATGTTTTGAGAATTAGGAGTATACTTGGAAGCAACCCCACACAGAGGCTGAACAATGCTCTGGGGAACACAGTGCTCCCAAAGGTGGGGGATGGAATAGATGGAGGCTTTAGGGGATTTCAGACACACGACTCAGTTTATTTCTGAGCACGAGTCACTTTTGAATCTGTGAAAAATAATTGGTGAAACACGAAGGGAACTGGAGTAGCTGTATTAGATGATAGAAGTAGACATCTCCATGATTACTAACATGGCGAAGCTAGGGAAGCCCTTCAATGGCTCCTTATTGCACTTGGAATAAAGACAAGGCATCAATCCTACATAAAAGGGACCCTACTTACCTCTCCTCCCTCTTCTGCTTCCCTCAAATTGTACGAGCCAGTCACATGGCTGTCTTCCAGTCCTTTAAATGCATCTGGCTCTCTTACCAGCTGGGCCTCTTTGAATGCTGTTCACTCTGCCTTGACATCCTTTCCCTTTCTTAGCTTGATTAATTACTACTTATTGTTAAAACCTTACCTTTGAGGCTACTTTTCCCAGAATGCATTTTCCAACATTATTCTCTGGGTTATGCCATCCCCATCTATGCTTCCATGGAGCCTCCAAATACTCCTAAATATATTCCCATAGCGCCTACCATATGGGAAATGTATATTTATTTAGTTTAACACTTACTAGAATGAAAACTTCATAAGAGCAGGGATTGGATCTGTGCCTTGTCCACCTCTGTATCTTTAGTCTCTAGCATAGTTCTGGGAACTGAGTAGAGGCTCAAAAATATTTAGTGAAGGAAGAGAAGGTAGAAACTTAAAAAGGAAGGGAGGAAAGAAAGATTACAGGTAAGGAGTGAGTAGGAAACAAAAAATAATAATAATACTTCATTTGGGCACAAAAGATGACTCTTGATAATAACAACAAAATCCCTCTACCATCCTCTTTGACTCACACGAATGTTTATGGTGGTGTTATTTATAATGGCTAAAAAATGGAAACAACCCAAATGATAAATGGCTAGACAAAATATGGTATATCTATGTAAAGGAATATTATTCAGCAATAAAAAGAATAAACTACTAATACATGCTACAACTGGATGAACTTTGTGAACATTCTGCTAAATGAAAGAAGACAGACACAAAAGTTCACTTATTATATAATTATATTTACATGAAATGTTCAGAATAGGCAAATCTATACAGACTGAAAGTAGATTAGTGGTTTCCAGGAGTTGGGGAGAAAGATAGTGGAAGTGACTGTTAATGGGTATGGAGTTTGCTTTTAGGATAATGAAATTGCTCCAAAATTAAATAGTGATGATGGTTGCACAACTGTGGGTATACTAAAAGTCACAAAATTATTTAATTTAAGTGGGTAAATTGTATGGTATGTGAATTACATCTCAATAAAGCTATTGTTTTTAAAAATATGGATGTCAAGAACTTGGAATACTGGTGTAATTACGGCTTGGCAGAATCAAATAGTGCTACTTCCCTTCCCCAATCAAACAACTATGGCTTTAGACTCTGTAAAAGTAGGATTCTGAAACACTGGATGAATTTTACATTATGTTATTGCTTATAAACTAATTCAACTCCAGTGCAATGGAAGAAATAGATACAAGGAAAAAATCAGTACAATTCTACTTTCAAAACCACTCCATTTAATCTTCAGAAAATTTAAAATAAAGTTCATAGTTCGATATTGAAAAAAAATTCCGTCATAGCTACTTCACAGCTCCCAAAAGTAAACTGTAATGGTGACCCCAAATTGTATTAATTTATGAAGAAAATGCTACACTTTCAAAAATAAGACTTCCTGTTTTGAAGAGTCAATGCATTTGGAATGCAACATCTTCCAAAACAACACAGAGTCAGTAGGGAAATACGGTCATCTACACACAGGCTCAATGTATACAAACAGAAGAAAATTTAATGTTTATAGAAAGCCACACAATATGGAAAGCTTTGCTCATTATATGGCAAAATAGCTGATGGGAGGAAGCACCAACTGTCACCACTTATTCAACAAATGTGTTCTATAAGTTTAGTGGAACACATTCAATAACAAACTCTGGCTTATTGAATTGCATCAGGAGCAAAGGCAGATGAGTGATTCATGCTCTCTGAGAAGGAAATCACAAGGCTAGTATTCTTAGGGTCTTCATATTATTTCTCCCCAAATTACTTTTGTATTATGCCCCTGGCACTAGCGTTCACAGATGGTCTTCTACATAACACTCACACTGAAGTAAATATTTTAATAAGCATTAGAACTAAGCAAGAAGGGAGGAGGAGAAAAATCAGGGAAGATGGAGTTCAAAGAAAGAGTGAAAGCAAGATAGAGAATCACAGAATTAAAATACTATTTTGCATAATGCTATCATCAATAAGAATAACAATAAAAATATACTTGTATAACATGACGTTGGAGATTTCTTAAAATTATAGCTACAATTATGTGCCATTGGAGGTTAGGTAGAGTCAGGCATAATTATATTTGGCAGACACAAAGTACAAATTATATTTGTACTTGTCACCACTACTGACCTCCCAAATGTGTTGGTTTCCGATGTTTCTCCCTGAGCAGGCTGCTAAGCTGTGTTTACTATTCTTAAGATACTTCAAGGTCCCACTTAACTCCTCAGATTTTCTTAAAAAGTGACTGATGTGTGGACTCAGCAGCAACTAAGCCAAATGTCTTTGCAATGTCAACTGATAAATCAGCATCTATTCTCATGAGCTCTTATTGTGGCTTCCTGTACTGTAGGGGCTGGAAAGCTATAACGCATATTTTTAAAAGGTGTTTTTGATGCAAATGGGGTTTCATGATTAAATGCACTGAAATCTGATTTGGGAGATAGAAGGAAGATAGAAGCCATTTTCCTACTGCTTTTTAATTTGATCATTTTCTGCTGGCAAGCAGAGTTATTGACGTGAGTTTTCCTGCGGTAGTATTAGAATGCCCACACAATGGCTGTATGGTTGTCAAGAGACACTTGCTATTGGAGCAGTGGTGGTTTCCTGTTTTATCACAACTTACGGTGATGCATTATAAAATTCAATTTTTCATGAACAGCTTCCTAATTGTTCACCTGTGTCAGAATTAGCAGCTCTACAGGTATGTCATATCTGTAATATTCTGCGGGGGTCATTCTTGGAAGCTTAGAATCAAAGCCTGCTTGTTTTTCTAAAGATTTTTTAAGCACCTAATTCCCATTGTTAAATCTGTTTAAAATACCTAGAGGGGTTTTGAGTTACTGCACTAGGAACTCATACACTAGCCAAGAGAGGTCATTAGTTTTATAGATGAGGCAGTTTAGTAATTGCTCAACTTAGCTTGTAACATTTAGTGTAGAACAATGATCCAGGTTTTTATCTTCAAGTCTAATCCATATGATGTTAGTAATATGGAAACTCCACATAATTTCAAGCATTGTTTTAGATGTATGCAAATATACATTTATTTATATATTGTGTTAGTCTCTTTGCGTTGCTACAAAGGAATATCTGAGTCTCAGGAATTTATAAAGAAAAGGGGTTTATTTTGGCTCATAGCTCAGCAGGTTGTACAGAAAGTGTGGCACCAGCATCTGCTTCTGGTAAGGGCCTCAGGAAGCTTACAATCATGGCAGAAGGCGAAGGGGGATGCTGTGTATCACATGGTGGGAGAGGAAGCAAGAGAGTGAAGAGGAAGTTCCAGGCTCTTTTAAATAACCAGATCTGGTGTGAACTCATAGAGGGAGAACTCACTGATTATTGTGAGGATGGCATCAAAACATTCATGAGAATCCACCCCCATGATCCAAACACCTCCCACCAGGCCCCACCTCCAACATTGGGGATTATATTTCAGCATGAGATTTGGAGGGGACAAACATCCAAACTATATCATTTAACCTCTGGCCCCCCAAATCTTATGTCCTCCTCACATTGCAATATGCATCATCCCTTTGCAATAGTCCCCCAAAGTCTTAATCATTTCAGCATTAACTCAAAAGTCTAAAGCCTCACTTGAGACTCAGGGTAAGTTCCTTCCACCTATGAGCCTGTCAGATCAAAAACAAGTTATTTACTTCCAAAATACAATAGTATCATTGTATAATAGTATCATTGGGTCAACATTCCCATTCCAAAAGGGAGAAATTGGCCAAAAGGAAGGTGCAACAGGCTCCATGCAAGTCTGAAACACAGCAGGGCAAACATTCAAACTTAATGTCCAAAATAATCTTGTTAACTCCATGTTCTGCATCCAGGGCACACTGGTACAAAGGGTGGGCTCACAAGGCCTTGGGCAGCTCTGCCTCTGTGACTTTTCACAGGTCAGCCCCTGTGGCTGGTCTCACATGTTGGCTTTGAGTGACTGCGGCTTTTCCAGGCTCAGGGTGCGAGCTACTGATGGCTCTACCATTCTTAGCTATTGAGGCAGTGGCCCCATTGCCACAGCTTCACTAGATAGTGCCCTGGTGGGGACTGTGTGGGGGCTCCAACCCCACATTTCCCCTCAGCACTATCCTAATGTTTGTTGTAGGACTTTCTCCTTAGTTCAGCTAAAAGCCAGGTTCTTGTCACTTGACCATCAAAGATTAGCCCCGCAGACAATTTGAAGGGTGAGAAAAATGGAATTTATTGGGTGAAAAGGAAAAAAGGGAAACAGAGACACTCGGCGAAGTGAGAGTCTCGCTAGCTGGCTTCCCACCTCACAGATTGAATCCCAGGTTACCGCCCCACATCAGGAGAGGCCAGGCTCCTCCCCCATGCAAATGGTGTGAACTTTCCAACGTTCCACCCCAGTGCGCACTCCTCCCAGTGGGCAAGCTGGTCAGAGGTTCTGCCAGGGGGCGCTTCTTACTTGGCTACCTAATTCTGCCACTCTGAAGAAGTACATCTAACTGCCATTAGAATAAGGATAAGGATAAGGACGAAGACTGATCTTAACTGCTTCCTGCTGACAGGGGGCGCTGTTTTGGGAAAACGGCAGTCTCCCTCAGAAGCTTATTTAAGGGTCCTCAGCAGAAGGGGCCATTGTCTGAGGCTCTGGTTGCATGACTGTGTGGAGTTTGCTGGCCTGAAGGTGAAAAGAGAAAAACCAGGTTATTAGAAAACATGTATCAAAATCAAACAAGTAGGGAGGCGGGTAAGGATAGCTCAAAAATCCCAAGGCCTTTTACCAGTTTGCACAGGGAGAGGGAGGCCAAAACCTTCCATCATTGAAAGGGCAGAGGTTTGTCCTCGCCTGAATAGACGCTTACTCTGGATATGGGTTTGCCTATCCTGCACACAATGCTTCTGCCAAGACTACCATCTGTGGGCTCATGGAATGCCTTATCCACCATCATGGTATTCCACACAGTGTTGCCTCTGACCAAGGCACTCACTTTACAGCTAAAGTAGTGAGGCAGTGGGCTCATGCTCATGGAATTCACTGGTCTTTCCATGTTCCCCATCATCATAAAGCAGCTGGATTGGTAGAATGGTGGAATGGCCTTTGAAGTCACAATTACAATTCCAACTAGGTGACAATACTTTGCAGGGCTGGGGCAAAGTTCTCTAGAAGGTTGTGTATGCTCTGGATCAACATCCAATATATGATATTGTTTCTCCTATAGCCAGGATTCACTGGTCTAGGAATCAAGGGATGGAAGTGGAAGTGGCACCACTCACCATCACCTCTAGTGATCCACTAGCAAAATTTTTGCTTTTTGTTCCCATGACATTACATTCTGCTGGCCTAGAGGTCTTAGTTCCAGAGGGAGGAACGCTGCTACCAGGAATCACAACAATTATTCCATTAAACTGGAAGTTAAGATTGCCACCTGGACACTTTGGGTTCCTCCTAGCTTTAAGTCAACAGGCTAAGAAGGGAGTTACAGTGTTGGCTGGGGTGACTGACCCAGACTATCAAGATGAAATCAGTCTACTACTCCATAATGGAGGTAAGAAAGAGTATTCATGGAGTACAGGAGATCCATTAGGGCATCTCTTAGTATTACCATGCCCTGTGATTAAGGTCAATGGGAAACTACAACAGCCCAATCCAGGCAGGACTACAAATGACCCAGACCCTACAGGAATGAAGGTTTTGGTCACTCCACTTGGAAAAAAAACCATGAGCTGCTGAGGTGCTTGCTGAAGGCAAAGGGAATACAGAATGGGTAGTAGAAGAAGATAGTCATCAATACCAACTATGACCATGTGACCAGCTGCAGAAATGAGGACTGTAATTGTCATAAGTATTCCCTCCTTCTTTTGTTAAAAACGTGTTTGTGCATGTATACATTTGTAGTAAGAACATATCTTCACTTTATTTCCTTTTTCCTTTATAATATGACATAAGATTTATTGACTGCAATTCAAGTATTGTTAAATTTATGTAATAGTTACTAGGTTGGGGATTGGTGCATTTCCAGTTGTACATAGGACAGTTGTATTATGTTAGGCATAATTATGACCTTATTATTGTCTTTATTTGAAAATTACGTATGATCTCAGAAAATGTGTATGGGTTCAAGTTGACAAGAATGGACTTTTGATTGTTAAAACTGAGTGTCAACTTGATTGGATTGAAGGATACAAAGTATTGATCGTGGGCGTGTCTGTGAGGGTGTTGCCAAATGAGATTAACGTTTGAGTCAAAGGCAGACCCACCCTTAATCTGGGTGGGCACAATTCTAGTTAGCTGCCAGCATGGTAGAACATAAGCAGGCAGAAAAATATGAAAAGAGAAACTGGCCTAGCCTCCCAGCTTACATCTTTCTCCTGTGCTGGATGCTTGCTGCTCTTGAACATTGGACTCCAAGTTCTTCAGTTCTGCAACTCGGACTGGCTCTCCTTCCTCCTCAGCCTGCAGATGCCCTATTGTGGGAACTTGTGATCATGTGAATTAATACTTAATAAACTCCCCTTTACATATATATATATATATATATATATATATACACATATATATATATATTCCATTAGTTCCATCCCTCTAGAGAGCCCTGACTAATACACATAGTTTGCAATATATTCTCCCATTCTGAAGTTTGTCTGTTTACTCTGTTGAAGTTTCTTTTGCTGTGCAGGAGCTCTTTAGTTTAATCAGGTCCCACTTATCAATTTTGTTTTTGTTGCCATTGCTTTTAGGGACTTAGTCATAAACTCTTTGCCAAGGCTGATGTCTACAATGGTTTTTCCTAGGTTTTGTTCTAGGATTTCTATAGTTCGAGGTCTTTAATCCATATTCAATTAATTTTTGTATATGGTGAAAAGTAGGAGTCCAGTTTTATTCTTCTGTATGTGGCTATCTAGCTATCCCAGCATCGTTTATTGAATAGGGAGCTTTTCCCCCTTGCTTATTTTTGTCAACTTTGTTTCAATCAGATGGCTGTAGGTGTGTGGCTTTATTGCTGGATTCTTTATTCTGTTCTATTAGTCTATGTGTCTGTTTTTGTATTAGTACCATGGTATTTTGGTTACTGTAATGTATTGTAGCTTGAAGTTGGGTAGTGTGATGTCTCTGGCTTTGTTTTTCTTGTATAGAATTGCTTTGGCTTTTTAGGTTCTTTTTTGGTTCCATGAGAACTTTGGGATGCATTTTTTTTTTAGTTTTGTGAAAAATGATGTTGGTAGTTTGGCAGGAACAGTGTTGAATCTGTAGATTGTTTTGGGCAGTATAGCCATTTTAACAGTATTGATTCTTTCAATCCATGAGCATGGGGTATTTTTCCATTTGTTTGTATCATCTCCGATTTCTTTCAGCAGTGTTTTGTAGTTCTCCTTGTAGAGATTGTTTTCCTCCTTGGTTAAATGTATTCCAAAGTATATTCTTTTTTTCTTTTTGTGGCTACTGTAAATGGGATTGCATTCTTTATTTGAGTCTCAGCTTGAATATTATTGGTGTATGAAAATGTTACTGATTTTTGTACACTGATTTCAAATCCTAAAACTTTAGTGAAGTTATTTATCAGTTCTAGGAGCCTTTTGGAGGAGTCTTTAGGGTTTTCTAGGTATAGAATTATATCATCAGTGAAGAGAGATAATCTGACTTTTTCTTTTCATATTTAGATGCATTTTATTTATTTCTCTTGTCCGAATTGCTCTGGCTAGGACTTTCAGTACTATGTTGACTGGGAGTCATAAGAGTGGGAATACTTTTCTTCTTTCTGTTCTTAAGAAAAATGCTTCCACCTTTTGCCTATTCAGCATGATGTTGGCTGTGGGATTGTCATAGATGGCTTTTATTCTTTTGAGGTATGTTCCTTCAATGCCTAGTTTGTTGAGGATTTTTATCATGAAGAGATGCTAGATTTTATATTTAAAAAGCTTTTACTGCATCTATTGAGATGATCGGATGGCTTTTTAAAAATTCTATTTATGTGGTGAATCACAATTATTAATTTGCATATGTTGGAACAGTCCTGTATCCCAGGAATAAAGCCTACTTGATTGTGGTGAATTAACCTTTTGATTTGCAGCTGCATTTGGTTTGCAAGTATTTTGTTGAGGGTTTTTGCATCTACGTTCATCAGGGATATTGGCTTGTATTTTTAGTTGTGTCTTTGCCAGATTTTGGTATCAGAGTGGTGCTGGCTTCATAGATTAAGTTAGGGAGGAGTCCCACCTCCTTGATTATTTTTAATAGTTTCAGTAGAATTGGTAACAGCTCTTCTTTGCACATCCGGTAGAGTCTGGATGTGAAATTATGTGGTTCAGGGCTTTTTTGGTTGGTAGGTTTTGTTATTACTGAATCAACTTCAGAAATCAATATGGGTCTGTTCAGGGTATCAGTTTCTTCCTTACACATCCTGAGAGGTTGTGTGTTTCTAGGAATTTATTCATTTCCTCTAGATTTTCTAGTTTGTGTGCATAGAAATGTTCCTAATAGCCTCTGAGAATCTTCTATATTTCTGGGGGATTGGTTGTAAAACCACCATTGTCATTTATTAAGTATCTGCTATGTGCCAGGCCCCATGCTGAGCACTGGGATTCCCCTGCCCTGTGGAGCTAACCTACACCCGCATCAATACACAGTCACAGTGGTGGTGAGGTCTGAGAGGAAAGCCACAGGCCAAGTAATGGCATAAGATCAGGAAAAGCCCTGGTCTGGCAGCAGTAAAGGATAGTGTGAGGGGTGAGGAGGCTGGGAAAGGAGAAGCTTAGAGGCACAGGCAGGGGCCAAAGTGGGTGTGCTTTGAACACAAGGGAAAGACATTGGACTTTATCTTGAGGGTCACTGGAAACCCAGATGAGTTTTAGGCAGAGCAGTGACTTGTATTTTAGAAAGCCTAGCTTGGTTGCTAAGAGCAGGTGGCAACTTCCAGGTGAGAGATTATGTAGCCACCATCTGAGACTCAGATACATAGAAAGCAAGAGATGGAGGGAGAAAAGCAGGATCAGGGACTGGTCTTGGTAGGTGATCAAAGCTCACACCAGATCACTGATGAGATTCATGGGCTGCTTACACAGGAGAAGTGACACGACTGGCCAGATAAGAGGAGCGGCCAGCTATGGACAGCTGAGCTTGGGGATGACATCTAAGTGGGGGTCTCTAGGTGGGAACAGGCTGATTGCAAGTTCTGGTGCTTAGGAGAGGGGATAGAGCAGTGGAAATGGCCTGGGCTCCCTCGTGGAACCCAGCCATGAGTGTGGAGCATCAGAAGAGAGACAAGGGAGGGGCCTAGAAAGGAGGCTGCAAAAGGGTGGCCTGAGCAGTGGAGGACACCAGGAGCATGTCACCTGGAAGGAGCAGAGGAGGGTAAGTTTCAGGCCATAGGGCATGGCCAGCTGGTCTAATACAGCCAAAGTCAAGGATGATAAAGACAGCAGCAATGTGGGGGCCATCAGTGCCCCTAACCAGAGGAGAGTCCCAGGTGAGTGGGAGAGGAGGAAATACAGACAGCCAGATTCAATGACCCCCCTCCTGGAAGCTCTGCTGGGACTATGAGGGGAGAGAGGAGACAGCACGTAGGTTCACAGGGTGACTTTCTATTTAGATGCTGAGCAGAAAGTGCAGTTTGTGAAGGGCTGGTGTTCCCATCACAGTAATGCAGAACTGGCTGACTGTAAAATGGCTTTGCCACTCACAGACCATGTTTTCACCTTTGGTGTCAAGTGGTGATCCCCTTAACAACCCTGTGAGGTAGATGCTGCTGCTTCTGCTTTACAGATGAGTAACTGGAGCCTCCGAGAGGTGAAGTCAGTGGCTCCTGGTTTGCAGCTCATACAAAGCAGGAGCAGGATCTGAATTGGGGGATTACAATTTGAGATGAGATCTGAGTGGGGACACAAAGCCAAACCATATCATTACTCTTCAAATATTTTAAAAATATAATTTTTTCCCAATGCTCAGTAAAACATGATAATTGCTTGAATGAAGTGTTGATTTTATCTTTTATAGAAAATCAGAAAATTCAAATTAAAAATGGCAGAAAAAAGTGTAAAAAATTAGAGTTACAGAAAATAAGATAAATTTTGTAAGACTTAATATGTTATAATACCTCCTAATTTGCCTGCAAATCTGTGAAATGTGTGAAATTAATGTAAAACTTTTCTAAACATTATCCTAGTTTCTTCAGTGTAGAGACACAAATGCTTGGATCAACAATGACTCTGCTAAATATAATTTCATAGTCCTTGGGTAAAATATTTTAGAATTCATGAATGTAGATGTGAAAAGATAGAAAAAAATATTTCTTTTAATTTTCAAAAAGGGCTTACTATAACAGAAGACTGCTATAGATCAATAAGCTTAATATGTATTATGCTATATTCCAGGACTGATTATTAGACAAATATTTGAGGCTTCTAGACACAAATAAGTAAAATATTTTACTTACTATGCTATATGTACTAACAGAATGTCATGACAATTGAACCTCTAATAATCTTTCTTAGAGTTACTAGATTGACAAATAAGGGCAAAACTATAGCCAAATATGAAGATAAGGATTAGAAATAGCCTTTAGCAAACAGTGAGAAAACTACAAAGATTAGTTTATGATATAATTGCCTTAGGGATACAAGTGCTACTGTAAATATGCATAATACAATGCCTAGGAAATTACAGACTCCTGAAAGAGAATTGTAACTCTACTACATATTGAATACAGTGGATGAATAGGTTGAAATAGTATTTAATGTAGCACTATTAAAAGTAAATGTTCAAAAATGCAGGTATCTTTTTTTACTCAGAAAATTAAAAGTTTAAGATAATGAATTACTTTAAGATCATATGGTGTAACTTAACATCTTAAGGTGTAACATGTGAAAAGTTTAACACACTCTCCACCACTACCTCTGTTCCTCATCTTCCATTTACAGTCATGTGCTGTATAATGACATTTCAGCCAGTGACAGAAAACATAAGTGACAGTGGTCTCATAAGATTATAATGGAGCTGAAAAATTCCTATCATCTAGTGACATGGTAGCCGTCATAATGGCATAGTGTAATTACTTTGTTTTAAAAATAAATGTAGTATATCATAAAGGTATAGTGCTTATAAATTCTATAGTAATATGATGTCCTAGGCCTTGATTCACTCACCACTTACTCACTGACACATCCAGAGAAACTTCCAGTTCTGCAAACTTCATTCATGTTAGTTTCCCTATACAGGCGTATCATCTTTTAATTTTTTAAACTGTATTTTCACTGTGTCTTTTCTAAGTTTAGATAAAAATACCATTGTGTTATAATTTCCCATAGTATTGAGTATAGTAACATATAGGTTTGTAGCCTAGGAGCAATATGCTATATACCATGTAGCCTAGGTGTGTAGTAAGCTGTATCATTTAGGTTTGTGCACGTACACTCTATGATGTTTGCACAAAACCAAAATTACCTAAGGACACATTTCTTCAGTATGTATTCCCATTGTTAAGTGACACAGGATTGTATTCCTCTGTCCATTTCAGGTTAGTTCTTGCACCCTCCCTTCCATAGGAACTTTTCTCATGTCATCATGACCTCCTTATTACTAAATATGGTGAATATTTTTAGATTATTATATTAATTTATTTATTGACAGCATTTTATATTTCTGACAATTTAATTTCTTCTTTTCTTACCTATTAATGTTTTTTCTCTTTCTTTTACAAAATTATGATCCTATCATTTTATAAAAATGATTTTACAAATGAGAAATATTATAAAAGAAGGTTATAAACAAGCAATACAGAGAAGTGTGGAGTTGAGGGCAAAATAATAATTTCCAAATCTGACCAACTTCATATATCTTTTAGCAAAATTCAGTGACTGTCATTTTAGACATCTGTGAGGGGACTTATATGAATACACACACACACACACATGCACACACACACAGACTAGTTCATTTAAAAAACATTTATAATTTATATTATTTTATTTTTACTAAGAAGTATTAAACTTTGTTACTTGCATAGAAAGAAATAAAACTCAAGGAACTGATAAACTATTTTTTTGCAAATTAAAAATTTTAAACTGACATATACAATTTTTTACTTATTGTGGAATGGTTAAATCTTGCTAATTAACAAACGCGTATTACCTCATATATATAAATTACCTCAAATATTTATCATTTTTGTGGCAAGAACACTTAATATCCACTTTTTAAGCATTTTTTAAGAATACAGTCATTATGTAAAATAATATGGCAGTTCCTCAGAAAAATTAAAAATGGGACTACCATATGATACAGCAATCCCACTAGTGGGTATATATCCAAAGGAAATGAAATCAACATGTCAAAGAGACCTGCACTTTCACATTTATTGCAGCATTATTCACGATAGCCAAGATATGAAATCAACCTAAGAGTCCATGGATGGGTGGATGGATATAGAAAATGTGACACACACACACACACACACACACAAACACTATTCAGCCACACACACACGAATACTATTCAGAGACACACACACACACAGACACACACGAATACTATTCAGCAACACATACATACATACACTAGAATACTATTCAGACACACACACACACAAGAATACTACTCAGCCACACACACACACTAGACTAGTATTCAACCACACATGCACACACACACATACATACACAATACAAGACTATTCAGCCACAGAAAAGAAGATCCTGCAATTTATCCCAACATGGATGAAACTGGAAGACATTATGTTAAGGAAAATAAGCCAGGCACAGAAAGACAAATAACTTCATAATCTCACTCATATGCAGAATGTAAAAAAGTTGATCACATAGAATTATAGAGTAGAATGATGGTTATCAGAGGCTGGGATGGATGGGGGAAAGAAGAGTTAGGGAGATGTTGGTCAAAGGATATATAAGTTAGACAGGAGGAATAAGTTCAAGTGATCTGTTGTTATAACATAATGACTATGGTTAATGAAAAACTTTAGATAGCTTCTGACTATAAGTGATTGTAGTTTTTGCGATATCCTTCTTATTAAGGGAAAATGATTAATAGATAACTTTGATGCTTGAATAATTATTTTTAACTATACTACTCAACTTTGAGTTGTGGTTGTTGATACTGCTATAAAGTTGAAGAAATTGGTACATTTATACTTCCAATTCTCATCTCATCCATCTCATTTTTATTACATTACAAACTGTCATTTATTAACTGTCAGTTTAAAAGTTTGTAACGTTTACATTCTGTCTTATCTCCATAATTCTCCCATTTGTGTAATTTAGTCATATATTTGAGTCACTTAAACACTCAACATCAGTCTTTTGCTGTGATTCCTCTGATCTTTTTATTTGTATCCCTTGGTTGGCTGAATTTTGTCTACAAATTCTTTATTGCTTCAGAATGTCAATTGCATTTGTACTTGAAGGACAACTTAACTGGATTAAATTACAGGGGTCACTCTCTATTCTTTAAAACCCTGTAACTATTGCTTTGCTGTCCTTTGCAGCAGCTATAACAGAGGCAAATCTGAGTCCCAATTCTTTCTTGACTTCCCTTTTTGTCTAGATGACCATATAAATTTTTCTTTACTCTTGAAATTTAATTATGTCACCAGGAATGTCTCAATAGTAATTATGTTACTTTTTAAAATTATTTATACCTTATCTTTGAATACTTTTCTATGGCTCATTTCTTGAGGACTTCAAGGAACCCTGTAAGGGTTTTAAGCAGGTAATATTTAAATTTAGAAACACTACTTTGGATACATATGGAGAAGGTTTTGGGAACAGCAATACTAACAGTGGAGAACACTGAAAGATATGTTTCTGAAGTAAAACTTTGATACATTCCTTTTCTATTATTTGTGACCTAGCTGGCTAGATGAAGAATGGTGAACTGAAAGAGACAGGGAGGAGGTAGTAATAAATCAGTATCACAGAAATCCTGTGAACTAAGTGCTTTTCAAGGAACTTTGGAGAAGTAAAAAGTGCAAACTATAGGAACATGTGACTCTAGAGAAACGAAATAACCAATTTGGTGAGAGGGAGTTTGAGACAATAGATTTGAGTTGTTGCTGCCAACTACACACCACTATTGGTGCCCATAAAAGGTCATTAGCACATAGACAGTTACCCTCAAATATCAGTGATACAAAGAAGGGTGACCTAAGCATGGACACTAAAAAAAACTTTAGTGGAGAGAACATAATCAAAATGAAGATGAAGACTATATGCACATATATATTACACAAGTAATGAGTCAAAGAAGCATAAGAAGTGTTCAAATAAAAAGAGTTATAAAATGGAGATTATACAACAATAAAAGGAAATGAAAGATGACTTGCTTGAAACCAAGTAAAGAAAAACAGAAAAAATGATAAAAATAAATGTCATATGAAAGACAACATAGAAGTCAAATTTCACTATTGTGAAAATGACCATACTGCCCAAAGCAATCTACAGATTAAATGAGATTCCCATCAAAATACCATCATTATTCCTCACATAACTAGAAAAAACAAACCTACAATTTATATGAAACCAAAAAAGAGCCCACATAGCCAAAGTAAGACTAAGCAAAAAGAACAAATTTGGAGGCATCACATTACCCGACTTCAAATTATACTGCAATATACTATAGCTACCAAAACAGCATGGTACTGGCATAAAAATAGGCATGTAAAACAATGGAACAGAATAGAGAAGCCAGAAATAAAGCCAAATGCTTACAGCCAACTGATCTTTTACAAAGCAAACAAAAACCGAAAGTGGGGAAAGGACACCCTATTCAACAATGGTACTGGGATAATTGGCAAGCCACATGTAGAAGACTGAAACTGGATCTTCATCTGTCACCTTATACAAAATCAACTCAAGACCTGAAATCATAAAAATTCTAGAATATAACATTGGAAAAACCTTTCTAGATATTGGCTTAGGAAAAGACTTCATGACCAAGAACCCAAAAGCAAACACGATAAAAACAAAGATAAACAGACGGGACTTAATTAAACTAAAGCTTCTGCACAGCAAAATACATAATCAGCAGAGTAAACAGACAACCCACAGAGCGGGAGAAAATCTTTGCAATATATACATCTGACCAAATACTAATATCCAGAGTCTACAAGGTACTCAAATCAGCGAGAAGAAGAAGAAATCCCATCAAAAAGTGGGCTAAGGAGATGAATAGACAATTCTCCAAAGAAGATACACAAATGGCCAACAAATATATGAAAAAGTGCTCAACATTAATAATCATCAGGGAAATGCAAATTAAAACCACAATGAGATACCACCTTACTCCTGCAAGAATGACCATAATTAAAAAGTCAAAAAATAATAGATGTTGGTGTGGATGTGGTGAAAGGGAACACTTTCACACTGCTGGTGGAAATGTAAATTAGTACAACCATTATGGGAAACAGTGTGGAGATTACTAAAAGAACTAAAAGTGGAACTACCATTTGATCCAGCAATCCCACTACTGGGTAACTACCCAAAGGAAAATAAGTCATTATATAAAAAAGACATATGGGCATGCATGTTTATAGCAGCACAATTCACAACTGCAAAAATATGGAACCAAACTAAGTGCCCATCAACCAATGAGTGCATAAAGAAAATGTATATATACACCATGGAATACTACTCAGCCATAATAAGTAATGAAATAATGTTTTTTGGCAGCAACTTGGTTGGAGCAGGAGGTCATTATTCAAAGTGAAATAACTCAGGAATGGAAAACCAAATATCATATGTTCTCACTTTCCTTATAATAGGTCAGAGCTAAGCTATGAAGAACCAAAGGCACAAGAATGATTTAGTGGACTTTGGGGAACCAGGAGGGAAGGTTGGGAGGTATTGAGGGATAAAAGACTATATATTGAGTACAGACTGTACTGCTTGGGTGACAGGTGCATTAAAATCTCAGAAATCACCACTAAAGAACTTATCCATGTAACCAAAAACCACCTGTACCCCCAAAACTATTGAAATAAAAATATAAAAAGAAGCTATTCTCAGATGAAAAACATGTTGGATAAAACAGTGGATAATGATAGATAACTGGGAGTTGGCTTATCATTCATCTGCCTCCATATTACATGTGTGAACATGTATATACACATATGCATGCATATGTAGCAAATGAACTCCAATATTACATATGTATGTGTGTCTAGGTATACATTCATGTGTATATGTAAAAGTGGTGTTGATGTCTATAATTTCTATGTATAATACAAAAACCTCCATGAGTCCATATAGAACAGAAAGAAGGAAAAAAGGAGGGAAAGAGAAAGAGGGAGGGAGGGAAGGAAGGAAGGAAGGGAGGGAGGGAAGGAGGGAGGAAGGGAGGGAGGGAAGGAGGGAGGAAGGGAGGGAAGGAGGGAGGGAGGGAGGAAGGGAGGGAAGGAGGGAGGGAGGGAGGGAGGAAGGGAGGGAAGGAGGGAGGGAGAAAAGGAAGGAAGGGAGGGAGGGAGGGAAGGAAGGAGGGGGAGGGAGGGAGGGAGGGAAGGAGGGAGGGAGGGAGAAAAGGGGGGGAAGGGAGGAAGAAAAAGCAACAATTTTTCCTAACAGAAGAATTCCAATTCTAGATGGAGAAGGAATGTGGAAAATAGAACATCACCATTAGAGCACAACAGTTGTAACTGCTTCAGGCAAGACCCACTGATGAATGCTAAAATTAGTGAGTAAGACTTTAAGGGGGAACAGGATATTCACATTGCCCCAAAATATCTGCCATCAAATATTTATTGATAATTGTGGTAGTTTTAACATGTCTACAAATTCTTAAACACTCCTCCCTCTAGGAAATGAAGCTTAATATCCATGGATCGGATTTAATAACTCCAACGGCTGGACTTAGTAACTCACTTCCAAAGGGCAGAGTATGGAAAGGGGAAATGGTAACATTACAGTGCACAGGTCTGGCAGACATTACCTTACCCAAGTGATCAAGGCCAACATCACCAGCATAACACATATTGATATTCAGTACCCCAAATCCATAACTTCAGAGTAATTATGAGAAAACATTAGACAAAACCAAACTAAAGGACATTCTACGAAACACCTAAACCACTATTCTCCTAAAGTGTCAAGGTAATGAATAACAAAGAAAAACTGATGAACTGCAGTAGATTGAAGGAGACCAAGGAGGCATGACACCTAAATGCAGTGCAGTATCCTGACTTGAATCCTGGAACAGAAGACATTAGTGGAAATATCAGGATAAAATCAATAGTCTGTAATTTAGTCAATAGTATTTGTTGAGCCAATCTTAATTTCTTAATTTTGGTTACTGTACATGGTTATGTGAGATATTAACATCATGGGAAGCCAGATAAAAAGTATACAGGGGCTGTCTGTACTATCTTTGCAAGTTTTCTGTAAGTCTAAAATGATCAAAATAATTTTTTTTCAAGTGTTTAGCTTTGATGAACATAAGGGTTATACTCAGCACCTTGAAGTGGAAGGGTGTCAAACCCTGGTGACTGAAGTTGAAAATAAAAACAATTTAGCCGTAACCACTTACTACTTATTACTATTCACCAGGGTAATTTGAGTGTCCAAGTTTCCCAAACTAAAATCTACTGCGAAATTGGCTAGGGGAGCTTTCAATCCACCCAGCTGCAGGCCCTGGAGTGGATTAGGAAGATTCAGCCTCCTGTTCAACCCCTTTCTCCTGCTATCCCTGCATTGGGGATGTAGTTTAGCTCTAGTGGGTGATTTGGATGTTTGAGATGGCTGAGCTGAAACAACGGAGATGGGAGTTGGTGATGATTGGTACTTTGTAGAAAGGTGAGAAAAGCATTTTAAAAAGTCAGATTTATGAAAGACAGGCTTGAGGAAATCATGTTAAGTGAAATGGAAAAATGATAAAATTATTATGAAGAAGATTTTAGACATGGAAGATAGACTTGTTTTCATTCTAAAGAATCTGAAGCAGATACAGGTAAACTTTTATAAAGAGGCAAAAAGTAAGTATTTTAAGCCTGGTGGGACAAAGGTCTCTGTTGCAACTACTCAACCTTGTCATTGTAGAGTGAAAGCATTCATAAACTATGTAAACAAACTGGCCTGGCTGTGTTCCCTTAACGCTTTAACAAAAACAGGTGTTGGGATGGATTTGTTTCATTGGTCATTTTTTGCTGATCTCTGATCTAAAAGATTAAAACAGAAAAAGTAATTGTATTCAGTGGGAACCTATGTGTTCTTTAGTGAATTGGTTTGTGTGTGTGTGATTAATACCTACAGCCATTTAAGGCACAGAGCCCAGAGCAATGGCCCCTTTTGTCTGAGCTTAAGAGTAGGATTGGCTTCCAAGAAAGATTTGCTCTCTGTATTACCTTATCATTCCTTTACTTCTCTTATCACAACACTTCCCCCCAACCCCCATTTAATTGTTTATTTGTTCCTATATTCCTCCCCACAATCAAAATTTCCCAAAGCCTGTTTTTCTGATTCATTGCTGGAACCTTGGTGACTAGTAAATTACCTGGAACATAAGAGGACCTCAATTCATATCTTTAAACATGTGAATAAAAAGATCTCAAGATTCCACTTTATTCAGCATCTTAGTGCCATTTAAAATGAAAGTCATAATGAAGCAGTAGCTCAAGAGTTACTAATTACAATTGAAAGTTTAGAAGTTACTATTGACAAAACCCATGTGTGCTAGAAAATAAACCTTGTGTATTTATTAGGATGATAAACCACATCTGAGAGTTAGCCTGACTGTGTGACAAAAAGAGGAGGTGGATGATAATGGAATGTGAGCAGTTACTGAAGTTGGCTGACATTTCAAACACCTGAGGCATCTTTCACATGGAAAATTTGATTCACAGTAAAATGAGGCTCTGCATGACAAATTGCAAAGCTTCAATCAAAGCAACAAAAGTGGTCCTCGGTGTAGGGGGAAAGTTAGAAATCCAAGTTAACAATAATGGATAACATTTATCAAGTGCTTATATGTGCTGGGTACCATTTTATGCTCTTTGCATCTAGACATTTAATGAGGAAACTATTACTGTTTTCCTCTTCATTTTATTTATAAGTACACTTAACAACAGAGATGCTATGTAATTTTCCTAAGGTCATGCTTATTAAGTGGTGGATGGAGAATCTGAATATACATAGTCTGGTTCAGGAACCTCTGCACTTAATTGCTAAGAATACTAAAATCCTGGCAGCAAAGACTTACAAAACAAACATGTGTGAAAGGAAAACACTAAGCCATCTAGACAATAAGTCCATGGAAGGAAGAAAACGTAATGCTGTAGTCATCCTTATATTGACCTAGGAGAACTGATCATCTCTAGTCTATTGTAACAGCAATATGTACTGATATGGTCTAAAAATTATTGTGTTATAAAATGAAATGTGAGCTCTTTAATATTTAAATTGATACATTGTGTTTACTGCCAAATGACTTTAAGACTTCTATGGATTCATGATAAAAGAATGAATTTGTTTTTGTTGTTATAAATAACTGTTGTTTTATTAATGCACACTAAATATATGCTTAATGGAAAAAATTGGAAATTATGAAAAACTAGAAAGAAGAAAATAAAAGTAACCTGTACTGACAGATTTGACACAAACTCTATCAAAATTCCACTGGCATTTTTAATAGAAATATAAAAGAATTCCAAAATTCATATGGAACCACAAAAGACCCCAAATAGCCAAAGCAATCTTGAGAAAGAAGAACAAAGTTGGAAGCATTACAATTCCTATTTAAAATTACATTACAAAGCTATAATAATCAAATCAAAAGTGGCATAAAAACAGACACACAGACGAGTGAAACAGAATAGACAGCACAGAAATAAACCTAAGCATATAAGGTTAACTAATTTTCAACAAGGGTGCCAAGAATACATAAGGGGGAAAGGATAGTTTCTTTGATAAATGGTGTTGGGAAAATTGTATATCCACATGCAAAAGAATGAAATTGGATTCTTATCTTAAACCATATAAGAAAATCAACTCAAAATGAATTAAAAACTTAAATGTAAGACCTAAAACGATAAAACTTCTAAATAAAAACATAAGAGAAAAGCTCTATGACATTGATTTTTCCAATGATTTCATGAATATGACACAAAAAACTCAGGCAACAAAAAAAAACAAACAAGTGGGACCATATCAAATTAAAAAGCATCTGCATGGCAAAGGAAGCAATCAATAAAATGAAAAGGCAGCCCAATTGAGTAGGAGAACATATTTGCAAACCATATGTCTCATAAGGGATTAATGTTCAAAATATATAAGGAACTCCTCAAACTCAATAGCTAAAAAAACAATCTGATTTAAAAACGGGCAAAAGACCTAAATAGACATTTTCCAAAAATAGACATACAAACGGCCAATAGGTGCTTAACATAACTGATCATCAGGGAAATGCAAATCAAAAGCACAATGAGATATCATCTCCTGCCTGTTAGGATGGCTACTATCAAAAAGATAAAAGATAAGTGTTGGCGAGGATGTGGAGGAAAAAGGAACCCTTGTACACTGTTGGCAGGAATGTAAATTGGTGCAGGCATTATAGAAAATAATATGAAGGTTTCTAAAAAAACTGGAGTAGAACTACTATATGATCCAGCAATCCCTTTTCTGGGTATATAGCCAAAGAAAGTAAAATCAGTATCTTGAAGAGATACCTGCACTTCCATGTTCATTGCAGTATTAGTCACAATAGCCAATATATGGAAACAACGTAAGTGTTCAATGCTGGATGACTGGATAAAGAAGAAATTGTGTTGAATTTTATCGAAGACCTTTTCTGCATCTATTGAGATATTCATATGGTTTTTGTCTTTGGTTCTGTTTATGTGATGGATTATGTTTATTGATTTGTGTATGTTGAACCAGCCTTGCATCCCAGGGACGAAGCCGACTTGATCTTGGTGGATAAGCTTTTTGATGCGCTACTGGATTTGGTTTGCCAGTATTTTATTGACGATTTTTGCATCGATGTTCATCAGGCATATTGGCTTGAAATTTTCTTTTTTGTTGTGTCTCTGCCAGGTTTGGCTATCAGGATGATGCTGGCCTCATAAAATGAGTTAGGGAGGATTCCCTCTTTTTCTATTGATTGGAATAGTTTCAGAAGGAATGGTACCAGCTTCTCTTTGTACCTCTGGTAGAATTTGGCTGTGAATCCGTCTGGTCCTGGGCTTTTTTTGGTTGATGGGCTATTAATTACTGCTTCAATTTCAGAACCTGTTATTGGTTTATTCAAGGATTCGACTTCTTCCTGGTTTAGTCTTGGGAGGGTATATGTGTCCAGGAATTTATCCATATCTTCTAGATTTTCTAATTAATTTCTGTGGAGTTGTTTATAGTGTTCTCTGATGGTAGTTTGAATTTCTGTGGGATCAGTGGTGATATCACCTTTATAATTTTTTATTGTGTCTATTTGCTTCTTCTCTCTTTTCTTCATTATTAGCCTGGCTAGGAGCCTATGTATTTTGTTAATCTTTTGAAAAAAACAGCTCCTGGATTCATTGATTTTTTGAAGGGTTTTTCGTGTCTCTATCTCCTTCAGTTTCTTCCTGCTAAAACCTCTCAATAAACTAGGTATTGATGGAATGTATCTCAAAATAATAAGAGCTATTTATGATAAACCTATAGCCAATATCATACTGTATGGGCAAAAGCCCTTTGAAAACTGGCACAAGACATGGATGCCTCTGTCACCACTCCTATTCAACATAGTATTGGAAGTTCTGGCCAGGGCAATCAGGCAAGAGAAAGAAACAAAGCGTATTCAAATAGGAAGACAGGAAGTCAAATTGTCTCTAGTTGCAGATGACATGATTGTATATTTAGAAAATCCCATCGTCTCAGCCCCAAAGTTCCTTCAAGCTGATACGCAACTTCAGCAAATTCTCAGGCTACAAAATCAATGTGCAAAAATCACAAGAATTCCTATACACCAATAACAGACAAACAGAGAGCCAAATCATGAGTGAACTCCCATGCACAATTGCTACAAAGAGAATCAAATACCTGGGAATACAACTTACAAGGGATGTGAAGGACCTCTTTAAGGAGAACTACAAACCACTGCTCAAGGAAATAAGAGAGGACACAAATGAATGAAAAAACACTCCGTACTCATGGATAGAAAGAATCAATATTGTGAAAATGGCCATACTGCCCAAAGTAATTTACAGACTCAGTGCTATCCCCATCAAGCCACCACTGATTTTCTTCACAGAATTAGAAAAAACTACTTTAAATTTCATATGGAACCAAAAAAGAGCCTGTATAGCCAAGACAATTCTAAGCAAAAAGAACAAAGCTGGAGGCATCACGCTACCTGACTTCAAATTATACTACAAGGCTACAGTAACCAAAACAGCATGGTATTGGTACGAAAACAGAGATATAGACCAATGGAACAGAACAGAGACCTCAGAAATAACACCACACATCTACAACCATCTGATCTTTGACAAACCTGAGAAAAACAAGCAATGAGGAAAGGATTCCCTATTTAATAAATGGTGTTGGGAAAACTGGCTAGCCATATGCAGAAAACTGAAACTGGACCCCTTCCTTACACTGCATACAAGAATTAACTCAAGATGAATTAAAGGCTTAATGTAAGACCTAAAACCATAAAAACCCTAGAAGAAAACCTAGGCAATACCATTCAGGACATAGACATGGGCAAAGGCCCCATGTCTAACACACCAACAGCAAAGGCAACAAAAGCCAAAATTGACAAATGGGATCTAATTAAACTAAAGAGCTTCTGTACAGCAAAAGAAACTATCATCAGAGTAAACAGGCAACCTATAGAAAGGGAGAAAATTTTTGCAATCTATCCATCTGACAAAGGGCTAATATCCAGAATCTACAAGGAACTTAAACAAATTTACAGGAAAAAAAAAAACCAAACAACCCCATAAAAAAAGTGGGCGAAGGATATGAATAGACCCTTTTCAAAAGAAGACATTTATGCAGCCAAAAAGTATATGGGAAAAAAAGCTCATCATCACTGGTCATTAGAGAAATGCAAATCAAAACCACAATGAGATACCATCTCCTGCCAGTTAGAATGGTGATCATTAAAAAGTCAGGAAACAACAGATGCTGGAGAGGATGTGGAGAAATAGGAATGCTTTTACACTGTTGGTGAGAGTGTAAATTAGTTCAACCATTGTGGAAGACAGTGTGGTGATTCCTCAAGGATCTAGAACCAGAAATACCATTTGACCCAGCAATGGCATTGCTGGGTATATACCCAAAGGATTATAAATCATTCTACTATAAAGACACATGCACATGTATGTTTATTGCAGCACTATTCACAATAGCAAAGACTTGGAACCAACCCAAATGCTCACCAATGATAGACTGGATAAAGAAAATGTGGCACATATACACCATGGAATACTATGCAGCCATAAAAAAGGATGAATTTATGTCCTTGTCAGGGACATGGATGAAGCTGGAAACCATGATTCTCAGCAGACTAACACAGGAACAGAAAACCAAACACTGCATGTTCTCACTCATAAGTAGGAGTTGAACAATGAGAACACATGGACACAGGGAGGGGAACATCACACACTGGGGCCTGTAAGGGGGCGGGGGGCTAGGGGAGGGATAGGATTAGGAGAAATACCTCATGTAGATGACAGGTTGATGGGCACCACCCATGGTATGTGTATACATATGTAACAAACCTGCATGTTCTGCATATGTATCCCAGAACTTAAAGCATAATTTTAAAAAAAGAAATTGTGGTACACACACACACACACACACACAGAGAGAGAGAGAGAAAGAGAGAGAGAGAGAGAGAAATATTATTCAGCCTTTTAAAGAAAAAGAGATTCTGCCATTTGCAACAACAGAGAGTAGAAAAATGGTACCAGAAGCGAGGAAGTGGAGGAGATATATTGGTCATAGGGTACAGTTGCAATTATGTAGGGTATGTAGGTCTAGAGAACTAATGTGCAGCATAATGATTATAGTTAATAATACTGTATTATATACCGGAAATTTGTTGGGGGACTAGATTTCAGGTGCTCTCATGGAACATATAGACACACACATAGTAACTATGTGAGGAAATGTATAATGTTATTAAGCTTGACAATAGTAATGATTTCCCTATGTATGTGTGTATTAAAACATCATGTTATAAACCTTAAAAAGACAATTTATATTATTAGAAATGACCCAGAGTAAATTAACATTCTGTTTTCCTTTGATAACTTTTACAAATGGTTTATTTATTTTTGTTATTTTATTATTTTGTCTTCTAGCAAACCATTTTTTCAACAGATAACTTTTACAGACATTTTAATTGGGCTATACCATATATACAATGAAGTATATCAATCTTAAGAGTAAAGCTAGAAGAATTTTAAAAATGAGTATTTCCACCAATCAGACCGTGAATGGAGAGCATTATGCAGAAAGCTTCCTTTTGCTGTCTCCCAGTCAGTAACCCTTAAAAAGTAAATGCTATCCCAGCTACTATTACTGGAGGTTAGTTTTGCTTGCTTTTTAACTGCACACGCATGGAATGATACTATCTGTGATTTTTGGTGTCTGACATTTTTCGCTCAACATAGTATCTGTGAGATTCATCCATGTTGTTGTGTGTCACAGCAGTTTGTTAATGCTAATTTTCCAAAGCAGTAAGTATTAATTTACATTCCCTCCAGCAGTATTAGAAAGCCAATTACTCCCTCACCCAAACCCGGGGTTGTCAAACCTTTTACTTTTGATTGGTTTTAATTGTGATGGGTTTCTAGTATTATCTCACAGAGGTTTTAATGCATTTTCATCTCATATGTAATGTTTTTGACCACTTTTTCATATGCTTATTAGTCATTTGATCACACTACTTTGTAAAGTATTTTGCTCATTTAAAAAATTGGGTTAATTTTACTTATTGCTTTGTAGAAATTATTTATGTCTTCCCACTCTGTAGCTTATGTTTTCACTTCCTAAATAGTGTGTGTAAATGAACAGAATTCCTTAATTTGAACAAAACTCAACTTACTAGTCTTTTCTCTTGTGGTTAGGGCTCTCTGTGTTTTGTTTAAGATATCTTTGCAAACCTGAGTTCTTGAAGTCATCCTCCTAGATTTTATTTTAGAAGACTTATTGTCTTATATTTCATATTTAGATTTGTAATCCACCTGAAATTTATTTTTGTGAACAGAGTGAAATAGTAGTAAGGCCTAGTATTCAACTGATGCAGCACTGTTTATTGAAACAACCAATTTTCCCCATTGCATTACAATGACATCTTTATCATAATTCAGATGGCCTTATAAGTATGGATACAATTTGAATTCTCTTCTATTCCTTGGTTAATTTATCTAAACTTGCTTCAAAAATCACAGTTTTAATTAATGTAGTTTTATAAGACTTAAAAATCCAGTAGTGTAACACCTCCAGCTTTGATCTTCAAGATCATCTTTATTAATCTGGGTTTTTTCATTTTTATATACATTTTATACTTGTTTTGTTGATTTTCACACACACACACACACAAACACACACACCCCATTGGAATTATTTTGAAGCTACAGATTAATCTGGAGAGAACTGACAGATTTAAATATTGTTTCTTCTAATCCATAAATATGTTAAACATATCCATCTATGTAGGTCTTTCTTAATTTTTCTTGGTAATAGCTAATAGTTGTTAGTGTAGAGCTCATACACAACTTTCATTAGTTTTTCTCCTAGCGTTTGGTGCTTTTTGATGGTCTTAAAAACAGTATTTTTCTTAAATTGGTATTTGTTTGTTGCACACACACACACACACACACACACACACACCATAATTGATTCCTGTATATTGACAATACATCCAGTGATCTCACAAAATGTATTTACTGTATTTGTTTTAAAAACTTATATGTTGATTGTTTTCAATTTTCCAAGTGCACAATTACAGCATCTGCAATAAAAAGTTTTATTTCTTCCTTTTGAATCATTCTACTTTATGCATACAAACTTAAGATTTTAATATTCTGTTGAACTGACCATTTTAAGTTAATCATTTTGTGTCTATTAGTACTTTAAATATATTGTACTGAGTCTTACATTAATACAGTATTAGCAATTGTCCTTTTGTTAATGTTTTATATATTTTCCATCCTTTTACTTTCAACTTTAGGTGTATAAGAAGTATTTTGTTTTGCTTTCTTTAACCCAGCTTGACAAACTTTGTCTTGCAGTTTTATTTCACTCACATGTAATATAATTGCTGATATATTTTTATTTGTCTTTAATTTGGACATGTAGCCTATCTCAACTTGAAGAAAGAATTTTATGAAAAAAAATTTAAGAATCATTTTTATGAACAAAAGGTAAAATATGGACTGCATAATAACTTTATTTACTGGTTGAAGAACTCCAGCAGATGTTGTTCAAAAGAGCCTTCAAGTAGGGAGGCATAAAGCTTAAAATTTTCACAGTTGATGAGCTTATCTGATGTATAATATGATACAAAGCTTGATGGAAGAGTTAGTTTCTTCTACAATTACTTTCTTGCATTAGATGCACTCTGCCGTAAAAGGGGTCCCTTAAATTTCTCTTTCTGCTGGGTAGCACCTGGTCCATTGTAATTGTTTTCAAGCCTTCTTCAAACTATGTATTCCTATGGTAATAATCAAGTCAGGCAGGTATATGGCCAGAAGGGGCACCATAGTTGCCCGCCTCCAGGCTGTATCAGGTTCCTGGAGATTGCCCGGTCCTGCTGTTGTCAGTCCTTGCAGATATGATTGATTCATCATTCCACCAGAGTGGTAGCAGTTGCCTACTACAGGATTACCAAGAAGAGTCCTCTGAACATATCCTGGCACTGGCCTATCTGGAAAAAGAGCTGAACTTTTGGCAATTGCAATGTGATCTATAACAGATATATCTATCTCTATCTCTATCAATGTATATAAAGAGGTGTAGAAATAGATATACTAAATATATTTATATATATATCTACTAAACATATCTATATACATCTATATCCTACAATAGATAAAGATAGACATATATATCTAGTATAGAACAGATTAATCAATAGAAAGATATAGATATGTGTAGTATAGATCACATATAGACAGATTGATAGATCAATCAATAGATAAATATAAATAAAGATATATGAACTAGATAGATATTTATACCAGTCTTTGACCACCTGTAGAAAGATACTGAATTAGGGTATAATTCTAAATTTCTTTAATGTAGATAGGAATGGCTAGCTAAACTTCGCGTGATTCAACTTTCTATGACTCAATAAAAGAGATACTTTTTGGGTCGTTGGACCCACATACAACATCCTTTATTTATAATCTACTCCTAACCTACAGAAATGGATCTCAGCTGCCATTATCTAGTATGGAACCAAATCTCCCCGGCCATAAATGATTGGATTAGGGATAAGCACGCAATTCCACTTGTTCTATATTTAATTCTATATCTAGTGAATTTGAAATTGAAAGTGAAACACACTAGGTATCTTGGACATTTAAGAGCCACAGGTACCTCATACATATAAGATGCTTCAGATGTGCATGGAAATAACAAAAGAACTTAGAACTTCGGTCCACACAGAGAGAGATGAAAGGAGGGAGGTGAGGAGAGAGAGAGAGAGAGAAGGAAGGAAGGAAGAGAGGGAGGGAAGGAGGGAGGAATGAGGAAGGAAGGGAGGGAGAGAAGTTTGAAACCTCATGCCCTTGAAAACTATGAAAGGATAGATTCCTTGGTTCCAAATGGCTTTCTAGTGCTTTGTTCATTGAGTAGCTCTTGAAGCCTGTTTGCATCCCTGCCCTTGGATTAAATGAAATATTAACATATACCTAGAATAATTCCTGTTTAATGCTAAGTTAGGAAGGTCACTGCCATGCAGAATATTCTTTCCCATGGAAGACATGTGGATTATGAATATGAGTTGTTAATGGCTCCTCCTGGAACATGTTTGCTGGCAAAGTTCCACACACTGGAAAAGCAGGAAGTAGAGTTGGGACTCAAGGTATCTTAAGACTAGAACAGATGTGGAGCCAGCCTGATCCTATGAAGGGGCCTCATATCTCTTATAGTTTCCCCTGTGTGAATACACACATACTCAGCAAACCAGCACTGAAGACAAGCTTTTCCCTCTTCCTCTGCATCAGGCCCTTTACACTGGAATTGAGGGGCTTAGCTGTCTTTTGGTTATGTTTTCCTAAGACCTGGCCACAGGAATGGGGATTTAATTATAGCCTTAACTGTTCATCCTTAGTGAGGTAAGTCATTTATAGCCTTAACTAATTATCCTTAATGAGACAAGCCAATTAAACTTGAACATTTAATATGGTGGATTATGTTGACCAGATTGGAGGCCTTCAATCTGTAGTATATCTGAGTCAAAATATATTTCTTTTCTCAGATCCTAATATATTTTAAAAGAGAGAGAAACAATCGCATGTTGTACAGAAAAAGGTTTTGGAGTAAAATATGTAAGAAGATGGCTAGTCAGGGTCTAGAGAAACCAATTTCAGATGGTATTTTAATGTGTTGTTTCAGAAAGATCCCTTATAAAAGTAATATATTTGACATTGTTATAAGCTTCAGATAAATTAACTTATTCAGTATTTGTGCCTTATCTATTTCCACATGGATTTGAAGCAAACATAAAGAACTAAGTTGCTCCACAATATCCATGAAAGTTTTCTTGATTTATTCCCCACATACATTTCATATTTTTCTGCTAACAGGAAAGGCCACTGACATATTTAATTAAAATGATAAAAGACTGAATTTGGAGTGTGCTCATTTGTCATTATTTTCTACTTATTAAGAGAATTTGAGCCACCTTAAAATAAAACTCGTATCACAAAATGGCTAAGGAGAATCTCAGAGATATTAAAAAACATATGGCTATTTGAAACAGGTAGTCCTAGATTATAATTCTTTTTCAGCTGCCTATTACTGCTGAATTTAGAGAAATGAATTAGCTGGCACAGTCTTCAATTTTCTCAAATTGTCCAGTGGAGTTCTCTTTTGAGGTAATGGAGCTATTGGTTTTTCCCTTTACTTACCTTCTGTGAGTTCTCATCTGATAATTTTTTGAAGTTCTCCAAACAAGGGTAATTTCTAAGAAAAGAACATAGCTATCATTAGATTCCCCATCCACATTCAAGTACCAGAGACAGAAACAGTGATCTAGAAATACCTTTCAGCTCCTCCTTATAATCCAAAGCCTCATTTCCCTTTGGCATGATTTTAATCAAACTTGTTTGAATTGTTCTTTTTCTTTTTCCTGTTTTAATTACTTGTCTGCTTTGCAGATTCCCTGTTCCTTGACTTATTTGCATCTACTGAAATACAAATTCTAGGCCAGATAGTATGAAGGTTTTTAGAAGGTACTAGTTTATTCCTTTCATTAGTAACTATAAGGTACTAAAATTGAAAATGTGGTCTTTGATAAAACTGATGGTGGCTATTACTGGTTTTGTTGGAGCCAATGAGTTGGCAAGAAATAACAAGTTTTCATTTTTTATTTTTTCTAAGTTTCTAAAATATTTTAAATCATACTTCATCATGATCCATTTTTCTGTTGGTATTAAAAATTCTGCCAAATTATTCACTGCAGAGATAAACATAAACACATTTTAATTAAATGATTTAATGCAGAAAGTTTTTAACTTTCTTAGGTTGGAACTATTGCTTTGCCTGAAGTATTTTTACCTAAATGAAATAATCAAGTGAATATGTGTCAGAAATGCCACATTACTGATTGAATATCCCAATAAGTTGTAATTTTTTGATTCATGTGAAAATGCTAATAAAATTCAGCTACAGTGAAACTGCATTTATTTTTCTTCTGTAAGCAAAACAAGTGAACCTAAACCTTCAAAACTATTTACATAGGGTTTAGCCTGGACTAGAGAGATATAAAGACAACATCAGGCTTGAAATGATTTTAAAATTCAACCAGGAATAGAGGGCCCTTGGAGGATACTAAGACATTTTGTTTTTCAAACATCATTTTTATTGAATGACTTGAAGGTTAATATAATCTAGTCATTATATTACAAATTACCATCCCATGAAGGAATTATGTGCGAAGTTAAACAGACTAGGTGTGAAGACAAATCATAAATGTGGGATATAAAGTAGCTCAAATAAATTGAAGTGAATATCTTAGACTTTTTTTGTGTGCTGAAATGACAAATCTTTGGTGGGCTTTTGTCACTGCAATGTGCTAAAGTAAGATTTAAAACTGGACAAAAGAGAAAATAATAAGCCTAAAGTTCATTTTGTTAGCCCCCCAAATTTGCTTTTGTCTGCTTTCTCCTCAAGAACATATAGGATAAAAGGCGAAGTTATGTTCACCTTTTATAGGATAAAGAAATATAATTTCACCTTTTATCCCACATCAATGTATAATTAATCTGTTGGTTTGTATTTGTTGAAACACTAGGATGCATAGGAGACCATAAATTGGCTTGGAAAACACACAGGGAACGGCAGATAACATCTTTATGCCAAGGATATCTTTGAATAGATGTTTTTTGAGTGCTCAGGTATTAAGATAAATGTGCATAAGTTGGGTTGTTATTGTAATATAGGTTCCTTTTTCCAGGAAGTTCTACTCATTTCTTTACCATTTTAGGGCCATGTAGGATATTATAAGAATTAATACAACAAGTATTGAGTAAAGTAAAAACTCAGATGAATAAGTTTTCACCTCTTCAGTTTCCTCATCTGTAAAATGGGAATAAATGTTGGGCAGAGAGGCATTAAGAATACAATTTAAGTGATTGAAAGAGTTCACAGAATAAAGAAAACATTCAATATAAATTAGATATCATTATTATCACCCAATCATTTTTATTTATTAAGTGCTTTTGATATAGCAATGACTTTGTCTTAATTATGACATTGTAGGATAGTAACCAAACCACAGAGAGTTTAGATATTTGCAGCTTGTTCAAACCAAGAATCTGGCCTAAGCTTCCCTGAGTCCAGAGTGCACAATATTTTCATTATATCATGTTGCCTCACTGCCCAGTATAACAAGTAGAACTTGTCTTTAATGTTAATAGTATAGTGAAAGTAGAATATATATACAAGCAGCTAAAGAATTATTTGGGGAAGACATATTTCAAAAGAGTATGAATTGAAATGGGCATCAGATTAAACAAAGATTGTTCTAATGGAACATATAGAAATAATCAGAAAAAATAGCTACCACACACCTGGATTTAACGAGTGTTGACATTTTGCCAATTGGGATTTCGGATATATGAAAGAGAAAATTGACATATTTGAAGTCTTCTTTAAATCCTTTCCTGATCTCATTTATCCTTCTCTCTGCAAAGGCAACTACTGTCTTGAGTTTGGTATGCCCTTGCCATTTATGTTTCCTATATATATGTGTGTGTGTGTGTGTGTGTGTGTGTGTGTATTTCAATAATATATATAACTTGTGTGTGTATTTCAATAATATTTATAACTTTTTTGTGTTTACAACTTTACTACAAGTGGTATCACACCTATACTTTGGCAACATGATTTTTTTACACATTGCTTTAAATATTGGTATTAATTTTATTATACCCAATTTAATCATTTAAAATTTTGTATAGTATCCCATGTATATACTAAATGTATATACTTCTTATTGATAGATATTTAGATTATTTACATGTTTAGTTCTTGCAAACATTTCAATAACAACCTTGTGTATATCTTTTTGTGCCCATGTATAAAAGTTTTTCTAGAGTATATAACTGTAAGTGGAATTAGTAGATTATAAACTATGTACATCTTCAAATTAACTAGATGTTGCCAAATTGATTTTAGAACTGATTGTATTAACCAGCTCTGATAGGTTATGCTGGGTTAATAAGGCCACCCAAATCTCAGTAGTTTAAAACCCCAAATATTTATTTCACATTCTCGTGAAATGAAGGCTCTAGGTTAGTGGTGCCTCAGCTCATGCCTGAGGGGTGTGTTTCATTCTGGCACCAGATTGCAGGAAGAGTTCCTGTGTGGGACATCCCTATTTTACAGCAAAGAAGAAGAGCCGGAAATGCTGAGTTGAACCTCTGATCCCATTCTGTAAGCCAAAAGTGAGTCCTGTAGGTAAGACCAACATCTGATCCCATTCTGTAAGCCAAAGTGAGTCCCGCAGGTAAGACCAACATCAGTGAAGCAAGGCAGTTATTCCACTCATAGGAGTAAAGAGTGGAGTGTGAATATTTGAGAACAATAATGCAGTTGACTTCAGTCCAAGTTTTTTTTTGTCACAAATATTCACTTCCCTTCCCTCCACAGGCAAAATATACTTACTTCCCTGTCCAAGGAAGACAACACAAGTCTTACCCAATCACAGCATCAAGATCAAAGATTAGTTTGTTTTATTTTTTCAAGATGGCAGATTAGAGGCTTTTAGTGTGCCTCAGCCACTTGGAAATAGCAAGATAGTGCATAAAGATAAACTCCCTAAGCTTTAATTCAAGAAGGAATGTAGGAACCCACCAGAATTATGAAGGACATCCCAGATCCCGGGGAGGAGTGAGTGAAGTGAGTGAAGCCCCCATATGCAAAAGAGGCAGAGAACCTCCCTCTGTGACTTACAGGGAGAGCTGAGTGACCTAGGCCAAGGGAGAACACTTCATTTCTCCCAAGTCTTGAAGCTAACTTGGGGAGAGGCTTGGAAATGCTGTGAGGGAAACACACCAGGAAAAGCTACAGGCAATTTCCAAGATTTAGGACCAAAAGCAGAAGGCCACTTTTAATCCAGGCTGATACAAAGTCAGCCATTCTTTGGTGCCTCAGCAGTATGGCCACGCAGACATTTGTCTTGGGCCAGAGATTGGAATGTCTGCTCTGGAGTGTGGTAGGGGCCTCCATAGACAGAACTGTGGAAAGTGCCTCAGCGGTAGGTTGTGGAATTGTGCTCTCCCTGTCATAAGCCTGGGGTGGGAGGAGAGCTGCTACAGCAGCAGTTTTTCCTAGATGAGATGTGCAGCCAGGGCCAGATGTGCAGTTCCAGGTCACCTGGAACCAGTCTGTGTGTGTCATTGCTGGGTTCCCCAGGCTGCTCCCCTAAGGTCGTGGTGCAGCAGGACCCACTCCACTTCACCTCCAGGCAGAAATACAGGCATTTGGAGTACCTGCCAGCCTGGACCAGCAGCTTGGGCTGCCCGTCTTTTCATAGACATAGATTGTGGTGCAGTGGGGCCATCTTTGCTCTATGCCCAGGCAGATCTCCAGGTATTCAGAGCACCTCCTTGCCTGGATCAGTAGCCTGAGCTGTCCCACCCTTCCTGTACATAGGTTATGGACCAGGGGGGCCCTCTCTTCTCCACAGGGAGGTAGATCTCCAGGCATTTGGAGCACTGGCTTGCATGGTCTAGCAGCCTGAGTTGACTCAATCTTTTTGCACAGAGCTTCTGTACAGGAAAGCCCTCTCTGCTTCATGCCCAGACAGATTTCTAGGCATTCAGACCACCCACTCATCTGGTTTAGCAGCCTAAGCTGCCCCACCCTCCCTCAACATAGATCATAGTGCAGTGAGGCCCTCTCTACTCCACATCCAAGCAGATCTTTAGGCATTCAAAGCACCTGCTTGCCTGGATTGGCAGACTGAGCCGCCCACCCTCTTGTGCAGATAACAGGTATGGGGTGGGAGGACACTCTGCTTCATGCCCAGGCAGATCTCCAGGCATTGGGAGCAACTGCTTGCCTGGAACAGCAGCATAAGCACCCTTCCCGGCGTAGGTCATGGCATATCGAGGCCCCCTCTGTTCCAGGTGAGTAGATCTCCAAGCATGTAAAGCACCTGCTTGCCTGGATTGGCAGCCTGAGATGGCCCACCCTTCCTGTGCAGAGACACAGGTGCAGGGGGTCTCTTTCTGCTTCATGCTCAAGAAGATCTCCAGGCATCTGAAGGACCTGCTCATTTGGAATAGCAGCCTGAGTCACTCCACCCTTCCTGTTCAGAGATCCTGGTACAGGGGGGCTCTCTCTACTCCACACCCAGGCAGATCTCCAAGCTTCTGGAGCACCCACTCTCTTGGAGTAAGAGTTTAGGCTGCCCCCCATCCTCATGCAGAGAGCTTGGGTCAAGGAGGTTTCCCAGCTCCACAACTAGGCACATCTCTGGGTTCTCCCTCAGGGCTGTTGCCTGTGCCTCCCATCAGGGGACCTGTAGGGGGACCTACCCAGTCTGTCCCTGCTCATCTTGCCCTCCAGCTCTCTGGAGATGAGGAGGGAGCTCAGAGTACTGTGCACTTCATGAATCAATCCATTGCCTGAGGCAAGAGATCTCCCAGTAAACAGTAATCAAGTATATACCCAGCTGCATTGGCCACAGCCGGCTCTTACTCCTAAGGGCCACCTACTGGCCTGTAGGACAAACTGCACAGCCCAATGTAAAACCCAAGGACAGAAGTGCATAGGGAAAAGCAAAACCAAAGTCCTACAGCATTCTCTAAAGTCACACTCTATCTGGAGCAGGGAAAAGGAAAGAACAACACCACCAAAAATATCAAAAATATTATAGGGAAAGAAAGAAAAAGAAAAAATCTTACCCACATGAAAATAATTACAATAATTAGAAGTGCCACAATGTCTCCAAATAAGAAGGGACCAGTGTAAGAATTTTGGCACCATTAAAAACATGAATGTAGTGACATCATCAAAGGATCACACTAACTTTCCAGCAATGTTCCCTAACCAAAGTGGATACCCAGAAATGACAGATAAGAATTCAAAGCATAAATTGCAAGGAAGCTCAATGAGATCCAAGACAAGGTTGAAAATCAACATGAAGTAACAACTTCTAAAGCAATTCAGGAAATAAAAGAAGAGATAAACATCTTAAAAAGAAAACAATCAGAGCTTCTGGAATTGAAGAACTTACTTAAGGAATTTCAAAATACAATGTAAATCTTTACCAATAGACTGGATCAAGCAGAAGAAAGAATTTCAGAGCTTGAAGGCCAGTCTTTTGAATTAGCCCAGTCAGACAAAAAAAAAAAAAAAAAAAAAAAAGGCAAAAGAATTTTAAAACACAAAGTCTTCAAGAAATATGAGATTATGTAAAGTGACCAAACCTATGAATTATTGGAATTCATTAGAGGGATGGAGAAAAAGAAAACAACCTAAAAAACATACTTGAGGAAATAATTCAAGAAAATTTTCCTAATCTTGTTAGAGAGGTAGACATCCAGATATAAGAAATTCATAGAACGTCTTTCAGATACTGTACAAAATGAACATCACCAAGGAAAATAGTCACTGGACTGCAGAAGATCAATGCTAAAGAAAAAAACTCTTAAAAGCAGCTAAAGAAAAATATCAGATCATGTACAAAGGGAACCCCATCAGGCTAAGAGTGGACTTCTCAGCAGAAACCTCACAAACCAGGAGATATTGGAAGCTTAGTTTCAGCATTCTTAAAGAAAAGGAATTCCAACCAATAATTTCATATCTTACCAAAATAAACTTCATAAGTGAAGGAGATATAAAATCTTTTTCTGACAAACAAATACTAAGGGAATTTATTACTGCTAGACAAACCTTACAAGAGATATTCAAGGGAGTCGTAAATTTAGAAACAAAAGCATGCTGCCACACAAACCCACTTAATTACATAGTTCAAAGACCCTATAAAGCAACCACACAATAGAAACTACAAAGCAACGAACTAACAACTTCATGATATGATCAAAGCCTCACATATCAATATTAACCTTGAATGTAAGTGGTCTGAATATCATACTTAAAAGGCACAGAATAGCAAATCGAATTTTAAAAAAAGACCATCCATCTGCTATCTTCAAGAGACCCACTTGACACGTAATGACACCCATAGGCCAGAAGTAAAGGATTGGAGAAATATCTATTACAAAAACAGAATGCAAAAAAGAACAGAGGTCACTACTCTTACATCAGATAAAACAGACTTTAAACCAACAACAGTAAAAAAGAACAAGAAATGCCATTACATAATGCTAAAGGGTTCAATGCAATGAGACTTAATTAACCTAAATATATATGCGCCCAACACTGGAACATACAGATTCAAAAAACAAGAACTTCTAAACTTACAAAAAGACTTAGCAACACAATAATAGTAGGGGACTTAAAAACCTCAGCAACAGCATTAGACCATTGAGGCAGAAAACTAACACAGAAATTCTGAACATAAATTTGACACTTGACCAATTTGACTTAATAGACCTCTGTAGAACAATCCACTCACCAACCACAGGGTATACATTCTTCTCTTCTGCATACAGAACATACTCCAAGATCAACCACATGCTCAGCTATAAAGCAAGTCCTATTGAGTTGAAAAAAAGAGTAAATCATATCAACCATGCTATCAAAACACAGTGGTATAAAAGTAGAAATAAATACCAAAAAACTCTCAAAACTATACAATTACATGGAAATTAAACGACATAATCCTGAATGACTTTTGGGTAAACAACAAAATTAGGGAAGAAATTAAAAAAATTCTTTCATGAAATAAAAGCAGAGACACAACATACCAAAACTCTGGGATGCAGCAAAAGTAGTGTTAAGAAGAAAGTTTATAGCACTAAACACCTAACTTGAAAAGTTAGAAAGATTTCAAATTAATTATCTAACATCCCACCTAGAGGAACTAGAGAAACAAGAGCAAACTAACCTGAAAGCTAGCAGAAGAAAACTAAAAGAGCACAACTGAACAAAATTGAGACCTAAAATTTCATACAAAGAATCAACAAAATCAAAAGTTTGTTTTTGAAAGTATAAACAAGATTGTTAAGCTATTAGCTAGGTTAAAAAAGAAAGAGGAGAGAAGATCCAAATAAGAACAATTAGAAATGAAAAAGATGGCATTACAACTGATCCCACAGAAATACAGATGATCCTCAGAGACTATTACAAACACTGCTATGCACACAAACTAGAAAGCCTAGAGGAAATGGATAAATTCCTGGAAACATACCATCTTCCAAGATAGAATCAGCAAAAAATCAAAACCGTGAATAGACCAATATCGAGTTACAAAATTGAATCAGTAATAAACCTACCAAAGGCCGGGTTCGGTGGCTCAAGCCTGTAATCCCAACACTTTGGGAGGGTGAGGTGGGCAGATTACGAGGTCAGGAGATCGAGACCATCCTGGCTAACACGGTGAAACCCCGTCTCTACTGAAAATACAAACAATTAGCCGGGCGTGGTGGCGGGTGCCTGTAGTCCCAGCGACTCGGGAGGCTGAGGCAGGAGAATGGCGTGAACCCGGCAGGCGGAGCTTGCAGTGAGCCGAGATCGCGCCACTGCACTCCAGCCTGGACGAGACAGCAAGACTCCATCTCAAACAAACAAACAAACAAACAAACAAACAAAACACAAAAAAGACCCTACCAACCAAAAACAAGTTCTGAATCAGACAGATTTATAGTTGAATTCTAACAGATGTACAAAGTAGAGCTGGTACCAATTCTACTGAAACTATCCGCGCCCCCCTCAAAAAAAAAATCGAAGGGGAGGGACTCCTCTGTAACTCATTCTACCAAACCAGCATCTCCATTTTGTTAAAGCCTGGCAAAGACACAATGAAAAAAGAAAACTGAAGACCAATATCTCTCATGAACACAGACGCAAATATCCTTAGCAAAATGAATCCAGTAGCACATCAAAAAGTTAATTCACTATGATCACCTAGGCTTCATTCCTGTGATGCAAGGTTGGTTCAACATACACAAATCAATAAATGTGATTTACCGAATGAATAGAATTAAAAACAAAAAACCATATGATCATTTCAATAGATGTGGAAAAAACTTTTGATGATATTCGACATCCTTTTATGATAAAAACCCTCAAGAAACTAGGCATCAAAGGAACGTACCTCAAAATAGTAAGAGCCCTCTGTGACAAATTCACAGCCAACATTATACTGAATAGCTAAAAATTGGGAGCAGTCTCCTTGAGAACTGGAACAAGACAAGGATGCCCAGTCTCACTGCTCTTATTCAACATAGTACTGGAAGTTCTTGCCAAAGCAATTAGGAAAAGAAAGAAATAAAAGGCATCTAAATAGTTAAGTAAGAAGTCAAACTATCTCTCTTCACTAACAATATGATTCTATACCTAGAAAACGCTAAAGACTCTACTGTAAGGCTCCTGGAACTGATAACTTCAGTAAAGTTTCAGAATACAAAATCAATGTACAAAAATCAGTAGCATTCCTATAAACCTATAACATTCAAGCTGAGAGCCAAATCAAGAATGCAATCACATTTACCATAGCCAAGACTCCACTACTGATTATCTCTGCAGAAACACATTTTAACAACTATTTGCACACACAAAAAAGCATCTTCTTAAGAACCAAAAATCAGAAGAGCAATCACAGTACTTAATTTTAACTTTATATCTCTGAAAGAGGCACTGAAAAGAGTAGAAAAGACACTCTTGAATTGCTGATGCCATTCCTCCCCACTTCCTTAGTAGTGGCCACGTGGCACGGAGAATCTGTACTTAGGGGAAGGAGAGCACAGTGATGGGGGACTTTGCATTGAATTCAGTGCTGCTCTGTCATAGTTGAAAACAAAACCATGCTCAACTCAGCTGGGACCTTCTCACAAGGGAGCATTTGGACCAGACCTAGGCAAAGGGGAAGTGCCCATACCAGCAGTTGGAACTTCAGTTCTGGCAAGCCTTGCCACTGTGGTTTAAAGTACTCTGGGGTCATAAGTAAATTTGAAAAGCAGTCTAGGATACAAGGACTGCAATTCTTAGGCAAGTCCTGATGTTGTGCTGGGCTTAGACAAGTGGACTGGGGCAGTGAGTTACCTAGTGTGACAACAGATGTCACAGGAAAGGGAATGCTTATACTGCCTTTCCCACAACCCCAGGCAGCGCAGCTTGCAGCAACAAAAATGACACCTTCCTTTTGCTTGAGGAGAGGAGAGAGAATAGTAAAGAGGACTTTGTCTTGCATCCTGGATACCAGCTCAGACACAGTAGACTAGGGCACCAGGCAGAGTCATGAGGCCTCAGTTCCACACCCTGGCTCCCAGATGACATTTCTAGACACACCCTGTGCCAGAAAGGAAACAGCTACCTTGAAGGGAAAAATCCAGTCTTGGAAGGATTACTCACGTGCTGACTAAAGAGCCCTTAGGCCCTGAATAACCAGCAGTGATACCCAGATAGTACACCATTGGCCTTGGATGAAACCCTGAGCCATGCTGGTTTCAGGTACCAGCTTAGCCACAGTGCAGCAGAGCACCAAGTGGGCTCTTGGGGTCCCCAAGTCCAGGCCTGGGCTCTTGGACAGCATGTCTGGACCTTTCCTGGGCCAGAGGAGAGCCCACTGCCCTGAAGGGTGAGTCCCAGGCCAAGCAGCACTCACCACAAGCTGACTGAAGAGCCCTTGGGCCTTAAGTGAACATTGGGGTGGCCTGGTAGAACCCCCTGTGGGCCAGCAGTGGTGATGGCCATGGGGAGGGGCTCCTCTGTCTGTCAAAAGGGAATGGAAGAGCGGAAAGGACTTTGTCTTGTGGTCTGCATGCCAGATGCCAGCATAGCAGCAGTAAAATAGAACACTAGGTACATTTATAAGGTTTTTTGACTCCAGCCTTATGGTGTTTGCTCCCAAACAGCATCTCTGGACCTGCTCAGGGTCTGGGGGAACTTGCTACCCTGAAAGGAAGAACACAAACCTGGCTTACTGACTGCCACCTACTGATTGGAAAGCCCTGGGGCAGTGAATGTTTATTTCCTCTCTTCTATTTCTGTTTCCTATTTTTGGCACACTTACACTTTAAACCTTGGAGTTCCTGGATGTATTCTCTAATCTTTTGTAGGATATTTTACAATGAAATATTCTATATAATTTAAAGTGACATTTATCAACATGGACAAATCTTTCATAGTTAAGTGGGAAAAGTAAGTGACAAAGAAAGTATAAAATTAAAACAAAACAATTTTTAGAAAATCCAAACAAAACGAAATTATGTGTGTATGTATACACATATGCATGTATATTGATGCATACGCACAAAAGAATGAAGCTATTTGTTAAGAATAAAAATTATCAAATATTAGAATTATTATTACTTTGGGAGGAGAGTAAGTAGGAGGATGAAATTGGAGAAGAGTACAAAGAAATTCCAAGATTACTGATATTTTATTTCTTAATCCATGATTGGTACATGAATGTTTAATATGTTTTGTGTATTTTTATATGTTTAAAATATTTAAAAATAATTTTAAAAGCTCTTAAGGTTCATTTCTGGCCTGAATTCCCTATTCCTTTCTTGCTCCTGAGGACTTTCTTTTCTTTCTTTGAAGTTTAGCTATATATTGATTTTTCTTTTAAAAAATTTTCCAATATTTTTATGTTTGTTGTTGGTTAGAAGCCCTGTCTGTATCAGCTCTTCCTGGCAATATTGCTTGAAACGAGTAAGTTAGTAGATATATGAGTTTCCTAGGCTGCCGTAACAAAGCACCACAAACTAGGTAGCTTAAAATAATACAAATATATCACAGGTCTGGAGGCTATGCTGGACCATGCTCCCTCTGAAGGCCATAGGAGTTGAATTCTTTCTTGCCTCTTCTACCTTCTGGAGGTTTCCAGCAATGCTTGGCATTTCTTGGCTGGTAGATGCATCATTCTAATCTCTACCTCCATAATTCCATGGTGTTCTTCCTTGTGTGTCTCTGTGTCCAAATTTTCTCCATTTTAAGAACACTAGTCATTGAATCAGGGCCCATCTTAACTCAATATAATGAACCTCCATCTTAACTCGATTACATCTGCAAAGACCCTATTTCCAGCTCAGGTCATATTCACAGGTACCGGGTGTTAAGGCTTCAACATATCTTTTTGGGAGATACAACTCAACCTTTAACAGAAGGTATACTCTTTTTTATTTGTTGGAAACCTAGAAACTCATTTTTAATATGTATCACCTTCATTTATCAGTGTTATCCTTAAATGTAAAATCTACCAGCAGTGGAGGGCATTGTGACGCTCTGGATAAATGGCCTTCCACAGTGTAGAAAAAGGATACAGCAGAGAAGGAAAGTCTAAATAGAATTGGACTTAAAGGAATTAATTAATAAAATTTCTAAATCAATAAATAAAATTTGGACCTCTGTGTGGAGTCCTAATTAGGGAAAAGAAGTCAGGCCAGTAGGAGCAGGGGAAAGTGAAAGAAAAAACAGATAAGTTATAAAGTCTGCCTTTTTCATGGTCCAGGACACATCTTCCTGCACCCAGCTATTACTAGACTCTTGGCTGATAGAAAAATACAAGTTAGCTCACTGCAGCCTTGGTGTTACCAGTACTGCACAAAGCCCTTTTCAGCACATAGCACAAGCGTCATCCTATAAACATCTCCAGCAAGCCTCTGTCTCATTGCAGTCAGCTCCTTTCTTGCTGTCCTGCCTGTTGCACTCTTGCAGTGTATTTTCATACTTTCTCTAATAAATCTGCCCTTGTCTTGGTAAATTCTTCTTATCACCTGCATGATACTGGCACTAGATAGTCGTGACCTGTGACACTCTGAAAGTCTAATAAAAGTAAACTAGAGTTAGTATATTAAATTGTATTTAAGTGATATGTATTTATCTGCCATCTTAGATTTCTGTTATGTTCTTATTTCAAGTTTTGAATAGCAAGAATATGCTTATTTTATGATTATCTTTTTTCGGCTTTTTATTTTATTTTCATCTCTAGTCATAGGCTTTTAATAAAATGAGAGTTGTTTAGTAGGTAAAAGCTATACTCATGTCTCTTTTCATATAATTGTGACAGCTCTGATTTCTGAGAATTCATTATGTTGGTGCAAAATAGGAAGAAAAGACATTGATGCATGACATTATTATTCCACTGAATTTGATCTACTTTAGACTCCAGAATGCCAATGTGAGTGAAGCAAAGATTTCACACCTTATATGTTTTTTTCTAGGGAAAACAGGTTGAGGTTGAATGCTTGTGTATAATAGCAGTGGAAGATTAATAATAATTCAATAAAGCAACACTGTAACAATGTAAGCATTGGGAAGATATGTGCTAAGAAGAAAGCTTATGTTTCTTTATGTATGGTAATAAAGTAAAGAAACAAGAATGAAGTAAGAAATTGGTAAGAGAAAGAAGAGGGATGTTAATTGCAGGCTTTTGGGAGACACAAATGCTTTTCCAAATAAACAGAATGTATATTTTACTATGGCTGTATAAGACAGTTGTAAATGTTCAGAGTATCTCTACAAAACTACAAAATCTTCCAGTAAAGAGATGAGTTTTTTTTATTATTTTTGGTGGCAATTCAGGGTTTCCATAATTTTATGTTACCTTATGTTGTAGCTATTCAGTTTAGCTTCCTAATTGTCTGTCTCTTTGTACAAAAACATATTCCCTCATCTTTGAAATAGACTGAGGGATAAAGAGCAAAGAAAAAAGCCGTATTAATTTGAGTTGAAATCTTGTATTTGAAAAATACTTAACTTTAGTAATATTAGTATTATATTGGTGACTCTAGGTCATAGGTCATAGGATCTAAAGGTTCCTGCCTAAAGGTTCTAAAACCATTTGATCCCTTAAGAGGCTTGTTATAAGCATGATTTATTTCCTTATCACTATCTAATTTGAAATATCCCTCTCTTCCTTTTAAAATTTGAAGTCTTTGAGTAAGAAACAGGTGGCTGGGAAAATGAAAAGTCAACATTAAAATTTTCCAGTGGCTAATTTATTCTTCAAATGTTATTTCACTTCTCTAGGTGCCAGCCACATGCTGGGGAGGTGCTGCTATAAATATTTTCTGTTGCTCTGCATCACATTTTTGTAAGGTAGATATTTTTAGCTTCAATTTAATAAGAATATTTACATTCAGAGAGGTTAAATAATTTACCTAAGGTTCTTCAGTTTGTGTATTGGAGCAAAGGGATTTAAAACACATTACACAAGTATATGTACTTGGAAGGGTGGGTTATAAGTCTTATTATTATGTATGAAAGTGCTAGAAGGAACTGTGGTGTAAAATGTTTTTATTCCTTCCTATAAGTATAATATTTAGAATTTCTCTTCTTATTACATTTCATTTTATGAAGTTTGTTAATATCTTGAAACATGTACACACATATCTAAAATTTTACATTAAGTATATTTATCATGGTGTTGAATATACATTTTAGTGCTGACCCCACCTTTTCTGGCATTAATCTTCCCTTTTTGCTTATTCCTTTCTCGTTCCCTGTGAGCTCCTCCCATCTCCATAATCCACATTAATAACACACTTTTCCATATTTTCTTCTATATACTGTATATGGATATAGTGGTTTTACTTGTCATTGTTTTTTAAAAAAATTGGATCACATTATGTATGCTTTCTTACATGTTGCTTTTCTCACTCACCAGTAACTCATGGAGCATTCTCCCAACTCATATAGTTCTACGAGTTCTATGTATTTAATGGCTATATCATATATCATATTTAATAATGTGATTAAATGGAATGTGTGGTAATTATTCAACCATTTATTGACATTCACTTTGTTTTCCATTTTTTGTCACTATGAACAATGCTGCAATAAACATTCTTGTACATATCTATTTCTTTATCTACTGGTTACTTGATTATCATAATATAGAATCCCAGGAGTGGGATTGCTGGATCAAAACCTATATTGCCTGATGGCTTTCAAAAAAGACATTACAATTCACAGTTTCCTCAGTAATTAAAGAACATACCTTTCTTCCAAATCCCTAATAGCAGTTTTATTACATATTTATATCTTTATATTTTGATGAGTAAAAAATGATAGCTTGCTGTTACTTTAGATTTTCTGACTTAGCATTTTTCTCGTGTGTGTGTGTTTGTGCGTGACACACACAAATACATATATACAAATTGGCCATTTGGACTGTATTATGTGTTACAAGTTAACGTATAATACCCCGAGACAATATAATACAGAAAAGTGGACAAAAGATAGAAAACAGAAAATGCTATGATAATAAGCATATTATATAGTATAGATATTAACCCTCTACTGTCATAGATACTACAACTATTTTTGCAAGTATATTATCTTTAGACTACATTGTTTATAATATTTTTTACTACACTAAAACTTTCATGCATAGTCAAATTTGTCTGTATTTTTCCTTCTAGTTTGTGGGTTTCTGGTATTAGTTAAGAGGATCTTTCCCGCCCCTGGATTATATTTTTAGCCTCCTAAATTTTATTGTAAGCATTTTTTATTTGTTTTATTGTTTCATTCAAATTCTTACCCTATTGGAAACATATTTTTTACATATTGTATTCTATAAGGATATACCATGATTTTCTTCCATATAGATAGTTATGCTACCATCATTTAGTAAGTTATCTATTGATTTACCACCATTTGCATTACTACAGTGAAAACAGTCAATATGCCACATAAAATGTCAATCAATGATGAAACACGTTGTTGGGTGGTCCCATATAATTATAATGGAGCTGAACAATTCCTATTGCCTAATGACACTGTAGTCAGCAAAACATCATAGCGCAACACACTACTTACATGTTTGTGATGATGCTGGTGTAAACAAACCTACTGAGCTGCAAGTCGTATACAAGTATAGCAATACAATTATGAACAGCACGTAATACTTGATAATGACAATAAATGACTGTTACTGGTTTATGTATTTACCATACTTTTAATTGTTATTTTAGAATGTCATAACAAAAATGTTAAATGTAAAATAGCCTCAGGCAGGTCCTTTGGGAAGCATTCCAGAAGAAGGTATTGCTATCCTAGGAGATGACAACTCCATGCGTGTTACTGCCCCTGAAGACCTTCCAGTGGGACAGGATGTGGAGGGGAAGACAGTGATATTGATTATCCTGACCCTAAACAGGCGTAGGCTAATGTGTGTGTTTGTGTCTTAGTTTATAACTGAAATATTTGAAAAGTAACAGAAAACTTAAAATATATAAATTAGAAAAAAGCTTATAGAATAAGGATATAAATAAAATAATTTTGTACAGCTGTATAATGTGTTTGTGTTTTAAGCTAAGTGTTAAAAGAGTCAAAAAGTTTTAAAAATTTAAGCTAAGTGTTACAAGAGTCAAAAAGTTTTAAAAAATTAAAAGGTTTATAAAGTAGGGAAGTTATAGTAGGCTAAGGTTAACTTATTATTGGAGAAAGAAAATTTTTTAAAAAATTAGTGTAGCCTATATAAAGTCTTCAGTAGTGTATAGTAATGTTCTAGGCCTTCACAGTCACTCACCACTCAACTAACTCACCCAGAGCAATTTCCAGTCCTGCAAACCCCATTCATGGTAAGGGCCTTATAAAGGTATGCCATTTTCAATCTTTTATACTGTATTTTTACTGTACTTTTTCTATGTTTAGACACACAAATACTTATCTTATGTTACAATTGCCTATAGTATTGAGTACAGTAACATACTCTACAGGTTTCTAGCCTAGGAGCAATAGGCCATACCATGTAGCCAAGATGTGTAATAGGCTATACCATTCCAGGTTTGTGGATGTCTACTTTATGATGTGCACACAATGATGCAATCACCTAATGAGATGTTTCTCAGAATGTATCCCCATCATTAAATGACACATGACCATACTGAGTGTCTACATATTTCTGAGGGTGTTTTCTGTTCCCTTATCAATGCCAAATATCATTATTTGAGTTTAAGGGCTTTAGATTATCTTCAGTTCCTCTTCTTTTTCACATTTATGCTTTATTTTTGAAATTTTATTCTTCCTCATAAACTTTAAGATTACTCTTGCTACTTGTCCATCATCAGCTGCAGACTACTTTGTGTCATCTCTCTGTCATCTCTCTCCAAGGCCTGGACTGTATCCATCACTTGGATGCTGTCAGGCACATTTAAGAGGAGAAAGAGAGCGCTGGAGGTTTTGCTGTCAATGAATTCTGATTGGAATTGAAAGTGAAAATGTCACATTCTGTTACAACTCAACTGGTCACATGGCTTCACCCAACCACAGGGAAGCCAGCAAAAGCAATCTACTATATGCCCAGAAAGGGTTAAGTGAAACCATTTGGTGACCTGAAATAACGATGATAACATATAACTAATCCTTGTTAATGTTGAGCTCTATCTCTGAATTAAAATTTTTATGATTTTTTAATGATTAAAAAGAAAGAAAGCAGGAATGGCAATATTAACTTTAGATAAGGTGTAAAGTTCAAAACATTAAAGGACGTTTTGTGATGCTATAAATCATTATTTATAACTATCATAAACTGGTATGCACCAAAAATATAACACACACATTAAAAATCAGAAATTTAGACATTTTGATAAAATATGATTATATAGGGATATATAACACTTGGCTAGTAAAATTAATAAACCTTACATATTTTTATACTCATTTTATTTTTTCTTTGTAAGTAATGTGTTCTTTTTTGTCAAGAAGCTCATAGGATTTGTTTCTCTATCCTTAAGAACCTTACTTTCAAAAAGTTATGGCAAGCAGGAAATGCCTAGTTACGTCTTTCCTTCTCAATCAACTAGAACTCAATTAGCTCTTTCAGTTTCTTTGTCTTTAGCTTAATGTTTGTTTAAATTTTGCTTCCATTCTTTTTTCTACTCTAGCATTGTTATTATGTACATATCCATTTCTCTAGATCAATCCCTCAAATTCCTTATCTGTCTGTGAATAATTTTTATCTCTTTGTATTTTTGCAATATATTTGAGAATATTTCATAAACTTGGTCTTCCAGGGAACAAATTCAAATGGCAAGAGTTGACTACCCTTTAACTCATAAAGTGTATTTCTTAGTTGAGAAATCACGAATCATTTAGAGGACTCACAAAAATTTGCTTAGGCTTAACTTGAATCTCCTTAAGTGCTTTTAAAATTATTTTAAAATACTTTAAACATACAAAAATACATAAAACATTTTAAACATTCATGTAACAATCATGAGTTAGGAAATAAAATATCAGTAATCTTGGACATTTCTTTGTACTCTTCTCCAATTTCATCCTCTTACTTACTCTCCCCCCAAAGTAATACTAATTCTAATATTTGATAATTTTTATTCTTAACAAATAACTTTATTCTTTTGCACCTATGTATCAATATACATGTATATGTGTATGTGTATACATACACACAAAATTATTTTTTGTTTGGATGTTATAGAAATTGTTTTGTTTTATTTTAATTTTATACTTTCTTTGTCACTTACATTTTCCACTTAACTATGTGTTTGTAAGATTTGTCCATGTTGATAAGTGTCACTTTAAATTATATAGAATATTTCATTGTAAAATATCCCACAAAAAATTTAGAGAATACATCCAGGAACTCCAAGGTTTAAATTATAGGTGTGTCAAAAATAGGAAACAGAAATAGAGGACAGGAAATAAACAATTAAATAATTTTTTAAAATCCACAAGTCTTGAAGGACAGAAATCTCCATTTTTGAAAGAATTAACTGAGTGTCCAGTAAAATGGATGAAAATAATCCTACACCTAGAAGTATCATTGTGGAGTATTAGAGTACTGAAGACAAAAAGAATCCAAACATGGTAGCAGTTTCATAATTATAAAATTATATTTAAAAAATAAAATAATCACTATATTTCTTTCATTGTGTTGTTTATAGGATGAAATAAGTTAATATTGTGAATAGAACAATGCCTAATATAAGCAATTAATAAATATTAGCTATTATTTATATTATTCCTTTGCAGATAATATTTCTTTTGCTCTTCAGCCACCTTTCTAATCTTTGCGTTGTCTTTGTGTTCAGTTTCACTGTGATTTGTCTGGATCTGGGTTTATTCGTGTTTATCTTGTTTAAGCTTTGTTTTGCTTCCATACCCTGTGGATTCACACCATCATGTATTTTTTTATTTCTCATTTTTAATTTATTCTAATATTATCTCTTCCTCATTTTCTACTATATTTTTCTGATTTAATTATAAGATGTTAGAACTTGTCATCATAAATTACAGGTCTCTTTAACACTCATATTTTCTAAGCCCTTTTCTATATGAGCTGCCTAATAATTTTTTTTCCAATTTCTTAATTTGTTTTCAGCTGTGCCTAGTCTTTTATTTATCAACTGAGATTATAACTCCAACTCTTTTTCATTACTAGGAGTTTGATCTTTTCCAAGGTTATCTGGCATTGTTGGTGGTAATTTTTTGCTTAATCATTTTTTTTACTTCCTTAAACATAAAGGGATATACTACTTTTTACTCTGTGGCTGATAATTTCAATATCTGCAGTTCTAGGTGGGGAAGGAGATTCTAATACTATTGGTGGTTGTTTCTGTAATTTCTTGCTCTGGTGTTTGTTCTTCTTGTGCTTCTATAATTTGGAGTTATGGATTCATATGTCCCTGTTCTTCGTAAGTGTAAGAATCTTGAAAGTGTTGAGGTTTGTTTCTTTAGAATGGGTATAATTTTGCTTCTACCAGCAACCCCACATGCTACCAACCCAGGATCATACTTGAAGTTAAAGTCATATGATGGTTTTTTTTGACACTAGGATTATAAATTTAAAGCTCAGTATTAAGTGAGGACAAAGCTCCGTTTAGTACTTCTCGGAGGAATTTTCTATTGTATTTAAACTTTTTTCACCCTAATTTCAGACCCAAACAGTAATTTTTAATGAAACAATGCCCTTTGACACAGGAGCACCCTGAAGTGATTCCTACTATCCAAATCTGCAATGACGTGAGCATCAAACTGAACAATAGTAAAGGATTATAGCCCATCTAAGAATCCATGAATCCATACTGATATTAATTGACTAATAATTTGATAAATGGGGAAAATTGGAAAGCCCTTTCTTGTAGAAGATGCTCAACTTATAAATGTAGAAGGAATAATAGAATTAGAAATCCCCAGTTGGCAACCATAAAAATAAAAATTTTCAATAAAATAAAATAAAAATAAAAATTAATTCCAAGAAGAATCATCAATGGATGCTAACACTATTAGGCAAAATTTAAGTAGTATATTTACATATTCTCAAAATATTTCTGTATGAAATACTTATGAATTTCAAATGGAAAACTATATGCAATGAAAATTAACATAGTAATGGGACAGATCAACATCATGTGCCACAGTATGATGCACTGAGTAGATTGTAACATCGCTTCTGTGCTGTTTCTACCCAAAAATGCACAATCTGATTCAAATCATGAAGAAACATCAGACAAATCCAAAATGAGGGAATGCTATGAACTAACGGCCTATATTCTTCAATAATGTCAATGTCATGAATGATGAAGACTGAAAAAATATTTCAGATTTTAAAAGACTGAAGAGCCATGACAACTGTATGCAACACAAGATCCAGATTGCTATATAGGACAATTTTGGGACAATTAGTGAAAAGTTAATGATGTCTGTAATTTAGGTAGGACTATTGTAACAATATTAATTTCCTAATTTATATAATTGTACTCTGCTTAATAAAAGAATGTCCTTGTTACACACTAAAAGTACTTTGGTAGAAAAGGAGCATCATGTCTATGACACACTTTCAAACACACCTCAGAAAAAAAATTATACAATCATGTAAATAAATGAAAATGCAAATAAGGTATAATGTTAACATTTGGGGAATATGAGAATTTTTTGCACAATTCTTGTAACTTTCCTGTTAGAAATTGTCAAAATATATACAATTTCTTGAAAAAGTCCCCACATACCAGGGGGCAGATACTTTTCTAGCCCACATTTTCACTATGCTAAGTCTGTACTGGTGTTTAAAGGTACTGGATTTATGCAGAGGCTCAAGTCTAACTCCCTGCCTTGTATAGGCTGAAGGCCTTATTTTTCTCTCACAACCATTAAAAACTCATGTTTGAATATGAAGTGTGATAGGCAGAATAATGGTGCCCAACGATGTTCACATCCTAATCTCCAGAACCTGTGAATACCTTAGGACACATGGAAAAGGGGAATTAAAATTGAAGATGGTGTTGAAGTTGCTAACTAGCTCACCTTGAAATGGGAAATTATCCTGGATTATCTGTGTGGGCCTAGCCAATGTAATCACAAAGGTCCTTAAAAGTAGAAGAGAAAAACAGAAGTGGGGAGAGTCCAAGAGAAATGTGATGATAGAACAAGGGTCTGAGAATTGCTGGCTTTGAAGATGGAGGAAGGGGACTATAAGCCAAGAAATGGGTGTAGCCTCTAGAAGCTGGAAAAGGCAAGGAAACAGATTCCCCGCCTGTAGCCTCCAGAAGGACACAGCCCATGGGCTACCGTGATTTTAGCTCAGTGAGACCCATGTCAGACTTCTGATCTACAGAACTGTAAGATAATAAATTTGTGTTTTTTAAGTCTATATTACAGTAACATATTACAGCAGCAGTAGAAAACTAATACATGAGGGTTAGCAATTGCCGATAGGTGTTGCGGGAAGTCAGGGACCCCGAACAGAGGGACTGGCTGGAGCTGTGGCAGAGGACCATAAATTGTGAAGATTTCATGGACATTTAGCAGTTCCCAAAATTAATACTTTTATAATTTCTTACACCTGTCTTTACTGCAATCTCTGAATATAAATTGTGAAGATTTCATGGACATTTATCAGTTCCCAAAATTAATACTCATAATTTCTTATGCCTGTCTTTACTCTAATTTCTTAATCCTGTTATCTTCATAAGCTGAGAATGTACATCACTTGAGGACCACTATTGTACAAATTGATTGTAAAACATGTGTTTGAACAATATGAAATCAGTGCACTTTGAAAACGAACAAAATAACAGCAATTTTAGGGAACAAGGGAAGACAACCAAAGGTCTGACTGCCTGCAGGGTTGGGAAGAATACAGCCATATTTTTCTTTTTACAGAGGCCTATAAATGGACGTGCAAGTAGGAGAGATATTGCTGAATTCTTTTCCCAGCGAGGAATATTAATAATTAATACCCTGGGGAAGGAATGCATTCCTGGGGGGGGGGGGGGGTCTATAAATGGCTGCTCTGGGAGTGTCGGTCTTATGCGGTTGAGATAAGGACTGAAATACGCCCTGGTCTCCTGCAGTACCCTCAGGCTTATTAGAGAGGGGAAAAGATCCCACCCTGGTGAATTTGAGGTCAGACTGGTTCTCTGCTCTTGAACCCTGTTTTCTGTTGTTTAAGATGTTTATCAAGACCATATGTGCACAGCCGAACATAGACCCTCATCAGTAATTCTAATTTTGCCCTTTGCCTTGTGATATTTATTGCCCTTTAAAGCATGTGATCTTTGTAACCTACTCCCTGTTCATACACTCCCTCCCCTTTTAAAGTCCTTAATAAAAACCTGCTGGTTTTGCGGCTCAGGGGACATCACGGACCTACTGATATGTGATGTCACCCCCGGAGACCCAGCTGTAAAATTCCTCTCTTTGTACTCATTCTCTTTATTTCTCAGACCGGCTGACAATTAGGGAAAATAGAAAGGACCTACACTGAAATACTGGGGGCTGGTTCCCCCTGATAGAAAAGTAGCTCCCTACTTTTCATTTTTTCTGTCTCTGGGGTTTTCATTCAACTTAAAATTTTTATACCAAAAATTCTTTAAAAAATATATCTAAGGATAATGACTTCCAGCTCCATTTATGTCCCTGCAAAGGACATGATCTCATTCTATCCTCAGCAAACTAACGTAGGAACAGAAAATCAAACACTGCATCTTCTCACTTATAAGTGGGAACTGAATGAACACACGAACACAGGGAGGGGAACAACACACACTGGGGCCTGTCCAGGGGTGTGGTGGGGGAAGGGAGAGGATTAGGAAAAATAGCTAATGGATGCTGTGCTTAATACCCAGGTGACAGGTTGATAGGTGCAGCAAACCACCATGGCACATGTTTACATATGTAACAAATCTGCACATCCTGCACACATACCCCAAAACTTAAAATAAAAATAAAAATAAAAATAACCTAGTCCATATTGCAATATAATAATTCTTCTAAGTGGAATGGCTTTTAAAAAGTTTTTTTTTTATTTTGAGATAACTTTAGACTTACAGAAGAGTTGAAAAACTAGTAAAGAAAATTCCTGTTTTTTCTTTACCCAGCTTTCCCTAATGCTATTTCTTATATAACCATAGTGCAATTATCAATACTAAGAAATTAGTACTGATGACATGAAGTGTCTAACTCCATTTTTTGATGTCTTATCCTGACAACTTTCAAGCCTACCCTTTCCTTTTTCCCTCTCACTCAACATCTGTGTATGCCAATAAGAAAGTCAGAGTATACCTTTCTTTGACACCAATGGGGAGATAAAACTGCATATAAACCCTAGCCCTTGTGGGAGAACCCTCACCCCAATCCCATCCCAAACAATCATAAAATCAAAGCTATTTGCCCCTCCCTTTGCTCAAGCCATTTCAGACCAATCTGGGCACCGGCCTTGCTCTCCCTAGAAAGCCTTGTTCTGTGAGTAATAAACCTTTTCATACCCTCTTGGTGTGTATGGCATCATCATTTCAATATGGAGGTCAATGGTGCCCTCTGCAAGTAACCACAAAACAATTGTTACGATACTGTCAATTAAGCTATAGACTTTATTTCAATTTCACAAATTTTCCACGACGTACTTTCTCTATCCCAGGATTCAATCCAGGATCCTACATTACATTTAATTGTCATGTCTTCTTAGTTTCCCTCAATCTGTGACACTTGAGTCTTTCACGACCTGGGCAATTTTATCATGTAGATAAATGTCCTTCCGTGAATGCTTCATGTAGAATGTCCTTCTGTTTGGGTTTGTTTTCTCCTGATTAGATTGAGATTATGTGTTATCAGGAAGATTACCATAAAGGTAAGAGACGTTTCTCTTTGCATCATATCAGGAGTTCTATGATGTCGATACGTCTTATTACTGATGATTAATTTATTTATTATTTATATGTTTATATTTACATTTATTTATATTATAAAAATATATATTTATATATTAATCTTGATCACTCAGTTATGATGGTTTCTGCCAGTTTTCTCTAGTATAAAGCTACCACTTTTCCCTTACAGTGAATATGTATTTTTGAAGGAGATACTTTGAGATTATATAAATATTCTCTGTCTCCATAAATTTTCATCCACTAATTTTAGCATCCATCAGTGGATCTTGCCTGCAGTACTTTTCTCTGTGGTATTCTAGCAGTGACTTTCTATTGCTTGCATTTCGTCCACATGGATTATTTAGAACTCTTTTGTAAGGAAGACTTGTGCTTTCTCTCCCACTTATTTACTTATTTAGTTATTTATTTATATAAATATGAGTCATGAATATTTATTTTATTCTCTAGGTTTTAATCCAAATCCATTATTATTTATTCATTGTTCAAATTGTAAGTGCACTATTCTTTAAAGTGTGCTTTTAAAATTTAAGTTCTGCTTGTTCTCTATAATCTTTTTTTGTCTGCCTGGCTCCCTTGGATGAGTTATTATTTTCCATTAAGGCTCAATGGAATGCAAATCTGGTTGATGGAAAAACATAATCATTTTGTAGATAGTGGTTATTTTGTATTAATAATTCTGAGCTTTTACTTAATCTAAATAATGTTACTGTCTTTGTATTCATTTTTATGTTGCTATAGTTCCAGATTACTATTAATACTTAGAATGAAGAAATGTAGAGTTAGGGACTCTGTATAGAAAGGTAACATATTAAAAGCTAAAATAGTTACATTTTAACATCAGATTCTAACCAAGCTGCTGAATTAGTAACTGATGCCCTCCCATCTCCAAAATCAGTACAGAGGGAACTATGAAGGAAAATACTATGAAACGTAGAAAACTGTGAGAAGCCCCTGGGGTGACCCACTGAAAGTTTAAATTAATTGTGTTGGATGAGAGGCAGGCAGACAGGGCTAGTCACAGCAAAAATCACGGGAATTGTTATAGTTCTGTTATTGCTTCTACCCTGTCTTTATTATGGGACCAGCAATGCCTTCCTTCTTACCTGCACTGGATCATGTTTTGCCCTAGTGGTAAAATCAGGAAACAAAACCCCTGTGCTTGAGAGGAGCAAAAAAATACAACTGTAGGTTAATCAACTTGGTGCAGGTACTTCCTCCTTGAACCTCAAAACCAATAATACACAATCTAATGAGTTTCCTCTGCAAAGGATGAAGCCAGGACCTTAACAACTGTTTGTGGAGTGATGAGTAATTGGCTGTTTTTCTTTTTTTCTGGTGGCTGAGGCTCTTCACCTGAGAGCTCATTCCCGCCACCTCCTCCACAAATATGCACATTCTGAGTTTATCGTGTTTGAGAGGGACTGAGGTTTGGCTTCCTTAGACACATTGCCTGACACAGTAGCCCATTTAAAAATTTCCCAATTTGGAGAAAAATGAATTTACAGGCCCAAATAACAAAGTTTTTGATAACTACAACTATTTCAAAACAAATATGACATATTAGATCACAAATTCCATCAGAAACAGAAATATTAAAACAGATGGACCAAGAATTTAAAATTAAGCTAAAAAACAATGCTAGACGAGATTAGGGACACATCACTAATATGAAAGAAGGACAAAGAAACATAAAAAAGGATCAAACACAAATATTAGGTATAAAATCACAATATCTGAAGTAAAAGACATCTTGAACAGGCTATACAACAAAATGGATACAGTTAAGAAACAAATTAATAAATTGAAAGATCAGATTTGGGGAATTTCCTTGAAGGAGGGAACAAAAGAAAGAAAAATATGTATTTTTTAAATTTAGCAGTACTTATATCTGGGTAGTAGAAATCTCAGAAAGAGGGAGAAATAAAAATGGGGAGGGGGTAATACTTGAAGGCATAATGGAGAAAATTTCCTGGAATAAAAAAATAAGATGCAGACCCTCAGATTGAAGAGATCATTTAAAGACGAAGATGATAAAGGAAAAGCCACACTTAGACAAATTACAGTACAATTTAGGACCTCAAAGACAAACAAAAAATCCTAAAAGTTGATAGAGAAAAGGCGGATTGCATAAAAAAGAAAGAAGCAGCAAATTTCTATCAGAATTCAAAAAAATAAACAACTGGAAGCAAGAAGACTATCGTGTCTTTTCAAAGAATTAAAGGAAAAGAAATCTGAACTTAGAATGATATGTCCAAACTGTCATCCAAAGATCAGAGCATAATAAAAAATATTCTCAGAAATACAAAGCATCAGCAGCTGAGACCTTCACTGAAAATAGTTTTTGATGAAGTACTAAAATAAGAGATTATTAAAATCCGGGAGAATGAGAAGACAGAATAATACCTAATGTATTTTACCTGATAAAGTTTGTTATCTATAAAATAAATATCTAAGACCAAGAAAAATAAGAAATGTATTTGTAATAACAGAATTAAAAGACTAGAAAATATCAACATGATGAGTATTAGGGTAGAAAGGGAAACAAAGAGATGTCCAATTGAACCATTGTTCTTTACTTATTGTGGTGTCAGTATAAATATCAGCATTTCTTTTTAAATGTAAGAAAGAATTCAAAAGAAACAGAAAATGGGAGTCCATTGAAATATGTCCATCTATATCTGATTCTCTTTCCTTACAGGGACAGAGTAAGGATTCTGTCCCTCTCACTCTTTAAAGTTAGTCCTGTAGCTTGCTAGGACAATGTAACGAGCACAAAAGCCACATGTATCACTTCTAGACAAAACCTTTTTATTTTCATTGAGACACTGTCATTTCCTTTTCACTGCTTCAGAAATTGATAAGGCTCATGTTGAAGCTTGGTTAGCCTGGGAACCTGAGTGGCTATGATGAGCAAAGCCCCACTGCCAAACCTTCTTGGCAGCAAATAAACTCAAGGTGCAAATGAGGTCTTGGGAGTTGGTTGTTACTGCATTATAACTGAGCCCCTACTAACAGAGATGTCTGGGTCTGTTTCGAGAACATTTTTTACCCATTTATTTCTATTCTTAAGGGCTGATCACAGAAAAAAAAAATGGGATGTGTTACGAGGTCCTCTCCCTGTATGAATCAGGTACCTGAATCAGGTAATCAATTACCTGATTCCGAGACTGCCTGGTGGTATGTTGGACTATATCTAGCAATTCTTTAGATGCCTTTTCTAGAAGTGAGTTATCCCTGAGCCAAAGGGTGCCAGTGGATATCTACCCTTAATAACTAAAGTGCAAAGAAGTTGAAACAACTAGAAATACAACAGTACGTGCTTTGTTTATGAGATGCAACAGGTCTTTGAACAAGTTCCTCTTTGAACAAGTGCCCTCTAGCGGGGATGCTAAGAGCTAAAGGAGGAAGTGAGCTATTGTTTCCAAACTGAGAAGGTGCCAAAGGCAAGACAGGATGCATTCTTAGGGTCTGCTCACCAGATAACTGCTGAAAGAAATCACCAGGAGATTTTGCTGCTTGTGAGATTACTTGCTGCTAAAAGCAATTGCTTAAGAGTATTACTGGAGATGTTTAGCTGGTGTCTGTATCTCAAACTTTAATGTTCATGTGAATTGCCTGGGAATCCTGTTAAATTCAGACTAATTCAGTCCATTTGGGATGAGGGTGGAACAAAACTGAATGGTTCTAACAAGCTTCCAAGTAATGCCAAAGCTGCTGGTTCTCTGATTGCACTTTGAGTAGCAAGGAGCTAACATAATTGTTCTCAACCATGGCTGCATATTAGGATCATCTGGAGAACTTTGAAAATGCTGATGTCTGGATACCATCCTCATATGTTTTGATTTAATTGGTCTAGGAGTGGCCCAGGGCCAGGGTCTTTAGGCAACACTAATATGTTGCCAAGGGTCAGAATGACTGAGCTAAAACCTGCGGCTCCTTCTAATGAGCACAGCATCAAGGACACAGCTGGACATTAGTCCCCACTGTTATCCATAGGAGAAGGTAGAGATTCTTAGTACTTTAAAAACAAAAATAATAATTATAATTAGAGGTTATCATTTCCTGAACACTTATTATATGTCAACAACTCTACAAATTACATTAATTCTCTAATTTAATTGTTACAAATGTTATAGGGTAGGTACCTTTACTAATTCTATGTATAGGTGAGGAAATTGGGGTTCAGAGAGGCTATGTAAATTGCCCAAGTTCTTATAGCAACTAAATTAATAATGTGGAGGTAACGCCAGGCAATCTAACGCTAGAGCCCTTACACTTAGTCACTACACTGCTCAGTGTTTTGTAGTGAAGAAAATGGATAATCATTTTCTCTAGGAAACACCACGGAAACAAGCCCATAAGCTCTGGGTGGGAACTCAAATAAAGACTCTACAGAGAAGCTCTAAATACCAATTAGGTCATTGTGGGAAAGTGAGAAATCTCACACAATGAGCATTTTTTTGAACTACATGTCTATCCTTGTATGGAATATGTGCATTTAGTCTCCCTCCAGATATTTCTGCTCCTGTCTATTTACCTCTTTCCAGGTGATGTTTCCAGAATATCTGTTCCTAGTTATTTGGGGAAGAAGGTTTGGTTCTCATATACACTTGAGTGAGAGCAGGCTGCAGGGTGAATCTCTGAGGTCACCTTGCCCCTGCCAGTCTCAGGTATCTGGTCACCCTATAGCTTCTCTCAAGCTAGAGCTTCTCAATGAACTGTGCTGCTTCTGTGGGCCCTGGTGGAGACAGTGTAGGACAGGAAGGGTGCACCACCCTTCCCATAAGCAGGCACAATGCCCACTGACTGTCCATTAACTTCCAAAGCACCATTGCCCAACACAAGGCTGGCACAGGAAACAGATTCTACCAGGTAACTATTGAAGAATAACTAGAAGAGATTACAACAGTGGGGGGAATAACCTAACATTTGATGCTAAATAGCATTCTTTCTCAGAAGCCAAGGGAAAGGAAAAGGTAAATGCTTCCAGGATGTCTTCTCATAGGCATAACCATTTTACAGTCTTAGGGTTCCCCTCCTTTGCCTCTCTTCAAAAAGATAATCTCCTCTTCAGTTTCACAGAATAAATCCTCTCTAACTACAGGAAAACCTTATTTCCCACCCTAGAATTCTTTTCCTAGGGTGCTTTCCCTCTCCCCTTACTGCTAACCAGGACAATGGGACTCAATATCTATGGCTGCCCCCTTCTCAGAGGCTGGGTTCCTCTTTTGAAAACACATGGGGCTGCACCTTTGGTGGTCAGGTGCAGCCTCTGTCCTCTGCTGGTGGGACTCCAATATGTGTCGTTGCCTGCTTCCATGGCCTTGCAGATTCACTCCTGGTCTCCTGTGGTAGGTAACATCCCTGCACCAATTTCCACCTCTCCTTCCCCCTGTCTCTCTCTCAGGCACTGAGACACACCCCAATATCTCAAGGACAAACAATGCCTTGGAGAGACAGTGTAAACAACAGCGAGACAAAGGAAAGCACCTTCCTGGTGGGCTCTTCTACCTGCTAATTACTTACAGGGAGTCATATATAAACATTTCACTGCCCAAATAATGAGATCCTTGTCCACAAAATGATGCATGGTGGTTTCAGTTCTTTTTTTCCTCACCCTTTCCAGCTTCTCAGCATAATAAGCAATGCCTATAACAGAACTTAACCAAGAGTCTCCTTTTTCTGAGACACTGCTGCCCTTCATTAGAAGACAAAGCAATGCTGTAACATATGATAACACTGCTTTTCCTGCCAGTACCTTAGCTTTGAGGATGCAGCTCAGAGAAGGAAGGCACATTCGAACCGTCTCTGTACTAGCCTTTTTGGAATAGGGCATACTTCAATTTTACTGTAGCCCTGAGAAGATGCACGGTAAAAAAAAATAATCAAAGTCTTTAGTATCAGAGAGACAAGGGTTGAAGCTTCCATTCTTTATTTACTAGCTCTGGGACCTTGGACAACGTACTTAACCTTTCGATTTTCTTACCTAAAATGGGTTAATACTTTTGCCTTATTAGATATGAGGACTAAATAAAATATGCATACAATTTAGCTGGTATATAGTTGATAAACATAAATAATAGTGTCCTTCCTTATCCCTTCTAACTTCTGGGATATTTCTAAATATTTATTTTGGGGGTATGCATATGTGGAATTCTTTGTGTTCTTATAGCAGCATTCTGATACAAAATCAAATCAGACTAAACAATTTACTGGAATCATCCTTTTTAACCCTTACAAGAACCCTATGGAATTGGTGCTAATATAATCCCTATTTCACAGATAAAGGAATTGAGGTTAAGGCAACACGCCCCAAGTTATTTAGATGTGATGAGATTTTACCCTTGGAACCTGGTTAAAAGAAAGTGAGACACAAGGCAAGTAACAGCAAAATGGAAAATTACAGGCTGGGTATGGAGGCTCGTACCTGTAATCCCAGCACTTTGGGAGGCTGAGGCAGGAGGATTCCTTGAGCTCAGGAGTTCCAGAACATCCTGGGCACACTCTATTATTTAAAAAAAAAAAAAAAAAAAAAGGACTGTGGAAGAAAAACAACAATCCTTTTAATCCTGGGCTTCTTAGGACTAGAAACTATATAATTATGATAAAGCTCCCTTAATTAGGCCAAAGCAATAGTTCTGTGTGTGCTCTTTGAATTTTCACAACTGGGATTTAGCCTTTTCCTGTCTAAGAAAAAAACAGAAAAGTGACCTTATAAGAAAGCTTGAATTTAACTGAAGTTGGCAGGACACAGGTGGGCTTTTAAATAGTCTATGAACTATTTTGCACAGATATGCTAAATATTTTCTCTTAGTAAGATATATTTAACTTCTTATTAATATCTAAAGTTTTAATATTGGCTTTTTATTTCTAGAAAAACAGAATTTAACTCATTTTAAGTTATCTTCAGAAAATGTTTCACGGCAATTACCCAAGTCCAAGGCAGCTCTTTCCCAGACTCCTGGCAGAGCACTCACCTGATAATAGTGTTCCCACAGAGGATTCCAGTCATCTGGAAAAGCATTGTCAGAAAAACCTCCTCAGATCATGTCAAGATGAAATAATATTAGAAGTGTTGCCTCTGCTGGGTTATCCAAGGCACACATTTCAGAGCTGATTCCTCCCAAATGCTACTTAAAGATCAGTGACATGCTTCCTGAACACGTATCTTTTCTCCATAATCTTATTTCTTTATGTGCTTACTACAGAGAATATCTCTTTAAAAAAAAAAGGCTTAGCGGCTTAGCTCACATTTTGCTTTAATAGCTCTTTTTTGTTTTCAGTGAGACTCCTTTACATTTCTCTCTCTCTCTCTCTCTAACATTAATCTAGAAAAGGATATTTCTCAGCAGAACACACATTATTAAGGGTCATCCTCATATGGAGCCATCAGCAGCTCCACACAGTTTAGCTATCTATGAGGCTTTAATGCAAAAACACTTGCTTTCATTTGTTCCTAACATTAAGCTTTGGAAAAATTCATTAAACTGTATAGAAGAGTGATAGAGCTCATTGATTCTTCTGTTTTTTATCTGTGAAATGAGGAGAGTAGATGAGGTATTTGTATAATTTCTATGGATATTAGATAACCCACTATTAGGGAATGTGTAAGTTTCTTCTTGCTGCTCTCACAATTTGCCACACACTTAGTGGCTTAAAACAACACAAGTTTGTTATCTACACTCCTGAACGTCAGAAGCCCAAAATGGGTCTTATGAAACTAAAATCAAGGTGTCAGCAAAACTGCATTCATTATTTCTGGAGGCCCTGGGGGAAAATCCATATTCTCACCTTTTCCAGTTAGTAGAGACCATCTGTACTCTTTGGCTTGTGGCCCTTTCCTCCATTTTCAGGGCCAGCAGGGTAGCATCTTCAAATCTGTATTTCTGATCTCTGCTTTCTGTTGTCACACCTCCTTCTCTGACTGTGCCACTCCTGCTTTCTTCCATCTTATAAGGACCCTTGTGATTACACTGGGCATACTCAAATAATATAGATTAACCCTCCCATATCAAGATTCTTAACCTTATCACATCTGCAAAGTCGCTTCTGCTGTGTAAGGTAACATATTCACAGGCTTCAGAAATTTTGAGGCAGACATTTTCGGATGCAGACGTTTTGGTAGGCTGTTACCCTGCCTACCACAGAAAGGTACTGATTAAATGCCTACAACATTAACTTTCACTCACACAGTCACATAAATATAAGCGTGTGCAAAGTATTACATTTAGTGAGTGGTTTGGTGTGGGCAGGGGATACTCACAGCACAGCCGTTTTAGAGGTCACACACAGTTCCAGTAAGGATAGATTCTAAAGAGACCACTTTGCGGAATGGGTTTTCTTAAAGGGTCAGCAAGAGCTACACATGAGAGTTGCCCCCTCCCATGGCTGAGGAAAGTGTCACATGGCATGTGGTGGATCACCAAGTGGGTCTAGAAAACAAAGTGAGTAAATTCATGATGGCACACCGCCGTGTTTTATTACAGTTCAGAAGTTCCCTTGAGCTTAAAGGTTTTTTCCCTGCTGTTTCACTTGCCAGCAGAGTTGCTCTGTAGATTACACAGTATGTCAACTCACTGAATGCTTTCCACTCACTAGAGCGTCTGTGCCTTTAAACATTAAGATATGGAAGAATTTTAGGTTCTTCTAATCCACCCGTGGTGTGTGATAGATGAATAAACAGACACACAAAGCGTAATTAACTTGCCCAAAGTCACTCTGGTAGAACCTGCGCTATAACCAGACGCTGGCATGATTCCTGTTCCAGTGCTCTGGCTGCTATGCCATGCTACCTCTGGCTTTGTTTGCAAATGCTGTTGGGACAAGCAAATGCAATAGCAGGTGGTTAAATATGGATATTAAAGCTTTACTTTCATAGCAAATAGATGGGAATTAATGCTAATTTCTGAAATGCAAGAGTACCTCTCTTTTTTTTAGGAATGATGAAGTCACATTTTGAAATAAAAGGAACACTATATTTTCACATTTAAATTGATATTCTACAAGTCTGATAAATAAGAATCAATATGAAGGGAAAATTATTTTACCCACCATAGTTGGTAAAATTGTCATTGTTCTCTGTTGCTTCTTTTATCTATATTATTTAATTTTTTTCTTTTGATAAAGATTTATCTACTTTGAGTTGGAATAAAATCCAAACTTTCCTTACTTAGAAAGAAAACTATCGGCAGCCTAATGTTTGCCAGGGGGAAATTATAAAGTCTTCAATATTCCTCTCAGAGAAAAATGTCAATTTCCTGGGATCTGAGATTATTTTAAGTGCTTTATCTTTACATAACCAAAATGTCCCCAGTTTTCTTCCAACGTTAACATTCTAGACGTAAATTTCCTTGGTTTATTAGCCTCCATCTGCTGCCTAGGACTCCATCGGATCCCCTAGGCCTCCTCTGTCTCCTCGGGACTTTCTTTAGGTTGGGTCTCAGTTGTGCTGGCTGCCAAATTTAAGCTAGCTCCTCCACCACTGCCTCTTCACTGATGCCTGAGACCTATTCTTCCCAAAGCAGAAGTGGGGAGATCCCCCTCAAACTCCCTTACTCAATTCCATCTTGTATTTGGTTATTTAGTCCCCTAAGCAGCACTTGGTTACCCTAAATGTGATAAAAAGCCCCCCTGGAAGTGTGTTAGCTTCTTCTCACTCTCTAGCAGGTTCTCTGTTGTCCCGTCAGGTTGAGGAACAGACATAATTACCCTCTGTCTTGCCAACTTGCATAAAATCAATGAATATGGGTAGATATGCTAGGGAAGAGTGGGGGGGTGGGAAAAGGCAACTCAATCTGTCAGGCTCAGCTTTCTATACTGAGATAAGTAACTGCCTGCTAATTTATGATCATGATGAGTGATTTTTAAGTGGCAGGAATAAAATGCTCCCCAACAGCTTCCCATTCTATTAACTTCATTTTTAACTTATTATTTAGTCAACCTTACTTTTACTAATGACTGTCAGAACTAGAAAAACACTGTTAAGAAAAGTGGGGCCGGACACCGTGGCTCACGCCTATAATCCCAGCATTTTGGGAGGGTGAGGCAGGCAGATCACTTAAGTCCAGGAGTTTGAGGCCAGTCTGGGAAACATGGCAAAACCCTGTATCTACAAAGAATATAAAAAATTCAGCCAGGCTGGTGGTGCATGCCTATAGTCCCAGCTATTCGGGAGGCTGAGCTAGGAGGATGGCTTGAGCCCAGGAGGCAGAGGTTGCAGTGAGCCAAGACTGTGCCACCGCATTCCAGCCTGGGTGACAGAGTGAGATCCTGTCTCAAAAAAAAGAAAAAAAAGTGAGAAACATTAAAGTTATCTAATACTCTTTTTTAAAAAACAAAAAAAAATTACTTTATTGAAAACACTTTAAAAATAATGAAAATCTAAGCCAAAAATTACCCATTAAGTCCTGAATTAAAGACAATGTTTTCATTCTCCCAGGTTACCACCCAGTTCCTTTTTTAATGCCTCTGTAATATGTTATTAAACATGTAGGGGGTGTAAAAGGAAGACCCTCTGTGGGGTCAAGTCATGTTTTGTTAAAATTCTAATTCACAGATATGTTTTTCCAAATAGGATTATGAATTTCTTTGGAAACTTTTTCTTTCTCTCAAATTCTACCTCCCAAACATAAGAATCATCCAGACTCCTTTCTGAGATTTTCTGTTTTCTTCACCACCCATGTGTAAATAGTTTTCCTCCCAGCCAGGCTCGTGAAGGAGCAATTTGCAGCCAGGCTGCGGCAGGCTTGCCTATTCTCAGTCCCAGTGCAGCTTCTCAGAACCCCTGGCTCCCCTTGGCCATTCAAAGGCTGGCCTTGATGTAATTTTATGCCTGTAAAAGGTGATGTTTCTCCCTGCGGGTTCCTTCACCCTGTCTTCCCATATTACTTGCTATTTTGAGATTCAGAACATTTCTTTAGCTGCTTCTCTCAGATTTTTTTCTCTGTGTTCCTCTTACCAAAGCTTTTATGTCAGCCTTCATCTCTATGCTGATGTATCTCAGAGGGAGAAGTAAGCGGCTACTTTGGTAATTGATTTATTCATCTTCTATTTTGGGGTTTTTTTGAGATGTAATTTGAGTGTCTCAAATTACACTCTTTACATTACTTTCTTTCCTTTTTTTCTAAGGACAGAGGAATTTGGAGTTGGGTGGAAAAAGAACAAGAAAGGAAAGATATTCATTTGTCATTATAACCAATATTAAAATAGTTATGAGCATCTACTATATGGCAAGCATCTACTACATGGCAAGCACTGGTCACAACAATGCATGAGGAAAATACAGCCCTTATTCTCCTAGAAGGTACAACCCAAGGTAGGGGACAAGCTAGGGGTGGCAAGGGGGATGTGCAAATACAGCTTAGTCACTGGGAAGGAAGGGAGATGTAAGTTGCTTTGAAAACACATAAAGCTCTCGTCTGGGAGCTATATGTCAGGAACTGTCTGCTCAGTGAGAGTGACTTCCAAGTGGAGACCTGACAGTTGAGTAGGAATTAGCCTGGCAAAGACAAGAGGCTTGTTCCGGGAGAAAGAAATAGATCTGAGGTGGGAGACTGCATGAGGAACTCAGGCTCCTGCAGGGAGTGCAGTGTGGCTGGAGCCCAGACTGTGAGGGGGCAGCAGCAAGCAAGGAAGGGTCTCTCAAACAATGTTTGGTAGGTGGGACTTTTTCCTGAGGGAAACTGTCCCTGGTAGGGAGACAGGAAATGTTACAAGCTGGGAAGTGACAGGGTCACTGTGTTATTGTGTGGAGAAAAGATACCAGGTGTGGGAGGCAAGGAAGTAGGAAGCTGTCTTAAATTATCTAGAAATAACAGTGGTGTGACCAGAAAAGGTGGCTGTGGTGTTGGGAAACAGGCAGTATATTGGAGAGGTATTTCACCAGTAAGATTGACAGGACTGGGTGACTAACTCTGTATGTAGATAAGAGAGAGAGGGATTTTCTTGGATAACATGTAGGATTCTGGCTTCAAATAATAGGTAGATATTAGTGGCTCTCGTTGAGTCAGGGAACACTTGAGGAAGACTGGGTTTTGATTTCAGTTTGAAGAATGTTGAGGTTTATATGGGGGCAGGGGATGAGAATGAAAACAGAGATAAGCATATATGGATCTGGAGCTCAGGGTTGAAAATACACATTTGGGAATTATCAATAATAGTTGGTACAGATCTATAATTCCTTATCCACAACTCCAAATCTCAAAAGCCCTAAAATCCAAGTGATTTTGATTTTAAGTTTCATGCAAATGCATTTGAAGCAAAGTCTGATATGAACTAAGTTAAGGTATTTTTTAATCTTTATCCCAATAATATGATTATTTATACCTTTTGTTCTAGGAAGGTTAATGTGATCAGTTATGGGGTGGGTGCTGCCCAGATCCTAATGTTAATGTTAGTAATATACAGTAAATACAGTGTTTTAGATTTCTAAAATCCAAAAAGATAATCTAAGTTTGAAACCATTTGTCCTCAAGGGTTTGTGGACTTATATTTGAAATCTGGAGAGCGGATAAGAGCCTGAAGGACAGTCTGTGAAATAATGAGAGTTCTATGATGGATATAATAAATTGTCACTCAGTAGCTATCTCAAATATCTATCCTGTTTTTCAGAAACTAGAAAGTTAGAAACTACATTTTTCTCATTGGAAGCTGCTGTTTTAGACAAATTTCCCAAAGCAGATGAATTTCTGCCAGATTTGGAAGATGAAAGTGATATAAAGGTTGTGTGCCTGCAGTTGCTGCTGGTGAGCCCAGCCATGAAGGATGTGGAAGTCTAGATTTGGTGGTAGCATCCTGAACAGGCTGCTTCCTGATCCTGGGAGCTTCCTGATTATGGTAGTGAAGGAGGTTATAAATGTCAGCTACAACTTTGTGAACAGTTGCAGAAATAAGGTCCGTGGTAGCTACTTATATGCTTTATTATGTATTATGTTAATATACACGAAAGTATTTAAAGGAAGCATATATTTTGTATATGCTTTCCCCTTCTTCCCTTTCTTTTTCCTTTTCTCTTTGATACACAGTATGTTGATGATTGCCAAATTTATCATTTTGGCCACAGGCACAGGATGTCCAAATAGTATGGTGACTGAACTAGGAAAGAATTGAGTGTCACCCAGTGGTGACTGGATGGATGCAGTTACTGATGGAATTTTGGGTCTTCTCCTCACAGGGGAAGATGAGATTGTTTTCATAGGTGTGAAACATAGTGTTGTCACATTAGGTAGGAGCACATTGCTGTTGCTAGTGGTGTTAAGTGTGGGTAGAAGGTTGTGCTGGGTGTTAAGTAGCCAGTGGGGTATAGCTCCATCTCATGTTAGTCTCGTATGCTATTCTTTCTTCAGAGGCTGGAACATAAAATTACCTTTCCCATACTCTTGCAACTAGGATTCTGGATATGATTTGGGTTTTACCAATTAGATGCTTTTATGTGAGATTTGGAAAGTAGAAGTAAAGTGGGGAGATTCTAATGTTTCATATGTCATTTCTGTTTTAAGCACCATCTGGAGGTAGTATCTTCGCCACTGGGGCAGCTTCCTGATCAAAGCTTTGCCATTTTTATTGTTAGATTCCTGACTGTGGCAATGGGGGTTTAGTTCTGGAGTCAATAGATGGCACCTTCACAGTTTGACAAGTGGCTTCATGAGTGTAAGGGACAGTGTCTCCTTTTATGATTTTGAAGATATTCCTAAAACATCAATCTTAAGTTTGCTTCTGAGCTTTCACAGTAGCTCTGCAGGTAATTTAATACCCTGTAGTAAATCCCTCCCTGGTTAACCTGGCTGGAGAAAATTCTGTTTGCTTCAGTGAATTCTGACTGAAAAAAAAAAAAACGTGCCTAAGGCAAACCCTCAGGAAAAGCTACTTATGATACATGATAAGAACAGAGAACTTGACCAAAATTAATTGGAGTAAGCAGAGAGGTAGAGAGAAAAAAAATAGTGTAATGTCATGGAAGGCTATGGATACTAAATTAGAAACAACTTCAAACTAGGCCACATCATGGAAGATAAGAAAAAAACTCTCTATCACCATTATCAGAATGAGCAAACAGAGCACAGAATAATTTTTTTGATGCTGTGAATACTTCTAGTGATTATATGGCAAGACAAGGCTACAGATCAACATATATATATGCATGAAGCATATATATGCTTTAATAGAGATGAACACACAGCAAGTGCGCAAACAGTGAGACATGGATATCATAGAACACATTGTGAGTAAATAAAGAATTCACATCGCTTCTACCCTTTACCCAGTAAGAGAAGGCTCTAGGCCACCTCTTCCTCAAACTCTGTCTTCCTTGGCCATGGCATCCTGGTACTGTTGGTACTTGGGCACCAGGTCATTCATGTTGCTCTCAGCCTCAATGTACTCATCCATCTCATTCATGCCCTCACCCATGTACCAGTGCAGGGAGGCCTTGCACCTGCGTATGACAGTGAGCTGCTCCAAGATGCGCTTAAACAGCTCCTGGATGGCTGTGTTGTTGCTGATGAAGGTGGAGGACATTTTTAGCTCTGGAAGTGGCTACATTTCACATTATGGGGGGACCCAATGAGCAAAGTAGCTCCTGTGCTTGTTTTGGATGTTAAGCATTTTCTTGTCCACCTCCCTCATGGACATGCAGTCCCTGAAAATGGCAGCTGCTGCTAGGTAGCAGCCACAGCAGGGGTCACATGTAGCCGTTATGTTCTTGGCTTCTTGGTCTGCTGATGACCATCTAGGGTCAGGGCAGTCTGTGGCTTGGGAATTGGTGTTGCTTAATGTTTTTATCCACACACAAACAAAATTCAAATGTCTTTTGTATTGGGCAAGTAGGCAAAGCCTCTTGTATTTATTCCAGACAACTAAAAAATAATCCCTAAAACATACCTCACTTTCAACATGTTAGAAACACCTCATAGTTACATAGGAGTTGCTAATCTTGAGCATTTCCTTTATACTTTTCAATTATTTCCCCTCTCTTAGAGACACACATCTATTTTTCTTCTCCAATTTTTAATATGAATCTTCAGTGATTTCATTTACCTCCTGGTTTTGTACCATAGAAGTGGCCATTTCATCTTTAGTACCTTCTTCCAGACAGGTTTATAGCTACCACAGCATCCACTTCTATACTCCCAAATGTCTATGTGTAACTCACGATTTCAAATGTATACTATTATGGTTACCACTTGTTAAGATAAAAGTTATAGCTAGGATTGTCACAGTCACTGTGGAATTTACAGATACTAAGAAGTTTATCTTCTACTGTTCCATATTTTAAGCATTTAGAATACTACCTACCAAGAAGGTACTTGTTACTGATCTGACATCCAGAAACCTCCTGTCGGGGATTCAGCTAGCTTCATGGTCTATCTATCAGTGTTTGCTAGTTTGTTCTTTACTTTCCCAGGACTTAGCATCATCTTCCAACCTACAAATATGATTATATTGTTTCTCCCCCTTCTCGATTATTTATACAAATGCTTGATGAAAATGACCCTAGATGGAACTGGCAGATTCTGTTGTTTACATGACTACATTTAGAAAAGTACTCATTTGTTCCTTTTATTGCCTGATTAGAATTAGACAACAAGAGTTCATGAATAAAATATCCCAGTGCTGATTTTTAAAGAAGGCCTTGATTAGGAAAACTATCAAATTTTTAAAGTATAAGTATATTACATAGTCTGGATTTCACTTTGTCACATGTTTATTCTTCAAATTTCTGGTATATTAAAATAGGCATCTAGGAGAAATTCCACTGTCACTTATTACTTTAGATAAATGAAACTAAGATAAGATAACATGAAACTCATAGAAACAACTCAAGAACAGAGTGACAGCACAAAAGGTACTGCATTGTGGTGGGTACCAATAAATACAATGCCAACGCTATTGACAAACCTTCAGAAAGAAGAATGAATCCAAAATTATGCAATTTTACCAAAATAGAGTAAAAAAGGATTACTCAGAGGCATAGAGTATAAAAAAGAAAGATATTATCACACAAAAATCTCAATGATAAAATATAATCACTATGCCATTTTGAAATAACTATCTGTTTGATTTTTGAAACTTTTATAAAAACGAGCCTATAAATATAACACCTTAATGCTCCTGCCTTTCTTGCATATCTTACCTGTTCTGGTTGGCTGGTAGATTCTGTTGGTATACACTTTGTATTCAGAGGAAGACAAGACAACTTGCAAGGGTAGGAGGAATTTCTTTTTCTGTCGTGGATAATTAATTAGGCTATAGGTTTGCATCAATAGCCCTCTGTTGCTTCCCTCCTCTCTCTCTCATGCATGTGTACACACACACCAACACACATACATTTACACCAACCCTTCTCCACATACACACTCTGCCTGTCATTTAATTCTACAACCCATCTTGCCAATCCTCTTTGAAACTCAGTGCAAGCCCTATAATTTGATCTTTCTCTTTTCTTTTAGGAACTCCAATGTCATTTCATTTCTAGAACTTTCCTTCTAATCTGCTCCACTGACTTTTGGAATTTCCTGAGCTCAAAACACTAAGACCATGATTTCTTTACTGTTAATGTTCTACCAGTCAGATGTAGGGTTTTATCCCTATGAGCTAATCATTCTGAAATGTGACACCAATCTGTCCTTGTTAGACATTGTAGGAATTGCTTGGGGAACCTAGATTCTTTTCATTGGCTGAAATTTTCAGTTAGGGGCACTGTAGTACCTGCTCTTAGGAAAACCTCCTACCAGTTCTCACTTGCCAATGCTAAGAAGAGGGCAAGTCCAAAGTAGCGGGAAAAGAGCTTGTATTTTTCAATGGATGCTTGTATTTTTCAATGGATGCTCCTGAGGTGCTACTCTTGGCCACTCAGCCTGAACCAAATTCCCTTCTCCACCTGTTTGTCTTTAAACAGTGTGATGATGACAACGACTCCTTGCCTGAAAATGGAAACTTTCCTCCTGTCTGTGTCCTCCTGCCTGTGTGGCTGTCTAGGACTTTGCAAAATACCTTTGGGTGTGTTTTCTCATGTTATTCTGGGAGCACAGTGAAAGGAGAAGGGCAGAGCTTTCAGTCCTCATTTTAAACATAAGAAAACCTCAGTTTTGAAGACATGAATGACCTCTGCAGTGGGTCACATAGCTAGGTAAGTCCTTAAAGTTGGACGAAATCCTGCTGTTTTCTGATTCCTGGCCTGGCCCTCTTTCTTCTTCACCAGTGTTTCCCAAACTTCAGTCATCCTAGGCAACCATCTTATTTTACCATGCCTGGCTACCACTTGTTAATATTTTTAGGTATTTTTAATATATTCACTTTCTTACCCAAATTAAAAATATCTAAGAACTTTCTATCATTATCATAAGTAGAAAATTAGCACTTCTTTCCCAGTGGAAGATAACTGACTATAAGTACATTAAAACAAAGCAATATTATGAAATTCTAGCTAAATAAGTTGCTTTCATGTTGCCAAGTCAAAGACTCTGAAGCCTAGGCCTACTTTATTATTATTATTATGAAAAAAAGTTGGCAAATGATAGAGATATGTTAAGTATATGCTAGCATGAACTGGAGACTCTCCATGAGAATGTTAAATGCATTGAGAGACAGTTGAAAACAATAAAAGAACGGAATCACCATAAAAATCAATATTTTTAGGCTATGCATTTCTATAGACCCCAAGGTCATCTTACCTATTTCAAGAGGTAGGTGTTCTCCAACAACTCTTTGGGAAACATCATTGTATTCTGATTACTCATATATCTCTTACATTTTTTTTTTCCTTCCGGTGAACTTAAATGCAGACTTCCAGTTGCAGACTTTGAACCTGTCTTCCCTCTTTTTCCCCAGACTGAGTCACCAGGGTGGACTTTGAACCCAATATCACCTCCTGGCTCCATGCCTACTCTACCTTGAGTCTCTTCATGTTTCTATGCAACTGCAGAGATGGCTCCAATAACAAAAATTTTGACACGGCAGTTTCTAAATAGGCATTAAACAAGTAGTCTTTGTGTCTACTTTTAAATTATTTAGCACATTTTTCAACTGCTGGAGGAAACCAAGCAAGACAACAACGTGGTTAGGCATAAATAGGATTCTTTTCAGAAGAATTGCTCCTCTGTTTTAAAATTGCTGTTTTAGAAAATCTATTTTGTAGCAATTACTAGGTATCTTGTAAGGGAAAATATAAGACTTTGGAATAAACTAAAAAGACTACTTGGATATCCTTTTAGTGGAATGCTACAGCCTCTGGGAAATTATCTGATTCTGTAAGGGACCCTGTACCTTTCTTTGCCTTTGAGCTATTTTATAATCCTGTAATTTGTAGATACCTCATAGCAATGCACATAATTCTTGTCTATAAACATTCAAACAAATTTTTTCTGGTGGAGAAAGCCACTTTTGGGTCCATTTGTAAATTCATTTCAACATTCCCTTACTTTATATATACAAATGATTCTTTGATTTCTCCTTTGAACAAGGTTACAACATTGGCCTGGTTTCTTCATTAATTAATGAATTAAAATCTTTGTGTTTTATATCTGTAACAGAATCATGATTGTATTACTCTCTTTTAAAGTTTCTCTTTTAACTCTGCAGTAGAGACATTTCAAATAGAAGTTTAAGTTTTTTAAAAGACTTTTTACTGGTGTGGGTATTTTTCCATCTTATACCGCAATAATTTGAAAATACAAATGCTAGTATCTACTTAATACCACTGTAATTATTACCGTGATTAAAGACACCCACACACGCATACACACACAAACTCTAATTTAATCTGCTGAGGAACAAAAAGATAAAAATTTCCATAATTATAATAGTCTATCTGATTGTGTTTTCTGAGGAACATAGTGGGTGAAGTAATTCCCTACATATATATCTGGCTTTGATATTTTATATCAACCTACCCAGAGTCAACTATGTTCCAATGGTATCACATGTGATGATATTGAGTAGTGAAGACCACTTAAGGCCAATTGTGAGATGGTGAAGTTTAACCTTCACACATCTTGTCTTTATGCAGCATCTGCTGATACCTCCTCTGTTCTATCTCTAAGCAGATTCCTTTTCCTTTTTTCTTCTGGAGTGACTTCTTTCAGGCCATTATCTATCTACCTAGGAAATGTGGAAATCAGGAAGAGTTTGGACTTTTAAATATTTGGACTTGGTTCAAATTTCTGCTATGTCACTGGTGATATGACCTGGGTAAGTTAACATGCAGGGAAAAGAAGGAGAGATCAGACTGTTACTGGTCTATGTAGAAAGGAAAGACATAAGAGACTCCATTTTGAAAAAGATCTGTACTTTAAACAATTGCTTTGCTGAGATGTCGTTAATTTGTAGCTTTGCCCCAGCCACTTTGCCCCAGCCACTTTGACCCAACCTGGAGCTCACAAAAACGTGTTGTATGAAATCAAGGTTTAAGGGATCTAGGGCTGTGCAGGACGTGCCTTGTTAACAAAATGTTTACAAGCAGTATACTTGGTAAAAGTCATCGCCATTCTCTAGTCTCAATAAACCAGGGGCACAATGCACTGCGGAAAGCCGCAGGGACCTCTGCCCTTGAAAGCGGGGTATTGTCCAAGGTTTCTCCCCATGTGATAGTCTGAAATATGGCCTCGTGGGATGAGAAAGACCTGACCATCCCCCAGCCCAACACCCATAAAGGGTCTGTGCTGAGGTGTATTAGTAAAAGAGGAAAGCCTCTTGCAGTTGAGATAGAGGAAGGCCACTGTCTCCTGCCTGCCCCTGGGAACTGAATGTCTCGGTATAAAACCCGATTGTACATTTGTTCAATTCTGAGATGAGAGAAAAACCGCCCTACTGTGGGAGGCGAGACATGTTTGCAGCAATGCTGCCTTGTTATTCTTTACTCCGCTGAGATGTTTGGATGGAGAGAAACATAAATCTGGCCTACATGCACATCCAGTCATAGTACCTTCCCTTGAACTTAATTATGACATAGATTCTATTGCTCACGTGTTTGTTGCTGACCTTCTCCTTATTATCACCTTGCCCTCCTACTACATTCCTTTTTGCTGAAATAATGAAAATAATAATCAATAAAAACTGAGGGAAATCAGAGACTGCTGCCGGTGCAGGTCCTTGGGTATTTGCATGCATTAGGTATTTGTCCTAATGCTCTCCCTTCCCTTGACCCCTACCCCCTGAAGGACCCCAGTATGTGATGTTCCCCTCCCTGTGTCCATGTGTTTTCATTGTTCAACTCCCACTTATGAGTGAGAACATGTGGTGTTTGGTTTTCTGTTCCTATGTTAGTGTGCTGAGAATGATGGTTTCCAGCTTCATCCATGTCCCTGCAAAGGACATGAACTCATCCTTTTTTTATGGCTGAATAGTATTCCATGGTGTATATGTGCCACATTTTCTTTATCCAGTCTCTCACTGATGGGCATTTGGGTTGGTTCCAAGTCTTTGCTATTGTAAATAGTGTTGCAATAAACACACATGTGCATGTGTCTTTATAGCAGAATGATTTATAAATCTTTGGGTATATACCCAGTAATGGAATTACTGAGTCAAATGACATTTCTGGTTCTAGATCCTTGAAGAATCATTACACTGGCTTCCACAATGGTTAAACTAATTTAGACTCCCACCAATGGTGTAAAAGCCTTCCTATTTCTCCACATCCTCTCCAGCATCTGTTGTTTCCTGACTTTTTAATAATCGCTGTTCTAACTAGCGTGAGATGGTATTGCATTATGGTTTTGATTTGCATTTCTCTAATGACCAGTGATGATGAACTTTTTTTCATATATTTGTTGGCTGCATAAATGTCTTCCTTTGAGAAGTGTCTGTTCATATCCTTTGCCCACTTTTTGATGGGGGGTTGTTTGTTTGTTTCTTGTAAATTTGTTTAGGTTCCTTGTAGATTTTGGATATTAGACCTTTGTAAGATGGGTAGACTGAAAAATTTTTCTCCCATTCTGTAGGCTGCCTGTTCACTCTGATGATAGTTTCTTTTGCTGAGCATAAGCTCTTTAGTTTAATTAGGTCCCATTTGTCAATTTTGGCTTTTGTTGCCATTGCTTTTGGTGTTTTAGACATGAAGTCTTTGCCCATGCCTATGTCCTGAATAGTATTGCCCAGGTTTTCTTCTAGGATTTTTATGGTCCTAGGCCTTACGTTTAAGTCTTTAATACATCTTGAGTTGATTTTTTAATAAGGTGTAAGGAAGGAGTCCAGTTTCAGTTTTCTGCATATGGCTAGCCAGTTTTTCCAACACTATTTATTAAATAGTGAATCTTTTCCCCATTGCTTATTTGTGTCAGGTTTGTCAAAGATCAGATTGTTGTAGATGTGTGGTGTTATTTCTGAGGCCTCTGTTCTGTTCCATTTGTCTATATATCTGTTTTGGTACCAGTACCATGGTGTTTTGGTTACTGTAGCTTTGTAGTATAGTTTGAAGTCTGGTAGCATGATGCCTCTAGCTTTATTCTTATTGCCCAGAAATGTCTTGGCTATGTGGGCCCTTTTTTGGTTCCATATGAAGTTTAAAGTAGTTTTTTCTAATTCTGTGAAGAAAGTCAGTGGTAGCTTGATGGGGATAGCATTGAATCTATAAATTACTTTGGGCAGTATGGCCATTTTCACAATATTGATTCTTCCTATCCATGAGCATGGAACATTTTTCCATTTGTTTGTGTCCTCTCTTATTTCTTTGAGCAGTGGTTTGTAGTTCTCCTTGAAGAGGTCCTTCACATCCCTTGTAGGTTGGATTCTTAGGTATTTTATTCTCTTAGTAGCAATTGTGAATGGGAGTTCACTTGTGATTTGGCTATCTGTCTATTATTGGTGTATAAAAATGCTTGTGATTTTTGCACATTGATTTTGTATCCTGAGGCTTTGCTGAAGTTGCTTATCAGCTTCAGGAGTTTTTGGGCTGAGATGATGGGGTTTTCAAAATATACAGTCATGTCATCTGCAAACAGACTATTTGACTTCCACTCTTCCTATCTGAATTCTCTATTTCTTTCTCTTGACTGATTGTCCTGGCTGGAACTTCCAATACTATGTCGAATAGGAGTAGTGAGAGAGGGCATCCTTGTCTTGTGCCAGTTTTCAAAGGGAATGCTTCCAGTTTTTGCCCATTCAGTATGATATTGGCTGTGGGTTTGTCATAAATAGCTCTGATTATTTTGAGATATATTCCATTGATACCTAATTTATTGAGAGTTTTTAGCATGAAGGGGTGTTGAATTTTATCAAAGGCCTTTTCTGCATCTGTTGAGATAATCATGCGGCTTTTGTCATTGGTTGTGTTTATGTGATGGATTACGTTTATTGATTTGCATATGTTTAACCAGCCATGCATCCCAGGGATGAAGCTGACTTGATCGTGGTTGATAAGCTTTTTGATGTGCTGTTAGACTCGGTTTGCTGGTATTTTACTGAGGATTTTCACATTGATGTTCATCAGGGATATTGGCCTGAAATTTTCTTTTCTTGTTTTGTCTCTGCCAGGTTTTTGTATCAGGATGATTCTGGCTTCATAAAATGAGTTAGGGAGGATTCCCTGTTTTTCTATTGTTTGGAATAGTTTCAGAAGGAATGGTACCAGCTCCTCTTTGTACATCTGGTAGAATTCGGCTGTGAATCTGTCTGGTCCTGGACTTTTTTTGGTTGGTAGGCTATTAATTACTGCCTCAATTTCACAACTTGTTATTGGTTTATTCAGGGACTTCTTCCTGGTTTAGACTTGGGAGGGTGTATGTGTCCAGGAATTTATCCATTTCTTCTAGATTTTCTAGTTTATTCGCATAGAGGTGTTTATAGTATTCTCTGATGGTAGTTTGTATTTATGTGGGATCAGTGGTGATATCCCCTATATCATTTTTATTGCATCTATTTGATTCTTCTCTCTTTTTTATTTATTAGTCTGGCTAGTGGTCTATTTTGCTGATCTTTTCAAAAAACCAGCTTCTGGATTCATTAATTTTTTGAAGGGCTTTTCATGTCTCTATCTCCTTCAGTTCTGCTCTGACATTAGTTATTTCTTGTCTTCTGCTAGATTTTGAATTTGTTTGCTGTTGCTTCTCTAGTTTTTTAAATTTTGACTTTAGGGTGTCAATTTTAGATCTTTCCTGCTTTCTCTTGTGGGCATTTAGTGCTATAAATTTCCCTCTGAACACTGCTTTAATTGTGTCCCAGAGATTCTGGTACATTGTGTCTTTGTTCTCATTGGTTTCAAAGAACATCTTTATTTCTGTCTTCATTTCATTATTTACCCAGTAATATTCAGGAGCAGGTTGTTCAGTTTCCATGTAGTTGTGTGGTTTTGAGTGAGTTTCTTAAGCCTGAGTTCTAATTTGATTGCACTGTGATCTGAGAGAGTGTTTGTTATGATTTCCATTCTTTTGCATTTGCTGAGGAGTGTTTTACTTCCAATTATGTGGTCAATTTTAGAATAAGTATGATGTGGTGCTGAGAAGAATGTATATTCTGTTGATTTGGGGTGGAGAGTTATGTAGATGTCTATTAGGTCTGCTTGGTCCAGAGCTGAGTTCAAATCCTGAATATCCTTGTTAATTTTCTGCCTCATTTATCTGTCTAATATTGACAGTGGGGTGTTAAAGTCTCCCATTATTATTGTGTGGAAGACTAAATCTCTTTGTAGGTCTCTACGAACTTGCTTTATGAATCTGGGTGCTTCTGTATTGGGTGCATATACGTTTAAGATAGTTAGCCCTTCTTTCTGCATTGATCCCTTTACCATTATGTAATGCCTTTCTTTGTCTCTTTTGATCTTTGTTGATACAAAGTCTGTTTTATTCTTTGTTGATATTTTAAGTCTGTTTTATCAGAGATTAGGACTGCAACTCCTGCTTCCAGAGGAAAGATCAGGCAGCAACCTTTGCTGTTCTGCAGCCTCCGCTGGTGATACCCAGGCAAACAGGGTTGGGAGTGGAGCTCCAGCAAACTCCAGCAGACTGGCAGCAGAGGGCCTGACTGTCAGAAGGAAAACTAACAAACAGAAAGGAATAGCACGTCGATTCAAAGACCCTGTCTGAAGGTCACTAACATCAAAGACCAAAGATAGACAAATCCATGAAGATGAGGAGAAAGCAGCACAAAAAGGCTGAAAATTCCAAAAACCAGAATGCCTCTTCTCCTGGAAAGGATCACAACTCCTCACCAGCAATGAGTTTGAAGATGGAGAATGAGTTTGACGAATTGTCAGAAGAAGGCTTCAGAAGATGGGTAATAACAATCTCCTCCGAGCTAAAGGAACATGTTCTAACCCAATGCAAGGAAGCTAAGAACCTTGAAAAAATGTTAGATGAATTGCTAACTAGAATAACCAGTGTAGAAAAGAACATAAATGACCTGGTGGAGCAGAAAGACACAGCAAGAGAACTTTGTGAAGCATACACAAGTTTTAATAGCCAAATCAATCAAGCAGAAGAAAGGATATCAGTGATTGAATATCAACTTAATGAAATAAAGAGAGAAGAGAAAATTAGAGAAAAAAGAATAAAAAGGAACAAAGCCTCCAAGAAATATGGGACTATGTGAAAAGACCAAATCTACATTTGATTGGTGTACCTGAATGTGACGAGGAGAATGAAACCACAAAGGGAAGCCCATCAGACTAACAGCAGATCTCTCTGCAGAAACCCTACAAGCCAGAAGAGAGTGGGGGCCAATATTCAACATTCTTAAAGAATTTTCAAGCCAGAATCTCATATGCATCCAAACTAAGCTTTATAAGCAAAGGAGAAATAAAATCCTTTACAGACAAGCAAATGCTGAGGGATTTTGTTACCACCAGGCCTGCCTTACAAGAGCTCCTGAAGGAAGCAGTAAAAATGGAAAGGAACAACCGGTACCAGCCACTGCAAAAACATACCAAATTGTAAAGAACATTGACACTATGAAGAAACTGCATCAACAACCATCTAGCATCATAATGACAGGATCAAATTCACACATAACAATATTAACCTGTAATGTAAATAGGCTAAATGCCCCAATTAAAAGACACAGAATGGCAAATTGGATAAAGGGTCAAGACCCATCGGTGTGCTGTATTTAGGAGACCCATCTCACGTGCAAAGACACACATAGGCTCAAAATAAAGGGATGGAGGAAAATTTAACAAACAAATGGAAAGCAAAAATTATTGCTGTTTTTAGTGTAACAAATAAACTAAACTGAGGAACAAAAGGTTTCTTTAAAAATATCTTCACTTTAACTTTTTAAATATTTTTCACATCTTTGAGTGATGCATACTAATTAATCAGAAGAAAATAATGAGCTTTTCATCAAAGTATATAAAACTGAACTAATAATGTGCTAGCTATTCCCCTTTGGCTTTTAGTCTCAATTGAGATTAATTGTTCCTGCAAAAATTCAGGGAAAGGGGGTTTTGATTGACTTCGTTTTAGTATTTTGTCTTTGGATTCTCAAATATACTGAACCATTAATCAGAATATTATCAAGCCTGGGTCTCCTACATGAGAAAATAAGAAATTATGTAGACACAGTAGTTAAATTCTCCCCACTAAGCAGAAGAAACAATTGAATTTAATTTCTGATTGCTCTTGTAATATTTCCCACAGCTCCAAGAACACTGGAAATACAATGGAGCTTTGATGAATAAATCTTTTAGGAATGAGATTCATTTACCAAAGAGGTTTTTAAAAAATAGTTCAATTTAAAATTAATACATCATTTAAAGCAAAGTTGTGGTCAAATTCCTGTGTAGGGTCTAGTAGATGCTCCCAGCTGAAGGTTTCCAAATTTAAGCTAGATAAAATCGTAATTTTCAAATTTTATCTTCTATTTGTACATTTTGTTCTTTGTCTCATAAGGAAAAAAAATGTGTTTTCTATTTTCTGTATTTTTCTATGGCAAAATATGAAATATTTTGATATCATTAATGAAAATACTGGACTTTATTTCCCCTTTGGACCCTTACATTCTGTACAATCTGTATTGGATATCTATAAGCAGATAGAAAACTGGTGACTCAGGCAAGATTCTTTGAATCACATTTGTACAGTTAGAGGTAAATTCCTGAGAGCTATGAGGAGAAAAGATGTCTTTCTTTTAAGTTTTGAAATCTGGGGCTGTTCTTTTTCACCACAGCTCGGTGTTCCAGAGGATCTCTCTTTCTAGGTCTTCTCCTAGCCTCTTTCCCGTTTCTTTCTGCTGCCACTGAGACTGAAGCACAGGCCACTGGCAGCAACTCTGCTGTCCTAGCAGTTGGGCTGCCATGCATTTACATGTACCTTGAGGATAGGCTCCTCACCTGCAACTGCTGCCTAGGGCCAAAGCAGGTGCTCTCAGCTGTCTGCCAATAGCTGTTGTCACTGACAGCAATTCCACTCTCCCCAGCAGCAAGGCCACAGAAAACATGCATGTGCCCTGAGGGAAGGCTTTCCCTGCTCATTGCTGCTGCTGCTGCCCTCATCTGAACATTTCACTGGAAACCCGGAAATCTCCTTGTCCCTACCTACTGCAGCCAGAGCCCATATGCACCACCTGAGGGCCCAAAGACAGGCCCACCTCACCTGGCTCCAACTGCCAGTGCCCAAGCACTTCACCTGGGGCCTGATGATGGACCTACCCAGACTGCCTCTACCACTACAGCTGGTACCTATCCTCACATGCCACCTGCAGACCTGAGGCTGAGCCTGTCCAGCCCACTGTTGCCACAGCTGGCACCCAAGCAAACCACATGGAGCCCAAGAATCAGCCTGCTTGGACCCACTAACACCAGTGCAGAGTATGTTGTTGCCCTAAGGCCCAAGGACAGGCATACTAAGCCCACTGCTTCCACCATTTGGGTCCAAGGACAGGCCCACTTGGCATCACCATCTCGAGCAAAACTTCACCACAGCCTCTACTAACAAGTTTACCCTAAGTGACTGAGGAAATCACAGACAGCACTGATGCTATTTATAACTGAAGGAATTATACAGAGACTACACTACTGCAGACACCCAGAATCAAAGTCAAACTGCTATACCCAACCAAAATCATAGATATATCTTCAGGGAAAAGTCCTCCCCTATGAAAGTAAACCCAAAAAACTAGAAGAAGTAACTATTATACCAGAAGTACAGTTATCAGTGTAAAGACACAAGAAATATATTTAAAAAGGAAATATGATGTTTCCAAAGGAAAACAATAATTCCCCAGAAACAGATTCTAATAAAAAAGAATTTAGGAAATGCCAAAAAAAGAACTTAAAATAATGATATTAAAGGACCTCAGTGAAATATAAGAGAACACAGATAAATAATACAAAGAAATTGTAAAAACTATTTAAGATGTGGATGAGAAATTTACCAAATAGATAGATACCATAAAAAAGAACAAAACAGAAATTCTGGAACGCAAGAATTTATTGAATAAAATAAAAAATACATTTGAGAGCTTTAACAGTAGACTACATCAAGAAAGAAGGAATATTAGAACTTTAAGGGAGGTCTTTTGAAATAAACTGGTTAGACAGAATTAAAGAAAAAAGAGTTAAAAAGAATGAACAAAGACTATGTGACATATAGGGCACCATAAAATGACCAAATATAAAAATGTTTAGTATTCCTTAAAGTGAAGAGAAAACCAAAGGGATTTTAAAAAGCCTATTTATTGAAATAATAGCTTAAAAACAACCAAAGTCTAGCAGGAGATTGAGACATCTAAATATAGGCAGCTCAGGCATGACCAGATAGATACAAACTAAAAAGGCCTTCTCCAGAGCACATTACTGTCAACTGTCAAAAGTCAAGGACAAAGAGATAATTCTAAAGCCAGCAAGAGGAAAGTGTCTAGTCACTCTTAGGGGAATTACCATCAGACCCTACAGATTTCTCAGCAGAAACCCTTCAGAACAGAAGAGAATGTGATAATATAATCAAAGTGCTGAAAGAAAACCACCTATCTGCTAAGGATATTACACTAGCAAATTTATCCTTCATAAATGATGGAGAAATAAAGTCTTCTCTAGATAAGCAAAAGCTGAATGAATACATCACCACTAGACTGGCCCTTCGAGAAATGCTTCAGGGAGTCCTACATCTGGAAGTAAACGAACAATATCTACCACCGTAAAAACACACGAAAATATTAAACTCACTGGTAGAGCACACACAAATAAGGAATAAAAAGAACTCAAATGTTATCACTACAGGAAACCATGAAACTACAATGATAAACAATAAGAAAGAACGGAACAACGGATACACAAAACAACCAGAAAACAATAAAATGACAGGAATAAGCCTTCACATATCAATAATAACCTTGAAGGTAAACAGATTAAACTTTCCATTTAAAAGACATACACTGGCCAGGCATGGTGGCTTATGCTTGTAATCCCAGCACTTTGGGAGGCCAAGGTGGGTGGATCACTGAGGTCAGGAATTTGAAACCAGCCTGGCCAACATGGTCAAACCCTGTCCCTACTAAAAATACAAAAAAAAAAAAAAAAAAAAAAAAAAAAAAAGATGGGACTTGTGGCAGGTGCCTGTAATCCCAGCTACTAGAGAGGCTGAGGCAGGATAATCATTTGAACCCAGGAGGTAGAGGTTGCAGTGAGCTGAGCTCATGCCACTGTACACTAGCCAAACAACAGAGCAAGACTCTGTCTCAAAAAAAAAAAAATACAGGCAGGCTGAATGGACCAAAATGAAAAACAAAAAACCCAACTATGTGCTGCCTACAAGAAACTTACCTCATCTGTAGAGACACATACACATAGACTGAAAGTAAAGAGGTAGAAAAAGATATTCCATGTAAATGGGCAACAAAATGTGAGCAGGAGTAGCTATAGTTATATCAGATAAAACAGATTTTAAGTCAAAAATAGTAAAAAGAGACAAAGAAGGTAATTATATCATGATAAAGTAATCAAGTAAGCAAGAGGATATAACAATCTAAACAGAGATATAACCAATATTTGAGCACTCAGATATATATATATATACATATGTATACATATATATATGTGTGTATATATATATATATGTATATATATATATAGCAATTATTTATCAGCGAAGAGAGAACTGAGAAGGAGAAAGGGAAAAAGAAGGCATTTTTTCAAAGGAATCCCAGGGGTTCAGGATGCATTTGAAAGGGGTACAGACTGAAGATGAATGGCTTCCTATCTAGAAAGAGGGGAGCAGGTATGCCTGGTTCCCTTCTCTTCCTAGCAGATACCCAGGGTACATGAGGGAGAGAGGGAAGAGTATCCTCTTTCCCTCTTCCATTCCCAAGTCCCAGCGAACTTGGCAGGTGCCGCCACGGGTGTTAAAGTGACTTGCACCCATGAAGCAGGGGGGCCTAGAAGGTGGAAATCGTCTGCTTTTACCCACATACACCGTATTTCTCCTGGTTTCAGTAGCCTTGAATTCCCTAGACCTCATTTATGCCACAGATACTAACATGGCCTTTATCCATGAAACAAGAAGCTTGGGTTTGGCTTTATTGGCAGGAATCAGCCATGTTTACTTGCACTGTGCCTTTTAACTTCTATTGTCATCTGCCTCTGGATCCCTTAGATCCAGTTTTCTTTCCTAGGGCTTTGACCTGAAGTTTAGAATTGAGTTTGGGACAAAATGTGTCTCATGGTGGTTGCTGGACTCCTTATCATAAGCCAAATGTTAAGGTGAAACTGTGTCTGATAAAGGATAAATAACCAGAATATGTAATTAGCTCAAACAACTCTATAGGAAAAAACAAATGATCTGATTAAAATATGGGCAAATGATCTGAATAGACATTCCTAAAAAAAAAAACTTACAAATGGCAAACAGATATATGAAAAGATGCTCAACATAATTGATCATCAGAGAAATGCAAATCAAAACTACAATGAGATATCATCTTACTAATTAAAATGGCTTTTATTCAAAAGACAGGCAATAAGAAATGCTGACAAGGACACAGAGAAAGAACTCTCATACACTGTTGGTATGAACATAAATTAGTACAATCACAATGGAGAACAGTTCAGAGGTTCTTCAAACAACTAAAAGTAGAACTATCATATGATCCAGGAATTCCATTGTTAGGCATACACCCAAAAGAAAGGAAATTAGTATATTGAAGAAATATCTGTACTCTCATGCTTATTACAGCACTATTCACAATAGCCAGGATTTGGAAGCAACCTAGGTGTCCATCAACAGATAACAAGATAAAGAAAATGTGGTATGTTTACACAATGGAGTAGTATTCAGCCATAAAAAATAATGAGATCCTGTCATTTGCAACAACATGGATGGAACTGGAGGACATTATAATAAGTGAAATTAGCCAGGCATAGAAGACATATTTTTCATTTTTCACTTAATTGTGGAAGCTAAAAATTAAAACAGTTGAACCCACGAAAAATAGACAGTAGAATGATGGTTACCAGAGACTGGGAAACGAGTGGCAGGAGGAATTGAGCACAGCTAATTGGTACAAAAACATAGTTAGATAGAATGAATAAAATCTAGTATTTGATAGCACAACAGGGTGACTACAGTCAATAATTTGTTGTATATTTAAAAGAGTATAATAGAATTGTTTATAACACAAAGAAAAAATAATTGCTTGAGGTGATGGATATCTAATATGGTTTGGTTCTGTGTCCCCACCCAAACTCATCTTGTAGCTCCCATAATTCCCATGTGTTGTGAGAGGGACCCAGTTGGAGATGACTGAATCCTGGGTCCAGGTCTTTCCCATCCTCTTCTTATGATAGTGAATAAGTCTCACAAGATCTGATGGCTTTGAAAAAAATGGGAGTTTCCCTGCACAAGCTCTCTTCTCTTATCTCCTGCCATGTGAGACATGCCTTTCACATTCCACCATAATTGTGAGTCATTCGCAGCCACATGGAACTGTAAGTCCATTAAACGTTTTTTACTTCAGTCTCGTGTATGTCTTTATCAGCAGTATGAAAGCAGATTAATACGTAAATTGGTACTAGCAGAGTGGGGCGTTGCTGAAAAGATACCCAAAAATGTGGATGCAACTTTGAAACTGGTTAACAAGCAGAGGTTGAAATTGTTTGGAGGGCTCAGAAGAAGACAGAAAAATGCAGGAAAGTGTGGAGCTTCCTAGATGCTTGTTGAATGGCCTTGAACAAAATCCTGATAGCGATATGGACAATAAGGTTAGGGCTGAGGTGGTCTCAGATGGAAATAAGGAACTTGTTGGGAATTGGAGCAAAGGTGACTCTTGTTATGTTTTAGCAAAGATACTGGCAGCATTTTGCCCCTGCTCTAGAGATTTGTGGAAATTTGAACTTGAGAGAGATGATTTAGGGTATCTGGTGGAAAAAATTTCTAATCAGCAAAACATTCAAGAAGTGACTTGAGTACTGTTAAAGGCACTCAGTTTTAAAAGGGAAACAGAGAATAAAAGTTTGGAAAATTTGCAGCCTGACAATGCAATAGAAAAGAAAAGCCCATTTTCTGAGGAGAAATCCAAGCTGGCTACAGAAATTTGCATAGGTAATGAGGACCTGAATGTTAATCCCGAAGACAATGGGGAAAATGTCTCCAGAGCATGTCAGAGGTCTTCATGGCAGGCCCTTCCATCACAAGCCCAGAGGCCGAGGAGGAAAAAGTGGTTTAGTGGGCCAGCTCCAGGGTCTCCATGCTGTATGCAGCCTAGGGACTTGGTGCCCTATGTCCTAGTCACTCCAGCCATGGCTGAAAGGGCTAATGCAGAGCTTAGGTTGTGGCTTCAGAGGGTGCAAGCCCCAAACCTTGGCAGCTTCCATGTGGTGTTGAGCCTGCCAGTGCACAGAAGTCAAGAAATGGTGTTTGGAAATCTCCACCTGGGTTTCAGAAGATGTATGGAAGTGCCTGGATGTCCAGGCAGAAGTTTGCTGCAGGGGTGGGGCTCTCATGGAGAATTTCTGCTAGGGCAATGTGGAAGGAAAATGTGGGGTTGAAGCCCCCACACAGAGTCCCTACTGGAGCACAACCTAGTGGAGCTGTGAGAAGGAGGCCACCATCCTCCAGACCCCAGAATGGTAGATCCACTGACAGCTTGCATCATGCACCTGGAAAAGCTGCAGAAACTCAATGCCAGCTCATGAAAGCAGCCCGGAGGGAGGCTGTACCTGGCAAAGCCACGAGGGCAGAGCTGTCCAAGACCGTGGAAACCCACCTCTTGCATCAGCATGACCTGGATGTGAGACATGGAGTCAAAGGAAATCATTTTGGACATTTAAGATTTGACTGCCCCACTGGATTTTGGACTTTCATGGGGCTTGTAGCCACGTTATTTTGGCCAGTGTCTCACATTTGGAATGGCTGTATTTACTCAATGCTTGTACTCCACTGTATCTAGAACTAACTAACTTGCTTTTGATTTTACAGGCTCATCAGTAGAAGGGACTTGCATCGTCTCAGATGAGACTCTGGACTGTGGACTTTTGAGTTAATTCTGAAATGAGTTGAGACTTTGGGGGACTGTTGGGAAGGCATGATTGGTTTTGAAACGTGAGGACATGAGATTTGAGAGGGGCCAGGGGTGAAAGGATATGGTTTGGCTCTGTGTGCCCACCCAAATCTCATCTTGTAGTTCCCATAATTTCCACATGTTGTGGGAGGGACCTGGTGGGAGATGAGTGAATCGTGAGGGCAAGTCTTTCCTGTGCTTTTCTTGTGATAGTGAATAAGTCTCATAAAATCTGATGGTTTTTAAAAAAATGGGAGTTTCCCTGCACAAGCTCTCTTCTCTTGTCTGCCACCATGTGGGATATGTCTTTCACCTTCCATGGTTGTGAGGAGTCCCCAGCCACATGGAACTGTAAGTCCATTAAACCTTTTTTTCTTCTCAGTCTTGAGGACGTCTTTATCAACAGCATGAACATGGACTAATACAATACCCTATTTACTCTGATGTGACCACTGTGTATTGTATGGCTGTATCAAAATATCTCATGTACCCCATAGATATATACACCAATGTACCCACAAAAATTTAAAAAATTTTAAATCAGTAGCATTTCTGTATACCAATAATGAACTGCCTTAGAAAGAAATCAAGAAGGCAATTCCATTTACAATGCTACAAAAATAAAAAAGAAAATACCTAGGAATAAATTTAACCAAGGAGAAGAAAGATATTCACAGTGAAAACTAGAAAACAATGGTGAAAGAAATTGAAGAGCACACAAACAAATAGAATGATATACCATACTTGTGGATCATAATAATTAATATTTCTTAAATGACCATACTACCCAAAGCAATGTACAGATTCAATGCAGTCTCTACCAAATTACCATGTCATTATCCAGAAAAATAGAAAAATTATCCTAAAATTTGTATGGAACCACGAAAGACTCCAAATGGCCAAAGTAATCTTTGGCACAAAGAATAAATCTGAAGGCATCACATTACCTGAATTTAAAATATATTACAAGGCTATTGTAACAAAAACAGCATGGAATTGGTAAAAATATATACACATAGACCAATTGAACAGAATAGAGAACTGAGAAATTATGTATTTACAGCCAACTGATTTTCAACAAAGGTGTTAAGAACATACAGTCTCTTCAATAAATGGTACTGGGAAAACTAGTTATCTATACATAGAAGAATAAAACAACCCCTATTTCTCACCATATACAAAATTCAACCCAAGATGAATTAAATACCTCAAGGTAAGACCTGAAACTGTAAAACTAGTAGAAGAAAAAATAGGTGAAACACTTCAAGACATCGTCCTAGACAAAGATTTTATGGTTAAAATCTTAAAAGCATAGGAAATAAAAACAAAAATAGACAAAAGGGACTGTACTAAACTAACTAAACTAAAAAGCTTCTGTACAGCAAAGTAAACAACTGACAGAGTGAAAAGATAGCCTGTTGAATAGGAGAAAAATTTTGCAAACTATTCACCTGACAAATGACTAATATGCAGAATATATAAGCAACTCAAACAACAGTTAAAAAAAACAATAAAAGGGGGACATAGGACATAATAGACATTTCTCAAAAGAAGTCCTACAAATGGCCAACAGTATATGAAAAAATATTCAACCCCAGAATCACCAGGGAAATACAAAGCAAAACAACAATGAGATATCACCTTACCCTAGTTAAAATGGCTATTGTTAAATAGATGGGTAAAAAACAGATGCTGATGAGGATGCAGAGAAGGGAACACTTATACACTGTTGGCAGAAATATAAATCAGTACAGCCACTATGGAAAACAACATAAAGATTTATTTAAAAATTAAAAAATAGAACTACCATATGATCTAGCAATCCCACTACTGAGTATTTATCTAAAGGAAAGGAAGTCAGTTTATCAAAGGGGTACCTGCACCCCTATGCTTATTGCTGTGTTATTCACAATAGCAAAGATATGGAGTCAACCTGAGTGTCCATCGACAAACGTATGGATAAAGAAAATATGGTATATATACACAATGGAATGTTTTTCAGCCATATGAAATGAAATCATGTCATTTGCAGCAACATGGGTGGAACTGGAGGTAATTATGTTAAGCAAACTAAACCAGGCACAGAAAGATAAATATCACATGTTCTCACGAATATGTTGGAACTAAAAAAGTTGATTTTATAGATGTAGAGTAGAATGTTCCCAGATGACAGGAAGGGTGTGTGGCTGGAAGTGGGGGGATTAAAAGAGATTGGTTATTGGTTACAAACATACAGTTATACAGAAAAAATAATTTCCAATGTTCAATAGCAGAGGAGGGTGACTATAGTTAACAACAATGTATCATTTATTTCAAAATAGAAGAAAGGATTTGAAATGTTCCCAACACATAGAAGTGATAAATATTGGAGGTGATAAATACTCGAAATACCCTGACTTGACCATTACACATTTTTACGCATGTAAGAAAATATTACGTATGCCCATAAATATGTAAAAATATTATGTATCAATAAAATTCCATTGATTGAGTTCAGTAAACAATAGACTTTGTTGCCCTTAGCCAGAAGGAAATGATGAAATGTCTTTTGGGAAGAGAAATGAGAAGAGGTTCTTTTTATCCCTTTCTAGACTATAGATCTGATAGATATTTTAAAAACATTTTTCTTTTCAGATGCGGAAATGGAAGCTCAGGGAGCTCAATTGCCTTTACTTACAAAACTAGCTTATGGCAGTTCCCTGCTAAAGCTAGGTGACCTGACTCAGTTTGGTCTCAGACTAGGGTTCTCTCAGCATAACATCCTGTTCTTATTCCTGATCAATTGCTGGAAGAAAGTCCCAAATTTTGACCTAGAGAACAGGATGAGGGTAGGCTCCAGTTAATCTCTGACCCCAATCTTGTTATATGCTCCACAACTATGCATAGATATTCTTTCTTTCTTTGAGAATAAGAGATTTTTTTTTTTTTTAATTTGGGAAACCAAAGAACTCATTGGTGTCCTTTTGCTCCTTCAGAGTTGCTTGTCTTGCCTTCTTTCATCCCTGGCTGCCTTGATTATTCTAACGAATATCATAGCAGGAGTGAGTACTTGTGAGTGTGAGAATGTTATTTTCTTCTCATTACCATCAAATTGTTATACTTGTTTTATTTTGATTTTTTAATCAGTGGGCTGCCAGGTCTAAACTTTGCTTACTTTTTGCCTGTGGATTATCCAGAGAAAGCAGCACTGTTTCTTAGGTAATTGTACCTTTGTATATATTTCCACTTTTTCTATGCACAAAAGGCTATCATCATATAGTATCTTTGACATCTAGCATAAGAAATAAAATCTCTATAGTCCACAATATGTCAAGAACAATGAAAGAAACATAGTATCTGAGGTGGAAGACCCAGATTCTAATCTTAGCTTTTTTCCATAACTTTTCTTTCTGTGTAACAACATCTGAGTTTTAATCAAAAAACAAGGTAATTAGACTTGGTAAGTTGTTCTCAAACTTATTCAGACAGTAGCAATACTGGAAGTCAGTGTAATTTTGTGAAATACATATTTATTTAATTTCATAAAATGAATAGGTAACAAATTTACAAGCAGAAAACATTAGGTTACACAATAACAACAGTCACTGAAAATAATAGAACACATCCATTCAATTAGTCATAGGATAACAGTAGCAGATAAAAAATTGAAAACATGACCAAAAACTTACTGAAAATGATTGCTTTCTTTTTTATTTATTTGTTTATTTATTTATTTATTTTGAGGCAGAGTCTCATTCTGTCGCCCAGGCTGGAGTGCAGTGGTGCGATCTCGGCTCACTGCAAGCTCAGTCTCCTGGGTTCATGCCATTCTCCTGCCTCAGCCTCCAGAGTAGCTGGGGCTACAGGCACCCGCCACCATGCCTGGCTAATTTTTTGTACTTTTAGTAGAGACGGGGTTTCACCATGTTAGCCAAGATGGTCTCGATCTCCTGACCTGGTGATCCACCCTCCTTGGCCTCCCAAAGTGCTGGGATTACAGGTGTGAGCCACCACACCTGGCGATTGCTTTCTTTAGAAAGCTTGAAATTCCAAAGATTTTATCCTCTGGCTAAGTATTTTTTTGCACTGAAAAAAAGTGTCAGTGTTCAACATTAGATTTAAATTACTTTGTCTAATGTGCTGAAAACTAAGATTTTAAAGAAGTACCATTTAAGAACCTCTGAACAGCATCTCCCGGCTCTAAAATGTCTCTCTGTCCATTGCTTCTTGGTCAATTGTTACTTGTTCTGATTGTAATTGCTTTTTAGATTATGGATACTGGGCAGGTGTATTATAACTTTCTGTATACGCTAACTCAAAGCTTTGAATGGGATAACCATTTAGAGTGGAAATTCAGGTAGAAATTGTGCTCCTGACTAATGCTTCTGGAACATAGTGTTATCTGCCAGTGCTGCTGAAATGTCTCCATGGAAACACTCCTTCCCACAGAGGAGAGTAAAGGTGCCCTCCACAGTTTAGGCATTCTGAGGTCCACTATAGGTATATTATATCTTTGAAATCTGGATTCTATCTTTAAAATTTATGTAAAAACTTCTTATAAAAGTTTTAAATTACTCATCACCAGAAAGAAAAAACAAAAACAAACCTACAGATGAAACTGTGCTCTAGAAGACTATAGTGTTTATCAGAGGTGGATTACCCACTGGGGGTAGGTCAAGGGTGAACCTTCTCAGATTTGCAAGCCTCATCTTGGCTCCAGACCCCTTTTTATCTATCTAGCACAGACCTACCATGAAAGTACCACTGCAAGACCAGAGAAATTTTCAATTAATCTACAGTAAGAACACTGGTAGCCCTGTTACAAACTAATTGCTGTGAGCAGGGAAAATTAAGACTTCTAAATGTCAGGTTCTGTGTCCAGAATGAACACTACACTGCTTGCATGCATGCATGTGCTGACTTAGTTCCTGAATGACTCATATAACCTTAAGATCGCCACTTTTTGTAGGAATAAAAACAAACGAAACTGTCCAAATAGGGAGGAGTCCCTCTTTTGTGATGCTTCAATCCTGGATGAATGAAAACTGGTAAAAGACATAAAAGAAGAGAGGTAGGTGAAAAAGCTTGTTAATTAATAAATATCTTCTTTTCTAAGGTAGTGCTTATAAAGCAACTCAAGCCACTACTGAAATATTTTAAGCCTCTCCAAAACATTGGTGAAATATTCAGATAATTGAAATGACAAATATGCCTCTATTTTGAATTAGGTAATTACCTCAAGTTTTCCTTTTGCCTTCTCTGTGCACCACATATCTAAGATATATTATTGCCTTATTTACAGAAAAAGAATAGGAAAAAAGAGGGGAATTGCCAGTTTATCTCTTATGTAAATTCAAAATTAAATTAATAGACACATGAAGAAAAGTATGTTGTAGATTAGTATGCCTTTGTTGCACCCAAAAATCTCCTGCCTTTTTGACCTTTTGTAGGAACTATTCTTTCATTTATTCATTCAACAAATAGTTTTTCAATACCTGTGATTCTTCAGAGACTGCTATAGGTACTATGGAAACAGAGGTGAAGAAGACAAAGCCTCAGCTCTAAAGAAAGAGACATAGCGGGGGTGGTAAAGGGGACACACAATGGCAGGTAGTGATTAGTGCTACACAGAACAGTAGCAGGATAAGGCAATAGAGGGTGATCAGATGAGGGCATTTAGAAAGCATGGTCAGAGGCTGGGCGTGGTGGCTCATGCCTGTAATCCAGCACTTTGGGAGGCCGAGGCAGGGGGATCACGAGGTCAAGAAATCGAGATCATCCTGGCCAACATGGTGAACTCTCTTCTCTATTAAAAAATACAAAAAAATTAGCTAGGCGTGGTGGTGTGTGCCTGTAGTCCCAGCTACTTGGGAGGCTGAGGCAGGGGAATCACTTGAACCCAGGAGGCAGAGGTTGCAGTGAGCCGAGATCGCGCCACTGCACTCCAGCTTGGCAACAGAGAGAGACTCTGCCTCAAAAAAATAAATAAATAAATAAATAAGAAACAGTGGTCAGAGAGGGTCTTTTGAAGACATGCTATTTGAGCAGCAACCTGAAAGAAGTATGGGAGAGAGACTGGTGGGAGTCGGTGGGGGGAAGAATATATCCCTGGCTCCAAGGGAAACACACCTGGGGTAGTGAAGGAAGAGCAATAAACCACCATGGCTTGGCCTGAGTGACAGAGGAAGATGGTAGTAGAAGATGAGCTTGGAGGGCTGGGGGAGGCCAGAGTCTGTAGGGCCTTGGAGGCCTTTGGTGAGGACTTTGGATTTTAAGTATGATGGGAAAGTATTGAAGAAATTTCAGGAAGAAAGAGACGTGATCCTATTTGCATTTTGAAAGACCACTCTGCAATGAAGAGAGAATTGACTATGAAGAGGCAGAAGCAGGGAGACCAGTTATGTAGGCATGCAAAGACAAGAGATGATGGTGGCTGAACTGGATTGGAAGCCATGAAAATGTTGGAAGTGGTTGGGATTGGGTTATATTAATATTTGTAAGTAGAGTCTGCAGATGATTTGTGTTGTAAGTTGAATAGTGGCCCCTAAGAAAGATATGTCCACGTTTTAATTTCTGTAAGCTATGAATATAACTTTATTTGAAAAAAAAAGATATTTGCAGTTGTAATTAAGTTAAAGATCTCTAAATGATATCATCCTGGATTATCTGGATTATCTGGATGACCCTAAATCCAATGACAAGGAGACAAGAGAGGAGAAGACACAGGCACAAGACAGAAGAGAAGCCCATGTGAAGATAGAGGCAGAGATAGGAGTTATGCAGCCACAAACCAAGGAATGCTTGAAGTCACTAGAAGCTGGAAGAGGCAAGAAGGATTCTCCTCTATGGCCTTCAGTTGGTTCACAGTCCTGCCATCACCTTGGTTTCAGACTTCTGGCCTCCAGGGCTGTCAGAGAATAAATATCTGTTGTTTTAAGCCACCAACTTTGTGGTAATCTGTTATAGCAGCCCTGGAAATCAGGCTAGGAAATTGGATATGGATATGAGTATGTAGCTCACTTGAGAGGCCAGGGCTACAGATATACATTGGGTAGTGATCTAGCTATAATTACATTTGAAGCCATAGCTCTGAACACATTCAGCACGGAGTTAGTTGGTAGTAGATAGAGAAGATAAAGGAAGTGCTGCCTATCCCTAGAGTACTTCAACATCAAGAGTTAAGAAAAGAGGTGCTCACAGAAGTGTGGTAGAAAGAGCAGCAAGTTATGTGGAAGAAGAACCAAGGAAAATAGTGATGTCGCTGAAGCTTTAAGGAAGTATGTCAGGCAGTTCACAATTGCAATAATATGGAATCAACCTAAGTGGCCATTAACCAATGAATGGATAAAGAAAATGTGGTATATTTATACCATGGAATACTACTCATCCATAAAAAAGAATGAAATAATGTCATTTGCAGCAACTTGGATGGAACTGAAGGCCATTGTTCTAAGTGAACTAACTCAGAAATAGAAAACCAAATACCCCATATTCTTACTTATAAGTAGGAGCTAAGCTATGGGTATGCAAAGGCATACAGAGTGGTATAATGGACATTGGAGCTCAGAAGTGGGGAGGGTGGGAAGGGAATGAGGGATAAAACGTTACCTACTGGGTACAATGTACGCTGTTCAGGTGACATGTACATTAAAAACCCAGACTTCACCATTATGCAACTCATCCATGTAACTGAAATCTACTTGTATCCCTAAAGCTATTAAAATAAAAAAAAGAAAGTTTGTCAAGGAGAGAGTATCAGCTTTATCAAATCCTGCCAAAACGTCAAGTGAGAGGAGGACCAAGACTCAGTGATTAGATTTGCTGACGCAGAGACACTTCATGATCTTGTCAAGGATGGTTTCAGTAGAGAGGCAAAAAAGAATTTTAAGAGACTTCTCAAAGTCATCCAGTGAAGAGTTGCAGGGCTTGAATGGACAGGAAAACTTAAACACTGTCCACTTCTGTAGGTTCCATTCTACTTTTCTACTAAGCAGCATTAAAAGGGATGCACTCAAGTGGAACTGGGATAAGAGCTGCTTATCTAGCTTATTGATAAAATAGTAATTATTATTGTTGATTATAGCTCTCATTTATGCAATGTTTACTGTATGCTAGGCCCTGTACTGAATGATGTAAAAATTCATATATGTAATTTTATCTTTCCTTCAACTTTGAAAAGTAGGCTTTTATTCCCATTTTATAGATGAGATGAAATCATCTTTGGGGCTTAATGCTTTATGATAGTTAGAACTTCTAACATAACATGATTCTCTGTCTAAGATCTAAGGCATTTTTCATTACTTTTGGTTAAGGAATTGCTATATCACATTTTGTTGGAGAGATAGAGATGCATTCTTTGCTATTATTTCATTTTCACATGGGATTTCTATAACTCCAGAGCAAAACTAATGAAGGCATGAAATATTTACTGCACTACTTGGCAGGTGATAAAACTGGCAGGATACCAAAACCCAGAAGGAGAGAATAATGTTATCATACATAATAATTATACATAATAATAAAATATCATACATAATAATAATAATATCATACATAATAATTATTAGGTACCAGGCATCATGCTGAATGTTTTATGTGCATGAATTAATATAACCCACATTCAATGAGGCTCAGAGGTTCAACTGATTTCACTAAGGACCCATATCTAACAAAAGTCAAAACTAAGATTTGGTCTATATCTTGGTCTAGTTCTAAAACCTCCCCCTTTACCACAAATTACATTTTAAACACCCTACACATTTGGATGCTGATTGTTACCATGAGAAGAGGGGACTAAATTGGAGAAGGGGCCTACAATATATCTGGTCTTATCCTACCTTCCTAGCTTTTAGTTTATGCCCCTTTATAAGTACACTTTATTTTAGATAAATTGCTTGGGTTTTCCTGCCTATTAAGATTTTGCTCATCATCATTATCTTTAATTCTCTCTGTCCTTGAAAGACCAGTTCAAATGCTAACTCCTTTATGTAGTCTTCCTTGACCTCCTCAGTGCTGCCTCTATAGCCTATGGATCTCTTATAGAAATTATTTCTAAGTGTCTTGTTTTGGGATTATATCCCTAATTTTAAAAAGCTCTTGTATGTTAGTATGTTCTTTACAGGTGAAGGCTATTTCTTCTTGATCTTTGTATATTTTTAACAACAATAGTTTTCATTTAAGTGGTATGCAATTTGTGGACTTCATTACTATTTCAAAAAAATTCTGAATCTATTATAAATTGTAAGTAATAATCTTGCTGTAACAGGTATCTTTCTTATGGGGTTACCTAAAGAGTCAGGTCTTTTAAGAACAAATTATACCAATGATTCTCAAATTCTAATGTGACTAGAAATCAATTGTGGATCATGTTAAAATGTAGATTCTGATTCTATAGTACTTGAGTTTCTATAATTGTAACAAACTCCCAGGTGATGTCAATGCTGCTGATTTATCAATCACAGTTTGAGTAAGAAGGTATTTCAGTTATAATGAAGAAAAATAAACTACTGTTAACAATTAAAGAAACTGCATCTATAATACCTACCTGGCTAATACTCTACTTTTGAGAGGCTAACCATATTGCCTTCTGTTCTCTAGGCAAGACAGTCTCTCAACCTTTACCTAGATAAGGAAAAATAACAGATTATCTTTAATCCACTCAGTAGATGTTCAGTTGCTACCTGCAGGACTTTAGTAGAGAGAAAAATTATTTCTCCACTTACTTGGTACCATTTGATTGCTGGGTGCACTGCATTTTCATCTTTGGAATAAGAACAATTAATTTAGTTTGGAAAATTCTTAAAACCTTGGGTTAAGTTTGCTAATAAAGTTTTGTGGGCAAAAAGAATTTGAAAATTTAAAATGTATATAGTGTTCAGTAATATCTACTAGGTATTATATGTTTCTCAATTTTAATTTTGGAAAAAGAACAATTAAAATGTTTAAAGTGTATTTGGGCATTAAAATGCTTTTAAGACCATGCTGTTTTTCAGGCAGGGCATCCGGACAAGTAACAGCCTTTCCCAGGATCATCTGTGGATGATATCTTTTCCTTCTTATTTCCATGCTAGTGATTGACCAAGACTTGGAAAGCATTTTGGTGTCACTTGATGGAATGAGATAATATGTCCATTCACTGAACAAAAACCTAGACAACCTTTGGTGAAAGTCTCTTCTACTCTTACGTCCATTTAAATTTTTTCCTATTACCTCTAAGAAAACCTTAACCTTAGGGGGCATCAAAACCAAAGATAGCCTGGAAATTCTGCATATACTTTTGCATAGTCTTCAAATATAAAGCTTTTTAATATATTAGAATATTTAAGGTAGCACTTAAATATAAAATATAACACATTTTTAAAGACATATGGAATTGCAAATCCTCTATCTCAGATTTGTAACTATGAGGATTCAATTTTAAGACAAGATAGATAGGACAATGGTAGCTGCCTAAATTTGAATCTTTCCAACTATCTATCCTATCATTTATCTATCCATCCATCCATCCATCTATATATGTATGTATATTCTCTCTCTCTACCTATATATCTATGGCAAGAGAAATGGCCTATTGCTACATAACTAAGCCATTTGTAGCATAACTGATAAATAAATTCTATAAACTTCAATTTATTTTTGAGAGTGGAAGTAATCATCCAAGAATAGTATAGTCGGCTGTGGAGCTGAGGATTGAGTGAAGTCAAGTAGGAATGACACAAAAGGGAGGAGAACACAGGTACAATGGGGTCATAGCAGCAGCGGAAGACAGATAACATCAGTTAGGGTTCACCTACAGAGTCTACTTCAAGTTGGAAAAAGAATACTGGAAACAGATCTGAGCCCTGGTAGGACTTGGCAAGGGCTACAAAAAATAAAAAGCTTATAAAGTATATGGAACTAGAGACTAGATGCATCAGTCTGGAGAAACATGATAGATTGTTTCCAAAGGTAACTATAACAACTCTCCCATCACTCATGTCTTTTTTTTTTTTTTTTTGTAATGTGACTTTGAAACTCCCCCCATTAGGAAGTAGAGTCTTGAATCTGGGTTTGCATTGTGACTTGCTTTGAACAAATGAATGTTGTAGTGAGACTATATAACTTTTGAAGCTAGATCTTAGAAGACTGTACAGCTTGCATCTGTGCCCTGTTGGAGTTCTGAGCACCCTGTAAAGAAATCCAGCTCTCCTGTCGGAGATTGCATTAAGACAAAAATGACCTTCAGTTAGAAATCACGAGAGGAGGCCGGGTGCGGTGGCTCACGCCTGTAATCCCAGCACTTTGGGAGGCCAGGTGGGCGGATCACGAGGTCAGGAGATGGAGACCATCCTGGCAAACACGGCGAAACCCCCGTCTCTGCTAAAAATACAAAAAAATTAGCCGGTAGTGGTAGGGGAGCGCCTGTAGTCCCAGCCACTCGGGAGGCTGAGGCAGGAGAATGGCGTGAACCCAGGAGGCGGACTTTGCAGTGAGCCGAGATTGTGCCGCTGCACTCCAGCCTGGGCGACAAAGCGAGACTCCGTGTTGGGAAAAAAAAGAAAAGAAAAAATCATGAGAGTAGAGGAGAGTTAGAAAGTCTTTATCCTGTGGGATAAAGTCCCACAGGAGAAAGAGGCCCTGGCATTCCAGCCATCCCAGCTAAGGAGTCAAAGCCATCTTGGATCTTCCAGCCCAAATTGCACTGTACGGATAGGCCCAGTGGACACCATGAGAAACAGAGGCAAGTTGCCCCAAAAGAGCCATGCCCAGATATCACAGAAAATCATAAACAAAGAAACTATTATTTTTAATCATTAAATTTTGGGGTTGTTTGTTTGCAGCAATAGGCAACTATTACGGGAAGATATTGTTTCTGGGATAAGTAGGCTTCTCAGAAACAGAAAGTTTCCTTGAATGTTTGATGATGAAGAGAAAAAAAGAAGAAAGTGATTAAGATGAAATATTCTACCAAAACAAGATAGAATCAAAACTAAGAAAAATGCAGAACAACAACAAAAAAGAGCTATTTGTTAAAGAAACTGCACTTCGCTGTAGCAACATTAGAGGGCACTCTTGAAATAGAAAAACTGAGTTAATCACCTAAACTCCTCCCTTGCTATTCTGGTCCGTATAGTCGCTACACAAACATGAACAAAATCAAGCAAACAAACAAACAAAATACCACTCAAGTACCCACTATAATTTCCGATAATTATGAAGCAGAAAATAATTACCAAAACATTTTGGTAAAGTGAGAGATAGATAAATAAAGAGAAGAAAAGCAAGAAGCAGAGCAACACTGCAACATAAATAAATTTAAATTTCGTTTAATGTTATTGAACAAGCAATTGCTGATATAAAAGAACAGAAAAATAATAAATTCAAAGGCCAGAAATAGAAATGTAAAAACAAGGTATGAACACATGCTGACAAAACTCAGGAAAGAAATTTAGAAAGACAAAAACATCTAAGAAATAAGCACTT